>NC_000003.12:93705574-96205574 GCF_000001405.40 Homo sapiens
TGTTTCCAACTGCTCTATGAAAAGAAAGGTTAAACTCTGTGAGTTGAACGCACACATCACAAAGTAGTTTCTGAGAATGATACTGTCTAGTTTTTATACGGAGATATTTCCTTTCCTTCCATTGGCGTCAAAGCGCTAGAATTCTCCACTTGCAAATTCCACAAAAAGAGTGTTTCCAATCTGCTCTGTCTAAAGGAAGGTTCAACTCTGTGAGTTGAATACACACACACAAAGAAGCTACTGAGAATTCTTTTGTCAAGAATTATAAGAAGAAATCCCGTTTCCAACGAAGGCCTCAAAGAGTTCCAAATATCCACTTGCACACTGTACAAACTAAGTCTTTCCAAACTGCTCTATGCAAAGAAATGTTCAACTCTGTGAGTTTAATGCACACATCACAAAGCAGTTTCTGAGAATGATTCCGTCTAGTTTTTATACGAACATAGCCTTTTCTACCATTGGCCTCAAGGCTCTTGAAATCTCCACCTGAAAATTCCGCAAAAAGCGTGTTTCCAATCCGCTCTGTCTAAAGGAAGTTTCAAATCTCTGAGTTGAATACATACATCCCAAAAGAAGTTACTGCGAATTCTTCTGTCTAGCATTATGTGAAGAAATCCCGTTTCCAACGAAAGCCTCCAAGAGGTCCAAATATCCAGTTGCAGAATTTACAAACTGACTGTTTCCAAACTCATCTATGAAAAGAAAGGTTAAACTCTGTGAGTTGAATGCACATATCACAAAGTAGTTCCTGAGAATGATTCTGTCTAGTTTTTATACGAAGATATTTCCTTTTCCACCAATGGCCTCAAAGTGCTTGAAATCTCCCCTTGCAAATTCCACAGAAAAGTGTTTCAAATCTGCACTGTCTAAAGGAAGGTTCAACCCTGTGAGTTGAATACACACACACAGAAAAAAATTCACTGAGAATTCTATTGTCTATCATTACACGAAGAAATCCCGTTTACTACGAAGGCCTCAAAGAGGTCCAAATATCCAGCTGCAGACATTACAAACTGAGTGTTTCCAAAGTGCTCTATGAAAAGAAGTGTTAAACACTGTGAGTTCAATGCACACATCCCAAAGCAGTTTCTGAGAATGATTCCGTCTATTTTTTCTACGAAGATATTTCCTTTTCTACCGTTGGCCTCAAAGCGCCTGAAATCTCCACTTGCAAATTCCACGAAAAGAGAGTTTCAAATCTGCTCTGTCTAAAGGAAGGTTCCACTCTGTGAGTTGAATACACACCACAAAAAGAAGTTACTGAGAATTCTTCTGTCTAGCATTATATGAAAAATCCCGTTTCCAACGAAGGCCACAAAGAGGTCCAAATATCCACTTGCAGATTCTGCAAAAAGAGTGTTTCCAAACTGCTCTATGAAAAGAAACGTTAAACTCTGTGAGTTGAACGCAAACATCACAAAGTAGTTTCTGAGAATGACTCCGTCTAGTTTTTATACGAAGATATTTCCTTTTCTACCGTTGGCCTCAAAGCGCTTGAAGTCTCCCCCTGAAAATTCCACAAAAAGTGTTTCCAATCTGCTCCGCCTAAAGGAAGCTTCAACTCTGTGAGTTGAATACCCACAACACAAAGAAGTTACTGAGAATTCTTCTGTCTCGCATTATAGGAAGAAATCCCGTTTCCAACGAAGGCCTCAAATACATCCACATATCCAGTTGCTGACTTTACAAACTGAGTGTTTCCAAACTGCTCTATGAAAAGAAAGGTTAAACACTGTGAGTTGAACACACACGTACCAAAGTAGTTTCTGAGAATGATTCTGTCTAGTTTGCATACAAAGATATTTCCTTTTCTACCACTGGCCTCAAAGCTTTGAAATCTCCACTTGCAAATTCCACAAAAGAGAGTTCAAATCTGCTGTTTCTAAAGGAAAGTTCAACTCTGAGAGTTGAATACACACCAGAAAAAGCAGTTACTGAGAAGTCTTCTGTCTAGCATTATATGAAGAAATCCCATTTCCAAAGAAGACTTCAAACAGGTCCAAATATCCACTTGCAGATTCTGCAAAAAGAGTGTTTTGAAACAACTGTATGAAAAGAAAGGTTAAACACTGTGAGTTGAACGCACCCATTGCAAAGCATTTTCTGAGAATGATTCCGTCTAATTATTATATGAAGGTATTTCCTTTTCTATCATGGGCCTCAAAGCGCTTGATACCTCCACCTGAAAATTCCACAAAAAGAGTGTTTCCAATCTACTCTGTCTAAAGGAACGTTCAACTCTGTGAGTTGAATACACACACACAGAAAGAATTCACTGAGAATTCTTCTGTCTGGCATTACATGAAGAAATCCCGTTTCCAACGAAGGCCTCAAAGAGGTCCAAATATCCACTTGCAGATTCTGCAAAAAGAGTGTTTCAAAACCGCTCTATTAAAAGGAATGTTGAACTCTGTGAGTTGAATGCAAACATCACAACTCAGTTTCTGAGAATGCTTCTGACTAGATTTTATGGTAAGATATTTCCTTTTCTACCGTAGGCTTCAATGCCCTCTAAATACACCCTTGCAAATTCTACAAAGAGACTGTTTAATAACTGCTCTATAGGAAGAAAGGTTGAACTCTGTGAGTTGAATGCAGAGATCACAACGTGGTTTCTGCGAATGATTCTTTGTAGTTTTTACATGAAGATATTTCGTTGTCTACCGTAGGCTTCAAAGCACTCAAAGTATTCACTTGGAACTTTTACAAAAAGAGTGTTAGAAAACTGCTCTTTCCAAAGTAAGGTTCAACTCTGTGAGTTGAATGCACACATAACAAACAAGAAGTTTCTGAGAATCCTTCTGTCCTGGTTTATATGAAAAAATCCCGTTTCCAACGAAGGCCTCAAAGACGTTTAAATATCCACTTGCAGACTTCACAAACAGAGTGTTTCCAAACTGCTCTATGAAAAGAAAGGTTAAACTCTGTGAGTTGAACGCACACATCACAAAGTAGTTTCTGAGAATGATACTGTCTAGTTTTTATACGGAGATATTTCCTTTCCTTCCATTGGCGTCAAAGCGCTAGAATTCTCCACTTGCAAATTCCACAAAAAGAGTGTTTCCAATCTGCTCTGTCTAAAGGAAGGTTCAACTCTGTGAGTTGAATACACACACACAAAGAAGCTACTGAGAATTCTTTTGTCAAGAATTATAAGAAGAAATCCCGTTTCCAACGAAGGCCTCAAAGAGTTCCAAATATCCACTTGCACACTGTACAAACTAAGTCTTTCCAAACTGCTCTATGCAAAGAAATGTTCAACTCTGTGAGTTTAATGCACACATCACAAAGCAGTTTCTGAGAATGATTCCGTCTAGTTTTTATACGAAGTTAGCCTTTTCTACCATTGGCCTCAAGGCTCTTGAAATCTCCACCTGAAAATTCCGCAAAAAGCGTGTTTCCAATCCGCTCTGTCTAAAGGAAGGTTCAACTCTCTGAGTTGAATACATACATCCCAAAAGAAGTTACTGCGAATTCTTCTGTCTAGCATTATGTGAAGAAATCCCGTTTCCAACGAAAGCCTCCAAGAGGTCCAAATATCCAGTTGCAGAATTTACAAACTGACTGTTTCCAAACTCATCTATGAAAAGGAAGGTTAAACTCTGTGAGTTGAATGCACATATCACAAAGTAGTTCCTGAGAATGATTCTGTCTAGTTTTTATACGAAGATATTTCCTTTTCCACCAATGGCCTCAAAGTGCTTGAAATCTCCCCTTGCAAATTCCACAGAAAAGTGTTTCAAATCTGCACTGTCTAAAGGAAGGTTCAACCCTGTGAGTTGAATACACACACACAGAAAAAATTCACTGAGAATTCTATTGTCTATCATTACACGAAGAAATCCCGTTTACTACGACGCCTCAAGACGTCCAATATCAGCTGCAGACATTACAAACTGAGTGTTTCCAAAGTGCTCTATGAAAAGAAGTGTTAAACACTGTGAGTTCAATGCACACATCCCAAAGCAGTTTCTGAGAATGATTCCGTCTATTTTTTCTACGAAGATATTTCCTTTTCTACCGTTGGCCTCAAAGCGCCTGAAATCTCCACTTGCAAATTCCACGAAAAGAGAGTTTCAAATCTGCTCTGTCTAAAGGAAGGTTCCACTCTGTGAGTTGAATACACACCACAAAAAGAAGTTACTGAGAATTCTTCTGTCTAGCATTATATGAAAAATCCCGTTTCCAACGAAGGCCACAAAGAGGTCCAAATATCCACTTGCAGATTCTGCAAAAAGAGTGTTTCCAAACTGCTCTATGAAAAGAAACGTTAAACTCTGTGAGTTGAACGCAAACATCACAAAGTAGTTTCTGAGAATGACTCCGTCTAGTTTTTATACGAAGATATTTCCTTTTCTACCGTTGGCCTCAAAGCGCTTGAAGTCTCCCCCTGAAAATTCCACAAAAAGTGTTTCCAATCTGCTCCGTCTAAAGGAAGCTTCAACTCTGTGAGTTGAATACCCACAACACAAAGAAGTTACTGAGAATTCTTCTGTCTCGCATTATATGAAGAAATCCCGTTTCCAACTAAGGCCTCAAATACATCCACATATCCAGTTGCTGACTTTACAAACTGAGTGTTTCCAAACTGCTCTATGAAAAGAAAGGTTAAACACTGTGAGTTGAACACACACGTACCAAAGTAGTTTCTGAGAATGATTCTGTCTAGTTTGCATACAAAGATATTTCCTTTTCTACCACTGGCCTCAAAGCTTTGAAATCTCCACTTGCAAATTCCACAAAAAGAGAGTTTCAAATCTGCTGTTTCTAAAGGAAAGTTCAACTCTGAGAGTTGAATACACACCAGAAAAAGCAGTTACTGAGAAGTCTTCTGTCTAGCATTATATGAAGAAATCCCATTTCCAAAGAAGACTTCAAACAGGTCCAAATATCCACTTGCAGATTCTGCAAAAAGAGTGTTTCGAAACAACTGTATGAAAAGAAAGGTTAAACACTGTGAGTTGAACGCACCCATTGCAAAGCATTTTCTGAGAATGATTCCGTCTAATTATTATACGAAGGTATTTCCTTTTCTATCATGGGCCTCAAAGCGCTTGATACCTCCACCTGAAAATTCCACAAAAAGAGTGTTTCCAATCTACTCTGTCTAAAGGAACGTTCAACTCTGTGAGTTGAATACACACACACAGAAAGAATTCACTGAGAATTCTTCTGTCTGGCATTACATGAAGAAATCCCGTTTCCAACGAAGGCCTCAAAGAGGTCCAAATATCCACTTGCAGATTCTGCAAAAAGAGTGTTTCAAAACCGCTCTATTAAAAGGAATGTTGAACTCTGTGAGTTGAATGCAAACATCACAACTCAGTTTCTGAGAATGCTTCTGACTAGATTTTATGGTAAGATATTTCCTTTTCTACCGTAGGCTTCAATGCCCTCTAAATACACCCTTGCAAATTCTACAAAGAGACTGTTTAATAACTGCTCTATAGGAAGAAAGGTTGAACTCTGTGAGTTGAATGCAGAGATCACAACGTGGTTTCTGCGAATGATTCTTTGTAGTTTTTACATGAAGATATTTCGTTGTCTACCGTAGGCTTCAAAGCACTCAAAGTATTCACTTGGAACTTTTACAAAAAGAGTGTTAGAAAACTGCTCTTTCCAAAGTAAGGTTCAACTCTGTGAGTTGAATGCACACATAACAAACAAGAAGTTTCTGAGAATCCTTCTGTCCTGGTTTATATGAAAAAATCCCGTTTCCAACGAAGGCCTCAAAGACGTTTAAATATCCACTTGCAGACTTCACAAACAGAGTGTTTCCAAACTGCTCTATGAAAAGAAAGGTTAAACTCTGTGAGTTGAACGCACACATCACAAAGTAGTTTCTGAGAATGATACTGTCTAGTTTTTATACGGAGATATTTCCTTTCCTTCCATTGGCGTCAAAGCGCTAGAATTCTCCACTTGCAAATTCCACAAAAAGAGTGTTTCCAATCTGCTCTGTCTAAAGGAAGGTTCAACTCTGTGAGTTGAATACACACACACAAAGAAGCTACTGAGAATTCTTTTGTCAAGAATTATAAGAAGAAATCCCGTTTCCAACGAAGGCCTCAAAGAGTTCCAAATATCCACTTGCACACTGTACAAACTAAGTCTTTCCAAACTGCTCTATGCAAAGAAATGTTCAACTCTGTGAGTTTAATGCACACATCACAAAGCAGTTTCTGAGAATGATTCCGTCTAGTTTTTATACGAACATAGCCTTTTCTACCATTGGCCTCAAGGCTCTTGAAATCTCCACCTGAAAATTCCGCAAAAAGCGTGTTTCCAATCCGCTCTGTCTAAAGGAAGGTTCAACTCTCTGAGTTGAATACATACATCCCAAAAGAAGTTACTGCGAATTCTTCTGTCTAGCATTATGTGAAGAAATCCCGTTTCCAACGAAAGCCTCCAAGAGGTCCAAATATCCAGTTGCAGAATTTACAAACTGACTGTTTCCAAACTCATCTATGAAAAGAAAGGTTAAACTCTGTGAGTTGAATGCACATATCACAAAGTAGTTCCTGAGAATGATTCTGTCTAGTTTTTATACGAAGATATTTCCTTTTCCACCAATGGCCTCAAAGTGCTTGAAATCTCCCCTTGCAAATTCCACAGAAACGTGTTTCAAATCTGCACTGTCTAAAGGAAGGTTCAACCCTGTGAGTTGAATACACACACACAGAAAAAAATTCACTGAGAATTCTATTGTCTATCATTACACGAAGAAATCCCGTTTACTACGAAGGCCTCAAAGAGGTCCAAATATCCAGCTGCAGACATTACAAACTGAGTGTTTCCAAAGTGCTCTATGAAAAGAAGTGTTAAACACTGTGAGTTCAATGCACACATCCCAAAGCAGTTTCTGAGAATGATTCCGTCTATTTTTTCTACGAAGATATTTCCTTTTCTACCGTTGGCCTCAAAGCGCTTGAAATCTCCACTTGCAAATTCCACAAAAAGAGAGTTTCAAATCTGCTCTGTCTAAAGGAAAGTTCCACTCTGTGAGTTGAATACACACCACAAAAAGAAGTTACTGAGAATTCTTCTGTCTAGCATTATATGAAAAATCCCGTTTCCAACGAAGGCCACAAAGAGGTCCAAATATCCACTTGCAGATTCTGAAAAAAGAGTGTTTCCAAACTGCTCTATGAAAAGAAACGTTAAACTCTGTGAGTTGAACGCAAACATCACAAAGTAGTTTCTGAGAATGACTCCGTCTAGTTTTTATACGAAGATATTTCCTTTTCTACCGTTGGCCTCAAAGCGCTTGAAGTCTCCCCCTGAAAATTCCACAAAAAGTGTTTCCAATCTGCTCCGCCTAAAGGAAGCTTCAACTCTGTGAGTTGAATACCCACAACACAAAGAAGTTACTGAGAATTCTTCTGTCTCGCATTATATGAAGAAATCCCGTTTCCAACGAAGGCCTCAATACATCCACATATCCAGTTGCTGACTTTACAAACTGAGTGTTTCCAAACTGCTCTATGAAAAGAAAGGTTAAACACTGTGAGTTGAACACACACGTACCAAAGTAGTTTCTGAGAATGATTCTGTCTAGTTTGCATACAAAGATATTTCCTTTTCTACCACTGGCCTCAAAGCTTTGAAATCTCCACTTGCAAATTCCACAAAAAGAGAGTTTCAAATCTGCTGTTTCTAAAGGAAAGTTCAACTCTGAGAGTTGAATACACACCAGAAAAAGCAGTTACTGAGAAGTCTTCTGTCTAGCATTATATGAAGAAATCCCATTTCCAAAGAAGACTTCAAACAGGTCCAAATATCCACTTGCAGATTCTGCAAAAAGAGTGTTTCGAAACAACTGTATGAAAAGAAAGGTTAAACACTGTGAGTTGAACACACCCATTGCAAAGCAGTTTCTGAGAATGATTCCGTCTAATTATTATACGAAGGTATTTCCTTTTCTATCATTGGCCTCAAAGCGCTTGATACCTCCACCTGAAAATTCCACAAAAAGAGTGTTTCCAATCTACTCTGTCTAAAGGAACGTTCAACTCTGTGAGTTGAATACACACCACAAAAAGAAGTTACTGATAATTCTTCTGTCTAGCATTATATGAAAAATCCCGTTTCCAACGAAGGCCACAAAGAGGTCCAAATATCCACTTGCAGATTCTGAAAAAAGAGTGTTTCCAAACTGCTCTATGAAAAGAAATGTTAAACTCAGTGAGTTGAACACAAACATCACCATGTAGTTTCTGAGAATGACTCCGTCTAGTTTTTATACGAAGATATTTCCTTTTCTACCATTCACTTCAAAGCGCTTGAAGTCTCCCCCTGAAAATTGCACTAAAAGAGTGTTTCCAATCGGCTCCGCCTAAAGGAAGCTTCAACTCTGTGAGTTGAATACCCAGACCACAAAGAAGTTACTGAGAATTCTTCTGTCTAACATTATATGAAGAAATCCCGTTTCAAACGAAGGCCTCAAATACATCCAAATATCCAGTTGCTGACTCTACAAACTGAGTGTTTCCAAACTGCTCTGTGAAAAAAAGGTTAAACTTTGTGAGTTGAACACACACATACCAAAGTAGTTTCTGAGAATGTTTCTGTCTAATTTGTATACGAAGATATTTCCTTTTCTACCATTGCCCTCAAAGCTTTGAAATCTCCACTTGCAAATTCCACAAAAAGAGAGTTTCAAATCTGCTGTGTCTAAAGGAAAGTTCAACTCTGTGTGTTGAATACACACCAGAAAAAGAAGTTACTGAGAATTCTTCTGTCTAGCATTATATGAAGAAATCCCGCTTCCAAGGAAGGTCTCAAAGTCCAAATATCCACTTGCACATTCTGCAAAAAGAGTGTTTCCAAACTGCTCTATGAAAAGAAAAGTTAAACTCTGTGTGTTGAATGCTCGCATCACAAAGTAGTTTCTTAGAATGATTCTGTCTAGTTTTTATACGAAGATATTTCCTTTTCTACCATTGGCCTCAAATTGCTTGAATTCTCCGCCTGAAAATTCCACAAAAAGAGGGTTTCCAATTTGCTCTGTCAAAAGGAAAGTTCAACTCTGCGAGTTGAAGACACACAACACAAAGAAGTTACTGAGAATTCTTCTATCTAGCATTATATGAAGAAATCCCATTTCCAACGAAGGCCTCAAAAAGTCCAAATATCCACTTGCATATTCTGCAAAAAGAGTGTTTCAAAGCCACTCTATTAAAAGGAATGTTGAACTCTGTGAGTTGAATGCAAACTTCGCAACTCAGTTTCTGAGAATGCTTCTGTCTAGTTTTTATGGTAAGATAATTCCTTTTCTACCATAGGCCTTAAAGCCCACTAAATACACCCTTGCAAATTCTACAAAGAGAGTGTTTCATAACTGCTCTATGGATTTAAAGTTTGAACTCTGTGAGTTGAACGCACAGATCACAATGTGGTTTCTGAGAAAGATTCTGTCTAGTTTTTACATGAAGATATTTCGTTGTCTACCATTCGCTTCAAAGCACTCTAAGTATGCACTTGGAAGTTCTACAAAAAGAGTGTTTGAGAACTGCTCTTTCAAAAGTAAGTTCAACTCTGTGAGTTGAATGCACACATCACAAAGAATTTTCTCAGAATTCTTCTGTGTAGGTTTATATGCAGAAATCCCATTTCCATCCAAGGCCTTAAAGAGGTCCAAATATCCACTTGCAGACTTTACAAACAGAGTGTTTGTCATCTGCTCTATGAAAAGAAAGGATAAACTCTGTGAGTTGAACGCACACATCACAAAGTAGTTTCTGAGAATGATTCTGTCTGGTTTTTAAACGAAGGTATTTCTTTTTCTACCATTGGCCTCAAAGCGCTTGAAATCTCCACCTGAAAATTCCACAAAAAGAGTGTTTCCAATCTGCTCCGTCTAAAGGAAGGTTCAACTCTGTGAGTTGAATACAGACACACAAATTAGTTACTGAGAATTCTTCTTTCTAGCATTATATGAAGAAATCCCGTTTCCAACGAAGGCCTCAAATACGTCCAAATATCCACTTACAGACTTTACAAACAGAGTGTTTCCAAACTTCTCTATCAAAATAAATGTGTGAGTTGAATGCACACATCACAAAGTATTTTCTGAGAATGATTCCGTCTACTTTTATACGAAGATATTTCCTTTTCTACCATTGGCCTTAAAGCGCTTGAAATCTCCATTTGCAAATTCCACAAAAAGAGTGTTTCCAACCTGCTCTGTCTAAAGGAAGGTGCAACTCTGTCAGTTGAATACACACAACAGAAAGAAGTTACTGAGAATTCTTCTGTCTATCATTATATGAAGAAATCCCGTTTTCAATGGGATATTTGGCCTCAAAGAGGTCCAAATATCCACTTGCAGACTTTACAAACAGAGTTTTTCCAAACTTCTGTGAGAAGAAATGTTAACCTCTGTGAATTGAAGTCACACATCACAAAGTAATTTCTGAGAATGATTTTGTCTAGTTTTTATAGGAAGATATTTCCTTTTCTACCATTGGCCTCAAAGCGCTTGAAATCTCCACTTGCAAATTCCACTAAAATGTGTTTCAAATCTGCTCTGTCTAAAGGAAGGTTCAACTCTGTGAGTTGAATAGACACAACACAAAGACGTTACTGAGAATTCTTCTGTCTAGCATTTTATGAAGATATCCCGTTTCCAATGAAGGCCTCAAAGAGGTCCAAATATCCACTTGCATTTTCTGCAAAAATAGTGTTTCAAAACCGCTCTATCAAAAGGAAGGTTGAACTCTGTGAGTTGAATGCAAACATCTCAACTTAGTTTCTGAGAATGCTTCTGTTTTGTTTTCATAGTAAGATATTTCCTTTTCTGCCATAGGCCTCAAAGCCCTCTGAATACACCCCTGCAAATTCTACCAAGAGAGTGTTTCATAACTGCTCTAAGGAAAGAAAGGTGAAACTCTGTGAGTTGAACGCACAGATCACAACGTGGTTTCTGAGAATGATTCTGTCTAGTCTTTGCATGAAGATATTTCACTGTCTGCCGTAGGCTTCAAAGCACTCTAAGTATGCACTTGGAAGTTCTACAAAAAGAGTGTTTGAAAACTACTCTTTTGAATGTGAGGTTCAACTCTGTGAGTTGAATGCACACATCACAAAGAAGTTACTCAGAATTCTTCTCTGTAGTTTTATAAGAAGGAATCCCTTTTCCAACGATTTCCTCCAAGAGGTCCAATTATCCACTTGCAGATTCTACAAGAAGAGTGTTTCAAAACTGCTCTATCAAGGGTAACGCTCAACTTTGTGAGTTCAATGCAAACATCACAATGTGGTTTCTGAGAATGCTTCTGTCTGGATTTTATGTGAAGATATTGCCTTTTCTACGATAGGTCTCAAACACCTCTAAATAAACACTTGCAAATTCTACAAAAAGAGAGTTTCAAATCTGCCTATAGAATGAGAGATTAAAATCAGTGAGTTGAATGCACCCATCACAATGTAGTTTCTGAGAATGATTCTGTCTTCTTTTTATATGCAGACATTTCCTTTTCTACCATAGGGCTAAAATCGCCCTTAATATCCACTTGGATATTCTACAAAAAGAGTGTTGCGAAACTGCTCTATTGAAAGAAATGTTCACCTCTGTGAGTTGAATGCACACTTCACAAAGAAGTTTCTTTGAATTCTTCTGTCTAGTTGTATATGAAGAAATCCCGTTTCCAACGAATTCCTCAAAGAGGTCCAACTATCCACTTGCAGATTCTACAAAAAGAGTGTTTCAAAACTGCTCTATCAAGATGAATGCTCAACTCTGTGAGTTCAATGCAAACATAACAAAGTAGTTTCTGAGAATGCTTCTGTCTAGTTTTTATGTGAAGATATTGCCTTTTCTACCATAGGCCTCAAAGCGCTCCAAATATCCACTTGCAAACTCTTGAAAAAGAGTTTTTCAAAACTGCTCTACCAAAAGGAAGGTTCACCACTGTGAGTTGTGTACAGACATCACAGAGAAGTTTCTGAGAATATTTCTGTCTCTTTTTATGTGAAGATGTTCCCTTTTCCAAAGAAAACCTCAAAGCACTCCAAATATCCAGATGCAGAATGTGCAAACAGAGTGTTTCAAAACTGCTCTATCAAAAGAATGGTTAAACTCTGTGAGTTGAACGCACACATCACAAAGTAGTTTCTGGGAACGATTCTGTCTAGTTTTTACATGTAGATTCTTCCTTTTCTACCACAGGTTTCAAAGCGCTCTAAATATTCCCTTGGAAATTCTACAAAAAGAGTGTTTCAAATCTGTTCTATCAAAAGGAGGATTCAACTCTGAGTTGAATGCACACATCACAAAGAAGTCTCTGAGAATTCTTCTGTCTAGTTTTATGTGAAGAAATCCCATTTCCAACGAATTCCTCAAACAGCTCGAAATATCCACTTGCAAATTCTATAAAAAGAGTGTTTGAAAACTGCTCTCTAAAGAGGAATGTTCCATTCTGTGAGTTGAATGCAAATATCACAATGCAGTTTCTGAGAATGGTACTGTCTAGTTTTTCTGTGAAGATATCTCCATTTCTATCACAGGCCTCAAAGTGCTCAAAGTATCCACTTGCTAACTCTACAAAAAGAGTGTTTCAGAACTGCTCTGTCAAAAGGAAGGTTCACCTCTGTGAGTTGAGTGCAGACATCACCAAGAAGTTTCTGGGAATACTTCCATCTACTTTTTATGTGAAGATACTCCCATTTCCAAGGAAAGCCTCACAGCGCTACAAATATACAGATGCAGACTTTACAAACAGTGTTTCAAAACTGTTCTATCAACACAAAGGTTAAACTCTGTGAGTTGAAGGCACACATCACAAACTAATTTGTGGGAATGATTCTGTCTAGTTTTTATATAAAGATACTTGCTTTTCTACCATAGGATTCAATGCGCTCTAAATATCCACTACGGAAATTCTACAAAGAGTGTTCCAAATCTGCTCTATCCAAAGAAGGTTCAACTCTGTGAGTTGAATGCACACATCACAAATATGTCTCTGAGAATTCTTCTGTCTAGTTTCATGAGAAGAAATCCCGTTTCCAACGAATTCCTCCAAGAGGTCCAAATATCCACTTGCAGATTCTACAAGAAGAGTGTTTCAAAACTGCTCTATCAAGACGAATGCTCAACTCTGTGAGTTCACTGCAAACATCACAAAGTAGTTTCTGAGAATACTTCTGTGTAGATTTTATGTGAAGATATTTCCTTTTCTACGATAGGCCTCAAAGACCTCTAAATACACACTTGTAAATTCTACAAAAAGAACGTTTCAAATCTGCCTATAGAAAGAGAGATTAAAATCAGTGAGTTGAATAAACACATCACAATGTAGTTTCTGAGAATGATTGTCTTCTTTTTATATGAAGACATTTCCTTTTCAACCATAGGCCTAAAAGTGCACTCAATATCCACTTGGATATTCTACAAAAAGAGTGTTGCAAAACTGCTCTATCAAGACGATTCCTCAACTCTGTGAGTTCAATGCGAACAAAACAAAGTAGTTTCTGAGAATGCTTCTGTCTAGTTTTTATATGAAGATACTGCGTTTTCTAACATAGGCCTCAAAGCGCTCCAAATATCCACTTGCAAACTCTACCAAAAGAGTGTTTCAAAACTGCTCTATCAAAAGGAAGTTTCACCACTGTGAGTTGAGTACAAACATCACAGAGAAGTTTCTGAGAATACTTTTGTCTCCTTTTTAGGTGAAGATGTTCCTTTTTCCAAAGAAAACCTCAAAGCACTCCAAATATCCAGATGCAGAATGTGCAAACAGAGTGTTTCAAAACTGCTCTATCAAAACAATGGTTAAACTCTGTGAGTTGAACGCACACATCACAAAGTAGTTTCTGGGAACGATTCTGTCTAGTTTTTACATGAAGATTCTTCCTTTTCTATCACAGGTTTCAAAGCGCTCTAAATATTCACTTGGAAATTCTACAAAAAGAGTGTTTCAAATCTGCTCTATCAAAAGGAGGATTCAACTCTGTGAGTTGAATGAACACATCACAAGGAAGTCTCTGAGAATTCTTCTGTCTAGTTTTATGTGAAGAAATCCCGTTTCCAACGAATTCCTCAAACAGGTCAAAATATCCACTTGCAGAGTCTACAAAAAGAGTGTTTCAAAACTGCTCTCTAAAGTAGAATGTTCCACTCTGTGCGTTGAATGCAAATATCACAATGTAGTTTCTGAGAATTGTACTGTCTAGTTTTTCTGTGAAGATATCTCCATTTCTATCAATCACAGGCCTCAAAGTACTCAAAGTATCCACTTGGTAACTCTACAAAAAGAGTGTTTCAAAACTGCTCTGTCAAAAGGAAGGTTCACCTCTGTGAGTTGTATGCAGACATCACCAAGAAGTTTCTGAGAATACTTCCGTCTACTTTTTATGTGAAGATACTTCCGTTTCCAAAGAAAGCCACAAATCGCTCCAAATATACAGATGCAGACTTTACAAACAGAGTGTTTCAAAACTGCTCTATCAACAGAAAGGTTAAACTCTGTGAGTTGAAGGCACACATCACAAAGTAGTTTGTGGGAATGCTTCTGTCTAGTTTTTATGTGAAGATATTTCCTTTTCTATCTTAGACATCAAAGCGCTCTAAATATCCACTTGCAAACCCTACAAAAAGAGAGTTTCAAAACTGCTCTATCCAAAAGAAGTTTCACTTCCGTGAGTTCAGTACAGACGTCACAAAGAAGTTTCTGAGAATAGTTCAGTCTACTTTTTATGTGAAGATATTCAAGTTTCCAAAGAAAACCTCAAAGCGCTCCAAATATCCAGATGCAGACTTTAGAAACAGAATGTTTCAAAACTGCTCTGACAAAAGAAAGTTTAAACTCTGTGAGTTGAAGGCACACATCACAAAGTGGTTTCTGGGAATGATTCTGTCTATTTTTTATATGAAGATACTTACATTTGTGCTATAGGATTCAATGCGCTCCAAATATTCACTTGGAAACTCTACAAAAAGAGTGTTTCAAATCTGCTCTATCAAAAGATGGGTTCAACTCTGTGAGTTGAATGCACACACCACAAAGAAGTTTCTGATAATTCTTCTGTGTAGATTTATATGAAGAAATCCCGTTTCCAACGAATGCCTCGAAGAGGTCCAAATACCCAGTTGCTGATTCTACAAAAAGAGTGTTTCAAAACTGCTCTTTAAAGAGGAATGTTCAACTCTTTGAGTTGAATGCAAACATCAGAAAGTAGTTTTTGAAAATGCTTCTGTCTAGATTTTAGGTGAAGATATTCCTTTTTCTACAGTAGTTCTCAAAGTGCTCTAAATATCCACTTGCAAACTCTACAAAAAGAGTGTTTCAAAAGTGCTCTGTCAAAAGGAAGGTTCACTTCTGTGAGTTGAGTACAGACATCACAAAGGAGTCTGTGAGAATACTTCTGTCTGCTTTTTATCTGAAGATATGCCTGTTTCCAAAGAAAACCTCTAATCCCTCCAATTATTCAGGTGCAGACTTTACAAACAGAGTTTTTCAAAACTGCTCTATCAAAAGAAAATTTAAACTCTGTGAGTTGAACGCACACATCACAAAGTAGTTTCTGGGAATCATTCTGTCTAGATTTTATATGAATATATATCTTTTTCTACCATAGGATTCAAAGCGGTCCAAAAATCCACTTGGAAATTCTACAAAAAGAGTGTTTCAAATCTACTCTGCCAAAAGGAAGTTTCAACTCTGAGACTTCAATGCACACATCACAAAGAAGTTTCTGAGAATTCTTCTGTCCAGTTTTATATGAAGAATTCCTGTCTCCAATAAAGGCCTCAAAGAGGTCCAAATATCCACTTGCAGATTCTACCAAAAGAGTGTTTCAAAACTGCTCTATCAAAAGAAAGGTTAAACTCTGTGAGATGAACGCACACATCACAAACTAGTTTCTGGGAATGATTCTGTCTAGTTTTTATATGAATATATTTCCTTTTCTACCATAGGATTAAAAGCACTCTAAATATCCACTTGGAAATGCTACCAAAAGAGAGTTTCAAATCTGCTCTATCAAAAAGAAGGTTCAACTGTGTGAGTTGAATGCACATGTCACAAGGAAGTTTCTGACAATTCTTCTGTCTAGCTTTATATGAAAAAATCCCATTTCCAACGAAGTCCTCAAAGAGGTCCAAATATCCACTTGCAGATTCCACAATAAGAGTGTTTCAAAACTGCTCTATCATGAGGAATGTTCAACTCGGTGAGTTGAATGTAAACATCACAAAGTTGTTTCTGAGAATGGTTCTGTCTAGTTTTTATGTGAAGATATATCGTTTTCTACCATAGGCCTCAAAGCACTCTAAATATCCACTTGCAAACTCTACAAAGAAGTGTTTCAAAGCTGCTCTATCAAAAGGAAGGTTCACCTCTGTGAGTTGAGTACAGACATCAAAAAGAAGTTTCTGAGAATGCTTCTGTCTACTTTTTATGTGAAGATACTCACGTTTCCAAAGAAAACCTAAAAGCCCTCCAAATATCCAAATGCAGACTTTAAAAACAGAGTTTTTCAAAACTGCTGTATTAAAAGAAAGGTGAAACTCTGAGAGTTGAACGCACACATCACAAAGTAGTTTCTGGAAATTATTATGTCTAGCTTTTATATGAAGATATTTCCTTTTCTACTCTAGGATTCAAAGCGCTCTAAATAACCACCTGGAAATACTACAAAAAGAGTGTTTCAAATCTGCTCTATACAAAGGATGGTTCAACTCTGTGAGATGAATGCACACATCAGAAAGAAGTTTCTGAGAATTATTCTGTCTAGTTTTATATGAAGAAATCCATTTTCCAACGAAGGCCTCAAAGAGGTCCAAATATCCACTTGCAGATTCTACAAAAAGAGTGTTTCAAAACTGCTCTATCAAGAGAAACGTTCAACTCTGTGAGTTGAATGCAAACATCACAAAGTAGTTTCTGAGAATGCTTCTGTCTGGTTTTTATGTTAGGATATTTCCTTTTCTAACACAGGCATCAGAGTGCTCTAAATACACACTTGCAAATTCTACAAAAAGTGTGTTCCAAAACTGCTCTATCAAAAGAGTGGTTAAACTCAGTGAGTTGAATGCACACATCACAATGTTGTATCGGAGAATGATTCTGTCTAGCTTTTATAGGAAGATATTTCCTTTTCTAACATATGCCTCAAAGCTCACTATATATCCACTTGGAAATTCTGCAAAGGAGTATTGCAAAACAGCTCTACTGAAAGGAATGTTCACATCTGTTAGGTGAATGCACACATCACAAAGAAGTTTCTGAGAATTCTTCTGTCTGGTTTTATATGAAGAAATCCCATTTCCAACGATGGCCTCAAACAGTTCCAAATATCCACTTGCAGATTCTACAAAAACAGTATTTAAAAACTGTTCTATCATGAGTAATGATCAACTCTGTGAGGTGAATGTAAACATCACAAAGTATTTTCTGAGAATGCTTCTGTCTAGTTTTTATGTGAAGATATATCCTTTTCTACAATAGACCACAAAGCGCTCTAAAAATCCACTTGCAAACTCTACAAAGAAACGTTTCAAAGATGCTCTATCAAAAGACGGTTCACCATTGTGAGTTGAATACAGACATCACAAAGAAGCTTCTGAGAATACTTCTGTCTACTTTTTATGTGAAGATACTCCCGTTTCCAAAGAAAACTTCAAAGCGCTCCAAATATCCAAACGCAGTCTTTACAAACAGAGTGTTTCAAAAGTGCTCTAAAAAAAGAAAGGTTAAACTCTGATAGTTGAATGCAAACATCACAAAGTAGTTTCTGGGAATGATTCTGTCTTATTTTTATATGAAGATATTTCCGTTTCTACCATAGTTTTCAAATCGCTCTAAATATCCACTTTGAAATTCTACAAAAAGACTGTTTCAAAACTGCTCTATCAAAAGGAAGGTTCAACTATGTGAGTTGAATGCACACATCACAAAGAAGTTTCTGAGAATTCTTCTGTCTAGGTATAAATGAAGAAATCCATTTTCCAACGAAGGCCTCAAAGAGGTCCAAATATCCACTTGCAGATTCTACAAAAAGAGTGTTTCAAAACTGCTCTATAAAGAGAAATGTTCACCTCCGTAAGTTGAATGCAAACATCACAAAGTAGTTTCTGTGAATGCTTCTGTACAATTTTTATGTGAAGATATGTCCTTTTCCACCGTAGGCCTCAAAGTGCTTTAAATTAAATAAACACCTGCAAATTCTACAAAAAGAGTGTTTCAAAACTGCTCTATCAAAAGAAAGGTTATACTCAGTGAGTTCAATGCACACATCCAAAGTAGTTTCTGAGAATGATTCTGTCTAGTTTATATATGAAGATAATTCGTTGTCTAATATAGACCTAAATCACCCTAAATATCCACTTAGATATTCTACAGAAAGAGTGTTTCAAAACTGCTCTATTGAAGGGAACGTTGAACTCTGTGGGTTGAATGCAAACATCACAAAGAAGCTTCTGAGAATTCTTCTGTCTAGTTTTTTTATTAAGAAATACCCTTTTCCAAAGAAGGCCTCAAAGAAGTCAAATATCCACTTGCAGATACTACAAGAAGAAGGTGACAAAACTGCTCTATAAAGAGGAAAGTTCAACTCTGTGAGTTGAATGCAAACATCACAAAGTTGTTTCCGAGAATGGTTCTGTCTAGCTTTTATGTGAAGATATATCATTTTCTACCATAGGCCCCAACACACTCTAAATATCCACTAGCAAACTCCACAAAGAAGTGTTTCAACGCTGCTCTATCAAAAGGAAGGTTCACCTCTGTGAATTGAGTACAGACATCAAAAAGAAGTTTCTGAGAATACTTCTGTCTACTTTTTATGTGAAGATACTCCCGTTTTCAAAGAAAACCTAAAAACCCTCCAAATATCCAAAAGCAGACTTTACAAACAGAGTGTTTCAAAACTTCTCTATCAAAAGAAAGGTGAAACTCTGAGAGTTGAACGCACACTTCACAAAGTAGTTTCTGGGAATGATTCTGTCTAGTTTTTATATGAAGGTATTTCCTTTTCTACCGTAGGATTCAAAGCGCGCTAAGTAACCACCTGGAAATACTACAAAAAGAGTGTTTCAAATCTGCTCTATAAAAAGGATGGTTCAACTCTGTGAGTTGAATGCACACATCACAAAGAAGTTTCTAAGAATTCTTCTGTCTAGTTTTAAATGAAGAAATCCCGTTTCCACCGGAGGCCTCAAAGAGGTCCAAATATCCAATTGCACATTCTACAAAAAGAGTGTTCCCAAACTGCTCTATCAAGAGGAATGTTCAACTCTGTGAGTTGGATGCAAACATCACAAAGTAGATTCTGAGAATGCTTCTGTCTAGTTTTTATGTGAAGATATTTCTTTTTCTACCATAGGCCTCAAAGCACTCCAAATATCCACTTGCAAACACTACAAAAAGAGTGTTTCAATACTGCTCTATCAAAAGGAAGGTTCACATCTGTGAGTTGAGTACAGACATCACAAAGAAGTTTCTGAGAATAGTTGTGTCTACTTTTTAGGTGAAGATATTCCCGTTTCCATGGAAAACCTGAAAGCGCTCGAAATATCCAGATGCAGACTTTACAGAGTGTTTCAAAGCTACTCTATCAAAAGAAAGGTAAAATTCTGTCAGTTGAAGGCACACATCACAAAGAAGTTTCTGAGAATTCTTCTGTCTACTTTTATATGAAGAAATCCCATTTCCAATGAAGGCCTCAAAGAGGTCCAAATATCCACTTGCAGATTCTACAAAAATAGTGTTTCAAAACTACTCTATCAAGAGGAATGTTCAACTCTGTGATTGAATGCAAACATCACAAAGTGGTCTCTGTGAATGCTTCGGCCTAGTTTTTATGTGAACATATTTACTTTTCTAAAAAGGCCTCCAAGCGCTCTAAATACACACTTGCAAATTCTACCAAAGAGTGTTTCAAAACTGCTCTATCAAAAGAAAGGTTAAACTCAGTGAGTTGAATGCGCACATCACAAAGTAGTTTCTAAGAATCATTCTGTCTAGTTTTTCTACGAAGATATTGCCTTTTCTACCATAGGCCTTAAACGGCGCTAAATATCCACTTGGAAATTCTACAAAAAGAGTGTTTCAAAAATGCTCCATTGAAAGGAACGTTCACCACTGTGAGTTGAATGCACACATCACAAAGAAGTTTCTGAAAATTCTTCTGTCTAGTTTTATATGAAGAAATCCCGTTTCCAAAGAAGGCCTCAAAGACGTCCCATTATCCAGTTGCAGATTCTACAAAAAGAGTGTTTCAAAACTGCTCTATCAAAAGGAAGGTTCAACTCTGTGAGTTGAATGCACACATCACAAAGTTGTTTCTGAGAATGCTTCTTTTTATTTTCCATGTGAAGATATTTCCTTTTCTACCATAGGCCTCAAAGCACTCCAAATGTCCACTTGGAGATTCTACAAAAAGAGTGTTTCAAAACCACTCTATCAAAAGGAAGTTTCAACTCTATGAGTTGAATGCACAGATCACAAACAAGTTTCTGAGAATGCTTCTGTCTAGTTTTTATTGATTTATTTATTTATTTTAAGTTTTTTCTTCTATTATTATACTTTAAGTTTTAGGGTACATGTGCACATTGTGCAGGTTAGTTACATATGTATACATGTGCCATGCTGGTGCGCTGCACCCATTAACTTGTCATCTAGTATTAGGTATATCTCCCAATGCTATCCCTCACCCCACCCTCCACCCGACAACAGTCCCCAGAGTGTGATGTTCCCCTTCCTGTGTCCATGTGATGTCATTGTTCAATTCCCACCTACGAGTGAGAATATGTGGTGTTTGGTTTTTTGTTCTTGTGATAGTATACTGAGAATGATGATTTCCAGTTTCATCCATGTCCCTACAAAGGACATGAACTCATCATTTTTTATGGCTGCATAGTATTCCATGGTGTATATGTGCCACATTTTCTTAATCCAGTCTATCATTTCTGGACATCTTGGTTGGTTCCAAGTCTTTGCTATTGTGAATAATGCCACAATAAACATATGTGTGCATGTGTCTTTATAGCAGCATGATTTATAATACTTTGGGTATATACCCAGTAAAGGGATGGCTGGGTCAAATGGTGTTTCTAGTTCTAGATCCCTGAGGTATCGCCAAACTGACTTCCACAATGGTTGAACTAGTTTACAGTCCCACCAACAGTGTAAAAGTATTCTTATTTCTCCACATCCTCTCCAGCACCTGTTGTTTCCTGACTTTTTAATGATTGCCATTCTAACTGGTGTGAGAAGGTATCTCATTGTGGTTTTGATTTGCATTTCTCTGATGGCCAGTGATGATAAGCATTCTTTCATGTGTTTTTTGGCTGCATAAATGTCTTCTTTTGAGAAGTGTCTGTTCATGTCCTTTGCCCACTTTTTGATGGGGTTGTTTATTTTTTTCTTGTAAATTTGTTTGAGTTCATTGTAGATTCTGGATATTAGCCCTTTGTCAGATGAGTAGGTTGTGAAAATTTTCTCCCATTTTGTAGGTTGCCTGTTCACTCTGATGGTAGTTTCTTTTGCTGTGCAGAAGCTCTTTAGTTTAATTAGATCCCATTTGTCAATTTTGGCTTTTGTTGCCATTGCTTTTGGTGTTTTACACATGATGTCCTTGCCCATGCCTATGTCCTGAATGGTAATGCCTAGGTTTTCTTCTTGGATTTTTATAGTTTTAGGTCTAACGTTTAAGTCTTTAATCCATCTTGAATTGATTTTTGTATAAGGTGTAAGGAAGGGATCCAGTTTCAGCTTTCTACATATGGCTAGCCAGTTTTCCCAGCACCATTTATTAAATAGGGAATCCTTTCCCCATTGCTTGTTTTTCTCAGGTTTGTCAAAGATCAGATAGATGTAGATACGTGGCATTATTTCTGAGGGCTCTGTTCTGTTCCATTGATCTATATCTCTGTTTTGGTACCAGTACCATGCTGTTTTGGTTACTGTAGCCTTGTAGTATAGTTTGAAGTCAGGTAGTGTGATGCCTCCAGCTTTGTTCTTTTGGCTTAGGATTGACTTGGTGATGCAGGCTCTTTTTTGGTTCCATATGAACTTTAAAGTAGTTTTTTCCAGTTCTGTGAAGAAAGGCATTAGTAGCTTGATGGGGATGGCAATGAATCTGTAAATTATCTTGGGCAGTTTGGCCATTTTCGTGATATTGATTCTTCCTACTCATGAGCATGGAATGTTCTTCCATTTGTTTGTATCCTCTTTTATTTCCTTGAGCAGTGGTTTGTAGTTCTCCTTGAAGAGGTCCTTCACATCCCTTGTAAGTTGGATTCCTAGGTATTTTATTCTCTTTGAAGCAATTGTGAATGGGAGTTCACTCATGATTTGGCTCTCTGTTTGTCTGTTGTTGGTGTATAAGAATGCTTGTGATTTTTGTACATTGATTTTGTATCCTGAGACTTTGCTGAAGTTGCTTATCAGCTTAAGGAGATTTTGGGCTGAGGCAATGGGGTTTTCTAGATATACAATCATGTCGTCTGCAAACAGGGACAATTTGACTTCCTCTTTTCCTAATTGAATACCCTTTATTTCCTTCTCCTGCCTAATTGCCCTGGCCAGAACTTCTAACACTATGTTGAATAGGAGTGGTGAGAGAGGGCATCCCTGTCTTGTGCCCGTTTACAAAGGGAATGCTTCCAGTTTTTGCCCATTCAGTATGATATTGGCTGTGGGTTTGTCATAGAGAGCTCTTATTATTTTGAAATACATCCCATCAATACCTAATTTATTGAGAGTTTTTAGCATGAAGGGTTGTTGAATTTTGTCAAAGGCCTTTTCTTCATCTATTGAGATAATCATGTGGCTTTTGTCTTTGGTTCTGTTTATATGCTGGATTACATTTTTTGATTTGCATATATTGAACCTTGAAGCCCACTTGATCATGGTGGATAAGTTTTTGATGTGCTGCTGGATTTGGTTTGCCAGTATTTTATTGAGGATTTTTGCATCAAAGTTCATCAAGGATATTGGTCTGAAATTCTCTTTTTTGGTTGTGTCTCTGCCCGGCTTTGGTATCAGAATGATGCTGGCCTCATAAAATGAGTTAGGGAGGATTCCCTCTTTTTCTTTTGGTTGGAATAGTTTCAGAAGGAATAGTACAAGTTCTTCCTTGTACCTCTGGTAGAATTCGGCTGTGAATCCATCTGGTCCTGGACTCTTTTTGGTTGGTAAGCTATTGATTATTGCCACAATTTCAGATCCTGTTATTGGTCTATTCAGAGATTCAAATTCTTCCTGGTTTAGTCTTGGGAGAGTGTATGTGTCAAGGAATTTATCCATTTCTTCTAGATTTTCTAATTTATTTGCATAGAGGTGTTTGTAGTATTCTCTGATGGTAGTTTGTATTTCTGTGGGATCGGTGGTGATATCCCCTTTATCATTTTCTATTGCGTCTATTTGATTCTTCTCTCTTTTTTTCTTTATTAGTCTTGCTAGTGGTCTATTTTGTTGATCATTTCAAAAAACCAGCTCCTGGATTCATTAAATTTTTAAAGTGTTTTTTGTGTCTCTATTTCCTTCAGTGCTGCTCTGATTTTAGTTATTTCTTGCCTTCTGCTAGCTTTTGAATGTATTTGCTCTTGCTTTTCTAGTTCTTTTAATTGTGATGTTAGGGTGTCAATTTTGGATTTTCTTGCTTTCTCTTGTGGGCATTTAGTGCTATAAATTTCCCTCTACACACTGCTTTGAATGCCTCCCAGAGATTCTGGTATGTTGTGTCTTTGTTCTCGTTGGTTTCAAAGAACATCTTTATTTCTGCCTTCATTTCGTTATGTACCCAGTAGTCACTCAGAAGCAGATTGTTCAGCTTCCATATAGTTGAGCAGTTTTGAGTGAGATTCTTAATCCTGAGTTCTAGTTTGCTTGCACTGTGGTCTGAGAGATAGTTTGTTATAATTTCTGTTCTTTTACATTTGCTGAGGAGAGCTTTCCTTCCAAGTATGTGGTCAAATTTGGAATAGGTGTGGTGTGGTGCTGAAAAAAATGTATATTCTGTTGATTTGGGGTGGAGAGTTCTGTAGATGTCTATTAGGTCCGCTTGGTGCAGAGCTAAGTTCAATTCCTGGGTATCCTTGTTGACTTTCTGTCTCGTTGATCTGTCTAATGTTGACAGTGGGGTGTTAAAGTCTCCCATTATTAATGTGTGGGAGTCTAAGTCTCTTTGTAGGTCTCTCAGGACTTGCTTTATGAATCTGGGTGCTCCTGTGTTGGGTGCATATATATTTAGGATAGTTAGCTCTTCTTGTTGAATTGATCCCTTTACTATTATATAATGGCCTTCTTTGTCTCTTTTGATCTTTGTTGGTTTAAAGTCTGTTTTATCAGAGACTAGAATTGCAACCCCTGTTTTTTTTTGTTTTATTTTGAGCCTATGTGTGTCTCTGCACGTGAGATGGGTTTCCTGAATAGAGCACACTGATGGGTCTTGACTCTTTATCCAATTTGCCAGTCTGTGTCCTTTAATTGGAGCATTTAGTCCATTTACATTTAAAGTTAATATTGTTATGTGTGAATTTGATCCTGTCGTTATGATGTTAGCTGGTTATTTTGCTCATTCGTTCATACAGTTTCTTCCTAGTCTTGATGGTCTTTACATTTTGGCATGATTTTGCAGCGGCTGGTACCGGTTGTTCCTTTCCATGTTTAGCACTTCCTTCAGGAGCTCTTTTAGGGCAGTCCTGGTGGTGACAAAATCTCTCAGCATTTGCTTGTCTGTAAAGTATTTTATTTCTCCTTCACTTACGAAGCTTAGTTTGGTTGGATATGAAATTCTGGGTTGAAAATTCTTTTCTTTAAGAATGTTGAATATTGGCCCCCACTCCCTTCTGGCTTGTAGGGTTTCTGCCGAGAGATCTGCTGTTAGTCTGATGGGCTTCCCTTTGAGGGTAACCCGACCTTTCTCTCTGGTTGCCCTTAACATTTTTTCCTTCATTTCAACTTTGGTGAATCTGACAATTATGTGTCTTGGAGTTGCTCTTCTCGAGGAGTATCTTTGTGGCGTTCTCTGTGTTTCCTGAATCTGAATATTGGCCTGCCTTTCTAGATTGGGGGAATTCTCCTGGATAATATCCTGCAGAGTGTTTTCCAGCTTGGTTCCATTCTCCCCATCACTTTCAGGTACACCAATCAGACGTAGATTTGGTCTTTTTACATAGTCCCATATTTCTTGGAGGCTTTGCTCATTTCTTTTTATTCTTTTTTCTCTAAACTTCCCTTCTCACTTCATTTCATTCATTTCATCTTCCATCACTGATACCGTTTCTTCCAGTTGATCGCATTGTCTCCTGAGGCTTCTGCATTCTTCACGTAGTTCTCGAGCCTTGGTTTTCAGCTACATCAGCTCTTTTAAGCACTTCTCTGTATTGGTTATTCTAGTTATACATTCCTGTAAATTTTATTCAAAGTTTTCCACTTCTTTGCCTTTGGTTTGAATATCCTCCCATAGCTCAGAGTAACTTGATCATCTGAAGACTTCTTCTCTCAGCTTGTCAAAGTCATTCTCCGTCCAGCCTTGTTCCGTTGCTGGTGAGGAACTGCGTTTCTTTGGAGGAGGAGAGGGGCTCTGCTTTTTAGAGTTTCCAGTTTTTCTGTTCTGTTTTTTCCCCATCTTTGTGGTTTTATCTACTTTTGGTCTTTGATGGTGATGTACAGATGTGTTTTTGGTGTGGTTGTCCTTTCTGTTTGTTAGTTTTCCTTCTAACAGACATGACCCTCAGCTGCAGGTCTGTTGGAGTACCCTGCCGTGCGAGGTGTCAATGTGCCCCTGTTGGGGTTTGCCTCCCAGTTAGGCTGCTCTGGGGTCAGGGGTCAGGCACCCACTTGAGGAGGCAGTCTGCCCCTTCTCAGATCTCCAGGTGCGTACTGGGAGAACCACTGCTCTCTTCAAAGCTGTCAGACAGGGACATTTGTGTCTAGTTTTTATTTGAAGATATTCCCGTTTCCAACGAAGGCTTCAAAGCTGCCAAATATCCACTTGCATATTCTACAAAAAGAGTGTTTCAAAGCTGCTCTATCAAAAGAAAGGTTCACCTCTGTGAATTGAATGCACACATCACAAAGTACATTCTGAAAATGCTTCTGTCCTGTTTTATATGAAGATGTTTGCTTTCCTACATTAGGCCTCAAAGCGCTCCAAATATCCACTTGCAGATTCTACAAAAAGAGTGTTTCAAAACTGCTCTAGCAAATGGAAGGTTCAATACTCTGAGTTGAATGCACACATCACAAAGAAGTTTCTGAGAATGCTTCTGTCTAGCTTATATGTGAAGATATTTCCTTTTCTATCACAGACCTTAAAGGGCTCCAAATGTCCAGTTACAGATTCTACAAAAAGACTGTTTCAAAACTGCTCTATCCAAAGAAATATTCGACTCTGTGAGTTGAATGCACAGTTCACAAAGAAGTTTCTGAGAATGCTTCTGTCTAGTTTTTATATGAAAATATTGCCTTTTCTACCGTAGGAGTCAAAGTGCTCCGAATATCCACTTGCAGATTCTACAAAAAGCGTGATTCAAAAGCGCTCTACCAAAAGGAATGTTCAAATCTGTGAGGTGAATACACACATTCCAAAGAAATTTCTGAGAATGCTTCTGTCTAGTTTCTATGTGAAGATATTTCCTTTCCACCACAGGCCTCAAAGCCCCCAAAATGTCCACGTGCAGATTCTACGAAAAGAGATTTTCAATACCGCTCTATCATAAGTAAGGTTAAACTCCGTGAGTTGAATGCACAGATCACAAAAATTTCTGAGAATGCTTATGTCTACTTTATATTTGAAGATATTCTGGTTTCTAACTAAGGCCTCAAAGCGCCTCAAATATCCCCTGGGAGATTCTATAAAAAAGTGTTTCAAAACTGCTCTATCAAAAGGAAGTTTCAACTCTGTGAGTTGATTGCACACATCACAAAGAAGTTTCTGAGAAGGCTTCTGTCTGGTTTTCATATGAAGATATTTCCTTTTCCACAATAGGCCTCAAAGCCCTCCAAATGTCCAATTTCAGATTCAAAAAAATTGACTTTCAAAACTGCTCTATTAAAAAGAAGGTTCAAATCTGTGATTTGAATGCACACATCACAAGGAAGTTTCTGAAAATGCTTCTGTCTTGTTTTTAAGTGGGGATATTTCCGTTTCCAATGAAGGCCTCAAAGCGGTCCAAATATCCCCATGCAGATTCTACAAAAAGACTGTTTCAAAACTGCTCTATCGAAAGTAAGGTTCGCCTCTGTGAGTTGGATGCAGACACCTCAAAGAAGTTTCTGAGAATGCTTCTGTCTAGTTTTATATGAAGATATTTTTTTTTCTACCAGAGGCCTCAAGGCTCTCCAAATATCCAATTGCAGAAACTACAAAAAGAGTGTTTCAAAACTGCTCTATCAACAGGAAAGTTCAACTCTGTGAGTTGAATGCACACATCACAAAGAGGTTTCTGAGAATACTTCTGTCTAGTTTCTATGTGAAGATATTTCCTTTTGTACCATAGGCCTCAAAAGGCTCCAAAAGTCCACTTGCAGATTCTTTAAAAAGAGTGTTGCAAAAGTGTTCTATCAAAAGGAAGGTTCATCTCTGTGAGTTGAATGCACACATCACAAAGAACTTTCTGAAAATGTTTCTGTCTAGTTTTTATGTGACAATATTCCCTTTCCATTGAAGGCCTTAAAGCCGTCCAAATATCCACTTGCAGATTCTACTAAAAGAGTGGTTCAAAACTGCTCTATCAAAAGAAAGGTTCAACCCTGTGAGTTGAATGCACACATCACAAAGAAGTTTCTGAGAATGCTTCTGTCTAGTTTTTATTTGAAGATAATTCCTTTTCTAACATAGGCCTCAAAGGTCTCCAAATGTCCACTAGGAGATTTTACAAAAAGAGTGTTTCAAAACTGCTCTACCAAAGTAATCTTCAACTCTGTGAGTTGAATGCACACATCACAAAGAAGTTTCTGAAAATGCTTCTGTCTAGTTTTTAGGTGAAGGTGTTCCCATTTCCAACGAAGGCGTCTAAGCTGTCCAAATATCCACTTGCAGATTCTACAAAAAGAGTGTTTCAAAACTGCTCTAACAAAAGGAAAGTTCAACTCTGTGTGATGAAAGCACACATCACAAAGAAGTTTCTGAGAATGCTTCTGTCTAGTTTTTATATGAAGATATTTGCTTTTCTACCATAGGCCTCAAAGCGCTCTAAATATCCACTTGCAGATTCTACAAAAAGAGTGTTTCAAAAGTGCCCAATCTAAAGTAATGTTCAACTCTGTGAGTTGAATGTACACATCACAAAGTGGTTTCTGAGAATGGCTCTGTC
Organism: Homo sapiens; assembly: GCF_000001405.40. NCBI lineage: Eukaryota > Metazoa > Chordata > Mammalia > Primates > Hominidae > Homo > Homo sapiens. The sequence goes on from NC_000003.12 coordinate 93,733,839, forward strand.
TAGTTTCCATGTGAAGATATTTCCTTTTCCACCACAGGTCTTAAAGCTCTCGAAATGTCGACTTGCAGATTCTACAAAAAGGGTGTTTCAAACGCTGTCTATCAAAAGAAAGGTTCAACTCAGTGAGTTTAATTCACACATCACAAATAAGTTTCAGAGAATGTTTCTGTCTACTTTTTATATGAAGATATTTGCTTTTCTACCATTGACCTCAAAGCGCTCCAAATATCCACTAGCAGATTCTTCAAAAAGAGTGTTTCAAAAGTGCTCTATCTAAAGGAAAGTTCAACTCCATGAGATGAATGCATAGATCACAAAGAAGTTTCTGAGAACGATTCTGTCTAGTTTTTATTTGAAGATATTCCCATTTCCAATGAAGGCCTCAAAGCGGTCCAAATATCCACTTGCAGAATATAAAAAAAAAGTGTTTCAAAACTGATCTATCAAAAGGAAGGCTCAATTCTGTGAGATGAACGCACACAACGCAAAGAAATTTCTGAGAATGCTCCTGTCTAGTTTTTAGGTGAAGATATTCACGATTCCAACGAAGGCGTCAAATCTGTCCAAATATCCATTTGCAGATTTTACAAATAGAGGGTTTCAAAACTGATCTATCAAAAAGACCGTTCAACTCTGTGAGTTGAATGCACAGATCACAAGGAAGTTTCTGAGAATGCTTCTGTCTAGTTATTTGAAGATATTCCTGTTTCCAACGAAGGCCTCAAAGCGGACCAAATATCCACTTGCAGATTCTACAAAAAGAGTGTTTCAAAACCGCTCTATCAAAAGGAATGTTCAACTCTGTGAATTGAATGCACACATCACAAAGATGTTTCTGAGAATGCTCAGGTCTAGTTATTTGAAGATATTCCCATTTCAAATTAACGCCTCAAAGCGGTCCAAATATGCACTTGCAGATTCTACAAAAGGAGTGTTTCAAAACTGCTCCATCAAAAAGAAGTTTCAACACTGTGAGTTGAATGCACACATCACAAAGATGTTTCTGAGAATGGCTCTGTCAAGTTTCTATGTGAAGATATTTCCTTTTCCACCGCAGGCCTCAAAACACTCCAAATTTCCAATTTCAGATTCTACAAAAAGAGTGTTTCAAAACTGTTCTATCAAAAGGAAGTTTCAAATCTCTGAGATGAATGCACACATCACATAGAAGTTCCTGAGAATGCTTCTGTCTAGTTTTTATTCGAAGATATTACCGTTTCCAACGAAGGCCACACAGTAGTCCAAACATCCACTTGCAGATCCTACAAAAAGAGTTTTTCAAAACTTCTCTATCTAAAAGAAGATTGAACTCTGTGAGTTGAATGCACACATCACAAAGTACTTTCTGAGAATGCTTCCGTCTAATTTTTAAGTTAAGATATTTGCTTTTCTACCATAAGCCACAAAGCGCTCCATATATCCACTTGCTCATTCTACAAAAAGAGTGTTTCAAAAATGCTCTATCAAAAGGAAGGTTCAACTCTGTGTGTTGAATGGACACATCACAAAGAAGTTTCTGAGAATGCTTCCATCTATTTTCTATGTGAAGATATTTCCTTTTCCACCACAGGCCTTGAAGCGCTCGAAATGTCCACTTGCAGATTCTACAAAAAGAGTGCTTCAAAGGCTTTCTATCAAAAGAAAGGTTCAACTCTGTGAGATGAATGCACACATCACAAAGAAGCTTCAGAGAATGCTTCTGTCTACTTTTTATATGTAGATATAAGCTTTACTACCTTAGGCCGCAAAGCGCTCCAAACATCCACTTGCAGATTCTTCAAAAAGAGTGTTTCAAAAGTGCTCTATGAAAAGAAAGGTTCAAGTCTGCGAGTTGAATGCACAGATCACAAAGAACTTTCTGAGAATGCTTCTTTCTATTTTTTATTTGAAGATATTGCCGTTACCAACAAAGACCTCAAAGCGGTCAAAATATCCACTTGCAGATTATAAAAAAGAGTGTTTCAAAACTGCTCTATCAAAAGGAAGTTTCAACTCTGTGAGATGAATGCACACATCACAAAGAATTTTCTGAGAATGTTTCTGTCTACTTTCAATGTGAAGATATTTCCGTTTCCATCACAGGCACCAAAGCCTTCCAAATGTCCACTTGCAGATTCTACAAAAAGGATGTTTCAATACTTCTCTGTCAAAAGGCAAGTTCAACGCTGTGAGTTGAATGCACACATCACAAAGAAGTTTTTGAGAATCCTTCTGTCTAGTTTTTATTTGAAGATATTTACTTTTCTACCTTAGGCCTCAAAGTGCTCCAAATGTCCACTTAGAGATTCTACAAAAAGAGTATTTCAAAACTGCTCCATCATAAGTAACATTCAAATTTGTGAGTTGAATGCACACATCACAAGGAAGTTTCTGAAAATGCTTCTGTCTAGTTTTTATGTGAGAATATTCCCGTTTCCAATGAAGACCACAAAGCGGTCCAAATATCCACTTGTGTATTCTCCAAAAAGATTGTTTCAAAACTGCTCTATCAACAGAAATATTCACCTCTGTGAGTTGAATGCACACATCACAAAGAAGTTTCTGAAAATGCTTCTGTCTAGTTATTTGAACATATTCCCCTTTCCAACGAATGCTTGAAAGCGGTCCAAATATATACTTGCAGATTCTACAAGAAGAGTGTTTCAAAACTGTTCTATCAAAAGGAAGGTTCAACCCTGTGAGTTGAAAGCACACATCACAAAGAGGTTTCTGAGAATGTTTCTGTCTAGTTTCCATGTGAAGACATTTTCTTTTCCACCATAGGCCTCAAAACCCTCCAAATGTCCCTTTGCAGATTCTACAAAAAGAGTGTTTCAAAACTGTTCTATCAAAAGGAATTTTCAAATCTGTGAGTTGAATGCACACATTACAAAGAAGTTTCTGAGAATTCTTCTGTCTAGTTTTTATTCGAAGATATTCCCGTTTCCAACGAAGAACTCAAAACAGTCCAAATATCCTATTGCAGATTCTACAAAAAGAGTGTTTCAAAACTTCTCTATCAAAAAGAAAGTTCAACTCTGTGAGTTGAAAGCATACACCACAAAGAAGTTTCTGAGAATGCTTTTGTCTAATTTTCTTATGAAGATATTTCCTTCTCTATCAGAGGCCTCACAGCGCTCAAAATGTCAACTTGCAGATTCTTCAAAAAGAGTGTTTCAAAACTGCTCTACCAAAAGGAAGGTTCATCTCTGTGAGTTGAATGCACACATCACAAAGAGGTTTCTGAGAATACTTCTGTCTAGTTTCTATGTGAAGATATTTCCTTTTCTAACAGGGGCCTCAAAGTGCTCCAAATGTTCATTTTCTGATTCTTCAAAAAGTTTGTTTCAAAACTGATCTATCAAAAGGAAGGTTCAACTCTGTGCGTTGAGTGCACACATCACAAACAGGTTTCTGAGAATGCTTCTGTCCAGTCCCTATGTGAAGATATTTCCTTTTCCATCACAGGCCTCAAAGCCCTCCAAATGTCCACTTGCAGATTCTACAAAAAGAGGTTTTCAAAACTGTTCATTCAAAAGGAAGATTCAACTCTGTGAGTTGAATGCACACATCACAAAAAAGTTTCTGAGAATGCTTCTGACTAGGTTTTATTTGAAGATATTTTGTTTTCTACCATAGGCCTCAAAGAGCTCCAAATATCCACTTGGAGATTCTACTAAAAGAGTGTTTCAAAACAGCTCTATCAAAAGTAATGTTCAACTCAGTGAGTTGAATGCACACATCACAAAGAAGTTTCTGAAAATGCTTCTGTCTAGTTTTTATGTGAGAATATTCCCCTTTCCCACGAAGGCCTCAAAGTGGTCCAAATATTCTGCAGATTCTCCAAAATTAGTGTTTCAAAACTGCTGTAACAAAATAAATGTTCACCTCTGTGAGTTGAATGCAGACACCAAAAGAACTTTCTGAGAACGCTTCTGTCTACTTTTTATGTGATGATATTTGATTTTCTACCATAGACCTCAAAGCGCTCCCTATATCCACTTGCAGATTCTACAAAAAGAGTGTATCGATACTGCTCTATCAAAAAGAAGTTTCAACTCTGGGAGTTGAATGCACACAACACAAAGAAATTTCTGAAAATGCTTCTGTCTGGTTTTTAGGTGAAGATATTCCCGTTTCCAACGAAGGCCTCAAATCTGTCCAAATATCGACTTGCAGACTCTACAAAAAGAGTGTTTCAAAACTGCTCTATAAAAAGGAAGGTTCAACTCTGTGAGTTGAATGCACAGATCACAAAGAAGTTTCTGAGAATGCTTCTGTCTAGTTATTTATTTGAAGATATTCCCTTTTCCAACGAAGGCCTCAAAGCTGACCAAATATCCACTTGCAGATTTTACAAAAAGCGTGTTTCAAAACCGCTCTATCAACAGGAAGGTTCAAATCTGTGAGTTGAATGCACACATCACAAAGAAGTTTCTGAGAATGCTCCTGTGTACATAATTGAATATATTCCCATTTCCAACGAAGACCACAAAGGTGTCCAAATATCCACTTGCAGATTTTACAAAAAGCGTGTTTCAAAACCGCTCTATCAAAAGGAAGGTACAACTCTGTGAGTTGAATGCTCACATCACAAAGTGGTTTCTGAGAATGGCTCTGTCTAGTTTCTATGTGAAGATATTTCCTTTTCCACCACAGGCCACAAAATCCTTCAAATGTCCTCTTCCAGATTCTACAAAAAGAGTGTTTCAAAACTATTCTATCAGAAGAAATTTTCAAATCTGTGAATTGAATGCACATATCACAAAGAAGTTTCTGAGAATGGTTCTGTCTAGTTTTTATTTGATGATATTCCCATTTCCAACGAATACCTCAAAGCAGTCCAAATATACAATTGCAGATCCTACAAAAAGAGTGTTTCAAAACTTCTCTATCAAAAAGAATGTTCAATTCTGTGAGTTGAATGCACACATCACAAAGAAGTTTCTGAGAATGCTTTTGTCTACTTTTCCTATGAAGATATTTTCTTTTCTACCATAGGGCTTAAAGTGCTCCAAATGTCCACTTGCAGATTCTTCAAAAAGAGTGCTTCAAAACTGCTCTATAAAAAGGAATGTTCAACTCTGTGAGTTCAATGCACACATTACAAAGGAGATTCTGAGAATGCTTCTGTCTAGTTTTTATTTGAAGATAATCTCTTTTCCAATGAAGGACTCAAAGAGGTCAAAATATCCACTTGCAGATTATACAAAAAGAGAGTTTCAAAACTGCTCTATCAAAAGGAAGGTTCAACTCTGTGAGATGAATGCACTCATCCAAAGAAGTTTCTGAGAATGCTTCTGTCTAATTTCTATGTGAAGATATTTCCTTTTCCACCAAGGGCCTCAAAGTCCTCTAAATGTCACTTGCAGATTCTACAAAAAGGGTGTTTCAAAACTGCTCTATCAAAAGGAAGGTTCAACCCTGTGAGTTGAATGCTCACATAACAAAGAGGTTTCTAAGAATGCTTCTGTCTAGTCTCCATGTGAAGATATTTCCTTTTCCATCACAGGCCTCAAAGCCCTCCAAATGTCAACTTGCAGATTCTACAAAAAGAGTGTTTCAAAACTGCTCTATCAAAAGTAATGTTCAACTCTGTGATTTGAATGCACACATCACAAAGAAGTTTCCAAAAATGCTTCTGTCTAGTTTTATATGAAGAAATCCCGTTTCCAACGAAGGCCTTAAAGGGGTCCAAATATCCACTTGCAGATTCTCCAAAAAGAGTGTTTAAAACCTGCTCTGTCAAAAGAAAGGTTCATCTCTGTGAGTTGAATGCACACATCACAAATTACTTTCTGAGAATGCTTCTGTCTAGTTTTTATGTGAAGATATTTGATTTTCTACCATAGGCCTCAAAGCACTCCAAATATCCACTTGAACATTCTACAAAAAGAGTGTTTCAAAACTGCTCTATCAAAAGGAAGGTTCAGCTCTGTGAGTTGAATGCACACATCACAAAGAAGTTTCTGAGAATGCTTCTGTCTAGTTTTTATTTGAAGATATTCCCGTTTCTCACGAAGGCCTCAAAGCAGTCCAAATATCCACCTGCAGATTCTACAAAAGCAGTGTTTCAAAATTGCTCTATCAAAAGGAAGTTTCAACTCTGTGAGTTGAATGCACACATCACAAAGAAGTTTCTGATAATGCTTATGTCTAGCTTCTATGTGAAAATATTTCCCTTTCCACCACAGGCTTCAAAGCCCTCCAAATGTCCACTTGCACATTCTACAAAAAGAGTGTTTCAATACTGTTCTATCAAAATAATATTCAACTCTTTCAGTTGAATGCACACATCGCAATGAAGTTTCTGAGAATGCTTCTGTCTACTTATTTGAAGACATTCCCATTTTCATCGAAGACCTCAAAGCCATGTAAATATCCACTTACAAAAAGAGTGTTTCAAAACTGCTCAATCAAAAGTAATGTCCAACTCTGTGAGGTGAACGCACACATCACAAAGAAGTTTCTGAAAATGTTTCTGTCTACTTTTTATATGAGAATATTCCCGTTTCCAAAGAATGCCTCAAAGGGGTCCAAATATCCACTTGCAGATTCTCCAAAAAGAGTTTTTCAAAACTGCTCTATCAAAAGAAAAGTTTACCTCTGTGAATTGAATGCACACATCACAAGTTACTTTCTGAGAATGCTTCTGTCTAGGTTTTATATGAAGATATTTGATTTTCTACCGTAGGCCTCAAAGCACTCCAAATACCCACTTGCAGATTCCACAAAAAGAGTGTTTCAAAACTGCTCTACTAAAAGGAAGGTTCAACTCTGTGAGTTGAATGCACACATCACAAAGAAGTTTCTGAGAATGCTTCTGTCAATTTTTTATTTGACAACATTCCACTCCCCAACGAAGGCCTCAAAGCAGTCCAAATATTCAATTGCAGATTCTATGAGAAGAGTGTTACAAAACTGCGTTATCAAAAGGACGGTTCAACCCTGTGAGTTGAATGCACACATCACAAAGAAGTTTCTGAGAAATTTTCTGTCTACTTTTTATATGAAGATACTTTTCTACCGTAGGCCTCAAAGTGCTTCAAATATACACTTGCAGATTCTACACAAAGAGGGTTTCAAAAGTTCTCTATCAAAAGGAATGTTCAACTCCATGAGTTGAATGTACACATCACAAAGAAATGTCTGAGAATCCTTCTGTCTAGTTTTTAGCTGAAGATGATCCCGTTTCAACGAAGGCCTCTATGCTGTCCAAATATCCACTTGAAGATTCTACAAAAAGTGGGTTTCAAAACTGCTCTAGCAAAAGGAAGTTTCAACTGTGTGAGTTGAATGCACACATCATCAAGAAGTTTCTGATAATGCATATGTCTAGCTTCTATGTGAAAATATTTCCCTTTCCCCCACAGTCCTCAAAGCTCTCCCAATGTACACATCCACATTCTACAAAAAGAGTGTTTCAATACTGCTCTATCAAAAGGAAGGTTCAACTCTGTGAGTTGAATGCACATGTCAAAAAGAAGTTTCCGAGAATGCTTCTGTCTATTTATTTGAAGACATTCCCATTACCAATGAAGGCCTCAAAGCGGTGCAAATACCCACTTGCAGATTCTCCAAAAAGAGTGTTTCAAAACTGCTCTATCAAAAGAAAGTTTCACCTCTATGAGGTGAATGCACACTTCACAAAGTAATTTCTGAGAATGCTTGTGTCTAGTTTTTATGTGAAGATATTTGCTTTTCTACCATAGGCCCCAAAGTGATCCAAATATCCACTTGCAGATTCTACAAAAAGAGTGTTTCAAAACTTGTGTAGCAAAAGGAATGTTCAAATCTGTGTATTGAATGCACACAACAAAAAGAAGTTTCTGAGAATGCTTCTGTCTACTTTCAATGTGAAGATATTTCCTTTTCCAAGCAAGGCCTTAAAGCACTCCAAATGTCCACTTGCACATTCTAGAAAAAGAGTGTTTTAAAAGTACTCTATCAAAACAATGGTTCGATTCTGCGAGTTGAATGCAAACATCAAAAAATGTTCCTGAGAATGCTTCTGTCTAGTTTTTTTATGGAGATATTTGCTTTTCTACCATAGGCCTCAAAGCCTCGAAATATCCACTTGCAGATTCTACAAAAAGAGTGTTTCAAAACTGCTATATCCAAAGGAAGGTTCAACTCTGTGAGTTGAATGCACACATCACAAAGAAGTTTCTGAGAATACTTCTGTCTAGTTTTATATGAAGAAATCCCGTTTCCAACGAAGGCCTCAAAGAGGTCCATATATCCACTTGCAGAATCTACAAAAAGAATGTTTCAAAACGGCTCTATCAAGAGGAATGTTAAACTCTGTGAGTTGAATGCAAACATCACAAACTAGTTTCTGAGAATACTTTGTCTACTTTTTAGGTGAAGATATTTCCTTTTCTACCATAGGCCTCAAAGCACTCTAAATACACACTTTCAAATTCTACAAAAAGAGTGTTTCAAATCTGCTCTATCAAAAGGAAGGTTCAACTCTGTGGGTTGAATGCACACGTCACAAAGAAGTTTCTGAGAATGCTTCTGTCTAGTTTTCACATGAAGATATTTCCTTTTCTAACAGAGGCCTCAAAGCGCTCCAAATATCCACTTGCCGATTCTACAAAAATAGTGTTTCAAAACTGCTGTATCAAAACGAGTGTTCAGCTCTGTGAGTTTAATGCACACATCACAGATATGTTTCTGAAAATACTTTTGTCTAGTTTTTATGTGAGAATATAACGGTTTCCAACGAAGGCCTCATGGTGGTCCAAATATACACTTGCAGATGTTCCAAAAAGAGTGTTTCAAAAGTGCCCTATCAAAAGAAATTTTCCCCTATGTGAGTTGAATGCACACATCACAAAGTACTTTCTGAGAATGCTTCTGTCTAGTTTTTATGTGAAGATATTTGCTTTTCTACCATAGGCCTCAAAGCACTCCAAATATACACTTGCAGATTCAACAAAAAGAGTGTTTCAAAACTGCCCTATCAAAAAGATTTTTCAACTCTGTGAGTTGAATGCACACATCACAAAGAACTTTCTGAGAATGGCTCTGTCTAGTTTCCATGTGAAGATATTTCCTTTTCCACAACGGGCCTTAAAGTGCTCCACATTTACACTAGCAGATTCTACAAACAGAGTGTTTCAAAACTGCTCTATCAAAAGAAAATTTCGACTCTGTGAGTTGAATACACACATCACAAAGAAGTTTCTGAGAATGCTTCTCTCTAGTTTTTATATGAAGATATTTGCTTTTCTACCATAGGCCTCAAAGTACTGCAAATATCCACTTGCAGATTCTACAAAAAGAGGGTTTCAAAAGTACTCTATCAAAAGGAATGTTCACATCTATGAGTTGAATGCACACATCAAAAAGAAATTTCTGAGAATTCTTCTGTCAAGTTTTTAGGTGAAGATATTCCCGTTTCCAATGAAGGCCTCAAATCTGTCCAAATATCCACTTGCAGATTCTACAAAAAGAGTGTTTCAAAACTACTTTATCAAAAAGAAGTTTCAAATGTGTGGGTTGAATGCACAGATCACAAAGAAGTTTCGAGAATGCTTCTGTCTAGTTGTTATTTGGAGATATTCCCATTTCCTACGAAGGGTTCATTGTGGTCCAAATATCCACTAGCAGATTCTACAAAAAGAGTGTTTAAAAACTTCTCTATCATAAAGAAGGTTCAACACAGTGAGATGAATGCACACATCACAAAGAAGTATCTGAGAATGCTTTTCTCTAGTTTTCATATGAAGATATTTCCTTTTCTACCATAGGCCTCAAAATGCTCCAAATGTCCACTTGCAGATTCTTCAAAAAAAGTGTTTCAAAACTGCTCTATCAAAAGGAAGTTTCAATTCTGTGAGTGGAATGCACGAATCACAAAGTTGTTTCTGAGAATAATTCTGTCTAGTTTCAATGTGAAGATATTTCCTTTTCCACAACAGGCCTCAAAGCCCTCCAAATGTTCAATTGCAGATTCTACAAAAAGAGTGTTTCAAAACTGATTTATCAAAAGGAAGGTTCAACTCTGTGAGTTGAATACACACATCACAAAGTAGTTTCTGAGAAAGCTTATGTCTAGTTTTTATTTGAAGATATTTCCTTTTCTACCATAGGCCTCAAATAGCTCCAAATGTCCACTTGCAGATTCTACAAAAAGAGTGTTCCACAACTGCTCTATCAAAAGTAATGTTCAACTCTGTGAGTTGAATGCACACATCACAAAGAAGTTTCTGAAAATGCTTCTGTCTAGTTTTTATGTGAGAATATTCCCGTTTCCAATGAAAGCCTCAAGGCAGTCGAAATATCCACTTGCAGATTGTCCAAAAAAAGTGTTTCAAAACTGCTCTATCAAAAGAAAGATTCATCTCAGCTAGTTGAATGCACACATCACAAAGTACTTTCTGAGAATGCTTTTGTCTAGTTTTTCTGTGAAGATATTTGCTTTTCTATCATAGGCCTCAAAGTGCTCCAAATATCTAATTGCAGATTCTATAAAAAGAGTGTTTCAAAACTGCTCTATCAAAAGGATGGTTCAGCTCTGTGTGTTGAATGCACACATCACAAACAAGTCTCTGAGAATACTTCTGTGTAGTTTTTCTTCGAAAATATTCCAGTTTCCAACGAAGGCCCAAAAGCAGTCCAAATAGCCGCTTGCAGATTCTGCTAGAAGAGTGTTTCAAAACTGCTCTATCACAAAGAAGCTTCAAATCTGTGAGTTGAATGCACAAATCACAAAGAAGTTTCTGAGAATGCTTTTATCCAGTTTTCATATGAGACATTTCCTTTTCTACCAGAGGCCTCAAAGAGCTCCAAATCTCCACTTGCAGATTCTACAAAAAGAGTGTTTCAATACTGCTCTATCAAAAGAAAGGTTCAACTCTGTGAGTTGAATGCACACATCACGAAGGAGTTTCTGAAAATGCTTCTGTCTACTTTTTAGGTGAGGATATTCTTGTTTCCAACAAAGGCCTCAAAGTGGTCCAAATATCCTATTGCAAATTCTACAAAAAGAGTGTTTCAAAACTGCTCTATCAAAAGAAAGATTCACCTCTGTGAGTTGAATGCACACATCACAAATAAGTTTCTGAGAATGCTTCTGTCAAGTTTTATATGAACATATTTGCTTTTCTACCATTGGCCTCAAAGCGCTCCAAATATCCACTTGCAGATTCTTCAAAAAGAGTTTTTCAAAACTGCTCTATCAAAAGGAAAATTGAAAACTGTGAGTTGAATGCACACATCACTAAATGGTTTCAGAGAATACTTCTGTCTAGTTTCTATGTGAAGATATTTCCTTTTCTAACATAGGACTCAAAGCATTCGAAATTTCCACTTGCCGATTCTTCAAAAAGAGTGTTTGAAAACTGCTCTATCAAAAGGAAGGCTCAACTCTGTGAGTTGAATGCACACATCACAAAGAAGTTTCTGAAAATGTTACTGTCTAGTGTTTAAGTGAGGATATTCCCCCTTCCTCCACAGACCTCAAAGCCCTCCAAATGTCCACTTGCAGATTCTACAAAAAGAGAGATTCAAAAGTGCTCTATCAAAAGGAAGGTTCAACTCTGTGAGGTGAATACACACATCACAAAGAAGTTTCTGCGAATGCTTCTGTCTAGTTCTTATTTGAAGATATTCCCGTTTCCAACGAATGCTTCAAAGCGGTCCAAATATTCTCTTGCAGATTCTACAAAAAGAGTGTTTCACAACTGCTCTATCAAAAGGAAGGTTGAACTCCATGAGTTGAATGCACACATCAAAAAGGAGTCTCTCAGAATGTTTCTGTCTAGTTTCTATGTGAACATATTTCCTTTTCCACAATGGGCCTCAAAGCCCAACAAATGTCCACTTGCACATTCTACAAAAAGAGTGTTTCACTACTGCTCTATCAAAAGGAATGTTCAACTCTGTGAGTTGAATGCATAGATCACAAAAAAGTTTCTGAGATGCTTCTGTCTAGTTTTTATTTGAAGATATTCCCGTTTCCAATGAAGGCCTCAAAGTGGTCCAAATATCTACTTGAAGATTCTACAAAAAGAGTGTTTCAAAACTGCCCTATCAAAAAGAAGGTTCAACTCTGTGAGTTGAAGGCACACATCACAAAGTAGTTTCTGAGAATGCTTCTCTCTACTTTTATATGAAGATATTTGCTTTTCTACCATAGGCCTCAAATCGCTCCAAATATCCACTTGCAGATACTACAAAAAGAGTGTTTCAAAACTGCTCTATCAAAAGGAATGTTCAACTCTGTGAGTTGAATGCACACATCACAATGTGTTTTGTGAGAATAATTCTGTCTAGTCTCTATATGAAGATGTTTCCTTTTCCACCACAGACCTTAAAGCGGTTCAAATGTCCACTTGCACGTTCTTCAAAAAGAGTGTTTCAAAAGTGCTCTATCAAAAGAAATGTTCAACTTTGTGAGTTGAATGCACACATCACAAAGTGGCTTCTCAGAATTCTTCTGTCTAGTCTCCATGTGAAGATATTTCCTATTTCACCACAGGGCTCAAAGCCCTCAAAATGTTCACTTGCAGATTCTACAAAAAGTGTGTTTCAAAACTGCTCTATCAAAAGAAAGTTTCGCCTCTGTAAGTTGAATGCATACATCACAAAGAAGTTTCTGAGAATGTTTCTGTCCAGTTTTCATTTGAAGTTATTCCCGTTTTCACAGAAGGCCTCAGATCTGGCAAAATATCCCTTTGCAGATCTTACAAAAAGAGTGTTTCAAAACTGCCCTATCAAAAGGAAGGTTCAGCTCTGTGAGTTGAATGCACACATCGCAAAGTAGTTTCTGAGAATGCTCCTGTCTGGTTTTTATATGAAGATATTTCCTTTTCCACCATAGGCCTCAAAGCACTCCAAATATCCACTTGCAGATTCCACAAAAGCTGTGTTTCAAAACTGCTCCATCAAAAGAGAGGTTCAACTCTGAGAGTTTAAAGCACGCATCACAAAGAAGTTTCTGAGAATCTTTCTGTCTAGTTTTTAGGTGAAGATATTCCCGTTTCCACAGAAGGTCGCAAAGATATCTAAATATCCACTTGCTGATTTTTCTTACAAATGAGTGTTTCAAAACTGCTCCATCAAAAGGAATGTTCAACTCCGTGGGTTGAATGCACACATCACAAAGAAGTTTCTGAGATTGCTTCTGTCTAGTTTTTGTGTGAATATATTCCTGTTCCCACCGTAGGCCTCAGAGCACTCCAAATATCCAGTTGCAGATTCTACAAAAGGTCTGTTTCAAAACTGCTCTATCAAAAGGAAGGTTCAATTATGTGACATGAATGCACACATCACAAAGAAGTTTCTGAGAATGCTTCTGTCTAGATTTTATGTGAAGATATTTCCTCTTCCACCACAGGCTTCAAAGCCCTCCCAAGTTGCAATTGCAGATTCTACAAAAATAGTGTTTCAAAACTGCTCTATCAAAAGGAAGGTTCAACTCTGTGAGTTGAATGCATACATCCAAAGAAATTTCTGAGAATGCTTCTGTCTAGTTTTTAGGTGAAGATACTCCCATTTCCTCAGAATGCCTCACAGCTGCAAAATATCCACTTGCAGATTCTACAAAAAGAGTGTTTCAAAACTGCTCTATCAAAAGAAAGGTGCAACTCTGTGAGTTGAATGCACACATCACAAAGAAGTTTCTGAAAATGCTTCTGTCTAGTTTTTAAGGGAGGATATTCCCGTTTCCTATGAAAGCCTCAAAGTGGTCCAAATACCCCCTTGCAGATTCTACAAAAAGAGTGTTTCAAAACTGCTCTATCAAAAGAAAGATTCACGTTTGTGAGTTGAGTGCACACATCACAAAGAAGTTTCTGAGAATGCTTCTGTCAAGTTTTATATGAAGATGTTTTCTTTTCTACCATAGGCCTCAAAGCGCTCCAAATATCCATTTGCAGATCCTTCAAAAATAGTGTTTCAAAACTGCTCTATCAAAAGGAAGGTTGAAAACTGTGAGTTGAATGCACACATCACAAACTGGTTTCAGAGAATACTTCTGTCTAGTTTCTTTCTTTTTATTATTATTATACTTTAAGATTTAGGGTACATGTGCACGTAGTGCAGGTTAGTTACATATGTATACATGTGCCATGCTGGTGCGCTGCACCCACTAACTCGTCATCTCGCATTAGGTATATCTCCCGATGATATCCCTCCCCCATACCCCCACCCAACAACAGTCCCCAGAGTGCGATATTCCCTTTCCTGTGTCCATGTGATCTCATTGTTCAATTCCCACCTATGAGTGAGAATATGCGGTGTTTGGTTTTTTGTTCTTGCGATAGTTTACTGAGAATGATGATTTCCAATTTCATCCATGACCCTACAAAGGACATGAACTCATCATTTTTTATGGCTGCATAGTATTCCATGGTGTATATGTGCCACATTTTCTTAATCCAGTCTATCATTGTTGGACATTTGGGTTGGTTCCAAGTCTTTGCTATTGTGAATAATGCCACAATAAACATACATGTTCAGGTCTCTTTATAGCAGCATGATTTATAGTCCTTTGGGTATATACCCAGTAATGGGATGGCTGGGTCAAATGGTATTTCTAGTTCTAGATCCCTGAGGAATCGCCACACTGACTTCCACAATAGTTGAACTAGTTTACAGTCCCACCAACAGTGTAAAAGTGTTCCTATTTCTCCACATCCTCTCCAGCACCTGTTGTTTCCTGACTTTATAATGATTGCCATTCTAACTGGTGTGAGATGGTATCTCATAGTGGTTTTGATTTGCATTTCTCTAATGGCCAGTGATGATGAGCATTTTTTCATGTGTTTTTTGGCTGCATAAATGTCTTCTTTTGAGAAGTGTCTGTTCATGTCCTTCGCCCACTTTTTGATGGGGTTGTTTGTTTTTTTCTTGTAAATTTGTTTGAGTTCATTGTAGATTCTGGATATTAGCCCTTTGTCAGATGAGTAGGTTGCGAAAATTTTCTCCCATTTTGTAGGTTGCCTGTTCACTCTGATGGTAGTTTCTTTTGCTGTGCAGAAGCTCTTTAGTTTAATTAGATCCCATTTGTCCATTTTGTCTTTTGTTGCCATTGCTTTTGGTGTTTTAGACATGAAGTCCTTGCCCATGCCTATGTCCTGAATGGTAATGCCTAGGTTTTCTTCCAGGGTTTTTATGGTTTTAGGTCTAACGTTTAAATCTTTAATCCATCTTGAATTGATTTTTGTATAAGGTGTAAGGAAGGGATCCAGTTTCAGCTTTCTACATATGGCTAGCCAGTTTTCCCAGCACCATTTATTAAATAGGGAATCCTTTCCCCATTGCTTGTTTTTCTCAGGTTTGTGAAAGATCAGATAGTTGTAGATATGCGGCATTATTTCTGAGGGCTCTGTTCTGTTCCATTGATCTATATCTCTGTTTTGCTACCAGTACCATGCTGTTTTGGTTACTGTAGCCTAGTAGTATTGTTTGAAGTCAGGTAGTGTGATGCCTCCAGCTTTGTTCTTTTGGATTAGGATTGACTTGGCGATGCAGGCTATTTTTTTATTCCATATGAACTTAAAAGTAGCTTTTCCAATTCTGTGAAGAAAGTCATTGACACCCTAACATCACCATTAACAGAACTAGAAAAGCAAGAACAAACACATTCAAAAGCTAGCAGAAGGCAAGAAATAACTAAAATCAGAGCAGAACTGAAGGAAATAGAGACACAAAAAACCCTTCAAAAAATTAATGAATCCAGGAGCTGGTTTTTGGAAAGGATCAACAAAATTGATAGACCGCTAGCAAGACTAATAAAGAAAAAAAGAGAGAAGAATCAAATAGACGCAATAAAATATGATAAAGGGGATATCACCACCGATCCCACAGAAATACAAACTACCATCAGAGAATACTAAAAACACCTCTACGCAAATAAACTAGAAAATCGAGAAGGAATGGATAAATTCCTTGACACATACACTCTCCCAAGACTAAACCAGATAGAAGTTGAATCTCTGAATAGACCAATAACAGGAGCTGAAATTGTGGCAATAATCAATAGCTTACCAACCAAAAAGAGTCCAGGACCAGACGGATTCACAGCCCAATTCTACCAGAGGTACAAGGAGGAACTGGTACCATTCCTTCTGAAACTATTCCAACCAATAGAAAAAGACGGAATCCTCCCTAACTCATTTTATGAGGCCAGCATCATTCTGATACCAAAGCCAGGCAGAGACACAACAAAAAAAGAGAATTTTAGACCAATATCCTTGATGAACATTGATACAAAAATCCTCAATAAAATACTGGCAAAACGAATCCAGCAGCACATCAAAAAGCTTATCCACCATGATCAAGTGGGCTTCATTCCTGGGATGCAAGGCTGATTCAATACACGCAAATCAATAAATGTAATCCAGCATATAAACAGAGCCAAAGACAAAAACCACATGATTATCTCAATAGATGCAGAAAAAGCCTTTGACAAAATTCAACAACCTTCATGCTAAAAACTCTCAATAAATTAGGTATTGATGGGATGTATTTCAAAATAATAAGAGCTCTCTATGACAAACCCACAGCCAATATCATACTGAATGGGCAAAAACTGGAAGCATTCCCTTTGAAAACGGACACAAGACAGGGATGCCCTCTCTCACCACTCCTATTCAACATAGTGTTGGAAGTTCTGGCCAGGGCAATTAGGCAGGAGAAGGAAATAAAGGGTATTCAATTAGGAAAAGAGGAAGTCAAATTGTCCCTGTTTGCAGACGACATGATTTTATATCTAGAAAACCCCATTGCCTCAGCCCAAAATCTCCTTAAGCTGATAAGCAACTTCAGCAAAGTCTCAGGATACAAAATCAATGTACAAAAATCACAATCATTCTTATACACCAACAACAGATAGACAGAGAGCCAAATCATGAGTGAACTCCCATTCACAATTGCTTCAAAGAGAATAAAATACCTAGGAATCCAACTTACAAGGGATGTGAAGGACCTCTTCAAGGAGAACTACAAACCACCGCTCAAGGAAATGAAAGAGGATACAAACAAATGGAAGAACATTCCATGCTCATGGGTAGGAAGAATCAATATTGTGAAAATGGCCATACTGCCCAAGGTAATTTACAGATTCAATGCCATCCCCATAAAGCTACCAATGACTTTCTTCACAGAATTGGAAATAACTTCTGTCTAGTTTCTATGTGAAGATATTTCCTTTTCTAACATAGGCCTTAAAGCGCTCGAAATGTCCACTTGCAGATTCTTCAAAAAGAGTGTTTCAAAACTGCTCTATCAAAAGGAAGGTTCAACTCTGTAAGTTGAATGCAAACATCAGAGAAGTTTCTGAAAATGCTTCTCTCTAGTGTTTAAGTGAGGATAATCCCGCTTCCTCCTCAGGCCTCAAATCCCTCCAAATGTCCACTTGCAGATTCTACAAAAAGACTGTTTCAAAAGTGCTCTATCAAAACGAAGGTTCAACTCTGTGAGTTGAATGCACAGATCACAAAGAAGTTTCTGCGAATGCTTCTGTCTAGTTCTTATTTAAAGATATTCCCATTTCTGATGAATGCCTCAAAGCGTTCCAAATATCCACTTGCAGATTCTACAAAAAGAGTGTTTCAAAACTGCTCTATCAAAAGGAAGGTTCAACTCTTTGACTTGAATGCACACATCAAAAAGAAGTCTCTTAGAATGCTTCTGTCTACTCTCTATGTGAAGATATTTCCTTTTCCACCACGGGCCTCAAAGCCCAACAAATGACTGCTTGCACATTCCACATAAAGAGTGTTTCACTACTGCTCTATCAAAAGGAATGTTCAAATCTGTGAGTTCAATGCATAGATCACAAACAAGTTTCTGAGAGTGCTTCTGTCTAGTTTTTATTTGAAGATATTCCCGTTTCCAATGAAGGCCTCAAAGTGGTCCAAATATCCACTTGCAGATTCTACAAAAAGATTGTTTCAAAACTGCCCTATCAAAAGGGAGGTTTAACTCTGTGAGTTGAATGTACACATCACAAAGTAGTTTCTGAGAATGCTTCTGTCTAGTTTTATATGAAGATATTTGCTTTTCTACCATAGGCCTCAAAGCGCTCCAAATATCTACTTGCAGATACTACAAAAAGAGTGTTTCAAAACTGCTCTATCAAAAGGAATTTTCAGCTCTGTAAGTTGAACACACACATAACAAAGAGGTTTCTGAGAATGCTTTTCTCTAGTCTCTATGTGAAGATATTTCCTTTTCCACCACAGGCCTCAAAGCCCTAAAAATGTCCACTTGCATATTCTACAAAAAGAGAGTTTCAAAACTGCTCTATCAAAAGGAATGATCAACTCTGTGAGTGGAATGCACACATCACAAAGAAGTTTCTGAGAATGCTTCTCTCTAGTTTTTATTTGAAGCCATTTCCTTTTCTACCATAGGCCTCAAAGCGTGGAAAATGTCAACTTGCAGATTCTACAAAAAGAGTGTTACAAAACTGCTCTATCAAAAGGAAGGTTCAACTCTGTGAGTTGAACGCACAAAGAGCTTTCTGAGTATGCTTCTGTCTAGTCTCTATGTGAAGTTATTTCCTTTTCCACCACAGGCCTCAAAGCCCTCCAAATGTCCACTTGCAGATTCTACAAAAAGTGTGTTTCAAGACTGCTCTATCAAAAGGAAGTTTCAACTCTGTTAGTTGAATGCACACATCACAAAGTATTTTATGAGAATGCTTCTGTCTAATTTTTATGAGAAGATATTTGCTTTTCTACCATAGGCATCAAAGCGCTCCAAATATCCACTTCCAGATTCTACAAAAAGAGTGTTTCAAAACTGCTCTATCCAAAGGAAGGTACAACTCCGTGTGTTGAATGCACACATCTCAAAGAAGTTTCTGAGAATGCTTCTGACTAGTTTGTATGTGAAGATATTTCCTTTCCCACTACAGGCCTTAAAGCGTTCCAAACGGCAGCTTGCAGATTTTACAAAAAGAGTGTTTAAAAACTGCTTTATCAAAAAAAAGCTTCGACTCTGTGAGTTGAATGCACACATCATAAAGTAGTTTCTGAGAATGCTTTTGTCTAGTTTTTATATGCAGATATTTCCTTTTCTAACAAAGGCCTCAAAGCACTCCAAGTATGCACTTGCAGATTCTACAAATAGTCTTTCAAAAGTGTTCCAAGAAAAGGAATGTTCAACTCTGTGAGTTCAATGCACACATCACAAAGTAGTTTCTGAAAATGCTTCTGTCCAATTTTTATTTGGGAATATTCCCGTTTCCAATGAAGACCTCAAAGCTGTCCAAATATCCACTTGTGGATTCTGCAAAAAGATTGTTTCAAAGCTGCTCTATCAAAAGAAAGTTTTGACTCTGTGAGTTGAATGCACACATCACAAAGAATTTTCTGGGAATGTTTCTGTCTAGTTTTTATATGAAGATATTTGCTTTTCTACCATAGACCTCAAAACGCTCCAAATATCCACTTACAGATTCTTCAAAAAGAGTGTTTCAAAAGTGCTCTAACAAAAGGAATGCTCAACACTGTGACTTGAATGCACATATCACAAAGAAATTTCTGAGAATACTTCTGTCTAGTTTTTAGGTGAAGATATTCCCGTTTCCACAGAAGGCCTCAATGCTGCAAATATCCCCTTGCAGATTCTACAAAATGAGTATTTCAAAAGTGCTCTATCAAAAGGAAGGTTCATCCCATTGAGTTGAATGCACACATCACAAAGAAGTTTCTGAGAATGCTTCTGTCTAGTTTTTATTTCAAGATATTCCCGTTTCCAGTGAAGGCCTCAAAGCAGTCCAAGTATCCTCTTGCGGATTCTGCAAAAAGAGTGCTTCAAAACTGCTCTATCAAAAGGAAGGTTCAACTCTGTGAGTTGAATGCACACATCACAAAGCAGTTTATGAGAATGCTTCTGTCTAGTTTTTATATGAAGATATTTCCTTTTCTACCATGGGCCTCAAAACGCTCCAAATGTCCACTTTCAGATCCTACAAAAATAGTGTTTCGAAACCACTCTATGAAAAGCATGGTTCAATTCCGTAAGTTGAATGTACACATCACAAAGAAGTTTCTGAAAATGCTTCTGTCTAGTTTTTAAGTGATGCTATTCCCGTTTCCCCCACAGGCCTCAAAGCCCTCCAAATGTCCACTTACAGATTCTACAAAAAGAGTGTTTCAAAACTGCTCTACCAAAAGGAAGGTTCTACTCTGTGAGTTGAATGCACACATCACAAAGAAGTTTCTGAGAATGCTTCTGTCTAGTTTTTATTCGAAGATTTTCCCTTTTCCAACGAAGGCCTCAAAGAGTTCGAAATATCCACTTGCAGAATCTCCAAAGGAGTGTTTCAAAACTGCTCTATCAAAAGAAAAGTTCACCTCTCTGAGTTTAATGCATACATCACAAAGTAGTTTCTGAGAATGCTTCTGTCTAGTTTTATATGAAGATATTTGCTTTTCTACCATAAGCCTCAAAGTGCTCCTAATGTCCACTCGCAGATTCTACAAAAAAAGTGTTTAAAGACTGCTCTATCAAAAAGGAGGTTCAAATCTGTGAGGTGAATGCTCACCTCACAAAGAAGTTCTGAGAATGCTTCTGTGTAGTCTCTATGTGAAGATATTTCCTTTTCCACCAGAGGCCTCAAAGCCTTCCAAATGTCCACTTCAGATTCTACAAAAAGAGTGTTTCAAAACTGCTCTATCAAAAGGAAGGTTCAAATCTGTGAGTTGAATGCACACATCACAAAGTTGTTTCTGAGAATGTTTCTGTCTAGTTTTTATGTGAGGACGTTCCCGTTTCCAAAGAAGGCCTCAAAGAGGTACTGATATCCACTTGCGGTTTCTACAAAAATAGTGTTTCAAATTGCTCTATCAAAAGGAAGGTTCAACTCTGTGAGTTTAATGCACACATCGCAAACACGTTTTGGAGAATGCCTCCGTCTGATTACTATGTGAAGATATTTCCTTTTCCACCACAGGCCTTAAAGCACTCCAAATGTCCAGTTGCAGATTCAACGAAAAGAGTGTTTCAAGCTGCTCTATCAAAAGACATGTTCAACTCTGGGTGTTGAATGCACACATCCCAAATAAGTTTCTGAGAATGCTTCTGTCTAGTTCTTATGTGAAGACATTTCCTTTTCCACCAGAGGCCTCAAAGCCCTCCAAATGTACACTTGCAGATTCTACAAAAAGACTGTTTCAAAACTGCTTTATGAAAAGGAAAGTTCAACTCCGTGAGTTGAACGCACACATCACAAACGTATTTCTGAGAGTGGTTCTGTCTAGTTTTTACGTGTAGATATTCCCGTTTCCACCGATAGCCTCAAAGCCATCCAAATATACACTTGTAGATTGTACAAAAAGAGTGTTTCAAAACTGCTCTATCAGAAGGAATGTTCTACTCTGTGAGTTCAATGCACACATCACAATGTAGTTTCTGAGAATGCTTCTGCCTAGTTTTTAAATGAAGATATTTCCTTTTTTACCATAGGCCTCAAAGCGCTCCAATATCCACTTGCAGATACACAAAAAGAGTGTTCCAAAACTGCTCTATCAAAAAGTAGGTTCAACTCTGTCAGTTGAATGAACACATCACAAAGAAGTTTCTGAGAATGCTTCTGTCTAACTTTTAGGTGAAGATATTCCTGTTTCCACAGAAGGCCTCAAACTGTCCAAATATCAACTTGGAGATTCTACAAAAAGAGTCATTCAAAACTGTCCTATCAAAAGGAAGGTTCAACACTGTGAGTTGTATGCACATATTACAAAGAAGTTTCTGAGAATGCTTCTTTCTAGTTTTTAGGTGAAGATATTCCCTTTTCCACAGAAGGCCTCAAAGCTGTCCAAATATCCACTTGTAGATCTTACAAAAAGAGAGTTTCAAAACTGCTCTTTTGAAAGGAATGTTCAACTCTGTGAGTTCAATGCACACATCACGAAGAAGTTTTTGAGAATGGTTCTCTCTAATTTTTATGTGAAGATATTCCTGTTTCCTCCATAGTCCTCGAAGCGCTCCAAATATCCACCTGCAGATTCTACAAAAAGTCTGTTTCAAAACTGCTCTAGCAAAAGAAAGGTTCAACGATGTAAGATGAATGCACACATCAGAAAGAAATTTCTGAGAATGCTTCAGTCTAGTTTTTGTTTGAAGATATTCCCGTTTCCACCGTAGGCCTCAAAGAGCTCCAAATATCCACTTGCAGATTCTATAGAAAGTCTGTTTCAGAACTGCTCTATCAAAAGGAAGGTTCAACTGTGTGAATTGAATGCACACATCAGAAAGGAGTTTCTGAGAATGCTTCTGTCTTGTTGTTAGGTGAAGATATTACTGTTTTCACAGAAGGCCTCAAATGCGACCAAATATCCACTTGCAGATTCTACAAAAAGAGTGTTTCAAAACTGCTCTATCAAAAGGAAGGTTCATCCCATTGAGGTGAATGCACACATCACAAAGAAGCTTCTGAGAATGCTTCTGTCTAGTTTTTATTTGAAGATATTCCCGTTTCCAGGGAAAAACTCAAAGTGGTCCAAAAATCCACTTGCAGATTCAACAAAAAGAGTGTTTCAAAACTGCTCTATCAAAAGGAAGGTTCAACTCTGTGAGTTGAATGCACACATCACAAAGAAGTTTCTGAGAATGCTTCTCTCTAGTTTTTATATGAAGATATTTCCTTTTCCCCCACAGGCCTCAAAGCCCTGTTAATGTCCACTTGCAGGTTTAACAAAAAGAGTGTTTCAAAACTGCTCTATCAAAAGGAAGGTTCAACTCTGTGAGTTGAATGCACACATCAGAAAGAGGTTCCTGAAAATGCTTCCGTCTACTTTCTATGTGAAGATATTTCCTTTTCCACCACAGGCCTCAAAGCCCTCCAAATGTCCACTTGCAGATTCTACAAAAAGAGTGTTTCTAAACTGCTCTATCAAAAAAAAAAAATGTTAAACTGTGTGAGTCGAATGCACACATCACAAAGTAGTTTCTGAGAATGCTTCCATCTAGTTTTATATGAAGATATTTTCTTTTCTACCATAGGCCTCAAAGTGGTCCAAATATCCACTTGCAGATTCCACAAAAAGAATGTTTCAAAACTGCTCTATCAAAAGGAAGGTTCAACTCTGTGAGTTGAATGCACACAACACAAAGAAGTTTCGGAGAATGCTTCTGTCTAATTTTTAGGTGAAGTTATTCCCGTTACCACAGCTGGCCTCAAAGCTGTCCAAATATCCACTTGCAGATCCTACAAAAAGAGTGTTTGAAAACTGCTCTATCAAAGGAAAGGTTCAACTCTGTGGGTTGAATGCACACATCACAAAGAAATTTCTGAGAATGCTTTTGTCTAGTTTTTGTGTGAGGATATTCCTGTTTCCCACGAAGGCCTCAAAGCGGTCCAAATATCCACTTGCAGATTCCACAAAAAGAGTGTTTCAAAAGTGCTCTACCAAAGAAAGGTTCAACTCTGTGACGTGAATGCACACATCACAAAGAAGTTTCAGAGAATGCTTCCATCTAGTTTTTATGTGAAGATATTTCATTTTCCAACATAGGCCTCAAAGATAATCAAATATCCACTTGCAGATTCTACAAAAAGAGTGTTTTAAAACTTCTCTAATAAAAGAAATGTTCAACTCTGTGAGTTGGATGCACACGTCACAAAGAAATTTCTGAGAATGCTTCTGTCTAGTTTCTATGTGAAGATATATCCTCTTCCAACATAGGCCTCAAAGTGCTCCAAATATCCACTTGCAGATTCTTCTAAAAGAGTGTTTCAAAACTGCTCTATCAAAAGAAAGGTTCAACTCTGTGAGTTGAATGAAACATCACCAACAAGTTTCTGAGAATGCTTCTGTCTAGTATTTATGTGAAGATATTTCTTTTTCCAATGTAGTCCTCAAAGGAAAGTAAATATCATCTTGCAGATTGTACAAAAAGAGTGTTTCAAAACTGCTCATCAAAAGAAAGGTACAACTCTGTGAGTTGAATGCACACATCACAGAGCAGTTTCTGAGAATGCTTCAGTCTAGTTTTAATGTGAAGATATTACCTTTTCCACCCCAGGCCTCAAAGCGCTCCAAATATCCAATTGCAAGTTCTACAAAAAGAGTGTTTCAAAACTGTTCTATCAAAAGGAATGTTCAACTCTATGAGTTGAATGCACACATCACAAAGATGTTTCTGAGAATGCTTCCGTGTAGTTTTATGTGAAGATATTTCGTTTTCCAACATTGGCCTCAAAGGAAACCACATATCCACTTGCAGATTCAACAAAAATAGTGTTTCAAAACTGCTCTATCAAAAGAAAGGTTCGACTCTGTGAGGTGAATGCACACATCACAGAGAAGTTTCTGAGAATTTTTCTATCTAGTTTTTATGTGAGGATATTCCCGTTTCCAATGAAGGCCTCCAAGTGATCCAAATATCCACTTGAAGATTCTACAAAAAGAGTGTTTGAAAACTGCTCTATCAAAAGGAAGGTTCAACTCTGTGAGTTGCATGCACACGTCACAAAGAAATTCCTGAGAATGCTTCTGTCTAGTTTTTATGTGAAGATATTTCCTTTTCCACCACAGACCTCAAAACCCTCAAAATGTACACATGCAGATTCTACAAAAAGACTGTTTCAAAACTGCTCTATGAAAAGGAAAGTTCAACTCTGTGAGTTGAATGCACACGTCATAAAGATGTTTCTGAGAATGCTTCTGTCTAGTTTTTAGGTGAAGATATTCCCATTCCCATAGAAGGCCTCAAAGCTGTCCTAATATGCACTTGCAGATTCTACAAAAAGAGTGTATCAAAACTGCTCTATCAAAACTAAGGTTCAACCCTGTGAGTCGAATGCACATGTCATAGAGAAGTTTCTGAGAATGCTTCTGTCTAGTTTTTACGTGAAGATATTCCCGTTCCACAGAAGGCCTCAAAGCTGCCCAAATATCCCCTTGCAGATCTTACAAAAGAGTGTTTCAAAACTGCTCTATCAAAAGGAATGTTCAACTCTGTGAGTTGAATGCACACATCACAAAGAAGTTTCTGAGAATGCTTCTGTCTAGTTTTTATGTGAATATATTCCCGTTTCCACCTTAGGCCTCAAAGCCCTCCAAATATCCACTTGTAGATTCTACAAAATGCCTGTTTCAAAACTGCTCTATTAAAAGAAAGGTTCATTTCTGTCAGTTGAATGCATACATCACAAACAGCTTTCTGAGAATGCTCCTGTCTACTTTTTGTATGAAGATATTTGCTTTTCTGACATAGGCCTCAAAGCGCTCCAAATATCCACTTGCAGATTCTACAAAAAGAGTGTTTCAAAACTGCTCTATCAAAAGGAATGCTCATCTCTGTAAGTTCAATGCACACAATACAAGTTTCTTAGAATGCTTCTGTCTAGTTTTTATGTGAATATATTCCCTTTTCCAGCATTGACTCAAAGCGCTCCAAATATCCACTCGCACTTTCTACAAAAAGTGTGTTTCAAAACTGCTTTATCAAAAGGAAGGTTCAACTATGTGAGATGAATGCACACATCACAAATAAGTTTCTGAGAATGCTTCTGTCTAGTTTTTGTGTGAAGATATTTCTTTTTCCAACATAGGCCTCAAAGGAAACCAAATATCCACTTGCAGATTCTACAAAAAGAGTGTTTCAAAACTGCTCTCTCCAAAGAAAGTTTCAACTCTGTGAGTTGAATGCACACATCACAAAGAAGTTTCGGAGAATGCTTCTGTCTACTTTTTATGTGAAGATATTTCCTTTTCCACCATAGGCCTCAAAGCTCTCCAAACATCTACTTGCAGATTCTACAATAAGAGTGTTTCTTCTTTTTTTTTTTTAACTGTTCGACTAGTGTTTATTATCAGACACTGTTCTAAGGGCTGAGACTATTCTAGGCTTTAGAAGGTTCCTTTTTTTTTTTTTAGTATTTATTGATCATTCTTGGGTGTTTCTCAGAGAGGGGGATGTGGCAGGGTCATAGGATAATAGTGGAAAGAAGGTCAACAGATGAACACGAGAACAAAGTTCTCTTTTTTTCCTAGGCAGTGGTCCCTGCAGCTTCCGGCCATTTTGTGTTCCTGGGTACTTGAGATTAGGGAGTGGTGATGACTCTTAACGAGCATGCTGTCTTCAAGCATCAGTTTAACAAACAAAGCAAATCTTGCACTGTCCTTAATCTATTTAACCCTGAGTTGACACAGCACATGTTTCAGAGATCGGGGGTTGGGGGTAAGGTTATAGATTAACAGCATCCCAAGGTAGAAGAATTTTTCTTAGTATAGAACAAAATGGAGTCTCCTATGTCTACTTCTTTCTACTCAGACACAGTAACAATCTGATCTCTCTTTCTTTTCCCCACATTTCCCCCTTTTCTTTTTAATAAAACCGCCATGGTCATCATTGGCCGTTCTCGATGGTCACTGTCTCTTTGGAGCTGTTGGGTACACTTCCCAGATGGGGCAGCCTGGCAGAGGCACTCCTCACTTCCCAGATGGGGTGGCTGGGCAGAGGTACTCCTCACTTCCCAGATGGGGCGGCCAGACAGAGGTGCACCTCACTTCCCAGATAGGGTGGCAGCTGGACAGAGATGCTCCTCACTTCCCAGATGGGGTGTCGGCCGGGCAGAGGCGCTCCTCACTTCCCAGACGGTGGGTGGCCAGGCAGAGGTGCTCCTCACCTCCCAGATGGGGTGGCCGGGCAGAGGCGCTCCCCACCTCCAAGATGAAGAGTGGCTGGGCAGAGGCGCCCCCCACTTCCCAGATGGGGAGGCCGGGCAGAGGCGCTCCCTACATCCCAGAAGCGACAGCCGGGCAGAGGTGTTCCTCACCTCCCAGACTGGGTGGCCGGGCAGAGATTCCCCTCTCCTCCCAGATGGGGAGGCCAGGCAGAGGTGCCCACTTCCCCAAAAGGGCAGCCGGGCAGAGGCACTCTCCACCTCCCAGATGAAGGGCGGCCGGGCAGAGGCGCTCCTCACTTCCCAGGCGGGGCGGCCGGGCAGAGGCACTCCTCACCTCCCAGATGAAGAGCGGCTGGACAGAGGCACACCTCACTTCCCAGACTGGGTGGCGGCCAGACAGAGACACTCCTCATTTCCCAGATGGGTTGGCAGACAGGCAGAGGTGCTCCTCACCTCCCAGATGATGGGTGGCCGGGCAGAGGTGCTCCTCACCTCCCAGATGATGGGTGGCCGGGCAGAGGTGCTCCTCACCTCCCAGATGGGGCGGCCGGGCAGAGGCGCTCCCCACCTCCCAGACGAAGAGCGGCCAGGCAGAGGCGCCCCCCACTTCCCAGATGGGGTGGCCGGGCAGAGGTGCTCCTCACTTCCCAGACAGGGCGGCTGGGCAGAGGTGCTCCCCACATCCCAGAGAGGATGGCCAGGCAGAGGCATTCCTCACCTCCCAGATGATGGGTGGCCGGGTAGAGGCACTCCCTACGTCCCAGACAGGGCGGCTGGGCAGAGGTGCTCCTCACCTCCCAGATGGAGCGGCCAGGCAGAGGCACCCACTTCCCTGATGGGGTGGCCGGGCAGAGGCATTCCCCACCTCCCAGATGAAGGGTGGCCAGGCAGAGGCGCTCCTCACTTCCCAGGTGGGGTGGCCCGGCGAGGCACTCTTCACCTCCCAGATGGGGTGGCGACCGGGCAGAGATGTTCCTCACTTCCCAGATGGGGTGGCGGCCGGGCAGAGATGCCCCTCACCTCCCAGATGGGGCGGCGGCCGGGCAGAGGCGTTCCTCACTTCTCAGATGGGGTGGCGGCCAGGCAGAGATGCCCCTCACCTGGCAAAGGGGGCAGCCGGGCAGAGGCGCCCCTCACCTCCCAGACTGGGTGGCTGGGCAGAGATACCCCTCACCTCCCAGGTGGGGGGGCCGGACAGAGGCGCTCCTCACCTCCCAGACGGGGCTACCAGGCAGAGGCGCTCCTCACATCCCAGACAGGGCGGCCAGGCAGAGGCACTCCTCACTTCCTCCCAGACGGGCCGGCCAGGCAGAGGCGCTCCTCACTTCCCAGATGGGGTGGCCGGGCAGAGGCACCCCTCACATCCCAAAAGGGGCAGCCGGGCAGAGGCGCTCCTCACCTCCCAGACAGGGTGGCCGGGCAGAGGCACTCCCCATATCACAGATGGGATGGCCGGGCAGAGGCGCTCCTCACCTCCCAGATGATGGGCAGCTGGGCAGAGGCGCTCCCCACCTCCCAGATGGGGTGGCCGGGTAGAGGTGCTCCTCACCTCCCACACGGGGCAGCCGGGCAGAGGCGCTCCTCACCTCCCAGATGGGGTGGCCGGGCAGAGACATCCCTCACCTCCCAGACGGGGTGGCCGGGCAGAGGCACCCACTTCCCCAATGGGGCGGCTGGGCAGAGGCGCTCCCCACTTCCCAGATGAAGGGCGGCCGGGCAGAGGCGCTCCTCACTTCTCAGGCAGGCGGCTGGGCAGAGGCGCTCTTCATCTCCCAGAGGAAGAGCGGCCGGGCAGAGATGCACCTCATTTCCCAGATGGGGTGGCGGCCAGACAGAGGCGCTCCTCACTTCCCAGATGATGGGCAGCCAGGCAGAGGTGCTCCTCACCTCCCAGACAGGGCAGCCAGGCAGAGGCGTTCCCCACATCCCAGATGGGATGGCCGGGCAGAGGCACTCTTCACCTCCCAGACAGGGTGGCCGGGCAGAGGCACTCTTCACCTCCCAGATGGGGTGGCCAGGCAGAGACGCCCCTCACCTACAAGATGGGGTGGCCGGGCAGAGGCACCCACTTCCCTGATGGGGTGGCTGGGCAAAGGTGCTCCTCACTTCCCAGGTGGGGCGGCTGGGCAGAGGCACTCCTCACCTCCCAGATGAAAAGCAGCCGGGTAGAGGTGCCCCTCACCTCCCAGACGGGGCAGCAGCTGGGCAGAGGCACTCCTCACTTCTCAGACGGGGTGGCGGCCAAGCAGAGATGCCCCTCACCTCCTAAACAGGGCGGCCGGGCAGAGGCGCCCACTTCCCAGACAGGGCGGCCGGGCAGAGGAGCTCCCCACCTCCCAGATGAAGGGCGGCTGGGCAGAGGCCCTTCTCACTTCCCAGGCAGGGCGGCCAGGCAGAGGTGCCCCTCACCTCCCAGATGGGGTGCCTGGGCAGAGATGCCCCTCACCTCCCAGATGGGGTGCCTGGGCAGAGATGCCCCTCACCTCCCAGATGGGGTGCCTGGGCAGAGATGCCCCTCACCTCCCAGATGGGACAGCTGGGAGTAGTGCCCACTTCCCAGATGGGGCAGCTGGGCAGAGGCGCTCCCCACCTCCAGACGAAGGGTGGCCGGGCAGAGGTGCCCCTCACTTTCCAGGTGGGGCGGCTGGGCAGAGATGCCCCTCACCTCCCAGATGGGGTGGTGGCCGGGCAGAGATGCTCCTCACCTCCCAGATGGGGCGACCGGGCAGAGGCGCTCCTCACTTCCCATTCAGGGCAACTGGGCAGAGGTGCTCCTCACATCCCAGATGGGGTGGCCAGGCAGAGGCACTCCTCACTTCCTCCCAGACAGGGTGGCCAGGCAGAGGCACTCCCCACATATCAGACGGGACAGCTGGGCAGAGGTGCTCCTCACCTCTCGGATGATGGGCGGCCAGGCAGAGGTGCTCCCCACCTCCCAGACGGGGAGGCCGGGCAGAGGCGCTCCCCACCTCCCAGAAGAAGGGTGGCTGGACAGAGGCCCTCTTCACTTCCCAGGCAGGGCGGCCAGGCAGAGGCCCCCCTCAGCTCCCAGACGGGGCAGCTGGGCAGAGACTCCCCTCACCTCCCAGACGGGGTGGCCGGGCAGAGGCGCTCCCCACCTCCAGAAGAAGGGCGGCCGGGCAGAGGTGCCCCTCACTTCCCAGGTGGGGCGGCCAGGCAGAGACGCCACTCACCTCCCAGACGGGGTGGTGGCCGGGCAGAGGCACTCTTCACCTCCCAGACGGGGCGTCCATGCAGAGGCACTCCTCACCTCTCAGACAGGATGGCCAGCAGAGGCGCTCCTCACCTCCCAGAAGGGGTGGCCGGGCAGAGGCACTCCTCACCTCCCAGATGAAGAGCAGCTGGGCAGAGGCGCACCTCACTTCCCAGATGGGGTGGTGGCTGGACAGAGGCACTCCTCACATCCCAGACGATGGGCGGCTGGGCAGAGGTGCTCCTCACCTCCCAGACGGGGCGGCCGGGCAGAAGCGCTCCCCACCTCCCAGAAGAAGAGTGGCCGGGCAGAGGCGCCCCCCACTTCCCAGATGGGGTGGCTGGGCAGAGATGCTCCCCACATCCCAGACGGGACAGCCAGGCAGAGGCGCACCTCACCTCCCAGAAGATGGGCGGCTGGGCAGAGGTGCTCTGACCTCCCAGACGGGGCGGCCGGGCAGAGGCGCTCCTCACCTCCCAGATGGAGCGGCCAGGCAGAGACTCCCATCACCTCCCAGACGGGGTGGCCGGGCAGAGGTGCTCACTTCCCAGACGGGGCAGCCAGGCAGAGGCACTCCCCACCTCCCAGATGAAGGGCAGCCGGGCAGAGGCCCTCCTCACTTCCCAGGCAGGGCAGCCAGGCAGAGGCACCCCTCACCTCCCAGACGGGCCGCCCGGGCAGAGACACCCCTCACCTCCCAGATGGGGCGGCTGGGCAGAGGCACCCACTTCCCAGATGGGGCATCCAGGCAGAGGCGCTCCCCACCTCCAGACGAAGGGCGGCCGGGCAGAGGCGCCCCTCACTTCCAAGGCAGGACAGCTGGGCAGAGACGCCCCTCATCTCCCAGACTGGGTGGTGGCCAGGCAGAGGCGTTCCTCACCTCCCAGATGGGGCGGCCATGCAGAGGCACTCCTGACCTCCCAGACGGGGCAGCCGTGCAGAGGCACTCCTCACCTCCCAGATGGGGTGGCTGGGCAGAGGAGCTCCTCACCTCCCAGATGGGGCGACTGGACAGAGGCACTCCTCACTTCCCACTCTGGGATGGCTAGGCAGAGGCGCCCCTCACATCTCCTTTGTGGCAGCCAGGCAGAGGCACTCCTCACTTCCTCCCAGATGGGGCGGCCAGGCAGAGGTGCTCCTCACATTCCAGATGATGGGCGGCCAAGCAGAGGCACTCCTCATTTTCCGGGTGATGGGTGGCCAGGCAGAGATGCTGCTCACTTCCTAGACGGGGTGGTTGCTGGGCAGAGGCTATAATCTTAGCACTTTGGGAGGCCAAGGCAGGGGGCTGGGAGGTGGAGGATGTAGTAGGCCAAGTCAGGGGGCTGGGAGGTGGAGGATGTAGTGAGCCAAGATCACGCCACTGCACTCCAGCCTGGGCAACATTGAGCATTGTGTGAGCGAGACTCCATCTGCAATCCCAGGACCTTGGGAGTCCAAGGCGGGCAGATCACCCAAGGCCAGGAGCTGGAGACCAGCCTGGTCAACACGGTGAAACCCCGTCTCCACCAAAAATACAAAAACCAGTCAGGAGTGGGGTCGCATGCCTGGAATCCCAGGTATTCAGCAGGCCAAGGCAGGAGAATCACTGGAGCCCGAGGCAGGGAGGTTGCAGCGAGCCGAGATCACCGCAGTACAGTCCAGACTCCGCAAGAGAGACAGACTGTAGAAAGAGGGAGACAGAGAGCGAGAGCAAGAGCGAGAGGGAGAGGGAGAGGGAGAGGGAGAAAAAGAGTGTTTCAAAACTGCTCTAACAAAAGAAAGGTTCAACTATGTGAGTTGAATGCACACATCACAAAGAAGTTTCTGAGAATGCTTCTGTCTAGTTTTAAGGTGAAGATATTCCATTTTCCAACATTGGCTTCAAAGGAAACCAAATATCCCCTTGCAGATTCTACAAAAAGAGGGTTTCCAAACTGTTCTACCAACATAAAGTTTCAACTCTGTGAGATGAAAGCACACATCACAAAGCAGTTTCTGAGAATGCTTCTGTCAAGGTTTTACGTGAAGATATTTCATTTTCCAATATAGGCCTCAAAGGGAACAAAATATCGCCTTGCAGATTCTACAAAAAGAGTGTTTCCAAACTGTTCTATGAAAAGAAAGTTTCAACTCTGTGAGTTGAATACACACATCGCAAAGCAGTTTCTGATAAAGCTTCTGTCTAGTTTTTATGTGAAGATATTACGTTTTCCAACATAGACCTCAAAGCATTCCAAATATCCACTTGCAAATTCTACAAAGGAGTGTTTCAAAACTGCTCTATCAAAAGAAAGGTTAAACACTGTGAGTTGAATGCAAACATCACAAAGAAGTTTCGGAGAATGCTTCTGTCTAGTTTTTATGTGAAGATACTTCGTTTTCCAACATAGGCCTCAAAGGGAACGAAATATCCCCTTCCAGATTCCACAAAAAGAGTGTTTCAAAACTGCTCTATCAAAAGAAAGGTTCAACTCTGTGAGTTGAATGCACACATCACAAAACAGTTACTGAGAATGCTTCTGTCTAGTTTTTATGTGAAGATATTTCCTTTTCCAACATAGGCCTCAAAGGGAACAAAATATCCACTTGCAGATTCTACAAAAAGAGTGTTTCAAAACTGCTCTATCAAAAGAAAGGTTCAATTCTGTGAGTTGAATGCACACATCAATAAGAAGTTTCAGACAATGCTGGTGTCTAGTTTTTATGTGAAGATACTTCGTTTTCCAAAATAGGCCTCAAAGGAAACAAAATATCCACTTGCAGATTATACAAAAAGAGTGTTTCAAAACTGCTCTATCAAAAGAAATGTTCAACTCTGTGAGTTGAATGCACACATCACAAAGAAGTTTCTGAGAATGGTTCTGTCTAGTTTTTATGTGAAGATATTTCGTTTTCCAACATAGGCCTCAAAGGAAACAAAATATCCACTTGCAGATTCTACAAAAAGACTGTTTCAAAACTGCTCTATCAAAAGAAAGGTTCAACTTTGTGAGTTGAATAAACATATCAAAAAGAAGTTTGGGAGAATGCTTCTGTCTAGTTTTTATGTGAAGATATTTCCTTTTCCAGCATAGGCATCAAAACACCCCAAATATCCACTTGCAGATTCTACAAAAAGAGTGTATCAAAACTGCTCTATCAAAATAAAGGTTCAACTCTGTGAGTTGAATGCACACATCACAAAGTAGTTTCTGAGAATGGTTCTGTCTAGTTTCTATGTGAAGATATTTTGATCTCCAATATAGGCTTCAAAGGAAACCAAATATCCACTTACAGATGCTACAAAAAGAGTGTTTCAAAACTGCTCTATCAAAAGAAAGGTTCAAGGAGAAGCCAAGATGGACGAATAGGAACAGCTATGGTCTACACCTCCCAGCATGAGCAACGCAGAAGACAGGTGATTTTTGCATTTCCAACTGAGGTACCGGGTTCATCTCACTAGGGAGTGCCAGACAGTGGGTGCAGGACAGTGGGCGCGTGCACCATGAGTGAGCTGAAGCAGGGTGAGGCATTGCCTCACTCGGGAAGTGCAAGGGGTCAGGGAGTTCCCTTTCCTAGTCAAAGAAAGGGGTGATGGATGGCACCTGGAAAATCGGGTCACTCCCACCCGAATACTGCGCTTTTCCCACGGGCTTAAAAAACAGCACACCACGAGATTATACCCTGCACCTGGCTCAGAGGGTCTTACACCCACGGAGTCTCACTGATTGCTAGCACAGCAGACTGAGATCAAACTGCAAGGCGGCAGCGAGGCTGGGGTGGGGCGCCCACCATTGCCCAGGCTTGCTTAGGTAAACAAAGCAGCAGGAAAGCTCGAATTGGGTGGAGCCCACCACAGCTCAAGGAGGTCTGCCTGCCTCTGTAGGCTCCACCTCTGGGGGCAGGGCACAGACAAACAAAAAGAAAACAGTAACCTCTGAAGACTTAAATATCCCTGTCTGAGAGCTTTGAAGAGAGCAGTGGTTCTCCCAGTACGCACCTGGAGATCTGAGAAGGGGCAGACTGCCTCCTCAAGTGGGTGCCTGACCCCTGATCTCCGAGCAGCCTAACTTGGAGGCACCCCCCAACAGGGGCACATTGACACCTCACACGGCAGGGTACTCCAACAGACCTGCAGCTGAGGGTCATGTCTGTTAGAAGGAAAACTAACAAACAGAAAGGACATCCACACCAAAAACCCATCTCTACATCACCATCATCAAAGACCAAAAGTAGATAAAACCACATAGATGGGTAAAAAACAGAACAGAAAAACTGGAAACTCTGAAAAGCAGAGCACCTCTCCTCCTCCAAAGGAATGCAGTTCCTCACCAGCAACGGAACAAAGCTGGACGGAGAAAGAGTTTGACAAGCTGAGAGAAGAAGGCTTCAGATGATCAAATTACTCTGAGCTATGGGAGGACATTCAAACCAAAGGCAAAGAATTTGAAAACTTTGAAAAAAATTTAGAAGAATATATAACTAGAATAACCAATACAGAGAAGTGCTTAAAGGAGCTGATGGAGCTGAAAACCAAGGCTCGAGAACTACG
Source organism: Homo sapiens (assembly GCF_000001405.40). NCBI lineage: Eukaryota > Metazoa > Chordata > Mammalia > Primates > Hominidae > Homo > Homo sapiens. The sequence goes on from NC_000003.12 coordinate 93,768,147, forward strand.
TGAAGAATGAAGAAGCCTCAGGAGCCAAAGCGATCAACTGGAAGAAAGGGTATCAGTGATGGAAGATGAAATGAATGAAATGAAGTGAGAAGGGAAGTTTAGAGAAAAAAGAATAAGAAGAAATGAGCAAAGCCTCCAAGAAATATGGGACTATGTGAAAAGACCAAATCTACGTCTGATTGGTGTACCTGAAAGTGAGAGGGAGAATGGAACCAAGTTGGAAAACACTCTGCAGGATATTATCCAGGAGAACTTCCCCAATCTAGCAAGGCAGGCCAACGTTCAGATTCAGGAAATACAGAGAACACCACAAAGATACTCCACGAGAAGAGCAACTCCAAGACACATAATTGTCAGATTCACCAAAGTTGAAATGAAGGAAAAAATGTTAAGGGCAGCCAGAGAGAAAGGTCGGGTTACCCTCAAAGGGAAGCCCATCAGACTAACAGCAGATCTCTCGGCAGAAACCCTACAAGCCAGAAGAGAGTGGGGGTCAATATTCAACATTCTTAAAGAAAAGAATTTTCAACCCAGAATTTCATATCCAGACAAACTAAGCTTCATAAGTGAAGGAGAAATAAAATACTTTACAAACAAGCAAATGCTGAGAGATTTTGTCACCACCAGGCCTGCCCTAAAAGAGCGCCTGAAGGAAGTGCTAAACATGGAAAGGAACAACCGGTACGAGCCGTTGCAAAATCATGCCAAAATGTAAAGACCATCGAGACTAGGAAGAAACTGCATCAACTAACTAGCAAAATAACCAGCTAACATCATAATGACAGGATCAAATTCACGCATAACAATATTAACTTTAAATGCAAATGGACTAAATTCTCCAATTAAAAGACACAGACTGGCAAATTGGATAAAGAGTCAAGACCCATCAGTGTGCTGTATTCAGGAAACCCATCTCATGTGCAGAGACACATAGGCTCAAAATAAAAGGATGGAGGAAAATCTACCAAGCTAATGGAAAACAAAAAAAGGCAGGGGTTGCAATCCTAGTCTCTGATAAAACAGACTTTAAACCAACAAAGATCAAAAGAGACAAAGAAGGTCATTATATAGTGGTAAAGGGATCAATTCAACAAGAAATGCTAACTATCCTAAATATATATGCACCCAACACAGGAGCACCCAGATTCATAAAGCAAGTCCTGAGAGACCTACAAAGAGACTTAGACTCCCACACATTAATAATGGGAGACTTTAACACCCCACTGTCAACATTAGACAGATCAACGAGACAGAAAGTCAACAAGGATACCCAGGAATTGAACTCAGCTCTGCACCAAGCGGACCTAATAAACATCTACAGAACTCTCCACCCCAAATCAACAGAATATACATTTTTTTCAGCACCACACCACACCTATTCCAAAATTGACCGCATACGTGGAAGTAAAGCTGTCCTCAGCAAATGTAAAAGAACAGAGATTATAACAAACTATCTCTCAGACCACAGTGCAATCAAAGTAGAACTCAGGATTAAGAATCTCACTCAAAACCGCTCAACTACATAGAAACTGAACAACCTGCTCCTGAATGACTACTGGGTACATAACTAAATGAAGGCAGAAAAAAAGATGTTGTTTGAAACCAACGAGAACAAAGACACAACATACCAGAATCTCTGGGATGCATTCAAAGCAGTGTGTAGAGGGAAATTTATAGCAGTGAATGCCCACAAGAGAAAGCAGAAAAGATCCAAAATTGACACCCTAACATCACAATTAAAAGAGCTAGAAAAGCAAGAGCAAACACATTCAAAAGCTAGCAGAAGGCAAGAAATAACTAAGGTCAGAGCAGAACTGAAGGAAATAGAGACACAAAAAACCCTTCAAAAAATTAATGAATCCAGGAGCTGGTTTTTTGAAAGGATCAACAAAATTGATAGACCACTAGCAAGACTAATAAAGAAAAAAAGAGAGAAGAATCAAATAGACGCAATAAAAAATGATAAAGGAGATATCACCACCTATCTCACAGAAATACAAACTACCATCAGAGAATACTACAAACACCTCTACGCAAATAAACTAGAAAATCTAGAAGAAAAGGATAAATTTCCTCAACACAGACACTCTCCCAAGACTAAACCAGGAAGAAGTTGAATCTCTGAATAGACCAATAACAGGATCTGAAATTGTGGCAATAATCAATAGCTTACCAACCAAAAATAGTCCAGGACCAGATGGATTCACAGCCGAATTCTACCAGAGGTACAAGGAGGAACTGGTACCATTCCTTCTGAAACTATTCCAACCAATAGAAAAAGACGGAATCCTCCCTAACTCATTTTATGAGGCCAGCATCATTCTGATACCAAAGCCGGGCAGAGACACAACCAAAAAGGAGAATTTTAGACCAATATCCTTGATGAACATTGATGCAAAAATCCTCAATAAAATACTGGCAAAACGAATCCAGCAGCACATCAGAAAGCTTATCCACCATGATCAAGTGGGCTTCATCCCTGGGATGCAAGGCTGGTTCAATATATGCAAATCAAAAAATGTAATCCAGCATATAAACAGAGCCAAAGACAAAAACCACATGATTATCTCAATAGATGCAGAAAAGGCCTTTGACAAAATTCAACAACCTTTCATGCTAAAAACTCTCAATAAATTAGGTATTGATGGGAAGTATTTCAAAATAATAAAAGCTATCAATGACAAACCCACAGCCAATATCATACTGAATGGGCAAAAACTGGAAGCATTCCCTTTGAAAACGGGCACAAGACAGGGATGCCCTCTCTCACCACTCCTATTCAACATAGTGTTGGAAGTTCTGGCCAGGGCAATTAGACAGGAGAAGGAAATAAAGGGTATTCAATTAGGAAAAGAGGAAGTCAAATTGTCCCTGTTTGCAGACGACATGATTGTTTATCTAGAAAACCCCATTGTCTCAGCCCAAAACCTCCTTAAGCTGATAAGCAACTTCAGCAAAGTCTCAGGTTACAAAATCAATGTACCAAAATCACAAGCATTCTTATACACCAACAACAGACAGAGAGCCAAATCATGAGTGAACTCCCAATAATAATTGCATCAAAGAGAATAAAATACCTAGGAATCCAACTTACAAGGGATGTGAAGGACCTCTTCAAGGAGAACTACAAACCACTGTTCAAGGAAATAAAAGAGGATACAAACAAATGGAAGAACTTGCCATGGTCATGGGTAGGAAGAATCAATATTGTGAAAGTGGCCGTACTGCCCAAGGTAATTTACAGATTCCATGCCATCCCCATCAAGCTACCAATGCCTTTCTTCACAGAATTGGAAAAAACTACTTTAAATTTCATATGGAACCAAAAAAGAGCCTGCATCTCCAAGTCAATCCTAAGCCAAAAGAACAAAGCTGCAGGCATCACACTACCTGACTTCAAACTATACTACAAGGCTACAGTAACCAAAACAGCATGGTACTGGTAGCAAAACAGAGACATAGATCAATGGAACAGAACAGAGCCCTCAGAAATAATGCCGCATATCTACAACTATCTGATCTTTGACAAACCTCAGAAAAATAAGCAATGGGGATAGGATTCCCTATTTAATAAATGGTGCTGGGGAAAGTGGCTAGCCATATGTAGAAAGCTGAAACTGGATCCCTTCCTTACACCTTATACAATAATCAATTCAAGATGGATTAAGACTTAAATGTTAGACCTAAAACCATAAAAACCCTAGAAGAAAATCTAGGCATTACCATTCAGGACATAGGCATGGGCAAGGACTTCATGTCTAAAACACCAAAAGCAATGGCAACAAAAGACAAAATTGACAAATGGGATCTAATTAAACTAAACAGCTTCTGCACAGCAAAAGAAACTACCATCAGAGTGAACAGGCAACCTACAAAATGGGAGAAAATTTTCACAATCTACTCATCTGACAAAGGGCTAATGTCCAGAATCTACAATGAACTCAAACAAATTTACAAGAAAAAAATAAACAACCCCATCAGAAAGTGGGCAAAGGACATGAACAGACACTTCTCAAAACAAGACATTTATGCAGCCAAAAAACACATGAAAAAATGCTCATCATCACTGGCCATCAGAGAAATGCAAATCAAAACCACAATGAGATACCATCTCACACCAGTTAGAATGGCAATCATTAAAAAGTCAGAAAACAACAAGTGCTGGAGAGGATGTGGAGAAATAGGAAGACTTTTACACTGTTGGTGGGACTGTAAACTAGTTCAACCATTGTGGAAGTCAGTGTGGCGATTCCTCAGGGATCTAGAACTAGAAATACCATTTGACCCAGCCATCCCATTACTGGGTATATACCCAAAGGACTATAAATCATGTTGCTATAAAGACACATGCACACATATGTTTATTGTGGCATTATTCACAATAGCAAAGACTTGGAACCAACCCAAATGTCCAACAATGATAGACTGGATTAAGAAAATGTGGCACATATACTCCATGGAATACTATGCAGCCATAAAAATTGATGAGTTCATGTCCTTTGTAGGGACATGGATGAAATTGGTAATCATCATTCTCAGTAAACTATTGCAAGAACAAACAACCAAATAGTGCATATTCTCACTCATAGGTGGGAATTGAACAATGAGATCGCATGGACACAGGAAGGGGAACATCACACTCTGGGGACCGTTGTGGGGTGGGGGGAGTGGGGAGGGATAGCATTGGGAGATATATCTAATGCTAGATGACAAGTTAGTGGGTGTAGCACACCAGCATGTCACATGTATACATATGTAACTAACCTGCACAAGGTGCCCATGTACCCTAAAACTTAAAGTATAATAATAAAGGAAAAAAAAAAACTTAAAAAAAAATAAATAAATAAAGGGAAAGAACTGGGAAAAAAAAAAAGAAAGGTTCAACTTTGTGAGTTGAATGCAGGCATCACAAAAAATTTTCGGAGAATGCTTCTGTCTAGTTTCTATGTGAAGATATTTCCTTTTCCAGCATAGACATCAAAGCGCTACAAATATCCACTTGCAGATTCTACAAAAAGAGTGTTTCAAAAGTGCTCTATCAAAAGAAAGGTTCAACACTGTTAATTGAATGCACACATCACAAAAAGTTTCTGAGAATGCTTCCGTCTCGTTTTTATGTGAAGATATTTCGTTTTCCAACATAGGCCTCAAAGGAAACAAAATATCCACTTGCAGATTCTATAAAAAGAGTTTTTCAAAACTGTTCTATCAAAGAAAGGTTCAACTCTGTGAGTTGAATGCACATATCACTAAGAAGTTTCGGAGAATGCTGGTGTCTAGTTTTAATGTGAAGATATTTCCTTTTTCACCATAGGCCTCAAAGGGAAAAAAATATCCACTTGCAGATTCTACAAAAAGAGTGTTATTAAACTGCTGTATCAAAAGAATGTTTCAATTCTGTGAGTTGAATGCTCACGTCACAAAGAGGTTTCGGAGAATGCCTCTGTCTAGTTTTTATGTGAAGTTATTTCCGTTTCTACCATAGGCCCCCAAGCTCCCCAAGTATCCACTTGCAGATTCTACAAAAAGAGTTTTTGAAAACTGCTCTATCGAAAGATAGTTTCATCTCTGTGAGTTGAATGCACACATCACAGAGAAGTTTCTGACAATGCTTCTGTCAAGTTTTTATGTGAAGATATTGCGATTTCCAACATAGGCCTCAAAAGGAACAAAATATCTCCTGGCAGATTCTCCAAAAAGAGTGTTTCAAGACTGCTCTATCAAAAGAAAGGTTCAACTCTGTGTGTTGAATGCACACACCACAAAACAGTTTCTGAGAATGCTTCTGTTTACTTTTTATGTTAGGATATTTCGTTTTCCAACATAGGCCTCAAAGGAAACAAAATATCCACTTGCAGACTCTACAAAAAGAGTGTTTCAAAACTGCTCTATCAAAAGAAAGGTTAAACACTGTGAGTTGAATGCACACATCACAAAGAAGTTTCTGAGAATGCTTCTGTCTAGTTTTTATGTGAAGATATTTCCTTTTCCACCATAGGCCTCAAAGCGCTCCAAATATCCACTTGAAGATTCTACAAAAAGAGCGTTTCCAAACTGCTCTATCAAAAGAAAATTTCAACACTTTGACTTCAATGCACGCATCACAAAGTTGTTTCGGAGAATGCCACGATGTAGTTTTTATGTGAAGATATTTCCTTTTCCAGCATAGGACTCAAAGCGCTCCAAATATCCACTTGAAGGTTCTACACAAAGAGTGTTTCAAAACTGCTCTATCAAAATAAAGGTTCAACTCTGTGAGTTGAATGCACACATCACAAAGTAGTTTCTGAGAATGCGTCTGTCTAGTTTTTATGTGAAAATATTTCGTTTTCCACCACAGGCCTGAAAGGAAACAAAATATCTACTTGCTGATCCAACAAAAAGAGTGTTTCACAACTGCTCTATCAAAAGAAAGTTTCAACTCTGTGAGTTGAGTGCCCATATCACAAAGAAGTTTCAGAGAATGCTTGTGTCCAGTTTTAGTCTGAAGGTATTTCCTTTTTCACCACAGGCCTCAAAGGGAATGAAATATTCACTTGCAGAATCTACAAAAGAGTGTTTCAAAACTGCTCTATCAAAAGAAAGGTTCAACTCTGTGAGTTGAATGCACACATCACAAAGAAGTTTCTAAGAATGCATGTGTCTAATTTTTATGTGAAGATAGATACTTCCCTTTCCACCATAGGCCTCAAAGCGCTCCAAATATCCACTTGCAGATTCTACAAAAAGAGAGTTTCAAAACTACTCTATAAAAAAAGTTTCAACTCTGTGTGTTGAATGCACACATCACAAAGAAGTTTCTGAGAATGGTTGTGTCTGTTTGTATGTCAAGATATTTCCTTTTTTACTGTAGAACTTAAAGGGAACAAAATATCTACTTGAAGATTCTACAAAAGGAGTGTTTCAAAACTGCCCTATCAAAAGAAGGGTTCAAAACTGTGAGTTGAAGGCACACATCAAAAAGAAGTTTCTGAGAATGCTTCTGTCTACTTTTTATGTGAAGATATTTCGTTTTCCAACATAGGCCTCAAAGGGAAAAAAATATCCCCTTGCAGATTGTACAAAAAGAGTGTTTCAAAACTGCTCTATGAAAAGAAAGTTTCAACTCTCTGGGTTGAATGCACACATCAGAAAGCAGTTTCTGAGAAGGTTTATGTCTTGTTTTTATGGGAAGATATTTCGTTTTCAAACATAGGCCTCAAGGGAAACCTAATATCCACTTGTAGATTCTACAAAAAGAGTGTTTCAAAACTGCTCTATCAAAAGAAAAGTTCAACCCTGTGAGCTGAATGCACATGCCACAAAGAAGTTGCTGAGAATTCTTCTGTCTAGTTTTTATGTGAATATGTTTCATTTTCCAACACAGGCCTAAAGGGAACTAAATATCCCCTTGCAGATTATACAAAAAGAGTGTTTCAAAACTTCTCTATCAAAAGAAAGGTTCAACTCTGTTAGATGAATGCACACATCACCAAGAAGTTTCTGAGAATACCTCTGTCTAGTTTTTATGTGAAAATATTACGTTTTGAAACATAGGCCTCAAAGGGAACAATAAATCCACTTGCAGGTTCTACAAATACAGTGTTTCAAAACTGCTCTATCAAAAGAAAGGTTCAATTCTGTGAATTAAATGCACACATCACAAAGGAGTTTCTGAGAATCCTTCTGTCTGGTTTTTATGTGAAGATATTTCCTTTTCCAACATGGAACTCAAAGCACTCCAACTATCCACTTTCAGATACTACAAAAAGAGTTTTTCAAACCGCTCTATCAAAAGAAAGGTTCAACTCTGTGAGATGAACACACACGTCACAAAGAAGTTTCTGAGAATCTTTCCGTCTAGTTTTTATGTGAAGATATTTCCTTTTCCACCACAGACCTCAAAGCGTTCCAAATATCCACTTGCAGATCCTGCAAAAAGAGAGTTTCAAAACTCCTCTATCAAAAGATGGTTCTCATCTGTGAGTTGAATGCATACATCACAAAGAAGTTTCTGAGAATTCTTCTGTCTAGTTTTTACGTCAAGATATTTCCTTTTCCACCATAAGCCCCAAAGCACCCAAACTATCCACTTACATATTCCACAAAAAGAATGTTTCAAATCTGCTCTATGAAAAGAAAGGTTCAACTCTGTGAGTTGAATGCAGACATCACAAACAAGTTTCTGAGAATGCTTCTGTCTAGTTTTTATGTGAAGATATTTCCTTTTCCACCATAGGCCTCAAAGTGCTCCAAATATCCACTAGCAGATTCTTCAAAAAGAGTGTTTCAAAACAGCTCAATCAAAGGAAAGGTTCAACTCTGTGAGTTGAATGCACACATCAAAAAGAAGTTTCTGAGAATGCTTCTGTCTAGTTTTTGTGTGAAGATATTTCCTTTCCACCATAGGCCTCAAAGCATTCCAACAATCCACTTGGATTTTCAAGAATCCAGATTCTTCAAAAATAGTGTTTCAAAACTGCTCTATCAAAAGAAATGTTCAGCTTGAGTTGAATGCACACATCACAAAGTAGTTTCTGAGAATGCTTCTGTCTAGTTCTTATGTGAAGATATTTCCTTTTCCAGCATTGGCCTCGAAGCACTCCAAATATCTACTTGCAGATTCTACAAAAAGAGTGTCTCAAAACTCCTCAATCAAAAGAGAGGTTCAACACTGTGTGTTAAATGCACACATCACAAAGCAGTTTCTGAGAATGCTTCTGTCTAGTTTTTATGTGAAGATATTTCCTTTTCCACTATAGGCCACAAAGTGCTCCAAGTATCCACTTGTAGATTCTACAAATTGAGTGTTTCAAAACTGCTCAATGAAAAGAAAGGTTCAACACTGTGAATTGAATGCACACATTTCAAAGAAGTTTCTGAGAATGCTTCTGTATAGTTTTTATGTGAATATATTTACTTTTACACTGTAGGCCTCAAAGCACTCCATATATCCACTGGCAGATTCTTCAAAAAGAGTGTTTCAAAACTTCTCTATCAAAAGAAAGATTCAACTCTGTGAGTTGAATGCACACATCACAAAGAGGTTTCTGAGAATGCTTCTGTCTAGTTTTATGTGAAAATATTTCCTTTTCCACCATAGGTCTCAAAGCGCTCCGAAAATCTAATTGCAGATTCTTAAAAAGAGAGATTCAAAACTACTCAATCAAAAGACAGATTCAACACTGTGAATTGAATGCACACATAACAAAGAAGTTTCTCAGAATGCTTCTGTGTAGTTTTTATGTGAAGATGTTTCCTTTTCCAAAATAGTCCTCATAGCCCTCAAAATATCCACATCCAGATTCCATAAAAACAGTGTTTCAAAACTGCTCAATTAAAAGAAAATTACAGCTCTGTGTGATAATGTACTCATAAAAAAGTTTCTCAGAATTCTTCTGTGTAGTTTTTATGTGAACATACTTCCTTTTCCAAAATTGGCCTCAAAGCCCTCCAAATATCCCCTTACGGATTCTACAAAGAGTGTTTCAAAAATGCTCTTTCGAAAGTTAGGTGCAACTCTCTGAGTTGAATGCACACATCACAAAGAAGTTTCTCAGAATCATTCTGTGTAGTTTTTATATGAAGATATTTCCTTTTCCACAATATGCCTCAAATCCCTCCAAATATCTACTTGCAGGTTCTACAAAAAGAGTGTTTCAAAACTGCTCAATCAAAAGAAAGCTTCAGCTCTCTGAGATGAGTGCACACATCACAAAAGAGTTTCTCAGAATGCTTCTGTGTAGTTTTTACGTGAAGATATTTGCTTTTCTAGAGTAGGCCTCAAAGCGCCCTAAGTATCCACCTGCAGATTCTATAAAAACAGTGTTTTAAAACTCCTTATTCAAAAGAAAGGATCAACTCTGTGTGTTGAATGCACACATCACAAAGGATTTTCTCAGAATGCTTCTGTGTAGTTTTTATGTGAAAATATTTCCTTTCCCACCATATGCCACAAAGCACTCCATATGTCCACTTGCAGATTCTACAAAACGAGATTTCCCAAACTGCTCAATCAAAAGAAATTTGTAACAGTGTGAGATGAATGCACCCATCAGAAATTGGTTTCTCAGTTTGCTTCTGTCTAGATTTTATGTGAAGATATTTCCTTTTCTACCAAAGGCCGCAAAGTGCTCCAAATGTCCACTTGCAGATTCTACAAAAAGAGTGTTTCCAAACTGCTCAATCAAAAGAAATGTTCAACTCTGTGAGATGAATGTACACATCACAAAGAAGTTTCTCATAATACTTCTGTCTAGTTTTTATGTGAAGATATTTTCTTTTCCACCATAGGCCTCAAGGCGCTCGAAATGTCCTCTTGCAGATTCTTCAAAAAGAGTATTTCAAAACTGGTCCATCAAAAGAAAGGTTCAACTCTGGGAGATAAACGCACACATCAAAAAGAAGTTTCTCAGATTGCTTCTGTCTAGATTTTATGTGAAGATATTTCCTGTTCCACCATAGGCCTAAAAGCGTTCCAAATGTCCCCTTGCAGAATCTACAAAAAGAGATTTTCAAAACTGCTCAATCAAAAGAAAGGTGTAACTCTTTGAGATGAATGCACACATCACAAAGAAGTTTCCTAGATTGCTTCTGTGTAGATTTTATGTGACGATATTTCCTTTTCTACCAGAGGCTGCAAAGCGCTCCAAATGTCCACTTGCAGATTATACAAAAAGAGTGTCTCCAAACTGCTCAATCAAAAGAAAGTTTCAACTCTGTGAGATGAATGCACACATCACAAAGAAGTCTATCAGAATTCTTCTGTATAGTTTTTATGTGAAGATATCTACTTTTCCACCACAGACCTCAAAGCACTCCAAATGTCCACTTGCAGATTCTACAAGAAGAGAGTTTCAAAACTCCTCAATCAAAGGAAAGGTTTAACTCTGTGAGAGGAATGCACACATCACAAAGTAGTTTCTTAGATTGCTTCTAACTAGATTTTATGTGAAGATACTTCCTTTTCTACTCTAGGCCACAAAGTGCTGAAAATGTCCACTTGCAGATTCTATAAAATGAGTGTTTCCAAACTGCTCAATCAAAAGAAAGGTTCAACTCTGTGAGATGAACGCATACAACTCAAAGAAGTTTCTCAGAATTCTTCTTTCTAGTTTTTATGTGAAGATATTTCTTTTTCTACCATAGGTCTCAAAGCACTCCAAATGTCCACTTGCAGATTCTACAAAAAGAGTGTTTCCAAACTGCTCAATCAACAGAAATGTTCAACTCTGTGAGATGAATGCCCACATCACAAAAAGTTTCAGAATTCTTCTGTCTAGTTTTAATTTGAAGATATCTCCTTGTCCACAGTAGACCTCAAAGTGCTCCAAATGTCCACTTGGAGATTCTAGAAAAAGAGAGTTTCAAAACTCCTCAATCAAAAGAAACCTTTAACTCTGTGAGATGAACGCACACATCACAAAGTAGTTTCTCAGAATTCTTCTGTCTAGTTTTTATGTGAAGATATTTCTTTTTCCACCATAGGCCTCAAAGCTCTCCAAATGTCCACTTGCAGATTCTAGAAAAAGAGAGTTTCAAAACTCCTCAATCAAAAGAAACCTTTAACTCTGTGTGATGAATGCACACATCACAAATAAATTTCTCAGGTTGCCTCTCTATAGATTTTATGTGAAGATATTTCCTTTTGTACCATAGGCCCCAAAGCGTTCCAAATGTCCACTTGCAGACTCTACTAAAAGAGTGTTTCCAAACTGCTCAACCAAAAGAAAAGTTTAAATCTGTGAGATGAATGCAAGCATCACAAAGAAGTTTCTCAGAACACTTCTGCCTAGTTTCCATGTGAAATTACTTCCTTTTCCACCACAGACCTCAAAGTGCACCAAATGTCCACTTGTAGATTCTAGAAAAAGAGAGTTTCAAAACTGTTCATTCAAAAGAAAGGTTTAACTCTGTGAGAGGAATGCACACCATAAAGAAGTTTCTCAGATTGCTTCTGTCTAGATTTTATATGAAGATATTTCCTTTTCTACCATATGCTGCGAAGCACTCCAAATGTCCACTTGCAGATTCTACAAAAAGAGTGATTCCAAACTGCTGAATCAAAAGAAAGCCTCAACTCTGTGAGAGGAATGCACGTATCACCAGGAAGTTTCTCAGAAATCTTCTGTCTAGTTTTTATGTGAAGATATTTCCTGTTCCACCATAGGCCTCAAAGCATTCCAAATGTCCCCTTGCAGAATATATAAAAAGAGAGATTCAAAACTGCTCAATCAACAGAAAGGTATAACTCTTTGAGATGAATGCACATATCACAAAGAAGTTTCTCAGATTGCTTCTGTGTAGATTTTATGTGAAGATATTTCCTTTTCTACCATAGGCCGCAAAGTGCTAAAAATGTCCACTTGCAGGTTCTACAAAAAGGGTGTTTCCAAACTGCTCAATCAGAAGAAAGTTTCAACTCTATGAGATGAACGCACATATCACAAGAAGTTTTGCAGAATTCTTCTGTCTAATTTCTATGTGAAGATATTTCCTTTTCCACCATAGGCCTCAAAGTGCCCCAAATGTCCAGTGGCAGATTCTATAAAAAGAGAGTTTAAAAACTGCTCAATCAAAAGAAAGTTTTAACTCTGTGAGATGAATGCACACATCACAAAAAAGTTACTCAGATTGTTTCTGTCTAGATTTTATGTGAAGATATTTCCTTTTCTACCATAGGCCACAAAGCTCTCCAAATGTCCACCTGCAGATTCTACAAAAAGAGTGTTTCCAAACTGCTCAATCAAAAGAAAGCTTCAACTCTGTGAGAGGAAAGCACACGTCACAAAGTAGTTACTCAGAATTCTTCTGTCTAGATTTTATGTGAAGATATTTACTTTCCTAACATAGGCCACATAGCGCTCCAAATGTCCACTTGCAGATCCTTCAAAAATAGTGTTTATGAACTGCTCAACCAACTGAAAGTTTCAACTCTGTGACATGAATGCACACATCACAAAGAAGTTTCTCAGAATTCTACTGTCTAATTTTTATGTGAAGATATTTCATTTTCCACCATAGGCCTCAAGGCACTCGAAATGTCCACTTGCAGATTCAATAAAAAGATTATTTCAAACTTGGTCCTTCATGAGAAAGTTTCAACTCTGGAAGACTAATGCACACATCACAAAAGGTTATCAGAATGCTTCTATCTAGTTTTATTGTGAAGATATTTTCTTTTCCACCAGAGGCCTCAAAGGGTTCCAAATGTCCACTTGCAGATTCTAAAACAAGAGAGTTTCAAAACTGCTCAATAGAAAGAAAGGTTTAATTCTGTGAGTTGAATGCACGCATCACAAAGTTGTTTCTCAGATTGCTTCTGTCTAGATTTTCTTTGAAGATATTCCCTTTTCTACCATAGGCTGCAAAGCGCTCCAAATGTCCACTTGCAGATTCTACAAAAAGAGTGTTTCCAAAGTGTTCAATCAAAAGAAAGGTTCAACTCTGTCAGATGAATGCACACATCACAAAGAAGTTTCTCAGAATTCTTCTGTCTAGTTTTATGTGAATATATTTCTTTTTCCACCACAGGCATCAAAGTGCTCCAAATGTCCACTTCCAGATTCTACAAAAAGAGAGTTTCAAAACTGCTCAATCAAAAGAAAGATTTAACTCTGTGAGATGAATGCACACATCACAAAGTGGTTTCCCAGATATCTTCTACCTAGATTTTATGTGAAGATATTTACTTTTCTACCATAGGCTGCAAAGTGCTCCAAATATCCACTTGCAGATTCTACAAAAAGAGTTTGAAAACTGTTCCATAAACAGAAAGGTTTCACTCTGAGAGATGAATGCCCACATCACGAAGAAGTTTCTCAGATTACTTCTGCTAGATTTCAGGTGAAGATATTTCCTTTCCTAGCATAGGCTGCAAAGCACTCCAAATGTGCCCTTGCAGATCCTACAAAAATAGAGTTTCCAAACTGCTAAATCAAAAGAAAAGTTCAACTCTGAGAGATGAATGCACACATCACAAAGTAGTTTCTCAGAACTCTTCTATCTAGTTTTTATGTGAAGATATTTCGTTTTCCACCATAGGCCTCAAAGCGCACCAAATGTCCTCTTACAGATTCTGCAAAAGAGAGTTTCAAAGCTGCTCCATCCAAAGAAAGGTTTAACACAGTGAGATGAATGCACACATCAGAAAGAAGTTTCCCAGATTCCTTCTGTCTAGATTTTATGTGAAGATATTTCCTTTTCTACCATAGGCTACAAAGCACTCCAAATGTCCACTTGCAGATTCTACAAAAAGAGTGTTTCCAAACTGTTCAATCAAAAGAAAGGTTCAACTCTGTGAGATGAACACACACATCACAAAGGAGTTTCTCAGAATTCGTCTGACTTTTATGTGAAGATATTTCCTTTTCCACCATAGGCTTCAAAACACTCCAAATGTCCACTTGCAGATTCTACAAAAAGAGAGTTTCAAAACTGCTCAATCAAAAGAAAGTTTTAACCCTGTGAGATGAATTCGCACATCACAAAGAAGTTTCTCAGTTTGCTTCTGTCTACATTTTATGTGAGGATATTTCCTTTTCTACCATAGGCCGCAAAGAGCTCCAAATGTCCACTTGTAGATTCTACAAAGAGAGTGTTTCCAAACTGCTCTCTCAAAAGAAAGGTTCAAATCTGTGAGATGAAGGCACACATCACAATGAAGTTTCTCAGAATTCTTCTGTCTAGTTTTTATGAGAAGATATTTCCTTTTCCACCATAGGCCTCAAAGCGCCCCAATTGTCCGCTTGCAGATTCTACAAAAAGAGAGTTTGAAAACTGCTCAATCAAAACAAAGGGTAAATTCTGTGAGATGAATGCACAAATTAAAAAGAAGTTTCTCAGATTGCTTCTTTCTAGATTTTATGTGAAGGTATTTCCTTTTCTACCATAGGCTGCAAAGCGCTTGGAATGTCCACTTGCAGATTCTACAAAAAGAGTGTTTCCAAACTGCTCAATCAAAAGAAAGGTTCAACTTTGTGAAATGAATGCACACATCACAAAGTAGTTTCTCAGAATGCTTCTGTGTAGTTTTTATGTGAAGATATTTCCTTTCCACAAGAGGCATGAAAGGTCTCCAAATATCCACTGGCAAATTCTAAAAAAAGAGAGATTCAAAACTACTCAATTGAAAGATAGATGCAACTCTGTGAGTTGAATGCACACATCACAAAGAAGTTTCTGAGAATGCTTCCATGTAGTTTTTATTGGAAGATATTTACTTTTCCACCATAGGCTGCAAAGGGATCCAAATATCCACTTGCAGGTTCTACAAAAAGAGAGTTTCAAAACTGCTCTTTCAAAAGATAGGTTCAACACTGTGGGTCGAATGCACACATCACAGAGAAGTTTCTCAGAATGCTTCTGTGTGGTTTTTATGTGAAGATATTTCCTTTTCCACCATAGGCCTCAAAGCGCTCAAAATTTCCACTTGCAGATTCTACAAAAAGAGTGTTTCCAAACTGCTCAATCAAAAGAAAGGTTCAACTCTGTGAGATGAATGCACACATCACAAGGAAGTTTCTCACAATGCTTCTGTGTAGTTTTTATGTGAATATATTTCCTTTTCCACCATAGACCTCAGAGCTCTCCAAATATCCACTTGCAGATTCTACAGAAAGGGTGTTTCCAAACTGCTCAATCAGAAGAATGATTCAACTCTGTGAGATGAATGCACACATCACAAAGGAGTTCCTCAGAATGCGTTTGTGTAGTTTTTATGTGAAGATATTTCCTTTTCTTCCTTAGCCTCAAAGGGCTAAAAATATGCAATTGCATATCCTACAAAAAGAGAGTTTCAAAACTGCTGTATCTAAAGATAGATTCAACACTGTAATTTGAATGCACACATCACAAGGAAGTTTCTCAGAATTCTTCTGTGTAGTTTTTATGTGAAGATATTTCTTTTCCACTGTAGGACTCAAAACACACGAAATATCCACTTGCAGTTTCTACAAAAAGAGAGTTTCAAAACTGCTAAATCAAAAGAAAGTTTCAACACTGTGAGATGAATGTAAACAAAACAAGGAAGTTTCTGAGAATGCTTTTGTGTAGTTTTTATGGGAAGATATTTCCTTTTCCACAATAGTCCTCTAAGCACTCCAAATATCCAATTCAGATTCTACAAAAAGAGTGTTTCCAAACTGCTCAATCAAATGAAAGGTTCCACTCTGTGAGATGAATGTACAGATCACAAGGAAGTTTCTCAGAATGCTTCTGAGTAGTTTTTATGTGTGGATATTTCTTTTTCCACAAGAGGCCTCAAAGCACTCCAAATATCCACCTGCAGACTCTACAAAAAGAGAGTTTCAAAACTGCCCTATCAAATGAAAAGTTCAACTCTGTGAGATGAACGCACATATCACAAAGAAGTTTCTCAGATTGCTTCTGTCTAGATTTTATGAGAAGATATTTCCTTTTTTACCATAGGCCACAAAGGGCTCCAAACGTCCACTTGCAGATTCTACAAAAAGAGTGTTTCCAAACTGCTCTATCAAAAGATATGTTCAACTATGTGAGCTGAATGTACACATCACAAAGAAGTTTCTCAGAATGCTTCTGTGTAGTTTTTATGTTGAGATATTTCCTTTTCCACCATAGGCCTCAAAGCACTCCAAATATCCACTTGCATATTCTATAAAAAGAGTGTTTCAAAACTGCTCAATCAAATGAAAGGTTCAACTCTGTGAGATGAATGCACACATCACAAGGAAGTTTCTCAGAATGCTTCTGTGTAGTTTTTATTGGAAGATATTTCCTTTTCCACAATAGGCCACAAAGGGCTCCAAATATTCACTTGCAGATTCTGCAAAAAGAATGTTTCAAACTGCTCAATGAAAAGAGAGGTTCAACTCTGTGCGATGAATGCACCCATTACAAAGGAGTTTCTCAGAATCCTTCTGTGTAGTTTTTATGTGAAGATATTTCCTTTTCCACCATAGGCCCCAAGTGCTCCAAATGTCCACTTGCAGATTCTACAAAAAGAGAATTTCAAAACTGCTCCATCCAAAGAAATTTTTAACTCTCTGAGATAAATGCACACATCACAAGAAGTTTCTCAGATTGCTTCTGTCAGATTTTATGTGAAGATATTTCCTTTTCTACCACAGGACACAAAGCTCTCCAAAAGTCCACTTGCAGAAACTACAAAAAGAGTGTTTCCAAACTGTGCAATCAAAAGAAAGTTTCAAATCTGTGATATGAATGCACACATCCCAAAGAAGTTTCTCAGAATGCTTCTGTCTGGTTTTTATGTGAAGATATTTCCTTTTCCACAATAGGCCTCAAAGCACTCCAAATGTCCACTTGAAGATTCTACAGAAAGAGTCTTTCAAAACTGCTCAATGAAAAGAAAGTTTCAAATTGTTGAGATGAAAGCACACATCACAAACGAGTTTCTCAGAATGCTTCTGTATAAGTTTTGATGTGAAGATATTTCCTTTTCCACCATAGGCCTGCTAGCCCTCCAAATATCCACTTGAAGATCCTTCAAAAAAAAGTATTTCAAAACTGATGAATCAAAAGAAAGGTTCAACTCTGTGAGATGAATGAGTACATCACAAAGACGTTTCTCAGAATGCTTCTGTCTAGTTTTTATGTGAAGATGTTTCCTTTTCCACCATAGGCCTCAAGTCGCTCCAAATATCCACTTGCATATTCCACAAAAGAGTGTTTCACAACTGCTCAATCAATAGAAAGGTTCAACTCCGTGATATGAATGCACATGACTCAAAGAAGTTTCTCAGAATGCTTCTGTCTAGTTTTTATGTGAAGATATTTCCTTTTGCACTGTAGGCCGAAATGCGCTCCTAATATCCACATGCTGATTCTACAAAAAGCATGTTTCAAAACTGCTCAATCAAAAGAAAGGTTCAACTCTGTGAGTTGAATTCACACATCACAAAGAAGTTTCACAGAATGCTTCTGTGTGGTTTTTATGTGAACATATTTCCTTTTCCGCTGGCAGATTCTACAAAAAGAGTGTATCCAAAGTGCTCAGTCAAAAGAAAGGTTCAACTATGTGAGTTCAATGCACACATCACGAGGAACTTTCTCAGAATGCTTCTGTGTAGTTTTTATGTGAAGATATTTCCTTTTCCACCATAGGCCTCAAAGTGCTCCAAATATCCACTTGCAGATTCCACATAAAGAGTTTTTCCAAACTGCTCAATCAAAAAAAAGGTTCAACTCTGAAAGATTAATGCACACAACACAAAGAGGTTTCTGAGAATACTTCTGCCTAGTTTTTATTTGAAGATATTTCCTTTTCCACCATAGGTCTTAAACCTCTCCAAATATCCATTTGCAGATTCCAAGAAAACACTGTTTCTAAACTGCACAAACAAAAGAAAGTTTCAACTCTGTGAGTTACATTCACACTTCACAAAGAAGTTTTTTCGGATTGCTTCTGTGTAGTTTTTATGTGAAGATATTTCTTTTTCCACCATAGGCCACAAAGGGCTCCAATCATCCACTTCCAGATTCTACAAAAAGACTGTTTCAAAACTGCTCAATCAAAAGAAACTTACAACACTGTGAGTTGAACACACACATCACCAAGAACTTTCTCAAAATGCTTCTGTGTTTTTTTTTATGTGCAGATATTTCCTTTTCCACACTAGGCCTCAAAGCGCTCCAACAATCCAATTGCAGATTCTGCAAAAAGAGTTTCCAAACTGCTCAATCAAAAGAAAGGTTCAACTCTGTGAGATGAATGCACACATCACAAGGAAGTTTCACAGAATCCTTCTCTCTAGTGTTTATGTAAAGGTATTTCCTTTTCCACTATAGGCCTCATAGTGCTACAAATATCCACTTGCAGATTCTACAAAAACAGTGTTTCAAAACTGCTCAATGAAAAGAAAGATTCAACTCTGTGAGATGAATGCACACATCACAAAGAAGTTTCTCAGAATCCCTCTGTGTAGTTTTTATTTGAAGATATTTCCTTTTCCCACATAGGCGTCAAAACTCTCCAAATATCCATTTACAGATACCACATAAAGACAGTTTCCAAACTGGGCAATCAAAAAAAGAGTGCAACTCTGTGAGGTGAACACACACATCACAAAGAAGTTTCTCAGAATGCTTCTGTGTAGTTTTTATGTGTAGGTATTTCCTTTTCCACCACAGGGCTCCAAGCGCTCCAAATATCCACTTGCAGATACTACAAAAAGAGTGTTTCAAAACTGAAGAATCAAAAGAAAGGTTCAAATATGTGAGATGAATGACACATCAAAAAGAAGTTTCTCAGAATGCTTCGGTGCAGTTTTTATATGAAGATATTTCCCTTTCTACCGCAGCCCTCCAAGCTCTCCAAATATCCACTTGCAGATTCTACAAAAAGAGTGTTTCAAAACTGATGAATCAAAAGAAACGTTCAACTCTGTGAGATGAATGCTCACGTCACAAAGCAGTTTCTCAGGATGCTTCTGTATAGTTTTTATGTGAAGGTATTTCCTTTTCCACCATAGGCCTGAAATCACTCCAAAAATCCACTTGCAGATTCTACAAAAAGAGTGTTTCAAAACTACACAATCAAAAGATAGGTCCAACTCCGTCAGATCAATGCACACATCACAAAGAAGTTTCTCAGAATACTTCTGTTTAGTTTTTATGTGAAGATATTTCCTTTTCAACCCTAGGCCGCAAAGGGCTCCAAATATCCACTTGCAGATTCTACATAAAGAGTGTTTCAATACTGTGGAATCAAAAGAAAAGTTCAACTCTGTGAGATGAATGCACACATCACAAAAAAGTTTCTCATTATGCTTCTGTCTAGTTTATATTTGAAGATATTTCATTTTCCACCATAGACCTCAAATGGCTAAAAATATCTACTTGCAGATTCTACAAAATGTGTGTTTCAAAACTGCTCAATCAAAAGAAAGGTTCAACTCTATGAGTTGAATGCATGTATCACAAAGAAGTTTCTCAGAATGCTTCTGTCTAGTTTTAATGTGAAAATGTTTCCTTTTCCACCATATGCTTCAAACCTCTCCCAATATCCATTTGGAGAAACTACAAAAAGACTGTTTCCAAACTACTCAATCAAAACTAACGTTCAACTCTGTGAGTTGAATGCACACATCACAAAGTAATTTATGAGATTGGTTGTGTGTAGTGTTTCTGTGAATAAATTTCCTTTTCCCTAAAAGTCCTCAAATCTCTCCAAATATCCACTTGCAGATTCCACAAGAAGAGTGTTTCAAAACTGCTCAATCAAAAGATGCATTCAACTCGGTGAGTTGAATGCACACATCACAAAGAGGTTTCTCAGAATGCTTCTCTCTAGTTTTTATGTAAAGATATTTCCTTTTCCACCATAAACCTCAAAGAGCTCCAACGATCCATTTGCAGATTCTACAAAACGTGTGTTTCAAAGCTGTTCAAACAAAAGAAAGTTTCCACTTTGTGAGATGAATGCACACATCAGAAAGAAGTTCCTCAGAATACTTCTGTCTACCTTTTATGTGAAGATATTTCCTTTTACACCAGAGGCCTCAAATCAATCCAAATATCCACTTGCACATTTTACAAAAAGAGTGTTTTGAAACTACTCAATCAAAAGAGAGGTTCAACTCTGTGAGTTGAATGCTCACATCACAAAGATGTTTCTCAGAATGCTTCTGTCTAGTTTTTATGTCAAAATATTTCCTTTTCCACCATAGGCCTCAAAGTGCTCAAAATATCCACTTGCAGATTCTACAAAAAGAGTGTTTCAAAACTGCTCCATCTAAAAAGAGGTTCAACTCTTTGAGTTGAATGCACACATCACAAAGAAGTTTCTCAGAATGCTTCTGACCAGTTTCTATGAGAAGATATTTCCTTTTCCACAATTGGCCACAAAACGCTCGAATTATCCATTTGCAGATATTACAGAAAGAGTGTTTCTAAACTTCTCAATCAAAAGAGTGGTTCAACTCTGTGTGTTGAATGCACACATCACAATGAAGTTTCTCAGAATGCTTCTGTCTAATTTTTATGTGAAGAGACTTCCTTTTACACCTTAGACCTCAAATCGCTCCAAATATCAACTTGCAGATTTTACAAAAAGACTGTTTCACAGAGCCAAAGACAAAAACCACATGATTATCTCAATAGATGCAGAAAAAGCCTTCGACAAAATTCAACAACCCTTCATGCTAAAAACTCTCAATAAATTAGGTATTGATGGGACGTATTTCAAAATAATAAGAGCTATCTATGACAAACCCACAGCCAATATCATACTGAATGGGCAAAAACTGGAAGCATTCCCTTTGAAAACTGGCACAAGACAGGGATGCCCTCTCTCACCGCTCCTATTCAACATAGTGTTGCAAGTTCTGGCCAGGGCAATCAGGCAGGAGAAGGAAATAAAGGGTATTCAATTAGGAAAAGAGGAAGTCAAATTGTCCCTGTTTGCAGACGACATGATTGTTTATCTAGAAAACCCCATCGTCTCAGCCCAAAATCTCCTTAAGCTGATAAGCAACTTCAGCAAAGTCTCAGGATACAAAATCAATGTACAAAAATCACAAGCATTCTTATACACCAACAACAGACAAACAGAGAGCCAAATCATGAGTGAACTCCCATTCACAATTGCTTCAAAGAGAATAAAATACCTAGGAATCCAACTTACAAGGGATGTGAAGGACCTCTTCAAGGAGAACTACAAACCACTGCTCAAGGAAATAAAAGAGGACACAAACAAATGGAAGAACATTCCATGCTCATGGGTAGGAAGAATCAATATCATGAAAATGGCCATACTGCCCAAGGTAATTTACAGATTCAATGCCGTCCCCATCAAGCTACCAATGACTTTCTTCACAGAATTGGAAAAAACTACTTTAAAGTTCATATGGAACCAAAAAAGAGCCCGCATCGCCAAGTCAATCCTAAGCCAAAAGAACAAAGCTGGAGGCATCACACTACCTGACTTCAAACTATACTACAAGGCTACAGTAACCAAAACAGCATGGTACTGGTACCAAAACAGAGATATAGATGAATGGAACAGAACAGAGCCCTCAGAAATAATGCCACATATCTACAACTATCTGATCTTTGACAAACCTGAGAAAAACAAGCAATGGGGAAAGGATTCCCTATTTAATAAATGGTGCTGGGAAAACTGGCTAGCCATATGTAGAAAGCTGAAACTGGATCCCTTCCTTACACCTTATACAAAAATCAATTCAAGATGGATTAAAGATTTAAACGTTAGACCTAAAACCATAAAAACCCTAGAAGAAAACCTAGGCATTACCATTCAGGACATAGGCGTGGGCAAGGACTTCATGTCCAAAACACCAAAAGCAATGGCAACAAAAGACAAAATTGACAAATGGGATCTAATTAAACTAAAGAGCTTCTGCACAGCAAAAGAAACTACCATCAGAGTGAACAGGCAACCTACAAAATGGGAGAAAATTTTCGCAACCTACTCATCTGACAAAGGGCTAATATCCAGAATCTACAATGAACTCAAACAAATTTACAAGAAAAAAACAAACAACCCCATCAAAAAGTGGGCGAAGGACATGAACAGACACTTCTCAAAACAAGACATTTATGCAGCCAAAAAACACATGAAGAAATGCTCATCATCACTGGCCATCAGAGAAATGCAAATCAAAACCACTATGAGATATCATCTCACACCAGTTAGAATGGCAATCATTAAAAAGTCAGGAAACAACAGGTGCTGGAGAGGATGTGGAGAAATAGGAACACTTTTACACTGTTGGTGGGACTGTAAACTAGTTCAACCCTTGTGGAAGTCAGTGTGGCGATTCCTCAGGGATCTAGAACTAGAAATACCATTTGACCCAGCCATCCCATTACTGGGTATATACCCAAAGGACTATAAATCATGCTGCTATAAAGACACATGCACACGTATGTTTATTGCGGCACTATTCACAATAGCAAAGACTTGGAACCAACCCAAATGTCCAACAATGATAGACTGGATTAAGAAAATGTGGCACATATACACCATGGAATACTATGCAGCCATAAAAAATGATGAGTTCATGTCCTTTGTAGGGACATGGATGAAATTGGAAACCATCATTCTCAGTAAACTATCGCAAGAACAAAAAACCAAACACCGCATATTCTCACTCATAGGTGGGAATTGAACAATGAGATCACTTGGACACAGGAAGGGGAATATCACACTCTGGGGACTGTGGTGGGGTCGGGGGAGTGGGGAGGGATAGCATTGGGAGATATACCTAATGCTAGATGACACGTTAGTGGGTGCAGCGCACCAGCATGGCACATGTATACATATGTAACTAACCTGCACAATGTGCACATGTACACTAAAACTTAGAGTATAATAAAAAAAAAAATTAAAAAAAAAAAAAGACTGTTTCAAAACTGCTCAATCAAAAGAAAAGTTCAACTCTGTGAGGTGAATGCACACATCACAAGGAAGTTTCTCAGAATGCTTCTGTCTAGTTTTTTTATGAAGATATTTCCTTTTCCACTATAGGCCTCAAAGCGCTCCAAATATCCACTTGCTGATTCCAAAAAAAGAGGCTTTCAAAACTGCTCAACAAAAAGAAAGGGTCAACTCTGTCAGATGAATGCACACATCACAAAGAAGTTTCTCAGAATGCTTCTGTCTAGTTTTTATGAAAGATATTTCCCTTTCCAATAGAGGCCTCAAAGAGCTCCAAATATCCACTTGTAGATTCTACAAAAAGAGGTTTTCAAAACTGCTGAAACAAAAGAAAAGTTCAACTCTGTGAGATGAATACACACATCACAAAGAAGTTTCTCAGAATGCTTCTGTCTAGTTTTTATGTCAAAATATTTCCTTCTCCACCATAGGCTTCAAAGTACTCAAAATATCCACTTGCAGATTCTTCAAAAGGAATGTTTCAAAATTGTTGAATCAAAAGAAAAGTTCAGCTCTGTGAATTTAATGCATACATCACAAAGATGTTTCTCAGAATGCTTCTCTCTAGTTGTTGTGTGAAGACATTTACATTTCCACTACAGGCCGCAAAAATCTCCAAATATCCACTTGCAGATTCTACAAAAAGAGTGTTTCAAAACTACTCAAACAAAAGAAAGTTTCAACTCAGTGAGTTGAATGCACACGTCCCAAAGAAGTTTCTCAGAATACTTCTGTCTAGATTTTATCTGAAGATATTCCCTTTTCCACTATACGCTGCAAAACGTTTCAAATATCCACATCCAGATTCTATGAAAAGACTGTTTCAAAACTGTTCAATCAATGGAGAGGTTCAACTCTGTGAGATGAATGTTCACATCACATATATGTTTCTCAGAATGCTTCAGTCTAGTTTATATGTGAAGACATTTCTTTATCACAATAGGCTGCAAAGTGCTCCAAATATCCACTTGTAGATTCCACAAAAAGACTGCTTCAAAACTGCTCAATCAAAAGAAGGTTCAACTTTGTGAGATGAATGCACACATGACAAAGAAGTTTCTCAGAATGCTTCTGTGTAGTTTTTATGTGAAGATATTTCCTTTTCAAATATAGGCCACAAATCGCTCCAAATATCCACTTGCAGATTCTACAAAAAGAGTTTTTCAAAACTGCTCAATCAAAAGAAAGTTTCAACTCTGTGAGAGGAATGCACACATCACAAAGGAGTCTCTCAGAATGCTTCTGTCTAGTTTTTATGTGAAGATATTTCCTTTTCCAATAGAAGGTGCAAAGCACTCCAAATATCCTCTCGTAGATTCTACAAAAAGAGTGTTTCAAAACTGCTGAATCAAAAGACATGTTCAACTCTGTGAGATGAATGCACATATCACAAAGGAGTTTCTCGTAATGCTTCTATCCAGTTTTTATGTAAACATACTTCCTTTTCCACTTTAGGCCAAAATGCGCTCCAAATATCGACTTGCAGATTCTACAAAAACAGTGTTTCAAAACTGCTCAATCAAAAGAAAAGTTCAACTCTGTGAGATGAATGCACACTTCACAAAGAAGTTTCTCAGAATGCTTCTGTCTAGTTTTTAGGTGAATATATTTCCTTTTCTACTATAGAACGCAAAGCACTCCAAATATCCATTTGCAAATACTACAAAAAGCCTGTTTCCAAGCTGCTCAATCAAAAGAAAGGTTCATTTCCGTGAGTGGAAGGCACACATCACATAGAAGTTTCTCAGAATGCTTCCATCTAGTTGTTATGGGAAGGTATTTACCTTTCCAATAGAGGCCACAGAAATCTCCAAATATCCACTTACAGAATCTACAAAAAGAGTGTTTCAAAACTGCTCAGGCAAAAAAAGTTTCCACTCAGTGAGCTGAATGCACACATCACAAAGAAATTTCACAGAATGCTTCTGTCTAGATTTTATGTGAAGGTACTTCCTTTTCCACTATAGGCTGCAAAGCGCTGCAAATGTCCACTTGCAGATTCTACAAAAACAGTGTTTCGAAACTGCTCAATCAAAAGAAATGTTAAACTCTGTGAGATGAATGCACACATCCCAAATAAGCTTCTCAGAATGCTTCTGTCTCGTATTTATATGAAGATATTTCCTTTTCCACCATAGGCTCCAAAGCGCTCTGAATATCCATTTGCAGATACTACCAAAAGACGGTTTCCAAATTGCTCAATCATAAGAAAGGTTCAACTCTGTGAGATGAATGCACACATCAGAAAGAAGTCTCTCAAAATGCTCTGTGTAGTTTTTATGTGAAGGTATTTCCTTTTCCACTATAGGCCACAAAGCACTTCAAATATCCACTTGCAGATACTACAAAAAGAGTGTTTCAAACCTGCTCCATCAAAAAAAAGGTTGAACTCAGTGAGATGAGTGCACACATCACAAAGAAGTTTCCCAGAATGCTTCTGTCTTGTTTTTATATGAAGATATCTCATTTTCCACCATAGGCCTCAAAGCGCTCCAAATATCCACTTGCAGATTCTACAAAAAGAGTGTTTCAAAACTGCTCAATCAAAAGAAAGTTTCAACTCAGTAAGATGAATGCACACATCACAAAGAAGTTTCCCAGAATGCTTCTGTCTAGTTTTTATGTGAAAATATTTCCTTTTCCACTATAGGCTCCAAGGCTCTCCAAATATCCACGTGCAGATTCTACACAGAGAGTTTCCAAACTTGTCAGTCAAAAGAAATGTTCAACTCTGTGAGATGAATGCTCACATCCCAAAGAAGTTTCTCAGAAGGCTTCTGTCTAGTTTTTATGTGAAGACATTTCCTTTTCCACCATAGGCCTCAAAGCGCTCCAGATATCCACTTGCAGATTCTACCAAAAGAGTGTTTGAAAACTGCTCAATCAAAAGAAAGGTTCAACTCCATGAGATGAATGCTCACATCACAAAGTGGTTTCTCAATATGCTTCTGTCTAGATTTTCTGTGAAGATATTTCCTTTTCCAACCTAGGCCTCAAAGCCTTCCAAATTTCCACTTGCAGATTCTACAAAAAGGGTGTTTCAGTCTGCTCAATCAAAGGAAAGGTTCAACTCGGTGAGATGAATGCACACGTCACAAAGATGTTTCTCAGAATTCTTCTGTCTAGTTTTAATGTGAAGATATTTCCTTATCCACTATAGGCCAGAAAGTGCTCCAAATATCCAATTACAGATCCTACAAAACGAGTGTTTCAAAACTGCTCAATCAAAAGAGAGTGTCAACTCTGTGAGATGAGTGCACACATGACAAGGAAGTTTCTCAGAATGTTTCTGACTAGTTTTCTTGTGAAGATATTTCCTTTTCCACCACAGGCCACAAAGCGCTCCAAATGTTCATTTGCAGATATTACAAAAAGACCATTTTCAAACTGCTCAATCAAAAGAAAGGCTCAACTTTGTGAGTTGAATGCACACATCACAAGGAAGTTTCTCAGAATGCTTCTGTCTAGTTTTTATGTGAAGATATTTCCTTTTCCACCATAGGACTCAAAGCACTCCAAATATCCATTTGCAGATACTACAAAAAGACGGTTTCCAAACTGCTCAATCAAAAAAAAGTTTACACTCTGTGAGATGAATGCACACGTCACTAAGAAGACTCTCAGAATGATTCTGTGTAGTTTTTATGTTAAGATATTTCCTTTTCCACTATAGGCCGCAAAGCACTCCAAATATGCACTTGCAGATGCTCCAAAAAGAGTGTTTCAAAACTGCTCGATCAAAAAAAAGTTGAACACTGTGTGATGAATGCACACATCATGAAGAAGTTTCACAGAATACTTCTGTCTAGATTTTATGTAAAGATATTTCCTTTTCCACTATAGGCTGAAGAGCACTGCAAATATCCACTTGCAGATTCTACAAGAGTGTTTCAAAACTGCCCAATCAAAAGAAAGGTTCAACTCTCTGAGACCAATGCCCACATCAGAAACAAGTATCTCAGGATGCTTCAGTCTAGTTTTTATGTGAAGTTATTACCTTTTGCACCATAGGCTTCAAAGTGCTCCAAATATACACTTGGAAATTCTACAAAAAGAGTGTTTCAAAACTTCTCAATCAAAAGAAAGGTTCAACTCCATGAGATGAATGCACACATCACAAAGAAGTTTCTCAGAATGCTTCTGTGTAGTTTTTATATGAAGATATTTCCTTTTCCACTATAGACCAGAAAGCCCTCCAAATATCCATTTGCAGATCCTACAAAACGAGTGTTTCAAAACTGCTCAATCAAAAAAGAGGGTCAACTCTTTGAGATGAATTCACTCATCCCAAAGAAGTTTCTCAGAATATTTCTGACTAGTTTTTCTGTGAAGATATTTCCTTTTCCACCACAGGCCTCGAAGCGCTCCAAATATCCATTTTCAAGTATTACAAAAAGACCGTTTCCAAACTGCTAAATCAAAAGAAAGGCTCAAATTTGTGAGTTGAATGCACACATCAAAAAGAAGTTTCTCAGAATGCTTCTGTCTAGTTTTTATGTGTAGATATCCCCTTTTCCACAATAGGCCTTAAAGCACTCCAAATATCCTCTTGCAGACTCTACAAAAAGAGTGTTTCAGAACTGCTGAGTCAAAAGAAAGGTTCAACTCTGTGAGATGAATGCACACATCACAAAGAAGTTTCTCAGAATGCTTCTGTCTAGTTTTTATGTGAAGATATTTCCTTTTCCACTATAGTTCGCACAGCGCTCCAAATATCCACTTGCAGATATTACAAAAAGAGTGTTTCAAAACTGCTCAATCAAAAGAAAGATTCAACTATGTGAGATGAATGCACGCATCACAAAGAAGTTTCTCAGAATGATTCTGTCTAGTTTTAATGTGAAGATATATCCTTTTCCACTATAGACCTCAAAGTGCTGTCTAATATCCCATTGCAGATGCTACAAAAAGACTATTTCCAAACTGCTCTATGAAAAGAATGGTTCAACTCTGTGACTTGATTGCACACATCACAAAGAAGTTTCTCAGAAAGTTTCTGTCTAGTACTTATGTGAAGATATTTCATTTTTCACCATAGGCCTCAAAGCGCTCACAAATATCCATTTGTAGATTCTCCAAGAACAGAGTTTCCAAACTTCTCAGTTAAAAGAAAGGTTTACTTTTTGAGATGAATGCACACATCACAAAGCAGTTTCTCAGAAAGCTTCTTTCTAGTTTATATGTGAAGACATTTCCTTTTTCACCATAGGCCTCAAAGAGCTCCAATTATCCCTTTGCAGATTTAACAAAAAGATTGTTTCCAAACTGCTCAATCAAAAGAATGGTTCAACTCTGTGAGACAAATGCACTCATCACAAAGAAGTTTCTCAGAAAGCTTCTGTCTAGTTTTTCTGTGAAGATATTTCATTTTTCAACATAGGCTTCAAAGCGCTATCAGATATCCCTTTGCAGATTCTACAGAAAGAGTGTTTCCAAACTGCTATATGAAAAGAATGATTCAACTCTGTGAGACGAATGCACACATCTCAAAGAAGTTTCTCAGAAAGCTTCTGTCTAGTTTTCATGAGAAGGCATTTACCTTTTCACCATATGCCTCAAAGTGCTCCCAAATATCCTTTTGCAATTTCTACAAAAACAGAGTTTCCAAACTGCTCAATGAAAAGAATATTTCAATTCTGTGAGATGAATGCACACATCACAAAGAAGTTTCTCAGAAAGCTTCTGTCCAGTTTTTATGTGAAATTATTTCCTTTTGCACCATGGGCCTCAAAGTGCTCACAAATATCCCTTTGCAGATTCTACAAGAACAGAGTTTCCAAACTAGTCAGTGGAAAGAAATGTTTACCTCTGTGAGATGAATGTGCACATCACAAAGCAGTTTCTCAGAAAGCTTCTGTGTAGTATTTATATGAAGACATTTCCTTTTTCACCACAGGCCTCAAAGCAGTCCCAAATATCCCTTGAAGATTCTATAAAAAGACGGTTTCCAAACTGCTCAATCAAAAGAATGGTTCAACTGTGTGAGATGAATGCACACATTGCAAAGTCGTTCCTCAGAAAGCTTCTTTCTGATGTTTATGTGAAGATATTTCCTTTTTCACAACAGGCCTCAAAGCACTCCCAAATATCCCTTTGCAGGTTCTTCAAAAAGACTGTTTCCTAACTGCTTGATCAAAAGAATGGTTCAACTCCATGAGACAAATGCACACACCACAAATAAGTTTCTCAGAAAACTTCTGTCTAGTTTTTATGGAAGATATTTCCTTTTCCACCCTTGGATTGAAAGCGCTCACAAATATCCCTTTGCAGATTCTTGAAGAAAAGAGTTTCTAAACTGCTCTATAAAAAGAAATGTTTGCCTCTGTGAGATGAATGCACACATCACAAAGAAGTTTCTCAGAAAGCTTCTCTGTAGTTTTTATGTGAAGACATTTCTGTTATCACCATAGACTTCAAAGGACTCCCAAATATCCCTTTGCAGATTCCACCAAAAGACTGTTTCCAAACTGCTCAATGAAAAGAATGGTTCAACTCTGTGAGACGGATGCAAACATCCCAAAGAAGTTTCTCAGAAAACTTCTGCCCAGTTTTTATGTGAAAATATTTCCTTTTTCACCATAGGCCTCAAAGTGCTCAGAAATATCCCTTTGCAGATTCTACAAGAACAGAGTTTCCAAACTGCTCAATGAAAAGAAACGTTTAGCTCTGAGAGATGAATTCACACATCACATAGCAGTTTCTCAGAAACTTTCTGTCTAGTTTTTATTTGAAGATATTTTCTTTTTCACCATAGGCTTCAAACCACTCACAAATATCCCTTTTCAGATTCTACAAACACTGTGTTTCCAAACTGCTCAATCAAAACAATGGTTCAACTCTGTGAGACGAATTCACAGATCACAAAGCAGTTTCTAAGAAAGCTCCTTTCTATTTTTTATGTGAGGATATTTCCTTTTTCACCATAGGCTTCAAAGTGCTCACAAATATCCCTTTGCAGATTCTAGAAAAACAGTGGTTCCAAACTGCTCAATCAAAAGAATTTTTCAACTCTGTGAGATGAATGCCCACATCACAATGCAGTTTCTCAGAAAGATTCTTTCAGGTTTGTATCGGAAGTTATTCATTTTTTCACCACAAGCCTCTGTGAGAATCCAAATCTCCCTTTGCAGATTCTACAAACACTGTGTTTCCAAACTGCTGTACCAAAAGAATGGTTTAACTCTGTGAGATGAATGCACAGATAACAAAGCACTTTCTAAGAAAGCTCCTTTCTGGTTTTTATGTGAGGATATTTCCTTTTTCACCATAGGCCTCAAAGCACTCAAAAATATCCCTTTGCAGATTCTAGAAAAACAGTGGTTACAAACTGCTCAAAAAAAAGAATGGTTCAACTCTGTTACAGGGATGAACACATCACAAAGAAGTTTCTGAGAAAGCTTCTTTCTAGTTCTTGTTTGAAGATATTTCCTTTTTCAATATAAGCTTCAAAGTGCTCCCAAATATAACTTTGCACTTTCTGCAAAAACAGTGGTTCCGAACTGCACAATCAAAAGAATTGTTCAACTCTGTGAGATGAATGCACACATCACAAAGCAGTTTCTCAGAAAGCTTCTGTCCAGTTTGTATAGGAAGATATTCCCTTTTTCACCATAGGCCTCCATGCGAATGCAAATATCCCTTCGCAGATTCTACAAACACTGCATTTCCAAACTGCTCAAACAAAAGAATGGTTCAACTCTGTGAGATGTATGCAGACATCACAAATCAGTTTCTCAGAAAATTTCTTTTTAGTTTGTATTGAAAAATATTTCTTTTTCACCATAGGCCTCAATGCGTTCCTAAATATCCCTTTGCAGATTCTAGAAGAAGAGTGTTTTGAAACTGCTCAATGAAAAGAAATGTTTAACTATGTGAGATGAATGCACACATCACAAAGCAGTTTCTCAGAAAGCTTCTTTCCAGTTTTTATGTAAAGATATTTCCTTTTTCACCATAAGCCTCAAAGCACTCCCAAATATCCCTTTGCAGATACTACAAAAACAGTGGTTCCAAACTGCTCAATCAAAAGAATTGCTCAAGTATGTGAGATCAATGCACACATCACAAAGCAGTTTCTCAGAAAGCTCCTTCCCACTTTGTATTGGAAGATATTTCCTTTTTCACCACAGGCCTCCATGTGAATGCAAATATCCCTTTGCAGATTCTACAAACAACGTGTTTCTAAACTGCACAATCAAAAGAATGGTTCAACTCTGTGAGATGAATGCACACATCACAAAGCAATTTCACAGAAATTTTCTAATTTGTATCAGAAGATATTTCCTTTTTCACCATAGGCCTCAATGTGCTCCCAAATATTGCTTTGCAGATTTTAGAAGAACAGAGTTTCCAAACTGCTCAGTGAAAAGAAACGTTTAACTCTGTGAGAAGAATGCACACATCACAAAGCAGTTTATCAAAAAACTTCTATCTAGTTTGTATCAGAAGATGTTTCTTCTGTCACCACAGGCCTCAAGGCAACTCCAAATATCCCTTCACACATTCTACAAACACTGTGTTTCCAAACTACTCTATGAAAATAATGGTTTACCTCTGTGAGACGAATGCACAGATCACAATGCATTTTCTTTTTTTTTTTTTTTTAAGAGAAAGAAACAGAGAATTTATTGCTGGAAGACATGCCTTACAGAAATGCAAATGGAAATTTATCACACTGAAAATAAAGACGTTAGACAATAATTTGAATCCACATGTAAAAACATAATTAACATAAAGGTAATATAAATATAATTACAAAAGGCAACATAATTGCATATTTCTTCTTCAGTTGTCTCTTGATTAAAAATATTAAGAGAACCAAAGCAAGTAAATATATCAATTTAGTAACTTGAAAACTTTCCACAAAGAAAAGCCCAGGCCCAGATGGCTTCAATGTGAATCTACCAAACATTCAAAGATAAGTATCTTTCCTGTACTCTTCCAAAATATGCAGAAGGAGGGAACATTTCTTAACTTATTCTATAATGTTGCATTTATTCTGATACCAAAACCAAACACATTAAAGAAAACTACAGATCAATAAACCAACTGAATATTAGCATATTAATATACAAAATAATTCTCAACAAAATACTATCAGACTGAATCCTGCAACTTATAAAAAGCATGCATACAGGCTGGGTGCAGTGGCTAACGCCTGTAATCCCAGCACTTTAGGAAGCTGAGGTGAGAGGATTGTTTGAGCACAGGAGTTTGAGACCAGCTTGGACAACATACTGAGACCCTGTCTATACAAAAAAATTTAATTGCTAGGTGTGGTGGCACATGTCTCTGATTCCAGCCACTCAGGAGGTGGAAAGATCACTTGAGTTTGGAAAGTCTCAGGCTGCAGTGATCTGTGATCACACCACTGTGCTCCAGCCTGTGTGACAAAGGGAGACTCTGTCTCAGAAAAAAAAGAAAAAAGTTATACCACATGCAACATGACCAAGTGGGATTTATCTTAGAAATGCAAGGTTTGTTTAATATCTGAAAATCAATTAGTATAATAAACCATATTAATGGAAGAAAGGATAAACTTCATATCATCATCTCAATATAGACAGGAAACATTTAAAAAATACAATACCATTTCATGATAAAAACACCCAACAAACTGGGAATAGAAAACTACCTCCTCAACTAGGTGTAGGCCATACACAAGAAACCCACGGATAACCTTATATTTGATAGTGGAAGGCTGAATGCCTTACTTCTAAGGTCAGGAGCCAGACAAGGGTATCTGCTCTTGCCACTTGTATTTAATATTGTGCTGGAAATCTCAGATAGGGTAATTAGGCAAGATAAAGAAACAAAGGTCATCCAGACCATGAAGGAAGAAATAGAACTATCTTTTTTAAAATTTTATTATTATTATTATGCTTTAAGTTTTAGGGTACATGCACACGATGTGCAGGTTTCTTAAAAATGTATACATGTGCCATGTTGGTGTGCTGCACCCATTAACACGTCATTTAGCATTAGGTATATCTCCTAATACTATCCCTCCCCACTGCCACCACCCCACAACCGTCCCCGGAGTATGATGTTCCCCTTCCTGTGTCCATGTGTTCTCATTGTTCAATTTCCACCTACGAATGAGAACATGCAGTGTTTGGATTTGTGTCCTTGTGATAGTTTGCTGAGAGTGATGGTTTCCAGTTTCATCCATGTCCCTACAAAGGACATGAACTCATCATTTTTTATGGCTGCACAGTATTCCATGGTATATATGTGCCACATTTTCTTAATCCATTCTATCATTGTTGGACATTTGGGTTGGTTCCAAGTCTTTGCTATTGTGAATAGTGCCGCAATAAACATATGTGTGCATGTGTCTTTATAGCAGCATGATTTATAATCCTTTGGGTATATACCCAGTAATGGGATGGCTGGGTCAAATGGTATTTCTAGGTCTAGATCCCTGAGGAATCGCCACACCGACTTCCACCATGGTTGAACTAGTTTACACTCCCACCAACAGTGTAGAAGTGTTCCTATTTCTCCACATCCTCTCCAGCACCTGTTGTTTCCTGACTTTTTAATGATCACCATTTTAACTGGTGTGAGATGGTATCTCATTGTGGTTTTGATTTGCATTTCTCTGATGGCCAGTGATGACAAGCATTTTTTCCTGTGTTTTTTGGCTGCGTAAATGTCTTCTTTTGAGAAGTGTCTGTTCATATCCTTTGCCCACTTTTTGATGGAGTCATTTGTTTTTTCTTGTAAATTTGTTTGAGTTCATTGTAGATTCTGGATATTAGCCCTTTGTCAGATGAGTAGGTTGCAAAAATTTTCTCCCATTTTGTAGGTTGCCTGTTCACTCTGATGGTAGTTTCTTTTGCTGTGCAGAAGCTCTTTAGTTTAATTAGATCCCATTTGTCAATTTTGGCTTTTGTTGCCATTGCTTTTGGTGTTTTAGTCATGAAGTTCTTGCCCATGCCTATGTCCTGAAAGGTATTGCCTAGGTTTTCTTCTGGTATTTTTATGGTTTTAGGTCTAACATGTAAGTCTTTAATCCATCTTGAATTAATTTTTGTACAAGGTGTAAGGAAGGGATCCAGTTTCATCTTTCTACATGTGGCTAGCCAGTTTTCCCAGCACCATTTATTGAATAGGGAATCCTTCCCCCATTTCTTGTTTTTGCCAGGTTTGTCAAAGATCAGATGGTTGTAGATATGCAGCATTATTTTTGAGGGCTCTGTTCTGTTCCATTGATCTATATCTCTGTTTTGGTACAAGTACCATGCCGTTTTGGTGACTGCAGCCTTGTAGTATAGTTTGAAGTCAGGTAGCATGATGCCTCCAGCTTTGTTTTTTTGGCTTAGTATTGACTTGGCAATGCGGGCTCTTTTTTGGTTCCATATGAACTTTAAAGTAGTTTTTTCCAATTCTGTGAAGAAAGTCATTGGTAGCTTGATGGGGATGGCAATGAATCTATAAATTACCTTGGGCAGTATGGCCATTTACATGATATTGATTCTTCCTACCCATGAGTATGGAATGTTCTTCCATTTGTTTTTATCCTCTTTTATTTCCTTGAGCAGTGGTTTGTAGTTCTCCTTGAAGAGCCCCTTCACATCCCTTGTAAGTTGGATTCCTAGGTATTTTATTGTCTTTGAAGCAATTGTGAATGGGAGTTCACTCATGATTTGTCTCTCTGTCTGTTATTGGTGTATAAGAATGTTTGTGATTTTTGCATGTTGATTTTGTATCTTGAGAATTTGCTGAAGTTACCTATCAGCTTAAGGATATTTTGGGCTGAGGTGATGGGGTTTCCTAGATATACAATCATGTCATCTGCAAACAGGGACAATTTGACTTCCTCTTTTCCTAATTGAATGCCCTTTATTTCCTTCTCCTGCCTGATTGCCCTGGCCAGAAATTCCAACACTATGTTGAATAGGAGTGGTGAGAGAGAGCATCCCTGTCTTGTGCCAGTTTTCAAAGGGAATGCTTCTGGTGTTTGTCGATTCAGTATGATATTGGCTGTGGGTTTGTCATAGATAGCTCTCATTATTTTGAGATATGTCCCATCAATACCTAATTTATTGAGAGTTTTTAGCATGAAGCGTTTTTGAATTTTGTCAGAGGCCTTTTCTGCATCTATTGAGATAATCATGTGGTTTTTGTCTTTGGTTCTGTTTATATGCTGGATTTCATTTATTGTTTTGTGTATGTTGAACCAGCCTTGCATCCCAGGGATGAAGCCCACTTGATCATGGTGGATAAGCTTTTTGATGTGTTGCTGGATTCGGTTTGCCAGTATTTTATTGAGGATATTTGCATCAATGTTCATCAAGGATATCGGTGTAAAATTCTCCTTTTTGGTGGTTTCCCTGCCAGGCTTTAGTATCAGGATGATGCTGGCCTCATAAAATGAGTTAGGGAGGATTCCCTCTTTTTCTATGGATTGGAATAGTTTCAGAAGGAATGGTACCAGCTCCTCCTTGTACCTCTGGTAGAATTCGGCTGTGAATCCATCTGGTCCTGGACTATTTTTGGTTGGTAAGCTATTGATTATTGCCTCAATTTCAGATCCTGTTATTGGTCTATTCAGAGATTCAACTTCTTACTGGTTTAGTCTTGGGATGGTGTATGTGTCCAGGAATTTATCCATTTCTTCTAGATTTTCTAGTTTATTTGCATAGAGGTGTTTGTAGTATTCTCTGATGGTAGTTTGTATTTCTGTGGGATCAGTGATGATATCACCTTTAACATTTTTTATTGCATCTATTTGATTCTTCTCACTTTTCTTCTTTATTAGTCTTGCTAGTGGTCTATCAATTTTGTTGATCTTATCAAAAAACCAGCTCCTGGATTCATTAATTTTTTGAAGGGTTTTTTGTGTCTCTATTTCCTTCAGTTCTGCTCTGATTTTAGTTATTTCTTGCCTTCTGCTAGCTTTTGCATGTGTTTTCTCTTGCTTTTCTAGTTCTTTTAATTGTGATGTTAGGGTGTCAATTTTAGATCTTTCCTCCTTTCTTTTGTGGACATTTAGTGCTATAAATTTCCCTCTACACACTGCTTTTAATGTGTCCCAGAGATTCTGGTATGCTGTGTCTTTGTTCTCATTGGTTTCAAAGAACATCTTTATTTCTGCCTTCATTTCGTTCTGTACCCAGTAGTCACTAAGGAGCATGTTGTTCAGTGTCCATGTCGTTGAGCAGTTTTGAGTGAGTTTCTTAATCCTGAGTTCTAGTTTGCTTGCACTGTGGTCTGAGAGACAGTTTGTTATAATTTCTGTTCTTTTACATTTGCTGAGGAGTGCTTTACTTCCAACTATATGGTCAATTTTGGAATAGGTGTGGTGTGGTGGTGAAAAAAATGTATATTCTGTTGATTTGGGGTGGAGAGTTCTGTAGATGTCTGTTAGGTCCGCTTGGTGCAGAGCTGAGTTCACTTCCTGGGTATCCTTGTTAACTTTCTGTCTCATTGATCTGTCTAATGTTGACAGTGTGGTGTTAACATCTCCCATTATTATTTTGTGGGAGTCTAAGTCTCTTTGTAGGTCACTCAGGACTTGCTTTATGAATCTGGGTGCTCCTGTATTGGGTGCATATATATTTAGGATAGTTAGCTCTTCTTGTTGAATTGATCCCTTTACCATTATGTAATAGCCTTCTTTGTCTCTTCTTATCTTTGTTGATTTAAAGTCTGTTTTATCAGAGACTAGGATTGAAACCCCTGCCATTTTTGTTTTCCATTTGCTTGGTAGATCTTCCTCCATCCTGTTATTTTGAGCCTATGTGTGTCTCTGCACATGAGATGGGTTTCCTGAATACAGCACACTGATGGGTCTTGACTCTTTATCCAATTTGCCAGTCTGTGTCTTTTAATTGGAGAATTTAGTCCATTGACATTTAAAGTTAATATTGTTATGTGTGAATTTGTTCCTGTCATTATGATGTTAGCTGGTTATTTTGCTCATCAGTTGATGCAGTTTCTTCCTAGTCTCGATGGTCTTTACATTTTGGCATGATTTTGCAGCAGCTGGTACCAGTTGTTCCCTTCCATGTTTAGCATTTCCTTCAGGAGCTCTTTTAGGGCAGTCCTGGTGGTGACAAAATCTCTCAGCATTTGCTTGTCTGTAAAGTATTTTATTTCTCCTTCACTTATGAAGCTTAGTTTGGCTGGATATGAAATTCTGGGTTGAAAATTCTTTTCTTTAAGAATGTTGAATATTGGCCCCCACTCTCTTCTGGTTTGTAGAGTTTCTTCTGGGATATCTGCTGTTAGTCTGATGGGCTTCCCTTTGTGGGTAGCCCGACCTTTCTCTCTGGCTCCCCTTAACATTTTTTCCTTCATTTCAACTTTGGTGAATCTGACAATTATGTGTCTTGGAGTTGCTGTTCTCGAGGAGTATCTTTGTGGCGTTCTCTGTATTTCCTGAATCTGAATGTTGGCCTTCCTTGCTAGATTGGGGAAGTTCTCCTGGATAATATCCTGCAGAGTGTTTTCCTACTTGGGTCCATTCTCCCCGTCACTTTCAGGTACATCAGTCAGATGTAGATTTGGTCTTTTCACATAGTCCCATATTTCTTGGAGGCTTTGTTCATTTCTTTTTATTCTTTTTTCTCTAAACTTCCTTTCTCACTTCATTTCATTCATTTCATCTTCCATCACTGATACCCTTTCTTCCAGTTGATTGCATCAGCTCCTGAGGCTTCTGCATTCTTCACGTAGTTCTCAAGCTTTGGCTTTCAATTCCATCAGCTCCTTTAAGGACTTCTCTGTTCATGTCCTTTTCCCACTTTTTGATGGGGTCGTTTGTTTTGTTCTTGTAAATTTGTTTGAGATCATTGTAGATTCTGGATATTAGCCCTTTGTCAAATGAGTAGGTTGCAAAAATTTTCTCCCATTCTCTAGGTTGCCTGTGCACTCTGATGGTAGTTTCTTTTGCTGTACAGAAGCTCTTTAGTTTAATTAGATCCCATTTGTCAATTTTGGCTTTTGTTGCCATTGCTTTTGGTGTTTTAGACATGAAGTCCTTGCCTCAAAAGAAGACATTTATGCAGCCAAAAAACACATAAAAAAATGCTCGTCATCACTGGCATTCAGAGAAATGCAAATCAAAACCACAATGAGATACCATCTCACACCAGTTAGAATGGCAATAATTAAAAAGTCAGGAAACAACAGGTGCTGGAGAGGATGTGGAGAAATAGGAACAATTTTACACTGTTGTTGGGACTGTAAACTAGTTCAACCATTGTGGAAGTCAGTGTGGCGATTCCTCAGGGATCTAGAACTGGAAATACCATTTGACCCAGCCATCCCATTACTGGGTATATACCCAAAGGATTATAAATCATGCTGCTATAAAGACACATGCACACGTATGTTTATTGTGACTCTATTCACGATAGCAAAGACTTGGAACCAACCCAAATGTCCAACAATGATAGGCTGGATTAAGAAAATGTGGCACATATACACCATGGAATACTATGCAGCCATAAAAAATGATGAGTTCATGTCCTTTGTAGGGACATGGATGAAATTGGAAATCATCGTTCTCAGTAAACTATTGCAAGAACAAAAAACCAAACACCGCATATTCTCACTCATAGGTGGGAATTGAACAATGAGATCACGTGGACACAGGAAGGGGAACATCACACTCTGGGGACTGTTGTGGGGTGTGGGGAGGGGGAGGGATAGCATTGGGAGATATACCTAATGCTAGATGACGAGTTAGTGGGTGCAGCGCACCAGCGTGGCACATGTATACATATGTAACTAACCTGCACAATGTGCACATGTACCCTAAAACTTAAAGTATAATAATAAAAGAAAAAAAAGGACTTCTGTGCATTGATTATTCTAGTTATCCATTCATCTAATTTTTTTTTCAAAGTTTTTAACTTCTTTGCCATTGGTTTGAGTTTCGTCGTGTGGCTCAGAGTGGTTTGATCGTCTGAAGCCTTCTTCTCTCAACTCATCAAAGTCATTCTCCGTCCAGCTTTGTTCCATTGCTGGTGAGGAGCTGCACTCCTTTGGAGGAGGAGAGGTGCTCTGCTTTTTAGAGTGTCCAGTTTTTCTGCTCTGTTTTTTCCCCATCTTTGTGGTTTTATCTACTTTGGTCTTTGATGGTGGTGACATACAGATGGATTTTTGGTGTGGATGTCCTTTCTGTTTGTTAGTTTTCCTTCTAACAGACAGGACTCTCAGCTGCAGGTCTGTTGGAGTTTGCTAGAGGTCCACTTCAGACCCTGTTTGCCTGGTATCAGAAGCAGTGGCTGTAGAACAGTGGATATTGGTGTCCCGCAAATGCTGCTGCCTTATCAGTCCTCTGGAAGTTTTGTCTCAGAGGAGTTCCCGGCCGTGTGAGGTGTCAGTCTGCCCCTACTGGGGGCTGCCTCCCAGTTAGGCTGCTTGGGGGTCAGGCACCCACTTGAGGAGGCAGTCTGCCCATTCTCAGATCTCCAGCTGCATGCTCGGAGAACCACTACTCTCTTCAAAGCTGTCAGACAGGGACATTTAAGTCTGCAGAGGTTACTGCTGTCTTTTTGTTTGTCTGTGCCCTGCCCCC
This sequence comes from Homo sapiens, assembly GCF_000001405.40. Lineage (NCBI taxonomy): Eukaryota > Metazoa > Chordata > Mammalia > Primates > Hominidae > Homo > Homo sapiens. The sequence continues at coordinate 93,808,061 of NC_000003.12, forward strand.
AGAGGTGGAGCCTACAGAGGCAGGCAGGCCTCCTTGAGCTGTGGTGGGCTCCACCCAGTTGGAGCTTCCCAGCTGCTTTGTTTACCTAATCAAGCCTGGGCAATAGCAGGTGCCCCTCCCCCAGCCTCGCGGCCGCCTTGCAGTTTGATCTCAGACTGCTGTGCTAGCAATCAGCAAGACTCTGTGGGTGTAGGACCCTCTGAGCCAGGTGCGGGTTATAATCTCCTGGTGTGCTGTTTTTTAAGTCCATCGGAAAAGTGCCGTATTAAGGTGGGAGTGACCCGATTTTGCAGATGCCATCTGTCATCCCTTTCTTTGACTAGGAAAGGGAACTCCCTGATCCCTTGCGCTTCCCGAGTGAGGCAATGCCTTGCCCTGCTTAGGCTAGCACACGGTGCGCTGCACCCACTGTCCTGCACCCACTGTCTGGCACTGCCTAGTGAGATGAAACCAGTACCTCAGATGGAAATGCAGAAATCACCCATCTTCTGCATCGCTCACTCTGGGGGCTGAAGATTGGAGCTTTTCCTATTCGGCCATCTTGGCTCCACCCTCCATTCTTGTGTGTTTCTTTCCTGTGTTATTAAAATGCTTGACTAATAACAATACCAGTGCTGGGGATAATGTATTTATTTTTGTGTGTTTGAAATAATAATATCTTAAAATAAAGCCTTATCATTGACATCATAGATCATATTTCTTACTTACAAATTCCCTTACCACTGGGAACATGTTTAAAGGGAATACAATTTGAAGGAACAAAAGAAATTAATTTAGTGAACAGTTGTCTATGAACATTGTATAATTGATAAAAGAATGCTAATTGCAAATAAATAAATGACCTAGCTGATTGTACCAAACTTCCATTTTCCTCAGGCTGTGCATAGGTGTAAAGTAGAGCTTTTAAAATAATAGGTTGGCAAATACCAAGTAGAAAACGAAATTATCCCCAATTCAAACCACAAACCAATTCCAATTATTACTAATGTTCTACCTGCAAAAACAGATAACGAGAAATAAGAAAAGTGCAAATGCTATCCAGGCAAAAATAAATAAACACACCAATTTATAGCCAAACTTTGAAAATAGACTTTAAGACAGCTATATGAACTATAGCACAGATCATTCCAGGCCTAAAATGGGTAGAATTAGATATAGAGGGGTTTTTATCTTAGCCTGGCTGATCATTATTTCTCTCATAATTTTACTTTCTCAATAATGTAAGCCCTAATGCAATTTGCACAAATGTCATACTTTTCTATAATATATGCTACCCTTATATAATGTAATTATAATTCTATCTATAATGAAAAGATTAATGATTTTTTTTTACCTATAATTTGTTTTAGTAACAAGTCATGTTATCATTCTATTTCTGTTAAGGGCATATGGCTTCATACATTCCAGTTATTAATGAAACTAAGCATTTTCTTGTGTTTTGGTCTTGCCTTTCTGACATTAGGCCTCATTTACTTCCAGTGATTTGAAGACTTGGTTCTGCTATGGTACTCCATCCATTAATACTTCACCTTCTGTATACCTGGCCTTGAAATGCTTAATGACATCTCTTTGTTGCTATGTTAGTCCATTCAAACACTAATATAAAGAACTACCTGAGACTGTGAAATTTATGAAGAAAAGAGGTTTAATTGACTCAGAGTTCCACAGGCTTAACAGGAAGCATGACTGGGAGGCCTCAGGAAACTTAAAATCATGGTGGAAGGTGAAAGGGAAGCAAGGAGTTTCTTCACATGGTGGCAGGAGAAAGAGAGAAAGAAGGGATAAGTGCCACATTCTTTTAAACCATTGGCCCTTATAAGAACTGGCTCACTATCATGAGAACAGTATGGGGGAAACCCTCCCCCATGATCCATTCACCTCCCACCAGGCCCCTCCTCCAATTCGACATGAGATTTGGGTTGGGACACAAATCCAAACCACATCAGTCCCGTACTTTTCTTGCCCAGTGACTCCAAACTAGACTTTTTAGTTAACATGTAGCCCTCCCCTTTTTGTCCTACTTCCTTCCCTATCTTCAATCACTGCCAGTCTTTTTCTACTTTTGATTATTCTAACCCCTTGTGATATATTTGTTAAGTTTTGGATTGAAGTGGTTGGATTGATTTTGTGATATTGGTCTATTCAAGTAACTAGCTAAACTTAGGTGTCAGAAAAGATCCAAATTTATCAGACGAGTAGCAGAATGCAAGTGTCAAAATCTAACTTCTAAAAAGAGAATATCGTATTTAAACAGTAGTCAGCTTTACTTGAGGTGAACATTATCAATTAAACTATTCAAATGCACCAACCTAGATTGTGGCCTACTATTAGATTGCAAATTTAAAAGCAAGTCTGTAGAAAAGTCAGCCCACCTCTTCCCAAAATGGCAGAACAAATTTTGGATGATCATAATTATTCTTCAACAACCCACCACTTTTTATCTGAAAGCAATTTAATTCAATTAGACTCATCAAACATTTACTGGTATTCTATTAGTGCTAGTCGTCTGTGCTAAATATTGTGAGAGAGCAATAATTTCAATGTAAATGTTATTCTTCCCTGCACAAAAGGAGACAACCTGTGCAAGCCTGCAACTTGACCCTAGATACAAAGCAGTCTAGTGACTCTGCAAATGTAAATTACATGATTCTTTCATGAAGCAGCAGACACTAGATTTTAAATCTACATAATGAAAGGTTTTGTATAAATACATCCTGAAAGTTTCCTGAACTCCTTGGTGGTGAGAGATATGAGAAGCCCAACTTCAAAGCACTGTATAAAGGAGGAACCTAGTAGTCCTTGTATCTCACACACATCATCTAAGAAAGAGGGTGTCTTTTGTAACACAAAGGCCATGAAACAAGTTAAAACTAAATTTAAAGTTTCCTCCTGAAATTCAGAGTTAAAGATGCACTGGGCCGGGCACGGTGGCTCACGCCTGTAATCCCAGCACTTTGGGAGGCTGAAACGGGTAGATCGCCTGAGGTCAGGAGTTCGATACCAGCCTGGTCAACATGGCGAAGCCCCGTTTCTACTAAAAATGAAAAATTAGGCTGGTGTGGGGGTGCACGCCTATAATCTCAGCTACTCGGGAGGCTGAGGCAGGAGATTTGCTTGAACCCGGGAGGCAGAGGTTACAGTGAGCCAAGATTGCACCATTGCACTCCAGCCTGGGCAACAGAGTGAGACTCCATCTCAAAACAAACAAACAAACAAACAAACAAAAAACATGCATTGGCATTCATCATCCAAATGCAACACTTCCGTATCATCAATAAGATTCTTTTTATTGTGTATACCTTACATATACATAATTGTAAAAACGAAAAGGAAAAGCTTCTGTCTACCTGATAGTTTCATTTTCCTTGTATCATTAGGTTCTTAGACCCTTTTATGTAATAACACTGCTTTACATAAAACTCTAGAGCTCTGCAGAAGTGCAATTTTTCAGCATTTTCTGCTGCAACTGCTATTAATCTAAGCAAAAGAATACATTTAGTTGATCCCTTTTGGGCTTGCATCTCATTAGAAAAATGTAAAATTTTTCTGTAAAATGTAAAAAAATAGCCTCTCTCAAAAAATAAACATTTTTATTTGAACCAAAATTACATTTCTTAAGCATGTTTCAAATAATTTTTTCAAAGCTCCTTCACAACTCAAAATGCCAAAATGAAATACTTTTTTGTTTGCTATAAGGGCCCCTATCTAAAAAAACAAAGGGCTACCAACTCAGCAACATCTTATACCAACCTATTCTAAATAGTTTGAAAATACACTGGTACAATTTGAAGTGGAATGCATGACTCTTCTTAATAAATTAATGATTTTATCTACAGTACTGGCAAAAAAAAAGGGTATATATAAACCAGGATAATATTTCATTCACTGGAATAACTCATTAGAATAGAACTGAGAAAAAAAAAAGAACCAACACAGAAAAAAACAAAGGAAATATAACAATGAAATTTAAGATTTGTGAAAGAGTTTTATTTCCATTTAGAAGAAAAAAGTGAATACAGACTTCAGGGGTATAACCTCATGAAATAAATTAAATTTGACTAAAGCATGAAAAATGAAGTAATAAAACATGAAAGGAAGAGATAGTGGATGACAAAAATACTTTTGCCTAAAATTCTTATTTTCCCTTTGATACAAACCCCGTTCCTCCATTGTATCTCTGTTTAATTTTGTCATTCCTTTCTAGGAGTAAGAAGTCAAATGAACCAGGGAAAAAAAAACGTAACAAAAACTTTCTCCTTAGCCAAAATTTAAGGAGGAAATTTACAGAATCTGGGAATTGTGGGGAGGAATACATGAACGGAATTGTAGCTGGATTCAGAGAGGCCCAGTTGGCCTTTTTGATCATCTCCAGTAATGATTAATACCAGTTACTGCTGGGCCTGCAAAGCTTCTAGACCTGCTGGGTAGCCGTCTGAGTATTGAACGAAATGACCTTCCATGATTTTCAAATACCGTAGTAGATCAATTGTGTTTTAGCATTTTGCACAGCTGGTTATTTGGTTAAATGTTGGCAATTCCCCAAAGCCCTCATTGCATTTTGGAATGTACCTATTCATTTAAAATACACTGCAATGTATTGCCTTGGATAGTGTGTTTGTACCAGGGGGATTAGTTCAGCAATGCTGTGCTCCCACAAACAAAATATCCCTCCTGGAGAGATGGTTTCATTGGTCAAGCTGTAAGTGCATACTATCTGATAACAGTTATTTTTAAACTGAGAAGCTATTAAGATTAGTCAGAGAATAAAAAGCTTTTGAAAAAGTTAAAAGAAAAAAAAGACCAGATGGCAAAATTAACCGCAAAATAATGTATGATCCAAAATAAAATCAGTCAATGCTGCCTGAGTTTTAATGCAATTTAAAAACAACAGACTCACAAAATGCCAGAAAAATTGTCCACACATTCTAAAATAATTCAGCAGGTCAGATTATAAGACTTGTTACCAATAAGTGTTCATTTTTGGCATTTCAAGTTTATCAGAGAGCTTTCACGGTTTTTTTTAGGTTAAAAAATGTATATTCTTTGTTCTTATTATGTGGGAATTTCTTCCCACCATTCAGAGAAAACAGAAACCAATCTGTTCTTCCTCCCTTAGAAAGGAAAAGCAATGAGATTAAATCTTTTTAATCCAATGAGCCCTCCATTGCTGCTCCTAACAATAGGCCTCAGGACTTTTCTGTTGCTATTATTTAAGAGCTTGCTCCCTGGTCCCAGTTTATAATTTTTCCCCCAAGGTAATGGTTGTAAAGTCTTCTTCCTCTCTTGCTTTAGTTTTGGAACTTTTGTTTAGAGATAAATGACTGAATAGTGCATTTGTTTAGTTATTCTCAAAGATACACTAGATGATGTTCATACCCAATCTGTCAGTGTCTCCCTCTGTGAATGGGAGTAATTTAAGTATCTATTTTTTTAAGAAATAAGAGCTAATGCAGGTAATGTACATGACACAGCACTTGACAGTTAGAACATGTTCCATGGCTGTTAGCTTATTATCAAATGGCCTCCTAAAATACAAAGAGGCATTTGAAACATCTTCAAAGAAATGTGTAGCTTGATATCTAAAGTCAAGAAGAGAAAAAAGAAAAGAGAAGATAGAAAAACACCAAAGGTAAAAGACACTTTAATTCACTTTACTCTGCTTTAATTCATGGCACCATATCTGCTTCATGTTCTACCCAGGTGTTAAAAGAATGAAATTGAGTTGCTTCTTCATTCCATCTTTTTTTTTCCTTTGCAGAACATTCCATCTATTTCAAATACAGATTACAAAAATATTCCATTTCTGAACATAATGGTTAATACTATGATATTTTTATTAGTTTGTGTTTTGAAAACCTAACATAAATAGCAAGTACAAAGAAGGATTGGGAGGTGGTAGTCAAGAGTAGGCTTAAAGTAATAAAAATCCTTACATAATTGACAAAACTGTCCCTAAAATAACTCCAAAAGGCAATCTAAAATGGATAAAAATATGTGCATACATGAGTCTTTTATATTTTAGGTGCTTCTGAATTAATTTATTCTTTAAAAAGTGATTTAAAATGAAGATGTATATGGTTGCATGAGTATGAAGTTAAGAAAAACACAAGTCAAAGAAGTTCTCCCCAGAATCATCTCATTATTATTGTTCTTCCAGTTTCCTAGGAAGGTCTCATACTTAAAGTTTTGTTTCCTTTGCAAAGAAGCAAGGAAGAAATAGACAGCAGAGAAGCTGGAACCAATCCCAAGGGGTTAATGAGGGTGTAAGAGACAGAAGGTAGACAGGGCTAGGTAGTCACTACAGCTGGGGATCATTAATAGCAATCAAGGGCCACTATAAACAAATCATCAGGAAGTATGGAGGATCTGCATTTTCCTGGCTTAGTAGCAGGAGCCATCTGGACAGAGGGAATTTGGCTTAATATCCTCATCAGGGAACTTGGGTTTTTTTGTTTGTTTGTTTGTTTGTTTGTTTTTAACCACTCCAGTATAGTAGGTCACTGAAGTAAACAAATTGAGCATGGTTATGCTATAACAGATTAAATTACTATGACAAATATAAAATCCACAATGGATTATGACTAACTTAACAATATAGGAAGAATTTTACCTATATTGGTAAACATAGTTTTAAGAGCAACCAGGGAAAATTAAACAAAGGAGAGAAAAGAGGGAAAAAGTTATTGGTTTACTATATATATATATTATATTCTCCAGAGTTTAAAAAAAAAAAGAAATCATTGCTTGTTTAATAGCATTTGAGTCAGCAGAACTGGCGACTGTGACCAAATCTGTTTGAAAAGACCATGTAGGCAGTCCTGCGTGGGGGATTGGCTAACAAACATGAAAGGCAAGGATAATCTAGGGAAGCAGAGGCTGAAAGGCCAAATGGTGGGTTTTTGCAAGACCCTTTCTTCTGACTCTACACTTACAGCTCTCTATCATTTCTACCCTACTTCCAAACGTTTACTGCACTCACACCAGACACTAAACCTTTTAGTATTTTTTTTTCCAGCTTGGCATTTGCTTTACTGCTATGTGGCTCCCTCTCTTCCTATGTATAGCTGGTAACATCTCGCTGTCAAGGGGACAGATAGGCTGATCTCCAGGATCCAAGGAAATTCTCCATCTATGAATCTGCAGTCTCCCTTAACTTCTTTTCTCTCTTTTCGTATTGTCAGTTCTTTAGAAGGGTGACTCTTTCAAACATTGAATCTACTTAAAACGTTGGCTTCAGAATTTGGATAAATTAATTCAAGAACTAATGCAAATTCAAGACCCTAACGTTACTATGACTTGAAGTTATCTACTTCTGATGACTATGAAAGACTAGATGTTAAAAAGTTGCTATGAGATACATTCACTATCAGTATCAGTTGGCTAATTTGATCCTAAGGGACATTCCAAAGATGTTGGAATACCTCATGGAGTTGAGTTCAAATCGCCAAAAATGGCTATTAGGTCTAGCATTCAAGTTAAGGCCTCAATGCACAGTAATATGTTGAGTACTTAAGAGTTAGGTTTAGGTGGAAGAGAATCTCTGTCCAACCATTTAGCAGCTGAGCTGCCTAACTAGGAAAGATGCATAACCTCCCTGAGATTCAATTTTCTCACTTGCAAAATAGAAAAAATAGTACCTACCTCACAGTGTGGAGGATTTAGTGTGTTAACGTGTGCAAAGTCCTTAACGTGGTGCACAGTTTAAGGAACAAGCTCAAAACGAAAGTCAGTTTGGGCCGGGTGCAGTGGCACACACCTGTAATCCCAGCACTTTGGGAGGCCAGGGCAGGTGGATCACCTGAGGTCGGGAGTTTGAGACCAACCTGGCTAACATGGTGAAACCTCGTCTATACGAAAAATACAAAAAATTAGTCAGGCATGGTGACAGGCGCCTGTAATCCCAGCTACTCAGGAGGCTGAGGCAGGAGAATCACTTGAATCCAGGAGGCAGAGGTAACGGTGAGCCGGGACCATGCCACTGTACCCCAGCCTGGGTGACAGAGTGAGACTCCATCTCAAAAAAAAAAAAAAAAGAAAGAAAGAAAAAAAGAAAAAGACAATTTCTATTATTTCTAGTAATTGCTTTTGAAAAATGTTGTGACTTCCCTCCATTTTAGGCAGACTCACATTTGACTTGTACCCAATTGTGAAATTATAAATATTTTGCAGTGAATCATTCTACCTCTACTTTGTGATTATTTTTTGTCAAGTGCATTGTGTGCACACAATTCCCATCAAATAAAGGTGAAACTAATTTCTGGGTTTTTTCTGTCCTGGGTAGCAATTATAATTTACTTGGAATATGGTTTATTATAAGTCATCAAATACATTTCCCAATAGTGCCATTGCATTCTACCTATCTAAATATTTTTCTGCTGATTTATTTATCTATTCCTCAGAACAAAAATAAAGAAACCCAAGAAAAAGAAAGCCATATGACAAAGAATATAATTTCCTTATCCAAGGTTCTTACAAGCTAATACATGTACATTTTTAATACATTGACCCTTAATTTACAGTGATGATTTCAAATACCATAGAGGTTCTAACTAATTCTATGTCTTCCAAAAATTCTTAGTTTAGCCTTACAAAGGAGAAATTTACATTCAGCATAGACTACACTCAAAGAAGGAAAAATTTAGCCATTTGTTCAGACATGACAATCATTCTTTTTTCAGTCATTAAATTAGCCAACATTTACAGAATACTTAGATGTGCCAACACATTGCTAGGCAGTATGAATATGATAGCGCACAATACCTTGCTCTCACGGAGCTTAAATTATGGTGTGGAAGATAGAAAACTAATTACTCAATCATATATGTGATGTGTTAGATTGTAAACAGCTCTAAGGAGAAAAAGATAAAGTAAGGAGGGAGGACTTGAAGTGTGGAGATGGAAGATTGAGATGTTAATGTTGACTGGGGTGGCTCAATGTGAAGGTGAGTTTTGGTGAAAAACCTGAAAGCACAAAGGAGCTTACTCTACTGAGAGCCAAGGGAGAGGATGAAGAGAAGTACAAGAGATGAGAGAAAAGTACCAGGAGACAGAGCATTTACAGCCTTTTCTTTGTATCTCCTTTGAATCAGAAATAAATATTGTCTAGAAAATAATGCATAGTTTAATTGTCCTACAAAATATGGACTCCAGATTAAGATACCCTAAATAGGATGTTTCAAAGAAACAAATAGTCTTTCGGCTAGTCATACCAAAACTCTGTATTTGCATGTACATTATCTATAGCGGGTCTTTTCTAAACATCATCTTTGATTTAATTTAAGGCTGAAGAAACATGTTGAAGAAAATACGATCATTGAATCTTCTTTCCTTATCTCCTAAGACAAATCACAGTGTTAATCATTTGGTAATTCACCTTTAGTTTAAAATTATGGTAGAGGTCAAGAGGATTCATAACAAAGGACTGGCCTCAAGCGCTGCCAAGGTAAAAGAACAGTTTACACCCCAAGGTTAAAGAGTCTAAATCTGTAATGCTCAGTGAAGATTCCTTCAGAAACTCCCTGACTTCACTGCAGGTAAAAATCATTAAAAGCAGGGCATAGACAGGTCTATAAAAGCATCTAATACCAAAAAAAAGAAAACTGTTCAACTGAGACATGAGAACTTTTAATGAAGAAAAGGTTTTAGTACTGAACCACCATTTAAAAAGTAGAGAACTAAGAAGATTCTCATTCAACTGACATCAATTAAGCAAAGTGAAGAGACCTATTCTAGACACATAGAAAGGAAGTGATGTTACCATCTAACTGGGAAGACAGGTGTTCTTAATAACAACAATGAAACGCTAAATTTGATAACCAAAATAAAACCAAAAGTTTCAGGACCATTTTTACGACTTCAAGTATAAATCTACTAGAAAAAATAGAAATCTTCAACTAGCGTATGTGAAACATTTACAACTTCTTCATGTAAGCAATATTTTTTTTACCATGAAAAAGAAAGCTATTGTTTAGCTATTTCTCTATTTTGTAGCTATTTTGAGATACACTCTTCCCATATCTGATTGCTTTGCACCTCAAAGAAAACTCTACCAGTAAAAATATGGTTATTTTGACTTGAGAATAATTATACTGACCTCTGAAGAGGAAAAAATATATAAGAATAGATTGGAAAATTTGTCTTCTTCTGACTAAGAAGACAAATCTTTTAAAGATGGAAGTGGAACACAGTGTGGTTTCTATTATGCTGATCCTTCCATTTTTTGTGGATGGTAGGGCCACTTGATACACAAAAAATATCTTGACAACACCCATCACCTCTAATCCTACTCCCTTTTTCCTGATTGACTCCTATCAGGATTAATATCTACCTGAGCTAATCAACCCAGATCAGCTGACAGTTTACTGCAAGCCAAACCGAACAGAAATGTGTCAGTCCGGTCAATGGTGGCAAACAAAATCTAGAAATGTTAGTCTCTTCTGGCAGTTCCTGCCTGTGCTTTAAGTTAGACAGCCCTACTACTACACCTGCTACCACCATCACACCAGAGCCTTCTCTCCTATCTCCCATCACTACCAGCAACGTGTTGCCAATATTTCATCCAGATCTCAAGGTCCCTGAGGTTCTTACCATAATTTAAGGTTAGATGGGAAAAAGAGAGAAAAGCAATGAGCAAAATAGCATCATTAGTCCCAGCAGAACCTTAGCTGGGGTCTCTGATTGCTGCCAGTCATCTTCACCTGGTGAGTGAATCATCCTTCAACCTTTAACAAGACTCACCTTGAGTAGTTATGCTTGTCAAAACAGGTATAATTTGGCCACATTTCTATTTGGACATCACTTTTTACTGCCAGCCCTTCCCCTATTAGCTAAAGTTCTCTAGGTTTTGTGTAACTCACATGTCTTTCCCTTTTGCTCATTTCTTCTCCACTCCACCACACACAGTGCAGAAGCAGTTCTCAATATGTTTCTGCAACTAGGTGCCAAGGTATAATATGTTGGTGCAAAAGCGATTGTGGTTTTTGCCATTACGTTTAATGGCAAAAAACGCAATCGCTTTTGCACCAACTAATATATGGAGGTTATGAAGTAATCCTTTGCTAAAGTGGCAACTTCTCCCTTCACAATGAAATACTGTTGTTTCCCACTATTAAAGTTGTTTGTCCAACTTGATAAGGCTCATCTTAAGCAATTTAGAAAAATGGAAATAAAGTTATATTCACTTGCACTTGCCTCTAAACTTCTGAAACTGGCATACAGTATCAATCAAATGGGGAATCCAGAAGTACAATAGAATCTATGTCTAAAAAAGTAGCCTTAAATTTATGACATTGTTAATTTTTGACAGATGGACTTGCTATGCTAAAGTCAATGGGTATTTTATACAAAATAAATTATGATTCAATTATTGAAATATGTTTCCCCAGAAAAAACAGATGTTTTTATAATTTATCAAATCATGCCACACTTATTAGGAGATTATAACTTGTCTTCAAGTATTCACTCAACAAAACAACAAAAATGTGGACAGAGGCCACAAAAATGTTTAGGCCTCACACTATGGAGTATGAGTTTCCTATAGTTAATTTATGTCTAAACTTAATCCAGTTGTGTTTTTTCTCTTTGGCCAAGTATAAGAAATGAGAGTTACCAAAAAGCCACTTCCAAATAAATTGAACTTAAAGTTTGATGAATAATTGTCCTTATCTATCATATGTGTATCATATAATATGCATATGTGTATACATAATATATATGCCTATACACACATAGGTGCTTCCGCCGTCACTCAGCACTCATTCTCTCTCCTGCCACCTTGTGAAGAGGTGACTTCCACCATGATTGTAAGTTTCCTGAGGCCTCCCCAGCCATGTAGAACTGTGAATCAATTAAACTTATTTTCTTTATAAATGTATATGTGTATATATAATATATATGCCTATACATACATGATATATTCATATCTATACATTACGTATATATTCTATTGACAAAATCTATTGTTTCTACATACATATTCTACCTCAGTAACTGCTTTGTACAAAACTTCCTCTCACTACCAAAGCCACAGTTAATCCTTTCTCTTCTTTATCCCGTAACTCACTTGACTTTAACTCTCTAAGTCTTAAAATAGCTTTCCATAACATTTCTGATTAAGTCTAAAACCTATCTTGTGTATGCCCCATTCGAGTTTACAATGATCTCTCCCTAGGTTTCAATGCCTGTTCCACTTTTTTCTCTCTCTTTTCCAAAAGTTCTCCTTAACAGCCTACAATATCAACCTCTCCAGTCTTCCTCCTTCCTCCTTGAAGCTTTCCATCATTGATAGAAAGAATTATTTTCCTCTCTCTACCCCTCCCTCCCAATCACAGCATGAAATCCCTTTGTTTCTCTTCTATCCTGTTCTCAAGGTTATGAACTAAATCCAGCCTTTCACACATGTCATCAATTTTAAGTGCTTTTCTAATTTATTATTTTTAAATAGAGTTAAACCTTGCACATTTTACACGTGTCAACTTATTTAATCTTCGCAAACACTCTATAAGGTAAGTGCATTGTGAGTCCCATTTCTCAGGGAAAGAAACTGAGGTGCACATTGATTAATTGCTAAAGGTCACACATTAGTGACTGGAAGAACTAGAATTTGAATAGAGACACTATGACTCCAGAGTCCATGCTCTTAGCCAGTACATTAAACTGCTCCTTTATACTCAATATTTGTCCTTTTATTTACATTTTTAAGGCCCTCACATCTGTGTTGTCTGCTCTAGTATACTAAAAATTCTATTGTTACAAAGACAATGCCAGGTTAATTCAAACTATATTTGAATTTTTTAGCTTTTATTAATCATTAGAAGTTGATACATTCAGGGACTAACTAAACTGGACAGTGTCATACAAACTGCTAATACATCAGGGAAAAAAGACAAGGAAGAGAAGAGAGAAATATAATGAAGCCATATAAATAATATATTTGCTGAGATTTTTCTTCAAGAAATTAATCATCTCCTTTCAAATTTGCCTACTGCCTCATACCATTGCTGAAAGACTAATATTCTAGTACCTTCAAATGGGTCACTTGCTTTGTCAGAGGTATTTGTGGGTTTTGGGTGTTTTTAAAAAATCAAAATAGCGCCCCAAATTTAAAAAGTGTGTTGCTGTTTACAGTATGCTTATACAGATATTATTGCACTAAACTATATCAGCAATGACTTCTTCCTTCTTCCTGACATAGAGTAAGTAAAAGTGACATAAATATGAGATGGAATTTCTTAGCAAAACTTTTATTTTTAGAAAACAAAAGCAATTCCTCATGATATATATGCATCTCCTTTTAATAAGAACTAGAATTCTATCTTAACCAGTAAAATTAATGTTACCATTACAGGAGCATTAATTTTGTGTCAGTTTCTACTAAATAGTAATCAAGATAAAGAAATGAAAAGGTTCCAAAGCCAACATCCATCCCCACACAGAATGGTAAGTGATATGGTTTGGCTGGGTCTCCAATCAAATCTCACCTTGAATTGTAATAATCCCCAAGTGTCAAGGGTGGGAGCAGATGGAGTTAATGGAATCATGGGGGTGTTTTCCCACATGCTGTTCTAGTGAGAGTGAGTTCTCACAAGATCTGATAGGTTTAAAAAGGACTTCCCCCCTCTTTTGGCACTCATTCTCCCTTCTGCCACCCTGTAAAGAGGTGCCTTCCACCATGATTGTAAGTTTCCTGATGCCTCCCCAGGCATGTGGAACTGAGAGTCAATTAAACCTCTTTTGTTTATAAATTATGCAGTCTTGGGTATTTCTTCATAGCAGTGTGAGAATGGACTAATATAGTAAGTCATGTGCTATTCTATTTTAACAATTATCTGTCTTATGAAAAGATATGTGTGTCTAAATTACTCCAAATTAAGAACTAAAACTATCTCTCTCCTTCAATGTCTCTTTCTTTCTGCAACATGCACACAAAGAGAACGACAAACACAAAAGTGAAATAAGCCAGGAACAAAAAGTTAAACATTGCATGTTCTCACTAATATGTGGAAGCTGAAAAAAAAAAGTTGATTTTGTAGAAGTGAAAACTAGAACAGAAGATACTACAGGCTGGGAAGGGTAGAGGAAGGAAAGGATAGGGAGAGATTTGTTAAAGGATACAAAATTACAGCTAGATAGGAGGAATAAGTTCCAATGCTCTATGCCAGCAGTCCCCAAACTTTTGGGCACCAGGGACAGGACAATTTTTCCACAGATTGCTTGGGGAGATGGTTTCAGGATGAAACTGGCCCACCTCAGATCATCAGGCATTAGAGTCTCATAAGGAGCATGCAACCTAGATCCCTTGCATGCGTGGTTCACAATAGGGTTCTCTCTCCTATGAGAATCTAATGCCACCACTAATCTGACAGGAGGTAGAGCTCAAGTGATAATGCTCACTCAACTGCCACTCACCTCCTGCTGTGCAGCCCAGTTCCTAACAGGACATGGACCACTACCTGTCTGTGGCCTGGGGGTTGGGGACGCCTGCTCTATGCCATTGTCAGATGACTGTAGTTAACAATAATACATAATTTCACATAGCTGGAAAGAGGATATTGAACATTCTCAACACAAACAAATAACTGTTTTACATGGGTATGTTAATTACCCTGATCTGAATACTATACATTATATGCATTGAAACATCACTAGGTACCACATGAGTATGTACAATTATTATTTGTCAATTTTAAAAGTTAAATTTAAAAAGAATCATTTTATTAATGTATAAAGTTCTGTGAATTTATTGATAAATTAATGGCTAATGAAAATAAGTAGATGGCCTGCGTCCATTATTATTTGCTCCTATTTAAGAGAAAATATGTTAGGTTTAACAAATGATTGCAGATAAATTAATTGGGAAAATGAATTTACTTTGTACATATTGTACCTTCTTGGATTCCTATTATTTGGGGAGAAATTTTATATTTTTTTCTTTATATTTGATACTTTAAAGACACTGTTTCACTGAGTTTGGAACAAAAGCAGTAACTTAGATTTCTGCTTCTCAGCAAATAAACAGCAGGTGAAGTTAAGAGCTTGATTAAGGAAAAGATTACCAGTGCTATTCTTTATTCTGCAACCAATAATTTTACAGTTAACAGGAAATAATAGGCCAGCTTTTTCTCCAGTATAGATGTTTTCATAGGAATTCTTGTGATGTGATTGCCAAGAATAGATTTCTATGTCTGCCTAATGTACACTGAAGAAATGATACATTTTTAAAGTAAACCAATCAATTTCTTCAGAGGCTCTCTTTTATAAGGACAAAACAAAATAGTCAACCAAGGATTCTAAGGCACTTAAAGAACGTTTCAAAGTGTAAATTACAAAAACCCATAATGTAAATAAGCACCAAGTGCCATCTCAAAACTTAAAAAATGTTGTTGGTTTTTTTTTCTGAGTTTGAGACTAAATCATTAGATAGGATATATACCAAGCTGTATGTTTGTGAGTTTTTCTTTTACAGGATGGGAATTACTTAGCAAATTTTTACCACCCAGCAACACAAATGGCTCACAATTAAGTGTAAGACAAATCCATATTGTAGAATCAATCATTGCTGTATAGAAAACTCAAGTAAAACTAAGATCATGTTAATTCGGAATCTCAGTCAGATTGATGTTTGAAGTCTACAATGCTATCACACTGTAGTTGTTCTTCAACTGTTCCTTTTTTTTTTTTATTTTGTTTTGTTTTCTTCCCCCAAATCAGACCCTCATACTGGCAAGTTGAATTAAAAACTTGTCATAGAGACATCTGTAAATGATTCTGTACCCAATGGCTATGACCAGACTCCAAATTTAATTATGTGTAAAATGATAAATGAAACAGAAAAAGTGCCAAACTTAATTAACATGCTGAATATTAAGTGGATTTAGTGGATATCATATTTTAAAGATTCCAAAATTTAATAGGCACTTAAAGCAAATGCAGTATTTTCCTTTGCATCACACACTCTATTCATGAACGACAGCATGCAACAATTGATTTAAAACATTTTCAAAACTGTGAGTATGTTTTTCCCCACATAAATTCATCATTGATGACACCATATGGCTCCATTAATGAAGAAGCTAGGCCATGCCAGGCTATTACCATGAATCGAGAAGATAGTTCCTTGTCACCAACCAGAGCCTGCTCATTTTTTGTCCTCTGGGCTTAACACAAAAAAATTTTCTCATCATTCAGATTTTTTTCTAGTTTGAGATATTTTCCAGGATTCTATTTTTGTTTAAATGATTGAGGAGTGGTGAGTTATGTCCTGGCCTTTTGGTTAGCAATCTCCTTTCATGCCTGCATAGATCACTGATAGGAAATTAGCAATGATTGCAAATGCCAGTTTTCTTCAAGTTGTGAGTCAATTGCAGGAAAAGCATGCATTCACCCACATCAACTAATATTTGCAAGGTAGTGGTGGGTAATAGCAAAGAGCACAAGTCTGGAGCAGAGTACCTGAGATTGAGTCAGTCCCTGTTTTGTCACCTTCACTTTGGCCAACTTAACCTTTCTGCATCTCTCTTGCCTCAATTGCTAAAGGAGGATAAGTGTAAGGTTATTATTAAGATTAAATAAGTTAATATGTATAACTCTTAAAATATATGCTAGTTATGATTATTATATTTCATAATTTATAGTTTCTCAGAGGATATTTTGATCATTTAACGCTATAACTGTTTCTTCTATTCCCAACGGCAAACATATCTGATTTATCTATGCTACTGATTCTTAAAATTGACTGCACATTGGCATCACCTGGACACATTTTAGAAATACTCATAACTGGTGTAGGCTGCAATGCAGGCATGGGTTTTTCAAAGCTTCTGATGTTTTGAATGTGCAGCCAAGCTTAAGAACCATTGATCTATGTCCCTTCTTACCTAGATGGATTACCTCTAGAAAAGAGAGTCAGAGTGAGATTGCGGGTAGTTTATGCTAATTTCCAAAGTCCTCTATGACCTATGACTGTTGTCTCAGTTCATTCCTACTGCTAGAAGAAAATACCACAGACTGGGTTCTTTATAAACAACAGAAATTTGTTTCTCACAGTTCTCGAGTCTGGGAAGTCCAATATCAAGACACTAGCAAATTGGGTATCTGGTGAAGGCTAGCTCTCTGCTTCCAAGATGGTGCTTTGTTGCTGTGTCCTCACATGGTGGAAGGCAGAGGGGCAAAAGGAGGGCCTAGATAGTCTCCTTCAGCCCTTTTATAAGGGCATTAATCCCATGTATGAAGGTCGACCTCCTCAGGATCTAACCACCACCAAAGACCCCACCTTCTTTGGGGTTTAAGTTCCAACATATACATTTTGGAGAGACACAGATATTCAAACCATAGTAACTGTTGTCCTTAGTGTTTAGTGTGCTTAGGAATTACAGGGAGGACTTGTTAAAACAAAGATTGCAAGCCACAGCCACAGTTTCTGAATTAGCAGGTCTAGGATAAAGCCCAAAGATTGCCATTTCTAACAAGCTCCCATGGAATATTCTTATCACTGGTCCAGATGAACAGAAGTGGGGACAGATGGGCCCACAGTAACCACCATACTGTCCATATCTTTAGTATGGCCTGTATTAGTCAGGGCTCTCCAGACAAACAGAGTCAACAGAATATATGTAGATTACATAGATAGATAAACAGATCTATTTATAGATAAATCAATATAGACCTATATCTCTCTATAGATATAGGAATATAGATCTATATCTCTATATATTCTTTATATCTATATAATATATAGATAGATCTATATAATAGGTGTATATATTATACATATGTATAAAATATATATATACACAGAGAGAGAGAAAGGAGACAGATTTATTTTAAGGAATTGGTTCACATGATTTTACTGGCCTGGTAAGTCCAAAATTTGCAGGGTAGGCCACAGTCTGGAGACCCTTGGAAGAACTGCAGTTCAAGATCAAAGGCAGTCTCCTGGCAGAATACCTTCTTGAGAGGCCAGTCTTTGTTCTATGAAGGTCTTCAACTGATTGAATGAGACCCACATGCGCTATGGAGGGCAATCTGCTTTACTCAGAGTCTACCAATTTAAATGTTAATCTCTTCCAAAAAACACATTCACAGCAACATCCAGAATACTGTTTAACCAAATATCTAGGCATCAGGACCTGACCAAGTTAACACATAAAATTAGCCATCACATAGCCTCATTTGTACACAGTGTTGAATCCAATATAAAAAAGAAATAACATTTCTTCTCCAAATCTCTTTGTTATTATAAATTACTATTGAAAAAGTTAAGATTAATTGGTGTTGGTAGAAACAATAGGAAAAGCTGAATGCTCCAAAGTGATTGAGTTTGGCCATAGTCAGTGACAAAGTTTTTAGTGTATTTAGTGACCCAACAGGAACAGTTTTCTAAGTAAAATTTTGAGATACTGATGAAAAGAGATGAAGGATTGACTCTAGGTACAGTTAATGAAGCTGACACTTCCTTTTCCCAGCAACTCATCTCCATAGGTGATAGGCCACCAGTACTGTCCTAAGCCTTCTAGGTTTTCCCATTGTCCTCATCAAAACATATCTGTCTTGTAATCTGATTACAAAGGTTCTTCATCTAAGCTGTACATTTAATAACTAATCAAACTAAAGTGTTAATATGTCAAGAGGTGCAGAGATAATTCGCTGACATTGACTGATGGTAAAGGAACTTTATAAACCAACATCTTCCCAACATGATTTTTCCAAAGAGCTGCAAATGGACAATACAACCAAGCACATTAAGAACTTATTTCCTCACACTGGGGTTGCTTGCAGTGCTTAGAATTGGTAGGAGAGCTTTTTCAAAACATATGCTGTGTCACTATGCACACAGGGTGTATTAATATTCCCAGTGATGGGATTTTCCACATAATTTAAATAAAACCCCTTCCCCTACCACTGGTGATTCTCAGTCCTGATTGCATATTAAAATTGCCTTGTGAGATTTTATTATGTACAGATGCCAGGGCTCCTCCTAATCCAATTAAGTAAGAACCTCTATGACAGCTGGTGAGTCCCTGTGTTTTAAATGTTCCCCAGGTCATCCTAACGTGCACCCAAGGTCAAGAACAACTTCTTCATATGGGAAAAAAGCATAAATCATAAGGTTACTGAGTTTGGGAGGAAAATGAAATATACAATTTACCAGAAAATAAATAGAATATTTACCATATCAGTTTTACAATATGTAGTTAGAAACTTTACACTTTTACCCAACTGAAGTTAGAAACAGACTAATATAAGAGGAGGCTTTGAGAAAACACAAATCAGTAGATCCCACCAAGCGCTTTTTAATTTTTCTCAGCTTTACAATTGACATTCACTGAAATAAGGCTGATTTTTTCAGTGATACTACAAGTATGCAGTATAGCAGGTTCTTAGGCATAATAATAATGTTTTTAAACACAATAATGATTAAAAATAGAGTTCTTTCTTTTATTAGGCTTTTTGTTTGCTATTGTGAAAAGGTTGAAAGAAAAATGCCCTGCAGCCATTCTGAAGTTTTCTTGTAACATTTGATCAACTAGAACAGGGACTATGTCCTAAAGTAATTGTGGAATCTGCACAGTACTAGCCTTGAACGGAGCTCAGTGTTTATTGATTGGCTGATGGAGGATGAATTCCTTTAACCTAATTGTTTATTTCCATTTCTAAGATATTTAAATTATATATATTTTAAATAAATATATTTAAATAAGATACATATATATTTAAATACTTTGATTTTAGAAAAGCAATATAAATCTTCAGAAAATATTTACTTATAATGCCAAGTGTTTGTCAGTCTCAGAGAGGTAAATCTGAAAGAGAACCAAGAACTAACACATACAGAGTAAAAAATATTATGAAATTGTTATTCCCAAAATATTTCAGATTTTAGATTTAAGAAAATTTTACATATCTAGAAAAAAAAATTATAGCTGTTACAAATCCTTATTCAAAAGAGGCACTCTACTAAACAAAATAATGCAAGGTTGAAATTGTGAGTAGAGTAGGCATTTATCTACAGGGTCAGATTATGGAGGTAACTGCCATAATACCATATCCCCCAATCCCATCAATTATGACCGAAATGCCACCAGTGCTGCTAAGCACGACTTTAAGCATTGATCACTTGCAGAAAATACTCCTGAGAAAACTAGCAGTTCCCGTGAATTAAAGGAATTTTAACAGGCTATGGCCTGAAAGCAGTTAATATGAAGAACAAGACAGGGGACTTCAGGATGCATCAAAGTTGATCTTTGCCCACTTTTCCAAAATTGAAATTGAAATTATGAGACATGCCCTCTCAGAATCAGTCTGTCCATCTGAAAAGATGCAAATAATATTATAGCAATCTGGAAAGTGAACTACTTACAAGTAGATGTAGTTAAACATATTTTTATAGCTGAAAAGTTCATAATCAAATATATTTTTTACACAACTTTAAATGTAGAAATAGAAAGTGTACTCCATAGAATTTGAAGGAAGACATTGGGGTAATTAACGTGTTAACCAAAATAAGAAAATTTTTAAAGACTTTACCAGAATGCTGTGGGCTAGTCTATAGTAAACATGAAAATCACATTTAAAATACTGCAATACATCTTAAGATAACATGGATCCTTAACATGTGACTTCTAAGATGGTAATATTAATGATGTCTTTAATGGTCTATTTTCTTGTATTCATTTTATTTAACTTTTCAGTAATGTTTTATTTTATTTGGAATTGTGCCATAACTAAAATAATATGCAAACAGATTTAGGAGATATACCTAATGCTAAATGACGAGTTAATGGGTGCAACACACCAGCATGGCACATGTATACATATGTAACTAACCTGCAAATTGTGCACATGTACCCTAAAACTTAAAGTATAATAATAATTAAAATTAAATTAAAAAAACAAATGATACTGTAAACATAATGTAATGTTAATATTATGTATATTATAAATATGCCATTTTATTATAAGTATCATGCATAAGTAATTACATATAATAATAACATTGGTATTATATATGTGATTAGATATAAATAATAGTATACATAATTAAAATGCAAAACGTAAGTATTTAAATGCATAAAATTAAAGCATTTCACCATATGTATTTATAATTTGTAACAAGTTTTTATATTAATATTCTAATAATTCTACCCTGAACTTATAATACAAGTTTTTTTATTTAAAAAGTGATTAAGAAGCACCATATTCAAACATTTAAGTTCACATAAATCTCTTTAGAGGTCAAATTAAATTTTAAATAGAATAGTTCAGATTTTGTATTTTAGAGATATATACCAAAATGGTTTGTGTAGAATATGTAAATTTATTTAAACACAATTAAAACAGATAAATGAAACATAATTTATTATGAGTTTAATGAACACTTTCAATTTTTAAATCTCTGCTACTATATTCACAATTTCAGTCAGTGAAAATACATACAGCTCTCCATTTGGAAATTGTGTATGAAACTGTTTCTCACTTGTTTAATAGCCTTTAATGTGCTGTTCATTTTCTGCCTAGTGTTGGCCTTGTTATCAACAAGTTTCTAAAATCTCAAAGATGCCTTTGAAAAGATGAGAAATACCATTACGCAGACAAGTTTTAGAGTATCAATTTTGTTACACTTTGGAGGCACAAAAGGGGAAGAGAAGTTGTTAAACTAGTATATAATTTAAATGATTATTTTTATATTAAAATAAATACTGATACCATGGAAATAAGAATAATTCCCCAGAATTTTCATGATTAAACAGGAACATCAAACATATTTAATACAGCTGCTTCCAGCTATACTCCAGCCATTTAGGATACATGTCTACTTTTCTCTGTTTCAAGGGGTACTTGAGAAGTGTGGCTGTATTCCCCTCCTCTTGTTCATTGAACTGTCATTCACATCTCTTACCTTGCATTATACACTGAAAATGTGCTTCTTATGATTAAATTCACCAAGTGACAAGAACTTCTTACAAACCCAACATTTTAAAATGTATACATTCAAAAGGATACTCAACCACAAGACACTGTCATTGAGAAAAGAAGGCAAACATAGCAATTTTTATAGTTTATGGACTCAGTACACATATAGGACAGATGCACATGAAAATAATGCATTTTAATAAACTTCACAATCATTCCCACAAGCACTAGATAATTGCCAAGTATGTATGGGATGGGACAGAGGCTGGGGCACTAGAATAAAGAGCACACACTACCTTAAGGTAGGAGACTAACTTGTGCTCTTAAAAGAATTAGAGAGGAAGGGGACAGGCTTCTCCATTTGGAACACCTTGAGTAAAATCATATTGTTGCCAATCATCAGAGTCTGAGAAACATTATAAGAGCAGAAATTGTGGATCATCAAAGATTGGACAAGAGTGAAGATGAAAACAAAAGATTATTTCTAAGTTCTAAAACTGAGAGACCAGGAGACCAAAGGTAAGAAAAGTTGGAGGGGAAATCTCAGGAGGGAAAAGCCTAAGTTTAAGTTTGAATGTGTTGAATTTTTTTATTACTTTTGACAGCCAGAAGAAAATGAAGAATGGTATTTAACTTGATCAACATGAGAATAAGGACAGAAGATCACTGCCACCATTTCTGCTACTGGGAAAAACGCAATAGCTAAAATGCTTAATTGTTTTGACTATAGCCTCTCTTCTTTCAATACAAAACACAGAGCAATGGATGGTCTCAATGAAAGTTTCGGTAGAATACCCTAGGCCTCCTCAATTTCAGCATCTCCAGGGAATGGAGTTGAACTCAGTGGCACTGAACAAAGCCTCCTTCCAAGATTTTTCTTATAGGCTCATTTTCCCTCACTCACCACAAGGTTTTCTCTTTCAAGAGTCTTGTAATTCAAGAACATAAACTTTGCTCCAGAGATGAGAGGCCTAAAACTTCAAAATGAAGAGGAGCATGATCACACTTCTGTCTTTGCATTGCCTGAAAAAATGGCCTGATACAAGCTCCCTACCAAGAGATAAGCAAAATCGTAAGAGTTTCCTACATTTGGCAACCTGATATCTTTCAGAAATGTAGAGTATTGTGGATAAAAACCATGCCCATGTGATTCAGGCTCAGCTCAGCCTTGTGTGGTCAGAGAAACACAAACAGTAACCAGAAGTAATTAAGACATTCAAATCATTTAAACATGTCCTTTTCAAAATGGCAACAGAATGGAAAAATACTTTAAAAACCATAGATCATCTCACATTCTTTTCTCTCCACCTGCCTTAGTCCGTTTTGTGCTGCTAAAAAACAATGCCACAGACTGGATAATTTATAAATAGAAATTTATTGGCTCACAGTTCTGAAAATCTGAGAAATCTAAGTTATGTTAATGGCAGTTTCCATGTCTGATGAGCTCATTCTCTTCTTCCAAGATGGCGTCTTTCATGCTGCATCCTCCAGAGGGAAAAAAGAATGAATCCTCACAAGGCAAAAGTTAGAAGACTCTAGACCGTGAGAGAGAGCAAGATGGGGCCAAACTCGCCCTTTTATAATGACACCAATGGCACCCATGACAATGGAGGCATCACATCCTAATGCTACCCATGAGAGTGGAGCCCTCACACCATAATCTCTTCTAGAAGCTTCCACCTCTTAATTCTGTTACAATGGCAATTAAATTTTAACATGAATTTCAAATGATAGCACTCTCTGTAACTCATTGTTTCCCACATGGGTAGCAGCAACTTCCTCTCTGATACTCTTTTTTTTTTTTTTGAGAGGAGTCTTGCTCTGTCGCCCAGGCTGGAGTGCAGAGGTGTCATCTCAGCTCACTGCAAGCTCCGCCTCCCGGGTTCAGGGCATTCTCTTGCCTCAGCCTCCTGAGTAGATGGGACTACAGGTGCTCAGCACAACGCCCAATTAATTTTTTTTTTTTTTTTTGGTATTTTTAGTGGAGACGGGGTTTCACCGTGTTAGCCAGGATAGTCTGTATCTCCTGACCTCGTGATCTGCCCACCTCAGCCTCCCAAAGTGCTGGGATTACAGGCATGAGCCACCATGGCTGGCCCCCTCTCTGCTACTCGTAGCTCCCAACTGAGCACTCTACTCAGCCCGAACACCCCATGTGGGCTTTTGCCTTTCCTTCCTCTGTTATTTTCCTTCAATCCCATTATTTTTCTCTTTTCCCAAAGTAAATACCCTACTTTTTCCTTTTCAGGTTGTTTTTATTCATTGGCCCAAATTAGCATGAATGTAATATAGGAAAGGAAAGAATTCTCCTTAGCAATTAGAGGCAAGCAGAAAAGAAGGGACAAGTGGGTACACATTAAATTTTTTTGTTCCCATCCCATGTAAATGCTTAGTTTCAAAACAATTTACTGTCATTATGTTTTATTTTGTTCTGAAACTCCAAGCTCTTTAAAAGACAATTCGAATTCTTATGATGTATCAGGATCATTCTTTTTTAGGATCCCTTGGGCTCTTGAATCAGTAGGGAACTGAATAAAAATCTCCACAGTTATGTGAAACCACAGAGATCTCAAGAGTTCTCTAAGGTTGGATGTGCCAAATTCTTTGGTACTTCCCCAGCCCCTTAGAAGAAATGCTGGGACAGGGACACAGTGTAATGCCAGGTGCTCAGGGGTCTGTGGCCCCTTCATTGCTACTCAGAAGGCATGCATGAAATTCTGTCTGCTTCAAGAACGCATAAGCTGACATTTCCAGATTACCTCTTTTTCTCACACAAACTGTGTTTTTGTACTGTTTTGCTTTTAATGGATAAGGAGAAGTTAGATTTCACGATTAATACAAATTTGTAAAATTTATTAAGTGTTAGAATACTACCAAGAAAGGGCAACCCTATAAAAATATAGATTACACTGCCTGTCTGACAGCTTTGAAGAGAGCAGTGGTTCTCCCAGCACACAACTTGAGATCTGAGAACTGGCAGACTGCCTCCTCAAGTGGGTCCCTGACCCCCGAGTAGCCTAATGGGGAGCCACCCCCAGTAGGGGCAGACTGACACCTCACACGGCCAGGTACTCATCTGAGGCAAAACTTCCAAAGGAACAATCAGGCAGCAGTATTTGCGGGTCACCAATATCCACTGTTCTGCAGCCACCCCTGCTGATACCCAGGAAAACGGGGTCTGGAGTGGACCTCCAGCAAACTCCAACAGACATGCAGCTGAGGGTCCTGACTGTTAGAAGGAAAACTAACAAACAGAAAGGACATCCACACCAAAAACCCATCTGTACGTCACCATCATCAAAGACCAAAGGTAGATAAAACCACAAAGATGGGGAAAAAACAGAGCAGAAAAACCGGAAACTCTAAAAATCAGAGCACCTCTCCTCCTCCAAAGGAACGCAGCTCCTCACCAGCAATGGAGCAAAGCTGGACGGAGAATGACTTTGATGAGTTGAGAGAACAAGGCTTCAGAAGATCAAACTACTCCAAGCTAAAGGAGGAAGTTCAAAGAAGTTAAAAACTTTGAAAAAAAGTTAGATGAATGGATAACTAGAATAACCAATGCAGAGAAGTCCTTAAAGAACCTGATGGAGCTGAAAACAACTGCATGAGAACTACATGACGAATGCACAAGCCTCAGTAGCCAATGCAATCAACTGGAAGAAAGGGTATCAGTGATGGAAGACAAAATGAATGAAATGAAGCATGAAGAGAAGTTTAGAGAAAAAAGAATAAAAAGAAACAAACAAAGCCTCCAAGAAATATGGGACTATGTGAAAAGACCAAATCTATGTCTGATTGGTGTACCTGAAAGTGACGGGGAGAATGGAACCAATTGGAAAACACTCTGCAGGATATTATCCAGGAGAACTTCCCCAATCTAGCAAGGCAGGCCAACATTCAAATTCAGGAAATACAGAGAATGCCACAAAGATATTCCTCAAGAAGAGCAACTCCAAGACACATAATTGTCAGATTCACCAAAGTTGAAATGAAGGAAAAAATGTTAAGGGCAGCCAGAGAGAAAGGTCGGGTTACCCACAAAGGGAAGCCCATCAAACTAACAGCTGATCTCTCAACAGAAACTCTACAAGCCACAAGATAATTGGGGCCAATATTCAACATTCTTAAAGAAAAGAATTTTCAACCCAGAATTTCATATCCAGCCAAACTAAGCTTCATAAGTGAAGGAGAAATAAAATACTTTACAGACAAACAAATGCTGAGAGATTTTGTCACCTCCAGGCCTGCCCTAAAAGAGCTCCTGAAGAAAGCACTAAACATGGAAAGGAAAAACTGGTACCAGCCACTGCAAAAACATACCAAATTATAAAGACCATCAAGGCTAGGAAGAAACTACATCAACTAACGAGCAAAATAACCAGCTAACATCATAATGACAGGATCAAATTCACACATAACAATACTAACCTTAAATGTAAATGGGCTAAATGCTCCAATTAAAAGACACAGACTGGCAAATTGGATAAAGAGTCAAGACCCATCAGTGTGCTGTTTTCAGGAAACCCATCTCATGTGCAGAGACAAATATAGGCTTAAAATAAAGGGATGGAGGAAGATCTACCAAGCAAATGGAAAACAAAAAAAGGCAGGGGTTGCAATCCTGGTCTATGATAAAACAGACTTTAAACCAACAAAGATCAAAAGAGACAAAGAAGGCCATTACATAATGGTAAAGGGATCAATTCAACAAGAAGAACTAACTATCCTAAATATGTATGCACCCAATATAGGAGCACCCAGATAAAGCAAGTCCTTAGTGACCTATAAAGAGACTTAGACTCCCACACAATAATAATGGGAGACTTTAACACCCCACTGTCAACATTAGGCAGATCCACCAGACAGAAAGTTAAGAAGGATATCCAGGAATTGAACTCAGCTCTGCACCAAGTGGAACTAATAGACATCTACAGAACTCTCCACCCCAAATCAAAAGAATATACATTCTTTTCAGCACCACATCACACCTATTCCAAAATTGACCACATAGCTGGAAGTAAAGCACTCCTCAGCAAATGTAAAAGGACAGAAATTGTAACAAACTGTCTCTCAGACCACAGTGCAATCAAACTAGAACTCAGGATTAAGGAACTCACTCAAAACTGCTCAATTATAAAGAAACTGAACAACCTGCTCCTGAATGACTACTGGGTACACAACGAAATGAAGGCAGAAATAAAGATGTTCTTTGAAACCAACGAGAACAAAGACACAACATACCAGAATCTCTGGGACACATTCAAAGCAGTGTGTAGAGGGAAATTTACAGCACTAAATGCGCACAAGAGAAAGCATGAAAGATCTAAAATTGACACCCTAACATCGCAATTAAAAGAACTAGAGAAACGAGAGGAAACACATTCTTAAAGCCAGCAGAAGGCAAGAAATAACTAAGATCAGAGCAGAACTGAAGGAAATGGAGACACAAAAAAACCCTTCCAAAAATTAATGAATCCAGGAGCTGGTTTTTTGAAAAGATCAACAAAATTGATAGACCACTAGCAAGACTAATAAAGAAGAAAAGTGAGAAGAATCAAATAGACGCAATAAAAAATGACAAAGGGGATATCACCACCGATCCCACAGAAATACAAACTACCATCAGAGAATACTATAAACACCTTTACTCAAATAAACTAGAAAATCTAGAAGAAATGGATAAATTCCTTGACACATACATCTTCCCAAGACTAAATCAGGAAGAAGTTGAATCTCTGAATAGACCAATAACAGGCTCTGAAATTGAGGCAATAATTAATAGCTTACCAACCAAAAAAAGTCCAGGACCAGATGGATTCACAGCCAAATTCTACCAGAGGTACAAGGAGAAGCTGGTACCATTCCTTCTGAAACTATCCCAATCAGTAGAAAAAGAGGGAGTCCTCCCTAACTCATTTTATGAAGCCAGCATCATCCTGATACCAAAGCCTGGCAGAGACATGACAAAAAAAGAGAATTATATACCAATATCCTTGATGAACATTGATGCAAAAATCCTTAATAAAATACTGGCAAACTGAATCCAGCAGCACATCAAAAACTTATCCACCATGATCAAGTGGGCTTCATCCCAGGGGGGATGCAAGGCTGGTTCAATATATGCAAATCAAAAAATGTAATCTGGCATATAAACAGAACCAAAGACAAAAACCACATGATTATCTCAATAGATGCAGAAAAGGCCTCTGACAAAATTCAACAACGCTTCATGATAAAAACTCTCAATAAATTAGGTATTGATGGTACGTATCTCAAAATAATAACAGCTATCTATGGCAAACCCACAGCCAATATCACACTGAATGGACAAACACCGGAAGCATTCCCTTTGAAAACTGGCACAAGACAGGGATGCCCTCTCTCACCACTCCTATTCAACATAGTGTTGGAAGTTCTGGCCAGGGCAATTAGGCAGGAGAAGGAAATAAAGGGCATTCAATTAGGAAAAGAGGAAGTCAAATTGTCCCTGTTTGCAGATGACATGGTTGTATATCTAGAAAACCCTATCGTCTCAGCCCAAAATCTCCTTAAGCTGATAAGCAACTTCAGCAAAGTCTCAGGATACAAAATCAATGTGCAAAAATCACAAGCATTCTTATACACCAATAACAGACAAACAGAGAGTCAAATCATGAGTGAGCTCTCATTCACAATTGCTTCAAAGAGAATAAAATACCTAGGAATCCAACTTACAAGGGATGTGAAGGACCTCTTCAAGGAGAACTACAAACCACTGCTCAAGGAAATAAAAGAGGATGCAAACAAATGGAAGAACATTCCATGCTCATGGGTAGGAAGAATCAATATCATGAAAATGGCCATGCTGCCCAAGGTATTTTACAGATTCATTGCCATCCCCATCAAGCTACCAATGACTTTCTTCACAGAATTGGAAATAACTACTTTAAATTTCATATGGAACCAAAAAAGAGTCCGAATTGCCAAGTCAATCCTAAGCCGAAAGAACAAAGCTGGAGGCATCATGCTACCTGACTTCAAACTATACTACAAGGCTACAGTAACCAAAATAGCATGGTCCTGGTACCAAAACAGAGATATAGATCAATGGAACAGAACAGAGCCCTCAGAAATAATGCCACATAACTACAACTATCTGGTCTTTGACAAACCTGACAAAAACAAGAAATGGGCAAAGGAGTCCCTATTTAATAAATGGTGCTGGGAAAACTGGCTAGCCATAAGTAGAAAGCTGAAACTGGATCCCTTCCTTACACCTTATACAAAAATTAATTCAAGATGGATTAAAGACTTACATGTTAGACCTAAAACCATAAAAACCCTAGAAGAAAACCTAGGCAATACTATTCAGGACATAGGCATGGGCAAGGACTTCATGTCTAAAACACCAAAAGCAATGGCAACAAAAGCCAAAATTGACAAATGGGATCTAATTAAACTAAAGAGTTTCTGCACAGCAAAAGAAACTACCATCAGAGTGAACAGGCAACCTAGAGAATGGGAGAAAATTTTTGCAACCTACTCATCTGACAAAGGGCTAATATCCAGAATCTACAATGTACTCAAACAAATTTACAAGAAAAAAACAAACGACCCCATCAAAAAGTGGGCAAAGGATATGAACAGACGCTTCTCAAAAGAAGACATTTATGCAGCCAAAAAACACAGGAAAAAATGCTCATCATCACTGGCCATCAGAGAAATGCAAATCAAAACCACAATGAGATACCATCTCACACCAGTTAAAATGGTGATCATTAAAAAGTCAGGAAACAACAGGTGCTGGAGAGGATGTGGAGAAATAGGAACACTTTTACACTGTTGGTGGGAGTGTAAACTAGTTCAACCATGGTGGAAGTCGGTGTGGCAATTCCTCAGGGATCTAGACCTAGAAATACCATTTGACCCAGCCATCCCATTACTGGGTATATACCCAAAGGATTATAAATCATGCTGCTATAAAGACACATGCACACATATGTTTATTGCGGCACTATTCACAATAGCAAAGACTTGGAACCAACTCAAATGTCCAACAATGATAGACTGGATTAAGAAAATGTGGCACAAATACACCATGGAATACTGTGCAGCCATAAAAATTGATGAGTTCATGTCCTTTGTAGGGACATGGATGAAACTGGAAACCATCATTCTCAGCAAACTATCACAAGGACACAAATCCAAACACTGCATGTTCTCATTCATAGATGGGAATTGAACAATGGGAACACATGGACACAGGAAGGGGAACACCACACTCTGGGGACAGTTGTGGGGTGGTGGCAGCGGCGAGGGATAGCATTAGGAGATATACCTAATGCTAAATGACGAGTTAATGGGTGCAGCACACCAACATGGCACATGTATACATATGTAACAAACCTGCACGTTGTGCACATGTACCCTAAAACTTAAAGTATAATAATAATAAAATAAAATAATTTAAAAAATAAAAAAATATAGATTACACTTCTTTTTTTCTAAAATGTTCCATAAATTTTAGGTTATTGTTAATTGAACATTAAGCTAACCATAGATTTTCTTATCATTTACTAGTTTCAATTATGTGAAGTTTAATAATATGAAAATGACAATGTGTTTTTAAAAAATTCAAGATATCCTTTGGTACATAATGGGACTTTAATAAATATTCATAAATGAATCATTTTTCAAGAGACTACATTATTGGAAGAGGTTGCAGCTAATATTCCCTTTACTGGAAAACTAAAACACTGCATTTTTGAAAAACAAAGATTTGCTTACAAATTTACTCTTTAGAAAAAGTCCAATTTCAGGTAGTTTATTTGAATAATGTTCCCTATGATAATAATTGCACACGTTTTAATGATTGCTATAAATGTATTAGGGAGTACAACACAAGATAGTGAGTTCAGAGGAATGGGGATTGTATCTATAGTAGAACACATACTTTCTGTTCAGCCATCAACCTGTCTAGCACTACTTCAATTATGTGACGTGCAACTCTTCGTTATATCTACTTAACTGTTTATTCAGCTAAGTAAAGAGACATCAACCTAAGTAACACAAAGTGGCTTCAGATTTTATCCAAGTGCTAGATTGCTTTAAAGACATTATTGAATTCCAACTACATAGTAGATAACACTTACATGAAATAAATGAAATCATTCCGAATGAATGAATTCCTATTTAAAGCATATTATATACCACTTATGGGAAATGCTGCAAACTTGAACTGATATGAGAGAAAGTTTGAAATAAAGTTCCTTAATTCTAGATAGCTGTTTTGTGTATGCATATGTTTAATAGCATTATAAAATATCACTTCTAAGTCACCATTATATTTGCAGACAGCATGTTCTTTGGCCACAAACTTATGATTCATATATGTCAAGTCACTTAGCACTGCTGGCAAGTGTTGCCAGCCTGAAGTATAAAACAGAGAGGATAATAAACCTTTAACAAGCAGCAATAAAACTAATGAAATATAATCTCAAATATACTACTCTAATTCATCCTGAGAGGAAACACAATCACCCAATCCTAAGGATGAGGAAATGGAGCCAGCTCCATAAAAACACGTATTCATCATAGTAACATGGATCATTTTAGAATTAGAACTAAAAGAAAATTCAAGCTGGTTATAGTGGTGTAATTATCATGACCAAATAGATGAGGATGACAGGATGAAGCAACAGTTCACATATGCTTATTTTGGCTCCATATTTAAAGCTATTGAAATGAAAATATTGATATTACTTTTAATGGGGATAATCTTTCATGCTGAGGATAGAGAAATTTCAGGATAGTCAGACTAAGCAGCATTTAAGAAGTGAGGTATGACTTCCAAGATCAATATGTAAGTGGGTCACAAGTTTATTTACATACAGTTTGCATGTGTCTATAATAACCATGCAATCTATTCCCAAATAACTTCAGATTGATGTTTATTACTGTATCCCTTGAGGTTGTAATTTGATAATAGTGCATTTCCTCCTGTATTTCCTATAATTCTCATCTGTCTTTGAGAAACTAGAATTCCAATTTAAGAAAAAGGGAGAAGAGAGGAGAGAGAAAAGGAAATGAAAGGTTGAATGAGGCAGAGAAAGGAGATAAGAGGAAGGGTAAAATTTTCTATGAGTCCTTTCTCTGTAGCTTTTACTTTTGCACACACAAGTGATTTAAGGGAGCAATCTAAACAGAGAACAGACTAATCCAAAGATAAAATTAGAATAGACAACATTTCCTTATTTTAATAGACAAGCTCTGTGATTCTGCGTACGGTATAGTTTATGCATACAAGTAAGGTAGTAAAGGGAAACAGATCGATAGTCCATTCTCAGAAGCATCCACAGGACAACTAGGAGTTCTGTGCTTAGTTTTCAAATGCCAGAAGATTTTTTTGTAACTACAGGAATTTGTTTCAATAACTGATTTTCCCAAAAAGGCTCAGGAAACACATAATGTCAAGTAGGGTCAAACAATGAAGACAGGGTATGCAACTCGGCTTGGGTATGTTTAAGATAAGCAAAAGTAATGTAGAAGAGCAAGATGGTGTACTTAGATTATATAGATATTTGGAATTTCTATTATTCAAAGGGAAACCTCAAAAAACTGGTAGAAATATTTTCCCCATAGAATGAATTCTTGGACAGTATGAATACCTGTCACAGGCAGAACTAACTGAAGCATTTTTGAAAACTTGAACAAGCTGCTTGAAAACACAACAATAAAAAGAAATAAGGTGCCATGAAAAATGTACAAATAATAAGAATAAATATTTTCTGTCCCTACATGTCATGAGTACAGTATAGATTACAAGATTTAACTCTTTTATAACTAATCAAATACATCTTATTTACTTTCTGTTGCCTCATTTCTCTTTTAAAATATGCATACTCCTATCTATTGATTTTATTTCACTTTGGTTGATAGGAGTATAACCACTGACCTGAAAACTGTCCCCTTCTAAAAGATAACTCCCATGATTTTCCACTTGTCTTGAAATTTTAATATCTAGGTTACATTTTTCATCATTAAAATAGTTATTTAGTTTATTAGTAACCTCTGAAGGATGTCTTGAGCATTAATAATGAGTGGAAAAACACTATAGAAATTATTATTTTTGCAAGAGCTGTATAAGTTAGTGAGGGGTTAATGCTACTTTATGCCTACTGATTATAATATATAATTATATATAGCCTGGCTATATATATTATATAGCTACTTTATGCCTACTGATTATAATATATAATTATATATAGCCTGGCTATATATAATATATATATATATTATAATATATAATTATATATAGCCTGGCCATTCTTTCAATTAAAATAAAGCCAAAGCAATGTCTTTAACATATACCTGCTTTCACTGAATAGTAACAATTCTATCAGTCTGTGGTGAAAGGGAAAATCTCAATATTAAGGACATAAATTGACAATATTTTCAATACGAAAGATGTTCCATGGAATAGGGACGCATTCGTGGGGTTTATTTATTTATTTATTTATTTATTTATTTTTCGAGACGGAGTCCTGCTCTGTCACCCAGGCTGGAGTGCAGTGGCAGGATCTAGGCTCACGGAAACCTCCTCCTCCTGAGTTCAAGCAATTCTCCTGCCGCAGGCTCCCAAGTAGCTCGGATTACAAGCACCCGCCACCATACTCGGCGCTAATTTTTGTATTTTTAGTAGAGACGGGGGTTTCACCATGTTGGCCAGGATGATTTCGAACTCCCGGCCTCGTGATCCGCCCGCTTCGGCCTCCCAAATTGCTGGGATTACAGGCATGAGCCACCGGGACCGGCCACATTCGTGTTTTAAGAGGATACTTTCGGTCATTGCGCAGTCTGAAGAGTCATTTTACTTTGCTTTCATTTATAAGACATTCATGTACTGCCATCGTGTGGTCAATCCAGCACACATCAGCTTATTTGAAATGGTATGAAAAGTCAAGGAAAAAAAAAAAGACTGTGCTATTTGTTTTGGTTCATGCTGATAGCCTTCATCTTGCCAAAAAGAGCTTAGCAAAAGAGTTAGCTGGAATATACCATAGATGTAAACCCAAGCACTTTTATTTACCAGAGGACCCAGGCAGTGTGTGTTTGAAGTCAGAACCAAGTCAATCTAGCTGATAAAACCACAGGGAGCAAATAATATTTATTTCCTGTTTAATATTCTGGATATTTCATATAGAAGATCTATCAAAAGTTCGAAGTTGTGTTATTTATATAACTTTTTCCAAAATCACAAGTTACAGTTAAAATGATATTTTATAACTGTAGTGCCTTTTTAATGCAACTAAAAAAAGCTGTGTGCATAAATGGACAAATATAAGTGCAGATACAGGGGAAGTCAAAGCAATTTAAATTGGAAACGTTAAACACACAGCACAAGATCATACTTTTCTCGTTTAGATAATTTCATCTGTCTTCAAGAGTACAAAATCAAATGAGGTCCAACTCCCTTCTACTTAATTTTTAGTATCATCTCTAATACTGAGGGTGGGTGTAATCATTCAAATCGTAATCATGATGAAATTATTTAATGGATTCATATCTTATAAATTAAAATCTTTCTTCCAGTCAGAACATGAAAATCAAAAGCTCTATTTGATAAAAGAGTAATTCTGGATTTAAATACAAAAGTTCTTATATTGTAAAGCCCTTAAATTGTTTTCCAGAAATAAAACCTTTTCAACATTTAAATATAGCAAGAACTACAGGGAAGCATAATTCTATTAATGACTTCTTTCACCTTAGAAAGTATCAGATGAGCTAATGAATTTTCTACCTTCAACTGATAGTTTTAGAGAGAGAAATATCATTTCAACTCTCATATCTTTATGTATTGTTTCAAGAAATGCCAAATGCCTTTCAAAATATTATCTCAGCATGTAAGATTTAAATACACCAACAAATTTTATGAGACAAAATCCTAATTTACTTTCCTTCTTTCCCTTTTTTATTGAACACTCACCACAAATTTCTTATTAGATGAAACATAAAAAGTTATCAACAAATATAAAATCAGCCTAAACGTAACTATCAGTCTAAATTTTGGTCTTAAATTATCACTAATTTTATAACTTTCTTCCATTTAATACAGTGACTTCCTGCATGTTCATGAGTTTATAATGGTCATATAAAATAACTTTTCTCTCATGACCTTTAGTAGGAAAGAAAGATATTTGTATATGAGAGAAAAAGAACTAATAAGTAAATATTTTAATGAAGAAAGAAAAAATGTATTGAGTAGAAATGAAGATTATCCAATCTAAAGATTAGATATGCACTTTTTTTGGTTATGAGTTTCTATTATGGAAAACAAAACAAACTCAGTAAATAGACATATTAAAACAGGTAGAAGCCTAGCCAAATTTTGACACTCTTAAAAGACTTAATAATGAAAAGAGATAGGTCCACGATTAAGACCAGTCTACACATTATTTAATTGCCTGCCAATCCGGGAAAAATTGAATTTAGTCACCATTATTACATGTGGTTCAACACGAGTGTCTTGGAAGTTGCTTATGATAGGGCTACAAATGAAAGTGTCCTAAATTTTTAACCCTCATGAAGATATGATGGACAACCAGAAGATCTAGCTACAGGCAACATCAAGGAAGGAGCACTGGTCAGCTTCATAAATACAAGTCTGTTTTCTAGGGAGAAGGAAGAATGGAAGCAATCTTAGTCAATATTCTTTTGACTGCAAGTACAGAAACTCATTTGAGATAGTTTACACAAAAAAAGGGTATGCATTCTGTAGATATAAGTGTATAGTGCTACTCAAAGAATGATTTAGTGTTTGCCTTGGCAGTGCATATACTAAAATTAGAATGATACAGAGATTAGTGTGGCCCCTGTGCAAGGATGACACGTTCTAAAAATTTATTAATATTTAAAAAAAGATCTAAAAATCATGATGGAATTTGGTATAGAATTTGAGATGAAGCATTTAGAAAGTTGTGAGCAATTTGAGAAAGCAGTTTTTTGCCTGCTGATTCTTTAATAAAAAGGCATGGTCGCTGTGTGATTCCCATGGCGACTGTAACACATTACCACAAACTTCGCGGCATAAAAAAAATTTATTCTGCCACAGTTCTGGATGCCACTCCAGCCATCCTCTTTGAAGAAGGGCCTTGAGCTAGTGAAGCATCTCTGCCAGCATAAGCAGAGAACAGGAAATGCTTGGAATTTGCAACTACCATGCCTCCCAAGATGGTCACAAGCTAATGACTCATTGGTGTGGGAGTATGAAAGCCCAGTTCCCTTGCCTTTGTCAGGACAAACAGTGCCTTGTAACTTACATTCCAAAATTCCCTGCTGAATCAGACTGGCATCACCCCTACTTGAAGTGGTACCCTGGCTTCTTAGCTTCCCTCCCCTCCTTCCCTCATTCCCTTGGCAATTTAACCCGGAACACTTCTTTAATAAATTACTTGCATATGAATCCCTAGCCTAATATCTCCTTATTTTGAAGAAACTGATCTAACACAAAGAGTAACTTTCTTTTTTTCTTTTTTTTTTTTTTTGAGACGGAGTTTCGCTCTGTCACCCAGGCTGGAGTGCAGTGGAGTGATCTCGGCTCACTGCAAGCTCTGCCTGCTGGGTTCACGCCATTCTCCTGCCTCAGCCTCCCGAGTAGCTGGGACCACAGGGCCCGCCACCACGCCCGGCTAATTTTTTTTTATTTTTAGTAGAGACGGGGTTTCACCGTGTTAGCCAGGATGATCTCTATCTCCTGACCTCGTGATCGGCCCGCCTTGGCCTCCCAAAGTGCTGGGATTACAGGCGTGAGCCACCACACCCGGCCAAGAGTATCTTTCAGATGCCTTGTTTAGCGTTTCCTTAGATTGGGGAACCCAACCTAAGACAAAGATTATGTCATACAAACAAAGAGCAATATGAGCAGCCAATCCCCCTTGAAGAACTGAAACCAAATCATCTCTCTGTCTCTCCAGGCCACTGGAGCCTCATGGCTGCTCTGTTTCTTCCTTCACGTCTGTTTTATTTTTGTCTCTGCACACACATCTCTGCTTTATGGCACTTAACCAGAGCTCTCAATCTAACTCTTCTGTTTCAATTCATGATTTCCTTTCATTTAATATAGTAACTTTTCAAAACCTTTTTAAGAATTTGAAAATAAAGTTTTATGTAAAAGAAATGTATTTCAATAAACTTTAATAGAAAAGAAAGATTACTACATAACTCTAAAGATTACAAAACTCTTTATAGTGATAAGCCAGATTATTTCTAGTCCCATTTGTGTGGAATAAAAGTAAATATGGTTGACTCATTTTATTGATAGAAAGTGTAATGATACTGATAAAAATTAGTAGAATTATACAGTATACAAATGACTGCCAAGTCCTACCACTTTCGGAAGTTTCCTTCTCCTTTAAAAGAAAAGGTGCATGGTTTGGCTCAAGGTATGGCACTCGGTATTGTACATAGCCACCCAAGTTCAGGCTACAGGGAGTATCTGCAAAGAGAGCCTTATTATTTGACCTTGGAGAAAAAAGTGAGAAAAACCCTATCTGACACAGAGGCATTTCCTGAGCCAAGAGTGTATTTGTCTTTGAGAATAGAAAGAGTTTAAACTGAATGTGACATTTTAAAAAATAATTAACAATTACACCATTTATTGAGGAGTACAATGTTAACTTGGCCATTGGGAGTTTTACTGGTTAAAATAATTTAAGAGAGTGTTTTTACTATTATGATTAAATATAATATTATTACTATTTAAAAGGTAACTTTTTTACCTAATACCTATTATATATCAAGCCCTGTATTTAAATCTCTACATGCCATAGCTCATTTACATGTCACATTGATACTTTGATGTGGATATTATTCCTATTTTAAATATTCCAAAGCTGAAACTTAAAGAATAATAGCTCACTCACAGCTAATCATCTGGAAGGGAAAACTAGATCTTTGTCACCAGAGCCCAGGTCATTTCCACACTGCTATACCATCTTAAGCTGTCATCTGTGTTAGCTCTTTCTCTCAGTGTGTCAATGAACAACTCTGTTTCTAAGCCAGTGCTTGGTCTACTGCGTCAGCTGCTTCAGCTTTACTTCTTTCTCTCTGAGAAGTTCCTTCCCATCAAGCCCATGGTGCTAATGAAAGGGATTCATGAAGAGTGAAGGACATATCACATGTGCACATTGTCCCATGTCATGCCCTGTCTAGTTTCTCAGAATGTGCAGAAATGTTCTCTGCAGGAAGTTATGAGCCTTCACCTGGATCCATGTGATAAATTTCAAACAAGCTTAAGCGTTCTTGTCTCTACAATGAATTAAATGCAATTAGGCAACACACAGCAGAATATACCAAATGACCTGTCACTCCATTGTAATTATTTTATTTAAAAATAATCCTACCTGGTTATAACTTAAGCCACACATATAAAGTGGAGAAGAGTTCTTGATTGTCCTTGACAAAAAACAGAAATTAAAATGACTCTGTCTCATTGAAGCTTTGAATCAGAGATTACTACTTAAGAATAAACAGTAGAAAAATTACTACCTTATGGAAAATCACAAAAAATACACATTTTAAACTGTTCAGATGAATTAAGACATCATATAGATTAGTGAAAATAATATAAAATTTAATTATGATCCATATCACAAAGTTATTATTTCTACTTTAATTGGTGAATTTGGACCATATACACAAATTCCCAAACACCATGCATCTGTCACTGACTATACGTTCATGATTGTGTTCCCTAATTAAAATCTATTTCAGTTCAGTATGCTGGAATTCGATGTTTTTGTTCTTTTTATTGTTATTATTATTATTATATTTTAAGTTCCAGGGTACATGTGCACAACGTGCAGGTTTGTTACATAGGTATACATGTGCCATGTTGGTTTGCTGTGCTCATTAACTCATCATTTGCATTAGGTATTTCTCCCAATACTATCCCTCCCCCAGCTCCCAACCCCACGACAGTCCCCCGTGTGTGATGTTCCCCACACTGTCCAAGTGTTCTCATTGTTCAGTTCCCACCTATGAGTGAGAACATGTGGTGTTTGCTTTTCTGTCCTTGTGATAGTTTGCTGAGAATGATGGTTTCCAGCTTCATCCATACCCCTACAAAGGACATGAATTCATCATTTTTTATGGCTTCATAGTATTCTATGGTGTATATATGCCACATTTTCTTAATCTAGTCTATCACTGATGGACATTTGGGTTGGTTCCAAGTCTTTGCTATTGTGAATAGGGCCACAATAAACATACGTGTGCATGTGTCTTTATAGCAGCATGATTTATAATCTTTGGGTATATACCCAGTAATGGGATCACTGAGTCAAACGGTATTTCTGGTTCTAGATCCTAGAGGAATCGCCACACTGTCTTCCACAATGGTTGAACTAATTTACACTCCCACCAACAGTGTAAAAGTGTTCCTATTACTCCACATTCTCTCCAGCATCTGTTGTTTCCTGACTTTTTAATGATCGCCATTTTAACTGATGTGAGATGGTATCTCACTGTGGTTTTGATTTGCATTTCTCTGATGGCCAGTGATGATGAGCATTTGATCATGTGTCTGTTGGCTGCATAAATGTCTTTTTTTTGAGAAGTGTCTGTTCATATCCTTTGCCCACTTTTTGATGGGGTTGTTTGTTTTTTTCTTGTAAATTTGTTGAAGTTCTTTGTAGATTCTGGATATTAGCCCTTTGTCAGATGGGTAGATTGCAAAAATTTTCTCCCATTCTGTAGGTTACCTGTTCACTCTGATGGGAGTTTCATTTGCTGTGCAGAAGCTCTTTAGTTTAATTAGATCCCATTTGTCAATTTTGGCTTTTGTTGTCATTGCTTTTGGTGTTTTAGACATGAAGTCCTTGCCCATGCCTATGTCCTGAATGGTATTGCCTAGGTTTTCTTCTACAGTGTTTAGGGTTTTAGGTCTAACATTTAAGTCTTTAATCAATCTTGAACTAATTTTTGTATAAGGTGTAAGGAAGGGATCTGGTTTCAGCTTTCTACATATGGCTAGCCAGTTTTCCCAGCACCATTTATTGAATAGGGACTCCTTTGCCCATTTCTTGTTTTCATCAGGTTTGTCAAAGATCAGATGGTTGTAGCTGTGTGGTGTTATTTCTGAGGCCTCGGTTCTGTTCCATTGATCTATATCTCTGTTTTGGTACCAGGACCATGCTGTTTTGGTTACTGTAGCCTTGTAGTATAGTTTGAAGTCAGGTAGTGTGATGCTTCCAGCTTTGTTCTTTTTGCTTCGGATTGTCTTGGCAATGTGGTTCCTTTTTGGTTTGATATGAACTTTAAAGTAGTTTTTTCTAATTCTGTGAAGAAAGTCATTGGTACCTTGATGGGGATGGCATTGAATCTATAAATTACCTTGGGCAGTATGGCCATTTTCACGACATTGATTCTTCCTATCCATGAACATGGAATGTTCTTCCATTTGTTTGTGTCCTCTTTTATTTCAATGAGCGGAGGTTTGTAGTTCTCCTTGAGGAGGTCCTTCACATACCTTGTAAGTTGGATTCCTAGGTATTTTATTCTCTTTGAAGCAATTGTGAATGGGAGTTCACTCATGATTTGGCTCTCTGTTTGTCTGTTATTGGTGTATAAGAATGCTTGTGATTTTTGCACATTGATTTTGTATCCTGAGACTTTGCTGAAGTTGCTTATCAGCTTAAAGAGATTTTGGGCTGAGACAATGGGGTTTTCTAAATATACAATCATGTCGTCTGCAAACAGGGACAATTTGACTTCCTCTTTTCCTAATTGAATATCCTTTATTTATTTATCTTGCCTGATTGCCCTGGCGAGAACTTCCAACAATATGTTGAATAGAAGAGGTGGCAGAAGGCATCCTTGTCTTGTGCTGGTTTTCAAAGGGAATGCTTCCAGTTTTTGCCCATTCAGTATGATATTGGCTGTGGGTTTGTCATAATTGGCTGCTATTATTTTGAGATACATTCCATCGATACCTGGTTTATTGAGAGTTTTTAGCATGAAGGGCTGCTGAATTTTGCTGAAGGCCTTTTCTGCATCTATTGAGATAAACATGTTGTTTTTGTCATTGGTTCTGTTTATGTGATGGATTACATTTATTGATTTGCATACATTGAACCAGCCTTGAATCCCAGGGATGAAGCCCACTTGATCATGGTGGATAAATTTTTTGATGTGCTGCTGGATTTTGTTTGCCAGTATTTTTATTGAGGATTTTCACATCGATGTTCATCAGGGATGCTGGTCTAAAATTCTCATTTTTTGTTGTGTCTCTGCCAGGCTTTGGTATCAGGATGATGCTGGCCTCATAAAATGAGTTAGGAAGGATTCCCTCTTTTTCTATTGATTGGGATAGTTTCAGAAGGAATGGTACCTATGGTAGAATTTGGCTCTGAGTCCATCTGGTTCTGGACTTTTTTTGGTTGCTAGGCTAATAATTATTGCTTCAATTTCAGAGCCTATTATTGGTCTATTCAGAGATTCAACTTCTTCTTGATTTAGTCTTGTTGGGGGTGTACGTGTCGAGGGATTTATCCATTTCTTCTAGATTTTCTAGTTTATTTGCGTAGAGGTGTTTATAGTATTCTCTGATGGTAGTTTCTATTTCTGTGGGATTGGTGGTGATATCCCCTTTATCATTTTTCATTGCATCTATTTGATTCTTCTCTCTTTTCTTCTTTTTTAGTCTTGCTAGCAGTCTATAAATTATGTTGATCTTTTCAAAAAACTAGCTCCTGAATTCACTGCTTTTTTGAAGGGTTTTTTGTGTCCCCATATCCTTCAGTTCTGCTCTGGTCTTTGTTATTTCTTGCCTTCTGCTCACTTTTGAATGTGTTTGCTCTTGCTTCTCTAGTTCTTTTAATTGTGATGTTAGGGTATCGATTTTTTATCTTTCCTGCTTTCTCTTGTGGGCATTTAGTGCTATAAATTTCCCTCTATACACTGCTTTAAATGTGTCCCAGAGATTCTGGTATGTTGTGTCTTTGTTCTCATTGGTTTCAAAGAACATCTTTATTTCTGCCTTCATTTTGTTGTTTACCCAGTAGTCATTCAGGAGCAGGTTGTTCAGTTTCCATGTAGCTGTGTGTTTTTGAGTGAATTTCTTAATCCTGAGTTCTAATTTGATTGCACTGTGGTCTGAGAGATAGTTTGTTGTGATTTCTGTTCTTTTACATTTGCTGAGGAATGCTTTACTTCCAACTATGTGGTAAATTTTGGAATAAGTGCAATGTGGTGCTAAGAAGAATTTATACTCTGTTGATTTGGAGTGGAGAGTTCTGTAGATGTCTATTAGGTCCACTTGGTTCAGAGCTGAGTACAAGTCCTGGATATCCTTATTAACCTTCTGTCTCGTTGATCTGTCTAATATTGACAGTGGGGTGTTAACATCTCCCATTATGATTGTGTGGGAGTCTAAGTCTCTTTGTAGGTCCTTAAGGACTTGCTTTATGAATCTGGGTGCTCCTGTATTGGGTGCATATATATTTAGGATAGTTAGCTCTTGTTGTTGAATTGATCCCTCTACCATTACTTAATGGCCATCTTGGTCTCTTCTGATCTTTGTTGGTTTAAAGTCTGTTTTATCAGAGACTAGGTTTGCAACTCCTGCTTTTTTTTTTTTTTTTTTTTGGCTTTCCGTTTGCTTGGTAGATCTTCCTCCATCCCTTTATTTTTAGCCTACGTGTGTCTTTGCACATGAGATGAGTCTCCTGAAATCAGCACACTGATGGGTCTTGACTCTTTATCCAATTTGCCAGTCTGTGTCTTTTAATTGGGGCATTTAGGCCATTTACATTTAAGGTTAATATTGTTATGTGTGAATTTGATCCTGTCATTATGATATTAGCTGGTTGTTTTCTCCATTAGCTGATGCATTTTCTTCCTACCATCGATGGTCTTTACAATTTGGCATGTTTTTGCAATGGCTGGTACTGATTGTTCCTTCCATGTTTAGTGCTTCCTTCAGGAGCTCTTGTAAGGCAGGCTTGGTGGTGACAAAATCTCTCAGCATTTGCTTATTTGTAAAAGATTTTATTTCTCCTTCACTTATGAAGCTTAGTTTGGCTGGATATGAAATTCTGGGGTGAAAATTATTTTCTTTAAGAATGTTGAATATTGGTCCCCACTCTCTTCTGGCTTGTAGGGTTTCTGCAAAGAGATCCGCTGTTAGTCTGATGGGCTTCCCTTGGTGGGTAACCCAACCTTTCTCTCTGGCTGCCTTAACATTTTTTCCTTCATTTCAACCTTGGTGAATCTGACAATTATGTGTCTTGGGGTTGCCGTTCTGAAGGAGCACCTTTGTGGTGTACTCTTTATTTCCTGAATTTGAATGTTAGCCTGCCTTCTAGGTTGGGGAAGGTCTCCTGGATAATATCCTGAGGTATATTTTCCAACTTGGTTCCATTCTCCCTGTCACTTTCAGGTAAACCAATCAAATGTAAATTTGGTCTTTTCACATAGTCCCATATTTGTTGGAGGCTTTGTTTGTTTCTTTTTACTCTTTTTTCTCTAAACTTGTCTTCTTGCTTTATTTCATTAATTTGATCTTCAATCACTGATACCCTTTCTTCCACTTGATCGAATCAGCTATTAAGCTTGTGCATGCATCACATAGTTCTCATGAAGTTGTTTTCAGCTCCATCAGGTCATTTAAGGTCTTCTCTACACTGTTTATTCTAGTTAGCTATTTGTCTAATCTTTTTTCAAGGTTTTTAGCTTGCTTGTGATGGGTTCAAACATCCTCCTTTAGCTCAGAGAAGTTTGTTATTACTGATCATCTGAAGCCTTCTTCTCTCAACTTGTCAAAGTCATTCTCCATCCAGCTTTGTTCTGTTGCTGACGAGTAGCTGCAACCCTTTAAAGGAGAAGAGGTGCTGTGGTTTTTAGAATTTTCAGCTTTTCTGCTCTGGTTTCTCCCCATCTTTGTGGTTTTATCTAACTTTGGTCTTTGATATTGGTGACCTACAGATGGGGTTTTGGTGTGGATGTCCTTTTTGTTGATGTTGATGCTATTCCTTTCTGTTGTTAGTTTTCCTTCTAACAACAGTCAGGTCCCTCAGCTGCAGGTCTGTTGGAGTTTGCTGGAGGTCCACTCCAGACGCTGTTTGCCTCGGTATCACCAGTGGAGCCTGAAGAACAGCAAATATTGTAGAACAGTAAGTATTGCTGCCTGATCTTTCCTCTGGAAACTTCATCCCAGAAGGGCACCCACCTGTATGAGGTGTCAGTTGGCCCCTACTGGGAGGTGTCTCCCAGTTAGGCTACACGGGGGTCAGGGACCCACTTGAGGAGGCAGTCTGTCTGTTCTCAGAGCTCAAACACCATGCTGGCAGAAACACTGCTCTCTTGAGAGCTGTCAGACAGGGACGTTTAAGCCTGCAGAAGTTTCTGCGGTCCTTTGTTCAGCTATTCCCTGCCCCCAGAGGTGGAGTTTACAGAGGCAGCAGGCCTTGGTGAGCTGCAGTGGGCTCCGCCCAGTTCGAGCTTCCTGGCAGCTTTGTTTACCTACTCAAGCCTCAGCAATGGTGGACACCCCTTCCCCTGCCAGGCTGCTGCCTCACAGGTTAATCTCAGACTGCTGAGCTAGCAGTGAGCAAGGCTCCGTGGGTGTGGGACCAGCCGAGCCAAGCACAAGATATAATCTCCTGGTGTGCCATTTGCTAAGACAGTTGGA
This sequence comes from Homo sapiens, assembly GCF_000001405.40. Classification (NCBI taxonomy): domain Eukaryota; kingdom Metazoa; phylum Chordata; class Mammalia; order Primates; family Hominidae; genus Homo; species Homo sapiens. The sequence continues at coordinate 93,852,639 of NC_000003.12, forward strand.
AAAGCGCAGTATTCCAGGTAGTCTGTCATGGCTTCCCTTGGCTAGGAAAGGGAAATCCCCCAACCCCTTGCACTTCCTGGGTTAGGCGACACCCCACCCTGCTTCAGCTCACCCTCGGTGGGCTGCACCCACTCTCCAACCAGTCCCAATGAGATGAACCAGGTACCTCAGTTGGAAATGCAGAAATCACCTGTCTTCTCCATCGATCACGCTGGGTGCTGCAGACCAGAGCTGTTCCTATTCGGCCATCTTTGAATGGACCCCCCTGAATTCAATGTTTTATTGCAACTCAGGCTCTGTGTTAGATTCTGAGCATATCAGTATGAGAGATCCATGGGCCGTGACCTCAAGGACGGCACTTACAACCTTGCTATAACATAATATATTACATTCTATTCATTCAAGGTATATTTATTGAGTGCATTCTTCAGGGAACTGGAATCCAAGGTGAAAGAAAAGGCTGCTTTAATCGTATACAAGATTTTGTAGAGTAGATGGATATTTATAAAGGAATAATACAAATAATCATTAAAATGGGTAAGTCTGTGAAGGAAAGGAATGTAGTGTTATGTAAGTGTGTAACAGAGGTGCTCAGTCTATCATGGAGGGCAGCAAAGACCTCCTTGAACAAACGATGATTCAGCTAAGATTTGATGACAGAGTCAGGGTGAGCTAAATAAAATTAAAAGGGGAATTGTGGGTTTCTAGAGTGAGAAATTAACATATGCTAAAGTCCCATGAACGGCTGTTTGAGAAACTGAATAACATCCAGAATGAATGGAGAGCAAAGTACAAGGAAGGAAAAAGTATAAGATTAGGCTGCTAATGTAGGCCAGGCCAGGCAGAGAGTAGGATACTAAATTAAGAATGCTAATCCTCATCTAAGAGCCAAGAAAGCCACTGAAGAGATTTTGCTGGAGAGTGGCAACTAGATCACTCTGGCTGCAGTAAAGAGAATGGATAGAAGCAAATAAGGATAAAGAACAACCAGATAGAAAAAGACTGTAGCAGTAAAGATGGAAGGTGTCAGTGGCTTTGCCAAGAGTAGTAGTGTTGAAGATGGTCAGAAATAAATATTTTTGTGAAGTATTTAGGAGCTAATACCAACAAAAATGTAAAAGAGCATAAAAATATTTGGCCAGAATATTGACAGAATAATTCATTCTTCCTAGAGTAAAAAAGAAAGACTTCACAGAAGTAGTATTCAATGGGTACTTAAATAACAAATAGAAGTTTATCAGGGCAAAACTGAGAGAATTATATTTTATGCAGAGAAAACGGCACAACTTTATTAGTTTGTTTTCTGTTACTTATAACAAAATACTTGAAGCCAGGCAATCTATTTTTTAAAAGAAATGTATTTCTTACAGTTATGGAGGCTGACAAGTACAAGACTGAGGGCACCAAAAGTTCAGACATTAAATTATAAAGCTATAGAATAATCTCCCATGACTCCATATCCAGCATTCTGTGCATACTGGTACAGGGGTTGGACCCACAAGTCCTCAGGCAGCCTTGCTTCCATGACTTTCCATGGCTCAGCCCACACTTCAGCTCTTCCAGGCTGGTGTTGCACCCTAGTAGCTCTACAGTTCTAAGATCTCAGTGGTAATTTCACTCCTACAGCTCCCCCAAGTCATTGCCCTAGTATGGGGTTCTCTATGGTGACTCCTCCCCTGCAACAAGTCTCTGTGTGGGCCCACAGGCTGTTTGATACATTCTTTGAAATTAGGTGGAAGCTGTCATGCCTCCACAGCTCTTGCATTCTGTGGACCTGAAGAATTAACATCATGTGAATGCCCCTGAGGATTAAGATTTGTACCTTTGGAGTGGTGCCTAGTGAAGCCACACCTGGGGTCAACTGAGCCACAGCTGGGTGGTACAGGAGTGCTGTGCTGAAATATAGAGAGCATATACCTAAGGGATCTCTGGGCAGGAGCCTATGGAGGGCACTCCAGGCCTGTACCCAAAAAACATTCTGCCTTCCTAGACCTTTTAGCCTGTTATGAAAGGAGCAGTTTCAAAGATATCTGAAATGCCTTTGAGGTCTTTCTTCCATTGTCTTGTGGAATAGCATCTGGCTCCCTCCTATCCATGCTAATCTCTTTAGCAAATGGTCCCTGGGCTACATTCTTTGTCTCTTGTCCTGAACACACTTTTTGACTCTTTATGTGGCCTGTCTCAATTTTCTAAATCTTCCCACTCTGTTTTTCTTTTAACTATGAATTGTATCTTTAAATCCTTCCTTTACTCCTGAATTTCAGTGTAAGGAGCCAAAAGTAACCATGCAGCTCCTTCTATACTTTGCTTAGAAATTTATTTTGCCAGATATGCTAGTTAATGACTCTCAAGTTTGGTCTTCCACAAAGCCCTCAGGCATGAACCTGGTTCAGCCAAGTTCTTTTCCAATTTACAACAAGGATGGATTTTACCCCAATTTCCAACACCTTGTTCCTCAGTTTCACCTGAAACTTCATCAGAATGGCCTTTTTGTTCATAATTCTATAAGCATTCTGATCACCACTACTTAACCAGTTTCTAAGGAGTTCCAAACATTCCCTGGTCTTCTAGGCTCTCCCCAGAATCTAGGCTCCTCCAAATTCTTTCAGCCTCTGCCCATTACCCAATTCCAAAGCTTCTTCCACATTTTCAGTTATTCATTATCAGCAACACCCCATGTATCAGTACCAATTTTGTGTTTTAGTTCATTTTCTGTTGCTTGTAACAGATTACTTGAAACTGGGTAATTAATTTTTTAAGGAATTTATTTCTTACAGTCTTGAAAGCTGGAAAGTCCAAGGTCAAGGAGCCATTCCTATCTGATGAGAGTCTTCTTGCCAGTGGGGGCTCCATGCCAATTCTCAAGGCAATGCAGGGCATCGCATGGCAAGAGGGCTGAACATGTTAATGTGCTGGCTGAGGCCTCTCTTCCTCTCCTTATAAAGCCACCAGTCTCACTCCCATGATAACGCATTAATCATTCATCCATTAATCCATGAATGTGTTCATCCATTTGTGAGGGCAAAACCTCATGACCCAATCACCTCTTAAAGGCTCCACCTCGCAATCCTGCCACATTGGGGATTAAGTTTCAACATGAGTTTTGCAGGAGACAAATCTTCAAACCATAGCAGTGACCAAACCAAAGGAGTCTTAAAAGTGAAGCTCTTTGGGAGCAGAAAATTTGGGGCACATTTTTTATTCTCTGCACTTATCACAATGTTTGGCCTATAGTATCTTTTCACAAAGAAATGTGTTCAAAAAATAAGTGCCATCTAGAGTAGCTGAACTATAGAAGGCATAAAAGAAATTGTATATAAAAAGAAACAAAAAAAACCCATAGACAAAAATAAAATGAGGTTGAACTTCCCCTTTAGGCAGTGAGAAAACAAAGACAGTATTTTTTGTTTTTGTTTTGTTTTTTTGAGACGGAGTCTCGCTCTGATGCCCAGGCTGGAGTGCAGTGATGCAATCTTGGCTCACTGCAAGCTCCGCCTCCTGGGTGCAATTCTCCTGCCTCAGCCTCCTGAGTAGCTGGGACTACAGGCCCGTGCCACCATGCCCGGCTAATTTTTTGTATTTTTAGTAGAGACGGGGTTTCATCGTGTTAGCTAGGAGGGTCTTGATCTCCTGACCCTCTGATCCGCCTGCCTTGGCCTCCCAAAGTGCTGGGATTACAGGCATGAGCCACTGCACCTGGCCGCACAAAGATGGTTTTAAGGTACAAGAACAACTTAATCTTTGTTTACAAAAAGTACGTAATGGCAACAAAGGAGAATGAAGACAAGGTGATTAGAAAGTTGAGGCAGAAAGACATTTAAGAGACAAATGCAATAATTCAGGTTAAGAGTGAATATGAGCCTAAAACAAGGGGTCTACAGTGGTAATTCAGAAAAAGAAACAAATTCCCAAATAATATAGTAGTAGTATTTACAAGACTTGATGGCTGAATTATATGTGCGTTTATATATATGTGTGTATACACATGAGAGAAGCAAGGGAAGAAGGAAGCATGAAGTTACACATGCACGAGGTTTTTAGAGAAAATACTCAAGTGAAGGATAATCCTTTTATTTAAAATAGAGAACACAACAGAAAAAACAGACTTGCCAGAATTAATAAAAAGTACAATTTCTGGCTTTGTTAATTTTGTAATCCCAGATAGGCACTGTGGATACTCTAGAGGTACAGATTTAAAAAAAACAAAAAAACAAAAAAACAAACAAAAAAAAAACACTACAGAAATCAGAACCGGAGATAAATCTTTGGATGTCATCTCCAAAGAATTTGAACTCTCAAAATGTAGGGCACACTTCAAAGTGAGTATACTCAGCAGTGCACTGAGGCGATGCTACATCTCAGGAGATACAAGAAGCGTCCTCTTGAATCATCCATTTTACTCCATGGTAAGTAATTTCAAGCATTTGTGATAAAAACAGATTAAAAGCTAAATTCAAAGTACAGGTTGAGTATCCTTTATCCAAAATGCTTGGGAGCAGAATTGTTACAGATTTCAAATTTTTCAGAATTTGTAATATTTGCATATATATAATGAGATATCTTGGGAATGGAATCCAAATCTAAGCACTTTTATGGTTTATATACACGAGGCCTGAAGGTAAATTTATATAATACTTTTAATAATTTTGTGCATGGAACTAAGTTTTGACAGCATTTTGCCTGTCACCTGTCACATGAGCTCAGGTGTAGCATTTTGCACTTGTGGTATCAGGTCGGCACTCAAAAAGTTTTAGGTTTTGGTGCATTTCAGATTTTGGATTTTCAGATGAAGGACTGTCAACCTGTCACTACTCCATGCTGAAAGAATTCAGTTTCTAGGAAGAGGTTAAGGAAGTGGTTCTTATTGTTCATTGTAGATGCAGAAAATCTTCAGGAAGCAAAGAGACAGAGGCAAGTGGAAAATGATCACATGATGTGATAAGAGAGAAATTTTATAAACAGAAATGGCTAATATAAATTTGTACTTACTTTATTAAGGTCCACTCAGTTGCCATCAAACCTTTAGTCAGTTTGCTATGCCTACAAATTCATTGTGTCAGCTATGTTTGGGAAAATTGAAGAGTCCATTTTCCACATCTGGAATGATAATATCCTGACAAGAATGGATGGTACTAAAGGACAGCAAAATAATCTATGAAGTGAACTGTGTTAGAAGCAGGAACTGAAAATAAGAGGTGAATAAGGAAAGGTTAAACTATACCCATTCCATGTACACACCAAATCCCCAATTCCTGGAGCAACAGGAAGACACCCACAGTATATGGGATGAGATTTAAAAAAAGAAAATCCCAAAGACAAACTACCTCGACTGATATCTTAGTTACACAGTAACATGTTCTTTTTAAAATTAAACAATGGTGGGTATAATATCAATTAGAATATAAAATCTACCTGAGTTAAGATAAAACTCAAGACCTCAAAGTAAGTTTGTGCTGGGGGTGAAAAATATCAGGTTATGGTTCCAAATATTAATACCCAAAAGATACAAGTTCACTTCCCAATGCTTTCGATGGTGCTTTTTCAGTTTGCAAAGCAACTAAAACAGAAGATAGGAGCTGCAATGAAAGATTACGAAACTAGCCATGGAAGTATATAAAGTAAACAGAAAGCCAAAGTTGAAGTTTGGAAAAACTCACATTTAAAGGATGATTTTCCCAGAGTTGCTCTACCCCCAACCCCAACCCCCCAAAAATCTGAGAGGCTGGAAAGGAATTCTGAGAGAGGCAGGGCACAGCAACCAAAGACTATTTCAGATCAGATAGGAGGCTTTGGTCAATATGTGTCAAATTTGGTTAAAAGGTCAATGAGAATTATAACTGAGGCCTTCACTTTAGCAAACGGGAAGTGAATGGTGACTTTTACAAGAGCAATTTTAGTGGAAGAGCTGAGTTGGGTGGAGGGTTAAGTAATAAATAAAATATTTTTTAAATGAGGCAGAGAATATTAATTACTCTTGAGAAGGTTAGCAGTGATGAAGGGAAGGAGAAAAATAGGTATCTGGAAAGAAATAAGAAGAATTGACTAAAGGCTGTTTTCAGAATGGAGAAATCTTGGATAAATTTGTAGACCAGGCAAAACAGGCAGAAGAAAAAACTCATTAGGAATGAAAGGAAGGTGCCAAGAAAATTAAGAAAATGAAGTGGGAGAAGAAAGGAAAGGTTGTTCTGGACAGGAGAAAAATTGCTTTTCCTCTTCAATAAAGAAGGGGCCAAGAATGGTAGCCCACACCTGTAATCCCAGCACTTTGGGAGAATGAGACGGGCAGATCAACTGAGGTCAGGAGTTTGAGGCCAGCCTGGCCAACACGGTGAAAGCCTGTCTCTGCTAAAAATACAAAAATTAGCTGGGTGTGGTGGCACACACCTGTAATCCTAGCTACTCAGAAGGCTGAGGCACAGGAATTGCTTGAGTCTGGAGGGCGGAGGCTGGAGTGAGCCAGGATCACACCCTGCACTTTAGCCTTGGCGACAGAGCAAGACCCAGTCTCAAAAAAAAAAAAAAAAAAAAAAAAAAAAAAAAGAGAGCGAGAAAAGAGAAGAGGTGAAAGAGAGTGAAAAGCTAGGTTGACAGGGAGACAGGGAGAGATTGTGAGGCTTCAGTTTTTCTCAGGGAATTTAGACATCAGTTTATCTGCTGAGTTCTGGAAGACACAGGATTGAGCTTAGGCATAAAGAGACAATAAAAGTTTGTTACATTCACAGGAAAAGAAGCGTGATTAGCTTTCTGTGTCAATTTGACTGGACTAAGGGGTGCCCAGATAGCTGGTAAAACATGATTCCTGCAAGTGTCTGAGGGAAAATGTTTCCAGAAGAGATAAACATTTGAATCAGCAGACCCAATCAACACGATGTGCCCTCACCAATGTGGGTTGGCCTCATCCAGTCCATTGTGGACCTGAATAGAACAAAAAAGCAGAGGAAGATCAGACTGTCTCCTGGAGCTGAGAAATCCTTCCTCTCCTACCCTTGGACATCAGAACTTCAGGCACTCTGGGCTTCAAACTTCAGGACTTACACCAGTGCCCCTGTGTTCTCAGAGTGGGAGTTACATCATGGGCTGCCCTGATTCTCAGGCCTTCAGACATGAATGAATTACACCACAGGCTTCCCTTGTTTTCCTCTTTGCAGACAGCATATCATGAGAATTCTCAGCATCCACAATCCTGTGAACCAATTTTCAAAATAAATTCCCTTTTATATATCTCTCTAAATATCCTATTGGCTCTGTTTCTCTGGAGAACACTAACATAAGGAATCAACCAGAGAGAAGTAAAAGAATTGGTGAGCACATTGTAAACACACTAAATGCTATTAGATGACTTTAAAATGACTACAATTATATATTATATGAATTTCATCTCAATTAAAAAAAGGTAATGAGCAAAAACTAAAAAGCATGCAATCAAGGTTTGTGCAAGAAAATAGGAAAGAAGAAAATATTCACAATAAATTCACTATTCACAATAACAAAGACATAGAATCAACCTAGATGCCCATCAATAGTGAGCTGAATAAAGAAAATGTGGTACAATACACCATGGAATGCTATGCATCCATTAAAAAGAATGAAATCATGTCCTTTGCAGCAACATGGATGCAGCTGGAAGCCATTATCCTAAATTAACTAATACAGGAACAGGAAACCAAATACCATATGTTCTCCCTTATAAGTGGGAGCTAAACATTGGGTACACATGGACACAAAGATAGGAACAATAGACACTGGGGCCTACTACAGCAGGGAAAGAAGGAGAGGGGCTGTGGGCTGAAAAACTACCTAGTGGGTGCTATGCTCACTACCTCAGTAACAAGATCGTTTGTATCCCCAACCTCAGCATCATGCAATATGCCCATGTAACAAGCCTGCACATGTTCCCCCGAATCTAAAATAAACGGAAAACCTAAAATTATTTTATGAAGATATTAGGCTTCTCAGTCTAGAGGAAGAAAACAGGTCTGTTAAATGTAAATAATTGTGTTTTTTCCTTTGCGATGAATAGATTTCATATGAGTTATTCTCAATGATGTCAAAGTAATGATGAAGCACTTCTTTTGTAAGAGTATTTGAAAAATAATGACATGTCCAGATTGATATAAAAATTGAAGATTTCGTTTGGGACAGTTCTGGCATGATTTGTGGGTGTGGGATGTTCTACAGTAATAGGAGTCATCTGTTTTGCCTGGGACATGAAATCCCAATAATGAGAAGAAAAATAGGATGCATCTTTGCATGTTAATACCTTCCATACAGGGTAATATCTCTTTAGGGTACAATATCATTTACCCTAAATCATTCTGTTATGGTCTTGAGTAGGGGCAGTTCATTCCGGTTTCTTTATAGATGAAACACAAATACAGAAGCCTTTTATATTTCCTTTTATCATCTGTTAATGCTCTGCTATAAACACTCAGCTCTGAAAAATTTCATTGTTGAAATATTCTCCTTCTAGAGGACACGATAGTGAAGCATATTATAGTTCATCTCAGCATGCTAAAAGAGTGCTTACTGAAATTCACATGATTCATCCTTTTTTACTTATTCCTTGTTCTCCCTTTGGCCATCACTGGTACCTCATGATTTTAATAAACCATGACTTTTTCAGTATCCATGAAGTCATTGGCATTTCATGAGGGAGTGATATTGTCCAGAAGCAGCTATACTTAAATGTTGACAGCCTAGTTAGTAAGGAAGTCAAGCAAGTACTTATAGACGATAGAAATTATGTATTTATTCAACACTTACTAAGTGCCAGGCACCGGGGTCCAGACAATGCCCATCCTTTCATAAAAATTATAATCTATGGAGGGAGACATGTTATAAATAAACAGTATCCATGAAATTATATAGAAATATGCTAAAAGGAGAATGGATGGATCCATTTGGAAAAAGTCTGAATGGAAGCTGGGGAAGGTTGTCTTAGTTGAATAAAAATCATAATAAGCAAAAGCTAAATGATGAAGACAAATGGATTAGATGGTACCTGTGAAGAACCACAAAGTAATGACCTGATAAAGTGGATGGCTGAGGACAGTAGGTAGGAAAAAGATCATGAAGGAACTTGGAAACCCCCAGAGAGCTTGAATATAAAGTAAAGCAATTAGTGGCCAAAAAAGTAGCCTGCTTTTAAAATGGGCTTTACCACAGGACTAGCTCCTTTTGTCAGTAATGAGGATTTATTTTTAGTCTTATAACTGAAGAGTTTTACAGATGAGGAAAAATGTTGGCATGAGGGAAAATGGAGGAAACATAGCAACATCTCACATTTGTCTCTAATTATGGGTTCCACTGATGTGCTAAACTAAAGGCATACATGGAGAGAAGGTGGATGCCAAATGCTACTTTAAAAATCTAAGTTGCTGTATTAGGGTTCTCTAGGGAGATAGAGCCAAAGGGGATATATATATATATGTATTATATTTATTTATATATAAATATATAAAGGATATTTTATACATATACATACATATATATATAGAGAGAGAGATAAGAGGGAATTTATTAGTGGAATTGGCTCATGCAATTATAGAGGCTGGGAAGTCAGTCTCACAGTGGGCCATCTGCAAGCTGGAGAACCTGGAAAGCCACTAGCATGGCTCAGTCCAAGTCTGGAGGCCTCAGAACCAGGGAAAGCAATGATGGAACTGTCAGTCCAAGGCTGAAGGCCTGAGCACCTTGGGACCTGCTGGTGCAGATCCCAGAGTCCAAAGGCTGGAGAGCCTGGAGTTCTGATGTTCAAGGGCAGGAAAGGAAAATTTCCTCAGGTCCAGAAGTGAGAGGGAATTCGCCTTTCCTCTGCCTTTATGTTTCATCCCAGACATCAGCCTATTGGATGGTGCCTGCTCACACTGGGTGAGGATGGATCTTGCTTATTCAGGTCATTGATTCAAATGCCAGTCTCTTGTAGAAACACCCTCACAGATAGACCTCCAAATAGTCCTTTACCAGCTATCTGGGTATCCCTTAATCCAGTTAAGTTGGGCACCTAAAATTAACCAATGCAGTTGTTAAAAAAACACAAATAAAAAGTATATATTCAAATTAGTAAACTTGTACCACTTATAGGAAGTATTTTGAGCTTCTTTTCTCAGTCTAAAATATACTTTACATATTCTATTATACAATTAATAGAGCTAAATAATTTAGTCCCTGGATACAGAATAATATAAATCCCCAGAATAATTTCGAATGACACTTTTCCTGACTTTACCTCAACATGGTCATGGCACTACTTTTTCAGGTCTAATAGCCTGACACCTTCTAGTTTCTAGTCAGTCAAATTAAATGTAAGTAATAGTAAAGGTGATAAAAGCTACTTTTGGAAACACAGCTTTATTAATTAAAACTATTTTTTCTTATTTAACATTTGATTTATTTAATATCTCCCATTCTGCCCACTCCAAAGAAGCCTTATATTTGTTTTAATAAAAGGGATTAAAAAAATTTTAAAAGCATTATATAACTACCATTAAATGAATAGATCATAAAATTAAATTTTTATTTGTATGAATCTACAGTCTACAAATCAAGGCCAAATTGAATATGAGATTCTAGTATTTTTTTTAACTTTCTGAACCACACAATCAGCTCTCTGAAAATCATATAAAAGAACCACAATATATCAGTGCTTTAAAGTAATTCTTTCAGGAAGCAATAATGACATTTTAATGCTTTCAGAGGAAATACATCTGAATGAATTATGCTAGTTAATTATTTCCTAGGTTCTTTACCTTCCTCCTCACATAATTTACAAGCAACTCAGAATCTATTTCTTTTGTTAAATGACCATTAACATGAGTGCTTAGTGGATTAGCATTTCTGTTCATACACCATACTGATCTGAACGTATGTTCTAATGGTGCTGGTGAAAATTGTGATGCTGAAATATACGGCATAAAAACACATTTTAAGATTTTAAAATATTACTCTTTTCTTAAATCTGGCACTGTTAAACAAAGGGACAGATTTGAGCCACTTTAGATCAAAAGGAAAGTACAGTCTCTCTTCTTCCCCACAAAATTGAAATGAGGCAAATAAAGCAGCCTGTTACCATTTTCAAGTCTGGTTTAAGACAAGACAGGTTTGTTATGTGGATATATTTCATAATGCTAAGATTTGGACTTCTAATGATCCCATTGCACAAGTAGTAAGCACACAACTCAATAGGTAGTTTTTCAGCACTTGGACCCTTCCTCTCTCCCCACTTAGAATATCCAATGTTTATTGTTCCCATCTTTGTGTCTATGTGTACCCAATGTTTAGCTCCCTTTTATAAGTGAGAACATTTGGTATTTGGTTTCTGTTTCTGCATTAATTCTCTTAGGATAATGGCCTCCAGCTGCATCCATGTTGCTGCAAAGAACATGATTTCATCATGTTTTACAGCTATGTAGGATTCCATGATATACATGTACCACATTTTTAATGTTAATTTTATTTTTAAATTTATTCTTGGAGCCTATAAATTGGTAAATTACAATAGTAATAGCACAAATAGTAGCAATACAGAGTATTCAGCAATATTGTAATATTTCTTTTTACTCAACAGTCCACCTTTGTGTTTCACTTTCCATAAACAAATACACTGGATTAAAGCAATAATACTTCTCTCGGAATTCTGGAACTGGGACTGAAACCTAGAAATGATTATTACTCTGCCATGTCTGAACTGTATCTAACATGAACATATAAATGCAGAAGTGGTTGGCAGGCATGCCCCACAATGTAAACTGAAGAGTTGAGGAAACCAGCATGTATTGAGAGAGTAATATGTAGTTGCTTGAAGAGAAACAGTAATGAGAAACAAAGTGAAGGAACTTCCTTATTTCACTACAGCAAATCCAAGCCCCAGGAATATTCTTTCAGCCCTAGAATTCCATAAGATAACTAAATACCTTTTCTAAAATTCTCCTTTTGCTTAAGCTAATTCAAATTGAGTTTCTACTACTTGCAACCAAGGGAGCTGTAAGCTCATTTATATTGACTCTCAGTAACACAGGAGTATTTAGTGTTGAATATGAAGAGTCTGCTTTTGGTTTCATGAAAAGGATTGCTTTCTAATAGTCAGAGCTCACTGTAGCAGACATGAACGGGGTTCTGCCCAGACCACCTCCAAGAGAACCTTCTGCAAAATAGAGCTGACTGACAGACCACTTGTTATTCCTCTGGACCTACCGGGCTGCTTCCCAACTAATGACTGAGCACAGTGAGGGTACTTATGCCAGGCCCTTCCTGCTTGATGCAGGACCCTTCTGATGGGCAACTTTTTTCAAGAACTCCTCATCAACATAGCTGAAACCTTCTTAGAACTGCACTCAGATCTGAGACTTCCTATCATCCTACTTCCTTCTCTCCTTCACAGGTGTCCAATTTACATGGCTACATGAAGATTCTTCCTACCCATTCCTGTACCCTCCTTTTTCCTTCACAGATGTTTCTCCCTGTTTTATTTGTTTGCTAGGGCTGCCATAATGAAATATTACAGAGTAGGGGGCAATTGGATTTTTTGCAGTTCTCGAGCCTGAAAATCTAAGACCAAGGCATGAGCAGGTTTGGTTTCTCTTGATGTCTCTCTCCTTCTTTACAAATGGTCATGTTCTTACTGTGTCCTCACATGGCCTTTCCTCTGTGTCTGAGCATGCCTGGTGTCTCTCTCTCTTTATAAAATGACACCAGTCATATTGAATTCTGGCCCAACCCATATGACCTCATTTAACCTTACTTACTTCCTTAAAGGCCCTATCTCCAAATGTAGTCACTTTGGAGTTTAGGACTTCAATATTTCAACATATGAATTCTGGGGAGACACAATTCAGTCCTTAACACCTGTCTAATCTCTGTTGGAATCTGCTTTTTGAAAGTCCCAAACTGATGCCGTGAACAAAGGGAAAATGAGCTGACTTTGGTTAATAGTGAGCTCTGCATCAGTGAAGATGGTCACACAGAGCCTGAGAGATGACTGTCCAGTGACAGTGACTGGTCCACTTGATTAGATTTCTATCTAAATTCCACACTCACAGAGTTATTTATTTTTTATGGAACATTAACAATTAAAAGTAACCTGGAATCTGTCAGTTTGATACTAAGATAAAAGACTAAATTAGCATCTTTGAAAACATGATATGAGAAGAATCATAGAAGACACATTTGCTTTCTAGGTTAGTCATCTTTATGACCGTATTTGTACAAAGGCACATAGATATTTGTGTCTTGTTCATTCATCTATATCTATCCCAAATGCCCAGAAAGCATAGTGTTTGGCACATTTTGTGTGTTCCACAAATAGTTGTTGGATTAATGGATTGGTCATTGCCTTCCCAACACCCCCACAGTTACCATACCAATAGGTTCTCAGGTTCTATGTGTTAGAAATAACTGGAGGACTGTGATGATTATGATGCAAATGAGAGATTTAAGATGAATGATTTTACTGATTTTTCTTTCTTTGTTGGGTATTTTGGAAAGTTCCACATGGGAGGTAGAAGATACAAGTCTTCATGTTTAGTTTTATGGCCCCCGAAGGCATCCAGGTATTTCTTCTCTGGGTTGAACAATCTGACTCCCAAGAAGTCTACATTATTATACCAGAATCTTTCTAGTAATTAGGTTCATTAAGGCTTAGTTTTTCTTCCTAGAAATAAAGGCTGACAGGAAGGAGGGAAGACTTAGGATTGGATGCCATGCTTCATGGCATCCATGAAGCTGAAATGAGCTGATGAGAGAAAAAATAGTGAGTGCTTAAAAGCTGCAGATACTTAGGTTTCTAAGACATTCCTGGAGAATATCTATTTGAAACATCAGAGGGGAGAGTATAGATACCAGGAATAGGAGAGTTTCACTCAAATTGGCTTGGCACAGATAAAAATTTCTTTGAAAGCTACTCTTTTTAGTTGGGTATACATTTGTCAAAGGTTTTCAAGAGCACCAAGTTCTGACCTCTAAGCAGATTCTTTAAAAATCAGCAAACTAACACAGGAACAGAAAACCAAGCACCGCATATTCTCACTCATAAGTGGGAGTTGAACAATGAGAACACATGGACACAGGGAGGGGAACATCACATATCAGGGCCTGTCGGGTGGTGGGAGGCAAGGAGAGGGATAGCATTAGGACAAATACCTAATGCATGCAGGGCTTAAAACCTAGATGATGGGTTGATGGGTGCAGCAAACCATCATGGCACATGCATACCTATGTAACAAACCAGCACATTCTGCACATGTATCCCAAATCTTAAATAAAAAAAAAAAAATGGTACTTGCAGAGAAAAAGAAAAAAATATTTAAACTTTTAGAATAATTATTCTACATATTTCTTGAGTTATATCAAAGTCAGAAGAATGTTTGAAATTGATAAAAAAAAAAAAAAAAAACTCCTCCAAGGAGGTATTGAACATGTATCAAGGGTAGCTACAGCATTATCTCAATGATTGATTCTACCACCGAGTGCAGTCCAAGCAAGCTTCTTCCTTCACGTAATAGGATGAATATACCACTCCCTTTAACTCAGTAGTCTTCATAAGCTAGTAAATTGACATCCTACTGGATTTTTCTCTCATGACATCCCAGGTGTTGCCCATTGTATTTCTAGCTCACCATTAGTGTGCCAGTTACAGCTGATGATGCTTGGGCTTATTGTATAGCAGTAAGTTTAAACGTTTTCGTAGTTCCATTTTCAGCATGAAATTCATCACATGTTCAGAAGAGTCCTTTTTACTCTGCACTTCCCCAAATGCAATAACTGACAGCTCCATTTGTTGTAAATTGACTGAACCCCAAAGAGGTCAGGAATAAGGCAGAGAGAGATTAGTGGTTGCAAGCTCCCCACAATCCCCACTCCTGGCAGAATGTCACAAGGTCATCATTCCTGTACCATCCTACAGAGGATTTCTTGATGACCAAGAAGGTCAGAGATGATTTGGGGGTGTATGCTGTCTAGCAGCTACTTGGCCAACAGCTCCCCCTCCAGGGCACTGGAACATCATTTCCACAGCAAGTCAAGGTTGCATCCTCACCTTGGATAAACTAGCTGAGGACCCTCTTCCTCCTGCCTCACTTTCCATTTCCTTGTCTCTTCCTTTGTGATTTATCCTCTGTCTCTTTCTCTTTGCTCATCATCTCTTTCTTTCTCTGGCTTTTTTCATTTTCTAAAATCATTTTCTACTTGTTCCTATTTCCTCTTTCCAGACACATTCTTCTCTCTCTCATAATCTCTGAATTATATTTTTTATAATCTCTGCCTCTTTCTTGTCTTTAGTCTGGAAATCTTTCCCTCTTTCTTTCCATTTATATTTGTTCTTTATGTCTGTCTCCCTTTTTTATGTTTGGGGTTTTTATTGTTTGTTTTTGAGATAGGGTCTCACTCTGTTGTCCAAGCTGGAGTGCAGTGGTGTGACCATAGCTCAATGCATGCTTGTACTCTTGGGCTCAAATCATCCTCTCTCCTCAGCCTCCCAAGTAACTGGGACTACAGGCACACATGCCACTATGCCTGGCTAACATTTTTTTATTTTTTATTTTTATATTTGTAGATATGGGGACTTCCTTTGTTACGCAGGTTGGTCTTGAACTCCTGGCCTCAAGCAATCCTCCCACCTTGGCCCCCCAAGATTTGGGGATTACAGATGTGAGCCACTGCACCTATCCCCTTTAATATGTTTGGTTAAACCTCCTCTCCCCTACCAATTTTCTCTCCTCTCTCTTTTCTTTTTTTCCTTCCTTCCTCCCTCCCTCCCTCCCTCCCTTCCTTCCTTCCTTCCTTCCTTCCTTCCTTTCTTTCGTTTTTTTTGAGACAGGGTCTCACTCTGTCACCCAGGCTGGAATGCAGTGATACAATCATGGTTCACCACATCCTCAACCTCACCTGGCTCAAGTGATCCTCCCACCTCAGCCTCCTGAGTAGCTGGGACTACAGGCATGGGCGACCAGGTATGGATAGCTTTTTGGGTTGTTTTTTTTTATTATTATTTTTTTGTAGAGACAGGGTTTTGCCATGTTGTCTAGGCTGATCTCTGACTCCTGGGCTCAAGCCATCTGCTGGCCTCAGCCTCCCACAGTGGGATTACAGGCGGGAGCCACTGCACCTGGTCCCTCTCCTCTTTCTTATATGCTTATCTGGTGTGGCATCAATTTGTCGCTATCTACTGCTATTTGTTTACAAAAAAAGTAGATATTTATTTTTCTATTATTTCTCCATCTCCTCTTCACCCTCCTCATCAAGTATCTTTCTATATTCTTTACTTTTCTTTCCCTCATTTTCAATTTTTATCTTACCAAATCTTTCACTGAATTTGTTTCCTACCTTTCTTGTTTTATGTCTTCTCTTTGTTGTCTTTTTCTCTCCTCCTGGTTTTGTACACACACACACCTGTTCTTCCTCCCTACCTCCCTATCCTTCTTTTTCCTGTCTCGCTTTTTGTTTTTTTTGTTTGTTTGTTTGTTTGTTTTTCTTTTTGAGACAGAGTCTCACTCTGTCGCCCAGGCTGGAGTGCAGTGGTGCGATCTCGGCTCACTGCAAGCTCCCCCTCCCGGGTTCACGCCATTCTCCTGCCTCAGCCTCCCGAGTAACTGGGACTACAGACGCCCACCACCACGCCTGGCTAATTTTTTGGTATTTTTAGTAGAGACGGGGTTTCACCGTGTTAGCCAGGATGGTCTCAATCTCCTGACCTCGTGATCCGCCCACCTCGGCCTCCCAAAGTGCTGGGATTACAGGCGTGAGCCACCTCGCCCAGCCTCATGTCCTGTTTTTTAACTCATCCTTTGGCTTTATGTCTGTTCTTATCTGTGTATGTGTGTGTGTGCATCGTGTATGCACACCCCTCACATGTGCACAGAAGACAGGAGAGGCAAGGGGAGGAGTGCATGAGGTTAGAGAGCTACCCACAGAGACTGAATCTGTGGTTTGTAACCCTGGTTTCCCATGAGAATCTTCTGATTTAGTTGTTTGCAAAGGGGTCAATGAATCTAATAAGCCTGGGTTTAGATCTACTGGTTTAATGATGAAACCCCTTGAAAGCCAAGATTAATTATTTTCACCTCATGCAATAACCAATAGGAAAAGAAAGGAGAGTTTTGAGGACTTCAGTGAAATAAGATATCTGTGTGAGAGAGAGAATCTAAAAGCATTGTGGGGGATGGTCACAAAGACAGTACTTGGATGCAGGGAAATGAACAGAAATTCATATCTATCTGTCTTTTTGGGCCTCATTAAATAGCACCTCATTGAGCTTTCATTTAGAATCCATTTCTCCTTCCCAGAACCCCCTGCAAATGTTTATTTCTGCATTTCAGTTTTTACCAAACTCAGGCTCACTTTTTAATTACTTGTCCATGTGTCTGCTCTCCCCTGGACTGAGTACATCAATGGCAGTACCAAGATATTTGCTCCATTGTTTTCTTGGGATTCTTTCTAGCCCACGCTTTTAATTATCTAAGTGTTCAGAGTCAGTGTCAGCATTTGCTTAATTCAGTTAAGTAATATCATACTTAATCTTCAAAATGTTAAAGTGATTAATATTAACAACTGAGATTTAATATCACAACCAGTTATATGTAGAACTGGAGACAGAATTAGTTCTATCCAACCAATTGTTAGATTTGTTGGAATTGTTCATTCCAACCATGTACCATTGACTAAGTGCTGAGATAACTAGTTAGAATATGGATACAGTGTAGTTTCAAATTTGGGTGTGCACTCTTGACCCAGACATCCTGGCTTTTTGCAACTTGCCTTGCAATCTCAGCTTTGCAACTTGGCTAGCTACATGTACGAGGCAGACTAAGACTGTGCCTATTTTTCAGAACAGCCAGTTGTTAGTCCCCTGTGGCCATCTGTACATGCTGAGTTGGCTCAGGAAGATGCTCATCTTCAGAAGATCCAGTGTCAGCCCGAGTGTTCAATTTGGCTTTATTTAAATTAATTTTTTTCTATTTATTGTTTGGGACCTCCAGAAAATAATGCCAGATTCTTCCTATGTCAGTTAAATATTGGCCTGTTCTCCCTTCTCTTCAAATCAACTTGAGGAAGGATTTGATGTATCAAGTGGGGACACCCCAATTACAGAATGAGATTCCAGATTTCTCAGTTTGAAATGTTAGCAGGAAAGAGAATCAATCACCAGCAAATTGCAGGTATTACTTTACAATTTCTTTCCCATGAAAATAGGATTCTCTTTGAGGAGGGCTTGTTATGGCAAGTAGATTAGCAGAAATGAGTCTGTAAATTCACCAAATGCTATTCTTATCCACAGGTAAGACAACTGCTACACCATGGCACGTCCAAAGCACTACAGAGTAATGGACTGCAGATCAGGAAATACCCTCCAACCTCGCTGGTTTTCAACTTGTTCCAAACCTCCCCATACTCAGTTCCCCTCTATTTCTGACACTCTTAGCTTCACAACTTGAAGCTAAGATCTTTTTCCATTGTCAGTTTGACCTCGTAATCTGGCCTTGCACTGTTTATATTATTAATAATATGTACCCAAAACCCATGTATGCTGACCCAGGTAACTGCCCCCACCTTCGCATTCTGCAAACACAAATACAAGATAGCCAGAGGTTATCTTGGACAGCACTAGATGAACCCCTAAGCAATGTCTCTGCCATAGAAGATCCAGTTTTCAAATATAAGTTCTCTGAAAGCTCAAAGCTTGCTATAGCGAGAAACTCGTGTGCAAGACCACCATCAAAACAATCTTCTTCATAAGGAGCAAACTACTGACCAAAAGTTTTTTTTGTTGTTTGTTTGTTTTTTTGAGACAGTCTCACCCTGTTGCCCAGGCTGGAGTGCAATGGCATAATTTTGGCTCACTGCAACCTCCACCTCCCGGGTTCAAGCGATTCTCCTGCCTCAGCCTCCCGACTAGCTGGAATTACAGGCACCCGCCACCACACCCAGCTAATTTTTGTATTTTTAGTAAAGACGGGGTTTCACCATGCTGGCCATGGTCTCGAACTCCTGATCTCAGATGATCTGCCTGCCTGGGCCTCCCAAAGTGCTGGGATTATAGGCGTAAGCCACCACACCCGGCCGACCAAAAGTTTTATCACTTCAATTTCTTAGGATGACCAGAAAAGAGCTGCTTCGTAGCTCCAAGGAACAGGAACCTGAGGACTACCAAGGGCCAACTTGAGTATTGTGACTTCCTATTCCATTGGGTTTAGCCCGCAGACATACTACTTTTGACTCCACATGCACAGAGTAGAGTAGGTGCTTGATAAATATTTGTTGCTGAATGAATGAATTAGAAATTGATCATACTTGCCCTTTGAGTCTCTAGTGACCGTGTCATCTCCCAAATCAATATTAATACCAACATGATGAAATCTAAAAATTATTTCAGATATTCATCTTCTTTATTATTTCAGTTCCCACCGATGATAGCAACTAAAGGTCCAGGGAAATGCAAAAATAAATAGGCAATTATTTTGTGAAAAATTTTCACATGAAAAAGTCCTCTTTCCAGTAATCCCACCAGTTCCTTAATTCTAGAATGAAAAGAAAATTGGAAATACTTTATTGTATTGGCATATAGGGACTGAGACTAGAATTATACTTTCAGACAGGAGAAATTAGGTGAATAGTCCTGTTCTTACAGATTAACCATTGCTTTCACTGATCCATCACTGACCGCTGCAAATGGTTAAGTTCTATTACCATCTCACATAACATGTTCAAAAAGTAAAAAGAAAAAAGAAAGCTTTTTCAAAAGGTGAATTCTAAGGGACTCTGTAATGGCCCTGTTATTTGGAGTTTTTTTTACTTATATACAAAGCTGAAATGGCACCAAATATCCACTTTGCCTTGTTCTCTACCAACTCTTTAAAAGTAGGAATCTATATTTCTTGGCAAAGTTCAAAACTAAACATCAATCAAAGATTCTTAGCCATAGGTCTAGACCCTCTCTCTAGGCATGTATGAGCACATCTCAAAGGTAGATGAAATTTATAAATGCGTCTCTGGAGCCTCTACGAGCATCATTGCATGTGGGAAGGTTTCTGCTCCTGATGTGAAAGGTAGAATTGATCCCTATATCTGACCTGTATGTGGCATAATCAAATGAAAAGCAGGGAACTCCGCCCCTTTCTTTCACTTTTTTTTCCCTCTCTCATGTATGTTTTCTCTGTTTTTCTTTTTCCTTGCTCTTTTACATGAATGTAATTATCAATAGTCACTTGCTGATATTCATCCCCCATAGTACCTGGTGGCAATTGGGAAACAAATTATATTTAGCAAGACAATTTATGGTTTGTGTCAAAAGATACATGTTACTTTTGCTTCTCTTCACCTTCTGAGCTCCAGTCTACCACCCAACCATAAATATTATTCAAATATTGGAGCTTTATCTGTCTTTTAACTGAAGAACTACTTCGTTGTATGAAGAGTTAAATGTCTATTATGTAATTTTGTTTTATTCAAACAGTTGATATAATAAAGATATTCACATGCATTTTAAAATTATACACCGATTTATTATAAGTGATATAAAATACAGTGAAAAGAATTTATTGTTAAAAACTGTCAGTGAAACATCTGATACACATCTGGCTATGAATGGTAGATTCAAACGTGATAAAACTGCCACTTGAAATGCATCACAGTACCAGCAGGCACGTGGCAATCTTACCTCCTTACTTCTTTGATTACAATGATACGATATTCACTATATCCCTCTGTGGTTGTCCTTTTGTTAAAATTTGTTCTGGTTTTCATAGTTCCTTTTGTACTTCAACAATCACATTTTGGCAACTTACTCTGGTAATTAAAAGTTGGATTCAAGGAAAACTATGAACTCCCACATTTGTTCATTCTCCTTTCCATCCCTGAATTCTGTCTTTTGTAATGTAGACCTTGTGTGACCCACACAGCAAAATTTAAAAAATGTACCCACTTCAGATTTCCCCACCTATCCAACCTAATCTGATATCTCATCCTGACAGACTGCAGCTGCCAAGAAGAAGATTCCTGTGCTGCTCTCAGGAAAATATGTCCCACTTGTTTTCTAATTCAATAAAGATACTGGTTTAAATGTGAAGCCACACAAGAGAAAGATGAAGCCAAAGCTGTTCCCCCTGAGGAATTGTTTTGAAATAAGGCATTAGGACCCTCCATTCAATTCATATTTAATAGACCACCATCTCTTCTGCCTTCATCAGGAAAAAAACAAAAACATAAACAAAATAGTATCTGCCTATGATTAATAGTATTTAATTACACGCACTTTTGTTTGAGTTTACTTCCTTGCTTTCTGAAAAAAACATAGGTATTTAGACACTAGTTCATGATGATAAAATTAAAATTTAGTTTTACAAACAAAAATTGAAACTGTCATTTGTAGGAAAAAAATTCAAATTTAAAATTGTTATTTTTCACTATTCTTAGATAGCAAGAGAAGTAAGAATTTCTTTACTGTGATTTATATCACAACAGAATTTTTTTCCTTGACAAAGGACCTTTTAAAAATCCCAGGAAAGGACCACAAAATAATCAAAGACTGCACATTGTAAATAAAACCCTTCAGCTGTTATTGAAACATAAGTATAATTACACACAAGGAAAAGGTATTATAAGCAGAGAAAAGATGCCTTAAGAATTCTTTGTCTTTTTCCAAACTGATGGACATGAGTGAGCTCTAATATCATTATGTTTAGAAATGGCTTCATCCAGATCCAACTGTACACCATTAATATTCACTTCCATGCAGCCATTATAAAAGGCATTCACTGGTGTGGCACTGAATGGAACATCTGTAAAAGGAAAATATTAGAATATTAGTCCAAGACTTTTAGCATCTTGTTTGTTTACAGTGAGAGAAGTCATTCAGACTTCCTGTTTCCAACCAAATTCTAATCCTAAAGGAAAAGTTAATAGTGAAATTCTATTCCATAAATACATGTTAAGTGACGCCGATATACATGTTACTGTACTTCATTGAATTCAGCATGTCATGAGTTCCTCAGATTTCATAAACACAATTAGTTCCATTTAAACTTAAACACATTTGAGGGAGAGTAGAAACAAGCATATTCTTGTGATATTCTATTTTTATTATACAAATAACATACTATTTTCTCTTTAAACTTAAGCAACAGTTTAAGCATTGTTAAATCATTTTCTTAACTCCAAATTATAGCTACTTGGGAATCTCTTTTAAATGTCATGATCAATATATCTCTTTTATTATTGTTGGAATAAAAGCAGATTTCTGTATTTTTCCAAAGAAACAATTTTTTTGTTGAGCATACAATAGGTCATGATACAGGATTCACTTTCATGTACTATTTAGAGTTCCTAAAAATAACAATTTTCCTTCCTCTTTTTTGGCCTCTCCTCTCCATTAATCTTAACTCACAATGGATATTCTTTAGCCCTTATTCTTCATCTTCAGTACCTTATGCCAAAAAAAAACCTTTAAATTTTCAACTTCTAACTTGCCAACACAGTGAATAAAGTTCCTACTTTACTATGACTGTGAGCTCATAGCATTTGTTAAGAATCCCTTTCAAGTTGGGCTAAACATCATAGATTATGCCACTTTTCCTTTTTTGAGAAAAGAAATTACTCAAATTCATTCGATTTTGAGGAAAGAAATTACTCAAAATCATTCATTTCTCTTGGGTTTTAGTACTTCACATGGAATTTTACATGCCTACTTTGCATGTAATTAATAATTTACCCATCTCACAGTTTATACTCTTAATATCTCAATATTTAGCTCCTCTCAAATCTTCCCCACTCTTTCTCTCAAGACATTTTGCCTGAAGTTAGTCCTCAGTGCTGTTGCCAAAATCCCGAAACCACTGAAATTTTGATAATTCTACTTCTTTTAAACTCTTTGTTGGTTTGATTTCCTAAAATTGCATTCAACTAACTTGTGGATAAGGTAGTAGGTAGATTTCAATATAGAATTTATTCATTTAAACTATAATTTTACTCCCTAATAATTAGGCATGCTCACTACTTACCTCTATCTATCTATCTATCTATCTATCTATCTATCTATCTATCTATCTATCTATCATCTATCTATCTGTCTGTCTTTCTATAGCTTTTAAAGCCTATTTACTTCTATTTCCCAAAACCCCAGATACAATTTCCATATATGGGAAATCAAGACCATGAGCAGTTTAAGCAGTATATTGAAGGTTATCAGAGGTCCAGACATCAAACTCAGAATTCTCCCCATGAGAATAAATTGCAAATGTCATCTGAAAATGCTTCTAAATAACTTTCTGCCTCTAATTTTCCATTTAAAGTGAAATATTGGTGCCAATTTCATATTTTCCAATATTCAGTTAAAGATGAATCTGTTTTTCCTCCAGTTTTCCCCATCTTGGTAAATGGAATCTCCATCCATGCAACTGCTCATGCCAGATACCTAAAAGTCATCCTTATACCTGTCTTTCAGTTATTAAATCCTATTAATTTTGTTTCTAACACATATCTCCGATCTATTTACTGTCCATCATCTTCATTGTTATCACCCTGGTCCTGCAGCTTCCTCAGTTTCCTCATCTGTAAAATGGGGATAATAATAGCACTTACCTCACTGGACTATTTTGAAAATTAAACAAGTGGATATATTTGAAGCACGTTAAACAGTGCCCAGACTGTTTGTTTTGCAATAGTTGATGGTAGTTAGATACTACAACTATTGTCACTGCTCACGCCTGTAATCCCAGCACTTTGGGAGGCCGAGGCGAGCGGATCGCAAGGTCAGGAGATCAAGACCATCCTGGTTAACACGGTGAAACCCCCTCTCTACTAAAAATACAAAAAGATTAGCCGGGTGTGGTGGCGGGCACCTGTAGTCCCAGCTACTCGGGAGGTTGAGGCAGGAGAATGGCGTGAACCCAGGAGGCGGAGCTTGCAGTGAGCCGAGATCGTGCCACTGCACTCCAGCCTGGGCGACAGAGCCAGACTCCATCTCAAAAAAAAAAAAAAAAAAAAAAAAAGCTGGATAAATGATAAGATGAACTGAATAATAGATGAATAAATATTGGGTAAATTAGAACAAATATTGAACTTATAAGACTATTGTGATGATGAAATAAAATAACATATCCTTTCTGGCTGGGATAGCCAAATGAAGCAAAACTTGATCAGCCTTAGTTCAACATTTTTAAACTAAACAAAACAAAACAAAAATATGCCAATAAAATGTCGGTACTAGCCCCTAGAAAAAGAATAATGAATACTGGATTTTATGTTCCCTTCTGATGCTTTTTTACTATAATTATATATTTAAAATATTATCGGTTTGATTAAAATATACTTTTTAAAACTGAAGAAAAAGTAAGCAGATACCTGGAAGGCCACCCAGGTATGTGGCCACTTTTGCTTTCATTGCTTTGTCCAAGACGGCAAGTTGTCTTTGAAGGTCTTCATGGGAGATGGTTTCTATTTTAAGTGGTGTCGACAACTCCAGATTGTTTCTGTTGACTCTAAATTCCAGATGAGATTGTTGATCGGAACATAGACTTAGGGCCTGTATCCGATATATTACAGTATTTTCAACAGATAACAGAATATCCTGAAGAGCAGAGCAAAGATTCAATATAAGCAAGGAGTAAGAGTAATGCTGCTTAAGAGTGACTTTTGAGTTTTTGAAAGTCAAAAACTAAATTTCAATAAGGAAAGAAAATGTATGATAGAGCCTCTAAATTTAAGGGAAAAATCACTAATTATTATAAGACTAATTTATAATAATTATGACTAAAATTTAAAATACACATTAGTTTTACAAACTCAAAGTTTAGCTAAAATATAAATGTATACTGGTTTCTGAAAATTCCGTAAAACAACCGGAACCTATAGGAGTGTCTTATATCTTTCTGTTTATGAGCCTTCCTAATTTCCAAGTTTACATATGAAAAGGGAAGGAGTTGAATCACTCTTTGTTGAGAAAAGACTTGGGAAATTTAAAATGCTTTAGTAAGCATATGCCAGCAGGACTAACAGGTTTCTTTGTGCCACACAAGCAATCCTACAGACTTGGGATAAAATAAATGAAGAGGCCCTGAGAAAGAAAAACCAGGGATTGCCACCAGCACGTTATAGAACATTTACCAGAAGATTCTACAGAAAGAAAATGTGTTCATTCTGCTGAACCTTTCAAACTGCCGTTATGCCTAAATTACTCAATGTGTTGAGTGTGATCTCTTCATATAGCTTATATGGCATAGAGGAAAGTGATAAAAACATAATCAGAAATGTTTATTTAGGAATCCAAGATACCTATTTTAAGTGAAAAGACTAACTTTGCAAATATAGGTTACTTGAGGAAATCTGTTATTGTGTTGTACATGTCCGTATCCTTAAACTCATTAAAAGAGATTGTCAATAAAGAAAATGCTCCAAAATGATCAATGATATCTGGAATAATGTTATGAAATATTGCATAGACCTTGAGAAGGAAATCTGACATGCAAAGAAAGAACCACGGAGGCAAACACTCAAAGGATAAATTAAATATCAAAGACATGGCATGCGTTAACCTCCTCCACTGCATGAATGTAGTGTTTAAGATAAGAATTCCATTTTGTTTAAAAAGAAAAACAAACTAGCAAACAAAAAACCCCTGAAATCCAAATGTAGAAAGCTCCTTAAAGGCAGGAGATTAAAACAAAAACAAAAACAAAAAAAAACTCATCAGGATATTTTTAGGTTACTTATGGTTAACCACCAGAAACTTCCCATCCTCCTCCCTGAATCATACTTTAAGTTGCAAACAGCATAACTTGTTTTACTACAATAGACATTATTCAACCACAGGTCTCTTTCTAAAATCTACTGAAAGCATCCAAGTCAGCCTTGGCATAAACATCAGCTTCTTGCTGTAACTTGTTAGAATGCACTGTGGATGACACATAGACAGAACGACTATGCTCTAATAGAAGTCTGAATAATACAGATTTTCTGATAACCCTCATATTTCCTTTCATCTAAGGCTTTTTCGTGTTCTTCCTCCTAATTTCAAATAAGAGTTGCCAGTAAGAAACCAAGTGGACCAGTTTTAACTTTCTCTCTTTTTTCCTAACTTACTCTTGGGAGAAAAGATTAAGAGTGTAAGAAAGAACAAAACATTATAATTAAGCACTGAATATCTGACAGTGCACTGTAATTAGACTCACTTCTATGTTGACAGTACAGACTAATTCCCACAACACATAAAGTATTCTTAATAAGGGTGGATCTCTATGTACTCGGATGGCTCCAAGCAGCCTGTGTGAGAGTCTGCCTAATCTTAGGTATAGATGCAGTAGGTTTTTCATTCCTCCCTCCCCTTACTTCTTCATTCAGACCTTGGAAACAAGCCAGAAAAAAAGTAACAATAATAGACATTTTTTGAGTCCTTAATGATGTGCTGGAGATTGTGCCAAACACTTTACATAAGTTACTTTATTTAATCTTCAAAATAGTCCTTTGAGGTAAATACTGCTATGTATACATTTTAAAAAATGAAAAGAAAAACAAGGCTTATATAGGTTTAGAGTTAAGTTACCTGTGATTTTTCAGAGGTGGAGTCCACCAAGGACACAGCAAAGGGCACTGTGTTGTTACCAGAAACCAAGGCAAGCATAACACCAGTGCCCGTGGATGGACGAATATTCAAGGTCACATTTACATGCCAACCCTCAGCACTGGATACATTATCTATTTAAAATAATGAAACAGAAGCATGATCAATGCACTCCTAAAGTGCATCAGAAGGAATTATTATTAACACAGTCCAGGTAATATTCAAAACTATCTTGTGTAATACTATTTCCATTCCCTTTCTCAATGATCTATATAACCTAGGCAAAACAAAACAAACTTTTTTGTAATGCAGGCAAGAAACATGCAAATGGAGTACCATCTTCCCGTTCTTCCTAGAAGAGAATTCTGGATTGTGGTGTTAAGGATTATCATGGATTTTCCCAGTTTGCTCTTTAACAGTGCTTCCTTCTCCCTTGCACATTCACCAATGCTCAAATCTCAGAGTGGTCATATTTCCAAGCACACGTTTGAAAATTCAACAAATTTACTGTAATAATTTAGGGAAAATCTGGGTACAGTTGCCATCATCACTCCAAAGGATAAATATGATCTATATACATAGGAGAGTTGGATAGTTCGATACTAGAGAAATACACTGACATCAGCAGTTAGTTTTGAAATCAGAATAGGAACCCTTGTTTTGTGAATCTCTTGTCATAATCCTTCACATTCTCTTTCTTAATTACTAGGTTAATTGTCTATCCCACTAACATGCAAGCTCTAGGAGGTATATATCTCTATCATTGCTTTGTTTTCCCCAGCACTCACTCAATAGATATTTGTTGAATTAATATGTTTCCAGAATAGTTGGATTACTAAAAATATTAGTTCATAATCTGAATGAAGTCTTCCTCATTTAATATGATGTAACATACAGCAAAGCCCAAATACCACACGGAGCCCTTGAAAGGGTAAATGTGAATAAGGAAAATCATTTTCCTTTGACAAGATGTTCTTCCACTTAGCCACATATAATGTCACTGTTTTTCATTATAATCCTGTAACTCCCATCCAGAAGAAAAAAAATATATAGACCGGGTACGGTGGCACATGCCTGTAATCCTAGCACTTTGGAATTGCCTGAGCTCAGGAGTTCGAGACCAGCCTGGGCAACATGGTGAAACATCTCTACTGAAAAAAAAATACAAAAAATTAGCCGAGCATGGTGGTGTATACCTGTAGTCCCAGCTACAACTCGGGAGGCTTGATTCAGGAGAATCGCTTGAACTCAGGAGGCAGAGGTTGCAGTGAGCTGAGATCACGCCACTGCACTCCAGCCTGGGAAAAAGAGTGAGACTCTGTCTCCAAAAAAAAAAGAATGTTTATATGTAATCATTGTGAAATAAGTAATTTTTAATTGATATATCATAATTGCACATATTTTGGGGTACATATGTCATTTGATAAATGCATACAATGTGTAATGCTCAAATCAGGGTAATTGGAATTTCTATCACCTAAACATTTATCTTGAAATAAGTAAATTTAACACAGAATATTAAACTCAAACTAAAATGAACACACGAATGTATAGAAGTTAAAATGTAACATTAAATATTAATTACAAAGTAGATCACTTACAAATTATCCATGAAATGATTAATTACTTATTAAAGTAATTTTTTTAGATACAATATAACTCTTATTTTCATTACCTTTTCAGGATTTTTTTCCTTTGGCCAAATCACCATGGATTTAGTTTTATCCTAATTTAATCCTCACCCCATTTATAACTTTAAAAAAATCTTTCATAGGCAGAACAGAACTAGGCATTGTATCAATTTGTGTTAGAAAAAGGGAAATCATTTTTGTAAAATTTGTCCTTAAAAATACAGTAAAAAAGGCTGGGCACAGTGGCTCATGCCTGTAACACCAGCACTGGGAGGCTGAGGCAGGAGTATCACTTGAGTTAAGGAATTTGAAAACTGACCTGGGCAACACGGGAAGACCCTGTCTCTGCAAAACATAAAAATTAGCAAGGCATGGTGGCATGTGGCTGTAGTCCTAGCTACTTGGGAGGCTGAGGCAGGAGGATTGCTTGAGCCCAGAAGGTCTAGGTTACAGTGAGCCATGATTGCACCACTGCACTCCAGCCTGGATGACAGAGAGAGACCCTGTCTCAAAAACAAACAAACAAATGTAGTAAATATAGACTACGAAAGATGGGAGGGTGGGAGGAGGGTAGGGGTTGAAAAATTACCAATTGGGTATCATGTTCACTATTTGGGTGATGTGTACACCAAAAGCCCAGATTTCACCACTACACAATATATCACAATATATGCATGTAAGAAATCTGCACTTGTACCTCCTAATTACATAAAAATTTAAAAATGTATTTTAATGTAGTAAGCACTTTTTTTTTTTTTTTTTTTGTGAGACATGCTCACACTCTGTCATCCAGGCTGGAGTGCAGTGATAAGATCCTGGCTCTCTGCTGTGTCAACATATTGGGCTCAAGCCATCCTCACACCTCAGCCTCCTGAGTAGCTGGGACTACAGGTGCATGCCATCAGGCTTGGCTAATTTTTGTATTTTTTGTGAAGATAGGGTTTCACCATGTTGCCAAGGCTGGTCTTGAACTCTTGGGCTCTAGCTCTTTGGGATCTGCCCGCCTCAGCCTCCTAAAGTGCTGGGATTATAAGTGTGAGCCACCTTACCTCGCCCTTTTTAGGTTACAAATAAACACAATTAAAATGTAATTTTTTTCTTAAAGCAGAGATATCACATTAGTGTTAACAATTTATAATGCAAAGTGTTAGTAGCTCAAATAATGAACTACTAAAAAAGAAAAAGACAAAGAATTCAATAAAATAATTAGAATTTATAAATAGCTAATAAACATATGGGAGGATATTCAAGTTCAGTAGAAATTAGAGAAATAATATTAATATTCAAACCTACAAAATTTAATTTTTGAACTATCAGATTGGAAAAAAACTAAAGCATACACTTTCTCATTCTGTTGGTAGAAATATTAATTGATAAAAGATTTTTGGAAAAGAATGTAATTGAACCTCTAATAATTATATATTTGCATAACCTTTGATAGAGATAACCTAATTCTAAAATTTTCTTCCATAGAATTAATCACATAAAGGTAGAAGGATGTATGATTTAGGATGTTCACAGAAGTATTACTTCTAAGGTTAAAAACCTAGGGTCAGTATGGCAAGATTCCCTGCTCCACTTAGGCTGTAGAAAAGTGGAAAGGGCACCACTCCCACCCTTACAACAACAAAAGCCAAATTATCTGCATAATCATGACTTTTCTTGAAACTATCAAAGAGCTGAGGTCGCAGAGCAACAAACTAACCAGAAACCTAAAGAAAGACAGGTGTTTCCAAGGAAAGCCAGAATGAGAACACTTTCTAATCCAGGGCAGACAGGAAATGCCATGCAATTTGGTAAAAATAATTTAGGTAAAGATTTAAACAAATTGCTGAACTCCATGTAGGGGCTGACGTAAGAGTTTAGAAGCCCTAGAAATTACAGACACAAAGACAATTCATGCTCATTCACAGGCTCTTCTCCACAGACCTTACCATGCACTCAAGAGAAAACAGAGTGCAGGGAAGGAGATCCGAAAAAGCCTCTCTCTTAATATGGTCCTGAAAGCAGCACCAGCTACAGGGAAGCCACAAAGCCCCATCTAGATCCTTCTCGGTCTCCTCTACACAACACAAGTTTTCAAGCCAGGAGAAAGGCAGCAAACCTTGTCATTAGGACACATATGAAGACTCATTGCAACTACAGATTAGGAAGAACAAACAAAAAAAGCTATCTATCATGCAGAAGGAGCAAGAAAACATATTGAGTCCTGATCACTAGACATCTCCCCTACTGATGAGAGTCAGGGAAGAGGAACAGTGAAAATTCCACACTCCTGAGACCCAGGGATACAACACCTGCCTAAGACTGAATTTGTACGACAACAACATAGAATGCTTCCCCAACCTCCGCATCTTCTCTGCCATGTTAGCAAATGTCAGGTAACAAGAGCACTCTGCTAGGGGTGGGCAAGACACTTGAGAGACACAAGTGGGAGAGACATTTTCTTGAGGCGTATTATGGAGGGAATACATAAAACTGAGCTGCTATGATGAAAAACTCTCTAGGCCAGGCACGGTGGCTCAAGCCTGTAATCCCAGCACTTAGAGAGGCTAAGGCAAGCAGATCACCTGAAGTCAGGAGTTTGAAACCAGCCTGGCCAACATGGCAAAACCTCGTCAAAAATACAAAAATTAGCAGGGCATGGTGGCGCACCCTTGTAATTCCAGCTACTCAGGAGGCTGAGGCATGAGAATCACTTGAACCTGCAAGGTGGAGGTTGCGGTGAGCCGAGATTGTGGCACTGAGCTCCAGCCTGGGTGACAGAGTGAGACTCAGTCTCAAAAAAAAAGAAAAAAAGAAAGAAAAGAAAAAGAAAAACTAGCTACCAAACCATTCCCTTATTCTAAGCAGAAGGTAGTATTTTGAAAATCTGAGGCTGGGTGCGGTGGCTCACACCTGTAATCCCAGCACTTTGGGAGGCCAAGGGGGTGGATCATGAGATCAGCAGTTCAAAACCAGCCTGGCCAAAAACACAAAAATACAAAAATTAGCCGGGCGTGGTGGCGGGCGCCTGTAGTTCTAGCTACTCAGGAGGCTGAGGCAGAAGAATCACTTGAATCCAGGTGGCAGAGGTTGCAGTGAGCCAAGATTGCATCACTGCACCCCAGCCTGGGTGACAAAGTGAGACTCCATCTCAAAAACAAAACAAAACAAAATAAAAGATCTGAAACCTGTGGTGCATTAAGGGTAATCCTGGCACCAACAAAACTTAAGAAGCTCAACTTTTCACTAGATTGATTCAATCCCATTACTAAGAGCCTAGCAAAAGAAATGTGCTCATTTCCAGACACAAATATTCTTTATCTCAGTCTCTACTGTTATACGTAAGATGCCCAAATCTAAACCAAAAATTACATGGTACACAAAGATGCAAGAAAAACAACACTTGGTCAAGGGACAAAGCAAACAAAATGACGAGACTCAGATATGACACAGTTGGAACTACGAGACAGGGAATTTAAAATAATTATGATGAATACATTGAAAACTCAGTACATAAACTAGACAAGTGTGAACAGATAGGGAATTTCAACAGGGAGGTAGAAATTTTAAGAAAGCATCAAATAGAAATGCTAGAAATGAAGATGAATCTTTCTGATGCATTCATTGATAGACTCCATACAAGTGAGAAATCAGTGAACTTTAAAATAGGTCAATTGAATTTACCCATAAGGAATCAGGCTATGTACTGATAAACCTGAAATAACAACACAAGCACATTCAAATGCCTTTATATTTTTCCCAATACACTGAAAAATTTTTGTAAAAGGTATATAATAGTATGAATAAGCATAAGACTAGAGTGGGCACACAGTAGATACTCAATAATGTTTCACAAATAAATTATTACTGTTTGTTAATGAATAAATTTACTCATTAATGAGAAAATAGAGATAAATGGAAAATCACTTACTATAATCTATGTGAAATTGAGCAATTCCAGAACCAGGATAGTAGGAGCCCTTCTCCACAGTAACCAGGCAATGCTTATTTTGTTTTTCTTGAATAATTTCCTTTATTCCAGAAGCTCCTTGCTTCATCAAATTCCAGCTTCGTATACATCCATCTAGACGAGGGTTAATCTAACAAATTAAAATACAAGTCAAGGAGTGCATTTTAAACTTAAACAGTGGCTCGATTATGAGTATAGGTTTTCATTAAGAGAAAAAAAATCCTTTCTTTGATAATAGTTGAAAATATTTTGAATTTTATTTAAGTTTTTCTTTTCAAAGTATTCTTCAGATGGACAGTCTTTTTCAGTACAAGCAAGCTCATACTATCACAAGCCCTCAGTGGGATCTTAATGGTTTTTAACACTTCAAGCCCCACCTGCCTCTCCTACATCATCCAGTGGTAACTTTTCTGCTTTCAAGTTCTATATTTGCTTCTAGCTGTGGCCCTGGGCTCTAAGTTGTCTTGTTTATCTTCTTTGTTTGTTTGATTGAGATGGAGTCTTGCTGGAGTGCAGTGGCAGGATCTTGGCTCACTGCAACCTCTGCCTCCCTGGTTCAAGCGATTCTCCTGCCTCAGCCTCCTGAGTAGCTGGGATTACAGGTGCCCACCACCACGCCTGGCTAATTTTTGTACTTTTAGTAGAGATGGGGTTTTGCTACATTGGCCAGGCTGGTCTTGAACTCCTGACCTCAGGTGATCCACCCGCCTCGGCCTCCCAAATTGCTGGGATTACAGGTGTGAACCACCACGCCTGGCCTTGTTTTTCTTTAGTGGCATTTATAATATGGGTTTGTCTTGCCAATCAGACTCTAAGTCTCTTCAGACACAAAAGTGTTTGCATTCTTTAGCCTCCATCAAGTATCCTGCCAGGCTCAAGACATGTAATAACCGTTTCATAAATGATTGATACTTTTTGAATAATTTATTTTACTTTTAAAGTGTATTAATTTCTCAGTTTCAAACAACAGGTATACTCATGTCAACATGGGTTAATTAATTCAAGCTTAATATCATATAATGGAAATCTTTTAAAAGTTAAAGTAACTACGAATTTCCAGAGAATGAAAGACGGATGTAAGATAGTAAATATTTAACAATAAATTTCACCTTATGTGCTATTCTTTAGCTCTTGCATTTAAGTCCTAAAAATAGACTTGAGAAAGTCCTTTGACTGGCTTTTACAAAATGGTGTAATTTTGGACTTAAATATATGAATTTATATGTTTAACAACTGAGTATGGATTATCATGATGTTAACACTGAACATTACATTACTAATGTTAACATTAGTGTTAACATTCTCAAGTGTTAACTTGAGAATTTTAGAAATCCACTTCATGATTTATGCTGGGGATTTAAATGGGCACAAAACCACTACGTCATTTTTTTATTTCATTAATATAATTTCAAGGGTTACTAATGTTATTTTTCCATGATCATTTCAAGTTGTCACACTTAGTATGCTTAACAAAACAACTTCTATTGATTCTCAGAAACACACATATTCAAATCTATTACAGACAAAAGGAACTCATCCATGATGAATGATACAAGCTTGGATCATTACCGGTTTAATGAGTTCACTTTCCACTTTCCGAGGGAATCCTGCAAAGTATACTTTGGTTTCCAGCAATCCATTTTCCGGCTTAAAAAGGGGTCCAGGTTTATTTATATCCATCACAGCTTCTTTAGCTATTTTAATGCTAATACTATGTTCTAATTCTTCCACAGACACCTACAATTAAAAAGAAAAATTACCAAATAACCAAGTATTACTACATGTCATTTGAAATACTGGGATCTAAAACTTATGTTATTATTCCAATAAAATACTTCTGTAAAGTAATCATTTTAATGTAATTATTAATTTGTTACAACTCATTTGGAATGTCAAATTATGATAAATGTGATAAAAAGGCATTTAGGGTGGCAGCACGATCAAAAATTAAAAGCATACCATATTTTAAAGTTAAAAAAAATACTATTCTGTTAAGCTTAAACATCCAGTTATATATCTTTCAATTCCAGGCTGCTAGAAAATTAACAATTAAGTGAGCCATTCTATCTTAGGAAAAATTTAAGTGGCCTTATTTTGCAATTGTCTGATAATACGCACATGGAATCAATAGTGTAAATAAGTTCTTTTTTTTTTTTTTTTTTTGAGACGGAGTCTCGCTCTGTCGCCCAGGCCAGACTGCGGACTGCAGTGGCGCAATCTCGGCTCACTGCAAGCTCCGCTTCCCGGGTTCACGCCATTCTCCTGCCTCAGCCTCCCGAGTAGCTGGGACTACAGGCGCCCGCCACTGCGCCCGGCTAATTTTTTGTATTTTTAGTAGAGACGGGGTTTCACCTTGTTAGCCAGGATGGTCTCGATCTCCTGACCTCATGATCCACCCGCCTTGGCCTCCCAAAGTGCTGGGATTACAGGCGTGAGCCACCGCGCCCGGCCCATAAGTTCTTAATATAAAGTAAGAAAAATCAATATGTTCACTATTCTGTTAATTGCACACAAATTATTTTTTCTTTAAAATTCAAAAGTGATTGAGGCAATAAGAAAAAAATACATAAAATTAAATTGGAGTTTTCCAATTTTGAGAGTTGTTTGGGTTTTTAAAAAAGGTTTCAAGTAAGGGTAAACAACAATAAAAATTCCTTCTACAAAGGCAATTTGAAGAACCACTGCTGCAATCACTTCAAGTAAAACTATAGCACTCAAAGAGCAAACTCTTCACTCACTAACCAATAATATAAGCCAAACAATAAGCATATTAAAACACCATGATAGGAAGGGAAAAACTATCCTCCAACATAAAATAAATTTAGTTACACAAATTTAAAGTTGGTCAACACTCCTTCTTTAATATAGCCAATTAGCAGCATGTGAACAACTATTCTCTCCTTTACAGACTTTCTTAACTTAGCCTACAACACTTGACCCTGATTGCTTCTCTTTCTACACTCTAACCACTACTTCTCAGTCTCCTTTGCTGGATCCTCCCCTCCCCACAGCTCAGGCCCCAGACCTTTTTCCTGTAGCCATGCAAGTATTTTAAGTGAGACACTATGACTCCACTCCAGGGCATTTGGAAAATTTGGAGGTGAGGAACACTTTTATTTGTCACAATGAGTAGGGGCCATGCTGGCACTGCAAGATGATAGACAATCTGCATTATGTACATAGGCTAGTCATGCAGAATTAATAATAATAAGTAATGCAGAACTAATAATAAAATATCAAGTATTCTTAAAATCTTTTGAACATCACTGCTAGGTATTCATGTAGGGAATATTCATGCTTACAATCATCTGAGTTTGTGCATACATAGACACAAAATATTTGCTGCACTATTTTAGCATTCATTACATTTTTCAAGAATGTAATAATCTTGACAACTAAGGATAGATTGATATTTGTTTTGTTCATATCTTTACCAGGAACTTCCCACCACTTTGGAAAATTAATATTACCAATGGCAACACCATGTATGCCCTTAATGGTACTTGAGTTGCTAATTTAACACCCCAGCATTAGTCTTCATTTGTAGCTTTTACTTTATGCATAGAAGCAAGCTTTGACAAGTGTTATAGTTATAGTTGACTACGTATATATTGAAATACATATTATTTTCTTATAAATTACTTTCCTTTTATTTATCCATATTAATATAATAATGACAGAATTATTTTGGTTTTGATTGGGTATATGTGAAGGTAGTTTATATTACTGATACATTTCATTATAGAATAGTAAAGGAGCATTATATATTTTCAGACATTGGATGAGATAGTGTTTGGAACCACTGGTCAACACAAACAGTTTCATGGCCTTAAAACCCCTCTTTATGCTGAGTATTCAAAAATTTTAATTGAAGGCTTAACTTCAAAAATATATCCAGAATCTGACCACTTCTTACCACTCTTACCATCAGCACACCAGTCAAACTGTCATCTTCTCTCCGCTGGGTTATTCCAACAGTCTCCTAACTCCATATCCCCATATCCTGTTATACACTCATTCTCCACTTCTGGTTTCCACAAAGCCATTAGCTTCTGATTGGGATTATCTTTTAAAATGCAAACTAGATCATGTCCCTTCTCAAAACCATCCAGGGCCTTTCAATTTAGCATAAAATCCACATCCTCATCATGGCCTCCAAGGCCCTAGATGATCTTATTCTAGACCACGTTTCTAACCTCATTTTCTAACTACTCTCCCCTGCTGCTACACTACTCTGTGTTATTCCTCAAATACCAAACACATCCTATTCCAAGAAATTCTGTACTTGCTGTTTACATGGTACAGAATCTTTTTATATTCCCTCATTTATTTCTCATGACATGTGCTCTCAAGTCTCAGCTCAGATCTAATCTCATCAGAGATGCCTTTCCTGATTCTATATGCATACTAACCACCATTACTCTCTATGTCTTTGTCTGGCTTTTCTTTTTCCTTATAACATGAATAACTATCTGGCATATTTATTTTTTCATGCATTTGTTGTTTGCGTCTCACCATTAGAACGCAAGCTCCATAAGAGCACTGACTTTTTTTTATTTGCTGTTGTATCTTTACCACCTAGAATAAGGATTAGCACATAGAAGTGCCAATAAATATTTTGCTGAATGAATTATGATACATTTACAATTAAAATTCCTATTAATATTAGACTCATAATCAAAGATAAGATGTAATCATTTATAAATTCACCACGTTTGCCCAAGTGTGCTTTGTTTGTACCTCTAATGTAATGTATTTCATGTTACATTATATTATTTCCCAAAGAAGCATCAGCTACTTATCTGTGAGGTACTAAGCTCTAGAGCAAGGAAAATCTCTTGCTATTGTTGCGGGAAGTCAGGGACCCCGAATGGAGGGACTGGATGGAGCCACAGCAGAGGAACATAAATTGTGAAGATTTCATGGACATTTATTAGTTTTCAAATAATACTCATAATTTCTTACACCTGTCTTACTTTAATCTCTTAATCCTGTTATCTTCATAAGCTGAGGATCTACATCACCTCAGGATCACAACTGTGTTAACTGTACAAATTGATTGTAAAACATGTGTGTTTAACAATATGAAATCAGTGCACCTTGAAAAAGAACAGAATAACAGCGATTTTAGGGAACAAGGGAAGACAACCATAAGGTCTGACTGCGTGCAGGGTCGGGCAAAATAGAGCCATATTTTTCTTCTTGCAGAGAGCCTACAAACGGACCTGCAAGTAGGGAAGATATTGCTAAATTCTTTTCCTAGCAAAGAATATTAATAATTAATACCCTGGGGAAGGAATGCATTCCTGGGAGGAGGTCTATAAATGGCCGCTCTGGCAGTGTCTGTCTTATGCAGTTGGGATAAGGACTGAAATACGCCCGGGTCTCCTGCAGTACCCTCAGGCTTATTAGGGTGGGGAAAAAACCCCACCCTGGTAAATTTGAGGTCAGACCAGTTCTCTGCTCTCAAAACCTGTTTTCTGTTGTTTAAGATGTTTATCAAGACAATACGTGCACCGCTGAACATAGACCCTTATCAATAATTCTGCTTTTGCCCTTTGGCTTGTGGTCTTTGTTGGACTCTTTATCAGTAGTTTCTGATTTTGCCCTTGTCCTGTTTCCTCAGAAGCATGTGATCTTTGGTCTCCTTTTTGCACTTTGAAGCATGTGATCTTTGTGACCTACTCCCTGTTCTTACACCCTCTCCCCTTTTGAAATCCTTAATAAAAACTTGCTGGTTTTGTGGCTCAGGTGGGCATCACAGTCCTATCGATATGTGATGTCACCCCTGGAGGCCCAGCTGTAAAATTTCTCTCTTTGTACTCTTTCTCTTTATTTCTCAGCCAGCCGACACTTATGGAAAATAGAAAGACCCTACAATGAAATATTGGGGGCAGGTTTCCCCGATATGCTATAGTTCTAATGCCTTGAACTCAGGAACTTAGCATCAAAAGCACTCACTAAAAGCTTACTGAATAAATGAGTGCATGTCTGCATAAATGAAGGACCAAAATAATTTAGTGATGACCTCACATGACTTCTCAATACAAACTTCTTGTCTGGGTGCAGTGGCTCACACCTGTAATCCCTGCACTTTGGGAGGCTGAGGAGAATTGATCACCTGAGGTCTGAAGTTCAGGACCAGCCTGGCCAACATGGTGAAACCTGTCTCTACTAAAAATACAAAAACTACCTGGGCATGGTGTCAGGCACTGATAGTCCCAGCTACTCGAGAGGCTGAGACAAGAGAATCACCTGAACCCAGGAGGTAGAAGTTGCAGTGAGCAGAGATCACTGCACTCCAGCCTGGGTGACAGAGCAAGACTCCGTCTCAAAATAATAGTAATAATAGTGATGATAAATAAATAAATAACATAAATAAATAAATTGAGATCAGCACAAACTTCTTGCCAGCTCCTCTAGGCATAAAAGATGTCTCTTTTGTGCACCACATTCTAAGGTGAAGCCAATCTTCTCTCAGCTATCCTCTGCTGATGGCAGCAATGACTCTATACTTCAGAAAAGACTTCTCCCCACTATCAACTAGCAGTAATCCCTTCAGAAAAGTCCCACTTTAATCCAGTTGATTAAAGTGCTATTCTTGATCATTAGATTAAAGGCTATATGTAGGATTAAATTAAAATGCTAATTTCTTTTCTTTCTTTCTTTCTTTTTATTTTTGAGACAGTCTTGCTTTGTCACCCAGGCTGGAGTGCAGTGGCGTGATCTCGGCTCACTGCAACCTCCGCCTCCTGGGTTTAAATGATTCTCCTGCTGGGATTGCAGGCGTGCGCCACCAAGCCTGACTAATTTTTGTATTTTTAATAGAGATGGGGTTTCGCCATGTTGGTCAGGCTGCTCTCGAACTCCTGATCTCAGGTGATCCACCTGCCTTGGCCTCCTAAAGAGCTGGGATTACAGGCATGAGCCACTGCGCCCAGCCTAAAATGCTGATTTCTAAGCACACTGGTACCTGCTAATGTATATCATTTGCACAAAAACTGACAACTAGGTCCGGTACAATGGCTCATGCCTGTAATCCCAGCACTTTGGGAAGCCAAAGTGGGAGGAGGATTCCTTGAGTTCAAGACCAGCCTGGGCAACATAGCAAGACCCTGTGTCTATTTTTTTTTAAGGATTACTTATCTATCTGCTTATATTTGAATTTGAATTACCTTTTTAGACTTGTTACTATGTTTATTTCTCCTTACTTTAAAAAATATTGTTGGCAATTGAGGAGTTTTCCTTGATCAGTGTTGTCTTTGCATAAATTGTTATGCCAGCCGGGTGTGGTTGCTCACTCTTGTAATCCCAGCACTTTGGGAGGCCGAAGTGGGTGAATAGCTTGAGCCCAGGAGTTTGAGACCAGCCTTGCCAACATGGTGAAAACCTGTCTCTACTAAAATTACAAAAATTAGCCAGGTATGCTGTTGCACACCTGTAATCCCAGCTACTCAGGAGGGTGAGGCACAAGAATCTCTTGAACCTAGTAGGTGGAGGTTGCAGTGAGGCAAGACCATGCCACGGCACTCCAGCCTGGGCAGACAGAGTGAGACTGTCTCAAAAAAAAAAAATATGCTAGCCGCGGTGGCTCACATCTGTAATCCCAGGACTTTGGGAGGCCAAGGCAAGTGGATCACCTGAGGTCTGGAGTTCGAGACCAGCTGGACCAACACGGAGAAACCCCGTCTCTACTAAAAACACAAAATTAGCCGGGCATGGTGGCGCATGCCTGTAATCCCAGCTACTCGAGAGGCCAAAACAGGAGAATCACTTGAACCTGGGAGGTGGAGGTTGCAGTGAGCTGAGATCACGCCACTGCACTCCAGCCTGGGCAACAAGAGCAAAACTCTGTCTCAAAAAAAAAAAAAAATGTTAGGCCTCCTAATAGTCCCTAACACCACTGTTCACCAAACAGCAACTAAAAAAGGTAAAAAGTTAAAGACAGAGTAGTTCAAGCAAATAACTAAAAACAATGATTCTAATATATTAAGTGAGAATATTATTTCTCAGGATGCTTCAGGGATTTACAGTATGTAGAATATACCTCATATAGCATCAGATAACTCCAAATCCATTTTGGTTTGGTATCACTATAAAAATAAATTATGATTTTATACAGACTGCATCAAAGTGGGAAGATATTGATGAAATCTGCAAACGTACCATATTCCATAGACCATTATTAATAACATCACCTCCAGTTGTGATTTTGGATGTATGTTCATTCTTAAGCTGAACTTCAATCTTTCCACCACGAAGTGCAATCAGGAGCCACGCTGAGTGATCGATAGATTCTGCGTACAGTATCACGCCTTCTGAATCATATGTCCGGAAATCAAATTCTGCTGAAAATCTAAACAATGGACAAAGAGAGATCCTTAAGAGTAAGAAATACAGAAAGCTCAATGCATTATTCTTTTTTTCTTGTACTGACAAACAGTAACACAGACAAAGAGTCAATTATTTATTTCTTTTTCTGGAATTAATAAAAGAGAAGGGCAGAATTAGACTGCTCATGTATTATCTCTGGTTCCATGTACGTTTAAAATTAAGTTATTATATTTTCTTGCTTATTCTTGGAATCTTTTCCCCAGGGAACAGATGCTTTGGTAATTTGTCATCTTTCTTTGACATATATTTTGATAGCACCTTCCAAATGCTGAAATTAATACACAGGTATAAGTATCAGGCATACTATATCTCTCCTGGAGCCTTTTATACACTATATAATCTGACATTAAGAAGTGGTAGTTTTTTTTGTTGTTGTTCTTTTTTGTTTGTTTTTGTTTTTGCTGTATCCATAAGTGATCATAAAATGTGTTACAATTTCATCGTTGGTTTATTCATCAAAAGGCATATTTTCCCTATAATTTCACATGTCAGGAATCACTCGTGGAGATCTACAAGATGGCACATGGATGACTGCAGACATCATTAAGCCTTCATGTGTGGTAAGAAAGGTAAAATTTAAAAACTTAAAATATATCTATTAGCTTTCCTAAAACTCCAGTTGCATAAGTCACTGTTGTAGAATACACAGAAGGAAAACTTAAAAGACATAGTCTACCCATGTGTTTGGGGGGTATCTGAGTGCTGGCAACATCTGTTGCTATTAAGACTCTAGACATATATGTAGCTATTACAGGGGAGAAAAGTCTTAGGATGCAGGACTTAAAATAACATGTGTTGATTCAGTATCCTTAAAACACTTCAATGAGAATCAGCATTGAAGTTTCCAAGGGACTAGCAAATCCACATGATTGACGAAAGACAAACAGGGAAAAGGAACAATAGGTGTATAACTATTAGTCACCTAACTTAAAATAAAGGCAATTTAAGTTAAAGAGTCTGGACTTCAGATAATTGCTATATTAGGCAGGACAGAATCCCACACTCTTACCGCAATATAGTAAAATAGTAATAGTAATAGAGGCACCATTTGCAATGGGGCACGTATCTCCCTCAAATGGAACAAAGAAAAGGTGACAAAATGAATGTTTTCATCTTTAGAATTCCAAAGAAATATTTAAAAAGAGGTAAAATGTGGAGTAAAGTATGTTGGATGGATAACAATGTAGTAGGAATTTACTGAACTCAGATTATGAAAAAAAGAACAATTTTGCTTGGAATAAGGACTTCTATGCTCTTTCATAATTATCTGAGCATTTTGCTGATGTGAAGCAATATTATCTTGCCAAAATCCAAATCTGTGTATGCTCAGGATCTTCCAGCAGTTGATTCTATTATGGAGATAATTTCCTTTTCTTTGTAAAATCAGGCTGAAATCATAGTTTCAAAGGGTCATGTTCTGCATATTTTGTTTCTGGAATATATCAGCAGCATATTGATTCATTACAATGGGGAACAATTCATTCTTTTTCACAAGCATGGTAAACAGGAAAATAGAATGAATTTGTTGACATTTACGGAGGGAAAGTATTTGATCATGAGCAACAGACGTCAAGAAATTTGCAAAAATAAATAAAAGCACTAGCTATTCTTTGTGTTGATCACACAAGGGGCAGTTTATAAAAATTCATCAAGCTATACATTTAATCTAATGTGTACATATCGGTACATACTTTATATTTCAATGAAAAGTTTAAAATAAATAAATAATAAATTCTGGAAAAAATAATTTGTCCAATTCTGATCCCATGTTAGAGATCAAACTACTATGAATCGTCAGTGAGAAATGAACAAACTCCTGGAGATTGGCTCCAGGACCTCTGGATGGTATCAATATCCACAGATGCTCAAGTCCCTTATATAGAATGGCATAGTATTTGCATATAACCTATGCACATCCTCTCACGTACTTTAAGTCGTCTCTACATTATGTATAATACTCAATACAATGCAAATGTATGTAAATAGTTGTCATACTGTATTGTGTCTCATTTGTATTATTTTGTATTGTATTGTCATTGTGTTTTTTTCTGAATATTATCTACCCGAGGTTGGTTAAATCCACAGATGAGGAACTCAAGGATTTGGAGGATCAATTGTATTCCTAAAAGTGTTATTTACTAGAACTAATATTTTTCTCTCATTATTATTCTCATAGCAGGGAAGAGTTTTCTCCAATCTCTATCATTAGAAGATATTAGTTGCTCTGTGATGTTAAAGGAAAAAACCACATATTGGCAGAAATAAAGTGTGGAAGGAGCACTGTTACTTAAGTATTTATGTAAGTTATTGATCTTAGAATAATTTTCAATGTTTTTAATAACGTCTATGAATTTAGTTGAATTATTTAATGAATAATCATTCATGTATCTAACATCAAGTTCTAAACATACATGCTTATTTAATTAAAATATTTTAAAATTTGAACTGTATAATCTGTCTCAAGTATTTTGCCTTCTCATTATTCCAAAAAAAATCCAATTTCTTTCTTCTACTTCCAGCAATGTATGCTTCTGAGAAAATCTGATAACTGAAGTACAATTATGGCAGATCACCTGAGGTGATCACCTGAGGTCAGGAGTTTGAGACAACCCTGGGCAACGTGGTAAAACTCTGTCTCTACTAAAAATACAAAAATTAGCTGGGTGTGGCAGCTCACACCTGTAGTCCTAGCTACTCAGAAGGCTGAAGCAGGAGAATTGCTTGACCTGGGAGGCGAAGGTTGCAGTGAGCCGAGATTGCGCCACTGCACTCCAGCCTGGGGAACAAAGCAAGACTCTGTCTCAAAAATAAATAAATATAATAAAATAAAAATTGGATCATAAACATTGCTATAAAAATAAGTGGAATCATGACTAAAAAACATAAGCATTTACTTCATTTCTGAACTCAATCTAAGTACGATAATAATGGATAAAGTATTTAGACAGCCAACTAAAATTATGTAATATATGTCTTTAAAATGCCACTTAAGCAAGTTTAAATTTTTTCCTTAATAATTTTGAATATAATGATATTCTAAAAGCAATACTGAGTATTTTTTATTACCTGGTTTTCATAACATGTGTAAAGAATAATGGAAATTTCACAAGTACATTAAATCTACTTTCCCAGCTTCTTAGTAAATATGCATTTTCTACAAAAGGAATAATATGGAATAATGTAAAATGTTCATTGGGGAAAGTCAGCCTAGAATGACTCAAAAAGGTTTTAGGATGAAAATTACATGTGTGAAGGAGTAAATTAACTTTAGGTTTCCCCAAGTCATCTGATTGGTAATATGACTACATTATCTGATAGGTAATACAATTTCACACACTTCAAACCTTTTCGGCCACTTTTCTTCTGCCCTTATCTGCTTAACCTCTAGAAATTATCATTGGTATTGGTTCCTCACCTGCTGATTTCTGGCAAACGAAATTTTAAATATAAAACAACCCCTGCAAACTGCTCCGCCAAGTAAAGTAATTCATACTTTGTGTCAAGGTTCAAGGGAAGGCACACTGAAACAACCTGGAATAAAAGAAACCAAATAAACAACAAGAAAATCAAAATGCACAGGTTATTGCTTAATGTTTGTGTGAGGTCATGCATTTTTGTTTGGTTACTAATGTATCATCTGTAATACACTAAAATAATTAAGAATATTTTTGGTAATAATAAATACATATCTTCCATTTCCTTGTATAGTCTATCTATCAGTATAACCTCCAAGAATACATGTGTTTTAAAGCCTCGTTCAATGTGCATGGCTTTCGATCTTTGTCTTTAATACTTCCTTTGCAAATTTTCGTCCTAAACACAAACTCTTTCTTCAAGAACCAATATATATTTCTTTAATTAACAGTCAGGTATATTATCTCCCATGAATTATGTCTGAAAATTATTTTTATTTGAAGTCAGAAATAGGTGTAAGAATTAATGTACCAATAAACAGCACCTCATTCATTCACTCATTCATTTATTAAGCAAAAGTTTTCTGAGCAAGAATGTGCTATCTAGATAGTAAAGGGAATACTGGAAAACATGAAGGAAATAAATATAAATTCAGATCTCATAGTCTCCAAGGAATTTACAAGAACATTATTTAAAGTCATCACATATGGTATCAAGTATTTTTTTTCTACGAGTGAAAACAAACATTAAAATGAAAAGCTTTTAACATACAAATTATTGAACACATATGAGGATATTTTGAGGAGAATTACGTACATAGCACTATATTAAATATAGGCCCAGAAATAACATTTTATTTCCCCTTAAAACTTTAATAAATCTATTTCAAGGCAGACGGTGATATGTAACTACACCAAATACAGAAATAATAAAGGACTAAATTACAAAATAGATGTTCACACAGCATGGCATTTCAATTAAGTAGTAACGTACCAAAATTACAACAAATGCCAACTAGCTTAT
Source organism: Homo sapiens (assembly GCF_000001405.40). Lineage (NCBI taxonomy): Eukaryota > Metazoa > Chordata > Mammalia > Primates > Hominidae > Homo > Homo sapiens. The sequence goes on from NC_000003.12 coordinate 93,897,598, forward strand.
TACCAAGTAGGTTGCATATTATTGAATGTGACATTTTTCTGGACATATACAGCTTTGTTTTGGCAACAGCTATAGAGGTATGTATGTATACTTAGTTAAATCATTATTTAGGCATTTTTTATGGTCTGCCTCATAATAATATATAATTTTACCTTCACTTGTCAAAAAAAGATGCAGGAAAAAAAGAGCTCAGATGGTGACATTTATTTCAATGAAGTAAAAATGAGCACCTACCCCCAATATTCAATTCCTGGGTCAATTATGCATTAAATCTAAGTAATTAAAAGCAAGTTTGAGAGACACAGATTAAGAAATCAACCTCTCTGAATTATGATATACTTAAACCCCACTAAATCCTAGAAATGGTTAAAAGGGTACATTAAAACTGCACTTGTACCCTCTGAAATTTTATGAGCACTTTATAAACCCTATAACGCCTAAGGCATGATCAAACTAGTCAGAGTGGAATCCAGAAAAGTAGACACTGGAAAATGTTTTCACTGAAGTTTCTATGAGAGATTTTTTTTCACAATGAGGGCTATTAAACTCAGCTTTTCTTGATTTCTTAAGTAAACATACAAGTTGTATTTTATAAATGTACAGACTACAGATAAGTACTCTCTAAACTGTGACTCTACCCTCTTTTTTTTAAACCCAGCCACTAATTATCCCCAATGTTTATGACTTACATGACCATAATTAGTAAATAATCATGACTCATAACCTGCTTAAAGCTACAGCAATTATTGCAGAACGTCTGTATTTTCCTGACTTAGCTATGTGAAAATAAGTATCTAGGATCTCTCATTTTAGAAAACAGGTGAGAAGTTAAGCATTGTAAAATGTTTACCTCACAACTCTTCTGATCTTGGGCAAGTTTGAATCCTTTCTTCCCATCACAATAGCAAGTGTAACCTCCAGGGTAATTGACACAAAGCTGAGCACACATGTTCTCAGAGCATTCATCTATATCTGAGGTAAAAAAAACACACGCACACAAACTTTAATATCCCCTAAATGTTCAATCTTATAGGCAGAGGAATATTATGATTGTAGTATGATATAATCAATGATAATCGAACCTTAGGGAAAGAAATACTATGACATCAAACTACATTTAAACATAATACTGAACATGGAAATTTAAACGAGTTACAAGTATAGTTTTTATTTACATATTTGAAACAAAAATTAATTTATAACTTTCAGTGATTAAGTAAAGTATAACAATTCTACCAAATTTCTCATTTTGAATTTGAAGAAAAAAAAGATTGAGAATCTCAACTTAACTGTCATTTCTGATCATTTGAATTTCATTGAGATTACCTCACAATTCATTGCTTTGAAAAAAAGAAAAAAGAAATGAGAAGGGAAAGAGGAAGGGAGAGCATGATGGGGAAGTAAAGGAAAGGAAAGTTAGGGAAGGGAAGGGAAGAAAAGACCCCTTTAACTGAAGGTTGATACAATCAGGAATTAAATGACAATATCAAGAACATTGGAACACTCATAATGCGATAATTAATGTTGGCAGTGAATTTAGGGAAATATCTGTTTTTTTTTTTTTAAAAAACCTCACTGTGATGTAATCTCCCATATTATGAAATCTTCTATATGGTCCCTGTCCCTACTCCATATTTTGAGAAAATCATTCTTGGAAATTTATAATATTATGTTGAAGCAAACATCTATCTCAGAGTTATATAAGATCATTGACATTTTCATTGGATATGCCCTATGACCTTTAAAACTCCACAAGCTCATAAATGCTATTATTGAATATGTTCTCATAAAATAATTTAAAATAGATTCCCAAAATTAATAATCCTTAGTATTAAAATTGCATATTATTAAAGTTATAGATAAGAGTCATATATAAATCTTTTTAAAAAATATGTCATTCATTAAATAAAACTACAATACAAGTGATGAAGTTGGCTAATGATAATTCCGCAGACATCTAGAGTTTTCCACGGTAATTTCTATCTGCAATGGTGAGAAAGGAGAAATGTGTTGCGGGGGCTGGCAGGGGAATATTTTTGGTGATTGCAAAAGGAGATGATAGGACATCAAAATCTCAAAAGCAGCATACGTAGTTAAAAAATATATTGTAAAATTATTATTGATTTAGGCAACTTCATAGAGACAGAAAACAAGATTAGAGGTTACCGCCATCAAGGTAACTAATAAAAGAAAACTCACTGCTTAATGGTTACTGCTTAAGAGTTTCTGTTGGGGCTGATGAAAAAGTTTTGGAAATAGCAGTGATGGCTGCATAATGGCATGAATGTAATTAATGCCACTGAACTGTACATTTAAAAATGGTTAAAAGAGTACATTAAAACTGTACTTGTAGCCCCTAAATCTATTTTTTAAAAGGTACATTATACATGTGTGTGAATATACATACATACATATATATATACAGATACAATAGAAAAATTAGTGTTGATTAGTTCCAGCCATGGCAGTAAATCTGTTTTAAAATTTTAAAAAATCGAAAGGAAGGTATGAGATAATCTGTATATCATAATAAACAAACCTACAAACAAACAACTATAATATGTTGAAGCTTCCTGATGCACACAGGGCAGCGCCACTGCAGTCACATGAAGTAACAGCACCTTTAAGGGGTTGCCCCAAACCCACAGGCTCTGACATTACCGATCAGTATTTCTTAAATTTCTAGAGTATTGTTATCATTTCTTTATCATGAGATAATAGAACTGTGTCATTTTTTATTTTAGAATAAATGATTTATTTATATATGCACAGAAAAATCACTGAAAAGCTTGGAATAAAAACTAAAGTTTTAACCATGCTCATTGTCTCAATAAGATGATTTTTAAGCTTGTGTCTTTCTTTTCTATCTACTGTTTTTCCTTCCAAAGTGAAATTCTCTTTATCTTTGAATATGATATAAATGATGTGAAAATATGTTTATCTTGTTTTTACCACACATGGAGGTCTCCAATTCATAGGTAGCTCAAAGGGCCAACTGGCGTGCCTAACACCAAACTTAAAGACCATATGCCTTACATACTCTTGCTCTGGAAGGAAGGAAGCCAATGATTACCCAATTGAACAAGCTATATTAGGGATAAGAAAATATGACTGTTGATGTCAAACAAAGCCAATGCTTTTAAATATCAGTTCAGGGTTCACACCCACCCTCTCCACCATCAGTAATGATACCACCATCATCCTACCTTCACAAGACTTTGATTTGAGATTATATCTGTAGCCTTCGGGGCATTCACATTCAAAATCTCCTGGGATGTTCTTGCACACAGCTGTGCCACAAATGCTTGGCTTCAAAGAGCATTCATCCACATCTATAAATAAAATCACTATATTAAAAAACATTTTTCCCATACCAGCAGACACTACCAAAGAACCCTTGATTTGTGTTTCCTGGATCTTGTTTAATATATGTAATGAGATAACAGATTGGCCTTTGGACCAAAAAACATTAAATCTATCATCATATGTTAGCTCACTAAATATGATTTCTTTCTACAAATGCAGAGGGAAATTTGATTGATGTTTGCCATGTTCCTTTCTAGTTATGTTAAGAAGGAGAAAGCTTTAGAAATTTTCTTATCTGCCAGGTTGTGGTGCGAAAATAAATGGAGGTCTTGAAAACAGATTCACTCCATATTATCACAAGTATTTTTTGTACATGGGAAGGCTCATCTCTTCTATCTTGTTTCTTTGGAAATGAACAAACATCTAATTAGTACACTACTATTGTTGTCTAAAGTAGACAATAGTGATTCAAATTTAAAATAAGATTAAGGTCTCTAAGTACTTATAAATCTGCAGTTAATCCAATATGAATTTAGTGCTAAATGAATATTCCAGAAATTTCAGATGCATATATTATATTGCCAAATGAAGAAGGAGATAACATATTGTTAGCAATTAGTTACTAGATGAGCACCTGTGAAGAAAACAAAACATGTGACAGAAATAGTTCAATGGAGACGGAATTATTAGTGAACTATTCTGTGTACTCTCTGGAGAAAGACAAATTCAGAACAGAAAATATGTTTTCTATTCTAAAAGTTGACAGCTTTTTTTCCAGATTAATAGTCAAAATTTAGGATATTATTTAAAATAACTTGCACAAAAATAATAAAACCAGTTCCCTTGTAGGAATTTTTCTATATTTTGACTGTATCATTGTCAATGTCTTGAGTGTGAAATTGTACTATCATTTTGTAAACTCTTACCACTAAGGGAAAATGGGGTAAAGGGTATATAGCATCTCTCTGTATTACTTCTTACAACTTCATGTGAATCTTTAATTAATTCAAAGTAAAATATCCGATTTTTAAAAAGAGCTAAAAACTCTATGTTTTTGAAATAAAGTAAGCCTGAGCAACAGTGGGACACTGTCTCTACAAAGTTTTTTTTCTTAATTTAGCCAGGAGTGGCCGGGCACAGCAGCAGTGCTGTAATCCTAGCACTTTGGGGGTCAAAGTGTTCGAGACCAGCCTGAGCAACATGGTGGAACCCCACTTCTACATATTAAAAACAAAAAAGGAAAAGAGAAAAAAATTAGCCAGGAGTGGTGGCATGTGTTCTTGTTACTAAGGAGGATAAGGCAAGAGGATCACTTGAACCCAGAAGCTGGGGTGCCTTGAACTATGATTGCACCACTCCACTCCATCCTGGGCAACAGAGGGAGACCCTGTCACTAAATAAATAAATAATAAAATAAAATAAAATCAGTAAAAATATGTCAATAAGTGTATTTGGTTTGAGGCATATTGCAGGGAATTATTTAGATCATACAAGTTTAAGTTACAGTACATTGGTTTTATGACTCCAAACTGACATCTAATGTCTGACTGAAAGGTTGTATTCTTTCAGCTGGGCACAGTGGCCCATGTCTGTAATCCCAGCACTTTGGAAGGCCAAGGTGGGCAGATCACTTGAGCTCAGGCGTTCAAGACCAGCCTGGTCAACATGGCAAAACCCCGTCTTTACCAAAAAATACAAAATTGGACAGGCGTGGTGGCATGCGTCTGTAGTCCCAGCTACTCGGGAGGCTGAGGCAGGAGAATCACTTGAACCCGGGAAACAGAGGTTGCAGTGAGCCGAGCTCACACTACATTCCAGCCTGGGCATCATAGCGAGACTCTGTCTCAAAAAAAAAAAAGAAGAAGAAGAAGAAAAGAAAAGTTAAGCTTTATTCTTTCATCTTTAGACAGTTACTGGCAACTGGATCCCAACCATTTCTACATCTTGGCAAAGGTCTCATTGTAATAGTGTTTTTTGTGGTTTTGGTTTGTTTGTTTGTTTGTTTGTTTTGAGACAGATCTGTTGTGATCTCAGCTCACTGCAAGCTCTGCCTCCCGGGTTCACGCTATTCTCCTGCCTCAGCCTCCGGAGTAGCTGGGACTACAGGCACCCGCCACCACCCTGGTTAATTTTCTGTATTTTTAGTAGAGACGGGGTTTCAGCGTGTTAGCCAGGATGATCTCGATCTCCTGACCTGTTGTTGATCCACCCACCTCGGCCTCCCAAAGTGCTGGGATTACAAGCATGAGCCACAGTGCCTGGCTGTAACAGTTTTTTATATATTCTTCTATCTGTTTTATACGTTATTACTTACATATCATGACTAAACAATAATGCAAATGAATATAAGAACAGATGTGGTCATCAGGAACATTCCTATTAATAAGAGCACTTTTGTAATCATTTACACATATATATGTGTATTAACTGAGTGGATAAGAATTAAATACTTTTTAATTTTTAAAAAGTCACAAATTTGGCCAGGTGTGGTGGCTCATGCCTGTAATCCCACGACCTTGTGAGGTTGAAGTGGATGGATCACTTCAACCCAAGAATTTGAGACCAGCCTGGACAGTATGACAAAACTCCATCTGTCTCTGTACAAAAGCTACAAACATTAGCCAGGCATGGTGGTGCACACCTGTAGTCCCAGCTACTTGGGAGGCTGAGGTGGGAGGATCTCCCAGGAGGTTGAGGCTGTATTGAGTTGAGATCGTTCCACTGCACTCCAGCCTAGGTGACAGAGCAAAACCCTATCTATCTTAAAAAAACAATAAAAACACAAATTCTTTAGAAAGAGACTATTAAAGTATTTAAGCGTAGAAGTAAGAATGGGTACTATTTGTTTACAAAATGCATATGGTATCCAGCATTGTGATGGTTTTTCTATCACTCATGTCCTAATGACAGTCTTTTTTTTTTTAATTATACTCTAAGTTCTAGGGTACATGTGCACATTGTGCAGGTTAGTTACATATGTATACATGTGCCATGCTGGCACGCTGCACCCACTAACTCGTCATCTAGCATTAGGTATATCTCCCAATGCTATCCCTTCCCCCTCCCCCCACCCTACAACAGTCCCCAGAGTGTGATATTCCCCTTCCTGTGTCCATGTGATCTCATTGTTCAATTCCCACCTATGAGTGAGAATATGCGGTGTTTGGTTTTTTGTTCTTGCGATAGTTTACTGAGAATGATGATTTCCAATTTCATCCATGTCCCTACAAAGGACATGAACTCATCATTTTTTATGGCTGCTTAGTATTCCATGGTGTATATGTGCCACATTTTCTTAATCCAGTCTATCATTGTTGGACATTTGGGTTGGTTCCAAGTCTCTGCTATTGTGAATAATGCCGCAATAAACATACGTGTGCATGTGTCTTTATAGCAGCATGATTTATAGTCCTTTGGGTATATATTCTAAGTAGTCTCAAAATCCAAACTCAAACAGACCTTCAAATAGGCAGATAAGAAAGATACATGATCACAAATTGGATAACTGTTTAGAAGAATTTGTTGTTAATGTAGTTCACTTTAGAGTCATTTAACTGCAGTTTAAATAATATTATAGTACATTTTATCATACTAAACACTGCTATTCAGTAAGAGATGGATGATTTGAACATGAATCCAATTTAGGGCTTTACCAAAATATATATAAAATAAAGAGTCGAACAAGAAATTCACATTTTAACTTACTTTTTTTTTTAACATTTTAGCAAAACAAGCAAACAAAAAGTACTGGAGGAGAGAACTTGGATATTATATTGTATCCAGTTTCTAAAGGCAAATTTTAAGTCCAGGTGGGAAATTTTATTTTTAGTCATCCATACACCTGGTATGAATACTTGAAGATTTAGTCATAGCATTAACACAGCCAAACTGAAAGACAGTATACAAAGAGAAAAAAAGTCAAAATTTAGGGATAGGAAAACAATGAAAAACAAAACAAATACACTAGTAAAATGACTTGTTAGAAAGCTAAACTAACAGGGAATATTTAAGTCTGAAGAAGAAAAAGGAGTTATGACCAATGATATGATCTTAAAGGTATAAAGAGAAAGAAAACTAGATCTTTTACTTTCCCAAAACCACAACAGGAAATGAGGTGCCAGATGAAGGGCTGATGTTGGAAATCAGAAAAGTATTTCTGAAAAGGAAAAATAAAATACAATGGAAGAGGTTATTGCAGTGGATTTCTTTCTATGGCTATGTATCTTACTAGAAGAGAATAAAAAATATAATGTCTGAAAACAGGATAAACAATGATTTTGCAAAGTTTGTAGCATGCAAAGACTTGCATTGAAACATCACTTTATAATGAAATTCCTTATTGAAACATACACACAAGTGTGTACACGCACATACAATAAGAAAATTTTTAAAAATTGTGTTATCAGTACTGTAAACTAAAATGCAGGCCAGGCAGAGAGCTCCCATCTGTAAACCAAACACTTTGGGAGGCTGAGACAGGAGGCTCACTTGAGTTCAAGATCAGTTTGGGCAACATGATTAACCCCATCTCTACAAAAAATACAAAACAAAACTAGCTGGGCATGGTGGCATGCACTTGTAGTCCCAGCTACTTGGGAGGCTGAAGTCAGAGGATCAATTAAGCTCGGGAGGTCAAGGCTACAGTGAGCCATGATGGAGCCACTCTACTCCAGTCTGGGAGACAGAGTGAGACCCTATCTCTCAAAAACAAACAAAAGCTAAAAAGCAGTTCCACAGTATCACAAGGCTTCAATGTCGATAAAAATGTGTTAGTATAAGCACTTACATATCATTTTTCCAAAAATTTGCTAGTAAAATTTCTCTAACTGGGATTATTCTCACATAGTAAATGTGTTTTAATTCTACCATCCTGCTCTTACCTTTACAATCTTTCTTATTTGAAAGCATAACAAAACCATTTTTACAGGAACAGTGGTAACTTCCAGGTGTATTATCACAAATTTGACTGCAACCTCCATTTATATTTGAGGGATCTTTGCATTCATTTATGTCTAAAACAGGAAAAAAATAAATTATTTTTAAAGTAATATAACCTGCAGAGAACTTTTCAGGAGACCAATCCTGATGAGCTGGGGGGCGGGGGTTATTATACGTACCAAATTCACACTTTTCTCCTTGCCAACCTGGTTTACAAGTGCAAGTAAAAGAAGCTTTTCCATCTTTGCAGCTCATATATCCATCTTCATTGCATGGCAGAGGACTACACTGGTCTGGAATGGCTGAAGGAAATAGACATCTATTTATTTTTTTTATCTCATGTCATGGAAAAATAAAATTGTGTGTACTATAATAAAAATCCTGAAGCCTAGAACCAATGAAAAAAAAACACACAACTCCTTTCTTTAAATAATACTTTTCCTAAATTAAAAAGTGAGCCTATTAGGCAAATCTTTATAATTATTTTGTAAAAATAAACTACAGATGGCAGCAGTGGCCCATGTAGAGTGGCCGCTGCCAAGACGCCAGCTGCAGTGGGGATGTGGGCCAGGGCCTCCCACTCCACAGAGCAGATAGGAGCCCCACACTCCCCGGATGCTGCTGCAGCTTTCCTGTCGTGGCTCCGGACCCGGGTGTCTCTGTGCTCTTGGGGGCCTGCTCCCGCTGCCAGGCTTCTCCCCGCAGCAGGCATCCACTCTGATCTTAGAGGCATGGCCAGGGCTGCACGTGCCATGGAGCTGGTAAAAGCCAAGGACAAGGGGGAGCTCCACTCCTTCCAAACTGGTGGGACAAGAGTCCCCTGAGTGCAGCTGCAGCTGCCCAAGCCTGGCTGGAAACCTGGGCATCTCTGTACTCTTGAGGGCCTGGGGAGGCCCATTCTGCCCACCACAGGCTCAGAAGTGCCTGCTCTTGCTTCCTGACCTCTCCTCTCTCCTGGCACCCACTCTGGTCATGGAACAAGGTTGGAGCTGAAGCCAGCTGTTGTCGCAGCCTAGCTGGGTGGGCATAAGCTCAGGGCAGCGCTAACATGCCAGCACCCTGTCCCCTCCAGTCTTTGGGCTCCAACAAGCATGGGAAGGGAGCTGAGGGGCATGCTGAGGGCAGCTCAGTGCTGGCCTGCAGGCACCCCCTTGGCACAAACAGCCTGGGTGCCATGAACAGTGGCAGGAGGTAGACAGCTTCCTAGGTGGAAAAGGGTAGGTCCCCTGTGAAGTCCCACCTTCAGGCTGGGGAAGGCCTGAGGCCTGTGGGCTGGGCTACCAGTCCTGCTGACTGATGGGGGAACACTGGGTGCTTTTTCCTGGGCCCACCCATGGCAGCCCATGGACCAGTCAGCATGCACTTTCCCTCTCTGAAGACCATAAAAACCCCAGACTCAGCCAGAGCAGAACAGATATCCAGACAACCAGCTGCAGAAAGGAGCTACCATCTCCAGGGCCTCCCATGTACTGGGAGCTGCAGACATCGAATGACCTGTCTGTAGAGAAGAACCACTGTCTCCAGGCCCTCCTCTGCTGAGAGCTGCTGATGGGACAACCAGCTGCAGACAGGAGCCACCCACTCTAGGCCTCCTCTCTACTGAAAGCTGCAGAGACAATGGGATGACCTGGCTACAGAGAGGAGCCACCTGCTTCAAGCCCTCCTCTCTGCTGAGGGCTGAACACTTGATGGGACAACCTGCCTACAGAGATGAGCTACCCACTGAGGGTCTCCTCTGAGCTGTTCTAATGCTCAGTAAAGTTCCTGTTCATCTTGCTCACCCTCCACTTTTCTGCATACCTCATTCTTCATGGATGCAGGACAAGAACTCAGGCAAAGGCACCACCAGCCACAGAAGTTTCCAGCCAGAAAAGCAACACCCCAAAGATCCCATAACACTACTTCTGGATTGCAAGTATATACAGTATTTCATAACTGTAATTTAGATATTTTTCCAAATATATTACCTCATTTGAGCCTTAGAACAATTCCATGAGGTAGACAGAACAATACTATTCTCAACATTAAGAGAAAAAGAGGCTAGGTGTGATGGCTCACACCTGTAATCCCAGCACTTTGGGAGACCAAGGCAGGCAGGCAGATCACTTGAGGCCTAGGCAACAAGGTGAAACCCTGTCTTTACGAAAAATACAAAACTTAGCGGGGCGTGGTGGCACATGCCTGTAGTCCCAGCTACTCAGGAGTCTAAAGTGCAAGAATTGCTTGAACCTGGGAGGCAGAGGCTGCAGTAAGCTGAGATCATGCCACTGTGATAGAGCCAGGCTCTCTCTCAAAAAAAAAGAAAAAGAAATTAAAATTTTCAATTTGGACTAAGATGATGTAACAAGGAATAGATTTATCTTCCTGCCTTAAATAAGTAGAACTTCAGTCTAACTATGTAAAATAATGGTTTTTCAAATATTGGAGAACAGGAAGGAGAACACCGTAATTCCTAAGGAAAAGAAAATAAACAAGCTGAGACCTACAATTGGACCACATTACTGCCTGGAGATAGCTTCTATGCAACAGTGCAAGAAACACAAACAGATCCCAGTGGTCTCCCTGGGTTGAGAAAACAAATATTGGAGTTTGGGGAGATCAAATTAGAATTCTGCTGGTCAGAGTACTATAAAGGCAGAGAGAGGGAAAAAATGTGTGTGTATGGAAAGAGAGAGAGAAAGAGAGATAGAGGAAAAGAGAAAGAGTCTCCAGAGATCTGCAAAAAGATCCCGTAGGGTCTTTGGCTGAATGATGATTTGCACAGGAAAATTTCCAGAGCTCAGAGAGGGATAGGGATAGTTTGTTTTAGACTACCCAGACCTAAAATATTTCACAGTACAAATGGCATCAGGTGGAATCCTCACAAGGACTTATTATTGAGGCTAAATTAGTTTTAAGCTAACGGCTACTCCAGATTGCCTTAACAGAGCTTAAAATCAAACCTCAAAAGATTTGTTTTTAATGTATTCCACATAAGTTACCTAAATGCCACAACAAAATCAAACACTGTTTGGAAGAAGCAAAGAAAATCCAGGACCCAGCAACATAAGCTGTAAGCTTATTTTCTTTTCCTTAGGAGTCACAGTGTTCTGCTTCCTGTTCTCCAATGTTCAAAACCATTATTTTGTATACTGACCCAAAAGAAACTCACTTGAAATATAAACACACTGGTATGTTCAAAGTTAATGGATGGAAAAGTAAACCATAAAAACACTAAACAAAAGAAAGCCAGAGTGACAACATTAATATAAGATAGATTTTAGAATAAGGAATATTACCAGAGAAAAAGAGCAATATTAAGAAGTACAAAGTAGGGCCTGGAATGGTGTTTCATGCCTGTAATCCTAGCACTTTGGGAGGCCCAGGTAGGAGGATTGCTTGAGGCCAGGAGTCTGAGACCAGCCTGGAGAACACACCCAAGACCCCATCTCTATAAAAAATAAATTAGCCAGGAGTGATGATATGTGCCTATAGTTCCAGCTACTCAGGCGGCTGAGGCAGGAGGATTGCTTGAACCTAGGAGGTTGAGGCTGCAGTGAGCCATGATTGCACCATTACACTCCAGCCTGGGCAACAAAGCAAGAGCTTGTCTAAAAAAAAAAAAAAAAAAAAAACGTACAAGTAAAGATCAATTATAGTGCCTTGTTTATTTTCTTCCTAAAATATCGAAGCACTTTATCAATATGGCAAATGACATGCCATTTGTTTTTTATTTGTAATTTCTGTCCCCTCTTTAGACACTGCAATAGTCCCTTGATTTCTGCACATATCCACACCAGCCTCTAAACTTCCCAGTCAACTGTACATGTTCTTCCCATCCTTCCAATACTTCCAATACTCCCAATACTGCCTATATTTCTATCTCTTTGCATATGTTAGCCAAAGAAAATTTTTGTTGTTAAATAAATAAATAACCAACCTAGCTAACGCCTAATTAATTCCATAATTTTTTAAAAAAGTCTTCATAGGATCGTTTTTTTTGAAATGTGGCAATACATTAGGTATTAGTTTAAAATCATAGAAAATAATAGAAAATTTTTATCAAAATTATTATTATTCTGTTCTTTCGTAAATTTTAAGAAAAGATAAAGCATGAATTAAATCATTAAATATACGTATTCAGACAAACTGTACTCCCTGTGTAATTACAAGCACTTTAAATTAGAGAAAAACACAGTTAAAAGAATATCTAGAGAATTTCAATCCTGGATGTAAAATATTCTCTGAACAAACATCACAATTTATATCCTGTGATTGCACCATTTGCTTTTACTAATTTACCAATTTACCAAAAAAGAGTCAAAAATAATGTACCAGAATTATCATTAGGCCCCTTGTGAACTTCAGAGCAAGAAAGCTAATTTGATTCACATAACATTTTCCATGTTTATATTATCAGTGCCAAAAAGTTAGAAGAATAAACATGGCTCTACTTTGAGCTATTAATCTACTGTAACATTTAGTCACACTACATGATTATGCAACAACAGCCAAAATAAAGCTGTTGGGAATAAAAATTCTGAAGCTGATAACCTTTAGGAACAGAGAACACTGTTCAGTTTAAACATTAGGCAAAAAAATTCATTTTGAGTAATACAGGAGCATTTACAACTATAAACAAGTATTAGAAATGCAGTTTGAAAATACTTCCTTGCTGGGCATACAACCCATCAAAGGATCATTTCTCAATTTTTAAACGTTAGTTTATATTACCATGGGTGTACTTTACCTACAGAGTTTTTGTTTTGTTTTTTCAATTGATGGTAGAAGTGCTTACCATTGACACAGCTTCTTAGGTCAGGATAAGCATTAGTTGACTGACGTGCAGCAGTGAATAACCCAGTTTGAAAAGAGCGAAGACAAACTGAAAATAAAAACAAACATAATCTTCTTAGAGTAGACACACATACTTGATCTGAATTCATGGTAGGAACTGTCCCAAGAGGTAGGACATTTATGCTCCTGTAGATTCACAAGATTCAGTCTTCAAAATGCAACACTAAATGTTTCCATCTACCTTTCTGAAAAATTAAAAATCTACAAGCAAGATGGCAACAGATACAGAAACATAAAAAATAAGTCTGTGACAGCTTCTTCTCTCTGGAGAAGAACCTTAAAGTCAGAAGTGAAAAAAACCTTGATTTAGCATAGAAATTTATTGTCATATAAGTCTATGTTTTTAATTCCACAGCAGAAACAAGATGTTGCCCTCAAATCTACTGACCAGAGTCTGATTTATAAAGTATATGTAATTAAGTCAATAGAATCAGTTCGTGTTTCTACTTGCTATAGGCTACTTCCAATTCTTCTCATGTTGCCCTGAGATTAATACAGTAATATTTGTATAATGCTTCTATATTACAAATCAGGTTTACTTCATTCCCTTCATTCTTCACTACAACCCTGTGAAATCAGATATAGCAACCTGGTAGATATTGCTAGGAAACTAAGAAATAACAGCTGGAATTGTAAAGATGAAATACTTTGTGACTTTAACGTAACTAGGAGTTACTTAGTGCCAAAAATATATTTCTTAAGAGGCACTAAAGACACCATATGTATTACTTCATTGTTCAGACAGTCACCAGCTTACTATAAAAAAGATGGTGTTTTACTTAGCTTTTGCCAAGGAACAAACCACCCCCAAAATTAGTAGCTTAAGTAATCATTGTATTTTTCTCATGATTTGCGGGTCAAATATTTGCAGAGTTTGGTTGGGTTGTTTGTCTCTGCTGCCAATGGAGTCAACCAGGATGGCTGGGGCAGGGGACTGCTTCCAAGATGGAGCATCTTGGAAGTTCTTTGGCATCTCTCTTTCCATATGATAGATCATGCTTCAAAGTTCTCCACGTGGGTGTTTCTCTTAGCATGCTGGTCTTAAAGTGGCACTTCTTTCATGACAGCTAGCTTCTAAGACAGAGAAAGCAAACTGCCATGGCAGTTATGGGACACTGTATAACTTCTATCATATTCTGTTGATCAAAGGGGTCCCAGGGTCCACCCAGATTCAAAGGGTAGGGTGTGGGTGGGGGATTTATTCTACCTCTTGATGAGGACACAGCAAAATGACACTGTAGAAGGGTATGTGGAATGGAAGACATTTTTAAACCATCTTTGGAAAAATACAGTGTATCACAGACAGATTAAAAGATTCATTTGAAGTCAGTATGTGTTTAAGTTACCTATGGCTGCTATGACAAATTACCACAAATTTAGTAGCTTTAAATAATAAAAATTTATTGTTTTACAGTGCCGAGAGTCCAAAACCAAAAGGGCTAGCAGGGATCCATTCCTTCTGGAGACTTCAAGGAAGAATCCCTTTCCTTGCCTTTTCCAGCTTCTAGAGGTCATCTGCATTCCTGGGCTCATGGCCTCATCCTTGTATGTCTACCAGTTCTTGCTTTATCATTCCATATCTGACTCCATATCTACTACTGACTCTAATCTCCTGCCATCCTGTTATAAGGACCCTTATGGTTTTATCGGGTCCTCTCAGATATCCCAGGATAATGTCTCCATGGAAAGATCTTTCATCACATCTGCAAAGTCTCCATTTGCCATATAAGGTAACAGTCACAAGTTCTAAGGATTAGGACATAGATATGTCTGGGGCGGGGAGGGGCAGGCAGGGTGGAGGAAGGAGGTCATTATTCAGCCTACCATGGTGAGATAGAATATTTTCCCAAATAAGTCTTACCTTACACATTGTGGGGGTGTTTCTGGAGCCCCTATCTGAGTCCACTTTGTGTTGCTATAACAAAATACCACAGACGGGCTAATTTATTAAAGAAAGAAATTTACTTCTCCCAGTTCTGGAGGCTGGGAAGTCTGATATCAAGGTGCTTTAGTGTCTCATGAAGGCCCTCTTGCTACACCATCCCACAGCAGATGGCAAAAGAGGGCGAAAGAGCAAGACGCTGAATTTGCAGCCTCAAGCCCTTTTATAATTGGTGTTAGGCTATTCATGATGGTGGAGCCTTAATGACCTAAACACCTCCCATTAGGCCCCACCTCCCAACACTGTTCCATTGGGAATTAAGTTTCCAGCACATACTTTTTGAGGGTCACATTCAAAGCCTAGTATTTGCTCCAGCCCCCAAAATTCATGTCCTTCTCATGTGCAAAATACGTTCATTCCATCTCAGTAGTCCTGATATGGTTTAGCTGTGTCCCCACCGAAAAATCTCATCTTGAATTCTAATCCTCCACAATCCCCATGTGTCAAGGGACAGACCAGGTGGAGGTAATTGAATCAGGGGGGCGATTTTCCCCATGCTGTTCTCATGATAGTGAGTGAGTTCTCATGAGATCTGATTATTACTAAGTGTTTGGTAGTTCCTTCTGCATTCGTTCTCCTTCCTGCTGCCTTGTGAAGAAGATGCCTTGCTTCCTGATATAGTTTGGCTGTGTCCCAACCCAAATCTCATTTTGAATTGTAATAATCCCCATGTGTCAAGGGCAGGGCCAGGTGGAGATAATTGAATCATGGGGGCAATTTCCCCGATACTGTGCTCATGGTAGTGAGTAAATCTCACAAGATCTGATGGTTTTATAAATGGGAGGTCCCCTGCACAAGCTCTCTTGCCTGCCACCAGGTAAGAAGTAACTTTGCTCCCCATTCACCTTCTGCCTTGACTATGAGGCCTTTCCAGCCATGTGGAACTGTGAGTCAATTAAACCTCTTTTACATTATAAATTACCCAGTCTCAGGTATGTCTTTATTAGCAACATGAAAATGAACTAATACGCTTTCCCTTTGCCTTCCGCCATGATTCTAAGTTTCCCAAGGCCTCCTCAGCCATGCTGAACTATAAGTCAATTAAACCTCTTTTCTTTATAAATTATCCAGTCTTGGGTATGTCTTTATAATAGAGTGAAAACAGACTAATATAAGCCCCAATGTATTAACTCATACTAGCACCAACTCAAAAGTCCAAAGTCCAAAGTCTCATCTAAATCAGATATGGGTGAGACTCAAGGCATGATTCACCCTAAGGCAATTCCCACCAGCTATGAGTTTCCAAAATGCAATGAGATAAGCATGATAGACGTTTCCATTACAAAAAGGAAAAACAGGTAAGAACAGTAACTGGTCCTAAGGAAGTCCAAAACCCATTAAGAAAAACAACATAAAATGTTAAAGCTCTAATATAGTTTTCCTTGACTCTATGTCCTGACTTCTGAGCACACAGGGGTAGGGGCTGAGCCCTCAAGGTCTTGGCCAGCCCATCCCTATGGCTTTGCTGGGCGTAGGCCATGCTGCGGCTCTCACAGGTTGGAGTCTTGTGCCAGCAGCTCTCCCAGACAGAAGTTGCATACTGGTAGCCCTATAGTTCTGGGCTCTCGGGGCTTCCCAACTCCCATGGCTCCACTAGGCATTGCCCTGGTGGGGGCTCACTATAGTGGCTCTGCTGCTGTAACAAGTCTTTGCCTGGACACCCCCAGGCTGCCCATAATAACCTTTGAAATCTAGGTGGAGGCCACCTTGACCCCACAGCTCTTGCATTCTGTGCACCTGCAAAATTTACACCACATGAATGCCACCAAGGCTTATGAGGTATGTACATTCCAGAGTGGTGGGTTGAGATGCACCTAGGCCCACTTGAGCCATGGATGGGATGGCCAAGGGACACTGTGCTGAAATTCAAGCAGCAGAGTCCCTAGGTCGTGCAGAGCAGTGGTGGTCCTGCAGGTGCCCCTCTGGAAACTGCATCAAGGTCTTGCTCTGGGCCAGTGATGGGAGAGGCAGCTTCAAAAATCTCTCAAATGTCTTTGAGGTCTTTCGCCCATTGTTTTGAAAAACAGCACCTGGCTCCTTTTATTTATTTATTTATTTTAATTTCAACAGGTTTTGGGGGGAATAGGTGGTGTTTGGTTACATGTATAAGTAAGTTCTTTAATAGTGATTCCTGAGATTTTGGTTCATCCATTACCCAAGCAGTGTACACTGTACCCAATATGTAGTCTTTTATCTTTCACCCCACCTCCACCAGTTCTCCGAAGTCCCCAAAGTCCATTGTATTATTCTTAAACCTTTGCATCCTCATAGTTTAGCTCCCACTTATGACTGTGAACATACAATGTTTGGTTTTCCATTCCTGAGTTACTTCACTCAGACTAAAGAGCCCCTGGCTCCTTTCTATTCATGGTAGTCTCTTTGGGAAATGGTAACTTGGGACACACCCTTGGTTTGCTCTCCTAAAGACCTTTTCACTCTTTATATGACCAGGCTGCGAATTTCCCAAATATTTTTGCCCTGATTCCCTTTTAATTGTAAATCCAAGCTTTAAATCATTTCTCTTTTTCTCATATATTACTGTATGCAGTTAAAAGTAGCCACAAAGGCTGGGCACGGTAGCTCATACCTGTAATCCCAGCTCTTTGGGAGGCTGAGGCATGCAGATCACTTAAGGTAAGGAGTTTGAGGCTGCCTGGCAAACATGGCAAAATGCTGTCTCTACTAAAAATACAAAAATTATCCAGGTGTGGTGGCACACACCTGTAATCCTAGCTACTTGGGAGGCTGAGGTACAAGAACTGCTTGAACCTGGGAGGCAGAGGCTGCAGTGAGCCAAGATCACACCACTGCACTCCAGCCTGGATGACAAAGCAAGACTCTGTCTCTAAATAAATAAATAGATAAATAAATTAATGCAGCCACACAGTTCCTTCAATATTTTGCTTAGAAATCTCTGCTATCCTAGTACTTATCTCTTAAATTCAGCCTTCCCTACAGCCCTCAGGCATGGAGATAATTCAGCCAATTTCTTTGCTACCTTGTAACAATGTTGGTCTTTACTCTAGTTTCCAGTGCTTTGTTTCTCATTTCCATCTAGGATCTCATCAGAATGGGCTTTAGCATTCATATTTCTACCAACAATCTAATCATGACACTTAAGTAATCTCTAAGAAGTTACATTCTTTTCCTGCATGTCTTCTTTTTTTTTGACCCCTCACCAGAATCATCCTCAATGCTCCATTCACAGCAATCTAGGCTCTTCCTAGCCTGCTCCTCCAGATTCTTCCAGCCTTTAGCCATTACCCAGTTCCAAAACTGCTTCCATATTTTCAGGTATTTGTTATAGCAGCAACCCAATGTCTGGCACCAATGTTTCGTCTTAGGCCTTTTTGTATTGCTATAACAGAATACCACAGACTCAGTAATTTATAAAGAAAAAAATTATTTTTTACAGTTCTGGAGGCTGGGAAGTCCAATATTAAGGTGCTAATCATCTGGTAAAGGCCTTATTACAGCATCATCCCATGACAGAAGGTAGTAAGGCAAAAGGGTACAAGAGATAGAGAGGGGAAGGGAGCCAAACTCAGCCCCAGTAAAACCTAAGTAGTTTTAGGTCTCGAGTAGTCTTATCTTTGGTTCATTTGTCCTTCTTCTTGAATCATCTACTTTCAGACTTCATTTATTCTTGTGTGAAGACTTCATTAGAATCATCGTTTTTGAGAAAGCTTCATTTCGCATCTCTGGCAAATTTTACAGTGAATACAGCCAAAATTTGAAAGCTCTGAGGCTGGAGACCCAAGTGAAATGTTTCATATGAGTTTAGAACCCCAGGCCAGACTACATTAGCTTAAACACATAAGGCACATTATATAGAAGCCTACATTAATATTCATGATAATAATTTCATGGAAAAGTGTGTTCAGAATTACAGTGTGAAGAGCCATTTGCTTTGCTACTCCAAAGCAGTGTAATACAGAACCCTCATATTCCCACTTCTCTTTCTTACCACACAACAGGAATAGTAAAAATTGAGGAGGGTAAACAGGAAGGTGAAAGTTGGAGGGAGATTGTCTCTGCTTCTGTAAACTGATGCGGAAGCTCCCACAAGAAAAGGGATTAAAAACAGAAATTAGGACCACAGGAGAGAAAGGCTAAGAAACAGACCCTTTCAAGAGAGGTTCTGGTGGTCAAGGCATGACCTCTTAGGAAAAGATCTTGCTACATGTACCTTTACTTATATTTTTCACTATTAGTTTTATTAACAATCAAACTGGTTTCCTTTTGCCGCTTTCTATAGGCACCACTATCCTAGCTATCTTGATTTGTCAATTCTAAAAAATAGTTCAAACAGCCACTGACTCCTAGACAAAGGTTGTACTGGAATTATAATGGATCAAGAGTCAGGTAAATTTTTTATTTCTCTAAGAAACTACTTTATACCCCTCTGTCTTTAAGTCACAGAAGACGCATCACATAAAAGGCTGAATGTTTGCTTGTTTTGACTGGAGGAGCACAAGGCTGAGTTATTCATACCCCGCCCCTTTGACAGTATATTATGATCGCTGGTGTTTGAAAATCCCATTACTTGCTTTCAAAAAATACATACATATTCCTTTCTGTCTCCATTTCCTCCATTTCCACTTTCATTCACCCTTTAGGCAGTCATTCTAATGGGTTATGTGGTTTTTGTTTTTTTGTTTGTTTGTTTTGTTTTGTTTTTTGTTTCTTTGTTTTTTTCTTTGAGACAGAGTCTCTGTCGCCCAGGCTGGAGTGCAGTGGCACGATCTTGGCTCACCGCAACCTCCACCTCCTGGGTTCAAGTGATTCTTGTCCCTCAGCCTCCCCAGTAGCTGTGAGAGGTGACAGCGTGCTGGCAGCCCTTGCAGCCCTCGCTGCTCTGGGCACCTTTTCTGCCTGGGCTCCCACTTTGGCGGCACTTGAGGAGCCCTTCAGCCCACCACTGCACTGTGGGAGCCCCTTTCTGGGCTGGCCAAGCCCAGAGCTGGCTCCCTCAGCTTGCAGGGAGGTGTGGAGGGAAAGGCGCGAGGGGGAACAGCTGGAGTTCCTGGTGGGCGTGGGCTTGGCGGGCCGGCACTCGGAGCAGCCGGCCGGCCCTGCCAGCAGGGGCAATGAGGGGCTTAGCACCCGGGCCAGCAGCTGTGGAGGGTGTACTAGGTCCCCCAGCAGTGCTGGCCCACTGGCGCTGCGCTTGATTTCTCGCCAGGCCTTAGCTGCCTCCCTGCAGGGCAGGGTTCGGGACCTGCAGCCCACCATGCCTGAGCCTCCCCCGCCTCTGTGGGCTCCTGTGCCATGAAGCCTCCTTGATGAGCCCCACCCCCTGCTCCAGGGCGCCCAGTCCCATTGACCACCCAAGGGCTGAGGAGTGCGGGCACACGGCTTGGGACTGGCAGGCAGCTCCACCTGCAGCCCCAGTGCAGGATCCACTGGGTTAAGCCAGCTGCGCTCCTGAGTCTGGTGGGGCCTTGGAGAACCTTTATGTCTAGCTCAGGGATTGTAAACGCACCAATCCGCACTCTGTATCTAGCTCAAGGTTTGTAAACACACCAATCAGCACCCTGTGTCTAGCTCAGGGTTTGTGAATACACCAATTGACACTCTGTATCTAGCTAATCTGGTGGGGACGTGGAGAAACTTTGTGTCTAGCTCAGGGATTGTAAACGCACCAATCAGCGCCCTGTCAAAACAGACCACTCGCTCTATCAATCAGCAGGATGTGGGTGGGGCCAGATAAGAGAATAAAAGCAGGCTGCCCGAGCCAGCAGTGGCAACCCACTGGGTCCCCTTCCACACTGTGGAAGCTTTGTTCTTTCACTCTTTGCAATAAATCTTGCTGCTGCTCACTCTTTGGGTCCACACTGCCTTTATGAGCTGTAACACTCACCACGAAGGTCCGAAGCTTCACTCCTGAGCCAGCGAGACCACAAACCCAGCAGAAGGAAGAAACTCCGAACATCAGAAGGAACAAACTCCTGATACGCCGCCTTTAAGAACTGTAACACTCACCGCGAGGGTCGGCGGCTTCATTCTTGAAGTCAGTGAGACCAAGAACCCACCAATTCTGGACACAGCTGGGATTACAGGCCTCGCCACCACTCCTTCCTTCCTGGCTAATCTTTATATTTTTACAAGAGATGGGGTTTCATCATGCTGGTCAGGCTGGTCTCGAACTCCTAACCTCAAGTGAATCATCCTCCTCAGCCTCCCAAAGTGTTGGAATTACAGGCATGAGACATCATGCCCAGTGGTTATGTGTATTTTTAAAATTTGTAAGTGTTCTTGAAAATATATATTTACAATTTCATTTCCATGTTTTTTTTCACGTGTGTAAATGGTTTTGTGTTATATATCACATCCTCTAATTTTTTTCTCAGAACTTGATTTTTATGATCAATCCATGCTGCTACATATAATTCATTGCTACTAACCACTAAGTGTTACACCACAGTATGCAACCACCACTTTATAATTCTCTCTACCCATGATAAGACACTCAAATTACCTCCAACTTTCTACCTCTACAAGAAGGCGGAAAGTACATCCTCATGCATGTCTCCTTAGTACCTGCATAACAATTTCTTTGGAATAGATACCCAGTGGTGGAATTGTGTGATCATTAAATAGGAATGTACTTAATGGCTCTCAGAGGTGCATTCTCACCAGTGGAGTATAAGGATTTCTACATCCTTGCTTTCTAATTTTTGGCAGACTAATAGGTAGTAAAGTAATATCTCATTATTTTTCTGATTTCTAAGGAGAGGCAGCATATTTTCATGTCATTTTCCAAATCTGAAAGTTTTCTTCTTTGAAAATTTTCCCTATTTTTTTTTTTTACCATTTTTCTATTGATCCTTATTTGTTTTTCCTGCGGATTTGAAAAAAAATAAACATTTATAAATATCACCTCTTGATATTTATATTTTTGATATTTATTTGACAGAGACAGATCTGTCATTTGTCTCTTAATCTTACTATTCATGTCTCTCTTGTAAGATAAATTCTTAATTTTGTTATAATCCAATTTATTATTTCACCTTACAGCTTGTGAATTTAAAATTTTCCCCCATGTCATCAGTCACAAAGATATTCTCCCATATTGTTTCTTTAATTTCATGGTTTTATTTTAACATTTTTGTCTTTATTCCATCTAGAATTCACCTTTACACTTGGTGGTAATTAGAAACCCATGTTTATTTGTCTGCTAATAGCTGGCCATTCTTCGCAATACCATCTTTAAATAATCCACAGTGACTTACAGTATCATCTTTATCAAATATTAGGTTGTCATAGATATGAGCCTTTCTCTGAACTTTCTGTTCAGTTTCATGTTCTGAAAATACCATATAGTTTTATTTCTATAGCTTTATATTATTAATATTTGATAAGATATTTCTCTCTTTTGTATTTTAGACATGTGTGGACTTTTAGTTCCTCAGTTAAATTTTAAAATGAGTTTACTGAGTTTCTCAAAAATATTTTTTTAAACAAGATTGCTCTGAACATATAAATTTGAGGATGGCCACACATAGTACCTCACACCTATAACCCCAGCACTTTGGGAAGCCCTGGCAGGAGGACTGCTTGAGCCCAGGAGTTTGAGACCAGTGTGGGCAACATAGTGAGACCCCATCTCTAAAAATATAAAATATAATAAAATAAAATAAAATCAATTTGAGGAGAACTGATCACTGTATAGTATCACTCAATTCAAGATCATGAAATATCTTTCCATGGTTTTAATTCATTTTCTAAGTCTTCAATTTGAGTATTAACATTTTCTCCATAGGGTTTTTATGTGTTCTTAAGATATTTCTAGATATGTTATGGGATTTGCTGCTATTGTGAATGCTATCATCTTTTTAATTTCTACTAGACTACTGCTTGCATAAAGAACTACTATGGATTTTTATAGGAGAGTCATAGAATTATCTAAATACCTTATGTGTTCCTATATTTTGTCTATGGATTCTATTTTTTTCCAGTATTATATCTATTAAAAGTAATGACAGGAATATACTATAGCTTATGATCTATACAATCCCTATTTTTCTTTTCTTATTGCATTGAATGTAACCTCCAGTACTTTTCTTTTTGTTCTCAACCATAAAGAAACTATACCTAAATTTTATTCATTAGGTATAATGTTTACTGCAGATTTTGTTCACTTTCTTTTTCTTTTCTCTCTCTTTCTCTTTCCATCTCTCCCTCCCTCCCTCCTTTCTCATGCTAATTTGCTCAAAACAACCCTATCTTATTCTTGTTCTAGCTGACATTACCTTATGCATTATTAATCCTGAACTGAAGTGTGAAAATTTGGAAGATTAATTATATGGTTATTCTAGATTTAACCTTTATCAAGCTCAGAAACTTTTCTTATATTCTTAGTTTGACAAAAACTTTTATCATAACTAAGTAGTGATCTCTATCAACTGCTTTTTCTGTATGAACTGAGGTAATAATATACTTTTAGTGGTGGGGTCTTACTATGTTATCCAGGCTGGTATCAAACTCCTGGCCTCAAGTGATCCTCGCACTTCAGCCTCTTGAGTGGCTGGGATTACGGGCATAAGCCACTGCACCCAGCTGATTTCCTGATGTTAACTCACCTTTAAATTTCTGGAATAATTCTACTTGATCATGATATTATTTTTAACACACTTAAGATCGGACTGAATATCATTTTATTTAGAATTAATTCAAAATCAAAAGGAATGCTATTTTTCTTTTCTTTTATTCCCTCACTTAAATTTTAAAATGAGTTTACTAAATGTCTTTATTTGATTTTGGAGTCAAGATTACATAAGCCTCTTAGAATAAGCTCATTTTTTAAGGACAATATCTTAATAAGGGAAACATTAACAATTTCTTAAAATTTGGAAGAGTTCATTTGTAAAACCATCTGGATCTGGGTTTCGGGAGAAATAGGAAGAAGAGGGCTTTGGCTGCGGTTTTAACTTGTTTAATACTCGTTTGTATAACTAAGTTCTCTATTGCTTCCTGTGAAATTACAGATATTTTATGTTTTTCTAGGAACACATCCATTTTATTTAGGTTTCCAAGTGTATTTAATATAGCTGTTTGTAATATTTTATGATAATATTTTTAATCTGTGTTGAGTTTAGAATATTTTCCCTTTCTATCTTGTACTCTATGTATTGGCATTTCCTCTTTCTCTTTTTTGTTTTTCCTTGATTATTCCTGCCAGATGTCAGTCTCACTTACTAACCTTTTCAAAGAATGAGAATGTGCTTTTGTTAATGCTCACTTTTGTTTTTCTATTCCACTTATTTCTATCTCTGTTTTTGTTATTTTAAAACTTCTTGTTACTTGGGGTTTGCTCTATTGTATTTTTTGTGTTTGTTTTCTCAATTGGAAAGTTCATGTCATTTTTTAAATTATCAAATCTGTTTTGTCACTACTGCCTTGTCAGTTAGAACCCAATCCCCCACCACACATACCAGCAGGTCAGGCCAGCTTTTCGCCTACCCAGGCATTTCTTAAACTTCTTTTTGTCATTTTATTTTGTTATTATTAGTGCTTGGAATCTTATTGTTTCTTTAGAGAAGATTTGAAGGGAGGGAGTCAGCATTCTGAGGTAATTCACCAACTTATCTTAGAAACTAAAAATAATTTCTTTTTTTTATTTTTCAGGTTTTTTCCTTATTTTATTTTTTGCCAGCTCACATCAAAAAATGATTTCTAATGTTTATATTTAGGCTCAGAGTTCACCATTCTTCCCAGGAAGTTTCTCTCTCTTTACTAGAAACACTCACTCTATTAGGTGATACTAGGCCTATGGAAATGGTAGTTATTTATTCCACTTCTTACAAAAGAGAAGAACACAATTTAAAAACTATAATGAAACCCAGAGTACTTATTTCCAAATCGCATGTTTTCAAGATAGTACATGGAATATGTAGGCCAATTGAAGTGCTTTATCAGCCCCTGAAAACGAAGTCTAAATATTGCCCCAAATATATGGGTTACAATTTTTTAATTTCTTTGGTGACCTTATCTCACTACAGGGACCTTCCTGTATGAGCTGTTGTAGTTAGTAAAACTACTGTTAGATTTACCAGAGAAAGGACTGTTTTGTTTTGCTTTTCAAATTAGAGCCATTGGCCTATAGAATATACACATCAAATAACAAAAAAAGTGTAACTTAGGCAGGACATTTTTAAAAATTGTTTTTAACAGTGGAATTCACCACACATGCCTATATACAAATAAAGACCAAAATATGAAATTTAAATTAAAAAAAATCATAATAAAAAGTATATTTTTGTTTCACATGATGGGTTGATTAAACAAGAATACATCTGAAGAAATTTTGACACATTAAGTTATTTATGTACGTTGACATATTTGGTGATTTAAAAGCTCTGAAGTTAGAAAATATAGTTACAGTGCACACTTAAAACTACAGAAGCTGGAAAGCTAAACAACTTGTTTAATCTGAAACAGTTAAAAATTTTTAGGTCTGAGCCTGGATCCCACATCTTGTGTTTTTGTTTTAGTTTGTTTTATTTTATACTTTGGTTTTTTTTACCATGTTGCCAAATGAGATAGGCAAAGAGAAGAGTTGGGCAGGGCCAGAAAAGCGGAAGTTAAGAGAGATACAAGGATAAAATTATGAAAAATATTTTATCTAAGGAACTTCCCCAGAACACATAATGCTGTATTAGCATGGTATTTATCTTTATCCAAATGTACTCTGATCAAAGGAATGTATCCTCTACAGTATTGTGCGTGCAAAAATGCAGCCTCATTACATGGCCCTAAGAAGCAAGAGTTAACACTGTTTTTTTAATGTACACATAATATTTAACAGCCAAATATTGTCTATTTTTATTATAAAATATTTACATTTCTATCTAAAATTAAAAAGCTGAAATAGTCTTGATATACTATCTTTTCTACACTTTAATAGTACAAATTCTTGCATGTAACTTTACAAAAGAAAACATCTTTTTCATGGATATATCCATATCCCACTGCCCTTTTAAAATACAGCAGCTAAGGCTGGGCAGGGTGGGTCATGCCTGTAATCCTAGCACTTTGGGAGGCTGAGGAGAGTGGACACTTGAGCCCAGGAGTTCAAGACTACCCTGGCCAACATGGCGAAACCCTGTCTCTACTAAAAATACAAAAATTAGCTGGGTGTGGTGGCACATGCCTGTAATCCCAGCTACTCGGGAGGCTGAGGCACTTGAGAATCACTTGAACCAGGGAGACAGAAGTTGCAGTGAGCTGAGAGCAGGCCACAGCACTCCAGCCTGGGTGACACAGCAAGGCGCTGCCTCACAAAAAAAAAAAAACAGTTAACCCATGAAAACGCATATGCTCATAGACTATGTCTAGCACCTCAATATAACTGAGCATCAGCCCAAGAGCTTCATGAGAAAGACATGAGAAAGAAAAACACTAAAATTTAAAATGTCACATGGTAATTAAAGAACCGTTCCAAATTTCTCAACATGTGTTAAATATAAAGACAGCAAAATTGCATATAAAATGAAACCTCACTCCCAAGGATAATGAAATTACATTGGATGGAATAGATAGGTGGAGAGTTAGACAGGAACATATCTAAGTTCCCTTCCATTTCTAAGATTATATAATTGAGATGTTTTGAACTTACCTAAGTATTTTGGATAAAAATAATCCTAGAAAGAAGAAAAAGAAAACATATCTTAGCAAACCTAAATTTCATTATAGAGTTAAAACTTAATTTTATAATGTGTTTTTATATTAAAGATGCAAATAAGTTACATATAACCATCATTTTCACATTATAATTTTTATATAGTAAAATATACCAAGAGAAAACAATAAAATTAAGCCAGTAAGATACTTAGGCTTAAAGAAATATTGATCAATTAATCATGTTTCAAAAGCTTCTAATCTAAAAACAAGCTCTATTTAGGATGGTAAATATAATCATACATGCCCTTTTTTGTACATCCTTTAATTTTTCCATAATGATTAGATAACCATTTGACACATTTTATGTCATAATGGTCACCTACACCAGATTCAATGTTGAATCACAGTAACGTACTCTCTTTTTTTTTTTTTTTTTGAGACGAGGTTTCTCTGTGTCACCCATGCTAGAGTGCAGTGGTATGACCATGACTCACTGCAGCCTTACCCTCCTGGGCTCAAGTAATCCTCCCATCTCAGCCCCCCAAGTAGCTGGAACTACAGGTACATGCCACCATGCACAGCTGGTTTTTTGTTGTTAATTATTTTTTTGTAGAGATGGGGTCTCACTATGTTGCCTAGGCCTCAAACTCCTGGGCTCAAGCGATCCTCCCACCTTGGCCTCCCAAAGTGCTGGAATTACAGGTGTGAGCCAAGGTGCCCAGCTAACAGTGACATACTTTGAAGTGAATTAAAGTAGACATTTATCTTATACATCTTATGTACATGTAGTACCTTACCTATAAATTGGTTGTGTACCAAAAGTTTGTCTGTAAATCAGTCAATTTGGAGTAAAGAATGTGCTTTCTTAAAAAGAGAAAAATGTTAAAAATTTCTGATAGTAAGGTTCTCAGGCTAGTCCACAAAAGCATTCTTAAGCCATAATATATCTAATGTGTACCATTAACAGCACAAGAATACCTCATGAGAAACCAGAATTTCTACACAAAGACATATTCAATGTTACCACTTAGTAAGTACAGAACATAAGCTCATCCAGAACTGAGTCAAAGGCCTCATTCTTTCCTCCTCTCATATAAACCTACACAATAGATAATGGGATTCAAAGGTGATATTGCGACCGTCAAAGGAATATATTAGAGATGTTGAGGCATAAGTAGTACTGTGGGGACTGGAAATGTGGACTGTGGTATTAGGGATGTGGACAGGGAGTGGTTGGGTAGGGTCGAAAATGATCACACCTGTAATCATGAGAATTGTAACACAGTAACAAATGTTTGGTGGGGGTGGGGCAGAGGGATCACTGTGGTCACACGTGTAATCCTAGCACTTTGGGAGACTAAGGTGGGCAGATTGCTCGAGCCCAGACTGGGCAACATGGCAAAACGCCCTCTCGACAAAAAATACCAAAATTAGCCAGGTGTGGGGCTGCACACCTGTAGTCTCAGCGACACAGGAGGCTGAGACGGGAGGATTGCCTGAGCGGGGGGGTCAGGGCTGCAGTGAACCATGATCATGCCACTGCACTCTAGCCTGGGCAACAGAGCAAGACCCTGTCTAAAAAAAAAAAAAAAAAAAGTAACTTTTTTTTTCATTTCTCCCCTTTCTGTCTTGCTCTTTCTGTCATTTTTTTCTCTTCTGTCAATGAGACCAATGCTAGAATTAGTGGAAGGGAGGAAGCACATGAATGAGTTTTCCTTCCTCACTATCTTTCCTCCTCCACATCAAGGTCTTCTCCCTCACTGGGCTTTTGCTGCTTAGAGGCTAAGCTGATAGAATGTATCCATTGTGTTAGAAATACACACTCAATATTAATGAGTGATGTACTAATATGGTATCTTGGGCAGACAGGCATGCCTTACAATATTCCAGAATAACAAAACAAAAATTAGAATGGATGGGGAAAAAAATAGGTAAAACAAGAATGGCAGAGTGTTGATTATTATTAAAGGGGTGGGGGAGTTTTTATAATGAAATGTATTACACTGATCTCTCTACTTTGAGATCTATTTAAAATCTATTTAAAATTTCAATATTAGATGATACCTACAATTGTGACTTAAAATCTTTCATGTAAAGTAACAGTGGGCCGGGCGCAGTGGCTCATGCCTGTAATCTCAGCACTTTAGGAGGCCAAGGCAGGTGGATTGCTTAAGCCCAGGAGTTTGAGACTTGCCTGGCCAACATGGCAAAACCCCGTCTCTACTAAAAATACAAAAATTAGCCAGGCATGGTGGCATACGCCTCTAATCCCACCTACTCAGGTGGCTGAGGCATGAGAATCTCTTGAACCCGGGAAGTGGGGGCTACAGTGAGCAGAGATTGCACCACTGCACTCTAGCCTGGGCAACAGAAAGAGACTTTGTTTCAAAAAATAAAAATAAAAATAAATGCCAATGGAGAAATTTAATGAAGCATTGTAATAATAATCCAAACTAGCATGCATGCGTGCGCGCGCACACGCACACACACACACGTTAATACTTCAGACATCCTTTCCCCTCCCTCTAACACTATCAAATTCTGGTTAGAAGAAAATATTTGCAAACCATGAGGTCAATACTATTTGCTGATAATGAAGTGTAACTGAACTATAGTTTAGTCAGAACAAGCTGTTATTGGTGATCATGTCTGCCTAAAAAGCCCATTTTCCTTTAAAGGTACTTCCTCTCCCCTCCCCCTAACACTATCAAATTCTGGTTAGAAGAAAATATTTACAAACCATGAGGTCAATACTATTTGCTGATAATGAGGTGTAACTGAACTATAGTTTAGTCAGAACAAGCTGTTATTGGTGATCATGTCTGCCTAACAAGCCCACTTTCCTTTGAAGGTACTTCCTCCTGAAATGGAAGTGGTTATGTGTGGAAGGTGATACACAGAATTATTGACTTTAAGATGGAACAGAAGGAAGTACAGGCTGGAAATGTTCAGTCTGTAGTTGTATGTCTAGATGTGTGAACTTGATAGTTTCCATAAATGCTTACCGTTTCCGGGTCATTTTCAAAGACCTCCCTGGCTTCTTCTTTATTGCACAGTTCTTCGATGCATTCTCTTTCAAGATTACCCTGTTTGGTTTCTTCAAGTAAAGAATTTGCACGACGCTTCCTAACCAGGACTTGTGAAGCCTGTTGCTTTGACAAAACTGAAGGAAACAATCAGTTTATATGAATTAATCATTTTTCCATGTAAAATATATTGTTTTATTAAACAATAAGAGTTAAAATCATTTTCTGCCTATGAATTGTATGACATTTAAAATCAGTATGATCGAACTAAGAAAAAAATGCAGATACAGAAGCACGTTGGTTAACAATTCAGAGAGCGGGTTTGGTGTGCAGCTGCAGCCCTTGTATGATGGTCTACACAAATTATTCAGGTTTATACTTGAGGTTAAACACACCAGATAATATTCAATACTTCCTTTATTATGACTACATCAGAGAAAACATGCTGAGGCCAGGTGTGGTGGCTCACCTTCGTAATCCCAGCACTTTGGGAGGCTGATGTGGGAGGTCCACCTGAACCCAGGTGGTTCAAACCCAGCCTGGGCAAAATAGTGAGACCCCATTTCTACAAAAAACAAACATATATATATATATATATATATATGTGTGTATGTGTATATATATATATATGTGTGTGTGTGTGTATATATATATGTGTATATATATATGTATATATATATACTTGTGTATATATATATGTGTGTATATATATGTGTGTGTGTGTATATATATATATATATATTTTTTTTTTTTTTTTTTTTTGAGACGGAGTCTCGCTCTGTCGCCCAGGCTGGAGTGCAGTGGCATGATCTCGGCTCACTGCAACCTCTGCCTGCCAGATTCAAGTGATTCTCCTGCATCAGCCTCCTGAGTAGCTGGGATTACTAGAATGCGCCACCACATAAAAAATATTAATTGTTCATGGTGGTATGCACTTATAGTCCTTGCTACCTGGGAGGCTAAGGCGGGAGTGCCACTTGAGTGCAGGAATTCAAGGTTACAGTGAGCTGTGATCATACCACTTCACTCCAGCCAGTAAGACCCTCATTCTAAAAAAAAAAATCTGAAAAAAAAGAAAAAACATGATGAAATGCCTATGTCAAAAGCCATAGTCTTAGCCAGGCCTGGTGGAACATGCCTGTAATCCCAGCTATTTGGGAAACTGAGACACGAGAATCATTTGAACCAGGGAGCCAGAGGTTACAGTGAGCTGAGATCCTGCCACTGCACTCCAGCCTGGGCAATAGAGCAAGACTCTGTCTCAAAAAAAAAAAAAAAAAAGCCATACCATCTTTAAAGCAAGAGTAATAAACTTTCTCAATTTTAATGAAAAACCTTTGTGATCTCTGTGGAGATTGTTGTTGAACAGCAACAATAAAAATAACATAACAAAGTTCAATATCAAGCAACAGACTGGAGGAAAATACTTACAGCATATAGAATAGAAAAAATTGCATCCAGATAAGCCGACCAATACAGAAATGCATGCACGGTTGTATATAAAATCATTTCTAAAATATAAACAAACTATAAAGAAAACAATATAAACAATCATATAAACCATCACTACAGAGAATAAACGGGAAATAAACATTATAAAGTGTTCAAATCAAACTATTTTAAAAATTATATTTTTGCATATTAGACTGGCAAAACTTTAAAAGAATGATAATATCAATTATTGGTGAGAGTAAGGGAAAACATGCATTCTTGTACACTGGTAGTGGAGCATAAACTGGCAGGTTTTATTTGAAGGTATTTTGGTAAAATTTAAAGCACATATACTCGTCATCTCAACAACTCTGATTCTAAGTATGTCCTACATATATGCCCATGTGCTGGAAAAAATAGAATTGTTTATTGAAAGACTGTTTGTGAGATCAAAAAATTAAAAATGACTTAAATATCTATCAAGAGGGGCACAGGATCAGGCACGGTGGCTCATGCCTGTAATCCCAGCACTTTGGGAGGCCAAGGCAGGAGGATCACTTGAGCCAAGGAGTTCAAGACCAGCCTGGATGACAAAGAGAGACCCCACATCTCCAAAAAATTTTAACAATTGTCCAGGTGTAGTGGTGCACACCTGTAGTCCCAGCTAGTCAGGAGGCTGAGGCAGGAGGATCACTTGAGCCTGTGGGGGGTCAAGGCTATAGTCAGCTATGATCACACCACTGCACTCCAGTGTGGGTGACAGAGCAAGACCCTGACTTAAAAAAAAAAGAGGGGAATGGAAATAAAAGCTATAATAAACCCGTACTGTGGAATAATATGCAGTTGCTAAAAGGAAGATACTCTTGTACTGGAGATCTCAAAGATACAGTAAGTTAAAATGCAAGTTGTAAAATGCCACACTCATAGCATAATTCTCTACAAATCAGCTAAAGTAGTATATATGTAAATATCATGTGGAAAAATACACAGAAAAGAGTTTGGAAAGACAAACTGCTAATACAACAATTATATTTGGAGAAAAGTATGGAGAGTGTCGAGTTTTGGTTTATTATTTTAGCATGTTAATACAGCTTTTTAATGAAAAATGTAAAAAACATAAATAAAATCTGCAAGTAACTTTTTTCCTGATCTTAACCACAAATGGTTCTTTCACTAAGAAGATAAACAAGTAATATAAATGTCTGAATTTCTTTCCCTTTTCTTGTCTCTTATTACCTGGTAAACAATAAGCAATAAATACTCAAAAGTTGACAATAGAAGAAAGAAAAAAGCAAAAAGATTTATCAACAGTTACTATATTTATCAGTTAAGTAACTAAAAAAATCTTTCAAGAGTGAAGTAATATTACTTTATTTCTCTGACTTGCCAAAGCAGAGGTTTAAATGTAATGGATAAATAAATAAATTGTTTGGGTTAGATTTGTAACCCTATCTCTTGACATGTTTATCATGCTCATTAAAATAGAGATTAAGTCAAGGCAGAACGTATATAAAAGATGGTACTCTGTGATCATGCTATCTGCCAAGTGTGTTATTGACTTATCAATGACAGTCCTGTCAACAGTGAAAGAGCCTGACGTGGGCAATTATCTCATTTATTTTAAGTAGTTTTACGCATGCTAGTTTGTAATAAATACAGCAAAAAATTTGGACTTTTTGAACTTTACAGCAACTATGTGATTCTTTCTGGGGAAAACAATAACACTTTCATTGAAGGGTGAATACACTGATTCAATTTTAAAAATCAAGGTTAAATGCACTTAGGAAATAAAGCTCCATATATATTCACTTCTTGGCATTTTTTCCTTACACAATATTAACTTTTGGAATTAGGAGTTTGATAGTGATTTTTAAGAACATCTCTTTCCCCGTATGGGCCCCAACTAAAGGGTACAAAGCAGGTGTAATAACACATACTGTATTCATGCTTGTGAAAGCAAAGGTCTAAATCACCCAGAATAGCCAAGGTTTTTGAGTTCTTGGGAATGTCCACTTAAGTTTATAAAAGTAAACATAACCACCTTTATTATTTAAGAGATGATGAAACTCAGGTAAAAAGCATGCAACATATTTTTCCATAATTGTAAAGTGAATAAACAACAAAACTACAGCTAGATCATAGGCATCCCAACTCTCAGACCTGCAATCCATTGTTTATTGTCTGCTGCTTTTCAAAAATCAGGAAGTTTTATTGTCTCAATTGTTGAGAGGAATATTAAAAAAACAAAAACTGTTATGCTTCTGTCCTACAGGAAAATTAAGCTAACAACAACAAAAAATTTTGTCTAAATATATTTGCACTAAATTTGGATTTCATCTAGTTCAGCCCAACAATGCTTTACATTGGTATGATACATAACAATGTTCAAAGCACGAATTAATTATTTCATTTGATTTTCACATGCTGAAATAAACTATCAGACAGAATTATCATCCCTATTTTCCTATTGAAGAAATTGAAGCTGAGAGAGGTGACATGATTTGCTACGAGTTGTGCTAATGGAATTCAAATATACCCATCCCCTTAGCCCAGTGCTCTTTTCTTGAGTGTATTCTGCTACTCAAATGTCCATGATGTACCTGATTTAACTTTTTTCATTTACATATTTTTATTTGGAAATGTGTTTATCAATACAGTGAAACTAAATTATAGAGACACTGATGTCATTAGTTTAGATATAATTACTTTATAATAAAAGACATAGTAATTAACATATGATGTACGATTTTAGAACTTCAGTGGAATGGGCAGCTTCATGTTGATGCCATTTCAACAGTGAATTATTTCAGTCTACCTACTTTCCAAGAATGTCACCATCTCTAAATAAAAAAATAATGCTTGTGGTCTAGAATTACTTTGGTGCCTCCATATTCTGAGAGAAGTACTTTATCTCCAGCTTTCACACTGACTGCTTGAATCCCTTTCCTTTAGGGCCCAATCGGACAGCTACTACTGTTGCTTGCAATACTTTTCCTGAGACTTTTCTGGAAGCATAATGCCTTCTTTGGTTACGGTTTTGGCTGCACCACTTTCAGCCAAAGAACACTCGGTCAAAGAGCAGAAGAAACTTTCTACGTGTTTGGTCTCCCATGACTCCCGCTGCCACAGCTCATACTCTGCTCTTGCACAACTGCCATGAGCTGACTTTAATTTTTGTAAAAGAAATTATGTGGTTGTGCAGTGGATAAGGTCACTATCTTAAATAATTAGCTGTCCTTTACAAAATAAACCCATCCATCTAAGAGAATGGCTTTTGAAGCAGTCTACTGCTTCTTGCCAGAAAGATACAGGCATGACATCATGAACCCAAATTAAAACTACAGGACTGTTGGATGAGACAAGCATGGGGTTTGAAGTGCTTTCAGCAATTGGCTCAAAGTTCTTCTGCCCAAAAATATTCACCCTGCTGACATGCAGCAATATCTAAAAGTTCCATTATTTACCATAATAACCATGACATATGAGCACATAAATGCTGTTTTACATTATCTCCTTTAATCTGAATCATAACTGTTCTAAGTAGATTAAAATTTTCCGTTTTATATATGAATAAGCTAAAATTTAAAGTTGAGTTAATTTTAGCAAGTTCCCACAGCTGAGAACACAGACAACCAGCATCCAAACCCTGTCCTCTTTTTGTATTAGCACACTGTCCCTTACTCATTTGTTTCACTTCTTTATATTAAGAAGTATCTCAAGAAAGTCCTTGTTAAAACCCAACTATGTTGCTTGAAAAGTGTTACATTCAGATTCAAAATTTTAGGTTATAATGTGGAGTTTATGAGTCTTTCAAGATAAGAAGTACAACTGAGTCAACTTGATTTTTTTAACTTATCTGAGTCACTCCTTCAAAATAATGACCAAAGCAGGTGGAACAATTATGACAATAATAAAACCATTGTGCAAACATGAACTGGAATTCTCTTTGAAATTGTATTCACAGCCTTCATATGTTCTCTTCATGTGGGGGGTAAGTCTTTGTTTTTTGAGTGTAAATTTGATTGACTTACCTCCAAAAAATAATTTATTGTTATTGGTTTCATAAGAGCCCCTGTAATGACAGTGATGCTAGCACTCCCTCTGCTAATGCCACCCTCTGTTCAAGGAGGGCAGGACCAAAGGTCTGCAGGTTGTCCAAAACTGATCAGTCAGGTTAAGGATGAGGTGGCAGATGGAGGAGCATCCAGGTTTTAGGATAGCTTATCCTCTGAAGCTCTTCCATTTTGCTCCCTTGTTTTTTTGCAAAGATGGTTCTCACATTCTTCCCTCCAAAAGCTCATCTCTCTTTTAGTTCTGCTTTCCATCTCTCTTTTCCCTAGGCTCTTCTTATTTGGCATCTCATAAATGAAAAATTGCCCTTGAAAGAATGTTTCTGAGAAGAGAGTCTTTGGCTAGCACTTGGGTTGGCCAAGTATTTTTATCTTTGTGTGGGCTTCAGTGTTGGATGAGGTGAAGGAAAATGGCTTTCACTTTACAAATATAGAGAACCACCAGTTGATACTTTGAGACATAACTGTGCTTCACAAGTCTCAATTGATGAAACAGTATATTTTGTTTAAACCAAGACTGAGGCTGGGTACTGTGGCTCGCACATGTAATCCCAACACATTGGGAGGCTGAGGTGGGAGGATCCCTTAAACCCAAGAGTTTGAAACCAGCCTGGGCATCATAGGGAAACACCATCTCTACAAAAAATTTAAAAAGTAGCTGGGCATGGTGGCGCACACCTGGAATCCCAGCTACTTGAGAGGCTGAGGCTGAAGGATCGCTTGAGCCCAGAAGGTTGAGGTACAGGGAGCCCCGAATGTGTCACTGCACTCCAGCCTGGGTGAAAGCACAAGACCTTGCCTCAAAAAAAAAGAAAAAAAAAGCCTGAGAAAAAAGAATTGCATATATTATTTAAAAAATTAATTAATAATGGGCTGGCGTGGTGGCCCACACCTGTAATCCCAACACTCTGGGAGGCCGAGGTGAGCTGATCACTTGAAGTCAGCAGTTCGAGACTAGCCTGGCCAACATGGTGAAATGCAATCTCTACTAAAAATACAAAATTTAGCCAGGACAGATCACGAGGTCAGGAGTTTGAGATCAGCCTGGCCAATATGGTGAAACCCCGTCTCTACTAAAAATACAAAAATTAGCTGGGCACGGTGGTGCGTGCTTGTAACCCCAGCTACTCAGGAGGCTGAGGCAGAAGAATCACTTGAACCCAGGAGGCGGAGGGTGCAGTGAGCTGAGATCGTGCTGCTGCACTCCAGCCTGGGCGACAGAAAGAGACTCTGTCTCAAAAAAAAAAAAAAAAAAAAATTTAACCAGGAGTGGTGGTGGGCACCTCTAATCCCAGTTACTCAGGAGGCTGAGGCAGGAGAATCACTTGAACCCAGGAGGCGGAGGCTGGAGTGAGCAGAGATTGCGCCACTGCACTCCAGCCTGGGTGACAGAGCAAGACGCCATCACATTAAAAAAAAAAAGGCTAGTTAATAATGGTAAAAAAATAATAATAATAATGGTAAAAATGGCTGTATATTCAAAAATGTATTTAAAATAATTACATTAACTATAAAATACTTCAGTTATTTTTCATAAAGATTTCTACCACAGAAAATTTCCAACTGGAGGAAAGAAGCAATTGAAAAAATGTGAAGGTTGCCAGGATTAAGGAAAACTCAAAGATGGGTTTTTATGTAGGGATTCACCAACTATTATCCTTGCTTTTCTCTAGATTTTATATTTTGTATCACATTGAGGATTATGCTGCTATGCAACGATTTCTTCTCATATTGTGTTAAGGGTTGGAATGGGTTAAAGAACATTCTGTAATGAACTGTATCTAGGTCTTTTTGAAGGACTGAACAAATACTGACTGATGAGAAATACTTTACTAGAGTCAAAGATCATTAAGAGATAGGTGTGGATAAAGATTTAAATCCAGGGAGAGAAAAAGAAGAAGTAATCTGTGAATGAAATGTTACACATATAAAGGCGAGTTCTAAAACATTAAGGATAGGGGAGTGTAGGCTGGCATTTATTTAGAAGTAGAAAAGCCACTGGTGGAATTAAAAAAAAAATGTGACCATTGACCCTCCATTCTGGAACAGATCATTGAATGAGTACAGGAGCAATGCCTGAACTGTTTAACAACAACAGAAGTGAAACGGACCTCTCCTTACACCAAGATTTAATTATAACTTCAATTTACAGCCCCTTTCTAGGAAAAAAAAAAAAAGTCACTCTGGCGTTGTTTCCACAGATTAAAACCTTTGATTAACTAGACAGAGAAAGCAGTACACGTTAGTTATTCCCTCCAAACAGCAAATATCTTTACTCGAATGATAGAATACACGGCTTTATTACCCAGAAAAAAAGTTACACTGGCCATTTCTTTTATTTGAATTGTTTGTTCTTGGTCAGTGATCAATGAAGATGCTTCATTGAAGGGATTCAAGAGCTCAGATGTTGGCAAGGATAAAGAAGGAATTTTCTACAACTCTATTTTTTTTCTCCTGACTACTAGATTGCAAACTGGTTATGTTTCCTAATGCTACAACAGGAGGTCTTTTTCATGACATGCAGCAAGATAGTCCCACACTCAGCTTTCATTGTCTTTTTTATCTCCTACCCACTAGGACCCCAAAACATCATTTGATTTTGACATCATGCACCAAGAAGTTACTGCACAGAAAATGTTTTGTTTTTGTTCTATTTGACTTATTTTGTTACAATTACATCAATATATTAGTTCTGTGGCCTGGGTCTGTACTTATGTTTGGAAAAGCAACAGGCAAAGTGTTCCTGGACACTTAAAAAGGCAACAGTAAAATAATTCTCCTAATTTTGCAATATCGCCCTACTTGCAATAGCCCCTAGATCCCTGAAATAAGCAAGTCTGAAACTGTGCTTAGAGGCTTAGAAGGATTTCAGATATCAATGGCATTCCTTTGACTCTTAGGATATAATTTATTTTTTAAAGTGCTTATTTGCAAGTGAGATTACTTGGAATATTGGTATATCGTCAAGTGAGTCTTTCTAATTCAATGGTTTCTACCAGCATCTCAGAACCCTCTGTCAAATAACCAAAAGGCTTTAAGACACAGTCTAAATAACAGTGAAATAAAACAATAACTCATTAAGGAAAGGAGAGAATATCATTGGGCTAAGGAATCAAGGAAAAAAATAAAAATAAAACAAGCAGAAAGGAAAGAGGCAGTTAACATAGAAACTCAAGTCCACATTAAAAAAAAAAAAAAAGTCAGCCACAGACAAAATGAAAAAACTACTGTTTTTTTTTTCATAGTAAGTAAAATGATAAAATAAGCATTTTCATTGTACTTGGCAAGGTGTTATGGACTGAATGTGTCCCCATCTCCCCCCCACACCCCTTCCCCGCTCCAAATTCATATGTTGAAGCCCTAACACCCAGTGTGGCTATATTTGGAGACAGGTCCTTTAAGGAAGTAATTAAGACTAGATGGGGTCATAATGTGACCCCCTAAGATTAGTGAACCAAAAAATGGCAATAATAGACTCTGATGACTATTAAAGGGGGAAGAGAGGGAAAAGAGTTGAAAAACTAACTGTTGTTTGCTATGCTCACTATTTGGGTGACAGGATCATTTTGCCCCAAATCTGAGCACCACGTAATATGCCCATGTAACAAACCTGCACATGTATCCCCTGAATCTAAAATAGAAAGTTGAAATTATATAAATAAATAAATATAAAAGCAATAATAATAATAAAGGATTAGTGTCCTTATAAGAAGGGACTCAGGGGAGTTCTCTATAGCTCTGTTGTGCTTTCTCTATCCCCTGTGCACACACCAAAGAAAGGCCATCTGAGTAGCCAGCGAGAAGGCAGCCATTTGGAAGCCAGGAAAAAAGCCTGCACCAGAAACTGAGTTAACTGAACTTAATATTGGACTTTCTAGACTCCAGAACTGCAAGAAAATAAATTTCTATGGTTTAAGCCATGAACTCTGTGTTGTTTTGTTGTAGCAGCCTGAGCAGACTAATACACAAGGCAAGTTAGTCATGGACTATTTCTAGCTGCTCTGTAAAGGCATACAAAGTGATGCTTATGGTTAATGATGGCAGAGAGTATTTATGGCTTCTCCCTCTAGGACCACATAAAAATGATATTAAGATAAATGTTTAAAAATTTTAAGGAGTAAGAGAATTTTTAAAAACATGTTTTTTGTTTAAAAAATATACAAATTGACAGCATGGTAGGGGTCATTATTAAATAAGTGATTTCATCAAATTCTCCAAGCTGGAAAGCTGATGAGAACCTGTTGGTGAATAAACAAGGGACAGGAAGAGTTGATCCGTAGCAGGACGAGCCACAGACAAAACCTCTCAGACACCGAGTTGTAGAAGGAAGGGCTTTATTCAGCTGGGAGCATCAGCAAGCTACTGCCTTAAAATCCGAGCTCCCTGAGTGTACAGTTTCTGTCCCTTTTAAGGGCTCACAAGACTAAAGATTTCACATGAAAGGGTCGTGATTGATTTGAGCAAGCAGGCAGTACGTGACAGGGGCTGCATGCACCAGTGGTCAGATTGAAACAGAACAGAGCAGGGAGTTTCACAGTGTTCTTTTACACAATGCCGGGAATCTATGGATAACATTGGTTTCTAAGTCATGAGTTGATTTTTTTTTTTTTTTTTGAGATGGAGTCTCACTCTGTCGCCCAGGCTGGAGTGCAGTGGCATGATCTCTGCTCACTGCAAGCTCCGCCTCCTGGGTTCATGCCATTCTCCTGCCTCAGCCTCCCGAGTAGCTGGGACTACAGGTACCCGCCACCTCACCTGGCTAATTTTTTGTATTTTTAGTAGAGACAGGGTTTCACCATGTTCACCAGGATGGTCTTGATCTCCTGACCTCGTGATCCGCCCACCTCAGCCTCCCAAAGTACTGGGATTACAGGCGTGAGTCACCATGCTCAGCCTGAGTTGATTTTTAACCACTAGGTTTAGGCCAGGCAGGCCCAGGCCCAGTTTTGGGCCTGGCGCTGGGCTGCCTGTCTTTGGTTTCACTTCCTTGTTTTTTTCTTGAAACAGGTACTTAGTATAAAACAATATAAAACAATATGAGAGGGTCTCTCTCTTCCCTCAGATCCAATATACACACTCAGAGTTATAATGGAAATAAGAACACTTTTGCCTAAAGACGCCTACAATGAAAGGAAGAACCCTTTTGCCTAAAGAGGCCTCAGAAAGACTTTAACACAGCTTTAGCAGGAGGGTGGGAGAAGGCAACTAGAAGCAGAGGGATTAATTTGAAAATCTCCCAATGACACACCAATAGTTTCCCCATCCCAATGTACATGAAGTAATTGTCAGGCCTCTGAGCCCAAGCTAACCCATCATATCCCCTGTGACCTGCACATATAGATCCAGATGGCCTGAAGCAAGTGAAGGATCACAAAAGAAGTGAAAATGGCTGGTTCCTGCCTTAACTGATGACATTACCTTGTGAAATTCCTTCTCCTGGCTCAGCAGCTCCCCCATTGAGCACCTTGTAACCCCCGCCCCTGCCACCAGAGAACAACCCCTTTGACTGTAATTTTCCACTACCTACCCAAATCCTATAAAACGGCCCCACCCCTATCTCCCTTTGCTGACTCTCTTTTTGGACTCAGCCCGCTGGCACCCAGGTGATTAAAAAGCTTTATTGCTCACACAAAGCCTGTTTGGTGGTCTCTTCACACGGACGCACATGACATTTGGTGCCAAAGACCTGGGACAGGAGGACTCCTTCCAGAGACTTGTCCCCTGTCCTCGTCCTCACTCCGTGAGGAGATCCACCCACGACCTCAGGTCCTCAGACCAACCAGCCCAAGGAACATCTCACCAATTTCAAATCGGTTAAGCGGTCTTTTCACTCTCTTCTCCAGCCTCTCTTGCTACCCTTCAATCTCCCTCTCTCGCTATCCTTCAATCTCCCTGTCCTTCCAATTCCAGTTTTTTTTCCTCTCTAGTAGAGACAAAGGAGACACATTTCATCCGTGGACCCAAAACTCTGGTGCTGGTCACGGACTTGGGAAGACAGCCTTCCCTTGGTGTTTAATCACTGTGGGGACGCCTGCCTGATTATTCACCCACACTCCATTGTTGCCTGATCACCATGGGGATGCCTGCCTTCATTCACCCACATTCACTTGGTGGCATGTCAATGGTGGGAATGCCTGCTTTGGCTGCTCACCCACACTGCAGCCCAGGGCTGCTCACCACCCCCCTTCTCCATGTCTCTACCCTCTCTTTTCTCTGGGCTTGCCTCCTTCACTATGGGCAACCTTCCACCCTCTATTCCCCCTTCTTCTCCCTTAGCTTGTGTTCTCAAAAACTTAAAATCTCTTCAACTCACACCTGATCTAAAACCTAAACACCTTGTTTTCTTCTGCAATGCCACTTGACCCCAATACAAACTCGACAATTGTTCCAAATAGCCAGAAAATCCACTTTCAATTTCTCCATCCTACATGATCTAGATAGTTCTTGTCATAAAATGAGCAAATGGTCTGAGGTGCCTGACGTCCAGGCATTCTTTTACACATCAGTCCCTCCCTAGTCTCTGTTCCTAATGCAACTCATCCCAAATCTTCCTTCTTTCCCTCTCGCCCGTCCCCTCAGTCCCAACCCCAAGCGTCACTGAGTCTTTTCAATCTTCCTTTTCTACCAACCAATCTGATCTCTCCCCTCTTCCCCAGAGTGCTCCTCCTCAGTTTGCTCCCCGCCAGGCTGAATCAGGCTCCAATTCTTCCTCGGCCTCCACTCCCCGACACTATAATCCTTCTATCACCTCCCTTCCTTACACCTGCTCTGGCTTACAGTTTCATTCTGAGACTAGCCCTCCCCCACCTGCCCAACAATTTCCTCTTAAAGAGGTGGCTGGAGCTAAAGGCATAGTCAAGGTTAATGCTCCTTTTCTTTATCTGACCTCTCCCAAAGCAGTTAGTGTTTAGGCTCTTTTTCATCAAATGTAAAAATCCAGCCCAGTTTATGGCTTGTTTAGCAGCAAACTTGAGACCCTTTACCACCCTAGACCCTAAAAGGTCAGAAAGCCGTCTTATTCTCAATAAGCATTTTATTACCCAATCCGCTCCCGACATTAGAAAAAGCTCCAAAAATTAGATTCCGGCCCTCAAACCCCACAACAGGACTTAACTAACTTCACCTTCAAGGCATACAATAATAGAGTTAGAGGCGGCCAAGTAGCAACATATTTCTGAGTTGCAATTCCTTGCCTCCACTGTGAGAGAAACCCCAGCCACATCTCCAGCACACAAGAACTTCAAAACGCCTAAGCCACAGTGGTCAGGCATTCTTTCAGGACCTCCTCCCCCAGGATCTTGCTTCAAGTGCCGGAAATCTGGCCACTGGGCCAAGGAATGCCCGCAGCCCGGGATACCTCCTAAGCCATGTCCCATCTGTGCAGAACCCCACTGGAAATCGGACAGTCCAACTCACCCATCAGTCACTCCCAGAGCCCCTGGAACTCTGGCCCAAGGCTCTCGGATTGACGCCTTCCCAGATTTTCTCAGCTTAGCGGCTGAAGACTGACACTGCCCGATTGCCTCGGAAGTCTCCTGGAAGCCTCCTGGACCATCACATATGCTTTGGGTAACTCTTACATTGAGAGGTACATCTGTCACCTTCTTAATCAATATGGAGGCTACCCACTCCACATTACCTTCTTTTCAAGGGCGTGTTTCCCTTGCCTCCATAACTGTTGTGGGTACTGACGTCTGGGCTTCTAAATCTCTTAAAACTCCCCAACTCTGATGCCAACTTGGACAATATTCTTTTATGCACTCCTTTTTAGTTATCCCCACCTTCCCAGCTCCCTTATTAGACTGACACATCTTAAGCAAATTATCTGCTTCCCTGATGCCACCCTTCTTCCCAACCCAAAGCCTCCTTCACATCTTCCTCTCATATCCCCCTACTTCTACTACCTCCCTGGCAACTGATCACATGTCCATTACTATCCCATTAAACCCTAATCACCATTACCTTGCTCAACACCAGTATCCTATCCCACAACAGGCTTTAAGGGGATTAAAGCCTGTTATCACTCACCTGCTACAGCATGGGCTTCTAAAACTTATAAACTCTCCTTACAATTCCCCCATTTTACCTATTCAAAAACCAGACAAGTCTTACAGGTTAGTTCAAGATCTGCGCCTTATCAACCAAACTGTTTTGCCTATCCACC
Source organism: Homo sapiens (assembly GCF_000001405.40). Taxonomy (NCBI): domain Eukaryota; kingdom Metazoa; phylum Chordata; class Mammalia; order Primates; family Hominidae; genus Homo; species Homo sapiens. The sequence goes on from NC_000003.12 coordinate 93,940,936, forward strand.
CTCTGGTGCCCAACCCGTACACTCTTTTGCCCTCAATACCTTCCTCCACAACTCACTATTCCATTCTTGATCTTAACGATGGTTTTTTCACTATTCCACTGCACCCCTCATCCCAGCCTCTCTTTGCCTTTACCCTGACACCCATCAGTCCCTGCAAATTACCTGGGCTGTACTGCTGCAAGGCTTCAGGGACAGCCCTCATTACTTCAGCCAAGCTCTTTCTCATGATTTACTTTCTTTCCACTCCTCCACTTCTCACCTTATTCAATATGTTGATGACCTACTTTGTAGCCCTGCCTTTGAATCTTCTCAAAAAGACACCCTCCTGCTCCTTCAACATTTATTCTCCATGGGATATCAAGTATCTCCTTCCAAAGCTCAAATTTCTTCTCCATCCATTACCTAACTTGGCATAGTTCTTCATGAAAACCCACGTGCTCTCCCTGCTGATCATGACCAACTGATCTCTCAGACCCCAACCCCTTCTACAAAACAACAGCTCCTTTCCTTCCTGGGCATGATTGGATACTTTCACCTTTGGATACCTGCTTTTGCCATCCTAACAAAACCATCACATAAACTCACAAAAGGAAATTTAGCTGACCCCATAGATCCTAAATCCTTTGCCCACTCCTCTTTCCGTTCCTTGAAGACAGCTTTAGAGACTGCTCCCACACTAGCTCTCCCTGACTCATCCCAACCCTTTTCATTACACACAGCCAAAGTGCAGGGCTGTGCAGTTGGAATTCTTACACAAGGACCAGGACCACACCTTGTAGCCTTTTTGTCCAAACAACTTGACCTTACTGTTTTAGGCTGGCCATCATGCCTCCGTGCGGCAGCTGCTACTGCCATAACACTTTTAGAGGCCCTCAAAATCACAAACTATTCTCAACACACTCTCTACAATTCTCATAACTTCCAAAATCTATTTTCTTCCTCACACCTGGTGCGTATGCTTTCTGCTACCCGGCTCCTTCAGCTATACTCACCCTTTGTTGAGTCTCCCACAATTACTATTGTTCCTGGCCTGGACTTCAATCCAGCCTCCCACATTATTCTGAATACCACACTTGACCCCCATGACTGTATCTCTCTGATCCACTTGACATTCATTCCATTTCCCCATATTTCCTTCTTTCCTGTTCCTCACCCTGATCACACTTGGTTTATCGATGGCAGTTCCACCAGGCCAAATCACCACTCACCAGCAAAGGCAGGCTATGCTATAGTATCTTCCACATCTATCATTGAGGCTACCGCTCTGCCCCCCTCCACTCCCTCTCCGCAAGCCGAACTCATTGCCTTAACTAGAGCCCTCACTCTTGCAAAGGGACTACACATCAGTATTTATACTGACTCTGAATATTCCGTCCATATCCTGCACTACCATGCTGTTATATGGGCAGAAAGAGGTTGCCTCACTATGCAAAGGTCCTCCATCATTAATGCCTCTTTAATGAAAACTCTTCTCAAGGCTGCTTTACTTCCAAAGGAAGCTGGAGTCATATACTGCAAGGGCCATCAAAAGGCATCAGATCCCATCGCTCAGGACAGTGCTTAGGCTGATAAGGTAGCTAAAGAAGCAGCTAGTGTTCCAACTTCTGTCCTTCAGTGCCAGTTTTTCTCTTTCTCACTGGTCACTCCCACCTATTCCCCCACTGAAACGTTCACCTATCAATCTCTTCCCACACAAGGCAAATGGTTCTTGGACCAAGGAAAATATCTCCTTCCAGCCTCACAGGCCCATTCTATTCTGTCGTCATTTCAAAACCTCTTCCATTTAGGTTACAAGCCACTAGCCCGCCTCTTAGAACCTCTCATTTGCTTTCCATCATGGAAATCTATCCTCAAGGAAATCACTTCTCAGTGTTCCATCTGCTCTTCTACTACTCCTCAGGGATTACTCAGGCCCCCTCCCTTCCCTACACATCAGGCTCAGGGATTTGCCCCTGCCCAGGACTGGCAAATTGACTTTACTCACATGCCATGAGTCAGGAAACTGAAATACCTCTTGGTCTGGGTAGACACTTTCACTGGATGGGTAAAGGCCTTTCCCTCAGGGTCTGAGAAGTCCACTGCGGTCATTTCTTCCCTTCTGTCAGACATAATTCTTCAGTTTGGGCTTCCCACCTCTATACAGTCCAATAACGGACCGGCCTTTATTAGTCAAATCACCCAAGCAGTTTCTCAGTCTCTTGGTATTCAGTAGAACCTTCATACCCCTTACCAACCTCAATCTTTAGGAAAGATAGAACGGACTAATGATCTTTTAAAAGCACACCTCACCAAGCTCAGCCTCCAACTTAAAAAGGAGGACTCTGTCAAGGATAGAGCCCAAAAACTCACCAACCAAGCAAGTAATTACACTGAACCCCTTGGACACTCTCTAATTGGATGTCCTGGGTCCTCCCAATTCTTAGTCCTTTAATACCTGTTTTCCTCTTTCTCCTTGTGTCTTCTGTCTAGTTTCTCAATTCATACAAAACTGTATCCAGGCCATCACCAACCATTCTATACAACCAATGTCACTTCTAACAACCCCACAATATCACCCCTTACCACAAAATCTTCCTTCAGCTAAATCTCTCCCACTCTAGGCTCCCACATTGCCCCTAATCCCACTCGAAGCTGCCCTGAGAAACATTGACCATTATCTCTCCATACCACCCCCCCAAAATTTTTGCTGCTCTAACACTTCAACATTAGTTTATGTTATTTTTCTTATTAATATAAGAAGACAGGAATGTCAGGCCTCTGAGCCCAAGCTAAGCCATCATATCCCCTGTGACCTGCACATATAGAATCAGATGGCCTGAAGCAAGTGAAGAATCACCAAAGAAGTGAAAATGGCCTGTTCCTGCCTTAACTGATGACTTTACCTTGTGAAATTACTTCCCCTGGCTCAGAAGCTCCCCCATTGAGCACCTTGTGACCCCTGCCCCTGTCCGCCAGAGAACAACCCTTTTGACTGTAATTTTCCACTACCTACCCAAATCCTATAAAATGGCCCCACACCTATCTTCCTTCACTGACTCTCTTTTTGAACTCAGCCTGCCTGCACCTAGGTGATTAAAAAGCTTTATTGCTCACACAAAGCCTGTTTGGTAGTCACTTCACACAGATGAGTGTGACAGTAAAATAATCAGACTGGGCCCAATAAACATTCATTGCATATGTATACAAGAAAATAATAAATGTACAGAGAACTAACTGATAACTCTCCCATTTAGAAGAAAGACTAACACGAAACCAGATAAATACATAAAACAGCAGAAGAAAACTACACCTGCCACCTAAAACTAACCCAGTTTTGCTGTTTATATATGAAAACACAACGAAAAAATCATCAGAAATATGGAAGAAAACAGCTATTAGTAACATGAAAAAGACCAAGAAAACTGACTTGAGAAAAATCAACAAAATATACATTCTTCTCAGCACCACATCAATGACCACATAGTTGGAAGAAAAGCACTCCTCAGCAAATCTAAAAGAACAGAAATTATAACAAACTGTCTCTCAGACCACAATGCAATCAAACTAGAACTCAGGATTAAGAAACTCACTCAAAACCACTCAACTACATGGAAACTGAACAACCTGCTCCTGAATGACTACTGGGTACATAACGAAATGAAGGCAGAAATAAAGATGTTCTTTGAAACCAATGAGAACAAAGACACAACATACCAGAATCTCTGGGACACATTTAAAGCAGTATATTGGAGGGAAATTTATAGCACTAAATGCCCACAAGAGAAAGCAGGAAAGATCTAAAATTGACACCCTAACATCACAATTAAAAGAACTAGAGAAGCAAGAGCAAACACATTCAAAAGCTAGCAGAAGGCAAGAAATAACTAAGATCAGAGCAGAACTGAAGGAGATAGAGACACAAAAAACCCTTCAAAAAAATCAATGAATCTAGGAGCTGGTTTTTTGAAAAGGTCAACAAAATTGATAGAATAATAAAGAAGATTGCAAGACTAATAAAGAAGAAAAGAGAGAAGAATCAAATAGACGCAATAAAAAATGATAAAGGGGATAACACCACCGATCCCACAGAAATACAAACTACCATCAGAGAATACTATGAACACCTCTATGCAAATAAAGTAGAAAATCTAGAAGAAATGGATAAATTCTGGGACACATGCACCCTCCCAAGAAGAAGTTGAATCTCTGAATAGAAGAATAACAAGCTTGGAAATTAAGACAATAGTTAAGAGCCTACCAATAAAAAAAAGTCCAGGACCAGACGGATTCACAGATGAATTCTACCAGAGATACAAACAGGAACTGGTACCATTCCTTCTGAAACTATTCCAATCAATAGAAAAAGAGGGAATCCTCCCTAACTCATTTTATGAGGCCAGCATCATCCTGATACCAAAGCCTGGCAGAGACACAACAACAAAAAAAAGAGAATTGTAGACCAATATCCCTGATGAACATTGATGCAGAAATCCTCAATAAAATACTGGCAAACCGAATCCAGCAGCACATCAAAAAGCTATCCACCATGATCAAGTGGGGTTCATCCCTGGAATGGAAGGCTGGTTCAACATATGTAAATCAATAAATCTAATCCATCATATGAACAGAACTAAAGACAAAAACCACATGATTATCTCAATAGATGCAGAAAAGGCCTTCAGCAAAATTCAACAGCTCTTCATGCTAAAAACTCTCAATAAGCTAGGTATTGATGGGACGTATCTCAAAATAATAAGAGCTATTTATGACAAACCCACAGCCAATATCATACTGAATGGGCAAAAATGGAAGCACTCCCTTTGAAAACTGGCATAAAACAGGGATGCCCTCTCTCACCACTCCTATTCAAAATAGTGTTGGAAGTTCTGGCCTGGGCAATTGGGCAGGAGAAGGAAATAAAGGGCATTCAAGTAGGAAAAGAGGAAGTCAAATTGTCCCTGTGTGCAGATGACATGACTGTATATTTAGAAAACTCCCTCGTCTCAGCCCAAAATCTCCTTAAGCTGATAAGCAACTTCAGCAAAGTCTCAGGATACAAAATCAATATGCAAAAATCACAAGCATTTCTATATACCAATAACAGACAGAGAGCCAAATCATGAGTGAACCGCCATTCACAATTGCTTCAAAGAGAATAAAATACCTAGGAATCCAACTTACAAGAGATGTGAAGGACCTCTTCAAGGAGAACTACACACCACTCCTCAATGAAATAAAAGAGGATACAAACAAATGGAAGAACATTCCATGCTCATGGGTAGGAAGAATCAATATCACGAAAATGGCCATACTGCCCAAGGTAATTTATGGATTCAATGCCATCCCCATCAAGCTACCAATGACTTTCTTCACAGAATCAGAAGAAACTATTTTGAAGTTTATATGGAACCAAAAAAGAGCCCGCATTGCCAAGACAATCCTAAGACAAAAGAACAAAGCTAGAGGCATCATGCTACATGACTTCAAACTATATTAAAAGGCTACAGTAACCAAAACAGCATGGTACTGGTACCAAAACAGAGATATAGACCAATGGAACAGAACAGAAACCTTAGAAATAATACCACACATCTACAACCACCTGATCTTTGACAAACCTGACAAAAACAAGAAATGGGGAAAGGATTCCCTATTTAAAAAATGGTGCTGGGAAAACTGGCTACTCATATGTAGAAAGCTGAAACTGGATCCCTTCCTTACACCTTATACAAAATTTAATTCAAGATGGATTAAAGACTTAAATGTTAGACCTAAAACCATAAAAACCCTAGAAGAAAACCTAAGGAATACCATTCAGGCCACAGGCATGGGCAAGAACTTCATATCTAAAACATCAAAAGCAGTGGCAACAAAAGCCAAAATTGACAAATGGGATCTAATTAAACTAAAGAGCTTCTGCACAGAAAAAAAAAAAAAAAAAAAACTATCATCAGAGTGAACAGGCAACCTACAGGATGGGAGAAAATTTTTACAATCTACCCATCTGACAAAGGGCTAATATCCAGAATCTACAAAGAACTTAAGCAAATTTACAAGAAAAAATCAAACAGCTCTATCAAAAAGTGGGCAAAGGTTACGAACAGAAACTTCTCAAAAGAAGACATTTATGCAGCCAACAGACACATGACAAAATGCTCATCATCACTGGCCATCAGCGAAATGCAAATCAAAACCACGATGAGATACCATCTCACACCAGTTAGAATGGCAATCATTACAAAGTCAGGAAACAACAGTGCTGGAGAGGATGTGGAGAAATAGGAAGGAACACTTTTACTCTGTTGGTGGGACTGTGAACTAGATCAACCATTGTGGAAGACAGTGTGGCAATTTCTCAAGGATCTGGAATCAACAGATGCTGAGAATAAGCATCACATTAACTATACAACTCCATTCAGAATAACAAAACAGTTTAAGTCTCCCTCTCTCCCTCTTCTGTTTGCAGAAGCTCAGAAACCAGGATTCTAGCCCTTAAAATAAAACCTAAAAACTGCTCCCTAAAGATAGGGATAACATCATGAGGGAAGGTTCCCTCTGTGGATCTGGGATGACAAAGAGCAGGACTTCCAGTCACTCCAAATTTCATCTCACTTAAAGTTTGGGAGAAAGCCGATAAAGCAACTAGAAAGAGTTATTTTCTTTTTTTTTTCTGAGACAGTCTCGCTCTGTCGCTCAGGCTGGAGTGCAGTGGCGTGATCTCGGCTCACTGCAAGCTCCACCGCCCAGGTTCACACCATTCTCCTGCCTCAGCCTCCAGAGTAGCTGGGACTACAGGCGCCTGCCACCACACCCGGCTAATTTTTTTGTATTTTTAGTAGAGATGGGGTTTCACCGTGTTAGCCAGGATTGTCTCAATCTCCTGATCTCGTGATCTGCCCGCCTCGGCCTCTCAAAGTTGCTGGAATTACAGGTGTGAGCCACCACACCCAGCCTAGAAAGAGTTATTTTCAAAGATAAATACTCTCCCCCCTTACCTTGGCATTGCCCTTGCACAATTTTCACATAGGCACCTAAATAGAAGCCTGGTTATTGATACATGTGCCCAGTTATAGGACTGATAACAATTTTCTGAATTAAGAGAAAGTCCTGTTGGGGAAACAGATGTAAACAAAAGCAAAAGAACCCATGCCAACTACCTAGTTTACCCAGCTTACTTAGGACTTTCTTCAAAACATATAAACTAACAATCAAAGATCGCCAGATATTTGCATACAGTTAATAGCATGGAAGAAATAAACAAGAATGACCCAAAAGAAAATAGAGGTAATTGAAGACACAGAAGAAAACATTTTAAAATCTGTAGCTAATATCCTAAACAAATTTGAGAGGCTCTGCCATCCATAAAAAAAAAAAGTAGGCTGCAATGAAAAGAAAAAAATTGAGAACTAAAGTATGATTGAAATAAGAAGTTATAAGTGCAATGTGGTGCTGAGAAGAATGTATATTCTGTTGATTTGGGGTGGAGAGTTCTGTAGATGTCTATTAGGTCTGCTTGGTGCAGAGCTCAGTTCAATTCCTGGATATCCTTGTTAACTTTCTGTCTCGCTGATCTGTCTAATGTTGACAATGGGGTGTTAAAGTCTCCCATTATTATTGTGTGGGAGTCTAAGTCTCTTTTATGCAGCCAATAAACATATGATGTAATTTCACTCAAAAGCACAAACTGTTGTTTTTTAGAATTTTATGTTGTTTATAAAGACTATTTAGAACAATAAACAATAATGTTTAGAAACAGAATATAAATGAAAATAACTTTTTAAGTCTAAAGATTATATTTTAGTTCTCTAATTTTCCTTTTCCATAGCAGCCTATTTTTGTTTTATGCGTGCCAGATCTGCTCACATTTATTTTATTTAGTATATTAGTTACAATTTTTAAAAGATACCTTCCATGACTTCAATTACTTCTATTTCCTTTGAGGTTATTTGCTCTATACATTTCTCTTATTCATTTCTTCCATGTTCCTGATTTTATGAAAATATCTGGTAGCAAGTATCTGGTTGTTAGTTACATTTTTCAGATATTAAAAATGTGCCAGAGAAATAAAAACATTGCAAGCATGGCACAGTAACAGAATAACAGTTCATGGAACATGTGTTTATCAGGCTCCAGGATTCTCATGGACCAATGTCTCTAAATTGCTCTGGAGAAACAGGCACTCACTAAGCAGGAGATTCCTAGAATACATCGCTGCTGTCCTTAAAGTCTCAGTAAGGGCCAGGACCAAGAATCATTCTCATCAACATTTAAGCTAAGCAGACAATATTAGGCAGTGCCACACCACAATAGGAACCTTAATATATTGAAGCCAGACCCGAAACCTGGACAGTTAGCTACATAGGTTCACTTCTGTCATTTTTATAAACTCACAATCAATGTCACCTACTTTTATAAAATTGAGTATTTCGTACCCCACTTACCACATTTGGCAGGATTTTACTATATTGATACATTATTGGGATGGGAGAGACATTCCTTTATACCACACTAAAGACAAAATTGAAAAGAAAAATACAAAAACAGATTTGGCTCATAAATAGCAAAAATGTCTGCATCCAAAAACACAATCTGTACTAGTAAAAATCAAGGTGCAAAGTAGGAAAAAAGATGCCACTTACATGAAAGAAATTTAATACTTTTAATATATACAGAAAATATACAAATCTATAAGAAAAAAAGCTCTACTAAAAAAATAAACTAACAACATAATTAGGCATTTCATAAAAGAGGGAAAAAAAGACTAATAAGGGTATTTTAAGAAGTTGAAAGAAACGAGAAAGGAGTTCCAAGATGGCCAAATAGGAACAGCTTCAGTCTACAGCTCCCAGCATGAGCAACACAGAAGATGGGTGATTTCTGCATTTCCAACTGAGGTACCGGGTTCATGTCACTGGGACTTGTTGGACAGTGGGTGCAGCCCACAGAGTGTGAGCCAAAGCAGGGGGGGCATTGCCTCACCCGGGAAGTGCAAGGGGTCGGGGAATTCCCTTTCCTAGCCAGGGGAAGCCATGACAGACAGTACCTGGAAAATAGGGACACTCACACCCTAATACTGCGCTTTTCCAATGGTCTTATCAAATGGCACACCAGGAGATTATATCCCGCCCATGGCTCGGAGGGTCCCACGCCCATAGAGCTTTGCTCACTGCTAGCACAGCAGTCTGAGATCAAATTGCAAGCCAGAAGCAAGGCTGGGGGGAAGCGCGTCTGCCATTGCTGAGGCTTGAGTAGGTAAACAAAGCAGCCAGGAAGCTCGAACTGGGTGGAGCCCATGGCAGATCAAGGAGGCCTGCCTGTCTCTGTAGACTCCACCTCTAGGGGCAGGGCTTAGCTGAACAAAAGGCAGCAGAAACTTCTGCATACTTAAGCATCCCTGTCTGACAGCTTTCAAGAGAGTAGTGGTTCTCCCAGCACGGAGTTTGATATCTGAGAACCGACAGACTGCCTCCTCAAGTGGGTCCCTGACCCCCAAGTAGCTTAACTGGGAGACATCTCCCAGTAGTGGCCGACTGACACCTCATACAGCCAGGTGTCCCTCTGAGACGAAGCTTCCAGAGGAAGGGTGAGGCAGCGACATTTGCCGTTCTGCAATATTTGCTGTTCTGCAGCCTCCACTGGTGATACCCAGGAAAATAGGGCCTGGAGTGGACATCCATCAAAGCCCAACAGACCTGCAGCTGAGGTTCCTGACTGTTAGAAGGAAAACTAACAAACAGAAAAGACATTCACACCAAAATCCCTTCTGTACATCACCATCATTAAAGACCAAAGGTAGATAAAACCACAAAGATCGGGAGAAACCAGAGCAGAAAACCTGAAAATTCTAAAAATCAGAGCTCCTCTTCTCCTCCAAAGGAATGCAGCCCCTCACTGGCAACAGAATAAAGCTGGATGGACAATGACTTTGATGAGTTGAGAGAAGGCTTCAGACGATCAGTAACAACAAACTTCTCCAAGTTAAAGGAGGATGTGCGAATCCATTGCAAAGAAGCTAAAAACCTTGAAAAAAGATTAGATGAATGGCTAACAGGAATAAACAGCATAGAGAAGAGCTTAAATGACCTAATGGATCAAATGAATGAAATGAAGTGAGAAGAGAAGTTTAGAGAAAAAAGAGTAAAAATAAATGAAGAAAGCCTCCAAGAAATATGGGACTATGTGAAAAGGCCAAATCTATGTCTGATTGGTGTACCTGAAAGTGAAGGGGAGAATGCAACCAAGTGGGAAAACATTCTTCAGGATATTATCCAGGAGAAATTCCCCAACCTAGCAAGGCAGGCCAACATTCAAATTCAGGAAATACAGAGAATGCCAGAAAGACACTCCTCGAGAAGAGCAACTCCAAGAAACATAACTGTCAGATTCACCAAAGTTGAAATGAAGGAAAAAATATTAAGGGCAGCCAGAGAGAAACGTGAGGTTACCCACAAAGGGAATCCCATCAGACTAATAGCAGATCTCTCGGCAGAAAATCTACAAGCCAGAAGAGAGTAGGGGCCAATATTCAACATTCTTAAAGAAAAGAATTTTCAACCCAAAATTTTATATCCAGCCAAACGAAGCTTCATAAGTGAAGGAGAAATAAAATCCTTTACAGGCAAGTAAATGCTGAGAGATTTTGTCACCACCAATCCTGCCTTACAAGAGCTCCTGAGGGAAGCATTACACATGGAAAGGAACAACCAGTACCAGCCACTGCAAAAACATGCCAAATCGTAAACACCATCGATGCTAGGAAGAAACTGCATCAGCTAACGAGCAAAATAAACAGTTAACATCATAATGAAACATAACAATATTAACCTTAAATGCAAATGGGCTAAATGCTCCAATTAAAAGACATAGACTGGCAAATTGGATAAAGAGTTAAGACCCATCAGTGTGCTGTATTCAGGAGACCAATCTCATGTGCACAGACACACATAGGCTCAAAATAAAGGGATGGAGGAAGAGCTACCAAGCAAATGGGAAACAAAAAAAAGCAGGGGTTGCAATCCTAGTCTCTGATAAAACAGACTTTTAACCAACAAAGATCAAAAGAGACAAAGAAGTCCATTACATAATGGTAAAGGGATCAATTCAACAAGAAGAGCTAACAACCCTAAATATATATGCACCCAATACAGGAGCACCCAGATTCACAAAGCAAGTCCTTAGAGACCTAGAAAGAGACTTAGACTCCCACACAATAATAATGGGAGACTTTAACACCCCACTGTCAACATTAGATCAATGAGACAAAAAGTTAACAAGGATATCCAGGAATTGAACTCAGCTCTGCACCAAGAGGACCTAATAGACATCCACAGAACTCTCCACCCCAAATCAACAGGATATACATTCTTCTCAGCACCACATCACACTTATTCCAAAATTGACCACATAGTTGGAAGAAAAGCACTCCTCAGCAAATCTAAAAGAACAGAAATTATAACAAACTGTCTCTCAGACCACAGTGCAATCAAACTAGAACTCAGGATTAAGAAACTCACTCAAAACCACTCAACTACATGGAAACTGAACAACCTGCTCCTGAATGACTACTGGGTACATAACAAAATGAAGGCAGAAATAAAGATGTTCTTTGAAACCAATGAGAACAAAGACACAACGTACCAGAATCTCTGGGACACATTTAAAGCAGTGTGTAGAGGGAAATTTATAGAACTAAAGGCTCACAAAAGAAAGCAGGAAAGATCTAAAATTGACACCCTAACAGCACAACTAAAAGAACTAGAAAAGCAAGAGCAAACACATTCAAAAGCTAGCAGAAGGCAAGAAATAACTAAGATCAGAGCAGAACTGAAGGAGATAGAGACACAAAAAACCCTTCAAAAAATCAGTGAATCCAAGAGCTGGCTTTTTGAAAAGATCAACAAAATTGTTAGACCACTAGTGAGACTAATAAAGAAGAAAAGAGAGAAGAATCAAATAGACACAATAAAAAATGATAAAGGAGATATCACCACCAATCCCACAGAAGTACTAACTACCATCAGAGAAAACTATAAACACCTCAATGCAAATCAACCAGAAAATCTAGAAGAAATGGATACATTGCTAGACACATACACCCTCCCAAGACTACATCAGGAAGAAGTTGAATCCCTTAATAGATCAATAACAGGCTCTGAAATTGAGGCAATAATGAATAGCCTACCAACCAAAAAAAGACCAGAACCAGACGGATTCACAGCTGAATTCTACCAGACATAAAAAGAGTTGTTACCATTCCTTCTGGAACTATTCCAATCAATAGAAAAAGAGGAAATCCTCCCTAACTCATTTTATGAGGCCAGCATCATCCTGATACCAAAGCCTGGCAGAGACACAACAACAAAAAAAGAGAATTGTAGACCAATATCCCTGATGAACATTGATGCAAAAATCCTCAATAAAATACTGGCAAACCGAATCCAGCAGCACATCAAAAAGCTTATCCACCCCGATCAAGTTGGCTTCATCCCTGGAAAGCAAGGCTGGTTCAACATACACAAATCAATAAATGTAATCCAGCATATAAACAGAACCAAAGACAAAAACCACGATTATATCAATAGATGCAGAAAAGGCCTTCAGCAAAATTCAACAGCTCTTCATGCTAAAAACTCTCAATAAACTAGGTATTGATGGGATGTATCTCAAAATAATAAGAGCTATTTATGACAAACCCACAGCCAGTATCATACTGAATGGGCAAAAATGGAAGCATTCCCTTTGAAAATTGGCACAAGACCGGGATGCCCTCTCTCACCACTTGTATTCAAAATAGGGTTGGAAGTTCTGGCCAGGGCAATCAGGCAGGAGAAAGAAATAAATTGTATTCAATTAGGAAAAGAGGAAGTCCAATTGCCCCTGTTTGCAGATGACATGACTGTATATTTAGAAAACTCCCTCGTCTCAGCCCAAAATCTCCTTAAGCTGATAAGCAACTTCAGCAAAGTCTCAGGATACAAAATCAATATGCAAAAATCACAAGCATTTCTATATACCAATAACAGACAGAGAGCCAAATCATGAGTGAACTCCCATTCACAATTGCTTCAAAGAGAATAAAATACCTGGGAATCCAACTTACAAGGGATGTGAAGGAGCTCTTCAAGGAGAAATACAAACCCCTGCTCAACGAAATAAAAGAGGACACACAAAAAAATGGAAGAACATTCCATGCTCATGGGTAGGAAGAATCAATATCACGAAAATGGCCATACTGCCCAAGGTAATTTATGGATTCAATGCCATCCCCATCAAGCTACCGATGACTTTCTTCACAGAACTGGAAGAAACTACTTTGAAGTTTATATGGAACCAAAAAAGAGCCCGCATTGCCAAGACAATCCTAAGACAAAAGAACAAAGCTGGAGGCATCTTGCTACCTCACTTCAAACTATATTAAAAGGCTACAGTAACCAAAACAGCATGGTACTGGTACCAAAACAGAGATATAGACCAATGGAACAGAACAGAACCCTTAGAAATAATACCACACATCTACAACCACCTGATCTTTGACAAACCTGACAAAAACAAGAAATGGGGAAAGGATTCCCTATTTAATAAATAGTGCCGGGAAAGCTGGCTAGCCATATGTAGAAAGCTGAAACTGGATCCCTTCCTTACACCTTATACAAAAATTAATTCAAGGTGGATTAAAGACTTAAATGTTAGACCTAAAACCATAAAAACCCTAGAAGATAACCTAGGCAATAGCATTCAGGACATAGGCATGGTCAAGGACTTCATGACTAAAGTACCAAAAGCAATGGCAACAAAAGCCAAAATTGACAAATGGGATCTAATTAAACTAAAGGGCTTCTGCACAGCAAAAGAAACTACCATCAGAGTGAACAGGCAACCTACAGGATGGGAGAAAATTTTTACAATCTACCCATCTGACAAAGGGCTAATATCCAGAATCTACAAAGAACTTCAACAAATTTACAAGAAAAAATCAAACAACCCCATCAAAAAGTGGGCAAAGGATATGAACAGAAACTTCTCAAAAGAAGACATTTATGCAGCCAACAGACACATGAAAAATGCTCATCATCACTGGCCATCAGAGAAATGCAAATCAAAACCACAATGAGATACCATCTCTCACCAGTTAGAATGGCAACCATTAAAAAGTCAGGAAACAACAGGTGCTGGAGAGGATGTGGAGAAATAGGAACACTTTTACACCGTTGGTGGGACTGTAAACTAGTTCAACCATTGTGGAAGACAGTGTGGCAATTCCTCAAGGATCTAGAACTAGAAATACCAATTGACCCAGCCATCCCCTTACTGGGTATATACCCAAAGGATTATAAATCATGCTGCTATAAAGACACATGCCTACAGATGTTTATTGCGGCACTATTCACAATAGCAAAGACTTGGAACCAACACAAATGCCCATCAATGATAGACTGGATTAAGAAAATGTGGCACATATACACCATGGAATACTATGCAGTCATAAAAAAGGATGAGTTCATATCCTTTGCAGGGACATGGATGAAGCTGGAAACCATCATTCTCAGCAAACTATTGCAAGGACAGAAAACCAAACACTGCATGTTCTCACTCATAGGTGGGAATTGAACAATGAGAACAGTTGGACACGGGATGGAGAACATAACACAGGACGGCCTGTCATGGGATGGGGGGAGGGGGGATGGATAGCATTAGGAGATATGCCTGATGTAAATGATGAGTTAATGGGTGCAGCACACCAACATGGCACATGTATACATATGTAACAAACCTGCACGTTGTGTACATGTACCCTAGAACTTAAAGTATAAAAAAAAAAAAGAAAGGCAAAGAAAATTCTGCAGGCAATTGTCATTACCATTATTTTAATTTGGAGTATTGAACAGTTCAGATGGAGGACGAAAGATAATCATCTAGTCTGACAATCAAAATATATATTTTAAGTTGGCTATATCTACAGATATTCAATTTTACACTGATGAATATGCACAATGGGCAGAATTTGCTTAACAGAACTGACCATATATTGAACACTTGGTTTACTATTTGACTCTATCCTGACTATATAACAGAAGATTTAAAAAGATCAATTCCCATGGTTTTGCTTTAATGTAAATAGACTGAATTATAATCAGAAGAAAGTTTCCATCCATGATAGTAAATAAATGGTCTCAGTGAAATGAAGATTCAGAAGCACTTATTTTAATAATTTTCATAATGCTATTCAAAGGTATCTACAAATATACAGCGGTAGGATAGTAGTATCTTTTATTGGTATCTTTCAATTTTGCTAATTTTTATGGGAAACTTTTGGTTATACTCTAGAAAGAATAATAATTTAACTCATCTTTGGTTCTCAAGAATTTTATAAGGTGCAGCAATTTTACTATTAAATTGTGTATTTTCAAAGAAAAAAAGAAATAAACATAAACATTTATCTCAGCATGATGGCTCATGCCTGTAGTCCCAGCTACTCAAGAGGCTGAGGTAGGAGGATTGCCTAAGCCTGGGAGGCTGAGGCTGCAGTAAGCTGAGATCATGCCACTGCATTCCAGCCTGGGCAACAGACTGATTCTCTCTCTGTCTCTCTCTCTCTCTGTCTCTCTCTCTCTCTCTCTCTACACACACACACACACACACACACACACAAACACACACACACACACACACACACACGTTATCAGAATTCTTTCAAGCCTCACAAGATAGTGGATACACAAGGGTACATTAACATTTGTGACTGAATTTTGTGGTCTTCTTACCCTCACTTTGTGATCCAGAGATTCCAGTATTTGCCAAGTTTTTTAAAGCATTTTGGGCAAGTCTCACATCAAACTAATACATCCACTCCATCCACTCCCTCTACCTCACTAAAAAATCTTTACTATGCTTGCATTAACAAAGATTTAAAATGAAGTTAATGTCCAACTTTGGCAAAGATGAGAGGAACAAGACACCCTTTAAATCTACCTTCAAAAGCACGTTCCCAGGAGGAAATTTAACAATATGTATCCCAAACCTTCAAAATAGGCACACTATATAGACATTCAGCTAACAATTCTATTTCTAGAAAATTAACCTGAGGAAATAAACATGAATATATATATATGAAGAACTATATATGAATATGTTCATTACAATATAATTGATATAAGCAAAACATTGGAAATAATCTAAAAGTCCGAAAATATAGTTTTGGTTAAATATATTATAATAAGCACATATAAAGGAAAATTATGTATCTATTTTAAAGGGTGATATAGACTTTAACTTACTGATACAAAAACAATCATCATAGTTTTATGATATGAAACATCAAGTTACAAAAATTATATAGAGCACAATTCCATGTATTTTCATTTCTAAGAATATATATGTGTGGACAAAAGCTTAGAAGAACATAGAGCAAAATGTTACATTGGTCTCTGGTCAGTGGTACTACAGATGCATTTTTTATTGCATATCTGTATTTTCAAATTAGATTGCATTAAACATGGCTTTCTTGAATAGTTTTAAAATATTAGAGAATCACTGGCTTACAGCTAGCAGTGTAAGCCAGGGAAAGTTATACAATGAGACCCAAAGGTCTAAATTCCAAGGTTAATAATGGATTGTATGTTTCAAAACAACTAAAAGAGGACTTCATATGTTCTCAACACAAAGAAATGATAAATATTTGAAGTGATGGATATGCTAATTTGCACGATTTGATCGTTTCACAATGTATAAAAATATCAAAACACTACATTGTACCCTATAAACATGGTTGTCCTTTAGTATTCTTGGGGGATTGGCTCCAGGACCCCGGCAGATATAAAAATCCAAGGATGCTCAAATCACTTATTGTATTAGGCCATTCTCACATTGCTACGAAGAAATACCTAAGACTGGGCAATTTATTTTAAAAAGAGGCTTAATTGGCTCACAGTTCTGCTGGAGGCTGAGGCGGGTGGATCACCTGGATCAGGAGTTCGAGACCAGCCTGGCCAACATGGTGAAACCCTGTCTCTAAAAAAATACAGAACTTAGCTGGGCACAGTGGTGCATGCCTGTAGTCCCAGCTACTCAGGAGGCTGAGGCAGGAGAATCACTTGAACCCAGGAAGCGGAGGTTGCAGTGAGCCGAGATCATGCCACTGCACTCCAGCCTGGGCAACAGAGCAAGAATCCATCTCAAAAAAATAATAATAATAAAATAAAATAAAATAAAAATATTGAATTATCACCCAACCCCCCTAAATTATTATTTTTACTTATATGTTTTTGTAAGATATATGTAAAATAAAACCTAATAAAACAGGAATATTTAGGTAAAAAGAATTTGTGTCATCTAACAGAACAAGGGTCAAGACTTTTTTTCATCGCAAAGGTTGTTTTCTTTTAGATTAATGCAATGTTAATCTCAATCAAAGCTTAATAATGTAAAGATAGTTTAGGTCTTGCTAATGTCAAACATCATCCTGCCCTTTTTGATTCACTGAATAATGATATGAAACCCAATCCTACATTTGATAAAATTCCAACATCTGTCAAAACCTCTGCATTCCTTCATTCTTGTGGATAGTCACTGTTGGTTTTGTAGATTAGCTTTCACTAACCTCTTCCTCACTTGCATCTTATGAGACTCTTTTCTTTGTACTTGATATGGTTTGGCTCTGTGTCCCCATCCAAATCTCATCTTTAATTGAACTCCCATAATTGCCACATGTTGTGGGAGGCAACTGGTGGGAGAAAATTGAATCACTGGGGTGGTTTCCCCCATACTGTTCTCATGGTGGTGAATAAGTCTCATGAAGTCTGATGGTTTTATCAGGGGTTTCTGCTTTTGCGTCTTCCTCATTCTCTCTTTGCCTGCTGCCATTCATATAAGATGGGACTTGCTCTTCCTTGCCTTCCACTGTGATTGTGAGGCTTCCCCAGCCACATGGAACTGAAAGTCCAGTTATACCTCTTTCTTTGGTAAACTGCCCAGACTCGGGTACGTCTTTATCAGCAGCATGAAAACAGACTAATGGAGTACGTAATCAATTTAGATGTGAAAATTGACACTTTTTGAAAACACTAGAGGCAGAGGAATTCAGGGTTCAGTTGTTTATATTTAAGCAACTTTTGTAATTTAAAGTTGAAACTTAGAAATGCCACTTTTACTGGGTGCAGTGGCTCACATCTGTAATCTCAGCACTTTGGGAGGCTGAGGTAGAAGGATCCGTTGAGCTCAGGAGTTGGAGACCAGCCTAGGCAACATGGCCAAAATTAGCTGGGCATGGTAGCTCAAGCCTGTAGTCACAGCTATTCAGGAGCTGAGGCAGGAGGATTGCTTGAGCCCAGAAGGTCGAGGCTGCGATGAGCTGTGATCACACCACTGCACTCCAACCTGGGGGACAGAGCAAGACTCTTTCTCAAAATAACAACAACCAAAAAAAGGAATTTAAAAATAATAAAAGAAAGAAAAAAGAAATGCCCATTCCTAAAAGTCTTTACCCACCTCACATCTAGTAATTTCTCACTGGAGACCTTCTCCACAAGCTGCATTCTCTTGCCATGGTGCTCAGCTTTCTTTCTCCCTTCTCTGACATTTCCTCTTCTCTTGCCCTAATTGCCACCTCTGGCCATTCTGCAAAAATTTGTTCACTTATCTATCTTCTCTATCTCATTAAAAACTAGATTGTCTCAAACTTTAAATGTGGATAGAAATTACCTGAAAGTCTTGTTTAAATGCATATTCTGGATGAGTACATCCAGGGTAGGGCCAGATATATTTCATTTTTAGTTAAGTCCCCAGGTAAACCTGATGCTGATGTTCCACGGACCATACTGGAATAGCAAAGTTATAGACCATGTTTCAGGGACTTCACTTTCCAAAACTCAAGCTTCTTTTCAAGGTAATTTCTAATGTAACAACAGTTCTCACCATAGGAGTAATTTCAATATCAGCTGTTACCATATTTTTTCGTTCTGCTACATTAATAGCCAACTCAGTGTAATAATACTAAGTAACTACCAGCTGGTGTGTTAGCAGGCATAGTAAATTATGCCCTCCCTCTATCACAAAGTTTATTCAGATAATTAAAACAACCACACACTTTGTAATATATATTACCAAAGGTTAAATAGGCAATAAGTATTTATACTTCTCTTAGAGGAAAATACATTAATTTCAACCTTAAGAGAAAATGTTTCTAACAGACATAGTGCCGAAGAAATATTCCATGTGCTTCATTGAGTTTTAACTATTTGAACTATAAGCAGAAGTGCGTTTGTCACTTTTTTTTTTTTTTTTTGGAGATGGAGTCTCGCTCTGTCGCCCAGGCTGGAGTGCAGTGGCACGATCTTAGCTCACTGCAAGCTCAGCCTCCTGGGTTCACGCCATTCTCCTGCCTCAGCCTCCTGAGTAGCTGGGACTACAGGTGCCCACCACCATGCCCAGCTAATTTTTTTGTATTTTTAGTAGAGATGAGTTTCACTGTGTTAGCTAGGATGGTCTCAATCTCCTGACCCTGAGATCCGCCCGCCTCGGCCTCCCAAAGTGCTGGGATTACAGCCGTGAGCCACCGCGTCTGGCTGCGTTTGTCACTTTTAAGCTGAGGCAGTTAAAAACAAGTACACCACCTCCATTGCTCTTTTTTTTTTTTTTTTTTTTTTTTTTTTTTGCAGGAACTTTGGATGCTATGTGTTCCAGATGGTATAACTAAAGATGAAAGAGATTTATGCAAACCACACTGAACTTTATATGGTTAAGAAATAATCTCTTATTTTGCCAAGCCATCAAGATTTAGAAATTTGAAAATCAATTTGGAGATTTGAGGATTAATGTGTTATCACTTCATAGACCATCTTATCTTAACTAATATAAAGGTATGAAACATTTAAACTAATACCTGTAACAGAGGTTATTCAATAATGTGCTTGTTTCTTTGTTAATAATAAAAATCAGAGGGCTCTAATAAAAGTAAAAACACATAGATAAAATAGAGTTGTTCAGGTTTATTCCTTGAATAAAATAACCAATAAAACAAAAGGGCAAAAGAAAAAAAAACAAAGGCGGTTTTTTAAATATTAGAGACTAGCTATTGAGAAAAAAAAAACACTTTTCTAAATTATCCTTTAAATGGAAAAATTAAGACCCTGCAAAGCTTTATGATAGTTCAATTCATGATTCTAAAAAAGGGAAACAAAATCATAAAGTATGTTAAAACTTGAATAGTCTTTGGATAGATCACCTGGCATGACTGGGAGGATGACAAAGAGGAATTGTCTTTCAAACAGAAGGACCAGCATGTGAAAAGGCCATAGGGGAGAAGGGACAGAGAATGGTCCATTTTGAGAGGAGAAGCAGGGAAAGGTCAGTTGTAGGAAGAGATAAGGCTGGAATCCCCTAGATTTTGAGCTTTGCATGCCAAATTCAGATTGCAGAAACAGTGATAGGAGACAAAAAGCAGCAGCTGATGCTTTTAAAATTGATTTTATAGAAGCAAATTGCCATGTTATGGTGAGGGCCACATGGCGGGAATGGTGAGAGGTCTCAGGAGCTGAGGGCCTCAATCCTACACTTGTGAGGAACTGAATTCTCCCAACAATCAGGAAGCCTGGAAGTGGACTTCAAGCTTCAAATGAGATCTCAACCATGACCAACCCATTGATTTTAGCCTTGTGAGATTCTGAGCAACTTAACTGGATTTGTGCCTGGACTTTTGACCTATGCAACTGTGAGATAATAAATTGTGTTTTCCTAAGCTGTTAAATTTTTGGTAATGTGTTACAAAGCAATAGAAAATGAATACAAAAAGAGATAGCATAATTTTTAATCAGGCTGAATGTGGTAATATTGCTGCTTTCATTCCATTTGCTAGCTAGGGCTGCCAGCTTCCGTTCTAACAGTTGGCTTGGTTGGCTAATGCCATCCTAGACCAATCTTGGCACACACCAAATAACATTGAAAAGCCAGACATTCCTTGGCATAATGTAACAGAAAGAATTCAAAAAGACTAGGAGACAGAAATTCTGGCTTGAATTTTTTACGTCACCCCTACCTATTCTCTCCTCCTCAATCATCCCCACTCTCCCCCAATATAGAAGAGAAGACTACATTTTCACTGATCCTGTGAAAAACGATTATTGGAGAAACCACTGGAATTTTTAATAAGCATTTTACTGGCAGTTCTCCCTAGATCAAACATGCTGGTGGGAGGGACAGCAATGGAAATGAGCCCCCAGATTTCAAGTGGAATGGGAAGAAACAGGGGTGGCTGAGCTTAGTTAGCAGCTCTTACTCACCTGAACAAAAACTGGGGTGTGTGTAGTGATCACATTTTGGAGAAAGGATTAACAAGCAGAGATCTCACGAGATTGAGATGAATAGACAACCCACCGATTTCTTCACTGTTTCATGCACAAACTCCCTATACTAGCAAATAGAGGCTGTACTTCAACCACAATAAAAATAAATCACTGCCTCTCCTTAATCACCAATTTTGAGTTATCTGACTGATCCAGAACCTCTTGAGTGAAGGAGAGGAGAGAGGCCCTTAAGGAAGTATCCTTCTGTTACAGTTTCATACTATAAGCTTTTCTCCCAGTTTCTCCAAACTAAAGTATCTTACCTGAATAACTACACTGAAGAGAAACATCCCAAAAACCTTTAGTGATTATTAGATAGTGGGCTTTGAGGAAGCAAAATGTCTAAGACCTAATGTATGCTGATTAAGGTATGCTGGTTGGAATTGAGGCTTATGCAAGTCAGCTGATAAGCAGAATTCTGTCCTAAAACCATCTAACTATAGGCCTAATCAGACTCAAACCCAAAGCTTTCATTCCTTCCCTAGGACTGAGAGCAGTGGACTCTCAGTGGACTCTTCAGCAAGAGTTTGGTCATGTTGGAACATTCCTGCAGAAGTGAGAGAAGTTGTTATGTACCTGAGTGTCCATCACTAAGGTAGAAGAATAAATTTTGGTAGATGTCTTATTTTTGAGGCATATTCCATTTTAAGGTTTTCTACTATGATCTATTTACCACAGGAGTCGAAAGGCTGCCAAATATAGATGGGAACCATAGTAAGAGAATGCTCTCCAGCTAGTTCAAAGTTCAAATCAAGTGGTCTGTCACTTGGCCTAGCCAATGATCCATCAGATCCAATTGTGCTCAAATTTTCTGAAGAGCAAGGTCCTCTTCAGAAGCTGCAGCAAGTTCCAGAAGAGAAATTTCAGTAGAGATCTCCACGATTTGTGCAAGTCTCATTTCCTTCAGCAAGCAATTCGTTTTCTTTTGAGAAACTGCTCTTGGGTTTTTTGTTGTTTGTTTGTTTTTTGGGACTTAAGTGGAGTCTGAAAATCTGACTATCTGACACCTGGTGACCATGAGATGTAAACAGCTCATCATAAGCGGGATGCTGTCTTTTCCATTGAGCTATGTAGTTGTGATAGCATAAACCATGCTCAACTGTTATAAATAAGATGAGCCTAAAGGCATAACTTAGTTGCCAACACAGGTTGGTCACTCTCTTGACTTCCTCCTCACCCTCAAACCCCCTCATTGGTCTCATAAGAAGAGATCTATGACCAACTAATCTCTGGCTTACAGATGTGTTAATCTGTCTGCATCACTACAAAGGAATACTTGAGGGTGGATAATTTATAAAGAAAAGGAGTTTAATAGGATCACCATTCTGCAGGCTGTACAAGAAGCATGGTGCCAGCATCTACTCCTGGTGAGGGCCTCAGGAAGCTTCCAATCATGGTAGAAGGCAAAAGGGGAGCAGTGGATCACATGGCCAGAATGGGAGCGCGAGCTAGAAGGAGAGGTCCCAGACTTTAAACAACCAGATCTCACGTGAACCTCTGTGAATCTCATATGAGAAGTCACTCATCACCTAGGGGCTGGTGCTAAGTTATTCATAAGGGACCTACCCCCATGACCAAAACACCTCCCACCAGGCACCACCTCCTACAATGGAGGTGCCTTCCCTCCCCTCCCCTTCCGTTCCCTTTCCTTTTCTTTCTTTTCTGTTGCAGGAAGTCAGGGACCCTGAATGGAGGGACCGGCTGGAGCCACAGCAGAGGAACATGAATTGTGAAGATTTCATTTTAATATGGACATTTATCAGTTCCCAAATTAATACTTTTATAATTTCTTATGCTTGTCTTACTTTAATCTCTTAATCCTGTTATCTTCCTAAGCTGAGGATGTACATCACCTCAGGGCCACTATGATAATTGTGTTAACTGTACAAATTGATTGTAAAACGTGTGTTTGAACAATATGAAATCAGTGCACCTTGAAAAAGAACAGAATAACAGTGATTTTAGGGAACAAGGGAAGACAACCATAAGGTCTTACTCCCTGCGGGGTTGGGCAAAAACAGCCATATTTTTCTTCTTGCAGAGAGCCTATAAATGGATGAGCAAGTAGGAGAACATTGCTAAATTCTTTTCCTAGCAAGGAATATTAATATTAAGGCCCTGTGAAAGGAATTCATTCCTGGGGGGCCGCTTATAAACGGCCACTCTGGGAACGTCTGTCCTATGCGGTTGAGATAAGGACTGAGATACACCCTGGTCTCCTGCAGTACCCTCAGGCTTACTAGGGTGGGGAAAAAACCTCACCCTGGTAAATTTGAGGTCAGACTGGTTCTCTGCTCTCGAACCCTATTTTCTGTTGTTTAAGATGTTTATCAAGACAATATGTGCACCACGGAACAAAGACCCTTATCAGTAATTCTGCTTTTGCCCTTTGCCTTGTGATCTTTGTTCTCCCTTTTGCCCTTTGAAGCATGTGATCTTTGTGACCTGCTCCCTGTTCTTACACCCACTCCCCTTCTGAAATCCTTAATAAAAACCTGCTGGTTTTGAGGGTCAGGTGGGCATCACAGTCCTACAGATACGTGGCGTCACCCCCGGAGGTGCAGCTGTAAAATTCCTCTCTTTGTACTCTTTCTCTTTATTTCTCAGCCAGCCAACACTTATGGAAAATAGAAAGAACCTATGTTGAAATATTGAGGGCAGGTTCGGATTTCCTAGGCCAACTAAGAATCCCTAAGCCTAGCTGGGAAGGTGACTACATCCACCTTTAAACAAGGGGCTTGCAACTTAGCTCACACCCGACCAATCAGAGAGCTCACTAAAATGCGAATTAGGCAAAAACAGGAGGTAAAGAAATAGTCAATCAACTATTGCCTGAGAGCACAGCGGGAGGGACAAGGATCGGGATAAAAACCCAGGCATTCGAGCCGGCAATGGCAACCCCCTTTGGGTCCCCTCCCTTTGTATGGGAGCTCTGTTTTCACTCTATTTCACAATATTAAATCTTGCAACTGCCCTCTTCTGGTCTGTGTTTGTTACGGCTCAAGCTGAGCTTTTGCTCGCCGTCCACAACTGCTGTTTGCCGCCGTCGCAGACCCGCTGCTGACTCCCATCCCTCCGGATCCGGAAGGGTGTCCGCTGTGCTCCTGATCCAGCGAGGCGCCCATTGCCGCTCCTGATCTGGCTAAAGGCTTGCCATTGTTCCTGCATGGCTAAGTGCCCGGGTTTGTCCTAATCGAGCTGAACACTAGTCACTGGGTTCTACGGTTCTCTTCTGTGACCCAAGGCTTCTAATAGAGCTATAACACTCACTGCATGGCCGAAGATTACATTCCTTGGAATCCATGAGGCCAAGAACCCCAGGTCAGAGAACACTAGGCTTGCCACCACCTTGGAAGCTGCCTGCCACCATCTTGGAAGCAGCTCACCACCATCTTGGGAGCTCTGTGAGCAAGGACCCCCCGGTAACAACCTGATACTTTTCTTTTCTTTTCTATTTTTATTTTTTATAGAGTCTCATTCTGTCACCAAGGCTGGAGTGCAGTGGCATGATCTCGATTCACTGCAGCCTTCACCTCCCAGGTCCCAGCGATTCTCCTGCCTCAGCCTCCTGAGTAGCTGGAATTACAGGTGGGCACCACCACATCTGGCTAATTTTTGTATGTTTAGTAAAGACAGGGTTTCATCATGTTGGCCAGACTGATCCCAAACTCCTGACCTCAAGTGATCCACCTGCCTCGGCCTCCCAAAGTGCTAAAGACTTGAGATTACAGGCATGAGCCACTGCGCCTGGCCAGAAGTCACTTTTCAACATGAGATATGGAGGGGACAAAACATCCTAACCATATCAACAGACGCCTCTCTGTGGTATACCAATATGAGCCAGATGTATACCTCCTATAAAGCTACAGCCAAAAACTAACAAACTAACCTCTCTCAGGGGTGGTCCTGAGAGGCACTGGAGAAGCAAAACCCTCACTATGGGCAGACATATAAGTGGCATTTCTCATTGTTCACTTTGCCTACAATGAGAAATTGCCTGAGATGGTTGCAAATGGTCTTTCCAGAGGTTCAGTGACTTGTAAAGAGGTAGATCACAGGCTTAGGGACGAAGTTCAAGCAAGAATTGTCCCAGAGATGAGAATGTTTGTGTTCCAGGTGAACATTCACAAGACAGCACCACACCAGAGAAGTTATTAGTAATAATGATGGCAGAATGACCTACTTAATGACCATCAGTTATGTTTCCTCTCAAGACTATCTAGTGCAAGGACCACAAACTAAAAATTCTAAGTGTCCAGTAGGCAGCATAAACAAAGGAAGATAATTTGGTTAAAGACAATGGGAGATGCTCAGCATTGTAGCAAACTGCAGCGGGCACATTCTATCTAAAGAAGGCAGATCACCACACCTGTAATCCCAGCACTTTGGGAGGCCAAGGCGGGTGGATCACAATGTCAGGAGTTCAACACCAGCCTGGCCAACATGGTGGAACCCCATCTCTACTAAAAATACAAAAATTAGCTGGGCGTGGTGGCAACATGCCTGTAGTCCCAGCCACTCAGGAGGCTGAGGCAGGGCGACAGAGCAAGACTCTGTTCCAAAAAAAAAAAAAAAAAAGAAGAAGGCAGCTCACAATCAGCTTCAGCTGAATCTTACCATGTTGGGATGTGCGCCAGTGTTGTCAGATGTTCCTTCATTGTTTCTCAAGAGAAGCCATAAAACCAAATGTTGACATGAAATGTTCCAATTTTTGAAACGTATAAGGGCCAAACACAGAAGTTTATAGGCCACATATGGCTTTCGGGTTGCCCCCAGTCTAATGTTTATCCAATATTTATTTAAAAAGGAAGCCACAGTGGCAAGGATGGAGGCTACACATTGGCCACACTGGATCTGCCACATGAACTTTCCTTCACTAAGGCCCACCCAGACTCTCCTTATAAAAGTAAAAACACCAAATTTTTCTGCAGGATTGCTATTCCTCGAGCTGCTAAAAGTTGAACATATCACATAGTTCAATCAGATTATCCGGTAGATTGTTGATTAAGAAGGGCTCTTCCATCATGGAGGAGCAGCATAGGTAGAGACACTTATTGGGATTTAATTTTTCTGTCAGCACAACTATTGGTAGACTTATTCAATGCTTTATGCTAAGCCACACAACACTACCTCTAAGGATTTAACACCACAATTAAAACAAATCAGTGGAAGGATTATAGTTTTCCTTGGCCTTAGTGTATATCCTAATATCTGGAAGGAGCTAACCTTATGGAATGATGAACTCACCAATTATAGAGGGCTCACTCACTGTAAGACACAACACTATCTTTCAAAATATGGTTTTAAAAAATATGGTATGTTCTCTGTACCAGCAATCATTAAAATATAGTGCTATCTAGGCATAGTGGCTCACACCTGTAATCCCAGCACTTTGGGAAGCTGAGGCCAGAGAATCCCTTGAGTCCAGGAGTTTAAGATCAGCCTGGGAAACATAGCAAGATCTCATCTCTACTAAAAATCAAAAAGAACATTAGTTGGTGTAATGGCATGCACCTATAGTCCTAGTTACTTGGGAGGCTGAGGTGGAAGGATCCCTTGAACCTGGCAGGTCGAGGCTGCAGTGAGACATGATTGTGCTACTGCACTCCTCCAGCCCATGCAACAGAATGAGGCCCTGTCTCAAAAAATAAATAAATAAATAAATAAAAGATTGTAGGCTGGTCCAATAGTAGTGGGTTATCAGAACTTGTTAATATTAGTATCATTAAGTTGATACACAACCTCCAACTGGCAAATTTGACTGGCTTAAAATAAAATAAAATACAGCACTATTTTACTAAAGCCAAAATACACAGATCCAGAATAAAGGGAAAAAGGAAAGAAGTACTTGTCATGATATGATGTTTAATGACTGCTATGGCTGACCCCAAAAGATGCTGAAGTTGTAATTCCCTAGTACCTGTAAATATGACCTTATTTGGAAATAGGGTCTTTGCAGATGATCAAATTAAGATGAGGTCATTAGGGTAGGCCTTAATCCAGTGAGTCTGGTGTCCTTATAAAAAGGGGAAATGTGGGCACAGAGACAGACATGTACAGAGGGAAAACGATGTGAAGACACAGGAATAATGCCACCCCAAAGCCAAGGAACATCTGAGGTTACCAGGAGCTAGGAGAAAGCATGAAACATATTCTCCCCTCACAGCCCTCAGAAGAAACCAACCTTCCTGATACCTTGATTTTGGACTTCTAGACTTCAAAATTGTGAGACCACAACTTTCTGTTGTTTAAACCACCTACTTTGTGGTACTTTATTATGGCAGTCCTAGGGGACTAATACAGTTACCTAATCTCAAATTTTTTACATTCCGTCCTCACAACTGCATTCGGCTCACCTACAAATTTGGAAACCAAGAATGGTTTCCAAGGAATGCATTCACTAGGGGATCTAACATATTTTCCACTGAATTATAAGCTCAGACTGCTGTGTTGCCATTTGAAGCTCTTTACCTGCTGAAAAAAAATAAAGAAATAAAAATCAGAGGATTATGTTAGAAGGAAGACAATAATCCAGGCAAAATAGTGTTGTTGCCACATACTAATCAGGGTTAGGTGTGAAGCCCCTCCAGGATGACTACTGTCCACAGGAGAAATAGGAAAAGAAACAATGGATGGACCACCCACAGGTAGGGACAATAAGGGCTCGGATTCTTCCTGAATATGCTATGGTTCATCTTATTGAGCAAACACAAACATGAGGCACTTGCATCCTGAGGGCAAGAGAGCTATGAAATGGGTAGGGAAAGAGTCATAAATACCAGCTCATGCTTGTAACCAAGGGAGAGAAAGGCAAGCCCTAAAACCATTACCTGTATTCCCTTGCCTGTTTTTTTTGTTTTTGCTTTTGTTTTCTTTTTTTTTTTTTTTTTTTGCATATAAGATGTGTTGGTACACTATAATGTATCATTTTATCCATAAAGCATAGCACAGAAATACAGGAATCATGGCCATCACTTGATGATACCTAGGAAATGGAAGCCTCAAGCCTTCCTCTCTGAATGTGGTGCCTGGAACCAATTGAGGAGAGGGTTCTTTCTCTGTGCAGTAGTTATTTGCATTATATCAGATAAATATTTTCAAATGGTGTGTATGGAAAGAAGGGCAAGTGTATTTGTTAGACAGCCAATAATTAGAATATGTAGACTTTTCTTATTTCTGTGTCCTTCCCAGCATCCATTCTTTTGTGGGAACTGTTCTTCCGGCACTCTGTGCAATTCTAGTGAGCTGTCGATCACAGGACTCCAGTGCCAGGCTAAGCCAAAATGATCAGGGCCTCCTAGGAATTTGAGCTGTTCACAGAGACACATAGGACTGGAAGACAGAATTGAGTCATCTGATTGGCAGCTCCTCAAGTACTGTCACATGAGTTCCCACTGTATAGGTCACCTAAATGTTCGCATTCCTTCTGTAGGCCTGGCTTCTGTAGGCCTGGCTGTTCAGCTAGCCATTCAGTAGCCTTCCAATAAATTATTTAACTGCTCCTTCCTTCCTTCCTCTCTTTTTTCTTTTCCTTTTTTCTTTCCTTTAGTTAGCAATAGTTCATTACTGTTGCTTATAGGCAAAGAATACTGTATTATCAGGCATAATATTTTGAAGGTTTAAGTATGTATATAGATCGCTCAAGCTGCAAAAATATAAACTTGATGAACAGAAAAGGTCTATTGTTTCTTAGCACAGAATTAATAGTAAGAGAATGTGGCATAGGGTTTGATGTTGTATTACTGTATATTAGAAATTGTTTCTAACTCTTCCAGCACAAACTCCAACTGTAACCTAACCTTGATAAAATCTCTCCATCAGTGCAACATTTTGGACTTTTTAGTAAAGATAATTTAAGAAAAGATAAGCCTTCATAACTAGTAAAAGGAATAGTTAGAGAAAGAAAGAAGAGGGTACAAAAGAGGAGGAAAATATGAGTCAGTAGTGTCTAGAGTAGCCTGCACTGGCCCAGGGTGGCAGTCTAGATAAGGCCAAATTAGCACAGCCAAAGGGACATCCTCTTTCTCCTATTTCCTCACCACATGCCTTAAGTGGGAAATGATTAAAATATGTAGACAGTATCTATTTTATTTTTATTATTTTTGGAGACAGGATCTCGCTCTATCACCCAGGCTGGAGTGCAGTGGCATAATCATGCTCACTGCAGCCTCAACCTCCTGGGCTCAAGTGATCTTCCCACCTTAGACCCCTGAGTAGCTGGGCCTACAAGTGTGTACCAACACATCCGGCTAATTTTTTTTTTTAATTTCTTTTGTAAAGACGGGGTCCCACTATGCTGCCCAGGCTGGTCTTGAACTCCTGGCTTCACGCGATCCTTCCTCCTCAGCCTCCCAAAGTGCTGGGATTACAGGCATGAGCGGCTATGACCGGGTGACAGTATATATGTTAAATATAGAGATTCTCATCTCTCTCTCTCATACATATATGTATGTATATATATGTATTCTGGAAAATTAGTTAATATCTCTGAACAATTTCTTTTTTTATTTTTAAAACAAATAAGTTGAATTAGATTATTTCTAATAACTCTTTCTAAAATAAAGCTATGATTTGTAAATGTTTTTCTTTAAATCACAACTATAAGCCAGCCATGGTGGTGCATACCTACAGTCCCAGACACTCAGAAGGCTGATGGGAGGATTCCTTGAGGCCAGGAGTTCAAAGCTGTAGTGCCCTATAATAGTGCCTGTGAATAGCCACTGCACTCCGGTCTGGGCAAGATTTTTTTTAATCACAAAAATATTTTTTTAATCGTCCTTAGCTTTCTATGGCCTAAACAATGAATTATAGGCTGGATAAGGTGGCTCACTCCTGTAATCCCAGCACTTTGGGAGGCTGAGGTGGGCAGATCACTGGAGGTCAGGAGTTCAAGACCAGCCTGGCCAACATAGTGAAACCCTGTCTCTACTAAAAATACAAAAATTAGCCGGGTATGGTGGTGCATGCCAGCTGGTGCAATACCAGCTACTTGGGAGGCTGAGGTGGGGGGATCACTTGAACCCAGGAGGCAGAGGTTGCAGTGAGCTGGGATCACGCCACTGCACTCCTGCACTCCAGCCTGGGCAACAGAGCAAGACTCCATCTCTAAATAAATAAATAAATAAATAAATAAATAAATAAATAAATAAATAATTCTAAATAAAGAACTACACAATGAATTACAAATAAAATATTTACAGCTCTAATTATATCTCAGATTTAAAATCATATGGAGGCTGGGCACAGTGGCTCACACCTGTAATCCCAGCACTTTGGGCAGCCAAAGTAGGCAGGCCGCTTGAACCCTGGAGTTCAAGACCAGCCTAGGCAATATGGCAAAACACCAACTCTACCAAAAAAACAAAACAAAATAAAAACCACACACACACACACACACACACACACACACACACACACACACATAAATTAGCTGGGTGCGGTGCTAGATAGGTGCTGATCTGGGAGGATCCCATGAGCTCGGGAGGGGGAGGTTGCCATGAGCTATGATCATGCCACTGCACTCCAGCCTTAGTGACAGAACTAGACCGTCTCAAAAAAGTAAATAAATAAAAATAAAGTAAAATCAAATCATATGGATTAAAAACATCACATCTATATCCAAATTTCCTCATAAGTAAACCACAGATGACTTTTAATCCAATTAAGCAATCAAAAACTTTTAACTGAAAGCATTATGGGGCCAACTATTCTTTATGTGATATACTTGAAGAATTAATTTATCTGCTCTATCAGTGTTATATATAACAAGTGTAATTCCCCATATGTTTATATATAATACACATACACAAACCCATATAATTTTTACCTCTGCCTAGATTCAGTCAAAATGTAACAATCTCTACAAAGAGAAAAAGCCTAGCAAATTTCTATGATGACAAGGAGTTAAGTGTGGCAAGCTACTTTGCCTTTCTCCTCTCCAAAACACTAGCTATGAAGCAAATATTTAATTGTCCTAATGAACTATTTAGGTAATAAGCGCATGTAGTTACAAATTGGCTGAATGATAGGGGTTTGAATGCTGAAGTTTTGCAATTGTAGCTGTTTAATGTAAGATCAAAAAATAATGTTTTAGTCCCAAGTTAGATTTTTAAAGTACTGCATTCATCCTGATGACTAACTAATAGAAACTAGTGGAATGTTAGCAAATTGATATATAATTTTCTAGAAATTTCCATCTTCAAAAAGTTTACTTTGGAGCTCTAGACTCCTAAAAGTTATTTGTAATTCAGAGTTCTCACTCCTGTTCCAATCCCTGAAAATAAAACATAGAACAAGAAGTCATTTTTGGCCAGGTGCGGTGGCTCACGCCTGTAATCCCAGCACTTTGGGAGGCCAAGGCGGATGGATCACCGGAGGTCAGGAGCTCGAGACCAGCCTGGCCAACATGGTGAAACCCCGTCTCTAGTAAAAATACAAAAAAAAAAAAAAAATAGCCGGGTGTCGAAGCAGGCACCTGTAATCCCAGCTGCTCGGGAGGCTGAGGCATGAGTATCACTTGAAGCCGGGGGGCGGAGGTTGCATTGAGCGGAGATCCAGCCACTGCAGTCCAGCCTGGGCAGCAGAGCGAGACTCACCCTCAAACAAACAAACAAAAAGGCGTTTTTATTCAATAAACACACTTACAACTTTAGAAAACAAATTAACTGACCACTAAAATGTACTAATTGCCTTGGTATTCCTTATATATTTTTCAGAGAAAACTCAATATCCTGTCTTGAATCCGGGCATAAGGACATAAAGAACCTGAAACACAAAGATAAAGAATTCATGCCACCACCTCAGATCAGTGGCATGCAGTGTTAAAAAATCCTCAGTACAAACGATCTGAGAAATAGAATACAGTATTTAACAGTCCTTTTGATTTCAGGGTTAGAAAGTGACATATATCTACTGCTATACAAACCCTCAGTCATCCTAAAACATTTCGTTAATGTGAGACAAGCAAACCAAGCTCAAAGTCCAGAAATTGCAAAAGGGAGGCAGGTTTCAGGAGACGGGTGCAGGTTGGGGGCAGGCGCTTGGACAAAGGGAAGACACAGTGTGTTACCTTTTCTTCCCTACTCATAAGCTAGAATCTGCTCATCCTAGTTCTCTGACTGGGAACTTCAGCTTTGAAGGGAAATGGGCAGGTGTTCTCATCCCTCCATTGATACTTAGTGTCATCTAGGTTCTTAGATCTGTCCTGTAGGCAATACATTCTCGCAACTGTGCAAATAGTGATCCTGCCCCACCATTGCACTGCCTGCTCTATCCACGGCTGTTTCCATCCGCTGGGTGTCTGTCGGTACTTACTGGAAACTTTCTAGGAGGCTGCAGCTCTAGAGAAGAAAATCCTACCAACCAGGGCACGCAGTTCAGTCGACAATGCTGGGGAAGGGAGAAGAGACGCTATTGATTACTCACAGTTTGCCTCTGAGACGGGAAGCACTAGGAGGAGACACGCCAGCAGCGCCCCGCAGCGCCCACCCAGGACCCTCATTTCGAAGCGCGCGGAGGCGCCGGCAGGGACGGTGGCGCGTCGCGGCGGGGACCGGAGCGCTAGGCGCCGCGGAGCTGCGAGCCTGTGCGCCTCGGTCTGAGCCGTGCTGCGCGGCGGCGCCAGCGACCCAGCGAGCCTCGGCGGAACAGCCGGGGGCGGAGGAGACCGCCCGCTCCCAGCGCCCAGCCCGAGAGGGGAAGTGATAACAAGGACATTTCCAGGAAGCTTTTCGGAGCTGGGGGATGGGCTCTAGTGTTGGAGGCCTAGTAAACACTGCTGAGACATCCTTCTTCACCAGCTCCCTAGTTGCTGCTTTTCCTCCACAGTGTGACGTTTCCAAAGGGGAAGGGGTGGGGAACGCAGTTCTCTGACTGGTCAAGACAACTTCCAGGGTTCAAGAGGACAGGATCCCTAGGTTCAGAAGCAGAAACAGTGAGACACTGAGTTGTCCCTGAAGATATTAACCAAAACCTGGAAGTCAATGAGGACTTTAGGAAGAACTATGGTGATAGTAAAAGCAAATGGGGTCATTTTGATCATCCACATGTTTTTTCGGTCTTGTATGCCATACAGGCATAAAAATAATGTAAAGAACATGAAGAAAAGAAGGGAATATTAGAATAATCTACCTTAAAAAAAATCTTGCTCCGATAAAGACTTCAGTTGAAAGTGAATATCTATCTATACATCTACCTATTTATTAATTTAAAAAAATTTTTTTTTTTTTTGAGACAGAGTCTCACTCTGTCGCCCAGGCTGGAGAACAGTGGCGCAATTTCGGCTCACTGCAACCTCCACCTCCCGGGTTCAAGTGATTCTCCTGTCTCAGCCTCCTGAGTAGGTGGGATTACAGGCGCCTGACACCATGCCTGGCTAGTTTTTTTGTATTTTTAGTAGAGACAGGGTTTCACCATGTTGGCCAGGCTGGTTCTGAACTCCTGATCGTGAGTGATCTGCCTGCCTCGGTCTCCCAAAGTGCTGGGATTACAGGTGTGAGCCACCACACCTAGCCTTATTTATTTATTTATTTATTTATCCGAGACAGGGTCTCACTAGGTTGCCCAGACTGGAGTGCAGTGGTGCAATCATAGCTCACTGCAGCCTCGAACTTCTGAGCTCAAGCAATCCTCCTGCCTCAGTCTCCTGAGTACCTAGGACTACAGTCACACACCACTATGCCAGGCTAATTTTTTAATTTGTTTTTTTTTTTTTTTTTTTTTTTTGGTAGAGATGGTATCGCTGTGTTGCCCAGACTGGTCTGGAACTCCTGACCTCAAGTGATCCTCTTGCCTTGGCCTCCCAAAGCTTTGGGATTACAGGTGTGAGCCACTTCTCCTGGCCTGAATATCTTTTTAATACCACAAATTTGCATCACATTGCCAGTAATAATTGTCAACACTGAAAATTTATGTGTCCTACACTGTAACGTCAAACTTTGTAAAACCATCTGGAATCTATTAATATACAATTTGACAATACATCTTTCAATAAAATTCTGGGTTTTTAATTAATCTCAGAAGTTAACTTTGTGAAAGTGATATCTGGCTTTAGCTCAATATGAATTGACACTTGGTAATCTCATTTAGCCAAAGTTTGGTTTTGATACAGACCTTAATATACAATTAAAACCTGTCCAAAATTTAACTCTTAATCTAGTCTCATTCATAATCTTAATCCCATCATTTTTCCAGTGTTACACTTCTCCATATCATCTTCTACCAACATAGTGTCTACTTATCCACTTCTTCATCTGTCTTCACCAGTAAAATGTAAGATTCATGAGAGCAGGAATTTTTAAAGGTTTTGTTCACAACTATATTACTAGTGCTTAAAACAGTGACTGGTACATAAACGTTTCATTCTATTTAAGTCAACAGTGTGTGCCTGGGAATATTTATGCCAAAATATCAACAATTATCCTGAAATGACAGTGTTAACTAGAATCATAGCAGCATGACTCTTTTCATCATTCAGAATAAACCAGATTACACACTAAAAAGCCAGAAAATTACAGTGTTTTAGATAAGAAGTGTTTATTTCTTGCTCATTGGAAGTCTACTACAAGTCTGCATGACTTTCCAAGTAACTATCTTCCATGTGTGAACTCAGCAATTCATGCTGCTTTGATTTTACAATCCCTCAAAGTCAACATAGTCTTCTACAATTACCATTGCAAGAGAAGAGAGAACATTGAGAATTGTGCCCCAGCTCTTAAATACTTTTACCAAGAAGTGACATACCACTTACATTTCATTAGACAAAGCAAGGCACGAGGTATGCCTGACTTGAAGAGGGTGGGAATAACTGTTATTTCATGTGCCTGTAAGGAAAGAGAACTAGACATGGTGAGCAGCACTTATGGCTACCAAACCACTTAAGATATTCAAAAACTAAGAGTCAGCTTTGCTAAGGGACTGCATGTTGGCACCAGGAATGCTCGGTAATGTTATCACTAGCAGAAATGGGGAAGGCATGAAGTAGAGCAGATGCTTTAATAGTATTGTTTCATTATGACATGGCTGAGAAAAATAAAATCAACTACTGGCCCAGGCCACTGTGTGTATGGAGTTTGCATGTTCTCCCCACGTCTGCATGGGTTTTCTCCAGGTACTCCATTTTCCTCCCACATCTGAAAGATGTGGATGTTAGGTGAATTGGTGTGTTTAAACTGTCCCAGTCTAAGTGAGTGTGGGCATGTATGAGAGCACCCTGTGATGGAATGGTGTCCTGTCAAGGGCTAGTTCTCACCTTTTACCCTGAGATGCCACCTATGATCCTGAACTGGAATAAGTGGACAAATAATTATCTTACTTGTTGTTATTCATCTTTCTTAATGTATAGCTCACATTTATTTCAATGTTTACTATTACTAGTGGTTCCATCTTTATTTTGAAGTTTGGTGATGTTTTTGTGACCAGAAATGTGCCACAGGAACTTAATTGATTTATATCAATTTGTCTGTGGTAAAATTGGTTTTATTGTATGTTATTTTGTTTAAAATTATAGTTTCTAAGAACCTCTGGATGAAGATAAATGAGGATTTACTGCAAAACTGGTGTTGAGTATATATTTGTGAAAAAACAGTCTTGAATATAGTTCTAAAAATGCTCAAGAAACATACACATCATGAGATCCTTCAGTCACAGAAATAATAATCAAATTCCATCAAGACAACATGTTTTAAAAAAGAAAAGCAGAGGGGTAAGGTCATATCTTAGAAGTTACATATAGAAATCCAGAGGAGGAATGGCCTGGGAGATCAGAAGAGAACCAGGGGTTGTGCTCACTTCATCAGCACATATACAACAATTGGAATGATACAGAGAAGATTAGCATGGCCCCTGAACAAGGATGACATGCAAATTCATGAAGCGGTCCATAATAAGTTAAAAAAACAAAGAAGAAGAGAACCAGGGTAGGGTAGTGCAGTGCATAACTGTGAAAGACCAAGGCAGGAAACAGTTTTAGAAAAGTTAACTATATTATATATATATTAAATAATAGAAAAGAAAACCGATTTGGTAATTAGGAAGATATAAGTTATATCAAAAAATATGCTTTCAGTAGTTAGATGGGACAGAAGCCCAATCATAGTAAATGGATCAAAGAGTGAATACAAACAATATAACTTTAGGGTTTGCAAGACACTAGTTTAAGAAAGTGAGTCATGAAAGTAGAGTCAGCAGAAACAGTCCTAAATTGGCTTGGAGTTAATGGAGCATTGCAGTCTTATCCTGCCCTGCTCTCCTGTCTCCCACCATGGATATTTGGAGGTAGGAGGACACATACCATAAGTGTTTATGGGACAGGTGACACCAACTTTAAAATTTGCTATCTATTATTTATCAGAAATTACACTTGAGCTTCATTTCTCTCATTTCATCACCTTAGCAACCTGGAAAAGTAGGTATTTTAATTTCCATGTTATAGATAGGGTTGTTGGAGCTTAGAAGAAAATATCCCAGAATAAAGGCCTCAGAAGCAAAGTTTCTGTCTCTAACCTTCTGTTCCTCGTCTCTTGCCCCTCATTCTCCCACTATGCAAGCCATAGAAACTATAATTCCTCTTTCTCCAGGTGCAGTTATAGAAACCACAACCCCCTTTCCCCAAAGCCAGCCACAAACCCCAAAATATTACTCTAACCTTCTTCCTTTCCATGAAAGACCTGCCCATAAATAAATTCTTTGACTTGCATTGTTTGATAGTACGTCTTAAGACTCCCATTCTAGAAAGGGTCCTACCCCATACCCTGGAAGAAGGAATGCTGAACAATCAGGTCAAGAGGAATCTGAACAGACAGGCCTTGCTGAGTTTCTCCACACAGTCTGCTCTCATTAGGTCATATCCTTTTTGACCAATGAGAGTTCTTCAGGGTTTTTCATTCTTCATCGAACCCAAGTATAAAAATGGGTAGTCTTCCCTGCATCTTTGCATCTCCATTTGCAAGGTTCCCATGTCACATAAAACTTGGATTAAATAAATTTGTTATGCTTTTCTCTTGCTATTCTTTTTGTTATATGAGTGTTGGCTGTGACTGTTATGATGAGAAGAAAAGGTATCACCCCCTTTGTTCCCCATAAGGCACAGTATTTTGGAGATAGCAAGCTGTATGAGATGTATATAAATTTGAATTAAAATTACATGAGGCTGGGTGCCATGGCTCATGTCTATAATCCCAGCACTTTTGGGAGGCCGAGGCAGGCGGATCATTTGAGGCCAGGAGTTTGAGACCAGCCTGGGCAACATGATGAAACCCTGTCTCTACAAAAAATACAAAAATCAGCTGGGCGTGATGGTGCACGTCTCTAGTCCCAGCTACTTGGGAGACTGAGGAAGGAGGATCACTTGACCCCAGGAAGCGGAGGTTGCAGTGAATCGAGATCATGCCACTGTACTCCAACCTGGGTGATAGAGGGAGACTCTGTCTCAAACAAAACAAAACAAAACCAAAAAAAGTTACATGATTTAGTAAAGGACAGAGACTAATTTAAAACCTATATGTATCTTAGTCTCAAATCATTATATTCCCCGCGAATACACTGGGATTCTCAGTGCCTTCTATCCTTTCATCAGGATTTGAAAATATTTATTTAAGTAGAAAATGAATGGACACACAGATCCCTACATATTGTGCATAATTTTTTCCCTACAGGAATGTCCTTGTCATTTCTTTTTCTCCAAAGTATATAAAAGAAATGCAAATATTACATACCTCTTTAAAAAATAAACTATTACAAAACAGTCAAGAGATAACAATCTTCATCTTGCAGATACCAAATAGCCAGCAATTTATGTACCTAAAAATCCTGAAACAAACATACATCAAAATGGTTATTTATTTATTTTTGAGACGGAGTCTTGCTCTGTTGCCCAGACTGGAGTGCAGTGGCGCGATCTCGGCTCACTGCAACCTCCGCCTCCCGGGTTCAAGCAATTCCCCTGCCTCAGTCTCCAGCGTAGCTGGGACTACAGGCGCGTGCCACCACACCCGTTTTTGTTTTTTTTTGTTTTTTTTTTTTTGTATTTTTACTAGAGACGGGGTTTCACCATGTTAGCCAGGATGGTCTAGATCACCTGGCCTCGTGATCCGCCCGCCTCGGCCTCACAAAGTGCTGGGATTACAGGCGTGAGCCACCGCGCCCGGCCCCAAATGGTTATCTTTGAGAGCTCCTGTGAGATCTCATTTTCTTCATCTTGTTTCTTTTTAGTATTTTTCACATTTTCTACAAGAAATGCATTTTTCTTTTGTAATCACAATCCCCCCTACAACAAATATCATACAATTCCGTTTCACATATGTAACAGTAATAAACGTTTTAGAGATTAAGGCTTCACTCTCATCTGAACTACTGAGAAAATTTAGCAAGCGAATTTCCCCCTTGTCTTTAACTTACAAGAATTGCCCCAGTGTATTGTTCCTGTAGTCATGCTGCCTAAGTCGGCCAGAATTCTAGAGGGTCCCCATCCCTGAGCAAAAAACAAACAAACAAAAAACAAGAAAAAAGAAAGAAAGAAAAAGAAAAACCCATGCACAAGACCTGAGATCTCTGAATCTCAGTTGGGGACACTGGAGAAAGGAAAGGAACAGCACCGTGGATTGGCAACACATTTTATGTAGGTATAAAGATAGGCCTTGCTGGAGATTTGTCCCGGATCCTCCAGCTTATCTCCGGACGCTCCGGTTGCCTAGTTACGAGAACGAGCTACCTCGAGCTCCGCCTCCTTCTTATAGAGTACTCCCCTTTCTCTTTTCCTAGTCTCGCGCAGGGGCGGGTAGCCAGGACTCTTCAGCCACTCAGAGGCCTCTACCTCAGGACCTCAACCGATGATTGGGCGAGCGCAGTACGGGCGTTGCCTGGGGAACGCCTTCCGCGCCTCGAAGTAACGTCAGCACGTCGACGCGGGGCTTTTCTTTAGCCGGGTCCCGCTAACTCGGCTACGGTGTATCTGCGTCTTTGGTCAGGTTGTTCCTTGGCTAAGAGGGCAGTCGTCGCGGACCCACGCGGTTAGCAAGGCTTAGTGCTCGGGCCGGCCGCCTTCACTTCCCTCCCGGCTTTTCCTCCCGACTTATCCACTTTAGGGGCGTCTCGGAGTGCCGGAGGCCCCCGGGGAAGAGCGGGGTGCCGGTGTCCGCTCCGGGCTCGGATGGGAAGTGGTGGGAGGAGCGACCCGGGATGTTCAGTCTGATGGCCAGTTGCTGCGGCTGGTTCAAGCGGTGGCGGGAGCCTGTCAGGTAGGCTGGAGCCAGCTGTCCTGGCCGTCCTAGGGGTTGGAGATGGCTGCGCCCCAGGGGCGAGGCGCCGCCTTTTCCCCGCGCCTGGACGAGTCTATCCCAGGCCGCAAGGGATGCTTTCATTCCCAGGGTGTCCCGGGAGGGAGAGATTGGAGGATGTAGCCTTGTTGTCTGGTCGACTTTCTGTTGCGATTGACAATGCTTACCGTTGTTATATTTTAAATAGGTTTGAATTTGTTAAAAAGTGTGTGTGTGTGTGTGTGTGTGTGTGTGTGTGTGGAATTGAAAACTATCCATTGTGTGTTTTTCCTCTGAAGCTTTTGTAATGGAAATTCTTTTAAAAAGAGGGGGACATGGAATATAGTTTTCATAATATCCGCACATTCCATTCCAAGTCACACCTCCACACAGTTGTATTTGAGGACGTGGGCTTGAAATCTGGCTCCACTACTTAATAATTACATGACTCAACCATTTTGGCCCCACCTTTCTTAAATATTAAATGAGAGTGATAATACTCTGCTTTAGAAATATTGTATTCAATGAGAACAAGTGATAGTGTTTTCTTAACTGTAATGTAGCTTCCAATTTTTATACGGTCTCTAGTAAAACCTTTTAATTGAAAGGGTCCACTTTTTAACATTTCATTTTGAAATGCTGGAAGTATTAATAATTAGTACCTGTTACTTGATATTCATTCATTCAAAAAATATTTATTAAGACAATACCTTGTGCCAGGCACTGTCTTAGGAAATAATCAGTGAAATTGATGCTTTTGAAACTGAGGCCTAACCTATAAAGAGATCTTGTGTTTGTTACACAAATAATGTTGACTTCACATAGTTCTAGTCTGGAATTGGGCCAAGGGTAAGATAAAGCAAAGTTGTTTTTTTTTTTAAATTGTTAACATTTTAAGTATATTTGCCATGAGAATGAACTATCCTTTAAAGAATGAATCTGAAAAGCTACACTTACACATTATAACAGAAAATACATGTCTAGATTGGAAAAAAAGTAACTTTAAATGAAACTAGAGATTCTTCCCCATTATTAGCTCCTAACTGAATTTGAATGTTTTAAATATAAGTAGTAAGATCAACTCTGTAAGTCAAAGATGGGCTGGGTGTGGTGGCTCACGCCTGTAATCCCAGCACTTTGGGAGGCCGAAGCTGGCCGATCTTTGGAGCCCTGGAGTTCGAGACCAGCCTGGTCAATATGGCGAAACCCCGTTTCTACAATAAAATAAACGGGCACGGTGACGCACGCCTGTAGTCCAAGCTACTTCGGAGGCTGAATCAGTAGGATCACTTGAGCCTGGGAGGCGGAGGTTGCAGTGAGCCGATATCGCTGCACTCCCTGAGTGACACAGTGCAACCCTGTCTCAAAAAAAAAAAAAAAAAAAAAAAAGAAAAAAGTCAAAGAGTTGTTTTAGGTGCATAGATTCTGATTTATTTGCTTTAATTATATTCTGGTCTAATTTCACAGTATCTACTAAGACTTGAGGGTCATTCATAATAGTTGACCCCTCATTTTCCTCCGTGTCTGCTTTTAAGAAATGTATTTGGTTTCTGTGAAGGCATGTATATAACTTACGTTCTTTTAACGAGAAACAGTGAAAACGTGTAATTCGAAGAAGGAGTGTTCAATTTAATTCATCATTCTTAGTCTTTCCTTTTCTTAGCAGCTTTTGTATATATACTCTCTGGAATGATTTGTTTAAAGAGAAGAGTTCAGAGAAAGGAGAATGTATTGATTTCCAAGTAGAACAGATAATTGAATTTTCTTAATAAAGCATTATTAAAATTTAGCTGCATAACCCAGAGTGTATTTTCTTCTTTAATAAGCACCATCTAGATTTGTCCTGTCCAGTAGGGTAACAACGAGCTACACGTGGCTGTTGAGCACTTGAAATGTGGCTAGTCTGA
Organism: Homo sapiens; assembly: GCF_000001405.40. Taxonomy (NCBI): domain Eukaryota; kingdom Metazoa; phylum Chordata; class Mammalia; order Primates; family Hominidae; genus Homo; species Homo sapiens. The sequence continues at coordinate 93,982,408 of NC_000003.12, forward strand.
ATTAAGATGCTGTAAGTGTATGTTTAATACATAGTGGGCTTTGAAAAAAGATTTATTATGCAAAAAAGTCAGCATCTTATCAGTCTTTTAAAAGTATGATTACATGTTGAAATGATAACTTTTGCATATGCTAGGTTAAATAATATATTAGAATTAACTTTTTTTTACTTTTTAAAAAATGAGATTACTAGAGAATTTCAATGTATATGTTGCTTATGTTAACATTTCTGTTGGATCTTACTGCTCTGGATCATAGCCTAATATAAAGGACATAGGTAAACATCTCAATTTGGATAACTGTCAAAGAATTTGAACACAAGTTGGATTACCCCTGTCTTCTAAGTCCCCTTGTTCAATGCCTGATTTATAATAGTGGCTGAATAAATATTTGCCAAATATTGTATGTAGTTCGATTTTTCTTAGTAATAATCATCCTGAAGTAAATAACATTAGCAAGTAGTTCCATTTATTTTACTGGAATAAATGAGAGGTGAGCAAGCTAATTTTAAAAACAAAATTTTGTGCTTTTATGGTGTTCTCTATTTTTTCAACAGAAATTGCCTGTTTGATTATTATGTATATATTTGTTTTCTGTAGAATTTCTTATTAAGATTCCTCTTCATGTTTATATTTTATGAAGATGAAATGTGAGGAGTGAATTTGTAAAAGAGATGATGATGGTTATTAATATACTATATTTGAGATTACTTTGCAGATTTGTTTAATACATTCTGTACCCCAGTACCCATTGTATTTGTTCACCTCTCCTCACTTAGATCCTTTCCTAGTGAGCATATTATTCCAGACATTGGAATCAGGGATTAGATTTGTGTGATAAGGACAAGGCAGGAGTCAGAGATCAAGTGTTAAGGCACCAGTCTAGGTCAGCAGTCAAGATCTTATAAAAGTTTAACGCTTCATCCCCCTTAGTGGAGTACTGAACCCCACTTATTTGGGGTTTGGTATGGCCCCATTCATGAATTTTGGTTCAGTTTGGTACGGCTCCATTCATGAATCAATGAATGTGGAAATAAACTCTTGAAATTTTATTGTTCCTAAGTTTATCTTTTAAAAATATGTTACCAAATTGCTCCTCAGAAAGGATTAAAAAAGAGAAAACACAGTTTCTACTCCTACCAACAGTACGTTGGAGTGCCTTTTTCACTGAGAAAATCAAGAGTCATCGGTTTTTCATCTCCTTCACATTATAGGGGAACCTGCTTTCTGCTTTGAGTTTCTGGGGTTTTTTTTGTTTTGTTTTGTTTTTATTACTAGGAAGATTAACTTTTTTTCCTTGCGCATTTTTGTTTCTCTCAGCAGTTGTCCATTGATTACTGTTGTGTTTTTTCTATTGGGGCAGGTGTGTTTTCTTAATGAATTTTTAAAAAGAAATTTTAAGTGTTTGTCGTAGCTACTGTTTCTCTGTAGTACAATTGACACTTGAACAACGCAGGGTTTAGGAGCACTGAACCCTGCCTTGCCAGCACAGACAGAAATCCACATATAACTTTTGACTTCCAAAAAACTTAATTACTAATAGCCTCCTGTTGACTAGAAGCCTTACTGATAACATGAATAGTCAGTTACCACATATTTTTTATGTTATATGTATAATTTATTGTATTCTTAAAGTTAGAGGAAAGGAAATGTTAAGAAAGTCATAAGGGGCGGAGCACGGTGGCTCACGCCTGTAGTCCCAGCACTTTGGGAGGCTGAGGTGGGCAGATCACTTGAGGTCAAAAGTTCAAGACCAGCCTGGCCAACATGGCGAAACCCTGTCTCTACTAAAAATACAGAAATTAGCTGGGTGTGGTGGTGGGCACCTGCAATACCAGCTACTTGGGAGGCTGAGGCAGGAGAATCACTTGAACCTGGGAGACAGAGGTTGCAGTGAGCTGAGATCATGCCACTGCACTCCAGCCTGGGCGACAGAGCAAGACTCTTGTCTAAAAAAAAAAAAATTAAAAAGAAGAAAAAAATACATTGACTATTTATTAAGTGGAAGTGGATCATCATAAAAGTCTCCATCCTCATCTTCTTCCCATTGAGTAGGCTGAGGAGAAAGAGGAAGAGGGGTTGGTCTTACTGTCTCAGGAAGGTTTCAGAGGCAGAAGAGGTGGAAATGGAGGCTGGGGAGGCAGAGGAGGCAGGAGAGGAAGGCACACGTGTAACTTTCATTAAAAACAAATTTGTGTGTAAGTAGAACTGTGCAGTTCAAACGTGTGTTGTTCAAGGATCAGTTGTATAATATTGCAAGTATTTTCTTTCCATTTGTTATATTTTCAACTTTTTGTGCTTTTTAAATATAAACATTTAAAATGTTTGAATTCAGGCTGGGTGTGGTGGCTCACACCTGTAATCCTAGCACTTGGGAAGATCGCTTGAGCCTAGGAGTTTGAGATCAGCCTGGGCAATATAGTGAGACCCCATCCGTACAAAAATGTTTTAAAAAATTAGCCAGAAGTAGTGGCATGTGCCTGTAGTCCGAGCTACTTGGGGGGCTGAGGCAGGAGGATCGCTTGAGCCCAAGAGGTGGAGGCTGCAGTAAGCCCAGGTTGCCCCACTGCAGCCTAGCCTGGGTGACAAAGTGAAACCCTGTCTCAATCAATCAATCAATCAATCAATCAATAAGACTAAATAAAAATTTTAAATTCAAATATATTACTGTTTCAGTGTAATGTTTAGAAAGTTCATCAGCATTACAAGATTACATTCACATATACTTTTTTCTTGTAGTTTTATATTTTCATTTTTAACATTAAAAACTGTTAATCTATTGCAATCTATTTAGCTTATAGGGAGCAGCCTTCATCCTGAGTACAGGACACAAGGTCTGTGAAGCTATGATGCTCAGTAAATCTCTGGGCCTTATAGCAGATTCTAACCCTTACACATTCTCATCTACAGATTTTGAGCTCCTGTTATTTATAACATAGCATCTAGGTGATGAAATAGTGCATGTAAAATATAATGATCGAATATGCAAGAGTTGAAATATGATTTTTAAGATTTTTAATGAGAATCAGGAAAGAGGATTTTAGAAGGGGTGTAATTTTACCTGGGTCTTGAAGAAATTCATGCAACAAATTTTGCATACAAATTTTGGCAACAAAATTCTTTGTTTATATGAAAATATACATGTTATATAACTTCTTATATATTATGCATACATAACTAACAAAAATGTTTTTACTGTTATTTAACCAAAAAGAAAGATATAATAAGTACCATATGCCTGCCAGGTTTTATAAATATTAATCTTTAGTCATCATATTTCAATTTTATTTTAATAAGTAGGTAACAAATCCTTGAAACTTCCTGCCCCCTATTCATCTCCCACCATTCTTCCACAGAGTTAACCTTTAATTGGAACTGATTTCTTGTCCATCTGTGTTTTTTCAGCATCACAAATACAACCTATCAAAGCTTTACTTCAAATTTATTAGTAAATTGTTTGCTGTGGCCAAGTCTAAAATAAGATACAGTACACAATGTTTCTAGTGGTCTGTTTTGTCCTCTTTGCTATGAACTTTTTCACTGAGGGAATACTTAGCTCCCTAATACCATCATTCTTGGCCTAAATAAATATAACTGTAAATCTAGACCATTTATAGAAATTGCTGAGTTCTTAATTTTCCAATTAAGCTGTATGTACAGATTAGCAAGGATTATCTATTGTGCTGTATGCTGAACTGGAATATTTTACATCTCTTTTTATCCCCCTAGTTCTTCTTGATTATGCATAGTAAGAATTTTAGAATTTTAATATAGAAAAGGACCTAGAGACATTCTTATTTTACCCCCTTATATTTTAGAGATGAAAAAATGGACACTAAGAATTTGACTTGATCAGGGCTTAAAAGCAGGCTATAAACCCAAGCTTGGCCTTCTCACTATTTATTCATACTCAGTAAATTTAGATAATGATTTTGCTGTAATATGGGGTTCTAGATCTGAATTGAAATGTCAGAAAATAGTGTACTGCAATAAAATCACACTGTTTTTTCGATACATTTTTTTCTTTCTATCAATTTGTCGTATAGTGATTTTTTAAAATTCTCACATATGTATCATAAAACCTTGTTCTAAAGTCTTTTTTTGTATATGTATTTGTTACTTTTAGAATTTATGTTTATGTTAAAATTTAGAATTTGCTTCATGTAGTTTTAAATACTGTAGATAATAGAGTTCCGATGTGTCAAACTTTGATTTTAGTGTTTTTAGCGAAATGTTTTCTTTGACTTGCATAATATTTTTGAAGTTAGAAACAGCTTTTATGGGCCAGGCATGATGGCTCGCACCTGTAATCCCTGCACTTTGGGTGGCCGTGGTGGATGGATCAGTTGAGGTCAGGAGTTCGAGATGAGCCTGGCCAACATAGTGAAACCCTGTCTCTACTAAAAATACAAAAAATTAGCCAGGCATGGTGGCAGACTCCTGTAATCCCAGCTACTTGGGAGGCTGAGGCAGGAGAATTGCTTGCACCCAGGAGGCAGAGGTTGCAGTGAGTGGAGATCTCGCCACTGCACACTCCAGCCTGGGTGACAGAATGAGACTCCGTCTCTAAAAAAAAAGGAATAGCTTTTATCTAATTATCATATTGAAAGTATTGTCTTCCTTAGTTAAAAGATGAGGAAGTTTAGACTTGTAGGTGTTCAAATGATTGTGATAATGTCATTCAGGAAAGATTCAGAATTTAAATGTTTTCTAAGTTCAATCCTCCCTAATGCCATGATGCTTATATTTCTGATTTTTTTTTTTTTTAAATAGAGACAGGATCTCACCATATTGCCCAGGTTGGTCTCAAACTCCTGGGCTCAAACAGTCCTCCTGTCTTGGCCTCCCAAAGTACTGGGATTACAGGCATAAGCCATTGTGCCTGACCAGTATTTCTGATATATTAATTTGTATATCCGTTATATAAAAAGGAATTCTGAGATAAGATATTCTCATATTCTCACTTAGGAGATCTATTATATACATTGTGTTGACTTGAACAATATTAATTATTAGCTTCTGGAGTATGGAAGTCTTCACTTGTTTCGGCAGATAGCTAAAGTGATGTAAAACAGACCTTTGGATCCCTTAATCTCTACCTTTGATTTTTTTTTGTTTTTACTAAGAATTATTTCAGTTTTTTCTTTTGTAATGGAGATTTTATTTGTCGTGTTGAGAATAAGTATACAGACATTTCAAATTGTACACAATTCTTAACATACATACCAAAAATCTAGAAAACCTCTATTGTAATTCCTTTTTCTGAAACGGTCTCTCTCTATTGCCTAGGCTGGAGTGCAGAGGAGTGATCACGGCTCACTGCAGCCTTGACTGCCCGGGCTCAACCGATCCTCCCACTTCAGCCTCCCAAGTAACTGGGAGGTGCATGCCACGATGCCTGGCTAATTTTTTTTTTTAATTTGTAGAGACAAGGTCTCACCATGTTGACCAGGCATGTCTCAATCTCCTGGGCTCAAGTAATTCTCCCACCTTGGCCACCCAAAGTGCTGTGATTATAGGTGTGAACCACTGCACCCGGCCTCTTTTTTAAATAGTTATTATAGTGACATTCCAACTTAACATTTGGAGGCAAATTTTTCTTAAGAGGATTATCAAGAGCCAGTATCTACAAGTGTTTGATAAGCTGTACACGTTCTACCAATTCACAGTTTAATAGCATGTACACTATATACCCAAATTTTCAATCTTTCACAGCACATTAACACAGTTATTAGGAAATCAGGACTTCTGTGACCAAAGATGTTATAGTGTACACAGTTCTGACAGGGAGAGCCATGATCAAGGAGTGGTTTTCTTTAGGAAACAATTCTGTGAAAAAAAAAAAAAAACATGGCAATAGAAGTAATTTAAAATGTTCAAGACATTAAATGCAGGATTCTGACTCTGTATTGCCATTTAGTATATTTTGTATTACAGTATATAAAAACTAAGCCCCCATCTGTGGAATGTTAAGCTGACATCCAAGACAGTCAAAACTTCCTGTAATTCAATATCCCATACTATTCTCTGGTTTCACCAAAAAATAAACAACCAGAGAATTATTTCACCTCAGAAAAAACTTAACAATGGAATGAGGTGGGAGTTCCTGCTACTTAAAATGTTTCTAGAGCTACTAAAAGACTTGCACTTACAAAGCAGTTGATAAAAATACCCTGGATTGTACAAGAAGGGAGACAGGGACTACTGATAAGACATGGTATATGATATTAATCAGACTTGGCTTCTTTCTCTCCTGCTTCATCAAAGGTTGGAGTCTCCTCGGTTTTAGTTTCTTCGTTTTCTGCAGGTAAATCTTATTTAGTTTCTTGGTTAGCCACTTTGGCCTGTTTTCCCTATGCTCCCCTTTTCCCATTTGTTTGCATTTTTTTTTTTTTTTTAATCTGAAGATTTAGCCTTTCCTGATGCCTCTTTGGCTTCATTTCCACTTTTGCAGGAGCAGGTTTAGCTGACAAGTGCGCAGATCTCCTCTTGGGCTCTTGCTTCGCCACCCCTTCGGCTGAACTGACCTTCCTCTTGGGCATCTTGGCGGCAGGAGGGGCACTTGCTGGGCACCTGTGGGCCACGGAGCTGAGAGCCTTCGCGAAGCTGGGCTGCCTGGCTACTGGCACTCCTCCCGCTGCCCGAGCTGCTGAGACCCCTATTTCAGTTTTGAAAGTCTTTCTGTTAATTAGTACCTTGAAACCATGAGCATGTAAGCTTTTTCAGAAAACTTCAGCCAATTTGATATATATGGATATAATTACATTCTTTAATATGAACTATTTTGATGTGAAGATTTATATAAATTAGCTTCATTATAGTACTTTCTCAATCTAAAGTTATGTATTTTAATTTTACTTAGTATTTACTCAGCAAATGGGGTTCAGAAAATGTTTGTTGTTTCTTTCAGTAAAGAAGCCTACTGTGTGCCCAACACATTTGATACAGGCACTACAGAGCTGATAAAGAGAAGTTCTGGTAGAGGAGCCTGTATAAAAAGTAGCCGGGGATGGTTGTGAAGGGCTGAAGGAGTACTCGGCATGGAAGGAATCCTCGGCATGGCAGGCTTCCTGGGAGTGGCAGAAGTGGGGGCTGCCAAATTGAGACTTGATTCTCTATAAGGATTTTAAGCAGAAAAATGCTATGGTTAATTTTTTTTTTTTTTTTTAAACAGCCTCATGCTGTCAACCCAGGCTAGACTGCAGTGGCATGATCCCAGCTCATTGAAACCTTATTTAATTTTCATTATATCCCTTTAGAGTAGCTATTGTTATTATCCTATTTCATTCATGAAATTCTGAAAAGTAATGTGCCATATAGCTTAGAAATGGCAAATCTGGCACTTGAACTCAGGTCTCTAACACCAAATTTGTGGCTACATTTCAGAGTACCCATAATACCTCTTATGTTACTTATTACTAGTATAACATACTGTAAATCTTATAATACTACAGAGTCCTTTGTATCTCAGCCTTTCTAGTAATCAAAGACCCAGGGATGACTATAATATTAGGAGTAAGCGGCTCACTTTCAACTTCTGGAAAGGTTACATCATTAATTATTTGATAATACAGTTTGAGTATCTCTTTTTTTTGTTTTGTTTTGTTTTGTTTTGTTTGAGACGAAGTCTCCCTCTGTCGCCCAGGCTGGAGTGCAATGGCACGATCTCAGCTCACGGCAACCTCCACCTCCTGGGTTCAAGTGATTCTCCTGTCTCAGCCTTCTGAGTAGCTGGGATTGCAGGTGGGCGCCACCAAGCCTGGCTAATTTTTTTTGTATTTTTAGTAGAGATGGAGTTTCACCATGTGGGCCAGGCTGGTCTCAAATTCCTGACCTCAAGTGATCCACCTGCGTTGGCATCCCAAAGTGCTGAGATTACAGGCATGAGCCACCGTGCCTGGCCCAGTTTGAGTATCTCTTAGCTGAAATGCTTGGGACCTAAAATTTCTCAAATTTTTAATTTTTTTTTGATTTTGGAATATTTGCATATATATATATAGTGAAGTATCTTGGGAATGGCCTCCAAGCCTAAACACGAATTTCATTTATGTTGTATATACAATAGCCTGAAGGTAATTTTATAAAATATTTTAAATAATTTTGTGCATATAACAAAGTTTTGATTGCAGCCTGTCACATGAGGTCACGTGTGGAATTTTCCACCGTGGTGTCATGTTGGTGCTTAAAAAGTTTAGGATTTTGGAGCATTTCAGATTCCAGATTTTTGGACTAGGGATGCTCATTTACTGGTTCCTTAAGTAGAAGTATATCAAGTTCCCTTTAGACTCACTACATTGTTGTATTGAGTTGTGACTATGTTCTTCTTTTGCTTAAGGCTGCTATGCTGAGATATGCTCTTAACCCCTTGTTTATCAACTCATAATGTGATTGGTATTTTCTCGTGCAGTGTTCTCAGTCTGGAATCCCTTCATCTTCCTTCTGTTTTTACCTTTCCCTTGCTTGACTAACTTCTCACTTTAAGAACTTAGGTTAGGCATTACCTTAAGAAGCTTCTCTGACCTTCTGCCCTAACTTTGGGCTGGATAAAGTCCCCTTGTTTGGTATCCCATTATCATCTTACATATATAGCTAAACATTTTAAACTTTCATAGTGTCAGAATGTATTTGTATTTATGTTTTAGTCACTGTCACTAGAGGTTGAGCACTTCAGGACAGAAAAGATGTCTGAGGCATTTTTGTGTCCACAATGCTTAACGTACTTTAATTGTATTACCATCTGACCAAATGATTAAATGATTGATTTTATTGCTAGTGTCAACTTTTATAGACACTGTAAACCTAAGAGTACTGTATATTATTTTTTCAATTTGAAGGGCTAATGTATTTGATCAAATAATCATCAAACTAAAAGATATTGGCAATCTTTGATCTTTCTGTTGTCATACAGCACCACAGCCAAACTGTTCCCAATAATAATTTACCATATTTTTGTATGTATGTGTGCATGCATGTACGAATGAATTAATGAATGGATGACAGGGTCTCATTCTGTTGCCCAGGCTTCAGTGCAGTGGTGCAGTCATGGCTCACTGCAGCTTCAATGGGCTCAAGTGATCCTCCCACCTCAGCCTTCCGAGTAGCCAGGACTGTAGGCACACATCACCATTCCCAGCTAATTTTTTAAAAAAGTTGTTGTGGAGACAGAGTCTCATTATGTTGCCCAAGCTGGTCTTGGGCTTAAGTGATCCTCCTGCTTCAGCCCCGCAGAGTGCTGGGACTACAGGTGTGAGCCACCATGTCCGTCCAATTTATCATATTTTAAAAAGCTATAGCCACGTGTACATTATAAACTTGGTTAAATAAATTATAACCTCTTTATAGAAGTTTGAGTTTTAGGTGAATGTTAACCTTTTAATTGCATTCTATCCTGAAAGTATAAATTTAATGCTTTGTTATCAGGCTTTGCAGTAATCCATGCTGTGATTTTTATTTGTACTCCTTGTTAGTTATGTTTATTCAGTAATGCTTTAATTCCCTAAAACATTTAATTAAAGCCTTTTTTCAAGAATAGGACATAGTCTTAAACATTAACTAGTTGCAAAGGTAGTAAAAGTGAAAATAGAAATAGAATTATTTTATGCCAGTCTCAACACTATTATAATTCTCTAAAGTGATTTTCTTCTTTGAAGGACATTTTTGTTTGTTTGAGCCTAATAGCCTATAAATAAAGACAGACTCTTAAGGTAAAAGCTAATTTTCTTGGTGGCTTTAGGAACAGTGTTTCAAAATGCATAGTATATATGTATTTAGATGTTTGTTTTTTTAAAAAACTGAAATCTTGACAAGAATGGAGAAAAACGTGAGGTGCTCTATATAATAGAGAACAAGGAGTTATTTTTCATGAAAAGGTGGATCAGGGAATTTTTACTTTGACTCATAAGGGATGTGAAAAGTTTTCGTGATGTTTCCAGGAACTGCCGACTCAGTTGATGCTTGTTTGTTTATTTGTGGTATTGTCTTCTCTGACTTCCAGAGTGGGCTCTGTAGCCTGCTGTCTATCCTTATGACTGCCCACTGCTTCCCCTAATTTATAACAGTTATCTCATGTTACTGTAATTACCTCTCCAGTGCCTTTTTTCTTGCTAGGCTCTAAGGTTTATGAGGCCTAAGAATTGTGGATATTTGTTTGCTACTATGTAATGGGTGCTTAATATTTATGGAATAAATGATGTAAACTAGTAGAAAACAGAGATTTATTCCCCAAAAGTAATCGCTTTCGTTCATGGCAATGTTTAAAGCACTGTAGATCTTGAAATGCATTGTATACATAAAGAACAATTGAGTTAGCTTTAATATTAGCATTACTTTAGTCCAATTCATTATATCTCTAGTAACTTGAATTATCTAAAATATTTATTTTATCATTGTGTTTTATTTTATTTTTTGAGACAGCATCTCACTCTGTTGCCCAGGCTGGAGTACAAGTGGTACGATCTTGTCTCACTACAACCTCTACCTCCCAGGTTCAATCGATTCTCGCAGCTCAGCCTCCCAGGTAGCTGGGACTACAGGCGTGCGCTGCCATGCCTGCTAATTTTTGTATTTTTTTTTTTTTTTTTTGTAGTGATGGGATTTCACCGTGTCGTCCAGGCTAGTCTCGAACGCCTGAGCTCGAGTGATCGGCCCTCCTCAGCCTCCCAAAGTGCTGAGATTACAGGAATGAACCACCAGGCCTGACCTGGCTTGTTTTATTTTATTTATTATTTTATTTTATTTTTGAGATACAGTCCTGCTCTGTTGCCCAGACTGGGGTGCAGGGGCGTGATCTCGGCTCATTGCAACCTCTGCCTCCTGCGTTCAAGCGATTCTCCAGCCTCAGCCTCCTGAGTAGCTGGGATTACAGGTGTGTGCCACCATGCCCAGCTAATTTTTGTATTTTTAGTAGAGGTGGGGTTTTGCCATGTTTCTCAGGCTGGTCTCGAACTCCTGAGCTCAAAGTGATCTGCCCACCTCAGCCTCCCAAAGTGCTGGGATTACAGGCGTGAGCCACCACACTTGGCCTGTTTTATTTTTGAGACAGGGTCTTACTGTGTTGCCCAGGCTTCAGTGCAGTGACACAATCATGGCTCACTACAGCCTTGACCTGCCAGGCTCAAGCAGTCCTCCTGTCTCAGCCTCCGGAGTGGCTGGGACTACAGGGATGTGCCTCCGTGCTTTGCTAAGCTACTCATTTTAAATGCTACGTTATCCATCTTCTCTGGATAGTCATTTACTATATTTTGTTTTGGAAGTTATTTTGTACTTAAATCTTGTTCTTTGATATTTGATAGTTCTATGAATTAATTCATAATTATGAATTCTTAAAACAAAATAATAAAATTATATTCTTAGTATCTTGCAGCTTCCTTAGGAAGTAAATTCATATTTTTCATAGTTGATAAAGCAGGTACATTTCCAGATGGATAGAGGTTCCTAGACCTTGCCCACTACCTCTTCTCCATAAATCTATAATCTGCTGTGGGTCTTTGTGGCATTCCCACTGGCTTCGCCACCAGCCAATTGAGAATGGGGCCCTGGAGTGCTGCTTATTGTGATTTACCTTATTCTTGCACTGAGTCAAGTATAGACACAGCTTCTGTTTATTTCCCATGCTAGGTATGGGATGGTTGAAACATCTAGAAAAGATAAAGGCTTCTAGATAACAGAGGAAATTAACATGGAATTCGTTTTACTCATAGTAGAAGTCAGAATCCTCACAATGGCCTATGGTCTAACATGAACTGGTCTCTGATGTGTCTCTGACTTCCTGTCTTCCTATTCTGCTCCTTTCTCACTTGGTTTCATCACAGTGGCTTCCTTGCTGATTCTTGGACCTTCCTGCATTTCTGTACCTAAGTGTCTTTGCAGCAGCTGTTCTCTCTTGCCCCGAATATATGCATGACTCACTCTCTCCTTCAAGTCTTTCCTCAGATTTTACCTTCTGAATAAGGTCTGCCTTGACCACCCTATATAAAACTGCCCCCACCTCCCACCCCCAACCTTGATCCCTTGTACCCTGCTCTACTCTGTTTTTTTCCCCGTAGTACCTAATCACCTTATAATGTACTATAAAATTTACATAATAATTTATCGTATTATTAGTGTCTGTCTTTTGTCTCTAAAATGTAAGCTTAATAAGGAAGAGTTTCTTTATCTGTTTTTGTTTGTTTTATTATGATAGTGGTTGCTGTAATAAACAAGTGTGTCTCAAATACCTAGAACACTGGTGTCTGGTATATAGAAGATGGTCAGTGGTTATTTATTTAAGAAATTATCAATTTGGCTTTTGCCAGACTGAGTTTGTTCTTTCCCAGCTTGTGACCCATAGCTAGACTGCCTCATACTCTCACCTCTGTCTTCTGTCTTTGTTATATGGCCCCTTCAAGTACACCTGATTTTTTTTTTTTTGTAAATCTCTTGGATTTACAAGTCTAAATCCAAGAGAGCAAAGCCTAGAGAAATGAAAGGACACCCTTTACGGCCATTTAAATTCTGTTTTCAGCCCTCCATGGGATGATTACTAAAGAGGAATAACTATACTCCATAGGAGATTGGCCATACCCTATGGTCTAAATATGGCAGCTGTGTTAAGCTGTGGCCTTCTTTTTCTATGTATTCCCAAGGCAGTTTTCATTTCCAAATCCATGGTGGTAATGGACTGTCTCACCTGTTATATTGTGCAGAGTTCAACCTAGAAAAGAAATGACTATATAGTGGTAAACAGAATCACCAAGTTAACAGGACTAGGACCAGTATAATAGGTTTGTTCCTTTATACCTGTCCCACATTTAAATCCCTACGAGTTAGGTGAATTAGGTTCTGGTTCTGAGTCTGTAACTGATTCATTGTGTGAGCTTTGACCAGATTACTTAATTTATCTGGACTTATGTTTCTTCAGTTTTTAAGTTGACTAGGTGTTTTTTTTTTCCCCCTGTGGAGTTTAGCTGTATCATGAGAAATATTTTAAACTTTACAATTATAGTATCCTTCTCTCAAAATGTTAGCACTTCATAATCATGTTATTATATATAAATTTATATTTGGTAAGATGCTACATATTTAAAAACAGTTATGTACTTTCATAAGATAAACAGATTGGTGATATTTGTTAGCTTTCAATAAACTAGAAAATTGAGTCTTTAGCCATGATAGAGAACTCAGAGTTAGATTGTCTCCCTACCTCCCTTTCCATCTTCCTTCTTTCCCTTATTCTCTGTCCTTTGGATTATCTATTGTAGAGTTTTACTTTATTTGCTTAGAGAACAAAAGGATGATCCTTTAAAGGTATTTTTCATGAATTTGCTTTTGAATCTATATTTTATTCATCATTGTACTCCCTAGCATCCAACAGATTTTCTTGTGCTTAATAGGTGCTCCTTAAATGTTGATTTAATTAATGAATTTGCATTTATTTTTCCTCAATACTAAATTAACAAAGAAAGTGATTTTTAAATTTCTATTATTTTAAGAAAGGTGACTCTTTTGATGGTGGGACTTGATAATGCTGGTAAAACCGCAACAGCAAAGGGAATCCAAGGAGGTAAGCTGAAAACATTTATGTGCTTTCTGAACTCTATTAAATTATTCTGAATTATTTATTTTGTTAAGTTGCTTTATTCCTTATTAATTTGGTACAGATACTGTGCACTGCATTACTTTATATTCTTAGTATATTTGTGACTCTTGTGGCGAATAGGCTCTGTCTTAATGGGACCAGACTATTATGTTTCAGATTTGAATACATGCAGAGATGCAGAGGCTCCTTGATGCCTTTGATCTGCTAAGAGGGAATAGTATCTGTATTCTAGACAATAGGAAGGAAAATTTAAAAAGATGAGCTGCCCCTGCTTTTAAGAATACCCATCTTCTACTTACATTTTCCTGGCCAGAAGTTAGTCACATGCCTATGCTTAGATGAAAGAGAGGTATAGTTAGCCAGCATAGTTCTCTTTGAATCTCTTGATGCTTTTTTTCAATATAAGTAATTTTTATAATTAAATCTATATCATTAAACGGCTTTATATCATACGTACTGCATCTCATTGAATATTGAATATATATCATACATATTACATCTCATTGAGTGTATCTCATTGAATGCTGGCTAGTCTTCTTTTTTTTTTTTTAATTTTTAATTTATTAGGTCTTTTTTTGGTAGAGATGGGGTCTCCCTATGTTGCCCAAGCTGGTCTGGAATGCCTAGCCTCAAGCTATTCTTCTGCCTTGGCCTCCAAGAGTGCTGGGATTACAGGCATGAGCCACCACGCCCAGCCCGGCCAGGTAATCTTAATTTAATGCTTTGTGCTACAATATAGCAGTATCTATGCTAGTGACTTTGTTGGGCACCTAGAATGTATCACCAGTCAGGCATCTAAAGTGAGTCCCCAACCCCGGGGCCGTGGACCAATATCTGTCTGTGGGCTGGTTCTTAGGAACCAGCCCACAAAGCAGGAGGTAAGCAGCAGGCCAGTGAACGAAGCTTCATCTGTATTTACATCCTCTCCCCATTACTCACATTACTGCCTGAACATTGCCCCCTGTCAGATCAGTGGTGGCATTAGATTCTTAGGACCATGAACCCTATGTGAACTGCACATGCAAGAGATCTAGGTTATGTGCTCCTTATGAGAATCTAATGCCTAATGATCTGTCACTGCCTCCCATCACCCCCCCAGATGGGACCATCTAGTTGCAGGAAAACAAGCTTGGGGTCCCACTGATTGTACATTATGGTGAGTTGTATAATTATTTCATTATGTATTACAATGTAATAATAATAGAAATAAAGTGCACAATAAATGTAATGTGCTTGAATCATCCTGAAACCACCTCTATCCTCCAGTCCATGGAAAAATTGTCTTCTGCAAAACTGGTCCCTGGTGCTGCTGATCTAAAGGGTAAGAATTGGGAGAAATGCATAACATGTATTTGTTTCTGGAAACTGATGATTGCAGTAAGATATCATGCTTACTAAATAGTGGAAGGGCATTTATTAATTAACAGGTTGCAAAACTCACTGTTGGAAAAAAACATTTTCTCACCTCAAATGCTACTCTGTAATGTTAAGTAAATTATCTGTTATTGTCTATGATTTTTTCTAAAGCCTATGTCTATGCTATCTTCTACGTTATATCTTCACAGGACACTCACTATCATTATTTAAACTAGTGGTCAGCAAACTTTTTCTGTAAAGAGCTGAGTAGTAAATATTTTAGACCTTGCAGTCATCCAGTCTCCTTCTGAACTACAAAATTTTTATACTGTAGTGTGAAAGCAGCCATAGACCATCTGCATACATGCTGGGCACGGTGGCTCACACCTGTAATAATCCCAGCACTTTGGGAGGCCGAGGTGGGCAGATCACCTGAGGACAGGAGTTCGAGACCAGGCTGGCCAACATGGCGAAACCCCATCTCTACTAAAAATACCAAAATTAGCTAGGTGTGGTGGCACACACCTGTAATCCTAGCTACTCAGGAGGCTGAGGCAGGAAAATTGCTTGAACCCCGGAGATGGAGGTTGAGTGAGCTGGGATTGCGCCACTGCACTCCAGTCTGGGCAACAGTGAGACTCCGTCTCAAAAAAAAAGAAGACAATCCGTATACAAATGAGCATGGCCAAGCTCCACTGAAAATTTATTTCCGGCACTGAAATTTGAATTTAATATAATTTTCATGTGTTAGGAAATATTTTTCTTTTAATTTTTTTTAGTCATTTAAAATGTAAAACACATTCTTAGCTTGTGGGCCATACAAAAACAAGTGGCAAACCAGATTTGACCTGGAGGCCATGACACCTTCTTCTAACCTTCTTTTATCCATTCCTCTAAAGCCTGACATTCATGGGAGCAGGCACCTTAGAATGTGCTAATCAGATTACCTAATTTGTTATGTATACTGGGTGTACTTAGAACATCCTCTTTCCTTTCTTTCTCTTATGTATTCCACCTCCATATATTCATAAGTTCCTTTTTCTGAGTCTAGAAAATGCTTAATGTCAAAGCTGCCTTCAACTTCGAGCCCCACTCCCCATTCTCTTTTTGTCCTTCATCCCATATTTACTCTTCAGTTTCTTACTTTGAAATTTTTTTAGGACTATAATTTCTTAGAACTACTTGAAACTTCCCAGATGTAAGCCTTCTCTTTCCTTTATATTTTTGTGTTGTTCTCACTTACCTAACTAGAGAGAATATCTACTGATGTTTAAAGATGTATTTTTGTCGTATAGTCTCCTCTTTTATAAAGTCCTTTTTAATTCCCAGCTGCCCCAATTACTACCTTACTTAGTAGAATTGATCATGTCCACTTTTTTGGCCTGCTCTTCCTGATACCTACTTGGTCACTACTTAATTACATTTTGTTTGTGTATCTTTTTTCTTCAGGCTGTAAATTCTCTAAAGGCATTTTGCTTATTTTGGTGTCACAATTGTTTAGGCCATGCGCCTAGGTCTTCTTAAAACACCTCTCTCATGGCTCCTACTTTTCTACTTATTTCTGATTCTTTTCTGACTTCTCAGCCTTCTTTTTTTTTTTTTTATTTCCGTGTGAAATTGAGAAAAAGTTATCTGCTAGTTTCTTTTCAGATGTGTCTACCTCTCCTCTGACTGTGTTGCCATTGGCTAAATCCAAACCCTCAGTTTCTTTTATCTATGATGTCACAGTAGCTTTTTTCTAATTCATATTCTATTTATTTATTTATTTATTTATTTATAATTTTTTATAGAGGTGAGTCTCACTATGTTGCCCAGGATGGTCTTGAACTCCTGGCCTCAAGTGATCCTCCTGCCTTGGCCTCCCGAAGTGTTGGGATAGTAGGCATGAGCCACTGAGCCTGGTCATATTTTTTTGGTTTTTTAGAGACAGGGTATCACTTTGTCATCTAGGCTGGAGTTCGGTGGCGTGATCATAGCTCACTGTAATCTCAAACTCCTGGGCTCAAGCTATCCTCCTGCCTCAGCCTCGAGAGTAGCTAGACTAGAGGTGTGCTCCACAATGCCTAGCTAATTTTTTTATTCACAATAGCTTTTTTTCCCTTTTTTATTTTTAATTTTGTGAGTACATAGTAGGTGTATATATTACGAGGTACATGAGATTTTTGTATAGGCATGCAAGGCATAATAATTTCGTCATGAAAAATTGGGTATCTATTCCCTGAACATCTATTCTTTGCGTTACTCTTTCAGTTGTTTTTAAATGTTCGATTAAATTATTATTGACTATAGTCTGCCTGTTGTGCTTTCAAATACTAGGTTTTATTCATTCTTTCTAAATTTTTTTCACAATAGCTTCTTAATATAAAAGTAACACCCCTTCCTGGAACTTTACTTCTTTAAATCAAACTTCTCTTCTTCATGGTTGTCAGTAATTGCATTAGTTGGACACAGGTTCAATTGTTCTCACAGAGACCTAAGATAACAGTGGTTCAACAAGATAGATGTTTCTTTCTTTCTCATAACAGCCTAAGCAAAAGTAGTCTAGGACTGGTTTGTCAGCTCCATCGTGTTAGTCCTCAATTCTTTGTTCTATTTGCTTTGCCATCCCCAGTGTTCTCCCTCACCTACATGGTTGAAGGTAGTTCACTACAAAATGTGCATTTCAGCTAGAAGGAAGAGGTAAAGGGTAAGGGGAGGCCATCCTCCTTTTCTTTAGGAGCTGAACCAAAAGCTGCTGCATCATTTTAGTTCACATCATGACTAGAAGCAGTGGTGTTCTGGACCTGCTTTTCATATTGGCTCATATCAACTAGTGAGAGCCGATTATGCATATCTCTTCCCAACTCTATGTTTAGGTACCTCACATTGTTAGTTTGAAATTGGCCATGGTCAAAGTATTTATACTGTGGAAATTGGCAGATACCATACATGTATCAGGGTTCTTCTCCTCCAAATATTTAACAACACATCACTGGCTAGCCTCCCCTCATGGCCACCCCTTGCTGCCGTAGTAGTTGGGGATTATGGTCTGTTGTAAGCAGTCATGAGCCTAGGTAAAAAAAAATCTAGGATTCTCTTGACTATCAGATAGTGTTTCCTAATAGGGAACTATTGTTATTTTTGGTGCGAAAATTCTTTGCGTGGACTGGTCCCTAGCATTGTTGGGTATTAACATGTCTTCATTATATTGTAGTTATTTGTGATTTGTGAAGAGGAAAAAAAAAACAAAAAAATTATAGTTACTCATATATATATTTATGTTTCATATGTAGTTATTTGTGTATGTGTGTGTGTGTGTGTGTATATGTATATATATATATTTCCCCAATAGACTAAGAGCTCTATGGGATCAGAAGATGGATTTTATTAATCTTTGTATTTCTAGAACCATGCATAGTACTTAGCTTATAAGAAATGCTCAAAAATTTATTGATTGTATATTTGCATTTTATCTTGGACTTTCTAGAGATGATGTCTTACCACATATACTCTACTGAAATTCTCAATTGGAGACCATGTATCTTTGTATTCCTGGTTCTTGTATGATTTATCATCTATAATGGGCCCTAAATACATGTACGAGGATAGATGGATAAATACATGAAAGGAAAAAAGAAAGGGTGGATGTATGGGACAGGAGCTTCAGTTATCTCAGTGGTTTGGTGGTGTAGTATTGAGCCCTATATACTTTGTGCTGAATGCTAAGGATACAAAGACATAGTCCCATGTGTTGGGAAGGTATAGGCTATTGTGAAGATCAGTAGAGGACAGAATATTATGATAGAGGTAAAGGTGATAGTAGAAGTAGGAGGAATCATCAAAAAAGGATTTATGGGGAAAGTTGTACCTGAACATTTAGTCTTAAGTTGTGAAACACAAATGCTGAATAGGAACCAGAGGAAAGAATAGAAGGTGTTCCATATATCAAAAGAAACAGGCTTTGGAAGTCCTGAAGACCTCTGTTTGAGGCCTGTCTCTGCCTGCTATATAACCTTGAAAAAAAATCCTTAATCTGAATTGGTTTACTGGGCATATTGCCATCATTTTATCTGTACTTAAATTGCTCCCTCTGCCTAAAATATAGTTCTCCCTTCTCTGTTACAATTATGTAGCTTTTATGTGTTCACTCACAATGAAGTCTTCATTTCAAGATTTTATTTCTTCTCTGAAAGCCTTTCTAGACCATAACTTGCCCCTCCCTTTTTCACCTTCCTTCCCTTGAATTCCTACACACTATCGTCTCTAGCTTATTTTTTTTAAAGAACATACAAATTCTGTGTTATTCCTATTAATATTCCACTTCTCTATATTACATTGTACTTTGAGGACAGCAATCATATCTTACTCATCTTTGCACCCTTGATGCCTAACAAAGTCCTGGTACCAAGGAGGTGTTTGATACATGTTAGTTCCCTTATTCCTACTTCAGCATAGTTGATTTGTTTTCACTGATGATTGCCTGGGGTTCCTCTCTATTCATACTGAAAGACAGCTGCCTATTTTATCCACACAAACTACTTCTGGTTAAGCTTAGATCACATTTTTAAATGCCTAGTATAATCCTATTTCTGGAAAATCATTCTGCTTATATGTCTAACTTTACCTTTTTCTTTTTCTAGGTAATGAAAGTATTAGCAAAAGTATGACTTGTAGTGGCTCTTAACTTTCTCAGGTGCTGTGTAAACTTCACTAAGGTGCTTACCAAGAGATTGGTGTGTTGCAAGTCTGTTTCTCAGTCACACCTAAGTTTAGTGAATGCCTTTCAAATTAATCTTTGTAATAGCAAATGTTTTGCTAAATGTGGAAATAAGACCCTCTAAACACCGGTGTTGTTCAGTAGAACTTTCTGCAATGATGGAAATGTTCTATATTGGCTCTGTCCAGTAGGGTGGACCACTAGCCACATGTGACTTTTTTTTTTAAACTCTAGATGTTACCCAGACTAGTCTCAAATTCCTGGCCTCAGGTGATCCTTCCGCCTCAGCCTACCAAAGTGCTGAGATTTCAGGCCTGAGCCACTGTACCCAGCCACCACATATGGCTTTTGAACACTTGAAATGTAACTGATGCAACTGAGAACTGAATTTTAAATTTTATTTTAGTTTATTTAAATTTAAAAAGCCTCGTGTGGCTTGTGGCTTTTGTTTTGACCATGCAGCTCTGAACAATGTTTTCTGTGGGATAATATTTATAGTGGATTCCAGTGATGAAGAAAAAATAGAACAGAAAAATATAAAGTTTGAACTTTTCTCTGTAGCCATGAGTCAGTATGCCATTAATCTTTCATGAGTTCTCTTTTCTATTCCTTTATTTTCATGCCTCTCTGAAAAGAGGCTATTACTGTCACTTCCAGTCAGTCTAGAGACTTTTGCAAGATTAATTTTAATAAAGCACTATTTCAGTCACCTTAATTATATCATTGGTCTGCCAGATATTTTCAATAATTCCTTGTTCTCTATCTTCAGAACCCTCTTCTATTTGCATTCCTAATCTTAAGGATTTGCTGTAGGCACAATGTTCAATTTGTTCATATTCCTTTACTTTGCCATTTCCCTTCCTCTTCTGCCTGTTTAAATCCTATACAGCTTTAAGGCCTAAATTCTATCTCTCCAATGAGGTCTTTTAAGATCCTCAGGTATCTTTTAAAGCTCTTATTGTCATTATCACTCCTTGGCAGTTCATATACCTCCTGTATCTTCTTTATGTTTTCGTATATAGAAATCCAAAAAAATTCAATTATGTATTTATTGGAACATCCAAAATATGTTCCTATAGAAAGAATGAAATCTACTTTTTGTTGCAAGCTGCCCTTAAACGTCTCTTTATTGTAAATATAACTTTAATTCAGCTAATTAAAAAAGAGTGGCCTTATTCTTTATAGCTTCTCTCATTCTTTGATTCTTCTAAACTCTTCTATTCTCTAAGTGTTCATGGTTTTCTTTATAACTCCACAGATGTTTTAATAGTCCCTGGGGATGGCTATGGTATTGAAAGGTTGACATTTTTATTGTTTGTAACTTGGACAGTAAATAGCCTTAAAGGCAAGAGTTTATTCATTTATTAATTCAACAGATACTTACTAAGTACCTATTATATACTAGGTGTGGGTGTTATATCAGGGGAAAGAAAGATTCCTATCTGCATGGAGTAAAATTTCTAGTTTGATATTCTGGCCTGTCCCCAAACCAGTATGCTTCAAAATAATGTTTATTGTGTCAGTGAATGCTAAATATTTCACTTGGGTGCTAAAATTTTAGTTGAAAAATTAACGTTGTCAATTAAAGTCTAAAGATTTTCTTTTTTTGTGTATCATTTGTAACAGAATACCCTGAAGATGTAGCTCCTACTGTTGGATTTTCAAAAATTAACCTTAGACAAGGAAAGTTTGAAGTCACCATCTTTGACTTGGGAGGTGGAATAAGAATTCGGGGAATCTGGAAGAATTACTATGCTGAATCCTATGGGGTAATATTTGTTGTGGATTCCAGTGATGAAGAGAGAATGGAAGAGACAAAAGAGGCTATGTCAGAAATGCTAAGACATCCTAGGATATCGGGAAAGCCTATATTGGTGTAAGTAATGTTAGCATCATTGTAAATGTAGGGACGATGGCATTGGCCACTAAAGAAATTTACCTGTTACAGACTAGTGAATAAGCTAAAATAGTCACGCTTTAGTATACTAAAATGTATGTAATTAACTGGGAGTTGTTAATTTACTGAGGCCTTGTTATAGTGCTGTCTATAGGGGAAAAGGGCTAAGGCTATAGAATTCTTAAAAGTGGATCTCTTCGATATTCAAATATAAACTCATTGTTTTATGTGATAGTTTACTTTTTATAGAATTTTGCATTTTGAAATACTCCATTAACAAGGTTCTAAAATATCTTTTAATTTTTTCTCTTTTAGTAACTTGTATTTTGCTTTTGTCCTTTTTTCCTTAAAGAGTTATTATTTCAGAGTTATGTAAACAGTTTATTTTTCTAATACCACATTGATTTCTCAGTTTTCACATCTACATTTCCATATTGGACATGTGATTGTTATCAAATTAGGCATACACTTATATGATTTCGTCCATGTGGGTGAACATTTTTTAAAAACGAAGTGACAAAGGACTTTTGCACTACCAGCCCTCATAGCATTTATGCATGGTAAACAGTAGATGGTGCTATAACCGTGAGGCATAGCAAACTGAAAGTAGTTTAAATTGCTCTTTAACTTGTAGTAAACTAAATATTTGCCCTTGCCGTCTTGTCCCTTTTCCCTTGTTCTTGTGGTTCATTATTAAGGATTAAAAAAAAAAAAAATCAACCTGTCATGTGGTTAGATGAAAAATTGTAGAGTTTCTCAGTGGTCTTCAGTAGTAAATGAACATTTTTAAATGAGGTGGTTTGGAAGCTCTGATTGCAAAAGTTAAAACTGTATTATATAATTTATTGCTAAAGTTGATACTTTTAAATTTTTATATATTTAATTAGAGAAGTTATTTGATTTGTATAAGCAATTCTCATGTTTTATTGAATCTAAAGGAGAACTTTTAACAGGGATATGTATGAAGAGAGAACTTTGCAGAACCCCATAGGCTAAATTGGTGTTTACAGATGTTTAAGCAGGGAATCAGTGATTTCTAGACTAAAGTAAAAAATATTAATGATGGTTATTTGTAAAACAATATTATGTGCTTTTTTAAAACTAGTCATTTAATTTTTTTCATTTACTCTTTTCTGGATTTATTCATTAATACATGCATTAATTCAACAAATATTTACGTGAGCATCTACTGTTGCCAAGCATAGAATCTTTTCTATAATCACAACATTGCCAAGGGTTGGGAAAGTGTTTGGGAATAAAAATAACAAAAATCCAAGTTAGACCTCAGGAGCTTACATTCTAGGGGGTGAGATAACAGACTAAATATAATTAATAAGTTACATTATATATTAGATCATCAGTGTATTGAAAACAAACAAGTAAAAGAATATCAGAAAGCCTATGGTGGTAGTGATGACAAGGGTCTGTTGCTCTTATAATTAGAATGATCCTAATAGGCCTTATTGAGAAACTGACATTTGAAATGAGGGAGTCAGTCATGCAGATATCTGTGGAAACGGCTCAAAGTCGGGGTATACAGTTGTTAAGTGACTACAGTGATTACTGAGTAATCAAATAACAGCAAAATATTTGCTTTCAATTCTGTCACCTCTCTCAGCTAGTGAATTTCCTGAATAGAAAAGAAAATACAGAACTACTGTGATTGCTTCACCATTATAAACTCATAGTTAGTGAGAATTCACAAAGATATAAGAATTAATTATGGACAGTGTAATATGTTTATGAAATATAGAATCGTTTGCCATTTGACCAGATTTTCTCATGGGATTTTTACAATCAGAATTTTATTATTAAAGGTAAACTGCTTTTTGGAAGGAATGTGATTCAAAAATATACAAAATGTACACAAAAGTACACATTCTTAGTAAATTTCAAAGATAGAGGGAAAGGTTTTTTGTATATTTTTTTTGATATTTAATAGTTGTGCATATGTGGAAAAGAATGTTTAAAAACATGATTGACTTACCATCCAGGGCCAGCCACCGTTAGCATTTTGATGAATTTCCTATGCATGTATATTTATGAGACAAGTAATGTATACAGTATTCATATAATAAATACAATTTTGAGCCGGGCACGGTGGCTCACGCCTGTAATCCCAGCACTTTGGGAGGCCGAGGAGGGCAGATCACGAGGTCAGGAGGATCGAGACCATCCTGGCTAACATGGTGAAACTCTGTCTCTACTAAAAATATAAAAAATTAGCCGGGCATGCGCGCCTGTAGTCCCAGCTACTCGGGAGGCTGAGGCAGGAGAATTGCTTGAAACCTGGGAGGTGGAGGTTGCAGTGAGCCAAGATCACGCCACTGCACTCCAGCCTGGGCGACAGAGCAAGACTCTGTTTCAAAAATAAATAAATAAAATTTTGTATCCTACTCTTTTTTTTGATATGTTTATAAACACCTCTTGAATGTCTGACCAAGCCCCATATTTGAAAGTTCTCCTGTTTACCTTTTTCTCTCTGACTTGCAATTAATTTCTCTTATTGATGTTACTGTCTTACTATCGTTTGAATCTCTTCACTACTCCATTTCCCTTTAGTGTTACCTCCCTTCAATTCCTCTTCTCTAATCACCTGTGTTGCTGATAGGAACAGTCCCTTAACCAGTCTCTAACTGCCAGTCTTGCCTGCCCCCCAAGCTCTCCTCTACACTGCCAGCAGTTCTTTTCTTTATTTGATATTTTTCAGATTACAAAACTGGTACATGCTTGTTATGACCAGTGAAACAATACAAGAATATGTAAAGAATATGAGACTTTTAAAAATACAATTTTGATAATTTTACTGCTTCTTAGCTTAAAGTCCTTCAAGTTCCTTTCATAGTTCCATGCAGATAAGAAATTCTTTCTTTAAACTAACATAACCTCTGCAACTAGAAATAATGCCTGGCATATAATAGGTCTGGCACTGACAGATCTGCTGTATAATAAGTAGAAAAGATGTTCAGCAGAACTGTGCTAAGCTCAGTGCTAGGGGATGGGGGCTGTAGAAGGGTAGCAGGAGGGGATACCTGTATTAGAGTCAGGTGGCAGTTCTCTTTGTTGCACACAGCTTCCTCCTTAGTGCCCACAGACATCTGGACCACTCATATGCCAAATATTTACAGCATCTAATTTCTTCTGCCCGCGCCTTATCTGAGCCTAAACTAGTTGAGGTAACGCACAGTGCCTTAGAAGTCATTTTAATGCTTGGATAACTTTCTCCTCCTACCCCCAATAACAAGCAAGCAGAAAACAAGACCTCTGAAAAGCTTCATTTAATAGAAGGAAATAAACCTAAAGATTAAGAAACTTTTCTATAATCACAAAATTACAAATTGACAGAGCCTGAATTCATTGTTATTTGTGGGAAGTAGAGTGGATGACCACAGTAGCAGGTTGTGACAATCTTTAGTTCTTCTCTACTTGCTCCTACACACAAGCCTGACAGCATGTTGTGATGGCAAATAAGGCCTTGGCCAGTGTCTCATTCTGTTTTCATGGTGCTGATAAAGGCATACCTAAGACTGGGAAGAAAAAGAGGTTTAATTGGACTTACAGTTCCACATGGCTGAGAAGGCCTCAGAATCATGGTGGGAGGCAAAAGGCACTTCTTACATGGTGGTGGCAAGAGAAAATGAGGAAGATGCAGAAGCAGAAACCCCTGATAAAACCATCAGATCTCGTGTGACTTATTCACTACCATGACAACAATATGGGGGAAACTGCCCCCATGATTGAAATCATCTCCCACCAGGTCCCTCCCACAACACAGAATTATGAGAGTACAATTCAAGATGAGATTTGGGTGGTGACACAGAGGTAAACCATATCAGCCAGATTTTACTTGATGTCACAGACTGGAGGTTTTTCTTGAAAAGTCAGAATCAGAATATCACTAGGCTTCTTTGTTTTATTAGCTCAGAAGTTCTTTTTGGCAGTTGTATAGCATTTATTAATCAGCATAATATTTTAATTCTTCTGAAATAAGTGGTGAAAAGTTTAGGGAGAAGACAGAGTCTGGAACCTGGATTCTAAGAGCTACTGTGAATTTGTTGATAACCCTGATAAGTCACTTTACTTCTTTGGGCTTAGTTAAATGCCTCTTCTATAATAAAAGTAACTGTAAAATATTCTAATTCTGTGTATTCAGCTATGTAGAGTGGCATGAACCAGAACCAATTTCAATAGAAAATTAAAAATGATTTGCATTCCTTTTAAAGAGAGTAAAAATAAATGCCATGCAAACATTATGCTTTGCAATCATGTTAATCTACAAAGTCCTTTTTCTCTCACATCAACTATTTAGAAATTAACTTTAGCCTGTACTGTAAGGTATGAATTACGTTATCTACTCTTGCCTGCTCCCCACCCCCCTTAACTATTTAGAGCTTAATTAATCTAGCTGGCCCTTCAGAAATTTTTTTAAAAATACAAACAAAAAACCTTCAAACTAGGTAGTCTTGACAAAGAAGGCCTTTCCAAGAGAAAAAGTAAACAGGTTTTGCAACTTTATAAATAGTGCCAGCAGTAATACCAAATTTTAAGCTCAACATCCAGTATAGACATTTTCCATTAATAGTACAAGGCATGATTTGTTGATTACCTGAGGAATAAACTGAGCTGCGAGGTATTTTAAACAGCTTAATCTGTTGAAATTTTCAGCAGTCCAGGGTTACACTGATGTCATAAGAAAGCATATGCTCTTTCTACACCCCCTCTCGCTAGTACCCGTGGAGTCTTAAAAGTTGGCCTCAGAGAGATAATAAATTACCCCTTCTTTTTATAGTTGAATCTCCTAATGCTTTTAACCAAAGTTATCCTGGAGAGGCACAGGCTAAAATTTTCTTTTAGGGTAACAATTCTATTTGTATTAGCATTCTCAAACTACTGGAAGGTGCCACTTTTCTCATTACACACTGCCTGCTTTTCTGTGGAGTTACATGAACTACCTTAACTTTTGGCCAGTCTTCACAAATTGAATGATTACAGCAAAAGTGATATATGTATAGTTTCACTTGGGGAAGACAACATGATATCTCTGATTTGATCTTACTGGATGTTATGAGCATTCCAATTAAAAAGTTTCTTGGCTACTCTGGGCACACTGCGTATGGGGTAGCCCTGCTCCTCAAGGAGCAGTAAAGATAGATAGATAGATAGATAGATAGATAGATAGATAGATAGATAGATATTCTTGACCCTGGTCTTTGCACCATGAGTGGTCTCCCAAGACCTTCTGAAATCATACACAGAATCCCAAGTGTATGTACATTTTTCTTGTGAGCAGATCCTAAAGAAGTTTATGACTAAAAAGATTAAAAACCCTGTCAGTGATTTTCCATATTAGGAGAAACAATAGCCAGACATTAATTATTACTTTTTCAACATGAGATTTTTTTTGTTTGTTTCCAACCTTTATATGCTTATTTGACTCACCTTCCTTCTAGGCAGTATTACAGCAAAATGTTAGTTTGCAAGTTTCTTTTAGTCATATTCCGTATTGTAAGTGCCCAGGAGAAGTTAAATAGGTTATGGTTATCCTAATACAGTTATCAGAAATTGAATCAAACATACTTTTAGTATGTTAAACATTTAAATAATAGAAGAATCTGAGTCCTGTTTTAGAATGCTGGAGACCTATAGATATGGAATTACGGTCTGCCTATGTCACATAATCAGTTGATCCTTAGATAGAGTGGTGAGTCCCCTAATTTCCTCTGAAACCCCTACTTATTGAATTTATAAGGTCTATTGGCTTAAGATTTCTCTCCTTTCAGTGGAGCGTTACCACACTGTCATCTTCATTAATGTCATTTACTTATACTGTTGACTCATCTCCAGATGTCCTTACTGAATGTTTCCTTTTGTCTCTTAATGACATTCAGCTTCATAGCAGCTGTAATTTACAGTAAAGATTCTCAGCCAATTGATTTTGTAGGTAATTTAAGTACTGGGAGCCTGCAGAGGTCCCCATCCCTGCCTTCCCTATCACTTCAATCTAGTTAAAAACAAAATAACAGAAAAAAACTCTTTGGCAGTGTTACTACGTAGCAAGATATTGTCCATGGACCACCTGCATCAGCATCAGCCTAGACCTTCAAAATTTTTGAGGGTGAGACCAGATATACTTTGGGCTTTTTTTCCATACGTGCTCTCCAGATCATTCTGATTTATAGCAAAAATTGAGAACTACTGGTGTAGGAGAAAGTGTTAAGTCAGAAAGGCCCTAAGTAGGTTATTTAATCTTTCTAAGCTTTTATGTCTGCACTTGTAAATAGGGATTATAATATGTCATGTTATGTGAATTCCAAATAATGCATTTAAAGCCTCTCAAGCCTGTAGTACAGTGTTTCACTAGTGTTCTGTAAATGCAATGGTGGATGTGAATATCATTATTATTGATAATATACTGTGTCCAAGTGTAGAAGAATTAGGAGAACCTAATGTTTCAAAGTATTTCATCTTACGAATTCAAGCTCTATGAAGCTTGTAATTACAGAAAATGGCACAGTTTAGTAGTTATGAATATGAGCTTTAGTGCTCATAGTAATTTTTATTTTTATTATTGCATACTTTCAGTATTGCAATATTTTGCCTTCGCCTCTTTTAATAATTTTTTCCCTTTAAGGTTATTATCTTAAGAAAAAATAATGACTTTTAGTGCCTATTAAGTGTGTATATAAAATACACAAAATGCTACAACTAATTAAGTTATCATGTTATCTGTTTTGTTTAGATTAAGGTGATACTAATTGGTTTGAAAAGAGAACAATGAAAACGGTTTCTGATACATTGCTTTGTGATGATTTTTTTTGTGCTTAAGTCTTGCTTTAAAAGCAGTATGTTCTAATATAAAATGCTGAAAGAAAATAACTATTTTACAAATTCATCTGGATATAATTGTACTAATGAATATTAAATAGTACTTAATATTATCAGTTTTCATGATAAACAATTTAGTAACAATTACAAACAGGTATCACTAAGGCTGTAGAAAAAATTTTAGAAGGAACAACAGAGAGACGTCTATCACTAGTCAGCTGTGGAGTTTATCATCTTTTAAGTTTATCTTTTTTTAATAATGTTTCTTAAATATTTGAAGCGGAGATACGTGAAACATCTTTTTCTCTAGCGATGCTTGATAATTGACACCATAGAAAGCTCTTCAATTTTGTGATATTTTATAAATTAAAAATTATTTTGTATTGTTTATGAAATACATATTTTACATATACAAATTCAGTCATTTCAAATACCTCAACCTCTCTTGACATATTTTCCTTCATCATACGTACCTGGAAAAGCCACTGTCTTGCTTAGACCCAGTCATCTACACATTCTGTGCTAGCACACAAATGCTAAACATCGATAGATTAGTAATACGTGACTGTGATGGCTGATCTTACATTAAAGTTATCATAACTGCCTGGTTATCTTCTTATCTTTCTTAGAATGTTTGTTGTTCTCTCAAAATGACAGTTTCCCTCCTTGTCCTCTCATTCTGTTCTCCCTTAAACCCACTGTGCTTTCAGTTTTTGCCTGAGTTCTTTAAGGAAATAGAAACCATCGCACAAGAGTATTCTCATTTTTTCCACTACCACATTTACTCAACTGTCTGCTTTTATTCCTAAACCCTGCCTTTTCTTCTATAGTATGGAAGAAGGGTTTCTCTTTCTACCCAAGTCCAGCTTCTGCATTTGTGCTTCATACTCCACTTCTTTCTGCTCTTACATAATAGTATCCCTTCCCTTTCTTATGTGAGGAGTTTCTCTCTCTGGATCTTTCCTGTCAGCAGAATGTGCTTTCATGTTTCTTGCCTGGAAGTATAGTGGAATCCTTTCACTCTACATATCTCTCTAGCTATTGATTACTTTTTATAGTACCTTATTCAAACTTCTGGAAAGAATTGCCTGTAGTGGCTGCTGTATTTCTTCATGTCACATTCTTTCCTCTGCAGACTCCATTTGTGCTTCTGTTTCTATAATTCCTTGAAACTGCTCTTCTTGAAGTCAATAATTGTCTTTGTGCTGCCAAATCTATTGTTATTTTACTGCTCTTATTTTACCTAAAGTTGACTGTTTCTTCACATTTTTCTTTCTTTAAACTCTCCTTTTGCATTGGCTTTCCTTGTACCTCATTGACAGTTTCAGTTAGTTTCTTTTATTAACTCCTCTTCTTCTTTGAGTCTAAATTTTGAAATACTCCAGGCCCTTATCTGCACTTCCAGTTTTTTACATCCACATACTTTTCATACCACCTTACATAGCATTTATTTACTAAAATGACCCAAATCTGTACTTCTGGTCCTGACATATCTCAAGCACTCCTACTGATATAGCTAATATCCTAAAACCTCCACTTGGACCTTTTAATAGTCATTTCAGATTCTCTGGACCAAGATAGCATCTTTGATTTCCTTCTCATGGCCAATTCTGAAACCTTCGTCTCTGACTTTTCCCATGTCAGGAAATGGCATCATCATCTAATCTGTATCCTGTAATTCTACCTTTTAAATCTATCAGAAGTTAATCTAACTTTTTCCACCACCACTATATAGTATGTAGTAAGAGAATGGTTAAGAGCTGTTTCTGGAGTCAGACTGCCTGGGTTCATATCCCAATTCACTATGTGCAGTTTCTGTGACCTGGAACAGGTTAGTTAATTTTGTTGCACCTCAGTGTTCATATTGGTAAAATTGTAAAAATAGTGTCTACTTCATACTTTATCTACTCTGAAATAATTGGAACAATGAGTAGGACATTGCGAATACTTTATTCCTCTTTGATATTACTGTTGTTGCTGCCACCATCACCACCTCCTCTTCCATCCTAGTCCAAGCCACCATCATTTCTTCCTACTGCATTAACTTTCTAATTGTTTTCTATACCTATGTGCTTGTCTTCTACTCACCTCTCCCAAATCCATTCTAACCCATTCTTCATATGGTAGATAGAATGATCTTTTTCAAGTGTAAATTATATAATATTACTATTAGGTCTAGAAAAATCTGAGATCCTTGTGTTGATTACACTTGTGTGAACTTCAGACTTCTTTCCATGGCTTACAAAACCTTACATCTAGCCCTTGCTGACCTTTCTTAACCTCATCTCATATCTCACTGCTCTTTTCTGACTATGCCCCAGCTGGATTGTTATTTTTCTTTGCACAGAGTTAGTCAGACCCTCCTCAGGGTCTTTGTACTATTTGTTTCCTATGCCTGGAATTATACCCTCCCTTGTACTCATTCAGATCTTCAAGTAAATTTCACCTTTCAGAAAGGTCTTCGCTGACTACCCAATCTAAAGAAGCACCCCTTGACAGTCTCTGTCTCATTTCATTGCCCTTTTAAGTCTCTGCCCAGAACTTAACATTATCTAATATTTGTATTTATCTGCTTTCTCCATTAGAATGTGAGTTGCAAAACTCTATTCCCGTGTTGTGTGAATTTAGACTGTATCTCTAGCTTATAGTATAGTATAGCATTATCTTAAAGTCATGGCAAAATATTCAAGAATACAGTTGCCTTTAATTTGACTTTATCTGCCAGTCTGTAATACATTGCCCTGTATGGACCCAAGTTCAAGAAAGCAATACCTTAACTCATCTTCTTATTCCTTAAGCTAGATTCAGCTCCCAGTTACAAATTAGATTCTTCAAGTACATAGTTGAGTTTTCCCTGATCTGTTGACATTGAGTTAAGTTACCTTCTGAGGATAAAAGATTTGATAAAGGGCTGGGCATGGTGGCTCACACCTGTAATTCCAACACTTTGGGAGGCCCAGGGGGGCGGATCACTGGAGGTCAGGAATTTGAGACCAGCCTCGCCAACATAGCAAAACCACCCCCTCTACTAAAAATACAAAAATTAACCGAGTGTGGTGGTGCACACCTGTAATCCCAGCTACTCAGGAGGCTAAGGCACAAGAATCGCTTGAAACTGGGAGGTGGAGATTGCAGTGAGCCAGGATCATGCCACTGCACTCCAGCCTGGGTGACAGAGTGAAACTCTGTCTCAAAAGAGAAAAGATTTGATAAAGGTTCTAGTTTGGTTTAGCTTTATTGTAGCATGATTCTTAACTATTAAAATATTCTCCAGTCAGCCAAATGGATTGCCTAGGTAGTCATTACTACTTAACACATGAGAGAAATGTATAATATAGAGCTTGATACCTGACCAGAAGACTAAGATTATGCATCTCATTTTCAATAGTTAATTTGTGAGTTGATGGTAACTGTATTTTTTTGTACTTTAATTAAATAAAAGTGTGTTTTATGTAACTGGCTACAGAAGTTTCTGAAATTTTAGTGGGTTAGGGTTAAAGGGGAAAATTACAACTTAACAGTGATGAAAGGTATGTGAGTGGATCCATGAGATGGAGAAAAACAATACAAGACACTGAAATATAAGCTATCTTTTACCGTAAAGCTGGAAAAAGTTTTAAAATAGCTTCTTTATTTTGAGCTACAGCATGGACAGCACCAACAACACAGTACTCTGCAAGGATTTCTTTTTTTGTATTTTACAGCTAGTCCAAATTTCTCTTTAGTATTGTTAACATACTCTTTTGTACTATTCACTGTCATTTCAATATTGTTGATGCTCTCTCCTTGTTCCTCTACTAAAAGAGATATCTGAATGAAAAGATCCCTTAAATCCTTTATTTGGTTCTCCAAATTAACAAGTTCCTTGTGTCTCTGTTCAATCTCTGAAAGTTGTGCTTTAGTGATATTGATTTCTGTAAGTAAGCTTTCATTAAAAACTTCCCATTTTCCTTGATGAAGCATATCATTTACATCTTCTTCAGACATCTCTTTTCCAGCAACTTCAAGCTGACGTAAAATAAATGTCTTGCACTTCTCTTGCTTTGCTGCTATTGTGTCATTGTATATAAACATGATTTGCTGAAAATGGCGGAACATTGCAGCATGCTGAGATTTAAGTATCCTTGTGACCACTGAAGATGGACCATTTTCAACCTCTGACTTTTTAACTTCTTTAACTAAATCATTCAAACTTCTGTTGATGTATTCTGCCTGAATTTTTATCTCCTTTGTAATGGTAGACTCTCTCTTAAGTAGACTAAACCTTCTCATTGAAGCCACCAGACTTTTCTGTTGCTGCCCAAATTTTTGAACATTATCTGCCAAATTGTTAATACTTTCCTGTAGTTTTTGGATTTCATGTAGGTGTCTCTCAGCTACAGGCTCTCTTTCATAAATAACAGCTTGCTGTAGAAACACCCCTTGTTCCTCTGTTTCTGTAGTTGATACATGACTGTCTCTAGAGAGTTCAATTTCCTTTGTTCTCTGCTTTAGTTCTTGAAGTCGGTCTTTCATCTTCCCTTTCCTCCTAAGAAGCAAAAATTTTTGTGTTGAACAAGTAGAAATTTGGTATTTTTCCCCAGTAGCAGTTGACTTCACATAACTGTCTATATCCCAGCAAAAGTTCTCCTAGTTTTCTCAAATGAGGTTAAAAAGTTAGAAAAAACCAATGAGTTTCCTCATAAAAACCATTTAAATAGGGAAAGAAATATAAAATAATTTGTAAGTTACTTTGCATGTGAGTGCTATTTAGTTGTGTGCAATAGCTGAGAAAGCAGTGATGCAGACACAGTTGGTCAAAAATATTTGTCACATGATAGTTTTTTTTTGTAATAAAGAATGCTTTTGACTATACCTTCAACCTATAGGATTAGTCTTCAGATGCCAAAAATGCCCTTGTTACTAAAGATACTGTTTCCGGTTAATTTGGCCAATGTAATATTAAAAAATACTCATTTTGCTAAATATGCATCATTCAGTTAAAACCATTGTAGTGACAGTACAGATTTTATATGAGAACGTTAAGCTATATGGATAATATTGAATTTATTTTAAATTTTCCGAAGCCTCTGAATTAACGTATTACTTGGCATAATGTTTTTTCTAGCTGTTGCATATATGTGAAAACATTGGTTTGATTATGCTGATTTCTCATTCTTAGCATTCTTTTGCAAAGATATCCAGACTGTCTTAGAACAAAATTTATATCAATTTGTGTTAGGTGATACTTTTATAAACATGAGAATATATTTATATACAATCTTATTTTAGGAGTAATAATGATATTGACACTTATCACATGCTGTGTTGGTAGTTATCTGTAAGAATCAAATTGATGTACATAATTTATATTTAATGATATAGATATATATGAAATGACATACATACATATAAAATGAAGGGAATAAAAAGCAGTAAAATGCTATTATCACAGAGCAACTTGATTTTAGAAATGTCTTTCAAGACATTTTTGAAGATAAGAAGAGGCTGTTAGGGAGTACAGATAGCTCATTGGACCACATATAATATTAATATCAACCAGAAAAAAAAGGTCTCTGAATGTGATGCTGTTATGCTGTAGGACTCAGTGTTTGATATGTTTATGGAAATATTTCTATTAATCTGGATGTTGTCATAGGAGGCATACTTAACAAATGTGTAGATGGTGTAAAATTTGGAGGAATCTTTAGTATGTTGAAGTACAGGGTAGGGATTCAAATATTAAAATAGTGTGGAACTTTATACTAAAAATAACAAAAATATATTTAACAGGAATAGATTTAAAATATTTCATCTAGCTATAAGAAAAATATTTTCGTATCTACAGAGTAGAAGACCCTTGGGTTCACAATAGTGTCTATGAAAGTATTGGAGATTTTAATTAATTAAGCTTTCTTTTTTTTTTTTTTGGAGATGGAGTCTTGCTCTGATGCCCCGGCTGGCATGCAGTGGTGCGACCTCAGCTCACTGCAACTTCTGCCTCCCGGGTTTAAGTGATTCTCCTGCCTCAGCCTCCTGAGTAGCTGGGATTACAGGTGCCTGCCACCATGCCCGGCTAATTTTTGTATTTTTGGTAGAGACAGGGTTTCACCATATTGGCCAGGCTGGTCTCAAACTCCTGACCTCGTGATCCGCCCACCTTGGCCTCCCAAAGTGCTGGGATTACAGGTGTGAGCCACCGCTCCCAGCCTAATTAAGCTTTCTGTCAGAACCATCAGAATAGTCACTATGCTTTTATAAATAATAGTCTGATGTATGGATAGACTAAACTCTGCCAACTCTATGCTATTCAGAGCAAATTGCAAGGGTAAGGGGAACTCAATAAACTTCTGAGCATATTTTGAGATGGAAGTTCTTAAGTTAGGAATTACCAGACTAGCATGGAAAGGATGAGATTGGAAAACCATACCAAATGGAGACTCATTGAAATAAATGGTAATATTTGTCCTGTAAAAGAGAAGATGTAGGGTGTGTATACAGCTGTCTTCTAAACAAAGGTCTGTGTATGCAAGTGAGATTAGACTTACTTGGCATAACTCCAAAGGGCAGTGGGTGGAAATTACATGGAAAGAGGTTTGATTCAATATAAAGAAGACTTTTCAAACAAATATTGCTTTCCCAAGATGAAATGAGCTGCTTCATGAGGTGCTGAGTTTGCCATCACTGGACATTTTCAAGATGTTCTGGAATGATGACTCCAGGCAGGCATGTTACAGAAATGATGCCTGTTTTGGGTAAAAGGTTAAACCAATGTCCTGGTAATATTCCTTTGGTTTTAAAGGACTGGTATTTTGTGAAATAGTCATTGAAGTCTTATATGTATATAAGTTTTAAATGCTGTAATATATATTTAACATTTTCTGTCCTTGAGGAATTTATAATTTAGGGTGAGAAGGACAATATACAATTTAAAAGATAAACGGGATAATTTTAGGTTTTGATACAATAATCAGGCAGGGTCTCTAAGCAGATATTTGAGATGTGAGACTGAATGTTGAGAAGCCAGGCAGATGAAGAGCCGAGGGAGTGTATTGTAGGTCTAGGAGTTGGGTTGCCAAGGCAGTGAATGAGACTGATATGTTTTAGGAACAGAGTTATTGCATAAGAACAAAGTGAATGTAGATAGAAAGGAATGAGAGGAGTAACATGGGAAGAATGAAGTAGAAAGGTAGGCATGGACCACATCATAAAGGACTTGTGGGCCAAAGGAAGGAGTTTAGATTTTATTCTAGGTGCAGTAGAAGACAGTTAAAAGATAAATAGGATATTGACATGATTTGTATATATTTTTTCATTTTGATATGTAATTTAAAAAAATTTTAAACTGATACAGGGGTGTCCCTATGTTGTCCAGGCCGGTCTTGAACTCCTGGGCTCAAGCCATCTGTTCGCCTTGTCCTCCCAGAGTGCTAAGATTACAGGCATAAGCCACCATGCCTGGCCCTGATTTATATTTTTAAAAGATGTTGTTGCTTTCTATATAGAGAATAGTTTCCTGGGGAGGGGGTGGGAGTAGTTCACAGAAGAGACTTTAATGATAGAGATGGAGTAAATGGGAACCATCAGGATATATTTTTGAAACTAGAAGCAATAGGACTTGATGATTTTAACCCATCAGCACTTAACACAATCATTTCTTGAGACACTTTGAAGAAAAGTATTTCTCCTGTTTTTTTTCTCTTACCTTTTTGGCTCTTCCTTTATCACTATTTTCTTTTTCCTGGCTACTCCTTATCTCCCCCACCTGTAAATATTGGAAGATTTTAGACTGAGTCTCATTTTTATCCATCATCATTTTTTAGTCTCATGGCATTAAATGCTGTTTGTAAGCTGATGACCCAAATTTGTATCTCCAGTTTAGGTTGCTCTTAAAAAACTGCCTACCTGACAGCTGCATTTGAATGCCTCTATCCAAAATGAGCTCATAATCTTCCTGTGAACCCGTAAACTGCCCCATCTCTCTTCTGGCAACTCTATTTTTCCAGTTGCTCAGACCAGAGACTCAGAAGTCTTTTTTTGTTTGTTTTTTGAGACCGAGTCTCACTCTGTCCCCTAGGCCGGAGTGCAGTGGTGTGGTCTCGGCTCACTGCAACCTCCGCCGTCCGGGTTCAAGCAATTCTCCTGCCTCAGCCTCCCGAGTGGCTGGGACTACAGGCATGTGCCACCACGCCCAGCTAATTTTTGTATTTTTATTAACGACAGGGTTTCACCATGTTGGCCAGGCTGGTCGCAAACTCCTGATCTCAGGCGATCCGCCCTCTTCGGCCTCCCAAAGTGCTGGGATTACAGCTGTGAGCCACCGCGCCTGGCTGGAAGTCATTCTTGACTTTTTTTTTCTACATTTCATATGCAAGCACAGCAAATCTTGTCAACATCTCTTTCAAAATGTATTTGGATCTAGCCACCTCTTACCATCTCCCTGGTTCAAGTCCCTGTTATTTTTGTTAATTTTTTATTTTTGAGACAGAGTCTCCCTCTGTTGCCTAGGCTGGAGTGCAGTGGCACAATCTTGGCTCACTGCACCCTCCATCTCCCAGGTTCAATCGATTCTTCTGCCTCAGCCTCCCGAGTAGCTGGGACTACAGGCACATGCCACCATGCCTGGCTAATTTTTGTATTTTCAGTAGAGATAGGGTTTCACCATATTGGTCAGGTTGGTCTTGAACTCTTGACCTCATGATCCGCCCATCTTGGCTTCCCAAAGTGCTGGGATTACAGGCATGAGCCACCGCAACTGGTCAAGTCCCTGTTATTTTTCATCTTGATTGTTAACGATAGTCTCCTAAGTGTTCTCCTTGTTTCCTTTTTGCACCAACTACCCCCCATCCTGCCCCCACCACAAAACCTCTGGTCTTTTCTTAACACAGAATTCAGAGTTAAAATGTAGGTCAGACCATGTCATTCCTGTGCCTAAAATCCTCCTTTGGCATTATCTCTTAGAGGAAAAACTAGAGCCTACAAAGCTCCACAATGACTTCACCCCTTCTGTTACCCCTCCGACCTCACCTCCTACAACTCTCCCTTTCTCTGCTTCAGTCTCACTGTCCTTGCTGTTCTCACACAAATCTGGCACCATCTGGCTTTAGGGCCTTGGCACTTGCCTTCTCTTCTATTTGAAGTGTTCTTTCCCATGTAGTATGTGACGTTTTTCCCCAACCCAGTCCTTACTGAAATGTCACTCCTGAGTTAGGATGTTCTTTGTCACCCTATTTTGAACTATACCTTCTTTCAACTCTCTGACCCTTCCCAGCTTTATTTTTCTTAGCATTTTTCACTATTTAACATACCATGTATTTTACTTATTTATATTAACTTAATTGTCTACTTTCTCCTCCCAGTATTAACTCCATGAGATCAAGGGTTTTTATTCATTCTGGTACCTCATAGAGTTAATACTTAGAGGAGAAAGTAGAGGGTCTTTATTCTTTCCCAGCACCTTGATGAGTCTTATATTTACTTGAGTTCTTATGTTGAGATCTTGATATCTTAGATTTACTTGAGCTCTTAATATGTGCCAGGCACTAAGTGTGTTTTATGTTCTTATAAGAACAAGTATTGTCATGATCTCTATTCTATAGATAATGAAATTACGATCTCAGCTTTAGTAATTGAACCATGTTGTCAGCTAGTGGTAGAGTTGAGATTCAGATTCTGGCAGTATAGTTTGAAGGACTCAACTCTTTA
Organism: Homo sapiens; assembly: GCF_000001405.40. Taxonomy (NCBI): domain Eukaryota; kingdom Metazoa; phylum Chordata; class Mammalia; order Primates; family Hominidae; genus Homo; species Homo sapiens. The sequence continues at coordinate 94,020,439 of NC_000003.12, forward strand.
TACGACAGTATAGCATACTAGAGCATAGTAACTTCACTATGACATAGCATAGCTTTACTATGCTATGAAGGTTTTTCAGTGGTGTTAGATCATTTAGGGTGAGTTCTGAAAAGAGGCAATTAGGTCAGTTAAGTGGTTGGGAAAAGAGCCAGATCACAAGGGATAAGACCTTGAAATCTGTTTGTGTCAGGAAAAGGTGTTTTATAGATATTAAAAGTTTATTCGGAAACATTTGCTGTATTACTTTATTGCCACATGACTATATTGCTGAGCATTTTAAGTACCGGTGGGAAACATTTAAGAGCAAGTTTTTGTTGCTGAAATGCACTTAAAGCATTCTACTATTTATTTCACCTATTTTAAATACTTAATTCAAATAGCCGGTAATCTTTTGTTTTTGCCACTGATTTGCTATAGTAAAGGTAAAAAAGTTCAGTCAGTACAATTTATGTAAATAGGGGACTTCTAAGCTGGAAGGAGATTCCATACGCCTCTTCCTCTGCATATTTTTATTGTCTATATTCTACTTTACTGGCAAGGAACAGTTTCTCTACCTTCAGAGTAGAGCTAACCAAAGCTAGTGTTTCTATAAGATCCAAGGAAAAAAATGAGCTATGAATGATACTAAACCTGGAACAATTATGAAAGGAAGATTAGTCAGGAGGAATATTAGACGATACTATAGAAAGAATTGCCAGTTTTAGGTGTTAAAAAGTTGTTTTTGTCTTTCGTGTTTAATATTATTATATATATATATATATAATTTTTTTTTTGAGACAGGGTCTCGCTCTGTTACCCAGGCTGGAGTGCAGTGTCATGATCTCAGCTCACTGCAATCTCCACCTCCTGGGTTCGAAGCGATTCTCCTGCGTCAGCCTCCCGAGTTCCTGAGACTACAGGTGCCCATCACCATGCCCAGATAATTTTTGTATTTCTGGTAGAGACAAGGTTTCACCATGTTGGCCAGGCTCATCTTGAACTCCTGACCTCAAGTGATCTGCCCGCCTCAGCCTCCCAAAGTGCTGGGATTACAGGTACAAACCACCATGCCTGGCCAAATATTGTATAAAATATTTGATGCTTATCCAGGTATAGATACTTAAAGACATGTAAAACTATTGGGAAGTAATGTGGAAACTTTTTACCATGTGGCAACTTTGTGAAAGCAGAATTATCACCCATGTTTTATTATATACATCTGATAAGAACTAGTCTTCTTTTCAGTATAGAGAAAATTTGATGTTAAAGTAGGTTGGCTTAGTAATTTATCTTGTATAGCTTCCTAGTGTTCATTTTGTGGTTTAGTGGTATTTATGACTCCCTAATCTATAAGCTCTTTCTAGTATTACTATATTGATGCTGAAAATAAATTATTCCCCAAAGTGTTGAAGATACCATGTCGCATTTAATATAGCCATAAGCTTTTTAAATAAGCTTTTTAAAAATGTTATTTTTTCCCTCAAATTAATAATGCATGTACACAGGTTAACAAGTCAAGTCATGTCAAGGCTTCTAAAGATATATATCTGACCCTTACCTGCCGTACCACATCCCCTTTCCAATTCTCCATTCCTTAAAGACAGTCATAAAGGCAGTCATTTTCAGCTCCTTAGCTATATGTTGCATCTAAACTCCTGTTTCTAGGTAATTTGCATGTGTAGGTATTTTTGCTTCTTCAGTTTTATTTTATTTTATTTTTTTTGAGACAGAGTTTCGCTGTTGTCACCCAGGCTGGAGTGCAATGGTGTGATCTCAGTTCACTGCAACCTCCTCCTCCCTGGTTCAAGTGATTTCTCCTTGCCTCAGCCTCCTGAGTAGCTGGAATTACAGGCGCCTGCCACCACGCACAGCTAATTTTTGTATTTTTAATAGAGATGGGGTTTTACCATGTTGGCCAGGCTGGTCTTGAACTCCTAACCTCAAGTGATCCACCCGCCTCAGCCTCCCAAAGTGCTGGGATTACAGGTGTGAGCCACCGCACCCGGCTGCTTTTTTGGTTTTAGTTATTTTATTGAATTTCTTCTATGGAAGATGTGGATTTAATCTTCTCTCACACCCCCATTCTTCCCTCACCTTCCCCCTTTTAATACAGTTATATCACAAATTTTGGTTAATCAATATTTTGTGTTTACATTATTGTGACTACCCAAATATTATTTATATGTGAGTCACCTAAGGTACTGTAGCTGTATTTCCTTTCTCAAATAATTTTTTAAATTATTTCTAAGTTTTTTCAATGGATAGAGATAGAAAATGAATATATTTAAGAAAACTTCTTATTGACATATTTATATATACAGAAAGTCCCCCAGAACATAAATGTATATTATGGTGATTTTTCACAAAGTAAATACATCCATGTAACTACCACATAGATCAAGAAACATATAACATTTAATTTTAAGAAAATATTAATTACCAAAGTTTTTCACCTGCTTAATTTTGTACATACATCACTAATTCATTCTAAAACTGAAGTGAATTGAACATATCCTCTTGACATATTTAAATATAGAATATATATATTTTTATTTCATTTTATTCATCTTTTGAGGCTCCTTTCCTGGAAACTCTAATGTAACCTGATTGTGTTAGAATTTTCTTCCTCTTTTATATTCTCTATTTTTGATTTCCAATTCCTCACCTTTCTTGGTTTATCTCCTTGATTTGGGAGTGTACCATAGCTCCTTTTCAAAACATAAATGCAATGATAATTTTCATTACTGAAAATATTTTTATTCTGTCCTATACTTGAATACTATATTTTCTGTGGATATAAGTTTCAGTTGGAAATTATATTCCCTCAAAATTTTGAAAGTTTTGTTACTACATCTTCTAGTTTTGTTACCTCTGAATATTCTGCCCTGTGTTTTCTGATATTTTGTAGATCTGTTTTTATATTTCCTTTCATGAAATTCTTGACCTTTTTTTCATATTCCTGGTGTTCTGAAATTTCACAACAATGTGATCTGGGGTAGGTCTTGATGCATTTATTTGGTAAACATATAGTTGGTCTTTTCAACCTAGAAACTCATGTATTTACGGTCTTGCTTTTTTTTTAAATAATTTCTTTAAGAACTTTATTTTCTCCATTTTCTTTGTATTATTTTCATGGCCTTTCAGACATTAAGAAAATTAAAGAAACAGTCCAGTCCAAGAAAAGCAACGTCCAAATAAGGGGAATTTTAAAGTGACTTGCCTAAGGCCACACAACTAAAAGGTGGCAGATCCTACGTTTAGACATATCTACTTGATTGCAAATCTGTTCTTTTTCCCCTATTGTCTATTGAGTAGAAATTGGTTATCCTAGTGAAATATACACAAATAATGTTTATCTATATCAAATACTGTATTATGTTACTAATATACATACTATATCTATTTAAAAGAAAAAATTTAGCAGGAGATAATATAGCATATAGGATCTAAAATAATGTTGTTGTTTGAAGCTTTATTAGGATCTTTAATATAATCAGACCAAATTGATCACTTTACACTATAAAAGAAGAAAAATAATTTGGATCTCACAGACTGATGTTTACAGAAAGTCTAAGAAATATTGCATTTTATATTTGGTACTATATGGAGATTGATATTCTTATATTTTCTTCTGCTTCAACTCATAGTCATCTAACCAAATTTCTGTTTCCTTCTCTTGTACTAGCTTGTCACTATGAATTGTTTTTTAAAAATTAATTAATTAATCAATTAATAGAGAAAGGATCTCGCTCTTTTGTCCAGGCTGGTCTTGAACTCCTAGCCTCAAGGGATCCTTCCACCTTGACTATGAATTCTTAAAAATACAGCATATATAGCTGAAGTGCTAGTTGCCACATTATTATTTTTTAAACTGGGTTGCACCCGTGTAAATATAGGGAAAAAGAAAGAGTAACAATGTTAGAAGCTCAGAGGCGAGAGAAAGAGAAAGTGGCATCAAACAAAACAGATTTTGATTTTCTATCCATAAAAATTAAGTCCTATATTTATACAATGGTTCAGTAGCTTTTAACAATCTTTAATTTTCACATTCCTCAAGAACTACAACATCTTGAACTTTCTCTTTGGTTGCATGGTTTGGAACAAATCCTGAAACAACTCCCTCTAATGTTTTTATGACTGGAAAGATCTTTGTCCTTTTTTGGGCGTGTTGTTTTGTTTTATTTTTGAGATAGGATCTCACTCTATCACCCAGGCTAGAGTATAGTGGCTCAATTGCGGCTCACTGCAGCCTCTACCTCCCAGGCTCAAGTGATCCTTCTCCCTCAGCCTCCCGAGTAGCTGGGACTACAGTTGCATGCCACTGTGCTTGGCTGATTTTTTAAAATTTTTTGTAAAGATGAGGTCTTGCTGTGTTGCTCAGGCTGATCTCTAACTCCTGGGCTCAAGCAATCTTCCCACCTCCGCCTCCCAAAGTGCTGGGATTATAGGCATGAGCTAGTGCACCCAGCCTCTTTTTTAAAAAAATTAGAAATAAAGTAATCAAAAGCCTTTTTCTAAAGCATCATAGTTTAAAAATTTTTAAGAAATAGACTATTTCAAATTGCTATTGGAGCACAGTGTACACAGGCCTCTGGGAAGGTGAATTTTCCTGTGAAGTGCCTTTGAGAAGGTGCATTTTACTGCCACTGATTTTGGAAAGCAGGATATTTGAGTCTGACCTCTATAAAGGTTGTTTTTTTCCTGGATTTTTATCCATGTAATATCATTCCCTGAACATGCACCACACTTTTATATTTGAATAAAAGGTACTTTAAGGAGCCCTTTAAAATATATTAATATGTCCTTTTTATTAATCTTAATGAATTTACAAGCAAAAAACAAAATATCCTTTTTTTAATATCTGTATACATTATTGATATTAAAGGCAAAACATGGAAATAGAATCAGGTTTCCTTTCAGTGTTATACATCATGGCAATGCGTATTATGTAAACGATGTTTAAAGTGAGCTATAAAGGTTATACTGTGTTTGTCTTGGTTTATGGATCCTATGCCTGTATTTCTTTTGAACATTTAGAGAATATTTATGTGAAAGATCCTTTACATTATTAGGTTATTTCTAGTTTCTTAGGAGTAAATTCCTATGTTTGCTGTGGCCACGGACTGGTGACCACTCTGTTAAATGTGGGCAAGTGTATTTAGTGAAATTCGTCAGTAGCCTAGCTTCATTGGGGAGTTATACAAGAATGCTCTGAGTGTCCTGATCAATTATGGATACATTGAGGCTATTTTTTTGATTGTCACTACCAACGCCCCATGGAGTTTGCCCCTTGTAGCCCAGGTAGTATTATGTAGGCCTAATTTTTCTCTAGTGATTTTTATAGCCTAAGTGGATATCTCACTTCCTGCTATAATCCTGGGCAAGTCAACAGAGTTATTCCTGTCTTTGTATACAGATTATGTTGTATTATTCCTAGTTAACTGTTTCATCTAGGAAACTCAGTTTTAGTTCCCTATAATGCAACAAACTCTAAACCTCAGCTTTAAGGTAAAGTATTTGCCCAGTGTAATTAGCTTTAATTACTACTCTTCACTTTGGCTTTAAGTATGTTTCCTCATCATTTCTGGCACCTGAAAACTTCTCTTTTTTTTTTTTTTTTGAGACGGAGTCTCTCTCTGTCGCCCAGGCTGGAGTGCAGTGGCACCATCTCGGCTCACTGCAAGCTCCGCCTTCCGGGTTCACGCCATTCTCCTGCCTCAGCCTCCAGAGTAGCTGGGACTACAGGCGCCCGCCACCACACCCGACTAACTTTTTATATTTTTAGTAGAGATGGGGTTTCACCGTGTGAGCCAGGAGAAAACTTCGCTTTTTTACTCTAAAATTTAGTGATGTTGTTTTAAAATTTGTCTTTTTTAAACTTACGATTACATCAAATTCTGTATGTTTAGAGAAAGAGGGAGTAACTTCTGTATCTGTGCATTTTGACTGAAAGTCACAGTTGCTTATCTTTATAGAATTAACATAATTGAGAATGTTTCCCTAAATCCTTGTTCATCTGTGTAGAAATTGACTTGATAGGTACTCAAATATGTTTATATGCTGTATATAAATTACATTTTCTAGTAGTTGCATACTCATAACTATATGTATAACTATCCAATTTATTGATCTTATATCTTCATGAATTAGAATGTTAGGCAAAATGAGACAAATAAGCATGTTAGAATTTAAAACATGCAAGGACAGGATTCATATAAGCATAAAATATGAAGCTCATAGTTGTGAAATCATTTAATTGCTTAGACTAGGTGAAATTGATGAAATTACTATTTTATGCAGTCTGTTATGTACCTTAAATTTATTATGTTGGAAGAGTTATATACAAATATGAATCATCTTTTATTATGTTTAACTTGCAGCATTGCTATACAGTTTTGAATTTTACTAGCAAGAACTGTATCTGTGAGCTTAAACATGATATTTAAAAAAGAAAGAACACTAACTCGTATGTATGATAATCAACTTGGACAACTTGTTCTGGGAAATAGAAAAGTAAACTGGTGCGACTCAAATAAAAGGTTCTCTGCCCTATTACAGACACTGAAAATCCCTAGAAACAGAAACATGAGTAAAAATTACCTTGTACTTTTAGAAATATGCCCTGGGATAGATACTTAGTGTATTTATAGATTTTTTTAAAGTAGGCCATTTCTTTTCATAGTTACTGTAATGATTAAATAAAACATTTCAAGAAATATGACCAGTTTTTACCCAAGAGAAAACAGAATATTCTGTTGCTTTTGTATATGAAGTCAACTTGCCACATTTTTCTAGTGCAAGTGAAAGCAGAGGATCTTATTGTAATATATTAACCTCTTTGGCTACTAAAGTGAGGGCCAAATAGTAGTTTCTAAAAACTAAAAAAAAATTGCAAATTGCATATATTGTCTAATTTTGAAGTATCTGACTTTTTTTGCAATGTAAACTTTCAATGCTTTTTTCTACATTTTATTTAGTCTAAATAACTTATTGAATTAACTTGTATAACAACATTAAGATCATTTTTGTTTAAATATGATGTATAATTTTTGAACTTTTATCTGATTCAAGTAAGCTGTACATACATAAAATGATTTTTATATTACATTTAAAACTGCATAGCTGTGAAGATAATGTGTTCGAGGTATTACGTGGCCAATTCTCAAGTCCACCTTTAAAATACATATAAAAGTCATTATTATTTTGATTTGAAATGGAATATTTATTAAATTCTAACATAGTAACAATTATAACTTTGAAAGTATCTAACCTATCTACATATGTTGTATTTAAATGATGCTGATTTAAATTTTTCAAACTATCAATTAAATGCTAACACTTACGTTAAATGGTATAACAAGTATTTTTAATGTACTAGTTGAAATATTATAAAGGTTAGTGAGTACTTCGATATTTTCTGGTAGCCCTTTCACAAGATTATTTTCTCATTTTTTCAATTTTAGAAGATTCTAGTAAACAACAATGAAGCAATTAAGACCATTATAGCAAATTATTTCAGATTTTTAAGGTTATACGTATGTGTCAAATTTGGGTATAAGCTGCTTTTCAGAGTGAAATATAAAAATGTTCTCTAAAGTAAGCACATTCATAGTCTGTCTATAAAAGAAATAATTTTAGATCTGTTTTTACATCTGACTTTCTAGTATTTTTTAAATGAGAGCTTACTTTTTAAAAGACTTAAAAATTTTTTCTTTCCTCTAAAGTTGATTTTTATTATCGTAGTCTATTTTCAAGAGCTTTATACCCAGATCCCAGTCAGCATGTCAGTAATATATGTGAACAAATCAGCTACTGGTACCCCGGTCCAAATCTGAGCAAAACAAGTAACCCTCATTATTTGTTGAGTGATTTTTAAATGTAACAGTGTAACCAGATGTCAGTCTATGGATACCTCATATTAAAAAGTACAGAAAAGAGTCATTATTTACCTTTCTGTTTTCTTCCTTTTGTTGGTTTTCCACCTGCGGTGTTGGAGTCCTGCCTTTGAGAGAATATCTGAATATCATCTCATGTTTTGAACAAATTATCTAAATCTCTGTCTTATAGGGCACAGACTAATTTCTGTATAGTTTTCATGTTGTTAATTTGAAAGCCAAATAATGAAGTCAAATAAGAGATAAAGTTGTACGTTTGCTGTTAATAGCAAGTGAAAATAGATTGCTTACTTCACACCTGGAGAATCTGGTTCTGCCTGTTAGACGCCTATTCTTTAGATTAAAGGAAGATCATTTTCATTGGAGCTAGTCGGTAACAGGAAGTCCTCGTTAAACTGCCTACGTAGAGTATTTGGCACTGGATCTGCAAATTTAGTCCTACATTGTATATGTAATATATTATTCCAAGAAAATGGGTTTGTATTTAAACAAAGGTTACTTTCTTTTCTATAGATATCAAAACTTACTAAAAATATGGAATTAAATAGGAATGAAAAGAAGCTTGGTGTAAAAGCTTTTTTTGTTCCATTTACTTTAAAATGGTTGAAATCTGTCCTATTTTAGGAAATCCCAAAAGAGCTTAGCTCACAAAATCATAGAATTTCAGAAGGAGAACATCCAGGAAAGAGCTCATGTCTGTAAACCATTCATCCCACGTTACTTTTAATTTTTTTTACTTTTTATTATGCCTGCTGTTTTTATTTTAAAATAAATTTTATATAGAACTAAAGTTATCCAGCAATATATGTTAAATCATTTATTTTGTCAATATAACAACTCAAAATTAATTTATACCAGAGGGAAATGTTTATAGGAAGAATTAAAAATGAAAATTTCTCTTGTACTACCAAATTTCAGACCCATTTTTTCTACCTGACTTGTTACTATTTGAGGGCAAGAAGAAGGAAATTGCTGTATCTATCAAAATCATATATATATATATATATATATATATATATATATTTATTTTTTTTTTATTTTTTTTTTTTTTTGAGAAGGAGTCTTGCTCTTGTAGCCCAGGCTGGAGTGCAGTGGCACGATCTTGGCTCACTGCAACCTCCGTCTCCCGGGTTCAAGCAATTCTGCTGCCTGAGCCCCATAAGTAGCTGGGATTACAGTTGCCTGCCACCACGCCCAGCTAATTTTTTTGTAGAAATGGGGTTTCACCATGTTTGCCAGGCTGGTCTCGAACTCCTGACCTCAGGTGATCCACCTGCCTCAGCCTCCCAAAGTTCTGGGATTACAGATGTGAACCACCATGCCCGGCCAATCACATTTATATTTATTCTTTGTTTTAACAGTTCTACTTCCTGGAATCTGTACTCAAAATAAGAAATGACTCCTTTACACACCTACTTTTTATAGCACTCTTTGTAAAAACAAAACACTGGAAACACAAAAGTCCTTCAGCGTAGAACTGGCTGAATAAATGATGGAACATTCAAAGGGGAGCATTTTGCAATTATAGAAAATAGTGAAGATTTTATTATACTGCTTCAGGGTACTTCAAAATTTACTGTTCAGTTAAAACAAGCATGCTGCAGAAGAATATATATAATATGCTAAGTTTTAGGAAGAAAGGAAGGGTAGATATAAATATTGTATATATACACAAATACATAAACCAGTCAATAGCATTGAATATTCACAGTGCCCAAATTATGGTCCTTGAAATACCATTTTCTCCATACGCTTGTTTATATTTTCAAAAAGAAATAATGGGAGGATGAACTAAACACGAATGAAAATGGTTACCTATAAGGGAAGGGAAGGAAAAGGCAGAGAGATAGCAAATAGTTCCTTTCTGATTGTACCTTGTTTTTATAGTTCTGAATTTAGAACCATATAAATATTTTTTTATTTTTATTTTTTGAGACAGGGTCTCACTCTGTCACCCAGCCTGGAGTGCAGTGGCGCGATCTCGGCTCACTGCAACCTCTGCCTCCTGGGTTCAAGCGATTCTCATGCCTCAGCCTCCCGAGTAGCTGGTATTACAGGTGCACGCCACCACGCCTGGCTCATTTTTTTTTTTTTTTTTTTTTAGTAAAGACAGGGTTTCACCATGTTGGCAAAGCTGGTCTTGAACCCCTGACAAATGATCCACCCACATTGGCCTCCCAGAGTGCTGAGATTACAGGTGTGAGCCACCACGTCCAGCCGATATAAATATTTTAGAAATTAAATCTTAAAACAAATACACAAACGATCTCTAAAATGCAAAAGCACCTAGAAAGAAATGAACCTAGGTATATATCTAGGTGATGGCAAAACCACACAGAGAAGTACTATTTTAAGTAATTTTAAAACAGTATTATTGACTCTGCATCTCTAGTGGGATATAGCGTAGAGACAAAGATACGTAACCACAAAGATATGTTAACCTGCACTTAGTAGTCTTAATATTTAGTAATCATATTGATATTATTATGTTAAAATTCCTATATATAGTTGGATAAAACAAATAATGTCATTAGAAACTGTAGTTTTCAGCATAAGTAAAAAGAGATACAAATAAGATCTAAGGCTGGGCACAGTGGCTCATGCCTGTAATCCAGTACTTTAGGAGGCTGAGGCAGGAGGATTGAGCCTAGGAGTTTGAGACCAGCCTGGGGAACATAGTGAAACCCCATCTCTGCTAAAATAATTTTTTAAAAAAAGAACGTTCGAACACTAGCTGGGCATAGTGGTATGCGCCTGTAGTCCCAGCTACTTGAGAGGCTGAGGTGGGAGGATGGCTCAAGCCTGGGAGGTAGAGGCTGTAGTGAGCTGTTGTCACACCTCTGCACTTAAGCCTGGGCAACAGAGTGAGACCCTGTCTCAAAGAAATAAACAAAAACAAGATTTAAGAAGCTAAGTAAAACTTGGTAGTTGATTTGAAATGAAAAAATCAACACGAATACATGGTTAGATTTTTTTTTTTTCTAGAATAAAACTATTTCCTAGCTTTGTGCACTGAAAGGGCCTAGAAGCAGTAGTAAGTCAATAGCAAATGTTTATCTATAACTCCTAGGTTTTAGTCTTTAAAATGCCATTTTCCACTGAAAAGATCAAGGCTTCTTGGGGAAATGGATGATTGCAAGTCTGGAACCTTGTTTCATAGTAGAACATAAAGAAGCTATCAAAGACTGTTGGAGTTGTACCAAAAGGGTCCAAGAGCCAACCTGAAGGGGACTCCTGCTGCCTCAAAATGGGTACCTTTGAGCCTTAAAAAGAGCAATAACTGCAACAAATTGAAACACATCAAATACATTTTTAAATCCATAAGTTCATAATGATGCCTCTCAAAATAAGAAAAAGTACCAAAAAGCCTGAATAGCCAAAGCAGTCCTAAGCAAAAAGAACAAAGCTGGAGGCATCATATTATCTGACCTTAAATTATACTACAAGGTTATTGTAACCAAAGTAGCATGGTACTGGTATAGAAATAGATGAATAGATCAATGGAAAAGAATAGAGAACCCAGATGATGGGTACAGCGATGCTAGGAAAATTCAATTGCCATATGCAGAAGAATGAAACTGGAACCCTGTCTCTCACCATATACAAAAATTAACTCAGGGTGCATTAAAGACTTAATGTAAGACCTGAAAAATACTGGAAGAAAACTGATGAAACTCTTCTGGACATTGGTCTAGGCAAATAATTCATGACTAAGACCTCAAAAGCAAAAGCAACAAAACCAGAAATAGACAAATGGGACTTAATTATTAAGTAAAAACTTCTGCACAGCAAAAGAAGTAATCAATGGAGCAAACAGCCTGCAGAATGAGGGAAAATATTTGCGACCTCTTTATCCTATAGGAGACTAATAACCAAAACTTACAAGGAAATCAACAACAAAAAACAACCCCATTAAAAATGTGCAAAAGACATGAATAGTCATTTTTCAAAAGAAGACATACAGATGGCCAACAAGCATATGAAAAAAATGCTCAATATGCCTAATCAGAGAAATGCAGATTAAAACCACAATGAAATACCATCTCACACCAGTCAGAATTTTTAGCTGTTACTGAAAAGTTAAAACATAGCAGATGTCTGCGAGATTGTGTAGCAAAAGGAATGTTTATACACTCTTGGAATGTAAATTAGTACAATCACTATGGAAAACAGTATGGAGATTTCTTTTTTTTTTTTCTTTTGAGACGGAGTCTCGCTGTGTTGCCCAGGCTGAAGTGTAGTGGCGCGATCTCGGCTCACTGCAAGCTCTGCCTCCCGGGTTCATGCCCTTCTCCTGCCTCAGCCTCCCGAGTAGCTGGGACTACAGGCGCCTGCCACCACGCCCGGCTAGTTTTTTGTATTTTTAGTAGAGATGGGGTTTCACCGTGTTAGCCAGGATGGTCTCGATCTCCTGACCTTGTGATCCGCCCGCCTCGGCCTCCCAAAGTGCTGGGATTACAGGCGTAAGCCACCGTGCCCGGCCAGTATGGAGATTTCTTAAAGACCTAAAAAAAGAACTACCATTCAGTCTAGCAACCTCACTACTGGGTACCTATCCAAAGGAAAAGAAATCATTATACAAGAAAAGATATCTGAACTCAAGATGTTTATCACAGCATTATTCACAGTAGCAAAGGTAGGGAGTCAACCTAAATGTCCTTCAATGGATGATGAAAGAAAATGTTTGTGTGTGTGTTTTGTATATACATACATAAAATGGAATGCTATTCAACTATTTAAAAAAGCATGTTTTTTCCAGCAACGTGGATGGAGCTGGAGGTCATTTTTTAAAGTGAAATAATTCAGAAACAGTCAAATCTAGCGTGTTCTCACAAGTGGAAGTTAAATAATGTGTACACATTGACATGGAGTGTGGATTAATAGACATTGGAGACTTGGACAGGTGGGAGGGTGGAAGGGGAGTTAGAGATGAGAAATTAATACCTACAATGCACATTATTAAGCTTATGGTTACACTGAAAGCCCAGACCTCACCACTATGCAATATATCACCACTATGCAATACATTTACATCACAAAACTGCACTCATAATCCTTAAATTTATAGGATTTTTTTTTTTTAAATCAACCTGATCACCTTCGGAGGTTGCTACGCCATTAATTCATTATTTTGAAAATCAGGAAATAAAGGCAAAGGATCAAACATTTATCTTGACTTTGTGAATTTTAAGAGGCACCAAGTAGTTGGTGAAAGCTTATTTTTAGCAAGAATCCTGCTAGTAAATGCAGAAGGAATATGGAACTATAAAGTTACTGTTTCATAAACTTTGGTAAAATAATAGAATTAAGTAAAGGTCATCAATGGCTGCTAAAATCATTAAGTGAAAGATTAATGAGGAACTTTATTTTGGATGGATCAGGCTAAATGTAAATCCATTAGTTAATTTTATACCACCAAAATAGGACATTATATAAAAGTGATATTATATGCCTCCCTAAATACAAGCACCACCTACGAAGTATGCTTGCCAAAAAGATTTCATCTGAAACTCATCCAGCTTCTTACCACCAGATACGGGAAATATAGGATAGGTATGTTAAATAAGTTTATAAGGAAGATATTAGCCAAATCCCAAACATGGGAATTCTAAAGAAAAATTACAAATGTCATGGGAGGAAAAGAGTCATGGGGGTGGTAGTGGGGAGGGCAGGTATAATATAGATTCAAAAAGAGTTAAGTGATAAGTAACGTATATTGGACCTGAATTTAAACATAACACTTGTAAAATGATATTGGAGAATATTGAGTAAATTGAGTAATATTGAAGACTTACTGTTAATTTTGTTAGGTGTGATAGTGGTATCATGGTAATGATTTTTTAATATCTGGGTGAAGTAATGTGATTCAGGCAGCAAAATAGAAGGTATGTAGATTTTAATGGTAACTTGGGAAATACAAAAAAAAAGAAGGTATATAGATAAGCAAGAATGACACAGTTTTGATAATTTTTAAAGATAGGTGGGAAGGGTTCGTTAGATTTCTTAGTCTATGTACTTAATTTTTTTTTTAACCTAAAGAGTCTGTCAAACTTTGAGCAAGGCAGTATTTTATTAAACTTTTAAATCTATGTTATATAATTAAATAGTGGTAAATTGTGGTAAATCCTGTTTTTCTGTAGAATATATTGGTTTTCCATTTTGTTGGTGTCCAGTTTGTCTCTAATTGAGTACAATTTTTTTTTTTTTTTTAATTCCCAGTGCTTTGCCAAGTATATTAGAAGTGGCCTTGGGTCTTCAGTAAATTGCACATTTATGTGGACACATTCACACATTAGAATTGTAGATGAGCTCAAATATTAAAAGTTCAGAATGAATATTTGGGCATTTAAAACATTACAGTTTGTATTTTAAGAAGATAAGAATATAATTTATGGATGTGACCTGTGGAAATTAGTCCTCTTATTTTTCTGTTTTGTAGCTTTTTCTGTTTTGTTGGCATATTGATCTCTTGTTTATGTTTTCTTGACACTTTATTTGATTTTCCTTTTATAGGCCAGTACTTAAAAACTATTTTAGCAATAATAAGGGAAAAATGACAAAATTGATGCTACAACATTTTAAGATACTAGTGTGTTCTGTAATCAGTACATTTAAAACTTGGGAATCAAAGAATGTGGTCAGGCCAGGCATGGTGGATGATATCTGTAATCCCAGCACTTTGAGAGGCTGAGACTGACAGATCACTTGAGGTCAGGAGTTCAAGACCAGCCTGGCCAACATGGCGAAACCCAGTCTCTACTGAAAATACAAAAAATTAGCCTCGCGTGGTGGCACACAACTGTAGTCCCAGCTACTCTGGAGGCTGAGGCAGGAGAATCACTTGAACCTGGGAGGCGGAGGTTGCAGTGAGCTGAGATTGCACCACTGTACTCCAGCCTGGGAAACAGAGCAAGACTCAGTCTCAAAAAAAAAAAAAAAAAAGAATGTGGTCAAAATATCTTTAAGTTTCCATCCAATTATATATATGCTGTATAAAAGTACTTTAATTATCTTTCAGGTTGGCAAATAAACAAGATAAAGAAGGAGCTTTAGGAGAAGCTGATGTCATTGAATGTCTATCTCTGGAAAAATTGGTCAATGAGCACAAGTGCCTGTGTCAGATAGTAAGGTTTTTTTTTTTTTTTTAATTTTAATTTTTTGTCCTTTCAAATAGGTTCAGTATAACTTGGTTTTTATAAAAGTGATAGCAATTAAAAGGCAATGTTTTCAAAGAATTTTTTGTAACCTATGAAATCACATTCCCATTTTTCTGTTGATATAACTTAATACCATAATATTTGTTGTCTATTTCATTGTTATTTCCATGAACTATCTTTCCATGATTTCAAGGAGCTTCACATTTGCGTTTTAACATAGCCAACACATCATGGCATGAAATTTGTAAAATGGGAAAGAAAAGTGTAAATACAAAATTTAAACATATGAGAGATTCATAATGAATTTTGAAAAATTATTTTGCTGGGCATGGTAGCTCATGCCTGTAATCCCAGCACTTTGGGAGGTTGAAGGGGGCAGATTGCTTGAGCCCAGGAGTTTGAGACCAACCTGGGCAACATAGTGAGACCCTAGCTCTACAAAAAATACAAAAACTAGCTGGGTGTGGTAGTGTGTTCCTGTAGTCCCAGCTGCTTGAGGGGGCTGAGGTGGGAAGACCACTGGACCCTGGGAGGCTGAGGCTGCAGTGAGTTCTAATTCAGCCACTGCACTCCAGCCTGGCCAACAGAATGAGACACTGCCTCTAAAAAACAAAAAAAGAAAAGATAAATCATATCAGGAGAGATGTCATACAGTCTTAAGGAAGATGAACAGTGGATTTAATAATTTATTTTGGTTTCAAAAAACATTAGGCTGTCAATCTTATGGATGTTTACTGCTGTATATTGTAGTATAAGGAATTAAAACTTCCTGGCATTTTTAATCAATAGAGATGTCTTTTTATGGTAGTTAAATTTTTTCTTCTAATATTATAAGTGGCACTGTCACCCTCTTCTTTATAATATCTTACATAGTGTACAGATGTTATCTGTAAAATATTTTAAGTTCTATATACTGATGTTAATCATTGCAGTGCTATGTTTTGGAAGTTAAATAAGCAGATGCTTCATATTATTAACTTAAATGGCTTAATTTTGATTTGCCATTAATTATACTTAATGGTTTATGAATAGATTTGTGTGGAGACCTTTTAATCTTTTAGTCAAATAAATTTCTGTTTTAGGAACCATGTTCAGCAATCTCGGGGTATGGAAAGAAAATTGACAAGTCCATTAAAAAAGGCCTTTATTGGCTGCTACATGTTATTGCAAGAGACTTTGATGCCTTAAATGAACGCATCCAAAAAGAGACAACAGAGCAGCGTGCTCTTGAGGAACAAGAGAAACAAGAAAGAGCTGAACGAGTGCGAAAATTACGAGAAGAAAGGTAAGTAGATTAATTTTGTACCACAGTGCATTTGAAGGATCAAAAACATAACAATTTTATGAATCAGTTGTTAGTTTTATCTGTTCAGTTTCTTCTTTCTGTGTGAAGGAAGACACTAGGTAAATTTTGTATTTCTGTGGATCTTTTTCTGTACAAGTTTGGGTGGTAGATTCCTAATTTTTCTGGTGGTTGTATAATAGTTAAATTTACTCCTTACGTAGCCATTGTCTTCCAGAGTTTTAAATTTTTGTCTCTGATTGCTTGTGGGTACCTTAGTGCAGTGGTTCTCAATGCACAGGGTAGTTTTTAACATTTGGCAGTGTCTGGAGACATTTTTAGTTTTCACCACTAGGGGAAGGAGTGGAGTACTACTTGGAATCTATTGGGTAGAGGCCAGGGATGCAGCTAAACATCCTATGACACACAGGACAGTCTCCCACAACAAAGAATTATCAGGCTTAATATGTCAATAACGTTGAGACTGAGGAACCTTTTTAGTTTCAGCAAGGATAGAAGGTGAGCTGCTAGAGAATCATTCAACTCAAGCAAAATCTGATCCATAGTTGCCTTCCATCTGGCCTTTTATGTAGTTTAACATAGTTGTAGCCCAGTGAGCAAGAACTCACTACCCTTGGTGACCCATTATGAGGTACTTCCTTATACCGTGAAGGAAATCCTCTGATAACTGGTATTTTTCATTTAATTCATCAATAGGACTTAAAGAAATATTTATAGAAATGACTCTCTATCCCCAAGTGCTCAATAATATGAGCGTGCCTTTCATCTAGGGATCTCTTTATATAAAAGACAGATTAGAGTGAATGATTTTGGCAGCTGTTGATACAAGGTTTTAGTTCCTGTGAGAATATTTGTTTTTTTCTTAGTATGTATTTTTATCATATAAAGCTCAGTACAACCAATCATGCATGTTAAGTATACCTTTTATATATAATATTTATAAAAATTAAATATATGGCCATAATTATGTGAAAACTCCTTTTCCTCCACTAAGAAAATAAAAACAGAAGCAACAAAAAAATTGAGTTGGATAAAAGAAATCTAATGTTAGTAACTTTTTAAATGTTTTTGCCTTTTCCATAATGATATTCTAGATCATGTTATGGCAGGCTTTTCCAATACTCCTTACCCTTTCTTTCTTTCTCTTTATCCATGCCAGTTGTGGTCTGAGACCTCTCCTCTTGAGGAGACCTCTTCTGTTGAGCCAATACTCCATAATTAAAAGCAAATTGACATTCGGAGACGGGTGATTAAAAACAAGCTTTTTACTTCACTAAATCCAATCTAATTGGTTCAGATAGTCATTTCTAGTGTTTTTGAAAAACAGTAAAACATGCCAAGTAAAAATAATATATTAATACTGTATTCCTGAAGTTGCTTACTAATAAATAAAATTAATAACAATGACTATCCTATGAGAAAGTTAATTCACAGAGTGTTCTCACATATATTACTTTATCTGACCCTTGATACAGCTCTATGAAGTGGTTATTTTTATTCACATTTGTGGGAAAGCTAAGGCTCAAAAGATCCAGGTCCAAAGTCACAGAAGTAGTAAATTGCAAATCTCCAAATCTTGGCTTCCTAGGTTCATAATAAAAGGATATGTATTTCCATCTAGAACACAGCTAGTAAATATTATGGTAATGAACATTTACATTGCTATACCATACTTACAGTCCAGTTAAAGATCCACAATACTTGTGTTTCTTTCTTTTTTTTTTTTTTGGTCTCTGGCTGCTCTTTTTTTTTTTTTTTTTTTTTTTTTGAGGTGGAATTTTGCTCTTGTTGCCCAGGCTGGAGTGCAATGGCGCAGTCTCGGCGCACTGCAACCTCCGTCTCCCAGGTTCAAGCGATTCTCCTGCCTCAGCCTCCCGAGTAATGGGGATAACAGGCATGCACCACCACACCCGGCTAATTTTGTATTTTCAGTAGAGACAGGGTTTCACCATGTTGATTAGGCTGGTCTCAAACTCCTGACCTCGTGATCCACCCGCCTCGGCCTCCCAAAATGCTGGGATTACAGGCGTGAGCCACCGCACCCGGCCGGCTGCTCATCTTAATAACATTACTCATCATGTATGGAACAACATTACTATAAATCACAGAGATAGTAAATGTTCAGTGGTAACTAATATGGAAATACTTATTTAATCTGAATGATACATATGGTAACTTATTTTTATAGCCACTGAACACTATTATGGAAGTTATTATCTAGTTCAAATATGATACACAACTTGATAAAATATTTTATATTACTACTCTGTCATATACTTCTATAGAATCAATCTGTAGATATTCTAGTCTTTTATTCTTTTATACTAAACAAGAAACATGTTTATGCAGAAATAAAAACATAGGTTGAGTTGAAGGAATGTTTTCCTAGTTTTGTAAGAGAAGACTTAGCCCTTAAGAAAAGAATTAATAAGAATAATTACTATTTGGCTGGGCGCGGTGGCTCACACCTGTAATCCCAGCACTTTGGGAGGCAGAGGCAGGCAGATCACAGGGTCAGGAGATCGAGACCATCCTGGCTAATAGGGTGAAACCCCGTCTCTACTAAAAATACAAAAAATTAGCCAGGCCTGGTGGCGGGCGCCTGTAGTCCCAGCTACTCAGGAGGCTGAGGCAGGAGAATGGCGTGAACCCGGGAGGTGGAGCTTGCAGTGAGCCGAGATGGTGCCAATGCACTCCAGCCTGGGCGAGAATGCAAGACTCCGACTCAAAAAAAAAAAAAAAAAAAAAGAATAATTACTATTTGTTAACACCAGTAAAGAGGACAGCATTGATTTTGGAGGGTAATTAATAAGTTGATCAGTAATACCCTTGGCACATGGAAGAATAATTGCACTGTTGATATTAAGAAGTCACTCATAGGAAATGTCATTTTTATCAGCATTTTTTTAATTGAAATGATTAGTCTTTACATGGGAGGAAGCAGCCTCTTACCTGCATAAGGATTTTTGAAATGCTCTCAGTAATTCAAAACCATGTCCAGATGTTTAAATTACTACATGTAATAGCCTTATACCTATTGCAGTTTTCTTTAACATGGTTCAGCACTTTCTCAAAGGAAATTTCAATTATTTTTCCTCAAACGATAGAAAACAAAATGAACAGGAGCAGGCTGAACTCGATGGAACCAGTGGTCTGGCTGAGTTGGACCCAGAACCAACGAATCCTTTCCAGCCAATAGCATCTGTAATCATTGAGGTATGAATGATGGCAAATGTAATTTTTGTATCTTAAGTTATAAGTTGGAACTTGGAAAAGAAGGTGGAAAGTTGGGAAAGGAGGCAGGGAAACAGATGTGTTTCTTCTGAGAGATTATTTCTATAAGAAATTAAACATGAGAGACTGATTAAAGGTTTACTGCTTTTTCTTACTCTTAAATTACCTTTGAATCTAGTGTGAAAGGGGGAATATGACTTCAGAATTAAATGACAATAAATAAATTTGACTGTAGCAATTATTATAGTTGCTGTGTTGACAAATCTATTCTGTCATTTATTTCATATAGTAATAACATATTTACTCTTATTTACATTTTCTGTGTTTCTGTATTGCTGTTACTGTCCATCTGCAATATTTACTTAGAATGCATTAGGGTACATAAACAATTTTCTATTTTTCCAGGATACTTAAGGATGTTTGAAACTGCAATAAATTCTCCTATATCTGAATATCATTTATTTCCATTTTAAATCAGAAATTTTACCAACATTAATTTGTAGATTTTAATTATGAAGACGTTAAGGGGTTGTGTGTGTGCGCGTCTGTGTTTTTGTTTTCATTTTCTGCTCATGTCCAGAGTTTGCATTGGCTCTGCTTTTATGGCTGGCAGCAGCGATGCCTCTTCTGAGGCATTGCTTCCTAAACCTTAGGCTGACTTCCTGGTCCTACCTGGAAGGTTTTTTTTTTTTTTTGTCTCCATTCTATCAGATATTATATTTGTCAAGTTTTGTTTTATGTTCTTTTAAAAATATTGAGAGAGAAGAGGTCAAGTTGTACTTTTTACTTTGAAACAACAATTATTCTCTGTGTATAATAAGGCTTGCTTTATAAATAATGGCTAATTATTTTATAGTACCATGGGTATAAATTGTGTAGAAGGCTCTAGTGCTTCTCCCAGCACCGTATTTCCCACAATGTATAGAAGTGAATAATAGTGGTGTACGACATAGTATATATCACATATAGAAAGTTCCCAAATTAATAAGTGGCATGGGGAAAGTACACTTAACGCTTTGAAACTACAATTTCAAGAAGATGGCCAGTAAAGAAATAAAAGCAAATTAGCTATAGTTTTTTTTTTTTAACCATACAGATTTTCTCTTTTTTTCCCCACAAAACTTTTTTAGCATGTTTCTTGGTACAGAAGCACCTAACATTTTTTTTTATTATTACTGCAGATAATTAAAATGGTGAGATATTGGAAGGTATTGGTTCCAGAAGAGACAGACAGATCAATGGAACGAATATTAATAAACCTATTTATGTATGAGCATTTTAGTACAAGATAAAGATAACATTTCAAATCTGAGAGAAAAAAATAATAGAACAACTTAATAACCATTTAGAAAAAGGAAAATTATTGAATATTGTATACCCAGTTAAATTCCAAAAGTATCAAAAACTTAAATACGTTTTAAAAAGTGAAAGTCTTCAAGTTACTAGTAGATAATATAGATAAGTCTTTATATGTGCTTGGAGGAGGAAAAAATTTCAAAGCAGGACAAGCAAGCCACAAATCATAAAGGAAAAAGGTGGATAGATCTTATACTACCCAATTTTTAAAGAGCTATTCTACAAAGTTAAAAAGCAAAAATGAAAAGAAGTAAACTCTAGTGAGAAATAGAACACATAGTCTTATGTGACTCTGTGACTAGTCCTAGTGACACGTATGCACAAAAGAACTCTTACAAATTACTATGAAAATAATGAGAATCTAATAGAAAAGTGGGCATTGGGTTACCAAAGGCAGTTTCCTAAAAAAAAATTAAAAATGTCAATAAGTGGCCAGGCACGGTGGCTCACGCCTGTAATCCCAGCACTTTGGGAGGCCGAGGTGGTTGGAGTTCAAGACCAGCCTGGCCAAGACGGTGAAACCCTGTCTCTGCTAAAAATACAAAAAATTAGCCAGGCGTGGCACGAACCTATAATCCCAGCTACTCCGGAGGCTGAGGCAGAGAATTGCTTAAACCTGGAGGGGTGGAGGTTGCAGTGAGCCGAGATCGTGCCACTGCACTCCAGCCTGGGCGACAGAGCGAGACTCCATCTCAAAAAAAATAAAATAAAATAATTCAATAATAGTTCATTTTTGCTGGCAATAAAAATTTTAACTTAAACTCAAATGAAAATAACACTAAGTTAAATAAAAATATGTATTAATACGGCAGAGATGTAAAAGGTCAATCATGATATGTGGTATTGAATATGATGTAGAAAAAAATCACTCTCCCAACCCTTTGCCTGAGGTTCATTGATTCATTTTTTCTGAAGGGAAGTTTGTGACTATATGTGACATTTTTAAATTTGCCTACCCACTGACTCAACAGTTCTACTGTTAGCAATTTAATCTAAAAAAATTAAAAAAAAGCTATTAGGATGATTCTGTTTTTTAAAATAGTGAAAAATTGGAAATACTTTGTTCATTGATACAGAATTGGTATGCTATAAACATTCAAAATAATAATTGATGAAAATAATTGTATCTAACATTTATGTAGCATTTACTATGTGTAAGGCACTGTTCTGAGCACTTTATATATTCATTGGCATGGAAAGAAATGTATATTCTTCAATAAAAACTTCAATTCTTTTTTGTTTAAACAACAAATACATAAGTATATATAGATACATATATTTATGTATGTTTCTGGGTGATGTATGTCTGTACATGATATAGGTATGTATGTGTGGGGGTTGGCAGAGAAAATCATCTCTTAGTGATTATATACTGAACAGATTATATACGGAATAATACAGATGAATAGTAGTCATCTCTAGATTGTGGAATTACTGGTAATATTTGTTTGCTTTTGTTATACTTTCTGTTTTACTGAATGTTTGACATTTAGCATCTTTTAATGATGTATTCATGAAATCATTTTTAAAATAGAAGTCTCACAGTGTCCTTGAAGTTACAGAATCCTGTTAAGGTATTTGATTTCCTCTCCCTTAAAACTATCTTAGATAAAACCATCATAGTAAAGATAATGTATTTTATTTTTTGTTAGAATGAAGGAAAACTTGAAAGAGAGAAAAAAAACCAAAAAATGGAGAAAGACAGTGATGGCTGCCACCTGAAACATAAAATGGAGCATGAGCAAATAGAGACACAAGGCCAGGTTAATCACAATGGCCAAAAAAATAATGAATTTGGACTAGTAGAAAATTATAAGGAGGCATTAACACAGCAGTTAAAGAATGAAGATGAGACAGACCGGCCATCATTGGAATCAGGTAATAAATCTAGTTATTTAAAGTAATTATCTTATGTATATATAAATAAAACTTATACTTCATCTCATTTTTTATGTTTGTTTTTACAAACGAGTACTTCAATATTTTTCTGTCTTCAAATGCCATATTTACCATGATTTTCTCAAGGTCTTTTATTATTCAGTTTGTTCCTAACCTGTTTTTCCATGACTTAAAATGTGGTCCTTTGTAACTTATAAGGATTTCAGCAGAAAATTCCATTTTTATTTTCATAAATTTGGGATACAGCATAGCTCTCAAGAATCCTTGGAATAGCCCTCCCCCTCCTCCCCCTCCCCCCTCCCTCTTCCCCTCTCCCTCTTCCCCTCTCTCCCTCCCCCTCCCCCTCTCCCCCTCCCCCTCCTCCCCTCCCCCTCCCTCTCCTTCCCTCCCCCCTCCCCTTTCTTTCTTTCTTTCTTTCTACAGTCTCCCTCTCTTGC
This sequence comes from Homo sapiens, assembly GCF_000001405.40. Lineage (NCBI taxonomy): Eukaryota > Metazoa > Chordata > Mammalia > Primates > Hominidae > Homo > Homo sapiens. Next base: position 94,043,699 of record NC_000003.12, read on the forward strand.
CGAGCCTGGACTGTACTGCCATGATCTCGGCTCACTGCAACCTCCCTGCCTCGGGCTCCTGTGATTCTCCTGCCTTAGCCTGCCGAGTGCCTGGGATTCCAGGCACGCGCCGCCACTCCTGACTGGTTTTTGTATTTTTGGTGGAGATGGGGTTTCGCCATGTTGACCGATCTGGTCTCCAGCTCCTGGCCTTGGGTGATCCGCCCACCTCGGCCTCCCGAGGTGCTGGGATTGCAGACGGAGTCTCGCTCACTCAACGCTCAATGTTGCTCAGGCTGGAGTGCAGTGGCGTGATCTCGGCTCGCTACAACCTCCACCTCCCAGCCGCCTGCCTTGGCCTCCCAAAGTGCTAAGATTACAGCCTCTGCCTGCCCGCCACCCCGTCTAGGAAGTGAGCAGCGTCTCTGCCTGGCCGCCCATCGTCTGGGATGTGAGGAGCCCCTCTGCCCGGCTGCCCCATCTGGGAAGTGTGGAGCGCCTCTGCCTGGCTGCCACCCTGTCTAGGAAGTGAGGAGTGTCTCTGCCTGGCCGCCCATCATCTGGGATGTGAGGAGCGCCCCTGGCCGGCCGCCCTGTCTGGGAAGTGAGGAGCGCCTCTGCCCGGCCGCCCCGTCTGGGAGGTGAGGAGCGCCTCTGCCCGGCCGCCACCCCGTCTGGGATGTGAGGAGCGTCTCTGCCCAGCCGCCACCCCATCTAGGAAGTGGGGAGTGCCTCTGCCCGGCTGCCCTGAATGGGAAGTGAGGAGCGCCTCTGCCCGGCCACCCCGTCTGGGAAGTGGGGAGCGCCTCTGCCTGGCTGCCCCGTCTGGGAAGTGAGGAGCGCTTCTGCCTGGCCGCTCCATCTGGGAGGTGAGGAGCGCCTCTGCCTGGCCGCCACCGCATCTGGGAGGTGAGGAGCGTCTCTGCCCGGCCGCCACCCTGTCTGGGAAGTGGGGAGCGCCTCTGCCCGGCTGCCCCATCGGGTAGGTGAGGAGTGCCTCTGCCCGGCTGCCCATCGTCTGGGAAGTGAGGAGCGCCTCTGCCCGGCCACCCATCGTCTGGGAGGTGAGGAGCGCCTCTGCCCGGCCGCCCCGAATGGGAAGTGAGGAGCGCCTCTGCCCGGCCGCGCCGTCTGGGAAGTGGGGAGCGCCTCTGCCCGGCCGCCCCGTCTGGGAAGTGAGGAGCGTCTCTGCCTGCCCGCCCCTCGTCGGGGAGGTGAGGAGCGCCTCTGCCCGCCGCCGCATCTGGGAGGTGTACCCAACAGCTCCGAAGAGACAGTGACCATCAAGAACGGGCCATGATGACGATGGCGGTTTTGTCGAAAAGAAAAGGGGGAAATGTGGGGAAAAGAAAGAGAGATCAGATGGTTACTGTGTCTGTGTAGAAAGAAGTAGACATAGAAGACTCCATTTTGTTCTGTACTAAGAAAAATTCTTCTGCCTTGGGATGCTGTTAATCTATAACCTTACCCCCAACCCTGTGCTCTCTGAAACGTGCTGTGTCAACTCAGGGTTAAATGGATTAAGGGCGGTGCAAGATGTGCTTTGTTAAACAGATGCTTGAAGGCAGCATGCTCATTAAGAGTCGTCACCACTCCCTAGTCTGAAGTACCCAGGGACACAAACACTGCGGAAGGCTGCAGGGAGCTCTGCCTAGGAAAACCAGAGACCTTTGTTCACGTGTTTATCTGCTGACCTTCTCTCCACTATTATCCTATGACCGTGCCACATCCCCCTCTCCGAGAAACACCCAAGAATGATCAATAAATACTAAAAAAAAAAAAAAAGAAAGAAAGAAAAAAAAGAGTTAAAATGCCAGAGCCCCCAACTGATCTGTAGATTTAAGGCAATTCCAAACAAATCCCAGCATGAGTCTTTGTAGATATAGGCAAGTTCATTATAAAATATATGTAAAAGTAAAGGACTGGAATACCCAAAACAATTTTGAAGAAAGATCAAGGTTAAAGACTCATACTACCCAATTTAAGACATACTATAAAGTAGTGGCCGGGCACAGTGGCTCATACCTGTAATCCCGACACTTTGGGAGGCTGAGGCGGGAGGATCACGAGGACAGGAGATCGAGACCACAGTAGAGACCCCGTCTCTACTAAAAATCCAAAAAATTAGCCAGGCGTGGTGGTGGGCGCCTGTGGTCCCAGCTACTCAGGAGGCTGAGGCAGGAAAATGGCGTGAACCTGGGAGGCAGAGCTTGCAGTGAGCCGAGATGGTGCCACTGCACTCCAGCCTGGGCAACAGAGCAAGACTCCATCACAAAAAAAAAAAAAAAAAGAAAAAAAAAAGACATACTATAAAATAAAACCACAGTGATCATAACAGTATAGTATTGACTAGAGGATAGACACAGAGATCAATAAAACACAATAGAGATTCTAGAAATAGATCCCCAAAATATGGTAATTTTAATGAGTTTCATTGAGGTATAATTGACTTACAACAAACTGCACATATTTATAGTATAAAGATTGATACATTTTGATATATGTATACATATGTAAAACCATCAGCCCAATCAAAATAGTGAACATAAACATTATCCCCAAAAGTTTCTTCATGTCCTTTAGTAATCCCTTCTTTCCTCCCCTCTCTACTTCTCCACCTCATCTCCTGGCAATCACTGATCTGCTTTATATCATTTATATTCATTTATATTCCTTGAATATAAAATATTCCTTTATATTTATATACTATTCCTTGAATATAATATATTCCTTTATATTAATGGAATCATATAGAATGTACTTTTTTGTCTTGCTTTCTGAACTCAACGTCATTCCTTTGAGAATCATCCATGTTGTAGCATGTATCAATAGTCCATTCTTTTTTATTGCTCTGAGGTAGTCCATCATATCCATGTACCGTACTTTGCTTATCTAGTCACTTGTTGGTGGGCATTCAGGTGTATACTGTTTTGGCTATTACAAATAAACCTGATATGAACATTCATGTACAACAAAAAAAAAGAATCCTTGGAATAAATTTAACATCTTAAGGTTTTTTGTTTGTTTTTTAAGGCTCATAAATGCTACATCAGCATCATTTCCTTTATTGACTGGCTATTGCTGTAGGTTGCAAACTTTATTGGTACAACATTTTTAAAATGTCTTGTCAAATAGCCATTTTTCTCTTATTTTAATATCATAAAAAATCTTCAACTTATAATTGCTTTTCTTTTTCTAACTGGCTATGTTATATAACAGAATGTTCATGATTTTTGGTATCGTAGGGATATAGCCTGCATTTGGAATCACACAACTTGGGATAGAATCTTGACTCTCTTATCTACTAGATATACGTTAAGTTATGTAACATTCTTTAGTCTTAGTTTCTTCATCTCTAAAATGCAAATAAATATTGTCTTTATTCACAAGATTTTTAGGGTTACTTAGAAAATAACTCTACTCCTAGTAGTGTCAGCCACATGAGATGCGCCCTATAATTGTTGCTTCCTTGACATTTTTAGTTATGAATATGGCTTTGTTATTTATAAGAAATTTTTATAGTATCACAGGGCTTATGAAAATAAGATTTCAATTCCTGAGATACAGATTAGCTAACATGGATATTTTGCTGGATGAAAATATTAATTTGAAAGTTATACTTTTTGTCAGTTGGGAAGTTAGGGCAGTCATATATTACCCATGTAACTGTCAGCAGAGTTAAAAAGGAAGTAGACCTATTACAGTGGTCGCTAAGTTTTTGAATAGTTCTCTACTGCTTGTTAAAGAACAAAATGATTTTGGCAAATGATTTGAAAATATAGCACAGGGAGATCTCAGGTAGTAAATCATGTAACTATAATAATAACTAACATTATATTTTATACTTTAAAAGATGCCTTTGTATGCACTATATTATTCAACATAATATTTTGTTATTTAACATAGCAATCCCAGGGTATAGTATTCCATTATATAAATGAAGAAACCAGGGACTTGAAGAGGTTGAGTAACTTAAGATCATATATCTGTCTGTGTAAGCTGAGACCCCAGTCCAGATCATCTGATCCACATCCTGTGCTTTAACGTGACCCTGAACTAATGCCTACCCTAAAGTACCATTTGGTGGTTGTATTCTTCCACATCTTGTGGATCTATTCTTCCAGTTGTTAGGCTTACCACTTTAATTGTACAAAGACCTATTTGTTTTTATATGAAGTGAAATGTTTCAAACAACACTAATTTATTTAGAATAATAATTTGTTTCTAAGTGTGATTGTATTTTTTATTGCTTTTTAGGCTTCACAGATATTGTATATATTTTATGTTACAGATAATTCCCATTTAGAAAGTACATTGCATAGACACACACACACACACACACACACACACACACACACACGGCAATTTTGAAATATTGCAGTTACATTGGCTGGGCAGGGTGGCTCACATCTGTAATCCCAGCACTTTGGGAAGCCAAGGAGTGCAGATCACTTGGTCAGGAGTTCAAAACCAGTCTGTGCAACATGGCAAAAGCCCATCTCTACAAAAAAATACAAAAATTAGCAGCATATAGTGGCACATGCCTGCAATCCCAGCTACTCTGGAGCCTGAGACACAAGAATCACTTGAACCTGGGAGGTGGAGATTGCAGTGAGCCAAGATCGCACCACTGCACTCCAGCCTGGGCAGAGAGTGAGGAAAAAAAATTGCAGTAACATTGATGTTCTAAATTTAGTTAACTACTATGTCATCCTAATTTACCTTACTAAAATTTATACATTAACATAGATTTCCTTAAAGTGTTTATATGTGTTTAAGTTAAAATATGTAAATAATTTTTAAAAGAAAGAACACATTCAATTCTGCTAGTTCTAATGCGATTTTGGTTACGTGTTTGTATTGTATTGGGCCTACCTTCTTTAGGAGTTATTTTATTTGTTTATTTACTTATTTATTTGATTTTTTTTTTTCTGAGATAGATTCTCACTCTGTCACCAAAGCTGGATGGCAGTGTCACAATCACACTCACTGCAGCCTTGAACTCCAGGGCTCAAGTGATCCTTCTGCCTCAGCCTCCTGAATAGTTGGGACTACAGGCACATGAAAACAAAGCCATGCTGGGGTTTTTTTTTTCCCCCATAGAGATGAGGTCTCCTTATGTTGCCCAGACCATTCTCTTAACTCCTGGGCTCATGCATTCCTCCTACTTCAGCCTCCCAGAGTGCTGAGATTACAGGTGTGAGCTGCCATGCATAGCCTTGTAGGGGTTATTTTAAATAAGTAACATGTTTAGATTTGTTTAGGGCCTTTTATGTCACATTTCAAAGGATTATATTTGGGCTATTTATACCTGGAATCATTCTACATATCCCACTGAGAAAAATCAAATATACTGAGTGACACAATAATGAATAGCTTCTTTTCCCAGATTATTATGAAGTTCATGGAAACTCTTGCAATTAGACAATTATATTTGTGTCATATGACATTTTTTTGTATTCTGAAAAACCTCTCAGAAATTAAAATATAGAATTTTGGCTCTTTTTATCATATTCATTGCTCATTCATTCATTCAATAAGCCATCACTTAAAAAATATATTCTTAGTAAATGCAAGTACACATTTGGTTATTGTAACAATTTCCAAAGTTAAATAGTCAAGATGTTTTTTGTTAATAATATCAGTATTCTTGTTGTATTCTTTGTTTTCTATTATAAAAGTGCACTTTTTCATAAAGACATGAAGTTTCATGTTTATATTCTTGTAGCTAATGGTAAAAAGAAAACTAAGAAACTAAGAATGAAAAGGAACCACCGGGTAGAACCACTTAATATAGATGACTGTGCTCCTGAGAGTCCAACGCCACCCCCACCCCCTCCTCCTGGTGAGTAAATTGATACTGATACTGAATTTAGAAATATTGCTTTAAACAACAGAGAAAAAAAAAAAGAAAAAAGGAATCTTGTCATTTTTATTCTGTATATTCATTATCTTGTATACTTGTGAAGAAGAATCTTTTACTCTGATTTGGACAAAATTTGCTAACACAAATGTCCATTGCTTTTTTGAATAAAAAAATGTTTTATAAAGAAAAAAATAAGTAAAAACTATTAAGAAAATTTTACCCAGTATTTCCTAGAATATGTTCAAGTTCTATTTGAAATATCAGTACCCACATGTTAATTTAAGTTTCACGATGGATGGCTAACATGAGTTTTTAAAACATTGAACCGGCTCGGCATGGTGGCTGACACCTGTAATCCCAGCACTTTGTGAGGCCGAGGCGGGCAGATAACCAGGTGAAGAGTTCGAGATCAACCTGGCCAACTTGGTGAAACCCCGTCTCTACTAAAGATACAAAAAAAAAAAAAAAAAATTAGCTGGGCGTAGTAGCACATGCCTGTAATCCCAGCTACTCAGGAGGCTGGGGCAGGAGAATCGCTTGAACCTGGGATGGAGAAGTTGCAGTGAGCCAAGATCACTCCATTGCACTCCAGCCTGGGTGACAGGGTGAGACTCCATCTCGGGAAAAAAAAAAAAAAAAAAAAATTGGACCTTTCATCCTGAAAGTTAATGTTTGAAACCAAGATGTATTAATTTTTTCTAATACATTTTCAATATACATACCCATGTCCTAAGTTGTTACGAGGATTAAATGGAGTAATGCATATAAAACACTGGGACTTAACTTGCACAATAATTTTGAGTAACTTTTCAGCACTAAGCTTAGCACCTCACCTACTATAGGTGGTCAGTAAATATGTAATGACTAGATAAATATGTGTATAGTGCCCTTATAGCCCTGCTACAAGGCTTTAGAAATTATTTGGTAACATTTTAAGAATCTCTTATAGACTCATTTCCAGTATTCCATTTATTAAGAAAATATTTAGTTTCTGCCTAGAGTTAGAATGATAGCATGAGTTTGTTTTTGATAGTGGTGAAGGTGCTTATAGTTTTTATTAAAAGCTACTGAAAAGTTAAAGCAGATGTTAGCAGCCTATAATTACATTTTAAAATATAGAAGCCATTTAAAATGGGTTTCTGGCTTTCCATACTGTCATTCAATATATTTGAATTGACATTGAATGTTACATATGCTTCCTTTCCAGGGAGGGATCCTCTCAACAGACCTAAAGAAACCTTGTTTAACAGTGTTTTTTAAATGTTTTTCTTTTTCTTTAGTTGGCTGGGGAACCCCTAAAGTCACTAGACTTCCAAAACTTGAGCCTCTTGGTGAAACACATCATAATGGTAATGCAAAAGGATTGGTTTTCAGATATCATCTGTACATGTCACATTCACTTTTCTTTAGCCTTATAATTTCAACAAACTTATGTTTTAGTTTTAGAAGCTTGTCAAATCCACAGCTATCCTTTTTCATTATACGTCTTTTTTCATTTTATTTAATTTTTTATTCTTAAGTATGCTTTACATCTATATCATTTAATTTGGTGTTTACCTTAGAATACAGAGGTAAAAAGAATCATAGCTTGTGTTTATTATCCATGATATATTTATACAAGGAGTTATAATAAAAAGGAAATGTTTTAAAATAATTTAACTATGAGACATTAGAATTTATAACTTAAGTGTTAAAAGCTGTAGTTTCCTGTATATGCTCAATATACTCAATGATAATGGCACATAATTTTTTCTCTCTACTCCTAATAAGACAACCAGCTGCTGAACATTAAAGTGAAGTAAAGATCAACACAGTTTATAAAATCAGAGATCAAATCAGTAAACCTAATAAAGTTCGACTAAGTAGAAAGTTACTAACATTTTTATTGAATTAAGAGAACAGTTTTCTTTGAATATAACATACGCTATAGTCTAGATAGTTTATGGCATTAGAATTCTAGGATGCAAAAACTAGAGGAAGGATATTTAGGAGAAGTAGAGAACTGCCTTATAAAACAAGGAGAAGTTCTGATTACAGACCATCAGTCTAGGTCCCTTCAGTAAAATATTTCTAGAATGCAAAAGAATTATAGATAAATGTAGTTCAATAAACTTGTTTGTTAAGAACATCCAATTCCTTTTTGGACAGCTCTGTGTTTACCTAGTCTAGAACTTGGTTTCACTTACTAGGAAAAAACTCAGAAGTTTACTCTTTAGAAAAGCATTACCATATAATTTGAAATTATATCAAACCAGTTTAAATATTTTTGTTTAAAAGGTACTTAAATATAAATGTGCTATTTGCTTTTTTCCCCCAGAATTCTATTTAGGTCAGTATTGAAATATTTCTTGATAATCGTTAGTGAAAATTCATGAATTTTTTTTTTTTTAAAGACAGAAAAGTTTGTCCTTAGACTCCATCAGAATTACTGAAGTGGTATTTTCAGTGAAATCTCATCTCTCTGTTTAGTTTACTGACTTGACATCGTGATGTTTATATTGACTACAGTAGATTTATTTCTTTATTACACAACTCTTAGTGAACTTGTGTACGTTAGAATACATTGTCAATATAAATATTCACTATGTTGTTAGAAAACTAATGTTACTGTGTATATTTATATGTACACACATACATATGAAGAAAAAATACCAATTTTTCATATGACATATTTTTTCTGTTGAACTCATTTAACATACAAGTATTTTGTTTGTTAAAACATTGGTAATAACAAGATGAATAAGATGTACATTCTGCCTTTGTGAGGATTCTACTATACAGAGAGGACAATTCTTCAGCTTACTGTAGAATATATGACAATGAGTTCTATGGTGTACAGTTGGAGTACTGTGCACAGTAGGAGTACTGTGTACATGGGCAGTTAGGGAAAGTGGCATTAGAACGAGGTCTTCAAAGAATGAGAAGAGTCAGTAAGCAGAAGAAACAGACTATTTCAAGATAGAGAGTTAGGAAAGAATATTGTTTAGTTGGAGAATAACATGAAGTTGCCAGTGACAGGAGATTAGGTTTATGTGCATTGAGTGGGTAAGAAAGAGAAAATATAAAATTACAGAGAGTGTTGAAAGTGGAGTTATGGCTTAGGGCCAGATTGTGAAGGCTTCATATATGTGGTAAGATGTCTTAACTTGCTATAACTTTTAAAGAAATGCTTTTATTTTTAAAAGGGAAAATGCTATTATATTTGGTGCTTAGAAAAACATTTTTTGTTGCAATGTAAAGTACAAACTTGATAGTGGCTATATTTGGGGTAAGAATCCAAATTTGGGGGCTATTGCAGTAGTCAAAGTAAGAAGTAAGGAATGGAAATTGGATTGGAGAGTATAACATAAGGAAGGAATATTTTAACCATTATAATAAGTAATATGTGATTAATGCATGTGTGGATTGAAGGCAAAAGGAATAGAGTATAATTTGGCTCAACAGGATGGAATGTTGGTGCCATCTCTTAAGATTTAAAATGCACGAGAGAGAAGGAAATCTTTTAGAGAGGCATGTCAAGATTCTGTAAGTTTATCTCTTTGGAAATGTCTAAAATGTCTAAAGTCTAAAAAATAATGAACTGTGTCAAAAATCTTGATGTACCATAACTGTTTTGTGCATTTGGTTTTCTTTCTTTTCTTAGATTTCTATAGGAAGCCACTGCCTCCCCTGGCTGTGCCACAGCGACCTAACAGTGATGCTCATGATGTGATCTCATAAACAAGACGTATGGAGGAGTTCTCTTAATATCAGCAAGGTGAACTGGGACATTCTTCTTTCTCAGAAGAAGAAACATCTTGTAAATTGATGACTGGGGCAAGATAACCATAATAATTTTAGTGAGAAGATTAATACTCAAGGACCTGACTTGATAATTACTTATTTGTGTTTTTCATGGTTAAAAAAATAAAAGAAGCACAATGACCAGTACATGAAATCAGCATTTGGACCAAATTAGCAAGATTTACTGTTGACTCTGGTTTATACATCCCCACTCATGAGCATACTTCTGAAGGAAAACTTTACAAAAAGAGCCAATGGACTCAGCACTTTCTTTACTATTTGTTCAATAGCCTATATTTCTAGATATTAAATATTTTTTGTAAGATATATGCACATAGAAGGGGGACTTCTAGGAATTTATAACCAAAATTTTAAAACTATTTTTATATTTTTTTAAATCTTTAAAAATTTTAATTACTGTGATATTGATTATACACCTTTTTTATAGATGATTTGTTTAAATTATATCTGGAAAATAGAGTTGATTTACTTTCAGACATGAACTATACAAACAGGATATATTTATATGGCTTGAGGTATGTTTTGTAATAGCGTTGTTCTTTAAGTGTACATCGTAATTTGACCTAATTTAAAAATAATATATTTTCGAAGTAGTAGATTCTCAGATCTTTATTCTAACAATTACATGATTTGAAAACAGTACTCAATGAGACTGGAAATACCTTTTGTACCTAAATGTTTTTTAAATTAATCAAAATACATTCTGTGAGATACTATTAAAAGTCTCAGTAAAGTCCTATTTTAAAGGTTAGACACTTTCAGAGATCAAGGTGCTCCCTATACTCCCTTGTTCCATCAGAAGCTGCAGTGACTCTTTTAGGTGATTCTAATTCTTTCATGCCTTGAAATTAAACTATGAAATTAAAGGCAGAAAAACTGGAAAACCTACTGCAGGTCCAGAGACTTCTGTTTTACAACTGGGAAACAGCTTGTGTACTAAAGTAATGAGAATAAAAATGTTGGCCCAAAATTACTTTTATAAATAAATAATTCCAAAATAATTTCTTAATTTAAAATGATAGCACTTCTCTTGCACTTAAGAATGGCATCCATAAGATTCTGTATTTGGCATTTAGACTAACTTCTAGATGTATATTTTTAATAATAGATTCATAATGTTACATTTAATTGAAAACAAACCTTTATATCCAATGAAAATAGTATAAACAGAATGATTTTTATACCACCTTGTTAAGATTGGTGCTTTTGGTAACTTGTACTGACACAACAGACATGTGCTAGTATCTGATAACATTAAGTACATTTTATGTCGTTTAATATAATTATTTACTTTAAAAATTGTACTTCAGAACATCAGATTTTATTCACATTTTTTAACTCACTGAACTTTAATAATCAGGTCACCTGTACTCTAGTCAGCACTGTATATATTCTTGGAGTTTGTACATGGGACTTAGCAACCACACTGAGTGAGGTAAAAGCATTTGATTTCAGATCTAAAATTCGTAACAACCTAAATTTGAGAGGTGGCTGAAATGTGATGAAAAGCAATACGAAAAGACAATGTAAACTTTGAAAAGGATTTTAGAGGGAAAATTGCATAGCTTTTTGTAACATTTACTTAATTTTAAAACTAAACTCATACTTTTGCTATCTTTTTAATATTTATCTCGTTTGGGAGTATACGTGTTTTTAAAATTTGTGTTTTCTATCTGTTTACTATAGTGTAGCTACTGGCTTCATTTAATAAAAATAAATGATTTTGAAATTAAATATAATATAGAATTCACATTTTATATAGCTCTCTCAAAAATTAATTTTTATTCCTTAAGCATTTTAAAAACATTTTAAAAAATGTTTTGTAAATCCAGGTGTATTTTAACAATTAAATGCCTATTTTGTTATATGTTATACTTTTATTCTTAATTCTGAATTTTGACATTTTCACACAATAAAAATAATTTATATCAATATTCTGTTTCTCTTTTCAATTGGTAGATTTAAATGATTTCCTTTGGGTAATAAAATAGGTAAAGATTTTAAAATATGATTATTGAAAAACAGTTTAAATCAGTAGATTAAAATAATGCATTTTTTTGATACTTTACACACAAAACTTTTTTCTCTCTGCAAGTTTTTATGTATGTGGGAAAGAATTTGTGATTTTAAATGCAGCTACAAATAGCATTTCACCATATGATGTTAGAGGATTTGATGTCTGTCTTGCGTTAAAGCTGTTGGTCAACAGATATGTTTTTATGTATTTAAAAGAGGCTCTTGTGTGCCTTTATGTGTAAAATGCATATTACGTAGTATACATGATATTGTATGTAACTGACTTCAAATATAAAACTATGCATAGAAACAACACTAGAAAGAAATGTAGTTTGGCTTACTTTTGTAGTGAGGGAGGCAAATTTATAATATTGTATAAATTATTTAAGTACCATGTTTTCTGCAAGTTTAAAATTAAGTGCTTTTATAAATGCCAGATTAAGACTACAATTCCCTTAATATGTAAAACCTGTGAACATCGTGGAGCAGTTCACCTGCAGAATACAACTAAAGAAATCAAATGCTTCTAGGTAGCAAAAGCTATTCACAAGCTAAATTGTTTATACATATAAAGCTGTAGCTTATAAACTTTATCATCCTTGGCTTTACTTAGTAAATTTTTTTGCTAAGTGGAATATGCTTTGCAACTGAGATTCTGCTAATAATGGTTTATTAATTTATCAGGAAGTATATTCCAACTGATCCAAAGAACAAATTCAAATATTTTAAAATTTTCAATTAAGCATGGCATAGGTTATCAAAATAGCAATAATCCTTTATCTTTACAGAAACAGAATAATAGATACCTGTTTTTTGAGGGGGGAAAAAAAGAAAGCCAGAAATTAACTTCCTTTAATGAAAGAGATCAGCTTATAATTAAATGGAAAATAGGAAAAAAGTTCATTTGCTTGTTGAGGGCTTAACTTGTAAGTTCCTTCTGTGTGCGGATGAGGAAATCATTTACAACCTAGGTAAGTGGATCAGTGGTTTCCAAGTTTTTATTATAATATCTTCTATCAGAAAACATTTTTAATATACATTGATGTTTATGTTATTGTATTAGTTTGCTAGGGTGGCCATAACAAAGTATCACAGACAAGTTGCTTAAACAACAGAAATTTATTTTCTCAGTTCTGGGGACTGGTAGTCTGAGAGCAAGTTGGTGGGTTTGCTTTCTCCTGAGGCCCCTCCTTGCCTGATAGATAGACACTGTCTTGTGTCCCCACGTGGCCTTTTTTCTCCACCCACCCCCACTGTCTCTGTGTGTTCGATTTTCCTCTTTTTATGACTTCTTATAACTTAACTTTGTAAAGGCCCATCTCCAAATATAGTCACATTCTGAGGTACTGGGGGTTAAGGCATCAACGTGAATTTTGGGGGGACAAATTTCAGCCCATAACAGTTAACATACTTGTTCTACTGCACTATGTACATTTTAAATACACTTCCCTAAAAAAAGAAATTTTAAAAGACTACATAAAGCTTAATAAAAATAAAAGTCATTATATTTACTTCCTAGACACAGTGGATTGTCTGCTGGAGTTTGTACAGACCACATTGGAGCCCTGAAATTTAGTAAAATGAGAATCTCACCTGACGTTTAAGCCTAAGATTGCCTATAACTATGCTGTGTTCTGTAGCATTGATCACAGGTTTCCTGTTGTGTTTTCCTGTTGTTTTTCTGCCATATATTTTAAGGAGCTCAGGGCTCTCTTGATGTCATATTGTTTTACTACAAAGCGTCTCCTTACCTTTTTGACAACATAAACCTCTATATGAACATGAAGGGTTTTGACACATTTTATATAAATATGAAAATTCATAAAACATAGTTTAGGAGTTATTCCATAAATTACTCTGAAATACTTCTTAAGACCAACTGACCTTATAATAAAATTGCTTAGATATGTAAAAATTTGTTTCCTGCCTAGAGGTACGTCCTTATTAAGCTGCTTGGTTCTTTAACGCTAACATTAAAAAAAGCACAAAAAACAAACTAATGTGATTTATGTTATTTGTGTCAGCTCAATGTCTTATGTCTGCAGTGGTTTAATTCAAGTTTGCTGCTAACAGTTTTTATTCCTAAAACTCAATGTAGAATTGTTTGTTCTTTGGTAGCTATTTGGGGTGCGGATGGGGAGTAAAATCCATTAACATTCTCATGATACACATATATTGATTCTAGATAGATTAAGAGGTTAAACATAAAAGATCAAACTATGAAAAGGTAAGGGGAGAAACAGAAGTGGCTTCACTCGGGGAAAAAATGTATAAGCCTGAAAGCAGTGGAATCAATAAACTCAATTTACAATGCACAAAAAAAATTTTAAAATACCTTCACACTTAAAGTCAAATGGTTATAAGAAAAATTGAGAAAGTGTTTTAACATCTGACATGGTTATCTCAAATATAAATAAAATGATACTAAGACACCTATAGATAAGTGGACATGAGCGGTAATCTAAAAAAGAAATAACTAATAAGATTTGAAAACCTACCCAAACTAAGGGCATAATTAACTAGGCATTATAAGGAGATTATTAGAGATTCAGACAAAATTCATAAGCAAAGTTGTTTATTTAAAATCAGAAAATATAAAGATGCTGAGTCCCAAAAATGTGATAAAATTAATATGACCTCTTTCCAAGTATAACACATTGCCTTTCTCTAACAGAAATAAACTATGATTCTTATTACAGTCTTAAAATTCTTTTTTTAATGAATGAGTGTAACTTTTTATTAAGATAGAATTATTTTTATTAAAGAAATATATGAAAATGGTTAAGTAAAATCAAATGGCTCCAAAAGTCTTACAATGAAAACAGTCCTGCGACTTGTTCTTTCCAGAGGAAAGCACTTTTCATTCTCTTAGTTTTTCCTTCTGGTAGTTACCTCCATGGGTTTTAAAAAATTACTATTTTTTTAGTTTTTCAAGTGAATACATATATTAATACATGTAATCTTTAAAAGCCTCTTCAGTTTATAATGCATCCTAACAGTCCCCTGCCCCATCCCTCCTAATTCTCTGGAGCAATGACTTCTAACTCTTCTAGCAATGTTCCATTCTTTTCTTCACATAACTACTTAGTCATTTCTTGATTATGTTATACATTATATAGTGATTTCTTGATATGACAGATGAGGATTTAGCTCTTACACCATCACTATCTTCACTTTTCCCCCCATATTGTCCCAAAGTAGTTACCAGATTTAGGGGCTAAGCAGTCAGTCACCACATCATTATGACTATGTACATATTGCCCATTGTTGAGAAAAACAGCGTATGATGCTCTTACTTCCTATCCTGTACTTCTTCCTGCCCTAGAATTAATTATTGCCTAACCAACCCTTCCCCCTTGTTTTTTTTTGTTTTTTTTTTTTTTTACTTTTGCTTTATCTTCAATGCACTTCTTTCCAAATGCCCCAAATCTGGCAATAACCTATTATTTTTAAGAGAAGGGATCTCACTATGGTGGCCAGGCTGCTCTGAACTCTTGGGCTCAAGCCATCCTTTTGCTTAGCCTCCTGAGTAGCTGGGACTACAAGCATGGGCCATCCCACCCAGCTAATCTATTAGTATTTTTACTGTTTCTTTTTAAAGCTAGCTCCATAGCTGGAATATTGCCTGTGTTGGATACTATTTGCTGGATCCACGTCATTCTCTGGTTTGTGTACGCCTTCATTTTGCTGGAGTATTTTCTCCGATAGCTTCCCAAGAAAGGGTACATGTAACCCCTGAGTCTTTGCTTGTCTAAAAATGTATTATTTTACCTTCACCCTTGATTCTTTGCCTGAATATAGATTTATCAGTTGAAAATAACTTTATAGAATTCTGAAGGCATGGTTCCGTTGTTTTCAGATTCTTTTTTGAGACAGGGTCTCTTCTGTCACCCAGGCAGGAGTGCAGTGGCAAAATCACGACTCACTGCAGCCTTGAACTCATGGGCTCAATTGAATCCTCCATCTCAGCCCCGTGAGTAGACGAGACTACAGGTGTGTGCCACAATGCCCAGCCAATTTTTGTATCTTCTGTAGAGACAGGGCTCCACCATGTTGCCCAAGCTGGTCTCAGGTGATCCACCCACCTCAGCCCCCCAAAGTGCTGGGACCACAGGCGTGAGCCACCACTCCTGGCCAGTTTTTAATTCTCTCTCTACTTCTTTCATTTCTCAAAGGCATCTCAAACTCAGTGGGCCCAAAACCAAAGTCAAACTCCATCAGAATATCCTGCTACTTCCAACTTTAAAATATATCTTAAATCACAATTTCTTACCACATGCAATCCTTTGGTTCAAACTACCATCATCCCTCACTTGAACCTAGAATTGGTTTTCCTGCTTCTGTACTTTTTTAAATTATAAAATATTTCAAATAAACCATGTGTGGCTTTATACTTTTTACTAAAAGAATGAAGATCTGCCAAGTGCAGTGGCTGATGCCTGTAATCCCAGCACCCCTGAAGGCCGAGGCAGGAGGATCACCTGAGGTCAGGAGTTCGAGACTAGCCTGACCAACATGGAATGTCCCCACCAAAAATACAAAATTAGCCTGGCGTGGTGGCACGCGCCTGTAGTCCCAGCCACCCAGGAGCCTGAGGCAGGAGAATTGCTTGAACCTGGGAAGGCTGAAGTTGCCGTGAGCCAAGGTTGTTCCATTGCACTCCGCCTGGGCAACAAGAGTGAAATTCTGTCTTAAAAAGAAAAAAAAAAAAAAGTATGAAGAGTTTACATACTTAAACATGGAATTGCTTTAAGTGTTTGGCATTCACCGTTCCCGTACATTACAGCAGCTTCTTTCAGCAAACACCTGGAACTTGCTATTGAGTAGGTGGAGTACGTTCTGCCCACACACAGGACAGGGAGCTGACAACCAAGGAGTGGGGGTTAAATACTCTAGCTTTCTCCCCTCCGTTTCCCTGTATCTCAGCAGTATGGAGCTCGTTACCATTGAGAACCTCCTCACTGATTTTGAACTGGTTTTTACCTTCTCAGTTCCATTTCTCCATACTTCGATTGATGACTTCTGGTATGACCTAGCAAATAAACTGCTTTCACTTAAATTTCAGTCTTGGAATCTGCTTTGGGTTCCCCAATCTAAGACAGAAATATATTCATTTTCCCATCACTGGACTTCCAGGTTGTTTTCAGTTTTTCACTGTTACAAAAAAGGCTGCAACATTTGTCTACAAACCTCTGGATATACATGTACGAAGCTTTTGGTATTTCCTACTAGTGAAACTGCTCAGCTGAAGGGTATGTGCATCTTCATCTTTAATAAATACTACCAACATTAGAAAAGCCTGACAATGTCAAGGAGTGGCAAGAGTGCCACATGTGATGGGTGTGGAATGGCAGCTCACTGTAGCAGGTGCTGGGGACTCAGTCGGGGTCTTGGAGAGACAGTTATAGCAAGAATGTTTCATAAATGGTATCTGATATAGCCAAGATTAGTGAGGAATAAAAACACGTTGCTTAGAAATAATTATCCATAGATCTGAAGTCAACAAAAGTCCCTTTTCTAATGTAAAAATGCATACTTTTCTCAGAGGGAGGGGGAACAACTTAAACCAGAAAACACCTTCATATTAATCATCCTTCTCACATACTTCAAATTTGTACTTGATGTGTTTCCCCTCCTGGACATCAGAGAGAACACCTGGGTATTCAGGCAGAAGTTTATATTTCTCCAAGTCAATTTCTGAAAAAAACGTGTCACTTTCAAAGTCCTGCATGATCCTTGTCACAAATAGTTTAAGATGGCCTAGGTGATTCATGGCTTCCTTATAAACAGAACTGCCACCAACTATCCAAATCATGTCTACTTTATTTGCTAATTCTGGTCGTTCAGTAAGTTTTAAGGCATCATCCAAACTTCTGGCAAGAAAATGAGCTCCTTGTGGAGGTTCCTTGAGTTCTCTGCTGAGAACTAAATTAATTCTATCCTTTAAAGGTCGATTCTTCTCAGGAATGGAGAACCAGGTCTTCCTACCCATAATCACCAGATTCTGTTTACCCTCTACTGAAGAAGTTGTGGTCATTCTCTGGAAATACCTGAATTCATTCCTGAGCGGCGGCCTGGGCAGGTCCCCGTTCTTGCCGATGCCCATGTTTTGGGACACAGCGACGATGCAGTTTAGCAAAAGAAACATGACAGCAGCGGTTAACACCTCCGAACTTGCTGGCTACGCCAGGAAGCCAGGCCAAGAATGCCGCGAAATTCCCTTCTTCAAATTTTTTTACGTGCCTACATTGCAAATACAATACCACTGTATTAATTAATTGCAACATTCTGGAATGAACATAGAAAAATAAATTATATAAAATATATTTATAAAGTATAAATTTATAAAATATTTATAAAATATAAATTTATAAAATTATAAAAAATACAGAGGCTGAAAGGTTAGACCGACTTTTCCACAAACATTAAACAGACGGCATCCAAGAGATGGCATCATTTCATTCCTGATTATCATAGTCTTTTGTACCAAATCTAAATTCTAATAAGATGCATTTTTTAGGTGACTTGGAAACTTGTTTAAATAAATAAATATATTAAGCTTCAAATCAGATTAGAAGGAAAGACATGTTTTTACATGAATATAAGACTTGTACCTATAGCATGTACGTATATTGATATGAGCATCAAGGAACAACTCAAAATGATGATTATTAACTATCAGGGACCATATCAAACCGGTTTTTTCTAATTGCTGATTGCTGCTACAAATGATAGTTACTGAAGCATGACACCAAAAGAGCAAATAAACTTCTATTCGTGTCAAAATAGGTGTAATAAACATCTTCCTTGGAGAACCATTAAACATTGCTCCCTTGTAAAGGTGAATTGGGGAGGCTAGAGTGGAGGGTCCTTTTGGTCTTCACGCATTTGGTATCAACGCGACAAAAATCACAATGATCACAATAGTGAAAATAATAGCAGCTAACATTTGGGCATTTACTGTTTCCTAATCACTGTTGTAACCGCTTTACATGCCTACTTCAGTTTAACACTCTCCATTAAAAGGAGAGATTATCCCCATGGGCCAGGTCTGGGGAAAAGCATGACTTAATTTCTTTTTCATTATATTCCACCCTTTTATCCTTGGGTACTGAATGTCTAGGTTAACAGGGGTCACTAGATTTGGTAGATTAAGTCAGTAACTAGCTTCGCTTTGAGAATATTTTAAATCAGTCATCATACAACATAACCCCAAAACTCATTCCTTTATTGAGCCCCATGCATATACACACTGTTCAGCACAATATGCGACTTTTTATTTATTTTTGAGACAAAGCCTCGCTCTGTCGCCCACGCTGCAGTGCAGTGGCGCGATCACGGGTCACTGCAACCTCAAACTTCTGCCCAAGCGATCCTCCCACCTCAGCATCCGCAGAAGCAGGGGCCGCACAGGCGCGCAGATGTGTGACTTTCTAAGGTCCGGCCGCCCAAAGCTACGCCGACCAATCCAAGTAGCGAAAGTCGCTTTGGCCCTGGCCCGTTACCTCCGCGTCCTGGGAAGTATCAGCCTTTACCAGCTACCGGAAGTAACTGCGCACGAAATCTCCCGCGGGAGCTAAGCCTCTTCGACAAGAATTCTATAGCGCGAGCAAATCAGTATCTCGCGAGAAATTGAAGAGGAAACGTGAGAATGAAAGTGGATGCCCGCGAATCCCGGAAGTCAGACTGTTTTTTTCAGTTCCCTGGAGGCTTTTTGATACTGATTCGCGTACACCTGTTGTTTGAAAGCTCTCAGCGGGACAATGCTGACCCAGGTGAGACCTGGGGCCCGGCTGGGTACCTCTATCTGAATGAGACGCTTCTGGACGCGGCCGAGGTGGCGAGGGAGGGTGCTGGGATGGGGGAACATCACCTTTGTTCGTCCCCTCGCGAGATCAGCGTTTCTTTGGCTTTACTGTCAAGCCCTGAAATAATGCTGAGTGCTGTAATGCTGAGTCCCTTCCGTCCAGCTCGCAGACTTCTAGTACCCACTCCCTCCAGCTCTTGGAGGGCTGAGATTTGTTTTCTGTGTCACAGCGGTATCCCGGGAGCTTAGAACAGTGTCTGTTACATAGTAGGCATTGAATACACGTTTCTTGGATGAATAAATGAAACAATTGCAAGGAAGTTCACGATGAAATTGGAGTGACTTTTCTCCCTAAATTAACTTTTCACTTTAAAATAACGTTGCAAAGATAGTACAGAGTTCTCAAATACCTTTCACCAATTTTTCTTGATGTCAGCATCCCCGGTGACTTTTTAGTTTTGTTTAGATACAAGTTCTTGCTCTGTCACCCAATCTGGAATGCAGCTGCTCCATCATAGCTCACTGTAACCTTGAACTCCTGGGTTCAAGCGATCCTCCAGCCTCAGCCTCCCTAGTAGCTAGGACTACAGGAGCAGGCCACTACGCCTGGCTAATTTTTTTTTTTTTTTTACTTTTTGTAGAGACACGTCCTTGATATGTTTTCCAGTCTGGTCTTGAACTGGGAAATGATCCTCTCGCCTCGTCCCTGCAAAGCATGAGCCAGCTGGAGTACAGTGGCGCGATCTCGGCTCACTGCAACCTCCACCTCCTGAGTTCAAGCGATTCTCCCACCTCAGCCCCCTGAGTAGGTGGGGTTACAGGCGCCCACCACTACTCTCGGCTAATTTTTGTATTTTTAGTAGAGACGGGTTTCCCGTGTTGGCCAACCTGGTCTTGAACTCCAGACCTCATGTGATCCTCCCGCCTCTGCCTCCCACAGTGCTGGGATTACAGGTGTGAGCCACCTGCCTAGCCCCTACAGTGACTTTTTAAAATTAATTTTGTTCCTTTTGACAGTTTCTTCAGCCCCAGTAGATTCTGTTTTAACCTTTGCTTCACATTTGGAAAATAATTATTTGGAAAAACCTTGCTTTTTCATAATTAGATAATGTACAGTTTTGGTACATGTAAGGTATTGCTTCCATTTCAAGAACTAGTAATTATCCAAAAAAAGTGTTCTTGTCTTAAAAAAAGACCTTGCTAATGTTGACGTTCAGTAAATTTGTAATATCACTGTGTGTCAGCAACTTTTTCTTATCGTCATAGCTGAAAGCAAAATCAGAGGGGAAGCTTGCAAAACAGATTTGCAAAGTTGTGTTGGATCATTTTGAAAAACAGTATTCCAAAGAACTCGGAGATGCCTGGAATACAGTAAGGTTAGTATAATTCATCTCGATGCTTTATGATGGAACAAAGTACAATATGTAGTCCTCCTTTTTGTGGGAGGGATGCTGTGAGGTTAAAAGGCAAAGGAATCTAAATCTGGTTGCCTTTTCCTACTGAAGCTATAGAAAGGAACAACTAAGAAGAAATAGAATGAATCATAGCATGTTGGAAAGGGGAAATAAAACTTTGTCGGGATGGTAAGCACAAATTGTTACGCCTTTGCTTTGAGCAATTACTTTGATCCTTGAAATAGGAATGCCCACTAGTTTGACAAAATTAATTATACTGTAAAAGAAAAAAACATAAAATTTGGAATATTTGACTGATTTCTGAAATTTAGAAGATAATACAACAAATCTTTAAAGCCAGCACTGCTTTATCTCAGCCAAAGGTACACTTTATTTGGTAATCATATTTCTTTCCTATGTCGATGGCTGGGTATATTTTGAACACGTGCATATACACACAAAATTATTTAAATATAAAAATAAGGAATGTTTAATGCATGGAAGTGGGAGAAATGTGATTTGTCTGTTTGGTAAGATGATGTTAATGTATGGATTACTGTATGGGTTCTTGACATTGAGTGCCTGATACACTATATAACCCTCTCTGGAATACAGAGCAAGACAGTCTGCATGTCCAGTTTACATGCCGTCTAGTTAGTGTTAATGGGAGAAGTGAGGAGATGGGTGTGGTTACAACTATATAAACTAATTTGTAAATACTGTGATCCAAGTATCTAACAAAGCCTGAGGGTGCCAGCAAAGGCCTGAAGGGAAGCTGGGTCTTGGTGACTTAGAGGAGTTACTTTGACAAAAAGAACTAGGCCTCCTAGGTTGAGGGAAGAAGGTGCACTGTTCATGAAGTTAGGGCAAAAGCCCACTACATGTTGCATGAGGAAAAAAAGTTGCATGGCTACAGATATTATCTGGAACTTGGTCCAGACTAATTTTTCAGATGGTTGGCTTGTCCATTTTTTTCTTGGATCAACTCTTAAGCATTTCTCCTTTACAAAGGGCAGTTCTGAGCATTTTCTAAAACAAATTAAGTTTTGGCTAATAAAGATCACAAAGTCTGAGGTGATTCTGAGATAATTTTAGGACAATTAAGCTGTTATAGAAATTGGTAAATGCTGTAATATGCAAACCGTTTATACTCGTGGGTTTTATTTCAAAAGTAGATTTTCAAATGGGTATTTTCTGTCACAGAGATGAAGAACTGAATAATAAAGTATGTAATAAATTTATGAGGTTTTCAGTATACAAAGGTACTCAAATAGAGTATCCAAATAACCAAACACTTATTGCATGTTTACTATATGCCAGACAATACTGACTTACATGATCCTCAGAACAAACCCGTTAAGAGTTTAAGTAATTTGCCCAAGTTCACTCAGCTAATAAGTGGCAGAGCTGAGGCTTGTGCCTGGGTTGTCTGACTCAATAACTCCCACAGCTCATCCTTGTTCTGTACTGTCTCATATCTGGGATGTGATTTAAAAAAAAAAAAGATTTCAAGAGGCTTTTTTTTTTTCTGTAGACTTTGTAGCAGTCTGGCTACTCATATCCTATAATGACTTATTTTTCTACTTAGTGTACTCAGAAAGTCATATACTATTATTTGACCCTGAGCAAAATGAGCAATGAACCTCAAATCCATTTAATTAGCTGTGCCTTCTGCTTCATTTACCCTATTGTGGGGTTTTTGTGGTAATTTAAGTTTTGCATAAACACACACTAAATTTGCCATAGGCAAAATAAAGGTTTCTCAGCTTAGGAAGTAGTCTGAGCATGGAAGATGGTATGGGGAAATAAGAACAGAATGAAATATTTTGTGTTTTAACTGCTTGTTTGCAAGACATAATGTACTTGTAGAGTCTACTTCCAGGGAAAGTCAAGTGCTCTTTTTTTGGCCTATTTAGAAAGTAATTTATTCAATATTTTTAGTTTCCTGTAGTAGTGAGGAAGATTTAGTATTTAGTTTTGCTCTTTTTTAGTAACCTTTCTTGTCTAGTCATCCTCTGAGCAGCCCTTTAAAATTGGAGTTTACCCTGGTTCAATTCTTGCTCTATTTGTTGCCTCCATGTTCTCCTCAGGTAAGCCCATTCATGGCATGACTTTTATCAGTATGCTGTCATCTCAAGCTGTGAGGTTCTTCCTAAGATTTAGTCCCATACTTCTGTTTTTTAGCAACTTCAGTTACTTGGCAAACTCAAAAGTGTATTATTATTTTTCCCTTTCAAACTTATGTTGCCTTTGCTACCTGCATATTTTATCTCAATTAAGTGTATCACCATCAGTCTGGTTTCCTCCTTTCTTCTCTATACCTTCACTACCTTTGTAGTAAAAAATGAACCTTATATAAAAATAGGTCTGGCAACTGCCCTCAGCTCCTGGGAGGCGATCTCTAAGCCCTTGGAATGTGCTTCCTGATAAGTGTGTCTTTGTTTACCTGGGTGTTGAGGTCACACCTGATAATCTAACGATGTGATTTATGTTGAGGCCTGGGGACCACAGGTGTCAACTCAACATCCAGAAGGGCTTGTGACTAAAAGCTGTATGGACAGTCAATCATATATACGTGACCAAGCCCCAATAAAAAGTGGATACCAAGGCTTTGGTGAGTGTCCCTGGTTGGCAATACTCTTGTGCATACTGTCATACATTACTGCCAGCAAAAGTTGACCTCGTTGATGATTCCGTTGGAGAGGACAGCTGGAAGCTTCATGCTTTGAATTGTTGTGAATTCTGCACTATGAGTCTCTTCCTGTGATTGTTTTTAATCTGTATGCTTTCATTATAATAAACTGTGACTATAACTGTGATTATAACAGCTTTCAGTGAGTTCGGTTGTGTCCCAGTGAATAATCAAACCTGAGAGTCATCCTTGGAATCCCTGAACTTGTAATTGGTGTCAGAAGTGAGAGTTGTCTTTGAGACTCAACTACCCTGCCCCCTTTTAATTTGGATCTTTTTAAAAAAATTCTCTACTGCTGCCATTCACTTAGACCTTCCCAATCTCTTATCTGGCATATTGCAACAGCCATGTTTAGTACTTACCTGTTTGCTTATTTTAGCAACCACTTTTATGGCACTATGTACCAGTCAATGTTGTAATCACTTTATGAATAATAACAATCCTATGTACAACCCTCTGAAATAGTTATTTCCATTTATATATAGGAAAGCTGAGGCACACAGAGGTTAAGTAACTTGCCCAAGTATACACATCTCACACTTTAACTTGCCCAAGTATACACATCTAACACTTTGAAGAGCCTTGAGAGTTTGTTGTACCCACTCTGTCATGCTGTTTCTCGGTGCTACCAAATTCCATTGTGTCACACCTTGAGTACAAACCTTTGCTCCCCAGAAGTCTGCAGTATTATGTTTGGACTAAAAATCTTATCTTTCTGGGCAGGCTCCTTCATGCCTTTGGGACTGGCTATGCTGTTCTTCTGCTAGGAATGCCTTTTTCCCTTCTCCCTCTGTGCAGTAGTGTGGGTTCAAATCCCACCTCTGCATCTTGTAGCATATGACCTAGGTGAGTTAATATCTCTGTGCTCCATTGTCCTCGTCTGTAAAATGGGGAAAAAATAGTATCTATTTCATATAATCATTTGGGAAGATAAAATGAATTTGTGTATATACAATGTGAATGGAATGTTGTTTGACGTATAGTAAGGACTTCATATGCATTAGCATTATTTTTGTTACTATGATTAACCACTTCATCAAGCCTTCTGTATGTCCCTTGGCAAAATTAGTTTTGCCCTTCGTGTATCCATTGCATTTTGTTGATAGAGCTATTGTGATTCTTTCAAGGTTTTATCGTCATAATTTACTAACTTGCTTATCTTTTTCCTGACAAGGGAGGGTTTTGAAGAACCAATACCTTGAGACTTGGGCAAGTCTTCTGCTTATTCCCAGTTTTGTCAGTGTTTGTGTACTAGGCATTGTGCTAAGCACTGAGAATACAAAAATGGACTGTATATATCCTGCCCTCAAATACATGTATGATTAATTGGATAATTAATGGATACTTAATAAATGTATGATTAATATAAGCATTAATTAGAAATATTTATTAACTGTGGAAATTTTACATGTACTTTATAGAAAGCAAAACAAACAGACCATATAAGTCTGAACTGTCTGCAACATCTTTTTTTTTTTGGACACTCTCCTCACTGACCGAGAGTTCACATACAGAGAGGAAAAAAAAATACACACACACACACACACACACATACACACACACAACCTGATAATATTACCATAATCTGTGAAGGATGTAGACTGAGGTGGTTAAGAAAGAGAGAAATGAACCAGTATCTAGATTTCTATATTGTCCTATATGTTGGCTTTACACACATTTTCAGCCTTAATCTGTGCAAATCTCTGTGAAGAAGTAACTTTTAGACACTTTAAAGTCAGAGGTTAGAACAATTGATAGGTATCTTGTAGTTGTGGCAAATTCAGTCCTGTGACTTAAAAGTCCACGCCTTTTCCTATACCATCTGTGCTGCTGTGAAGGGTCCAGAGTTGCATCCTTCCAAATGTATGCTCAGATCCCGTAGTATGAAGGACTCTTATGTTCAGGATTTTTAGCCTTTTGATGTTCCACCAGAAACGCAAAGGATTTCCTATCTGAGGTACAGTGAATAACAAATCTGGACATAAATTGCCCTTCTGTGAGATACAAGGAAGATCCATTGCCAAAATAGAATAGGAAGCCATCAGCTCTTCGTTAGCATCTCTGAGGAGTAAAAATAAAATGACTCAAAAACATACTTTGGTGCATTTCCATAAATTGATTTGTTTTTCATTTCTAACTTTTAAAAGAGTTGAATGAGCACCCTCTAGTGGATAATAATAGCACTAAATCAAGGAATTTCTCTTTTTTAGCTATGGAAATTTAAATAGGTTCTGTAATCTACAGGGTTATATTAATTGTGTTTAACAATTTCTAGATTAAATGATATTTTTCATCTTCGTCACTAGGACGGAAGGTAGGGTGGAGAGTAGAGTAGTAGGAAAAAAGAATAAAGTCACAGAAAAGTTGAATGAAAATTATACTATCAAATAATAAACATTATCGAAATGATACATTATACAGTTTTGCAAAATTTTAACTTAACTAGCTTTTAATTTTTTAATGCTTTAATTTTGTTAAAATAGTAAGTAGTTCAGAGAGCCTTGAATCAGAACTCCAATTTTATTCATTTACTCCAGGATTTAGGCCCCAGGCACTTAGCCAAGGAGAAAAATAAGTCAAGGCTCCCATATAAATGAGTTAGGGAAATGGGTAAGCAGGCAGGGTGACACACAGTGTGATATATTAGTTTAGCTTCATTAACTGTTTCTCAAAATTCAGTTATTCTTGTGTACCATCTGTCTAGTTTTACTTAATTTTTTTTTGGTCAGTTTTAATATTTTTCTTTTGTTTCTTAGGAATTTTTCTTTTGTTTCTTAGGAATTTATTTTTCTTTTGTTTCTTAGGAATTTAAGCTTATTTTATATCATTATCAGTAAATAGATGTGCCTAGCCTATAGTTGACAGACGGTGTATTTTTAGAGAATGAATGAATGTTGACAAGAAGATAATATACGATGGCTCACACCTGTAATTCCAGCACTTTGGGAGGCCAAGGCAGGAGATTTGCTTGAGGGCGGGAAGATTGCTTGAGGACAAGAGTTCAAGACCAGCATGGGCAATATAGCAAGACCTCATCTCTAGAAAAAATAAGCAATTAGCTGGGTGTGGTGGTGCGTGCCTGTAGGCGCAACTACTTGGGAGACTGAGGTAGGAGGATCGCTTGAGTCCAGGAGGTCGAGGCTTCACTGAGCCATGATCGCACAGCTGTACGCCAGCCTGGGTGACAGAGTGAGACCTTGTCTCTAAAAAAAAGAAGACAAAACAGACTTAGCATGTTGGAGGGAGGAGCAACAATGAGTGAGAAATAGAAAGACTTTTCAAGGGGGTATGTAGGCTCAGGCAAGTGACCGCAGTCAGTTTTCACATCCTCAACTTTCATGTATTCTCTTTCAGAAAATTACTCTGCCCCTCTGTACATAAGGGGGCACATATTCTCCTTTCCCAACCTGCCTTTCTCCAATTTCCCTTCACCCTTTTCACAAAAAGAAAGGCACACTTGCACCATTCTGGCTTCTATGCTATGTTCCTCCAGGTATTCAAAACCTCCATATGCCAGAAACTATTGGAGTGTCAGTGTGAGAAAGCAAATGACTAACAGATTCTCTGACAAGTCAGGTGGTTTCCAAGTTTTGCTTTCAACAAAAGTAAAGGAGCCTTGATTGAGATGTCAGCTATCAATTCATTTAAGACATTTTTGATGATAGGTTGCTAAGTGATTTGGGGATATAACTCCAAAAGAATTCAAAGTAAGAAACATTGCTATAACAAAATATATTTAATTCTCATCCACTTATTTAACTGAAGGTTTTTCTCAGCTTTTATAAAAAACACAAAATAGGCATAAAAATGATGTTGAATCCTGACTGATTTTATTATAGTAAGAAGTAATATTCATTTATGGATATATGGAAACAAAAGCTCATTTCATTAAGTATCCATTTCTTACCAATTTTTACTTTTATAAGTTGTTTTGATCGGTTTTGTACTAATAATATTATTGATCCCTGAATCCAGAAGTTACCATTTTAACACTTAGAGATTTAAGACCACAGGAAAAACAAATTTAGTACATACACATGTGTATATGTGGGGGCTAGAGAAGCATGATAGGGTGATAAAAAGATTTCAAGCATGAAAATATATTAAGATGAAGTTATATGAAGTAGAATGTAAATAAAAGAGGAAAACGAGCAGCATAAAATTTCCACCTGTTAAAGATGAGTCAGTCTATGAATTTTTAAATGGATGATGATGGGTATCAAAATCATTATGATATTTAGTTTCCACTGGGCACATACTAAAGGCAGTATAATTTGTATTTTAAAATGTCAATTTTTACAGTATGCTGGAAATTGCATCCTTTAAACATATGGTGAGATTTTAATGTCAACTTAAAATGTGTTTTTTTTCAAAATGATATCAGTGGTGCACTAGCAAATTTGCAGGTCACTGACCTTGTATGTCTCCAGTTCTGCTGGCTACTGAGGTACTTGCACTTCTTCTCACCTGGAAGACCAGTAAATGGAGCCGCTTCAGACTAACTGTGAATCTTGGGAAAAGGCCTGGAGTGTGGCACCTGGCCGCTGTTTTCTAGAGTCATCTAACATACATTCCCTCTACTGCCTGCTAAGCTACTTGCCCATCCATAAAAGCTTTGGATTCGGAAGCCACTTTCCCTCCAGCCCCAGGTTAGCAACCCACCCAGTGCAGGCACAGGAGGGGTTGTATGTGTGTGTGTTGTGGGGAGGAGAATGGAGGTCAGTGGCAGGTGTGTGCAAGGGGAACTGTAAGAATCATATTAATACACAGCTTTGCTTTCTCAGGGCTAGGAAGCACCAGCCTGAGCAGCCTTAGCAGTCCCTTCAAGAGTTGGTCTGTTGCAGCTGCTTCTATAGGCAGGATGTGGCAAGCTGATTTCATTGTTAGACAGAAGAGGGTTTCAGGGAGGTCATGGCCACTTGCACTAAGTGAGGGTTGGGGTAAAATTCTCTTTCTTGCCCCCTTTTGTAGCTCTGTGCTGTAGTACCAGGGTCTCACACGTTGGGAATCACTTCTGTTAGACTTTAAAGTCAGTCTGATTTTGAATCAGATACTTCTGCGTACTAGCAATGTGACCTCAGGTAAGTTGCCAAAATCTCTAAAAGCCTCAGTTAACCTCTAAAATAGGAGTAAGAGCTGCCTCTCTCAAGGTTGTTGTGATGGTTCTATGATATAAACATGCAAAATGAACATTGTACACATCCAGTCAGTAACATTTATTAATAATGATATCAGAGTATGGTGGAGGATGTGAACCGGGTGGTAAGTGGAAAGACTTCGTTGGAGAGAGAAAACTCCCTAAGTTGAGAACAGATAGGTGAGAGAGGAAAGGTTATTCAGGGAGGTTGGGGGCCGGGCATGTGGAGATCAGTAAATTTTAAAGAAACTTGTTAGAAGAAATCTGTATAGTTCAGTAGGGTTGGGTGTAGATCATGAAAGATCAAAAATTTCGTTTGTTCTATTTAGGCCTTATTTTGTCTAGTCACTAAAGAATGAGATAGAGTAATTTCTGAAGAGTTCTGCCTCAGTCTGCAATAAGTTCTTCTCTTTTTTTTTTATTATTATACTTTAAGTTCTGAGGTACATGTGCAGAATGTGCAGTTTTCTTACATAGGTATACCCATGCCATGGTGGTTTGCTGCACCCATCAACCCATCACCTACATTAGGTATTTCTCCTAATGCTATCTGTCCCCCAGCCCCTCACCACCCGACAGGCCCTGATGTGTGATGTTCCCCTCCCTGTGTCCATGTGTTCTCATTGTTCACCTCCCACTGATGAGTGAGAACATGCAGTGTTTAATTTTCTGTTCTGTGATAGTTTGCTGAGAATGATGGTTTCCAGCTTCATCCATGTCCCCGCGAAGGACGTGAACTCATCCTTTTATATGGCTGCATAGTATTTCATGGGGTATATGTGACACATTTTCTTTATCCAGTCTATCATTGATGGACATTTGGGTTTGTAACAAGTCTTTGCTCTTGTGAATAGTGCTGCAATAAACATATGTGTGCATGTGTCCTTATAGTAGAAGGATTTATAATCCTTTGGGTATATACCCAGTAATGGGATTGCTGGGTCAAATGGTATTTCTAGTTCTAGATCCTTGACCAATCGCCACACTGTCTTCCACAATGGTTGAACTAATTTACACTCCCACCAACAGTGTAAAAGTGTTCCTGTTTCTCCACATCCTCTCCAGCATCTGTTGTTTCCTGACTTTTTAATGATCATGATTCTAACTGGTGTGAGATGGTATTTCATTGTGGTTTTGATTTGTATTTCTCTAATGACCAGTGATGATGAGCATTTTTTCATATGTTTGTTGGCTGCATAAATGTCTTCTTTTGAGAAGTGTCTGTTCATATCCTTTGCTCACTTTTTGATGAGGTTGTTTTTTTCTCGTAAATTTGTTTAAATTCTTTGTAGATTCTGGATATTAGCCCTTTGTCAGTTGGATAGATTGCAAAAATTTTCTCCCATTCTGTAGGTTGCCTGTTCACTCTGATGGTAGTTTCTTTTACTGTGCAGAAGCTCTTTCGTTTAATTAGATCCCATTTGTCAATTTTGGCTTTTGCTGCCGTTGCTTTTGGTGTTTTAGACATGAAGTCTTTGCCCATGCCTATGTCCTGAATGGTATTGCCTAGGTTTTCTTCTAGGATTTTTATGGTTTTAGGTCTTATGTTTAAGTCTTTAATCCATCTTCAGCTAATTTTCATATAAGGTGTAAGGAAGGGGTCCAGTTTCAGTTTTCTGCATATGGCTAGCCAGTTTTCCCAGCACCATTTATTAAATAGGGAATCCTTTCCCCATTTCTTGTTTTTGTCAGGTTTGCCAAAGATCAGATAGTTGTAGATGTGTGGTATTATTTCTGAGGGCTCTGTTCTGTTCCATTGGTTGTATATATCTGTTTTGGTACCAGTTCCATGCCGTTTTGGTTACTGTAGCCTTGTAGTATAGTTTGAAGTCAGGTAGCATGATGCCTCCAGCTTTGTTCTTTTTCCTTAGGATTGTCTTGGCTATGTGGGTTCTTTTTTGATTCCATATGAAGTTTAAAGTATTTTGTTTTTCCAATTCTGTGAAGAAAGTCAATGGTAGCTGGATGGGGATAGCATTGAATCTATAAGTTACTCTGGGCAGTATGGCCATTTTCACTGTATTGATTCTTCTTATCCATGAGCATGGAAGTATTTTCCATTTGTTTGTGTCCTCTCTTATTTCCTCGAGCAGTGGTTTGTAGTTCTCCTTGAAGAGGTCCTTCACATCCCTTGTAAGTTGTATTCCCAGGTATTTTATTCTCTTAGTAGCAATTGTGGATGGGAGTTCACTCATGATTTGGCTGTCTGTTTGTCTGTTATTGGTATATAGGAATGCTTGTGATTTTTGCACATTGATTTTGTTCCTTGAGATTTTGCTGAAGTTGCTTATTAGCTTAAGGAGATTTTGGGCTGAGACGATGGGGCTTTCTAAATATACAATCATGTCATCTGCAAACAGAGACAATTTGACTTCCTCTCTTCCTATTTGAATACCCTTTATTTCCTTCTCGTGCCTGATTGCCCTGGCTAGAAATTCCAATACTGTGTTGAATAGGAGTAGTGAGAGAGGGCATTCTTGTCTTGTGCTGGTTTTCAGAAGGAATGCTTCCAGTTTTTGCCCATTCAGTATGCTATTGGCTGTGAGTTTGTCATAAATAGCTCTTATTATTTTGAGATATGATCCATCGAT
The DNA here is from genome assembly GCF_000001405.40 of Homo sapiens. NCBI lineage: Eukaryota > Metazoa > Chordata > Mammalia > Primates > Hominidae > Homo > Homo sapiens. The sequence goes on from NC_000003.12 coordinate 94,074,985, forward strand.
ACCTAGTTTATTGAGAGTTTTTAGCATAAAGGGGTGTTGAAATTTGTCAAGGTCTTTTCTGCATCTATTGAGATAATCATGTGGTTTTTGTCATTGGGTCTGTTTATGTGATGGATTACTTTTATTTTTTTTCAAGGATTAATTTAATTTTTAAAACAAATACAAGTTATTGATTCAGTCTTCTCAATTTGACAGTCTACCTGTGGTATAACTGTCAGGTAAAAACATACATCTTTACAACTTGGTGGTCTCAAGTTAAAAGCAAACAAACAAACAAACAAAAAAAAGCCACACCATTTCACAGACAGGAAAGAAACAACATGAAAACAGCTCAAGAAATACACTAATGAGCAAAAATATATGGGGAAAGAGGAACATGTAGTTTTGACTTAACTGAACAAACCAAGAAGAAACTGGTCTACTTATGTAAATGTGCATCCTGGAAAGTCAGGTGTCAGGATTTTCAGGTAGGAATCTATATGACTTGAATCTTCCCTATTTCCTGAATAAAAGTGACATCTTTCTGTATTTATACTTCATGGCTCAGACACCTACCTCATTTGGCTCTATTCCTTACTCACTCTAGCCTTTACTTAAATGAGTCTGAAAAACTTGGCGATATAGCATAAGAAGAAAAATAATCACACATGATATTTTCATTTCTGTAGCTACTTTAGACCAGGGTTTGTTACTAGAAAATTCCTGAAGAAAATTTCAACGTAAGTCTGTGGCTTTGCTGAATCAAGCCCCCCCCCCCAATAATATTTAGAAAACACCCACTGTTTGGGCTAATAGCATTATTGGTGGTACCTATTATATAGAGGGATACCTGAACAAAGTCTGTCTCATAACCAGTGTTAAATCACTCTCAGGGTTGAGAAGAAAAAAAGGGGAGTCTAAAATCACAAGAAGTAAAGACGTATCTAGGACCCTTGTCCTTCTGGATCCATATTCCTTCAGGGTCTTCATCATTATAAATGTTCTCTGCCATTTGCCACACTTGCATGATATTGTCTTCTGATACAGAACAAATCACCCAAGGTTCATTGGGATTCCAGGAGAAATCAGATATCTTGGCAGTGTGACCACCATGAATAAACAACAACTCTGGTGACCCGTCTTCTGCATCTTCTGGGGATTGTTCCTCTCCAATTTTACTTAAATCCTAGACATTCAGTCTGCGATCAGTACCACTGGAAGCCAAAATAGTCTCACTGTGAGGTGACTACTGAACCTGGAATATTTCATCCATGTGACTCAGAGGAATGCAACATAAGTTTCAGATTTCTCAGATCCCACAAGGCAACAGTCTTGTCAGCTGATCCTGTGGCAAGAATGAACTCACTATAAGGATTGAAAGGCAGTTCACTTCAGCAGTGTGAGCGTCAACTGAGTGGCTTGGTTTGGAAGTATTGTTTGAACAAGTATCCCAAATCATAAGTTTCTGATGATCAGCAACTGACCCAAACAGAGACTTATGGAACAGATGCCAGGAAACATCTTCTACTACTACTGTATGCCCTGTAAAGATGGTCTTTGCATCCACCACATTTCCCTCCTTTGGAACAGCACTGATGTCCCACGGGTAGATGGTGTGATCATCTGAAGCACTAAGTAAGTGCCCACTGAGATTTGGCCAAGAAAGCCCATAGCCTTTTTTCTGATGTCCATGGAGACGCAAGTCTGAGTTGCAGTCTCCAGAAAGATCTGGTTTAGGATGTTTTGTATAGTCCAAGATAAGAACATCACTGGAAGGAGTCTTTGTTGTGATAATACAAGGATTCTGGGGCATATAACGGGCCCTGTTTACTTCTCCTTCATGGTTGATCTTGATTTCTATTTCAATTTTTCCACTAACTGAACCAAAACCTCCAAATTCTCCTTTCTCACTGTCGTAGTGTGATGCATCAAAATGAGCATCATCATTAGGGAGTTGCACACTGGCTATAACAAGATGTTTTTGTTCATCCAATGTGTGTGTGTACCCAGGACAAGTCGATGAATGCTGAAATCTTTCCCTTCTGGTCTGGTTACACCTGGAAGCCACTGGGCAGTTAGGCTGGGCCACTCCAGAGCCTGCGTCATCACCAAATCATAAAGAAAAGGGGTGTTCTTTTTCCATATTTTGTACTCCTTATGGATCACTCATTCTTCCACTGCGTCATCAAAGGCTGCTTCCTTGTCAGTCATGGAGGCCAGGCGAGCCAGGGGAATACTGGAGTCGGGTGTTGCAGGAGGGGCAGGGAGGCTGCAGGCCGGATTGATTTGCATATGTTGAACCAGTCTTGCATCCCAGGTATGAAGTTGACATCGTGGTGGATAAGCTTATTGATGTGCTACTGGATTTGGTTTGCCAGTATTTTTTTGAGGATTTTTGCATTGATGTTCATCAGGGATATTGGCCTGAAATTTAATTTTTTTTGTTGTGTCTCTGCCAGGTTTTTGTGTCAAGATTATGCTGGCCTCATAAAATGAGTTAGGGAGGATTCCCTCTTTTTCTATTGTTTGGAATAGTTTCAGAAGGAATGGCACTAGCTCCTCTTTGTACGTTTGGTAGAATTCGGCTGTGAATTCATCTGGTCCTGGACTTTTTTTGGTTGGTAGGCTATTAATTACTGCCTCAATTTCAGAACTTGTTATTGGTCTATTCAGGGATTCGACTTCTTCCTGGTTTAGACTTGGGAGGTTGTATGTGTCCAGGAATTTATTCATTTCTTCTAGATTTTCTATTTCATTTGCATAGAGGTGTTTATAGTATTCTCTGATGGTAGTTTGTATTTCTGTGGGATCACTGGTGATATCCCCTATATTATTTTTTATTGCGTCTATTTGATTCTTCTCTCTTTTCTTCTTTATTAGTCTGGCTAGCAGTCTATCTATTTTGTTGATCTTTTCAAAAAACCAGCTCCTGGATTCATTGATTTTTTTGAAGGGATTTTCATGTCTCTATCACCTTCAGTTCTGCTCTGATCTTAGTTATTTCTTGTCTTCTGCTAGCTTTTGAATTTGTTTGCTGTTGCTTCTCTAGTTCTTTTAATTTTGATGTTAGGTTGTCAATTTTAGATCTTTCCTGCTTTCTCTTGTGAGCATTTAGTGCTGTAAATCTCCCTTTACACACTGCTTTAAATGGGTCCCAGAGATTCTGGTATGTTGTGTCTTTGTTCTCATTGGTTTCAAAGAACATCTTTATTTCTGCCTGCATTTCATTATTTACCCAGTAGTCATTCAGGAGCAGGTTGTTCAGTTTCTGTGTAGTTGTGCGGTTTTGAGTGAGTTTCTTAATCCTGAGTTCTAATTTGATTTCACTGTGTTCTGAGAGACTGTTTGTTATGATTTCCATTCTTTTACATTTGCTGAGGAGTTTACTTCCAATTATGTGGTCAGTTTTAGAATAAGTGTGATGAGATGCTGAGAATAATGTATATTCTGTTGATTTTGGGTGGAGAGTTCTGTAGATGTCTATTAGGTCTGCTTGGTCCAGAGCTGAGTTCAAGTCCTGAATATCCTTGTTAATTTTCTGTCTCATTGATCTGTCTAATATTGACAGCGGGGTGTTAAAGTCTCCCACTATTATTGTGTGGGAGTCTAAGTCTCTTTGTAGGTCTCTAAGAACTTGCTTCATGAATCTGGATGCTCCTGTGTTGGGTGCATATATATTTAGGATAGTTAGCTCTTCTTGTTGCATTGATCCCTTTACCATTATGTAGTGCCCTTGTCTATTTTGATCTTTGTTGGTTTAAAGTCTGTTTTATCAGAGATTAGGATTGGAACTCCTGCTTATTTTTGCTTTCCATTTGCTTGGCAAATATTCCTCCATCCCTTTATTTTGAACCTATGTGTGTCTCTGCATGCGAGATGGGTCTCCTGAATACAGCACACTGCTGGGTCTTGACTCTTTATCCAATTTGCCAGTCTGTGTCTTTTAATTGGTGCATTTAGCCTGTTTAAAGGTAATATCGTTATGTGTGAATTTGATCCTGTCACTATGATGCTAGCTGTTTATTTTGTCCGTTAGTTGATGCAGTTTCTTCATAGTGTCGATGGTCTTTACAATTTGGTATGTTTTTGCAGTGGCTGGTACTGGTTGTTCCTCTCCATGTTTAGTGCTTCCTTCAGGAGCTCTTGTAAGGCAGGCCTGGTGGTAACAAAATCTCTCAGCATTTACTTGCCTGTAAAGGATTTTATTTCTCCTTCGCTTATGAAGCTTACTTTGGCTGGATATGAAGCTCTGGGTTGAGAATTCTTTTCTTTAAGAATGTTGAATATTGGCCCCCACTCTCTTCTGGCTTGTACAATTTCTGCCGAGAGATCCACTGTTAGTCTGATGCGCTTCCCTTTGTGGGTGACCCAACCTTTCTCTCTGGCTGCCCTTAACATTTTTTCCTTCATTTCAACCTTGGTAATCTGACAATTATGTGCCTTGGGTTTGCTCTTCTCGAGGAGTATCTTTGTGGTGGTCTCTGTATTTCCTCAATTTGAATTTTGGCCTGCCTTGCTAGGTTGGGGAAGTTCTCCTGGATGATAGCTTGAAGACTGTTTTCCAACTTGTTTCATTCTCCCTGTCACTTTCAGGTACACCAATCAAATGTAGATTTGGTCTTTTCACATAGTCCCATATTTCTTGGAGGCTTCGTTCATTCCTTTTTACTCTTTTTTCTCTAAACTTGTCTTCTCACTTTATTTCATTAAATTGATCTTCAGTCTCTCATATCTTTTCTTCTGCTTGATCGATTCAGCTATTGATACTTGTGTATGCTTCACGAAGTTCTCGTGCTGTGTTTTTCAGCTCCATCAGGTCATTTATGTTCTTCTCTAAACTGGTTATTCTAGTTAGCAATTTGTCTAAACTTTTTTCAAGGTTCTTAGCTTCCTTGCATTGGGTTAGAATATGCTCCTTTAGCTTGGAAGAGTTTGTTATAACCCACCTTCTGAAGCCTACTTCTGTCAGTTTGTCAAACTCATTCTCCATCCAGTTTTGTTCCCTTGCCGGCGAGGAGTTGTGATCCTTTGGAGGAGAAGAGGCATTCTGGTTTTTGGAATTTTCAGCCTTTTTGCACTGGTTTCTCCCCATCTTTGTGGATATATCCCCTTTGGTCTTTGATGTTGGTGACCTTTGGCTGGTGGGGTCTTTGAGTGGATGTGCTATTCCTTTCTGTTTGTTAGTTTTCCTTCTAACAGTTGGGCCCCTCTGCTGCAGGTCTGCTGGAGTTTGCTGGAGGTCCACTCCAGACCTTGTTTGCCTGGGTATCACCAGCGGAGGCTGCAGAACAGCAAAGATTGTTGCGTGTTCTGTCCTGTTTTGTCCCAGAGGGGCACTTGCCAGATGTCAGCCAGAGCTCTCCTGTATGAGGTGTCTGTCAGCCCCTACTGGGAGGTGTGTCCCAGTCAGGATACACAGCGGTCAGATACCCACTTGAGGAGGCAGTCTGACCCTTAGCAGAGCTCAGACACTGTGCTGGGAGGTCCGCTGCTCTCTTCAGAGCCATCAGGCAGGGACGTTTAAGTCGGCTGAAGCTGTGCCCACAGCCGCCCCTTTCCCCAGGTGCTCTGTCCCAGGGAGAGGGGGTTTTATCTATAAGTCCCTTACTGAAGCTGCTGCCTTTTTTTCAGAGATGCCCTGCCCAGAGAGGAAAAATCTGACAGTCTGGCCACAGCAGCCTTGGTGAGCTGCAGTGGGCTCCGCCCAGTTCAAACTTCCTGATGGCTTTGTTTACACTGTGAGGGTAAAACCACCTACTCAAGCCTCAGTAATGGCGGACGCCCCTCCCTCCACCAAGCTCCAGCATCCCAGGTTGATCTGAGACTGCTGCTGTGCTGGCAGTGAGAATTTCAAGCCAGTGGATCTTAGTTTGCTGGGCTCCATGGGGGTGGGACCTGCTGAGCAAGACCACTTGGCTTCCTGGCTTCAGCACCCCTTTCCAGGGGAGTGAACTGTTCTGTCTCGCTGGTGCTTCAGGCGCCACTGGGGTATGGAAAAGAAAACTCCTGCAGCTAGTTCGGTGTCTGCCTAAAGAGCCACCCAATTTTGTGCTTGAAACCCAGGGCCCTGGTGGGGTAGGCACCGAAGGGAATCTCCTGGCCTGCAGGTTGCATAGACCATGGGGAAAGCGTGGTATCTGGGCTGGAGTGCATGGTTCCTTAGGCTCAGTCCCTCATGGCTTCCCTTGGGTAGGGGAGAAAATTCCCCAACCCCTTGCACTTCCCTGATGAGGCGATGCCCCACCCTGCTTCAGCTCGCCCTCTGTGGGCTGCACCTACTGTCCAACCAGTCCCAATGAGATGAACCGGGTCCCTCAGTTGGAAATGCAGAAATCACCCACCTTCTGCGTTGATCTTGCTGGGAGCTGCAGACCGGAGCTGTTCCTATTGGGCCATCTTGCCAAAAATCCTCAGTACATGTCTTTAAATCTGATTGGGGCTCTCTCCCCCTAAAGTTTTTTAATGGCTTCTCATCACTTAGAAGTTAAAATTCAAAAACCTTATCATATTATACTTGGTAATCTTCTGCCATGATCCACATCAGACTACTAATTTTTAAAATGCACTGTTCTTTCTCATTCCTGTGTGCTTGTACATGTGGTATTGGCTTTGTCCTGAAACTTCCTTTCTCATTTCTTCCTACAGATAATTTCTTCTCATCCTTCAAGATTTAACATATTGGATAATATACAAAAGCTAATGTTGTTCCTGAATTAATAATCCTCTTAAACAATAAGCTTAAAAGGAAACATGCAGGATTTAACCTTTCTAAGAGATAGGAAAGAAAATGTGAATAAATGGAGAAACATATTGTGATCAGGATTGGAAAAATTGACTGCAATAAAGATGTGAAATATCTCCAAGTTTAAAGCATTTAATATAATCCTAGGCAAGGTTACTATATCTCTACCTGTCTACATACACAAATATTGTATAAATTATGTTTAACTGAACTTTTATTCCAAAGTTCATCTGAAAGAATAAACATTCAAGATAGCTTTGAAAATTCTGAAGAAAAAAAGAAGAACGAATAGAGATTTGTCCTGTCTGATGTTAACTAATTGAAAGTGTTCTACTCCTTTTTAGCTGATGGGTAGGCACATGATGCAAGCCAAGCCGCTCCTTCTGTATAACTGTGTTTCCGATCATTTTTTTATTACACATGACTCAACACTGGATAGATTTTTCAGCCTGTTTGGAGGTAAGATTAGGATGAACTGCCGTAAGACTTATAATAGTGGCGTTTGCAGATTTCCCTTTGGGATCAGTTTTAAAGCAGTCTCCCCCAAAGTGTGGTCCTGGGGATCAGCAGCATCAGCATCACCTGAAAACTTGCTAGAGCTACGAATTTCAGGCTCTCTTTCAGACCTACTGAATCAGAAACTCTGGCTAGGTCCCTGCAGTCTGTTTTACAGACCCTTGATGCACACTTAAGTTTGCGAACCTCTTTCTTAAGGAAAGAGGTTGTCATCCTCCAAAATAGCTGAAACAGATACGCCAGGCTCCTGTGACTCACCATCCATAGTAAGAGGCAGTGAAAGGAGAAAGCAGTTTCACGTATTAGCCCTAAATTGAAATTCACATGGCACGCTTCCAGTCGCAGGTGTTACATTTCAATCCACCCATTCCTCACATAGGCAACTCCAGGGTGTGTAGCAGCTGGAATTTATTTAATTGACCATAGTTAATGAGGCTCCCAAATAACTCAGCTAGAAAGGTCGGCTAGTAAATAAATTAAATATTTCCTGCTGGATCACCTGTCAGTTGATATGAGTTTGTGATTGTTAAGAGATGGAACTCTTGGACCGAATGCAAATTTAACAGGGTAAAGCTGCTGGGGGAAAGCCTGCACCATCAATCCATAAGTGGTTTTTAAATCATCCTTGGTTTTTTATCATCTGAGCCACTCATCGCCTCATTAACTCCATTACTGTAGAGTTCACTGTAGTTAGTTTTCCATACCTTTTATCTTCATCAGAAGAAAACACTCATTCCCTCTAACACCCTTTTATGATAATACTTTTCCCTCTAATATTAATAGTCTCTAGGAAATTGAATATTGTCTCTAAGAAAAACACTTCCTTGTGCAAAGAGTGATGGGTTCATTTTGACAGACTTAGAGGTATTTAAAGGCAGGCTGCCTTTTTTTTTTTTTTTTTCCAAGATGTACTGCAGGGAGGGACTAAGCTGAGTGTAAGCTGAGGCATACCTCTCTGGTGCAGAATTTAAGCCTCAAAAACCTCAGTAATCATAATGTTAACAGTAGAGGGTCTTGACTGCAAGTTGTCCAGGTTCTTGGAGTTTTGAACAAAGAATCTGATAAAACACACAGCAAAGCAAGGAAAGAATGCCACAACAGAAGAGATTTATTGAAACTGAAAGTACACTCCACAGTGTGAGAATGGCCACAAGGGCCCCAGATACAGAATATTCTTGGGTCCGAACACCCATTAGAGGTTTTCCATTGGCCACTTGGTGCTTACCTCATGTAAATGATGTGGTGGCCCGCAATCAGTCTGATTGGTTGGGGAAAGCAACCAAACGGAGGCTGAAGTGAAGTTACAAAGGTTACACTCTTGTGCAAATATCTGATTGGTTATGGACAGCAACCAGAGACTAAAGTGAAGTTACAAAGTTCCACTTCTATGCAAGCGTGTGATTGGTTGCAAAAAGCAACAAATTAGAGGTACTTTCAATTTCCCATTTGCCATGCAGAAAATGTGGGGGTTTGCAAAGGGAGTAGCGCCTGGTTCTTTTGTTACTTAGGCATGATGGAAAGTTAGGGTTTTCCTTTCAATTTAGTTCTCGGAAGTCAGTATGAAATGGCCTTAGGTTCCTTGTCTTCAGACTCTATTCTCTTGCCTCAATAATGTAATATTTCAGTGATCACAATTAGTTTTTGAAAAGCCACAGTGAACGAAATACCAGTTTTTAAAATAAAGACAGGATCATAACAATGCTGGATTCAGTCCTGTCAGAGGCTCATGAGGCAAAAGGAAGAGTCAGGAATACTGATCCTGTCTCTTAAAATCACAGGTAAGTGAAGTGTAAAACTAGGACCACATTCACCTGATTCGTAATATAAAATTGTATTGGTATGTATCATATTAATATTCTCTTATTTTCTCTTTTTCTATTTCTAGGGAGATACTAACATCTCCATCATGCTGGCAATATGCTGTCCTGCTTAACCGATTCAATTATCCTTTTGAACTGGAAAAGGATTTACATTTGAAGGGCTATCACACACTCTCTCAGGGATCTTTACCCAACTATCCTAAATCAGTGAAGTGTTACCTTAGCAGAACTCCGGGCCGAATCCCTTCAGAAAGACACCAAATTGGAAACCTGAAAAAATATTATCTCCTAAATGCTGCTTCTCTTCTCCCAGTGTTGGCTCTGGAATTAAGGGATGGGGAGAAGGTTCTGGATCTCTGTGCTGCTCCTGGAGGGAAATCAATAGCTCTGCTGCAGTGTGCTTGTCCAGGTAGTGTGCTTTCCTTTCAGTATTTGACAACTTTTTAATATCTGTATGTTATAGAGAATTCTGAAAGTATATATGGGGAGAAACGTAAGACTGAGTTTGCAAACTCAGGAAGCCTGAAAACTGAGATGCTATGGAGAAGAATGGAAATTTTTGCTGAGGAAGTCAGTATAAATAACATTTTTTTCAGCAATTTAATTCTAGCAGGTGATTGGGAACAAAACTTCAACATTTCGCAAATACAAATCTGTCAGATAATATGAATGCTGATAAGCCTGATAGGTATTTTTTATTGTTTACCTTTATACTTGAGAGTCTTATGTAGATATCCCTGTCATACTTTTCTGCAACAAAAACATATACATTTAAAATAATTTTTGATGTCAATAGACTATAAGGTTCCAAGGCAATTCTTTCCAGTAGAAATATAATGTGAAGTATATATATACCCTTAAATATTTAAGTAGTTCCATTTTAAAAAGTAGAAGCAGGTGAAATTAATTTGAATAATACATTGAACCAATACATTCAAAATATTGTTTCAATATGTAATCAAAATAGAAATAATGAGATATTTTACATTCTCTCTTTTTTTTACAGGTCTTTAAAATTGGTTACGTTACAGTTACATCACATTTCAGTTGAGACTAGCCACATTTCAGGTGTTCATAGCCACATGTGAGAAGAGGGTATAGTATTGGACAATCCAAAAAGTCTTTTCAAGTGACTTTTTCATTAATATTATTATTAGAACCAAAGTGATACACAGGTTTACAAATATTTGTTAAAAGTAACAAGTCAACATTTACAATTTTTACAATATTTACAAAATTTACAATTTTTTTCTTAATAATTTTTCTTTTAAAGCTAATTCTTTTTTTAAAAAACTGATACAGGCTTCCCCGAATAAATATTACCTACTACTAGAAGAGGCAGAGTTCAGCATCAATTCTGTCTGTTTTTTGTGTGATGGTTCTGTTTTTATAGATGCCAGTGCTGTTCACACAGATAAGAAGATGGAAATGTTGGCTGGGCGCGGTGGCTCGTGCCTGTAATCCCAGCACTTTGGGAAGCCAAGGCAGGCGGATCGCTTGAGCTCAGGAGTTCTAGACCAGTCTGGGCAACATGGGAAAACCCTGTCTGTACAAAAAGATTCAAAAAATTACCTGGGTATGGTGGTGCATGTCTGTAGTCCCAGCTACTCGGGAGGCTAAGGTAGGAGGATTGCTTGAGCCTGGGAGGCAGAGATTACAGTGAGCTGAGATTGCACCACTCCACTTCAGCCTGGGAAACAGAGTGAGATCCTGTCCCAGAGAAAATTGTGTTACAGTTGTTTTACTGTTTCTTCACACTCCTGATTTGTAGCCTCAGATCACATACAGATCTTTCATCAAGCATTATTTTAAAGATCTATTAGGTAAGCACTCTTTAAGTCCATTTTTAATTTTGTTGAAAGCAAATGACGTGACACCATCTCAATTACAAAAGGCAGTGTTGCCTTTTTTTTTTTTTTTGAGATGGAGTCTCGCTGTGTCTCCCAGGCTGCAGTGCAGTGGCGTGATATCAGCTCACTCCAACCTCTGCCTCCCAGGTTCGAGTGATTCTCCCGCCTCAGCCTCCCGAGTAGCTGGGATTACAGGTGCCCACCACCATACCTGGCTAATTTTTATATTTTTAATAGAGATGGGGTTTCACCATGTTGGCCAGGCTGGTCTCAAACTCTTGACCTCAAGTGATCTGCCCACCTGGGCCTCCCTAAGTGCTGTGAGCCACTGTGCCTGGCTGACTTATTCACTTCCTCAGCCAAAACACTGATGTGTTGAACTGCCCTTGTTTGATGTTCTGGAGGTTTCGATACCCTGGCACATTCTACCATAATAAGATTCTAGATGTGTGGGAAGCTTGCTTGTCATTTGTAAAGTTGGTGAAGGACCTTGTGAAAGGAGATGCCCCACTGGAAGTGTTCTCCTCCTTTAGGAAGTTGATGATCTGAAAATGGATTCTTTTGAAACTGTCCAAGCCTTCCTGTCCCTTAGAACATTGGTGTGTATCCCCAAGGCATGTATGTTCCAGTTTGAAGACTGCTTTTATACTTTTATATGAGAGCATTCCCTGTTGAAATAGATTTAAAATTCTTTTATGAGAAACGTGAATCCAGTTGTACTAGGCATTGGTACAAATATATCAGTTAACTGTATATTTAGGAGGAAATATGCCCAATGTTTTAGAGTTCTGGTTAAAACTCAGCTATTGAAGCTTGCTGTATTTTAAAATAAGAAATCACAGCAAAAATGTTATTTTACAAGTTTACCTCGTTATTTTTATAATTTGAGCTGAAGTTTTGTGGAATTGTATGTTATAAGGAGCACTTATTTTTACTTCTACTCTATGTCCTTTGACATTGTTTTTATAAGTTAAAAGGCTTATACTAATTAATTCAGGATATGGAATTTTAGTATTATAAAGGATGAAAGGGAAATGTCAAATTTGGTTACCATTTTGAAGAGAGGGCATTTTAATTCTAAATTATCCTCATTAGTAGGCTATAAATATTTTACACATTTATAGTAGCAAAGTTGATTTGATTAGGAACCCAAAGGCAAACTGATATATTCTAGCAGTTTGAAGTTGAGAAGAATCTTCCTGTTCTTATATCAAGGGCAATGAACTACAGGCAGTGTTCCAAGTAAAGTAGCTTTTCATCTAAGTAGGACTAATGATAATGATTTACTAAGAAGTACAGATGTCTTCATGCTGATGCTTAAAGCCCAAGTTAGGTTAGCTACAGTGCTTGAATTTGGAATGTAGAAGCAATACTAATCAAAGCTTTTATAAGCAAAATGTAAAATGATGGCTGCACTAAATGTGCATTTGTACACCAAATTTCTTTAGATCAGTACTGACCTTTATTCTGGGCCAAGAGGCTCATGGCTTTGAATGATTACAAAGCTTATGTTTTAGGATGATTTAAAAAAAAGAGTCTACTTTCTGTTGGTTCAGCTGCTCTCACCTGTTACCACATTGATGGACTCACCATGGTTGTTGTCAACATAGCCTTTTTAATGTCCTGGTCTTGGCAGAAAAAGAGCAAACAATATGGATTCTAAATGGGAAAACATTAGCATATTAACTAAGGATGACCCAGCTTGGTAGATTGTCTTAGTCAACTTTCTGGCTGAAGGCTATGTCCCTCTAGGCATGAAAATCTCTTTGATGTCAGTGATAACTTTTTTGGTTTTTTGAGACAAGGTCTTGCTCTGTTGCTCAGGCTGGAGTGCAGTGGTGCGATCTTGGCTCACTGCAGCCTTGACTTCCTGGGTTCAAGTCATCCTCCCTCCTCGGTCTCCCAGGTAGCTGGGACTGGGCACATGCCACCAAACCTGGCTAATTTTTGTATTTTTTGTAGAGATGGGGTTTCACTATGTTGCCCAGGCTGGCCTCGAACTCCTGGGCTCAAGCAGTCTGCCTGCCTTGACCTCCCAAAATGCTGGGATTACAGATGTGAGCCACTGAGCCCAATAGTGATAACTTTTTGATATCTGGTTAGTAGAGAAGACTGAAAAGACTCCTTTCTTGGTTTAATTGCTTTTGCTCTCCTTCCTGCTTCTTCATCTCTAGTCCTTTTTGCACATTCTACAGGTGTCTCTTTTTCCTTTCTCTTCCCCTGCTCCTTTTCATCCTTCAGATTATACTTCAGGATTTAATTTTCCTGGAATGCCTTCTCTGAACTCCCTGCATTAGGTTCATCTTCTTTGTGGGAATGAAAATAATAACCATTTTGTAACACTTTGTATGTGCTAAGGATTGTGTTAATCACATTGCTTAAACCTCTGCTTTTCAAACTTTTTTTAGTAGTCTCTGCTTCCAACATCTTGTTTTTTATTTATTTTTTCTTTCTCTCACTTTCTCCCAACAACTTTTGTTATATCCTCATATATAAATCTTTCTAAAATCCTAGGGCTCTGAGGAACTGTGACTATCACTGATGACCATTATTTAACTCTCCAGCTCTGTGAGTTGGGTATTATTATTCCCATTTTAAAGAGTTATCTGAGACAAGGAGAAGTACCAAATTGCCTAAGGTAACTGGCAGAGCTGGGATCTGAACTCAAGTTTTCATTGTTGTAGTTGTGCTATTGACTATTCTAGGGTCTCTCAGTAATACACAAATGCTGACTTCTGTAGCATCCTCCGTTAGTGTCCTGGAGCATAGGGACAGATCCTTTTTTTTTTTTTTTTTTTAGACATAGAGTCTCTCTCTGTCGCCTAGGCTGGGGTGCAGTGGTGTGATCTTGGGTCACTGCAGTCTCTGCCTCCTTGGTTCAAGCAATTCTCATGCCTCAACCTCCCGAGTAGCTGGGATTATAGGCACATGCCACCATACCTAATTTTTGTATCTTTAGTAGAAATGGGGTTTCACCACGTTGGCCAGGCTGGTCTCGAGCTCCTGACCTCAGGCGATCCACCGGCCTCGGCCTCCCAAAGTGCTGGGATTACAGGCATGAGCCCCCACGCCTGGCCCAGATTATTATTTATCTTTGTGTCTGCAGCAAATAGCACTGGCCTAGTCCATAACAAGTCCTTAATAAACCAGAATCTGAAAGTGGTTGTACTCTCAAGTGAATTTTAATCTAATGTCAACAACATTTTAACAAATTAATCATTGCCATTTTGTTCTTTTGTGAATTTGTAACATTGCTTCCAGGTAAGTTTAAAGAAACTTACCATTATCCTTTGCAGCACTTTTTTTTACAGGTAATCAGGCATGAGTGGGGCAGGAGAGGGCTAACCCCCACCTACCAGGAATGTCAGGCAATCATCAGGCGATGACTTAGCTGTTATCACACTGCCTCTCTAAAAATGATAATTGGCAGCCAGTGCCAGGGAGAGGCAATTTCCTGATGCTCCACAGTTGTCACACTAAAGTGATAATTCATCACAGGCACCAGGGAGAGGCAATTTCCCAAACAGATAAAAACATTTGAAATTGGTAATCAGCTTCCAATAAAATCTCAGGAATTAGGCAAGTGAGCTCAAGCATGTGCATAAAGAGACAAAATGGCAGAGTGTGACCTTCTGGGGGCATTCCACTGAAAAGGGAAGAAAGCCTCAGGTGAGCATGCATACAAGTTTCTAAACACACTGTGCGTGCTCACCTTCCAAGTGTAAGGAGGGCACTGTGCATGTGGGGAGCTCACCCTTAAGGAAGAATGAAGGAAGAGGGGTGCAAGACACCGGAAGTGGGCCAGTGTATAAAGTCATAGGATTAAGGTTAAATGGGGCACTTGACCTCCAGAGTACTCGCTTGGGTCTCTTCCAAGTGAACTGTCCTTTCTTTCTTGCTCTAAAGCTTTTGAATAAACTTCCACTCTTGGTCTTAAACTTGGCTTGGTCTCTTTTTCTGCCTTATGCCCCTCAGTCTAATTCTTTCTTCTGAGGAGGCAAGAATTGAAGTTGCTGCAGACCCATATGGATTTACCTCCCACTAACACTTTTAGTACATAGGACAGTATCATTATTCCAATTATAATATTGAGAGGAACATAGAAAATGATCATAAATTATAGCTTATGGCTCCAAATAATTGGAAAAACTGGAAAGAAGGCAAGATTATTGTTTTTAAGTTAGGTCTACTAAAATAAATGAATGAATGAAACTACCAATTTCAGTTTCTTTCTTTGGACCAAAGATTGCCATGTACAAATGCTAAATCCTCAGGAATTTGTTAAATATGCCCCTTTTCCTGTTAAGATGAAAAAAAAAATTAAGATTTGGTTGTTTTTGACAATTTAAGCACAAAATTGTCTCAATGTAGTAAGTGTTAGTATATATATGAAACTTGCATTGTGACACTTTATATTTCATATTTTTAAAAAGTTTAACCAACCTAAGACCATTTCAAATAAAGTCTACGTGTAAGCAATAATTCTGCTGGAAGCTATTTTAAAATGCTGACTTGAGAATCTTGACTCAGACTATATATAATTTAATGAAAAGCTGCCCTGATCTTCAGTCGTAATAATTTAAATATTCATTATTATAATGCCATGCTTCAATCAAGTCATCTACATTTAATATGCACATACTAAATGCAAGGTATTGGATGGTATGTGTATAGAGGTAAGGGATATAGAAATGATGAAGACTTCTGTTTCCTGCGGTGTGACAGACTGGGTACCCTAACCAACCCCCCTTAAGAAAATAACTAAAAATGTAGGATATAATATTAAACAAAAATTTTTAAATGCATCAATTATCTTTAAATACTTAGTGGCCAAAACCTAAGAGACAGTGGGAACCTTGAAGGTAAATTACGTACTGAAGCTGGCTTTTGACCTAAGAACATTTTCTTAACATGAAAAACTTACATGTTTTTTATTGCTTCATGAGAGTGAAGGAATAAAAAACAAAGCCAGAGCCTACCCAAGTAGAGCATCTAATAGAAGATTCACTTACATCAAGCTGGGATTCAAAGTGCTATACCCACCATATAAGGTAAACCAGGAAGAAATTGTCCTCTCCAAATAACTGCAAGGAAAACTGCCTGTCTTCAACTTTGATGCCGTGTTCCTCTCAATATTATAATTGGAATAATGATACTGTCCTGTGTACTAAAAGTGTTAGTGGGAGGTAAATCCATATGGGTCTGCAGCAACTTCAATTCTTGCCTCCTCAGAAAGTATGCTTCGAAATCATTACAGTGAAGTTGCAGAACACTGAAAATAAAGAGAAGACCTTAATAGCAACCAGAAAGAATGGAGAGCTTACTTTCAAAGGAACGATGGACAGAGGGTTGACTCTTGAGAACGAGAGTTCAAAGGAATATAAAAGATGACTATCAATCCAGAAATATATTCAGTCAATAATGCTCCTGAAGAGCAAAAGCAAAATAGAGAAAGAGAGAGAGAGATTAAGAGTTTTTCACCAACAATTCTGAAGGATATGCTTCAGGAAAAAAGAAAGCCATCCAAGATGGAAGATAGGAGTTAGAAAAAAAATGAATAGCAAAGGTGGGATATTATGTGGGGAGTGCCTAACCATCATTGGCTATATAAGACCATGATAATGTTTTGTGGTGTCCAAAAATGTAAGTCAAAAGAAAACCCAGATATACAATAACAGTAGCATCTAAAGCAAGAGTGTTACGAGATTCTTGTATCTTTTAGGAAAGTTGGTGAAAATTGACTTAGCTTAGATTTTTCTTAACACGTGCATGTTAAAAGTCTTTTGGGTTACCACTAGAAAAGTCAAAATAGAATGTAAAACATTTAAACTAGAAAAAGAGGAAAGTTGAATGAAAGGTGAGTAAGACCTCTTTTCTCTGAGGCCCTTAGTATTTGATAGGCAGTGGTGAACAATGGCAGGGGTGACTTTGGGGGTTATCTTGTGGACCCAGCTTATGCATCACTACAGATATGTTTGGCTTCATCTTTACTCCCATCCCTCACCTCGTGGCTGGAGCCACTTGAATTGTTTCCAGAGACTGGAGAAACCCTAGCAAAGGCTCATGCCATTCATGCAGTTATCTTCTGCTAATGCTACCACTGCCACAAATTGAAGAGCCTCCCAATGAGTGCCAGGTGACAAGCAGAGATCACCTCACCTGTATGCTTGCAATACCTGGCCTTGGGTACTGTCTGGTTTTTTTTAGCAGTTGCCTGAAGGGGTCAGGTACACAACCCCAAAGTTGGTAGAAGTTACCAGCTCTTGTTGTGGACTTTAACCAATGAGAGAAAGAGACAAAAAGCAGCCAGCAGATTGTTCTTCCTCCTTCCTCCACTAACCTCCAGTTCCTGAGAAGGCTCTGTAATTTCAAACTGTAGAGTTGCCCTGAGAGACTGACCAAAGCTCTAGGCAGCTTGATTACAAATCCTCCTGTATCTATCATGCTACTTCCATGATTTACTTCCTTTTTTCTCTCACTTTTGCTTCCTTAGAATTGCACCCTGTCCATACCATGAACTTCTGTCTTACATTGTTTTCTAGTGATCTCAAGCTAAGACGAGGGCTTTTAGACACCTATTTAAGTTCCATTAGTGAGTCCTCCAAAAGACACCCAAAATAAACATGAAAACTAGCTGTACAGATGTGCTTTAAGATGATTTTCTACTCCTCTTCTCAACAAAATTGATGCCATCTCCTGAGTGTCTTCCCTATAGAAATATGGAGCCCTGGGCCTGGCACGGTGGCTCATGTCTGTAATCCCAGCACGATGGGAGACCGAGGTAGGTAGGTCACCTGAGGTCAGGAGTTCCAGACCAGCCTGGCCAACATGGCGAAACCCCGTCTCTACTAAAAATACAAAAATTTAAAAATACAAAAATTAGCCAGACGTGGTGACGCACACCTGTAATCCCACCTACTTGGGAGGCTGAGGCAGGAGAATCGCTTGAACCTGGGAGTCAGAGGTTGCAGTGAGCCGAGATCATGCCACTGAACTTCAGCCTGGGCAACAGAGCGAGACTGCATCTCAAAAAAAAAAAAAAAAAAAAAAAAAAGAAAAGAAATATGGAGCCCTCGTAGTAGAGAAGGTAAGCCATACACAGAAACACCTCTCATGTGAGATAAATAAGAGAAGTACTGAGTATGTTTGGGAAATGGAGTAGTCCATCAAGTTTGGTAGAGCACAGAGTATACTGGGGAAATAGTGGGAGATTAAAATGGAAACATTGTCCTGAGGTCTGGCTATTATGGACCTTGATTTAAGGACTCTGCATTTGAACTTTACTCAGTGGATGATGGGAAGTCACTAAAAGTTTTTTTTTTTACTTTTTAACAGTGGAATGACAATCAGAAAAAAAAAAATATGTAACTGGGCATGTCCCTGTGGAGACACTGAAAGCCTGTGGAGTTGTTAAAATACATATACACATACATATACATATATGTATGTGTATATGTATGTATGTATGTATTTGAGCAAAGGCTTTACAATGTTTTTTCCCTTCTACGTTAAACTGTAATGTTCAGTTAGTTCTCTAGTATTGTTGCCTTGGTAACCTGACAGAGATTGTCACTATGATCTAGGCAAGATTGCTTATGATAAAGATGACCCTGATTGGTAAACTGCATGTGGGCTGGGAGAAAGAATAAATAACCCCTAGAGACCTGATAGAGGTGCCATGCTTTGGGTCTTCTGAGTGCAGTGATTCTTATAACTGGGCATGTCCCTGTGGAGACACTGAAAGCCTGTGGAGTTTTTAAAAGGAATAATGGTTCCTGTGGGACAGGAAGCTTTTAAGCCAGGACAGTTCCTGCGTCTGCCGCAATGTGAGTTTCATCTTCTTGCACCTGAATTACCACCTGTGTTTACTCTTAAGCGTTAGTTCTTTAGAGTGAGAGCCATGTCTGAGGTATTGGTTGTATAACATATCTTTAGGAATTTATAATTTTTTATAGGTTTTACCTCTAATAAAATTAAACTTGGTGGAGCAAATGCTGAGAGCTTCTGAGAGACTGTGTAGGCATGACTGTTGTAAATGTTTTATGTAGTAGGTATGTGCATCTATATATACATACACATATACCTTATTTCTGTTTTTAAAGCATAAGAAAATAATAATGTTTACCTCTGAGCCCTATTTCTGCATAATTATGATGAGTTAATTTCTTTCTGAAATTTATTTGCTGAAAAGTAGAAATTTAACAGTTCCATTGCCTTCATTTGAAACTTTTTAATCCTTTTTATTTAGGTTATCTTCATTGTAATGAATATGATAGTCTGAGATTGAGGTGGCTAAGGCAGACGTTGGAATCTTTCATCCCACAGCCTTTGATAAATGTAATTAAAGTGTCTGAATTGGATGGCAGAAAAATGGGAGATGCCCAGCCTGAAATGTTTGACAAGGTACTTTTATTACATTGTGACAAACTGATGGACGCCCAGTAATACCACTATTATGTTGCTTTGTGGTTGTTATTTTCCATCTGTTCTCAGACATAGCCTGATACAGTTTCTCAGTACCCTGGAAAATTTTGATAAAGTGAACATGGAAGCAGTTTTCATTTGATGGTCAGCATGGTTCAAAGGAAGCAGTAACATTGGGATTGAGGATTATAGAATGTTTTATATTGGCAGGTAACTCAAAGATACTCAGGAAAAGATCGGATATTATTTGGGTCAGTACTGTATTGCTTTAATTCAGTAACATTTCATATCAGAGTATGACAGTTGAAGAAAAAGAGGTTATTTCAGTAAGCTGAAGTTGAAATATTAGTTCTTAGAAATAAGTGCTGAGAATTCAGAAATATTATTAATGTCTGATTACAATGAGTAACTTTTGTAAAAATTTTTGCTGTGGTTGTCAAGGATATCAAATAGCATTAGTAGACCTAGTAAACTTTAATTCTCCCATCCTAAGCCCCCAAAAACAAACACTGAAAGTACATGGTAAGTTTTTCTGAAAAGTGTTAGTGAGGAAATGTCATAAGGAAAAACCTACTGTGGTGTATTTTCAGTTAAAAAAGAAATGTTTTTACTTATTTCCTATTTGTTTACCATGTTTTAGAGAACTTCTCTATCTACTTCGTGCCTGAGAATAGATTGTCAGTGCATATTTGCATCACTTGTCTTTTTTTTCTCTAGGTGTTAGTGGATGCTCCGTGTTCAAATGATCGAAGCTGGTTGTTTTCTTCTGACTCTCAGAAGGCATCCTGTAGGATAAGTCAAAGGAGGAATTTGCCTCTTCTACAGATAGAGCTGTTAAGGTAAGGACTGTTAATACAAAAGTGTATTTTGGTGTCTGATGTAATTTACACAGGCATAATAGAACATGTCAGGCCCCCAGTGGAGGGCTTGCTGTGTAGGTGTCAATGATTATTCCTCCAAAGGCTACACTCAAAAAATTCCCAACTTCTTCCCCTTTATCGCTCATACTGTAATGCTCACCGCCCCTCCCTCCACCCCCAGTGATGTGTAGTATTGCTGTGCATTGTCTTTTAAAGGGCATAGGCAATTTTACTGTAGTTCAAAGTTGTTTGCTCACTGGGACCCAACCCTGGGGGTTCATAGCCCTGTTTCTTTTACCAGAATCTGAGCAGCCCCTTAGGAATAGCTTTGAATCAGGATGCATGTTTTGTTATTGTTCTGGATGAATCAGCCCCTAGCAAGTTGTAGCTGGTTGTTAGCGCTTATCTCCCCTCTGAGAATTTTCCAGAAGGACCTGGCCACTGAACATTTGGTTTCATTAAGAACACAGCCATTTTGAAACATTATTGTTCGGGTTCCAACAGCGATTTTGACATATGCCCTACTCCCATGTAATTCTCTTGTTTAATGCTAAACCAAATTTTTTTGTTTGTTTGTTTGTTTGTTTTTGAGACAGAGTCTCACTCTGTCGCCCAGGCTGGAGTGCAGTGGTGCAATCTCGGCTCACTGCAACGTCCACCTCCCAAGTTCAAGCTATTCTCCTGCCTCAGCCTCCTGAGTAGTTAGGATTACAGGTGTGCGCCACCAAGCCTAGCTAATTTTTTTTTTTTTTTTTTTGTATTTTTAGTAGAGATAGGATTTCACTGTGTTGGTCAGGCTGGTCTTGAACTCCTGACCTCGTAATCTGCCCACCTTGGCCTCACAAAGTGCTGGGATTACAGGCGTGAGCCACCACGCCTGGCCACTAAAGCAAAATTATCTATAATATTTAAAATACAATTAAATGGTGCCTTAATCACTCATTACCTCTTGCACGTAGAAAGACAGTGAATGACAGTATGCATTTCCAACTTCTGACTGATACACAACAATAAACATATACCATTACCTAAATATTATAACCAATACTAATACATAGCCTTGTATCAGATTACGTCTCAGCTGATTATGGTGATTCTTGGTAGTACTTATCAGAAGGCTTTTCTGAACATTTCAGCAGTTAGACTATTTGTTTGTATACTTCTGATGTCCACCTTTCATGTAACACTAAGATATTTTGAAAACTTTATACCACCGTTCCCTTTTAGCCTTTGGGTTATTAGCTTTGAGATGACCTAGACCCTTCTCTAAATCATTTTTCTCACCTAAGCTGTTTTGATTTGGCTTCTTTGTTTTTTTGTGTGTTTGTTTGTTTGTTTTTTGAGATAGAGTCTTACTCTGTCACCCAGACTGTAGTGCAGTGGTGTGATCCCCGCTCACTCCAACATCTACCTCCTGGGTTCAAGCGATTCTCATGCCTCAGCCCCCCAAGTGGCTGGGATTATAGGTGCCCACAACCATGCCTGGCTAATTTTTGTATTTTTAGTAGAGACGGGGGTTTCACCATGTTGACCAGGCTGGTCTCGAACTCCTGACCTCAAGTGATCTGCCCGCCTTGGCCTCCCAAACTGCTGGTATTACAGGCATGAGGCAGCATCCCCCAGCCTCAGTTTCTTAATTATTCCTGCTACACCAGCCTTGCCATTGTTATTCCTTACACCTGTAACAGATACCAAATCTTGTGATGGCTTATTAACATTGTAATCTACATTTTTTAAAACCATAAGTAAGCAAACAGGCTTTCTGAGAATATTATTTTTCTTCTCTGTCTCCTGACAGATCTGCCTCTGACTTCCTTTTCTTTCTATTACCAGGTTTTCTGTGATATATTCTGTCTACTGTTTTTCCTCCCATTTTGTCTCAATTAATTATATTTTATCGTCTGTTTCCTTTATTCTTCCAAACCTATTCTTATTAAAGAACTATTAATTTTTAAAATTTTTAGAATTTTTAAAACATTTTTAATTATACAGGTAACACATGAAACCATTTTCATTGTAAAAAAATAAATCAAATAATACAAATGAAGCAAAAGGCCCTGTTGGCCACATGCCCAACCAAATATCAGCTTTCTTCTCAGAGTTAACTGTTGGATTAGTATCTGCATGTAGTGAAATACATTTTAAAATAACTTTTATCATGATATGTATATTCTTCTGTTACATGGTCTTTTTTTTTTTTAACCAAATATTTCTTAAGTCTTTTCCATGTAGATCTACTTTGTTCTCTTTAACTTACGTGAAACATTCAAGAGGATCTATTGTATTCCTTTTTAATCCTTTAATCCTCTATTTCTGGATATTTACATTGTTTGTTTGTTTGTTTACTTTTATAAACCATTCTTTAATTTGTCTCATCCGACAGGTCTGCTAGCATTTTTCTTGATTAAATAAATATTGAGAAGTAGAACTGAGGATCAAATACTTTAATAGCTGTGTTGAATTGTTCTCCAAAAAGGCTATACCAGTTTATACTCCCTGCTGCACTGGACTTTGTTTACTGCTTGCTCCCTCTTAAAATATTCTCTTCCCTTGACATTTGTGATCAGAGGCTTTCCTGGTTCTCCCTACTTCTCAGTTATGCCTTCTTCATATATTATTTAACTCGCTCCTCATCAGCTCATCCCACAAATTTTGGGTTTCTTTAGCCTACTGATATTGATCCTTTTCTCTATCTGATGGCTTCAACTGATATCTCCCAATACATGAGCTTAGACTATCTCTCAAATATGAATCTAAGCTTAGATCTTTCTCCTTAGCCTCAGACCTACATATTCAATTACCGATCCGAGATCTCCAGAAACTTAAAACTCAAATAATTAAGATAAAAATCATAATTTCTAATTCTCTTAGGAGAATCTTCACCAAATCGACAAAACAAAAAATCAGACTAGAAATTCCACCAACCTGCCTCTTCCCCCTCTCTTCTCGATTTTAGTAAATGCCACGCCACCATATATTTGCCTAAGTCAGACACCCATCTTCAACTTTCCTTTTTCTCATATATTCAATCAATCACTAAGACGTCTCAGTTGTACCTATTACATGTGTCTCAAGTTCACCCAACTCTCTCCATCCTGAATAGCCTAACCTAAGCCACCAGTATTGTCACCTAAATGATTTTAACTGGCCTCTAACTGTCCTACATATCTCCAGTTGTGAGCCATACTGCTTGATTCTCCACAGTGAAGCCAGAGTGACACATCCGAAATGAAAATCTCGTGTCAATTATCCTTCTGGAAATCCTACAGTGGTTCCCCATTACCAGCAAAATTTCACACTCTTTTTGTTTGTTTGTTTGTTTTTTTAATTTGGGGATTTTCCAGTGAAAACCAGGATTTGCTAGACGAATTCTAAAAGAGCTGCAATACTTCATACTGTTAGTGTAATACTCAAGTCCTCTTTTGACCTGGCCCCTTCTTACTTCAGCAACCTCATTGTCTCAGGACTCCTACTCATTTTGTTGCAACCATGCAGTTTCTCAACAGTCCACACAGTGTCTCATTTCTGAGGCCAGTGCATTTCCTGTTCCTTTTCCTTGAGAGTTATTCTAATTTACACTTCCCTTTCTCCTGGCAAACTCTACTGATTCTTCGGGAATCAGCTCTGACGTCTCCTTACTGAAGCCTTGCCTGACTTCCTAGGAGTGGGGTGGATATTGTCCTCATGTCCTTACCTTCACTTAAAGATACATTTATTGTCAGTTCCTCTGCTACTCAATTATCTAGTACGTGCCTCTCTTTTTGACAAGACTGTAAGCCCCATGGGAGCAGGGATTGTTTTATTATTTTTATTCCTACCATATAATTTGGTGTCTGGCATGTAGAAAAGACTAAGTAATTGTTTAAAAACAGTATATTACACGGGTTGAGTATTTAGAATTTATAGCTGTAATTAAATTGATAGCACAGTTAATCTGACAAAAATAATGATGTAATGATTATGCTGCATGGTGATTAGGCATAAATGTAAAGCAATTCCCATAATTTATTTTTATTAGTATTGCTTTTACATAGCCAAAACATGGCTATAGAGTTTAGTTTTTTTTAAATCATTTAATAAGCTTTTCTTAATATCGTATAGCATTTCAATCATCATTGCAAAAATCATTCACATGCATAAACCCCAGATAGGCACCTTCTTATGTCCCAGCAACTAAGGCTCTTCTGTAGTGGCCACTCCTCTCTTCCATCATCTTACTTCCCTAAAGGAATGGTTTTAGTAGCACATCACTTCAGTAGCAAATTGGCAGGGCACAAAACTGACATCACATTGAATGTAGGTTTTCATGTAATCATATGAGATTGGGAAAGGCTGTTGCACCAGCCATCTCCCA
Source organism: Homo sapiens (assembly GCF_000001405.40). NCBI lineage: Eukaryota > Metazoa > Chordata > Mammalia > Primates > Hominidae > Homo > Homo sapiens. The sequence goes on from NC_000003.12 coordinate 94,099,530, forward strand.
TTCTTTTCCTTCAGCAGCTGCTCTACATTCCCTGCCTCTGCTTCCTGGCCTGCCTGAGAGGTTTTGGAATGACTTGAAGCAGCCAAAATTCCTAGTCCCTTGGCTATATGATTATGATGACAAAGGGGAGAGATTAAGATATCCAAGCTATAGGCAGAGAAAATGATCGGAGTCCTGACATCTACAAGTCTTGGGGTTAAAAAGATAAGGGGAAAAAAAATGATGATACCAGACACAATCTCTCTCTTATCTCCTGCCCTTGACTTCAAAAAATGAAAAAAAAAAAAGACTATAGCACTTTTATCATCAGGAATAGCTCTATTTTATCACTATCTCACTACCTAGAATTTCCTCTTGCCTGTCTTCCAATCTTTCCTCAGCTAGCTAGTTATTGCATTACCTTTCGTTAACAAAAGGCAATCCTTTTATTTCACAATATGAAATAAAAGGTTTTAAAATGCAGGCATGCAAGAGAGTAAAAACATTAATGTGTATGAGTTTCATTCATATGAAGGATTGATTGCAGATCCTTATTTTCATTTACAAAGAGCAATTGGAATGCAGATAAACAAATATTGTCTGGCCCCATATTTTGAGCAGAAGATGGCACTCAGAAGTGAGAAAAGGAGTGGAAAAGATAGTGAAGAGGTAAATAAGGGAAACTTTCTGATTGTACTATTTTCCAAAGGCTAGACTTGTATGTACATTGTCTGTTGACAGATATGGTGCTCAAAGATACTTTATACACGTGAGAACTTACACAGCCTTTAAAAGCAAGGACATTCTGTTATTTACTACAACATAGGTGGGACAGTAGGGCATTATGTTAAGTGAAATAAGCCAGAAACAGAAAGATAGATACCATATGATCTCACTTCCGTGTGGAATCTAAGAGTTGATCTCATAGAAATAGCATATAAAGGTGGTTACTGGAGGCTGAGGGTGAAGGGAAGGATGGGGAAAGGTAAGACATCGATCAAAGTCTAACTCTCGGTTAGACTGAAGGAATAAGTTATAATGATCTGTCGCACTATGTGGTGACCACAGTTAATTATGTATATTTCAAAATTGCTAAAAGAATAGATTTGTAGTATTCTTACCACAAAAGAATGATAAGTTGGTGGGGTGATAGATATGCTAATTAACTAGATTGACTCTTTCTACAATGTATACATAGACCAAGATATCACATTATACTCCATAAATATTTACAATTATTATTTTTCAGTTTTTAAAAAGGTATTTATGCCCTTTATGACTGCGTGAAGGCATGCAGTCACTTTATGAGAAATATTTATGTTACATAAGCAGTCTACACAGTGTTCAGAATTTCAACTTTTGGAAAGACAGTGTCCTATAACCATATACTCTATAACTCGATACTAATCTGGCACATTTTTATGAAAATTAATGTCTTATTTGATAAAAGTTTTTTTATGTTAATTTTTTTTTTATTTTTATTTAAAAAAATATTTTAGAGAGAGGGTCTTGCTCTGTCTCCCAGGCTAAAGCGCAGCAGTGGTGCGATCATAACTCACTGCAGCCTCAATCTCCTGGGCTCAAGTGATCCTCTCACCTAAGCCTCCTGAACAGCTGATACTACAGATGCATGCTACCACACTTGCCTAATTTTTAAATTCTTTTCTAGAGACAGTGTCTCACTGTATTCCCCAGGCTGGTCTCGAACTCCTGGCTCCAAGTGATCCTGACTCTTTGGCCTCCCAAGTGCTGAGACCATAAGCACGAGCCACTGTGCCCAGCACTGATGTTAAATTTTTTTTTTAAACTGTTAGTAGATATGTAATACTCCTTAAAATTTTTTAAAATTAATGTACATATAACAGTATATATAATGATAAAAATAGTAATGTAACTAGTTTTCTGGTTTTTTTTAACATGAAAAACTTATTGGAAGGCACAATGATGACAGGAGAAAGATCTCAAAACAATATGAGTTCTTTGTATACTTAAAGACTCTTTGATTTATCCATATAGAGGTAGAAGAATTAGAATTTTCTATTGAATTTACAGAACACAAAGATAAAAGTTACATAAAATTTTCTCACACATCTGTCCCAAAGCTATTTTCAGGAGATGAGAATGAGGGGCAAGGATAAAAGGAATAATTGAACATAAAGCAGTTCTATGAATGGAATGCCACTTAAAAGTATGCCTTTATTATCATTTCTCAAAATAATTTTTGAGCCAGTCATTCCTGTTACATGCTATGTTGTTCATACTATATAATCAAATTCTTTTGCCTCATTTGTATTTAAATGTATTACGAAAAATAAAGTGGGAAAATATACTGAAAATGAAATACATGTAGTCTTTAGAAAGTGACTATGATATTTGTATAAGAGAAGTTTACATGATTTTTAGGTGGGAAAGCACTAACTGAAGAATATGATTTATAACAAAAATAAAGGTAACTTATTGCAGTAATGTATCATGTCATTCGTTTCCTAGGAGAAAATGAATCACATTTAAAATACTGACCCCTTCTGGTTTTCTTTTCTCACTACTTGACAAGTAAAATCCAATTTGTGAGCTCATTGAAAAAGGAAGCTTAGATTATTCGGTAACGTTTTGAAAATTTGTATAAATCATCCAGATAACAATCCTTAAAAAGTGGCACTCTGACAGCAAGAATTGTGTTTTGAAAGAAACGTTAAAAAAAAAAAAAAAAAAAAAAACACTAACATCTATTCTCTGATGCACTGGAGCTAAGATAAGGAATACCTAGTTGACTGTGCAGCATGGCCTTCATCATTCATCAACACAGTGACCAAAAAATTGATGTGTTTATATTGGAAAAATAATATTTGAATATATGGGGCTATCAGAATGGAAGATTTCCACCACTGCTTCAGCTATGTATATGTTTTCTTTTTAAAGTTTTAATAATTCAGTTCATGTCGCATACTGTCATCGTATGCTTAGTCATATGTTTGGAATCCAGAAAACAAAAGCAAACTACTATTAACTACTACAATTACTACTAATAATTATTTTCTTCCTCTTTCTGTTCTTTCTCCTCTGTATTCTTCATCTTGTTTCTTTTTTCTTTAAGTTTAGGTGGCAGTAGTCAGAGGTTATGAAATTTAAAATGTGCAATTTGTTTGCAGAAAGTACACACTTCTTTTTAACAAGAGTTTACTGATCAAAGTATTACACATTCAATGAAATGATAAAAGATTGAGGAGCCATCCAAAGCTATAATTTGTAACTATTATATTTTCTTTCATAAAAAATGTGTCAAATATATATTGACAATATGAATACAATCTTGAAAATAAGATGTTATCAGCATTTATTAATTTATTTACATTATCTACTTTTTAAAATTTATTTATTTATTTATTTATTTATTTTGAGAGAGAGTCTCACTCTGTTGCCCAGGCTGGAGTGCAGTGGCATGATCTCAGCTCACTGCAACCTCCGCCTCCTGGATTCAAGCAATTCTCATGCCTCAGCCTCTCGAGTAGCTGGGATTACAGGTGTCTGCCACCATACCTGGCTACTTTTTGTATTTTTAGCAGAGATGGGGTTTTACCATGTTGGCCTGGCTGGTTTCAAACTCCCAACCTCAGGTAACCCACCTTCCTTGGCCTCCCAAAGTGCTGGGATTGCAGGCATGAGCCACCATGCCTGGCCTAACATTACCTACTTTGTACTGGGAACTTAGCTAAGCATTGCAGATTTTAAAATATGGAAATGATTCTTGTTCTCAAGGTCCTCAGGCCAGTTATCGTAAAATGTGGTAAGACCTATAATAGAGAGAACAGTTAGGGTGCTGGGGGAATAGAGGGAAGGATGCCTAACTTTATTCTTGTTAACAATGGAGTACAAAATAAGCAACAGGTAAATATTTAAACTAAAGAGATTTGTTTAATACACAATATTATTATACAATAGTATAATAATATACAATAGAGTATAATATACTGGAGCTAAGATACATATATTTATTGATTTATTTATTACCCTTGGCTGCTATAGTATGTAGAGTAATTTATATATATATACTATGTAGAGTAATTTATTTATTTATTACCCTTGGCTGCTATAGTATGTAGAGTAATAGGAATCATAATGATATACAATTGATATCTTTTTCCACTTAGTTTATCATGAACATTTCAATTATTCAATAGTCTTTGAAAACATGCCATTCCTTCATTTATTCAGGTAGTTAGGAATATCTAAAACTCTCCTTTCCTTACACGATCTGATTAATGCAAGAAATAGTACAAAAATGTATCCTAAAGGAGATTAAAAGATCAACTTTTTAAAGTTCCAGGCAAGAGCCTGGTAACTCTTTGGGAAGGAGTTATAGCAGCTGGCCTGTGATCCATTTCTGTTTTGATTTCCAGGGGGATACTCCTAAGGAAAGAAAGAAGGCAGGTGACCCAATTAAATCTTCTCATAAACATGTAGATAATTGGCCTCCTTGGTAAATAGACTAATGAGTTTTGCTAAGAGGATAGTTCTTATTTATGGCATGCTTTAAGCAGAATGTTCCTGGTTAGGATTGCCTATGGTAAATACAAACTAGCATCTATATAGATTTATGGGGCATGGCTTCCTAGAGATACCACGTATCAACTTCATAAGGTATGTTGTGACATAACCTAAATGCTCCCCATTGTGTGAGGCGACCTGTGAACATGATTTAGAGAATTCATCTATTCTGAGTTAGAAAGCCCATACCCAATACTGGTAGCAAGACCTGGGGAGCTACATCAGCTGTCCCAGACCTTTCTCTGCTTCTCTTGTGCCACTTGATTGCCTGTATACTTAAAATTATTATTAAATAGTAAAGCTTGATAGTGGATAAGGTCTCTGGTCTGTGTGAATCTGATTTGACAATTTGATCTTTTATGTTAGCTCACTCCTGAACCCCAACCAGGCCTCTGTGATGAGGCTGAATTGAGGGGCATGATTTGGACCTGAGTCCCAGTTGCAAGCTTTTTATTCCAGTCCCACGTCTAAATCTTGGGATTCAATCAACTCTTCCAACCAGCTATTAGACAGAAAATAAAAGCCTTGCCCCTTACATGCTTGGCATGGAAACATGATTAAGAGGATGAGGGGATAGCTTATTCCATAATTTAGCACAACAGTTATATATACAGTGGAGAGCTACTGAAGTATTTCTAATAATGAAATCAAATAATTACATTTATTTTAGAAAGATTATTACACATAGAGGGTAGACACAAGAGAGCAAACATAGAAGAAAGCAATTGAGAATAAATAATTAGGAAGTTATGGAATTTTTCCAGATGAGCAATGATTATCAATGGATTAATGTTAGAAGAAAGCAGTCTTCAAAATAAGATGATACTTTAAGCGTTTCATTAACTCACCATAGTTTATTCAATTTGTAAAATACCACGGATGTTAACAAGAGTTTAACATCTTTTTTTCTTAATAATTTGAAAAGCTTTTAATGGATATTTTACAAAACAAAACTGAGCCAATAAGTATAATAAGTATATTTAAGTATTTGAAACATGGGAGCACATAAATTCTTCTAGTTTAAAAAATTTGAACTGACTTTTCAAGATTTCTAAAGAGTGACCATTGCGTGCAGCAGAGGATGACCTGGCTATTTTGGGAAAAGGTGCGTCTTTGTCACTTGAGCATTCTTAGTTATCTCTTGGTGCTCTGTGTTCTTTTTGCCTCCCCCGAATCTTCTTTCTGTGGGAACAACGACTTTTATGATCCAAAGGATTGAACCTTGGGCTGAAAAACCACGATCCAGCCTATCCGTTAAGAGTCCCTGTGACTCTTTCTTCTTCTGTCAGCAAGATTTTCCTGGCATTTGGCCTCATTCTGCCACTCACTACAGGAATTTGAACTTACCATGCCATCGACCTAAATGGAGTCACTAAAATGCCTTTAGTAAATTTTGTAGGCTTTTATTTCTTTTTTAGTCTGGCTACTGCAGGAGTCAAATGACTTCTTTAGGAAAAGATGGTCATTTTTTTTCCTCCAAAGATTTATTTAGGACATTGGCGTTCAAACTCTGCTCTGTAAAGATGTAGGGTTTCTGTGGAATCGCTTGAGGAGCTGTCTTGAAGGAATAGATAGGGATGAACCGGAGACCCCCTTAGTCTGGCACACCAAATCTAGCTAGAGGCAGGGTATCTTTTTTCCGGTTAAGCATGTAGAATTTCACTTGAAGAAAGTTTCTTCTTAACACACACACATACACACACACACACACACGGTTTGAATAAACCCTTTTAAATCATTAAAATCAACTATAAGCAATCTCCATTCATAAGCACATTTGCCATGGGACAAAATCAGGTCAATTCTGGTGGTTTTCTTGAAGGCTTTTCTTTTTTTTTTTTCATTTGTATGAGTTAAGAGGCAATGGTTGATAGGTCAAAGACCCTACCTTGAAGTTAGGCAGGCCTAATGTGGGTTTGTTGTCACTCTTTGCTCACCTAAGCAACACAAAATGAGATCCTTATGTTCAATTTTAGTGGAGCAGTTTTAATCCCTACTGTTCCATACTCATATTAATGAGGCAATGAACTGTTAAGAAGAGGTAGTAAATGTGAAGTCTCCAAATGGAAACCAATAATAAATATGTTAAAATTTGTCATTTATAATCTATTTCAAAAATCTAATGTCATTACTCTGTTGTACTAGTACTTTATAAGAAATATTGAATATAAATATAAAGAAATATTCTTTATAAGAAATATTGCTTCTTCAAGGTAAAAACTTACTGTCAGTGGAAAGAAGATAATTATCAGCATTTGTTTTTGTTTCTGACAAAAGAATAGCCGCTGGGTATGGTATCTCTGAAAACGGCAAGCTTGGTCATGTTTCTTTATCTTGAATTTACAGAAGTCTTTTGATAATAAACAGTGTGATATCTAGAAATTTGATTACTTAACTGTGAGCACAGTGAAGGCTACCCTCAGGCTTGTAAAATAATACTTTTAAAACTGATGACGGCATTAGGTAACTATCAACCTAGAAATGTCTGTGTTTTAGATTCTTATAGTACCCTGAAACTTAATTTTAAATCTGCATCTATTTGATAGATTGTACATGAGCTTCAACTTTTCACCTTAATGTTTTCTTTGGTCGTAGTGTATAATAGTGGTCGGGGTTTTTTTTGTATTTGCTTTCTTGCCCAGACTGCTGTTTGCCAGCAGAAATAGTAAACTGATAGAAACAGGGTGAAATGATGAGAAACAGGCAGTGGAAAAATGAAAGAAATGGGAACTGCTGAAAAGGAACAAAAACAGAAATACTGGAAAGGAATACTAGAAGTCAACAATGTAGTATTAAAAAAAATGAAATGGAAAGGAAAAGTAAATGAAGAAAAAATTCCCAAAATGCTTCAGGGAAGAAAAGAAATGGTTAAAGATGTGGTTTTACCATTTGTTAAATTATATTGTAGCAATTAAAACTTTTTTTTTTTTCTTGAGACAGGTGCACTGGCACAATCTCAGCTCACTGCAACCGCCACCTCCCACGCTCAAGCAGTCCTCCCACCTCAGCCTCCCAAGTAGTTTGAACAATAGGTATACACCAGCTAATTGTATTTTTTGTAGAAATGAGGTTTTGCCATGTTGCTCAGGCTGGTCTCAAACTCCTGGGCTCAAGCGATCCGCCTGCCTTGGCCTCCCAAAGTTCTGGGATTACGGGCATGAATCACTGTGCCTGGCCTAATTAAAATATTTCTATTGCTGTATCAAATTAGGCATATATATGTTTTGTTGTTGTTGTTTTGTTTTTGTTGTTGTTGTTTGTTTTGAGGTGGAGTCTCACTCTGTCGTCCAGGAGTGCAGTGGTGTGATCATGCCGCCTTGACCTCCTGGGCCCAAGTGATCCTCTTGTCTCAGCTTTCTGAGTAGCTGGGACCACAGCATGTGCCACCACACCTGGCTAATTTTTTATTTTTTGTAGAAACAGGGGTCTCTCTATGTTACCCAGGCTGGTCTCAAACTCCTGTACTCAAGTAATCCTCTTGCCTTGGCCTCTGAAAGTGCTGGGATTATAGGTGTGAGCCACCATGCCCGGCTAATTTTTTTTTTACTAGATTAATTTTCTTTAAATCAGACAGTCTACTGTCTCCTGCCCCACTCTCCCAAACTCTGTTAGGTTTCCCTTTTGTTACTAGAAAGGCAGTGTAAGGGACAACTGACATTTTTAAATGTCTTAATGGTATTTTGGGGACACCATATCTCAATTTTAAAACAGTGGCCATGTTCCGTAAAGTCAAGTTTACTTTAAAAAGGTTACCAAACTGTTCTACTCAATCAGAAATGAGACCACAATTGCTAAGTAGCTGCCCTCATTAACAGGCTATTTTACTTTCTGTAGGAATTTATTATTTACGACCCAGTTGGCAGGAAGAAAAACCATTCTCATTTTTATAAATTACTTGTTAGCAAAAGCTTTTTTTTTTCCTTTTTTTTTTTTTTTTTCAGATAAAGCCTCTGGCCTCTATCATTTCCATTTGTTCTATAACATAAAAGTTAGAGGTTGCTTCAACTATTCTCTACTCAGAATTTTTTTTGATAAAATTTTTATTTTGATATAATTTTAAACTTAGAAAAAAATGTAAGAATAGTACAAGGAGCTCCTGTGTGCTCTTTATAGAGATTCATCAACTGTTTTACATTTCACCACGTTTACTTTTTTTTATTATTATACTTTAAGTTCTGTGATACATGTGCAGAACTCTATTCAGAATTTTTGTTAGTTTCAATTAAATATATTTTCTTTGTTTTACACTGAAAATTCTCTTCCTGACCTGCCTCTTAATAAAGGTAGCATTTATTTGTTTTTTGTTTGTTTGTTTTATTTTATTTTGAGACGGAGTCTTGCTCTGTTGCCAGGCTGGAGTGCAGTGGCACGATCTTGGCTCACTGCAACCTCCGCCTTTCAGGTTCAAGTGATTCTCCTGCCTCAGCCTCCCGAGTAGCTGGGACTACAGGCGCACGCCACCATGCCCAGCTGTTTTTGTACTTTTAGTAGAGATGGGGGTTTCACCATTTGGGCCAGGATGGTCTTGATCTCTTGACCTTGTGATCCACCCACCTCAGCTTCCCAAAGTGCTGGGATTACAGGTGTGAGCCACCGCGCCTGGCCTTTTTATTTTATTTTTTTGAGACACAGTCTTGCTCTGTTGCCCAGGCTGGAGTGCAATGGCACAATCTCAGCTTGCTGCTCACTAAGGCGGAGGCCTCCCGGGTTCCATCAATTCTCCTGCCTCAGCCTCCCAAGTAGCTGAGATTATAGGCACCCACCACAACACCTGGCTAATTTTTTGTATTTAGTAGAGACGGGGTTTCACCATGTTGGTCAGGCTGGTCTCGAACTCCTGACCTCAGGTGATTCACCCAACTCGGCCTCCCAAAGTGCTGGGATTACTGGCGTGAGCCACTGCACCCAGCCCATTCATTTATTTAATAAATATGTTATAAAAATATAGTTTCCGGTTGTGCTGTATGTAAAAAATACAAAATGAATGCAACACAAACCCTGTTTTCAAGCAGCTAAAAATTTATTCCTTGGGAAAAACAGAATAGGGAGAAATTCCATGGAGAATCAATGAAAGTTTCAAAGACTGAGCTCTGAAGTGGGTCTAGGTGAAGAGACCATTTTTATTCACTTTTTTTCTAAGTGACTACAAGCTCATTCACCTAGTTAAAAGGAAATTTTATGATTTTTGTGGCAATTTGTGTAAGCATTAGAACTTTCTGAGCATCTAGAAAGAAGAGGCAAATAATTTTAATTCCTTGATTTGGTAGTTAATTACACAAGAGTGTCTATCTTGCTTTGAAGGGGCAGAAGTATTGCTAGCTATGTATCGGAGTTTGGTCAGAGTAAAATCTCCACAAATGATATAAGAGATTTATTATTGGAATTAGATATTATTTAATTAAGGGAGCTGTTTAAGTAGTCTGTTTTATTGCGTCACTGCTTCTGGTGGTAGGCTTTAAGTGAGCAGGGCTGGCAGTTAGCACGTGAGGTTAGCGGGGAGTAAAAGACACACTAGAATCCACGAAGACAAAAGATGAAACACGTCTCTTCTCTGCACATCCGGTTTGATGATGTGAGCGATCTGCAGAAAAGTTGGTGGATTCCACCATGGACCTGCACAGGAACCTGGTCCAGAATTTGGAAGAGCTGAAGGAAGGTCCTGTGATTCCTGGAGGAGCTGTGGGCACAGTTGCTGCCCTTACCTACATGTTGAGCCACTGGATGTGTAACAATATATGTGTACACTAAGCTCAAGGAGTTTTTGACGATTACATAGCAAAGTTACCAAGATATATGACATTTTATTACCCCAGAAAGATTCTGAGTACGCCTTCAGAATTCATTGTTCCCTTCATCAAAAGCAGTTATTTTTCTGATTTCTTTTTACCATAGATTAGTTTTGCCTGTTCTCAAACTTAAAAAGGTAATGAAATAGCATGTACTCTTTTATCTGGAATTTTTCTCTCAGCATAGTATTTTTGAAGTTTATTCATAGTGTGTGTCTCAAAAGTTTGCTCCTTTTTATTGGGTCAGGTGTAAAAGTGGTATTTTTGCTTTTGGCTTAACTCCCATTGTCTGGACAAGAACATTTACTTAGAAGTGCATGAATAAGGCTTGAGGCCACTGTATTATTCCTGGAAGAGCTGCCTCCTTAGAGATAACTTTCAGTGATAGAAAGTTATCAGTGATAACTTTCAGTGATAGGAAGTTATCAGTGATAACTTTCAGTGATAGGAAGTTATCAGTGATAACTTTCATTGATAGGAAGTTATCAGTGATAACTTTCAGTGATAGGAAGTTATCAGTGATAACTTTCAGTGATAGGAAGTTATCAGTGATAACTTTGGGTTACAAAATCTTTTCAACCCTGTGAGGCCCAAATTGCTGAATTCTCAGTAGGCTTGGATTTCAACACACAGAGAGCATTCCTGAGCAGAGCTGTGTTCTTCCATCTCAGCATCCAAATCCCTCAGATCTTTCCTGAGCTTTCTCTCATTAACATACACTAACATGTTACAATTTTCTTCTAGTTATCCTAGAGTTATGTAAATGTTGTTAGTATATAGTCTCTCTTCCACGATATCATAAACAATGATTTTATTAAATGTTTTGGCATGGCACAGTAAGAATCACTGACTATATTAGAGTTCTCCAGAGAAAAAGAGTGGAGATATACATGTATACACACACACACACACACACACACACACACACGCATATATATATACACACACATATATATGTATGCACATATATACATATATGTGTGTGTGTGTGTGTGTGTGTGTGTATATCTGCTTTGACTCCTTCCTACTAGTTGCAATGCAGATTAAACAGCAAGAACTGGGATAACCACCCTGGATTGTGAGGTTGAAGATTGGGCCTGGATCCCTGATGATTCTGGAGTCTGGCCATCTACTAATTACCTGGACAACCTTGGGAAGCCATCATAGTACAAACATAGATGATTACATAAACCTAGATGATACAGCCTACTACTACACACCTAGGCTATATGGTATAGCCTGTTGCTCCTAGGCTATAAACCTGTACAACAAGTTACTGTACTGAATACTGTAGGCAGTTGTAACACAGTGGTATTTGTGTATCTAAACATACCAAAATGGAAAAGGTACAGTAAAAATATGCTATAAAAGATAAAAAAATTGTACACCTGTATAAGGAGCTTGCCATGAAGGGAGCTTGCAGGACTGGAAGTTGCTCTGGGTGAGTCAGTGAGTGAGTGGTGAGTGAATGTGAAGGCCTAGGATATTCCTGTACACTACTGTAGCGTTTATAAACTCTGTACACTTAGGCTACACTAAATTTATAAAATAATATTTTTCTTTCTTCTGTAATAAATTAACCTTAGCTTACTGTAACTTTTTTACTTTATAAAGTTTTAAAGTTTTTAATAACTTTTTGACATTTCTAATACTAAGCTTAAAACAAACATTGTACAGCTGTACAAAAATATTTTCTTTCTTTATATCCTTATTCTATAAGTTTTTTTCTATTTTTAAATTTAATTTTTTGTTGTTGTTGTTGTTAAACTTTTTTGTTAAAAACTAAGATGCAAACACATACTTTAGCCTAGGCCTGCACAGGGTCAAGATCATCAATATCACTGTCTTCCACCTCCATGTCTTATCCCACTGGAAGGTCTTCAGGGGAAGTGGCATGTGTGGAACTGTCATCTATGATAACAGTACCTTCTTCTGGTAACCTCCTGTAGGATCTGTCTGAAGCTGTTTTACAGTTACCTTTTTTTTTTTTAAGAAGGAGGACCTGCTTAAATAATGATAAAAAGTATAGTAAATACTAGATGATAGGAATTTTTCAGCTGCATTATAATCTCATGGGACCACTGTCTGCCTGTCTTTCTATCGAGAGAGAGAGAGAGATTTAAGGAACTGGCTTATACAGCTATGAAGGCTAAGTCCCAAATTTGCTGGATGTGCTAGAGCCTGGAGACCCAGGGAAGAGTCAACATCGCAGGTCAAGTGCAAAGGCCATCTGCTGGAGAATTCCATCTTGTTCCAGGGAGGTCAGTCTTTTGTTCTATTCAGTTCTTCAACTGACTGAAGCCCACCCACATTATGGAGGGCCATCTGCTTTACTCAGTCTAACAATTCAGATGTTACTGTCATCTAAAAACACCCTCACAGACACACCCAGAATAATACTTGACCAAATATCTGAATATCATGGTTCAGCCAAGTTGAACATAAATTATCTAGCCATCATACTGGCTTTCTAACCTGTAGTGTTTGTGACCTTGCCCTCTGTTACTTGTTTATTAAGGCAGTTCTTCACTTAGATTCTGCTACAACAACTCCACGTGGTACCAAATTCAGTATTAGTTAAGACAGTTTTTCTTCTAATATAACGGAGAGAGAAAGAGACTCAAAATAATAGGGACTTAAATAAGAATCTGAGTAGGCTTCCCAGAGTTGTCTAGGTAATCAGTAGATGGCCAGACTCCAGAATCATCAGGGATCCAGGCCTAATCTTCAACCTCACAATCCAGGGTGGCTATCCCAGTTCTTGCTGTTTAATCTGCATTGCAACTAGTAGGAAGGAGTCAAAGCATAATTCAACATTACTTCCACTCACATCTCATGGATCAGACGTAGTCATATGGTTATGGTTATTACAAGGCAGTTTAGGAAATTAGCCTTGGCTGTGCCCAATTAAAAATCCCATTACTATGGAAGGAAATGAGAACAGATACTGAAGAGTAACTAGAGGTGTCTGCTACAAGTTGGAAATTCCTTGATCAGGTAATGCTGGAAGATGTGAAGAGAATAACAAAACTCTTTTTTTTTTGAGACGGAGTCTTGCTCTGTGGCCCGGGCTGGAGTGCAGTGGCACAATCTCGGCTCACTGCAAGTTCTGCCTCCCGGGTTCATGCCATTCTCCTGCCTCAGCCTCCCAAGTAGCTGGGACTACAGGGACCCGCCACCATGCCCGGCTAATTTTTTGTATTTTTAGTAGAGACAGGGTTTCACTGTGTTAGCCAGGATGGTCTCAATCTCCTGACCTCATGATCCGCCCACCTCAGCCTCCCAAAGTGCTGGGATTACAGGTGTGAGCCACCGCACCCGGCCCAAGAATAACCAAACTCTTAAGCAAGAAAGCCAGTTTGAAAGATTTTACAATAATCAAGAAGTAGTTGACATAGCCCTTACGTAATGAATGGCAGGGGATAACTGCCATTAAAAGTATGAGCTATAGAACTATATTGCCTGGATTTTAATCCTGGTTTGGACATTTCCAGAGAAATTTTGTACAAATAACTGTCTTGCCTTAGTTTTCTCATCTGCAAAGTAAGAATAATAATTCATGCCTCAGAACTTAATTGAAAGATTGAATGAGGTAACATATAACACACTTAACGTCAGGTAAAAAAGGAAATGAAGGATAAAGTTCTAGGGCAGACTGATATTTAAGGGATATGAAAAAGAGGAAAGGCAGATGGGGAGGCGGAGGCTAAAGGGGGACTTCAGAGAAATAGAAGATGAACAAAGAAAAAATAGCTTCCAGGAAGCCACATCAGAAGAAAGTTTCATGAAGTTGAGGATTAATGGCAGAATCAGGTAAATGAAGGCTGAAAATAGGCTTTTTAATACAGGCTGTTTGTCTACTTATTTTCTTGCTGAGTCAAGCTTCTGAGGAAAACAGTATTTTTATCTACCTTTTAGAGTTATACAAACAAAGTATTGTTAAATGAATTACCAAGTTACTTGGAATAACTACCAAGTTATTCCAAATTATTTGGAATTTTAATGAAGGACTAACTACTTTTGAGTTTCTACATTGAGTCTAATATGTTAAAATTGTACACAACTATCATTTAAATGCCAATCTGTGATGAAAAGTTTCAAATTATGTCTCAGTGTGAAGTATGTGCTTTCATTCACCTCATCATAATGCTGTACAGCAGCACTTTAATAGGTGGAGGTTGTATGCTCTATAAAAGGACTGCTAGGTAAGATTCTCAGGTCATTGCTTAAGACCTATTAATTCTACTTTCTTTATGTTAAAAGTGCCTGGAGGTATATAGTTATTTTTTACCTTCAATGGGTATTTGAGACAATTGGGATGTTAGAATGAATGCATGTGGTGTCCTGTGTCTCATTGCCTCAAATTCCAAACTTATTTTAGCAGTCATAGTATTTGCTTCAGGGCACATAGCTTGAGGTAAAAGCTTGAGGTCCTCTTTCCGGTACTAGATTTGAGTGGCAGTCTTCGTGCTGCTTTAATTAGCTGTGTCACTTCAGGCAAATCAGAGTCTTTTTGTGACCTTCGATTTGATAAATCTTGTCAGACTATTTACCTTGTACATCTCACCTCATAAGGTTTTATTAAGACTCTGTCTGTGAAGTGCTCTTTAACTAGAGCACCAAGTAAACATAAGGTAGTATTAATTAAGCTGATCACATGTCCTACACTCAGTTAACATAGGAGTGAGCATCTTGTTTGATTTCTGGACCAAATCCACATTCTGTTCTCTTTTATTCAGGAAGATTCTTTCTATTTTGTTTACTTATTTTTTTAAATAATTTATTGTATTTTAGATTCGGGGGTACATGTGCAGGTTTGTTACACGGATGTGTTGCGTGATGCCGAGGTTTGGGATACGATTGATCCCATCATCCGGGTAGTAAGCATAGCACCAAATAGTTTTTCCACCCTTACCCCCCTTCTGCCCTCTCCCTTCTAGTAGTTCCCAGTGTCTATTACTGCCATCTTTATGTCCGTGAGTACACAATGTTTAGCTCCCATTTATAATTGAGAACATGTGATACTTGGTTTTCTGTCCCTACATTAATTCACTTAGGATAATGGTTTCCAGCTGCATCCATGTTGCTGCAAAGGACATGGTTTCTTTCTTTTTTTTTTCTTGCTGCTCTATTCTAGTTTAAAGAAAGTGTAAGAATTTCCTCATGGAGGAATATGTACATGTGTCCAGTGTTCTCTGGAAGCAACTTACCTTTTTGGTTTTGGACTTAAGCTGTCATTTGGGCAGTGAGATAAAAAGACTGTAGTTTTCATACATTTTTCACATTATTAATTATATAACTGTTTTTCTTTTCTACATAAGTTGCAGATAGCTTTATAAGGTAGTCTCATATAGGCTTTCTGAAATATTAATTGAGTATTAAATGGTTACAATGGACCAACTGCAGGATCGATGTTCCTATGCTTATTTTAAATTTTTTAAATTTCTACAGTCTTACTTGGTTTTAAAAAATGTATAATGCTAGAGTTTCTGAGAAGGAAAAACTTGCTAATATTGTGGCATCCTTTACTTATATTTGCTTCCAACGGAAGGGTACTATTGCCTTGATACTCTAATGGCGAAGGAAGGGACATGAATAAAGATGAGGAATAAATATATTAATCATAGTATATTGGGGCTGTAATCTTAATTTTTCAAGAGCACAGACATGTATGATTCTTTTACTTCTGTACCAGAAATTGTAGGCGAGACAGCGATTGTGACTTCAAACTTGTTTTAGCGATGACATAAAAAGAATTTGTTTATCTTCTGGTGATAAGTCATGAGGAATTAATGAAAGAGGGAAAATCACTCTCGTTTCGGTCAAAAGATGGCACTGTTGCTGTGCTGATTATTCTTTTCTGCTCAGCCCTTTTTAAATGCAGAAAACAGTTGAATACAGTGATCTAATTAACACTGACCCTCCCATCAGAATGCCAAATTTTCTAATCAAGCACCAAAAGAATAGATCCGAGAAAGAGAATTTATATTTTTAAAAAAGTGTTAGGATGTTTTAATAGCTATTTATAAAAATAACATTCTGTGTTTGAAACGCAGATATTTGCCAAGGGAAAAATAGGACATCCTGCATCGTGGTTTAAATTTTGGTTATGTTTTGAAACACCTTCCTTTGGAACTTTTATAACTGTCAGTGTTTTAAGACATTTTAGGTTTTGTTTTGTTTTATTTTAGTTTTTCAAGATCATTGAACTTATGCTATAATTAAGATAATACATGTTTTTCTTTAAGGTATTTAAGTCAAGTAATAATTTTTCTTTTATTTTCCTTTCTTACTATCCTTTAGTTGGAAGCCTGTGTAGATTAGTCTGGGAATGTTAAGGTGGTCTGTCTTGTGCTAGAGAAGCAACACATTCTCACCTTGTTTTAAGCCAGTTTCTTAAAAGGCTTTTGAGGCATGATTCTATTTCCCTCTAAGCAGACCTTTCAAGGATGGAGAACTTCATCCTTGAAGGCAAAGCATTAAACTTTGGGAAAGACAAAATGAATGCCTTTAAAAAATACGTTTATTATTGATTTTACAGAATTTCTTTAAAATACAGACACGCAGATCAAAACATTTTTTGAGGGAGTGAGAGAAGGAATCCTTGGTGTATTGAAACCACAAAACAATCCAGTTTTCCTTAGAAAACTCTTGTGGAATCCTGCATATAGACTGCTTATCAGTAGATTTGCCTATCTGATGCTTTTAAAAGTTAACATTTAAATGATTTACTTGCAACAATAATTAAATTAAGCTTTTATTGGATAACTAACTATGTGGTTAACTAGTTTTATCATACTAACTAGTTTTATCATACATGCAGATATTTACAGAAGATATTGTATATAGTTTTACAGTATAATTCATTTGGATCTAAAATACAAGGAGAAAATCTTATTTAATGGCAGATGTGTTTCAGAATTCAGAATTTGTTTGGATTTGTTAAAGAGTTAATATAGTACATACTTAATACATGGTCTAACCTCCTTTCTACAGGAGGGTCTGGAACAATACTCCATAATCAAACATATAAACATTTTTTCAGCAAGACATATGAATAGTTATACCACATGAGATAAGTCTTGGCCATAAATAGCCTTACATGAGTTTAGGTCAGATTTTTAAGCCAAGTGAATCTGCCACAACTTTTTTTTTTTTTTTTTTTTTTTTTTTTTGGGAGACAGAATCTCGCTCTATCATCTATGCTGGAGTGCAGTGGTATGATCTCGGCTCACTGCAACCTCCACCTCCTGGGTTCAAGTGATTCTCCTGTCTTAGCCTCCCCAGTGGCTGGGGTTATAGGCGCACGCCACCACACTCGGCTAATTTCTCATATTTTTGGTAGAGACGAGTTTTCACCATGTTGGCCAGGCTGGTCTTGAACTCCTGACCACAAGTGATCTGTCCCCTTTGGCCTCCCAAAGTGCTGGGATTACAGACGTGAGTCACCACGCCCGGCCTCACAACTTAATTTTTAAAAACCTGTAGGTTACAGAGCTTTTTGGATTTCACGACAGAGTATGAGATAGACCTGAAGTACCACTTGGTTGTATTCTGTGAACTGTCAAAAATCTATTGAGGATTTTCTGTTTGCAAATGAGGGAAATTTAACATTATATTCTATTTAATGGTTTCTTTTTAAAAACTGTGTATTGTTTTGTTTTTAGCAGCTTCATTAACTAGGTGGTTCAAACACAAAATGCATTTCAGCCTGTTCCATGATACACTGAAAGACAAGCAAAGATTTGGGGAAAGTTGTATACCTGATATCTGCCATATAGTAACAGGTTATCTGGTATACATTCCATGGCAAGAAGGGCATCTTTCTTTCTCTTTTAGGAGTACTTGGGGTAAAATCATTTTCTACTATATATTTTTTCTTTTTTTCTTACCTTCATTATGCAGTAGGCCATTGTATTATATGCTATAAAATTAATCAAGATCAACTTTGTTTCCTACAGCAGTGTTGTGAGAGAGAATCTTACCTCATATTTCAAGTAGGGTTTAAACCTGATCAGCACTTTTATAGGAGGCTTCTGAAGGGAATATGTGTGTTTCGGAGAAATGATAGAGGGATTATATTATGTCGCAATTCTGCTTCCTTTAGAAGTACTTCCTCCAATGAAGAGAAGTTGTTTAATGGGTACAAAAATACAGTTAGATAGAAGGTATAAATTCTAGGATTTGATGGTACAGGAAGGAAATTGTAGTTAACAATAATTTATTGTATATTTCAAAGTAGCTAGAAGAGAAGAATTGTAATGCTCCCAAGATAAAGAAAAGATAATTGTTTGTGGTGATGGATTTCCTAATTACCCGATTTGATCATTCTACATTGTAAACATGTATCAAAATAAAACATATACCTTCAGATTATCTACAATTATGATATATCAATTTTTTAAAAAGTACTTCCCTAGCTTTGCATTATAATTGGGCATTTTATATTAAAGAATATGTAAAACCCAAGATAATGTTTACTAGTTTCCATTTTAGAGTATTAGGTTAGCATTGTACTTAATCTGATCAAATAATACTTTTGCTTCTACTGTTGTTAGTCATGACATTTTTCTGACTTCTACTTTTAAGTATGATTAGAAAGTTTACTGTTATCATTAGAATTCAATGATGAATAATACCAGTCTTAATACAGCTTGGTTAGTGATAATTTCATGCATTATAGTTAGTGGTTAGCACAAATACGACATTACTCAGGATCTTGTTAAACCATGACACAGGATCATTCAGGAGCCAAGGGGCCATAGCTCATTTGGACAGGTTAATAGAGGATACTATACTATTATGCAGAAATGGATGTTGCTTGGCTGGCTGTTTAGTTTTCCTTCCTCTTATTTAAAAAAAAAAATAATAAATAACTAAATGGCACAGACATTTACACAAGCATAGAGAACCCAACCTGTCTTTTTTTTTCTTCTTCGTTCTCTAATCCTGACTTGTCTTTTTATGTGGTCAGTACCACAGCTTTGCCAAAGTTTATTAGTATTATTCAAGTCTTTCTAATCTCTAAATGTTTTGCCACCTCCAGAATTTAAAATTTCTTAGTGGGCTTGTTAAGACCTATTAAGCAATATCTTTCTTTTGTTTTGAGTGAATCATTTTGCTCCCCCAAACAACCCTTCTCACATCCTGCCATCTAACTGTTGTAAAAATACATATACAGTCCTCTGTTTGTGATTTGGATGAAACCTGTGATAATAATTTCTTGTTTCTTGTACACTACTTCAAAATGTGTATAAATTGTTATGGAAGCAGATGATTTATCCCAGACATTATTGTAATGGACAGGGCCCTGTATATTTAGGTACTTAGATTTTAGTAGTGTGCTAATTTTTGCTTAGTATATTGTAAAATACATCTTTTAATTTTGATTGGAAAACAAAGACCAGAAATACTGGTTTTTAAATCATTGAACTTGTCTGATTATAGAGTTGTTGTATGTTCTTGCCTTAACAGAAACTATAGTGTGTAATGATAAATTGTAATTATAGAGATAGTTTTATACTTTCTGCAAAAGCAGTGGGAGGCCACAACATGGTCTGGTTCAGTTCGTAAGAAAAATGGCATTTATGGCTCTGGGGGAGGGGGACAGGGAGATGGTTTCAGGATTAAACTGTTCCACCTCAGATCATCAGGCATTAGTTAGATTCCGGAGCTCAGGTGGTAATGCCTGCTCACCCACCACTCAACTCCTGCTGTGCAGCTGGGTTCCTAATAGGTCACAGACTGGTACTGGTCTGTAGGCCCAGGGATTGGGGTCCTCTGATCTATAGCATAAGATAATTCTCAGAGTAGAAAAATCTTAGCTATAAACCCTAGGAGTGAGTTTTTACAAATTGCCTGCCTTCCTTTATCTTTGAATACAAATTTCTGATAGTTTTAAAATACATAACTACTGAAAGCAAAAGGATTAAAATGATATTTAAACAACATGCAGCAGTAGCAAAACAGCAAGACCATTTGACAGGAATCCCTAACATTTGCCTTATGGTTTTGAGATTAACCCAATTTGTTTTAAAAAGGCTTTGTGTTACCACATACAATTTTCTCATTTAGAAATTAATGTGGGCAGTTAAGTTATACCTGCCTAATTTTAGAAAGATAAATTATGAATGTCGAAATGAAAGGTAAGCAGAAGAATCAGCCAACATTGGCAACATTATAGAAATTAATTTAAATTTGCATTAAGCCAGGAACATATTGTTTGTAAATTATGAGGCTTCTATGTACTTTTGTACAGCTTTAATGAAAAAGAATCATACTTACTTGATTAAGCATTGGCTTTGCTAATTGTGGAACTAAGACCAAAATAGTCATTTTCATGGGAGGTTGGAAGTATCTGAATTCAAATATTGCCTATATCCACAATAATCTAACATTTTTATTGTGTATTTCTCTATTTTTAATTGTTTAAAAATACATAACATAAAATTTGCTATCTTAACCATTTTTAAGTGTACAGTTCAATAGTGTTAAGTACATTCACATTGTTGTACTACCAATCTCCAGAACTCTTTTCATCTTTCAAAACTGAAAGTCGATATCCATTAAGCACTAACTCTTCATTCCCTTCACTTCTTAGCCCCTGGCAACCACCATTCTACTTTCTGTCTCTATGAATTTGACTATTCTAGATGCCTCATATAAGTGGAATCATGTGATATTTCTTTTTTGTGACTGGCTTATTTCACTTAGCATAATGTTCTCAGGGTTAATCCATGTTATAGCATCTGTCAGAGTTTTCTTCCTTCTTGATGCTGAATAATATTTCATCATATCTATGTATCTGTCTACACATTTTGCTTGGCAGTTCATCCACTGATGGACACTTGGGTTGCTTCTATCTTTTGGCCATTGTGAATAATGCTACTATGAACATGGGTACAAATATCTCTTTAAGACCCTGCTTTCAATTGTTTGGGGAATATGACCAGAAGTGGAATTGCTGGAGCACATAATAACTTGATTTTTAAGTTTCTGAGGAGCCGTCATATTGTTTTCCATAGTGGCTATACCATTTTAATAATCTAACATTTTTAAAGAAAGTCTTATACCTATTGCTATAGTTAGTAGAAAATGATCCAAAATGAATGTAGTTACAACTTTACTTAGCAAATTGGCCTTTACCTTAGTGTGTTGCTGTAAAAACAAAAAAAGAGAAAACAAAAAACGCCATCATTAGATGTGTATTAGTTGTTTCCTATTGCTGCTGTTAACAATTTGCCACAAATTTAGTGGCTTTAAATAGCACAGATTTGTTACCTTTGCGCTTCTGGAGGTCAGAAGTCCAAAATGAGCCCTGTGGGACTAATATCAAGATGCTGGCAGAGATGTGTTCCTCCTGGAGGTGCTAAGGGAAAATCTGTTTGCTTACCTTTTCCAGCCTTCAGAAGCAGCTCACATACCTGAGCTCTTTGCCCTAGGCCAGCAATCCTGTCAGTTCAACCCAGGCTTCCATCATCACATCTTCACCAACTCTCTGCCTCCCTCTTTCAATGATAAAGGACCTTTGTGATTACATCAGGCCCACTCGGATAATCCAGGATAATCTCCCCATTGCAGGATCCTTAATTTAGTCACATCTGCACATAGCCTTTTCCCATGTAAAATGGCTTGCTTACAGGTTCTGGGGATTAGGATGTGGACATCTTTGAGGGGTTTTCATTCTTCCTACCGCAGGATATTTATTATCCCTTTAGCAGTTCACATCTCCAGCATCTAGATAGGAGCCTTTTTTGTTTCCATGGGGAATATTTAGAGGGCAGTGAATAGTGAGGAGAGGAAACATAGAAAAAGTTTTTTTAGAGACTAACAACAAACACCGAAGTATGAGAAGACCCTCAGTGGTAGGAACCCCCAAAATATCTCTTTAATCAATAAATGAATACATGAGATGTATAGAAATCCTGGATACCATAAAATTTTAGTTATCTGGAACCTCAGGGAATACCTTTTCTAGAGAGGTTATCCCTTAACAGTCAAAATTTTTAAAAATACATATAACTGGCCAGGCGTGGTGGCTCATGCCTGTAGTCCCAGCACTTTGGGAGGCCAAGGCGGGCGGATCACCTGAGGTCAGGAGTTTGAGACCAGCCTGGCCAACATGGTGAAACCCCGTCTCTACTAAAAGTACAAAAATTAGCCAGGCGTGGTGGCAGGTGCCTGTAATCCCAGCTACTCAGGAGGCTGAGGCAGGAGAATTGCTTGAACTGGAGAGGTGGAGGTTGCAGTGAGCCAGGATTGCACCACTGCACTCCAGTCTTGGCAACAAGAGCAAGACTCATCCCCCCACCTAAAAAAAAAAAAAAAAAAAACAATTTAAGTGACCTCCATGGCAAAAGCTCTGATATTTATTCTTTTGTCAAATCTCCCCTTTAATTTGTATTACAGAAATAAATCAGATGGGTAAAAAATTAAACTACAAATGAGCTCCTAGTGAAAAGGATTGCTCCCCTGCAACTCTTCCTCTCTTCCTCCAGTCTTAGTCCTCAGAGGCAATTGCTTCTAATGATTTTGGTTCCTAATTCATTCTTCAGGTCACCCCCAAATCTCTAAATAATACGTTTATTCATTTTCTAAAATTGTCAAAAAATTAGACATTAACTACTGCCCTATCCCAAGGATTTATGTCACTTACACCACCCTTCCCTCATCACACTACCCTGCACCCTGCAATCTCACACTGTACTCAGTTTCTCTCTGTCGGCTCTGAAACTTAGTACCATACACTTAGACCTACATTTCTTATTCTATTAGTGGGGGAAAGTTCTCTTAAATACACATCACACCTTTTTTGTCTTTTTTTCTTCATTTATCTTTATTCTTTTAAAAAAATAATTAGAGGCAAATGTCTTTTGCCTTTTATTTTTATAAAATAAGAACACTTACACGCCCACCCTGCCTTCCATTTCTCTCTCCCTTCTACTTCCCAGTATCTTACAGCTGTACTTTCATGTTGTCAAGGTTGATCATATTCTTTCTGAGACCTTAAAATCTGTTCTGTAACAATAGTAAGTTTGGTCTTTGGAGTAATTCTGAACATTGAAGACCCATAAGTGGTGTATATTGTTTAATTCTATAAATATTGTCCACTGCATAATGGAATAATATGTTAGAATTAAAATTCCTTGTCTCTTGGTTCAATCTCATGAGCAGAATACCACTGAAACATTTTTTCTAGAATCAGATAGATGAGACAAGTTGATCTCTCCCTTTCCCTCCCAATTATGTATACCAAATCTTCAAGTTTTTCTCAGTTTTCAGTCATTTCATCTCTTTTACTTCTCTCCCTTCTCCCTTCCTTCTGGAGAGCTCCCTCTTTTTCCAGACTGCAGTAGTTGCCTTCCAGGCCTCCCACGCAGCTCTCACTCTGAGGCTTCACTCCTTTCACTGCTCTTCTATGTTGCATGCACTCTTTTCTGAATTACATTTTTCCTCTTTCTTGCTTTATTTCCTCATTTTACTAGAATTAAAATTTCGGAGTCATGAGATATCTGCAAGTTTCTGGATTCTTGCTACATATTTATTTTATGAGTTGGCTGCAAATAGAATTCACTTTAAATTGCTTTTTCCTAGGATTTGGAATGTATTTCTCCACTGATACCAGTCTGATTCCTGGGCTCGTAATAGGTGACCTGTTTTTCTCTTTGGAGGCATTAAACACCTCTTTGTTCTTGAAGTTCAAAAATTTAACAATGATGGATCTAAGTGTGGGTGTTTTTTATTCATTATAAGGGTGAAGTTTTGACAGTTTTCATCAAGACCCTCTCCACCCCCTCCTCTTAACTCTGTCACCTCGTCTCAGATTACCACCCCTGGCTCACCTTGCTCCAGCCACACTGACCTCCGCTTTCCTTGAACATGCCTCAAGGTCTTGTCACTGGCTATTCCTTTGGTATGGAATGCTCTTCTCTCAGATATCTGCTTGGCTCACTCCCTTACCTCCTCAGAACTTTGTTCAAATGTCACTTTCTGAAATGGCAAACTGTTCTAACTGTCCCATTTAAAATTATAATCCCTCTCATCCAAGCACTCCTAATCCTTTTATCCTGCTTTTATTTTCTTCATAGTTATCTATCACTAAATTGCATACTAAATAAAAAAATGTGCAAACCTGTACATATATGTATGTATGTATATGTGTATATGTATATATGTTTATCTTTGTATATGTGTATGTTTATGTATGTGTGTATATATTTATATTAGTTTGCTAGAGTTGCCATAACAAAATAACAAGACTGTGTGGCTTAAACAATAGAAGTTTATTTTCTATTTTATTATTTTATTTCTTTTTTTTTTTTTTTTTTTTTTGAGATGGAGTCTCACTCTTTCACCCAGGCTGGAGTGAAGTGGTGTGATCTTGGCTCACTGTAACCTCTGCCTCCTGGGTTCAAGTGATTCTCCTACCTCATCGTCCCAAGTAGCTGGGATTACAGGCATCCACCACCGCACCTGGCTGGTTTCCCCATGTGGTCCATGCTGGTCTCGAACTCCTGACCTCAGGTGATCCATCTGCCTCGGTCTCCCAAAGTGCTAGGATTACAGGCGTGAGCCACCGCACCTGCCTAGAAGTTTATTTAATCACAGTTTTGGATGCCAGAAGTTTGAGATGAAGGCATCAGCAAGATTTGTTTTGTCTGAGGTCCTTCTTCATGGCTGGTAGATAGCTGTCTTCTCCCTGCGTCTTCTTTATATGGTCCTCCCCTGTAATTCTGTGACCAAATGTCCTCTTCTTGAAGGATCCCAGTCATATTCCATTAGGGCCCACTTTAATGAACTACTTTTAACTTAATTACTTCTTTATGGACCCTGTCTGTAAATACAGTCACCTTCTAAGGCACTATGGGTTAGGACTTCAACAAAGGAATTTTGCAGGGACACAGTTTAATTCAAAACATATTTAATTTGTTATATTCTATGTCCCCCAGCTAGAATGTAAGCTTCATGAGGTGAAAGATTTTTTTGTTGTTGTTCTGTCTGTTGAGATATACTTACCACCTAGAACAATGCTCAGCATATAATAGAGGCTCAATAAATAATAATGAGTGTCTTATCTTTCTAGTACTCCTATTAATTGGATTTTGAACCTATGTAATTGATCCACCTTGTCTCATTTTCAGTCAGTCTGTTACTGTTGTACTTTTTGTGGAGAGATTTCTTCAACCTTAACTTCCAAATACTTCTACAGAATATTCTTTATTTTGGTAACCATATATTTAGTTTCTAAGAACTCTCTTCTTGATCCTTTTTCATGGCATTCTGTTATGGATATTGTATCTTTGCTGATCTGTCTGCATTTAATAGATCATATTTCTCTTTTGTTCCCTGAATTTTCTGTTTCTTCCTGTGTCATTATTGTTTATTTTGTTCTTTCTCTTACATATTGCTTAAGCATTTCTGATCTTTAATTATCTAGCAATCCTTGGTTATACATTTTTATTTAATAATGAGACAATAAAAGTACTAGAGGTGTATTTTAAGGACGAGACCTTTTATCTGGTGATACAACTTTCTGAAGAGCTGACTGTTACTCTGGAGGCTCTCTTCATGGTAGAATGCAGAGATCTTTGATTTGGGGTCTAAAACCCATAGTGGCTGCCTTAGAAGTCTTCACAAATAGTTTATTCAATTTTCTTAGATAAAAACCTTCCAACTTTTTACCTGGTTGCCCAAATTGCAATATTGGAAGTATGGAATCAATGACTTCTTATGTATGCTTTCATATGTATGCTTTGTTTTTATTTTTACTCCCATCGATTTAAAGACAAACTCATTATTCTGTTCTCTACCCCTATTTTCCTACTTTTTGAATAGCAATCAACCAGTCTAACTTACTCTATCTTTTCCATGTTGATTGGTCTGATTATCATTTTCCAAGTCTTCAAGGATAAGTTAGAAAGAAATAGGTGTAAGATCAGAGATTGGGCACAGTGGCTCACGCCTGTAATCCCAACACTTTGGGAGGCTAAAGCAGGCGATCACTTGAGATCAGGAGTTCAAGACCAGCCTGACCAACTTGGTGAAACCCCGTCTCTACTAAAAATACAAAAATTAGCTGGGCATGGTGGAGGCCGCCTGTAATCCCAGCTACTTGGGAGGCTGAGGCAGGAGAATTACTTGAACCTGGGAGGCAGTCATCGCAGTGAGCCGAGATGGCATCACTGCACTCCAGCCTGGGTGACAAAGTTAGACTCTGTCTCAAAAAAAAAAAAAAGACTAGAAAACATCCAAAGTAATTGCAGTCTAAGTCAGAGTAAGGTTAGTTTTAAGTACGTAATCTTTGCTGTCAGACCCCCTGGTTTCTTTTTAATATACTTAACTAATCTTTTGCATTTTTCTGATTGCACACAGGTCTGCAATTAAGGCCTTACGTCCTGGAGGGATACTTGTATACTCTACATGCACGCTTTCCAAGGCAGAAAATCAAGATGTGATCAGTGAAATTTTAAACTCCCACGGTAACATCATGCCTATGGACATTAAAGGAATAGCAAGGACTTGCTCCCACGACTTCACATTTGCTCCCACTGGCCAGGAATGTGGGCTCTTAGTGATTCCAGATAAGGGCAAAGCCTGGGGCCCAATGTATGTAGCCAAATTGAAGAAATCATGGAGCACAGGAAAATGGTGACATGAATTTGTAAACTGTGTTTATGTGTTATTATATTTATATTTCTGAACTCAGTACATGTTAATATTTAAATAATTATGCAGTAACTTTCTCTGGGTCTGTTTGGAATCCTATTTAGTTAATACTTTAGCATCTTAGAATCTAGGCTTGAGAATTGTTCAGGTGTATTTTTTTCCTAGAAATATATCTGTAACAATGATTTAAGGTGGTGCAGATGGTGTTTGTTCTATATTATAAATCTGCTGTCTTTGCTTGGCATTTTATAGTTAAATTAATTAGAATATGTGGTTTTATGCATAACGTGTTTAGTTCTGTATTCTTTCTATGATAGTGCTTTGAACCTTCAAAAATTCACATTTTCCAGCGCTCCGACCATTTTCCCGCTTATCAAATGTACAAATTTGTTCAAGGTTTTTTTTTCCCCCCAACTTTTGTAACTGATTGTCTCAGAACTGATTGGTATTCTGAGACTAACTTTTTAAGCAGCACTATTTCTAGTTCTGGCAAAATAGTTTTTTTATTTGCAATGTTGTTTTCTGTTAAAGACTATATTATGTTTACTGCAAAGGTCAGTGACTCTACTGACACCAGCTTTATTTCCCCCACTTTTTTTGCATTCACAAATACAAATTGAAAGGGTAAATTATATTGAAAGGCCTTTAGAACAGCAGATTCACATGCACATGTTTGACTTTCGACATTCAGCTTATAGAATTATGGAGTCTATCCAGCAGGCTATAAAGCAAGTACTTGAGACAAAACCGGAATGATTAATAACTGCAATCACTGAACTATATTTGGAGAGTTTTGTTACATAATTGCAGTCATAATGAGCACTACAGAATCTGATTATCTTACATTCACAATCTGGAGGGGCTTTTTATTTCACTTTGTTATAAAATGTTCTCTGAGAATATGATGCCACATATTAATGCACAAGAGGGAGATGCCTAATGAGAGTGGACTGTGTGATTACCAGAACCCAGTGCCATTTACTAAGTGGCTCTCCATGTTTACATAAATCCTGGGAATACTGTATACATTTCTTCTTATGTACTTAGGGTTTTAGCTTCAGTCAGCATCACACTTTTTCTCCAGAAATTACTTCACTTAGAGTACAAACATATTTTTCCAACTATTAAGAAAAATTATGCAGCACATCTCAAAAAATAGCATCTCTTTGGAAAATAGCCTTTAAAAAAAAACAACTTTATCTGATTATAGAAATACAAAATTCTGCTAAAGCTGAATACTTTTGAATTGTTCATTATGTTCTGTGCCTTTAAACTAGAGACTATTTGCTTATTAATATTTTTTGTTTTGCAAGCATATGTAACCCGGTTTATATCATCAGGAAGTCTTAGGAAGAATTTTTTTTTCTGTACCTTCAGTCTGTTAATCATTTGTTTTCCTTTATGTCCAATTGATATGTTTAAAGTAAAGCTAAAGTCCAGGCACGGTGGCTTATGCCTGTAATCCCAGCACTTTGTCAGGCCGAGGCAGGGGGCATCTCCTGAGGTCAGAAGTTCGAGACTAGCCTGCCCAACATGGTAAAACCCCGACTCTACTAAAAATGCAAAAAAATTAGACAGGCATGGTGGCTGGCACCAGCAATCCCAGCTACTTAGGAGGCTGAGGCAGGAGAATCACTTGAACCCAGGAGGCAGAGGTTGCAGTTAGCCAAGATCTCGCCATTGCACTCCAGCCTGGGCGACAAGAGTGAAACCCCGTAGCAAAAAAATAATAATAATAGTAATTAAATAAAAATAAAGTAACGCTAGAACTGTTGGACCAAATCAAGTATATGGGTAAATACAGAAGAATAATGATGGTGGAAAAGATGTTTTCTTTTTTAAGTTATCATTATTAGTTTGTTTTTTTTATCTTCAGACACTATAGGTTTTAAAAATAGGTTTCTTTTATGTAGGTTAATCACAGAGTAAATCTGCACACTGTACTTTGTTAAATGTCGGTATTTTCCCAGTATAATGCGATGAAGCTTAATCTGAATACTTGGTATGCTATTGAATTTACTTTCCTATGATTACTGAAAAATGGATGCACGTGTGTGTGTGTGTGTGTGTGTGTGTGTGTATATATATATATATATATAATTTTATTAAAAGCAATTGCCCCAAAAGCAGAAATTGACAAGCGGGACCTAATTAAACTGAAGAGCTTCTGCACAGCAAACTAAACTATCAACAGAGTAGCAGACAACTTACAGGATGGGAGAAATATTTGCAAATTATGCATCTGCCAAAGGTCTAATATCCAGAATCTATAAGGAACTTAAATCAGCAAGCAAAAAACAAATAACCCTATTAAAAACTGAGCAAAGGACATGAACAGACATTTCTCAAAAGAAGACATTCACATGGCCAACAAACATATGAAAAAGTGCTCTTCATCACTAATCATCAGAGAAATGCAAATCAAAACCACACTGAGATAATATTTTACACCAGTCAGAATGGCTATTATTAAAAAGTCAATAAAATAAAAAATAACAGACGCTGATGAGGCTGTGGAGAAAAGGAACTGCTTATGAACTGTTGGTGGAAATGTAAATTACTTCAGCCTCTATGGAAAGCAGTTTGGAGATTTCTCAAAGAACTTTATAACAGAATTGCCATTTGAGCTAGCAATCCCATTAGTGGGTATATACCCACAGGAAAATAAATTGTCCTACAAAAAAAGACATAAACGCTTGTGTGTTCATCACAGTAATATTTACAATAGTAAAGATACGGAATCAACCTAACCGCCCATCAGCAGTTGATTGAATAAAGGAAATGTGGTACATATACCTCGTGTAATATTACACAGTGATAAAAAAGAATGAAATAATGTCTTTTGCAACAACATGGATGCAGCTGGATGCTTTTATCCTAAGCAAATTCAGGAACAGAAAACTAAATACATATTCTCACTTACAAATGGGAGCTAAATATCGAGTACACATGGACATAAAGGAACAATAGACACTGGTGACTACTAGAGTGGGGAGGGGAGGAGGGGGATGTAGGCTGAAAAACTACCTATTGGGTACTGCACTCACTACCTGGGTGACGGGATCGTCTGTACCCCAAACCTCAGCATCATCCAGTATACCCATGTAACACACCTGTTCATGTATCCCCTGAATCTAAAAAGCTGAAATTATTTTTTAATGAGAAGATAAACCATAATTATAATGAAATAGGTAATATTGAGCATTGAATATTCTATAAATTGTTTATATATGTTGTCTTTTTTTTTTTTTTTTTTTTTTTTTGAGACAGAGTCTTGCTCTGTCGCCCAGGCTGGATGGCGTGCAGTGGCATGATCTCAGCTCACTGCAACCTCTGCCTCCCGGGTTCAAGCAGTTTTCTGCCTCAGCCTCCCAAGTAACTGAGATCACAGGCACCCGCCACCATGCTTGGCTAATTTTTTTTGTATTTTTAGTAAAGATGGGGTTCCACCATCTTGGCCAGGTTGATCTTGAACTCCTGACCTTGTCATCCACCTGCCTCAGCCTCCCAAAGTGCTGGGATTACAGGCGTGAGCCACCACACCCACTGTGTATGTTGTCTTTATTGATGCTTAAAACAAACTCAGGAATAAGTATTATAACCCCCTTTTGTGAATGAGAAAACCAAAGCTCAGTTCTGTTTATAGTTTGCCAAGGCTACACTGGTAAGTAAAGGGTTCAGCCAATGTATAGACAGACTGTATAGATATATGAAGTGGGGGTGGGGGCCAAGGAGCTATTACTGCTGTTTGGAAATACTTGCCTCTTGTAGATCCAGCTTTAACATTTTTATGACATCCTAGTAATAGCAGACCCTGCACAAAGTGGATATCAGAGTTAATACTGTGAAGAGACAAAATAATGAGAATACTTTTACCAAAGATAATGAAATCTTGCATAATGTCTGCATTTTTCCATTGATTGGAGTGCATCCTTAGAAAACTGAAAATAACAAAAACCCAGGACATTTTTGGAAATTGTATGCTCTCTAGCAACTTTGCGTGAATTTTTATACAAACACTTATGAGTTATATAAAATGTTCTAAAACTAGAAAAAACATGGTCTTGTAACATGTTATTTTCTTAGATCACTGGTTTCTCAGAACATGTCTTTCTGCATGGCCTCCTCATCCCCATCCCAGGGGAGAACGTGAATGTTCCAAGGGACTTCGGCCTCTGGGGCTTCCACACTCTGGGTGTCAGGGGTACAGCTCACAGGCTTTCAGTTTGGCCACAGCTGAATGATTGAGAATTACCAGATAAATCCTCCAAATCCATTTCTCCAGAAACCTCTTCCTAGCCACACAGTGGGAGCCTTGTTTGACCTTTTTTAACCTTTCCTGGTCAGGTGCCAGGCCAGTCCTGCAAAGCCAGCAAAGTTTCATTTTCATTCAACCCTTTTTTTTTCACTTTGAATCAAATGGAATTTAGTTCCTCCCACTGTCCCCAACCCAGCTAGAGTGCAGTGGTGTCATCATGGCTCACTGCAGCCTCGACTTCCTGGGTTCAAGTTATCTTTTCGCCTCAGCCTCCTAAGTAGCCTGGACTACAGGCCCACAATACCATGCCTGGCTAATTTTTAAATTATTATTATTATTATTATTGTAGAGATGTGACCTCACCAGGCTGGTTTCAAACCCCTGGCCTCAAGTGATCCTCCCACTTCAGCCTCCCAAAGTATTGGGATTACAGGTGTGAGCCATTGTGCTCGGCCTCATATATTATTAGTTGTAAAAAAGGATGCATGTTTTCCCTCACCTTCTCTTTGGCTAATTATAAATCATTTTACTTAATATTTCATAGTTAAAGGGTAGAGCCGCGATCAAAACTGGCTCCGAGGTCCAGGCCCTTTTCCCAACACTATGCTGTCTCACAGAGTGTAGGTTGTTTGAACCCTCAAGATTATTAACTGACTTTACCCCTATTTTCCATTGTTCAGTTTCCTCCTTTTGTGTCATACCCTATTCCCAGGGGATGAAAGGATTAATCAATACTTGGGAAAAAAACAACAACCTTTGAACTGTTTCAGGCCATATTGTAAAGAAGTGTGTCTTGTGATTTTGATACCCAGAAATCTCCAGTGGAGGGTATTCTCTGCCTTCCTTTTCTTTGCAGATGCTGAGCTGAAGAATGGAAATTTGGAGCAGACTTGCAGTGTCAATTGTAAAGCAAAGAGTAATTGATATTACTTTCTGTGACACTGAGTTACTTTCAAAATAGCTTTATAAAAATTTAGGTTGCTTACCAACACATTAACTTCTCCCTGCCGTCCACACGCTGAACAGCCACTACTTTCAGAAATAGACTGAATAAATGTAATGCATTTAAATGGTTTGTACTGAATTTTTTTAAGCATCAGATATTATCTGTGGTTGGAAATCAAGGTGTCCTGCAGTTCTTTATCTTATTATGTATATTCCTATAACCTTATACTCAAGATTTCATATTACTTCCTTAGCAGTATTGTGAAAAATATTCTTTCATACAATGTGGGTAGGTAGAAAATAATAGCTACCTGCACACCTGGCTATGTGACCAAATAATCACAAATCTAATAGACCCTTATCCAAGAAGCCTTTATGCCTGGGAGATAAGCATCAGATAATCTGCATAGATGAATGCAACTCATCTGGAATACAAAGAGAAAATTAGAACCAATAGCAATAATTTTATTAGATGCCAAAAAGTCCTTTGATGCAATTGAATGAGACTACTTGTATTATGTGTTAGGTAAATTTGGCTTTGGGGACAAATAAAGCAGATAGCACAATTTATTTTCAATCCATTTATATGGTTTAAATCAATGGTTTACAATCTCCCTTTCCCTGCCTTATTGCTGCACTGGGGAGGGAAGTAAGGATGATGCCCATTTCTGATGTTACTCTTCAGGCTGACATTGAAGCTAGAAAATCACACAGATCCCATGGGTATCTGAAGAATATTCAGATGGAGATTCACAAGTTAACTAATATATGCTGATAATCTACTACTTTTGCTGAAAGCTCTAATACCATCTGTCCTGAAAACATTAAGAGTAATGTCAGAATTTGGAGTGGCTTCAGGCAAAGTCAATGGGAGAGAACCAGAAATACTATCTTGACAGAATAGTTTCTATTAATGTTATTGTGTGATAATAAAAATAAAATAAAAATTTTAAAATAATAGATGTGGGATTCTCATTAGGGAATGACTAAACAATAAAGAAGACATTTTAAAATTGATCTGTAATTCAGTGCGAAGCTTTTTAAAAAATGGGTTATACTAAATCTAAGGAGGAAGAAAGTGTGGTAGAGCTTATGTCTCTTTAAAGTTTAATTTGTTAACTCAAAGATTAACTCCATACCTTTCTGAAACTTTTCACAAATGAAAAGAGTCATTTCCTTAGTCGTGTGAGGACATATTGTCATGTTGAAACCCAGGGAAAGCATATGCTACCTTAGGAAGAGGATGTTTGCCCCACTGGAAGCTGTTTAATGGTATATGTCATGACTCAATTAAGCTTGCTATGGCTTGTCAAAAGGAATTTTCCACTGCATATTGCTATGGAATAGTCTATTACACACAAATAACTATACAGCCTAGCAGAACTAAAAATGTATAGTTCATTGAAAAATAAAACACAGAAGCATAGCATCCAGCTCCTTCTTAGTTCTTAAAAGCCAGTGGAAATAGAATTGCAGATATTAACATGAATGGACAAAGTTCAGAGAGATTGGCAATGGCAAAAAGGAAAGGAGAGGGACAGAGCTTATATCAGCTTACAATTATTAAGTTACATATTATCCAAACAAAGTGTTAACAACGTTTTCAAAATGGTAAACCTTTCTTCATTAAGGTATTAACAGTAATTGCTAGGGTGAGGGGCAGGGGATAGAGAACTCGGGAGAACTTCTGTTGACTTGTGAATTAATGTTACTAGGGAAGGATTACTGTGGGCTCATAGCTTATGGCTGCCAACTCAAAAGGAAGGGAGGTTATGATGGTGACAACTAGCTCTGATGCCACTGGAAATTGTTTTGTGTGATATTTTTAGCCATTAATAGCCAACATAACTAGTTATACCACATTTTCACATGATATTCATTCCTCTTAAATTGATTATAAAAATTTCAGGGTAAGTCCTATATTATAGCAAATGTGTTTATAAACAGCAGACATACACAAATCAAACTACCTATGTTCTTTCTTCCTTAAAAGACTGCTTTGTGATAGTAAAGATAATCTCTGTAAATCTTCTATATGGAGCTGTACCTCTGCCCATTGATGCATTATTTTCAGCTACCTAGTCAACTTGGCCATATAAAATTAATTCAATAGATTCTTCTTCCATCCAACAGTATTGAGTTGGCAGAAGCAATTTGATATAATTTTAGAAGAGGTGATTTTTGAACCAGAAGAAGTTTAAGTGGTATCTGTGACAGAGCCTAGATTGAGTCAGGCAGGCATGTTTCAAGAGCAAGGGACACTGGTAAGGCATGAAGGGTTCAGGATGCATCACCAGGAAGCACATTACTACTCCAAACAAAGCGTAGGTGTTCGTCTATCTGATCACACCTTCTATTAATACATCCACTGAGGACTAGGGTGTCTAGTTCATGTCTTCCCCATCAGAACTTTTGCCACCATCCTGGCTGAATTCATCATGTCTGTGGAAAACCTATCCAATATCCTACCCTCCTGGCTCCTTGATTGCCTCTTCTCCAACAGCTTTTGTCTCCATGTTCTTCATTCAGTAACTCACACTCCTGAGCATTTCCTAGAACCTGGCATTGTCTAGAGTCACACTCTCCAATGGATCTTTCTGCATTGTTTTATCTGCTCTATTAGACACGGACAGTACCAGCCATATGTGTCTACTGATCACTTAAAATGTGGCTAGTGTGGCTGGGTGAAATGGTTCACACCTGTAATCCCAACACTTTGGGAGGCTGAGGTGGGCAGATCGTTTGAGCCCAGGAGTTCAGGATCAGCCTGGGCAACATGGCAAAACCCCATCTCTCAAAAAAAAAATAATAATAATACGTGTGTGTGTGTATATATAGTGAAAATTAGCTAGGAGTGGTGGCACGTGCCTCTAGTCCCAGCTACTTGGGAGGCTGAGCTGGGAGGATTGCCTGAACCTGAGAGGCAGAGGTTGCAGTGAGCCGAAAATGTGCCACTGCAGTCCAGCGTGACTGAAGAACAATTTTTTTGTTTACTTGTTTGAGACGGGGTCTCGCTCTGTTGCCCTGTCTGGAGTGCGGTGGTGAGATCTCAGCTCACTGCGACCTCTGCCTCCCAGGTTCAAGAGGTTCTTCTGCCTCAGCCTCCCGAGAAGCTGAGAGTACAGGTGCCTGCCACCATACCCAGCTAATTTTTGTATTTTTAGTAGAGACCGAGTTTCACCATGTTGGCCAGGCTGGTCTGGAACTCCTGACCTCAAGTGATCCACGCACCTTGGTATCCCCAAGTGCTGGGATTACAGGCATGAGCCACAGTGCCTAGCCCTGAAGAAGAATTTACATTTTAATTAATGTAAATGTAAATAGTCACATGTAGCTCTTGGCTACCATATTGAACAACACAGATCTAGAATTTCTCCACCTACTAATATTTAATCTCAGTACCTCTTGTTCTTCCAGCTTTATTATTCTCTCATTTTTATTAAACTGCAATCCAGTTTTCTTGATACCTGTAGTTTTTAAACCTTAATTCTGTTAAAGACTATCCTTTTCCCTTCTGGTTTCCTTTCTTTATTCATCCTGGACCCTAAGGTTAATGCCTTACAACTTACAACACAGAACTCTCATCTCCGTCATTGTCTTACATTCCCATCGCACTTGATACTGAAACTTGCAATTCTGTATCAGTCCATAGACCATGCCTCTACTGATAGATCCTACATCGCTGAGCATTGTTTGAAAAAGAAGAAAATCATACAGTGGACAGTGCAGATTGACGTCACTACAAATTCACACAACTGTGCAGATTTATTTTACCACAAATTCATGCTCACCTAAGTTTTTTTGTTTGTTTTGTTTGTTTTTTGTTTGTTTGTTTGAGGCAGTGTCTCGCTCTTTCGCCCAGGCTGGAGTGCAGTGGCGCCATCTCGGCTCACTGCAAGCTCCGCCTCCCGAGTTCACGTCATTCTCCTGCCTCAGCCTCCCGAGTAGCTGGGACTACAGGCGACTGCCACCATGCCTGGCTAATTTGTTGTATTTTTAGTAGAGACGGGGTTTCACCGTGTTAGCCAGGATGGTCTCGATCTCCTGACCTCGTGATCCACCCGCGTCGGCCTCCCAAAGTGCCGGATTACAGGCGTGAGCCACCGCACCCGGCCTCACCTAAGATTTTTACACTGCTCAAAAACTTTGACTATTCCTTGGCCGGCTTTCTTTTCCGTTTTCATTAGTGACTTTTCGAAACTTTGACTATTCTCTACGTCTCTCCCACATAAACCCTCTCCTATTTTCTTTAGATGATGCCCCTGCCTCCTTGTTGCTTGAGAAAATTGTGGCTATCAGAGTGAATGTCCTTGACTCTAACTTTCTTGACTCATACTCCTCTTCTCCTCAGTTTATTTAGAAACACCACTAGCCAGCCGGCATTCTAAGTTAGAAACTTGGAAGTAATGTTCCATTTTTCTCTTTCCTCTTCCTCACTCTCACCTCTAGATAATAACCAAGACCTGTCTTTTTTATTATTTTCTCTTAATACCATTGACATTTCCTTAGTTAAGATCACTGAGCTATTGAATTTTCTTCCAAACTCATCTTCTTACCTGCTGCCTCATACCTCACAATCTACACTGTCTATTGCTGCCAAAGTGCTCTTCATACAACAAAATTCTGTCATGTCATTATTGTGATTAAAATTTGTCAGTGACTCCCACTTTACACGATGAAGTCTGAGCCCTTAGCATATTATCTACTAGGCCATCTTGCTTTGAAAGCTGGATCTCTCTCTCTCTCTCTCTTTTTTTCCTCTCTCTCTCTCTTTTACACACACACAAGTTACATTCTCTTTTACTTTTTTCATAGAAATTTGAGTAATCCTATTGAGGAAACCTAATTATCACAATGGTTAAAGTGTCTCAACTCCAGCTCGTTGGTTAGGATACCCTTTAAGTAATTTGCTAATTGTGCTACGGCACCTGATGATATTTTTGCAGTGAACGAGATATTTGAAAATACAGTCTTTTTGTTTTCATACTTCTATCTGTTAACAATATATCTGTATTTTTGGCTGCAATACTTATTTTTTCCACAGTGAATTGAAGAAATAGTCAAACCACTTTCAAAACCTTGGGCATTGAACTGAGAGATGTAAATTAAATAGAGAATCCACTACATTACGGGCATGCTGAAGCATACATACAGTGTGGGAAAATTTCAAAATGAAATAGGCTCAGTAATAAGGTTGGAATGTCAATGGATAAATCCATAATTGTCTTCTGGAGGAAGCTTCAAACCTACAAGGAATATCCAAGGACAGAACAGCAAATGAAAATATCTTAAAATAGAAAAAGAAGTTGTACTTCACATCAAGGACAGTCAAAAAATAGATTATTGAGGTAGCACAGAAACTATAGAAAAATCTTAATCTTCATAATCTTATCAGTTAGCCCAGAGTGTTTTTTTTAATGTGAAAAATTAGTGTGATCTGGAACTACTTCTGCCTTTAACTGAATTTGTGACATTAAATAGGCCTAAAACTTTCTAAACTTTGGCTGCCTGATTTTTTAAGTAAAAATAGGTTATCTCTAAGAAAAGTGAATATACTTTGAGCCATTACTATATTCCAGGCACTTACATGACTGGTGTTTTATTTGATCGTGTCTCTTCTCTTTCTAAAAGTCTTCTGACCTGTAACTGCAGCTGAGGCAAAGGATTAATACTGTACACAAAAGTCAAGGGAGAAAGAAAAAAAATAGTGGAGAACCAAAATAGGTCTAAGAGGAGTGATAAATACAGGAGTAAATAAAGCATGAGGAGGCGATGGGAATTACAAAGGAGAAACAGGTGAAAGAGCCTCGTTGAAGAGTACAACCAGCTATGTTCACATTCTTGGCAATACGTTCATTTTGCTAAACTGGCATTTCTATTAAGCCAACATTCCAGAAAGCGCGGTTGTTTCTGTTTCTCTTTCACAGCAGACCAGTCTGTTTCCAAGCTTGATGTTTTTCACTCTTATGCATCTCAAACTTTGGTAATGTAAGTACCACGTATAATAAAAGAGCAAAAATATTCTCTAGGGCCCCAGTGCTTTATTAAAATATTTATTTTAAAATGAACAAACATCACAGTGTAAAAAATTCTGTATACATATAGTTTTATACAACTTTAAAATCCACGAAGCTCTAAAACGTTGTTAACAATTGGAAAATAAAATGAAAATAAATAGCATTAATTTAATACCTCAGATGATGCTGTTCTGTTAAAACTATATTGCCTCATGAAATCAAAGCATGATACTTACCATTAAGGTGTAGGATTTTAGTGTTCAGTGTGTCCTAGCTATTGTACATCACATGATTTTTCAATTCTTCCACCAATTTTCTCTGTTTGAATTACCAAAAAACTTTGATTTTTTGTAGTGCCTTATGATGCTGTTTTCTCTCCAACCTTCCTTAAATACAGAATTTATATTTAAAAACAGCTTTGGTGTTTTCAAGTTATTTCACAAATATTAAAATAGTACTGCTTGGGGTTAACTTGATAATAACAGAAACACCTTTTTTTTTTTTTTTTTTTTTTTTGAGACTGAGTCTTGCTCTGTCCCCCAAGCTGGAGCGCAGTGGCGCGATCTCGGCTCACTGCAAGCTCCGCCTCCCAGGTTCACGCCATTCTCCTGCCTCAGCCTCCCGAGTAGCTGGGACCATAGGTGCCCACCACCACCCCCGGCTAATTTTTTGTATTTTTAGTAGAGACGGGGTTTCAGCGTGTTAACCAGGATGGTCTCGATCTCCTGACCTCGTGATCCGCCCGTCTCGGCCTCCCAAAGTCCTGGGATTACAGGCATAAGCCACCGCGCCCGGCCCATAAACACCTTCTTAAGCACTAGAATCTCATAGTGACCATCCAGATGATACAGAGTATACTTACATTATATCTTTAAAAATTCGGAATAGCTTCAATATGAAATATAAAATTACCCACATTCTCCCTGGGAGCTCAGTTAGCAGAGAGTCATCTGAGAATCCCCAAGTCCTTGAGCTTCAATTTGAGAAACGGTGCTGTGGTCTTTATTGATCCTGCTAAGTTGGAAAACATGGAATCTCCTCTGATAAGTATGTCTTAGAAGATTTGCCAGGAGAAAGAGAAGCACAGGGAAGTCATAATTTAAATAAAAGGACAGAATATTTTTGGTACAGCCCTTCCCTACAAATATATCTTTCCAGGGCAGGGACATTTGTTCCTTGCCATGAAAAGGGGACCATGTAATTTATCATCCAACTAAGACATTTTTGAGAGTAGAAAAGCAAGCTATTAATAATTACACCAGGACAACTAAGTGACCAGGACAGTCCAGCCCACATGGTCACCCTAAGAGAAGAGTGAGGGAGGCACTCATGCATTTGAAGAGATCAAATAGATCTCATGCT
The DNA here is from genome assembly GCF_000001405.40 of Homo sapiens. Classification (NCBI taxonomy): domain Eukaryota; kingdom Metazoa; phylum Chordata; class Mammalia; order Primates; family Hominidae; genus Homo; species Homo sapiens. Next base: position 94,139,087 of record NC_000003.12, read on the forward strand.
TCGTGATAAATGCTTTTGAAGCCAGGCAGGAGTCTCATGCCTTTAATCCCAGCTACTTGGATTGAGACAGGAGGATTGCTTGAGCTCCGGAGTTTTCAGACTAGCCTGGTAGGCAACATAGCATGAGACCCAGTCTCAAGGGAAAAAAAAGAGAGAGAGAGAGAGAGAGAGAGAGAGAGAGAGAGAGAGAGAGATGAAATGCTTTTTTTTTCTTTTTTGCTTTTTTTTCATCCTGCACACTTTCTTGCAGTTCCCTTCTGCAAAAATGAGATACTCCCCCTTTCAGTGCAAATAAAAACCTTCTTAATTACAAAACGACTTCCTTTCTACTCTGCCTGAAATCTAAAGCATGAAGGTCTCCTTTTAATCAACAAATCAAAATACATTACAAGCACTGTCTAATGACTTCAGTCTGATATTATACTTAATGGAGCTTTTGGCAAGAGCCCAGCTGAGATAACTGATAGGCAAGATGAATAGTCAAAGCTAAGGCAGTGGCTTTCAGACTTTTTAGGGAATTTGAATAATGTTTATAAGATGACATACAAAGGTAAGCCCATAGACACACAGAAAGTTTTATTACACAGTATTTATCCTTAAACTTGTTATGTATTACACGCATACATATATACATGGACATATATATTATCCCACTTAATTGACCTTGACCCCCACTTAATTGATTTCATGACCCATTAATGATTTGGAATCTGCAATTTGAAAACCACTTATAACTAGCCATTCCCTTTTGCATCCAGTTAAGTAAAAAGGTACATAAATAGACAATGTAAATTCATTTCCATGTGTCTTTACAAAAATTCATTTTACTAATTTATTCTTGGTTTAAGTAAGTGTTGATTTTAGCACATTAAAAAAAAATCCTATATAAGGTGTTATATGCCATGTCATTCAAAGCCTCCCTGCTGCCTTCCCCTCCAGCCCTACCCCGTGTAGGCCTGTAATTATTAATTTCTCCTAGATTTCAGTGAATGTTTTCAGATTACTTGGCCTATATTAATTATATTATTTTCCATTTTCCTTTGTGTGCTGACAAACACAGCTAAATTCTATGACCACATACAGCACTTATCTCTGTTTATCTCCCTTCACCTACCCCATTCTCCACATGGCTTTTATTCTTTCATTATCCTCCCTCTTTAAAAAATGATTATGTTGTAGAAGATATACCGGCTAAGGGTGTATGTACCAGAGTCAGTCTGCCTGAGTTTGAATTCTATGCCACTCTCTAGCTGTGTGATGTTAGGCAAGTTACTTAACCTCTTTATATCTTAGTTTCCTCATCAGTAAAATTAGAATAACAACAATGAAAAGAACAATCATAATACCTATATCATAGTCATTTTGTGAGATCTAAATGAGGTAATACCTTTAGGTACTAGCACATTGCTTAGCCCATAGTAAGCAGACAATAAATAAAGCTATTGCTATTCTCATAAATTTTAGAAGTAGACATTACAATTAGTTGAGGGTTTCTTTTTCTCCCTTTTTTTCTTTCTATTGTTATTATTTTTTTACTGAGGGTTTTGTTAGCTTTTAATCTTGTGGAACTCAGAAACTCCCATTAATACGGTTTCATAGAAAATAGTCGTACAAATTTGTCTTTGCATCTTCTCTGCAGAAGCCCCTTTGTCAGATGAATTCACAGAGTGTTTTCTTTTGGAATCCTTAGGCTAGGCTTACTTATTTGTGATATTTGTGTATGAGTTTGTTTTCCCACTAGTATATAAGAACTTTGAGGGTCAGGAGCTGTTTTATGAATCTTTGAGTTCCCCTAGCTCTTCATTCCCTGCTTTCTTATACTGCGTGTTTCATAAATGTTTAATGAAATACATTAATTTAACAGGTTCCTTTGAATATCAAAAAAGGAAGAAAGTTCTCAGTAGAAAGGAGTAAAAATTCAAACAGAGATTGATGAAAGCACAGAGAGAGTTTGATATTCAGAACATTAACTGAGGCAGTAAGGCTAGAGTAGAATGGTCAACTGCCCCATCAGACGTGGTTAAGAAAATGGACTTTATTAGTAAGTCTGGGTATACACTTTTGTCTCTGTTACTTCCTAGTTATGCAAACGTGGGCAAATCATGTAATGTCTTAAAAGCTCATGTCCCTAAGCTCTACAATAAAGTTAACTAAAAGATCCTGAAGGCCCAAGTTCTAGTGTTTTATAGCACCATAGGATGACTATAGTTAACAATAATATATATTTTTAAATATCTAGAAGACAGAATATTGAATGTTCCCAAAATAAAGAAATGATAAATGTTTGAAATGATGGCCATGCTAATCATTCTGATCTGATCACTACACATTGTATGTGTTGAAACATTACTATGTACCCCATAATTACATATAATTATTATATGTCAATTTAAAAAATTTAAAAAAGATCATAAATGTAAAGTGTTTAGTATAGCACCTGATATATAGAAAGCAGATGATGTATTAGATTTTCTATTGCTGCATCACAAATTACAAAACTTATCAATTAAAAAGAATACAAATGTATTATCTTACAGTTCCCATGAGTCAACAGTTCAGAATATTTTAGTTGGGTTCTCTGCTGAGGATCCCAGAAGGCTAAAATCAAGATGTAAATTGGGTATGCCCCTATCTAGAAGCTTTCCTGGAAAAAGATCTCTTTCCAAGCTCCCTCAAATTTTTGGCAAAATTAATTTCTTTGCAGGTACATGACTGAGGTTCAGCGTTCATACTAGGAACCACTCTCGACAACTAGAGACCACTCGCAAGTCCTTGTCACATGGCCCCATGCATAAGCCTCTCACTCTAGGAATCTCTTAATTTCTTCCTTCAGGAAAGACCCCCAGTCCTTTTAAGTGCTCACCTGAATCAGGTATGCCAAGAACAATCTTTCTTTGAATAACAGATGAGAGATTTTTAGCTGATGTTCCCTCCCTGTACGTCTTCGTTACTGTAAGCATCTTGCCACTCTATGATTCTATTATTTACATACACATATTATTTATATAGCATAGCTCTTAACTATATAATCAGGTGCTAAGTTGGAAAAACATTTTTTTTCTAAGATTAGAAGAGAAACTAGGTGTGTTGGACTTATTGACAGCCAATGGTCTCTACTATAGCACTTTCCTAAGAGGTTTTCAAAGGTAATTTTGATTATACGTGTGTTAGTCTATTTCATATTGCTATAAAGGAATACCTGAGGCTGGATAATTTACAAAGAAAAGAGGTTTATTTGGCTTATGATTCTGCAGGCTGTACAAGAAGTATGGCACCAGCTTCTGGTGAGGCCTCAGGAAGATTTCAGTCATGAGGGAAGGCAAACAGGAGCAGGCATCACATGGTGAGAAAGGAAGTAAGAGGGAGAGGAGGTGCCGGGCTCTTTTTGACCATTGGATTTGTAACTATAGAGCAAGAGTTTACCCATTACTGTGGGGAGGGCACCAAATTATTCATGAGGGATGTGTTCTCATGACCGAAATGCCACCCACTAGGCCCCCCTCCAACACTGAGAGTCACATTTCTACATGAGATTTGGAGGGGACAAACATCCAAACTATATCAATGCACTATTTGCCCTCTATATTGTTTCTACAGATAACTCTACTATATTGTTTTTCTTATTATTATCATGATCTAGGAGACTTTGAGATAACTGATAAGGAGAGAAAAATGTTTGAATAGTTACAGAGTTAGGAAGACATTGGTTCTCTCATTCCTCCTGTCACAAGTGGTTGAAACATAAAATATGTTACAACTTTCAGTTTTATGAGTTATATTCAACTATGAAAGGAGTACAGAGAAATATGAAATTATCTCTGTCTTCAATGAATCTTCAATTTGGTTGCAAACGTAAGACATATTTTCACATTTCACACAAATGTGAAAAGTTAAATAGCACTAGAAGGCAGTATATAATTATAAGACAAATGAATAGTGGATGGAGTCATAATTATAAATCGGAGAGGAGAGGTCAAGGATGGCTAAAGGAAGTAGGAGAGCACAGCTAAGTCTACAGAAATGGGCAAGGTATCACCAGATAAAGAGAAAGGAAGAGGATATAATAGGAGGGTGGAGTGGCTTGAGCAGAAACATGGAAGCACACACAATGTAACGTATTAATGGTGCAGTGGCTGGAGTCCAGAGTTCAACTAAGTGAATAGGAAGAGATAAAGTTGAAAGTGCAGATATTATTTGGAGCCTCAAATATGAATCCAAGGAGTGTGGGCTTAATCCAAAAGGCAGTAATAACCCATTGAAGCTTTTTCAAAAGAGGAATTCCACATAGAGTAGATATTGAGTAAGTAATTGTGAAAAGATGAATGAATACATAGTAAATATACTGTTTTAAGAAGAGTAATAGTTTGGGAAAGTTTGAATAGGAGGAGGAAGACTATTGGTTTTGGCTGTAGAGTATCAAGAGTCTGAGAGCGGTTCATAGGATCTGAGTTAGGTCACATGATAGCAGTGGGACTCCAAAAGGAGAGATTGATAGAAAGGAAGAATTAACAGGATTTGAAGACTAATTAGATATGGAGGAAAGGAAGAGAGAGGAACCAAAAATGACTCTGCATTTCCAGCCTGGATAATTTATAAATGATGGTTGCAATTTACAGTTTTCCCGTATGCAAAATGAGGAAAATAAGAGTATTTTATAGTAAGCATGTCTCTATTATTATTGTTATGTACATAAAATGTCTAACATGGTACTTGAATGTTTAATTTCCAATAAATAATTGTTATTTTAATATTGTTATTTTCATCATTAATATTAATTCACAATCCTGAGATCCAAACAATTCTGAAAGTCTTTTGCTTCTTTGTTTGGTTGGGTTTTTTTGCTGTGTTGTTTTGTTTTGTTTTGTTTTTTGATAACACATGCAGTGATCTGACCTGGAGTCTTTTGGTAGTAAAATCTTACCCAAACTGACTGAGAACCTTTGTTTACTGTCTAAATAACCATATGTTTTGCTCTCCAAATATTAGCATATTTATGAAAAGATATTTGGTTTAACCTCCTGACCTATATTTGCCTATTTATCTGTCTCAATTCCTTGGCATATTTGTCGGTATGACAGTAGCTCAATCAAAGGGACAAATTTGGATGCTGACTGAGATTCTCTTGGGAGTGTTAAAAACATATGGTATATATAACATGTTACTCTTCTGATATTTGAAAACATCTAATTTCAAATTACATCCAGCTTGAGAGTTTTGGATAAAAGGTGATGGATCGTATTACTGTTGATTGAAAAAGGAAAATAGAGACAACTACTTTGAGGAGACAAATAGTTGATGAGAGATATGTTGAGTTTGAGGTAATGAGAGCACAGAAGTGAAACTATTTTCTAGGTGATTGGTGATACCTGATTGGATTTTCAAGCAAATAAGCAGGATACACATAGAAGTGAAATTTCAAGTCATGAGTAGGAATGAAGTCTCCTAGAAAGACAAGGGGAAGGCAATGGGAAGAAAGCTGTAAGGGGATTATTGAAACAAGGTGTATGTATGCACCGCATGTAACAAAAAGCTCTGGCTAAGCTATCAAAAAGCCGGTGTTTAGTAGGGTTGAAGCTGAGTCTGTAAGAATAGGTTGAGATGGAAAAGAAGCAGGAGAGTGCCATACTTGCCAAGGAAAGAACTAACTTTAAGAAGGAGCAGTCGATTACTAGAATCAAGTGCTACAGAGAGGTCAGAGAAAAGGAGAACAATCATAGCAGCAAACAGATTGGATTTGTTAATTTTGGATGCTCAATGGTAATGAGATGGTATCAGAGAGGTAAGAACAGAGGACTTAAGCGGGGAACCATAGCAGTCTAACTGGATTTCATTACTTCTTGAGTATACTCGTTCCTGGTTGATTCAAGAACACAAGAGTCAAAGAATCACAAAACTTATAGCTAAATCTAATCATATATTCTATCCCTCTTGTTTGTAGTTAAGAAGGCTGATGCCTCCAAAGTGGTTAAGATTCTGGTAACAGTCACATAATGAGTTCATGGCAGAGTTAAGACTAGAACATGAATATTGACATTCCCAATTACGTGCTTTTTCTTCTCTGTACTAGGCATCAAAGCAGTGCGCTCATCTAAGGGTTCTGTTTGAATGACACCTTTAGGTATTACTGCAGCCCCCCTTAGTACAGAAACAAAATACTCCTCCACCAGTTTAAGAATAAAAAGTCTTATTAAAAAGCCTTTTCTTTATACTAGTATGCCTCTCACACCATTGGGATTTTATGAGGAATTGAAAACTTTACACATCCATATATTATAACTTTCAGTGAACCCAATAAAATGTTCCTTTGTATCAATATCCATGATTCTGTCCAGAAACTCTTTCAGTAGTTTAATTTCTCTTAGTCTTTTTTTTTTTTTTTTTTGAGATGGAGTTTTGCTCTTGTTTCCCAGGCTGGAGTGCAATGGCGCTATCTCGGCTCACCACAACTTCTGCCTCCCGGGTTCAAGCAATTCTCCTGCCTCGGCCTCCTGAGTAGCTGGGATTACAGGCATGTGCCTCCACACCTGGCTAATTTTGTATTTTTAGTAGAGACGGGGTTTCTCCATGTTGGTCAGGCTGGTCTCGAACTCCAGACCTCAGGTGATCCACCTGCCTCAGCCTCCCAAAGTGCTGGGATTACAGGCATGAGCCACCGTGCCCTGCCTCTCTTAGTCCTAATCTTTATAACTTGCAGAATCTTAACAGCTCAAGCAGATCTCTACAGGATAGTAAACTCCTTAGAGGCAGGAATTTTATCTTATCTTTGTATGTCTGGAACCCTAAAATGATGTCAACAACATAGTATATGTTCAATAAATGCTTGTTGAATGAACAAATAGGTGAATAAATGAATGAATTAGTGGAACGTTCAGTAAGCCTCCTTGAGAAACAGTGGGAAGATAAGGTATTTGGCTCAATCTCCTGACATAGTTAGCTTGTGCTTGCTTTTCCGACTCATGTCTAACAGAAATAGCCCTCAGCATATTTGCAAACACAACAGTAACCTCAATCAAAGGGAAAACACTTGGATTACCCTCAATCAAAGGGAAAACACTTGGATTATCTCTCAGAATTATTGCTAACAAGTTTTACTTATTTGGATGCCAGTGACCCTTACTAAAGACTTGAGACTTGGAAAAGAGGTCACGGAGGTGGTAGGGGAATGTGTTGACCCTGGCCCTCTAATATTCTGATTATATGTTTCTTGCTGCTCAGTCAGTTGCTTTTGGGGCTTTTTATTTTGTTTGAAATGCATCCTAGAGGGCAAAAAGATGTACCAGAAATTCCAGCCTTATTTGGAAGGGCCCTGTAGAAAGTGGCTTATCAATACTTAGCACTTTTCCACATGTACTACACAAGTATGCCTTATTTCAGGAAATTTGCAAAGCGGTAATCATATATTTCACCCTGTATTATAATAATATATTTTTCTCTTTCCTGAGTGTGATGTGCTGTCAACTATTTAGCATCTAATGTCACAAATTTCCAGCACTGCCAGATTAGAATGCCTCAAAGGCCTAATGACTCCTAAGTGGCTCACCGTCAGCTCGGTACAGCTAAGCAATTCCCATGCTGCTCAGGAGTCATGTATTATGCTGGCAGGCTGCCTCACTGGTGAGTTACCTTGAGACAAAAGTGTTGTCAACAGTGGAACAGTCAGTTTTTCCTTAAAGCCCTTTATTCACTCCTCTCCCCCAACTAGGTATAGCCGTATTTCTAGAGCAGCAATCACAAAGTACACCTAGTGATTTTATCAGGATTTCTGGCTAAATTAACTTAAACAGCGACACGAGTGGAAATATACCTCCCTGGCTTCCCTGCCAGCCTACCCTGAGAACATTCTGGCTTAATTTCTCTCTTTAACAAGACCAAGAAGACAGTCTTTTGCGTCTCCATGAGAAAAGTATTTACATATTCAGAAATCAGCTTGGCAAACCAGAGCTAAGAGTATGGGGAATAAACATTGTCTCTGTTCTTTTTTTCCTCTCAAAGTTGAGAATTAAATTCTTGAATATGATAAGAGCTAAAAGTTGGCAAAAGAGAGATGGCAACAGTGATGTGACATCTGTCAAAAAGTGTTGATCAGCGGAGGCCTCTCTGCCTACCTTGTGCACCCCTGGGCTCTCAGGTCCTTGACAGGTGTTTCCCTTTTTCCGCCTTCCTTTCCCTGGACTGGCTTCCTGGGCTTGATAGGGGCAGATGCAAGCATTCCACAGCTTGCATTGCCTCATTTAAAATGCACGGTGGGTAGAAATTAAAATTAAAATGAGTTCTTTTTTAAGCAAAAATGTCACCATTCTCTTTCAAAGATGATAACCTGAGTAATGACTATCAAGAGAAAAGATTGGTGTCAAATTATGAGGCTGTGCTTAGTGGGCTTATGATTTATGTATAGGAATACATCATTTTTTGACAAAGAGCAAGATGAGGTTGAAATTGTATTTATTTGGCAAGCCAAACTGGCTTCTTTGACTTTTTTTTTTTTTTTTTTTGAGATGGAGTCTTGCTCTGTCACCCAGGCTGGAGTGCAGTGGCACTACCTTGGCTCACTGCAAGCTCCACTTCCTGAGTTCACGCCATTCTCCTGCCTCAGCCTCCCGAGTAGCTGGGACTACAGGTGCCCGCCACCACCCCCGGCTAATTTCTTGTATTTTGTTTAGTAGAGATGGGGTTTCACGTTGTTAGCCAGGATGGTCTTGATCTCCTGACCTCATGATCCGCCCGCCTCGGCCTCCCAAAGTGCTGGGATTATAGGCGTGAGCCCCTGTGCCCAGCCTCTTTTACTTTTAAGCCATTGGCATACATTTAATATGTCATATGCACTTACTTAATATTGGGTAGCAAGGACATATGTGTTCATGTTCAAAACTAGGCTAGGCACTCCTCTACTGGATCACACAGGAAGTCTCCAAACTATTCTAGGAGATGAGAGCTGTCTCTTTGTGTTGTGATAGGTATTCTAAGCCATTCATTTTGAGCAAGATTTCTTTAGCTGTTTTCTCTGTTTCTCTCTCTTTTCTATTGTTACAAAGAGAGGTCTATAACTTTTGCAAGTAGAAAAATTGGTCTAACTACCACTAGCTTTCTTTGGAAATGTATATTTGCTTTCTTCCTGTCTCTTTCTCACTGGCATGTTATTTTAGCAGTCAAGCTATTTGTGTGTCAAAAATAAGTATGGTACATTTTCTAGTCTACCTTTACTAAGTAATAGTCATGAGTACAATCTCACATAAAATTTTGCAATAAGGAATTCAGGATAGGTTTTATTCTGCTTACTTCTCAAGAGAGCTGATTAAGTGAGAATCATTTGATCCAAATTCGTAGCTACTGCTGCCATGTTGAGTGCGGGGTGTCTTGAAGAGTATAATCCCCACCTTCCCACCAATCCAGGAAGGAAAATATTGAAGTTCCACATCTACAGCGTAATCTCTGTGTTCTGTTTCTTCTTGTCATTTTCGTTATATATACAGACCCCTCAGGAGAGAACAACGGTTCTGAGTCATATTTCACATTGCAACTCGTGAAGCATAAGAAATCTTGTTTCAAGTTGTGAAGAGGAGATCTGCACAAACACTACATACCATACAATACTTACAAAATTTAAGTTTGTGGTCCCTTCTTGAGTCCCACATGTAAAAATCACAAATCATGCTTTTGTGCATTTAGATATTTTACCAATGCTATTTTTCTCCCATCACATGTTCAAGAAGATCTTGGAAGAAGAGATATGCCATACGGAAAGAACAATGTCTTTGAAACGATTCAAATGCTTAGTAAATCATTTGGCTTCTGAATACTTGTTTACTCTTTTGTGGAATGGAGATGGTGATACTGTCATGAAGGGTTACTGTATGGTCTAGAAATCACTGGCGTTCAGGTAGGTAGACTCTTCTGAATCTGAGTCTACCACACTTTCCCTTGGCTGAGCATTATTCATAGTAAACCTGTTGTCCTGGATAATCCTGGTCACATGCAGTGTCCAGTACTGTGTATTTGTGTGCGGTTCCTAATGTGTCTAGTCTAACAGCTACTCTCACTGGTGTTCTGAGGCCCAGAACCTCTTAGAGCCAATGTGTTCTAGGTTTTCTAAGCTACTGCTTTCAATTCATGTTTTAAGCTATTTTTTTTTCTCATTGGTGAACATACAACTTTTGAAGTTCTGTTTCCCAGAGACTCCAGAGGCAGGCCTATGACTTGTTCATTCATCCATTCAACAAATATTTAGTCCTTTAACCAACCCCATATGCCATACCAACATTTCTAGATCCCCTTTACACTGTACATCTTCTATTTTTTTAATGTATCATTAGCATATCATGCAACTTATTCTTTTTTATTGCCTCTTGCTCCACTATAACGCAAGCTCCATTGGGACAGAGATCTTCATTTTATTCACTGATGCATCCCAAGCAAACACAATAATTCACAGGACATATCAAACATTTGTTGAATGAGTTTAGAATATATTATGTTTTAGGAACATGGGAACTGGTAAGTTATATTGCTCTTCCAGAGAACAGTTCATTCAGAAACTTTCTTGGTGTTCTTTAGAATTATTAAAGTTTCACATTGAGTATCCAGCTTCTTTCTTCTGTACACTAAAGCAAAGGTAACATCACATATTTTCTCTGAACTCCGGTAAGCTCTTGATCTCCTGTGGTCTGTGCCTTCATCCTCCTCCTCCTTATTATCATCATCACAGTTATCATCATCATGTTAACTAGTCTGCTAGATGGTTTCCAATGGTCTTTGCCAATGGTCTTTACACAAGCGTGTAGTCCTCTCCCGTATTGAATAGGGATGATGTGTGTAACCAATAAGAGATGATTATGTGTAATTTCTAAGGCTAGGTCATAAAAAATATTACAGCTTCAGCCTTTCTCTCTTAGATTATTTCCTTTAGGGAAACCAGGTTTCATGCCCTGAGGACAATAAAACAGTCCTCTGGAGAGGTCCAAGGAGCAAGGAACTAAGGCCTTCTGCCAAAGTTCCTATGAATGAGCCATTTTGGAAGTGGATTTTCTAGCCCTTGTCAAGACTTAGATGACTGAAACCCTAGCCAACATTTTGTCTGTAGTCTCGTGAGAAACTGAGCCAGAAACATCCAGCTAAACTGCTCCCAAAGTCCTGACACATAGGAATTGTGAGCTAATAAAAGATCATTGTTGTTTTAAGCTATTAAGTTTTGATGTAACTGTTACATAGCAGTAGATAACTAATGTAATCATCACTGCACTTCTTGAGTGCCTTCATGTACAAACAAGTATATGATTTCATTCTTAAAGCAAACATCTGAATTGTCTTAGCCCATTTTGTGCTGCCATAATAGAATAGCTGAAACTTCATAATTTATAATGAACACAAATTCATTTGGCTTATGTTTCTGAAGACTGGGAAGTCCAAAAACTTGGTGCTGGCGTCTGGAAAGGGTCTTTGTGCTGCATCATTCCATAGCAGAAGGTGAAAGAGCAAGTGAGCATGCAGGACAGAGAGGAAAGGGGCCAAACTTATCCTTTTATCACGAGCCCACTCCCAAGATAACTAACCCACTCCCATTATAATGGCATTAGTCCATTTATTATGGCAGAGCCCTTATGAACTAATCACCTCCTAAAAGTTCACTTCTCGATACTATGGCATTGAGGATTAAGTCAGGACACATGGCTTTAGCGGGCACATTCAAACTACAGCAGTAGTTATATCCTCATTATACAGATGAGAAAGTGGAGGGTCAAAGGTGTTAGTTTACACTTCCAGGGAGTGGAAGAGAGAGAATTTGATCACAGAATTCATTTTTAATGACTATGCTATTTTGAGTAGAGTATAATCTTTGGAGTATAAGGCTGCTTCTGGCAGAATGTCAGCATGGTACCTGAGAAACCTGGCAACCACAAATCACTTTCAATAATGTCCCTTTTCAGGTACAACATGCGAGCACATAGGTACTTTGATTTTCAGGAATTATCGAAAGCTTCTCCAAGTCCCATAAGATAAATGCACAGGTTTTCTTTAATAAAAATCCATGGCTCATGCTAAGTTTTTAATTAACTAGCTAGTAAGGTAGCTAGTTCCTGATGTGATGGCATTGCAAGAAAAGAGAGAGACCGCTAGGCACAGTGGCTCACACCTGTAATCTCAGGGCTTTGGGAGGCTGAGATGGGAGGTTCACTTGAGCCTAGAAGTTTGAGACCAGCCTAAGCAACATAGCAAAATCCCATCTCTACAAAAAATAAAAAAATTAGTTGGGTATGTGGCATGCACTTGTAGTCCCAGCTGCTTGGGAGGCTGGTGTGCCAGGATCACTTGAGCCCCGGAGGTTAAGACTGCAGTGAGCCATATTAGTGCCACTGTACTCCAGCCTGGGCAACAGAGAGAGAGAGATCCTTTCTCTCTAAAAAAAAAAAAAAAAAGGTTAAAAAAAAAAATCTTTGTCATTTCACAAATTCTTCACCAAGTCTAGCCTTCAAAGAGGGCACATTTCTTCAAAAGTAGGTGACCAATAGTGTCTTTCCCCTATTTTCCTGGGTTTGCTACTTTATATTTTATCTACAAAATGGCTATATCCCATAAAGGAGGACAGAACAGAAGAAATCCATAAAAACTTGGTAAATCCCTGACCTGAACTTTATCCACTTCCACTCTCCTATTGTGTTAGAATGCCTCTCAATCAGTCCTAAATAGGATTAAATGTAATTAAAGTAATTCTTCCAGCAGTACTCCATGAAAGCAATGTAGATATATGTTCTGATTGCTTAAAATGTTTACATGAGAATTAGACACAAAACTTCTGTCTGCAAAACAGGTGCAAAATTAAAATCTAACCGATGCATGCTTAAAGATAACAGCTTAATTTCCCCAAATTTATAAGCCACCTTATTTGCCATTTTTGTGCTCAATACTCCCATTGTCCTTTGTGTTTTAAATTCTTTTGCTGACTTATTTCCTGTGTCAGTTTTCCACAGTCAGCATCCTTTAAAATTGGCTTAGAATTTTGCTACAGAAAATGCTGAAAAATCCCTTGCTGATTGTGTATGGCATGTACCTCACATAAAATATACCATATCTCATTTTCTTTCTGAATAATTCTTCTTATAATCATGAAATTACAATGGAGGTAGGAAAACTATCTAGAGATGAACAAATGGTTGTTATAGGGTATATAATAGACTATTTTCCATGGTCACTAGCACTATATAAGACCTTGAACCTAAATTCGAAAAAGAAGGACACCAGTATAGAGAACCGAAGATTAGGTGTCAGCGCAAATAGCCAAATGGGAGATGTATTCAACAGGAAATTTAATACACCAACAGGGTGTTGTGGCAGCCAATAAAGCTAATGGGCATTAACACAAGAATGCTATCTAGAGGAGGGTGATAGCCATACTCTGCTCAGACATTTGCTAGAATATTGCATTATATTCTAAATAGCAAAATTTTAAAGGAATAGAAACAAATGAAGCTATGTTCAGATAACAGAATTTAAGATAGCAGAGTATTTGAAATCTATGTCACATGAGAAGCATATTCAAATATTTAATGAGCTCTGTGTATTCAGGTTCACATTTTTAATCACATTTTCAGAATATAGACCTAGAACCTATGCATAGGAAAAAAATAGGCTGAATCAAAGGAAAAAATAAGGAGATAATTAGCTGCTTCAAGAGGTGTGCGTTTGCAGGTATGGGTGGTGTTCAAATACAGAAAACTACTTGAGAGGGAATGCACACGGATGCATTATCTTTTAATGCACATTCACCTCATTCACTAATATGTTTTGCCCTATCAATGTCCAGGACTTGGGTCAATCAAACTGGCAAGTTCTTATTCCTGGGGGAAGGGTTTGTCTCAATGATGGCCAGGGCAGCAGAAGCACAGAGAAGGCTGGTTGCTATATCGTCTCTCCTCCCCACAATTTGTGAATTGGATTGGATAGGGGAGAACTGGAAAACTATTTGACAATAAATAGTAGGAAATTTAAAGATGTTCACATCATTTGACCCAACAATTTCACTTCAAGAGGTATAAAAGAAATAAATAGGTGTTTGTAAGAGAACTTTACTTACAGAAATAGTCATCACAAAATTATTTATAATAGTGAAAAATAAGAGGAGGAAAGCTTTTCCCTTTAGCAAATATTTTCTGAGTATCTACTCTGTAACAGGTAATCTTCTAGGAGGTTGGGGTACATCAAAGAAAAAAAATAATTTTCTTGCTGTTACAGAGGTTACAGTCCAGTAGGAAGGATGAATGTAAATATAAATATCACAAATAATGATACAATGCAGTATGTTAGAAGGTGATAAGTGCTATGGAGGAAAATAAAAAAGCAGAGCAAAGTAATGAGGGTTGGGGTTGTCAGCTGCAGAGTGGCCAGGGTAGGGCTCTTTGAGGAGGTCACACGATCAAAGACTTGGTGAGGACATTAGCTATACAGATATCTGGAAGGAAATAGCAGTATGGACATTGATAAGAATGATTCAGTAGAAAATGAACAATTGATGAAATAGGAGTTTTTCTTCTTCTTCTTCTCCTTTTTTTTTTTTTTTTTGAGACAGGATCTCATTCTGTCCCCGAGACTGGAGTACAGTAGCATGGTCATAGCTCACGATAGCCTGAAATTCCTGGGCTCAGGTGATTCTCCAACTTCAGCCTTCGGAGTAGCTAGGACTACAGGTATGCACCACCATATCCAGCTATTTTTTAATTTTTTGGTAGAGACAGGGTTTTGCTATGTTGACCAGGCTGGTCTCAAACTCTAGGCCTCAAGCAATCCTCCCATCTCAGCCTCCCAAAGTGCTGGGATTACAGGTGTGAGCTGCTGTGCCTGGCCTGATTTATTTGATTAACATAGGAAAATGCTAGCAATGTAATACTCAATGAACCAAGCAAAGTATAAAGTCTATATTCAGTATTATAGCTTATAATTATGTATATACATATATATTCATTTATTATATAAATATTTATTAAGCACCTATTTGTTTATTTTATAAACATTTATATAGCACTTATATTCCAGGTACTATTCTAAGCATTTCTAAATAGTAATGTCATTAAATCCTCACTAACTTTGAGAAGAAGGAGGATCTATTTTGACCTCATGAGTGGAAGAGATGTGAATTAATTATCCAAGATCACATGATTAGTAAAAGCAGAGAATGGCTTTCTTCTGTGTTCTTCATCCCTCTGGATTCTGTCTTCTCTTCGAAGAGTACTGTTAAGCTACTGGGGAGAGAATAAAACACAAATGTACGCTTAGAAACGGTGGCTTATGCCTGTAATCCCAGCATTTAGGGAGGCCGAGGTGGGCGGATCACAAGGTTAAGAGATGGAGACCATCCTGGCCAACATGGTGAAACCCCGTCTCTACTAAAAATACAAAAATTAGCTGGGCGTGGTGGTGCACACCTGTAATCCCAGCTACTCGGGAGGCTGAGGCAGCAGAATGGCTTGGACCTGGGAGGCGGAGGTTGCAGTGAGCCGGAGGTTGCAGTGAGCCGGAGGTTGCAGTAAGCCGAGATCGCCCTGCTGGACTCCAGCCTGGTGACAGAGCGAGACTCTGTCTCAAAAAAAAAAAAAAATCTGAAAAGAAATTTGTCAAATATCAGTATTGATTTTTTTGTATGAATTATAGGTAATATTCACTGTTTTGCATACATTTGTGCATTTTGCAATTTTTTTTTTTGAGACGGAGTCTCCCTCTGTCGCCCAGGCTGGAGTGCAGTGGCCTGATCTCGGCTCACTGCAACCTCTGCCTCCTGGGTTCAAGCGATTCTCCTGCTTCAGCCTCCCGAGTAGCTGGGATTACAGGCGCCCACCACCACGCCTGGCTGATTTTTGTATGTTTTTTAGTAGAGACGGGGTTTCACCATGTTGCCAGGCTGGTCTTGAACTCCTGACCTCAAGTGATCCACCCACTTCAGCCTCCCAAAGTGCTGGGATTACAGGCGTGAGCCACCGCGCCCAGCCACATTTTGCAAATTTTTAACAATAAATATATTTAACATTATAACTACTATCATATATATTTTTAATAGTATAGGCCGGGCGCAGTGGCTCAAGCCTGTAATCCCAGCACTTTGGGAGGCCGAGGCAGGCGGATCATGAGGTCAGGAGATCGAGACCTTCCTGGCTAACACGGTGAAACCCCGTCTCTACTGAAAATACAAAAAATTAGCCGGGCGTAGCGGCAGGCGCCTGTAGTCCCAGCTACTCGGGAGGCTGAGGCAGGAGAATGGCGTGAACCCGGAAGGCGGAGCTTGCAGAGAGCCGAGATCGCACCACTGCACTCCCGCCTGGGCGACAGAGCAAGACTCCCTCTCAAAAAAAAAAAAAAAAAAAAAAATTGTATAGTGCCTTGTCTAGTGCTTATAATAACAAAAGTATAAACTGTTAAAAGTTTAAGGGAGAGCTGGAACAGGACTTAGTTTCCCTTACAGTCTTTTTTTTGTTCCCCGCCTCCCACCCCTCCTCTTAGCCATTTCTGGATACATAGTTTATTCGATCAATACAGTGGCAAGAGCACTCTTCCGGAAGCAAAGTTCCCCAGTCCTCCTTCTGAGTTCAACAAACTCTGAATCTTTCAATGAGCTGCTTAACTAGCCTAGCCTTCAGTTTACTCTTTTGTAAAATTATAGAATTGGACTATTTGTTATCTGGCTTCTTCTGTCTCTGACTTTCCCTGATTCTGTGGAAGTTTTATTGTATTACTCTAACTAAAAGGCAAGTGATTCTGAGGTAGACATTGGAATACCAGTTTATTAGCTTGCAACAAAAACTAAGTGACATATGGACAAAAATCCTTGAAGCCTGTGTTATTCATTTTCTTAAGGCAGCCAAGCAATGAATGTACTGTTTTGTAGATCAAAAAATCGTCAAATATTATCAATTCATAAGGTTTAACTTAATACATGAAAAGACAATAATAATCCATGTATACTTTATTGGTTAATTTTGAAATTACTATCATGTGTGTAAAAATACATGACATTCAAATAATTAGAAAATTCTACAGTATGGATTGACCAGCTTTGGAGTCAAAAGTATGCTTGTTGAGTATTGAATCAGAATAAGAGGCACAATCAAGCTACCTAAAGGTGTCAGAATAAGGTAGCCTGAAACATCTACATAACTACCTGGAGATTCAAAATCTGTTGCCTAGAACTTCCATATGCCATTTCCACCTTAGGCGTAACCTTACCGGTGGAACTAAGAATGCTTGAAACCTGTTAAGTGTGGAAGTCTCCCTCTTTTTTGCTCACTGCCAAAGTTGGGTTCTGCCAAAGCTGAGAGCCCTATGCCTCTCCTTTCTCTTTGCTTCCTGGCTGGACCCAAATTTCTTTTTTCTCTAGAAGATTGGCCCCTTTGGGTGACTCTGCATATCAATCTCCTTGTCCAGGTTGCCGTTTAATGCTCTAAAGTCCTTCTTATTTTATGATTTTTCTGATTTTTGAAAGAGGAGAGCAATTCTCTATAACGCCCAAGAACTGATGTCACATTTTGCTCCTTTAGTGCAGTACAAGATCTTTTTGGGCCAGAAGTAACTTTTCTTCAAAATCTCAGGCTGGGAAGAAATTAAAGTTACCTATGAAGTCACTAGCATACCCAGGCACCTCTACAAAGATGTTACCAGCTACTTTGCTGTCCAAGAAAAGAAGCACCAAATGCACCCGCAAATCAACTTCATAATTCACAGATGGGCATTATTGACAATGTACACCATCTGGCAGCTTCCTTTTTTTGACTAATTTGTCTTGCTAACTAGGCTCAGTTATGGTCTATGCTGCTGAGGAAGTGCCTGTGCTGTCAGCATGTATATATACACCAAGTTTTAAGATTGAACAACAACCTTAAAATCATTATTTAGAAAGTTTTCTTTCTCTGAATTTTAGTTACCCAGCCCTAGATACTGCTTTGCTTTTATGTATGTATCCTTGGTTTTTGTATACATGATGTTGACTGGAAAATGTTAAAGGATTTTAAAAAATCAATGAGAAGAAATATCTGTGGGGTGCTGAAATACTAAATATTGGGAAATTACAAAAGCCCTAAATTCCAAAAACCCAACTAAATATGCTAGCTATTGTCTGGCTTATAGTTCTAAACTCCTCATTTTATATGAATTCTGTAGACTCTCTGGGGTGGTCTACCCCTAACATTATTCTATGGTATTTCTATTCTGAAGATAGATATCATTAATCATACCTTTCTTCCTGCTCAATATCCTCTTTATTTTAACTAGGAAAAAGAAAATTATATTATCTCTTGGTATATAGTTGCTATAGAATTGATTAAATACAGTTTCAATAACTTTCTCATTATAGTTATACCTTGCACTTTTTATGAGAAACTGTCTTGCCTATTGACAGACTGTCAGATCTTTTTAAGTTATATGAGACAGAAACTTGACTCGAACTAGCCTAAGAAAAACACTAGCCTCTATTGATCCACTGCCTTGTAGAGAAGAAGAGCAAATGGCACCAGATATGACCAGATCCAGGACACAAATGGTATCTTCAGATTGCTTTCTCTCCACTGCCCATCAGCTCTTCCTCTCATTTTGTGTTAACCTCAATCCCCCCTATTGCTTTCAAGCTTTCTTCTACCAGCAGGCAAGATAGCTGGTGTCCACCCCATCCTGTAGGATACTAGCTTAGCATCTCCAAAGAAAAGGGAGCTAGCCCTTTCCTTTCAGTGTTCATATTGCAATCCAAGGAAAGTGCTCTGTTGGGCCCTGGTTGATCACTTAACTACCAGTGAACCAAGCATAGAAGCCAAAATGGGATGGTCTGCTCCCATGACCAAACCTTGGTCATTCTTTTGGCAGAGGATAGGGGATTAGGCAGTATTTGTCAGCAGAAAAGGAGAAAAGGATGCTTGCATATTAGGCATACAAACAGTAGCTACCATGGCTTACTGTACTATCTGAGAATAAAGGCATTTACAATATTATATCTAACTTCTCATTATAGTAGCCAACCACCCTAGATTTTCTGGAGCAATCCTGATTTCAAATACGCTATCCCACTGAGTGACCATGTGATCAAAATTTTGTATTGGAAACGAAATCACTCCATCCTAAGGCTTGCAGTGATTGGCTTTCACAAAAGCATATTTTGATAGTTTTTACATGACTTAATCTATGTATTTCTTAAAGTTTTAATTAAAATGTACTAGTGCATAAATTCAAGAGGAACGTGATCAACAATAGGTGATAAAGAAAGTAGGAAAACACAATTATAAAGAAAAAATAGTTTGAAGTTTTAGTGAGCCTTCAAACCTTGCCAGCAAATATTCCTAGCCATATATAAACTCGTATAACTCCCAAAACTGACATTTAGGCTACCATTTTCCCAGCACTTTTTACAAGGTCCTTAATTATGCTTTGAAATTTTACTTTACAAACTATTACTTTTTAATGAGAGAGCTCATTATTTTCCATTGGCAGTACTTCATTGCCAAGAGCTACCATTTCATAGGAGGTGGACAGGCTTTAATTTCAGCAGCAGCACAAGCCTCCACTATGTTTTTCTGTTCATATTGGCCCAAATTCTCTGTCCTTTCCCCCTGCTGCCAAAATAAACATTTCTCCCCAATAGGCATACACTCTCAACCCTTGGAACTCAAAGCAGCTATCGGGAGCCTACAAATTAACCTGTTCGGCCTCCACTAACAGATGCCACGCTGGCGCTGGGCACTTCAGCCAAACTCATGGGATTTATAACATTAAGAGTAAGTGCAAAAACTACAAGCATTCAAAAGACACTCATTTTATTTAACTGACAGATCTTGGCATTTTATGAAAAAAATGGAAGCACAAAACCCTTTCTCATTACCCTTCTCAAGTGATTTTTCCTTTTTCCGAGTACAATGCTCTTTTCAGTAAGTCCCAAATGAACACAACAACCAGATGTGACCAGAAAAACTACAAGAGGCACCATAAAAATGCATTATGATAAATGCCACCCAAAGCTTCAGGACCCAGGGGACTTTTCTCAAAGTCACTGCCCACCGCACGCTTACAACACATGCACTGTGAGAATGGAGGGAGACCCATAGGCAGATAAGACTTGTGGACATCGTGTGCCTTGCAATATGAGTCATTCAAGAGGTGCGGCTGGTGCAACAGCAACAGCATGTTTTGGAAAGTGGATTCAAAGCAGGAGAATATGTTTGCTATCTTAATGCCATAAAAAGAAAAAAAAGTACAACACCCCAGGCTTTTAGGAGCCAGGAGAGGGGTGGAGTGTGCAGTGTCTGATGCAAAATCCTTTTAAAGACTGCCCATTTTTCCTTATTCTTTTATTTCCTGGTGATAGAATAGAAAGCACTCCGTGGCATGCAACTGACACGTCATTTTATGCATCCAAGTGCTTTATTTGCTTAACTGTTTTTTTTCCAGCAATTTAAATAAATCACAGAGATGGAATTAGATTTTCCTGAAGAGCTAGAGAAAGGCAATGAGAGGCTGAGTCACAGTTAATTTCTACTGAGTTGATAGAAATTTCACTCCCTCCATTTAGGTGAGACTCATGTAGTTTGGAAAGTAACGTCTGGCATCTTATCAGCCTACTATAAAGGCTGCTTAAGCTCCTGACTAATGAGGCTCTGAAACGTTTCTAATGAATGATGGGGGGTGGAGTATGAAATGCCCTCATGTTTATTCATTTCTTCCTTGTAATGCAGGCTGATAGACCGACTAAAAGATTGAACACTTAAATAATTAACTCATTTAAAGTGTGAATTATATGCATGATTTGCCTGACATGCAACTTGTGAAGTGGAACACACAGTAAAATCTCTCCAGTAGAGGTGGGGAAGAGAGTAAGTTATTTTAGTTCTCGTTAATCTGGGAAGGAACATTTAGTAAGAGAATCAGACATTAAAAGGAATGGAGAAGCAGTGGATCAGATACTCAATTTTCTTCCTACAGAACAGTGCTGGCAACATTTTTCTGTAAAGTACCAAATAGTTAATATTTTAGGCTTTGCATGATGCATGGTCTCTGTTGCCTCTACTCAGTTCTGACAGTAAAGCAGCTATAGTCACAGGTAACTGAATGGGTGTGGCTATGCTGCAATAGAATGCAATTTATGGGCATTTATATTGAGTTTCATGTAATGTTGATGTGTCACAAAACCTTGTCTTCTGACTTTTTCCACTACTTAAAAATGTAGAAAACAGGCCGGGTGTGATGGCTCATGCCTGTAATCCCAGCACTTTGGGAGGCCGAGGCGGGGGTGGGTCACCTAAAGTCAGGAGTTCGAGACCAGCCTCGCCAACATGGTGAAAAACCATCTCTACTAAAAATACAAAAGGTAGCCAAGCATGCTGGCACACATCTATAATCCCAGCTACTCAGGGGGCTGAGGCACAAGAATCACTTGAACCTGGTAGGTGGAAGTTGCAGTGAGCTGAGATCGTGCCACTGCTGCACTCCAGCCTGGGTGACAGTGAGACTCCATCTCAAAAAAAAATAAATAAATAAAAGTAGAAAAAACATTCTTAGCTCATGAGCAGGACAAAAACAGTCAGTGGACCTATGGGTAGTAGTTTGAGATCTTGCTTTAGAAAGCTGAATATATATTTCTCCATTTAGTTATGGGATAACTATGTCCAGGGCTTGAGGTTACGATGGAGATTTATAAAATTGTAGAATGCTAGGTTGAAATGGCCTTTAGAGATTTCCCAGTCCAACATCCTTACTTTAATAATCATCACCAGCACTTCTAGTTCACTATCTATGGTAGAGCATGTATGTGATAGTACAGTACAAAGAACGGCATATCTTTGGTGATTTTGCTTTGTTTAGGATCTGTTTCTTAACCTTGCAAATCCATTAATGCTTACCATTGCTTTTGTTAGGTGAGGCTGATTCATTGTTACTCAAAGTTGTAACCTTTTTGAAGCCATTTTCCCCTTCATAGTCTTATGAAGTCTGAACATCTCTTCTCAGGATAATTTTTTAAAGGCATAAAATGCACTTGCCAGTGATTGTTTATGAAGTTAAAATACAGTTATAAAGTTATAAACAATGTGTGCTATGGTAATATATGCTTCTTTATTAACCCTGTAAGTAACAGGATCTAGGGAAATAGTGATAAATATAAATATTTTGTAAATAATATATTATGTCACAATGTGATATGACAATATTTGTGATTTGTTTTGTAAAGAAAGTCTCAGGTATTGTTAAATTCTCATACAATAGTGAAGTATATAAACCAGAATCCTAATGTATTAATTCTCAATGAGACATATAAATATCAAACACAAGTCGTCTTCATATTATCTTTACTTCATGGTTCATTCTGCAGATCAAATTCATATGAAGCTAGAGCATGGGGAGTTCTTTACAAGAAAGAAAGTAAGCAAAGGTGGTTGCTTACATGCTTCAAATAAATGAATTCCTTTATCTCCATAGGTGGAGATACCTAGACACAAGATCTGCTTAGATTTTCCGGTTGTCCTCTTCACTAGGCAGTATTTGGATGGACACTGCCAGTATTTGCTACTATGATAGCTTTTATTTTATTCCTTTTTGGAAACAACTACTCTGAGTGACACAATTTTTTCTTTCCATAACAATTTCCCTTTGGTTCATCCCCGTCTATAGTAAGCCTCCCAACAGTTTCTGGAATCCTTCTGTAGGTACCTTGCAGTTGCTCCCAAACAAGAGCCCCCTTCCTGTGTTACATGGCAAAAGTGACCATAAATATGTATGCACACACATGCACACACACACCTTCTTTTTCTGCATTATTAGTGCCCACCCCTTCCACCCCTGCTCATACACATTGATTCTTTATTGGCTATGTGATTTGCTTTGGCCAGTGGGACATGAACAAACATGACACAAGCAGGGCCTTAAAAAACCCTTGCATTTTGGTTCTTGCTTCCCTGTTCTTCTTGAAACCTGGGAAACCTTACATGGGCAAGTCAGGGTTTGCCATCTGGGTGATAGGGGGCATATAGCCTGTTACTGTGAGAGCATCCTAAACCATGCAGCTCCTGGCCAAGCCACACAAAGAGTGAGCCCAATAGACATCAGCTGAACCTGCATCAAATCAGTAGAACCTCCCAACTGTTGCTCAAGCTCCAGAGTAATAGTAAATGTCTGTTGTTTTAAGCCTTTATGTTGTGCGATGGTTTGTTCTGCAGCAAAGACTAACTGCTTACAATATCACTCTCTTTATTCTCCTGATCCATGTCTTTCCAGTGATATTGCCTCCAAGTTTATGAAGATATCGTTGTGCTCTGAAGGCAGTTTCCTTAAATACAAAATTCCTTCCCAAACTTTGCCCAGCATCTCTCAGTATGACTTAAATTCTCTCACTGAGATCCCAGAAAAGTTGCCTCAAGCATCCCAAACCTTACACAGATATTGTGTCCAAATAACCTAGTGGTTTAATTCTAAAATGTATCTCTTCTGTTATGAGGAAGGAACATGATAGTATAGTAAATTCCCTCTTTAGAGGCATTTGACTATGGAAAAATGCATAGCAAAGAGAAGGTAAAGCTTTGTGCCCCAGCTGCCATAATCTTGGTGCTGGTCCCAGCACTAGGCAGGGCATTGTATTTATCAATATTTGCTAGGACTCTAGCAAGACATTGTTGGTTGCCATCCCAACAGCCATTTCTCTCCTTTTTATCTTACTGATACAGCCCAGGTTTTGTTCAGGTGCCTCCACAGAGCTACGTGTTCACTAATGAGTTCCTGTCTTGCCCTAGCGGGGTGAGTCATGATTGTTCTGAGTCAGAATAAGTCTAAGTCAAGCATGGTGCCTCACCTCCTTGCCAACGATTGGTTCCCATGGTCATGTGATCCAATCCTGATTAGTGGCTGCTAGAGGAATTCTGCTAGTGTGCTCCTGGGAAAGGTGTCCTCACTAATCCAAGGGAATACACAGGAGGGAAGTTCCTGTTTTTAGCTAAGCACAGTCCTGTTTGCAAATGATGCCTAGCCCTGTGAAAACATTTGCAACCATGAGGAATAGATTGCTGACATGCTGGAGATGGTACATTAGCACCTGGGTCCTTAATGACATGGCTGACCTGCTGAATTAACCACAGATGAGTGCTCCCTCTGGATTTTATATAATGTGAAATAAAAGTTTTAAGCCATTTTTAGTCAAGTTTCTGTTAATTGAAGCTGAAAGTGTCTTAACTGGTGATGCAACACAGTACTCTGAGTTTGCAGAAAGAGTTTTGCCTGTGGGGGAGACTGCCACTTCCTTAACACTTTAATTAAATGGCATAAAATATATCTCCTTTCATTTCAAGCATGGTTAAAGAAACAACAAACAACTTATGAGACCAGAGATCTTATGAATCCACGTAATTTAATTTCTGGGGTGAGCTGCACAGCCACAGGCTTGATATTAATGAATGCAAAAAGGAACCTGAAACCTTTTGTTACACAGAAGCCATCTTTGGACACCAGGGTGAGAGACACAGGTACTAATAAGCAGAAGACCTCTGTTTCAATAGTATGAGAAAAAGAGGAGCAACACAGAAAATTGAGAAAAGGAAGCCTCACTTAATTTAACTGACTGAGATACACATCAGCAATGATTTAGAACAGCTTACGAAGTACCTACTCAATGGCTACTTCGCTATAGAAATAAATCAAGAAAAGATGTGCCCTGCTCCAGAGACTTTATTTTTAAAAAGAATTTGAGATATGAGAAGAAAACCGTGGTATTATTAAGTGCACGTTTTACAATCTGCGTTTCTCTCCATGGTTCTATCCCATCTCTGAGTAGGATTATGAAATCAAAGAGGAGTTACTAAGGGGAGGGAAAGGAAGCTAGAAAACTGGATATGGGAAGTAAAAGTCTAGAAAATAGGAAAGCAGAAAAACAAGAACGAAATAAACTAGTGGAAAGACATGAGAGAGAGAATTCGGAAGAGTGGGCAAGAAGGGAAATAATATTTATTGGCTGCCTATCCCCGGCCAGGCACTTTAGCATGCTTCCTTATTTACTTTTCACGACAATCCTGAAAAGAAAATATTTTTATCTCTGTTTTATAGATTAAGAAACTAAGTCTCAGTT
Source organism: Homo sapiens (assembly GCF_000001405.40). NCBI lineage: Eukaryota > Metazoa > Chordata > Mammalia > Primates > Hominidae > Homo > Homo sapiens. The sequence continues at coordinate 94,164,144 of NC_000003.12, forward strand.
AGGGCCGGGCATGGTGGCTCACGCCTGTAAACCCAGCACTTTGGGAGGCCGAGGTGGGCGGATCACGAGGTCAGGAGATCGAGACATTCCTGGCTAACATGGTGAAACCCCGTCTCTACTACAAACACAAAAAATTAGCCAGGCATGGTGGTGGGCGCCTGTAGTCCCAGCTATTCGGGAGGCTGAGGCAGGAGAATGGCATGAACCCGGGAGGCGGAGCTTGCAGTGAGCCGAGATCGTGCCACTGCACTCCAGCCTGGGCGAGAGTGCCAGACTCCGTCTCAAAAAACAAAAACAAAAACAAAAACTGTCTCAGTTTATATGGCTTGCCCATTTAAGTGACAGGACTGGAATTAGAATCTAGGTTCACTCTGTCACACTACCACAAATAAAACATCTTTGAGTATAGAAAGTGGGCTGCAAAGTCAGGAAGACAGGAGGAGAACAATAAAACCTGTTCTAAATAAAACCTATTTCTAGAATCCTTTATGCTGTATGTGAAACAAGAGACCAAACCAGCAGACTGATCTGGCGCAGTGAGTGCCATAAAGGTGGGAAGGGGAAGTGTCTGGCATGAAGCAAAGGGAAAGAAAGATGGGTTTTGGGGAGATGCACATTGAATACGAATGTGGTTTTGAGTAATTCAGATTCACTGGAAGGGGCTCTGCTATGAGAAGGGAGACAGAAAAATGGCAGAGGCTGAAAGATGTTCTTGGATTGAGGGCATGGGGGTATCATCAGCTGCATCAGTGACTTGATACCTGAGATTGTCCCACATGATCAGTAAGAAGAGGGAGACAGAAAAATACCTGGCTGAGTGGTGCTTCTGTGAGGTACCACAGTTTTTATATCTGCAACACAGACCTGTTGGATTCTCTTGGTCCCTATCTAGAGCTGAGCTTTCTGCCCAAGATGGAAGAAACTTCCCACGAGATAACATATCCCAAGTGCAAAGGGAATATGCTTCTGCCTGCATTTGCTGGGTTAGTTCTTCCTGGGGCAGGCGGCCAGCCAAGAGGTGTTGCCACATGCTACCAGAGCAGAAAGCAGATGGTGATCAGGAGAAACTCCAGAACCTCAGTCGCATATGACCTCTATCTGCCAGACCATTTAGCTTGGGTATTTTGCACACACCTTACATTCAATATGTTCCAAACTGAACTCATTTTCTTTCCCCTTTTCCTGCTCTTTCTTATCTTCCTATCCATAGGTAGTGACATGAAGACATGTATGCCAGAAACCATGGCATCATCCTGGACTTGACTCTTTTCTCTCCTCCTCTAACATAAGACGATTCCCTCTAAGCTTATCTCTTCAGCCATTCTCTCATGTATTAACTCCTTCATGCTCACAGTCACTGCCCTGTGTCAGATCCTCACCATAGCTCATCTGGACCCTTCCAGCTGGTCCCTTCCTTCTAGCCTCGTACCTTTTAAGCCCACCCCACACCCTGCCTAGAGTGAACTTTCTACCACACACTCTTACTTTGATGAGTAGTTCATGACCCACAGAATCAAGCTCAAGTTCATTAGCTTTTCTGCATAGTACATGAGTCTCTCCAATAACTGGCCTTAAGTACTTCTTAACCCTTATCTCTTCCTACACCGCTTTGAATGTTATTATTTAGCAGTACCCAACAGCTTGTGGTTCTCAGAACACACCATATGGGTTAATACCTTAGTCTTCGTTGATGCCTGCATGCCTTTCTCATCTTCACTACCTCGCTAGCACTTTAGTCACCCTCTCCAGTATCCAGGATATCAGTTGTCTTCTTCAGGATTCGCGAACGGGAGATGAGGCTAAGTGCTGCCCACCCTCCCTTTCTTGTGTGCTAAAACTGGAACCCTCATTATCTTTCTAATTTAACATATTGAAATTATCTGTTTCTGTATTTTCTTCTCTCAGATGACTAAAGAATTCTCAATGGCAGGGCCCAGGACTTGTTTAGTTTTGAATCCTGAAGTACTTAAAGTAACTGGCACACATTAGGGAGATAATAAGGGTTTATTAAACCAAATGAAAATTATCTTACACTGACCAGAGTTTTCTCTGTCTTCACTGTGAATGTTTAACACGCTTCATAAATATACTTTGACCTGGAGGGATACCCCCAGGTTGGTGACCTAGACAATACTTGTTGCACTGTCCAATTGATCTTCAACTTCTTGTTTTAAAAGAATCAGGCAAAGGTATTCTTTTTACAAATTCTTTTTGTTAATTGTGCAGATAGAATCTGGGGGGCTAGTGTCTAAGTCATTCCAAAAGAATATGCAGCAGTTATTTCTTTGCTAAATTACCATATAAAAATTGAACTCAAAATTGACCTCCATGGAATATCATTTTGAGGTCGCTCTATATCTCCTTGTTTCTTTCTTCTCGTTCACATCGAAAAGCTAGTCAGAGACTTCCCACACTGCAGACTAAGTGTAGAGTTGGCAGACTAGTCTTGAGAGCTTTAACAATCTGCAAAAATATATTTTCTTGAATTTTCAAAGGATGGATGTACATTCTTTAGACCTGTTGATAAAGCACAAGAGCCCTAGGGACTGAGTTTTAGAGCTTACTAAGCAGATGACTTACAGCAATCATACTTTCCTTGATACCAAGGATAGTTAAAAAACTGATGTTTTTCTCTTGCAAAAATGTACTTTTGCAAAAGATGATACTGGAAGAAATGAATTTTGTACAGTTTATGCCACAGGCATACCTGTAAGGTATTTTTTCCCATTTTATTTAGAAAGGTTGTCTTTTTGCTGTTCTACGTGTATACTTTTGACTGGTTTCTTAATAGGTGTGAAATTATAACAACGATTATGCAACCAGAGTAGTGAGTGCCCTGTATGTATATGGATCTAATAAATGCTGGTGTTGGCAGTGCAGTGTTTTTACCTCTCTCATCACAGTGGGAAAAAAGTATTGAAGATAGAAGACCTCATTTCAGCCCTGATTTCTACAGCTAATAGGCTAGGTGCTCTTAGCAAAGCCAGCAGTATTCTCTGGGTCTCAGTTTTCTCATTTGTAAAATGCAGGGATTGAATTTATGGCCTGAAAATCCTCTCTCTAGCTACATAATTGTATAATATAACAATATATTATAGGTTTTTAATGAATGATAGATTCTTGATCACTTTATTTTTTCCTTTTCTACTTTTCTATGTTTTCCAATTTTTCTTAGTATTTTTTACAGGCTTGTTCTAGGCAACAACGTAATAATATATGGAATTACATTGTTTCTCTGAAAAAAAAATAAATAACATTATGTAAATATCCAGTATAGTTGCCATTGATACCAAGCATTGTCACATAAATTATTTAATTATCACATCTACACTGGGAGTTAGAGATTATTATCACACTTAGAATGAGGAACCTAAGGCAAAGAGAGATAAAATAACTTTCTAAATACAACTAGTAAATTACAGAACCAGGATGTTAAGCTCTACATACAGCTTCCTAGCAGATCATACTGCTTCTGCTTAAACTGTCTTAAGAAAATGACAATTCCTTATAAGTGTTTTAAAATCAAATATGAGGAACTGGGGAATAAAAAGGCAGTTTGCTGGACTATTAAGAACAATGTTAAAAGAAGTCGTGATTAAAACACTTTAGGGTATTTTCTGTTTTCTAGTGGTTAAATTTTAACATTTACCAATGTCATAGCTGCCTAAAAGTACTTTTGCCATCTGCTTTTTAAAATCTCCATCTTCTGGCTGTCCGTTTTGAATCAAGTAGTATGTGCAAGTCTCATCATCAGTGATGCATGTTATGCTTTCTATGAGCCGCTGATCGCCATCAATCCAGCCTCTCTTCTAGCTGCTGCCCAGCATCAGTAGTAGATTTCAAGCAAAACTCGGCAGACTTGGCCTACCACCAATTCACGCTGCCTGACTTTAATTGCTTCTTAATCCTTTCATTAATCTCTCGTTGATCCTCTAACACAGTCTGCACAAGAGCTGTTCAAAACCTTCATTCACTTCCAAGTCCTGGTCCCATCCTTCCCTCTCATTATGAGGTGGATAGTTTCCCTTCTTTATCATGAAGTTGGAGACTATAAGCTATTTTTCTTAACCTACTCTCCTCTACATGTCCTTTTGTCTTTTTTTTTTTTTTTTTTAACAATCGATGAATAAAAAGCATCTTTCTCTAGGGCTAATGCTTCCACTTGAGCCCCAGATGTCATACCTTAATCACCTCTCTCTTCCCAGCATCATTAGTCTCTTTTCTCTCTATTGTACCCTTCACTTCCACAATGTTGAACTATACATTCTTTGACTCCGCACTCTGCCTCCCCCAGCTTACATTAGACATTTCTCCTTTATCTTCCAAAAATTGTTGTATTTGTCCATATTCAATATCTACAAATTTTCACCATCCATTCTTTCTTTAACTTCTTACAGTATTGATTTTGATGCTTCATACTCTATTGAAGCTACTCTCTCAAAAGGCCTCAGGGACCATTTTTCATTTTCTTATGAAATATAATGATCTTTTATAGTTCTTGCTCTTTTTGACGTCTCTTAAGCATTTGACTTGTTTGTTACTTTCCTTTTTCATAATTTTTCCCTCATTCCCAAGACATTTTCATGACTCCTCTGCTCTTTTGTGGGTTTTCTTTTCAACATCTCTATGTTCTTCTGTTATTTGATATTTCATTTATAATAAGTGACTCAAATATTTGACAACAAAGTTGTGTCTTTTTTCTAAATTTTAATTGTAAGTTATTAAAATGTTCTATTAGTTTCAATGCCTCAAATACACTGTATCCCGAGAAAATTTCATTGTCCTCATAAGTTTTCTCTTTTCCTCATGTCTTGTATTATAGAAATAGCACTACCAATGCTCCATTTCACTAAGCTCCTCTTCATCTAAATTCAATCAATTCAATAATATAATTTGACAATTATATTAGTGTTCTATGTTGCATAACAAATTACCACAAATTTAGCAGCTTAAAAAAAACTATTATCTCATTTTTTTTTCTGGGCCAGGTGTCCAGGCATGGCTTAACTGAATCCTCTGCTTGAGGTTGCATAAGGCTGCACTGAAGATGTTGGCTGTGTGTGAGGTCTCATCTGAATGCTCCACTGGGAAAGGATCCACTTCTCAGCTCCCACAGGTTGTTCATAGAATTTTTTTATTGCTTTTTAGCTTTAGAACTAATAGTGGCTTCCTTCTTAAAGGCTAGTGTGAGAGTGAATCTTCTAGGAGATCTATATCTATCTCTCTATCTATTAATCTATTATCTATATGAATCAAGAAAGTGACATTCAATCACGCTTACCATATTCCACTGGCTGGAGGCAAGTCATAGGTCCTGCCCACTCTCAAGAGATATACAGGCATATCACCAAGGGTATCTTAGAATTTTGCCAGCCACATTGTTCTTTGTAGAGGACTCAGGCAAGGGAAAGAAGTGCCTTTTACTCATGCTATAGGAATGATTTTGGAGCTAAATTAAATAAACACAAACATGCACAAAAGGTGCTTTAGTTTACTCTTGGGACCCTAGGGAGAGAATAACATTGAATTTGGAAAAACAGACAAGAAGGAAGAGTAGGAGGTGAGGCTGGCTCAAAGAGGAGTTGCCATAAACATTTTCCTAATATGGCCTAACTCAGTGCTTAAACAACCTGTGGTCATGGACCAGGATTTTCACTGTTGTTATTGTTTGCTTTTAATATATCTAATCTATTGCAGACCCAAACTTTGTAAAAGTGAAAAACAAAAAGGAGTTACTGAATTATGACATAAAAAAAGAAATCAAGAGCTTACAAAATATAAGTCTGATTTCCTTATATCAGATAAAACAGACATAAAGTTACCCTGTAAATTGTTATGAAAGTTTTCAAATGCTTACTTTGAATACCTGCACTTATCTCATTGAGGACAGGTGACAGTTTGAGGACCAGCATTGCCTACAGGCCATACTTTGAGCAGAACTGATCTCATTCACTCCTACAGCATGAATTCTCCCAGGTAGATTCTCCCTTTTTCTAGATTGACGTTCAGATCCTCTTTTCTGAACTTCTTTTGTTCATTCATTCACAAATGAATTATTGAATACTTACTCTTGGTCAGGTACCATGTTGGATGCTGGACTAGATAAAATGCTACATCAGTTGAAGTCTTATCTTTGCACATCTTAACCTCAGTGTTCAAATGATCTCAAACACAGCATGTCAAAGAGTGAATATATCTTTTCTCCAGCCTGCCACCCCTGCTGCATCCTTTAGTTTACGTGTGGCACCTCTAACTACTAGTTGCCAAAGTCACAATTTTACCTATCCATTTCTCACTTTCTCTTACTTTCTTTCCAAAATATCACGTCTATTTATATACATCCCCAGCGCTACTACATTAGTTCAAGCATCCACATTTCTCACTAGGACCATGGTAGTGGTTAAATAATGTTCTCCTTGACATCATTCTTTCTTCTCTCCATTCAGCGATCATGGTACATTTGGGAGAATCTTTCTAAACTCTAAACCTCATTATATCACTGCCTTGCTTAAAACCCCTCAGTGGTTCTTCATAGCTTAACAATGAACCTAACCTTTTATCAAGGTATACAATTTCCTTTATGGGTGAATTCCTGCTTTTTCCTCTTGCCTCATGTCTCCTCAGAAGCTTTGCTCTAGCCATACTGAATTATTTGCATTTCCTAGAACTTTCCATGCTCTCTCTTGTCTCAGGGTCTTTGTGTTACTGCTTCTCCTCCTTGACACATCTTTCTCCTGATCCTTTATCTGAGTATTTCTTTTGGTTTCAGTGCTGGATCATCTTTTTCCAGAAAAACTTCTCTGCTTCATTTCTTTTTCCTTTCTGTATTTAACCCTCATCATAGCACTGCCACATTGGCTGCTACTACAAAGAGGAATTTGCTGGTATGTTTCCATCACTAGACTGTGAATGCTTGAAATTAGAAACTCTATTACATTTTTGTTAATATTTTGAAAGGGAAAGATGAGGGAATTCTAGATAATGGGTTATTATACACATTTTGGGGGAAAGCTTAGCCCACTGAATGTGGTCAAAAATGGCCTGTCCTTCTTCTTCTCTTGCTATCTCAGCCCCAGTTTAAGATCTCATCACAGTATACATCAAGTATCACTATAGCCTTCTAATTTCCTCTTGGTATCCACAAACTTCCTTAGTGTCCACTCACATGCATTTTCTGAGGCTTTAACTCAACATTCAGAAATTAAAAAAAATTTTTAGTTAAATGCACTTGTTTTTTCAACACATTTTTTGGAGCACCCACTCTGTGCCAGCCGTTTTTCTTGGTGCTTGGACCATACCAGCAAACAATATAGAAAAAAACATCCATGTTCTTATGAAACTTACATTCCCCCCATGCTGTATGTTAGATCCCCAGAGCTTGTTCATCTTATAACTGAACATTTGTATGCTTTGATCAAAATGTCCCTATTTCCCTACTACCACCCCCTTGTCAACCACCATTCTCCTCTATGTGTCTATGAGTTTGACTTTTTTAGATTCCACATGTAAATGAGATCATACAGTATTTGTCTTTTTGTGTCTGGCTTATTTTACTTAATATAACATCCTCCATTTATCCATGTTGTTGCAAATGATTTTTTTATTACATTTCTGTTCACGGAATTTATTTTTTACATTGAAATGTATATACAGTAGCTCAAATTGTATAGATGCGATCATATATGGCTAGTAGACAAAGTCATACGTTTGCAAGTGCTATGTCCACTTTCCTAGGTCAGTTATCTATTACAAATGGATGGTTATACTGTATAAAACCATCTAAAGCTCTGTGGCTCAAATGAATAAGCTTATATTATTTATATGAGCCTATGAATCTGCTGGACAGTTCTACTAATCCAGACCATGCTCAGCTCATCTCAGCTGGGCTCACTCATGCATCTGTAGAAATCTGACATATCAACTAGAAGCTGCCTGGCCTAGAATAAGTTTACTCATTTCTTGCTGTGTGCTGGTTGCTAGTTGGGGTGATAGAGATAATTGGACCAGACATATCTCACCATCTGCCTGGGCTTGTTCACATACTGGTGGTGGATTCCAAGGGAAAGAACAGAAGAGATCAAAGCCTCTTGAGACCTGAGCTCAGAACTGGCAAATTAACTCCTCTGGTGCTTTCTGTTGACCAAAGCAAGTTACCAGGCTAGTCTGGATTTAAGGGGGAAATAATGGATTCTACCAGTGGTAAGGGAGGAGCTGGTCACATTGCAAGGGACATGAATAGAAAGTGAGGAATTGGGGACATTTTGGCAATCGATCTACCACAAGTTCCTTCTTCATAGCCTCAATTACTGATAGAATGCTGCTACAGAGATTTTGCTTGCCAGTCATTTTACACAATTATCTGACTTCTGTTTGTGTTTTATAACTTACTGTGATACATAAAACTACAATGCAAACCCTTAGATTTTTGTAAGCTCCTTGAAGAAAAAGTACATATCTCATTCATTTCTTTATCTGCCATGGCACAGAGTGCATTGCACCAAGTAATCTCTCAAAATATTGATAGAATCAATGATATGAACCTGCAATTAAAAGCACATGGAGTGTCATGTTTAAATGTCCCTTCCCATCTGTTTGCCTTAACAAGAACATGAAAACACGCTTTCAACATACTTTCCCAATATTATTTAGGTTGCTAATATACTTCCCTATTTGATGGGGTAAAGATCTGAAACACATTAAATTTATGTGACCTGCTAACAGTCATCTGGTGCCTTGTGGAAAGAGATAAGGATTGATTTCTTCAGATAGTTAAAATGCTGGCCACAAGCAACAAAAACAAAACAATGCAAACCAATCATGAACAGAAGCAGAGGAGCCAGAGATCTGTCCTACGCTACAGAAACACAAAACCTATCACTCATCAAACATTTTCCTTAGTTGAGCCAAGATAATGATGTGAATAAAGGGTTAAATAAGCCTTTACACAAAAGCATGTAAATTACTTCCAGAAGTGCCTAACTATCTGGAGATAAGTTCCTTGTAAAATAACTGAATTATAAAGACAACCTGTCCTCACTCATATAATTTGTGAGACACTTAACTGCTAGGAAACTCTGATACTATTAAAGGAGCTTTTTCTCATTTTTCGCCAAGGATGTTTTATATAAATATATGCACAGAGAGAATGATATTTTTACAAAAGGAAAAGAAAGAGGAAAGCTTCTTAGCTAAGGGTATTTGCTTTTTACATTTGCAAATGTATTTCTGTCAACTTTTAAGAGTTGGAAGGGAATGAGATAGATGTATGTTTTAAAAAAGTGACTTCAGAAAAATTGGAGAGAGGAATAATTTTTAGTTAGATTTTAGCTCATTAAAGAATATTCTAATTTCTTTTGGAGATACTGTATTTTCTCATATGCTAGTTACAAAGGAAAACTAAAAGTATTTAAATTAAATTTGAATTTTAAGACTTTGTTTTAAATGAAACCAACACCAATGTATACTGAAAAAGGAGAGTAGTATCTTTATCATGGATAACATAATTATTACAGGGTATGAATTCAATCACAATAATCTATAACATTAGTGGAATAAAATGATAATATTGATGTAAACTATTGTATTCATAAAAGTTATTCTTCTTTTTAATATAACATGGGCAGTCAGGTTTCGGTCTTATAACCCCAAATTTTTATTTTGCTTAAGCAATCCAGATCTTATTACCTTAGGCAAACACTATTCAGGAGAAAAGTGGATCATGTAAATACCTTTAATATTATTCATGAATTTTACTCCACAGTAGGTTGGAAATATGCTATGGATATTCTCTTATGAATGACCTTATTTAACTTCTGATATTGCATTTCTGCATTTTTTCATTATAATTATAAATGCTTTGATTTACCTCCCAGCTACAGATTTTGTGTTCTTTTGTTTCTACCTTTTGTTCCAGTTTTCTTAACTATGTTTCTCTCTTCATTTACTCTCTTACTGTTTTTTCTCTCCATCCTTACAGGCCTCTTGGCACCAATTCATATCAGCAGTCAGGAATGCAGGCTGAAGTTAATAAGCTTAACTTTAGACAACACACAAATTTAAATGTGTGTGTGTTTTTTTAATCAGCCTATAATTTATGACTACCTCACAGTGTGTCATCCACTGGCAGAAATGAAACCACTAAATATTTCTGCTACAGGACAGCTTTGTTAAGCAGTGCTGCTCATATCACATGAGATCCTTTGTGTACACTGTGACCTCAGAAAAATGAAAAAATATACAATATCAAAAACTAGACAAAATTACTTTTTTCTTTTTTTGAGACGGAGTCTCTCTCTATCGCTAGGCTGGAGTGCAGTGGCATGACCTTGGCTCACTGCAACCTCCGCCTCCTGAGTTCAAGCAATTCTCCTGCCTCAGCCTCCTGAGTAGCTGGGACTACAGGCGCCCGCCACCACGGCCGGCTAATTTTTGTATTTTTAGTAGAGATGGGGTTTCACCATTTTGGCCAGGATGGTCTCGATCTCTTGACCTCTTGATCTGCTCTCTTCGGCTTCTCAAAGTGCTGTGATTACAGGCGTGAGCCACCACGCCCAGCTGACAAAATTGCTTTTTATACTTCATACATTAATATATTTCCTAGACCCTATAAATAATATTTCCACTTCAGTGAGATAAATTTGAGTTAAGCTGAACATCCTTAGGAAATTGTGTCCAGAATTGGAGTAAAGATCTAAAATAAGTAATGAGGCACAGTGGCTCATGTCTGTAATCTCAGTATTTTGGGAGGCCGAGGCAGGCGGATCACTTGAGTTTAGGAGTTTGAGACCAGCCTGGTCAACATGGTGAAACCCTGTCTCTACTAAAAATACAAAAATTAGCTGGGCGTGGTGATGGGCACCTGTAATCTCAGCTACTCAGGAGGCTGAGGTGGGGAGAATCGCTTGATCCCAGGAGGTAGAGGTTGCAGTGAGCCAAGATTGCACCAATGCAGTCCAGCCTGAAAGACAGAGTGAGACTCTGTCTCAAAAAAAGGAAAAAAAAAGCATAACATAAAATAAAAAAATAAGTAAAATAAAATAAGACTAAGTAATACAATGTATTTTCTTTTATAGTTCAGCTATCCATACTCACGTTCATTCATGCCATTTGTTCATTCATTCAGTTAATAAATATTGAGCATCTACAATGTCCCCAGGCACTATCCCAAGCATTGGGGACAGGGCAGTGAACAAAACAAATTTTTTGATCTGTTGGAGTTTATATTTTTAATTGGGGGAGACAGAAAAGAAATAAATAGACTATTGATCAGGTGCTGATGAATGCTAGAATGAGCAGTAAATCCGGTGTAATTTTAGAGAGCTGGAACTCTGGAGGAGTGTACTTTGAAAGGTATGTGCTTGATGTTTTCAGGAAGAGGAGGGAAAACCAGTTTGGCTAGAGAGATGAATGAAGAGCGAGTACAGAGGAGATGAGTTTCCATAGGTAGGTGTGGGGGTTGGTGCAGACCCTATGGAGGAGACTGGGGGGCATTCTTGCTTAGCCCTGTGGGCCAAGGAAAAGGTTCAGAATGTTACTGAGTAATATGTGAAGTCATTAGAGGGTTTTGAGCAGAAAAAAAGATAAGATCTGACATTAAAAAGACCTTTTTTACCATCATAATCATTTGTAAGTGTACAATTCAGTAGTGTCAACTATATGCACATTGCTGTGCTACAGCTCTCTAGCACTTTTCATCTTGCAAAACTGAAACTGTAGACTCATGGGACCACTCCCCGCTTCTCCCCACTCCTACCCTCACCCCTGGCAACCATCATTCTACTTTCTGTTTCTATGAGTTTGACAATTTTAGATACCTCATATGAGTAGAATTATATGGTATCTGTCTTTTCAAGACTGCCTTATTTCACTTTGATTTTTTTTTACTTCATTATGTTATCTTTACGCTATAGCTTCTGTGTGTGGAGGGGGTATAAGACTACCCCCTCTTATACCGTGTGGAGGGCGAAGGTGAAAGCAGAGATCCAAATGTTTATGTTATTGCAATGCTATAGGCAAGAGATGATGATACCTTGAACTAGGCTGTAGCAGTTGAGGTGGTAGCAAGTGAATAGAATCTGGATAGATTTCGAAGGTAAACTTACTCAGACTGGGTGATATTTTGGACACATAATGTGAGACAAAGAGAAATAGGATGTGGATCGTTATATGGTGAATTTCCCAAATAACTTAATCATCAATCCCTTATTCATTATTGAGAATAATCTTTATAAAATCTGATAAAATTCTGCCTGCCTTCTAAAATAGCATGCAAATGCTAAATCAGCTATTTGATGGCTCAGGGTTACTATTTTGAACTTGAGTTTTTGTATCTGTTTTGAATATAGGTGTGAATATATTAAAAGTGTGTGAGAAATCTGACTGTCCAAGGCAATATGATACTGAACATTTTCCAGGCAGAAGAAAAGATGATCTGATTTGACCGCACAGCAGCCACACCCCACAAAATATGTTGGAAAATAATAGAGAGGGTCTGTTGTAAAGCAGTTCCTCTGTCCTCCTAACAAGGTTTACTCAGCATTATCTGAATGTGGGAGAAGCTAGTTGAAACCTGTGATGCAACGAAGCTAGAGAAAGTGAGGGTGGCCGTAGGGGAAGGATCTTACTTTTATTTTTTATTGTAATGTTAGAGACAAATGGGAAAAAGAATTCTATAAACAGACTTTTTTATCCCCCTAAATGGATAGGAATACTAAACATAGCCATTGAGAAATATCGTTAAGGTTTAAAAGTTATTGGTTCTTGTTTCAAACTATGCAATGAAAACCCAGGTATATGCAGCTTGAGATTAAAAAAAAAAAAACAGATGGTTTGCAGCATGCCACATTCCTCATGAGACCATATGAGATGTAATGAAAGGACACCCGTCTCCTAGGCTGTGCTTCTCTTCCTATCATTGTGTCCTGTATTCCCTTGATTGACAAGAGGAGAAGCAGCAATGTTCATTGGGAGCTGTGTGCTGGCTGTGTGTACTTTTTTTGATCATTCTTAAAGCATGTCAGGCAGAATTTTGCAATTAGCTGAAAAGGCACGCAATTCAGTTTCACTTTGCTGAACCCAATCTGTAGGATTGACAGCATGCCTTTAATAGATTCCTTCAGTAGATAATTAGACCAGTTTAACGCAAGCAATGCATGAATTAACATTTGCACTTCGGTATGAATATTCAGGGCTACCGTGCTTTTGGTGGTGTGAGTTGTTTCTCCAGGATTTGCAGAAGTGCCTATTAGGTGCTTGTAATGTATTGATTAGTACAGAATGGCACCAATTAGAGGGTGTAGGAACATCTCTGGAGTCAGAGATGATACATTTATTGGTGATATTTATGCTTTTTTCTGTAAACTCTAACCCAGACAACAGATTGCCTGCTTCAACTAGTCATATGCTTTGGTTTTGATGTGAATTTTACTTTAAATTACTATGCAGAAAACTACTAAGTTTCCTGGCTTTTCCTGGAATTATGCCATCTGTTCATTTCTCCACTTTCTATGAAATTTTTCATCTGTAAAATTAACCCAAAAGATCTCATGCTCTACATATTGTGAATAATTGAATAAATAAATAAACCAATCATTTCGCTATTGAAACTTATCTTTTGTAGTATTAAAAATGACTGTGGCACAGCTTGCTAAAGCATCAAATATCAGTTGCAAATTTTATTTGCATGTATCTGGGAATTCCAAAGAATTTTATGCTATTTACAAAATAATCTCTGAGAATATAAAAACTTAAATGTGCACACCTTTAAAATAAACCTACTCACGGAACTTGGAGGAGGAGGAAGGGATTAGGTATATTGCCTGAGAATAAATCCAGTTGATGCCTTTGTATGACGTTTAAAAGAAAAATAAAATTTAATTATCTTCCAAAACTCAAAGAGGTTGTATCGTATGGGAGTTGACAGCATGAATTCTGGAGCCAGAATTCCTGGAAATGAACCCAGCCGTAATACTTACTAGCTGTGTGACCTTGGGAAAGTTAACGAACCTCTCAGTTCCCTAACCTGTAAATAATGATGATAGCAATAGTACCTCTTTATAGGGTTGTCGTGGGGATTAAGGAAGTTTAATATATATAAAGCATTTAGAGTGTCTAGTACTATGTAAGCATTGTGTGTTTGCTCTTCATATTTGTTCATTAATATACATAAACTGGAGACACTTTGAAATGATCTTTTCTAAAACATGTAAAACATTAAATGTAAACTTTAAAGTACTTCAAATACTTCTTACTAACAAGAGGTTACAACTATTCACAGAGATGTAAACTTTGGGTCTCCTTCCCTTCCCCAGTCTGCAAGCCCGTGAGTCTTCCCCTCTGTTCCTTTCCCTTTTTAAGACTTAATAAGGCCGGGCGTGATGACTCACACCTGTAGTCCCAGCACTTTGGGGAGGCTGAGTCAGGCAGGTCACCTGAGGTCAGGAGTTTGAGACCAGCCTGACCAACTTGGAGAAACCCCGTCTCTACTAAAAAAATACAAAATTAGCCGGGTGTGGTGGCGCTTGCCTGTCATCCCAGCTACTCGGGAGGCTGAGGCAGGAGAATCGCTTGAACCCGGGAGATGGAGGTTGTGGTGAGCCAAGATCACACCATTGCACTCCAGTCTGGGCCACAAGAGTAAAACTCCATCTCAACAACAACAACAACAACAACAACAAAGAGTTAACCTGAGTTTTGAAGGTTAATGTCAGGTCTGGCTCACAGGTAGAGGTTTTATGGTCTGGAGGTCAACTAAATGATTTTAAATGTCCCTTCTCTGTGATTTTCAATGTAGCAGTCCTATATTTTAGTTATGCAGCAAGGATGCATATATGGATTTTGTAGGAACATCAGTTTACAATCTATGTGTTATCCCACTCAGGGCATTAGGGCATTTGGATCAAGATATGAAAAGACTGTTAAGAAGCTTCCTTCTGCTCTAATTGAAAATGCCCCCCAGGCCTGACTCTCAGTAGGAGGAGAGCCATGCTGCTGTCAAAAAAGTGAAGTAGAAAATGGAACCCCTCTGTGGAGAAGTAAGTGGATACCCTACCCAGCAGGAAAGAAGAGTTGTGTTACTCCTGAGGTAATTTAGGAATAGCCTGAAGGCTATCTATTCTTTCTTTATAGTTTTTCTAAGTGTTAAGTAAATAAAAGTTGCCTAAATTGAGTTGGTGAGAGACCTCAGCTCTCAGAGTCTAATGAACGCTGTCTGCCCATGAGAGCTTGGGCGTCTTTTGTCTCTCACATGTTGCTCTTCTAATGACAGAATTCTTATTCTTTGAAACATTGCTTCTGCAGAGGCCAGGGCAAGGGAGCTGAGTGAGGCTATGTTCCCAATATGTCCAAGAGAATTGAAGGATGCTTTCTGGCCAATACTAATAACGTGAAACAAAACTTATCTGTGGCTTTTTAATTGAGATTAATCAGATATAGTATAATAAAACTTTTTTTTCTCTTAATAGTGTGCATGATGAATGCCAGTGTCTTATATCTGCAGGGAAGTCGGAATATTGCCAAATCTAAAACTCCTCAAACTCTTCGGTAAAAACAATACCATACTATTCATGTATTTGTTTATTTAGGGAGATTTAAGGGATTGAAACACTTGATTTTATATCAGAAGTGCTTCAATTGAGATTAGCGCTGCCTTAACACAGGATGAATGCCTTGGGGGCATTCTGGAGATTTTTCTATTAGGAAGTCAGTACCCTTTTGAGTGTGTGTGTGTTTGAGGTGGGGGAAGGAAGACTTTTTTAACTCAGTCTCAGATTAAAGATAATCACCCTACGTGCATCAATATCGGGATTCTGGGAGATGCCTTTTGTCAACACATGGTTAAAACTGATTTCCCACAGCATAGATAAATTAGACTAAAGGTTAGTTTTTCAAATATCTATCAGATTAGACGGGAATGCCAGCATCACTCCCACTCCTAAATTTTTCTCTTTGGGTGTATATTTGCAAACAGAAAAAGAAAAAAGTTTTCTCTCTCCCAAGCTTAAGCCAGCTAGGATTTTCCTAGTTTCCCTGTCTTCTGATTTTAGTTTTGTGATTTTGTAAATTTAAGTTGTGAAATAAAAAACAAGATTAGCATCCAGTTTCCTACAGGTACTAGGGCACTGAACATATTACATTCTGGTTTTTTTTTTTGTTTTTTGTTTTTTTTTTTCTTTTTTTAGACCGAGTCTTGCTCTGTCCGCCCAGGCTGGAGTGCTGTGGCGCCATCTGGGCTCACTGCAAGCTCCGCCTCCCGGCTTCATGCCATTCTCCTGCCTCAGCCTCCCGAGTAGCTGGGACTATAGGCGCCCGCCACCACTCCCGGCTAATTTTTTATATTTTTAGTAGAGACGGGGTTTTACTGTGTTAGCCAGGATGGTGTCGATCTCCTGACCTAATGATCTCCCTGCCTCAGCCTCCCAAAGTGCTGGGATTACAGGCATGAGCCACCACGCCCAGCCCTCTTTTGAGATATATATATATATACACACACACACACATATATATACATGTATATATATATGTGTGTGTGTGTGTGTGTATATATATGTGTATATATATATATGTATATATACTTTTAAGTTCTAGGGTACACGTGCACAACGTGCAGGTTTGTTACATAGGTATACATGTGCCATGTTGGTTTGCTGCACCCATTAACTCGTCATTTACATTAGGTATTTCTCCTAATGCTATCCTTCCCCCCTCCTCCCACCCCAAGACAGGCCTCAGTGTGTGATGTTCCCCACCCTGTGTCCATGTGTTCTCACTGCTCAACTCCCACCTAATGAGAACTTGCGGTGTTTGGTTTTTTGTACTTGTGATAGTTTGCTTAGAATGATGGTTTCTAGCTTCATCCATGTCCCTGCAAAGGACAGGAACTCATCCGTTTTTTATGGCTGCATAATATTCCATGGTGTATATGGGGCACTGCACATATTTCAAAAGCAGGTTGCGTTGTTGGAAGAAAAGTGCGAAATATAACATTAAAATAAAGAGAAATACGAGATTTCATAATCAGCTGAGTTAAAATTTGGGAATTTTAGCTTGTGCTGCCTTACTATGGGGGAAAAGGCTAGAAAAAATGTTCAGAATCTTTGTGTTGCTCCACTTCTTTAAAATGCCATATTAAGGAGTAATCATTTATACAGGAAACTTAACTAAAGCTATACAGTTTAACATGATACGACACTGAGTAAAATAGGGTGTAATTGTCTTTTTAAAATGATGACTTTATGATTAAATTCCAATATGAAAAACTCTATAAACATGTAGTCAACAAAAGGAATGTAAAAAGTTGGAACAGGTGAAGTTACCCGTGTATTGCTAACAGAAAACATGTGCATTTCTCTCCTGCAGCTCCACTTTCATTAACACCAAGTATGAGAACAGATATTACAGCTACGTTTATTACTCAAGATTGTGCCTTTCATATGGGCGTGTGGGATGTGAGTTATGCATTAGAAGTTGTCACTATTGTTCTTAAGTGCGTATTCCCTGATGTACGTCGTTGCCTTCTTAGTTCTCATTTTGCCTTTTTATTTTTTATCTGCCATTTATTTCTCAGGGTACATACTCATTAGTAAGTTAAACTTGTCTTTTTTTTTAAATTTTAATTTAAGGCAAAAGTGTGTAGCTGAAAATATCTTTTCCTTAAGCCCATTTTAAAAGTTCTATTGTTGAAACGTTGAGTTGTACAGAATATAAATAATCCCTGAGTTGAAAGTTTTGTGAAAATATTTCAAACTAATATTCTCATTTCCTCCCTATTTGCTTTACGTGTTTCCCTATAAAAGATGTAAATATTGAACCAGATATTTCTTCCAGATCTAAGACCAGGAGTGCCTTGAATTATATTGAACTCAGCAAGATCATGTGTTGCTAACATTGTAAATAGTTGGAAATTTGGTGAATATCAAACCTAAATATAGTGTCAGACAAATCTGCCTTCACATCTCAAGGTTATCTAGGTAACCTTGCTCAAGATACTCAACCTTTGTGAATCTTGACTGCCTTATCTGTAACATAGGAATAATAATATGTGTCTATTTCCCCAGGGTTGTTATCGAAGACTGAATGAAATGCCTCATATCAAGCACTTTTCTTGGTGACTGGTCCATTACAGTGAGAAAATAAAAGAATTTTATCCGAAGAATGCCCGTCTCTTTAATGATCAAGCCCAGAGAGACAGTCGAATGAGACAGCAATTATTTTCTACTTCCCCCTTTGAGCTATGTATTCATCTCTTAAAATTGCTTGCTATTGTCACAAGTAGTTATACATTACCCTAATAATGCCACACCAGACACTATAACCCACACCTATAGCTTAACAACGTATAGCCAATCACTGATCAATGTTATTTCTGTAAACCTGTCGGAATTTCTGATATACAACTTTGTGTCAGCCTACTCCCTGTTTCCCTTATTTTACTTTTAAGAATCCATTTGTAACTGCTGCTAATCAGAGTGTATATTCAGGGCAACTTAAATCTCTGCTTTCCAGTTGCAGTTCTCAAGCTTGGCCCAAATAAACTCTGCTTGCATTAATTTAGCTTTAGCTTCTTCCTTTTAGGCCAAGGATAGGTACCTAACAAATTGTAGCTCCTTCCTTCCTTTCTCCCAAGGAAAGGAATTTGAACAAGGATGCTGTTGGTATTAATGTTCTTGCTTCTCTAGCTTGTTTTCATTAATGAAAATTTTAAAAATAATTTTTTATTTTGTTTTTATGATAGATAAGATACCCATTGTAAATAATAAATTGGTGATATCTTTACTATACAGTGGGTAGGAATAACTATTAGTTAAAATTTTTGCAAGGTAGTCTGATATGTAATAAGAGCCCTAAAATCTGTGTATCTTCAACATCCTTATCCTAACTAATTAATCGGAGAAGCATATAAATTCTTATGTAGCATTATCTATAATATTGAGAAATATTATAATATTTGGAGGCAAACTAAATATATGTTATTTAGGGATTGGTTAACAAATATTTAAAACATGCTCATTATTTGAATATTTTGAAGACATTAAAAATAATGCTGTAGACACTCATACATTTATGTGGAAAAATAATTGTTATATATTATTAAGAGAAGGAAATATATAACAAAACTATATTATCCATGTTAAACATATTTTTCAAATTTAATTTGAATAAATATATGTATATGAATGTTCTCAGTTGACGTCTCTCACTGGGTAATGTGGTTGCTTTATATATATATATATTTCTTGCTATTTGCTACATTTTGTTATTGTCAGAGTTTTAAAAAATGAGCATTGTGTAAAAATAAGCATATTTGGGAAGATGTCCATCATTTAAAAATTTCATTAATATGTAAAATTACTAAGGTAGCACACACTGAAAATTCAAACAATATTAAATATATTAAATATGAAATGAGACTTTATTCTACTTCCTCCATGCATTTCATTGATAAACAGTAAAAAATAATGATTAAAAAAGATCATTAGTAAAAATAATCACACTCTTCTACTCTAACTCCCTCTCCTGACAGCAAGCCACAGAAGTAAAGCACAGAACAAGTTTCCTCCATAAATAATTTGGTGAAAAAAGCCAATATATTTTGAGAACCGTGACGTCATTGTTAACTTTTTCTCCTGTGATGTTTACCATCGTAACCTCATTTGAGGCTTTACATGAATTCAGAATGAAAAACTCATTGCATTCGCAAAGATGAAAAACCGTTTCTCCTATGCAGAACACACCTGCCCAGCCGTTGTGTGAAATTACCCTAACAACATTCTATTGGAAGCTTGCTGTGACACAATAAAGAGGAATGTACACCCAATCTACCTAGACCAGACCAAACAGAGCTGTTATATGGAACGGGACCTGGGGAGATTTGACTAAACAGAGCCAGGAAATCATACCTGGTTTAAATATCCATAATCACAACTAAAGTTGCTTTCTCTTAATTAACACGGAATCACTTGAAAGGTGTCTGTTATATAATCCTGCTGAGGAGCAAATGCTTCAAGGTACACATGGTGGGAAAGAACGTTCATTTTTCATTCTTAGATTACATTAACTGTGAATGGATCTCAAGGGATTTAAATCATGTAGGAGCAGAAAATTACCCTTTTTAGCAGCTTTGAGAAGTAAGGTAGCAGTCAGAAATGTCATCACTAGTTGTCTTGAGCAGGATGTTATCACTATCAGTAAATGAATATTTTATCACATTATATCCTCTTAATTAGGTTTCACTCTCTTTGGGCCATCTTCCTTTTGAAGAACATGAGAAATTTGTAGTTTTCATTGCAAGCTGCCTAACAGGAGAGTCTGGAGTTAGTGGCCCTCCATCTCAACATGGGCAAGGCCAAGTGGACTGCCAAAGTCACGAGGCTCGGGATTTGCCTTTCCACCTTGGACAAGTCTCTCTACCTCTCTCAGCCTCAGCTTCCACGTCTGTGAAATGTGGAGAATTTATTTCTTTCATATTTATTGAGCCCCACTGTATACCAGACAGTCTGCTAAGCATAAGAAAAGAAGATGAATGCAATGAGAAGTTATTTGTCCTTAAGGAATGTGACTGAGACAGAAGGCAGCATTAAGTAGAGGGTATGGGGAGAAGAATTGCATTTCCTTAGTCCATCATTGAGGGTTGCTGTGAGAGGCTCAAGAGAATGGGAAAGGACTCAAGTACTCAAAGCATCAGCAATGCACAGGCTTTTCACCCCATCTTCTGATGAAATCCATAAAATAGCCAACAATATAAGATAATACCCCATAGATGCTCCATTGTTTCAAATATAAGGGCTTCTCATTTTTTTCCCATGAATGTTGTCATACTTTCAGATCATAATAGAATTCTCAAGAAATGAGTCATTGGGAAAATTAACTGCTCATAATCTCCTGAGTAGTTAATAACTTGCTCTCTGCCATGTTATTCATTTTCCCGTTGCAAAAAGGTATCTGTGATGTAGGTAAAGGTCAAAGAACATCAGATATAGAAACTAAAAATAAATTACTTATCTAGAAGTCATCCCTAATACATAACATTTTCCATGATTGAAAAATGCAATTGTTAGATTTTCATGAAACTCTACATTTTTATCTGGATGCCTGGGATTTCACTAGATTCTACCTGAGAGCCATTACACAGCAATGGAAGGCCTCCATAAGTAAGGGCCAAATTTTAAAGGAGTAAAGAGGTTAGTAGTTTAGATTTTTTTTTTCTTTTATGCCTAGTATTTAAAGTTGATAATGATGCTGACTTTTTAGTGCTTTGGTGAAATGTAAAGACAAATATTATTTGGATAAAATTTTGCAAAATTTGGGGAATGCAAAAAACCTTGTCCTTCCTTAGGCTTTACTCTCTAGGGAGTGGGGCTGTGCATGTTGAGAAGACAGCATTTGAGGACATTGTTGCCTTCGCACCTTTTCATTCCAGCATAAAGATGCATGAAGCTTGTTCAGCATTGGCATATCTAAAAACCAATCTATGAGAAGAAAACAGTATAGGTATAGAAGCAATAGAGAAGCTAATCAAAGGGTTTGACAATCTTTTAAAAATGCATTTCTCTGGAATATACCTGATTTTTCCTTGATGGCATTTCAAAGCAAGGATGGTCTAGAGACAAAATTGTTTGACCTATCATTGCCACGTCTGCAGAGAACTTCTAAAATCAAACACAAGATGAAAAATTATTGCATGTTCACTTAGGCCCTCACCTAGGTTTGATTTTTTAACTTCCCAATTCAGGATGAAAGACTAGCCTTCCATTTGCTATAGTGACTCATACACTTTCAGATGGCATCTCTGCATGATTTGGCTTTTTGTTTCCTGAGTGAAATTTTGTCTAATAACTAGTTGGAGTAAGAGAGCCAAACAAAATATCATGTTCAGAGTACTCAATTTCTGTCAGTTTTCATCTCTTACTGAGCAGTGAAAGATGATGCCTTGAGGTGTTCTTTCATTTTCATGATTTAGGGGATTCACGGCTATGGATTTTTCTTACAAATTCATGTCCTGATTTTAGTTCTATTTTCATTTCTTGTGGTCAAAGTTATTAGGTTATTAAAGAATTTCTCCTATTACAGCAATGAAATTCAGGAAGATTGTCCTGCCAATGCTAGGAATAAGTACTAATAAGACAGTGAACTTTTAAATTGTTTGAATTTATCATATTTATCCATAACTAAGAAATATTTCCAAAGCACAGAAAATTTAGGAGAATATTATATAAAATATAACCATTTTGTTCTACTTGCTTTACAATTTTTAAAATAGAATAACATTTTACAAAAAGTTGAAGCTACTCTGTGTACCTTCCTCTGATACAATAACTGAGAGAGGCCCAAATTCGTTTTTATCACTCCCTTGCAAGTTTTTACACTCTAAAACTGTGTGTATCTATAAAAAACATGTAGAACTGATCTGCATCTTTTCTAGCTTTACATAAATACTATTGCACTACACATACCATCCCATTATTCACTATTTTCACACCACTCTATGGTTTTGAAATTGGTCCATGATAATACATGTAATTTTAGTTCACTTATTTTAATTGTTGTATTGTGTTTCATTGAACAAATATATCAAAACATAGTTAATCATTTCCTGCTGATGGACATTTAGGTTACAAATAATGTTGTAGCAAACATTTTATATATATATACCTTTTTGTTCATGTGGGATAAAGTTTTTCTAGGACTGAATATTTTTATCTTCACAAGATATTGCTAAATTACTCTCTAAAGTGGTAGAGAGTAATTTATCCTCCTATCACTGTATAGAAATTCTGTATTTCTTCACATCCACACCAAATATTAGTAATTTCAGGCTTCTAAAAATGTCTGCTGACTTGATGGATGTGAAATAATATCTTAGGTTTAAATTTACATTCTCCTGATTGCTACTGAGGTTATGCATTTCTTTAATTTCTATGGGTCACTTAGGGTCCCCTTTGTGAATTGCCTCTTCATTTCCTTTACTACTTTTCTATTGGCTTGCTTGGTTTTTTTTAGAGTTGTTCTGTACATTTATGAGTTATAAATATCTTTTCCCAGACTGTAGCTTTTAAAAAAATTGTTTATGGTATCTCTTATTGACAGAAGTTTCTAATTTTAATGCATTAGGAATTGTCAATCTTTTCTTTTGTGATTGGCACTTCCTGTGTTTTGCTTGATAAGTATTTCCAGCAAATGCCAAACTGATCATTTTAATATAAAAAAAGTTTTTTAAAAATTAACAAACTTAATCTTTTTAGAGCAGTTTTAGGTTCACAGCAGAATGGAGCAGAAAGTACAAAGTTCCCATATATATCAATTTCCACAAACTCACAACTTCCCCTAATGTTGACATCCTGTACCATGGTGCTACATGTACTACAGCTGACGAACCTGCTTGACTCTTCATTATTATTCGAAGTTCAAAGTGTACATTAGGGTTCACTCTTGGTGTTGTACATTCTATGGGTTTTGACAAATGCATAGTGACATGTAGCCACCTTTGTAGTATTATATAGAATAATTTCACTGCCTTGAAAATCCTTTTTCATCCCTCCTTTCCCTCAGCTCTGGAAGCCACTGATCTTTTTACTGTCTCCATAGTTCTGTATTTTCCATAACCTACGATAGTTGAAATCAGACAGTATGCAGCCTATCCAGGTTGGCTTCTTTCACTTAGTAATGTGCATTTAAGTTTCTTCTATTCCTTCATGTCTTTTCGTGACTTGATAATTCATTTCTTCTAAGCACTGAATAATATTCCATTGTCTGGATGTACCACAGTTACAGATGAATGGATACAGATGAATGTATCCATTCATCTACTGAAGGGAAGCTTGGTTGCTTTCAAGTTTTAGCAATTATGACTAAAGTTTCTGTAAACATCTATGTGCAGGTTTTTGTGAGGATGTAAGTTTTCCATTCATTTGGGTAAATAACAGGGATATCAAGGAGTGTGATTGCTGGGTTATATGGTTAGGGAATATTTACTTTTGTGAGAAATTGCCAAACAGTCTTACAAAGTAGCTGTACCATTTCACATTCTCACCAGCAATGAATGAGCATATCTACTGCTTCACATCTTCACCAGCATTTGGTGTTTTCAATGTTTTGAATTTTGGCCATTTGCTGTTGTTTTAATTTTCAGTTTTCTGAAGATATATGATGTCGAACATCTTTTCATATGCTTGCTCACCATCTGTATGTCTTCTTTGGGAAGGTGTCTGTTCAGGTCTTTTGCTCATTTTTTAAATAAAGTTGTTCATTTTCTTATTGTTGAGTTTTAAGAGTTCTTTGTATATTTTAGATAATAATCTTTTATCAGATGTATCTTTTGCAAATATTTTCTCCCAGGCTATGGCTTGTCTTCTCATTTTTTTTGATACCATGTCATGCGGAGTATAAATTTTCAATTTTAGTGAAGTCCGGTTTATCAACTCCTTTCGCGAACTATGCATTTGGTATTGTCTCTAAAAAGTCATTGCCATAGCCAAGGCCATCAAGTTTTTTTTTATATGTTATCTTCTAAGAGTTTTATAGCTTTGTGTTTTACATTTAGGTCTATGATCCATTTTGAGTTAATTTACATGAAGGGTGTGAGGTTTGTGTCTGGATTTATCCTTATTTATTGCATGATTGTTGTCCAGCGGTATGAGCACCATTTGTTGAAAAGACCATCTTTGCTCTGTTTGTCAAAGATCAGTTAATTATATTTATGTGTGTCTATTTCCAGGGTCTCTGTTCTATTTCATAGAGTTATTTTTCTATTTTTTGGACAGTTCACAGTGTCTTGATTATTATAGCTTTATAGTAAGTCTTGAAGTCAGGTGGCATCAGTACTCAGACTTTTTTTCTCTCCTTTAATAATGAGCTGGCTATTTTGAGCCTTTTACCTCCCTTATAAACTTTAGAATCAGCTTTTGCCCCTCACAAAATAACTTGCTGGAATTTTGACTGGGATTGTGTTGAATCTATAGACCAAGTTGGGAAGAACTGACATCCTGACAACATTGAGTCTTTCTATCCATAAACATGGAATATCTCCCCATTTATTTAGTTCTTTTTTGATAGCTTTCATTACTTTTGTATTTTCCTCATATAGTTCTTGAACATATTTTGTTAGATTTATACCTAAGTATTTCATTCTTGGGGGTGCTAATGTAAATGAATGCTAATGTAATGTAATGTAAATGTCCTTTTAATTTCAAATTCCACTTGTTCATTGTTGGTATTAGGAAAGTGATTGACTTTTGTACATTAACCTTGTATCCTGCAACCTTGTTATAATTGCTTGTTAGTTCCAGGAATTTTTTGTTGATTCTTTCAGATTTTCTGCATAGATGGTCATGTCATCTGTGAACAGATAGTTGTTTTTCTTCCTTCCTCATCTGTATACTTTTTATTTCTCTTTCTTACCTTATTGCATTTACTAGGACTTCCAGTATGATGCTGAAAAGCAGTAATGACAAGGGATATCCTTGCCTTGTTCCTGTTCTTAGTGAGAGAGCCTCAAGTTTCTTACTATAAGATGTGTTAGCAATGGGTTTTTTTGTTGATGTTTTTTGATCAAGTTGAGGAAGTTCAACTCTATTCCTAGCTTGCTGAGAGATTGTTTTTTTATGAATTGGTGTCTGTGTCTATTGATATATCATGTGAGTTTTCCTCTTTAGCCTGATGATGTGATGGATTACATAGATTTATTTCAAATGTTAAACCAGCCTTTCAAATCTTGGATAAATCTCACTTGGTTGTGATATATAATTCCTTTTATACCTTGTTGGTTTGATTTTATAATATTTTATTTATTATCTCTGCATCTATGTTTATGAGATATATTGTTCTGTAGTTTTATTTTCTTGTAAAATCTTGTCTGGTTTTGGTGTTATGATGATGCTGGCCCCATGGAATTAATTATTTCCTTTGTTTCTATTTTCTGAAAGATGATAGAGAATTGGTATCATTTCTTTCTTAAATGTTGGTAGAATTCAACAGTGAACACATCTGGGCCAGGTGCTATCTGTGTTGGAAGATTATTAACTATTGGTTCAATTTCCTTTATAGATATAAGCCTACTCACATTGTCCATTTCCTCTTGTGTGAGTTTTGGCATGTTGTGTCTGCAAGAAATTGTTTCATTTCATCTGTTATCAAATTTGTGCAATTTGCCTGTAATTCCAGCACTTTGAGATGCCAAGGTGGGTGGGTCACTTGAGGCCAGGTGTTTAAGACCAGCCTGGCCAACATGATGAAACCCCGTCTCTACTAAAAATACACAGATTAGCCGGGTGTGGTAGTAGGTGGCTTTAATCCCAGCTACACGGGAGGCTGAGGCAGGAGAATCACTTGAATCCAGGAGGCAGAGTTTGCAGTGAGCCAAGATCATGCCACTACACTCCAGCCTGGGTGACAGAGCAATACTCCATCTCAAAAAAAAAAAAAAAGCAATTTGTGCTGTTCCTATGATTTCAAATTCAATCCCTAGAAACATGAGACATAATAATAATAGACTGTTGCTTTAAGCCACTATCTCTGAAGTGGTATATTTCATAGCAATAGACAACCTCAACACAAAGATTAAGTGTTTTCAATTGAAATTCATGAAAATGGGGGTGAAGATGAAATATTTTAAATTTGAAATCATCTTACACTTACCAAAAGTTTTAAAATATAACACAGAAAACTCTTATATACCATTCACCTAACTTCTCCTAATATTAACATCTTGCATAACCACAGTAAAATTAATGACATCAAGAAATGACCCTGGACACAATAATACTATTAACTGATCTAGAGACTTTATTTGAATTTTGCCAGTTGTACCACCAATACCCATTTTCTAATCCAAGATTCAATCCATAACCCTATCTTGCCTTAAGTGTTATAGTTTGTCTTCTCCAATCTATTACAATTCCTCTGTTTTTGTTTGTCTTTTATGATTTTGACATTTTGAAGAGCATAGACCAGTTATTCTGTAGAATGTCACTGAATTTGAATTTGTCTGACGTTTTCCCATGATTAAATTCAAGCTATGCATTTTTGGCAAGAATTCCATGGTAGTAATATTGGGACCTTCTCAGAGCATCACGTCAGAGCATACAGGATGTTGATATGTGTTAGTACATTATGTCTTATTACAAAATTTTAACGTTTATACCTTGGTTAAGGTGGTGTCTGCTAGGTTTCTCCACTGTAAAGTTATTATTTTTTCTTTTGTTATTAGTAAGTATCTGGTGAGGAGATAGTTTAAAGCCAGGCAAATACTCTGCTTCTTCTCCTACCTTAATACTAATTTTAGCATTCATCTGTGACTCTTACCTGTAATAGGTACTATTTTTGCCCTAATGGTGATTTTCTACTTTCACCATTCTTTCTACATTTATTAATTAGAATTTGATGCTAGCAAAATCTTATCCTTGTCACTCATTTTTAAATTTATTCAATCATTTATATCACTATGGACTATGGGTTTTAATCTAATGTGTCTTTGTTTATTTTGGTTCTCAAATTGACCTTGATTTGGTCATTGAGTTTCTTTAAGTTGTTCTTCAATGTGCTCCCATCAATTTTTAGCATTTTCTTTATTTCTAACACCACAAGATATTCCAGGATGGTCTTACACCTTCTCTGCCTCAGACCTGGAATCCAGCATTCCTTCAAGAACTCTGGTTCCTTTTACTGAAGGATGATATTAAGAAATGAAGGCCTGGGTATTCTCATTACTGCTGAAAAAGCTTTGCTCCTAGGCTCTCTCAGTGGACAGAGGTAGGAAATATGTGTATGTAAACTAACCTATGCATATATACATATCTGTATTTATTTTTATTTTATTTTATTTTATTTTATTTTGTTTTTTGAGACGGAGTCTCACTCTGTTGCGGAGGCTGGAGTGTAGTGGCGTGATCTCGGCTCACTGCAAGCTCCGCCTCCAGGGTTCAGGCCATTCCCTTGCCTCAGCCTCCTGAGTAGCTGGGACTACAGGCACCAGCCATCACGCCCAGCTAATTTTTTGTATTTTTAGTAGAGACGGGGTTTCACCATGTTAGCCAGGATGGTCTCGATCTCCTGACCTCATGATCCACCCGCCTCAGCCTCCCAAAGTGCTGGATTATAGGTGTGAGCCACTGCGCCCGGCCGTCTGTATTTATTTTTATATCCACTGATATTTATATTAAAAACTGATATAGTTACCTCAGATTCCGGTTCACCACCACAGGTTTTATTCTAACTTTCTTTCATTCTTTTTTTGTAATTCCTTTCTCTAACAGTAAGAAAACTCATTCTTATTCTCCACAATATATTTTCATATGAAAATTGACCTTTAATGGTTACCAAAGTGGCACTGTTTTTATATGGCCCATTTTGTTCTTACTTTTAACTTCAACTACTTTCCTTGCAGTTCAGACTTCATAAAGGTAAGTTTGTCAATAGAGACAAATGGAGATTACCAGCTCTGTAGATTATGCAGTTAAATAGTGCATAGGGATCATGGTTGAAAAGCAAACACAGACATCTAATTAGTGTTTTTAAGTAACTCCATTTTACTAGGTTAATTTCATATTGCTTCCAGAAAATTAATCACTTGATGAATCTTGTTGAATGCAATGCTAGCACCCTTCATCAGGATTTACAATAAAAATAGCAAATTGAGACTGAACATATCCAGTAGTATATGTCAGACATGTCCTAGAAACTGAAAACAAACAAAATTAATATTATGCATTATTTTAATTTTGTAAAGGATGTTGGAACACTCTGTCTTCGAATGATGACATACAAAACTAGCTTGCCCTATTCTAGTTGTATAATGACCAGAATAAATTACTGTCAATTAGGCATTTGCTTTTCATTTATATTAAGCTTAAAATGTTAGCTGTATCATTTGAATAATGTATGCACCTATTTTAACTAATAGTCTTATTTTTCTAGCTACTTAGTTTAGAAATGACAATTTTAGCTTTAAAGCATGTTTTGATTTGTAAATTTGTTACTCAATCTCTTTTCCTTATAAACAGATTTCTTAACATCCATAAATTTAGCAGTTAAGTACTTTTATTATATTCATGAAAGTCCTCATTAGTGAGGTGGATATCTCATATGATTTTTTAAAAATATAGAAATAACAATTGCCATGGCAAATGTGAGTTACAGACACAATATTCAGAAGGTTGTTTTAGGAAATATCTACACACACATAAAGGGTGAATATTGAGCAAAGGGTACCAAATTTTTGCTATCAAAGTATGCACAAGAGAGCATGAGACTTAAATTAGGGTAAAATTTTTAAATTTAATTCTTTTTTTTTTTTTTTTTTTTTTTTTTTTGAGACGGAGTCTCGCTCTGTCGCCCAGGCTGGAGTGCAGTGGCGGGATCTCGGCTCACTGCAAGCTCCGCCTCCCGGGTTCACGCCATTCTCCTGCCTCAGCCTCCCAAGTAGCTGGGACTACAGGCGCCCACCACTACGCCCGGCTAATTTTTTGTATTTTTAGTAGAGACGGGGTTTCACCGTTTTAGCCGGAATGGTCTCGATCTCCTGACCTCGTGATCCGCCCGCCTCGGCCTCCCAAAGTGCTGGGATTACAGGCGTCAGCCACCGCGCCCGGCCTTTTAAATTTAATTCTAAGCAGCAATGTTTTTATAGTGAAGACTGTTAAACCCTGAGCTATGCTCTTGAAGATGAGGTTTTAGAATTTTTTTCTCTCAAGGTCTTTATGAACTAATGAATTTATAAATTAATACATTTAGAATTTTAGGATGGGTGAGGTGTGATCTCACCTTAATGCCTTAATGTAGAGACATAGACTTAATGAGCTCCCAAAAGGCTGCATTCTAGTCTTGTTTGTTTTTGGTTGTTGTTTTTTTCTGAGACAGTCTTGCTCTTACTCTGTCACCCAGGCTGGAGGGCAGTCATGTGAACACAGCTCACTGCAGCCTTGACCTCCTAAGCTCAAGCAATCCTCCCACCTCAGCCTCCTGAGAAGCTGGGACAAGATTCTAAGAATGCCATTTGCACTTAGAATTTACATTGGAATGGGATCAAGAAGTCTCGCTGCTCCTACCTGTCCATAGAGAAGTGACACCTATAGAAATGATGTGAGAAAGCTCAAGAACACACATCTACATGTTGGTAGGTTTGGGACAAGAGCTCTTGCTGATATGCTGGTGTAGGGAAGATAAAACAGTATCTTTTCCTTCACCATGACAAAGTTTATGGCCAAAACAAAAGACAGATTAACAAGAGAAAAGCATAGCACATCTATTTACCCAAAGTTTTATGTGACATGGGAGCCTTCAAAAATGAAGAGCCAAAGACCCAGGGAAAACTGTATTTTGCTGCTGAGGTTCAGTTAAGAATAGCCAGTCATGTAGAAGTAAGATTGGACAAAAAGGGTATGATCTAATGGTAATAAACTGGGGGAACTTAGCAAGGCCTGTTTGTTAAGATTCATTTCTGTGCCTCTGTCTTTATACCTTTCCTCTTGGTATGGGGCACAATGCCTGTCATGTGAGGATCTTTAGGGAAGAAGCGAAGCATTCTTTTTGTGGTCTAGTGTCCCTGCCAAATCTCCTGTTAAGTTGTAATTCCCAGTGTTGAAGGTGGGTCCTGGTGGGAGGTATCTGGGTATGGGGGTGGATCTCTCATGGTTTGGTCCTGTCCTCACTATAGTGAGTTCTCACAAGACCTGGTTGTTTAAAAGTGTGTGGTACCCCTCTCCCCCACTCTCTCTCTTGCTTCTGTTTTCACCGTGTGAGTTGCTGCTAAATTCCCCTTTGTCTTCTGCCATGATTGAAAGCTTCCTGAGGCCTCATCAAAAGCCAAGCAGATGCCAGCACCATGCTTCCTGTAAAGCCTGCAAAACCATGGGCCAATTAAACCTCTGTTCTTTATAAATTACCCAGTCTCTGCCTTCAGCAGAGCACACTGGGGTACTCACACAGGGCTGTGGATGTCTGTATAGCAATGCAAGAATGACCTAGCTACATGGCCTCAGAGAATAAATGCAGGGGAAGGTCAGAGAGTGATGTTTCTATTCATGCTAAGATGTCGTATTTTGGGATACCACGTTCTGAGCCACAACAGCAAAATAATAATAACAGTAAAATATTTTGTATAGTATACTACATAATTTTTAGGATTTTGGGGGCCTATATTTTATGTAGCCATCGTATCAACTATGTGAATTAGTGAATATACTATTCTTACTCTGTGTTTAGGTAAACTGAGGCACAGAGATTTTAGAACACTTCTCTAAGTTCAAGAGGCAGAGTAAGGACTTGAATGTTCATTTTTCGACATAAGCCAGTGTTCTTCCAAGTTACTTGCTGCCTTTTGTTTGAGAATATTTGGAATTAAATGTAAATCCGACATAAGTGGAGATTACATATGTTTGGATTCAGACAAAACTGCACTTGTTGTGGGAAAAGAGGCATAGTGTTTTAGTAGCTGAATTTAGACCAGCACTTCTCAAAGAGTCCTCTGAAAAACATTAGCTCTATGAGATAATGGTAGGTTTGTTAATTGAGGTTTGACTCAAACCTTGTTAATTGAGGTTTGACTCAGCCTTGAGTAACAGAAAAAAAAAATCACAATTACATACACAAGATTGAAGATTATTTCTCTCTCACATAAAGAAGTCTAGAGCTTGGCCCTATTTGACTGGTGTGGTGGCCCACAATAAGGAGTCTGGGTCCTGCTGTCTTGCAACTTTCTTGTCTTTAGTGAGCCCCTCCTCCTGGTTCAACTTCTGAGGCTGTAGCCAACACTGCATTCTGATCAGCTGAAAGGAGGAAGGGGGCAACTGAAAGATAGGAATGCTCCTTGCCTTTAAGGGTATTTCTAAGTTGCCACACACATTATGTCCACTTACATCTCATTGGTCAGAACTTAGTTACTTGACCAGATGTAGCAGCAAGGGGATCTGGGCAAGAAAACTTTTTGGCTGAATGGCAATGTACCCAGCTAAAATGGGATTTATTGTAAAAATGAAGAAGGGATAAATGGCTATGAGAACTGACTCTATCTATGACTGCTACATGCCCATAAAGGTAAGCTCCATTTGAAAAAGAATTTTTTGTGGTCAAATAAGGCTTAGAAATGCAAGAGTAAATAAAGTTAAACAAGTGTCTTTAACACGAGGCTTCTCAAAGATGCCAATGCATATTGCAAAACTTTAAGAGTGGGATATGCTATGTAAAGTTCCTACACTTATTTGACTATAGAACTCTTGACCCATGAAGTATTTATTGGGATTAGTGGTCCACAGAATATACTTTGAGGAAATACTGCTGTAAACTGTTGAATCCGGAATGGATAATTCCTATCTGTTCCCTGCTGCCAGGTTACTTACTGAAGAAGGCATTGAGCCTTCTCTGACTTACTTAACTTGATTTTATTCTATTTGTGAGTCAAAGATGTGGTGAAACATACATAATGAGCATGACTGTGGAGCAATTTGCAAATATAAATGATTGTAGAAATGCCAAATAATTACTTTAAAGAGGAAATTCTTAAATTTTTGCCTAAAAATATGTTGAGCAATTTTCAGGTAATAATTCAGCATTCTGTAATACCTCTAGTAAGGGAGAGAGGGCTTTTGAATAATACAATAATAATAGCTACCAGTTGTTGAGCATGCAGAGAACCCTGCCTCAGCAGACCACACTGGGGTACTCACATAGGGCTGTGGATGCTCCCATGGCCATGGACCAGGCAATTCTAAGTTTACCCTGTTTTTTTGTATGTCTTCTTTTGAAAAATGTGTATTCAGATCCTTTGTCTCTTTTTTAATTGGGTTGTTTTCTTACTATTATTTGAGTTTCTTTTACATTTTGAATATTAATTCCTTACCAGACATATGGTTTGTAAATACATTCTTGCATAGTGTAGGTTGTCTCTTCACTTTGTTGATTGGTTCCTTGGCTGTGAAGCTTTTTAGTTTGATGCCATTCTATTTTACTATTTTTGCTTTTGTTGCCTGTACTTTGGGGTTCATATTCAAGAAATCATTGCCCAGACCAATATCATGGAGGTTTTCCCTTATGTTTTTTTTTTTAGTAATTATACAGTACAGTTTCAAGTTGTAAGTCTTTGATCCTTTTTTTTATTTCATTTTATTATATTTCAATAGTTTTACAGGAACAGGTGGTGTTTGGTTACATGGATAAGTTCTTTAGTGGTGATGTCTGAGGCTTTGATGCATCCATCACCTGAGCAGTGTACACTTGACCCAATGTGTAGTCTTTTATCCCTCATCCACCTTCCACCCTTTCCTCTGAGTCCCCAAAGTCCACTGTATTATTCTTATGCCTTTGCAGCCTCATAGCTTAGCTCCCACTTATGAGCGAGAACATATGATGTTTGGTTTTCCATTCCTGAGTTACTTCACTTAGAATAATAGTCTCCAACTCCATCCAAGTTGCTGTGGATGCCATTATCTCATTCCTTTTTATGGCTGCGTAGTATTCCATAGTATATATGAACCACATTTTCTTTATCCACTTATTGATTGATGAACATTTGGGCTAATTCCATATTTTTACAGTTGTGAATTGTGCTGCTGTAAACATGCATGTGCAAGTGTCTTTTTCATATAATCACTGCTTTTCTTCTGGATAGATACCCAGTAGTGGGATTGCTGCATCAATGGTAGATCTACTTTTAGTTCTTTAAGGAATTTTCATACTGTTTTCAATAGTGGTTGTACTATTTTACATTCCCACCAGCAGTGTGAAAGTGTTCCCCTTCACCACATCCACACCATCTGTTATTTAAAAATTTTTTTTTATTATGGCCATTCTTTCAGGAGTAAGGTGGTATTGCACCATGATTTTGATTTGCATTTCCCTGATCATTAGTGATGTTGAGCATTTTTTCATACATTTGTTGGCCATTTGTAGATCTTCTATTGAGAATTGTCTATTCATGTCCTTAGCCCACTTTTTGATGAGATTTATTTTTTCTTGCTGAATTGTTTGAGTTTCTTTTAGGTTCTGGATATTAGTCCTTTTTCAGATATATAGATGTACAGATTGTGAAGATTTTCTCCCACTCTGTGGCTTGTCTGTTTACTCTTCTGATTGTTTCTTTTGCTGTGCAGAAGCTTTTTAGTTAAATTAAGTCCCATCATCTATTTATCTTTGTTTTTGTTTCATTTGTTTTTGGGTTTTTGATCATGAAGTCTTTGCTTAAGCCAATGTCTAGAAGGGTCTTTCTGATGTTATCTTCCAGGATTTTTATAGTTTCAGGTCTTATATTTAAGTCCTAGACCCATCTTGAGTTGGTTTTTGTATAAGGTGAAAGATGAGGATCCAGTTTATTCTTCTACATGTGGCTTACAAATTATCCCAGCACCATTTGTTAAATAGAATGTCCTTTTCCCACTTCATGTTTTTGTTTGCTTTGTTGAAGATCAGTTGGCTGTGAGTATTTGGGTTTACTTCGGGGTTCTCTATTCTGTCCCATTGGTCTATGTGCCTATTTTTATATCAGTACCATGCTGTTTTGGTGACTATGGCCTTATAGTATAGTTTGAAGTCAGGTAATGTGATGCCTCCAGATTTGTTCTTTTTGTTTAGTCTTGTGCTTTGGCTATGTGGGTTCTTTTTTGGTTCCATCTGAATTTTAGGATGGTTTTTGCTAGTTCTTTGAAGAGTGATTATGGTGCTTTGATGGGAATTGCACTGAATGTGTAGATGGCTTTTGGTCAATATGGTCATTTTCACAATATTGATTCTACCCAACCAAGAGCATGGAATGTGTTTTCATTTGTGTGTGTCATCTATGATTTCTTTCAGCTGTGTTTTGTAGTTTTGCTTGTCTTTCACCTCCTTGGTTAGGTATATTCATAAGTATTTTGGTTTTTTTTTGCAGCTATTGTAAAAGAGGTTGAGTTCTTGATTTGATTCTCAGCTTGGTTGCTGTTGATACATAGGAGAGATATTGATTTGTATATGTTAATTTTGTATCTTGAAACTTTATTGAATTCATTTATCAGTTACAGGAGCTTTTTGGATGAGTCTTTAGGTTTTTCTAGGTATATGATTATATCATTGGAACAGCGACAGTTTGACTTCCTCTTTACCAATTTAAATGTCCTTTATTTCCTTCTCTTGTCTGATTGCTCTGGCTAGGACCTCCAGTACTATGTTGAATAAAAGTGGTGAAAGTGGACATTCTTGTCTTGTTCCAGTTCTCGGGGGGAATGCTTTCAACTCTTCCCTGTTCAATATAATGTTGGCTGTGGGATTGACATAGATGTCTTTTATTACCTTAAGGTATGTCCCTCCTATGCTGATTTGCCAAGGGTTTTAATCATAAAGGGATGCCGTATTTTGTCAAATGCTTTTTCTGCATCTATTGAGATGACCATGTGATTTTTGTTATTAATTCTGTTTATGTGGTGTATCACATTTATTCACTTGCATATGTTAAAACATCTCTGCATTCCTGGTATGACATCTGTGCATTCCTGGTATGAAACCCACTTGATCATGGTGGATAATTTTTTTGGTAAGCTATTGGATTTGGTTAGCTAGCATTTTGTTGAGGAGTTTTGCATCTGTGTTCATCAGGGATATTGGCCTGTAGTTTTCTTTTTTTTGTTATGTTCTATCCTGGTTTTGGTATTAGGGTGAAACTGGCTTCATAGAATGATTTAGGGAGGATTCCCTCTTTCTCTGCCTCTTGAAATAGTGTCAACAGGATTAGTACCAATTTTTCTTTGAATGTCTGATAGAATTCAGCTGTGAATCCATATGGCTCTGGACTTTTTTTTTTCTTGGCAATTTTAAAATTACCATTTTAATCTTGCTGCTTGATACTGGTATTTTCAGAGTTTCTATTTCTTTCTGATTTTATCTAGGAGGGTTGTATATTTCAGGAATGTATCCATCTCCTCTAGGTTTTCTAGTTTGTGTGCATAAAGGTGTTCATAGTAGCCTTGAATGATCTTTTGTATTTCTGTGGTATTGGTTGTAATATCTCCCATTACATTTCTAACTGAGCTTATTTGGATGTTCTGTCTTCTTTTTTGGTTATTCTCACTAATTGTCTATCAGTTTTGTTTAACTTTTCAAAGAACTAGCTTTTTGTTTCACTTATCTTTTGTATTTTTTTGTTTTGCTTTTATTTAGTTCTGCTCTGATCTTTGTTATTGCTTTTCTTCTGCTGCATTTGGGTTTGGTTTGTCTTGTTTCTCTAGTTCCTTGAGGTGTAACGTTAGATTGTCATTTGTGCTCTTTCAGACTTTTTGATGCAGGCATGTAATGCTATTAACTTTCCTCTTAGCACTGCTTTTGCTGTACCTGAGAGGTTTTGATCGGTTTTGTCACTATTATTGTTCAGTTCAGATAATTATTTAATTTTTAAGTTGATTTCATTGTTGACCCAAGGATTACTCAGGAGAAGATTATTTAATTTCCATGTATTTGCATGGTTTTGGGGGTTCCTTTTCAGTTGATTTCCAGTTTTATTCCACTGTGATCTGAGAGAGTACTTGATATAATTTTAATTTTCTTAAATGTATTGAGATTTGTTTTGTGGCCTATGATATGGTCTATCTTGGAGAATGTTCCATGTGCTGATGAACAGAATGTATATTCTGCAGTTGTTGGGTAAAATGTTCTGTAAATATCTGTTAAGTGCATTTGTTCTAGGGTATAGTTGAAATCCATTGTTTTTTGTTGATTTTTCTCTCTTTATGACCTCTCTAGTGCTGTCAGTGGGTTATTGAAATCCCCCACTATTATTGAGTTGCTGTCTATCTCATTTCTTAGGTCTAGTAGTAATTGGTTTATAAATTTGGGAGCTCCAGTGTTAGGTGCATATATATTTAGAATTGTGATATTTTCCTGTTGGATTAGTCCTTTTATCATTATATAATGTCCCTCTTTGCCTTTTTTAACTCTTGTTACTTTAAAGTCTGTTCTGTCTAATATATAAGAGTAGCTACTCCTGCTTCTTTTTGGTGTCCATTTTCATGAAATATCAACCCTTTATGTTAATTGTATGTGAGACCTTATTTGTCAGGTGAATCTCTTGAAGACAGCAGATACTTGGTTGGTGAATTGTTATCTACTCTGCCATTTTGTATCTTCTAAGTGGAGCATTTAGGCCATTTACATTCAACTTTAGTATTGATGCGAGGTATTATTCTATCCATTGTGTTGGTTGTTGCCTGAATACTTTGTTTTATTTTTCACTGTGTTACTGTTTTATAGGTCCTGTGAGATTTATGCTTTAAGGATGTTCTATTTTGGTGTATTTTGAGGGCTTGTTTCAAGATTTAGAGGTCCTTTTAGCAGATCTTGTAGTACTGGCTTGATGGTGGCAAATTCTCTCAGCTTTTGTTTGTCTGAAAAAGCCTGTATCTTTCCTTCATTTAGGCAGCCTAGTTTCACTGGATACAAAATTCTTGGCTGATAATTGTTTTGTTGAGGAGGCTAAATATAGGTCCCTTACTCCTTCTGTCTTGGAGGGTTTCTACTGAGAAATCTGCTGTTAATCTGACAGGTTTTCCTTTATAAGTTACCTAATGTTTTTGCCTTATAACTCTTAAGATTCTTTCCTTCATCTTGACTTTGGATAACCTGATGACTATGTGACTAGGTGGTAATGTTTTTGCAATGAATTTTCTGAGTGTTCTTTGAGCTTCTTGTATTTGGATGTCTAGATCTCTAACAAGGCCAGATTTTCCTCAATTTTTCCCTCAAATAAGTTTTTCAAACTTTTAGATTTCTCTTCTTCCTTGAGAACACCAATTATTCTTGGGTTTGGTCATTTAACATAATCCAAAACTTCTAGGAGGCTTTGTTCATTTTCTTAAAATTCTTTTTTCTTTGTCTCTGTCAGACTGGGTTAATTTGAAAGCCTTGTCTTCAAGCTCTCAAGTTATTTCTTCTGCTTGTTAAACTCTATTGTTGAGACTTTGCAGTGTATTTTGCATTTCTCTAAGTGTGTCCTTCATTTCCAGAAGTTGTGATTGTTTTTTATTTATGCTATTATTTCTCTGGAGTTTTTTCCATCCATATCCTATAACATATTTTTGATTTCTTTAAGTTGACATTCACCTTTCTGTGGTGCCTCCTTGATTAGCTTAATAATTGACTTTCTGAATTCTTTTTCTGGCAATTAAGATATTTCTTCTTGGTTTGGATCCATTGCTGGTTAGCTAGTGTGATCTTTGGGGGATATTAAAGAAACTTGTTTTGTTATATTATCAGATTTGGGATTTTTTTTTTTTTTTTTTTTTTTTTAGTTTCTTCTCATTTGAGTAGACTATGTCAGAGGGAAGATTTAGGGCTCAAGGGCTGTTGTTCAGATTCTTTTGTCTCATGCGGTGCTCCCTTGATATGCTGTTCTCCCCGCTTCCCTTAAGGATGGGGCTTTCTGAGAGAAAAACTGCAGTGATTGTTATTTCTTTTCTTTGTCTAGCCACCCAGCTGAGCTACCAGCCTCTGGGCTGGTACTAGGGAATGTCTGCAAAGGGTCCTGTGATGTGTTTCGTCTTTAGGACTCTCAGCTGTGGGTATCAGCACTTGCTCCGGTAGAGGTAGCAGGGGAGTGAAGTGGACTCTGAGAAGGTCTTTGGTTGTGGTTTTGTTTAGTGCACTGGCCTAGTGTTGGTTGGCTTCCAGGCAGGAGGTGGCACTTTCAAGAGAGCATCAGTTACAGTGGTCTAGGGAGGATACAAGCTGGATACAAGCTGGCCGTAAGGGGACTTGTTGTGGCCTCTTTGGGGGATGGGAGGTGTGGTTCTCAGGCTGATGGAGTTACATTCCCAGGGGGGATTAGAGTTGCCTCTGCTGCATCATACAGGTTGCCAGGGTAGTTGGAGAAAATCAGCAGGGACAGGCCTCACCAATTCCCATGCAGTCAGCAAGGTCAGTCTCACTCCCACCATATCCCCCCAGTAGCACCAAGTTTATCTCCAGGCAGCTGGTGAGAAGGCTAAGATCTTGGCCCAGGCTACAAGCCTTCTTGCTAAAAAAACAAGCAGGACTTTCAGGTTTTGTTCCTGTCTGCCTGCTATGGCTTTTGTGTTCCTATCTGCAATCCCAGATCACCTCCTCCCCGAGATTTGGTCCAGGAAACTTTGCTTTGGTTGAAATTGTTACAAAGTTCAGCTGGAAGTTTCTTTCTCCCTGTGGTCTTTCCCTAATTCCACTAGGAGCCCTCCCCAAGGACCCTTGTGAGACAAAGTCAGAAATAGCTTCACTGGGGAACAAGAGTGCCCACAGGGCTCTTCCTGCTGCTTCCTCTACCCCTATATTTTTCCCAGCTCTCTAAATTCATCTCCACTCCCAGTAAGGTCAAATCCTCTCCCATAATTAGATCCTTCAGGTTTCCCAGTGAGGATGTGCGTTTGGGGGCAGATGTTCTATCTTTCACACTTTGAACACTCACAACTTTTCAGCTGTCTCATGGAGCCTGCAGCAGCAGGCCCTTCAATCCATTTTGAGTTCATTTTTGCATATGGTGTGAGATAAGGGTCTAATTTCAGTCTTCTACTTGTGAATATCCAGTTGTCCCAACACCATTTATTGAAGAAACCATCTTTTCCCTTTTGTGTTCTTGGCACCTTTGTCAAAATCAATTGACCAAAAATGCATGGATTTATTTGTGTGCTCTCTAGTCAGCTTCATTTCTCTATGGGTCAATTTTTATGCCAGTGCTATGCTATTTTGACTCCTAGAGCTTTGGCCATCAGATATTTGAAAAAACGCTCAAAATTGCCAATCATCAGAAACTGCAAATTAAAACCATAATGAGATATCTATCACCTTGCACCTGTGAAAATACCTATTATCAAAATGACAAAAGAAAGTGTTGCAGACAATATGGAGAAGAGGGAACCCTTGTACATTGTTAGTGGGAATATAAATTAGTGCAGCCATTATGGAAAACAGTAAGGAATCTCTTCAAAAAATTAACAATAGAACTGCCTTATGACCCAGCAATCCCACTATGTCCAAAGAATATGAAATCACTATGTTAAAGCGATACTTGCACTCCCATATTCATTGCAGCATTATTCACAATAGCCAAGATAAGGAATCAACCTAAAGGTCCATTAATAGATAAATTGATAAAGAAAATGTGATATGTAGACACAATAGAGCACTATTTACTTAAAAAGGAAGAAAATGTTATCATTTGCAACAACACAGATGAACCTGGAGGACATTATGTTAAGTGACATGCGTCAGATAGAGAGACAGATACCAAGGGATCTCATTCACATGTGGAGTGTAGAAAAAGTTGAACTCATGTAAATAGAGAATAAACTTATGGTTACCACAGGCTGGGGGAAGGAGGTTGGAGATATGTTGGTCAAATGATAACAAAATTTTAGTTAGATAGGAAGAATAAGTTCAATAGATCTATTGTACAACATGATAATCATAGTTAATAACAATGTATTCTGTTCTTGAAAATTGCTGAGAGTGGATTTTATGTGTTCTCACCACACAAAGAAATAACTAAATGTGGTAATGTGCATGTTAATTAGCTCGCTTGAGCCATTCCACAATGTATACCTATTTCAAAACAAAATGTTGTACAGAATAAATATATTCAACTTTTATTTATCAATTTAAAAAGTAAATAAATACATTTTGATTAAATTTAAAAATAAGTAAATAAATACATTTACCTGGAAATGGCGCTGTTCTTCCCTGGATTTCACTCTTTCAATCTTTTCCATGACTGGGTTACACCTTTTTTCTCTCCCTCTCTTCCATCTTATCCTCCTTCGTCCTCACTTTCTGCATATGACCTGTTTGCTACTCCACAGAACACTCAGAACACTCCAGAGATAACTTCCAGACTTCTCCCTTACCTGCTGACCAGGCTTTAGACCTGCATGCTTAATTTTATCACCTGTGAAGAATAACTACACACATTTCTATTCCAATGTCAGTCCCTCCCCTTGGGCACTAAATTTTATCCCTCTTGCTCACTCAAGGGCATTACTGCCATGATACTTACTTTCGTCTCTCACATCACCATGTATTTCCTCTTTACTGGTCTGTTCCCATTTATACACAAACCTTCTTCTTCCCCACCCCATCTTAAAAAAAAAAGAAAAAAAACCCTACTCTTTCTCTTCGCTCCATTTTTCTGCTCCAGTTTACTAGAAACTCCGTGCTGCCTCCAAGTTTTCTCCACTCTTCATCTTTAAAGCTCCCCAGTCAGGGTTTTGCCCCTACCTCTCCTCTTAAACTGTTCTTGTCCAGGTCCTCAGTGATGGTCATGTCGCTAAAAGCAATGGCCACTTCTCAGCCTCCTCCTTCTTGGTGCAGTAGGTTGTTCCTTTCTCATAGACTTTCATCATCTAGCTTCTGGAACATTGCTTTCTCCTGGTTTTCTTTCTACCTCAGTGGGCAATTTTCTGATTAAAAAATACAGTACAGAAGTCATTTACTGTGCCAAAATAGAGGGTCAATATGAAGTCTTTTTCTAGATTTGAAAAACAAAACAGACTGATCCAGAGAAGGTTATTTAGATTCTCTGTTAGTTGCTTCAGGCATAATGATAAGGTTTTGGACTACATTGTCTTGAAATTATCCTGCACTGTCCTGATTCTTGGAAAGCATTATATGGTTTAAAATATGTCAAGCAAAGAGGCAAAATACTGTGTTCCAGTGTACAATCCATTGTATTCACACTGGAGGCTTAGGTTAATCTCATAGCTTTTCTAAGCCTTAGTCAGCTCATCTGTTACATGGGGAATAATAAAATCTTGTTGGCCTATCTAAACAAAATGGCTATAAAAATAAAAACAAATGGAATTATATGAAATTACCTCAAGAATGCTGCAATACTATATGATAAGAAAGGGAAAGATTACCTCAAATCTTAGAATGAAAGAGGCAAATTCACAAAACAGCAGAATATTTTACTATACAGATTTTATGATATGATATTCATTACCTCTCTCAGTCATCACCATTATAGAAAATGGCAACTTTGTCTTTCCTGTGGCATTGGCCAAAACCTTGCGATGATCCATTCTATTCTCTTGCTCTCACAGTCAACTCAATAGGAAAATACTTCCATTTCTACCTCCAAAATCTCTCTGCAATCCAACTACTTCTCACCAATCTCACCACAATTTGCCACCATCTCTCTGATACGTACCACCAGCATCCTTCACAAGGACTGTTGCCACAGCACCCTAGTCTCTAGCTTATGCCTTATCCCGTGTAGTCTATTCTCTACAAATCAGCCAGAGTGGTCCTGTTAATTAACATTGGCGATTATGTTATTTTTTTGCTCAACACCTTTTAAAGGCTTTTGATTTCACTTAAACTAAAAGGGGAAATCCTCACAATGGCCTATAAGAGCACACTCCTCTCTTTTTTACAACTCTGACTCATCTATTACTGCTGTCTTCATCCTATATGTGACTGTAGACACACTGGTCTTTCAGTTCATTTCTTCTGCCAGAAATATACTTTTCTCAAATTTCCAAATGATTAACTCCCTCCATTTCTAAAAATTTTTGCTCAAGTGTCATTTTCTTAATGAGGCTTACCCTGGCCATTCTATTTAAAATTGCAATCTGTTCCATCACTGGGACACTTCTAATCCCCTCTCCTTGGTTTATACTTTTCTTTATCATTGTCTTCCTCTAATATTCTATACCATTTATATATTTATTATCTTTCTCCCTTTTCCAGTGCAATGACGCATACATTTTTATCTTTTCTTTTTCCCCACTAAGGTATCTCAAGCACCCAAGAGAGTGCCTGGTACAGAGAAGGTGTTCAATATTTCTTAAATATTAAAAGATTGAGCTCTGAAGGCAATACTGCCAAGTGAGTATTATGTCTATTATATCTGTTTTACAGCTACATAAACTGAGCTGTGGGTGTCAGATGACTTCTCCAACACCAGTCAGTGAGGAAGCTGCCTGGCTGGGGATCAAGTCAGAGTCTTTGCATTGTACCACTATAGTGTCTCATTTTGTATGATGATTCTGATTGCTATGTCCAAAGCCAGAGAATGAGAATGTTTCAAAAAGAGGGGATTGCCAATGGGCCCAAAAGCTTTTAGAAATGCCAGAAAGAAGGAAGATTGTGAAAAAAAGGCTCTGGTTCTTTGTAACTAGGTAATAGAGTGCCCTTTGCCAAAGTAGCATTAGAGCCAAATTCAGAAATGGTGAATGAGGCAGTGAATGGAAAGTAAGGAAAATAAAAGAGTGAGTAGTTGATACTCTTAAAAATTCTGGGGATGAAAAGAGGGAGAAAATACTATAGTTATATGGTGCTATGGTTTGAATGTTTGTTCTCCTTAAAACTCGTGTTGAAACTTCATCCCCAAAGTGGCAATATTGAAAAGTGGGGACTTTAAGAAATGATTGGGTCATGAAACCAGAACTCTCATGATTAATCCACTCATGGATTAATAAATTAGTGGGTCAGTGGTTTAACAGGTTATCATGAGAGTGGCATTAGTTACTTTGGAGGAAGAGAGACTTGAACTAGCATACTCAGCCCCCTTGCCATGAGGTGTCCTGTGCTGCCTCAGGACTGCAAAGTCACCAACAGCAAGAAGGCCCTCACCAAATGCAACCCCTCAACCTTGGACTTCTCAGCCTCCATAACTGCAAGAAATAAATTCCTTTTCTTTATAAATTACTCTGTTTCAGGTATTTTGTTATGAGCAACAGAAAGTGGACTAAGTCATGGGGAAAGGAAAAATCATTTTGGGGATGAGTAAGATTTAAGCATATTCATAGAAGGAGTAAAAGAAAGTTAAAGCAGATAAAAATACAGATATGAGTATAGACATGAATGGAAGGGACTGCTTTTTAAAAACAGCTAACTTACTAGGTGAATTCACAGAATGTTCTGGCCCATGTTTTATTGGCTATATTGTGAGGCATTAGGCCTGTGGCAAAGTGAT
Source organism: Homo sapiens (assembly GCF_000001405.40). Classification (NCBI taxonomy): domain Eukaryota; kingdom Metazoa; phylum Chordata; class Mammalia; order Primates; family Hominidae; genus Homo; species Homo sapiens. The sequence goes on from NC_000003.12 coordinate 94,208,029, forward strand.
AATTAAATTATCCCACTACTTCCTTTTTTTTGTCCCTCAGAAGAAACTCTTTCCATTTTTCCCAGAATTTTTTCAAGTTACAACTTTTCTCAGTCCTCCTATCTCAGTTGTAAATACAACTGTCTTCTCTCTGTGAAGCGGATGACATTGTCTGCTATCTTAGTGAGAAAAGAAATACCAGAAGGCATGAGTTCTTTCAATTCATCTCCTCACCTCTGATCCCACATTTATTGTCATTGACCTTACCTCCTGCCCTTTCAGCTCAGTGGAAAGGTATCCCACTTTTTCTCCAAGTTTGAAATAGAAAGCTAGAGTTATAATTTTTCTTCAAAGATTTTATCATTTTTTTGTTCTGAAATTCTGTTCTCTAAGTTCCTTGTATATACTTATAAACAAGATATCCTATGTATAATATACTCCCACTAGATATCACTTTCCTGAACTTCCAACCAACATTTAATAATTTTCTGTATTCAACAACAATGTATTTCTACTGCACTGGGAATTGTGATTGGCATTGGAAAATCTCAAGGTGAATAATTTCAGGAATATAGATTACAATAGCTAGAAATATAAACAGATAATGCATTAAGTGTAATAATGCAGATTTCACAGTAAAATGGACTTCAGTGGGCGCTCTTCCCATTTGTTTTTGAGTAACAGATTTACTTTGTTCTTCTAAGCTCATTTGAATTGGGTTTCTGTGGTTGGAGAAAAGCAATACTGATTATTAATAGGCTCAAGTATATCTAACTCATTAGACAGTGGGGGAGAATCCCAGGACAGCTTTGTGGAAAAAGTCATGTTTGCACTGGGCTTAAGAAATGAGTAAGAATTAGGCATTAGCTAGAGGAAGCGAGGGGATAAAGTTGGGTTAGAAGAGGTAATCAGGGCAGAAGAAACAGCATGAGCAGAGGTTTTGCAGGAAGACACAGTGTAGTGTGTGTGTAAAAAAAATGTCAGCTGGTATTCCTAGAGAGTAAAGCAGATGGCAGGGAACAGCAGATGAAAAGACTGAAGAAATAATAGGAATGAGAGAATGCAGGATGTCAATAGGCCATATGTCTTTAGGTAGAGAGAAGTTAAGCTGAGGAGTCACATGACCAGGTTTCTCTATGAAGGATAGATATGAAGAGGGCAAGTCTTGCAATGTAACATCTTTAATCTCAAACCAACTTTCAGATTACCAGTTCCTCCTTAGCTTTTCACTTCTCCATTATTTACTTTTTTCTGAAAAAAAAAAAAAAAAAAAAAAAAGCATTTGTGGCTCACTGTTGCTTAAAAATGTTGACCTTTATTTCTCCTCCCCCTGAACATCTCACGTAAATATTTAAAATCATATTCAACAATTTTTCTTTGTAATTGGAAGAAGAGAATTAAATTTGGGATGAGGGGAAAGGCTGAAAAGGAAAAAAAAGTAAAACAGGAAGGAGAAAAGGACATTTGTCTCTCATCAGTTCCTTTGAACTGATTTTGAATCCCGTTTTGAGAGTGAAAGATGAAACCAGAGTGATGGTCCTAGGGTATAAGACATTTTATCCAAGATTGTTGGGACCAGTAGTTACTTAGTCAAAAAGTTTTATAATATATGGAATGACAATCTTAAAATAAGTATATTTATCTTATAATTTTGGTTTAACCTACCTTAGTCCCTTTGGTGTTGCTATAAAGGAATACCTGAGGCTAAATAATTTATAAAGAAAAAGGTTTTATTTGGCTCATGATTATAACAGCTGGAAAGTTAAAATTGGGCACCTGCATCTGGTGAGGGCCTCAGGCTTCTTCCACTCATGGTGGAAGATGAAGGAGAGCCAGTGTGTGCAAAGATCACGTGGTGAGAGAGAAGCAGCAAGGGGATAGAGGAACTTCCAGGCACTTAAACAATTTTCAACTTTTATTTTAGATTCACGGGGTAAATGTACAAGTTTGCTACATAGGTATATTGCATGGAGCTGAGGTTCGGGATATGAATGATCCTGTCACCCAGGTAGCCAGCAGAGTGCCCAACAGTTTTTCAAAACATGGCCCCCTCTTTTCCTCCCAACTCTAGTAGCCCCCAATGTCTATTGTTGCTATCTTTATGTCCATGCGTACCCAATGATTAGCCCCCACTTGTAAGTGAGAACATGTGATATTTGGTTTTCTGTTTCTGCATTAATTTACTTAGGATAAAGACCTCTAGTTGCAAATAACATGATTTTATTCTTTTCTTATGCCGAGTTGTATTCCATGGTGTATATGTACCATATTTTCTTTATCCAATCCACTATTGATAGGCTCCTAGGTTGATTCCATGTCTTTGCTATGGTGAATAGTTCTGCGAAGAACATAGGAATCCAAGCAATTTTTAACAACCAGCTCTCATGAGAACTATTAATAACAGAGTAAGAAATCACTCCTGAGGGAGAGCATTAATCCATTCATGAAGGATTTGTCTCTATGACTCACATGCTGCTCTTTAGGCTCCATCTTCAACTTTGGGTGATCAAATTTCAACTGAGGTTTGGAGGGGACAAACATTCAGACCATAGAAAACCTAAATAAATATGTTTTAAATAAAATGATTTGTTAATATTTTGATTTAAGGCCAAGAACTAATTTAGCTGCACTGATTAGAATTATTTTTCCTTTCATCAGTGTGCCCAGGATGTGGGAGATGGAGTCAAAGGAAATTAGTTTGGAGCTTTAAGATTTAATGACTGCCCTACTGAATTTGGGACTTGTGTGGGGTCTGTAGTCTCTTTCTTTTGCTCAATTTCTCCCTTTTGGAATGGGACATTTTACCCAATGCTTGTACCCCCTTTGTATCTTGGAAGTAACTAGCTTGTTTTTGGCTTTACAGGCTTATAGGTAGAACGGACTTGCCTTTGTTTCAGATGAGACTTTGAACGTTGGACTTTAGTATTAATGCTGGAATTACTTAAAACTTTGGAAGATTATTGGGAAGGCATGATTGTAATTTGAAATGTGAGAAGGACATGAGATTGGGAAGGGACGGGAGTGGAATGATATAGTGTGGATGCCTGTTCCCACCCCAATCTCATATTGAAATGTAATCACAAATATTGAGATGGGTCTGGGTGGAAATTGATTGGATCAAGGGGGTGGATTTCTCAGGAATGGTTAAGCACCATCCCCCTTGGTACTGTCCTTATGATTGTGAGTGAGTTCTCATGAGATATTTTCCTTTAAAAGTGTTTAACACTTCTTCCCTCTCTCTCTCTTGCTCCTGCTCTGGCCATGTGATAAGCCTATTCCCTCTTCACTTTCCACCATGATTGTAAGTTTTCTGAGGCCTCTCCAGTAGCCGAGCAGATGCCAACATCATGCTTCCAATACAGCCTGCAGAACCATTAGCTAGTTAAACCTTCTTTCTGTGTAAATTATCCAGTCTCAGGTATTTATTTATAGCAATGTAAGAACAGACTATTATACATACTAACCAAAAAAATCCCCAGAGTGGATGGATTTGCAGCCAAATTCTACCAGACATATGAAGAAAAGCTGGTACCAATTCTACTGAAACTATTCCAAAAAACTGATGTGGAGGGACTCCTCCCTAATTCATTCTATGAAACCAGCATCACCCTGATACTAAAACTTGGCAAAAACACAACGAAAAAAGAAAACTACCGACCAATATCCCTGATTAACACAGATGTAAAAATCCTCCACAAAATCCTAGCAAATAGAATCCAGCTGCATGTCAAAAAGTTAATTCACCATGATCAAGTAGGCTTAATTCCTGGGATCCAAGGTTAGTTCAACATACACAAATCAATAAGTGTGATTCATCACATAAAAAGAATTTAAAACAAAAACCATATGATCATCTCAATAGATGTGGAAAAAAACTTTCAGTAAAATCTAACATCCCTTCATAATAAAAATCTTCAACAAAGTAGGCACTGGAGGAACATATTTCAAAATAATAAGAGCTATCTATGACAAACCCCTTGAGAAGTGGAATAGGACATGGATGCCCACTCTCACTGCTCCTATTCAATATAGTACTGGAAGTCCTAGCTAGAAAAATCAGGAAAGAAAAAGAAATAAGTCACACTATCTCTCTTAGCGGTCAATATGATTCTATACCTAGAAATCTAAAAACCTAAAAACTCCACCAGAAGGCTCCTGGAACTGATAAATAATTTTAATAAGGTTTCAGAAGACAAAATCAGTGTACAAAAATTAGTAGCATTTCTATATGCCAATAATGTTCAAGCTGAGAGCCAAATCAAGAGTGCAATCTTGTTTATGATAGCCATGAAAAATAAAATACCTAGGAATACATCTAACCAAGAAGGTGAAAGATCTCTACAAGAAGAACTATAGAACACTGCTGAAATAAATCATAGATGATATAAACACATGGAAAAACATTCCATGCTCATGCATTGGAAGAACCAATATTGTTAATATGGCCATACTGCCCAAAGCAATCTACAGATTCAGTGCTATTCCTATCAAGCTATCAATGTCATTTTTCACAGAATTAGAAAAAGGTATTCTCAATTTCATATGGAGCCATAAAGATCCTGAATAGCCAAAGCAATCCTTAGAAAAAAGAACAAAGCTGAAGGTATCACATTACCTGGCTTTAAACTATACTGTAAGCCTACAGTAACCAAAGCAGCATGGTACTGGTACAAAAACAGACACATAGACCAATGGAACAAAATAGAGAACACAGAAGTAAAGTCACACACCTACAGCCATCTGATCTTTGACAAAATTGACAAAAATAAGAAATGGGGAAAGACTCCCTATTCAATAAACATTACTGGGCAAATGAAACTGAACACCTACCCTTAACCATATACAAAATTAACTCATGAAGAACTAAATATTTAAATGTAAGACTTCAAAGTGTAAAAATTCTAGAAGAAAACTTAGGAAACATCATTCTAGTCATCGGCCTTGAGAAAGAATTTATGACTAAGTCTTTAAAAGCAACTGCAACAAAAACAAAATTGCCAAGTGTGATCTAATTAAGCTAAAGAGCTTCTGTACAACAAAATAATTAACAGAGTCAACAGGCAACCTACAGAACAGGGGAAAATATTCATTAACTATGCATACAACAAAGGTCTAATATTCACAATCTTTAAGAAACTCAAACGTTTAAACAAAAAAATCCCCACAAATAACTCCATTAAGAAGTGGGCAGAAGATATGAACAAACACTTATCAAAAGAAGATATGCGAGTGGCCAACAAACATGAAAAAATGCTTACCATCACTAATCATCAGAGAAATGCATATCAGAACCACAGTGTGATGCCATCTCATACCAATCAGAATGGCTATTATTAAAAAGTCAAAAAAAAAAACAAACCAAAAAACAAAACCAGTTGCTAGTGAGGCTATGGAGAAGAGGGAACACTTATACACTGTTGATGGGAATGTAAATTAGTTCAGTCACTGTGGAAAGCAGTTTGGAGATTACTCAAAGAACTCAAAAGGGAACTAACATTCAACCCAGCAATCTCATTACTGAGTATATATCCAAAAGAAAAGATGCTGCTATCACAGATTATAATAGATTGCATAAATTATAAGAATAGAAATGTATTTGGCTCATGGTTCTGGAGGCTGGGAAGTGGAAGAGCATGGCATTGATATCTGGTGAGGGCCTTTATGCTGCGACATCTTGTCACAGAAGTTGGAATGGCAAGAGAGGGCAATGCAACAACAGTTGTGAAAGCAAGACTAATTTTATTCAGGACTATTGCAGTAGGGGAAAAGAGACCTCAGTATTGAACTGGGTTTCATTGTGAATACAAGTGGGACAAGTGGGAATTATAGCCAAGGAACACGGTGGTTTGTGGATGAAAAATTACTAAAAGGAGATATTGTCTTAGGCAATTCTGGTTGAAATGGCCTAACAGGATTCCTGCTGAATGCAGGCCAGGTTGTTGAGCTATCAAGAGTAGGGAGTGAGAAATTGTGATCGGATATTGAGAGTAATTAGGTATCAAGGATGGGGGATTCTTACTAAAGTGACTTAGTAGAAGTCTTGTTAAAACTACATTTCACAAGGAAGTACAAAGATGGGCCTAGGAGAAGATTCAGTAGCCCGACTAAAGTTTGGTCAAACAAAGAATCTTTGCATGGATATAAAAAAAAAATTACAGTAAGTGAAATAGATAAAAATTTCTGCATTTACATAGCATAAATTCTGATGGGGGAGAAATTATAGTGTACATGCCCATCTGTCCTCTGCATTGGCGTAAAACTCAGTGGCATTATGAAGCTTGTAAATACGGAAGCCTTAGGATCATTCAGGTATAGCATCTTTGATATGGTCATTGACAAAGCATGTTCTCATGGTAGATGAGGCAGTTTTTCCAAGTTGCACTGTGGGAAGCAGATGTAGTTGAAAGGGAGCCTAAGCCAGAGAGAAGGTACATGATAGGCACAACATAATGACTCTAGCTGACTTACTAGTTTGTGGGTACATTTTAAAAAACAAAAGCTTTGAGGTAGAAGATGAGGATCTGCTCCTATCACATGGAAGACTATGGAAACAATAGACATTTGGGACATATTTTCTGCCTTGATTGATAGCATCACCATCTACTGTGTCCCTTAAGCAGAAAAATATTAATTTCCTGTTGTCTCTTCTCTCTCTCTAACCCTCTATATCCAATATGACTACCTGAGATCTCCATCTCCTCAATTTCTCTTCAATCTATCTTTTCTTTCCATCTATACACGCAGTATAGATTACGATGATTAATAAGATTATTATGATCTCTTGCCTTGACTCCTCAGTAGCTATTTGGTAGCTTCATTTGTTATCCAGAAATCTCAGTACCACCTTTGATTCATGATTTATACTGTTTTCTGACTTATCTTTTAAAAATAAAAATCTGATTATGTCACACTTCTGCTTAACATTGTTCCAGATTTAAACTGTATGGATTTGCTTACAAAACACTTCAGGATGTAACTCTGTTGTACATTTCAAAACTCTATTCTGAGCACTCCCCATGGCATGCCCTTTTCTACTTGTGGCTGGCTTTCATATTTCCTAAACGCCCTCTTTGTCTATGTATGCTTTTTTTTTTTTTTTTTTTACCATTTGAAGTTTCTGCCCCATCGTTCTATCCAATTCCAACTCATGATTTAACATTTTCCCTCACATAACTTCTCCTCTGATACCTTCTTTAAAATCTTTACATCTCAAAGTCAAAGAAGGGACTCTCTCTCCTTCCACCATGGCAGTTTTCTTACATATCTCTATTATAGCATTGATCACACTGACTTGCAGTTATTTCTTGCTAAGCCTGTCTCCACTACTATTCCTGCTATTAAGTAACATGAAAAGGCTTGGGGAATCCTTCAAAATGTTGCTATCTTCCTCTTATTCTTTCAGGAAGAAATGTTTTTCCTTGTGCTTTTCTTATTTTCTGCCTATGCATTCTTTATCTTGAGTGTTTGGATGTCCCAGCTTCCCTTGGAAGCCAAACAAGATCAAATCCAGCAGTAACTTCCTGGTTAGTGAACATATTGATCTATTCAGAGGGTGGCATACCCAGAGAGCACATGGAAATTCAGTTCCCCCAGCATCCCCCATAACTTGTCCTATGTATCTCTTCCATCGGGCTGTTCCTGAGTTGTATCTTTACAATACACTAGTAAGGAAAGTTTCTCCACTTAAAGTTGACAGCAAGTTGAGAAGGCTATGAAAGCTAGTCTGCTATGGTCAAGTTGATTGCTCTGGGTTTCTTGCATCATGAAGACAACTTCTGCTTCCAGTCAAGATGAAGTAACAGAGACCTGATTTACCCCTGTCTTAGTCTGTTTGTGCTGCTACAACAAAATATCTTAGACTGGGTAATTTACAAAGAACAAGAATTTATTTCTTACGGTTTTGAAGGCTTGGAAGTCACTGACATCTGGTGTCTGATGAGGGCCTTCTTGCTGCATCCTCACATGGCAGAAGTGCAGAAGAGCAATTTAGCAACCTTGCCGAATACTACATGAAGTCTCTTTAAAAAGAGCCCAATTCCATTAATGAGAGAGCAGCCCTCATAGTCTAATCACCTCTGAAAGGCTCTGCCTCTATCATATTGGCAAAACTTGGATTTTGGAGGGGACACACTCAAAACATAACACCCTCCCACATTAAACAACTATAAAACTGGACCAAATACAAGAAGAAATGACATTCAAGACAATGACACTAAGCAACTAAGGACTGTGATCCCCGAGAGATGAGAAACAAATGAAAATTTTTTGTTTGTTTTCTCTGGGGACATTGATCTGAAAAACCTAGCTCACCATTACAGAGAATACTCTACCCACAACCACCCCAACTCTTTGAGAAGAAAATGGAACATATGTAAACCCACTAGAGCCTAAGAAAAACATTAAAAGGTGAAAAAAGAATTTCACTCTCCTGGAGGCCACATGGCGGGCCCTTCAGAATGTATAGTATGGCACTGTGGAGAGCAGAGGACACAAAACCAAAGGTATCACAAAGGTGGGCCCAGGAGGGTATGTATGAAGTGATGGCAAAGAAATTGAGAGGCTCCTGTGAGTTTCTGAGTGCAAGAGAATTTTAAGTAATGAAAATTTTATGTAAGAGCTACTATGTACTAGTATTCCATTAAATGTTTGGGAGAATCAAGAGTAAAATTTTTTTAAAAAAGAGAGATCACATCCAGCTTCACCCCTACCCCAAAATTCCCAGGTGGCTGAGGCCTTTTGCAATGCCTCAACATGTGCCTTTGTGTCATGCGGGCCCAGAACTGATCTGCCTGGAAAAATGTCATCACTATCTTATCTTCCTCATTCGATACCTCTCACCTTGTGCTAAGGATGGCAACAGAAATCCCAACCATGCCCACATCTATACCTTTGTTTTGGGGAGACTTGAGTTAGTCCAATTATCACTGTACTATGAACTCTGTCTCAGAGATCACTAGTCTTTAAGGATTAAATGTACAAAGGACATTATTTATTGTTGTGTTTGAGATCTCTGTAAATTTGGTTGCCAGCTATATAGTGTTCTGAGGTTCTTTAACATAGGAGAAATGTGTAATGCTCTAATTTATCATCACCCTTACTGATAGCCAAGTAGATGCTATGTTGTCATGTTGATATATTCAGAACATTCAGAGTCATGCAGACCTTTACACTACTCTGCAAAATAGGTATCAGAGCTTCTTGTATCTGCCAGTGCTTTCATAGTGATACATAGATAGCAGTGGATATCAAGGTCCAAAGAAGGACAGAGTGCCCTGAGACATACTTTATGTTTTTATTAACACCTTAACTCACCCATCTCACATTTATTTCAGGTCCCATACTATATTATTGCGAATATTATTTCTATGGATCAATATGTTATAATCATGCATAGACACACACACAGAGGGTTGGTGCATATATTTCCATTGTCCTCCTGAAGAGCCTCAGTTTAATGCATATTATTTCACACTTAAAACATTCAACATCACTAAATTGAAAACAGAAGAAGCAGGGGAGGGAACAGAAGGTGACAAATGAAGAGGAGGAAGGAGAGTGGGAAGGCAACGTGTAGCAGGAGGAGGCAAGGCATATGGGAAAGCAGGGATATGTCAAGTTCATGGAAAATAGCAAGCCAATGTCTGATTGACGACATGCATTTGTTGTGTTACTCACGGCGCTTCAACTTGAGGGATGCTGTTAAGTGAGAAAGGCAACTGTTTCTCAGTAGCAGAGAGACCTATATCTACCTACAGTAGCCATTGAAATAAAATTACTGACCTGTAAGTGTCCTCCAGAAGACTGGAGCACCATGCTGACTTTCTTTTATGTTATCCTTTCTATTCACATTTGGGAGAAAATTCTGTCTTTTCTGTCCCAGGTTCTCTGAAGGTCAGATTCATTCACCTATAGTTTCTAGAAGCTTCTTGATTATAATCACTGTGGGTAAGTACAAAATTCTCATACTCAACTGATAGTAAAACAGTTCAGAGAGCAAATAGCCAGATCTCACCCAGTGCTCACATTTTTAGCACTCTTAGTGGACTTGATGCCTTTTGAATGCCAGACCATATAATTGTGTGCAAGGAAAAAGCGCTTTGAAATGACACAGACCTGAATGGTACTTCTGGTTTTGAAATAATGTGAACTTGGAAAAATTACTTAATTTTTGCATGTCTTCATATCCTCCACCAGATTATTGTTAAGGACCACCTGAAATAAGGATGTATTGTCATTAAACCTGGCATAGCAAGTCCTGTAAATGGACGTTACTTATTTCTTTATATCTACATTTGCTGACCATCATGTGGGAATCTCAACTTGGACATTAACTAAATTCCTAAGATTCTGACTTGTCTAGACATATTTGAAGACTTAGGCAGCCTCTGCTAGGCATCATAACCGGTGGCAGTGGTACCTTAGGCAGGAGGCTGTCTCAGTGGAAGTGGTGGCTTCAGTGATATGATAAATTTCAGAAGTAGCTCTCACAGGGAGTTATCACAAGGAAGGGAGAAAGTGAAAGGGTTAGTATTAAAAAAAAACCTGTGTTGTTAGAAATGGGCAGGCATTATCTATAGGCTAAAAGTAGTTGGAGAAAATTCTGACTCCACTCTGGAGATGTAGCATCAGGGCAGACAAAATATTGTTTTGTGCTATTTATTATAGACCTGGTTTTACCACTAGGTTAAAGCAATCTAGGAGACTCTTCCTGCATGCAAAATTATTGACCCTGGTCAATTTTGCCCATCTGCTGCCTTACCCCAACATGACTGCATATGGACTACTAATGACCTAACATCATAAAAGTCTGAAAGAAAACCAAAAGATTTCCAAATTTCCTGTTGGTTTCTTATTCCAGAAAACATGCTATAACCTTGATCAGAAAATATTTTCTAAATATGTGGATGGTCTGTTATTGTGTGGCTGGGGTGCTTAGGAATTACTATAGTTTTGGAGTAAGAAATTCTAAATATGGTCCTAGGACGACACTTCTGAATTCTCTTTGAAAAGTGAAGTCATAGGAAAGCAGGCCTTGAGTGATGGACAAGATTTGAGTGAGGAGAGAAAAATGGGCAGGGCATTCTGAGTAGAGAAATGAACAAACTCAGGCCAGTGGGGATGACTATGACCTGCTCAAGGTTTAAGGAGCAGACAGTGAGACTTCAGCTGGAAATGAAGGAGGCAAAAGGAATCTCTATGATATTTCAGTGCTAACAAATTTTTCAGCCTCATATTCTTCATGCAATTAAGCAATATGTGTTTTTGAATGCTAAACAACTTACTTTATATTTGCATCCCCTAAAACAAGCAGTAAGTATTGAGATTATTTTCCATGAATCCTCCCTCATGTGAAAAGTATAAAGACCTTAGATGCTATTATGGACTCTGTAACCTCTTATTTGTTCTCTATTAATAACAGAATTTGTGAATTACTGAGAATCCTTTTAGAGACTGTATATCAGAATGTGCTGGTTGGAAAAAAGGGATTTGACAGGTTTCTGCTTTCATCTAACAATTACTTATTTATTTTTTGTACTTGACACTACTTTGAAGGCATTGATGAACAGCCAAAACAGCACCTTGCAAGGATGGTGAGATATCAATTACTTTTAATTACTCCTCAGCTCTGTCCCTTAATTACCTACTATGTTAGCTGGAATTTATTGCAGAGTAATAATCATGATGTTTTGCATTTACATAGTCCCTTTCTCCAAGGAGTTCAAAGCATTTTACAGATATTACCTCACTATTATTATGAAAATTAAAAATGTTGAAAATACTTCCATGAATAAGGAGAGTATAAAGTAGCTATGTTCACATTTTTCAGATGGAACATTTTCTAAAGATAGTTCACAGTAACAGCCAAAATTGAGGAAACTTTATAATAACCTTTCCCCTTCTACATTTTACATGTTTTATTATACGTGGTTCCCATGTTTGCTTACTGACTAAAAATATTTTCTCAAATATAAAATGAAAATATCACAAAACATTAAATAATAATCCCACCAGGAGTGCAATATATTTCCCACCCTAAAATTTAAGTAATGGACCTTACCTTTTTTTTAAGTAAGAAACCCTTGCATAGTAGCAAAATATTTTGAAAATGCCAAAGAGGTAATAATTACATTTTTAAGTCCATTGATTGGAAAATACATAATTAGAAAATTGACATATGAATTATGCAGGAATATTTATAATTTCACCCATTATCCTAAAAAATACTATCAGATAAGTGAGGGTAGGCTCTAATCAACCTCATTCTATAAATACGAGACTATTATTCACTCAGTCTACATTCAACATGTTTATATCCCTATTGCTTCAGACCTTGTAACCCTACTGCTTCTTAGAGGCCTGTTTCCCAATATTAGAAAAAACTGGTCTAAGTTTCAAAGCCAGTGTTTTCAGGAATCGTTCATATACAAAATAATTATGTTGAATTCAAAAGGAGGAATTGAAGAACATCATTCAGCATTCAAGAGTTCCTCAGTGGTTGGCGAGCTACCCTTCAGGGTTAAAACTACTTATACATTGAAACAATGAAATTTACATGCTTGAGAGGTTTTCTTTCCCCTTATCTTGTCTGTTAGAATTAATAAGTTAGAAGCATTCAGCTCAGAATAGAGGCTTGATTGCATGTCTTTTGCTAAGGATCTGAGACGTGAGGAGACTACAGTTTGAGACTCTTACAGAGTAAGCACCTTTTGGATCTGAAACTGCCTTGCATTGTTTCCCTCTTTACTTCTAATTGTTTGTATTTAAATACATCCTATTGTTTACAAAGATATACTGAAAGTTATAAGGTTTTGATGTCCAGGCTAAAGACGGTAATGAAATCTAAGTACTTGGTTTCTAATTTTTGTTATTTGAGTAGTAAATTATGGCACAGAAAATAAAAAAGCATTTAGGACTATCTTCTTCAGAATTTTGTTTAGTGGTCTTCACTTTCTAGTTGTTATAGATAATCCTAGAAAACAAGCCAAGTTTGGAAAAGGCAATGGAATTTTGATTATGAGGCATTTATTCTTTATTCTAGTTTAGCTTTTACCTTGTATTGCTTTGAAATGCAATTAGAATTACCATAGACAACAAAAATGAATTTGTGTGGCATCTTTCTTTTAAAGAAATTTAGAGGTAAAAAGCAGTATTTTGTTTATTGGGTAGGATATTGAGAAGGAAATCCTAAATCAGTGATTGCCTCTGAATCAGTTACTTGATTATATGAATTATCTCTTATGACTTCTCCACTTACAGAATGAGGTTAATTATAGCTACCCTCACTTATCTCATGGGATATTTTAAGAGAATGGATGGAATAATAAAAATACCAGTTTATCTAAAGTGAAGTATTTAAAATACAAATTATTTTAGCATAAGAATATACTAAATTTACTCTATACTACATAGTACTAAAATGTATAGGAATGTACTATGGGAGAAGAAATTATTTAAAAGTAAGAGCATTTACTGTAAAAGAAAAATCCTCAGAACTGGATAGAAAGAGAGTAAGTAGATGGGGTGGAGGGAGAAATAGGAGGGATATGATGATTCCAAGAAGAAAAAGAGTTTAAAATCTCTGCTCTGTTGTTTAATTGGAGAGAACTCTGATATTGGGTTTGGGCTTTGAGAATGACAGGGAATAACAGATAGAGAGGCAACCAGGTATCTGTGTGGCCTGTGGAATTCTGAAGGGAGCAGAGAAACAGTACTGGTATTTAAAGTGAACATCTTTTTTTTTTTTTAAAGTGAACATCTCTAAAGTTGAAGCTATTGGCTGCCCCATAAAATAGCTTCTGCTCAGTTGCTTCTCCTGTCATTCAATGAGATGATTCTTCTACTCTTAAGGCCAGATGTGAAAGTTTTAGTTATTCTCTTTTCTTCTTCCTTCACATCTAACAAGTCTTCCAATTTTATCAACCTTTTTTCACACAATGTTGCTTCCAACTCTCTTGCCTTTTAGATAGTGAAAGTAGACAGACAAATTCCAGGCAGACAAAGGTGATTCCCCAGTAAGGCTTGACCTTCAACCTGTGGACTGAACTGCCAATTCCAGATAGAGTCTAAAACTGGAGTGAGAACTATCCCCATCTTACCCACTCTCTCTCAGTTGGTTCCTTCTGGATGATGTCTTTTAACCATCAAATGGTGCTTTTTCCAAGGCCACCCATGGACCAATCAGCACATAATCCTCCATTCAAAGCCCATAAAAACCCCAGACTCAGCTTCAGAGATGGCTACCCACTTCAGGTCCCCTCTCATTGTCAAGAGCTTTTCTGTTGATCAATAAAATTCTACTCTGCCTTGCTTACTCTAAAGTGTCTGCAAACCTCATTCCTCTTGGTTGCAGGACCAAAACCCAAAACCTGCCAAATGGTGGGAGTGAAAAGAGCTATAACATTCTCTCTCACTGAATTACAGGAGTGAAAAAAGCCACTGGGTGCTGCTCCTTTCTGGCTGATGAACAAAAGGGCTTGTAACACCCTTTCCCACTTGCTGAACTACAGGAGTAGAAAAGCTGCTGGACACCACTCCCTTTCACTCACCAAACTATGGGAATAAAAAGCAGTGACATTTTCATCCTCAATGCCACCACTATGACCTGGTGCTCCTCATCTTGCAACAGGTCTCCAGGGCTCTGTTTTTTTCCTACTTCTGATACAGACAACATACAACAGATCAATCACTCCCCTTAAAGAATTAATTTCATGAGTTCAGCTTCTCCTTAGAAATCTTTAATGAATCCTCAGTTGCTACCAAATGACCCTTTAGTCTACTTTGCTTGAAATTGCTAAAATCTTGTCTGAAGCTACTTTTTCAAATTTACCATTTCTTAACATGTGTACTGTACTCTAATCAGATTGACTTCACACAATCTCCATTATATTCTGTACTTAATCTTTACTCAGAGGCTTTATTCCAGCTATTGTCTCCATCTGGAATTTTCTCAGCTCTCTAATGTTATCTCCAATTCAGTCAGTCCTTCAAGTTTCTCCTTAAATTCTGACATTGGTGTGCTGGATCCTGAATCGAGTATCCACATCTTTCCCCAACTCTGTATTCAGTGACATCTCATTAGTACCTTGAAATCAGCCATGGTGGGAATATTTGCACAATAGCAATTGGCAAACAATAAAAAAATCAGTCCTTCCTCCCTGACCAGAACCAGTTTTTAAATGAGCACACCACTGCTATTGCCTCAATCTTCTTTGACAGTTCACACAAACTTACTTTTTTTTTTTTGAGACGGAGTCTCGCTCTGTCGCCCAGGCTGGAGAGTGCAGTGGTGCAATCTTGGCTCACTGCAAGCTCCGCCTCCCAGGTTGATGCCATTCTCCTGCCTCAGCCTCCCAAGTAGCTGGGACTACAGGCACCTGCCATCATGCCTGGCTAACTTTTTTTTGTAGTTTTTAGTAAAGACGGGGTTTCACTGTGTTAGCCAGGATGGTCTCGATCTTCTGACCTCATGATCCGCCCACCTCGGCCTCCCAAAGTGCTGGGATTACAGGTGTGAGCCACCGCGCCTGGCCACAAACTTACTTTTTATATCATGCATTTGTGTACTTCTTTGTGTACTAAAATAAATATTTTTAAAAACATTGTCTAACTCACTGTTTGACTTTACAACCTGATTGTCTTCTGAAGTTCACTGGCCAAGTCCTGTATTTTCTTGTTATCCTTCTCAATCTGGAGAAAAATGCTTACTGAATGAAAACTGAGGCATTCAGTATACAACTCTTTTGATTTTCTGGCTTTCAAGATTATTTGAAAATTCAGAAATGATGTCAATACTTTCTCTCTTTCTATGCATCTGCTGCCTAGTGTAATGTCTCACTGATCCTATGCACCCAAAACTTTTTATTTGAATCATCTCTGTATGCTTGTGGTGGGTGGTAAATAATACGAAGTTGTTTTATATGTCAATGAAGAGACATACTAAGGCTCTTTGGTTTTAATTTACATTTTACTCCAAATATAAACCTAATTGAATTGATTCTTCTACTCTAAGGTCAGATGTGAGAGTTAATAATCTTAGAATTTTAACACAATATCTTTGATGTTGATTAGAATCTGTGAGTGTCCATAGATATAATTGGAATGCCAAGATATGAGTAAAAGTTCCAACTAGCTAACATGTATTGGGTGTTTACTATGTGCCAAACACTAACTTTTAAAATATATTTTCTCATTTAATCCTAATATGAACTTTCTGAGGTGGTTACCATTAATGCAGTCATTTTACAAATGAAGAAATTGGCTCTGGCACAGTTACATGTCTATACTCAATGGCACCATGGAGTGACTCCAAACCATTCTGATTCTATAAAAGTCACCTTAATGACTTTACACCTTAATTCCACATACAAGCAGCACTCTAATGTTAGGACTGTGTTACATTTTTAATGTTTGCCTGTGCCACGTCAGGAAAACTAATAATTAGACTTTGAATTTTTCCAGCCAGTCTCTTAACACTTGTTTTAATGAGTGAAGTTTTATTTTCAGGCCACTCTACCATTTTATTTTAAAAAGAAAAATTGTTGTTGATTAAGACATCATTTAGGAGCTTGTAAAAATGACTCTTTAGTGAGGGCTTACTTTGTGCCTAATGCTATTCCAGATAGTCTGGGAATTAAAAGGGAGAGGAGAGAAAGATTCTCCATCTTTCTTCAAAGTCCTATAAAATAGGACAAATGGCAATGAATACACATGGGACAAATAGAAAACAATTAGATGATAATTTCTATGATACTAACTGAAAGAATTTAAAAGTTAGGAAATATCAGCAAAGGTTGAAAATTGGTACAACTTTAAGGAAGAAGTGGGAGTGGAATCTTGAAGGTTGGTTTTGAATAGGGGCAGATGAGAGGTATAGTAAGGAGGAAAAAACAGTAAGTAAATGTACTGAGGCAGAAAATAACATGATATATTGGAGATGATCATTTTGGAGGCTCTGAAATCTCTGAATATTGAGTTTTAATCTCATCAACTCTCAATATCATTGGTACAAAGCATAGAACTTCAAGGTCATGACTTAGTTTATCCAGAACAGCTGCCTTGCTGACAAGGAAAGCCAAATTAAATGCAGTGTTCACATTTTTATTTTGTTACACCCGGAGGCACCCAGCTACTCATAGCATCCATTTTCCTCTCCCTGCTCCTTGATCTTTCTCCATGGTGCCTGGCAACAACAGGAAGCACTGGAGCTTTCAGCTGGGAGACTGCACTGCAGGCTTGAGAATGTTATTTTTGAACCTGTTCTTGTCCCTTTTTTTGCAAACTCAATTCATTACCTTGGGGTCTGTGATCTCACACCAGAGAGACAGTCATTGTCTCCACAATGTTTTTAGTCATTTTCCCGTGTGATTCAGCGGGTGCCTAACTACCCTTCTGATGTCCTCGCATTTGTCTTGTTTTGCCTCTTTGACAACTGTCCCAAGTTCATGCTCAGACTTGGTTAAATGCAGTAAGTGCTTCTCTACCCAGCCTATGCAGTTTTTTCTGTTTCTGGCACATTATTGGGTAAACAAATGTCCTAATCTAATTTACAGTGACAGGCTTTTATTACAGTGTTCCTGTCTTGGAGCCAAAATAGAAGCACATGTCCCAATCAAGAAAGGGTTGCTTTCTTGTCTAGAAACTTCCCAAATGATTTGCTTATTCAGAGACCTCCTTCTTTTTTCCTCCTTGACCTCCTTGGCTGCCTGCAGCTTTTTTTCAGATCAGTGAGTTGTCTTTCTTATTAGCACTGTGAGAGACTGGAAGAAGAATACAGCAATAATTTGTCCTCCTTCCCCTCATTTACAAGCATTTCGCTTTCTTTTCTGGTGAATTGAATTCCTCCAGTAACCCGGCCACACTCTTTTCTATGTTTCTGCTTTCCTCTCTTTCATCTTTCTCTTGGATAATAACTGCTTATCAGCCTCAGGTTGGATTTTCTCCCGTTTCCAATACTGAATTTGTCTGGATAATAAAACTGAGTCAATATCTTCAAAACTTTTATCCTAAGAGATAAGTTTATTCACGTTTAACACACTCTCAAGATTCTTCATGATAGAGATTTCCCCTATATGCCAGATATAGCAGGTTCTTTTGTTCCGAGTGAGGCTTTCCAATCCTAGTTCATAGCAGCTAGATGTTGGGATAGATTTCCTTATGTGTGAAACCTGTGTCACCCTTACAAAGCTTACAGCAAACTTCGCAGTTGCTGCTTTACTCACTCTTGAATAATTCTTCCCTAGACAACCACTTCCTGAGTCCCTGGGAGATTAATCATATGACCCTCCATTTCTGTATGTCACAGAGACACATACAATGAGACATACAGAGGTGGGTAGACAGGGGTGCATGGATAATTGATTTTTTTGTCCTCAGCAACAAAATTAGAAACTCTCTTGTAGACTTTTTCGGAGTCTGTGCTGGGTAATTAAACTCAGAGAATTCTTCCTCGGGGGACAGTCTGGCAGTGAGTTTGTCTGGTGGAGGTTCATGCTGATTTTACCCTTTGTTACCTTATTTCTTGTATTTCAAGCATAGTCAAAAGTGTATGTAGTCTCTACCTTCATCATTTCTAAACAACAGGACAAATAAGCAGGAACAGAGAGACTTTTTTATTTTTTATTTTTTGAGATGGAGTCTCTCTTAGCTGCTCAGGCCAGAGTGCAGGGGTGCCATCTTGGCTCATTGCAGCCACCGTCTTCTGGGTTCAAGCAGTTCTCCCATCTCAACCTCCTGAGTAGCTGAGATTACATGCACCCACTATCATGCCTGGCTAATTTTTGTATTTTAGTAGAGACAGGATTTCACCATGTTGCCAGGCTGGTCTGAAACTCCTAACCTCAGGTGACCTACCCGTCTCACCCTCCCAAAGTGCTAGGATTACAGGCGTGAGCCACTGTGCCTGGCCACAGAGAGACCTTTTGATGACTATAAGAATACATTTGTGTGGGTAAGGTATAGTTAGAGTTACTGGCTATAAAAGATATGTTAGAAAAATTAAGAAAAAAAAAAGATGTGTTAGTGTTTAAAAATGTACCTGGGCTGTGTGTTAATCAGGTGTTGTAAGACATGTATGACATAACTGTCATGAAAGAAGAAATTGTTATACTCACAGATCCCTAGAAACAGGAGGTACAGCACACCATGCAGAGCCATATGCGGAAACAGCAGGGTCAATCAGGGGACAAAGGGAATGAGAGAAAACGTGTGCAAAAGCCTGTTATGTGCTTTTTGTGGGAGGTAATGGGGTGGCGGGGTAAGCAGATTTAGAATTGGCTAGTTTGAATACTTTTTGTTAGGTTCTGGGAAATAGGGGTTGTCCCATTGTCTGGTACCTGGCCCTGGGGTAGGTAGGTAATAGCCCATAGTGTAAGAGCTAGATAAAGGGGGAAGTTGTGAGGTATGTGCTTTGGATTGATTGGTTTCTATATGAAACACATCGTCCCAGGTGAGTCATTCTATCCCTAGGAATTAGTGAACCCTGGAAAAAGTCATCTCTTCTAGTGTCAGCAAGGCCCCAAGATGTCAAAATATCAGAATTAGAAGATATATTTAATGCAGCTGATAAATGTTTTAAAAATGGCTCTTGGGAAAACAGCACCAACAAAACACAATGCAATTTGTAGCACTTACTGAATTCCATAAGTGCTCAAGCAAAGTTATGCACATATGTACCAGGATACATTGCAAGAATATTCTGAGCAGAATTGATTCTGATATCCAAAAACTGGGAAAAAACCATGTATCTGTCAACGTTAGAGTAATAAATACATTTTATACATTTATATCACGAAATTGCACACAGTGTGTAAACAAGTGAGCAAATTACAACTCTATGCAGCTACATGGATAAAACATGAAAGTATAATGTTGAAAAAGAAGCAAGGCACAAAATAATGTACTCTAATCAAAATGGACAAAACTAAACTATATTTTTAGGGAGGATCATATAAGTGATGATAGTATGAAAAAAGAGATATTATAATAAAAGTTATGGTGCTGGTTATTTCTTGTTGATAGAGAAAGGTATGTTCAAGAAGAGACTCATGTGGACATCTACAGGGCCAGCAGTGTTCTGTGTCTTGACCTGGGTAGTAGATATATAGCCATTTGCTTTATAAATATAAAACACCGAACTCTTCATTTGTGTTTCATGTACGTTTTCTGAATGCGGCATTTCATAATGAGTTATTAAAATTACTTTGGACAGAATTTCTCAATCTACTTTTCTTTGGATTTTATAACTCAATGTATCTGTTCACTGTGAAGAATGTAAACAGAGAAAAACGGGAACTTTATGTTCAAGGTTAATGAATTCTTTAGAATCATTAACCACCAGGTTTTTAATGCTTTGTTGAATGAGATTACTTAAAAAATGTCATTCTTTCAAACAAGCCAGACTACTAAAGTGGAAAGCAAAGTTTGTTTTGACATTGATTCTTGTGTGTTTTCAATAATGTTTCACTTTTAAGAGTCAGTGTATTAATGCATACACGGGGAATACATCTCTTTGAAGTGCTTTATAGAAGGTGATAGGGTGATATTACCTATTCTCAAGAATACACCAACAAGATTATCACATAACTGCTCTTTGTTTACATACTGTTTGAGGAAAAAAGGATCCATTAATAAACTAGGTACTGGAATTATTGATGCTATCTCCATGTGTTATGCTGTTGAAAGAACACAAAATATATGGCCATTTGATTAAATGCATGTAGTGGTCAAGAAAAAAAATTTGGTTTTCTACTCCCTTGTGTTCATCCCTATGTATTAAATATTTATATTTCTTTGATCTGCTAATGTATGCATCTCTAATGCACCCTCTTTGCTGATCTCAGCATTCCTTTCTATTTATTAAAAGAAAATACAGGAAATGTACTCTTCTCAATCTTAAAATTTTTTAAAGGAAAAAGTTTTCCCTGATTTGTCAATAAGACTTTAAAGAAAACAATGAAAGTTATAATTATGAAGCTGATTTAGCTGTGCTGTATGTCGAATGGTGAAACAATACAGCTTTCCTTATGTTTTTAACAATTCGAAATCCTCTCTTTTGGTAGTTTGTGAAAATTATATGACAGAGTCACAGATCAGTTATGGAAGGCTCTCTAGGGACAAGGCAATGAATGGCGAGTCAAAGGAAGGGCCTGACACAAGGCTACAGAATTAACAGTTGGATTTGACTCAGAGAAACCAGGATTCAAATACAAGGCCAAACTTCTTTTCTCAATGCAATCATAAGTTTCCCCTTCCAAGCCAATGCCATCAATACTTGAGGATATTTTTCTAGAACACCTGCACCTTTTTTTCCTCAGGTCACAAATCTGTCTTCTTACACTTGTCCACTAAAGTTGAATTTGCAACTCTCTAATTTCAGTCTTAGTCCCTTTCTCTGGATAGGGTGTGTACAAGGAATAGAGAAGAATAAGAGTTTTGGAGGCCTGAGAAATGATTTTTCATTAGCATAAATATAAGTAACCAGGACAACAGAGGACTCAGCAGCAGATGGCTGATAAGATCTCATGTTTTTCAATATATTCAAAAATGGAATTAATTTTTAATACCACATATTAGCAATCTTCTAATACTTAGGTAATCTCTTTGCAATCCTTTCCAGTAAGCTGATGGAATAAATGGAAATAAGTCAGTCTGATCTAATAGAAAGTGTTTTTTCACCTTTTCCTGGGATAGGCATTTTGGTCTGAATTTTACTGGCATGTACTTATAAGACACTCGATAACTGTTAGCTCTGTTAGGATATGGCTGAGTGAATGGATCATGGTATAGTGGGAGAAAGTGCTGGACTGGAAGTCAGAGAAATTGAAATCTGGTTCTTGGCATGAGCATAAATAAATCATTGATTGTCTTAGTTTCAGTTTATTCATTTGCGTAATAAACAAATGAATCTGATGATTTCTGAGATGCTTTTAGCTAGCTCTGTGTTTCTCAGACTCTGTGAATGGTGAGTACCACTTATTATCTTCAACTCTTCAGAGTGAAAAGGCGGAGTGTTGCTCTCTCACCCATGCTGGAGTGCAATGGCGTGATCTTGGCTAACTGTAACCTCTGCCTCCCAGGTTCAAGTGATTCTCCTGCCTCAGCCTCCCAACTAGCTGGGATTACAGGCACCCACCACCAGGCCCGGCTAATTTTTGTATTTTTAGTAAAGACAGGGTTTCACCATGTTGGCCAAGCTGGTCTTGAACTCCTGACCTCAGATGATCTGCCACCTCGGCCTTCCAAAGTGCTGGGATTACAGGTGTGAGCCACCATGCCCGGCTGAAATAACTGTATTTTAATTTAATGATTGAAATAGAATATATTCTTCGATATCCAAAAGTCAGTTACCTGACATTTTTCTCCTACATAATAATAACAGGTACAATTTATGGAGCCATTAGTGTGTTTCAGGTGCTATATTGAGTACTCTACAAAGACGATCTCATTTAATCCTTAATTAATTAATCATTATGATAATGATTTTATAGATGATAGAACTTAGGCTTTAAGAGTTTGAGTAATTTGACCAAGGCCCAGGCTTGCTTGTGATTTGTAAGACGTGACTTCAAGTCTTTTCTGTATTACTCCAGAAGCCATGCTCTTAATTACTGAATCTGAGTGCAACCTGATATAACACAAGATTACCAGGGGAAAATCGCTGGATCAAGACAGGAGGGTCTAAAATGGCTGCAACCTTTAAAACATTGTTTTATTTCAAAGGTAATATATAGTCATTTCTTTTTGTGTACAATTACAACAATACATGGCAAAACATGATATTTCTTCTTTCCCCCTGCTTCCATTCCCACTCCCCTCCTCAAAAGTATAATCACCATCTATAGTGTGTAGGTTGGTGTTGGTGGTAGTGACTGAAAGAAAACACAAGGGGCCCTCTGAGGTGACAGCGATGTTCTGATTTTTGACCTGAGTGCTGATTATCCAGATATGTTCATTTTGTGAAAGTATATCAGGCTATTCAATCCCGGTTTGTACGCTTTTCTGTATGTACCTAATATATTTTTTAAAAAGCTTATCAAAGAAAATGAATACCATGATACACAAGCATATCATACTGTTAGTCATCCCAACTTTCCCAATGGGAAAAGCTATGTAAAAATTAGCTTGCAAAACCACTTTCTTTCTTTATTCTTTGAGGATTGCCAATACCACATTGTAATTTCTAGAACCCACTTAAGTTATCTATTGGAAGTCTTCTACATATTTGGCAAGCTCTATACAGTGTATTTCTCCACATGAGGCTGCCCATGATTTCAGATGAATACCTAACTCAAATTATGCTTAATGTTTAATTTCAATTGAACCAAACATCAAATTTTCACAATGGGTCTTGTCAAAGGGGAATACCCTTTCCCTATTCATCTGACTTCTATGAAAAAGGATTTCATTTAAAGAAGCCCTATTCTACTCCACGAAACTCTTAGTGGCAAATTTTGGTATATGTAGTCTACCTTCTACTCACATGTCTTTTAGGATGATGACATACCTGCCAAGAGCACCTCCTCACAGTTACTCTAGGCCATGGAGATAGTCATTACTTTTGCTCTCCAACATCCCATTCTCTGGGCACATGAAAGGTTTAATTTACTGGTGGGACAATTTTATTAGTTCTGGCCACTGGATTGAGATTGAAAGTGATGTGATTCACTTCTGGAGCAGAGCACGTGATTGCCAAAAAGAGAGACTTTCCAAAACCCCGTTTATCTTTCTGTAATAGCACCGAGCCAGGTTTGAGATGGTTGTTGCTCCTTCAGACTGGTTCCTAGAGAGAAGGGGATGTGGAGCAGAATCCCAGTTGACTCGTGACGGACACATTATACGAGTAAAGAGTAAACCTTTGTGTGTCAAGGCACTGAAATGTTGAGATCCTGTGGTACTGCAGCTGACTGCTGACAGAATGCAATGAGTTAAACTTAGCAGCTGAGGCTATGTCCACGGTCAGGAGGAGAGTTGTTCAGTGCTGCCTGAACCTAGGTGGATAAATCTAATTCTGGAGTTCAAAAACTCCCTTTATTTAAAAGCTATATTCTGTAGTATAATCTTTAGATGTGATAGAGTTTTTTTTTTTTTTTTGTCTCATTTACCTTGCTCTTTTGCCTAAACAGGCAGAACGTGTAGGGAAGAGAAATATTATTTTCTGGACCTGCTCCCTTATAACTCCATCAGGTTACTGAAGGAGGTCAAATGGCCTTGGAAGGAACTGGAGAGGCAGATGGGGATGAGATCATGCATAACCCTATGGACAATGTTAAGGATTTCAACTTTAATATAAATCCATTAGGAAGTCATGGAAGGCTTTCAGGGAGATGTGTGATAAGATGTACATTTTTCAAGAAGCAGACTGATTAGTGTGTGGAGAATGCATTAGAGGGGTATGAAAATGTATATGGGAGACCATTTAGGAGGACATGGCAGAAAGTCCTGACAGGAAGATAGCTGAATAAACAAAAAGAAATTTTGGGCTGAGTGTGGTGGCTCATGCCTGTAATCACACTTTGGGAGGCTGAGGTGGGAGGATAAAGCCCAGGAGTTTGAGACCAGCCTGGGCAACATGGTGAAACCTCATCTCTACAAAAAACAAAAGAAAAAAATAGCCAGGCACGGTGGCGTGCACCTGTAGTCCCAGCTACATGGGAGGCTGAGGCTGGAGGATTGCTTTAGCCTAGGAAGTCAAGGCTGCAGTGCGTCATGATTGTGCCACTGCATTCATGGGCGACAGAGTAAGACTCTCAAAACAAACAAACAAAAAAAACAGAAAGAAAGAAATTCTGGGATGGTTAAAATGATGAAATATATGTGTCCTTCCCTCATGATCTACCTTGATCTGGGGATACATTTTAGAATATTTAGTGGAACTGATGCATGGCATAACCTTTAGGCAATACTTCAGAAGCATTAGTCCATCTGTCTCTCATATATGCTTTTGATAAGGATTATACAGAAGAGATTTTGGTTTACCCTTTTTGGTAACAGCTTTAAGTGCACAAATTCTGTATGTGCTTCAACAATTGATTGATATCTCTTCTGACATTTAACATTAATGAAGACCACATCACCACGGCCCATTCTACATCACCTGTTCAGAGCACTGCTGTGTTACGAAGTACCCTAACCACAGCCTTTCCTGTTTTAGGAGGAACTCCTGCCACACAGATTCTTCTGTCACAAGAAGCCTATGACCATGGAAAAAGAAAAAATACCCCAAACTGTTCTTAGAAGAGGAGATCCCTAATCACAGATAAAGTCAGTTTTCCTAAAGGGGTTCCTGACTGCTTGCTCAGGCCGGGAACAGGTGTATAAAATGGCAATTAAAAGGTACCAAATGGCTTGTGGAGGTGATGTTGCATGGGCCTCTGATCTCTATTTGCAACATACAAGTTAGCAAGAAAAGGAGAATCTTCTTTTCCACACAGCACACACATCTGACGCGAAGGTCATGTGATCTCTCACGGATGTGTGCCTGATGAGATTCTGTGCACAAGGCCAAGGTTTTCCTAGGAAGACAATTTGGTCATATTCCAACACTCACACGGGCAATTGATGCACAAAAGTTATACATCACAGAACACAGGTGTGATTTCAGCCTGGAAAGATTTCAAAGGATAGTTAATAGATCTTCCGTTGGGGCAATTAAAATAATTCTCAATAAGGTATTTCTTAAACATCTACTTTTGAGCTGTATAAATGCCTGGAGACTTCTGATATTAACTAGATACAGAATGTGTACCAGAGGACTAAATTTTATTTTTTAAATATGAAGGCTTAGAAATAATCCCATTAGATATTGGAGAGTCTGTATCCACAAAAAGTGAATTGTGTTTTGGGGTAGCTATTTAAAAAGCTAATGACGTTCAGGTGTGGTTGCTCATGCCTGTAATCCCAGCACTTTGGGAGACCAAGGCGGGTGGATCATGAGGTCAGGAGTTCAAGACCAGCCTGGCCAAGATGGTGAAACCCCGTCTCTACTAAAAATACAAAAATTAGCCAGGCATGGTGGCGGGTGCCTGTAATCCCCGCTACTTGGGAGGCTGAGGCAGAGAATTGCTTGAACCCGGGAGGAGGAGGTTGCAGTGAGCCAAGACGGTGCCACTGCACCCCAGCCTGGGCGACTGAGCGAGATTCCATCTCTAAAAACAAAACAAAACAAAGCTAATAACAGAGTGGAAACCATTGTGTGTTGAAGCTGCTCTATTATAAAAAATAGAGAAGAGAAAAAAATAGGGTTATCTATATAATGAGTTTCTTCTTTAAGGCAAGCATATGGCTCATTCAGAACTGTTACTGAGTTAAGTTTCACATTAAAGAAGGGATCTTGAAGTCATCTCTACTTTGCCTCTGCAAATTATCTGAGTGTCCAATAGATGGCGCCCTGATCTTGATGCTGATGGAGGTTTAATGCCGCAGAGTGTAAACCATAGATCTTTATTGAGTTAAAGGAAATTCACTCAGGACTCGTTCATTTAATTATTTCACAAGGTCATTATTGAGTGCCCGCTATGTGATAGGACTGTATTGTGTTTCTTTTCACAGGGTCAGAGATTACTGTAAGGCAAATAAAAGCTTCAATGTACTTCTTCACAAAACAATACTATATCAGTTTATATTGCTATACAACAAATCTCTTCAAAGCTCAATGGCTTACAATAACAATGAGTTATTATTTCTTACCATTTGGTAGGTTGTCTAGGTGGCTTCTCTTCTGATTTCATCTGGATTCATTCACTCATGTAGCAACATTCAGCTGGAGGGTCTCCTGGGCTAGAAGGTCTGAGATGGCCTAACTTACACATCTGGCGGTTGGTGCTAGCTGTTCTCTGGAGCGCCTACGCTTGCCTCCAGAACTTGGCTGTCTCCAAGCAGTGCTCCAAGTAGAGGAAGTCAGAGTTGTATGTAAGGCCTATTGCGACCTTCTTAGTTTTGTAAGTTACATTATGTCACTTCTGTCACCTTCTATCGGTCAAAACAAGTCCAAGCCTGGCCCAGATTCAACAGATAGGGAAACAGACTTCAACTTTGGATGGGAAAAGTGATCCATCACATTGCAAAAGGGCACACACACTATGATGGGAGGACCATGTGGTCATATATTTCAACTGATAAAAAACAAGTAGAGAAGTGAACAATAGTGGAATAGCCCTGCCTAGATTCTTTTTTTTTTTTTATTTTGAGTTCTAGGGTACATGTGCACAACGTGCAGGTTTGTTACATAGGTATACAGGTGCCATGCTGATTTGCTGCACCCATCAACTCAACATTTACATTAGGTATTTCTCCTAATGCTATCCAGCCCCCAGCCCCCCGCCCCCACCTCGAGAGGCCCTGGGTTGTGATGTTCCCTGCCCTGTGTCCAAGTGTTCTCATTGTTCAATTCCTACCTATGAGTGAGAACATACGGTGTTTGGTTTTCTGTCCTTGTGATAGTTTGGTGAGAATGATTGTTTCCAGCTTCATCCATGTCCCTACAAAGGACATGAACTCCTCCTTTTTTATGGCTGCATAGTATTCCATGGTGTATATGTGCCACATTTTCTAAATGCAGTCTATCTTTTATGGACTTTTGGGTTGTTTCCAAGTCTTTGCTGTTGTGAATAGTGCCGCAATAAACGTATGTGTGCATATGTCTTTATAGTAGCATGATTTATAATCCTTTGGGTATATACCCAGTAATGGGATCGCTGGGTCAAATGATATTTCCAGATCTAGATCCTTGAGGAATCGCCACACTGTCTTCCACAGTGGTAGAACTAATTTACACTCCCACCAACAATGTAAAAGCGTTCCTATTTCTCCACATCCTCTCCAGCACCTGTTGTTTCCTGACTTTTTAATGATCACCATTCTAACTGGCGTGAGATGGTATCTCATTGTGGTTTTGATATGCATTTCTCTGATGACCAGTGATAATGAGCATTTTTCATATGTCTGCTGCCTGGATAAATGTCTTCTTTTGAGAAGTGTCTGTTCATATCATTTGCCCACTTTTTGATGGCTTTTTTTTTCTTGTAAATTTGTTTAGGTTCTTTGTAGATTCTGGATATTAGCCCTTTGTCAGATGGGTAGATTGCGAAAATTTTCTCCCATTCTGTAGGTTGCCTGTTCACTCTGTTGGTAGTTTCTTTTGCTGTGCAGAAGCTCTTTAGTTTAAGTCTTTAAGCCATCTTGAATTAATTTTTGTATAAGGTGTAAAGAAGGGATCCAGTTTCAGCTTTCTGCATAT
This sequence comes from Homo sapiens, assembly GCF_000001405.40. NCBI lineage: Eukaryota > Metazoa > Chordata > Mammalia > Primates > Hominidae > Homo > Homo sapiens. The sequence continues at coordinate 94,236,239 of NC_000003.12, forward strand.
GACTAGCCAGTTTTCCCAACACCATTTATTAAATAGGGAATCCTTTCCCCACTTCTTGTTTTTGTCAGGTTTGTCTAAGATCAGATGGTTGTAGATGTGTGGTGTTATTTCTTAGGCTTCTGTTCTGTTCTACTGGTTTATATATCTGTTTTGGTACCAGTATCATGCTGTTTTGGTTACTGTAGCCTTGTAGTATAGTTTGAAGTCAGGTGGTGTGATGCTTCCAGCTTTGTTCATTTTGCTTAGGATTGTCTCGGCTATGCGGGCTCTTTTTTGGTTCCATATGAACTTTAAAGTAGTTTTTTCCAATTCTGTGAAGAAAGTCATTGGCAGCTTGATGGGGATGGCATTGAATCTATAAATTACCTTGGGCAGTATGGCCATTTTCACAATATTGATTCTTCCTATCCATGAGCATGGAATATTCTTCCATTTGTTTGTGTCCTCTTTTATTTTGTTGAGCAGTGATTTATAGTTCTCCTTGAAGAAGTTCTTCACATCTCTTGTAAGTTTTATTCCTAGGTATTTTATTCTCTTTGTAGCAATTGTGAATGGGAGTTCACTCATGATTTGGCTCTCAATTTGTCTGTTACTGGTATATAGGAATGCTTGTGATTTTTGCACATTGATTTTGTATCCTGAGACTTTGCTGAAGTTGCTTATCAGCTTAAGGAGATTTTGGGATGAGACGATGGGGTTTTCTAAATATACAATCATGTCATCTACAAACAGGGACAATTTGACTACCTCTTTTCCTAATTGAATACCCTTTATTTCTTTCTCTTGCTTGATTGCCGTGGCCAGAACTTCCAACACTATGTTGAATAGGAGTGGTGAGAGGGCATCCTTGTCTTGTGCTGGCTCAAAGGGTATGCTTCTAGTTTTTGCCCATTCAGTATGTTATTGGCTGTGGGCTTGTCATAAATAGCTCTTACTATTTTGAGATACATTCCTTCAATACCTAGTTTATTGAGAGTTTTTAGCATGAAGGGCTGTTGAACTTTGTCGAAGGCCTTTTCTCCATCTATTGAGATAATCATGTGGTTTTTGTCGTTGGTTCTGTTTATATGATGGATTACGTTTATTGATTTGCAAATGTTGAACCAGACTTGCATCCCAGGGATAAGGCTTACTTGATTATGGTGGATAAGCTTTTTATTTTATTTTTATATTTATTTATTTATTTGTGTATTTTTTGAGACGGAGTCTCGCTCTGTTGCCCAGGCTGGAGAGCAGTGGTGTGATCTCGGGTCATTGCAAGCTCTGCCTCCCAGGTTCATGCCATTCTCCTGCCTCAGCCTCCCCGAGTAGCTGGGACTACAGGTGCCCACCACCACGCCTGGCTAATTTTTTTAATTTTTACGAGAGATGGGGTTTCACCGTGTTAGCCAGGATGGTCTCGATCTCTTGACCTCTTGATCCGCCCGCCTTGGCCTCCCAAGGTGCCTGGCCTGGATAAGCTTTTTGATGTGCTGCTGGGTTCAGTTTGCCCGTATTTTATTGAGGATTTTCGCATCAATGTTCATCAGGGATATTGGTCTTGAATTCTCATTTTTTGTTGTGTCTCTGCCAGGCTCTGGTATCAGGATGATGCTGGCCTCATAAAAAGAGTTAGGGAGGATTCTCTCTTTTTCTATTGATTGGAATAGTTTCAGAAAGAATGGTACCACCTCCTCTTTGTACCTCTGGTAGAATTTGGCTGTGAATCCATCTGGTCCTGAACTTTTTTTGTTGTTAAGCTATTAATTATTTCCTGAATTTCAGAGCCTGTTGTGGTCTACTCAGAGATTCAACTTCTTCCTGGTTTAGTCTTGGGAGGGTGTATGTGTCCAGGAATCTATCCATTTCTTCTAGATTTTCTAGTTTATTTGCGTAGAGGTGTTTATAGTATTCTTTTATGGCAGTTTGTATTTCTGTGGGTTCGGTGGTGATATCCCCTTTATCATTTTTTATTGCATCTATTTGATTCTTCTCCCTTTTCTTCTTTATTAGTCTTGCTAGTTGTCTATCAATTTTGTTGATCTTTTCAAAAAAACCCACTCCTGGATTCATTGATTTTTTTAAGGTTTTTTTTTGTTTCTCTATCTCCTTCAGGTCTGCTCTGATATTAGTTATTCTTGCCTTCTGCTAGCTTTTGAATTTGTTTGCTCTTGCTTCTCTAGTTCTTTTAATTGTGATGTTAGGGTATCAATTTTAGATCTTTTCTGCTTTCTCTTGTGGGCATTTTGTGCTATAAATTTCCCTCTACACACTGCTTTAAATGTGTCCCAGAGATTCTGGTGCATTGTGTCTTTGTTCTTATTGGTTTCAAAGAACATCTTTATTTCTGCCTTCATTTCTTTATTTACCCAGTAGTCATTCAGGAGTAGGTTGTTCAGTTTCCAGATAGTTGTGCAGTTTTGAGTGAGTTTCTTACTCATGAGTTCTTTTTTTTTTTTTTATTATACTTTAAGTTTTAGGGTACATGTGCACATTGTGCAGGTTAGTTACATATGTATACATGTGCCATGCTGGTGCGCTGCACCCACTAACTCGTCATCTAGCATTAGATATATCTCCCAATGCTATCCCTCCCCCCTCCCCCCACCCCACCACAGTCCCCAGAGTTTGATATTCCCCTTCCTGTGTCCATGTGATCTCATTGTTCCGTTCCCACCTATGAGTGAGAATATGCGGTGTTTGGTTTTTTGTTCTTGCGATAGTTTACTGAGAATGATGATTTCCAATTTCATCCATGTCCCTACAAAGGACATGAACTCATCATTTTTTATGGCTGCATAGTATTCCATGGTGTATATGTGCCACATTTTCTTAATCCAGTCTATCATTGTTGGACATTTGGGTTGGTTCCAAGTCTTTGCTATTGTGAATAATGCCGCAATAAACATACGTGTGCATGTGTCTTTATAGCAGCATGATTTATAGTCATTTGGGTATATACCCAGTAATGGGATGGCTGGGTCAAATGGTATTTCTAGTTCTAGATCCCTGAGGAATCGCCACCCTGACTTCCACAATGGTTGAACTAGTTTACAGTCCCACCAACAGTGTAAAAGTGTTCCTATTTCTCCACATCCTCTCCAGCACCTGTTGTTTCCTGACTTTTTAATGATTGCCATTGTAACTGGTGTGAGATGGTATCTCATTGTGGTTTTGATTTGCATTTCTCTGATGGCCAGTGATGATGAGCATTTTTTCATGTGTTTTTTGGCTGCATAAATGTCTTCTTTTGAGAAGTGTCTGTTCATGTCCTTCGCCCACTTTTTGATGGGGTTCTTTGTTTTTTTCTTGTAAATTTGTTTGAGTTCATTGTAGATTCTGGATATTAGCCCTTTGTGAGATGAGTAGGTTGCGAAAATTTTCTCCCATTTTGTAGGTTGCCTGTTCACTCTGCTGGTAGTTTCTTTTGCTGTGCAGAAGCTCTTTAGTTTAATTAGATCCCATTTGTCAATTTTGTCTTTGGTTGCCATTGCTTTTGGTGTTTTGGACATGAAGTCCTTGCCCATGCCTATGTCCTGAATGGTAATGCCTAGGCTTTCTTCTAGGGTTTTTATGGTTTTAGGTCTAACGTTTAAATCTTTAATCCATCTTGAATTGATTTTTGTATATGGTGTAAGGAAGGGATCCAGTTTCAGCTTTCTACATATGGCTAGCCAGTTTTCCCAGCACCATTTATTAAATAGGGAATCCTTTCCCCATTTCTTGTTTTTCTCAGGTTTGTCAAAGATCAGATAGTTGTAGATATGCGGCGTTATTTCTGAGGGCTCTGTTCTGTTCCATTGATCTATATCTCTGTTTTGGTACCAGTACCATGCTATTTTGGTTACTGTAGCCTTGTAGTATAGTTTGAAGTCAGGTAGTGTGATGCCTCCAGCTTTGTTCTTTTGGCTTAGGATTGACTTGGTGATGCGGGCTCTTTTTTGGTTCCATATGAACTTTAAAGTAGTTTTTTCCAATTCTGTGAAGAAAGTCATTGGTAGCTTGATGGGGATGGCATTGAATCTGTAAATTACCTTGGGCAGTATGGCCATTTTCACGATATTGATTCTTCCTACCCATGAGCATGGAATGTTCTTCCATTTGTTTGTATCCTCTTTTATTTCCTTGAGCAGTGGTTTGTAGTTCTCCTTGAAGAGGTCCTTCACATCCCTTGTAAGTTGGATTCCTAGGTATTTTATTCTCTTTGAAGCAATTGTGAATGGGAGTTCACTCATGATTTGGCAATCATGAGTTCCAATTTGATTGCACTGTGGTCTGAGAGACAGTTTGTTGTGATTTCTGTTCTTCTACATTTGCTGAGGAATGCTTTACTTCCAATTATGTGGTCAATTTTAGAATAAGTGGATGTGGTGCTGAGAGGAATGTATATTCTGTTGATTTGGGGTGGAGAGTTCTGTAGATATCTATTGGGTCCACTTGGTGCAGAGCTGAGTTCAAGTCCTGGATATCCTTGTTAACCTTCTGTCTCGTTGATCTGTCTAATGTTGACAGTGGGGTGTTAAATTCTCCCATTATTATTGTGTGGGAGTCTAAGTCTCTCTTTAGGTCTCTAAGGACTTGCTTTGTGAATCTGGGTGCTCCTGTATTGGGTGCATATATATTTAAGAATAATTAGTTCTTCTTGTTGAATTGATCCCTTTACCATTATGTAATGGCCTTCTTTGTCTCTTTTGATCTTTGTTGGTTTAAAGTCTATTTTATCAGAGACTAAGACTGCAACCCCTGCTTTTTTTTTGTTTTCCATTTGCTTGGTAGATCTTCCTCCATCCCTTTATTTTGAGCCTATGTGTGTCTCTGCACATGAGATGGGTCTCCTGAATACAGCACATTGATGGGTCTTGATGCTTTATCCAATTTGCCAGTCTGTGCCTTTTAATTGGGGCATTTAGCCCATTTACATTTAAGGTTAATATTGTTATGTGTGAATTTGATCCTGTCATTATGATGTTAGCTGGTTATTTTGCCCGTTAATTGATGCAGTTTCTTCATAGCATTGATGGTCTTTACAATTTGGCATATTTTTGCAGTGGCTGGTACTGGTTGTTCCTTTCCATGTTTAGTGCTTCCTTCAGGAGCTCTTGTAAGGAGCCCTGCCTAGATTCTGCAGTCTCCCTCCCTCCCTCCCTCCCTTGCTCCCTCCCAAGATTCTTGCAAGCTTTAAAGAAGCAAAGTAGAATGTGTTTAAGACAAAATGTCTATTAGGCTAATGAGGGCATTGTTTTTGTGGAGAGTAAAGAGTTATATAGATTTGCATTATCTATTACATATACTGAGTAGATCCCTTCATTATTTGCCTTTTCTATTATTCCTAGATACTTATTTTTCTTTAGCAGTTGATGAACTTTGTAAGAGTCTGTTAATTCTTAATCAGTACTTCCCCAGAGGGTAAGATAGAAGTAATGGAATGAAGTAGTTAGCTATACTGGCAAGGCAGTGTGATGTAGTTCCAGTATTTGATGGTATTACATGTGACTAGATAATTAACCTTTCCTATAACAGCATTCAATAAGTGCAAAAATATATTTTAGAAGTTACAGGTATTTTTTGGCAAATTGTTTCATTTACTAAGTCTCTACTGTGTACCAAGTCTTTTTCATATGCTATCTCTTAAACATTACAATAATCATGAAAAGTGTCAGTTCCTATTTTACATATGAGAAAATGGAGACCTGTGGAAGATGAATAAATTTTCCACAGCCAAATATTAAGTATAAGACAGAATCTGAACTTCTAAGTCATATTTAATATCTACTTTCTTTTTCTCTCGGGTCAATGGAACCCCAACTTTGTTGGAGACTGCCATGCATTCAGCCAAAACTACATTTCACCGATTTCTTTGCATAGCTAGTAGAAACTATCTGGCTGCTAAAATGTAGCTAAAGATTATCACATACGGATCCTGGGAAGGGGCCTTCAAAAGGGGACTGACTTGGCTGATATGCACATCTGTGCCATTGGCTGTTATCTGTTTCCTGTAACAAAGTATGATGACTGGAGCTTCAGAAACCATGATGTAAGCTGAAGTTCATAGCCAGACTATCAAGATGGTACAGCAGAGACCTGGAAGAGGCATAGGTCCTGGAAGAAGTATAGCTGCTTTATCAGCTCTTATGTGAGAGGAAAATAACACTTCCATCTTGCTTAAGCCAGAGTTATTTCTCTTGCATAGACAGCCCTATAGGAACCATTAAAGACAACAAAACATACCCTCTCATATTGCTATATTTCTGTGTGCTTCATGTAAAATGAAAATTTATAAAATTAGTCATAAAACTAATAAAATACCATTACAGGTCCAAGAATGTCTATGCATAGCCTTTACCTCAGCAGAAAATGAGAAGAACCTTGTTTGTCTTGAGATGTCTGATCTCCTTGATGATCAGCCCCAGCAAACTTGTACCTTCAAGGTTTACATCCTTCCCATTGTCTGCCTCTGAGAACAAGAGTCCCTTGCCTTGCTTGAACTTGTGGCACTAAGATGCCTGTAATGCTCTGATCTTCAAATCCCACATCGTAAGTCAGTGAGTCTTCAAATTTCAGCTGCATAAGAACCATATGGGATGCTTGTGAATTTTTTTAAAATCGTATTTTTAGACCTATCATGGGGATTCTGAATCAGTAGTTCTGTGGCAGGGCCCAGGAATTGCATTTTTAACAAATATTCTGGGCAATTATTAGGCATATGATTCACAGGTTGGCCTTTGAGAAACCCTGTGAAACCTTTCCCCTTAACCAGTGCCTTTTGTTGCTTTATCTGACCCAGACTTGCAATGTGCAGGAAGGAGAGGAAAGAATATTTTGGTGTCTTTTAACAGAGATTGAAAGAAGTGTATAGAAGATAGAAAAAAGAAAACAAAACAAAACAAAACAAAAACTACCCCTGGCTTAAAGAAGACAGGGGTTACAGTTTCCTCTCTCCTAATCCCTGCATGGTACAAATACCAGAGATGATTCCTGAAATTTAGCAAGCTAGGTTAGGATAATATAGCTTCGTTTTCTACTTATTATAGAAATTTTCTCATAAGTGTTAAATTTGTACTAATTGGTATAACTGGCACAAATTGCACCAGATGGATAGGTAAGTCTCCTACTTTTGCAGAGTTCCAAGTTGCCTTTCCTATTCTTAATTATTAAAGATTAATTTTACTTTGCAGAAAACTCACAGAGGATTGCCAATACCTTTCCTCGGAGGACATAATTTAAAACTTTAAAAGATCGAAATTTTAATAAAAATTTGAAAACGTTGCCAATATTTTTACAGAAGCCACTTAATGATTTTAATTCAATGCTGCATATGAAAGGTAGCAATTAAGAGGAAGTAAAACAGGCCACACCTAGAAAGAAAATATGAGTCGATCTGCAAAGTAGCAACATAGGCTGTCTTCTACTTTCCTTTTTTTTTTCTTTTTTTTTCTTTCTTTTTTTTGAGATGGCATCTTGTACTGTCGCCAGGGCTGGAGTGCAATGGCATGGTGATCTTGGCTCACTGCAACCTCTGCCTCCTGGGTTTACACTATTCTCCTGCCTCAGGCTCCCGAGTAGCTGGGATTACAGGTGAACACCACCACACCCAGCTAATTTCTTGTATTTTTAGTAGAGATGGGGTTTCACTATGTTGGCCATGCTGGTCTCAAACTCCTGACCTTGTGATCCTCCTGCCTCAGCCTCCCAAAGTGCTGGGATTACAAGTGTGAGCCACCACACCCAACTGTCTTCTGCTTTCCTAAGAGGCTGTGTTCCTTAAATGTGTGACAAAATGCAATGTGAAAATTTAAAACAATCCATTTATTCATTTAATGAGAGAACTAGATATTTTACAAAATCTGAAATTTTACCTGACTACTCAATAATCTATTGCTAATATTTCATACATGTTCTTATGTTCTTTAATGTTATTCTTTTCCTTCATAGTCTTTTTTTTTTTTTTAGCCAGGGTTATGTCAAATCAATATCTTTTGTAATACCACCACCTGTGCTGCTGCTGCTACTCTTACTACTACTATTTTATCTCCAACTTTCCCCACAACTATTTGAATAGCTTCCCAACATAATGTCAGTTTTGCGGTGTGCTATCAATTTCACCTTTTGAAAGAAACATCTCCCTGCTTCCATGTAGATAGGTCAATCTCTAGGCCTGATGCACAATCCCTGTCTTGAGATCTCTGTTCTCCATTATCCTGAGGATTCTCTTTGTTTCTCTTTCAGACTGGATCCTATTTTCTCCTTTAGCTTCCTTTTTTTCAGTTTATTCCTCATTTTGGTGGAACACAAGTTATAGCGGCAACCCGAAAAGGTTGCAGGGAGGTAAACTTTTCAAGGCTTTGCATGTTTGAAACTCTTAATTATACCATCATTTTTAATTGTTAGTTTGGCTGTGTCTAGAATTTGAAGCTGGTAACAATGCCTCTTGGTAATTCTGATCACAATGCTCCCCTCTCTTCTGACTTCCTTTTTAGTGTTGAGAAATCCAATGTCATTCTAATTCTTGATCATTGTATGAAATAGGATCTTTTGCCCTTAAAGCTTTTAAAGTTTTGTTGTTCCCGGTGATCTTAAACATCATGTAATGTATCTTTGTATAAGTCTATTTTATCTACTATGTCAGACCTTGGGTGAAATCTTTTAATCTGGCAACTCATATTTTTCAGTTCTCTGAATTTGCTCTGAATTATTTATTTGATTTTTCTCTCTTTTTTTTTCCCCCTTGTATTTTTCTTTCTGGAACTCTTATTATCTGAATGTTGAACTCTATGGATGTACTTGTAATTTTATTCTATCTCTGTCCTATTTTCTATCCCTTTGTCTTTTTGCTATACTTTCTGCCAAGTTTTATTAATTTTATCTTCCAGCTCTTACACTGATTATTTAATAACTGCTATTATATTTTAAAATTTTCCAAGAGCTGTTTTTTCCTCTGGATGGTCTTTTTCTTCTTTCTTTTTTTAAAAGTGCAGCACATGCTTTTTTACAACAGTGTGGCACATATATAGGTTTTTTTTGGTTGTTGTTGTTAAAATAGAGTTGCTGATGAAAAGTGACTACTCAGTTTGGGGGCACATTTTCAAGCTCCCCTTGCCTTGTAAGTGGAAATTGAACAGGAATAATGTGTACATATTTTTCTAGACCAAAGCATTAGGATCTAGGTATGCCTCCTTTACCATTCCTTTCATTGTTTGTCAGATGAACAGATTGAACTATAAGGACAAAAGAGATGGAGAAGTCATACAATGGAGGAAACCTGGGACCCTGAACAACTATGTGGAACAGAGCACCCACCCCATTTCAGTCCTAACTGAACTTTACACAGGTGAGAAATAAATACGTCTGTTGTTAAGCCACTGAAATGCCCAGTTGTTTCTAACAATTAGTACTACCTTAATTAATACAAATATCACTACTTGATTTGTTGATGCAATATCATTTTTCCTCTGAGAATATTAATTCTATCTTTAAATTTTCTTTTCTTCTTCCAGTATAGATTTATTTTCCTTCAGGTTTCTGTTCTAGATATTTACTCTGGCAACTGTCTATCGTTTAGAGGTTGGCCTCAAGTGTCTTTACTAGCCATTCATATTTGAGAAGAGTACAACAAAAAAATTATCTTTGGAAGCTTTGTGCATATGTGGGATGTCTGTGAACAGTGGGCTTCGGAGTAATTTGACTGGTGTGTTTCCTTGGAAAAATCCTTTAAGAGAGCATTTTTAAAACTTTTCTCTTGGATTTGCAGATTTGCCCAAGAGAGGTGTTTTTGTGTCCTGGTTGGAGGGGGTAGACCTCAGAACCGATATTCTGGGAGTCAGGTGGGGGAAGAAACCTGGGGGCTCTCAACTTGCATATGAATTACTTCTCCTGGTTGTGTTATGGCACCTCTGCCTGCCACTGTGCCTGGCTCTCCTTCGGTGGGTAAAAACCTGTTTTACTCTCTTTAAGTAAGCAGTTAGTCTTCTGCCAGAACGAGACAACAGTAGTTGTCTGGCTTCATAAAGTTGGTGAGAAGCCAGAAGGTCTAATTTTTTCTTTTAAAATGACTTCCAAAGAATCCTGCTGTTTTAGTCATCATTTCCCCACCCCAGTTTTTCTAGAGGTGCCCGGTCTACTAAATCATGAGTCTCTGGGGGCTTCTGTCACATGTATCAGGGAACTGCTCAGCTTTTCCTACCGCTGGCTGAGAATCCAGCTTTCTCACATTTGCCAAGTAATTTACCACTCATCCAGCTGCTTCCTAGCTTCCAAAGCTGTGTCGCTTTTGTCTCTTTTCCAACACTGTTTGTCTATGTGAGTTTATGCCTTTATTAAAAAAATACAGTTTATTGGGCTTTCAGAAGACAGCAACAACCCTTTAAATACTTTCAATTTACCATTTTTTATCTGGAAACTTTAACAATTTTAAAACTAAAATCAACTCAATTTTATACTTTCAAAAATAGCAGGATATCCAGTATCTTCTAAATCTTTTCTCTCTTCCAATTATTTAACTGCTCCAGGGGATAACATAGTATAAGGTGCAAATCTTGCTTACGATGACCTCACCGGGAGAGAAAAAGAGAATTGACTGATTCACTAGTGGGACTTATTTTTCCACTGCCATGGTTTCTGTAGCTGCTGCCCAGTGTCACTTTTGTACATCTGTTTGGCAGAGTTCACTGCAGTATTTACGAATTTGCTGGTCCAGATCTTTGTACAGGTTCCTTTGCACAGGTGGAGGTTAATCTCACTCCTTCAGTGAAGGATGGTCCAAGTTTTCCCTTAGAATTGCATCTTTTTAGTTCATGCTCATATGCTCAGCTGTTCTTTCCAGAGTGTGACCCAGTTGGCTTGAAAGAGCATCCAACTTCAGCTACATGTTGTGTGAGAACTAAGCCTCACCATATAACCTCTTAGATAGTTGTAGTCAAGTCTGGGTCATCAATTCAGATTCCCTGGTCCTTAACCATAAGTGCTTCTTAGAGGATCCTAGAATCTTTTTCTGCCAAAAATCTTTAGTGATTGGAAGACTTGATGCTGCCTGAAAACTTCTAGTTTCTGACATAGAGGGGAAGGCAGAAATTTGCTTCACATAGAAGATATGAGATTTGGAAAGTGAAAGAAACGCGGAAATCCATTATTGCTCCTCTTGGCAGTAGTGATCAGAAATGTGGGCTTCAAGTGATGTCGGATTTTGCAGGGGCTTCCAGATATGGCCCTGGGAATGATCCACCTCAGTGCTAGAGGCAGCTCTGATTGTTGTCAGTGTCTTCCTGTGGTTACTGCAAATTTCTGAATGTTTGAGAGGTAATGGCCATCACTGATAGCAAGAGTCTGTATTTCCGGACCTCTATTCCTCCAGCATGTCTGATAGTTTGATAAGCAAGAATTAATACTGTTTGTATTAATTCTCCTTCCGCTTGAAATACTAGAGTGATCAAATACTAATTGCTAATGCACTTATCTTCTACTAATAAATAAGCTCATCTGCTAGAAGGGTATTTGAGGGACATCTTTACCAAGTCATAAAAATATATTGTTATACATTCCTCTCAAAGCTTTGAGTGCCTGTTTGCTTACACTGAGATCATGGTAACTTTCAAATGGAAGCTCCTTTTCGGGGTATGGTTGTGGGCTGGAAGTTGAGCTCCACTGAATCAAGCGTCCTCCTCCACAAAGAAGTGTGGGGGAAATCCAAAAGTCAAATGTAAATTATTTGAGGACAATTTTTCTTCTCCAAAAGGACCATGAAATATGGTTTAAAAAATCAAATTCTGTAAATAAATGAAAAAAGAAAACATTTGATATTTTATCTGGAAATCAGAGTTGTAGTGGTAGGCACTATTTAAATAGTATAGCAACCAGAACTGAGGTTCAGTGTATCCCAGTCTATCTAATTTTAAATTATTATTGTCCACACTTTCATCCTATGAAAACACTAGAAAACAGTTTTTGGCCTCCTTCCCTCCAAGGAAGCTTGGTGATTAAATTTCTCTACCCGTTATGAAAAACAACTCTCTTTAACATTAAGTATGCTAACAAATTTCTTAGTGACTCAGCCATTATTTTCAATTCTGCTTATTTCCATCTCACTGGAAGTTTAGACTAAAAGTCTATGAAAGAAGAAAATGCATAATTCTAAGAACATAACTTTGTCACATCAAGTCTCTTTGACATATGCATAAATTTGTAAATTACTATATATTGAAAGATATCCATCAAGGTCAGATAATTTAACCTTTCAGAATATTCTTTTCAAAGCTGTTTAAAGTATGATTTATTTCTTATTATTTTAATGGAGCCTGTTGGTAGATTGTGAAACAATCCTCTGATTGGCCCACATAGATTCTGACCTCAAATCATTAAAAGGTTATTTTATAAAGGCTCATGCAAAGGCCAGTTGTTTGGAACTTGTACAATATTTTTCCATAGAAGTATAATTTATTTTATGTAGTATTTATCTTCCACCTACTCTAGAAAAAAGATTAGAAGAAGCTTATGTAATTAAGTGTAAAGTGAAATAATAAAACTTTAAAATTGGAAGGAGCAGAGGCATAGATGTCTCTGAAGACCCAAGCGTTTTTTTGTGTGTTTGTTTTTTGTTTGTTTGTTTATAAAAGGGAGCTAGGTCAGTATAAGTAAAAGAGAAATCAGTATCACATAGATCTATGTTCTAATCTTTCTGCTAGAAAAAAAGCTACTTGTGTGAACTTGACCAAGCTTCTGAATCTCAGTTTTCACATCTATTAAATGGTTATAAACTGTAAATAGTTTGGCCAGTGAATATGTTCCCTGACAAGTCCTTAACAGAAGATTTCTCCCTGAGACCTCCTTCGCTATTCCCTCTGGGATCTGTGGCTGGATAGAAACGAGGGTGATTCTGAAAAGTTCTGCCTGCAGAGCAGCAATCTCTCTACTCCTATTTTTGTTGGACTAGCAGGACCAGTTGCCCAGCCTCTGCCTGTGCTGGTGCTGAGCTCTTCTGTTGTGCTGACCTCCAGGCCACCCGTAGACCTCTGCCATGCTGCTGTCAACCTCCCATACCCCATTGACTCTTACTAATCTCTTCAACTAGCCACTGGCCAGGAAATCTTCAGCTGACATTTTAATTGTAAAGCTGTTACATCGCTAGTGATACTGACTACCTCTTAATATTGCACCTTCTCTTTTCCAGAGGACAGAACTTTTAGAAGGTTAAAGTTAAGGGATGATCAACCCTAGCAGGATCTTCACCTGGAACTGCTAGTTCCTCTGCAATTCCCCACTCTGCTGCTCCATCTGTACCACTCTTCACTTACAGTAGGTTTTTCTCTGGATTCCAGGCGTTCTCTCTATTCTAATACAACTTTGGGGAAGTTTCAGGCCTCAGACAAGATAGTACTTCAATTGCAACACAAGTTCAAATTCACTCCCATCAATCCCTGGATCCCAACCAAGAGCAGGAATGGAGCTGAGTAACTATTTCAAATTCCGCCAATAAGACTTTACACAGAGCAGACCACCAGGGGGCAGTGTTGCCTTACCTCGCATTCCAGCCTAACATGGGGAATGGAGCCCCAAACCTTTCGTTGCATTCAAGTTTAGATAAGCTGTGAAGCCTAAATGAGATAATATAATAGCTGCAACTGTTGTTTCTTAGATGCTTTCTAGGGGACAAGTATTTTGTCTATAATTTCATTTAATTTTAATGTGTCTCAGATAACGTTTGTGGGTTTTTCTACACATTGAGATTTAGATGACATTGCTTCCATGACTCTTCCCTGCAAGTGCTGTTCATTTCTCTGAGTTTAATGTTCATGGTTTCTTCTGCCCATGGCTCCTGAAATTGTACATCATGCCTCTGTTTGCACAAATCAATTAGTTTTTAAAATAAGTTTCCATGGGAAATCCATTCCATTCATACTAAGTCCTTCAGGAAATTCACAAGAAGGGATCAAGTTATCTTTTTATGTCCCTCTGAGCTCTTTATTCTGCTTTTAACCTCTTCCGCAGAACCAAATTCCTCCCCTTCTAACTCATAACAAGCCAATGAATCTCTTAGTTGTTTTAGCTTCTTCCTCACCCGAGTTACTTATTCTCAAACAATGGGGAAGAGAGAAATTTGAAAGTGCAGTCTTGGTGAGCTCTTTGTCAATGAAATGTTTATAATTTAGGAAATTTGAGCATATGCAAAAAGGCTCTTATACTAATCAGAATTTCATAGGGTTGTTCTCCAGCAGTTACATGTGGAGTGGGTTAATTATGAACTAGTGCCTAAAAAAGTTTAGCACACCAAGAAGATATCAGAAATATCTCAAATGAATATTAATGTTTGAAAATGTCTATGTAATTGAAATCAATTTAAATGTAGAAATAATTTGAAGAATGCTAATGCAATGGCAGAGTCCCACAGATAAATATGTCAAAACACATTAGGATTTCTCTGAGGCTATGGCAGAAACCTGCATTGCGATCAGACTGTGGGATACACAGATTTGATTCTGTTTTTTTCTGATTTAAGTCTACTTTTTTGGGTTTTCTTATTTGCATCATTAGTCACAAGATTTTCGTATAGGGGCAAAGAAATTTTACTTCTCCCCTCTGAAGGTTTGAGTCTGTTGAAAAGAACTGACAATAGACAAATTAATAGGAGAAAAGGCATCCACATGTATTAACACTCATAAACATGAGAGTCATACAAAATATGAGACACAAAGAAGGGCCAGATGGTTGAGGCTTAGATACCCCTCTTCATAGGGGAGAGGGAAATGGGGGATGCAGGGAATTGTGAGGAATAGTAAACGATTTTCAGGGGAAATGAATAGGCTCAAAGAGCAGACAGTCGTTTGTAAATGATTCTTTTAGGAAACTGAATGGGACTAGCCAGTTACAGGAAGGTGAGAGGCTGAACTGTGTCATCAACAAAGGTTATCTTATACAAATAAAGTCTTTTAGGTTATATCTCAGGGCTGCCCTCAGAAGAAGAGATAAAATGTCTACCTGGGTGTGGTAGAGATTTTTAATCTCTTCTTTTCTGATTAATTCTTCCTGTTTATTTAGCGACAGTTCTATGCAGGGGATTAAGATAATTGCATTTCTTTTGAAAAGAAGTTTCCTTATTCAGATAAATAAATTCCAGAGAATACCCCTTCCTGCGCTTGAAGGGGAGAAAGAAGAGAAGGTTAACAAGTCCTTGGTTCTGAGGCAGCTTCTGAGGTCTTCCCATTTCTTTTAATTCAAAGTGCTCAACATAGCACAGCAGGATACTTTGGGGTATTGTTTTCTGAGATCCAACATTTGGCTTTGTTGATTTTTCTGGGATGCGATACTTTTATTTTTATTTTAGCTTTGTTTAAGTTGAGTGGCGTACCTCAACTTTGGTTTTGGTATGGGAGTTTTTGTTTGGTTTTGGTTTGGGAGTCATAGATAAACTTCAATTTTAAAGAGATTAATAATTAAAAAATAAGTTGGCCTAAAAAATACTTCATGATTTCAGTTATATGAGGTCTCTAAACTAATCAAGTTCATAGAAGCAGAGAGCAGAAAGGGTGGTTGAAAGGGGCTGGGGAGAAGAGAAAAGGGAAGCTGTGGTTGAATGAGTGTAAGTCTCATTTATGCAAGATGAATAAGTTCTACAGATAAATGAACTGTATTGTGCACTTAAAAAACTTGTTAAGAGGGTAGATATCACGTTAAATGTTCTTGCCATGAGATAAAAACAAAAGCAAAGAAGCATGAGGAAACTTTTGGAGGTGATACATATGCTTATTACCTTCATTGTGGCGACAGTTTCATGGGTCTATACTCATAGAATTGTATACATTACATATATGCCGCTTTTTACATATCAGTTATACCTCAATAAAGCTGTTAAAGATATGTATGGCTAAAAAAATAAGTTGTTACGTTTTCTTACAGAACTGCTACAAAAGTAATGTGGAAAGGGCAGAGAAAGCATGACTATTCCCGTTTTAGAGTCGAAGAACCAAGGCTCAGAAGCATTAAGTACATTGATCCAGGCCTCCGTATGCTCCTTTACAGTGGTATTGTGTTTAGCCATTTTCAAAATGATTTAGTTACAGTAGACAGATAGCTAGACAGAAACAAAAAGGGAGAGCCCCTTAGAAAAGGGAGATCTGGAAAAACCAAAATGCCAAAGACCACCCGAACTTACATACTAGATATGAGCAGAGAGAAAGGGAAATATCTAAGCAGAAAGGAATACCTGTAAAGATGCCCTGAAGTCATGCACTCTGCACTTAACCTGTTAGAATGTAATGAGCTGCCTGCTGATAAGGAGAAGAGAGTAAAGGGAAAATTCCTAAGAGATGCCAGGGGCAATTCCTATCCAACACTGGGCCCACACATGTGCACCAACTAATAGTAAGAGAGGGTCCCACAGGCCTTGGGAGGGAACCAGGAAGGGCAAAAGGATAGGACTTAAGGCAAGATTGGGAAAGCTAAACAAAGGAAAAAAGTGGAGACTTAAGACAAAGGCAAGAACTTCAAGAAAAATCTGACATCATAAAAACCCAATGCAGAATTCTCAGGCTGCTGCTGGCTCACTCCCTTTCAGCCTGCTCTTCCTCATCTTTCAGAGTGTACTCTTTCTCTCTATAAACAATCTACTACCTATTTTCTTTCAATAAATTCTCTTTTTTAATTTAGCTTCATCAGTCACTTGGCAGGATTCTGCAAGTAAGACTAAGAACTGAAGATTCTCGCACTTCTTGGTAACAATTTTAGATACATTATCTCATTTGAGACAAACTTCTACATTCTTTCTATGCAATGAATTATCAGATTTTATCTCTTTTTCCTCATGTGCTTTTCTACCTGTCAAAGTTTTTTCATTCCTCAAGACTCAGAGTATATCCTACTTTTTCTAACTTCCCACCAAAGGGGATCCACCCCACGTTGAGCCTCCAGTAGCCCTTAATTGTATCAGTCAGATGATCCTTGCTACATGTTTCCTTCACTGCACTGTGTTCTGTATCTGATTTATTGATACTTCTTGGTGAAAAATCTGAGAGATTAGTAATCTTTATATACTTACAAAGGCTACCACAATGTTTTGCCTATAGTAGTTATTCAAGAAATGCCTACTGAAATAAATGAGAAAGATATTTCCCTTTTCTTTCCATCATCTGTCACCATTAAGCCTGTCCTTTCTGCTCACACTTTAGCTACTTCTCAATGTTACTCCTCTGCCTCAGCCAAATTGGTGACACAATGAACACTCTGAAGTTTAAAAACAAGCAAATAAAAACAAAAATGACCCCCATAGCTTTGTTTAGATGAATTTCTTGTCTTGAGATTCTCTTAGAAGTTTTCCACAGCTCTTCTGTTCTAATTTATCTTTCTCTTCTTCAATTTCTTATGTTTAGAGCTTGCATATCTATTTCTGTTTTCTGATTTTTCATGGGCAGTTGGAGGGCAAGTCAAAAATGATATCTAACTTCCGGGCTGATTATGCAAACTGAATAATATGATTGTAGAATGCTGCATTATTATTTGTTGTTTTTAAAACTGTCTCCCAGAGTATCTAGCATAGAACTACACAAATGCTAGAAACAAGCAAACTAACAACAACAAAAAAAAAACTACAAATCTCTGCCACCCCCAAAACTTGTTGAATAGATTCACATCACTCCTTTCCCGG
Organism: Homo sapiens; assembly: GCF_000001405.40. Taxonomy (NCBI): domain Eukaryota; kingdom Metazoa; phylum Chordata; class Mammalia; order Primates; family Hominidae; genus Homo; species Homo sapiens. The sequence continues at coordinate 94,253,844 of NC_000003.12, forward strand.
TGAGTCCGACTTTCAAGATTACATTATTCTCCACAGATATCTTCTTTTATATGTTCCTCCATCTTATCACATTACAAAGCAGTTTTCATTCATTGTTCGGAATATTTAACACAGCAGTTTACTGACTTTGGTTTTATTTCCTGATCAAATTGAAACCCTTTGGACTATAAATTGGGTTGTAAATCTGATATTATTAAGTTTCCTATTCCAAAAATTACATTATTCTCATGTCTTATATATATTAGATATTTCAACAATTCTAGCTGTCTTCTGAGAGATTGCTACTGTATATAATCTGAGAAATTTACTTTGTAATTCTTAATAAAAATCAGGAAAATGAATGGACTTTTCCATGTTCTAATATGGTCTTAGTATGATAGAGTTTAATATCAACTTTCCTTATGGAAATGAAACACTGAATTACTTTTCGACATAGAGTGTTTCTATGGTCAGGGGGAGGGCACTGGTTTTGTGTAATACTCTCTGCTTGAATTTTCTTTCTGAGTTTATGTATTCAGTGCCTTCTACTCTGTCTGACACATAGTAAGTTCCCATTAAATCCTTGTGGAATAAGTAAAAGGCTATGTAGATGAAAGCTTTCATGTGTGCACTCATTTTCTGTTTATTCTGCTTGGTTCTCTGATTCATGAGTTTGACATGAACATGTAGGGAAAAGAATATACAAACATTTTTTAGCAAGATTTGTGGAACATTGATTTTATAAGAAATTATAGGAGTTACTAAAACAAACAAACAGGGTGAAAAGGTTCATGGGAAAAAAGAAATAGGCCAGGTGCGGGGGCTCACGCCTGTAATCCCAGCACTTTGGGAGGCTGAGGTGGGTGGATCTCTTGAGGTCAGAAGTTTGAGACCAGTCTGGCCAACATGGTGAAACCCCGTCTCTACTAAAAATACAAAAATTAGCTGGGCATGGTGTTGTGCACCTGTAATCCCAGCTGCTCGGGAGGCTGAGGCAGGAGAATCACTTGAACCTGGGAGGTGGAGGTTGCAGTGAGCAGAGATCATGCCACTGCACTCCAGCTTGGGTGACAGAGTGAGACTCCGTCTCAAAAAAAAAAAAAAAAAAAGGAAGAAAAAAGCAAATAAGAAATAGTATGACAAATGCCAACTTAAAATTAAACTTTTCTCTCTTTGTCTCTCTCTCTCTCTCTTTTTTTTTTCCAGCAGGGCTTCTTGTGGCTCTAATAGCCTAATCGACACAAGTCTTCTCTGGTATAGTATGCACTATTATCCAAATTTACCTAACCCAAGTATTAATAGGACTCTTGGCTTTAAGTGACAAAAACACAGCTCGAAATGACTTGACTTAAAAATGAAATTCACCTACTTACATGACTGAAATATCCAGGGGTAGCCTGGCTTCAGGCATGCATAGTTACATAGAAGTGCTCAAATGGGGCATCAAGACAAAATTTCAGCTGGACAGGAGAAATAAGTTCAATTGATCTATTGTACAACATGGTAACTATAGTTAATAATAATGTATTATATACTTCTAAATCACCAAGAGAGTACATTTTAAGTGTTCTCACCACAAAATATGATTAAGCATGTGAAGTAACACATATTTTAATCAGCTCGATTTAGCCATAACACAATGTATACATATTTTAAAACTGTTATGCATCATAAATATATAACATTTTTATTTGTCAGTTTAAAAAATAAATGCAAATGGGTCATTAGGGGATCAATGTTGTCATCTTTCCTCTGGAGTGAGTTTATTATCAAATAGAACTTTTCAGTGAGGAGACAAGGATGGCCACTGCCACTTTAGTCTTATATCAAACAAGTTTATCAACTACAGCTCAAGGACAGCAGTTCTTTCCTGATAGTACAGAAAAATTCCACTTGTATATAAACTCTTCCAAAAAAGAATCTTTTTTTTTGTTTGTTTTGCTTCCAAATATATTTGCAGCTGCTAGAACAGTCCCTATTTGTGGTTGGTGTTCAATAAATTGAGTCTCATTTACTTAGCTTGAGCTTGAACCAACTGCTGTTCACAGGAGGATGGAATGCTCCAAATAGCTAGACTAGACCATGTTTCTAGTTATAGAGTTAAGAAGAAAAGAGGTTTGACCCACCTGAACCACATGAATTGAGAGTGGAAGAGAGAAAGGAAAAGAAAGAAATGGAAAGGAAGGAAATAAGAAAGGAAGGAAGGAAATAGACAGGAAGGAAGAAAAGAAAGAAAAAGAGAGAAAATCCAATAAAGAAACGTGTGCTAATATGCTAATAGATTTTTCTTTCCTTATTTTGCCAATGGTTTTCTGGGTATCTATAACATGAACAGATAATACATCTTAGTGCCAGGGTTGGAATTTGATTTGACTCTCTTACAAGCTAATAAGTTATCCTGTTAGTATTTCATGGATGTTGGCAGAAGACATGAGACTCCTTTGTCAGAGACAAAAGACTTTAATACTTATGACACAGCAAGCAGCATGACTATCAGTATGTTTGCATCAGTTCTCCTTGCTTCAAGTCCCATGTGCTAGGGGACAGATGGATGCCTCACATGCAGTGGGTTCGCATCTCATCGGAGGAACAATAACTTGGGCAATTCAATACTTTTATAGCAAGTAGTAAGCAAGCCTGCCTTTTGTCTGGAGAGAGGTGTTACCTCATTTCTCAAGGTTGCTCAGTGAAACACAGCCCTCATAAAAGGCCGAGTGTAAGGAGCAGTCATGGTCTTTCATTCCTGGCCCACCCAGCAGGATGTATACAGGCATAAGAGATACATGAAAGACTGTCTCTCAACACTTAGCTTGAAAATATTATTTTAATTCAATTTCATCCAGGCAAGCAGGTGAAAAGAAAATTTTGGAGTTTGCAGGGCTTTGTAGCATTTCTGAAGCCACGTCACATGAAAAATTGCCTTCTTATACCAGGTGCATATATTAAAATCTCAGAAAAAGTGTGGGGGCAGTGGGGTTTATGGGGAAAAAGGAGACAATATCTTTACCTTTTATGATTGCAGAACATAATTTCTTCACTATGAAGAATACGATAAATGGGATTATTTGAGCTTTCAGGGAGAATACTTAGCTATGCTTTCTTTTAGTACATTTTATTTCCAATTACTGAGAAATTGCTCAACATGCCCTGTGAAGAGTCTTTATGAAAATGAAGAGGCCAGAAGGTCTTCAGTGGGCCTTGTTCTAAATGTGGCCTCTCTGGTCATTTGGCAGCTTATCAAAAGCCACATTAATCCTCATAAATAGTGCTTGATTGTCAAAAGACAGCCCCCTTGTTTTAGCATTGCAGATTGAGCCACACTTATTATTTTTCTTGACTTCTGGTGCACAGGCGGCATGATTACCAAGTGATCTTATGTAAACAAAAGGCTGTTTTGTGCCGATAAATGGATTCCCACTGTTGCCCCAGTCCCTAGGAGTCTGCATTAAAAACAAGTTGAGATGCAAAACAGAACACAGCATTTATTTTAACAGCAGGCACTTATCATTGGTGACATTACCTGATATGGCTGATAATCTAAAGCATGAAGACTTTTGAGCAAAATTTGGTTCATAGAGACATACAAGGAGATAAACCATGGCTACTAATAGAAATTGCAAACAATCCTTTGAATAGAACAATCTTATCTACATTCATCAGCCAACTCTCTCCTCCCACTGAAATGAGACAAGGTAAATTCACAACTCCCGTTAATGCTAATAGCAGCTTCAGAAGTAAATTCCTTGTTTCTCCACAGGAGAGGACGACTGCCCCCTCTTGTTTCAATATGTCACAAACCTGTGTCAGTCTGAGTTAATTGGTGGGAATTTGGAATACAAGCAATTTGAAACTAATCCTTTAAAATGGTGGCCAGCACAGTTCTTGGTGACAGCAGCTACTGGCTAAAAAGCAATGCCATTTCTCCTTGGAGTGTTAATTCTGATCGATTGACAGTAAGTCTTCACTGTTCCTGGGCCAGGCTGATTTGCTTGTGCCCATTTCTTTTTCTGACACTAGCCTGTCAGGACACACCTGGGTGAAGTTGGAAGAAAGGCTGCGGGTCAGGCTATCACATTAGTTTTATTGTTTTATAATAAAATTCACCTCGACAACATAAAAAGTAAATGTAGCCACTCCTCTACTTTGTGATGTTGGCCAAGTAGCTTAAGATCTTGCACCCCAATTTCATCATCTATAACATTATCTTTTCTAATAATCCATTCACAGTGTTTTTCCTGAAGGCTATATGAGATATTGTAATTACAACAATAAAGAGCAGAATTAATTAGCATGTACGGGCTTCTATTCAATTTTATTGAGAGACAATTATTAGAAAGAAGCTGAACCTCCAGGAACTTGATGTCTTCTAGCAAGTTCAGGTTGCCTGAAGAAAATTACTCTTCATGATAATGGAGAGAGGGATTTGGATCCAGAGGATTGAGGGAGAGGAAAGAGATGTTGAACCCAGTGGTTGGAGAATGGTAAGAGATGGGGCCTTCTAAGCTGACAGAGACGTAGGAAAAGGGAAATGGCTGAAAGAGGTTATCATCATGTGATGCATAGGTGCAGGCGACAGATGCACTAAAATCTACACTGTTCACAAGGCATTTGCATAAGTGAGTGGTCTAGAGAACACAAAGCCTTGATGCTGGGTATTGCAATTAGTTTGGTTCAAGAGGATGCAAGATTCTAATTGTTATAGGATGTTTATATTGAAATTTTTGGCTGTGGCGCCCAGAGAGAAAAAACATAGAAAATTCCTAGTGAGATGCCAGAGAAAATGCAGACATTCAAAAGGCATGATTGCATGTAGGAAGGCTCTAAGCTCATGAGAAGCAAGTGAAAGGAAGAAGTGGAACAAAGAAAGAGGACAAGGATGTGGAAGATTCCTTCTGTGGAGAGGATCTTTTAGGACAAAGTTGTGCTGTGAGCCCTCTCCTATCTTATTACTCCTAAGGAGGACTAGAGATGGTAGTGGTTCCCTCAGCTTAAGGCCTGGTGAGGAGGCGGCACCACAAACCAGCCAGAACCTGACATGCATTCTTTATGTTGTGGTTGTGACTGATTGGGGCTGGTGTCATGGTTGGTAAAGGAATTTCCTGAAACAGCAGTGAGTTAAAGCAAGTTTATTGGAGAGAAAATACATTGCAAGGGGGCAAATGGGCAGCACAGCAGAGAAGGAGGTGTCCTCCAGGAGGCAGGGGCTGGAGGGAAGTTTTGTAGGATCATGTTGGAGGGGCTACCTGCAGAGTGAGGTATTTGGGAACAGGGTGTTGTGCAAGCAGATTGTTTGTGGTTAACTGTCTCTCAGAACAATTGTTCTCCCCCACCTGGGGCCCCTCCCTCATTGTTGCTAACTTATCATCAGGACTCCACACTTTACAGGTGGGATATAGTTTGCACTGGTGCCTGGGTAGTCAGTGTGGTCTGTAGCAGAGCAGAGAGTGAGCTTGTGCTCACTGACAGCTGGATTTGGGAAGTAAAAACATCCCAATGACACTGGGGCAAGAAATGTATGAACATTTTCCAGGGCCAAGGTCTGGAAGGAGAGACTTGGCCTGGAACTGTTTGTTTCAAAGGCTGCCCTAGAGAACCCTGAGGTGATAACAACAGGAGGCAGCCAAATGCCTAGGCAAACAGGAGTGGGTCCCTGGTGAAATCCTACCTTTGAGGCAAAAATAGCCTGAAGGCTGAAAGACCAGACTGCTGATTCCTGAAATTCCGTGACCCAGAGTGAGAACTTCTGTTCCTGTTTGACTGCCCTTTCCTGACTGATTCTTTCTGAATACTGCCTTTTAACCAATCAAATGTTGCCTTTTCCAATACCTGACCCTTCCCCATTCTGAGCCTATAAAAGCCCTGGACTCAGCCATATTAGGGGGACTTTCCTGCCTTTGGGTAGGAGGACCATACCTGAGTCCCCTCTCTGCTGAAAGCTGTTTAATCACTCAATAAAACTCCCTGCCTTGCTCACTCTTTGATTGTCAGTGCATCCTCATTCTTCTTGGGTGCAGGACAAGAACTTGGGAAGCAGTGCATGAGCCGATTCGGCCTGGATGGGTCACCTTCTGCAATAGGTAGTGTGGCCGTGTGAGGCCCAGGTGGGGCATCACCAGCTGGAGGTCCCTGGCTTGCAAAGTGACCAAGAAGACAATCCTGCCTCACAGGGAGGGTAAGCACATTCCCACGGTGAGAAATTGTGAGCGAGTAGACTTCCAGAGAAGCAGAGACTTAGAGAACAGCCACCAGGCAAAGAAGGGACACTGCCCTGATCACTGGGGCTTTGGTCAGGCAGGTTCAGAGTGTTGGGATGCTGGGGTGGAGGGAGACACCAAAAGGAGCCAAAAAATTACCCAGGACAAAGAGTTGGCTTTCCACATTTGCCAGGCTTAGAGTGCGCAAAGCCAGCTTAAGTCAGTGACAGGTAACAGCCAATTAAGAACTTTCTAATCTTATTTCCAGCTAGTAGCCTATGCATGAACAGTTTGCAAGTGGGGCAGGACATGAGTGGAAGGAAAGAGCAGAGCCTGGCAACACCCACTTCTCAGAAGGCAGACAGCCCACCACAGCACCAGACTTTAATGAGAGAACACTGGAGAGCTCTTATATTGAACTGAGATTAATGGTTTGGCCTGGATACCTTTAATATTTGTATGGAGAATGTGTTTTGTGTATATGTGTATAATCTTAGAATAAGTAGAAAAGCCGTGAGGCCAGCAGTGGTTCTCAAAGCCTGATTTCTGGGGTAGCAGCAGCAGCAATACCTGGAAACACATTAGAAATGCAAATTCTCAGGTGCCACCCAGACCTCCCATATCAGAAACTCCGGGGGTGGAGCCCTGCAAGCCCTCCAAGTTCTTCTGCTGTGTAGGAAAAGTTTGAGAACCAAACTCTGAGCTAGAGAAGAGAAAGCTCCAGTTTTATAGGTGCTTCTGCTGTCCTGCTAGTGATAAGCTATATGAAAAATATAGAGAAATGCAATCTACACTTCATGATATAATCACTTGAGGGTTACAGGAAGAATTAAAGCAATAGTTTTTCATGATATATTTTGGCTCTCAAACATGTTTCTCTAACAGAACATCTGCTTGGATTTTCTGGGTGGCCTGAAAATCAAGCTGGGGTGGTCTGATCACCACTTAGCTTGGCAGGATGTGCAACTGTACTGAAACTGGGAGCTCAAAGTAGAGGAGAAGCCTCCCATACCTGCTACGACCATTACTTGATGGGTTCCTTAAACTGATGTTGGACATTTAGGCATGAACAGGTTAACCACAAGCAATATCCTAGTGAGGTAAAGACAGCCTGCTATTTTAATATCTCCATCTTGTACAGGGAACAAAACTTAAGTAAAGGCAATTTTAAGAATAGAATCTAAATACTTTTGTGAATTAGAAAAAATAAGGACTAGCTGCTGTTAGTATGTTAAAAAATATGAATAAGTGAGGAACAGATTTTCAAGCCTGAACACTGTGCCAACCCCATGTCGTTTGCTAAATAAAAATACATGGTTCGTCTCAGAGGTATTACCAGGTGACGTGAATTATAACGTTTGTAGAAATGTGAAAACCAAAACCAAACAATCCTAAACTCTTAAAAAATGAGGTCTAGTGTAATATTAAAATGACTTAGAAGTAAGTGTCAATTCATAAGTAAAGTCTCTCAGAACAATAACAAATTTATTCAAAAGTACTAGTATTTTAAAGAATACTTTGAATATAAACAACATGTGGTAACCATAATATGACAAGTTTTGCATACTGTTCATATGTTCTCTTACAGTATACTCATCTTAGGAATTTGGTATCCAACTTCATAGTTATTAATTTGTTTCAATTTTTTTAGAAAATCTGAGTTTTAAGGGGTTTGTTTTATTCTTCAAGTACGATTTTCTTTCAGAGGTACAATGTTTTAAATTGTCCCATTGGATCAGTGTGTGTGTAGAGAAGGAAAGTTTAACAAAGGGATATCACTAATTTGCACAAAACTTCCCTGTGAAATATGAGTTTTAGAAATCATTGTCTTCTTGTTTCCATTTATTGTGTTCCTTCTTTCTAGTGAGGTTGTAAACTCCATTTTGAATTTTCCCTGTTATTTAATGTGGTGCAGTAAACACAGTAAAGGCTCAATAAATGTTGATGTAATGGCTGGATAAGATAGAAAAGAAAAACAGTTTTTTTTTCGCCAATGCCATCATCTGCCTATTGAAGTTTTTCTTGTCAGACCTTCAGCAAATGATTAAATTAATTTGAATCAGATTGAATTAGGCTAGAAATAGCCCAATATCTGAAACAATTTCACCAGGAATAATCAGTATAAGAGTCATTAGAAAGCAGCAGTTGTTAATAATGCCCCCATTTTTTTTTTCTTTTACGATAATGACAGGGACTCACGATGTTGCCCAGGCTGAGCTCAAAATCCTGGCCATATGTGATCCTCCCACCTTGGCCTCCCAAAGTGCTGTGATTATATGTGTGAGCCACCACACTTGGCCTGACCACACTTTTTTTTTTTTTTAAAAACAGCAAAGCCCTTTTCTTTCTGAGCAGTGATTTTGAAAATTACTAAAATTCTTATGTAAAAAATTTCTAAAACAAAAATTTCCATAAGAATATCATCAAAATATTATTCTTTGCACTGTATACCATTCCTCTATCAACTAGGTATCCAGTCATATATTTTGGATTTGAATTTATCTTATGGGAGCTGGATGGTACATATATTGGCAACACAATCTTCCAGATCTAGTTAACTTCTTAAATGCCGTTGGCTTCACAGTGCTTCAGTCAGGAAAAAAATGAATAATGTCATCCCCTGGGAATGTAAGGAAAGAGTCCTATTGAGGATATTGGTGGAGCTGTTCGGCTTCTTCAGAGGAAAGACTCTATACTCATTGTGGTGGCTGCTTTTCTCCAAGCTTGTGATTTGAGAGGTTGACCTAGCAACAATCTGAATAGCAAAGCATGTTTTTTCTTGGTGCCCATTTTCCTGCAAAAGCATATTTTTGATTGGACTGCAGTCGAAAGCATAATTAAATGTTACAGAGACTCTCAGAACTTTAAACCATTCTCTTTTTCCCTTTTAATTTGACAACACAAACAAGTCTAATGTTTCATTTTTCTGGCTCCAGATGTCCATTGTGAATGTAAATGATGAGCCAGTAGAGCTGATGCTTCCACAGAACTGATATTCAGAGTAAAAATGAATCGTTGCACATCCTGCAGGTGCCTCTGCTGAGGGAATCTTTTCACTCCGAAGACATTTAAGAGATAGAATATGCAGCTGGTCAAAGAAAGCCTTTAGGCTATTTCAAAGTTTCTATACAAAATAAAATGCCTCATAAAGTTTGCTTGAAAGTGAAATTTTATAAAATACGGTTATATACACTCCTTCATTTTTATTCCAATAATTCCAAGCTTTCTTTTTAAGGCTGAAAATACTATTTTTAAGAATCAAATAAACACCAATATTTGGAGTTCTGATAGAGAGAAGAACTTCACATTTGGCTTGCATTTGGCACTTAATTTGGAGGTTGTATTCAAGTTAACAACAACAACAGCAAAAATACAATGATTCTTCTATATTGTCAATAATTACTGCTCGCAGCTTGATTATTTTGCAATTATCAAGATATCGGATGCCACACATATGTGTCAAAGCCTTTCAAAGGACATCTAATGAGAACCATAGATGAAGATGGTATTGATGTCTGACTGGGGAGAGAGCTGTTCATGTACTTAGCCTTTGAACTACAACTCACCATCTAATTTTCTCAATCAAGGTCTGAGACTTGAAAGAATCTATGGAAGAATCTAGATCATCTACTGAAGTACTTATGACTTCAGAATTTAGAGTCAGAAAACATATCCTGAGCATGTTCCCTCTCCTGCTTCTCAGAAGCCCTGAACCATTAGACTGCATGAGTCTGCCCACTTTCTCCTGTGATGATTCAACTGGGTTCCTCTTCCCTCAAAGATCCCTGCATTCTAAAACAATTTTTCTGCCTTCCTAACACTCTGCTAAAAAAACCGATTCTTTTAGCACAGCTGACCACAGCAAGAAGAAAGCAAGCAGATGGAGTTAATTCATACTAAGATGAAAAAGTCTGCTAGCCTCCACAGGGTATTTGCCTCATAAAAAAGATTGCTTGAGAAGTTAAGTTTATCTCTAACTTGCAGAACCTAAGAAATGAAGTAAAGCTTCTCAACTGTGGGGAAGAAATGTGATCTCCTGTATTTTTTGGTCAGTATTTGGGTTATAAGACATGAGAAAAGAGATACACAAAGTCATCTCATGCTGACCAAAACAAAAACAAAACAAAACAAAAAACAATGTAGATTGAACTATGATTGAATGATTAATGCATCAAAGGAAAAAAGTATCAATCAGACATTGGTCATTCACTCTTGGCCATATTGAAAAGGGTATAGAGGCACACTTTGGAAAAGTCTATCTTAACATAGTTCAGAGAAGAGAGTCTTAGATTACAGTAAACTGGCAAGAAGATGCTATATGAAGACATCTATTTTACATTACATGTTTCATTCACTTAATTAATGTTCGGTTCTGTTTCTAAGTTTTTTAAGCAAACTTCTGGTTATTATTTCATTCTCAGTTAGTTCTGTCTACAGAGAAGTATGCTTGTCACATGGGCTTGAAGAATTTGAGACCCATACTAGCTATCTTTTAACTAGCTTTTTTTTTTTTTTCTTTTAACAGTCAGGGTAGGATCAGAGAAGCAGAACCACTAAGATTTTTTTATACAGATTGTACCTTATGCAATCATGGGAGATGGTTAATCAGCCTCTGCAAGGCTGTTGCCTTTGCATCTTTTCTGGAGCTTAAAGTCTGCAGGACTTTCAAGAAAAGAAGACAGATTTGGAGTGGGGAGAGAAAGGAAAACTGTAACCCATTGGCTCAAGCTGCAGTCCAAGAGGATGGATTGAAACCCTGGTCTCACTCTGCCTCCAACTTCAATGGTGCTGGTGGCCTGCAGGAGAAATTGATGCCCTTTGTCATAGAGCTTAACACACACATGGGCCAAGAAGACAGAGAACCTGAAGGACAACTGAGGGTAGGTTGGAGCAGCTGCAGGGCTAGGTGTTGCCCCATGTTAATCCAGTGTCAGCTGAGGTGTCAATGAGCATGGGTTGGTAGAGTGCCTGGTGCCCCTGTACCAGCCTGAGGATGAAAACAATATGGCCACTGCTTCAGTCTAACTTGCAAAACTTATGCAAAAGGGCTCTCCTGGACCACTGGGAAGTTAATTATGGGAAATGTAGTTCTAAGTTAGCTAAATTGCTATGGTTCAAATCCTTTGCATAAAAAACACATTGCTATCCAACGTGTTATCCAATTCTGGATTTACAAATTCCTTTTATAAACTTGCTAATAAGAATTTAGCCCTGAAAGATGGATTTACTCTTGATGTCCTGACAAAATAAGGGACGTGGCTGAGGGCCAGAGCCTGGAGAGAAGTTTATCCTACAAAGCTAATGAGTGACACCCTGTCTGTGTGCTCTCTTATCCCACAGCCTACTTCATCCCCTTGGCATTGCCCAAGCAATCTCTCATCATTCTTCTAGCATTGGCCTGGTAATACTCTCTTTCTTTTAGAATTTCAATACTTGGAATGTCTCAAATTGCCATCTCAGAGGTTACCATGGGCAGTGATTTTTCTTTTTCTTTCTGGTGTCCAGAAGCAGAAAGTGAAAATAACAGTTTTTCTGTCTCTACCTTTCCATTCTGCTCTGCTAATTATCAAAACAGTTCTTCCATCATTTACCCTTATACTTCTTTTTCTATCAAACTTCTATAGTAAGCCAAATATCCAAAAATTGTGTACAGATATAGCTGTAGAAACACTTTGCTAGATATATTGACATAGATGATCTTACTAGTGTCACGCAGCACTCTCTCAATCTCATATGAGGACATTGGTTTCATCTTCTAAAGCTTCTAGACTTGGTACTCTTGTAAGAAAATTCAGGTTTAACCTAAATGTAATAGGTTGAACTTGATTGTATTGACAGGTTGATATTATACCCCATTCAGTGATTTCAAGCAGAGCATGGGATCGGGTGGAAGAGGGAAAAGAGTGTTGAACCAATACTAATCCCTCATTACCTTTTACAAATCCTCTTTTCCAGAACTAGATTATTTAGAAAAAATGTGAATAACAATGTATTAGGCTAGAAATTCTTCCACATTCTCCAGCTTTCTTCCTCTTGTGGTCTTCAGTAAGCTATTAAACTTAACAAAATGCTAGAAGGAAAATACTAGTAAAACAGCTTACTTTTAAAAGGATGAATTGCATTGATGTAGGAGTTATTTTTCCCTTGTACGCAATGATTTTGGCCCATAATTGCCCAAAATTTCTGAAGCTACGTTATCTTGTCAAATGTAGTCTACTTCAGCATTACCTGACACCTCAAGTGTTCTAACACCAGACTGTCAATGACGTCGGGTGAAGGACCATTGCCAGGGAAGATAACTTGAAGTATTGGTGAGAAGCGGGTGTCAGGAAGAGGAATGAGCAGTCCATAAGCTAGACACAGCTGCTGGAGAAAGAACTCCACCTCTTGCAAGTGTGTAAGAGATGTGCAAAGAGAGAAGGCAGGGCAAGGCAATTAGGTGGAAGCCCCAATGCAAAGGGCCAAAGATGACTTTTATTCTGAGCTGCCCCTTTGCTTTAGCCAGGAAAAGCTAAAGCTTACTGATTAACTCAGAAACTTCTCCAGGGTGGCTAGACTGGAGCATGTGGGTGGAATTAAATAGAGGATTTCTGGGCAAAATGAAAGTGGGGAGGAAAAATGAAAGGACAGCTGTTGATAGGAAACTATAATACTAACATAGACTCAGACTTCTGGAAAGAGGAGTTAGAAGAATGCAGTGTGAATCAATCAGTGACAACTACCAAATCAGGTAAAGGTGCTTCCATTTTTTCCAAATTTTTATGTAGCATTGACGGTCTCTTTAAGGACCCCCCTCCCCTTCCCACCTAGCCTCAGGTTTCTGGGAGTTGGCATCAGGACAGCCAAATCATAAAGAATGGGATTTGGGGGAGAGCAAATCATTGAAAAGCTTGCTTGCTTATTAGGCAATAAATTATGTCCTGGGATTGATGCCAGGGTGGTTTTGGAAGGGCCAATACATATTGACCTCTGAAAAAATGGATTTGTTATTGAACATCTTTGTATGAAATCTTAACCAATGATGGGCATGTCACAGCACCATGGTTAGGCAGCTCCTGTGCACAGTTGCAACAAGGTTGGGAGGTTGGATTCTGCTGACATCTGTCTGGCAGAGACACCGCTGTTTGGAACCTCCTGCTAATCAGAAGCTTGTCCAGACCATTTCTTGCTATAGTAGATCATCCTCTACTGAATTGTAATGCAGATTGGGGGGGAAAGCTGCTGAAATGTAAAAGGCACTGTCAAATGTAGTGGCAGTTGTCTACCCTGTGAGTGTTTCTAAAACTGAATATGAATTTTTGAATCAAATATTGTGTTGCAATCAGAGAGATAACTGTTGAGTTGAATGGGAAATGTGCCTCTGTTCCTGGTAAATAGGCACAGACCAAGAATATTTACCTTACTTTGTTGAAAAAAAAAAAAGATTAAATGGTAACTATCTGTATTTGATAAAATGCTTAATTAGTGCCTATGATTAGGTGAGTTAGAAAAACCCCAAGCAAGTGGTTACATAAAGGCAAAACCCATTAGTTAAAAATGAATTGGTCAATATTAATAAATATCTGTAGAAGATATTTATTAACAATAAATATCTCATTTAATTAACAACATTTTGACAGAGATATGATCTCTTCATTTTACAAAAGAGGAAAAGCAGAACCATCTCATGAACACAGTGACTGTCTCGCGAACACAGTGGTTCTCAACCGTAGGTGATTTTGTCCTCCAGGAGACATTTGCAGTGTTTGGACACATGTCTGGTTGTCATAGCTGGAGAAGGGGGTGCTACTTGCATTTGGTGGGTAGAGGTCAGGGATGCTGCTAAACACACACGGCCCCCACAACAATAAATTACCCAGACCAAAATGTCAACATTGCCAAAGGTGAAAACCCTTACAGTAGGGTAGCACTATTACATGGTAGTAACAGGACTAGAACGCAGATTGTGTGGTCCTCAAATGTGCTTATTACAATATGTCACACTTCTCTCCCTACATCAGGCTTTAGAACAGGAAAAGCATTTGCAACAACAGGAAAACATTAGTTTTATGTTTTATTTTTTTGATTTCATATGCCATCTAGTGCAGAAAATGTTGAAACTCGCTGTGAAACCTGGGGAGCCAGCACATCCCGTGGGGTATACAAAGGGGATATGTATAGAAGTCTATGAAAGGTGGCCAGGTGAGTTGGCTCACGCCTGTAATCCCAGCAATTTGGGAGGCCGAGATGGGTGGATCACCTGAGGTCAGGGGTCCGAGACCAGCTTGGCCAACATGGTGAAACCCCGTCTCTACCAAAAATATAAAAAATTAGCCAGGCATGGAGACAGGTGCCTGTAATCCCAGCTACTCAGGAGGCTGAGGCAGGAGAATCGCTTGAACCCGGGAGGCACAGGTTGCAATGAGCTGAGATAGCACAACCGCACTACAGCTTGAGCGACAGAGCAAGACTCCATCTCCTAAATAAATAAGAATCTATGAAAAGCACCTGCCTCTGTGTCTTCTAGTGGGCCCAGATTTGCTGCTGGCCAGCAGGTCCACCTGATGGGAAAGTGAACTCGATATGAGCAGGGAGAGCAAGCTGGAACCATCAGCACTTGCATTTCTGCGTCTCACCTCATCCAACCAAGACGACCCTCAGAGAGTTAATGACTGCTGCTTCACCCCACCTTCCATGTCTCCGACAAATTCTGCTTTGGACCATCTCTAATCAACATCATACAGGGAAAAAGCAACTTGAATATCATATAGTTTACTTATTTAATATGTTGTCAGATATTGTGTTATAGAAAATAGGCACCTCCCAGGTGAGAAATCTGCCTGGATATTGATTGATATTTATTCAATCATAAGTCCAAACCATTGAGAATAGTGACTGGCACAACAGTATGTGCCCTGTAACTATTAGTTGAAAAAAAAAGGAAGAAAAAAAAGAAGGAATTTAGAAAGGAAGAATTGAGTAAGAAGATATATTTGTTTCTCTAAGTCCTAAAATTCAGGACCTTTGGAAATTGCCTTAACTTTGCAAATGTACTGGAAGTGCATTTTTGTGCATAGAAAACACAGTAGATTGCATTTTAATAACTTGAGGAAATTCCATCTGCTTTCAGATGTTTCTGTTTTTATGCAGAGACTAATGGTAAATTCAGTGGAACTCACTTTGACATTAATGAGGACTTGCAATGTGTCAAGCATTGAGCTGGATTTGTAGATATTTAAAAGTGTAAAAGCATCTTTCAAATTAGAGTTGTTCTTTTATCTATAGGTGGTTGCTATTGGTGTGATTTGTTGACAACTGAAATTTCTTGCCAGGTGAAATTTTCCACCAATTTCTTGCCTCAGAAATTTTTATCACTAGAGGTTGATTCCTTAAGGTCATTTTAATAGCTTTCAGTTTAAAATGTAAATACACACTATTCTCATATATCCATGAACATTTAAAGGCAATTAGTTTATTATATGTATTCAGTTGGGAAGGAGTCTGGGAGGGAATAGGCCAAATGAAAGGTAGGTTTAAAAGGCGAAACGGGAAAGGGAAACGGAAAGGGAGGAGATCAGAGCGGGTGGCTCTTCTGGCAGGCGGTTAATGGTGGAAGAATGGAATGGGCTCCGTGTCTTCATGGAAGGACTGAATACCATCACTAGCAGGGTGTCCTGAGATTTCACCACTGGCTTTTCTCTGGCCTGACTCCATCACTTCGGGGAAAAATGAGGTTCAGCACATTCTTATATGAAAGCTATATAATCTTATAGAAATATATTTTAGCATTCATTCATTCAGAAAAGTGGATCTTAAAGTGGTCTGTAGACTCCTAGGGGTCCTTAAAACACTTTCAGGGAGTTCGCAAGACCAAAATTATCATTCTAACAACATTAGAGCATTAGTTGCCTTTTTCACCCTCATTCTCACACCAGGCCACAGTAGAGATTTCCAGAGGCTACATGGTATGCGATGATATCATTACTCAGACAGCTAATGGAATGTGTGTTTGTGCATTCAGGTATTTTAATAACTTCTCACTTTTAATTTTGAAGAGATATACCCCACATAAATAAAATCTCTTTTAGTTTTCAATAATTAAGAATGTGAAGTGACTCTGGAACCAAAAAAATTGAGAACTGTTAATTTTGGACAGCTGCTTCTAAAACTGGTTGGAATAGCTCTAAGATGAGTTTCCTGGGGACTTTTTGTTTTCATTTCTGCTAGCTTCCCTTTCTTTATTTCAGAACTCATAGGATTAGATCTCACTGGAAAAGGAAGGGAACATCTTGTTAGACTATTTTATATCATTTAAAGACTTTTAAATATAAAATCAAATGAGAGGAAATGGATTTTTCCATGGCAGAATCAGCCTTTTACAACATTAATCTTCTGCATCTTTAATTAGTTTATGCTACAGAAGAGGATGAGGAACTAGCTAACAGGCAATATATATTTACTTCTAATTTATAGGAAGGTTACAAGAATCCCAATCTTCCAACCAATCAAGGGCAGAATGATTCCCCTATCTCTTGTTAAGAGTTGTGCAAATTCTACAAAGCTGTGGAGATCCCTGTAGTTGAGTCTATGAACTCCAGAAAAAATAGTGATAGCCAGGAAAAGTAATTCAAAATGACCCAACTTTAAGATGTCACTGCTAAAAACTCTATATCCTGAATTATACTCCTGTTCACAATAAAAAGATCAACAAATACTGAGCAATCATTCCAATAATACGTACACACAGACTTATCTCTATTTGGAAAGACCCACACAATTGAATTTTATGAATTAGAAAGGTAATTAAGACTCTCAGCCTATAGTTTTTGAACAATTTAGATAATAGGTCTCTCTTCTCCTTGGGAGTAACTGGTAACTGGGACCTTTCATAGATGAGAGGGCAATAATTTATTTAGGTCACTTCGGAAAGAGGTGTCTGCACAATAAATTTGCACCATAATTGTGGAAATAGTTAATGCCCACCTCTAAGAAGTGGACTCATTTTTTAACCCTCTATTCTATCTGCATGGAACATGGAAGGCCTGCTCTATGCAATGGTAGCTTTGAATTTAATTTTTGGCCAATTTCTCACTTTTTTTAAAAAAAGGGAAAATTGAAAATACGTGATTATGTTATTGAATATTTGAAATGTATATTTATTTTTAAGTAACAAAAGTGAAAATGTGATGTGAAATAGGAAAAGATGCCTTTCCTTTCCTTTTGTTCTTGGGACCCGGAATTCAAAAAAGGTAATCAGATTCCTAAGTCCTTGACATCCTATTATCAGGTTTTGTAAAGTCTACCTTTTGTTTGGTTTTATTGTTGTTTCCCTCTTCATCTTTGATTCTGTCTCTCTTTTTTTGAGACAGGCTCTCGCTTTGTTGCCCTGGCTGGAGTGCAGTGGCACAGTCTTGGCACACTGCAACAACCTCTGCCTCCCAGGCTCAAGTGATCCTCCCACCTCAGCCTCCCGAACAGCTGGGACTACAGGTACTTACCATTAAGCCTGGCTAATTTTTGTATTTTTTTGTAGAAATGGGGCTGCACCATGTTGTCCAGGCTGGTCTTGAACTCCTGGGCTCAAGGGATTTGCCTAGCTTCACCTCCAAACTGGTGGGATTACGGGCATGAGCCGCTGCACCCAGGCTCATCTTTGATTCTCTTTCTCATTCTCCTCCTCTCAAAGTGTTATGGATTGAATGTGTTCCCCAAAGTTAGTGATAGAAACCTAATCCCCAGTGCAAGAGTGTTGGGAGGTGGGACCTTTAAGAGGTGATTAAGTCATGAGAACTCTGTCTTTACAAATGGGTTAATGCCATTATCTTGCTCTCTTGCCCTTCACTTTCTGCAAGAAGGCCTTTGTCAGATGTGGATCCTTTGACCTTGAACTTCTCAAGCCTCTAAAACTGTAAGAAATGTAAGAAATAAATCTGTCCTTTATAAATTAGTCTCAGATATTCTATTATAGTAGCATAAAATGGACTAAGACACATAGTAATCAACTCTAATCTGTTTGAGATGGATATGTTTAAATCCTTGTAATATAGATAGTGTTGTTTTATGTGGGAGTTATTTTTAATTTTCTTTGATGGTATTATGTTTTAAAGCCTAGTTTATATCTTACTCTTTTTATTCAATACCATGTTTTAAGAAATCTATCCATGTTTAAATAAAACATGTTTATTGCTTCTAACTGCTGCAGAGTATTCATAGAATGCATCTGACTCATCTCAGTTATTTGCTTCCTTAGTGATGAGCACCAAACCCCACACCATACTGGTGAGTTTTTTGTCTTTTAGTACAGAATTTAAATTACATGGAGGCAGGGATTTTGTCTATTTCATTTACTGTTGTACCTCTAGCACTCGGATGAGTTCCTGCCACATGTTAGAAGTTAGGGAAATTTTTGTTCAATCAACAAATAAATTTATTTGCATTTGGTTCATATGTGTGGAATACACAAATAAAGCTGCTTAAGTGTTAATTTCCTTACAAAGTCCTTCCCTAACTCCCTAGTCTATCTTAAGCCTTCTTGTTATATATTCACTATATCCTGGACTTTTCTATGGAAGCACCAATTACGGTTGTAATTATCATTGTCCCACTTCATTGATTCACTGTCCTGCTTTGTTCATTTGTTGCTAAAACAGCCACTTAACTTTACTATGCATTTACTCTGTCATTTGGCAATGTCTGTCACAGATTTTCAGTGACAAATGATTCTCAGAGTTGGGTGGTAGAGGTGTCAATAGTAGTGGTTTTGACCAATGGAGAGTCCTGAAATCTCCATCAGTTATCAGTTGAGTCAATTAAAACATCAACCTCAAGACTGCCCAAATACATATTTAATGGCTATATAAATACAGCATTAAGGCAAATCCTCTAGTCCGTCTTCAACTGCCCTTTTCCCACCATCTTGCTTACTCTGTTTCCATATAGAAATTCTGAAGCCTCTGACTGAGGCTGAGAAACATTGATCCTGAAGCCTTCAGATGCCTTTAACTATGCATAGCATCATGCTTTCTCCATCCTGTAGACCACAATTTTGAGTCTTCCTTACCCTATGAAGACCATTCAAACAGAAGGAAATTGAGTGAGGAAAGGAGGGGGGATATCAGAAAAAAAAAAAGTGAACAAGAGGTTTACAAGAAAGAGTTTAGTGATGACTTCAAGTATCAAAATTATTAAACTACAGTCTTGTTTCACTAATGATGGAGATACTTCTGAGAAATGCACAATTAGGTGATTTGGTCATTCGATGAACATCATAGAGTGTATTTACACAAACTTAGATGGTATAACATACTACACACCTAGGCTATATGGTATAGCCTATTGCTCCTAGGCTATGAACCTGTACAGTATGTTACTGTACTGAATTCTCTAGGAAATTATAACACAATGGCAAATATTTGGGTATCTAAACATAGGAAATGTATAGCAAAAGTAGAGTATACAAGATAAAGAATGGTGCACCTGTATAGGGCACTTACCGTAAATGGAGCTTGTAGGATTGGAAGTTGCTCTTGGTGGGTCAGTGGGTGAATATGAAGGCTGAGGACATTCCTGTACACTACTGTGGACTTTATAAACCCTGCACATTTAGGCTACACTAAATTTATTTAGATTTTTTTCTTTAATAATAAATTAGCCTTTGCTTACTGGAACTTTTTTACCTTACACTTTTTTTTTTTGTTTTGAGATGGAGTCTTGCTCTGTCACCAGGCTGGAGTGCAGTGGCGCAATCTTGACTCACTGCAACCTCTGCCTCCCAGGTTCAAGCAATTCTCCTGCCTCAGCCTCCTGAGTAGCTGGGACTACAAGCGTGTGCCACCACACTCAGCTAATTTTTGTATTATTTTAGTAGAGACGAGGTTTCACCATGTTGGCCAGAATGGTCTTGATCTCCTGATCTCGTAATCTTCCCGCCTCTGCCTCCTAAAGTGCTGGGATTACAGGCATGAGTGACCGTGTCTGGCCTTACCTTACAAATTTTTTAGTGTTTTTAACCTTTTGGCTCTTTTGTAATAACACTTAGCTTAAAACACGAATGCATTGTACAGCTGTACAAAATAGGTTTCTTTCTCTATACTCTTACTCTAAAAGTCTTTTCCTATTTTTAAAGATAAAAAGTGTAGTATAGTAAATATATAAACCAGTAATGTAGTCATTTATTATCATTTCAAGTATAATGTACTGTACATAATTGTATGTGCTATACTTTTATGTGACTGGCAGTTCACCAGATTTGTTTAAACCAGTATCACCAGAAACACATAAGTAATGCATTGTGCTGTGATGTTAGCATGGCTACAACATCAGTAGGTGATACGAATTTTTCAGTTCCATTATAATCATATGGGATCACTGTCATACATGTGGTCCATTGTTGACCAAAAAGTCATTATGTGACACATGACTGTACTACAAAGATTATATTTGGAAAGAATTATCAATTAAATTATTCTCAGTACCCTTGGTTGCTATAGAAAAATATATGGATTTATGCAGTGAGAGAATCTGGCTCATTTTATGGCAATAATCTAATCAATGAAATCAAGTATTCTACAAGGCTGGATGTAATCTTTACTTCTCTCACTAACCTGTAATTTATTAAAAATAAATTCAAGATCTATATTGCTAATCATTACCCAGCATTGCAGGGTTAATCATATAAACTTGAAAACCTGGCAGAATCTTTATAGATAACTTAGTAGCTGGCATAAAATCTAGTCATAGAAGAAATATCCTCACGGGCCGACAATTTCTAGTAGTCAAGAGAACATGGAAAATGTAGTTTAAACATTCGTTCTCTAGTTTAAACACTAACTGGTTAGTAGTTTTATCACAGTCGTTGATATCGTTGACCTCATTAACTTCAGTGTATCTTGATGTGTTAAAAAATGCAGAGGAAAAATAAGTGCATAAAATAGAAGTCAGACTGAAAATGTTCTGTTTCTTGAAAGCTCAATTAAGAATGAAATGTCAACTCTGTGGTGTGAGCTTTTTAGGAATTGGTTTTGCAGCAGTCTGACATCCACTTTCAAGTAGAAATCATGGAGTATCTGACAGAAGTTTTCACATGGTTCTCTTTTAAATGTTATCAAGTCTGTTTTCTTTCTTCCTTCCTTTTGTTCTTCATTTTTTTGATTTTTGGTTTTTGGCTAGGCTTGAGGGACCAGGTAGAAATGTATTCTAAGGTGCTATTGCTTAGAAAGTGTGAGTGTATGTGTGTATGACTATTAAAATATGTGGTATTTAAAACTTTTTTTTTTTTTGAGACAGAGTCTTGCTCTCTCACCGGGCCGGAGTGCAGTGGCGCAATCTCGGCTCACTGCGACTGCTGCTTCCCAGGTTCAAGTGACTCTCCTGCCTCAGCCTCCCCTGTATCTGGGATTATAGGCGCCCGCCACCACGCCCAGCTAATTTTTTGTATTTAGTAGAGACAGGGTTTTGCCGTGTTGGCTTGGCTGGTCTCAAATTCCTGATCTTAGGTGATCCACCTGCCTCAACCTCCCAAAGTGCTGGGATTACAGGCTTGAGCCACCACGTCCAGCCAAAATTCTGAAATTTGATTCAGAAAATAACTAAATATAATGTTGAGAAGTGACTGCTCAGCATTCATCATACTTATTCCCTGCTTTGTTACCTACAAGGAAAGGATGACAAAAGTCTTGATATTTCTCTGTGAACCCTGTTTTTCACCCATCACAAATGCTGTATCACTGAATCTATAATCATTTCAGAATTCTTTCAAAAAATATTTAAGAATATATCAAACATTACAAGCATGGGTAAATCCTTTTTGTTTCCTTGGTAAGATATTAGAGCAATTCCTAGCAAGGATGCTTAACTTCCTAGTCTATACCAGGTTTAGAAAAAAATAGCACTCAAATAGATCTTGGGACTTGATAGTACAAATCTTTATTTTCTGCTAGCACAAAGGTTGTAAATATTTAGAAGTACGTTATAAATATCTGGGCTTGCAAAGAAGAATTACTTATTTGGAATATTTTAATCTCATCTAGTTCTCAAGTTCTACCAGGTTTAATCATCTCTCCTTTAATCTATATTAACACATATTAATGGGGAATTTAGCTATCTCATGTTTTGTTCTCCGTAATTTGTATTTTTCTCTTCCTCCTGGAGTGAGTCAGAAGGCATATGTTACTGTACCTTTGCTCATTCTTGCCATCAGCATATAAACTGCAGCAGGACATTCCTATATATGTAGACTATGAAAATTCTTCCTTTTTATTATCTTCTTATTTTCAGTTCCTTTTGAATGTGGTTTTAATGGACTTATCCTAGCAATATTGTATCATTGCAGAAAAGGATATGCACAGAGTTAGCAACATATACCATTCTAGGGGCTTCTTAAAAAGTTATTTTAAATACAGTTGTTTGGTTGTTGTAACATACAGCACACACTGCCCACAAAAGGGAACTCTAGTTTGTGAAAGGAGCCTGCCATTTTTTAAAAGGTAAAGAGAATAGTTGTTAAACTGTCATAAGGTTGATAACTTCATCTTAATAATTGTGATAAATAGCAAATAGTTCATCCATGTTACAAAGACACAACAAATTTTAAACACCTTACAATTGCTTTGCCTTTTTTCTCTCTAAAAAATCTATCAAGGCCTCCTGTTTCAGAGAAAACCTTTAAGATCATTTAGCTGATATCCCCTCATGCATGAAATATATCCATTGCATAGCTAACTGATGAATTGATCTAATTTTGTCAGCAAAATTAATTTTTTTCTTTTATCTAGGTTGGTGTTTTAAAGATTCCTGGGATCACTTGAACCCAGGAGGTGGAAAGTTGTAGTGAACCGAGATTGCACCACTGCACTCCAGCCTGGGCGACACAGCAAGACTCTGTATCAAAAAAAAAAAAAGATTTCTGTGTGAAAATCTCAGCTAATGAGTATTGTACATAATAGTATGTTTTATTAGACGATTATTTTCGATTTCATTCCTGTTTGGAGATATATATATATATATATATATATATATATATCTTTCTTAGAGAAAATCATTATGTTTAAAATATTTGAGAAAGGTAAGTGAGATCACCAACTGGCAATAGAGAGTCTTAAATTAGACACATAATTTAAAAAAATAAAAAAAACTATTGTACTAGAATCTTAACCTTTAAAGACTTATGTACCACTTATTCCTACTTTTTTATTTGACAAGAAGCTGATTGGAGGTAGAGCTAAGACAAAAGCCAGGTCTTAGAGTCATTTTTGCATGACATGTACTGTGTCTGTAGCTGTATGGTATCTGTAGAGTCAGACATTTTGGAGTCAGATATTTTCAGGGCAAATGGTCTATTAACATCTTGTCCTGGTTTTGTTTGCGTGCAATGCAAAGCGGTCGAGTTTGGCGTTTAAATCCCTAAAATGTCATCTGGTGATTAAGATTGGACCACAAAAATAGCTCATGCAGCTATAGCCTGAAAGGCTTAGCCCCTCTCTGAGTAAGTGCTGACCCTTACTTAGAGGAAATCCAGGAAAAATGTGATTGGGAGCCCTGTCCAAGTCCTGATTGATTGTATTTCAATTAAAAAAAGTTTTCAAACATTTTAGGGCTTGAAGGACCCTAAAGGAAGAAGAAAGCTGGAAAAAAAATGTGTGAGTTGGGAGATTACTGCAATTTACTTGCAGGACAGGACTAGCGAGTGGCGGTTTGAATACAAATAGAATTAAAAATTACGATGTTGCTGAAACCTAGATTTTTTTTATTAAGTTTGTGTGGGAAGTTTTGGGAGAGGACTGACAGAGAGACAGGAAATGGAATTAAGGGGACAATAGTGGTCGTTAAGCATCTGTGCCACCTTGGGAGTCACTTGGAATGTAATCTCCCTTGTAAGTTAGGAATACTAGGAATAGCAACTTTTAATGAATGGTTATTATGAGCCAGGCACTATTCTAAATTGCTTTACCTGTATTAACTCATTTAATCTTCATAAAAACCCATGAAGTCATTATTATCGTAAGCCCTCCCTTCATTTAAATTTCCTAAATGAGGAAACTTAAGTAACATAAAGGTTAGAACATTTACCTAAGGTGTCACAGTGACTTAGGGGCAGAGCAGAGATGGAAGCCCAAATGGCCTAGCTTCAGAGGCTACGTTAAACACTGTTAGTATTGTGCTTGCTGTGCTTAAGACATCAAATAAAATGGGGCTATTGGAACATTCTTATATTAGGTACACCTCATGTAAGTCAACCTTACAACAGAAAGTTCTTCACTGTTCCCATACCAGAAACTAGTTTGGATCTAAAAATTTTGAATTCTGTTCACTGAACTCTTTTATGTTCCCAATGACATGTTTATGCCTCGAACAGTCAAATGGCACCATTTCAATCCCCGTCATCTCCAGGCAGGACTTTCTCCATAATGGATGGATGTTTGGCTCCATTTTTTAAGCCTTTAAGAGTCTTTCAAATACCTTTTTTGACTTTTTTAAAAAACTCATCTGTCTTTCAGATAAGGAATATTTCTTATATATACAATCTCCTCCTAAAAACATAAATTGTACAATGGTTTTGGAAGATCTATTTGTTAACAGCAATTTGTAGTCATGATGCCTTTGAGGATGATGAAGAAGGCACATTTTCAACTTTTACAAGGACTCTCACTTTTCTAATTTCCCTAATGCTTTTCATTCTGCAGGTATGTGGGTCTAGGTTTCTGGTTTGTCTGCTTTCAAGGCACATGATACAAATTCTGTGTGCATTGCTCATGATAAATTCAGCAGGTATCTGTGTAAATGTCATGCTGCATGTAAAGTGACAAGAATTTCACTATAATCTGGCATAAGGTGGAGCATTAATTAAGGAACATACATACAAATGAGTTGAGGGAAAACATTTTTCTGTTGGGTGGTTTGGAAAATGACCATAATGAACATCGTTGGCATTTTTGTGACCTATATGAAGGCTGTATGAAGTTTTACCAAAAAACCTACTGAGGTCAGCAGCAGCAAAGCATTAAGTAATAGGTAAGTACACTACTGGCAAAATGAGTCGTATTAAAGCTTCAAAGAATAAATCACTATTGATGCAGAATGAATTACATGATTATTGCAAGTCACAGCATATGAGAATTTAATATCATTCATATAGTACTAAATAAAATAGATACATTTACTTGAAGTTGTTATTTTTATGTATGTTCTTTTCTAATTAGTAGAACAAGTGATAATGGCAAAAAGCCTGGATGCTCAGATGAGAAAAAAATATCCATTCTACAGAGAGTGAAACTGGGGATTCGAAGCATTAAAAATTATATTACCTCTCCTCCCAGATAAAAGCTAGTATCCTTTAAAATGTGGCAATCTAATGCTCTTTGACTGTTCTTGTCAAAACTTCTGAGACTTTGGTTTTAATGAATTATTTTCAGGAGAACATCCAAAGGGGAAATGAAGTGGGCTAATTCTACTGGGTTGACTAATGCCTCCTCAATTAGTCTTTGCCTTGCTCTTGAGTATAAGTTGTCCTTTGAGGATCACATCATGTTCCTTACACGTCTTTGCGTCTTCAGCATCAGTACATTCTCAAAAATATAAATTGGAGAAATTTTAGTACCCGTTCCATCTTCCATGGATTTTCTTTCCTCTAACTTTGATTTTTTTACTTTAGGCTTAGTAGTGTGGTGCTTTGGTTTCTGTCTCTACATCATCCAGACTTGGCAGGTTAACCCTCACATATAGGTTCAACTGCTCCTCACACTTTAGAGCCAGTCTTGATTTTAGGAGTGATAAAAAAGTGGAATGGAAAAGTGGTAATAAAGGACTCTACTTAAAGGTCTACATGCCTCTAGGTGAAACATTACTGCGGTCTTCTCTGTGGTGACCTAGTTTTCTGGAACTTGAAACTTCTTCCTAATTTCCATTCTTCTGGAGGCAGCAATTTTATCTTCTGTTTCTTTCTTTTTTTTGAGACGCATTTTCACTCTTGTTGCCCAGGCTAGAGTGCAATGGCACAATCTCAGCTCACTGCAATGTGCGCCTCCCAGGTTCAAGCGATTCTCCTTCCTAGCCTCCCAAGTAGCTGGATTTACAGGCATGCGCCACCACACCTGGCTAATTTTTGTATTTTTGCTAGAGACAGGGTTTCTCCGTGTTTGTCAGGCTGGTCTCAAACTCCTGACCTCAGATGATTCTCCCACCTCGGCCTCCAAAGTGCTGGTATTACAGGCTTGAGCCACCACACCCTGCCTTATCTTCTGTTTCTATCACTAGGTATCAAGGCCTTGAATCCAGTTGTCTCAGGAGGCCAGATCATAGTATTAAGTATATGTTTGCATCTCTTTGCTGGTATTAATCCCTATCCTATTTTGAGCAGAGGGATTTCCTTGCTTTATCTTTTCTTTCCTGTCTAGGCTGTAAACTCTTTCTAAGAGTTTGCCTACAACAGACGCAAAGGCTCTACTGAACTGGGAAATATCGGCCAGAGCCATTTCCTCTACCTGGGTGCACAACTAAACTATGCTTCCCAGGTCTTCACATCTAGAACAGTGACGCAGCCACTGGTACATAAGTCTAGTTCCAGCTGATAAAATTTAAGAAAAGTTAGGTGCCGTATTCATTTTGAGGCAATTAAGAGCAGGATGTGCATTCTCTAGATGCTCTCTTTCTCTCTCTCTCCACCCAGGCTGAATGATGCTATATGGGTTGTGAAAACATACGTTGAAGAGAGTGAAACTAAAACAAAGTTATTTTCCTTTTTTTTCCCCCAAGATGCAGTCTTGCTCTGTGGCCCAGGCTGGAGTGGAGTGACGTGATCTTGGCTTATTGCAACCTCCGCCTCCCTGGTTCAAGCGATTCTCCTGCCTCAGCCTCCTGAGTAGCTGGGATTACAGGCACACACCACCATGCCCGGCTAATTTTTGTATTCTTATTAGAGATGGGGTTTCACCATGTTGTCCAGGCTGGTCTCGAACTCTTGATCTCATGATCCGCCTGCCTCGGCCTCCCAGAGTGCTGGGATTACAGGCATGAACCACTGCGTATGGTAACAAGGTTCTTTTCATTCCATAACGACTGCATGCAGTAGAAACCCTGTTGTCAATCTGCATTGGATTATGATATGCTAAGCCTCTGAGACTCTGAAAAGGTTTTTTTTTTTTTCCCCAAAAGCAGCTAGTCTTCCTTAATGTATTCACAAGTGGGCTGTGGCTATAATAAAAATCTAAAATGCATGGGAGTGAGTTAGCATTTGGGTGTCAGAGTTCAAGGAAACAGATACTGGAGGCTGGAAATACAGCAGTCTGTA
Source organism: Homo sapiens (assembly GCF_000001405.40). Classification (NCBI taxonomy): domain Eukaryota; kingdom Metazoa; phylum Chordata; class Mammalia; order Primates; family Hominidae; genus Homo; species Homo sapiens. The sequence goes on from NC_000003.12 coordinate 94,281,279, forward strand.
TAATGCACTGACAACACAATTGGTAAGGCTATAACCTGCCATACTGGGAGGCAGACCATATGCCTGCTCATCTGACAGGCCTAAGGGAGTCAACTGAAAGAATAAAACTATTAACACATGTTGGCTAATATTAATTGGGATTGTTAAAGATAAAGTTAGCTTTGGGAAGGAATTGACCAACTTGAAAGCAAGATGCATATGAATAGATGAATCTAGAGAACTGGTCTTTGAAGAGCTGGAAAAGTTGATTGTTTCTAGCTCTGAAACAACTAGAAATAAGATTTGATACCAAATATGACTGAGAAAGCTTGTGAGCAGAAGAAGTTAATGCTTAATAATATTTTAACATTATCAAACATATTATTATGTATAATAACAATTGTAATAATATTTTAGATATATTTTTAAAAACCTTTCTAGTTAAGCCTGTTTCCTCAAGGAATTCTGACTCCTCAAGAAAACAGCCATTAATTTTGGAATGATCTGTTGACAAAAAATAAAATAAATAAATTAGATTTGGGAACTATGGCCATGAAAGGACTTTGGGTATGCTTGCTATACATCAAACTAATTGGAAACAAATAATTTAGAAGCCTAAAAAAAGTAGTAAACCGGGACTAAAACTCTCCTGCTAAACCCTAAAACAATTATTGGAACTTCAGCCTTCATTGAGCAGAAAGTGGGTTCCCAAAGCTTTTCTGCCCCCAGAGAGGGCATAATTTCCAAAAATTTATTTTAATTGTGCCAATGGAGAATTTTGGCATGGAAGAACAAACTCTCTCAACTGAGAAGGCCAGGGACCAAAGGAGTGATGAATATATGATGTCCTTTCTGAAGCACAGAATCAGGTTTGTAATATCTGTCCCACAGGATTTTAGAATTGCTATGTACCAATAACTATTTCGTGTTTTCCATTCTTCCCCTTTTTGAATGGGTATGGTTATTGCAGTTTTACTGTTCCTGCTCCACCATTATGTAGTCAGTGTTAGAGGGAGGCAGATAATTTCTCTTTCTGGTTCATTAGTCACCAGACCGTGAGAAGCAACATGAGGCAAGTTAAAAAGGACTTTATATCATCAGGAGTTTTTGACCTTTCAACCGATTGCAGTGAATGCTTGTGACTTAGAGTTTTCCTTGGGGTATGGATAAGTGTGTTCCATATGTGGGATGAAAAATGAAATGAACATTTCCTCCACAAAAGAGTAATGTGGCAGAGACAATGATATGTGTCTTTCAAATCCACTTCTTTTTCCTTTGAGGAATATTGGTGGACTAAACTTCCTAGCCAACTTGAGATAGATAAGGTTGTGACTGGATTCTTGTGAATGGAACGTGGGCAGAAGTGTTCTACACAGCTTCTAGGTCTAGTCGGTGAACATCACCCATTAACGTTAATTTATTCCCTTCCTCTTTCAGGGCATCCTTGGAGTTTCTATGTTTAAGATGATGGCCACATAAAATGGAAAAAGCCAAGTTTATGAAGCAGAGCCCTCCTGACCCCATCGCCATATTGTTAGATTATGGCATAAGCAACCAATCAGTTTTTATTATGTGACTGAAAATTTATTTATTTTTTTCTGCAACAGTTAGCCTACCCTGACTACTACATTCAATATTTGCAAGTTTTATTTTTTCATGAAGACAGTGCTCTTGGGTTTATTTTGTTTTGTTTTGTTTTGATACCTCTACCTTTTCTATTTGATTGAAGCTTCACTTTGTATTGGTAATCCATTCTGGCTTCCTTATATTGATTTCATAAATTACTGAATTGAATTCTTGGTTCATTTGTTTTTATTCTGTTTGTTTGTTTATAGTGAAAACATGTAAACCTATTAGTTTTATTCTGAATATATTTTACTCTGGTTCTCTGAGTATAGCTGTGGCCACATCCCATAAATTTTGACATACTATTTTATCTTATTATGGTGTCTTTGTTATTATTTTCCAAAGGGCTCCCAGTGAAATTTTTATTTTCTCATTGATGTAAGAGTTTGTGAGAATGGTTGTATATTTCCATGTGGTTCAACATATTGGTTTTAAATAGTGTTCTGCTTATAGCTGAGAAATTTTGAATATTTCTTAACTTTTTGGAATTTCTCTTATATATTTTACATAATTATTGAAGGTAATAAATGAGAAATTATAGGCAAAATACTTAACACCATGCTTAATCATAATCACTCAGTAAATATTAGTGAATGATATTGTTTTTAGTGGTAATATCCTGCTAAACTCTAATGATAGTAAAAGTGCATATAAAGGAAGAACAGTCCAATTTTGCAGTTGAACTGTTTTTCTGAATGGCGGGACAAGCAGAGAGAGAAGAACACAATATTTCCAATTCCAATTTAACAACAAAAGGATCACTTTCATTTATGTGAAAAAATGTGTATCAGGGTCTTTTGGTTATCTATTGGTGTGTAACAAAACACCCCAAAATTTAGTGGCTTAAAACAACAACATTTATTTTCCTTACAAATCTGCAATTTGGATAAGTTGCATTTGGGTAGCTCATTTCTGCTCCACTCAGCACCAGCTGGGGCATCTCAAAGTCTGAGAGCTGGAATCATCAGAAGTCCTCCTCATTTACACATCTAGTAGTTACTGTTACATTGCCAGCAGTCCTGGCTGCTGGTTTAGACCTTAGCTGGGATTGTTGGCTAGAAAACCTAACAGTGGACTTACTGTGTGGCTTGGGTTTCCCTGTATACAGTGTCTGAGTACCAAGGGCAAGGTACAGAGAGAGAGAGACAGAGAGGTGGAAGTAGTACTGACTTTTCTAACCTAGCCATGGAAGTCCAACAGTGATTTCCTCTGTATATTGTTAATAGTACATAACTAAGGAGGCCCATGTTCATGAAGGAGTGTCAGTTTTGTAAGATCACAGGGGATGGGATATGTTGGAATGACCATCTTTAGAACGTGTGTCTGTCACTCTGAATTTTTAAGGGCTAGTTATTTTCATTTTTATCCCCTACTCTGATGCAGAGTAAAAATTCTTAGCTTCTGATTCAAGGAACGGCTGTAAGTTTTTATGTTTCTTATTATTTGTTCTCACGGAATCTTCTTATGTATTTTAGTGGGAACATTAGAGATGCTGGATATTATACTCTTAGAGATGATTTAGACCATGGTGGGCCACTTTTGAATCCTTTTCCTAATGCCGAAACACAGATCCTATCAGGAAATACTACCAAATCCACTTAGATTGACCTAAACTTGGTGAAATAATTAAAATATACTTCCTTGTGGATAATTTCTTCCCCATTTAATTTCGCAGTGTATCATTGCTGTGTTTGTGGCAATAACTTTTAAGGATGGTAGAATCTTGGCCGTGGGCTGGAAATGTTAGGAAGATTGGAGTAGTGATCTATGCTTTGAACAGCCAAATCTAAATCAACCTTTGAAATATTACTTGGGTTGGCAAGATGCAGCCTGGACTAAGGACATTACTGCAAGCCAAAAACTTTTTGGAACAGTCGATAAAGCTCTGACATTCATACCAGCTGTGATTTTGATTAAATCACCCTTCCTGCATTCTTAAATATTTGCCTTAACTTTATGGCCAGACCTGCTCATCCCCACTACAGAGCGGAAGAGATAGAGCTGAAAAAGCAAGCTATTACTTACTACATTTACTAAAAACTAAGTAGCACCAAATGATGAGCTGGCACAGCCTGAGTCAGCTGTAGATCCTAGAGCATGTTCAACCTGGTAAATAAAGCCCAATAAAGAAGTACAAGGTTAAGTCTGTATCTGTAAGTAATAATACTTAATATTTATTGAATGCTTAGTGTGCACCAGGCACTATACTGAGCACTCTATGTTTATAATCACACACGATTTTATCAAGCAAGTAAAAAAATAGGTATCATTATGATCCTCATTTTAAAGATATTGAAACTAAGGCTCAAGAAGTTAAATAAGTTATTCAAGTTCATACAGCTAAGTGACAGAGCAGGAATTCAAACTGGAATCTTTCTGACTGTAAACTCTACACATGCAAACACTTCACTACACTGCAGATATGATGGAGATATAGTTCAACTCCACTAATTTTATGATGAAGTAGTTTAGGTTCAGACATTATATGACCTTCCCAAGGTCACAAAGCTAATTAGTTAGGCCTTTAGGTACTATGTTGAATCACTGTAATTCTCTACACATCATAGTGCTGCATAGATTTTTAATTCCACATAGAGGCCCTACATCCCAAATAATTAACAAGCCATAATCTAGATAGTTAAATATTAGAGATATATTTCTGAATTTATGTTTAGTCAATACTTGAGTTCTTATGAAATTATTGTGTGGTAAAAATTTCTCTGTAACAGATAATTGCAATATCTCCACTTGTTTATTTCACTGAGATGTTTTTCAGGATCAATGAAATATTGTCTGTAAGGTACACAATATGAAACACTAAGCATTATTGAGTAAACTGCAAGACACCCAAGTCGCTGTTATATTTGTGGCTGAGATCATTTCTTGCTATTAGCCCACAGTGCAGAAGTCCAACAACCACAAAACACTCCCTTTCACCCAAAGTGGTTCTTTCCTTCTCTAGTTAAGTAGTTAGTAGCACAGACTGTTGTGGTTGGTGTATTTCTACACAGTGGGTAGCAGAGAGTAAAGAAGTGATCATAGCCACAAATTCAGCAATAGAGCAAGCTTTACTGGCATGTTTAATTACTTCCTATGAGATACACAAAGTGCCATCTTGCTTTTCCCTAAGGTCCAACCACAAGCACACTAATGCATAATGAAAATTACCAGGATACACCTAACACAGTGCCATCTGGTGGTTTCTATCTGATAATAAGATAAATATACAGGCAAACCTCATTTTATTGTGCTTCACAGATAATGTGTTTCTTACAAATGGAAGGTTTGTGGCAACCCTGCATCAAGCAACAGCATGTGCTCACTTTGTGTAAGTGTCACATTTTGGTAATTCTTGCAATATTTGAAACTTTTAAATTATTATCTTGTGTATTAGGGTGATCTGTGATTAACAACCTTTGATGTTACTATTGTAATTGTTTTGAAGTGCCACAGATTGTGCCCAAAGAAGACTGCAAACCTAATTGATAAATAGCCTGCGTGTCCTGACTCCTTCACCAGCCAGTCGTTCCCTCATCTCGCTACCTCTCCTCAGGCCTTCCCATTTCCTGAGACACACAATATTGAAATTAGTCTAGTTAATAACGCTACAATGGCCTCTCAGTGTTTAAGTGAAAGGAAGAATTGCAGGTATCTCCCTTGAAATCAAAAGCTAGAAATGATTAAGGTTAGTGAGGAAGGCATGTTGAAAGTTGAGATAGGCCAAGAGCCAGGCCTTTTGTACCACAAACATTTAGCCAGGCTGTGAATGCAAAGGAAAAGTTCTTGAAGGAAATTAAAAGTGCTACTCCAGTGAACAAATGAATAATAAGAAAGCAAAACATCTTTATCATTTATATGGAGACATTTGAGTGGTCTGGATGGAAGATCACACCAGCCATAACATTCCCTTTAGCTAAAGCCTAATCCAGAGCAAAGCCTTAGCTCTCTTTATGTTCTATGAGGTTCTGTGAAGACTAAGAGAAGCGAGGAAGCTGCAGAAGAAAAGTCTGAAGCTGGCAGAGGTTGGTGCATGAGGTTGAAGGAAAGAAGCCTTCTCCATAATATAAAAGTACAAGATGATGCAGCAAATCCTGATGTAGAAGCTGCAGCAAGTTATTCCGGAAATCTAGCTTAGATAATTGATAAAGATGTCTACACTACACAACAGATTTTTAATGTAGACAAAATAGCCTTACATTAGAAGAAGATCCCATCTTAGACCATCATAACTAGAAAAAAAAGTCAATGCCTAGCTTTAAAGCTTCAAAGGGCAGGCTGATTCTCTTGTCAGGGGGCTAATGCATCTGGTGGCTTTAAGTTGAAGCCAATGCTTATTTACCATTCTGAAAATCCTAGGGTCCTCAAGAATTATGCTAAATCTACTTGGCTTGTGCTGTACAAATGGAAAAACAAAGCTTGGATGACAGCACTTCTGTTTATAGTATGGTTAACTGAGTATTTGAAACCCATGGTTGAGACCTACTGCTTAGAAAAAAAGATTGCTTTCAAAATATTGCTGTTCATTGACAATACACCTTGTCACCCAAGAGCTCTGATAAAGATGTACAAGATTAATGTTATTTTCATGTCTGTATAATTCAATATCCATTCTGCAGTCATGGATTAAAGAGGAATTTTGACTGTTAAGTATTATTATTTAAGAAATAAATGTTTAAGGCTATAGCTGCCATAGACAGTGATTCCTCTGATGGATCTGGGAAAAGTACATTGAAAGGCTTCTGAAAAAGATTCACCATTCTAGATTCCAATAAGAACATTTGTGATTCATGGAAGGAGGTCAAAATATCAACGTTAAAAGGAGTTTGGAAGAAGTTGATTCCAACCTTCATGGATGACTTTGAGGGATTCAAGACTTCAGATGAGGAAGTAACTGAAGCTGTGGTGGAAAGTGTGAGAATTAAAGTAGAGCCTGAAGGTGAGACTGAATTGCTATAATCTCATAATAAAACTTGAATGGATGAGAAATTATTTCTTATGAGTAAGCAAAGAAAATGGTTTCTTGAGATGGCATGTACTCCTGGTGAAGATGCCTCGAACATTGGTGAAATAACAACAAAAGATTTAGAATATTACTTAAACGTAACCGAGAAAGCAGTGGCAGCATTCGAGGGGATCAACTCCAGTCTTAAAAGAACTTCTACTGTAAGTAAAATGCTATCAAACTGCATCACACGCTACAGAGAAATTTTTCATGAAAGGGGGAGTCAATGAATGTGGCAAACTTCATTGTTCTCTTATTTTAAGAAATTGCCACAGCCATCCCAACCTTCGGCAACCACCCCACTGATCTGTCATTCAGCCATTAACATTGAGGCAAGACTACTTGGCCAGCAAAAAGACTTATGACTTGCTGAAGACTCAGAAGATTGTTACTAATTTTGAGCAATAAAGTATTTTTAATTAAGGAACGTGCATTGCTTCTTAGACATAATGCTATTGCATACTTAATAGAGGACAGTATAATGTAAGCATAATTTTATATGCACTGAGAAACCAAGAAGTTTGTGTGACTTGCTTTATTGTGATATTTGCTTTACTGCAGGGTTTGGAAACCAACCCACAATGTCTCCAAGGTATGCTTGTATACCCTTTCTCATCCCAATTTAACCTCTTTTCTTGTTGACTATGGGAAGCCAGCTTAATCAGTTGTTCTTAATTAAAAAGTTCTGTATGTTACAAAAAATTTCAAGGTAATTGGCTGTTTCAGAGTAAAAAAATTTGCCAAGCTTTTTTTTTTGTCTTGAAATAATCAGTATGCACTTTATCTGGGGAGCACTTTTAGAGTAGAAAGGGGGTCTTTACTAGATGAGTATCATATGCATGCATTAGTGTCTTCTCTTACATGATTTTCCCAGGAGATTAGTGTCAGGGACTGTCAATCCTGGTGTGTGTCCTTTTTCTAGAGGAGAATTTCCTTAATATAAGACCAGCAGATTAACACTTTTCTCAAAAAACATTGATGCTTATTAATGTGAAACAACTGATAACAGTAATTCAGTGATTGGTATGTAATCACTGCTTTCCCTAAGACATCAAAGCCTAGATTTTTGAGATTGGCCAGCCAAAACACTGCTCACAGTGGATTGGATATATGATGATGTTGGCATGATCCTTAATGTTCCTATAATTCTAGTCACCTTTGCCCTTAATTCCAGGAGTGACAGCCAAGTTAGTGAGTTCTTACATCCTGACAATCCTGAAATCCATACACTGCTTGCCAAATATCATTCTGATTTTAGAAAAGGAAAGACAGGAATTATTACCTTCTCTTGTACTCACCTTTTCTTTATTTGTGTAAAACAACTGTTTTTCTTAGTCATCTTTTTTTCCCCTCTTTCTCTATACAACATGATTGTCCTTGTTTTTGGCTTTTCTTCTCTACCTGATGGTCATTTCTTGTCTCATTTGGCGATTTCTTCCACCCCACTGGCAAATTTTCTCTCTTGCTCTAGCATAATCAGTTCTGGGCTTGTTTCAATTTGCAGTTGCATCCAATGGCCAATCGTATTTAATTAATTAATTCATTTATTTATTTTAATAATTTCAATTTTTATTTTTGATCCAGGGGGTACATGTACAGGTTTGTTACATGGGTATATTTCATGCTGCTGAGGTTTGGAATACAAATGATTCCATCATCCAGGTAGTGAGCATAGTACCTATTAGTTTATCAACTCTTACACCCCCCCATCCTCCCTGCTTTAGTAGTCCCCACTGTCTATTGTTGCTATCTTTATGTCCTTGAGTATACAGTTTGTAACTCCTACTTATAAGTGAGAATATATATGGTATTTGGTTTTCTGTTCCTGCATTAATTTGCTTAGCATAATGGCCTCCAGCTGCATTCACGTTGCTGCAGAGGACATGATTTTGTTCTTTTGTTATGGCTGCATAGTATTCTATAGGAGATATATATCTCATATTTTCTTTATCCAATCCACTGCTGATGGGCACCTAGGTAGAATCCATGTCTTTGCTATTGTGAATAGTGCTATAATAAACATACAAGTACAGGTGTCTTTTTGGTAGAACAATGTATTTTCTTTCAAAATACCCAATTTTGAAATTTTATTTCAGCTCTGAATTATGTAACACCAAAAGAATTTTAACTACTTAAAACCCAGTAACAAGAATAGGTAATATATTCTTAATCTATATTCTCCTATGATTTAAACTACTTCTCAAGGGCTGAACACCTTTGGAAGACTCATTAGTCATCTCTTGTCTATAAGGCTATAAGATGCTTCTTACAGTCAATTATTACCTTAAATGTTGTAAAAAGTTGGTATGTTTAAATTTATGGTAGTTTTATTGATCTACACATGGGTCAAAATTTTTAAAAAGGTTAAAAAAGTCAAAAGACTCTCAACTTTTGCCTAAAATATAACCCTTTATAAAATCTCAAAATGGTGATGAGCTTATTTTATGATGAAAGAAAATGAATGAAAATGAGTTAAGCATTACATTACAAAATGTCAGGTAGAAAGCAAACTTCTCAAATTCCAGTTTGGGACTGGCCTAGGCCTATGGAGGTAAAGGATGTTATGGGGGTGTGAGGAGAGGATACTTCCTACTCCCTGGTTGGCGTCCCTGAGTTTTATAAGTTTTCACTTTAAATTTCCTTTAATTCTCATATCTTATCTTCTTCTGTTTTGGAGCTCAGGCTCCTGGCCCAGGGACTTGAAACCGAAGTATTCCTACTCTGATGGGAAATATGCCCCTGCCATTCCAAGTTGACATGCTGAATGCATTTTCTCACAGGAGTATTGTAACATGGCATTTATTGTTCACAAAATTCTCAGGACAGAACTTTGTTTCTGCCACTTTAGCTATCTGGTTGTGTCTCAGAAAAATGCAAATTGAGTTTTAATAAACTTGCAACCTGAACTCTTGGAACATGTCCATGTGGAAGTTAGAGGGTATCTTTATGCTTAGAAATCTTTATTGGTTTCTCTCCAAGCTCTCCTGAAAATCATGAACATTCTAACAACCCCAGCAAAAGTCAGCAGGAATCCTAAAGGCATATGCTATTGAACTTCTGAACTCTGAAACAGCATCTATTTTCTTAGTTTTGTTTGTTGATGCTTCTTTGATCTCATCTCATTAGAAAGATAATACCCTAACATTTTAGCATATTTAAAATAAACTGCTTTAACAGTCCTCCAGGGAGCTCCGCTTAACTTTAGCCTTTTCCCAATCTCTAAAGCTCTTTACTGCAGTGTGTACTCACCTTCATGGAAATTGTTAAGTAATTCTCCCTAACAGGGAGTTTACTTTCCTGAATACACTCTAGGCAGAAATATTTATATTTCATTTGAGCATTTGAATGTGAACCCTATTTCTAATTTAGTGACTATCTTTGAAAGCTTACTAATAAAACTAGAAGACCCAAAGAAGTGGAAACTGTGCCTATAGTCACAGTGGTGGTGGTTGTGGTGGTGAGAGCTGCCTAGTAAGGTTATTTGGCCAGAGCTTTACATTCAGAAAAGGTCTCAAATTTAGACTTCCTATAATCTTAAAATACGAAAATAACATGCAGATACATACATAGTGTATTGAAAGATGATCATTGTACATTTCAAACTTGCTGTTCCCAAACCACATCAACATAACACACTATGAATTGATACAGATATCAGTTTATTGATATGTCTTTTAATTAGTTTATTAATTTATTGATATGTATTTTAAAATATCTATTCTATATGTATCTGGCAAATAGCAAAATAGTAGCATTATAATTTTTGCTTAAAATATGTAATTTTTAAAGGTAAATATTGAAAATCTAACCACAGTTGTAGATAGTTTCAGTAGCATTTCTGGAATTCATTTCCTGCCTTCCCACTTCCAAATATTACCCAGATTTTCTTTCGGCTCTATTCATCTCTCATCTGTTCACTCTGCCTTCAATACACAATGGTTCTGGTTTTCTTGACAGTCAGCATGTTTCATTCTTGTAGCCACAACCACTGGTTCAGGGATAGATGTGACTTCTGTGGTCTAACTTGGTTGAGTTCCAGGACTCTTTCTTGGAGAGCTGTTATATTTCTTCTCTCAATAGATTTGAACAAAGAAATGTGGACTTTATACTATAAGAAGAATGAACCTTATGACGATAGAGAGGAAGAATTGGGTCCCTCCATTATACTGTGAAAGTTGATCATACTAATTAGGTCATTCTTGTCATACCCAGCTAAATCAGAGTCAAGGAGCCAGGGGAAAAAAGCACTTGAGATACATAACATTGCTCTAGAAATATAATTCTCTTCAGGTCCACCTGCTGAACTTGCAGAGTTCAGCAAATATTACTCAGATTTTATTTTTGCTCTATTCATCTCTCATGTATTCACTCTACCTTCAATACAGAATGGTTCTGGTTTTCTTGATAGTCAATACATTTCATTTTTGTAGCCACAATAAACCTGAGACCAAATACACAATTGTAACCTGAGACTAGTTTTATCTATAGCTCCTGCTGAGATAACTTGCTGCAACTCTAGGACTAATGCTGCCCACTGATATCACCCACTATTGAAGCTTGCCAGCTCCCCAAAGCTTTACTAATGCCAATGAATTTTTTCTCAAGACCACACATAACATTCTTCTTTTTTATAAAACCCCCAACTTTCTCTTTGTTCTTAGGATATACTAAAGACCATCTAATCTACATACATGCCCTGAATTACAATTCTTGCTTCCCAAATAAAACGTTAAGTTTAGAGATTCAACTCTACATTTTAATTTTGACTTTGAAATACATGGTGTCAGAAGTGGGCTCTAAAGCTGATTGACCTTGAGGAGAATCACTGGCCCTTGGGATTATGGTGTGAGTTACCTATAATGGAGATCTTTGAGTGCCCCTTTTCCCCCTGATGAGTCTTTCTTGGACAGAGCTCCTGAATTTGGTTTGAGTTCCATTTTATTTGGGATTTGGTTGAGAGAGGTCTTTCTCCTCCCTGTTTGAAGAGACGTCTTTCTCTCTCTTGTCTGGGATATCTTTTGTTGAGGAGGGTTATTTCCTCGTGTTGACCTCAGCTGTGAGGTTTCGACCTCCAGGTTCAGATGAGGGGATTTTGACTTCTCTAATTTAGTTTGTCTCAGGAATAAACTAGAAAGCAAAGGCTCTAAAACTAAGCAATCTGAATGAAATGTGTACCTTAATTGGTACACTGAGGCATCTAAATGCAATTGGGAATCAAAATTTTTCTTGCTCCAAAATATTAATTAACAAAGACAAATAATAAATTAAAAGAAGAAAAAAAGACTTTAAAAGTTCAAAATCCTTCTGTCTCTCAGGTGCCATCTACTGCCTCTCCTCTCAATCTTTCACTTTCCAAACTTTCTTCCTTTTTAATACATCTTCCTGTGCTAACACCCCATCTCCTGCTTTTCAGTCTCAACCTAGAAAACTTGCTCCTTTAAGATCAGGCTCTCTAACAATCCTGAGGTTCCCTAGATTTCTTATGACCCTTGGACTAAATTTGAACCTCATGCTATAGCCAAGGAATTTCCTAGTTACTGAAGACTCCCATTATTTTTCCATGAATTTTACATTACAGTTCAGGCTTAAAAGAGCTTGGCTTCTCTGGCCTTTACTGACTTCTTTGTATGCTTGTAGAAAGCCAGGTCCATCACCAAATGCAAAAGCAGATTGTAAACATCTCCAAAAGGATTTAGTGAGACCTGTTCCTACTTCCTCAGCATATGGTCTGCAATACTGGGAACAGACTCAGCAACTTGCAAGAAATTTACATGGGGCCATTGTCAAAGCATTTCCCAAAGCCACAGACTGCAATAAAATTCAAGCTTGTACTCAATAGCCAAAAGAATAGGTTCACAACTATTATATCAGGTTCCAAGCTATACTTAGAGAAAATCCTAGTTTTCCCATGGATGTTGACTCCACTAGAGTCACCTTTAATTCTGTGTTTGCTAATGGTCTCTCATAAGAGCTTCCTCAACTAATAAAAAGAGCCTGCCTAAAATAGGAGACCATATCAACTACTAATCTTGTTAATTTGGCAAATTAATGGCCTGAAACCTTAGACAATACCAATAAAAAGAAAGCCACTAAAATTTTAAATGTCCAACTACACAGATGAATGCTTCCAGAAAAAACAATTGAGGGCTGAGTGCAGTGACTCATGTCTGTAATCCCAGCAATTTGGGAGGCCAAGGCAGTTGGATCACTTGAGCCCAACAGGTTGAGACCAGTCTGGGGAACATGGCAAAATCCCATCTCCACCAAAAAAAATACAAAAATCAACAGGGTGTGGTGGTGCATGCCTGTAGCCCAGCTACCTGGGAAGCTGAGGTTGGAGGATCACCTGAGCCTGGGAGGTCAAGGCTGCAGTGAACCATGATGGCACCACTGCCCTCCAACCTGAGTAACAGAGTGAGACCCTTTCTCAAAAACAAAACAAACAAACAAAAAACAGACGAACAAAAACTCCATAATTGAGACCCTAAATGGTACAACTTGAATCCACAAGGGCTATTTCCTGGTAACTGTCACTATTGTAAATAGCCAAACCACTGGAATAAGAACTATCCTAAGCTTAAATGAATTAGACATCCTTCAAAAGAACTTCCATTATCTCCCCCACAATGTAGGGGATGTGAGGACTCAGTGTTTTCTTCAATCCTCCCTCTTAATCACTGTGAGGAGATTACTCTTCAGATTGGCAATAAGATTCTAACTGTTCTCAGAGACACAGGAACAACCCTATCAGTTCAACCCCATCTGCCCCTACCTCAGAGTAATAAAACATCCAAAGGGTGGCAGTCTCTAATAAGCCATTGATAGCATTTCTGTCCCAATCTATTACTTTCTGCTTGGGATTTTTACAGGATACTCATCTTTTCTTGCTGGTGGAGTCTGCTCCAGCTCATTTACTGGGATAAGATTTTTTAAAGAGAAAAACCATGCCGGCATCTCCTTCTCCCAAAAGAGGGAAATAATTCTAGAATTTGATGACCCCAATAGTTCACTGAACTGTCAAAAAAAGGAAAACCTAAAAAAAAATATGTTTTTAAAGTGACTCAAGATTGCTTCAGTTTGGACATATGAGTAATAAAAACTAGGCCTATAAACTAAAGTTAATCTCTCACTCACAAGGATGAGGTCTGTCAAATATTTAACTGACATGTACTAATTACAACCTTTCCTATCAGATAAAGCACAAAGACAGGATAAAATCAGGTATCTCTCTCCAGACCTTAAGACAACTATATACTAGTTAACATTTTACTCTGTATATGTTAACCACCTATTTGCTTTGTCTTATATATAAGGTCACTGAGCACTAATCAGAATTGTAAGAATGTCACCTTTGCTTCACTGTCTCCCTTCTTTCATTTTTTAGATAACAAAATGTATAAATTTTGAGCTCATGTAGCCCACTCTAGGACATATTCTTGGTTTGTGCTAATTCTGCATTTCTGGATTGCAATCCTCAAATTTGGCTCAAAATAAAATTAAGTTTATATTGACTCTTATTTTAGCCTCTAGTTGACAGGACTCTACCAATGATGTCTCAGTTATTTGTTATGCTGTCTCATGTGCCAAAGACATCTCTGTTGCCTTCCAAAATTCCTTATTGGAACAGACACCTGTGTCTTTATGGGCCATATCATCAGCAGAGTACACTCCTAATAAAAATCCAAATTGACCCCCTTGCCTAATATCGAAGAGTATCTCTTCAGTCAATTTGCCTGACAACGCATAAAACCCACAACTGAAAAATAGAAGCCTCGAGGTTTAATAATTCTTTGTACTAGTCTCTGTAATACTCCCATTCTCCCAATAAGAAAACCTAACAGCCAAGGATGAAGATGTGTTCAAGATAAATAATATCATCATACCCCATCATCCCATAGTTCCAAATTTTCACACTTTGCTGACATGAATACCAACTGATAGTAAATTTTTCACTGTAATTAAACTCTGCAGTTCCTCCTTTAGCTTCTTGTTGATTAAGGCCATCAATACGTATCTGCCTTCACCTGGGTAAAACTGTAATATACCTGGGTGGTTATGCCTTAGGGATATACTGAAAATCCTTTTTACGTCTCCCAAATTCTGAATGCTGATTTAGGAGATGTGGCTTTTTCTTAAAACTTGTCTTTATTACATTAGTTTGTTCTTCCTCATAGGCAAGACTGCAAGGAAGACAGTGTACATTTATTAAAACTCCTAGCCACCAAAGGTCATATGGTTTCTAAAGAAAAACTACAACTAGTTAAGTCCCAAGTTAAATATCTGGGTCATCTGATTTCAGAAGCAGAGCTGCATTTGGATCCTGAACAACTACAAGGTGTTCTACAATTCTGTAAGCTCAAAATAAAATGACAACTTTGAGGGCTTTTTGGATTCACTGGATGGGATACTGCCATTAACTGGATACCAAACTTCTCTTTGACTGTCTGATCCCTGCATGTCCTACTTAAAAACCTCTAAACCTGATACCATTATATGGAAAAAAATATGTAGTTACTGGTTTTTTAAACTTAAATGAAGGACTTTTAAATACTCTTGCCCTAGACACCCTAATTATCAGCTTCTTTTCCTCTTTTTGTTTATGAATAGAAAGGAAATGCCTTGGACATCCTAACCCAGAAACATAGATTTCAGCACCACCCCATTGGAGATTACAGCCAGCTACTAGAGCCAATAGTAGCTTGAGAATTACCCTCTTGTTTGTAAGCAATTCCAGCTACCACCCTATTAATTAACTTCCACTGAAGAAATTATCATGGAATCTCCCTTAAGCATTTTTGTTCCCCACACTGAGGAATCTCTTCTAAATTCACATCACACCTAGCATTTCTCTACCAGTCACCTTCCCTCTTATGAACTCCTTTTACAAGCTTCTCCTCACACCACTCTTTTTCAATGTAATAATCTCAACCCGGCTACCCTTTTGCCCCCTTCTTTTGGTGAGAACCCCCAACCCCTACCACACGACTATTGGAAACTCTCTGACTCCTCAGAAAGATTTAGAAGAAACTCCACTAGATAATTCTGAACTATTATGGTTTACAGATGAACGATATTTAAAAAAGAACAGTGGTAAATACTGCTCAGGTTATGTAGTTACTACTTCCTTTGAAGTCATTGACGATGCCCCCTTACCTATGGCTACTTCTGCCCAACAGACCAAACTTTTTGCTCTTGCTCAGCTTTGCCTCCTTGCTAAAAGAAAATGTGCATATGCATGTGTGTGTATGTGTATATAAATGTGTGTATATATATATACACACACACACACACATATATATTTTACACATACACATTTAATTGAGTCATCTACTTCCTTTCACTTCTGATTGGAAGCACAGTGAGATATTGTTTCTGAATGTCTTGGTACTTAGCTAACCCACAGAGAAAGCAGAATAGTGCCTGATGCTTTTTTTCTGGGAATGTTAAATAAAATAATGAAGGTTCATCATTATATCTCCCAGATCCACATTGTTCTTGTTGACTCTCCTGAGAGTGTTATCGAGAGAAGGGATTTTTGGTTTATTGTACAAGGCTGTTAATATGCTGCCCCATATATACGTATATATGTGTATATATACGTATATATATGTGTGTGTGTGTGTGTGTGTGTGTGTGTATATATATATATATACAGACAGCAGATAGGCCTTTGGTGTTGCTCAGGATTGTGGAATGCTCTGGAAACAAAGGGGTTTCCTCACTTCCACAAGAGATCAAATTAAAAATGGAGGATTCTATGTACAGGACTTCCTGAATACCATCTAGCTACCAGCTGCCTGGGTTGTTACCAGAACTCCAGACATTCCAGGGTAGACTCTATGGAAGCTAGAAGAAACAACCTTGCTAATAATGCTGCAAAGAATGATGCTATTAAAGGTTCGCTTAATCAAATCTCTACTGTGGCCCCACTAAAAGAGCCCTCAAAAGATGACTGAAAAATAATTACCAAAGACTCACAAAATGGGCACCAGAAGCTGAAAAGGAAAGATCATAGTTGCTGGTTTGATAACAAAAAAGAACTATGGTTTGAACTTGATAGCAAATTAGTTTTCCCAAATTTAGTAAAATATTCATTGTTAACCAAAGAACATAATTTGACTCACTGGGCAATTAACAAATTAATTTCTTTTAAAAAACAATATTGGTGGGGTGACATTTAAAAAGCTGCAAAACATGCCTATTTGGCTTGTACCACCTGCCCTAAGTTTAATCTAGAAAAACCCATATGTACCAATCCTGGACATTTTAGTTGACCTAATGGGCCTTTCAAGGTTTGGCAAATGGATTTCACCCAACTACCTCTTCCCATGGGTATATATTTATATGCGCTAGTAATGGCTTGCATGTTCTCCCATTGGGAAGAGGCTTTTTCCTGTAGATAACCCAGTGCTTCAGGTATGGCCAAAATTCCTCCAGAACAAATTATCCCACCCAGGGAACTCCTCTTGAAATAAAAAGTGATTGAGAATCCCATTTTCCTGGCCATGTAATAAAACAAGTATGTTCAGTTTGGACAACTTCATAGTATTTCCATTGTGCCTACTATCCTCAGTGTTCTGGCCTAGTAGGACGAACAAATGGAACTCTACAAACCCAGTTGGAAAGATTTATGGAAACTCTACACCTCACTTGGCCTAAAGTTCTTTCTTTGGTATTATTAAATCTAAAGGCCACTTTTTTGGGGGGCTCATAAACTTTCACCTTTTTCAACTGTCACAGGCCATCTTATGCACTTGGCTCCTTCTGCTTTTGACACTCAATGAAAGGAGATATACTTCAATATTGTAAAGGCATTACTAAAGTAATGAATGGCAATCATACTTTGGTAGAACATCTTTCCACAGCACAGTCTCAGGAAACAAAGACCTAAAACATCATGATCTGCAGCCTGGCAACTTGGTTTACTGGAAAAGACACCTACATAAGAATTCTCTCCAGCCTCACCGAAAGGCCCATAACCAGTCCTTCTCACCAATCCCTGTGCTGCCAAACTAAAGGGCATTGACTCCTGGATCCACATCTCTCATTTTAAAAGATTTCTACTTCTCACTGAACCAGCACCCAAACAGGGAATTTAAAACTAAATTCCCTTCATCGATGAGATAAAGCAGATAATATCTGTAGTGGACTGTGGACTAGGTCAGTATACCATTTAAAAAAAAATTTCAGTCTCTTCTTACATGCCTACATTTTCCTGGAAAGATAATGCCCTAGTGCACATTTTCTAGTCTAATGCCAAAGGTGGAAACATAACTGTTGGATCTGTCACTCAAAACTCTGATCTGTTCATGATGCAAGCGATCTTTCAGTTTGCCACATAACAGATTTCACTCATGTTACTAATGTAACTGTTTGTTCAAGTTGTGCATCTGGCCCTTTTTATAAAGTCAAACTTTCAGACTCACATGTTCAGATTCCCTGTTTCACCCTAACAGAGCTGACAATGTGTAGAAAATACTTTGAAAATAGATTTAAAAATTATAAAAATCAGAACTTAAAAACTTGTAAAAATATTTATGATACAAATTCTTTAATTGTTGATGGTTTCCAACAATGTAATAACATGATAGTAAGACCTTGAATAAATATTGCTGACACTTCCCTATGAATAACTATTGGTACATAAGGTACTCTACATGGGATTACCTGTTGTGCCCCAATAGGATACATTTTTATTTATGGGGGATATGGTAATCAATCATATGTATAGGCAACATCACACCTCAATAAATGGAAAGGAAAAGGCCAATGCGGTTTAGGATGTTTCTGGATTCAAATTAAGTTAACAAACTTTGAACACTGTTGACGCCTATTACCTTATGCTTTAATATTAACAGAGATACCCTCCTAGAAGGCATACATCCAGCCAGATGGGTCTCAGTTGCCAGAGCTTTTCTGCCTTGTATCAGTCACTTAGTAACAATGGTTGGAAACCTATGCTTAACAATTGGAGCTGACTCTAGAGCTAAGGTCATTGTGACCCAACAAATTTCCCCAGATTTTCTTGCTAAAGTAGTATTAGCTAACAGAATTGGTCTAGATTACTTACTAGCTAAGCTAGTGTTTGTGCAATAGCTAACTTAATGAAGTAGAAACACAATTACACAAGATAAAAAAAATGGCTTCAACAATTTTCACCAGATACTTCTGGACTTTTTGATCTATTTAGTTGGTTACTTTCAAAGTTAGATAATGGTTTAGAACTATTATTCAAACCAGATTTATTATACTGTTGCTGATTTTTTTTGTATTATGATTTTTAAAGCTTTGTCCTTATTGTCTGTCTAATCTTTGTAAAGCCAACTCTTCTAACAGGATAATGTTAGCTCAATATCTGAAGATGATTGCTGATGCCTATGGGACTGATAAGATAGAGCTTGATACCAGACTCCAAAAAGACCTTTCCTGAGGACATATTTCAGTCTGGCTTTTTTGTTACTCAACGTGGCCTGTGTCTCTGACATAGATCCCTATTCTTTTTCACTGGTGTGGGACAGAGAAAACTGGGACAGGTCCATCTAGGCATGGAGGGACAGTTAAGCTTAATTGCAAAATAATTGATTAGTGATATCTGCAAAGAAATATCTTGAACAAAAGGGAGAAATGGGCCAAATACAGTGGCCCACACCTGTAATCCCAGAATTTTGGGAGGTTGAGGCAGGAAGATCTCTTGAGGTTAGGAGTCTGAGATCTGCCTGGGAACACAGTAAGACCCTGTCTCTATAAAAAATAAAAATAAAAAATTAGTCTGGCATGGAGGCATGTACCTGTAGTCCTAGGTATTCAAGAGGCTGAGGCAGGAGGACCACTTGAGCTCAGGAGGTCAAGGCTGCAGTGAGCTGTGATGGTATCACTGCACTTCAGCCTGGGTGAAAGAGCCAGACACTGTCTGAAAAAAAAAAAAAAGGGGAAGAGAAATGTGAAAGTTTGACCCCAATCGGAAGGAACAGGAGAAATAGCACTCAGGTACATAACATTGCTCTAGAAATATAATTCTCCTCAAGTGCTATGCAAGTCTGGCTGCTGAAACTACCTGTTGTAACCTTAGACCAGTTTGATCTAATAGCTGCTGAGATAACTTGCTGCAACTCTAGAACTAGTTTTGCCCGCTGCCATCACCCACCCAGCAGATCTTGCCAGCTCCCCAAAACTTTAATAATGCAAAAGAACCTTCTCTTAGCACCACACATAACATTCTTCTTTTGTATAAACTCCCCAACCTTCTCTTTGTACTTCAGACATACTGAAGACCACCTGGTCTGCCTGTATGTCCAAATTGCAACTATTTCTTCCCAAATAAAATGTAAAATTTAGAGAGTCATCTCTACATTTTTATTTTGACTCCAACAATATCATTATAGATCTGCCAATTCTGAGGTCTGATGTAGCTGAGGAACTTTCATGTTTATGACAAAAAATTCTCCCCTCTTTTGAAATCAGGTTTGAATTAAATTTTCTATTATTTATCACATAAACAGCCTTAATGTTTTTTCTATTATCCTGATATGTAATTTTTTACTTTTTTAATATCCAGAGGTCCTCAAAATCTTGAAGGGAAGAGGCCTCTCAGTTTTTGAGTGCCCTGATTCAATCTAATGATTGCCACCCACTGCAGCTCGATCCCATCCAAGTTTCCTGGTGAGTCAGAGGTCTGAGCTCAGTAGGGTTGTCCCCAGTTCTTAGGAATGGTTTAATGGGCTTAAGAGGTTGTGATATTGAGGATCCAATATCTTGGGTCAGACCAGTCCTCTGCTTTACATTCTTAATTTCATCACAAAAATCAGGGTGAAACTCAAAAAGATCTAGGGAATGACTGTTCTAGGGAAATGTGTTGGGTCCCAATGGCTTTAGCTGTAGAGTCAACTGTAGAGCCAATCATTAAGGATAGGTTTCTAACTACTGTTTCTAAGTGATTGGCTGAATAATATATGACCCAGACATAAAAATATGCTAGGTAAAATCTATTGCACGTTTTGTTTCTTTTGGGAAGTTCATCCTAAGTACTGAAGTTAACTTCAATCAATGATTCACACATGGCCAACTGTGCCCTAGGGGGGACACTTGGCAGTATCTGGAGGAAGCTCCTTTTTGGTTGTCACAAGTAGGGGAAGATGCTTCCGGCATTTAGTGGGTAGAGGCCGAGATGCTACTAAGTAACCTATTAGGTTGGTGCAAAAGTTATTGGGGTTTTTACCGTTACATTCAATGGCAAAAACCACAATTACTGTTGCACCAACATAATACAATACACAGGATAACCCATAACAATGAATTTTCTAGCCCTACATGTTAATAATACCAAGCTTAAATAAGGTAGTAAAACACTGGTGGTCTAGCTGCAATCATGTGTTACACTCTGTCTCAGTCTTCTATTTTCTCTCTCATGTGTGCTGGGTAAGCTGGGTGTTTACAATTATTCTAGCTAAGGTTTTCATTTTTCTGTGTTATTGGGAGAAACAGATAAGATTGAAAATTGGCATAATAATTTTTCTGTGGTGCAGTTAGGTAATTTAAAAGGACTATTACCTAAGTAAGTGGGAGCAGGTTTTATTTAGCTGCTCCCCCACTACTTTTAAAGTTTCTAAGTACTGTAATTAATGTTTACAAGGCGCTGTTCAGTTATTTTTTATTATTATTATGTTTTAAAGATTCAACACTGTGTAAGATTTTTCCTGCTTTGCAGGAGCTCACAATCTAGTAGTGGAAATTGGAAAAACATTCAAATTACTTTAGTACAAGGGAGTACCTCTCATGTATAATAAGTTACTGTTGGGGCCCAGAAAAATAACCCCAAATGTGCTGCTTTGTACTTCAAACTGAGAGCGTCTGGGCAGCATCACATGTAGGAAAGGGCTCTCTCTGTGAAGTTGCTCTATCTACGTCAAAGGCTGGGTCCTCCAGAAGTTCAATTGTGAATCCCTTTCCCAGAGAGCTCATCGACCAGGAGGGAAGATGACATATATCACAGGAAGAAAAAGCAGAGTTGACGCCACACCAGAGCCCACATAGACTTTGTCCCATGCTGTGGTTGGTTCTTTGGGCCCATTCATCTCCCCTAAAAATCATTTATTCTTCCTCTACAATCGCCTATATTTCCCACTTCTCTTTCCCCTATGAAGAAGGCATATAAGCTTCGAAGTCTCATTGTGTTATTGGGTCCTTACTCTCCTGAGTTGCTCCCATGCATGTAATGTATTGATATGCCTTTTCTCCTGTTAATCTAACTGCTGTCAGTTTATTTCTCAAATATTGAACCTCTATAGAGGAGAGAATTCTCTTGCCCTAATGTCACCTACTCCTGGGGTGAATGAACACTGCTGGACAAATATGGCCAATCTCGAGGGCCACTCCCAGCTTGCCATTTTCCTCTGGTGGCATCTCTAGGACCACAGACTTCTTCAGTGCTTTTAGAAGCTTACAGTCACCTGCCTGTGGTGAGGCTGCCAGCTTTAATCATTCACCTTCCCCTGTGCAAAGACAGCGAGGAGAAAAACGCTGCTCAGCAAGGCTGAGAGGGCATGAAATTGTGTTAAGCAACATTCATGACAATGACTGGATTTGCTATTTTAAAGTAAGTGACTAAATGTTTTTTTTTTTTTTTGAAATTGTAATTTTCCTGTGCTGTTAAGTGTAAAGGTGACTGCTCTGTGGTGGGCGAGAGCAGTTTGTACTCGACAGCTAATCAGGTTGATTCATTTGGTGAGGTGGGCAGTAAGCTCAGTTATAAAGCAGAATTGAGTTCTTACCTCACTGAGATATAACACCACACATTTTTTTTCTTTCTGCTTTTTGAAGGAAAGAAATAGTCACGCAGACTTTTCAGGAGGACGCTGTGAAGACACAACGAGGTTTTATATGTGTAGCAGGAGACATAATCATCCGTGGAACAAAACTGGCTCCCTTATTGAGTTTGCTAGCAGCCTTTCAATAAATGATTTAGGCAGCTATCACTAACGGGAGCTGGAGGTTTTGGTAGGGACCATCTTGGGCTTATTTTAGCTCAATCTCAGGGCTTGTGAAGTGCAAAATGCACATTTACCTGCTGCTAATTGCATCAGAGCTGACCAGAGGCAAGTTAGCAATGGCTCAGTATTACCAAATTTCCCCACAGGATGGCATCCATCAGTTAAAAACAAAATTTATAGTATTAGCAGAACTCATAAAAATAGAGATGGATTAAATTTTCTATTAGGCTTTACAATGTTTAGGGCTTATTTTGATACACACTCTAACTTGATCATAGTGAGCGAGGGCGGTGTGAGTGCTTGCCAGGAGCTGGCACAGACGCAGAGATGGAATCTGTGGTATGTGCAAAGGGAGAAAAGGACTCATGCTAAGAATGAAGTTGCTACAAATAAAGCTTAGCATCTAAGATCCCCTGATCACCAGAGGGACATTTATGGAATTAATTTTTTCCTCCATCAGAAGATTAGCAAGTATCAAGAGATCAAATCAGAACAAGCAGAGCCTCATGCCAAATTAAGGAAAAGCACAAGATGATTTGGGGTTTTGGTATGATGAAAACAGTGTTCTAATATTTCTAATATTTTATAGCTGGAGAATAGTAACAAATATAGTATTTTAGCTACATGAACATAGAAATCACATAGGCCAATCCTGAATATTGCAAAAAAAGTTCCAAAAAGAATGAGTAATTTTTCCAAGCCAGGACCAGAACAAAAGCAGTAGTTGCTCCATTATTCCTACTTAGGGAGGATTTAGCCAGTGGGCAGGTGAATGAAGAAGCTTTGTTTGTGTGCCCAGCAAAAATATTTTCAAAATTACCTTTATGTTACAGACCCATATAAATAGCAAAGTTTTCTTAAGATAATTCATTACTCTGAAAGAAAGAGAAATACTAATTGTTCATATTAAAGGATGTTGTTATTATTAAAAACACTTTGGGCAGCTTAACAGGGTGGTAGAAATTGGGTAGAGGCACTAATACTCCCTCAGGCTGCCCTGGGAATTGCCACAGGATCTCAGTCTTCTGACCCTTCCTGAGATCTCGCTCCACTGTGGGATGTTTCCCTGCAGCACTTCATGTCCCATACAGGGAAGAACTGCTGTATTCTCTGGAGATTATCGCCCTTTGTCCACCTTTTGAGACTCTTTCTGTGAGCCTGCTGTCCTTCTGTCCATCATATCTTGCAGGCCTTTTAATGGCTAAGCCTGTCAAGCACATTTCCACATTACCTTGGAAAGGACACTTAAGTACTCTTGGGGGAATTAGTCCCTCACTAGGGAAAGTAAAATCACAGTTCATTTTTTTCCACTACCAACTGCCAATTCTTTTCAGTTACAGTGTCTGGGAGTTTCACTATTGCATGTGGGCAAATGCGCTTTACTTTGTCTTCATGTACATTAGAGGTGTCTACTATAAAGCTTCTAGAAGGCGAGGATGCTGTTTTCTGCAGCTAACGTAGGTCGTGCAAATGTAGGCAATTTATTTTTAAAAATGCAAAACAAACAAACAGAAAGAAACTCTTAATTACAACATCTTGGCATCTGAAGAATCCTTAGGCACTAGTCCCAGTTGCAGATACAGCAGACTGCATCTGGCTTATTAAGTAAGACACTTCTGGGGGACTTGCTTAAAATAGTGATAACTATAACCCATCCATGGGAATGTTAATTTACACTGGGCCTGAGAATCCGCATTTTATCCTGTCCCTCCTTGAACTCGGTAATTTTGAAAGGTGTAGGTCAACTGAATCTTAAACCAATCCAGGAATCCTCTGTGCATTTGCAACCACATTGACTGTGACAACATTTAAATTTACCTATCCTACTTCTTGATTGGAAACTGTAATAATCTTTCTATACATGCATGTCTGTCTTATTTGTGCGTTTCAGTACTGGCCAAAGGAATCCGTGAACATAGTGTGTTTTAAATCACTCTGGAGTCCAGTGTTAAAGAATGTTGAAAAATATTGTGTATTGCAAAAGCAGAGAAACCCCCAATCTTTTCAGCTGCCAACATTTGTGTATTTTTAAAAGAGCATTTGTTTTGAAAGTGGCATATGTCACACCCAACCGGACCCTGAACATCTCTTAGGTGTGATTATTGACAAAGAGTAAAATCTCCTCAGGCCATGGCGGCAATGCCTTCATCTTCCAGAGTCCGGGAGTTCTTTGATGATATTCTGTTTGACAAAGAAGCTGGGGCGGGGTGGCGGGGGGGCGGGGGGGAGGTGGAAAAAAGTCCCAGTCTTTTTTCTTTTGCTTTTTTCTTTGATATGATCAGTATGTAAAACCCTAGGCTTGAAAAGGACTTTGACATCTTTGTTAGTAAACAAACAGAGTGGTTATAATTCTTTTGACAAGGGGGTAGGGAGGACTGTGCTCTGGCAGGCTTTCTCCTTTTCTTCTGCTTCTCGTCCTCTAACTTGACAAGCGGATTGCAGAGGCCACTGAAAACACTCGTGTCTCTTTCAGGTTGAGAGCATTTGTTAGGCATCTGTGAGGGTTGCTTTCTTGCTGTTGGGTGTCAAGTCGTCATGCAATGTGAAAAGAGGGAGTCTTGGACTGCTCAGCCATTGCTTTAGCGCGAAAGGAGCACTGACGAGCTAGCCAGTGGTCCAATTAAAAACTGAAGAAAGCATTCACCGTGGGGGACACCAGCTTACTTTACCGACTGTGGTGTTATTAGTGAGACTGACAGGGGCAGCCGGGAGGGGTTGCAGTGGCTGAGAGGAAATGGAGACAGAGTTCATGTTTCCTCAAGAGGCAACAAATTACTCTTTTTCTCACTGTTGCTGGCAGGTTGTTGATCTTGAAAATGAGAAACCTCATCACAGCCTATTTTCCAGACTATGTTAATATTTAAAATTATTTTGAGAGAAATTCACCAAATGAAACATGTCATAATATTTACAGTCATGCAAATTTCACAACATACCTCCAGCCTATGCATTTTAATTGTTCTATTCAGGGTTTACTGCTCAAAACCCCCAGGTCTTTGAACTTCTGCAACTGTTGCCTTTGGTTATTTCTTGGTGTTCTCAGGAAGTTCGTTACACATGCTCACTAACAGACTCTATCACAGCTGAACACCACGGTGCCCACCTTTTCTGCAGAGCCTTTGCCTCCTTAGTGGGACATCAGTGTCAGCCTCCTGTTCTGTCACTGCTTCCAGGCATTGGCCTTGACTTACTCATTGGTCTGTCCTATCCAAAGTCGGGAGAATGTCTTTTTCTCCTTATTTTGAACCAAACTTCTTTGGTGCTGGGGACACGGTCAGCAAGTTGACCCATGTTTCACAAAGCCCCTGTTGAAACCAGATTTGTCATCGTTTCCCTTGGGAAAGAGCCTCCTGCTTCTTCCAAGACCCCTCTTGGCTTTGCCCAGTGGGGTTTTGGTCCACAGCAGTTGAGACTTGACAGAAAAAAAATAAGAAATTCCAGGCCATGAAAACCCAAATGAAAGGAGAACCAGAATCTTCTAGTACAGGCAGAACTCATTATTATTAGTTGTCAATGTTACAAAGACATTATTAATAGTTTTCTTTGTAACATTTGAGGTTTCAGGATAGTAGAAGAAAACTGTAAATTTTGTCCTCTCAACCTAGGTCTATTAGCCACTGCCTTGTAGTTTTTGGCCTCCTGACAATTCAGACTTGAGGGAAGAGACCAGTGCTGACAAAGATACATTTCCTTAGTTCACAGGAAATAGATCCAAGACTGCTTAAAGAAAGTGGACAATTGGTAGCTTCCATGAGTCTGTTAGCTTTTGCTACATAACAAGCCAGCCTGAAATTAATGTCTTAAACAAAAAGTATTTACTTATGGTTTTTTTGCAGGTCAACAACTTGGGTTGGCTCAGCAGGGAGGTTCTTCTAGTCTTAGCTGAGTGCATGCATGTGTATGTGATCAGTTGCTGGTTTATCTGGGGACTGACTCATCTAGGATAACTTCTGCTGCTATGGCTCATTTCTGCTCCAGGTGGTTTCTCATTCTACAATGAGCTTACCAGTGTTTTTTTTTTTTTTTTTTTTTTTCCCATGGTGTCTGGTTAGGATTCCAAGAGAAATTGAGGAAGTATGCAAGACTTCTTGAGGCCTAGGCTTGGAATTGACACATCATTACTTCTGCTGCATGCTATTAGCCAAAGCAGATCCATAGTCTGGTACAAATACAAGAAGAGGAGAAACTGGTTCCATTCTTTTTTTTTTTTTTTTTTTTTTTTGAGGTCTTGCTCTGTTGTCTTGCTCTGTTGCCCAGGCGATCTCAGCTCACTGCAACCTCCATCTCCTGGGTTCAAGTGACTCTCCTGACTCAGCCTCCCGAGTAGCTGGGATTACAGGCTAACTGTTTTGTATTTTTAGTAGAGACTGGGTTTCACCATGTTGGCCAGGCTGGTCTCAAACTGCTGACCTCAAATGATCCACCCACCTCGGTCTCCCAAATTGCTGGGATTACAGGCGTGAGCCACCACATCTGGCTGGTCCCATTCTTGATGGAAGAAGGTGCAAATTCAATGACAAGGCATGTGGATTCAGAGTGGAGTGAAGGATTATGTCATTTTTGCATTTTACCCCAAGATATATCTAAATACAGATGTATATAATATTTCTGTGGATTTTTTTTTTTTTTTACAGCAAACAATTCTCAAATTTTGTTGCTTTATTTTATAAGTGTAGACCTGGTGCAATTCTTATCTCCCAAAGCCCAGAGGATAATTTTGCCTAGACCTCATCTTGCAATTTACTGTGTTACAGAGTATGGAGATTATAGAGATAGGTTCAAAAATAAATAAGAGTATAAACAATGAGCAAAAGAGAGGGATATGAGGAAAAGTATTACATATAAAAGTAAAAGGTATGGAATTTTCATGTCTTACCTGGGCAGAAAAAGGAGGGGAGGAGAGTGCTCTCTTAATTTTGAGAAGGACTGCTTTGGAGAGCCTTTTGAATTGTACAGATATGAGGCCACTGAGATGTTTAATATTAGAATAATGTAAGAAAATGTGGTGTTATATATACTGATTTTCATGCACAGTTCCTGGTTCATAACTCTCATAACCCTTGTTACAGTCTTTTGTTATAAAGTTGGGTGTGTTAGGTTTCAGGGGAAGGCCTCAGGAAATAGAATTTCTCTGACCTTCTCCTATCCTCCTTTCACCTGCCTCAAGGCAGGAATCAAATCTTCCCCACCTTTCTGATTGAAGGTTTTAAGACCCAGAGAGGGTCCTGCCCTATACCCTGGTGGAAGGAATGCTGATGTCATGAAGCTTCCATAAAAACCAGTGACGACTGGGTTCAGGAAGCTTCCAGATAGCTGACCACAAGGAGGTTCCTGGAAGGTGGTGTGCCCAGGGAGGGTATGGAAGTTCTGCCCCCCTCCCTCCATACCTTGCCCTACACATCTCTTCATCTGTAGCCTTTGCAATATCTTTTATAATAAACCAATAGATGTGTTTCCCTGAGTTATGTGAGCCATTTCAGCAAATCAAACCCCAAAGATGGGGTTATGAGAACTCCAACTTGAAACTGGTTAGTCAGAAGTTCTGGAGGCCTGGACTTGTGACTGGTGTGTGTGTAGGCAGGTGGCCATGGGGACTAATACCTCAACCTGTGGTATCTGGCCTATCTCCCGGTAGACAGTGATGGACTTAAATTGGAGGCCACCCAGCTGGTGTCCATTGCTTAGTGTGTGGGGAAAACCTCCCACACATTTGGTCACAGAAGTCTTCTTCTGTGTTGATTGTAGTTGTCGTGGTGTGAACACATAGAAAAAATGGTTTGAGAGTTTTCTGAAACAAAATATAAAGTTTTTTTTTTCATTCTATCATTGAAGGTATCATTGTAGAAATTTTAAAAAGTCATATTGACTGTCCATATATGGAGGAAGGGGCCTAGGACTTGGGGGAGAAGAGAAGAAAAAAATCTTATATTTCATGTGTTTGCTTATGAATTCTTTCAAATGTTCATTCATCCATTCGACAGGTATTTATAATGCCTCTCCTGTATGCCAGGCACTGTGTTAGGTTCTGAGGTTATAATAAGTTTCAATCCCCCAGATATGATCCACGCCTTCTTAGACCCTTTAGTTTTACCTCTATCCATGCTTGGGGGTGAAGAAAATTAGGGAACAGGCTGTAGAAAGTTAAGTGTTTCAGAGAGAATCCCATGAGTTCCTCACAGGATAGAAGCCAGGGCAGGTTGTCACTCTAAAAGACAAACGGTGGCAGTCAGAAATAAACTGTGAAGTGCATCAGAACTTACTGGGATTCCTCAACATCATAAACAACAAAATTGAATAGACACAGATTGGATAATGACTTGCACTATTATAATTTGTACATTAAAGGAAAAGTGATGCAGAAAACTGGTAGTTATTCGTTTACTTATTTACCTGTTTCTTTCCTCCTTACTGCCCCTCCCACCCAATTAGGAGACTTGAGATACTGTCTTTCAATTCTTTTGTTACACTATTCTAACGGCTAGCACATTGCATGCACAAAGTCTGTGTTAAAAATTGTTTTCTCTTTGGGGGAGAAGGAATGAGAGGAAAAGAAATAAGAAGGAATGTTCAGTGGCCTCTGGTTTGAAATAAGTAATTAGTTTATTATTCCTATTGGGTTACTCCAGGGAGAGGTCGCTGTCTCTTTGCATCATATGGTCCCAAATGGCTCCCATGCATATGCTGTGGGATCTGCATTTGGGCTTTCATGTGCATTTTTAGAGTGACAGAGGCTGTACTTATTTCTATTTTTAGTTATTTATTTTTTCCTAGGAAGTAGATGGTACACATTATGTTTTTTCTTCTGGATTTTATGAATTTGGGCTGACACATCAGTTCAGATGTTATCTTCAAAACATAAGCCCTAAGATCATGAATCATGATGTAGTATTACAAGGTAGCAATAATTTGATCAACTGTTTACAGTTGATTTCTCAGAAGGCTGCGTCTTTGTCTCTCAAGAAAATGACAAAGCTTTGGATGAGGTTTCATTTCAGGGGCTTGGAGGTAACTTAGTGTCTAACACCAAGTGGCAGGAATGTTTTAAGCTAAGACTCAAGTAAGAGATTCCCCTGAGGCAGATGCTGATGCTTTGTTTAACAAAGCAAACTATGAGTCCAAATTATTCATTACCATATTCATAAGTAATCTATTTAGTAAGACGGTATGAAGATAATAATAAAAACAAATATTGAATAAAGCTCTTTCCATGTCAACCTTTCCAGCACAAACAGTATGCCAGCTCATTGTTAGTCTGGAATAAACGATTTAAAATTAATGAGTATATCTCCTTATTGCTAGGTGAGATGCTAAGTAATTGGAAATATGTAGCCAGACTTCCCATGAAAGCTGTCTTACAAAAAAAATGCTTGGTAAAGAAAGAGAGTTTATATTCATTTTTAATGGATTTGAGTATTCAAAATGTATTGTATGTGGTTCTCTTGCTTAAATGTAATCATAATTTGTATTTAAATGAAAGGAATTATCAACAATATTTGCCAGTATTTTTCTAATCCTTTCTTACTTCTTTCCATTCTTTGTTGTTTATATCTCCCTTTTTTATGATATTGCAGCTAGAGTCTGAAGGCAAGTTGCAAGCAGTAATCTGGTTGCACTTGTTTTTATATTCTCTTGATTTTATACCCTCCTTTGTGTTTCAGATTATTTGAGTAATTATTGTGCATAGCCTACTGCCATTTATAGCCATTCAAGAAGAAATATAAATCTGTTCCATTTTTGTATCCTGATTACTAACAGTATTTTAACAAGGTAGTAAAGTTCTTGATCCTGACATGTTAACACAGTGAAAGGCTATTTGCTCGCCTTGTAATCATCTCAGAAAAAGCTGAACTTTTTTCTCCTTGGGAAAGAATGAATAGAAACATTTGATTTATTCTTCCCTTATGATCTTCATTTTATAAAACTGGGAGAAAATGATGATGCGATACGAAGGGAATCTCTGCAGTCATAAGAACAAATCTTTATGAGGAAAAGTGAATTGTTGTCTTTGTTCTTGAAAGTACAAAGTGGAAAGGAGTTCAGTAGGCTGCTGAAAGAAGGCCAAGAAACCTCTGTTGGGGAAAAAGAAAAGTCTGGAAAGTAAACTAAATTCTGTTGGAAAAGGAAAGCATTCTTAATTCTTCAAAGAGGGTACAACTACAATCAAGGCAGAGGAAAACTAGTTTTCCTTGATTATAAAATAAGGGACAGAGAGAAGCAGGTGTCCCATGAAGATAATGATGCTCCAGGGAGGGGCACTAGGAATGCATTTTCATAGACATGTGCCTTTTTATTCTTATTCTTAGAGAGGGCTCTTTAAATTGTATAAACCACATAAAACCGGGATCTGCCTTTGGATGCAGTGTTTGAATGACCAGTGCTCTTAAAAAACACAAACAAACAAGAGTTGACTTTGGATAAGGAGGCCAGACAAACTAGAGGCAAGTTTTAAGTACTGAATGTATGCAGAGTACATTTACAAAATTTTGAAGTTCTTGTTTCATTAAAATTTACTTTATCTGTAAATGAATTATTTAAATATGCTCAGAAAGCTTCCCTCTGAAGTAATTTAAATTTTTAAAAGTTGTGAATTTGATTAGTCAATCCTTTTATTTTTAGAGCTGTCAAGGAAAAGATTTGTTCTAAGTGCCAAGAATCTGAGCCTATGGAATCTGTATTAAAGACTGTTTTTAACACACTTTCAAAATGTATCTTTATTTTAGTTTTTTCTTTCACTTATATATTCATAGTTATGAAGTACATGACAGAGTTCTGCTGAAGATCATATATTTACATTACACATGGATTAAATCTTAACATAACAAGTTCTTATCAGTGACAAGGTTATTACATGTGAGCCTTAATGCTAGTTGAGCCTTTGGAGTTTTAAATGGATTTGTTCTGTAGGTTGGACAAAAACAGATAAAATTGAGTCTTCTGTTAAGTTTTACTTCTTTCTTATTGCAATTTATTGCACTTTCAATTTTTTTTTTTTTTTTTTTTAGATGGAGTCTTGCTCTGTCGCCCACACTGGAGTACAGTGGTACAGTGGTGTGATCTCGGCTCACTGCAACTTCTGCCTCCTAGGTTAAAGTGATTCTCCTGCCTCAGCCTCCCGAGTAGCTGGGATTACAGGCACCCACCACCACGCCCAGCTAGTTTTTGTGTTTTTAGTAGAGACAGGATTTCACCATGTTGACCAGGCTGGTCTCGAACTCCTGACCTCAAGTCATCCACCCACCTTGGCCTCCCAAAGTTCTGGGATTACAGGCGTGAGCCACCGTGCCCGGGCTGCATTTTCAAATTTTTAATTAGGAAATAGTACATGTTCATTATATAAAAGTCTGATCACTATAGAAATAAGTATTAAAGAAAGTTCCTATAGTCTCATCCCTAGAGAAAACCATTTTTAAACAGTGCAGTTTTCAGCTTTTCTATAATTTTTTAATATTACTTTGTAAAAAATTAAATCATGGTATAAATACTAATTTGTAACTTGCATTTTTACTTATATCCTATTTAAGCATAGTTGTTTGTACAGGTCAACTTTAATTTTCTAATGGCTACATATACATATATATATATCATATATATATGTATACCTCTGTTTAACTGATCTTCTGTTGTTGATATTTCTTTAATTTCTCTCTATTACATTTTTCTAATGAATATCTTATGCATACACCTGCACTCACTTGTGGGAATATCTCAGTTTTATAGAACTCCCTAAGTGAAGCTGATGAGTCAAATGATATGAACCATCATCCATTTTTTGGTAGATATTGCAAAATTGCCCTTCAAAATGGTGGTACCCACTTACACTTTTAAAAACAATGTATGATATTGTGTATGAGTATTTTGGTTTCCCCATTTCAGTGACTGACAATTGGTTAGATTTTTAAAAGCTCATTGTTTTGATTTGTTATTTGTGTATTTTGCGATATATATATATTTTTACATAATTTAATTATGCTATTGATTTAATTGAATTGCCTTTTTACATCTTGACACATTTTTTCATTACTGTGTTTGATTTGTAGGAGCTCTATGTCTCTCTCTACAAATATATGTATATTTACATGTATGCATATATGAAATTATTTATGGTACATATTGCAGTTATTTTTATACTTTTCATTTGTCTTTTAAATTAATTCAAATTATATTTTAGAGATCTAAGTTTCAAATACTTATGAACCTAAATTTATAAATTCATTTTTAAAGATCTCTTCACAGTTGCAGAGTTTAAAAAATTCTGATTTTTTTAGATTAAAAAATCAAAATCAGATTGATAATTTTTATATTGAAGTATAATACTTTTGTGGTTTTTATTTTATCTTTTGCATTAAGACTTTTTATTCATCTCTAATTCAATTTGTATATGATATTTTCAAGTCTAGGCACTATTTATCTTAATAATATTTGAACATTTACATTTACAAAATAAATAGAGATTTAACAAGATTTTTTTCAGTTTAAAACCTAATAGTATATCTAAAATATAATTTACCAAAGTCCAAGTTATATTTAACTTCTAAGAACTGCATATATTGGGTAATTTAAGGTATAAAGAAACTCCCATAGTTTCTAGTTTTACTGCTGTTTTTTATCCTTCGTTTTTGACACTGGCACTTTGCCGTCAAAGACATAGGGCTATTTCACATATTTCAAAAGGTATTTTGCCTTTATAAGTTTCAGCAAGAAGGAAGGTGGAAATTAGAGATAAGTGAGGGTAGAAGATGGAAGAATAAAACATAACCATAAAAGTCTCATTAACCCAAGGAATTGCTGAGAACCAGCCAGGCAGCCAACCACATTACCAGCATCTGTCACTCCCTGGTGACATATGACATAGTATTGTGTACAGGTTCTACTAAGAGTGAAAAGTTTACTTTTTAAAAACAATTGTATAAACTCACTAGAAATAAACAAGAGCAAATTATCTTGCTGCCAATTACCATCAAAAAAGCATCAAGTGCCTATTGAAAGGGCTTGTTTAGGTAATTTTTTTCCCTATAGCTAGTATAAGAAGTTGGGCACATTAAACATGCATTGTTTGGGAACTTGCAAAAAAATGCTTGTCTTCACAGTACTCTATTTCAATTCTCTTGATTGTTCAGCATAATTAAAATAAACAAACACATACAGCTTGTCAAACACTTCTGGAAGTTTCCCCTGACTCAGGCCTTCAGTGGCAAGAACACATTATAAACATTATAGGCATTCTTCATTTCAAGAAATATGTACTACAGGAAAGTTAAGTTTAGAGAATCTTTGAATAAATTGAGTAATGCTTTTCCCTTGACTTTGTATTTTCCAAGAGAAAATATTTAGGACACTTATGAAATACTGTCATTTTAATAATGGTGATGAGTATGATGATAATGTTAATAATGAAGTTGTTGGTAATTATAATATTATTCCATTATATCTGAGGAGTTCTGACATTACAAGACCTATCATTTATCAAAAATTCTGGTTACAATGCTGTGCAATATATAACTCCAGTATTTAATGGTATAAAACAACCATTTATTATGTTTATGGATTCTCTGGATCAGGAATTTGGAAAGGGCACAGTATAGATGACTTTTCTCTGTTTTGTAATGTCTGGGGTCTCAACTGGAAGACTCCAAGACTGAGAGGTGGTATGATCTGAAGTCTCATTCACTCACAAAACTGGTGGTTAATGATGGCTGTAACTAAGGCCTTAGCACTTTCAGCTGGAACACTATTTTTGACTATTCAGACATCACCTGAGGTCAGGAGTTTGAGTTCAGCCTGGCCAACATGGCAAAAACCCAACTCTATTAAAAACACAAAAATTAGCCGGGTGTGGTGGTGCATGCCTGTAATCCCAGCTACTTGGGAGGCTGAGGTGGGAGACTCGCTTGAACCTGGGAGGCGGAGGTTGCAGTCAGTCGAGATGGTGCCATTGCACTCCAGCCTGGGCAACAGAGCAAGACTCCGTCTCAGAAAAAAAAAAAAAAAAAGGAAATGTATTGCTCACAGTTTTGGAGGCTGGAAAGTCTGATGTGGGTTGGTAACAGCATAGAGGTAGACAGAATCACAATGGATATGACAGAAAGTGACTAGTCAAAAGCAGCACCTTATAGACAGCACCTGTTGCTGTGTCCTAACATGGCAGAAGGGGTAAAAAAGCTCCTTCAGGCATCTTGTATAAGGGAACAAATCCCATTTTGTATTATGGGTTCTGCCCTCATAACCTAGGCATGTCCCAAATGCCCCACCTCTTAATACCAACACACTGAAGATTAGATTTCATCACAAATATTTTTGAGGAACATAAACATTTAGATCACAGCCAACACCTACACGTGGGCTCTCCAAGTGTCCTAAGCTTTCCCACAACATGGTGGCTGGGTTCAAAGCGTGAGAGTTTTAAGAAAGTAAAAAGCTGGCAGAAGCCATATTGTCTTTTATGATCTTTATTATTTTATTTTATATTAAGCCCCTTCCATTTTAGTCTTTATGATCTTGACAGAAGTCAAGTAGTGTCACTATTACATTCATTGGGTTGAAGCAGTTACGAAAATTTACTCAGTTTCAAGGGGAAGTAGAATCAGCTGTTTGATAGAGGAATACCAACTATAAGAACTATAAGAAGACAATGTGGTATGAAACTTTATAGTATACATTTTCTAGTCATTTTTAGAAGGTATATATAGCCTATGCATCTTTAGAAAATATAATTTTCTACAATATTATATTCTACAATGGACAATTAATGGACAATCTTTTGTTAAATACTATAAATGCAACATTTTGTTTAAACTTTACAACTATGACACTGGCTTCATCTCCAGTTTACAGATAAGAAACCTGAAGATCAGAGAGGTTAAATAACTTCGTGAAAGTCACACATGTTAATAGAAAAGTCGTAATTTGAATTAAAGACATTCTATTTCAAAGGTAATGCGCCCATTTACTACATTAAAAGCGATCGTTTGTTGGTAAGTTTTCAAAAATAATTCTCAAAATGAGGATTTATGTCAAGGAGTTACGTGTCAGAAATCCAGATGTGCTTGGAAAACTTTGAGTAATAAATCATAGGAAAGATGTACTGGAAAGTAAGAAAGAACAGGAACCAGGCTCTACAGTTTTAGAACTAGTATTCTGGATAAATAGATTCTTTTTCAACCCACAATAATAGTTATAATGTCCCAAAGGCAGCTCTAGAAGACTGTCCTGCTTTGTACTAATTGCTTTCTGTCGTATCTATTGTGATTCTGTCTATCTCTATGCTGTTACCAACAACAGCTGACTCAGTGACTTGTCTACTTTATTGTCTGAATTACTGTTTGTGTCTCACAAACTCTGAAAGAGGCTCTGATTTGATGTAGTAGTAAAAATCCCACAAAGAGTGCCTTTATTGGTCAGTCTCTAGGGGCTGGCATCCATTCCTGGTCTATTCAGTGGTTGCCAGTATTTCAGATCACATGAGAAAATCCTGACCATCACCTCTAAAGGACAAGCCCTTAGCTCCATTCTCAGATGGTGGCTTCTGGTGGGGTTAGCTGTCAAAGCATCATGGACTATTCAGTACTGAAACTTTAAATAGAGAGAATTAAACTGTCCTATATCCTTCTAACCTCCAAGGAAGCAAAAAAGTTATTATGTTTTGTATTTTTCTGGACATACCAATTTATGAACATTTTTTGCCAAGAAGTTCTAGGCAGTAGCAACTTATCGTAGCTGCCTACAATAGACTCTACACATTGTTTCTGGGTATCACTGAGAGAAACCATTGTAAACCTGAACTAAGACCCACCCCAGGTTGCATTACAATCACCCAGATTCTCCGCTAAAGGCCCTGCAAAAGTCCCTACAAAATTACCTACTTGTGGGTTCTGGAAGGAATCCCTATAGGAAGTAGCTGGATTGTGAGGCTTGAGGGTCACCAATCTCCTCTGATATCCCAGTGTGATTTTTTTTTGAGATATGTAATTTTTTTTTTTGAAACAGGGTTTTCCTCTGTCACCTAGGATGGAGTGCAGTGGTGCAGTCACAGCTCACTGACCTCCTGGGTTCAAGCAATCCTCCCATCTCAGCCTCCTGAGTAGCTGGGACTATAGGAACACTCTACTATGCTTGGCTTATTTTTGTATTTTTTGTAGAGACAGGGTTTTGCCATGCTGCCCAGTCTGACAGGATGAATTACTTTTATTAGCATGAAAAAGGAAAAAAGCTCCCCCAAGAATTCTTTCAAGATTCTCTCATTGCAGGTATGACTAGCTCCCTATTAGGAAAGCTAATAAGTTATTCAGATAGTTTGGGACGAGGATAAAGCAGACACTGAAACTAGATTCCGTTTCATCCCTTAGAGTGTCTGTGGAGTGCACAATTCTGGAAAGAGTTAATAAAATTTTGACTAATGGAGGATATATAAACTAAAGCCAAATAAATGCAGAAGCTGGAAATATTGGGAATGGGTTACTTAACAATACATTGATTCTGTTGTTATTTTTAATTGATTAGACTTGAAACCTCACTTCTTATGAATATTTCTTAAAAAGTTACCAGAAGAAAATAGAATAAAATCAATATTCAATTCATTTGTCACAAATAACTTTATTGCCTTCAGTTACTAATCCCATTTATCTCAAAGAGGTGAGCAGATATTGCTGAAAGCTCCCATTTACCAGTGACAGAAGACAGCCATAAAGCTGACTTTTCTATTTGTAGTTAGAGTCCAAAATACTGAAAGAGACTATAAGAAAATGTGTTCTGTTCCTAGAAAACAGTGCAGCTTGTGTGACTCTTTATGCACTACATTTTTTCTTTTCCTTCTCCCTTCAGGGATTTTTCTCAAACTTAATTCTCAGCTACCTAATACTGAACAAATCTCAGTAAATTATACCACGTGGTAGCTTGTTAGTGAGTTCAGAAAACTGGGATTCATATTTGACATATTTTTTTCACCACATTTTCCATATTGTATTTGCCACTAAGTCCTCCTAATTTACTTCCAAAATGTACGTCAATCCATACCTTTTATATCCATCTCTGCTGCCACCTTTCTAATGCAAGCCAACATCATCTCTTATCTGAACCATTGTAGTAACCTCCAAATTCATCTCATTTTCTCTCTTGACTCTTTCCAATCTATTTTCTGCAGAACAGCCAGAGAATTATGTTTAAATCATCAATTGAATCCAATGTTATTTCCCAGCTTAAAAACTTTAAGTGGTTTTGCATGACATTTAGAATAACGTCTAAACTTGTAATTTTTGGCTACAAGGCCTCAGTGGAAATGTTTTCCCTACTAAGACTATGTATGATGAACAATTTTGATTTGTGTCTGCTGATCCAGAAATCTAGGAGTAGAGCGATTTCAGGGCATTACCCACTCAATTCTCTTTCTACAGTTGGTTGCCCTAGCTTCTTTTGGGTGGACAACTAGTAACTTCACATTCTCAAACTGCTCACTCTCCTTTAGGCCCAGGAACAATAATAGTTTCCAGCTGTTGCTAGCTCTGGAGTTACCAAATCTTCATTTATTTTTTCTTTGCACTTCATGTCCACTTCTCCTTAAGTAGTCTTTTATTAAACTTTTCACAAATTAGCCAGATTGCATGTGCAATCTCTTTTCTGCAAGGAAATTGACTAATAAAGTATCTGGTGGTAGGAGTGACCTAAGAAATTGTTTCTTGAATTGAATAGCTCCACACATTTGAGGAGCACATAGATAGTCTTCTTAGAAGTAGGGATAGGACACTAGTAACCCATAACTTAGAGAGTTTTTATAATTCCTCAAATTTTCACTTGTGTGGCACAGGCTAAAGAGCAGTTAGAAGGTGAGGGACTGGAAAATCCAGTGCTGTGGCATTTGGTTCTATAGTAACAATATTGATTATAATGATTGTGGATCACCTGGCTATTTCCATAGGCTCTAGAGATCATACATGGTAAAAGGGACAAGTTTTAGATAATGAAAACACAATCCAGAACACAAAGAGGAAATCAGAAATGTTCAAGGGCATCTTTGAGGAAGCCTCTCATTTCCTGTAGTCACATGACAGATATGGCTGAAAACCACGCCTAGGATCTGACTGTAAGGGTTGCAGAGTTACAGTATCAATTCAAAGCTTAATCTCCGGGGCATAGAAGAATCTTACCTCCCAACCTCAGCTGAGTGAATAAGAATTCATTCAAGATGAAACTTAATGACTGCTATTGGTGTGAATTGTCTCACAAAGAAATGCCAATTCTCTTTGTTACCCACCTTCACTATCCTTCATGGCTCTCATGTCTATAATGGAAGTTGGATCTCAACATGGCACAGATGGAGACATTCAAGGTCTACTCTGGAAAAATACAGGTTGTATGCCCAAAGGTTTGTAGGACCACCCCAGTTTGTGTTAGCAGGAATCAGGATAATGTATAAGATTGGATTCTATGGGTGTTAGACCAAGGAGGATGAAAAACATTGCTTGATTGGACAATGTTGGATAAAATGATTGATACGCCCAAAAAGATCACAGAATTTAATGTGCTGGCTTATGCACCTACAAACTATTTAATCAATTAGGTTGTCTAATTATAGGTGAGTCATTGGTGGCCTACCATCAATAAGGTAGAAATACTGCAACTTCCATGGCATAATGTAGAAGGAGTTAAAAGGTCCAGGGAGATAGCCGTGTTGAATTCATGTAATATTGCAAACTGTTCAGATACTTCTCTAACCATACCTTTCCAGAAGGAGAGAGAAACTCTCTTAATTAGGCGTTTAAAAATGCCTTGGTAAAGGGTCATTAGTGTCCTTGAACAGCTCTGTGGTAGGTACCCTCTGTAGGCTGGAGATCATGGTGTGAATGCCCATTAGCTCATTCTTGTTAACCAGATAAATCCCAACTTTGTACTCTGTGGATTTCAATATTAGCTAACCATTAATACTCTGAATGGGAGATTTAAAGAGCAGAGATTAAAATCCCACTTCCAATACGCAACATCCTTGTAGTACTCACTCTCATTTGACTGAAGGTTGTGAGTCAAAAGCCTTGAAAATAAAAAATAATTTTATTGATTTTAAACAATTTGGTGATTTTCTTCTTGTGTGTTTTCAGTGATAATAATTCAAGATTGTTTGTTTTTGCCTTTGAGCTTTTAAAACGTTTCTTAAAAACAAAGCGTATGCCCACACACACAAGAGTGAGTAGTCTCCGTGTATATATGTAAATTGCAAAGTAGATATATGTATATAGTGTATATATGTGTGTGTGTATACACTTTGCAATATTCATATATATAAAGGGATACTCAATCTTTTCATACACACACATACACAGAAAGATTGAATATTCCTTATCTGAAATGCTTGGGACCAGAAGTGTTTCAGATTTTGAGTTTTTTTCAGATTTTGGAATATTTTTATGTACGTAATGAGATATCTTGTGGATGGGACCCAAGTCAAAACACAAAATTTATTTATGTTTTATATAAACCTTATACAAATAGTGTGAAGGTAATTATATAAAATATTTTAAATAATTTTGTGCATAAAACAAAGTTTGCCTACATCTAACCATCAGAAAACAAAGGTGTACTAAGGCACTTGTGTGAACAACCTG
This sequence comes from Homo sapiens, assembly GCF_000001405.40. Classification (NCBI taxonomy): domain Eukaryota; kingdom Metazoa; phylum Chordata; class Mammalia; order Primates; family Hominidae; genus Homo; species Homo sapiens. Next base: position 94,321,460 of record NC_000003.12, read on the forward strand.
GTTGTTTGGAATCGCCCTCATTCCTGACTCTGAATTTATATATGACTGCTAAGCAATCCTTTCCTTACACTTACACATAAGTACATAAGGGTAAAAATATGACATACCATTAATACAATGAAAAAATAATATGTTCAAGGCAACTAAGCAACACAGTAGCATCTCCAGAATACTTGTATCAGCTGTGAAACAACAGCAACAACAAACAACAACAGGCTTTCTGTCTCCATGTATGATGCTGCAATTTGATTAAACGGTTACTAGACACTGTATTTTATTTTTTTAAGTGAGAAGAAACATCAGAAAAGTTAAGAGACCAGGAAAGGGGTCCTCTAGGCATAAGGAGGCATTCTGCTGGATGGCTTTGTAAGTGTTTCCTTCAGAGTCATTCACCTCATTAACAATGTTTTTTCTTAGAAGTCTCTCTTTGATTTTATAAACGGACATAATTTCTTGTTGTATTATGAATATACATTGCTCTTGTCTTTCAATAAGCCCATCATACGTTTTCAACATGTTGTCTGTAGGCACATTTTTTGCAGTGTTAACAATGTTATCTTCATCATCACTATTATTATGGTCACTTTGATTTGGAACCATTTTGGCTATTTCACCATTAGTCAATGAATGAACAACGGGAGCCTCAATATCTATGTTAAAAATTTCTTCAAGATTCACTTCTTCCAGCTTACTGATGGACTCTGAAAGTAGACTTTTTTGTGTGTGTATGTAAGGAGGTCACACATTATGGTTTTTTTTTGTTTTTTTTTTGTTTTTTTTTTTGAGACGGAGTCTCGTTCTGTCGCCAAGGCTAGAGTGCAGTGGCGCTATCTCGACTCACCGCAAGCTCTGCCTTCCGGGTTCACGCCATTCTCCTGCCTCAGCCTCCCGAGTAGCTGGGACTACAGGCGCCCACCACCACACCCGGCTAATTTTTTTGTATTTTTTAGTAGAGACCACATTATGCTTTTTAACTTAACCTATAGAATCCTTCAAAGTCACCATCTTGTTCAGCATCATCAATGAATATAGTTGCAGGCCAGAGGTTGTGCTGGGCATGCACAACTGTGTCTTTAGTGATTGTATTCCAAGTGCTGGCAGCAGCATATATCGCATTCTTCATTCAAAACTCCTTTTGAAAACCTCCCACGCCTTTGCCTCTGTTCACTGCTGCTAGCATGCTCTTTTTGTATTTACTCTTCATTGGTCACATAGCTGAATTAATGAAGTTACTTTTAGGAGAAGGTATATGGAATAAACATTATTTTTGATGAGCATCTCAGAAGGGGGATGAGTTAAGAAATAACAAAATCTTGCAGTCATCACCCAGTCCAGCTTCTCTGCAGGAAGCAGGAGTCACTGGTACAAAATATTTGTAAAACAATCAGAAAAGATGTCTCTGGTGATCCATGCTGTTTTGTTAGCATAGTAATGGGCTTGTAAGAAATTCACTCCTTGGAAACAGTGAGGACACAGCGTTTCCCTATTACAAGTTTACACTTATGTGTACTTGCTGCATTAGCACACGTCAGTACAGTTATTCTGTCCTCGGGATCCTTAATTCCTGTAGGGATACCTCTAGCTTTAATCAGTGTCTTTCTTGGGCAATAATGCCCAAGCACTGATTTTTTTAAATCAGAATTGTAGACTGGTTTTGGAATCAACTTTTTGTCAGTGATGACCTTGGCAAACTCGTTAATGAATTTCTTTTTGTTTGTTCATTTGAGACGGGAGTCTTGCTCTGTCACCCAGGCTGGAGTGCAGTGGCTCGATCTCGGCTCACTGTCACGATCTCCTGACCTCGTGATCCACCCACCCTTGGCCTCCCAAAGTGCTGGGATTACAGGCATGAGCCAACGTGCCTGGCCATTAATGAATTTCTTAATTGAATTTCCCTATGATCAGCAGATGCATTATTACCACAAATCTTAAAAAATTTAATGTCGTGTCCTTTTTAAAATTTCCACAACCAGACTGTTGAATAGTCGCAGCTTCTTTCAATTTTCAGTTCATCATGATGTTTGCTGTTTCATAGTCAGCATACCATTAAGTGGCTTGTGTTCATTGCAAAGCTGATAGATCAACTCTTTCAATACACAATCAGGATCTCCATTTTTAGCTTCATGTGATGTTTTTCTACTTTTTATTAACTTTTGTTCATCAACTTCAGCACAGAACTTCAGCAATTTATCCTTCTGTTTCTTCAGGTGATTTAGGTTGGTCATTCCGACATTATGCTCTTCTGTAATATGTTTCACACTTACACCAGTGTCTAGTTTCTCCAACAGCTTGACTTTCTGTGCTTCCTCTTTTTCTTATCACTGTTACCCATAGGGGTATCTACAGGTCTTTTTGAAATTTTCAGTAATACTTTTACACCACAGAACAGCGAACAAGCAAAGAAACATAGTATTTTGTGTTCTATTTTGTGAGTATTGCTGTAGGTTATGGCCTCATCTGGGGTACCCTGGGGAAGCTGCTGTTGGCACATCCCACCTGCACATGTGCCATTTTATCACCCTTTGTGGGTGTGCTTGTGTAGGGGAATCTGTGCATGCACAAAAAAGATGTATCACAGATGAAGAGGGCTGGGATGGTCTTTTCTCCCTTAGGGACGCTGAACAAACTTTGTTGTGTGTCTGCATTTTGACTGCAACTCTTCACATGAGATCAGGCATGGAATTTTCCACTTGTGATGTCATGTCAGCTCTCAAAAGGTTCAGGATTTTGGAGCATTTCAGATATCAAATTTTTGGATTAGGGATACTCAACACGTGTGTGTGTGTGTGTGTGTGTGTGTGTGTGTGTGTGGGTGGGTGTTTATGTATAATTTGATGAAAGTTAAAAGAGGAATGTGAATAAGCATGAGGAAAAAATTAAGACACATGATTGGAAATCCACTGGTCAAAATGATTAGCTTATTACTTTTAGAATTGCCCTTAATCATTCAGAAAGAAAGGTGATGAGTTACTACTATCAGAGGGACTGTGTCCTCCAGCAACCACAAATAATATTTAGTGGCTCAGTAATTACTTTAATCAATTCCTTAACTACCGTAAGATACGTGTTATCAAGATCTGATCATTGGTAGGTGTTGACAAAAGAAAGTTGCTTTCTAAAGTATCCTATTTTTTCTTTCGCTAAAAGCCTAGTAAAATAAAAGTGGATGTTAAATTTATAATTTTTTTATTTCTGGGAAGAAAGAACATGCATATTAAGAAAAAGACTTAATACTGTGATATCATAAATACAGATTAATAAAATTTACCAAACTTGTGAGTGAAGGTTTTCTCAGGACAATAGACTTAAGGTCACAGGAAAATCTTCACCATCTTGCTGGAAATCAAGTTTTCAGAGGTAAACATAACAGCAATAACAACAAAAAGATAACTAACATTTGCTGAGAATTATACACTAAGCCCTGTGCATTAAGTGCTTTATACGGATAATCTTTTGAAATCCTTAGATCAAATTACTGTCTATGTGGTATGGTACACAACTTCACAAATGAGGGAACTTGGCTTACAGAAGTTAAGTAATTTTCCCATGGTCACACAGGTAGTAAAAATGACTAAGACAGGATTGAAACCAAGGCAATGTTCTTCAAATCCAGTCTATGTTAAACTGTTTCCCACTTATGGTGCTTCAAGGGAATTGTAATTATGGTACTGGGTGGGGACAGCAGAACTAGCAGAAATTTGGGGGTTAATATTCTGAAAGAAGTATAAAATTCGAGGTGAAAGAAAATTTAGAAGCCATCTAGTTAAACCATCTCCTTTTACTGATAAAGAACATGAGGCCCAAAGAATATGATGTAGAACCCAGATTGCCTGGGTTCACCTCTTACAAACTATGAAAATTTGGTCCTCTTGATTCTTCTGTTTTCTCACCTGCAAAATGGAGATGGTAATAGAACCTACCTCAAAGGGTCATTCCAGGATTCAATGTCATCTATAATACATGTATCTAGCTTCACCCATTCGAATGTTTGTATATAGGAACAAAAGAATTCATTAAGTATAAGAGTTAGGTGGAATGACTAAATAAAAGATTACTTACACATGTCACTTTATTTTCTAATTCTTAGGGATATTAGAATAGAGAATAAGGAAGCATCTGGCCAGAAGCATATAGAGCAAAATCAAAAATCAAATTCAAATCATCAGCACGAGTATGGGTTATATTTTCTTTTGGTTTCTTGGGACTAATTTATAGACAGGAGGTTTACTATCTATCAGAGTACACCACTTAAAAAGTAACAGAAAATCGTATCAACATTTGACTCTCCAAACTAAACAGTTATTACCTTGGTTAAGAAAAAATACTTAATAAGCAGTTGTTGGCATTGGTTTATCTATTTAATCATGCCAAGGTTGCTGTCTCTGAAATTTTATTGCCCTTTCTCTCGTGGTCTCAAGATGGTTATTGGAGGTCCAGAAATTATGACCTCAGTCAAGGCAGGAAGAAGGAGGAAGGGAATGGTGTTAACCTCTTCTGTCCCTTTATCAGGAAAAGCAAAAGCATTTCTAGAAAACCTCAGCACACACATGTGAATATAGCATTTGCTGGATCCAGGGTCACCATGTTGTCCAAGTGGCTTTCTAGGGTAGACAGGAAATGGAGAGCGAGTTGTAAGTGGATTTTGGCTAGTCAACAGTATTATTTTGTTTGATGCTTATATTTAGGCCACATTTATACAGAAGCTAGGGTATATATTACTGGAAATGGGTAAAGAAACTGCCACTTGCAGAGTAACGATGAACTTCAACACTGTATGTTAGGCACTTTATGGTCATTATTTTATTTATTCCCCAAAATACCCTTTGAGAAAATAAATAAAATGAGATTCAGGAAGATGAAGCCTCTTACAAAGATTTTATACGTAATATTCTTTGAACAGAGGTCTGACCAACTTGAAAGTCTGTGTTTAAATTGAAACATAAAACAATGAAGAAAGCTGTAGAATAACAGCCACCAGTTAGTGAATGCTTACTAAACATCAAGCATCACCAAAGCTAACACATTTAGAATTAAATTGCCACATTTATCCTTACAACAACAATCCTGTGAGGTATTCATATCCCCATTTTATAGATGGATAAATGGAGTCTAAAGAAGTTGGCTAAATTGTCCAAGGTAACTCAGCTAAAACTTTAAGGCTGGAGTTAGTATCCAGGTTTTGTCTAAATCCAAGCAATTTGTTCCCAACAATGAAAACAATTTTCCATTTTCATCTATACTTAGGAGAGTCTTGTCTAACCTGCCATCTTAACATGATGATTCTAAAGGTATACAAAATATAACCATGTAGGTGTTGGAAATGTCCAGTTGGATGTTTCCCCACTTAACTGCTACACATGTCAGGATAAAGTCCCAAGCAAATGGTCTCAGGAGAAGAAAAATGGATGTTCCTAATTCCAGGGAAGTCTGGCATAGGTACTCTATCTTACTGATGATCTGGAATAGCCTTGAGGTTAAAAAAGACAGTTAAACAGAGGAAGTTGTGATGAAACAACCTGTTCTACTCCTATAAACAGTGTCATATAGTCTTCATTTAATTTTTTTTTTTTTTATTATACTTTAAGTTCTGGGGTACATGTGCAGAACGTGCAGGTTTGTTACGTAGGTATACACGTGCCATGGTGGTTTGCTGCACCCATCAATCCGTCATCTACATTAGGTATTTCTCCTAATGCTATCCCTCCCCCCTGCCCCCACCCCAAGACAGGCCTCGGTGTGTGATGTTCCCCACCCTATGTCCATGTGTTCTCATTGTTCAACTCCCACCTAGTGAGAACTTGCCGTGTTTGGTTTTCTGTCCTTGTGATAGTTTGCTTAGAATGATGGTTTCCAGCTTCATCCATGTCCCTACAAAAGACATGAACTCATCCTTTTTTATGGCTGCATAGTATTCCATGGTGTATATGTGCCACAATTTCTTTATCCAGTCTATCGTTGATGGGCATTTGAGTTGGTTCCAAGTCTTTGGTATTGTGAAGAGTGCTGCAATAAACATATGTGTCCATGTGTCTTTATAGTAGAATGATTATAATTCTTTGGGTATATACCCAGTAATGGGATTGCTGGGCCAAATGTTATTTCTGGTTCTAGATCCTTGAGGGATCGCCACACTGTCTTCCACTATGGTTGAACTAATTTACACTCCCACCAACAGTGTAAAAGAGTTCCTATTTCTCTGCATCCTCTCCAGCATCTGTTGTTTCCTGGCTTTTTAATGATCCCCATTCTAACTGGTGTGAGATGGTATCTCATTGTGGTTTGGATTTGCATTTCTCTAATGACCAGTGTTGATGAGCTTTTTTTTCATGTTTGTTGGCCATATAAATGTCTTCTTTTGAGAAGTGTCTGTTAATATCCTTTGCCCACTTTTTGATGGGGTTGTTTTTTTCTTGTAAATTTGTTTAAATTTTTTTGTAAATTCTGGATATTAGCCCTTTGTCAGATGGATAGATTGCAAAAATTTTCTCCCATTCTGTAAGTTGCCTGTTCACTCTGATGACAGTTTTCATTTAGAGCTTTTTAAATACAAATAAGACAGTAGGAATAAAAACACACAAAAAACCCCCAGCACCTTAACATCAATGTTTCTCAAAAGGTCAAACTTATCATTCTCTTTGGTGTGTTAGAACATTCCAGTACTAGCGGCTATATAGAAATGAGAAAAGCCAAGTGTGAGACATTGCCTTTGCTGACGATGTGGTAATAGTTGTATGTGCTTATCAGGATGTTTAGACTGGTCACTCTTTGGAGGTGAAAGGATAAAAATGATGTTTTTTTTTTCTGTATAAATTGACTTTATTTATTTATTTATTTATTTTGAGATAAGCTCTCACTCTGTCACCTAGCCTGGAGGTCAGTGGCACAATCACAACTCACTGCAGTCTCAACCTCCCAGGTTCAAGCCATCCTCCCACCTCAGCCTCCTGAGTAGCTAGGGCCACAGGCACATGCCACCATACCCGGATAATTTTTTTTTTTTTTGGAGAGATGGGGTCTCCCTGTGTTGCCCAGGCTGGGTCATGTACTCCTGGGCTCAAGGGATCCTCCTGCCTGGCCTCCCAAAGTGCCAGGATTATAGGCATTAGCCACTATGCCCAGCCTGTAAACTGACTTTATTTAATGGTTCTTTGAAGTCCTAAACTCCTTTAGGGGCAGTTGTAAAGGGTTTCCCAAAGAAATGTTTCAACATCTTCCACTGTGTAGACTAAAAACATTTGCCTTGAGGGCATCAAATACACAGGAAAACAGAGCACATACAATAGCTGACCACAACTTCCAAAGGAAAAAATAATAAAACAAAAAAAAGAATGAGATTTTATTGCCAGCACAACTATGATGAGTTTACAAAATATATTCTCTGCCATAGGTATCCAGCCTAAACATCTGAATAACCTTGTATCTCAAGGTGTCTGTCCATTGATCTGATTGTTATTGATTTGGTCAGTCCTTATGGGTGAACTGTCCCCTCTAATGATCAGGAAAAGTCACTTGACGCAACACTAATCCCAAAGAGGAAGTGATTAGGCATTTTGAGTCCTTCTGGTTCCCTTCATTTAACAACCATTCCTTTCTGTAGCTTGAAGCTATAAATGCATGACATTACATTGCAATGTTAACAGTTTTTTCCCTTGTTACTATAAGACAAACACATAGATATTGAATCTTTGTGTTTTTCAGAATAATTCAAATATATAGAACTCCATTCTGAGATTCTAACAATAGTATTTTCAATAATGGTGTGGACTCTTTAGTCTAATGATAATAATTACAAATAGTAGTCATAATTAACATTTATTGAATTATTGTTAAGTACTAGACTCTAAATATTTTATTAGCCTTCTTCGGAGGCTGAGGCAGGTGGATCACGAGGTCAGGAGTTCAAGACCAGCCTGACCAAGATGGTGAAACCCCATCTCTTCTAAAAAAAAAATTACAAAAATTAGCCAGGCGCAGTGGCAGGCATCTGTAATCCCAGCTGCTTGGGAGGCTGAGGCAGGAGAATTGCTTGAACCCGGGGAGCAGAGGTTGCAGTGAGCTGAGATCGTGCCACTGCAATCCAGCCTGGGTGACAGAGCAAGACTCAATCTCAAAAAAAAAAAAAAAAAAAGTATTAGCCTAACTTTACTTAATCCTCTCAGCAACCTCATAGAATATGTGCTCTTGTTATTTTTATTTCATAGATGAACAAATGATTCCCAGAGAGATAAATAACTTGTCCAGGATTGCACAGCTTATAAGTGGAAAACTCACCTGAGTCCGGAGGCTCAATATATAATAATGATGCTAGAGATTGTGCAGCTAACCTAGAATTTAGAATTTTAATTTTAAAATTATCAAATGACATTTAATTATAATAATTTTCTGATGAGAAAGTGGGAGTGATTATGGCCATTGCTTCTCAATTCATTGCAATGCCTTTTACTTAGCTGGTGCTCGAGTAAATGTTTGATGAATGAAGAAATGAACCAATAATAAAATACAGAGGAAGTGCTCGTGCTTGAGTCATTTAGAATAATTGTATTTCCTTATTGTCTTCAACTATATTAAAGCATTGCCATGCGGATATTTGCTTATCTACGGAGTCTAATTTTAATGATTTGCATTGTTGCCTATTAGTACATGGATCATCCATGTTCCATGTTATTTTTTTCTATTAAAAACGTGTTTGTGCCACCTTTGGTTTCATTCACGTCCTCTTGACAGATAAACTAGTTAAAGGGCATGGAATCAAAGCCCTGAGCTGACTGAGCAGAAACAAACATTCACCTGGGCAGCAGGATAACTCCTCCAAGAGGCAGTCGTCTTCTCTGCTTGCTGTCTGGAAGAACAACTTTAGAACCTGCTGTCATGGCAATTTTTCCTTAGGAAATCAGGTCGTGGTCCCAATTCAACAGTGAGTCTTTTACAAGGATTTAGGACCAGTGCTCCCAGGTTTTACAAATAATGAGAATATATATTTTTCCTTTAGGGTAATCAATGAAAATAACAGCTGTAAAAAATTAAACTGCTTTCTCTTTGAGATTTGGAGAAAATGAATTTACAAAACTTTAGCATATAGTATCACATTCTTTGAAGAAAATGAATACAAGACTGATTACCATACCTGTTTCTCATTGTCTAAATTCCAAACACCTTGGTTTGGTATGCAAGGCTTCCAAGCTCTAGCCCCAATATTATTCTTAGTCTTAAGTCCACCTTCTTCTATATGTATGTTATGCAAGACCAAAATGGATTATACATTGATTCCTGGATATTTGCTATATTTTCAGTTCTTCAACTCTGCTTGTAGAAATCCTACTTATTCTTCTAAGATGCAACTTCCTTTATGAAGTACTGATTGATGACTCCAAATAAAGATGATCTGTTCTTCTTCTGAATCCCTTAATACTTTGTGCTTCTCTTATAATACTAAGTTCAAGATAAACCAAGTTCTATTTTTACTGTAAATCTTTATATATTTGCCATTTGTAAGTTCCTTGAGGGCAAGAGAAATAGCATATCCTTTTGGAAGGAGACTATGCTGGGGAGTCTTAAATTGATCTGGTTTGGAATTGTGGAATTAGGTCTGATGAACAAGAATAAGAGAATAGAGGGTTCAATAGGATAATAATTGGTATTTTAGAAAGGCTAATTAAAGTTAATTCAATTTAAAAGAAGATCAAAATTTCATAAGTAAATGCTATTAAAAATTTGGTTGTCTTTGGATGTGAAAGTAAGTTTATTTTTTCTTACATTTAATATAATTTATATTTGACTATACTCTATTAGAATGAACAAAAAAAGTTCAAATAATTTTCCTCTTAACTTTGCAAAACTATTCATCGATTTTCCTAAACATTCTCTAAATCTCTCAATATTCAGATTATTCCTTTTAAAATTGCAAATAGCATTATTACTCTTGAAGACATCTCATCTTCAACTATTAAATGTCTAGACTTGGCCATTTCCTAATTTGTTAGTGATTGTTCTTGTGATTCAAGTAATCTCCAATATCATTCTCATTAATTTCATAATATTTTAAATATTTTACTAGAAATGTAATATCTTTTTAAAGTACTTAGTATTATGTTTGCATTTTAGGCTAATACTCATTGAGAGACTGGTAGGCAAACACGTTGAACTAAAGAGCTGTAGTAGATAATGTCCAATGGGGAAAAATGTTTGAGTAGAGACTAACTGCAAGTGATCAGTTTACTGTGCATACCTTTATGTTATTCTCCCTACTAGAGCATTGGACAGTGAACACTCAGATGAGACTCATCTCTGTTATATGTTTGAATTGACTTTTTCTTCCTATTTTTTTCCTTGGCATTCTACTGGGGATCATTGCATATGAATGTGCAGTTTATGTCTGTAGAAGGTGCCAAACTGAGGGCAACAGGGCAAACACACAAATGCCCCTTGGAGAAGAGATACCTTCTTCTTTGCACAATTCCATGCTCACCTGTGGCAAACCTTTAAAAAATATAACAAAGGCACCACATACACCAAAGCTAGCCCTGGTTCCATAATTCTCTTCCTCATTCCACTTCAACCAGCCATGTCATTTTGCAGGTTCTGGTACATTCCATGCAAACTGCCTCCACAGGGCCTTCAGACTTACTGTTATGTTCCCCCCACCCCGCCCCACTGCCTTTTTGTTTTCTAAAACATTTGAAAGTAAGTTGCAGACATCATGCTATTTTATCCTAAATGCTTCAGCACATGCCTTATAAGAACAGCATCATGCTTCCACAGGAACATTAGTTTTCATATCTGAGAAACTGAACATTAATAATATTATTCAACATACAGTTCTATTCAAAGTTCTCCAATTGTTTTATGTGTTTCCCCTATAAGTTGTGTGAATGTGGTTTTTAATATTTTTACTTTTTAGAATCTAACCAGGGATCACAATTTGCCTTTGGTTATCATGTGTTCTTAGCTTCCTTTAATCTATAATCATCTCTTTTGTTTTGTTTGTTAATTTGTTTGGCCTTTCGTATCTTGACAGTTTTGACAAATTCAGGTAAACTGTTCTGGAAAATGTTCCACAATTTGGAACACATCAGGTTAAATATTTTGTTCAGGAACATGACAGCAAGGTGATATTGTGGCTTCCCATTGTATCATATCAGGAGGTACATAATGGTAATTTGTCCCATTATTGGTGATGCTTACTTTGATCCCTGGGCTAAGATGTTCTCACTATTGCAAAATTTCCCTTTTTTTCCTTCATAATTCATAATAATCTGTTGGGTGAAATGCTGACAATGTGGAGGTCATTTTACTCTATGTTTTTAAGTAATATTTGATGATTGTTGCCTAAATCAATTCTGAGATTGTTTGCAAAATAGTTATTTTCTAATTGTATCATTTCTTCCACTTATAGTAGCTGGCATACTTTTTTTGAGGTTTTTTTTTTTTTTTTTCCTGCTACCCCCTCTATATTTAGTTGACTTAAAATGCAATATGTTATGATTTTTTTTCTTTAATGCTCAAATAGTCTCAAATTTGGTCAGCTGGATCTTTCAAACTTGTCCTTATGCCTTTTTGTTATGTCCCCATTAATCATTGAGGACCTTCTTGTTTTCTGACATTATAAGAACATTTAAAATCATCAGCGATTTTTCTTGCCCTCAGCCATTTTTCCAAGGAACTGAAGTTCCTTTATGGGGAGAATGGTATTTAGAAACTAAGATGTTGGCACCAGATGAGCACATCAATGTTAGGTTGGGCATGACCAATTTCCACTTCTACTGTATCTGGTCCATTTCCATTCCTCTTTCTCTTGTTCCCACTTATCTAATTTTGGATTTTATGCAATTAAAGCATTTACTTCCTTTGCATTTTCTGTGGTTAAGCAGTTAATTTCATGTGTTTCTACCTAAAATTCTATGTGATTCCTAAAGATTGGCAAGTGGTGAGAATCCCTCTGTCTTCATCTGACAATGAGAAAGCTCTAAAATTCCACACGTTATTCAAGTATTTTGCAGTCACCTCTGTTTGTCTTTCATCTGATTTTTACAGATGTTCTAAAGTTCCCAAAATAAATAGAGGTAATCAGTGAATCACAATATCTGGAAGATAAAGCAAATGCTTACCTGTTTGCTTTGCCATCTGCTCCATTTTAGATTGGATCAGTACATATTCAGTCTCCCCAAACAGTATGCACTTCTCAAATACCCATGGTGACTGGCTCCAATTCCATCTGGTTGTTTCTGATTATTTCATTACAGCTGTTCAGATTTATAAACCCAGCAATTAAAAGAACTTAGACATGTTAATACTTATGTAGCCCTTAACCACCATGCCTCAAAAGAAAAATTGGGAAAGGTTTTACAACACATTGTTTCATTGAAGGGACTGTTATTAGTTTAATGAAACATGCTACACATGCACATTATTTTTAAAGATTTCTTTCTTTCTTTTTAGAGTTGTCAAGCCTTCATTTACAAATAGAAGATTAGCTATAGTTTATTTTAATTGTTCCAAATTTTACAATGGTGAAAAGCAACAATACAAATCCCAGATTTTTTTTCCCCTAGCAATGTTTCTATGGGAAGATTAAGAGTGTCTGCAACTTGTTCTAGAGTAATAATTTCAATTGGCTCAAGTCCATTAACTGCAGGGAAAAACACCTGGCAAGGCGGTTGGTAGCAGCCCATTCTTGTTAACCTTTCAGCCTTCACAATAACTATCAGCAGGCACTGAATCAGGGCCTCTAATAAACTGGCATTAAAGCTGCTGACAGCTAATAACTTTTTATGGGTTTCCAGAACTAAATAAAAGAAAATTCTGATTAATTAGAATCAAACAATTTTCAAATTCCATAACCCCAGAATTAAAAAAAATTTAGACGTATAAAATAAAGTAAATATTAATACGGCCTTTCAGAAGACATTTTCAGCATAAACAAAATAGATTTTAAAGTACATTATTTTAGCTATTTTACTCCAGTTTAACTTTCTGCTACCATGCTCTTTTTTTTTAGTAAAAGAGAAAATAGCTAAGAAATTGAAAACTTAGCATACCAACTATAGAAATAAAGTTTTAACTGAATTATTTCAACATGTCAAATAATTTTGCAAGTGAATTATAGAAACTCTTTAATCTTCAATAATTGTGGAAGAGTAGAACTCAGGAGAGACATTTTAAGGAGAGTATTTAAAAGCTTCACACACATCGATTTTCTTCTTTTTGCCTTCCTATAAGAAAACCAATCTGCAGGTGGACTGTATCTGTAACCTGTTCACCACTGGTTAGGTGGAAACTAAGGTGGTCTTGAGGAGTTGCAGGAGGAAACCAGAGTCGAAAAGTTACGGAAACACTATGGTTCTTTAAGGAAATAGACATAATTTATTTTCTTTCTTGAGCCAGATAGCTGATGTTCAGTTGCTAGATGCAACTCTGGTAGAAAGAAGGCATGGGTAGAGATTGAGTAGGGAGTCAGTTTATATCACTGACGACTTTAGACAAAAACAATTGAGAACCATCATTGTACCAGAATGGAATGTGCGAGGTTTCTTAGGGGCTAGATTCAGGTAACTATGGTGATAGGAGGATAGAGAAGCTCTACCTATACCCATGGCTCAGCTCCTGTAGATGGAAGGAAATAAAGTTGTTTCTGAGAATGGAGAGACACCTGAGACAGTGAGTGAAGACGCAATACAGTGAGGTGAAAACTTCTCCTAACTTCTAAGCTTATAACACAACCTTGTAGGGTGTGGCGAAAACCATAGATGCTATGGTTTGAATGTTTGTCTCCTTCCAAACTCATGTTGAAATTTAATTGCCATTGTAACAGTATTAAATGATGGGACTCTTAAAAGGTGATTAGGCTATGAAGGCTCTACCGTAAAGAATGGATTCATGCTGTTATGGAAGTGGGCTCATTATTATGCAAGTAGATTCTTTATAAAACTATAATTTTGTCCCCCTTTTCTATCTCTCACCCTCCTTTTGTCCTTCTCTTATGTTATGACACAGCAAGAAGTCCCTCACCAGATGCTGGTACTTTGATCTTAGACTTCTCAGGCTCCAGAACTATGAGAAATAAATTTCTGTTTATTGTAAATTAACCAGTCTGTGATATTTTGTTATAACAGCACATGACCGACTAAGACAGTACCCATGGCTGTTTGCATGAAGGAGTTAAGATTCTGTAGAAACAAATTCAAGTAAATCTTCACCTTTTTAGCATGGAGGGAGCTTTGGAATAAGGGTTTTTGTTAAAGAATGCAAGTATTTGCCAGTGGGAGAAATGTAGTAGGATAATACTTTGAGATATGGACTGTAGTTCTTTATAATCTTTCTTCTAGAGAAGGTAGCTAAAATATTCCACATTTATGTTTCATGGAATAAATATGACCAGAATCAGAAACAGAGAGAGAGAGAAAAAAAAAAACCCAACTTTTGAAAGGCCATTTGAAAAGACTTTTAAAACTCCTAGTTGGGTGAAAGACTTTGGAATTTCTAAAGCTTAAAGTTAAAATAAACAATCAAGTTGGAAAAACTCATGATCAGAGAGAATTAGTATTTCCCAACCCTAGTGACTCAATAAAATTTGCTTGGACTGAGAAGAAAGAAGTAATCAGAAGATAAGTAAGAGCGTTTATGTATGGTAGAGCTGCTATGCTCTGCCCCTCCATACTTGCTTGAAAACTGGAAAGGCACAGACAAATCCCAGATTTGAAAGCAAGATCCATTCTCTTCTTCCCAGTGAATAACCAAGAAAATCCCAAGACCAGACCTCCCCCTGGTGCCCAGTATCATGTGAGAGCAAAAGGAAGGCTTCAGTGTCATGTCTGAAATGAGAGAGCGTAGAGCAGCCTCACAGAATTTCTCACAACTTACAGCAGCAATGGAAAGCAGCTGGTTGTTTTCTCTCCTTCTGAGATGTTGAAAACATCAGAGACAGAGAGAGAGAGAGAGAGAGAGAGAGAAACCGAGACAGAGAGTGCACCACACCTGGAGAGTTCCTACAGGAACTCTTGGGAAAACTTGAAGCCAACTTACATAGGTCAGTAACTGTTAGGTCCTAACATGTTTATCTCAGAGGATGCAGCAGGAGGAGCTCTTGAATAAGGAAAAATACCATCTCCTCATTCCCTTATATTGAGGCATCACCTAAGAACCCTCGATTTATGACAAAACCCCTGGAACAAAGGTGATTATCTTGACTTAAGATTTCATTTTGATCAAATGGGAACCAAAAATACAAAATTAACTTAAGATATAGGAAAACAAACAAATTAACACTTTTTGCCCACCTGAGTTTTGTGGAATGACATTCATACCCATTACAGTTTATGTCTTAGTCCATTTTCTGCTGCTATAACAGAATACCACACACTCAGTAATTTATAAATAAAAGAGACTTATTTGGCTTATGGTTTTTGGGACTGGGAAGTCCAAGATCAAGGGGCTGCATCTGGTGAGGGCCTCCTTGCTGTTTCATAACATGATGAAAGATATCACATGGTGAGAAAGGGCTAGAGAGGCAAAAGTACTTGAGACAGATAGAGGAAAAGGAGGGCAAACTTCTGAGATAATGGCATTAATCCATTTATGAGGGCAGAGGTTTCATGATCTAATCACTCCCTAAAAGTTTTACCTATTAATACCATCACAATGGCAATTAAAGTTCAGTGTTGGTTTTGGAGGAGCCATTTAAACCCTATCAATTTGTATTTAAGTTATTTGTGTGCCAGCTTTAATAAATCCTTTTAGATGGTGAATTTCTATAGGACATTGGTTGCCTCTCTTTTTCTGATTTCCAGGCATCTTAAAAATAGTAGGAACTTAATATATATTTGTTCAATTGTATTGAATAGCTTAATCCAAAACATTCCCACTAGTAAATTGTCTTGGTAACCACCTTATTCATATATTATTATTAGCCCTGGTGCTCAAGTACTTTTACTCATTCAATGAGTCATCTGATATAACCAACTACAATGAACATCAGCTAATACAAAGAAGGCATAATAGAGAAGCAAACCATAAGGCCATCATGACTTGAGCACATAGAGAACCAGTTTCAACAACTGTTGTCACTACTTCTTGAAGTACTATCTTCACTTGGTTTCTAAAACACTCTATTCATCTAGTTTTCCTTCTATTTGTCTAATCCTACTCAATCTCTTTGCTGACATCTCCTTCCTTGGTCTTATTCAATCATTAGGCTATAAAATTCTTCTGTACACTAAAGACTCACACATTTATATACACATCTATCTGCTCCACACTTCTCTCTTTAGCTCCAGCTGCCTACTTGACCACTGTATCTAGGTGTCTAACAGGCTTTTAAAACTTAACATGTTTAAACTTGAGCTCTATATTCTCCCCAAAGCCAATGCCTTTATCAGTTTTTTTCCCATATTAGTAAATGACAATTTTCTATTTCCAGTATCTTAGGCCAAAATCCCTGTTGTCATCCTGGACTACTAATTTTCTCCTGGACCTCACATCCAAGTCCTCAGGGAAACCTAGCAGCTGAACCTTTAACTATATCCAGGATCTGACCATTCTCAATACATCTACTGCTGTCACCCAGGTCTAAGCCATCATCTCTTGCCTCCTATCTGACCTCTGTTTTTACCATTGCGCTTCTATAGCCTTGCAATGGACTCAATGTTTATGTTCCCCCAACATTCGCATGTTGAAATTCTTACCCATAGGTGATGGTATTAGTAAGTGAGGCCTCTGGTAGATGATTAGGTCATAAGACTGAATCTGCTTTTTATTAATGCCTTTATAAAAGAGATCCAAGAAAGCTTGTTTGCCCCTTTCACCATGTGAGGGATCATCTATGAACCAGAAAGTGGGCCCTCACTAGAAGCTGAATCTTCTGGTGTGTACTTGATCTTGAACTTCCCAGCAACCAGAATAGTAAAAAATATTTTGTTATAGCAGCCTGAGAGATTAAGACAAGGCTGTTATTAACACAGTGGCCAGAGTGAGCCTTTTAAATTGTAATCAGATCAGGTCTCTCCTCTGGACAACTATTTCCATAGCTTTAAAACTCAGAGTAAAAGTCAAGATCCACACTATAACCTCTCTGCATGTGATCTGGCCTGCTGTTACCTCTCAATCCTCATTTCTTCCTCTGAGGACCTCAGCAACTCTGTCTACTTACTGTTTCCCCAGCCTATCCAACATACTCTCAAAACAAGGGCTCTGTACTTGCTGCTCTCAAAGAACATTCAATAGAATGTTCTTCTCTATCATATTGTCATGGTTATTAATATTTACTTCCCTCACTTTCTTCTGATTTTTATTCCAAAGTTTCATGGGTTTTTTTTTGTTTGTTTGTTTATTCGTTTTGTTTGTTTGTGACAGGGTCTCACTCTGTCACCCAGGCTGAAGTGCAGTGGCTTGATCAAGGTTCACTGCAGCCTTGATCTGCTGAGCTCAAGCAATCCTCCAACCTCAGCTTCTGAGTAGGTGGGGCTATAGGTGTGCCCGACTAATTTTTTCTTTTTTGTAGAGGCAGAGTCACTATGTTGCCGAGGCTGGTCTCAAACTCCTTGGCTCAAGTGATCCTCCCACCTCAGCCTCCCAAAGTGCTGGGATTACAGGTGTGAGCCACCACACCCAGCCCAAAGTTATATTTTTGTAAGGACTTTTCTGTCCATTCTATCTAAAATTTCAATACCTAAGTTCACATTTCACAGAGCTCTTTCCTGTTTAATAATTTCTCTTTTTTTTTTTTTTTAGCACACGTCACTTATTTACATGTTATATATTTTACTTATTTATTTTGCTTATTGTCTGTATGGTGCTTGATAGTGTCTTGTTCACTGTATTATATCTGGTCCTACAATAGTGGTTGACATATGGTAAGTCCTCGACAAATATTTGTTGAATGGTCATTGAGCAAGTAAATGAGTATTTACTAAACTATCAGCAGATTATTTTCTAGTTTTATTTAATAATTTATGGTCATATGAAATAAAACTATTCATTAACAAAAAGTTTAGAATGTATTCTATTCTTTTTCAGTACCAAATCTAGTATTTCTCATCCATCATCCTGCAGATGGAAAAAAAATCCATTATTAAATTGCTTCTGTAATACAAGTTTGCATACAATAAAAGTATAAAATATTTTTCAACCCAGAGTACAAGATAAAGTACTTTTCTCCTAGTAAATACACTTTCTAAACACAATGCTATCTGTGAAAAGTCCTGTTAGTAATTAGCATAAAGTTTATTTTGCCTCACTGTAAATGGTTTCTTAATCTTAGAATGGTTTCTGAACCAAATTACAGAATAAGCATTATGCTTTTGAGTGAAAGCAATGTGTCTGTAGACAATCTTATGTTTACTTTCTTCTTTGGTTATAATGTTCTTTTTCGCCAGAATTTTTAACCTTCTTATTTCTGCCCATGAAAACCCAATATATTAGCTCAGTCATTTTCAGGTTATAGCTCCGAAAGTTACTACACCCTATATATTAAGGGTGTAGTAATTTTAATACTTACTAAAGTATTTGCTTATCAGTTAGCTTTCCACAATTTTGGCATCAAGAAAGGGAAAATGACAATGTTCTTCCTGAAGAGAGGAGAATATGATGTTGGTGAATACTGTAATAGAATTTGTAATCTACCTTCTAATGTTTCAAAGCCCCAGAGTGAGGAGGAAGTTCCTTGCACATGTAGATATAAAACTAAGGCAGAGGGCCTGCAGCCTTGCTCAGCATTTGGTTCTCCAGTAGGAAAGTGATGTTCAGAGCTTGTCTGGCCAACCTGCAGCAGCAGACCAGCACAATTAAGAGAGCAACTGGTTTGGTCTGATGGAGAGCAGATCTCATTTACAACTGCATGTTTCTTTCAATTCCAGAGTACATGGACATTGGACATGGACATTAGTTTAAGGACATTGGTATGGTGGGAACAACCTGAGAATAAAGATGAGATGGAAGGTGTGGCATAGACTCAGGGTCTGCAGAAGCAGGGAGCGGAGAGGAAGATGCATTGGCTTGGAAGGGTAAGGGGATGGACCAAGCTAAGAAATTTTGGATCACAGGGTATGACCACACAATAAATCGGCTAACAATGGCTGAATGATCACCAGCTAACACACCCAAAGATTAGCTTGAAGCTACAGAGTCTCCCTCTTGCAGGTCCCGAGATCATTCAAATATCCACACCAAGAACACAATATACCCAAGGGTCAGCAAATTGCAGTCCACAAGCTGAATAGTGCCTGCTGCCTCTTTTTGTGTGTCTTGGAAGCTAAAATGTGTGGGTTTTTTTTTTTTTTACATTTTTAAATGATTGAAAAACAATAAAAATATTTTGTAACACTTGAATGTTGTGTGAAAATCAAACTATATATGAGGTATCCATAAATAAAGTTTCATTAAATCATAGCTACACCCATTCATTTACATCTTTACATCTTACCTATGATTGTTTTCCTGCTTCAACGGCAGAATTGAATAGTTGCAATAGAGACTATATGGCCAATTAAGACTAAAATATAGTATCTGAGTATTTATAGAAAAAGTTTGCCCACTCTTGTAATACAACATGTTAGAAAGTAGCCTAGGGAGAAACAGAGCTATAACAGAGCCTAGGGAGAAACAGAGCTGAAGAACGGAGCTATAACCTGAAAATGAGTGAGTTAACCACAAAGAGACCCTTGAATTATTGAATCCACTAAATTTAACTAGATTAGACAAAAATTAGGATTAGCAAGGAATTGCAGATGATGCCAATTCTGCCATATGTTCCTAAATGGCTCAATGGGACATCCTCAGTTACGTGGTATCTCAGGTGGTGGGCGTCTCTTGGCCCTCAATAGACACAGCACAGATTTACTCACACCTTATGTGAATAAAATATTTTACATCAAGTTTCAGCACATAAAGATTTTACTACAGCCCAAGCTTATGAAACCTCTAGGCAAAACTGTAATATAGCATACACAGAATATAAGAAAGAATATATATATATATTCTTTATATATATATATTCTTTATAGATATATTCTTTTTATATATATTCTTTTATATATATTCTTTATATATATTCTTTATATATATAAATAATATATATAAAGAATATATATATAAAGTATATATATATAAAGAAAGTACACATATATATATATATATATATATATATGTACTTTCTTTCTACTTACATATCTGTTGGCAACCCTATTTCCATGCTTGCTAAACTACCAACCTCACTCAGGCTGTTTTACTGTTTTATCGATGTCTTGTGTCACTCTGGGCTGTCCTCCCTTGTTCTCCACAAGACAGTGGAAATGCCTCATTTGTTTACATTGAAATATGAGTGTTTGATGGTTATGGATGTGTTGTGTCTCACATTTTGAAAACAATGGTTTATTAATGCAAGAGATACATTCCTAATGGAAGAACTGGAGCTATAATATTTAGTTATATGCTTTCAGAATTTAAGCTGTAGATTCATGCAAACACAATAGGTCAATTTGTAAGGAAGCACATGTATATATGTGCTATTTTGCTTTATTTTTTGAATTTGCATTACATACTCCAATTTTAAAGGAGAGGAAGTGGAAATACAAAAAAATATGTTGTTATGTTTTTATGTCATAGCTAAACTGGGCCATTTAACCTTGACCTATGACATAAAAAAACCATGTTTTTATGTTAATTGAAGACACATCTGGATTTATAAGACAACTGGGAAGGAATATGGAAGTAATCACCTATTCTTTAAATTTAATCTTCAACTTAAACTTTAAAATTATTTAGAGGCAGTCATTTCTCTTATTAGTTAAATAACAACTGTACCATACATAAAAACTACCCTCCCTCATTTGTTATTTTCAGTGTTAAGTAGAGCTTTTTATTTTACTCTATCCCCTCAAATAACTCCGTGAATAGATATTACAATCTCAATATTACAGGCGAGGGTAGTAGTACTAGTGAATTTAATCATTCGCCCACCTCAAAATTATATCACTTGTAAACAACAAAACCAGGATTGAAGCACAAGCTTGTATAACTTTAAAGCCTGTGCTCTTAAGAAAAAGTTTAAAATCTTAACCAGTACTTGACCCTACTTTCTGTGTTTGAAGTACATTTTTTGCAAACCATTTAGGTTTTGTTTTGTTTTATAATTGCTGAGTTTTCTATATATGTATCTTTAAAGACATTTGTAGCCTATTCCT
Organism: Homo sapiens; assembly: GCF_000001405.40. Classification (NCBI taxonomy): domain Eukaryota; kingdom Metazoa; phylum Chordata; class Mammalia; order Primates; family Hominidae; genus Homo; species Homo sapiens. The sequence goes on from NC_000003.12 coordinate 94,342,630, forward strand.
TTGTTTCTCTAACTCTCAAGGTTAAATGGCCCAGTTTCGCTATGACAGCATTATTCTTGGTAAAGGAGACATGGCAAGGTAGCAACTGATTGTGCAGAGTTAACCTTGAAGTTATTTGATGTTAAATCAGTTTTACTTAGGGATGTTTTTTTCACCCCTAAGGTCTCTTTTATTCTGTCATACAATTTGCTGTCAAACTAAATGATGCATTTAAATTGAATGACCAAAGATAATGACTGTAACAAGGGAGAGACCCGTACAATTGCTGTTGTAATGTCATTCTGATCTGAATGACCCTGTTTTGTTGGAGTCATGATACAGTGGATGTCAAGTCATGATAACCTACTACTGTTTCTCACCCAAATAATGGAAGTTTCTCATGGGGTGGCATTAAAAATAAAGCTGCCCAAGGGGTATTTGTTATTGGAGACGTTCAGAAATGATGGCAACACTAACTGGAAGTAGAATGTAAGAACAATGTACTCAATTTGATTATCAAACTGAATGACATTAAGATCTGTTTCTTACTAGAGTTATACAGCATGGTAAAATAATCAGAACAGTGTGGCCAACAAATTGGCTTGGCTACTCTATGAAATAGAAAGAAAAATTGGCAAAATGTCTTTTTCAAAGACAATTGGGTTCATAAGTTAGATTTTCTGTAGTGGAAAAAAAGCAATTGCACAGCTTCTAGACTATATGACAATCTAGCAGAATAATATGCCTTCACTCTCTCCCTCCTTCCTTCCCTCCCTTCCTGCCTTGCTCCCACCCTTCCTTCCTTTGCTACAGCATGAAAATCATAGAGGCTAAAATTATTTGGCTTAATTGCACAAAGAGGGCTCTATGATTTTACTTTTATCTTTCAGATTTCAGTCATTTATATTTAGCACTTATATATACTTGATGTATTTAATCTCCAAAAGAAATAGACTATATTCCCACAACTCCTTTCTGACATTTTTAATGCATTGTTGCCCATAATTTTTCATTCCATAAGCCACAAGAGAGAGACCAGAAAGTTTTGTTTCTTAAAAATTTGCTCAATGACATTCTATGCATTTTCTCAATTATTTTGAAGTAGAAAGTCTCATAATCTTCCTCATAACTCTTCTTTTTTTCCCATTTGACATATGATATAATGTTAATGCTCTAGTTCATGGATTTCACCTCATGAATAGGGAGTATATTGAGAATAGATTTTGATTTTGTGATCCTTATATGGCCTTGGATATTTTTCCCTTATAACAAGAATAATGTTTTTGTTTTATAACCAAAAGACACATTTAAAGTATATCTTTTTCTCTATCAAAAGTCATTAAATAACCTAAATGGTGCTGGGAAAACTAGCTAGCCATATTCAGAAAACTGAAAGTGGACCCCTTACTTACACCTTATATAAAAATTAAGTCAACTTAAATGTTAAAACCCAAAACCATAAAACTTAAATGTAAAACCCAAAACCATAAAACTTAAATGTAAAACCCAAAACCATAAAACTTAAATGTAAAACCCAAAACCATAAAAACCCTAAGAGCAAATCTAGGCAATACCATTTGGGAAATATGCATGGGCAAGACTTTATGATGAAATCACCAAAAGCAATTGCAACAAAAGCTAAAATTGATAAACAGGATCTAATCAAACTAAAGAGCTTCTGCACAGCAAAAGAAACTATCATCAGAGTGAACAGGCAACCTACAGAATGGGAGAAAATTTTTGCAATCTACCCATCTGACAAAGGTCTAATATCAATAATTTACAAGGAACTTCAACAAATTTACAAGAAAAAAAAACAACCTCATAAAAAAGTGGGCAAAGGACATGAACAAACACTTCTCAAAACGAGGTATTTATGTGGCCAACAAACACGACAAAAAAGCTCAACATCACTGATCATTAGAAAAATGCAAATCCAAACCACAATGAGATAACATCTCATAGCAGTCAGAATAGCGATTATCAAAAAGCCGAAAAACAACATATGCTAGTGAGACTGTGGAGAGGTAGAAATGCTTTTACACTGTTGGTGGGAACGTACATTAGTTCAACCACTGTGGAAGACAGTGTAGAAATTCCTAAAGGATCTAGAACCAGAAGTACCATTTGACCCAGCATTCCCATTACTGGGAATATACCCAAAGAATTATAAACCATTCTATTATAAAGATACACGCACACGGATATTTACTGCAGTGCTGTTCACAATAGCAAAGACTTGGAACCAACCCAAATGCCCAACAAGGATAGACTGAAAAAAGAAAACGGGTACATATACACCATGGAATACTATGAAGCCATAAAAAGAAATGAGATCATGTCCTTTTGTTACGGGTGGATCTTTGTTCTTAGAGCTCCCAAGGTGGTGGCGGCTGCTCCCAAGACGGCAGCAAGCCTTTTGTTCTCTCACCTGGGGTTCTTGGCCTCACAGATTCCAAGGAATGGAACCTTGGGCCATGCGGTGAGTGTTATAGCTCTATTGGAAGCCGTGGGTCATGGAAGAGAACTGTGGAACCCAGCGACTAGAGTTCAGCTCGATGAGGACGAACCTGGGCACTTAGCCCTGCAGGAACAATGGCGAGCCTTCAGTGTGATCAGGAACTGTGATGGGTGCCTCACTGGATCAGAAGCACAGCAGACACCCTGTCGGATCCGGAGCGGTGGAAGTCAGCAGCAGGTCTGTGATGGCAGTGAACAGCAGTGGTGGACGGTAAGTGAAAGCTCAACTCCAGCCAGAAAAACACGGACCAGAAGAGTGCGCAGTTGCAAGATTTAAGAGTGAGAACAGAGCTCCCATACAATGGGAGGGGACCCGGATGGGGTTGCCCACCCCTGGCTTGAATGCCTGGGGTTTATATCGCAATCACTGTCCCTTACCCTGTGCTCTCAGGCGATATATGATTGACTATTTCTTTACCTCATGCCTTTAGCCTAATTGTTATTTTAATGAGCCCTCTTTACTATCTGATTGGCCGGGTGTGAGCTGAGTTACAAGCCCTGTGTTTAAAGGTGGGTGTGGTCACCTTCCCCAGCTAGGCTTAGGAATTCTCAGTCGCCTAGGAAATCCAGCTAGTCCTGTCTCTCACTTTGCAGGGACATAGATGAAGTTGGAAGCTAGCATCCTCAACAAACTAACATAGGAACATAAAACCAAGCCCTGCATGTTCTCACTCATAAGTGGGAACTGAGCAATAAAAACACATGGACTTAGGCACAGAAGGGGAACAACACACATCAGGGCCTGTTGGGCAGGTGGGAGGAGGCAGAGCATCAGGACAAATAGCTAATGCATGCGGGGCTTAATACCTAGGTGATGGGTTGATAGGTGCAGCAAACCACCATGGCACACGTTTACCTATGTAACAAACCTGCACATTCTGCACATGTATTCCAGAACCTAAAATAAAATAAAATTTAAAAAAACCATGATTATAAGGAGGAAATCTATTGAAAGAAAATACATATTGCCAATAAAAATATAGAAATCTTTCTGATCATTAGGGAAATGAAAATTAAAGCACCAATTAAGAAATACTTTCTAGGCTATCATATTGGCAAAAATTAGAAAACTGATAAGATTGAAGAGTGCCAAGTATATGGAGAAATTCATGTCCTGTTAGTGAGAACAGAAAGGCTCGCCACAACATTTTTGGAAAGTAATCTGACAATACCTATTAAAATAAAAATGTATGATCCATTTGTCCTAACATTCTCAATTATGGGATTCTAAAAACAAACAAAAAACTTATTTAATAACCACTTTGCATGTCCTTTGGTCAATTACATATCCTTTGCTCAACAATGGATTATGTAATTTGTTGCTTCTTATCTGTAACATTAATCACAACTTTTCTTTCATTTTGATATTTATAATTGTTATTTTTTATAATTAAAGAAAAATAACTTTGAAGTATTATCAACAAAACTTAAAAACAATTTACAAGAAAAAAATCCTATATATAGGACATTTGAGAAAGTGGGCTTAAATATTTAATAGTAACTAGTGAATTGCAACTAAATGTCAGAAAAACAAACAAGGAAACATGTATCTCTTCTATTTGGTGACTTCTTTGAATTGATGATATTCCCAATCTTGCTTAAAGAACTAAAGTAAAATTTAGCATAGCTCCTCCTAATTTTGGCACAGCTGGTCTTCTCTACTCTCGGAAAAGTAAGTAGAGTAAAAAAACTCCTTCCTTAGACAGTGTTCTCCATTCTTTTCCTGTCTCTTTGAGCTCTTCTCTGTCTTTGTCTTTGCCTTCTGCATGCATAACAATCATAACAGGATTCCTATTTAAATAAACACAATTTTTTTGTCAGACTGAGGGCAGGCCTCTTAAAGTGAAGTCTCTTAGTGAGGAACCCAAGAATATTCCTTGCAGCAAATTTTCTCTGAGTGAGCCTTATGCACAGTAAAGTTTGAGACTTGTTACCTGAAATGATGAGCTACTTCAGGGTTCCTGCATACATCTGTTTCAGACACACCAAATTTATCCCTGCTGTTGAAAAGGGCATTGAACTTCTTCTGGTCTCTATATTTTGAGTCAGTTCCAATCTCATTCCTGACTCTCAGACTTTTATCTCCCCTTGGAGGACTCACAAATACCTCAAAGCCCCTTGAGCCTACTCTTCCTCCTGATTTTCCTCTTTCCGTGACTGGCATTGCACCTGACAGCTGCCAGAACCAGAAACTGGGAGGTAACCCCAATTTCTGTTCTTTCCCACTGTATTCATTCACTAATGAGCTCCTGTTTATTCTGCCTTCTAAATATCCACATTCCACTCAATTCTCAATAGTACCACTGTCACTAGCCTTAGTCTGGCCCACATCATCTCTCATTGAAATTATTATAACTGTAATTTTCATGTTTCCCCTGTCTCTATTAAAGTCCCATTGTAACTGAGTACCCCCATTTTTCTAAGAGGAAGAGAGTGAATTATTTTTTAAATTAATTTCTTCTCTCTTTCCTTGTTCTCTCCTGTTTTCCACTTCCCACTTAGCTCTTTAGAAATGCAATTATAACCTTTACTTTCCCTTCACCAGACACTGGCTACATGGCAAGCTTACCTAACTATGGGCTTACTTAGAAGCTCCAGAACTGAAACTCTCTCTGCCCAGGAGATTGCCTCAGCTGATGGCAGTCAATTTACATCCTCAAGGATGCCCATGACAGTACTCCATCCCACCTGGAGAGTATCTCAGATTATGGCCACTTTAAAACCTAGCACTACCTGTGATGATGCCAGCTGGACCACCTGGTAGATAAGGCACTGAAGTGAGTCATATAGGCCCCGCATCTGCTTGCTTCCTCCCCTGCATGCCATTCATGCCAAGTTCCCCTTTAAAAGCTGCTGCATTCTGCCCCCAAAATGAAGTGGTACCCTTAAAGGCAGGAGCCTGTACTGCTTCCCCTAAGCTAAGCTTTGGAATAAAGTAATTTATACCAGACGCCACTCTTGTTAATGGAGTTAACAAGTGGTGAGTGACTGAAACTGCCTTTTGGTTATACCATGCATTCTTCTTCTAAGGTGCTAATTTAATTCTGTCACCTTAATTATAAGCTTTCAATAGCTCTCGTTTGCTTTTAGTTTAAAATATAAATCCCTTACTGTGGCTCAGAGTGTCCTGCATAACTGAGAGGTGAAGCCAGCTGAGCTTCTGGATCGGGTGGGGACTTGGAGAACTTTTGCGTCTAGCTAAAGGATTGTAAACACACCAATCAGCACTCTGTAAAAATGCACCAATCAGTGCTCTGTGTCTAGCTAAAGGATTGTAAATACACCAATCAGCACTCTGTAAAAATAAACCAATCAGCGCTCTGTGTCTAGCTAAAGGATTGTAAACGCACCAATCAACCCTCTGTAAAATGGACCAATCAGCACTCTGTAAAATGGACCAATCAGCTCTCTGTAAAATGGACCAATCAGCAGGACGTGGGTGGGGCCAAATAGGGGACTAAAAGCTGGCCACCAGAGCCAGCAGCGGCAACCCGCTTGGGTCCCCTTCCGCACTATGGAAGCTTTGTTCTTTCGCTCTTTGTAATAAATCTTGCTGCTGCTCACTCTTTGGGTCCGCACTACCTTTATGAGCTGCAACACTCACTGCGAGGGTCTGCAGCTTCATTCCTGAAGTCAGTGAGACCACCAACCCACAGGGAGGAACAAACAGCTCCTGACGCTCCACCTTTATGAGCTGTAACGCTCACTACAAAGGTCTGCAGCTTCACTCCTGAAGTCAGCCAGACCAGGAACCCACCAGAAGGAAGAAACTCTGGACATATCTGAACATCTGAAAGAACAAACTCCGGACACACCATCTTTAAGAGCTGTAAGAGTCACCTCGAGGGTCCGCGGCTTCATTCTTGAAGTCAGAGAGACCAAGAACCTACCAGAAGGAATAAATTCCGGACACATAATCATTATCTCTCTAATTTGTTTCTTACCACTCCTAGCCTCATACTTTATAATGGTCTTATTAAATGTTTTATAAGTTTCCATGCTGTTTCTTGCCTGGGTTTTTATGTAGCGTACTTTTTCTTCTTGGAGCCCTATTTACCATCCTCTTTAACCTGATCATTTCTCCATATTTAGGTCTCACTTCCTCTGGAAGTGAGCCTTTCTTCCCACCTCTGGGTTGTGGGCACAGCATCACAGCAGTGTCCGAAACAAGAAGGAAGAAGGAGTGGTGTCAGCCAGCACTATTCTAACATATTATTTCTTTCACAGTGTTTTTCAGAATTGGCGTCAAATAGCCACCTGTAGAGGCAAGGGAGGCTAGGAATAAAAGCAGCTTTCAAAGGAAATGAGATAGCAACATCAGTTCAAACAGATCATGATTCATCACTCGGACCAAACAAATTATAGTTGAGAACATAGCTGGGATCCTGTTATCAAGAAAGAAGGGAAAACGGCGTAAGGGGAGGCAATCAACAGTATTTACCAGGCTTTCCCTTGCAGATTGACACCATAGGGAGTTGCCTAGCTGGCCTACTCCTTCATCCAGCTCTAGTTGTGCATACAGCCCCTCCCCAACCTCAGGACTGTTTCCAAAGTAAGAAGTAAATGCCTTCAGGGGTCTGCCAGTGAAGGTTAATGTCTAGGCATCTTGTGTTTGTTGCCTGTTAAGGGAGCCTCTTGCTACTTTGCATTCTACTTGTTTCTGGAGCTGAAGCAACACTGCTTAAAAGGATTAATTTGGCTGGTGCTCCAGAGAATTTGGAAGGTAAACAACTGTTTCTTTTTTGTCAATATGGCAATTAAGAACGTTGAGATTAAAGAAAGAAAAGTAAATGCAGCTTTTATTTCTACAGTAGACTGATAGGCTAGTGAGTCATTGAATAGGTAATAAGCCCTAGAAGTGTTTTGGCTTAACAAATCTAGTTCAGGGATAAAATTCTCTCTTCCCTCAACTATCTTGCATCCCAGAATATCTGAACTCTACAAAGAAAAAGGTTGACAGTTTAGAATTTGGATTTTGTGTTCATTTGATTGTGGTGTAAAATGTTTTATGCTAGAGACACAAATCTGCAGGAAAATTTGGTTAAAATAAAGCTGATTTTTTTTTCTGTAGCCAGAAGTGTTACTTTTTATTTTATGGTGACTAAGGAAAATATAAATATACACATACAGTTTATTAGTGTAAATGATCCAATGGAGGTTATTAGTGGGTGATACAAAATCATATTCTCACTGACAGAATGCTAGATTCAGCTATCAGTTTACTTATCAGTGACCTTGGAAAATTGCTTAATCTTTCTGAGACTATTTCTCCCTTCTTTAAACAGCAATGATACTGCCTCCATCTCCACTGGGCTGTTGGGGATTTTTTCTTATACTTGAGTGTACCCATTATGACCAACTTAGTGCCAGACATGTGATAGATATTCAGTAAATACTTATTTAGTAAAATATAGAATTAAAAATCAAATGAAATAAGTATGTAAAAGTATTGTGGATTACTATACAAATACAAGCATTATTATTGTCAAAGAACAAAATTTCAATAAATTGAGTTTTAAAGCTCTAATTGGCTTTTATTAGCAATTCATGAACCAGGCAGTATTTTTCAGTCCACAAAGTAGAAGCAGCTCTGCCAGGAGTGGCAGAAGGATTGGCTTTTGTAAGGCAGATTTAGTAGAAAACAAACAAACAAACAAACAAACAAACAGAAAAGGGTGGAAAGTGGATTGGTTGCCCTCAGGTACTTTCCTTGTATGGGTTAAAGCCGAGAGGACTTCCTTATTTTGCCTGCTCAGATTTACTGATCCCATTTTTTTGGTTGCTATAAATCTTCTATTATTTTTTCTTTGAAAACTACGCTGTTTGGGGATTTGGTTCTCATCTTTCTCCTAATTTCTCAGAAGGTCAAATTCATACAAATAAACAATTTAGTTCTTGGATAGGTAATATGGAACTTTAGCATGAGTGTCTCCATTTTGGGCCTAGTATCTTTTTATTAACCTTGTTATTCTCTCCCATGATATGGAAATACATTTTATCTATAAACTATTCAGATCATTTAAAAAGCAACTTTATCATGATAGCTTTCTTCAAAGACCACGCCGCTGGGTAGGAGTAGCATTTGATGTACTGTGGTTTTTATTATCAGTCATTAGCTAAATCAATCAAAAACTAAACTTGCTAAAGGATGGCCATGAAGAAGAGAACTCATTCATAGAAACTTAATTTCAGAGCAAGATTAGGATGGAGTTTTTCTCATCTATTTCAGTTTCTGAAAAACTTGGGGTAACGTGGCCCTTGAGGCATGATGGGAAGTACTGCCGAAAAAAAAGTGTCATTGCACTTGCTATCTCTTCAGCTGAGAATTACAGAATATCCACTTACCATTACCCATCTAATCATGCATATCAGTAATCTTACATGGTTAAACCTATAGGAAAATTGGGGCAAGCGTGGTGCTGTCAGGAGAACTCAAAGAGGAAAAAGGGACTTTTTTTCCAGGGGATTTTATGCTGTATAATTCCTTTCAAAACATCAGTAGAAAAGAGAGAACCTTAAAATGCAAGCTTTATTTTAGCAGTAACTGTTACTTCTCTTAGTTGCTCTTTCAGAGCAAAAACAGCCAAATTTAATTGACAACAAGTATAAAGATACTGTAATGGGGATTCTTACTATGAAGAGGTCTGATAATAACCAAATGTTCATTTTTTAACCATTAATAAATAACTAATTAATTAACTAATTTTCACAAGAGAGTTATAGTCAACATTGTAGACAAGGATAATGCTATCATCCAGAGAAAATGACTTATATATAGAAATAAAAATGGATAACATTTTGAAATACTATCTACTTTGGTCTTCCTTCTTGATAATTGTCTTTTAACTCTGCAGCCTTCATGATTAAACTAGGAAATGAATGTGAGATCTATTGCCCTGGAGTGGGGGGAACAAAATGAAAAAGAAAACAAAAAAGAACTCCAAAGAGAGTCAAATTCTTGACTTTATAGCTCCTAAGTAGGCTTTTATAATATTCTATTTGAGATATTAGTCTGAAAGCTGAGAATGTTTAAATAGTAAAAGCTAGACACTATTGAGACATAAGAGGCTTGTAATGGAATGGCAGAGGTTGGTCTTGAATATGCTCACTCAAAATAGAATTTATACCAAGAACCAAAGGGTTGGGAGGAAATAAACAGTGAACTATTTTCTTTACCCTAAGGAAAATAAAAGTACAACTAGTTGAACTGAGGGAAATAATTGAATTTGATGTGACTGGGATTTAGATGCTGATGGAATCCTGAAAGTGGCCATTGCCACATGTCCCTGAGCAGTTGAAAGTTATTCTCATAGATCTGTAAGTACTAGCTTTGGTTTTTGTTTTTATTATGTGCCTTAAAAAAACCACTATTATCAAAACAACAACAAAAAAAATCACTCAAAATTCTACCCAATAATATATATTTCAATGCTTATTCTACTAGTCATTTTGTCCATGCATGTTCATTTCTGTCTGTTTCTATGTCTGTAGCTGTATCCATATTTTTATCTACACCTGAAATTCTATTTTGCATCTGTAGCTACATCTGTAGCTATAGCTGTACTTATATCTGTATTGAAAAGTAGTATGTCCTAGGAAATTCTAGGAATATAGTGACAGCTGGAAAACAAAAATCAAAAATCCATGAAGTTAATATTTATAATGAAACTAGGTAGCAAAGTATTTTTTTAAGCCTCAAAATATAAGCAGATAGAAATATGTCACCAATAGCCACAAACTCTGCATTATACCAATATCTTCATTAGAAAAAACAAGAAGGAAGCAACGAATGACTAAAGGACTTGAGAATACAAACTTCCAAATTAGCCAACATGAAACTGTCAGAGAACAACAGCTACAAAGGAGGAGAGTTCTTACCTATTTATATGATGAGTGAATGTAAGGCTTACACTAAGGTGTAAGGAGCTGGAGCTGTCTAGACTTTATAAACTCTTGAAACTGATCAACCTTCCAAGATAGAGTACCAAACTGCCAAGAATAAAATCAAAATTGATCAGGCCGGAGACAATAGCAAGGAAGGAAACATGGTGTCCCAGTAAAAGTGAGAAAGAAACAACCAGAAAACCTCAGTAAGAAGCATATATTTTAATGCTACACAGAAATACTAGAAGAAGGAGCTCTGTGCAGTTAAAAAATGTCATTTGAACCAAGATCCCTTCTAAAAATTCAAGAATACAGTTTCACATAAACAACAAAAAAGTGTTGAAGTTAAATCCCATTAAAACTTACCAGTATACAAAGAGAATAAGGAGCAGAATAACATCTGTACTGACAATGAAAGTATGCCATAACGATATGCCTGTAAAACAGATCTAAATTATAAACTGCTATTTCAAAGCAACTTCAACGTCATTCAAATGTGATACAAAGTATAAATGAATAACACACATGAGAATTAGGAAAAATCAGAAATTAAGTGACAGAACTCAAGAAAGAATTAGATATAAGAAAAAATCATATTAAAAAGAGAAAATAAACATAGTTAATAATGTCTTAAGAAAAAAGAAAGGTTAAAAATTAAAGCCGAAGGAAAAAAATGGAACATTGAAGATAAACCAAAAAATATTTAACACAAATAATAGAATTATCTGAAGAAGAAAACTAAAGCCAGAAAAAAGAAGAAATACTCAAAACCGTAATTCTAGAAAGTTTATGGGGTTAAACAAAGATTTGAAACTTATTGAAAGAACACATCATATACTCACATGCTCAAGAATATCAACCCAGGAAGACTAATGTTAAGATATATTAGAGAAACTCCTGAGCTTGAGAGAAAAAAACATAAACTTTTGAGTGGGTAAAACAAGTTATCACTTATAGGGAAAAACTATATTATCTTCATAATTTTCAGCAGTAATGCTTCATGCCAGAAAAAGAATGAAGAGATATGTTTAATACATCAAGGAGAGAAATCATAAAATGAGAAACTTATATGCAGCAAAATTATCAGTAAAACAGTTACAAACTCTTAAATATACAGGAATTCAGAGAAAATTGCTCTTGTGAGTCCTTCTCAGAGCAATCTGCTGGAGAGCAAACTTCAGATGACTACCATGACATTACATGTGGAATGGTCATGAGAATATGTACTTATAAAACTAGAAATAAAGAAAAGTTAAAAAGGAGAAAATATATCTGGAGTAAAAGCTTAGAAATGAAGAAGGAAGAAGGGATTAGCTTATGTAAAATTTTAAAAAATTGTCTCTAATAATTATTACTGGTGGTAGCTTTGTTAGTATTAATATTCTAGGATCATTCTGTGTATAATGTGAGATAAAGCAAGGGTATCTTTTCTATATTTGAAAACCAAGATTCATAGTGTGGAAGAGAAAAGATACAAATATAATATAGAAGAGGTTACATAATATCAATGTGGTTATAAATATATGCATATATTTATACATTATATATTTATATATAAAATTAAAGCTAATTATTTATATGTATATACTGAGTATACTCACTGAAAGTGGCTGGAAACAATGACTAACCCAGGAACAGTGCATGTTTCTGGTGACCAAATTGCCTTGAAATGCCAGGGGCTTCATGGAGAAATGGCTGATTCTACGTATAGGGGTAGAAATGTACAGGATAAATTTGGAAAATCTTGTTACACTGGGTAACAAGACAGCTAACAGAGACTCCTTAGGACAATGTCAAAAAGAATTATGTGCTATCTTGAAGTATCTCCAGCTGACCAAATGTAGGACAATTTGAAAGTCAATAGAATAAGAGATACAATGTTGTGAAACCCATACGGTATGTTTAAATTCATGAGTTTAAAATGATGTAAAAATTAATTAGTCAACTTTTGAAAATGTAAAGGGATTAATACATATCTTGAAAAATAGTATGCAACGAGAAAGAATAGGCCTTTATGTTGCCTTCTTGTATAAACTGTACTCTTGGGTGACCAAATGGTAGATAAGAGAAGTATCTGTGTAGAACGTTATTTCAGCTAATTAAAAAATATAAAATTAGAATATCAGCATTTTATACCATAAAATATGCTCCAGCATGAATGATTTTTACCCAGAATGTGAAGTGAACTGGTAGCTTCTCTCATAGCTTACCAAACAGGACTTTCTTCTCTGTCAGTCTGCATGTATGAAATACATACATGCTGGAATAAGACTCTCATACTGTCTTCTTATCTTTTAAAAAAATTAGTGTATCATGAACATTTTCCCTCTTTTAGCATCCATTTAGCAGACATTACAACATTTACAATGACTATATAATAGTCTAGTGTATGAGTATATCAGTTTCATAATTTAAATAACATGCTATTTTCATTCAAAATTTACTTTGTTGTCTTATGTATTTGTTTTCTATTATGTATATGGCTTCCACAGCTCCTTTTGCAGTAAAATTTTTTTTGTAACCATAGTTTTTTTTTAGTCAAGTATAATTATTAGTTAAACATATTTTTACCAATTTGGACACAAATTGTCAAATTGTCCTTCAGAAAAGTTATTAGCCTACATGTCCATCAGTAGAGTGCAGTCCTCCATATGCCTGCTGTTTTTTTAAGGACAGGTGGCCCTCTGTATTTGTGGGTTCCAAATTGGGTTCAATTAACCACATATTGAAAATATTACACACATATGCACACACACACACACACACACACACAGACACACACACATTCAAGAACTGAGTTAAAGATTAAATATTAGAACAAAAAGATCCTCCTAGTGCCCTTATCCACGAGGGTTTAGGAGCTCTTATCTGAGGACCTGGGGCGGGGGAGAGATCAATATATATGTTTCTTATTATATCAGAATATCACACGTTTATTATTTCTCTTTAAGTCTTTAGTGTTTGTGTTTGTATGCCTTTAATGAAACCTTAATGAAACTTTCCACTATTTTAAATAGTGCAAAAGCTGGTAAAATAAAAACTTAAAAAATGAATATGGAATTAAATAAAATACATCATCTTATCTAGCCTCATTTATTTGCTAAAAATAATTTATCAGTCACTAAGGAAAATCAGCTTTTTTCAAATTTTCCTATGAATGGGACAGATACTGCATTTAAAAAAATCTCTAAGATTAACCAGCTATACATTTATTCTGATGAACTGGTCCAATTAGCCTCTTTATCTGCTTGTGCTATTAAGAGGTAGAAGTTAAGAAAAAAAAATCCAGCTTTGGTTTAATATTTTTCTGAAAATTACTGAACACATTTGGGAATAAACAGCAGATTGCCCCCTTGATATATACTTAAAGTGGATTTTGTAACCTGCTGTGGGATGGGAGATTTCTAAAATGCAGCCCCTGATATCAAGGTCTCTTATTATGGCCGTGGTGCCACTGGGATTGGATGACAATTCCTCTTCCTCGCAGAGATTCATTTAAGTGACTCCTAAGTACCTGAGTGTTGAATTTACCCCAGCCTCTTAGGAGCAAGGGGATATTGAAGGACCTAACTGTGTGTATTTATTTTTTTAAAAAGGATTAAATACCAATTTTTAGCAGAGGCTGAGATCCGATAGTCTCTTTTTAATCTTTGGGGTATTCTCTGGTAGAAGAGCTCAGTTTTTGCCTAATATTTTTCTTAAAACAACAGTCCTTGCTATTTTAATCTGTCACTCCCTGGAGCAAAAGAGCATGGCTGAGCATCCAAGATTACATTTCCTGTCTCTTATCATATAACTGAAGCTTCTCTTCAATGTAGTATTTTGAACCTAATACAACTTTCTTTCTGTGTATGGAAGGCCTTCATATTCTTCATATTCTTCTCTTTTATCTTCCTGTTTTCATTCCTTTCATCAGATCCAGCATTATATATTAAACAAGCTAATTAGTTAAAAGGCATTTCAGGAATATATTAGAAAATGTAGAAAGTGAGGAAGGTGCATTGGAGATTTATTCAGCACCTACAGTTTATATGAAGGAAGAGAGAATGGAGATCAGTGAAGTTAGGACTTTTCAAGGTTCCAAAGCAAGTTCACAGCTGATATTTTTTGTAACTCTACTCAGGTTGTGGATTAGTTTACACTGTGATTCTTGTGACAACAATGAAAATAATTCCTTAGTTTATTAATGGCTTCAAAAAGACTAAGTTAGCAATACAAATCCTCTAAAGTTGTATGCAGAAAATACATATTGCTGTTTGCATAATTGGTTTTCTAGAAGCATGGATATAATGCTAAATAAATGGAAACATATTTCAATATTGTTGCATTGATATTTATTCTATAATACACTCATGTTTGCTTTGCACTACTCATATTGTATGTACTTAGAAATCCTTGAAAAACAGAGTTTAGAGAGAGCTTTAATTAAAATAGTAATGAGCACTCGATTACCAAAATTGATTTTAATCATAAGAAAATATCATCCTTCTTCCTGATCTCTTGGCACCCTTGCTGTGCTCACAGATTCTTTCTTGGAAAAGTGGACTTTTCTTTTCTTTTCTTTTTTGAGACTGAGTTTCGCTCTTGTTGCCCAGGCTGGAGTACAATGGTGTGATCTCAGCTCACCACAACCTCTGCCTCCCAGGTTCAAGCTATTCTCCTGCCTCAGCCTCCTGAGTAGCTGGGATTACAGGCATGTGCAACCACACCTGGCTAATTCTGTATTTTTAGTAGAGACGGGGTTTCTCCATGTTGGTCAGGCTGGTCTTGAACTCCTGACCTCAGGTGATCTTTCTGCCTCGGCCTCCCAAAGTGCTGGGATTACAGACGTGAGCCACTGCGTCCGGCTGACTTTTCTTGTCTTGATGGCATATGCTGCTATGGTTTTTCCCCAAATATCCTGTGGGACTTTTGTTCTGTCCGCTTTGTTCCCTCCTATTTTGCTTTTATCTCTTAAATTTAGCAAACTCCAAGTGTTTTCCCTTGTTTCTTTTAATTGCTATCCCCATACTCTGTTTTGTCCAATATTTTCACAACTTCAACAGTCATCTCTGTTTACGTGATTTCAAGTACTATACTTTCAGCTTCAACATTTTTCCAACTACTGATACTGCCTGTTAAATATCTTCACTTTGATGTTTGCTGGTATAGCAAGTTCAATATGGCCATATGGGGACTCATTATCTGCTCAACATCCTACAATTCACTTGCCCTCCTTATTCTTCTCTTTCTGTGTAATGTCACATTTCTCTCAGCTACTTCTCTTTCCAGGCTCAACACCAAGAATAATTTTTTCCTATATCAATTCCTTATCCCTGATCTTCAAAGAATTGTTTCTATGTTCTGAATGTTTATTTCCCCCAAAATTCCTATATTGAAACCTAATCTCCAAGGTGATGGTATTAAGAGGTGGTGCCTTTGGGAGGTGATTATTTCATGAGGGTAGATTCCTTACGAATGGGATTAGTGCCCTTATGAAAAAAAAAAAAAACAACTGAGGAGCTGGTTTCCACCATGTGAGGATACATAGAAGGTGCCATCTATGAGAAACAGGCCCTCACCAGACATGAAACCTGCCAACACCTTGATCCTGGACTTCCCAGCCTCCAGAACTGTGAGCAATAGATTTCTGTTGTTTACAAATTACTTACTCAAAGGTATGTTATCGTAACAGACTGCACGGACTAAGACAATTTTCATCTTGGCAGATTTTACTACTGAAATGTTCTCTCATTTATCCTCAGTCTTGTATTGCTCTCTTAAATCTTCATTTATGTCTTCATTAACTCTTTACAGACTTCCGAAAGAGTTACCTGTTGGTTTCCCTGCTTTTGAAAGTCTTAGCAAATTACCCTGTAAACATATGTGATGTTAATCTGCTTAAAACATAGCCTCAGATCACATGCTCAAAGGCTTCCAATGGTCCCTACTGACTTATAAAGGTTTTCATCAAAACGTACTAGATTTTGTGGGAAATGGCTTCAAACTACATTGCCATTGTTTTTTCTTTCACTTTTCAACAAATACTCTACATAAGTGCTTCTCAGATTTAAGGTGCATACAAATCAAATGTAGGTCATTCACTGTCCTTGGAAAGTTTTATTTGCTTTTTTGGTTCTGTGCTGTTCACTGTTTGCAATACCTTGCTGTTACATCTCCCTTTATTATAAACCAGAACACATCTCACAGTCAACCTATCCATCAAATCTCATTTGCATGAATTTTATTTTCCAAATTCCCAAACATTTATAGGTATATTCTTTTTTTTTTTTTTGAGATGGAGTCTCAGTCTGTCACCCAGGCTGGAGTGCAGTGGCACGATATCGGCTCACTGCAATCTCCACCTCCTGGGTTTAAGCGATTCTCCTGCCTCAGCCTCCCGAGTGGCTGGGATTACAGGCGCCTGCCACCACACCTGGCTAATTTTTGTATATTTAGTAGAGACGGGGGTTTCACCATTTGGACCAGGCTGGTCTTGAACTCCTGACCTTGTGATCCACCCACCTCAGCCTCCCAAAGTGCTGGGATTACAGGCGTGAATCACCACGCCTGGCCATCTATAGTATATTCTTTATGACACTTAACTATATTACCTGGCATGATAGTTTCTCAAATAGAATATAAAAATTTTGAAGACAAGAACTATACTTCTTTTCCCTCTGTATCTCCCATAGATCTTGCACAACACTTCACATGCAGTAGGTGGGTGCTTAATAACTATTGTTTAAATTATTCTACACAGTTGAGCCACACTGATAAAACAAACCACTAGTAAACAGATTTCAGTTCATAATTAATGTTTGTGATATTTCCTGTAAACTGGAAAAGCTAAGATTCTCTTAGCAGTGGTCTTTTCAGAAATGTTTGTGTAAATTCCAAATATCAAACTCTGCACTACTGTGAAACTATTTCAGACGTCAAGTCAACTTAGTGTTTGAAACTAAACAGGAAAATGCTAAGTGTTAATGAATATAAAGAAGGTTAAATATTTTTACTTGTTATTATTTTTTTTACAGGAAAACCTAAACTGATAAAAATAAGGAGGAGGAGGATGTTACTGCAGTGAACTGGGTTCTTTTAACAATTTATTCCACGTATTGTTTGAGAAAGGCCATGTGTTCTCAATGAAGTGAGATCGCCACATGTTGTCTCAGTGTGTCACCACTCAAGCAGAGGGAGAATTGTGTCCATTGTTAAGAAGTGGAAATTGCCAGAGATGAAGACTTAAAAGAAAAAATGCCCCTGGGGTTCTCATTCAGCCATTCAGATTTCTTGTGCTGTTAATACATGCCAAGCAATGTGTTATGGATTCAGAACTGAAAGCCATAATCTTTTTCTTATAATCAGCTAAAAAATCTAGTGGGAAAGATATAAAAATAAATAATCACTAATAAAACAATGTGACAAGTAGTGGTTAATTAGGGAAACTACAGAGTCTAAAAGAATACATAGGATATGTTTGGTAGAACAGGCGGGTGAGGACATTTCAAATTGAGCAGTGTTTCTGAGAGAAGTATCTTTCTTTCTTTCTTTCTTTCTTTCTTTTTCTTTCTTTTTCTTTCTTTCGTTCTTTCTCTTTCATTATTACTCACCTAAGGAAATTTTTCAGAGCCTTGTTCTAAACACTAGCACTTGCTCCCAATAAAATGTCAATACCACAGATATATTGAATGTCCCTATATGTATGGTGGTCTGTTGAAGAGCTACAAACCTCTGTAATATCTACAGCTTTTTCATCCTCTAACAAACAATTTTTATCTGTTTGTGGCAATATGACCCCCACTGAGAATGCCTGACATTGTAGTACTAGCATGCCTAGATCTTGTCAAGTAACTTCATTTCCCTAGGGTCAATTTTGGCAAACTTTTTGTGCCAGAGTGGCCTCACATTGTTTTCCCTTCCTTGATTTCAGCTATTTTTTAAAATCTGATTATGGCTTAAAGATTGCAACTAACTGGCATTTGGGGTTATACCTCTGCATTTAGTAGGCTGAGTTACTTCTGCAAGTAAGAGAAAAGTAAAAACAGTGGTTTCCACAAGTTTGTTGCTCACTCTGGGAGTATGACTCCTCTGTTCAGTGCTGTCTGGAAGGATCCCAGACTACTTTCAGTTACACTGCTTTGCCAACTCTAGGAAGTGGCCCTTGTCCAAGTTGGCTTCTACAGCCTACATAGCAGGAGGAAGGAACATAGAAGTAGGGAGATGATCATGTGACAGCTGCCTCTTAAGGGAGGTATCTAGAAAGCTGCCACATTGCACTCTGACTTATAGCCCATTTGGCCAGGGTTTAGTCACATGCCCACACCTGGCTATGCAGGAGATTGGATATTGTCATCTTTATTCTGGTGGCCATGTGCCCAGCTGAAATGGAAGAATGAGGGAATGGATATTGGAGGACTACCAGTGCTCTTGTTAGTTTCCTTGCTAAAGACTTTTGCTTTAAAGAAATTATTTTTGCTAGACAAATAAAAGTGTAACATTTACTGAAATTAAAATAAAATATATTAAAATGATCTGCAGTCTAACACGTAACAGATTAAACTGCTTTCATAGTTTTCCACCATAAAATTCTTATCTAGGCATGATTTTTATATTGTTACAATTAGCAGTCAGATATAATTGTTTCTTTTTCAGTTTGTGTTATAAGTAGTATTCTAGGTTGTTATATAATCCTCATAATTTTAAGGGCTTTAGAGATGCTGCAATAAACATTTTCATGTATATTAACTTTTCCTTGTGTAGGATAATTTTCTTTATCTATGTGTCTACCAAAAGTAGGGTAATTGGATCAAAGGCTATGATAATTTTGCATGTCTTGAAACACAAGAAAAAAATATTTTTCCAAAAAGAATCTTCCAATTTTGTCATTTTGTTTCATTAGTGATTGTTTATTTTTCATCACTTTTATTAGTTAGATATGACACTGTCTGCTTGATTACCAAATATTCTTATTTTACGCATTTAAAAAGCCACATTACTCTTATTTCAATGTGTTCTTTTGATAACTGGCAGAGTTGAACATTTATACATATATATTAAATATTATCTTACCAACTTTAATTCCAATTACTCATATACTTTCTTCAAATGTTAGTATTATTTTAAATACCAATTTGTACAAGATTTCTATGCAATATAGATATGGTCTTTGGAATGTAAAATTTGCTGTAGATATGTGTCTAAATCTGTTTTCTAGTTATTATAAAATCATTATTATTATCATTCCACTGATCTTTCTTCCCTCATATTCTCTGTCAAAATGCATTCTTCAGGAAATAAAAAATTAAAGGACTAGTCAAAATACATGTCAAACACCAATGAAAAGCAAATGTTAGCTCAAACATTGCTTAGCCAAGGAAACGTTTATTTTAATAAATTTTCCTCTCTGATTAGTTTTCTCTTGAACACTGCTAAAATAAACGCACACACACAAAATCAATGTTCAGGATTTTCTGATTATTTGCTGTGATTGTGTGGTTTAATCCATTTGAAACTAGAAGAACATAGTGCTGTTCACACTCCGCTGGAGGAAACACAATTTCACAGTTTGGTTCCCAGCACTGCCTTGCAGGGCTGCTATCGTAATATGTTTCTAGCTCTGGACATGCAAGCACAAGTCTCTCACTTTGGCTTCTCAATGGGGAAGGAGAGAAACACTAGAGGAAACAGCAATTAGATCAATATATAATAATACAAAAGCTACAGAATTGTTCCCCATACTCATATGTATGTTACCGAAGTAGTATGACTCTTTCCCACTCAAACAATGATTTATTTTTTCAGGAAGACTGGTTTAGATTTGTGCAAGCTGAAACACAGGAAGCAGCCTGAGAAATTAAGGAACTCTGCTCTGTATGTAGAGCATTATTAGCTGGGTTTTTTGTTTGTTTGTAACTAGAAGAAAAGAAATGACCAAATCCAAGAATTTAATCAGCCATGAGATTTGTGCTGAAAATTTTTTTATGGATAAGATACAAAAAAATCTGTTACTAAAAATTGTTATGAAAATAAACCAGTTTAAAGGACATAATCTCATAACATGCAGGGTAGTGGACATTATTATTTATGTTTTTGTGACTCTTTTTTTAAAAAAAAACTTGTCACTGAGCAACCAGAAGAGTCTAACATTGCTTGAGCAAGTGCTACTCCAGTGCTGTGGAGACATATGACATCAGACTTCTCACTGACACTGCTTTCTACCAGAGACAATATGATATATGAGAAAATGATCTGGCTTTCGGCTCAGCTAAATTTGGGGACAAATTGCAGCTCATTCACTCCCTTCAGTGTCCCTGGGTAAGTTTACTAACCTTTCTGTCTCTCCCTATTGTACGATTTCTAAAAGGTGATATAGATACCTTGCAAGGTAGGTGTGAAGATCTGTGATAATCTATATAGAATATCCACTGTAATGGCTATAATGAAGTGGGAATTCAATAGCTGATAGTTGCTACTCTTCTCCCTAATCCAGTTTATCCTACATTTTTTTTTTTCTTGGAAATGTATGGCAAATATTTCTTAATCTTGTTTGCACCTCTATGGCCATTTTTTTTCTATGCCCATGGAAGACACAGTTAATTGATTGTAGTGCTGTATTCTACCGTGTTTAGATAGTCTTTGAATCTGATTATCTTATAAATTTGCTGAGGAAGATACTATATTTTTTCTTTTTTTGTAAGTATTATAATTTCCAGTATACATTGCATACAAGAAAAGACACATTCATTGAATTATTTCTCCATTTGGGCATTTGAATCATATTATAGTTTAATTTTGTACAATACTGGAAAAATGAAAGCAGTAGAAATTAATTTGTGCCATAATATTGAAAAAAATATATATTTCCCCAGGTTAGTCTAGAACTCCTGGCCTCAAATGATCCTCTTGCCTCAACCTTCCTAGTAGCTGGGATTACAGGTGTCTGCTACCAAAAGCAAAATGAATTTTCTTTTGAGAGCTGATACTGAGTAGAAGCAGTTTATATTATAAATAGATTCATAACTCTAGCCTGACTAGGTTAACTTTCACCTGATTGATCTCTGCTAGTTTCAGGAAGAGATCCAGAATTTAAAGGGCAAAGAGTCCCTAGCACTTTGTTGTTTCTTTTCTGTGATAGTGCTGAACGCTCTGAGAACGTTCAGAAGCAAGTGAGCTTATACAAACCATACCATTAGGGAAAGGTAAAAGTACTGCCTCAAGCACTAGGCCTGCACTGCCCAAAAGTGGGACAGCAGTTGGTGTCAATCTGAAGCAAAAGTTCCCAAAGACTATTTCTTCAAGGAAGGTGGGGAGAGTTGTCATAGACAGTGCTATGGTTTAAATGTGTCCCTCCAAAACCATGTGTTGGAAACTTAATCCTCAATGCAACAGTGTTGGGAGGTGGACTAATGGGAGGTGTTTAGGCCATGAGGTCTCCACTCTCATGAATGGATTAATGCTAATTATAAAAGGGTTTGAGACTGCGAGTGTAATCTCTTGCTCTCTCCCTCTCACGTGCCCTTCTACCTTCTTTCATGGGATGATGCAGCAAGAAGATCTTCATCAGACATGGCCACTTGATCTTCGACCTCCTAGCCTCCAGGACCATGAGTCAACTAAGTTTCTTTTTTTATAAATTACCTGGTGTCTGGTATTTTGTTATAGCAACACAAAATGGACTAAGAGAGTTTAAATAATTGTCTTTTTTCTGTTATTCTTTGAGAGATGGAACCCACATATTGAGTGAATAGTAAACAAATCTCCCTTTAGGAATGAAAAGAAAAACATTTAAATTCAGGACACTCTCTCTATTGATGTGGTAGGCAGAATTCTGATATGACCCTCAAAATTCCCCCATACCCTAGAGTACACGTCCTGTATTATTCACTCCTCTTGAGTGATAATAGAAAGAATGTCACTCCTGTGATTATGTTCCATTAGATGAGAAAGGTGAGGAAATTTTGCTGGTAGAATTAAGCCTGCAAATAAGGTGATTTTGAGATAATCACATGAAAATTATCCTGGGTAGGCTTGATCTAATCAGTCAAGCCATTAGAAGAGACTGAGGTCTTCCTGATGTTGGATGGATTTGAAGCAACAGTGATGTTCTCTTCTTGGCCTTAAAGAAGCAAATTGTCATTGTGTGGAGAGGGCGCTATGGAAGGAACAGTAGGTGGCTTTTAGAGGCTAGAACAATACATGGCTGACGGCCGGCAATAAAGCAGCAATCTCAGTTTTATAGCTGCAAGGAAATGAATTTTGACAATAACCAGTGAGCTTGAAAGAGGACCCTGAGTCTCAGATAAGAACATAGTCCCAGCCAACACTTTGATTTCACTTGGTTAGACCCTGAGATGATGATGCAATTAACCAGTGTCCAGATTCATCAAATCTGTGAGATAATACATTTGCATGATTCTGAACCTCTATGTTTGTAATGATTTGTTATATAGCAATGGAAAACTAATACTCTTGGCTAAGAAAAAAATTTGAATCCCTCATTTTTTTTCCTCCCATAAAGGAAAACATTACTTGTATTTCTTAAAGCCAATTATTTCACTTAGGGGTGTCTTTAAAATTTAATTTTAACATTTATTTATTTATTTTAAATGGAATCAGAATCTTTATTACAGATATCCTTTAAGAACACAGGAAGAAAAGATAGCCATGTACAAAGGGTTTTTTTTTTTCCAAATATAAACATATTTTATTTTATTTTGAAGTTCTGGGATACATGTGCAGGACATGCAGGCTTGTTACATAAGTAAATGTGTGCCATGGTGGTTTGCTGCACGTATCAACCCCTCACCTAGGTATTAAGCCCTGAATGGATTAGCTATTTATCCTGATGCTCTGCCTCCCCCAACGCCCAATGCTGAAAGGCCTTGGTGTGTGTTTTTCCCTTCCCTGTGTCCATGAGTTCTCATTTTTCAGGTCCCACTTATAAGTGAGAACATGTGGTGTTTGCTTTTGTTTCTGCATTAGTTTGCTGAGGATAATGGCTTCCAGCTCCATCCATGTCCCAGCAAAGGACCTGATCTTGTTCCTTTTTATGGCTGCATAGTATTCCATGGTATATATGTACCACATTTTCTTTATCTAGTCTATCGTTGATGGACATTTGGGTTGATCCCATGTCTTTGCTATTGTGAATAGTGCTGCAGTAAACATACACGTATATGTTTCTTTATAATGGAATGATTCATATTCCTTTGGGTATGTATATACACAGTAATGAGATTGCTGGGTCAAATGGTATTACTGGTTCTAAGTCTTTCAGGAATAGCCACACTGTCTTCCACAATGGTTGATCTAATTTACATTCCCACCAACAGTGTAAAAGTGTTCCCATTTCTCCATAGTCCTGCCAGCATCTGTTGTTTCTTGACTTTTTAATAATCATCATTCTGATTGACATGAGATGGTATCCTATTGTAGTTTTGATTTGCATTTCTCTAATCATCAGTGATGTTGAGCTTTTTTAAAAATATGTTGTTTGCTACATAAATGTCTTTTATTGAAAAGTATCTGTTAATATCATTTGCCCACTTTTTAATGGAGTTGTTTGTTTTATTCCTGTAAATTTATTTAAATTCCTTGTAGATTCTGGATATTACACTTGTGTTAGATGGATAGATTGAAAAAATTCTCTCTCATTCTGTAGGTTGTCCGTTCACTCTGATGATGGTTTCTTCTGCTGTGCAGAAGCTCTTTATTTTAATTAGATCCCATTTGTCAGTTTTTGCTTTTGTTGTGATTGTTTTTGGCAATTGCGTCATGAAATGTCTGCCCATGCCTATGTCCTGAATGGTATTGCCTATATTTTCTTCTAGGGTTTTTATAGTTTGGGGTTTTATATTTGTCTTTAATCCATCTTGAGTTAATTTTTGTATAAGGTGTAAGAAAGACGTCGAGTTTCAATTTTCTGCATATGGCTAGCCAGTTTTTCCAGCACCATTTCTTAAATAGGGAATATTTTCCCCATTGCTTGTTTTTATCAAGACTGTTGAAGATTTGAAGGTGTGTGGCCTTATTTCTGGGTTATTTACTTTCTTCCATTGGTCTATGTGTCTGTTTTGTACCAGAACCATGTGGTTTTTGTTACTGTAGCCTTGTGTATGATTTCATGTCTGGTAGTGTGATGCCTCCAGTTTTGCTCTTTTTGCTTAGGATTGCCGTGGCTATTAGGGCTTGTTTTTTGGTTCCATAAGAATTTTAAAGTAGTTTTTTCTAATTCTGTGAAGAATTTCAATGGTAATTTAATAGGAATAGCAATGGATCTATAAATTACTTTGGGCAATATGGCCATTTTCACAATATTGATTCTTCCTATCCATGAGCATGAAATTTTTCTCTGTTTGTGTCCTCTCTGATTTCCTCGAGCAATGGTTTGCAGTTCTCCTTGAAGAGGTTCTTCACTTCCCTTGTTTGCTGTATTCCTAGGTATTTTATTCTCTTTGTGGTAATTGTGAATGACAGTTTATTTATTATTTGGCTCTGTGCTTGTCTATTGTTGATGTATAGGAATGCCTGTGATTTTTGCACTGATTTTCTATCCTGAGACTTTGCTGAAGTTGCTTATCAGCTTAAGAAGCTTTTGGGCTGAGACTATGGGGTTTTCTAGATATAAGTTCATATCATCTGCAAATAGGGATAGTTTGACTTCCTATCTTTCTATTTGGGTGCCCTTTATTTTTTTTTCTTGCCTGATTGCACGGGCCAGGACTTTCAATGCTATGTTAAATAGGAAGGTTAAGATAGCGTATCCTTCTCCTGCACCAGTTTTCAAGGGGAATGTCCAGCTTTTGTTCATTTAGTATGATGTTGGCTGTGGGTTTATCATAGATGGCTCTCATTATTTGGAGATATGTTTCTTCAATAACTAGTTCATTGAGAGTTTTTAATATGAAAGGATGTTAAATATTATTGAAAGCTTTGATCTGCATCTATTGAGTAATCAGGTGATTTTGTCTTTAGTTCTGTTTATGCACTGAATCACATTTATCAATTTGCATATGTTGGACCAACCTTACATCTCAGAAATAAAGTCTACTTGATTGAGGTAGATAAGCTTTTTGATGTGCTCCTGAATTCAGTTTGCCGGTATTTTGTTAGGGATTTTTGCATTGAAGTGTATAAAGGATATTGGCCTAAAATTTTCTTGTTCTGTTGTATCTCTGCCAGGTTTTGGCATTAGGATGACGCTGGACTCATAGAATGAGCTAGAGTACCTCCTCCTCAATTTGTTGAAATAGTTTAAGCAGGAATGGTACCAATTCTTATTTGTACATCTGGTAAAATTCAGCTGTGAACCCATCTGGTCCTGGGCTTTTTTTGGTTGGTAGGCTATTTATTACTGACTCAATTTCAAAGCTTGTTATTGGTCTGTTCAGGAATTCAGTTTCTTCCTGGTTTAGTCTTGGGAGGGTGCATATGTCCAGAAATTTGTCCATTTTTTCTAGATTTTCTAGTTTATGTGCATAGAGGTGTTCATAATAGTCTCTGATGGTTGTTTGTATTCATATGGGGTCACTGGTAACATTCTTCTTGTCATTTCTGATTGTGTTTATTTGCATCTTCTCTCTCTTCCTTTTTATTAGTCTAGCTAGTAGTCTATCTATTTTATTAATTTTTTCAAAAAAAATTAGTTCCTGAATACATTGATCTTTTGAATGGTTTTTTGTGTCTTGATTTCCTTCAGTTTAGCTCTGAGTTTGGTTATTTCTTGTCTTCTGCTAGGGTGGGGATTTGTTTCTTATTGAACACTTTTATCTGTATCTGTTGAGGAATCAGGTGGTTTTTTTCTTTAGTTCTGTTTACTCTTATTTCTCTAGTTCTTTTAGTTGCGTGGTTAGGTTGTTAACTTGAAGTCTTTCTAACTTTTTGATGTGGGCATTTAGTGCTATAAATTTTGTTCTTATTACTGCCTTTGATGTGTCCCAGAGATTCTTGTATGTTGTATCATTGTCCTTATTCGTTTTGAAGAACTTCTTGATTTCTGCCTGAATTTCATTATTTACCCAGAAGTCATTCAGGAGCAGATTATTCAATTTTCATGTGATTGCAGGGTTTTGAGTGAATTTCTTGGTCTTGATTTCTAATTTGATTGTGCTGTGCTCCAAGAGATTGTTATGATTTTAGTTATTTTGCATTTTCTGAGGAATGTTTGTTTTACTTTCTATTATGTGATCAATTTTAGAGTATGTGCCATGTGATGATGATAAGAATGTGTATTCTGTTCTTATTGGGTGGAAAGTTCTGTAGATAACTATGAGGTCCATTTGGTCCAGTTCTGAGTTAAGATTCTGAATATCTTCATTAATTTCCTGTCTCAATGATCTGTCCAATATTGTCAGTGGGTGTTAAAGTCTCCCAATATTATTGTGTGGGAGTCTAAGTCTCTTTGAAGGTCTCTAAGAACTTGTTTTATAAATCTGGTGCTTCTGTGTTGGGTGTATACATATTTAGGATAGTTAGATCTCCTTGTTGAATTGAACCATTTACCATTCTGTAATGCCCTTTTTTGTCTTTTTTGATCTTTGTCGGTTTAAAGTCTGTTTTGTCTGAAACTAGGATTGTAAGCCTTGATTTTTCTGTTTTCCATATGCTTAGTGATTTTCCTCTATCCCTTTATTTTGAGCCTATGTGTATCATTGCATGTGAGATGGGTCTATTGAAAACAGCTTAGCAATTGGGTCTTTGTTCTTTATCCAGCTTGCCATTTTGTATTTTTTAATTGGGGCATTTAGCTCATTTACATTTAAGGTTAGTATTAATACATGTGAATTTGATCCTGTCATCATGATGCTAGCTGGTTATTTTGCAAACTTGTTTATGTGGTTGCTTTCTAGTGTCACTGGTCTTTGTACTTCAGTGTGTTTTTGTAATGGCTGGTAATGGTTGTTCTTTCCATATTTAGTGCTTCTTTCAGACCTTGTAAGGCAGGTCTAGTCATAATGAATTCCTTCAGCATTTGCTTGTCTGAAAAGGATCTTATTTCTTCTTTGCTTGTGGAGCTTGGTTTGGAAGAATATGAAATTCTGGGTTGGAATTTATTTTCTTTAAGAATGTTGAATATTGGCCCCAAATCTCTTCTGGTTTGTAAGGTTTCAGCTATTAGTCTGATGGGCTTCCCTTTGTAGGTGACCTGCCCTTTTTGTCTAGCTGCCTTTAATATTTTTTCTTTCATTTTAACATTGGAGAATCTAATGGTTATGTGTCTTGGGGATAATCTTCTTGTTAAGTATCTTACTGGGGTTAACTTCATTTCCCGAATTTGAATATTGGCCTCTCTAGCTAGTTTGGGGAAGTTCTCATGGATAATATCCTGAAATATGTTTTCCAAGTCGGTTCCATTCTTCCCATCTCTTTCAGGGACATCAGTGAATCATAGATTTGGTCTTTTTACATAATCCCATGTTTCCTGGAGATTTTTTTCATTCCTTTTCTTTTTTCTCTATTCTTGACTGCCTGTCTTATTTCAGAAAGCCAGTCTTTAAGGTCTGAGATTTTTCCTCTCTTGGTCTATTCTGCTTTTAGTACTTGTGATTGCATCATGAAATTCTTGCGTGTGTTTTTCAGCTCTGTCAGGTTGGTTACATTCTTTTCTATACTGACTATTTTGTCTGTTAACTCATGAATTGCTTTATCATGATTTTTAGCTTCCTTGCATTGGGCTTCAACATACTCCTGTAGCTCAATAATTTTTGTTCCTATGCATATTATGAATTCTATTTCTGTCATTTCAGCCATCTTAGCTTGGTTCATAACCTTTGCTGGAGAGGTGATGCAGTCATTTGAAGGAAAGATGCAACTCTGCTTTTTGAGTTTTTATTGTTCTTACACTGATTCTTTCTCATCTTTGTGGGCTTATGTACTTTCAATCTTTGAGATTGTTGACCTTTGGAAGTTTTTTTTTTTTTTCTTGTATCCTATTTGATGACCTTGAGGGTTTGATTTTGCTATAAGGTGGGTTTAGCTCACTGGCTTTATTTCTTGGAGATTTTAGGGGGCCAACATTCAGCTACAAAGTCTTAGACTGTGTGCTCTAACTCTGGGGCACTTGTATTGGGCCCCAACTTTGTTCTCTGGTTCCTTGAGGTTTGGAATCCCCTGTGCTGGATATCCAAGTTACTGCAGCTGTGGCAGAGTGCTAGTGAGTGCTGGGGTGCCTGCCTTCCTGTGAGCATTCACCACAGTGGCAGAGGTGAGGAAGCTGTGGAGGGGTGAGCAGGGAGCCCCTTCTGGAGACTGTACATGGTCATGCTACAGATGGTGTTGGCTCAGGGGCTGGGTGCTGGCTGGCTCAGGTCTGGATGCCTTCTCTGTTCCCTGCAAGCAGGAGTGATTGCTGAAAGAGGGGGAGGATCTGCAATTCTCTATGTAGTGTTAGTGCAAGGGCAGGTCACTAGGAAAAGTCAGAATTTGCTGGCTTTGTGCCCAGCAAGGCTCAGTCTGCAATGGTGGTCACGGAAGTGGAGGTGTGGGTGGACTTCACTTGTGTGCACTGTTGGGCTAGGTAAGCAAAACCCACCTGTGCAGACAATCACCAGCAAAGTGACATGTGCTGGGAGGGGGCGGGTGGTCTGGTGCGCACCAGTAGGGGCTACCTCACTGGACCTCTCCACCAGTCAGGCATGATCTGCCAGCACAGGAGTTATCTTTATGTTCAGTTTATGTATGTGCTTCACAGTTGATTCATCCATATTAACTTAAAAAGACTACATATATGTTAGCTAAAGAAAGTAGATAATTAAAACAATTATTTAGATGAGCAAAGCAGAGGAAGTGATCATCTGAGACAAAACATTTTATATTTGAATTGAAATGAAAAACAGTTATGTATATAACTTTTCAATTTTGTGTCATTTTTGGAAAAATATTATTTTTTTAGTCATTTAAATTGTAAACCCTAGAGTCAGTTTTGAGCTGCCTGTACGATAGCCCATGCTTATCTCTCTAGTATACTTTCCATGTAACCTATTACCAAGCTCTGTAATTTCTATCTCCTCAATATCTATACATCTAATTCTTTCTTTGCTTTGTCTTTGTCTTTTTCTCCAAGACAGCCCTTCATAGGAATATCTTAACAAGTCTTCTCTTCAATTAAATGCCCCACATATAAAGATTAATTGTGCATTTTACTTCAAAGCATTAAAATATTTTCCATTGTTGATTTATGAAAAGGGTCCTCTGCTTACTAAGGTGCTTCTGCAATGTGGCTTCCTACCATGTGATTAGCAACATCTCAACTTCTTCTTTCCATGAACCCAAAAGGAACTCAAATCCACAATACAGCCAAACACATTCTTTCTTTTTCAGCCTTTGTCTTTTTTGTTGTAGTTTCTGCTAGATCTTCATTTTCAAATTCATTCTTTCAAAATCTTACACAAATATCAGGGTCCTATTAATCAAGCATCAGAGTCCCATTCATCAAGGATCAGGGTCCCATTCACAAAGCATTTAATTCAGGAAGCAATCCTTGATCTCCCCTTCCTGATGAAGTCACTCCTCTGAGCCCTGTTAGCACTCTCTACCCCTCTATATCACTTATATCCTGATTATTAATATGCATATTTGTAAGGTTATCTTATTAACGACCTTGTACTCTCCCGACACTGTGACTATCATCTTAAGAGTAAAGTTTCTTATTTATAATTTCATTCTCCACATTGCCTACTTTTGCATCTTACAATGCTATTTACTAGTTTTTCACATGTATGTGAGAACTAAATTGAATTTTTATTTTTGACAGATAATAAAAAAAGCATTTCATTTATAAAATGAAGCATATAGTTGAAATAAGTAGGAGTGAAAGAGGTATTTAGTTATGATCAAATATATTAAGAAAATTTGCTGTTCTAGTTTTCAATGTACCAGAGTTCTATTTTAGTTAAATTATTTTTCTCTTTTAACCCTTCTCTCCCTTATGTTCTTTCATTTTTACTATATATGTATTCATATAGACACAGAGTGACTATTTCTCTTCCCTGATATCAAAGAATTTTTTCTCTATTTGATTTTTCCCTAGGGTTAGGCAGAGTGATTTAGAATAAACCAAATTTGACTTGAATCCTTACACATTTCTACAAATGTCAAAGTTTTAAATTGCATAACTCTGTATAGAATTTATGAAATCTTGAGTTTCTCTTGGATTCTGCTTTGAGCAACAAAACATACCATGCTTAAAATTGAGTTCATCTGGAGAACACAAAGTAATGTCAAAAAATACTACTCAGCATATCACTTCCTCAGAAATATCTCAGTATACTCAACATACCTATCTATAAAACAGCAAACTTCTAAGCTGTGGAAGTGAATAAAATTGATATTAGTCAGTGACTTCCCTGTGGGAAGAAGGGTGGCAGTGTAAATGCAGAGTAAAGGCTGAATGAAGTCTATATATGTTTGGGGGTATTTTCAGCAGCGGTTCTTTCAAAAGTCATTTCATTTATGGCTTTTTTGGTGATTTTGCACAAAATAACCTAGATACATTTAATTTTTACATTTTCAGAAGAAACCTGCTCAGTTTGGAGCATGTTCACTTCTTTTGAAATGTTGATGTTGAAAGCTGCATATAGATCTTTTGAGAGGCCACATGCTTGAGATTCTATTTTTAAATTTTCATGACAGCTTTTACACTCTCCTGAGCATGCTGGATCTAAGTTTCTACTGAAGCATGTAATTACCAGCAATGACTTAGCATCTGCCATGTGGTGCCAAGTAATGGTAAATGGAAGCAATGTCAGAAAGAGAAGATTGGCAAGTTGGAAATACTGAGATAACTCAGAGACTCACCTACTCTGGCAAACACTCTCACCATTGCTGGCAGCACAAGAGAACTTTATTTGCAAGAAATGCTTATGTAATATTTAAAGTGCCCTACATCAGAGAAAATAAAAGGGTTACTTTTTTTTTGTTGTTGTTGTTTAGAATAAAGACATAATATCATTGACTGAATGCCCTACTCTTCCAAAACTATTTCTTACCTAACTTGTCATTTTATTTTACTACCTCCACTATTTGGTTTGCTCCTTTGGATGAGAATATTGTCTATAGAAGGTAACTCTCAAAACATAGCTATGAGATAAAGACCTAGGAATGGGGTTGAAGATGAAGCTGTAATTTAGCTTTAGGGTATACAGGAATCACCTATAGAGACTTTTAAAATTACAAATTCCTGGACTCAGCCTTCAGAGATTCAAATTCAGTAGGTTTGGAATTAAGCGGAGCAATCTTCATTTTTCTGAAGCACTGAGACCTTGGACCAGATGGGAAAGATATCACTCTAACTTGAAAAAAGCTACCTTTTAGCCTCTGCCTTAGTCCATTGGTGTTGTTATAAAGGAATACTTGAGACAGAGAAACTTATAAGAAAAGAGGTTTATTTGTCTCATGGTTCTGTAGGTTGTACAAGAAGCATAGCACCAGCATCTGCTTCCATTCTGGGATTTAGTGTGTTTCCACTCACAGCAAAAGGTGAAGGGGAGTTGGTGTGTGCAGAGATCACACGGCAAGAGAGGAAGCAAGAAAGAACTGGGGTTGGAGGAAACATCAGGCACTTTTTAACAGCCAGATCTCACAGGGACTGAGGAACTAATAGAGCTACAGAGAGAATTCACTTACTAATTACCATGAGAACAGCACCAAGCCATTCATGAGGGACCCACCTTCAAGACCCAAACACCTCCCCTTTGCACCACCTCCAACATTGGGAATCAAATTTCAACATGAGATTTGAGGGGTCAAACAAACCAAACTATAGCAGCCTCTGTCTATTTCCAGTATAAACTGTGGACAAGCAGAATTCTAGAGTCTCCCAGGAGCATGACAGAACTGCAAAATCACAGATTCACACCATCTATAGAATCAGAATTTGCATTTTGACAAGATCCACAGGTAATTCCTATACACATTAGAATGTGAGCAGCACCACTTCAGTAAACACATAGGATTTAGTTCCTGCTGTGTAGTTAATTAGATTAGCTGTTACATTGACTAGAGAAGGGAGAGTAGGAGGTAGAACAGTAAGTTTGGATGGAAAGGTGAGCATTAGTTTGGAAGATGGTGGTGGAAGGCTTGAGGCAGTTTGGTGGAAACAATATGGGAACAGAACTGGCAATTAAGCCTTGAGAGGCAGATTTCACAATGATTCCAGGGGCCCTTCAGCCCCGTGTTAAAAAGTGCTATCCTGTATTTCTTATCTTTAGTTTGAAAAAATTTTATTTAGGCCAGGTGTGGCTCACATCAATAATTCCAGCACTTTGGGAGGCCAAAGCAGGTGGATCACTTGAGCTCAGGAGTTCAAGACCAGCCTGGGTAACATAGCAAATCCCTGTTTCTATAAAAAATACAAAAAAAATTAGCTGGACATACTGCCATACACCTGTGGTCCCAGCTACTCAGGAGGCTGAGGCAGGAGAATCACTTGAGCCCGGAAGGTGGAGGTTGCAGTGAGCTGAGATCATGCCATTGCACAACCTTGGGCAACAGAAGAGAAACCCTGTCTCAAACAACAACAACAACAACAACAACAACAACAACAACAACAAACAAAAATATTCTATTTAAAGTCCTAGTATTTGAAGTACAGTAGAGAAAATATAGTTAATAATAATTTATTGCATATTTCAAAATAGCTAGAAAAGGATAATTGGAATATTTCGAACATAAAAAAGGTAAATGTTTGAGGTGATAGATATCTTAATTACCCTGATTTGACCATTACATATTGTACATAGACGTTTATTAAATATTTCATGTATCTCCCAAATATTGAAACTATTATATATCAATAAACTTAAAGCACATAACAATATTACATATATGTAATTCATTTATACTTTGGATTCCGCATGAAGCAGTTTTGACAAATTGCTGTTATGGTCTATTCATTGTGCTTTAGTATTTGACTGCTAGAACAGATAGACAGTTTTAAACCCTCCCTGTTTTGAAACTGTGTACAGATTGACACAGTCATAGTTACTGAATAATTCAAGGGGAAAATCTCTGATATTCCTCAGGTAGCCACGATCTTTAAGCCTGGCTACAGATGCATTTTCCTTGAACCAAAAGATCTCAATTAAGATTAAAGTTTCAAGCGAAACATAGGAGCTGCATTCTCTGAATGAGTACTAAATGTGGTGAAATGAGTTCAGCTATTTTGAACATCTACCATGCAGAATAAATTTTATAAATAAATTAAATCACATAACCTAATGAATATATTTCTTGTCACTTAGCAAGATAGCTGTTACCAGCTAAATACTAAAAGCTGTGTATTTAATTGATAAAAGCACATTTATTACATTAGAAATACGTAAAGTTACCCTGCAATGTGACTACCACACAGAGTTCTGTCTCATTAATTCCAAAGAGACATTGTGCAAGTTTTATGGTAATTTTGACAAATTAAGTTTCTTAGTGTTTTTAATTTGGATTTCATAATCTTTCTTGCCAAATAATTATTTAACTTCACAAATGCTAGCTTTGTAATAATTAATTGGTATTTAATTATCATATAACCAATGATATTATAATCTCTATATGAAGTTTCATTTCATTTAAAATAAAACCTCATTTTAATGTAAATTTTTTTCAGATTAGTATCAGTGACAGTTTTTCACATGAGATAGTAAACTTGGTTTACTCTCTGAGCAAGCAAGTAATCGTCTTTCAAGATCAGCAAGGAATTTAGGTATTGTTCTTTCTGAAAATTGCCCTAAAGTTGTACTGTCATTTTAAAACATAAGACCATGTCACATACTTTGGTCCCTTGAGACTCTAACTATAATAATTTTTTGGTTTAGGACATTACAATTAATGGAAAAAGATAAAAATAATGGAAAACTAAGAGGTGTAATTCTGGGTTCAGTGCACTAATCTAGACAGTATTCTTGTCCCTTAATAAAACATGGCAAGAATCACACATACTTATTTATTTTTTATGTATCACTCTTCTCTACATTTCCATAATGAAAAGAATCACCTGAGGTACTTGTTAAAAATACCGCTTCCTGGGGCTTTCTCTGAAAATTCTGATTTACTGGGATTGAAATGAGGCCTTGGAATTTGTATTTTTTCCAAGGACCTAAATAATTTAAATCATCAAGGGAGGCTAGAAAATACTGTTCTTGTGTTAAGATCTGGAAAAAGGAAATTTAGAATCACTTGTGCCTGAACAAGGATATATAGATCAGTTCTCCCAACCTTGATTGCATTTTAAAAATTCTGATGGCCGAGGCACACTTAGACCGATTAAATCATAATTTCTAAAGTGGGATTCAAGTGTCAGAATGAGTAACTGGGAAACTGCCTCATAGAAGGGTGTGACAGCTAACCAAGTGGTTTCAGAGAATCTGAACAGATTTGAAAGTGAAAGACCGGGAAAATAAACATAAGATTAAAAATGCATATTTTTCAAGGTGATAAAATTCCTATAGTCAGGGCTACTGCTTGCTCACATAGTGCAGAGATTTATTGAATTAGGAATCTAAGGCAGTGGTTTTAAAACTTGACTATGCATCAGCATTATGTGGAGGGCTGGTTAAAACAGTTTGGTTGGTCCCAGCCCCAGAGTTTGTAATCAGTAGGTCTGGGATGAGTCCCAAGATTTAAATTTGTAATAAGTTTCAGTTGAAGCTGATGCTGCTGGTTCAGATAACACACTTTGAAAACAAATGTTCTCAGGGAAGGTACAGTGAAGATGAGATATATGGAATGGGCATGGTGGGACTATATTAGATAGAGCCTAGGACTGGGTAAGATGTTATTCTGATAGAACACCTCCTGCCTATGATTACCATAAATATAGCCAGTATTTATCGAGTGCCTACTATGTGTCAGGTCTTATTCTAAGCATTCTATATATATTGAGTCATTTAATCTTTATAATAATCCTACATGGCAGATATGCTGTTATTGTTTGTATTTTATAGCTGCATAAGTTGAGGCACAGAGAAGTTAAGTAATTTGTTCAAGACAATGCAGATAGTAAATTGTAGGGCTGAAGTCTGAGGGATCTGGCTTCCAGTCCATGCAGTTAAATATGCATTTTTAATCTTATGTTTATTTTCCCGGTCTTTCACTTTCAAATCTGTTCAGATTCTCTGAAACCACTTGGTTAGCTGTCACACCCTTCTATGAGGCAGTTTCCCAGTTACTCATTCTGACACTTGAATCCCACTTTAGAAATTATGATTTAATCGGTCTAAGTGTGCCTCGGCCATCAGAATTTTTAAAATGCAATCAAGGTTGGGAGAACTGATCTATATATCCTGAATTTTCAGTTAACCACCGTTATACTGAAGAAGGTGAAGATGAATAAGATTTGTTCAAACAATAGATGTTCTAGGTCTGCTTGTAGTATCTACATTTAATAGCTGTTTTCAGTCATCTCCTGCCCTCGAATAATTCTTTGGCTTGCATATTGTGCCTACCCATAAAGCAAATGGTAACAGCAGGTTTGCCAACATTATTCCTTCATTCTATTTCCAGGAAGAGATCATAGAATTTTTAAGGTGAAGGATCACAGATGATTATCTTTACAGTTTACCTTGGTTACATTCACATGTAACCCTAATTTGCTTTTATGGCATAAAGTTATAATCCACCCCCAAAGTACTTTTAGAAATATACTCAAAGTTAATGGGTAACTAACTAACTTTAATTCATTGTAGTAATACTACAATGAATTGTAAAGGGAGAAACTATCCAAGTCTAAATGTATTTTAAATGAAGAAAATAATACAGATTAATTTCTTTGTTGACAGTGGAATTAAATTGGAAATAATTAAAAATAAAATAACTAGG
This sequence comes from Homo sapiens, assembly GCF_000001405.40. Taxonomy (NCBI): domain Eukaryota; kingdom Metazoa; phylum Chordata; class Mammalia; order Primates; family Hominidae; genus Homo; species Homo sapiens. The sequence goes on from NC_000003.12 coordinate 94,378,801, forward strand.
AATCCTCCAAATATGTGGAAATTAAAATACCCAGGAATCCTCCAAATATTTGAAAATTAAAATACACAAGAAACCCCCAAATATTTGAAAATTAAAATACCTAATATCAACAACATGTGTGATAGCTTAATCAGCACTGGCTGATGTGCCAGGAGTTCTGAAGGATTTTAGGAGCATTCCATAACTAGGAAAGGATGGAGTATGGAAGCCCATCTTTATAATTAAAACAACCTGCTAACTTCTATTTCTGGCTGAGTTTGAATAATTGTACCATACTGACTTTCCACCAAAAACAACTAGAAAACCAGACAAAATATGTAAAACAGGTGTTTCAGACATTGGACAGACAGCAGCACACTACTGTTACCCAAAAAAAAGAAAAATAAGACAAATTCTATGATTTCCCCATCTTTCCGTCTGAAGGCACTTTCTGGAAAGTACTGTGTGTGTGTGTGTGTGTGTGTGTGTGTGTGTGTGTGTGGTTGGGGGTGGAGGTTGTGAGAGCCAAGCAGAATATAGTGCATTTACTGAGTTGAGAAGATAGAGATGGAGTTCAGATGACTGAGTCGACGAGAATTTGCAGGGCAGAGTGCTGGAGAGGAAGGAGCTATGTGGAGAAGATTCTCCTTGATGCTATTGCAAAATGCTAATCTGTACTAATCTGGAAATGCCTAAGTAAAATGGTATGAGGCCAAGCAAAAACTACTTGGGAGTTGCCACTTGAATATTCCCCAGATTTACACAGGACTGAGAGATGTTCCAGTTCTGACCAGCCAGATTGGAAACACATAAATGAACATATGGGGTGTTCAATAAAGATCCTTGAAGAGTCAACCTAACTCATAGTGATAAAATCTGGAGTAAAAGGATATACTAAACTTGTCCCAATAAAGGTTAGAAACAAGCCTCAGAATGATAAAGCTGAACCACAAGTTATTTGAGTGCCTACCTACAAAGTTCAACACTTAAAGACATCGAGGCTGGGCGTCGTGGCTCATGCCTGTAATCCCAGAACTTTGGGAGGCCGAGGTGGGTGGATCACAAGGTCAGGAGTTCGAGACCAGCCTGGCCAATATGGTGAAACCCCGTCTCTACTAAAGATACAAAAATTGGCCGGGCATGGTGGTGGGTGCCTGTAGTCTCACTCAGCTACTCGGGAGGCTGAGGCAGGAAGGAGAATCGCTTGAATCTGGGAGGTGGAGGTTGCAGTGAGTTGAGATGGCACCACTACACTCCAGCCTGGGCAGCAGAGTGAGACTTCATCTAAAAAAAAAAAAAGAAAAAGACATTGAAACCAAGAATGAATTATCAACTTTTCATCAGAATCAATGCAAGTCAGAAAGCAATAGAATAACATTTAAAAAGTACTGGGCAGTGCAGGTAGGGGACCAACAAAACACTGTCAATTTAAAAATCTATATCCAGTGAAAATATCCTTAATAAATGAAAGCAAAATAAAAACGTTTTAAGTCAAGCAAAATGTTATCTACTTTATTACCTGAAGACCGGCACAACAAGAAATGTTAAAGGAGATTCCTCAGGGAAAAAGAAAATGATGCCAGATGGATAACTCAGATTTATACAAAGGAATGAAGAGTGCCAGTAATTGTAAATATGTAGGTAAATGTATGAAACATATTTTTTACTTTAAAACAATTCTTGAAAAGATAATCTACTTTTTAATAAAATAATAGAATTAGCAATAATTGAAGGCAACTGCAGAGTCAATGTAAAAACTTGCTATACCCATGTCTAACAAAACACATTCTATAAGGTTTTAGGAGGTTTTGATTTCTTTGATACTTTACACTTTGAATTATTTCTCTGGAGGTGTATGGTATAATAGAGGGGTTTATAATCAAATGTGGGGATCTCTCTGTTCTTGGTATTTTTATTACTTCTCTTTAAGTATTTGTTTAATCCAGAGTTTGCCTTTTGTTTTTCCTGTAATGGGCCAGATAATAGTATTTTAGGATTTGAGGACAATGCATTCTTTGTCACATCTACTCATATCTGTCATTTCAGGCTGGGCGCAGTGGCCCATGCCTGTAATCCCAGCATTTTGGGAGGCCGAGGCGGGGGGATCACTTAAGGCCAGGAGTTTGAGACCAGCCTGAGCAAAAGGGCGAAACCCTATCTCTACTAAAAATACAAAAATTAGCTAGGCATGGTAGTGCATGTCTGTAATCCCAGCTACTTGGGAAGCTGAGGCATGAGAATTGCTTGAGCCCAGGAGGTGGAGGTTGCAGTGAGCCAAAGTCGCGCCACTGCATTTCAGCCTGGGTGACAGAGAGAGACTCTGCCTAAAAAACAACAACAAAATTTAAAAAAAATATATGTGTGTGTATATATATATCTGTCACTTTAATGAAGTCATAGACAATATGTAGATAAATGGGCACAGCCAGATTTAGTTTATGAGGCTGTAGTTTGCCAGCCTCTGAACCTCATTATAGATACTGTGATGAATTTTATTAGATAAAAGAGGGGCATAAAGGAGTGGAAGAATCAGAGGAGATTAATATTCTTTAAAGATTCCATAGGTGGTTATTTTACATTCTGTATCTTATATTTAAAATTTCTGATGTCACTGGAGGAATCTAAAGCTGTTTTTCATGGTTTCTTCTGACTTTTATACATGGTAGCCTCTTATGTACTTGGTAAGTTTTGATTGTGAGCTCTACTTAATATGTAGTCATTTGGGGTCTAGATTGAAGGTATTATATTAATTACATTATATTAATATATTATGTTAATATATTTTCAATGAGAATTTGCATTTTCTTCTGCTGGGCACCAGGGCGTGTAAAGAATCTGAGACCATTTTATTTTTGTCACTTTGAGTTTTTACCAACTGTGGTGTTGGTAAACCCTAGAGAGAGTAGGTTTATAATGGCAAAAACCCAGAGGAGATTTTTCATTAATATTTTTACTGTTATCATCTTCATCATAAATCTTTTCCATCTAGAGCCCTGGAAAGTGTGTTACTTACCTCTACTCCTTACTGTTAGATGAAATTTTTCCATCTACTCCTTCAATAAGTGAAATCAAGTTCCAGAGAACCATTTTGCACAGTCTCAAAGCCTAGACTTCTGATTCTCATGTGACTGCTAACTTTCTCATTCTCCAGACAACTTTATCGGTAATAATTTGGGAGTGTCAATTTACCTGACTCTCTTGTGTATCTCTCTGTTACTGCTGAACATATGCACACATGGAATACTAGTGTAATTTGTTAGGTCTTCTTAAACTCTGATACTATTAAAATGATAAACCCTCTTACAAAAAATATTCATATGTCATATATATACAATTGCATAAAATCACAGAAGATGTATAGGTTTTCTGAAGATAATATCTGAACTGTTTAGAGTCATGTTTTGAGAACTTAATTATTAGACAATTTAAAGTTCAAGTGAGCTATTTTGGTTAAAATAAATTTCAAAATTAAAATTCAGTACAAGAATTGTAATTTATGAGTATTGTTGCATAGAAGACTATACTAGTTCCTTAAGGTATAAATGGGATTTTGTGGATATGTTGGGATGGGAGAAATATAAATGGTGATTAGATGTTTTCCACTAATAACTGGAAGTGGCATTACTGGCAATAAGCAAAATATGCTTTGGTTGCCTTGCTAATTATGTGGTATTTCCTGCTCTAGATAAATTGATGGTTTGAAAGAATAGTGATCAAGGAAAAGTTTATGCAATGTGGTTCTTTTATCCATTTTTCCTCTATTGATGTCTCTGTGAATTGTTTCTTTTTAACACTGGGTACTTGGGATTATGTATAGGTGAAGTATGGTTTTATACAAGCATCTTAAGTCAAAAGAGAAGTATTTCAATGGACTCAAAATAAGTCCAATAAAATATTTAGGACTGTGTATTATATGTTTGAATAATCTATAAGCATTTTCTCTGTTAAACGTTTTCTTGAGGTCCCTGTCAATATAAATATTTTAAGTGCCATTAATTAGATGAACATTTCAAAATGTCTTGATGATATAGATTTGGAGACAAGATGAATGACTAGACATGGAAAGGAAGAGCTTCTCCCATGGAAGGACCGGACCATCAAGAAGACTGGTGCAATACAAACAGATCTTTGGAAAGAAGGCATTGAGAGTGAGTAGAGAGGGGACACAGACCCCACATTGAAAAGAGAGGAAGCTAGAAACCCTCCACAAAGTTGCTGAGCATCAGGACTCACTCCTGGCCAGTTTCTGGGGAAGGAATGAGTGAAAGAGGTGTGGAGTAGCCCACTCTCATCATGGACCTCTGGAATCCTAGCTGCAGGAGACCCCATGACCCCCATAGACATTTGAGTTGACAGGGAGAAATGCACAGAGAGTTGGCAGAGACAGAACTCCAGCCTGCATGGAGCCCAGAGGGTTTGGCACAGGGAATGGCTGCAGTAGATCATAGCCGTAAGTGCCCAAGCCCCAAGACTCACTATACTTCTCTTGTTGGCTTTAGCCTTTTTTTTGGCTACCATAATTGGACAAAACAGAGGTATTTTTCATGTGGGACAGGCCAATCTGATCTGAGTAACCCTCTGTCTTCTGGCTTATCCCAGAGTCTGCCGGGCCACAAGAACTTGCAGCATGGCCTTGGCTGCTCAGTTGAGTCACTTGCCAGCAGCCACTGCCATAGCCTTTTTGCTGGCAGACCCTGCCTATCAGAGAGCTTTTGCAGGCTACCTCCCTCATGCACCTGCCCACAGCCCTTCCCCAACTTCTCTGTGGCATGTGCTCACTCACAGCTTCCCCCTACTGCTTTATTGATGCATGCTTGCCCACAGCCTCCTCCTGCTGCTTTGCTGACACATGCACACACTAACTCCACCACTGTCCCACTGCTGCTGCACATGTGTGCATGGGGACCCCAACTGCTCTGCTGCCACCCACTGAAGTGCGTTTGCCAGCAGCCCCCCATCACAGTATTGTTGCCAGCAGACTGGGAACACCTTGTCCCCTCCAGCATGGCAGATGCTTAACCTTATGGGGCAAAACAAAAACAAAAACAAAAAAACAAAAAACAAACCAAAAACAAACAAAAAAACTGTGAGCCTAGTCCTAGTCCCCAGAGTTAGAGTGCTCAGCTCAACAGCACAGGAGTATTGAGCTGAGCCTTCAGAGTTGAGATCTGAAATTATCCAGAAATAAAGCCAATCAACTAAACTCAACCTTATAACATAGTAAAATCCTCAAGAGCACCAAATAATATAAAATCAAAAAGCCCTATCCAAAGGACAGCAATTTGAAACACCAAAGGAACATCAGTTCACACAGACAAGAAAGAACCAGCACAATAACTCTTCAACTCTAAAAGCTAGAGTGTCTTCTTACCTCCAAATGACTGCAATAGCTCCCCAAGAATTGTTCCTAACCAGACTGAAATGGCTGAAATGACAGAAATAGAATTCAGAATCTGGATGGCAACAAAGATAATCAAGATTCAGGAGAAAGTTGCAACCCAATCCAAGGAATCTAAGAAATCCAGTAAAATTATACAAGAACTGAAAGACAAAAATAATCCTTTTAAGAAAGTGCCAAACTGATCTTCTGAAACTGAAAAACTCACTGCAAGAATTTCATAATCCGCCATGATCAAGTCAGCTTCATCCCTGGGATGCAAGGCTGGTTCAACATATGCAAATCAATAAATGTAATCCATCACATAAATAGAACCAATGAAAAAAACCACATGATTATCTCAATAGATGTGGAAAAGGCCTTTGACAAAATTCAACAGACTTTCATGCTAAACACTCTCAATAAGCTCAAAACACTGGTGAAACGTATCTAAAAATAGTAAGAGCTATTTATGACAAACCCATAGCCAATATCATACTGAATGGGCAAAAACTGGAAGCATTCCCTTTGAAAACTGGCACAAGACAAGGATGTCCTCTCTTACCAGTCCTATTCAACATAGTGTTGGAAGTTCTGGCCAGGGCAATCAGGTAGGAGAAAGAAATAAAGGGTATTCAGTTAGGAAAAGAGGAAGTCAAATTGTCTCTGTTTGCAGATGACATGATTGTATATTTAGAAAACCCTATCATTTCAGCCCCAAATCTCCTTAAGCTGATAGGCAACTTCAGCTAAGTCTCAGGATACAAAATCAATGTGCAAAAATCACAAGCATTCCTATATACCAATAACAGACAAACAGAGAGCCAAATCATGAGTGAACTCTCATTCACAATTGCTAATAAGAGAATAAAATATCTAGGAATACAACTCACGAGGGATGTGAAGGACCTCTTCAAGGAAAACTACAAACCACTGCTCAAGGAAATAAGAGACAACACAAACAAATGGAAAAACATTCCATGCTCATGGATAGGAAGAATCAATATCATGAAAATGGTCACACTGCCCAAAGTAATTTGTAGATTCAATGCTATCCCCATCAAGCAACCATTGACTTTCTTCACAGAATTGGAAAAAAATACTTTAAATTTCATATGGAACTAAAAAAGAGCCTGCATTGCCAAGACAATCCTAAGCAAAAAGAACAAACCTGAAGACATTACGCTACTTGACTTCAATCTATACTACAAGGCTACAGTAACCAAAACAGCATGGTACTGGTACCAAAACAGATATGTAGACCAATGGAACAGAACAGAGGCCTCAGAAATAACACCACACATCTACAACCATCTGATCTTTGACAAACCTGACAGAAACAAGCAATGGGGAAAGGATTCCTTATTTAATAAATGGTGTTGGGAAAACTGGATAGCCATATGCAGAAAGCTGAAACTGGATCCCTTCCTTACACCTTATACAAAAATTAACTGAAGATGGATTAAAGGCTTAAACATAAGACCTAAAATCATAAAATCTCTAGATGAAACCTAGGCAAAGCACTCAGGACATAGGCATGGGCAAAGACTTCATAACTAAAACACCAAAAGCAATAGCAACAAAAGCCAAAATTGACAAATGGGGTCTGATTAAACTAAAGAGCTTCTGCACAGCAAAAGAAACTACCATCAGAGTGAACAGGCAACATATAGAACGGGAGAAAATTTTTGCAATCTATCCATCTGACAAAGGGCTAATATCCAGAATCTACAAAGAACTTAAACAAATTTACAAGAAAAAAACAAATAACCCCATCAAAAAGTAGGCAAAGGATATGAACAGACACTTCTCAAAATAAGCCATTTATGCAGCCAACAAACACATGACAAAATGTTTATTATCACTGGTCATTAGAGCAATGCAAATCCAAACCACAATGAGATACCATCTCACACCAGTTAGAATGGCAATCATTAAAAAGTCACTAAACAGCCGATGTTGGAGAGGCTGTGGAGAAATAGGAACACTTTTACACTGTTGGTGGTAGTGTAAATTAGTTCAACCATAGTGGAAGACAGTGTCATGATTCCACAAGGATCTAGAACCAGAAATACCATTTGACCCAGCAATCCCATTACTGGGTATATACCCAAAGAATTATAAATCATTCTACTATAAAGACACATGCACATGTATGTTTATTGTGGCACTGTTCACAGTAGCAAAGACTTGGAACCAACTCAAATGTCCATCAATGATAGACTGGATAAAGAAGATGTGGCACATATACACCATGGAATACTATGCAGCCATAAAGATGGAAGAGTTCATGTCCTTTGCAGGGACATGTATGCAGCTGGAAACCATCATTCTCAGCAAACTAACACAGGAACAGAAAACCAAACACTGCATGTTCTCACTCATAAGTGGGAGTTGATCAATGTTGATCCATGAGAACACATGGACACAGGGCAGGGAACATCACACACTGGTTCTGGCCGGGGGGTGGGGCCTAGGGGAGGGATAGCATTAGGAAAAATACCTAATGTATATGATGGGTTGATGGGTGTAGCAAGCCACCATGTCACGTGTATACCTATGTAGCAAACCTGCACGTTCTGCACATGTACCCTAGAACTTAAAGTATAATAATAATAAAAAGAAATGAAAATCCTAACTTGCTAAAATAATAATAATAATTTCTTAATACAATCAGAAGCATCAACAGTAGAATAGGTCAAGCTGAGGAAAGAATTTCAGGACTTGAAGACTGGCTCATTTAATCAACTCAGATAAAAATAAAGAGAAAAGAATTAAAAAAGGATGGAAACCTCCAAGAAATATGGTATTATGTAAAGAGACTAAACCTATAATGCATTTGCGTCCCAGAAAGAGAGAGAGAGAGTAAGCAACTTGAAAAATGTATTTGAGTATATTGTCCATGAAAATTTCACTAAACTTGCTAGAGTGGTTGACATGAAAGTTCAGGAAATTCAGAGAACCCCATTAAGATAACATAAAAGATGAACATATCCAAGACACACAGTCATCAGATTCTTCCAGGTCAACATGAAAGGAAAAATATTAAAGACAGCTTGAGAGAAGGGGCAGGTCATGTACAAAAGGAACCCCATCAGACTAACAGTGGACTTTTCAGCAGAAACCTTACAGACCAGAAGTTATTGGGGACCTATGTTCAGCATCCTTAAAGAAAAGAAATTCTAACCAAGAATTCCATATTCAGCCAAATTAAGTTTCATAAGCAAAGGAGAAATAAAGATCTTTTTCAGATAAGAAAATGATAATGCAAATTATTACCAGCAGCCCTGCCTTACAAGAGGTCCTTAAGGGAGTGCTAAACATGAAAACAAAAAAACATTACCTGACACCACAAAAACATACTTAAGTTCATAGCCCACTCACATAATAAAGAAACTATACAATCAAGTCTTCATTACAACCTGCCAACAACACAATGTCATGATAAAATCCTCACATATCAATATTAACCTTGAATGTAAATCAGATAATGCCCCAATTAAAAGCCACAGAGTGGCAAGTTGGATAAAGAAGCAAGATCCACCTGTAGGCTGTCTTCAGGAGACCCATAGGCTCAAAGTTAAGGAATAAAAAAGGTCTATTAAGCAAACAGAGAAAAAAGAGCCAGGGTTGCTATTCTAATTTCAGACAAAACAAACTAAACCAACAATAATTAAAAAGGACAAAGAAGGGCCTTACACAATAATAAAGGGTTCAATCCAACAAGAAGACTTACCTATGTTAAATACATATGCACTCAACACTGAAGCACTTAATTCATAAAACAAGTTCTTAGAGACCTATGAAGAAACTTAGATAGCCACACAATATTACTACCACTAATAATAGATAACCACACACAGTAGACTTCAACACCATATGGAGAGTATTAGAGAGATCATTAAGGCGGAAAACTCACAAAGATATTCAGAATCTAAACTCAACACTTGACAAAGTGGACCTAACAGACATCTACAGAACACCACCCAACAACAAAATATATATTTTCCTCATCTGCACATGCATATACTCTAAGATCAAACACATACTTAGCAATAAAGCAATTCACAACAAACTAAAAAAAAACTCAAATCATACCAACCACACTCTTGGACTACAGTGCAATGGAAATAGAAATCAATACCAAGAAGATTTCTAAAAACTATACAATTACGTGGAAATTAAATAACTTGCTCTTTAATGACTTCTGGGTAAATAATGAAATTAAGGCAGAAATCAAGAAATTCTTTGAAATGAAGGAAAACAGAGATACAACATGCCAGAGTCTCTGGGACAGAGCTAAAGCAGTGTCAAGAGGAAAGTTTATAAAGCTAAAAACTCACATCAAAAAGCAAGATCTCAAATTAACAATTTAACATCACACCTAAAGGAACTAAAAAAATAAGGACAAACTAACCCCAAAGCTAGCATAAGACAAAACCAAACCAAAATCAGAGGTGAACTGATGAAAATTGAGACACAAAAAACCATACAAAATATTAACAATATCAGAAATTTGTTTTTTGAAAGAATAAATAAGATTGGTAGACTAATAAAGAAAAAAAACGTTGGGTACAGTGGCTCACACCTGTAACCCCAGCACTTTGGGAGGCGAGGTGGGTGGATCACTTGAGCTCAGGAGTTCTAGACCAGACTGAGCAACATGGTGAAACCCTGTCTCTACAAAAAGTACAAAAGTTAGCTGAATGTGGTGGTATGTGCTTGTGTCCCAGCTACTTGGGAGGCTGAGGCAGAAGAATTGCTTGAACCCAAGAGGTGGAGGTTGCAGTGAGCCAAGATCATGCCATTGCACTCCAGCATGGGTGATGGGAGTGAAACTCTGTCTCAAAAAAAAGAAAAGAAAAAGAAAAAAAGGAAAATATTTGAATAAACACAATGAAAAATTACAAAAAAATTATTCCAGTCCTACAAAAATACAAGAAACTCACTGAAACTATTACAAACACTTCTATGCACACAAGCTAGAAAACCTACAATAGATAAATTCCTAGAAACATACAACCTCCCAAGACTGAAGCAGAAAGAAATTAAATTCCCAAACATACTAACAATGAGTTCCGAAATTGAAGCAGTAATAAAAATATCTACCAACCAGTAAAAGCGCTGAGCCACACGCATTCACAGACAAATTCTAGGATAAATAAATAAATAAAAGTTGCTACCAATCCTATGGAATGCATTTCAAAAAAACTCCTCTCCAACTCATCCTGTAAGACCAGCATTATTCTAACACCAAACTTGGCAGCGACACAACAACAACAACAAAAAACATCAGGCCAGTATCTCTGATAAATATAGGCAAAACAATACTCAACAAAATACTAGAAAATCAAATCCAGCAGCACATCAAAAAGCTAATGTACCATGATCAAGTAGGCTTTATTCCTGTAATTCCTGTGATGCAAGGTTTGTTCAACATACAAAATCAGTAAATGTGATTTGGAACTAAAAACACAAGCCACATGAACATTTCAATCGATGCAGTTAGAGGCTTTTGACTAAATTCAAGATTCCTTCAGCTAAAAATCCTCAAAAAACTAGGAATCAAAAGAACCTCAAAATAATAAGTCATCTATAACAAAATCCACAGCCAACATCACACCCAGTGAGCAAATTTTGGAAACATTCTTCTTGAGAACCAGAACAAGAAAAGGATGCCCACTTTCACTACTCCTGTTCAACATAGTACTGGAAGTCCCAGTCAGAGGAATCAGGCAAGAGAAAGAAATAAAAGGCATTTAAACAGGAAAAGAAAAAGTGAAATTATCTCTCTTCACAGATGGTATAATTCTATACCTAGAAAACACCGTAGTCTCTGCCCAAAGCCTCCTAGAACGATAAACAGCTTCCATAAAGTTTCAGGATACAAAATCGATGTACAAAAATTAGTAGCATTTCTATACACTAAGAACGTCCAGGTCTGGAGCGGTGGCTCACGCCTGTAATCCTAGCACTTTGGGAGGCTGATGCAGGTGGATCACCTGAGGTCAGGAGTTCGAGACCAGCATAGCCAAGATGGTAAAACCCCGTCTCTACTAAAAATACAAAAATTAGCCAGGCGTAGTGGCGGGCACCTATAATCCCAGCTACTTGGAAGGCTGAGGCAGGAGAATTGCTTGAACTTGGAGGGCAGAGGTTGCAGTGAGCTGAGATCATGCCACTTCACTCCAGCCTGGGCAAAAGAGCGAAACTCCGTCTCAAAAAAAAAAAAAAAAAAAAAAAAAAAAGAATATTCAAGCTGAGAGCCAAATCAAGAATGCTATCCCATTCATAATGGCCACAAAAAGAGAAAAAGAGTAACATACCTAGGAATACAGCTAACCAGGGAGGTGAAAGATCTCTACAATGAGGATTAGAAAACACTGCTGAAAGAAATCAGAGACAAAACAAATGGAAAAACATTTCATGCTCATAGACAGGAAGAATTAAGATTGTTAAAATGGTCATACTGCCCAAAGAAATTTACAGAATCAATGTTATTCCTGTCAAAATACTAATGTCATTTTTCACAGGATTAGAAAAAGGTATTCTAAAATTCATATGGAACCAAAAAAGAGCCCGAATAGCCAAAGCAATCCTTAGCAAAAAGAACAAAGCCAGAACCATCACAGTACCTGACTTCAAACTATACTAGAAGGCTACAGTAACAAAACCAGCCTGGTACTAGTACAAAAATAGATACATAGACCAATGGAATGGGTTAGAGAACCCAGGAATTAAGCTACACACCTACAGCCATCTGTTCTTCAACAAAGTTGACAATAACAAGGCTTTCTATTCGACAAATGGTGCTGGGATAACTGGCTAGCATATGCAGAAGATTGAAACTAGACCCCTTCCTTTCACCATATACAAAAATCAACTTAAGACAGATTAAAGACTTAAATATAAAACCTAAAACTATAAAAATCCTATAGGAAAACCTAGGAAATACCATTCTGGGCATAGGCTTTGGCAAAGATTTCATGAAGACTCCAAAAGCAATTGCAATGAAAACAAAAATTGACAAGTGGAACCTGATTAGACAAAAGAGCTTCTGTGCAGCAAAAGAAACTAGCAGTGGAGAAAACAGCCTACAGAATGGGAGAAAATATTTGAAAACTATGCATCCACTAAAGGTCTAGTATGCAGAATCTATACAGAATTTAAATAACAAGCAAAAGCCAAACAACCCCATTGGAAAATGGGCAAAGGATATGAACAGACAATTCTCAAAAGAAGATATACATACAGGCAACAAGCATATTAAAAATGTCCAACATCACTAATCATTAGAGAAATGCAAATCAAAACCACAATGACATACCATCTCAGATCAGTCAGAATGTTCATTATTAAAAAGTGAGAAAACAACAGGTGCCTGGCAAGGCTGTGGAGAAAAGGGAACACTTATACACTGCTTATGGGACTGTAAATTAGTTCAGCCAGTGTAAAAAGCAGTCTGGAGATTACTCAAATAACTTTAAACAGAGCTACCATTCAACCCAGCAATCTCATTTTTGGGTACATACCAAAAGAAATATGAATCATTCCACTAGAAAGATACATGTGCACTTATGTTCATTGTAGTACTTTTTTTACAATAGCAAAGACATGGAATCAACCCAGATGCTAACCAATGGTGGACTGGATAAAGAATATTTGGTATGTATACACCACGGAATACTATGTAGCCACAAAAAAGAATGAAATCATGTGCTTTACAGCAAGATGGATGCAACTGGAGGCCGTTATCCTAAGTGAATTAATGCAGGAACACAAAACCAAATACTATGTGTTCTTGCTTATAAATGGGAGCAAAATATTGAGTACACATGAACACAAAGAAGGGAAGAGTAGAAACCAGGACTTACTTGAGGATGGTGGGTGGGAGGAAGGTGATGATTAAAAAACCACCTGTTGGGTCTATGCTCAATACCTGGATGATGAAATTGTACACCAAACCTCAGTGACACGTAATTTACTCATGTAAGAAATCTGCACAAGTACCTTCTTAAGCTAAAATAAAAGTTGGAAGAACAAAATATATTTTACTAGGAGGTATGGACAGTCAAGAAAGTTTCTATAACTATTGTCAGGAGTCAGCAAAGTTTTCCTTAAATGGCTAGAGAGTAAATATTTTAGGCTTTGCTGGCCATGAGTTCTCTGTTGCAAATATTTAACTCTGCCATTGTAGTGTGGAAGCAGTGATAGACAATATGTAAATAAATAAACATGATTGTGTTCCAATAAAACTTTATTTACACAAACTGGCAGTGGATTGGATTGGCCTGATGGTTGTAGTTTGCTGATCCCTGGTCTAAGTAATTACATGAGTAGTAACAATAGAGTTTAATAATTAGGGCGAGTACAGAGTGCTATGAAACAAAGATCACTTTTGTTAGAAGGGTGATCAGAGAGGAGACACCTGAGGAAGCTTAAAAAAAACACAAAATGTCTTGATGATAGATTTTTAAAAGGGATGAAGTTTTATGGTTAAGTGAATTGGCAATTTATTTGGTTAGACTGAGTGAAATAGGTTTCCTGACAGCATAATTTTTCAAAAAGTCTAAAATGCAAATATATTATTATATTTCTAAAAGACTGTATAGCAAACTGCATTTTCTAGTAATTTAAACATCACATCTTTTTCTCTTGGTGCTTCTTGTTGGACTATACATTTGGAACATATCTGTGTCTCCTTGTACTACTTTTATTTCTATTTAAGTGTGAAATGAATTTAATACATATGTATGCCATAAACATTTATTTTTTTCTCATCATTGAATGTATAGTAATTTAAATAATTAGTGGTTAAAATAGAAACTATATACACAGAGTAAAAGCAGAATAAGTTAACTTTTATTATAAATCTAAATTATCAGAATGGTTACTGTACTAAGCAAATGTTGTCATCCTGTACCTGCTCTTTGCTGTTCATCATAAAAGTCCTGAAACAAATTTATATGTGACAGATACTGGGACCAAAATGCTCAGTGCCAAATTCCAAAATTTGGAATTAAAACCTACAGGTAAATGTGAACAACACGTTTTCCTTCATGGGTTGGACTGGATAGTGAAAACTGAAGTTTGAGATGCTAATTATCCCTTTTAATACTGTATCTTCTTCAGTAATAATGTGTAATTTATTATTTGTGAAAGAATTATAAAGTTTAATAAAACTCAGCAATTAAAATTAAATGAGATTAAATATTTTAGTACACATTGCAAAAATATTTGAAAAAACTGTGACCTTTATGCTGGCATTTGCAGTCATCTAGTGGTGGCCTTTTGAATATCTTAATTGGTTTAGTATATGGTACTGTGTGTATTAGTGTTTGGAACACTTCAACCAACTTTCCACCACTGAGAGTGTTTATCTAGAATCTTGCACAGATGAGTATGTTTTATGGCCATAATATTACATCTTGTAAATAATAAATTTTAAAAGCAAAAATACAGCACTTGAGTAGTGACTGGTAAAGAGGACTGACACTTTCCGCCTCCATGTCTCTGTGTCTGGGCTGAAGAGGAAGGTTGTCTTTCTGTTTGCAGCCTTCTGTAACTGTCTCCTTGCTCAAAGCTCCATCAAGTCTCCTTTGGTCTTCATAAATGATACTCTTTTGGGATTCATGGGTGTTATTTAGCACACTACTGCAGTTTGCTTGCCTTCCTTATTTACTAGAAAACTATGAATTACAAACATGGTTGGTATTGTAGCTTTAATGAAGAGAAAATGAAAATAATCCAGGGATATTTATCTCTGCAAAATCACTTTTTTGGCTTATTTCAGTTTACTCTATGATTCTGTCTATGGATTTTTGCTAGGAAGAAAGTCAGTAATGTTTTTACCTTTGGAAGAATACCAGTTAACTAGTAATCTTCAGAACTCTGATACTGGTAAGGCTTAAGTCCTCCAGACAGCACCTAATCCCAGGTCCAGCAGCTCTGACTGTAACTGTCAGTTTGCCATTTCATTCATCCTCATATATAATCTAGAATACACACATGCGTGTCAAATACATCCTGTAGTTTTACCTTAAATTTTAAAATTAAATTGTCTAATGAATAGCCTTTGTAAAGGCACAAAGTTAGGACTCCAATGTAGACAATGGGCTGGAAGTCCCACTTAAAACTATTTTAGCATACATATTTAATACATATTATATGTTATAATCATATCTCAAATTATTTTTCTCATACATTTTCTAGTATCCAAATACGTAGAAAGGAATGGAGTATGATATTAAAAATTATTTTCTTTCTTATCTAGCATGTTCAGTTAACAATGTATAACCAAAAGAGCTAAAACAAAAGGCTATATGTACCTTTTCTGTTAATTTTTTTTGCTTTATTACAAATAAAAAGAGAATACCTGTTTTTAGTTGTTATTTTCCTAATACAGTGGTATTTCCCAAGTCTATGAATAGCTCCTTGTAAAGATGGTTTGCCTCCCAGTGACTTCACATTAATAGCTAACAAAATTGTCATTCAATTTTCCCTCACAACTGTGAAATAAAGGTATAAAAATACAAGTTAAATTATTTCTCACAGTAATGTACTGTGTGTATCTTTGGAAAATGAAGGCTCTGTCTAGAACTGCTTGTAAATATATAACACTACAACCATAAAAATGCATTATTTGTAGAAAACTATTATTAAATCAAATTGTTCCAAATATTGTTTTCAATAAATGCTACTTAGCTAAAACTCCACCTCACTGACTGAAATCACATCAGTGGTAATGGAAGGGAAGAGTTGCAAACTACATCTTCAGCATCAACCCCCAGGAAGGTCAAGAGCCCAACCTTGGATTAACAGGAGGAGGCCTTCATAACTTACGAGACTCAAGAAAACACGCAAGTTGCCTGACGGTCCTAACTGTGATGAAAATCATCTACTGAAGTGGATATTATTGTAAATCTTTGTCTACATGACAGATTTACATCTCCTTACCTCCATAAAATTCACCGTTAATGGCACAACACCTATTAAGCTGAGATATTTCTAGGTGTAGTACGTCATGGTATTTTCCTGTACAGTTTACATTATTCTTGGCATTTCACTGCCTGTCTCATGAGATGGCCAAGAAGGAAAATATAGTAACTTGCACTCACTTCTCAAGGACAAAATGCCATATCTTACCAGAGGAAACATTCAGAAAGTGAAAAGCAAACACTGAGAATCATAAGTTTGAAAAATGTGTCGTGTGAGAAATCTGGGGGCTTAGGGGAAAAACATTTTGTTTCATGGAATACTATTTTAATACATTACCAACTTTCCAGTTTTTAGGTTTTTCAAAAAGGGACAAATAAACATTTACAAAAGGCTTATTCTTAGAGCTGGGTATATACAGGAGAGAAAATAGGATCTTTGACACAAACTCAATCTTAGAGCTTGCACTTCTACTGTGCTTGTATAGGAAAACCCTGGGGCCTCCAAAACATTTGGGTAGCACTTTCTGACAACACATGCTGAGCAGGCTTTGTGTACCCAAGGCAATTAAAATGTCCAGGCAGTCTCTTGAGATAGTCAGCACATCGAGAACCTGGCATACTGAATAACTTCGATCTTATTCACATAAAGCCAGAGAGAAAAATAATTTCATCTCTTATTGTACACTCTTTCTATTTTCTCTCTTAAGAGAAACAAGTCAACAGTTACAAGCCTATATTAAAATTTTTGACTAATTGTTGCAATGTTTTTGGCCATATTGCAGGGTAGTAAATTGTATAAGCTAATGTCATTGCACCTTATGTGGGCTAAAAACACATTTAGAAAACCATATTGTAGCATTCCACATCTGAAAGAAGTGGGTGACATTTTTCTTCCTCAAAGTTCTTCAGAGAGGGAACTGCCAAGTGACTAACCCAAGGTCATATTGTTAGCTAATAGTAGAACTGGGACTGAAGAAACAGGTGTTCTTTTTGTACTCCAGAGAAACTTCTCCTGAGCCCAGATAAAGTACAACCATGTTTTTTTCTCATGAAGCTAGCTGTGGGTAATATCATGTAGTAAAAATCATTGCTTCTTAGCTTTTGCTCCTTTTCACTTTGGCAAAAAGAAGCAGAGAATATGAATTATTTAAGTTTTAAGCAAATTTTTAGAAAGAGAAGTTATATTTCTTTTGTATGTAGTGTATATTGCTGCTTGATCCATTTCTTTACTTGCAGCAACATCCCTTTCATTTTATATTAGCAATAAAGGGCTCTGTGGGAAAGCCTCATGTGCAACAATAGGGTCATTACACAACGCTTTGGATGGATGGTGTTTATTGATGCTACGAACTATTGGAAATAGCCATATAGATCTTGTAGAAGAGCCCTCTTTAAATGGCTGGTAATAGTTTCACATAATAGAGGCTCAGAAAATATTCGTTATTTGATTTGCTTCTTTTGTAGATAATTTTTGTGAACCTATATCTAAGATAATCCAGTCTGGAACATGAATAGCCTGAAAAAAATTAATATACTGAAATGTTCAACATGCATCATTTGTTTATAGGTTTTTCTACACAAGGATTTTTCTTGAGGCTGTGCTGCATGGTTTTACTAGCACTGCAAATCAGAGCAGAAAAGTTCCTATAATCTTAACTATTAGCAAGTAGTGTGTGCTTCTTTTGACTTACCAGGAAAGTACAAGAGCTTTCTGTTTAGACCATTGTCTATGAGATAACTTCCCGGCTGTCAGCTAAGTCATATTAAACCCACTAAGGCAGAGACTCTTTGGCTCTGCTGGGTGGAACATTGTTGTTATGGACTGAATGTTTGCATACCCCCAAATTCATATACTGAAAGCTCAACTCTCAATATGACTGTATTTGAAGACAATTATGAAGGTAATTAATGTTAAATGAGTTCATAAGGGTGGGCCCTGATAAAACAGAATTAGCATCCTTACAAGAAGAGAATACTATTTAGTCATAAAAAGGAGTAAAATTATGTTTTTTGCAGCAATATGGATGGAACTGGAGGCCATGATCTTAAGTGAAACAACTCAGACATAGATAAAAAAAAAAAAAAACACTTCATCTTCTCACCTATGTGTGGTAGTTCAATAATGTGTACACGTGGATGTAGAGTGTGGGATAATGGACAATGAAGACCCAGAAGGATGAGGGAGTAGGAGAGGGATGGATGATTAGAAATTATTTAACAGGTACAATGTCCATTATCTGGGTGATTGATATTCTTAAAGCCCTGACTTCCCCACTGTGCAGTCTGTGCATGTAACAAAATTATGCTTGTACCACATACATTTATACAAATATATATATTATTTATATATTTATATAAGTATATATATTTATATTTATATATATATATTTTTAAAAGAAGAGATACCAGAGAATTCACCTTCTGTCTTCACCATGTGAAGATCACCACAAGAAACCAACCCTGCCAGACTTCGATCTTGAACTCCAGCTTCCAGAACTATAAAAAATAAGTATCTATGGTTTCAGCCAGCCACCCAGTCTGTGGTATTTTGTTATGTCAGACAGAGCTAACTGATACAATTACTTTTTAAAACAAAGTCACAGCGTGATAAATCAACAAACATTTTTTGAAAACAACTATATGCTTAAAGCTTTTAAAAAATTAAACTGTTGTCTCTTTAATATAAAAATATTCATGGGAAATCAAAAAAATAACACATGCAAACTATAAAAATTAATGCATGATACTCTTTCCACTAGCCCAATTCCTTGGTAGACCAACTAAAAAAAAATTACAAGTTTAAATAGAGTTAATTATTTAAGGACTGATCATGTCATGCGAGTTCTAATATGCTCACTCAGATTTCTTTTAGTTTTGCCCTTTGGACCAACCACATCCTTGCAAAAGGCCTCAAAAATAGCTACTGCTTCCATAACAGCCATTCAGAGTCAGTAATGTTGAGTTTCTCCAAGATGTGAATTATGTTTTCATAGCAGAAAACACTAATTTAAGTTGAAACATGTTGGAAAATGTCATTTCCTTTGCAAACCAAACAAATTAAGAGGAAGAAAAATATCACTTAGTGGAATTCAGAGCTTGTTGTGAAATTTTGAAAGAGTTCTAGAAATTTGGCAAAACCTAAAGTATTGCTTGGCATTTATACCCTGGGATGAGTATTTTAGGCGTCCACATTAAACTTGTTGATAGATATATACTGAGAATGTGTTAACTTGGTGATATTTCTATTTCTTACTATAAATACTGTCTTACAAGCTAAAGATTTGTCTCATATAAAACCTATTCAAGTTACTGTGTCATGCAGATGAAAGGTTTATGTTTACTACATATTAAAACAATCATGGTCATATGCCCATAGGATTCAGTATACCCAAGTTTTTGTAAAATTAAACATAGAAAACCAAAATTTACTTGTGTGATAGATTTCAAGGTTACCACTATGTTACATTTCATCTACTGATTGAAGAAAAAATGGCAAGTCATAAAAGTTAAAATGCAGGAAGTCTACTAAAAAGTTCTTTTTTCATTTCGTAGAAGATAAGTGTGTTTAAATGCTATATGTAGTTACTTGAGCCACTACTAAATTTAGTTATACATCTTCATTTTATATAGGTTGGGCTACTGGGTTCTGCTAATATCTCAATTTTTGTATAAGATATTGGAAAAGTCAATTTGCAGCTCAGACAAGATGGAATAGAAGGAAACATGGCAGTCTTTGTGGAGATCATATGGAGGTAGAAACCATTATTACTCAGATGACATAAATCTGTATTTTGAAGCCAAAGTTCTAAATTTAAAACGTTTTTATTACTGGTATTTGAATTCTAATCCTATAATCTTCAACTACTACAATTCCTGAAGGCTTCTCCTCTCTATATTTGCTAAATAAAATAAAATATGTATAACATCTAGTATAGTACTTGCAAAAATGTAATTTCCTTTTCCTTCTTCTTAACCGAGGACCAGGAGTGGGGAAAAGTAACACTTATACCTGCTTTGGCTGCAGTATGGCCATTGATCAACTCTGAAATTTGGTGGTTATACAGAAGGGAAAGCAATGGAAAGAAGGCAGGCTAGGACTAGTATCTATGATCTAGGAGAAAGAGCACCTGACTTCAGAATCTTTTGGATAACAACTTTGGAATCAAAACAATTCCTAGCATGCAGTAGAAACAGACAATGATTTGTTGAATAAACAAACTGATAGATACATAAGGATAAGTGTCAAGATATGCTTAGTGTTGACCAAGTAAGCCAGAAACAGAAGACAATGAGTATATTGTTAGGCTGCCATAACAACACAATGCCACAGACTGGGTGGCTTAAATTACAGAAATTTATTTTCTCACAGTTCTGGATGCTAAAAGTCCAAGATCAAGGTGCCATTGGCATTGGTGTCGGTGAGGCCTCTCTTTCTGGCTTGCAGGCAAATGCCTTCTTGCTGGGTCCTAATATGGCCTTCCCTCTGTGTGCACATGGAAGAAGACCAATCACTAGGTCTCTTCCTCTTCTTGTAAGGATACCAGTCCTCTCAGATTAGGGCCCCACCCTAAGACATCATTTACCCATAATCACTTTCTTAAAGGCCCTATGTACAAATACTCACATTGGTGATTAGGGCTTCAACATGTACATTTTGGTGGTACACAATTCAGTCCATAATATGGAAAGACACTGAGATTATAAGGAATATGAAGTATATCCTTTGGGCAGCTGTTGTCTAGTAACCACTTTAATTATCTTTATATCCTTCACCTTGAAGACTAGTTTTAGAATCACAGGTCTACTCCAATCTAATAGCTGCAGTGTGAAGATATAAGGAATTTGAAGTCGTTCAATGTATGTATAATATGTTTCAAGCTTTCAAATTTGAGACTACAAATAAAAATTCTCTTTAGGGTGGCCTACAGATTTTGCTGTAGTTAAATTCCTTCACAATATTTCCCCAAAACAACAACACACAAGCCAAAAACACACTTACCTAAATTCCGTGTTTGATTAAATAAAACCTATCTCATAGTCTGTTTGAACTTTACTTGAATATGACTGATTCAAAGGAAAAGAACTGAGTAGCTGTGAATTTTATATTCCCAGCTATTTAGCAACACTTATTGATCAATTAAAAGATTGTATAATTTAATACAAATTCAATTTTATGTGAATGATGCAGCAAAATGTTAAGGCATTACACAGTGACTTTGCTATATTATTTATAATTCTCTCTGTAATCTTCACTTTTATTTTTAAATTAAAAGAACATCGTGGCTACAAGGTGTTTAACTTTGTATTCTAACAAATTCCCTGGGCCACTTAGTTTTGTTATTATTCACAAAACATATATTATTGATGTAAAATAATACACCTTGAACACTTCAGATTATATTAAACTCCAAAGCCATATCTGGTAAAGGTGATTACCAGTGTTATATAAAAATATTACAATTAGCATTTCAGGATGAGTTGAAAACATGTGATTGCTTGAAGTAATTTGTTGAATAAATTTAGAAGAAATAGCAATGTTGATTCATATGTGGCTTTATTTTCATATTTTCTTCTGAATGTGCTTTGTTGAATTATAATTTTAACCTATAAATCTTGCAGATAAATTATTGTTGTTCTTAGACTATTCAGGTAGCTGGATTATTACTAATCTAATGTTGTTTGTTTTACATGAGATATGTATTTTTATAAAAGCATATGCATTTTTTTGTCACAGATGACAAAAGTATCAGGGCATGGGATTATTACCTAGAGGATTAAAAAGAAGTTTCTCTTTCTTCAACATTGTAATATATTTAATTTCTTCTATTTCTTTTTTCTCCTTCCTCTTTTCCTTTTTTTCTTCCACTTGCTAATTGTAGTAGCTTAACCTTGCTAATAGTAGTTTGTTATTTCCCATTCCTCACACACCAGCATCTAAAGTGCACGTATTTCCCTGAATCATTCGCAAATCATTTGCTTTAAAGTGTTCTTTTTTGTCTCCTTCTCTTGCACACACATGCAAAGGAATATGTAGAAATAGCTAGGTACTTACTTTCAGGCCATTTTCAAGCAAATTTTGAATAATAGCAGAAGATTGCTATTTGACACTAAATAGCATGTGAGTTGATTTTCTTCTGTCTTCATGAATAGGAGGATGATGTTAGCTGAACATGAACTCTGACATGCATAAAACTTTTCATCTGTAGTTAGTGTAACCTCCTCCCCAATCCTACCTTTTGATTAACCACTGAGCTATGGTGTTTTTGCAATGCTGTCAGAATTACAGTTTTTGAAATAGAAATGCTAGGATATACACTACTTGGATGTATGTGTTTGAGACCAGAGGAGAGTTTCTACTGCTTTTCCTTTCATTGTAGTGTGGTGGTTTCCCAGGAGATTAAATGACAACACAAGAGCATATAGTATTAGAGGAGATGCTGCATTTTACTTTAAAATTTTTATTTTATTGCTTAATTTAATTTTACTTTTACTGTGCATAGGCCACTCTGGGAAGTAGTATTTGGTCAAAGCCATGATGTTATGTTCACTCCTGTGAACTTTGTTCTATGAGCTCAATTATAATGATAGCAGTCCAGTGATTACAGCTTCAGAGTTTCTAGAAAGCTGTATTTGTGGGGCATGTTGCATGACAGCATCCAGAATATATAAATATGATCTGGTTTCCTTTAAGTGCTCTGCTAATTTTGCTTGATGATGCTCAAAGCTAAGACCACTATAATTATAGAATTTTAGATCCACTAGAATGATAGGACTTTTATACCTGGGAAAAATTTGAAAATATTTACATCAAAATTGTTCAATTAGTGTTCTATGGAAAGCCATACCCATGAGATGTTGTAGTCATAAAGACACTTTGAGTAATAACAGACAGAAATCTAAGTCAAGGAAATAAACTATTGATTGAAAGAAAAATTATGTAACTTTCAAAGGAAGGGAGGGCGGCTTTGCAGATCTCAGACACTGGAACTGGAGACTCAGTATTGGCAAGATTGTTTCTTGCAGTCTTATTTGTACCTTTCTGTGGGTGTAGGCTCCAGTCTTTTAGATTCTTCTACATGAAAACATTTCTCCAAAGAGCAAGAGATAAAAGGAATTTTCACTAAAATCTCCACATAGAAAAATACTGAGGAAAGTCTCTTACTGGAGTAGTTACAGCCATGTGATCATCAGGAAAAATCTTTGGGCCAGAAGGATGAGGTGCCAAGATCAGTCATGAGTGGATTATGTATTTGTGTCTGTGGCCAGAAAAGTAGGCCAAGATATTTGGCCGTTCAATGAGAAAGACAAAGTTCTAGTCACTAAGGGGAAGAAGGTGGTTATAGGTAGCAAAAATGTCAAATGTCTGTAAGAGTCCATGCTGTGAATGTAAAGTACCTACATCTATTTTTCCATGTGTATAATTTTTTGTTGTTGTTCTACAGTAATTCTAATTAATTCTTATTTTTATTTATATTATTTTTGATTGACAAATCATATGGCTTATATTTATGGGGTATAACTTGATGTTTTGATATATGTATGCAATGTGGATTGATTAAATCAAACTAACATATCCATCTGCTTGCTTACCCATCATTTTTAAGATGAGACATTTGAAATACACTTTTAGTTATTTTGAAATATATAATACATTATTATAAACTGTAGTCACCCTGCTGAACAACAGATCTTCAAATCTATTCCTCTTGTCTACCTAAAACTTTGTACACTTTAATCAACAACTCCCCATTCTTTTCCTCTCTACCTACCCAGGCTCTAGTAGCCATTATTGTATTCTCTACTTCTATGAGTTCAACTTTTTTAGGTTTTACATATAAGTGAAGTCATGTCATATTTGTCTTTCTGTGCCTGGCATATTTCACTTAGCATAATGTCATCCAGGTTCATCCATGTTGTCACATATGATAAGATATCCCTCCTTTTTAAGGCTGAATAGTATTCCATTGTGTATATATGCACTACATCTTCTTTATCCATTCTTCTACTAATGAACATTTTGATCAATTCTGTATCTTGATCATTCTGAATAATGCTGTAATAAAAAATGGAAGTGCAGATATCTGTTTAACACATTGATTTCAATCTCTCTGGATATATATCCAGAAGTAGAATTACTAAATCATATAGTTATGCCATTTTTAGTTTTATGAGGACCCTCCATACCTTTTTCATAGTGGCTACTAATTTACATTCTGACCAGCAAATGCACAAGAGTTAGTTTCCTCTGTACCCTCAACAACATTTATCTTTCATTTTTATTTTGATAAAAGTCATTCTAAAAGGTTTAAAGAAATATCTCATTGTAAGTTTAACTTTGTTTCCCTAATCATTAGTTATGATGAGCATTTTTTATGTACCTACTGGCCATTTGTATGTCTTCTTTTGAGCAACGTCTTTTCAGTTCCTTTTTCCATTTTTTTAAATGGGTTATTTGTTTCCTTGTCATTGAGTTGTTTAAGTTTCTGATGTATTCTGCATATTAATCCCTTATCAGATGTATGGCTTGCAACTATTTTTCCCATTCTCTGGGTTGTTTCTTCACTTTGTTAGTTATTTGCTTTGCTGGGCAGAAGCTTTTTAGTATAGTGCCATCTCATTTGTCTCTTTTTGCTTTTGTTGCCTGTACTTTTGGAGTTCTTTCCAAAAAGTCACTGCCCAGACCAGTGTTTTAGAGCTTTTCTCCTATATCTTATTTTATACTTTCAGGTTCCATGTTTAAATTTTAATCCATGTTAAGGTGATTTTTATATATGGTGTGAGACAAGAATTCAATTTCTTCCTTTTGCAGGTGTATATCCAATTTTCCCAATGGCATTTATTGAACAGACTGTTCTTTTCCTATTGCATGATCTTGGCATCTTTGTCAGAAATCAGTTGACCATAAATGCACGAATTTATTCCTGGGGCTTTTATACTGTTCCATTGGTCATGTGGGTCTGTTTTTATGCCAGTACCATGCTATTTTATAATATGTTTTGAAACTAGGAAGAGGGATGTCTTCAGCTTTGTTCTTTTCAGTAAAGATTTTTATGACTATTCAGACTTTTTGTGGTTCCATACAATTTGATTACTTTATTATATTTCTCTGAAAAATCACATTAGAATTTTGATAGGGATTGCATTGAATCTGTAGTTCATTTTGAGTAGTATGAATATTTTCACAATACTAAATCTCCCACTCCATGAACATGGAATATCTTTCCATTTATTTGTGTTTTGTGTAACTTCTTTCATCAATGTTTTGTAGTTTTCAATATACAGGTCTTTTATCTTCTTAATTAAATTTACAACAAAGCATTTAATCTTTTTGTTGCCATTATAAATGAAATTGTTTTATTAATTTTGTTTTTGGATGGTTCATTATTAGTATATAGAAACATTATTGATTTTTGCATGTCACTTTTGTATCCTGCAACTTAATCCATTTATCAATCCAAAAACATTTTTTTTTTATTTTTGATGAAGATTTTAGGGTTTTCTATATATAAGATCTTGTCATCATCAAATAGAGACAATTTTACTTCTTACTTTCTTATTAGGATGCATCTTATTTCTCTCTCTTGCCTAATTTCTCCGGCTAAGACTTCTAGTAGTATGGTGAAAAGAATTGGCGAGAGAGAGCATTCTTGTTTTGTTTCTGATGGAAAAATATTCAGCTTTTCACTATTGAAAATGAAATTAGTTATGAGTTTGTAAAGATGGCCTTTATTGTGTTGAGGCGCATTACCTCTATACCTAATCTGTTGAGAGTTTTTATTATGAAAGGGTGTGGAATTCTGTCAAATGCTTTTGCTGCATTTATTGAGATGATTACATAATTTTTATCCTTTATTTTATTACTATGGTGTATCAATTCTTCCTGTAAGGGGCCCCAGAATCATGGGGAAGCTGAATGTCTACTTTCATCTTACTTTTCCCACTGTAGAAACTGGAGGTCCAGGGGAATCGTCTGTGTGGCACTGTGCTGACTTGAAGGAGGGATAGCATGGTGAAAGGCAACCATTTCTTTTACTCTTGGGACATGGCTTTTCTCAAATTTCTGCAGTTCAAGGCAGTGTGTTGTTTCAGCCTCACTTCCTAATTCTGAGATATTCACAAAGGTATCCTTTGTCTGTAAATAGTTGCTGGTTCGAGGGCAGTGAAGCCACAGTACTCCTATTCCACCATTTTTCTGACACCACTCTCCACATGTATAATTTCAAAAGGATTCCTGTGTTATATTCAGTTGCTTTATGTGTAATCACAAACTCTCCTACCCTTTCCCATATAGGTGACAAGCAAAAAAAGAATCCAACTTTACATCTAGAATGTCTGGGCAATGCGATATCTTCTCATTCAAGTTTAGATGTGGTTAGCTGACTCATGTATAGAGTGGTACTTTTGACTACCCAATACTCACAACGTACAATGAAGAGCTAAACTTTTTTTTACAGGCAAGGCAGGGCTTCTCACAGTGGCCCTATTGATATTTTGGGTTGATTAATTATTTCTTCTTGGGGATTTTCCTGTGTATTTTCATATGTTTTGTAGCATCCCTGGCCTCTATCCATTGAATGTCAGTAGCCCCCTTCCACCAAACTCGTGACATAAACAATGTCTCCAAACATTGCCAAATACCTTCTGAGGGGCGAAATCTCCCATAACCAAAAACCACTGAAATAAGGAGAAAATGTGAAGAAATATAGAGCTGTCAAGAGTCCAAAACCATTACATAATTATTAGAGTGGAGCTGTTACAGTGGCTAGCCCTGGAGTCAAATTCTTTCGGTTTGGATTCTTACCCTTACAAATTTTCTAACTGTGAGCAATGCCCTTAACTTTTTGTAAGCATGTTTTCTTTTCTTCAAACCAACATAGTGATAGGAACTATCTCATGAGTTGTTTTGAGGATTCAATGAGCCCTTAATACAATGCCTGCATACAATGAGTGCATGTCCCATTAATGTTAGCTTTCATTATTATCAAGCTAGGCTGGGACACTGAGAAGTATCCACATATTTACTCACTTTCCTGAAAGTGGTATGATTTATTTGGTCAGAAATTTTGGTGTCCTTGTTATACCCAAAAGGAAAAATTTGAAAAAATTCAATTTTGCAAGGTTCTTTATAGACATATCTGCAGGGGTATTTATGAGGCTTCACCAACGGTGGGATGGTCTACCTCTGGAGGAAAATTCTGTCACAACCATGCAGATTGCCTCTGCAGTTAAATAATAAGGCACCATTGTTTACCAAGCCTGTGGTTTCTTTTTCAATAAATCTTTCCTCCCTCTCTCTCCCCCGACTTTCTTTCTTTCTCTCTCTTTTTCTTTCTTTCTTTCCTTCCTTCCTTCTTTCTTTCTTTCTTTCTTTCTTTCTTTCTTTCTTTCTTTCTTTCTTTCTTTCTCTTTCTTTCTTTCTTTTCTTTCTTTTTCTTTCTTTCTTTTTTCCTTCCTTCCTTATTTTCTCTTGTCCTCCTACTCTTTGTTCTTCTCTCCTTTTTTTTTCTTCTTCTCACTTTCTTAAGCTCTATGTGTAGTTGCCTGTAAGTTTCATTTGATGGGAATTCTTCAGCAATAAATAAAATTAAATATTGTGAATTTGGGATCTTTGTATATGGATCTCTCCTTTGCAGTTTCTGTTTCTTAGCAACAGGTCCCACACCCTCTCAATGTGTCAGGTCTCAGCTCAATGCCTTTGGTTTAAGCCACTGCCCAAATACAATAAAGTAGTAGGCCAGAGTGGTAAGGCAGAGCTTCTTAAATGCTCAAAGCCTAGAGTCTGCATTTTCTTTGATGATGCTTTTAGAGAAAAGTTAACACCTTTGCCAGATAGGGAGTTCAGAACAACAACAAAAGGAAAGCTCAAGAGCACCCTGATAGAAGAGACTACTCCATTATATTGGTTCTTTTGGGTTTCAGTCTTAGCTAGTGCAGTGCTTCTCCCTTCCTAACCTTTGCAAACACAAATTTTGATGTAAGGTAGATAACTTTTGCAATTCTTTAGTATGCATTAATTATAAGGTTTAGAAGTCACAGCTTAATGGCCACAGGTAGAAAATGTATCTTTTAAAAAGCATTTATGCTTGTAGTGGCCTTTCTCTTTTCAGATGGAGAAACTTGGATTAAAGCTTGTGTCTCTCCTATGGGAACTTGCTGAATCCTGGGAAACAAAGGCAGCATTCCAATACTCTAATATTTTTCTCCCATTGAAAATTGAATTTAGGCAGGCACATATTAAAGACTATCAATTGCTTAATAAACTGCTTCCCTGACTTAGAACAATTATTTTTCCAGCATTGGATGGAAGGATCTTCACTGTCCCCTAGTGCAACTTGAACAAGCTACTTCTACATTTTAGGGCTTATAACTTTTTTCTTCCTCTTTTGGTATTGTTTTTGTATTTAATTGACATTAGTTTAAATTAAGACAAAATTTAAACTAACGTCAGCAAAAGGATATATACGTTATATATATAAAGGTATAAATATATATATGAAAATATAAAAAGCATATATATATATATTAAGGGATGACTGCTGGGATATCTATAGGAAGCAGGGAATCTTCTAGGATCTTAAGAACTGAAATCAGAAACTTGATGTATTCATTCAACAAACTTCTATTGAGAACCTGCTATAGTATGTGCCAAACTCTGAGGTCAACATGGAGCAAAAACAGTCACTTACTGATTTCCTAAAACTTAAAGTCTGTATTAATGAGGTTATCTGTTTCCAATTCTTACTACGTCTTCTTAATTGCTTAGCAGATTCATTTTCTTAGATTTCTTTATGTGGCAGTATACACAATTCCTAACATTTCCTGAGTTACATCCTTTCAATTTCTCAACTTGAAGAAAGGGTAGTTTTTCTCTGGTCGTTCTATCAAGAAAATCTTGGAGGGAGGCACTCCTGGATTAATCACCTTAGGATGTGAAAATAGTATACTATCAGTAGCCATGTTTGGGTCTCTCTGTAACAATCTCTCTATAGAGTAAAACTTCTGTCCTTTACTGAGGTTGAGGAGGAGCAATAACCTGTTTTTATCTCTTCCAGCAGCTCCGCTCCAATTCCTAAAACTCGACCCTCCAATCCTTTGTAGATTTAGCTTTCAGGTCCCTCAAATTGTTTTCTAGCTCCCAAAATGCTGCTGCTGTTGTGCCTCAATTTCTTTGTCCTTGAGCATGATTCTTTTTTTTAAAAAAGCAGTTTCCTCTCCTTTTATTGCACATTTAGAGATTTATTGCATTTCTTGTACATATGTAAACTGATATGTTATCTGTATGTTTCATGTAGGTGTACTTTCTATGAAGCCTCATTTGACTATTGCTCTTCAAAGCACCTACCATTGATGTAGCCTCATCTCAATTTTATGCAGTTGCCTTGATGAAATCCCAGTTGGTTAGATATTTACTTAATCAGTGTTGTTCTTGGGATCAACAGCTATGTATTTTTCAGATATACTGATTTGACCGAATTCAGACAGAAGACAATTATTTCCTTATAAGTTGTCAGTTGTCTTGAGAAATCTATTGATAATTTCATGTCGTCATCACTTTTTAGTCATCTGAATACCTAGACTATTGATTTATAATGGGATTGGCTAGATTCTTCTCTACTTTTTTTGTGTGCCACTAACTTCAGAGGTGGAGAATCTTATCACTGAAAGGACCACCTTTCTTCACACAATAAGATGTTATATCTTTTAATATTGGAAAATGTGTCAAAATTTTGACAATGCTAACAAAGATTTTAGTGAGAGGAAAGAGAAAATATTTTAATTCGTGTTGAAATGCAGCAAGGAAAATTTGAATCCAGGAGTTTGTACTGTCAGACACTGATATATACTGGCAGAGGTTGCCTTGTATTCCTCGTATTTTCTGAATAAGACATACCTAATTAACTACACTAACAAATACTAAAAATATCAGGTGATGGCTTTAATGACTATCTAACTTCTCTACTTCTATTTCTCCGCCATTGCTTAAGGTTTTTTTTTGTTTGTTTGTTTGTTTGTTTTTTTTCTCATGGCTCACAGCAGCCTCGACCTCCCTGGACTCAGGTGATCCTCCCACATTAGATTCCTAAGTAGCTGAGACTACAGGCACACACCACCACTCCTGGCTAATTTTTGTATTTTTTTTTTTTTTTTTTAGAGATGGAGTTTTTCCACATTGTCCAGTCTGGTCTTGAACTTCTGGGCTCAAGCAATCCACCTGCCTTGGCCTCCCAAAGTGCTAACTAACCACTGCGCCCAGCCTTATTGCTTAGCTTTTAATTATGCCTATGTCTCATTGTTTACATATTGGAATTATGAGGTTGGTGCAAAAATAATTGCGTTTTTTGTCACAAACTAACAATCTAATACTTGTGGGCTTTTAAAAAATATTGAGGCTCTGACCCCAATGCAGAAAAAATAAACCTGTATTTCTAAGAATAGCATCTGGACAGTAGTACTTTATTAAGCTCTACAGGTGATTATAATATGGAGGCAGGATTGAAAACTACTGATCTCTCTTTATGTCATATAGGAACATGAAAATGAATATATATTTCTGCCCCTTTGATGGTATATTTGGCTTTGACTTTCTGCTGTAACTTAACCTCAGGATCTGTGAGAGACATAGGTTCTAAAAATTATTATTTTGCTTAGAGACCTAATGCCAGAGAATCTTAACATTTAAGCATATTGTGTTCTAAAATATGAACAGGATTGTAAATAATTTCATAGTTGTCTAGTACTTAAAATATAAAACCTGTTTTGGGCTTTCTCTGTAACCAAGCCAGAGATTGCATGGAGTCTTAGTTACTCAAGGCTGGATTATTTTGAATAAATGTATAACCATTCTTTTATTTTCTAGGTAAGTGCTTTACAATACTATATGTCATATCTTGTATTTTTCTCTCTACTATACTGATTTCGGCTTCTCCAGATAAGATTATTTTTTCTTATCTAACATATGCTGTAGGTTTTTTTGTGAATGTCAGGGCAGTAAAAGTGAGATTGCGGATACTAAGTCATGAAGAGTTGAAGGTTTTGGAATCTGGATCAATTTTGGGGAGTATTAAACATCATGAAATGTCAAAAAAGATAGAGATCTCTAAAAGAAGGACTTTCTCGATGGAAGCTGTTCTTATGGAATGTTGATTGTTACAGTGATAGAAGAAACAGAAATCATTTATCCAATATTCAGTTATTTATTTAAAAAATCAATTTGTGCCTATATGTGGCAGACAACATCTTAGACATTTTAAATGGGGATCCAGATTGAAAGAGATATGTTAATAAGTATGGAAATATATATGCATTAATTTGTATGTGAAAAATATTTGATTAATGCTGAAGAAGAGATAAGACACGATATAATAAAATTTCATATAAGATGGTTTAAAAAAATCTCCTAGGATTCTTAAAGCCAGAATGGTTTCTGTCTTTTCAATATTATCTGGGTCCCCAAGATGATTAAAAAATGGGTAGAAAGAGAATGGCTCTGGCAATTACTTAGTCTTTGAATTCCTAAGAATCACTGTTCTTTAACCTTTGCTTTTGAATCCTCCAGTAACTTCCACTTTTGAATTGCTCCTAAATCCTAAACTTTGCCTTGTTTTTCCTGGTTGAAACTGTTTCTTTCACTACTAATTTTCCACATTTCTTGGATGATTCAAGCCTTTTTTTTTTTTTTTTTTTTTTTTTGGTGCGGATCATAAGTCGAAGACCAGGAGTGATATCTTTGTATGTTATGATCAATTCTGAAATCATTGTGAAATGATTTTTATCTCTATTGACCTTATGATTCTTGTAACCCTTCAGCTACTGCAGTAATTTCTACGGATTTTGAAGCCATTTCATAATTTTACTTCAGAAGCAGCTTGCTCAGTATTTTCACAAATGATTATTTATATAGAAAACTAATAAAAGATAGAAATTTAATTGTTATATAATATTATTATGCTGTAGATTAATATTAGAATTATTCTTTAAGAAAGTAGTTCTCAGCCAGGAGAAATTTTGCCCCACAGGGCATATTTGGCAATGTGTGGAGACATTTTTTTTATTGTCATGACTAGGAAGTGCTACTGGCATCTAGTGTGTAGAGGGCAGGGATGCTGTTAAATATTCTATAATGCATCGGACAGCCTAAAACAAAGAATTATTTCCAGTCTGAAATATCAATAGTGCTGTACTTGATAAACCTCATCTGAAAATAATTCCAAGAACAAAACCATATTGTTGAATTTTTAATGTCTGCTTGAAAGTCATGGTACTATAATTTTTATCTAGGGAAAAGATAATTTAAAAGCATTTATGCTTTGGGTCTTCTTTCCTTTACACATTAATGTATTCCTTCTAAAGCTCTAAATTGAGTCGGTTAAGTGATTTTCCTTCTAAAATGTTCAGCTACCTATAACCACTAGTGCTTTCTCTTAAGTGCAAGTGCAAGCTGTCTTGTTAGCAAGTTATGCCAGAATCAGTTATTAAGAAAATGAATACCCTGTAGATAAAATATGTTCCCATTTCAAAATAAATTACTCATTTAAGGGATACTGCAGCAATTTAAAAAATATGTTTTTTTGGCACAAATCAAAATTCTATTTCTATGTTCACCATATAGTTTCACATCTAATATCTAAGCTTGATTGCTGGATTTGTAAAGGAATGTCAATGAATGTGAATACACATGCTCTCTAGAGTGCTAAATGTTAAAGTTGATATATATGTATCTGCATTTTACATAGAATTTACAACATATTGCTTCTAGATTTTACTGGTACCTAACATAATGCCTTTCAAGGAATATTGTGATATTGTGAGATATACTTAGCCATGTCTGTATTTTTGTAAGGAAAATATTTTGTTGTTGAATATATTAATATACATATTATGATTATATGTCATATAGCATTCATTTCTAGTCATAAAAATAATAAAAGAAAGCAAAGACATTTCTTCTAGAAGACTTTTCTGATTCCTCCAGTCTTGAGTACATTCATAGCATCCCAGGTATGTCACTATTAATCTACTACTAGATTGTTTCAATATGTCTATGTGCTATCTCCTGCAAATGACTAGAAATTTTTATTTCGACCCTGGATCTGTCACACTGCCTGGCATAAAGTAAAACATTCATGTTTTACTTGATGTTTTAATGTGATAGTTTCTGAAACAGAGGTAAGTTCCATGTTAATGGCAAACCCAGTTTGTTGTTCTGCTTGTTATTTTTTAAAAGTCAGTCTTGTTCCAGAGCTATGTAAAGATTTCATCATATGAATTGGAGATGTACATTTTGCTTATCTATATTTATCTTTTCTCTGTATTCCAAAAAGCATCCCATTTTTGATCAGATAGCCATGCATCTTCCCACAGCCCACATGACTCAAATGAAATGGCCACTTTTGTAGTTACAGGGCCTGTGTAGTTTAGGAGGTCAGTATTGGGAAATCCATCCTCCTTTCCAGAAAATGGTTTAGGAATTCATAATTAAACTCCCAGCACTTGGGATTTGGGGGAACTAATTGTTAATAAGCAGAAATATCCCCCACTGTTGGGAGAGAGGATATTTTATTTGTCTTCTTCACTGTACATGAACAAGCAGTCTGCTGCTTCAGTAGCTGCTGGCAGCCATGTTGCTGCTTTTCATGTGCGTTCGTGTGAAGAGACCACCAAACAGGCTTTGTGTGAGCAACATGGCTGTTTATTTCACCTGGGTGCAGGTGGGCTGAGTCCGAAAAGAGAGTCAGCGAAGGGAGATAGGGGTGGGGCCGTTTTATAGGATTTGGGAAGGTAATGGAAAATTACAGTCAAAGGGGGTTGTTTTCTGGTGGGCAGGGGCGGGGGTCACAAGTTGCTCAGAGGGGGAGCATCTGAGCCAGGAGAAGGAAATTCACAGGGTTAATCACTCAGTTAAGGTGGGGCAGGAACAAATCACAATGGTGGAATGTCATCAGTTAAGGCGGGGCAGGGCCTTTTCACTTCTTTTGTGATTTTTCACTTACTTAAGGCCATCTGGGCGTATACGTGCAAGTCACAGGGGATGCAATGGCTTGGCTTGGGCTCAGAGGGCTGACACTGTTATGGAGAAAGTCTAATCAACACAGAGAAGGGGAGAGCTGAGGCAGCAGCAGAGGGGCAGAGCTGGATCTGTGATTATCTCACCTGGAGCTTATCCTACTTTTTGATTTAGGTTATGTGAGAAAGCGTCTTTCTATATTTTGTAAGTTTTTTATTACTTGTAGCCTAAGTAACACAATGTTAGAAATTCCCAGTCCCCTCCTTTTATTAAAAAAAATTCGTGTCTGTTGACTTTTTTCTATAATTCAGGCTATAATCACCCATCATTCAGCCACACACATTCACCACACACATTCAGCTATTTTCTCTTCTCTCTACTCTGTCTTTCTGCACCTCAAAATTTCTGTGCATTTCTTTTCTTTTATCCTGAGGCCTGCTGACAACTGCTTTTACATTCTCAACATTCCCCAGGTGAATTAGCAAGACGTCTTTACAACAAATACATTTCCTCTCTAAGAGAAATTCCAGCACTGGCTGTTAAGACATTATAATTTTTACATTTTCTCAATCTTTCTGTTGTGACATATTAAAGAATACTAAAGGAGGTATAATATAGTGGTTAGCAGCTCAAATCTGTAGTTAGTCTGTTTTCAAATTTTGACCTCACTAGTTAGTGACTTGGGCGAGTCATTTAATCTTACTAAACCCCAGTTTCATCATCTAGAACAGCAGTAGGCAAACAATGGCCCATAGACAAAATCTAGTATACTATCTTTTAAAAAATGTTTATTGTAATACAATCACACTTACTTGGTCATGGATTGCATATGCAGCTTTTGAGCCAAAATAGCAGTTGAATAGCTGTGGCAAAGACTGACTGTTAGGCTAGCAAAGCCTGAAGTATTTGTTATTTGGCTCTTTCCCAAAAATGTTTGCTAACTCCTGATCTAGAAATTCGGCTAAATAAAAGTCTCATAGGATTGTTGTCAGGCTTAAATGAGATAATTCACATAGGTAGTTAACATGGCAACTGGAATATATAAACCTGCAATAAATGTTAGCTGCCATTGTTTTTAATAATAGTAATGTTCAGGAAAAGATCAGTGTTGGTAGATCAAAAATTATTTGAACCAGTACCCTCACCATATTTTGTGGTTGAGGAAAATGACTGCCATGAGGACACATGATGTAGTTTTATTGAAAAATATTTATTAGCAAGGGGAAGAAAACAATATTTATTTCTGGAGTCAGTCAGTCCCCCAGGTGAGGTATAAATATAATTACGAGACTGCATAAATATATTTATACCACCCTGGTGAGACTATGATACTTTAAGTCTTATTTTTCATCCAGGGGAAATAAATGTTATTTTAAAAATCATAACTCATTGCTATTGTTAATTCAATAATAACAATTGTGTATGGGGCTGCATTAGGGGAGAGTATATCACTAGTGTTTGGCCAGACAGCGGAACAATTAATAGAATCCCCATTTCCCCTAAGAGGTTTATTTGTCATGTCAAAGTTACTCTGGTCTGGTGCAACACAGATGGTGTTGTGACAGCACAAAATGATGAGTGCCACATTGTTCTTTCTAATGATCTTCTTCTGCTCAATTCATCTTGTTTTGCAGCCTTGAATCTCTGCTACATGCCTGTTTTTAAAATAGGGGACATCCGGTAGAGGAAGTCAAAGAGGATGCTGCTTCTTTTGCTATTTTTCTGATTGTTAAGTGGGTCCAGAAAGTACTAAAACATACTATGAATAAGAAAATGAAAAAAAAATCACCAGCTTTATCACATAAATGAAAAAATAGCAAACTTTTCTCAAAAACGGTAGAATATATACTAGTTTTATACAAAATAAATTCTGCTAAACTAGCTTAATTATCTGTATGACATGGTTCTGGGTATGATAATAAAGGAAAACATACATATTAAAATGGACACAGTTAAATTATCATTCTCTTTCTTAATCCACTGTTGAAAAGATATACAACAGGTTAGAGAATCAATAAAAGGATCAATAAAAATAGTGTAAATGTCAATAGAGAAAACAAGGTAGTTCTTATAATGAGGAATCTCAAATTCAAAAACTGACATTGTAGTAATGTACTATTAAAATATACTTTGATTAAAATGGATGGATATGTCAATTGAGTTGACTGTTGAGGAGTACATTAAAATTACATTCAAATTTACACTGCTCTGAAATTCATTGTATAACTTTTCACTTTTTTGCACTTCCATAATTTCTTCTTGTTTAGATGTTGAGGTGAATGCTAAATATTAAGAGAAGTTTCCTTCATCCTGTAAATCTCCAAACAGTGTCCTGGGAATAATAGCTATAAAATATAGAATAGTTTTCTTCAACTTTTAGAATCTGTGAAACTCTTAACAACATTCAGCATACATGTAAACCATCAATTTTAAATTATTTATGTTTTAAAATGTTTGCAATATTTTAAATTAGTAATTATACCAATTCCCTATTTGTGAGGAGAATGTCATTTGTAATCTTTCACCAATATATCAATATTAAACTTGGTAAGCGTTACTTGAGTTATAAATTATAATCCTCATCCAGCCAAAATTTTTTTCTTTCTTTCTTTTTTTTTTTTTTTAGAGACAAGGTCTTGGTCTCATTTTGACCAGGCAAGAGTGCAGTGGTGCAATCACAGCTCACTGTAACCTCAAACACCTGGGCTTAAGGTATTCTTCTGTCTCAGCCTCCCGAGTAGCTAGAACTATAGGCACATGCCACTATGAGCAGCTAATTAAATTATTTTTTGTAGAGATGAGGTCTTGCAATGCTGGCCAGGCTGGTCTGGCACCCCTGGCCTCAAGTGGTTCTCTTGCCTTAGTCTTCCACAGCCAAGTTTTTAATTCTGTTTTTAACTAAAGCAGAAAATCTTGTCACAATAATACTTTGTAAATGGCTTTAATTGTGTATCATTCTGGATATTTGAATCAAACTTCCTTCTAAGTCAATGAGGCAGTTTGTTCCAGACTCCAGATTCATTAATTCCTGATTCACTTTTTACTTTCAACTCTGAAATGTCTGTTCTATTGCAGCATTTTGATGTTGTTTGTAAATCTGTCCAATGATATATATTTTTAAACCTATTTTTTTCTCCAGAAGTGAGAAAACATTACAATGCTAGGAAAAACTCTCAGTAATCTCATATTAATACTTTTGTTGTACTTTTGTCTTCAATGATTAAAATTAGAATTTTTTGGTGCTGAAATGATGGCTTTAGGCTCTGCAAGATACTAAATGTGTTCCTGAGATGTTCCACTAAAACAAGCTTCATGTGATCATTCAAATGGTCTTTTCTGGCAACGCTAGTGTCATAAAGTAATGTTTTTCATCTCACTTCCTATTTTAATTTGGTGAATACCTTCTCCTTTTACTGACAACATACTTCACTGTGAAAAACTAGTCACCCATTTATTGCCAATTTTTTCACCAACACGCTGAAAGATGTATATATTCACTAGATGAAATGTGATTGCAATGAAAGATTTCACCATGTTCTTCAATACTGAATCAATAATATAGATGTATATTATTGACTACCAACTGAACTCTAGATACGACAATGTGCAGGATTGGCATGCAGGTATAACCTGTTCTTATGTTTTATTTACTTGTTTTCATTGTAGAGTGGTGTTTGTCCTTGTTAGACACAGAAGTGCTGTTCTGTTAAGATTAATTTCAGTACATGTTTTCTAGTGTACACTACAAAAGAAAAATATTACCCCCGTAGCACATTTTTCAATAATAAACCACACAAAAAGACATCATGCACTTCTCCCTTCCACTGCACATAGCAAAACGCTTATTCATATGCTTGCATATGCGTGGTCTTGTCTACTGAAAAATGAAATATGTTCATCACGTTTTAGTAATTGCTCTTCCACATTATATGTCATAGATATGTGTGTGCAAATTCTGGGTTGTGCCTTAAAAGAAGGCATTCCCTTCTCTTTGTCTGGGAAATGTTGAGAATAAGAACAGATTTCATGGGCCTAGAGATAAAATGGTGTGCTGGGGAGGGTAGAGGCCTCTTTCTAGCCTTGAATTATATGTGACTGAGAAATAAACTTTGATCTTCTTAATCAATTTTATTTATTTATCTGTGTTACAGGAGCTAAGTTGAGCTCTAATATAAACTAATCTCCTAAGTTAGAAAAAGATTACATCTATGTTAATAAATCTGGTTGTATCTATATCTATAGTTATTAGATAAACTGCTTAATATTTCTGAGCTTCAGCTTTTGAATCTGTAAAACACAGATGATAACACCTACCCTACATAGTTGTTGTAAGGATTAAATGATAGGAAATATATGAAGTGCTTTAGCAAAGTTTCTAGTATTATGCATAAATACTCAATAGAGTTTAACTGTTATTATTGAATTTGATATTTTGGTGCTTTGGAATATAAATAAATTATTAAATTATTTTTTGTGTGAATAGAAATTATATTTAATTAAGTCCTGTTGCTTTAACTCACTTGATGTTGGGATACATTAGCCTGATTCTAGATCTGTCTAGTAGATACATCACCAGCCAGACAACTCATTCTTTAGCCAGTGATCATGGTTCCCTTAGCTGATTTCTGGTTTGGATATGTTTTATGCATTAAACAAAATAATGGTCGTAAATTGATTGGCATGTTGTAACATGTTGTAAGTCCTTGATAATTGAAGACTACTATTATTTGATTTTGTGTGTGTGTGTGTGTGTGTGTGCTGTTAGCTGTTACATATTCTTCAATTAATGGTAAGGAAAAAGTGATTCAAAAATTTAAAGTGATTTCTTTAAAGTTCTTCCTCTAGGATTTGGAGCCAAGATGGCTGACTAGAGGCAGCCAGGAAGAAAAATCTCCCACCAAGAGACCAGGCCATGGAGAAAATTGGCACATTCTAAGCACATCTTCAGACGGAGGGCATTGAGAGTGGACAGAGGAAGGACAGAGACCCTGGGATGAAGGGGTTAGAAGTTGGGACCACGCATGGGGCTGCCGAGCACCAGGACTTGTCTCTGCCCGCCCCGTGGCTCCTAGGGAACTGATAAGTTGAACAGGCCAGGAGTGGCCTGCTCTCACCAGGGACCTCCAGAATCCTAGCTGCAAGAGACCCCACAAGCTCCACGACACTTGGGTTTGCAAGGAGGGAAGTTTGGAGAGGCAGCAGGGGCAGGACTCTAGCTTGTGAGGAGCCCAGAATGTTTGGCATGGGAAGGGCTGCAGTGGAGCATGGCCAGGAATGCCTATTTGCCAAAGCTTGTCAAGCTCTTCTAGATGCCTTTGGCCTTTGGTAACTGCCAGACCTGGACAAAGAAGGGCAGTCTTGTCTGTGGGATTGGGGCATCTGGTCTGAGCATCTCCTTGTCTGCTGGCCTCTCCTGGGCTCCAGTCTTCTCACCCCCACTTGCATCTCAGCCTTGGTTGCCCAAGCAGGGTGCTTCCTGGGACCCATCATTATAGCTCCTTCGCTGGAAGACTACACCTAGCAGACCGTGCCTAACCATTGTAGACTTCCAGCAGACTACTCCCCACTGATGTGCAACCATCAACTTGCAGCCTTCCTTGACTGAACCTCACCCCATCCCTTTGCCATCATGCACTTTTCCATGAGCCCAGGCCTTCCCCATGAATCACTTTGTGGGCACATGTGCATAAGCAGACCTCTCCTCCCCTCATCTCCTGTCATGTGCACATGCACCGTGTTGCCCCACTGCTGCTGGCACAAGTATGCACACACGGACACTGTTGCCTCTTTTCTGACAATGCATGAAGGCCAGCATACTGCCCCCACTGGTTCCCTGGCCCTGCCAACATGTGGGCACACCACTGCACCATCACTCTTATGTGTGTGCAGGTGTGGGTCCTGCTGCCATCATCCTGAAGAAGGGCTGTGGCTGGTACCCCACATTAGAGGGTTGTTGCCAGGGGACCAGAAATATTTTGTCCTCCACCCAGCGCTGTGGGTGTCTAACCTCAAGAGGCCAAAGAACAAATCCAGGAACCCAGTACCAGCCCCTCAGGGCTAGAACACACAGTTTAGGAGTGATAAGCCCTCTTGCACCGCTCCCCCCATGAAATCTTCCAAGATGAAGCCAGTTGATTGAATCCACCTTACACCACAATTAAACCCTCAAGGGCATCAAAGATAAAAGCAAAAAACAAATCCAAAACCCATCCAAAAGACAGCAACTTCAAAGATTAAAGGACTGTCTGCCCACGCAGATAAGACAGCACCAGTGAAAGAACTCTGGCAACTCAAAGAGCCACAGTGCCTTGTTACCTCCAAATAACCACACTTGTTAACCAGCAATGGTTATTAACAAGGTTGAAATGGCTAAAAAGACTGACATATAATTCAGAATCTACATAGGAATGAAGTCAGGAGAAAATTGAAACCCAATCCAAGGAGTCTAAGGAGTCCAGTAAAACAATATAAGAAATATGAAACAAAATAGGCATTTTAAGGAAGAACCAAACTGAACTGATAGAGCTGAACAACTCACTACAAGAATTTTGTAATACAGTTGCTAGTATTGACAGCAGAATAGACCAACCTGAGGAAAGAATTCCAGAGGTCGAAGACTGGTTCTTCGAATCAACTGAATCAGACAAAAATAAAGATAAAACAAGACAAAGAATGAACAAAGCCTCCAATAAATATAAAATTATGTAAAGAGACCAAATCTATGACTCATTGGCATCTCTGAAAAAGGGAGAGAGAAAGCAAGCAACTTGGAAAACATATTGGACGGTATTGTTCATGAAAGCTTCCACAACCCCCCTAGGGAGGCCAATATGCAAATTCAGAAAATGCAGAGAACCCCATTGAGATGCTATACAAGATGACCATCCCTAAGACACATAATCATTAGATTCTCCAAGCTCAATGTGAAAGAAAAAATATAAAAAGCAGCCAGAAATTAGGAGCAGGTCATGTACAAAGAGAACCATCAGGCTAATAGCAGGCCTTTCAGCAGAAACCTTACAAACCAGAAGAGATTGGGGAACTATATTCGGCATTTTTAAGAAAAGAATTTTCAACCAAGAATTTCATATCCAGCCAAACTAAATTTCATAAGCAAAGGAGAAATAAAATTCTTTACACACGATCAAATGTTAATGGAACTCCTTACCATCACACTGGTATTGTAAGAGGTCCTTAAAGGGTGTGCTAAACACGGAAACAAAAGATTATTACCTATCACCAAAAAAACACGCTTAGGTTCGAGGCCCACTGACACTATAAAGAAACTATACAATCAAGTCTACATAATAGTCAACAGACAATATAATGATAAGTTCAAATCCTCACAAATCAATATTAAACTTGAGTGTAAATGAGGTAACATCCCACT
Source organism: Homo sapiens (assembly GCF_000001405.40). Lineage (NCBI taxonomy): Eukaryota > Metazoa > Chordata > Mammalia > Primates > Hominidae > Homo > Homo sapiens. The sequence continues at coordinate 94,420,488 of NC_000003.12, forward strand.
TAAAAGGCAAATTGGATAAAGAAGCAAGACCAACTGTAGGCTGTCTTCAAGAGACCCACCTCACATGAAACACCCACAAGCTTGAAGTAAAGGGATGGAGAAAAATCTACCAAGAAAATGTAAAACAAACAAACAAACAAACGGGTTGCTATTCTAATTTCAAACAAAAGAGACTTTAAACCAATAAACATAGAAAAAAGACAAAGGGCGTTTCATAATGGTAAAGGGTTCAATTCAACCAGGAGACTTAACTATTCTAAATATATATGAACCCAACAATGAGGCACCCAGATTCATAAAACAAATTCTTAGAGATCTATGTGAGACTTAGATAACTACACAATAATAGTGGGAGACTTCAAAAGTCCACTGACAGTATTAGATACATCATTGAAGCAGAAAACCAACAAAGACATTCTCAGCACCTGAACTCAGCCCTTGACCAAATGGACCTTGCAGACATCTACAAAACTCTCCTCCCAACAACAGAATATACATTCTTCTCATCTGCACATGGCACATCATCTGAAATCGATCACATTATCAACCACAACAGAATTCTCAGCAAATTCAAAAAAGTCAAAACTATACTAACCACACTCTTGGATCACAGTGCAATACAAACAGAAATCAATACTAAGAGGATGACTCAAAGCCATTCAATTATGTGGAATTTAAACAACATGCTTCTTTTTGACCTTTGGGTAAAGAATGAAATTTAAGGCAGAAATCAAGAAATTCTCTGAAATGAATGAAAACAAAGATAAAACATGCCAGAATTGCTGAAACACAGCTAAAACAATGTTAAGGTGAAAGTTTATAGTACTAAAAAGTTAGAAAGATATCAGATTAATAATCTAATAATCTAACATCTCATCTAGAGGAACTAGAAAAACAAAAGCAAACCAACACCAAAGCTAGCAGAAGACAAGAAATAACCACAGTCAGATTTGAACTGAAGGAAATTGAGGTGGGGAAAACAATAAAAGTATCCACAAAACAAGAGGTTTGGTTTTTGAAGAAATAAATGTGATTGATAGATAGCTAGACTAATAAAGAAAAAAGAGAGAAGGTCTCAATAAACACGATAAGAAATGACAAAGAAGACATTACCCCTAATTCCACAGAAATACAAGAAACCCTCAGAAACTATGATGAACGAGCACCTCTTCACACACAAACTAGAAAACCTACAGGAAATGGATAAATTCCTGGAAACATACAACCTCCCAAGATTGAACTAGGAAGAAACTGAAACCATGTACAGAACAATAACAAGTTCTGAAATTGAATCAGTAATAAAAGGCCTACCAACCAATAAAAGCCCTGTACTAGAGATATTTGCAGCTGAATTTTACCAGATGTATAAAAAAGAGCTGGTACCATTCCTACTAAAACTATTCCAAAACACTGAGGAGGAGGTACTGCCCCCTAACTCATTCTATGAGGCCAGCATCCTAATACCAAAACCTAGGAGAGATACAAAAACAAAAAAACAAAAAAAACAAGAACGTTTCAGGCCAACGTCCTTGATGAACATAGACACAAAAATCCTCACCAAAACAGTAATGAACTGAATCCAGCAGCATGTCAATAAACTAATCCTTCAAGATCAAGGAGGCTTTATCCCTGAGATGTAAAGTTGGTTCAATATACACAAATCAATAAGTTTGATTCATCACATAAACAGAACTAAAAGTGAAAGCCATATGATCATCTCAATACAGGCAGAAAAGGCTTTTGATACAATTCAACATCTCTTCTTGTTAAAAGCCCTCAATAAACTAGATATTAAAGGAAATACCTCAAAATAATAAAAGCGATCTATGGCAAACCCACAGCCAACATCATACTGAGGGGCAAAAGCTGGAAACATTTCCATTGAGAACTGGACAAGGATGCCCACTCTCACCACTCCTATTCAACATAGCACTGGAAGTCCTAGCCAGAGCGATCAGGCAAGAGAAAGAAAGAAAAGGCATCTAAATAAGAAGAGAGGAAATCATACAATCTCTGTTTGTAGATGATATGATTCTATACCTAGAAAAACCCATAGTCTCTACGCCAAAACCCCTATGTCAGATTAACAACTTCAGAAAAGTTTCAGAATACAATATCAATGTACAAACATCAGTAGCATTTCTATACAATAAGAATGTCCAAGCTGACAGCTATGTTAAGAATGCAATTCCATTCACAGTAGCCACAAAAAATAAAAGCCCTAGAAATTCAGCTAATCAGGGAGGTGCGCAATCTCTGAAACAAGAATTACAAAATACTATTGAAATAAATAGGAGATGACACAAAAATGGAAAAATATTTCATGCTCATGGAAAGAAAGAATCAGTATTGTCAAAATGGCAATACTTCCCAATGGAATTTACAGATTCAACACCGTCACTATCAAACTATCAAAGACAGTTTTCACAGAGTTAGAAAAAATTAGTCTAAAATTCATATGGAACCAAAAAAAGGCCTAAATAGCCAAAGCAACCCTAAGCAAAATCAACAAAGCTGGAAGCTTCGTGTTACTTCACAGTAATCCAAACAGCAGGCTACCAGTACAAAAAAGACAGATGGACTAATAGAACAGGTTAGAGAATCCAGAAATAAAGCCACACACATACAATCTTCTGATCTTCAACAAAGTTGACAAAAATAAGCAATGGAGAAAGATTCCCTATTCAATAAATGGTGCTGGGATAACTGGCTAGCCATATGCAGAAGATTAAAACTGGACCCCTTTCTTACATCACATACAAAAAACAATTCAAGGTGAATGAAAGACTTAAGTTTAAGACATAAAACTATAAAACCGCCAAAGAAATCTAGGAAATACCACTTTGGGCATAAGCCCTGGCAAAGATTTTATGACAAAGATGTCAAAAGCGATTGCAATATAAACAAAAAATTGACAAATGGAACCTAATTAAACTAGAGTTTCTACACAGCAAATGAAACTGTCAACAAAATAACAACCTACAGAATGGGAGAAAATTTTTGCAAGGTATGTATTCAACAACGGTCTAATATCAAGAATCTGTAAGAAACTTAAACAAGTCAGTAAGCAAAAAACAAACAACCTCATTAAAAAGTGGGCAAAGTACATGAAAGAACACTTTTCAAAAGAAGACATACATGCAGCCAGCAAGCATAATAATAAAAAAAGCTCCACATGACTAGTAATTAGAGAAATGCAAATCAAAACCACAATGAGATACTATCTTATGTAAGTCAGAATTTCCATTATTAGAGAGCAAAAAATCAACAGATGTTGGCAAGGCTATGGAGAAAAGGAAACACTTATACACTGCTGGGGAATGTAAATTAGTTCAGCCACTGTGGAAAGCAGTTAAGTAATTTCTCAAAGAACTTAAAACAGAACTGCCATTTGACCCAGCAATCCCATTTTTGGATGTACATACAGAGGAATATAAATCATTCTACTAGAAAGATACATGCAGTCATATGTTCATTGCAGCACTATTCACAATAGCAAAGATATGGAATCAACCTAAATTCTCACCAATGGTAGACAGGATAAAGAAAATGTGGTACATATACAACATGGAATACTACGTAGCTATAACAAAGAATGAGATCACGTGTTTTTTTTTTGTAACAACATGGGTGGATCTGGAGGCCATTATCCTAAGCAAACTTCCTGAAGAATAGAAAATGAGTTTTCTCATTTATAAGTGGGAGCTAAACACTGAGTACCCATGGACACAAAGAAGGGGAAAATAGATTCTGGGAATTACTTGAAGGTGGAGGGTGGGAGGAGGATAAGGATCAAAAAGCTACCTATCAGGTTACTATGCTTATTGAACCTGGGCAACAAAATAATCTGTACCAAACCCCTGTGACACCCAGTTTACCTGTATAACAAACCTGCACATGTACTCTTGAAGCTAAAATAAAAGTCTAAAAAAAAAAAGACAAAGTTTGTTCTCGATTCTATGTATTTTCACTTTTGAGAAAAGTAGATCAAATCAAACTAGCTTAAGAAAGATTTTGTTTAAGATTCTGTGGTAGCTAACAATGTCAAAGGCAAAGCTGACCACTCAGTTTATGTGTGTATGTGCTTCTTGGCACCTGCAGCGTGGAATTTTTTTTTCAAGCAATTAACTTTTTCTGTATTTCATCTTTTAAAGCATTTCCCCATATTATTTGAAGATACAGATAACTATATAGATTTACTGTAATCAATTATAATTAAAAATATTATGAGTTCATGTCCTTATCAGGGACATGGATGAAGCTGGAAACCATCATTCTCAGCAAACTATCGCAAGGACAGAAAACCAAACACCACATGTTCTCACTCATATGTGGCAACTGATCAATGAGGACACAGGGCAGGGAACATCACACACTCAGGCCTGTCAGCAGGAGGAAACCTGGGGGAGGGATAGCATTAGGAGAAATACCTAATGTAAATGATGAGTTGATGGGTGTAGCAAACCAACATGGCACACGTATATATCTATGTAACAAACCTGCACGTTGTACACATGTACCCTAGAACTTAAAGTATAAAAAAAATATAATTCAGGTGTTAAATTTCTTGGGAAAGGCCTTAACATTTTCATATAAGAGTTTCATTCATAATTCATATTATAGTAGGCATAGTGGTTAGGAGCTGGATTCTAGAACTAGATACCAGTGTTTGAATCCTGATTTTGCCATATACTAGATTTGGGACTGCAGAAAATTAAATTCTCTGAGCCAAAGTTTTCCAACTTAAATCAGAATACTAAGAATACCTATCTTGTAGAGTTGGTGTGAGCATTAATTGAGTTAATATATGCAGTGTACACAGAAGAGAGATTAATGTTATTATTGTTATTACTACAGAAACACAATTTTAAACATAATTTTGTCTTGAGAATGTAAAATATTTTAAATATCAAGAAAATTGATTTAATACTATTTAATATAAAGGTTAGTACTTTTTGTAATTTTTTGAAAATATTTAATCTTTCAAATATAGCTCTTTGTGTTCTAACTGCACAGATGTTAGAGCTTTTAAGCCATACCTCATATTTCTATTATGTTCTTTTTGCATATTCTATCTTTTTCTCTTTATACATTAATGGAGATATTTTCAACTATTCTGTAAGTTTGCTAATCTTTGTTTCAGCTATGGCTAATATGTGTTAATTTAATTTTATAATTTTCATTTGATTCTTTTATATAGATTCTAAAATTCTGCTGCTTTGCCCAACTTATATTTAATTTTCCTAGCTATATTAATAACAGATATTTTAAATTCCATATTTGATAATTTTAATATAAGATTCATTTGTGGGCATTTATCTATTATCTATTTTTTCTTTACTTTTTAGTATTCTGTTCTTATTGTCTGGTGTGATAGGTAATTTTTGATTGAATGCTGAACATTGGTAAAATAAATTTGGGTGATACTTGATTTTCTGAATACAATTCTCTTCCTCAGGGAGGCCTTCCTGTTGCTTCTGGCAGACTATTACAGAAGATTCAGATAATCTTAATTCAGTTGTAAAGACATGACTACATGTGATTAGCTCTTCTTTCTGCAATATAGTAATTTACAAATCCCAACAGGAAGCTTGTCATGTTTATCAAGTGATCCTCTTTGGTAGTTCCTGAGCTTCAATGTTATGCACTCTCCCATAAGATTACTCCAAGTCTGCTGGCCTTCTCAGACACTGCTTTCTGCATCTCTGTGCTTGGATCTAGACCACAATTTCTTATAAACGAGAAAATGCTATAGCTAAAATGGGCCAATGTACACCTCAGGCTGTTGCTTCAGAGGCTGCAAGCCCCAAACATTGGCAGCTTCCACATGTGTTTGACTTATGGGTACACAGAAGTCAAGAATTGAGGTTTGGGGACCTCCACCTAGATTTCAGAGGGTGTATGGAATGGCTGGATGTCCAGGCAGAAGTCTGCTGCAGGGGCAGAGCCCTCATGGAGAACCTCTAGTTTAGTACAGGGGAGAAATGTGGGGTTGGAGACCCCACACAGAATCCCACTGGGGCACTGCCTAGTGGAGCTGTGAGAAGAAGGTCACTGTCCTCCAGATGCCAGAATGGTAGACACACTGACAGATTGCACTGTGCACCTGGAAAAGCCACAGACACTCAACACTGGCCAGTGAAGGCAGCCAGGAGGGGAGCTGTACCTTACAAAGCCACAGGAGTGGAGCTGCCCAAGGCTGTGGGAGCCCATCTCTTGTGTCAGTATGCCCTGGATGTGAGACATGAAGTCAAAGGAGATCATTTTGGAACTTTAAGGTTTGACTGTCCTATTGGATTTTGGACTTGCACGGAGCCTGTAGCCCCTTTGCTTTGGCCTCCCATTTGAAACTGGTATATTCACCCAATGCCTGTACTCCCATTGTATCTAAGAAGTAAGTATCTTGCTTTTGATTTTACAGGCTCATAGGTGGAAGGGACTTGTCTTATCTCAGATGAGACTTTGGACTTGGACTTTTGAGTTAATTCTGGGATGAGTTAAGACTTTGGGGGACTGTTGGAAGGGCATGATTGTGTTTTAATATGTGAGGACATGAGATTTGGGAGGGGCCAGGGGAAGAATAATATGGTTTGGCCATGTCCCTACCCAAATCTCATCTTGGATTCTAGCTCCCATAATCCCCATGTGCGGTGGAAAGGACCCAGTGGGAGGTAACAGAATCATGGGGGTGGGTTTTTCCCATGTTATTCTCATGAGAGTCAATAAGTCTCATGATATCTGATGGTTTTATATAGGGCGGTTCCCCTGCACACATGCTCTTGCCTGCCACCCAGTAAGATGTGGTTTTGTTCCTCCTTCGCCTTCCGCCATGATTGTGAGGCCTCCCTAGCCATATGGAACTGTGAGTCCATTAAACTTTTTCTTTATAAATTACCCAGTCTTGGGTATTTCTTCCCGGAAGTATGAAAATGGGCTAGTAAAGGGGAAAAAAGTGCTAAATACCAGGCTAGTTTCTATGCTTCTTTTTTGGGGGGATTTTGGTCTTTAAATTCTTCTGCTATGGAAGCTCTTCAACACCTTCAAACACAAATTTAAAAACATTGTATTTAGCTTCTCTGAATGTTCTCAGTGGGATGGTTCATATAAAAATACCAGTCAGCATACTTATGTGTGGAGAAGTTAGTACCTTCATTCTAGAAGAATGCATTGTCACACTGTCAAAGTCCTCTATCTTTCACTTGCAAAAGCTGAGTTTATTTTACTTCAAACATTTTTCTCTTATACACACACATAGGTTTTCACCTGTTTTATTTTTTCTAGCCCTTAATGCTAGCTCCCAAATTTTGGTTACTTTTTCAGGGAAATCATTTCCAGTTACTATTTTATATGGGAGTTATAATGTCCCCAGCTCAAATTAAGAGTAACTATAGTGCTAGTTTTACAAATACACTAATAAAAAGGAAAGCTGTAAGTCTTGATATGTAATACGATATCAAAATGAACCACTATTCCTACCAAATAAAGCCTCTTTAAAATTCTATAATGTACTCAATATGGATCTCCACAAAACAAATGCCTTGCTTATCTTCCCTTTCCCAATTTAAACTGCAGAAATACAGTTTTAAAAATAAAACATTTTGATGTTTATTTGAAATCAAAATTGAGCAATAATGATAAAATTAGAGGAATAACTATTTATTGAATAAAATTTTGTTTGAATAAAATACTGCTTTCTATATGGGATCCAAATATTTTTACACCTCTCTATTCTTCCCTGCTCCTGATTATTTAGCTATATACTTTTGCCACAATTAGCAGGATCTAATATATACTTTTTGAAGCTTTTCTGTTTTCAATTGTCTAAATAAAAAAGGTGCTTAGCCAAAAAAGTCAGTGCTGCTTTCAAATGCCAAGTGGTCCTTTGCTTTTAACATAATTGAAACTTAAGCTTCATAGATAAACACAACCTTGTGCATGCTGTGATGAAAAAATTTGCTGGTTCAAATCTCTTTTACTAAGATATTGTTTTTAAAAATTGACCACTTTATCAGGGGGATAAAATCAACCTTGCTCTATCTTAGCTGGCGCTGAACCTGGATCACTGGTCCTGACTTACCCTTTACTTCTGTTGTGTTTCATTTGTCTCTTTCTGCATTTCTTTTTCCTGCAGCAGTTCTCCTTGAGACCCTCTCAATACATTGACACCTCTATTAAATTGGAAGTTAGGGTTAGAAATGTAATCCCTTTTTTCATTAAAGGCTCCTTGACACCTATATAAATTTACCCATTTTTCCCTCACAAACTTAATCTGAATCAAGATTTTGCAAGATGCAGACTTTGCCAGGCCACACAAGCTCTTGTTTTAACTTCCTCTGGGGAAATAGCAGCTTGAATAATTGACTGATTCATATAGAGGCTAATTATGTGTTTAAGAATCAAAAAGATCTCCTCTAAGGTGATCTTGTGTTCATCTTCTGTGTAACTAATTAGCAATTTTTCTGGATCAAAAAGTATTTTTCAATTGTTACCTGACCTAAAACATTTTAAGATATTTTATTGTAGAAGGAGAGATGGCATGTAGACAGATAACGATAAGCCAGAGTGGGAAAAGTACCCTAAAAGTCATAAAACAGAAATGCTTTAGAAATTTAGAGGATAAAATGGTTACTCTTTACAAATCCCCCCACCTCCAAAAAATAGCAAAAGGGAATACTTGACTTGGCAATTAGGCTTTTGTGACCCACCTTGGAATGCGATCCTTGTGTCTGTAGAAGAAACATATTAATGAATCCAAATCATTGATGCACAAACAGGTTTAGATCCCAATTCCTCCTAAATAGGGGGCTGCTTATCTTTCTGCTACTTTTTTGCCCCTTCGATATTTTGGGTGGAAAAGTATTTAAAGTAAATTTAATAAATGTGAGAGAATTTGGCACTTTGAAGAGGACAAAAAGAATTTTAATGTGAGTTGCTTGATTTTGTGTACAATTATAAAATTAAAGGTTTTACCTAATTTACACAGAAGCATTCAGGAATTCACCTGTGGGGGAAGGTGTGGTATACCTGCTTTCTGCTACAGATAAGAGTTAGATGCATTACAACACATGCATTCCTGCTATGGTTCTTTCTCCCTTTTCTTTCAAGTATTAATGAAAGTAGTTTCTGATCCAGAATGGCTATTTGTCATGGACTACATTTATTTCTGTGTCTTAGTTCTTATTATGGAGAACATCATTGGAAAGACATCATATTTTCATAGATGACTAATCTATGATTAAGACAGATCACTCATTGCTTCATAAGTAACATCTGGCATCAAAGATAAGTCCATTGACTTGAAATCTCATAAAGTGTAACATCATTAGATTGAAGAAAAGACTGTCATTATTTCTAGTTATAATGAAAGATTTCTAGGAGGAAGTCACATAAAGGTACTTTATAATTTTCCCCAAAGATCTATAAAGTGTCAAACATATTTTTTGGAGTTATCCTAGAAGTTTGCTTCCCCAGGACAGCAGGTCCTTGAAGAGTGAGGAAGTAATGCTGAGGTACAGAATATGCTTTGCAGAGTGGCCTCCAATTTGCTAACAGTTGTTTTGCTGATCTATAACCACAGATACTAAAAGAAGAGAGAAAATTGATTTCTAATGAAAAATACATTTCTGTAGCCAATATGGTTCATAAACATTATTGCTTTCCCTCCAGATAATAAATTTTAGTGAAAAATTTCTGCACAGAATTACATCATTGATAGGTTTGAATTGATGAGAAAGCTTTACGTTTTCTGGGAATAAATCAAGAATTCTTTTATTTGTTTCCCAATCTATAATGATGTCAAGTTAATGCTGGGAACTCTCCTGAGTTTGTATTGGGTAATTGTTTCTTTAACAAACAAAATAACAAAAATCACAGTTAGTATTAATATGTTCCTAAATTATTATAAAATAATAATAAAGACTCAGAGAATAATAAAACAAGGAAGAATTTGTTTAAAGAAAGTCCTATCTGGAGCTTTATTTCAGAAATTAAATATTTTCAATAATTTCATTACTCTAATTCTGATTGCTTGATTGTTTTTGAAAAGTTTTGCTCATCTATCTTTCATAGGGTGCAATGAAAAAATTCTATTTATACTGTTCTTTGAAAATAATGTAATTTTAAAATAATTAAAATAATATGTACTTAAGGTGAAAAGGAGTATGAGTTGATGGGTATTATACACTTTTCATTTATAGTATATATAAAATAATGTATCTATAAATTGAAAAATCTATAGATGCTATACCATATTAAAACATACATACATACAGTTTTTGAAAGCATTCTCTATTTTTAATTTGCATATTTTTAACTGATAACTTTCCTCCTCTAAGAAACGGGTGGGATAGAATCAGAAAGCAGAAGGGGGCTGAATTTATGGTACATACAAAGTTGTTTCTGTAAACACTACCTTGAATTCTGATTAAATTATCATTAATTTTTTTTAATATTTTAAACAAATAATTAATTTCAGAAAAGCTATCCCCATTAATATATATTTTCCTTTGCCAAACATTAATCTTCCTTTAAATCTTGGTTACCCTGTTTGTAAAAGAAAACCAAAAGCAAAATTCCAAAAAAAATAAAAAAAACCCCAAAAAACCACAAACACAAAAACTGCCAAATAAACCCTATAGTGTTCAAATGATCATAAATGACAGTCTTAAGAAAGACTAAAAATGTATTTACTAAATAGATTCTCTTGAAGCTTTGTACGTTAATGTGTATGTGTGTGTGAATTTAAAATACAAAAGCATTTATGGAATATATGGTTTGCTTTTTAAAAACTTCATGATAATCTTTGAAGAAAAGGGAATTAACATTTTAAAAATACTAATTGCCTGGTACTCTGCCAGTTGCTCTACATTTATATTTTTAAATCTTTTTCATAATTCTATAATACATTTTTACTCATTAGGCCATTGAAGCTCAGAAAAGGTAAGTAAAGCATTCAGGGTTACACAGCTATTGCATGCCGGAAATATGTTTCAAATATATAAATACCTAACTTAAAAAGACCATGTTCTCCGGGAGGCGGAGCTTGCAGTGAGTCGAGATCGCGCCACTGCACTCCAGCATGGGCGACAGAGCGAAACTCCGTCTCAAAAAAAAAAAAAAAAAAAAGACCATGTTCTTTCCATTACATCTCTCCAGGGACATCATTGTTTGTTCAATTATCACAGTCTTAGAGAAGTCTACTTGTGGAAATATTGATCAGCTGTCAGCAACAGTTAGACCTAAACTTAGCTTTTAGTTAAGTAGATTTTCTACATAAGGCAAAACTGTCTGGACTGAAAACATTTCTGTTAAATGGGAGAAGCAAGGCCCATTTAAAAGTAAGAAAAAAGTGTAAAGGGTCTGTTATTTTACTCTGTTTGCAAAGTAATAACTGAGTCTGCAGTTTCTCTCTCTTTCTCACACACACACACAAACACACACACGCACACACCACTCAAGAACATAATATTTCTGGGTCAGAGAAATCATTTTTTGCTTACGGCAAAAAGCAGCAGCTAGAGCAATAACTTGCCACAGCCTCTCATGTTCCACTTCTCACAGGGTGAGATGATAAATGCCAGATATTTATCTGCCTGTGCAATGTGTTGCTTCACAGGAGAAGAACCCCAAACTTCGGAGGCTGTGAACTTTTATTGGGGTAGTCTGGAGAGAGATTACTCATATTACCTTGGAATATAAGCAAATCTCTAGGATAGCAGAGGAAGGCATTTCTAGATTTATTTATTACTCTGGAATGTGAGGAAAAAGTCTCTGGGTGGCAGTGGGAGAGGAAAAGCTGTTACCTTTACTATTGTGAAATGTCTGTAAATTTTTCTGGAGGAATACATCATCACTAGCTTCCATATTCAAACATATCCTTTGCTCAGAAGGCCTAGAATATGCAGGAATTCAGGATATTCATGGAAACTTGTCTCTCAACAAAGCCTTGGCATCAATAATTCACATGTTTTGCTGGACCACTTCTATAACCTCTGGTTTGAACTGTAGCTTATATATTTAATGAGCTATTCTTTATTTTTATTTCTTTCCTTTCTATATTTTGGTGAGATTATTAGCCCTAGAAAACAAAGCATGAAACAGCAGCTTAAGTCCAAGTAGTCTAATTGAAAGCATGATGTTTGGCAGCAGGAGCAAGAGATAACAGTGAGTGAAACAGGAAAGGAAGGAGGGAAAGCCAATACAAGCTTATACTTTCAAATTTCCTCCTTGTGGTTCTTCAGATATTCCATGTTCTGAGGGCAGGTGCCCTTCTGTCTTCTTGTAGCTCATGATGAATGGTAGCTGGTATGGAGTTGTATTACATCACATTGGTCACATATGTTGTTGCTTCAACTTCTTTCCCTCACCTCCTGTTCTTGCTTCCATGCTCCCACATCAAGCGTTTTCCCCTTTACCTTGGCTTTAGGCTCTGCTTTCCAGAGGATTTGGCCAAGACAAATATTTTGAAGTTTAAGAAACACTTCCACAAACATCATCTTACATATATCATTTTTAAATTAAGATATTTAAAAATCAAACTGATATCACGAACATAGTTGAACTATTAAATTTTTTAAAGTTCTTACATAGAAAAACAGCAATCTCCTGCCCTACTGCCTCCCTGTTCTGCCAATTCAATACCCAGAGGTGCTATTTTTCAACTTTTGAGCAGTAACTTTCATTTACTTAAGTATCTGTTTTATATGTGTAAGAAGTTTCAAAAACTATCACTTTTAGGGAGTATGTCTTTACTACTTTATAGATAGCTGAGGGGTTATCACCTTTACAGTGATTAGGCTTCTTCCTTCTGCTCATCCCATTCACTGATTTGCTTTTCTTTTGATTAATAATTGCCTTATTTTTCAATTTGCTGTTTTATGCATACCTATAATCAATTTTTCCCCAACTTTTTCTAACACAATCTACTAAATACAATAATCCTATTTCCAAGCACCCCAATATTAAATAATATTTCAGTCTTATTTCATTTTCTTAGAAATCTCTTCTCCCGTATCTCTATCAATTTGCTCTAATCTGGAATATTTAATCTCTAGGACTAATGCACAAATGTTATCCTGGCATTTTTCTTAGTTTCTCTCCTCTGTTAGATATCCTTTTTCGTGAATCATTTCTTCCATTTTCTTGGTTTACATTTTCATTTTGCTGGCATACATTTTTAGCTTTCTTAAAAAGATCCATATTTTGAGGCCCATTGAACTAGGCATTTATAGGGCTCATCCACATTCAAAGTTGGAGAGAAAGATCACTTGGATTTGGCTCAAATTGCTTTTACTTTGATTTATATCAAACTAGAAAACAATATTAGAAAATATATGGGATTTATATATGGTGTATAAATGTGTAAGTGTGTACAGCCCAGATTTTACTTAAAGTTTTGTGATCAATGCAGCCTGCACATAGTACACAAGCCTCAAGATCCTAAATACTACAAACTGCATGCTTGCTGCTTTTTATTCTATTAGCTTGGTAGGAGGGGTCATGTCAGCATTCAAGGGTCTGACTAATGCTTTCCTGTCTTGTAAGTTACTGTAGCATTTGGCTGGGATCAAAACTCTTTGTTTATGTGAAAATGTTTTTATTTTCCTTGAATTCTTGATTTATAGTTTGGCTAGAGAGAATATTCTGAATTGAAAATCATTTTTCCCCCAATTTTGGATGCATGGCCTAACTTTCTTTTAACCTCCAATATTGCTCTTAAGTAATCGAATGTCATCCTCACTTTTATTCAATTCATTGTGTCATTTTTTTCCTCCACTCTTACAAATCTGTGGTCTTCCCTATAACCCACTGAGTTACTTCACTCACGAGCCTTCTCCAACCTCCTTCCCACCTCCATGACATTGGTAGAAGTTGCAGGGGTAGAAAGGCAGGGAACTTTCTGGTTAGATGCAAATTTATTACCTGCCGTTGGCTCTCTTCAGGAACTTTAATAAACATATTTTATTTTAAAGTGACAAATCATAATTATATATATTTATGGGGCACTTTTCATAGTTCAATAAAGTGTCTTTAGGTTTCTCTCTCTTCTATTGTTTTATATCACCAGGACTGTTCAATTCAAGAAAGATCTATATTGATCAAAAGAATATACCTGATATGTTTGACAATGAAATCCAGAGATGAATCATAGTCAGAAGTTCAGGGGTGATGGACTGATGCTCAGCACTGAGCTTGTTTAAATAGAACAACTTATGTGAAGTAAAAATGAAAATTATGGTTAAAGAACTGAATGCAAGTTTATAAACACTGATAATGTGGAAATAATCAACAAAAATCAGTAAGTCATGAGAAGTTTAATAATTCCTATATACCCACTTTTTAAACTAGCACATAATAAATGAACAATATCCTAGTCTAGTAATTAAAGAAATAATGGTTTGAGTATGTCCAAAAATTACATATGTAATCTACTTCAAAACTGATTTAATAATTAGAGATCATCCACTGTAAGAACTCGATTATGATATTCTCTTTGGATGAAAAATTTATCAAATTATTAATGTTTCTTCTCATGTTCCCCTCCTTTTAAGGAAGAAGTATCCATTTCTTGTTATATCTGCTGCTGTAACTGTTATTCAAAACAGTTTCTTTCAGTTTCTTTATTCAAAAAGAAATTATTCAAAACAGAGTCATTGAAGAGACATTGCACTTGAGAGGATGGGCATGGCAGATGCTAAGTATCACTTGACATAGATAGAAGAATAAGGATATCATGAAACATTACATGTATCAATTTATTTTACAGACCAATATATATTCTAATTGCTTTTAAATTATTATAGCTTTTTTATTGATATTTCCTGAATGGAAGTTCATGCTGTGATTGGGCCACAAGGGAGCTTAACTTTAGGTGGTAAGCCTTTGCAAATACTAGCCTGTGTATTTTGTAAGATTACACTTACCAGTTTACATATATTCAATGTTTTAAGAGAAAGAAAAATGTAAGCAAAATGCTTTATTAACCTCTTCAATTGAAAAATAAAATAGTAATGTTAGCCACAAATAAGTCAACTATCATTCTTTCTTTGTTTTCCCACTTGCCATTCATAGATCTTAGTAAAAACAATTTATCTGTGCTATAAATACAGGTCTATTTATTTCTTGTACAATTGTAGGATAGAATTAATAAAGCTTTAGAGTTGTAAGGGACCTAGAAGTTTAAGTGACTTGTCCAAGTTCCCTCAGGTAGTTAATAGCAGAGAATGACTTAGAATTCAGGTTTTTGGGCTGATGATTTTCTTTGCACGATAGTATGCTGTCTCTAAAGCTGTGAATCTCAAATTTTGATGCATAATATTCATTGGGAACCACTAGACAATCTTTCAGAACCGGGGTCAAATGCAGAAATAAGCATTCTTAAGAAGTACTCCAGTTGTCATAGTCCACACTTTGGGTATACATTGTCTTAAGGTTGCTTCTCTTAAAGCTGTTAGTGGTCACTTGCTTTCACAAAATATTTATATCAAATTGTTTTCAGGCCTGATTAATGATAGTGGAGTAGTTTTTGTTTTCATCCTTGCAGAAAGAAATCAGATAAAATCTGACCTTATTGTGTGTTATTGTAAACTTTTCAAAAGTTGAAAACTGGTTATTGTCAAAATAATTATACAAAGTGGTTATTTCACATCATGGTTGACTTGGATTAACCTCTTTGATATGTGCACAAATTTTTAGCAGTTTAAATCATTTAAATCTCAGTCCTAGAAACTCATCTCAAATTCCTTTTCTATAGGCAGTAACAACTTTTAGGGGAATAGAATTTCTGTATATCTCATCTTCAGCATTATTTCATGTTTTTCTTCAACTGCATTATAAAACTTTATGAACCTGGGCTGTAATACAACAATATAGTTTACAGTCCATTGGTGTTGCTGCGGTCAGTCTTCTGAGATGCCTTTGTGGACGTGATTCTGCAGATAATGGGCTGTTTCAGTTCTGCTTGAGCTTTCATTGCTATCTCCACCCCAGCAACAGCTGTGTTTTACTGTTTTCCTTTGGAATACATAAATAAAGGGGAGAACATGGGTATTCTTTTAAATATTACTTCCCAATCAATACTTGTTGTAACTAAATAGAGTGTTTGGTTGTTTCGAAAGACATTATGAAAATTCATGGCAATTTAGCATATTTTCATAAATTATATACATATACACAAATAGAACATATATGAATTATATATAAGTTATATATATATTTAATTATATAAGTTATATATATATTTAATTATATAAATTATATATATGGAACATTCTCCATGACAATTCTGAATCACCTTCTGAAAGTTTTCTGTCAAATTCTAGTAAGCCTTGTTTTTGGCAAATTAACTGTTTTAGTGAAACAATCGTGTTCTTTCATAAGAAAATGGAAAATAAAACAACACAAATAAAGTCATTTAGCTTGGAAGAAGTTATAGAATTATCCAATTCAGAGGTTGACAAACTATGACCTGTGTGTCCAGTCTGGTCCCCTGCATGTTATTATAAATAACGTTTTATTGGTATACAACTACTATCATTTCATTTTTCTATTGTCTGTACATGCCCAGGTTATAACAGTGGAGTTCAGTTGTTGTGAGAGATACCATATGACCTATAAAGTCTAAAATATTTATTATTTGACCCTTTATAGAAAAAGTTTGCTGAATCCTCATCTAACGCAATTGTTTGAAGCTTTTACAGAATTTCTGGAAAGCTTTTGAAAAAATACAGAAGTCTGGATCCTATACTTAAGGATTGATATGGTTTGGCTCTGTGTCTCCACCCAAATCTCATGTCAAATTGTATTTCCCATATGCTGAAAGTGGAGCCTGCTGAAAGGTGATTGGATTATGGGGGCAGTTTCTAATGATTTAGCACCATCCTCCTGGTGCTCTCTTGTGGTAGTTCTCACGAGCTCTGATGGTTTGAAAGTGCGTGGCAATTCCCCGCTTGCTCTCTCTCTTTCCTGCTTCCATGTAAGATGAGTCTTGCTTTCCCTTTGCCTTCCACCATGATTGTAAGTTTCCTGAGGCCCCCCCAGCCATGTGGAACTGTGAGCCAATTAAAATTCTTTTCTTTATAAATTATCCAGTCTCAGGTAATTCTTTATAGCAGCGTAAAAGTGGACTAATACAAGTATTTAAATTTACTTGGTTTGGGAAGGTGCTTAGAGCTTCCTACCTAATTCAAACGTGTAGTTAGAATTGAAAACCACCAACTGACTTCTACAATAAATTACATTATTCACAAAGTACATTGCATTTTTCTGAGAGGGTAGGAGGCCAACCAGAGAGACTCAGACTTGTTAGTTATGGCCTCAGATAAAAACAAAGACATATAACTTAACTAAGGTGACTTTCATTTTTTTATTGTTTGATCAAATAGAATTTTCATGAATGACCTGGCATGACTTGAGATGATCCTAGAGAAATTGAGCACTATGTAAAATAGATAATTGTGGTTCAGAGGAAGGAAATATTACTTTGAGTTGAAGTGTCAGAGAAGACATCACAAATGAATATCTTTAACTGTGACTAGAAGCTTCAAATACTGGTAGGATTCAATGATGCAGACATGGGTACTGTAGATATTATATTTGTTGCATTTTTTTTTCTTCTCTGCAAGTCTGCCCTGAAGTCCAAGGAATCAGAGTTTTTCCACTGTGGCTTACCTCGCCCATTCAATTAAACAAAATGTATTAATTCAGGCACGCAGTGCCATGAAGTGTTGAGCATATCACAGAAAACAAGACAGATGTGGAGCTTGCTCTATAGAAGATCTCCATGCAGTAACAATATGGCATAATAAATGCTCCGGTGAGAGAAGTACAGGGTACCTTCAGGTCATATAGTATAGTTACCTTACTTAGCCTTGCATACTCTGAGAAATCTTTTTAGACTAAATAAATTCCAAGTTGGAACATTTTGAAAGATTGGTATGGAATAGGGTGAAATAGGGACTAGTCAAAGGTAGAAGGATGGGAAGAATAAATAAAGAAATGGTAAAAATTTGGCCAGGTCTGGTGGCTCATGCCTGTAATCCCAGCACTTTGGGAGACTGAGGTGGGCAGATCATGAGGTCAGGAGATCTAGACCATCCAGGCTAACACGGTGAAACTCCATCTCTACTAAAAAACATACAAAAAAAATAGCCAAGTGTGGTGGTGGGCACCTGTATTTCCAGCCACTCTGGAGGCTGAGGCAGGAGAATTGCTTGAACCCAGGAGGTGGCGATTGTAGTGAGCCAAGATCATGCCACTGCACTCTAGCCTGGGCTACAGAGCGAGACTCCATCTCAAAAAAAAAAAATTTTTTTTGCAACCTACTCATCTGACAAAGGGCTAATATCCAGAATCTACAATGAACTCAAACAAATTTACAAGAAAAAAACAAACAACTCCATCAAAAAGGGGGCAAAGGACATGAACAGACACTTCTCAAAAGAAGACATTTATGCAGCCAAAAAACACATGAAAAAATGCTCATCATCACTGGCCATCAGAGAAATGCAAATCAAAACCACAATGAGATACCATCTCACATCAGTTAGAATGGCAATCATTAAAAAGTCAGGAAACAACAGGTGCTGGAGAGGATATGGAGAAATAGGAACACTTTTACACTGTTGGTGGGACTGTAAACTAACTAGTTCAACCATTGTGGAAGTGGGTGTGGCGATTCCTCAGGGATCTAGAACTAGAAATACCATTTGACCCAGCCATCCCATTACTGGGTATATACCCAAAGGACTATAAATCATGCTGCTATAAAGACACATGCACACGTATGTTTATTGCGGCACTATTCACAATAGCAAAGACTTGGAACCAACCCAAATGTCCAACAATGATAGACTAGATTAAGAAAATGTGGCACATATACACCATGGAATACTATGCAGCCATAAAAAATGATGAGTTCATGTCCTTTGTAGGGACATGGATGAAATTGGAAATCATCATTCTCAGTAAACTATCGCAAGAACAAAAAACCAAACACCGCATATTCTCACTCATAGGTGGGAATTGAACAATGAGATCACATGGACACAGGAAGGGGAACATCACACTCTGGGGACTGTTGTGGGGTTGGGGGAGGGGGGAGGGATAGCATTGGGAGATATACCTAATGCTAGATGACGAGTTAGTGGGTGCAGCGCACCAGCGTGGCACATGTATACATGTGTAACTAACCTGCACAATGTGCACATGTACCCTAAAACTTAAAGTATAATAGTAAAAGAAAAAAAATGGTAATAATTTGGGAGTGATTAGCACAGAGTACAAGTTGGGTGATATTGTGGACATGAGTTGAAGAGTAAGTAAAATTCACATTTGAAGGGCTTTTATTTATATGTTTATTTATTTTAAATTAATAAAAATATTTTATTGAATTTCAGGAACTTGGTATTTTTTTAAGATTTCAAATCTTT
Source organism: Homo sapiens (assembly GCF_000001405.40). NCBI lineage: Eukaryota > Metazoa > Chordata > Mammalia > Primates > Hominidae > Homo > Homo sapiens. The sequence goes on from NC_000003.12 coordinate 94,439,915, forward strand.
GCACACAAGTTTCCACTACACTTTCTAAAATAGTGGAAGTTAGGACATCAAGAATGTCACTTATCTTCTTGTGTCACGTAGCATAGACATCCCAAGTCCCAACACTGCCCCCTGACTCCCTTTCTGGCCATGAACCAAAGAAGAATACAAAAGGGAAGCTCACGTATGATCCAAATTAGGAAGTGCATTCCAAAGTGTATGTGGTATGATTTGGGGGTTGATTTTCCCCTCACTTCAGTATAGTATGCTCATGGACAGGTGATCTCTTTAAATTTCTATCCATTTCCATCATTGTCCTCTGCTACAATAATAGAGTAGTTGGTAGTCATGAAGGGCTTTTTAAATGCCATGTTGAGGAGTGTGGAGTTTCTACAAAACAATAGGAGACCCTAAAAGTGTGGAACTGTGGAATGACAAATCAGACGGCAAATGTATTATTATGCTGATATGTGGGGGAAAGATTTAAGAAGGGGCAGGCCTTGAGATAAGAAATTCAATTATGTGTCTGATATAGTATTTCAAGACACTGGTCCAATGAAGCACAGTGATAACAACAGTGAAAGAGATAAGCAGACGAGTTTCAAAGATAATCTGGAGGTGCAATAGATACAGGATATGGAGATTGTTTATGTATTGCATATGAAGAAAGAATCATCAGGGATGACAGAAGATCTGGCTCCATCTTTGCCCCAAAAAAATAATTTGGATTGTGTAATATTGACTTATGGAATTTACTACTTCAGTATTATATCTCTCTTGCCTCCAACTCTGCTACTAAAATAACCATAAAAAAACCCTCTGGCTCTACTGAGACCACCAATACAAAGTCAATTTGCTTCATGACCCTTGAGGAGAGGGTTGATTTGGAGGATTACATTTTGTAATTCACTGGGGGCTCATGCTGAAATGAACTGTGACACATTCACAACTATCTTAATATTGCAAAATGTAGAAGGAAAAAATATTTGCATACCTCTGTCTGCCAACCTTGGACGAGAAACCCCTTTCACCTTAAAAATCCATTCATCCTTCCAAATGATCCCATTTAATATATGACTCATTCATTCAACTGCCATACTTGAAACATTTAAAGGATCCATGGGCCATTTACTTCTTTTAGAGATTGTTAGCAATGGTATCTTGGGGATTTATGCTTCCTTTACCATGTTTCGTGAACTGTGAGGTGGGTCTTTGCTATCATTTATCCTAGTCCTGGAAAAGCAACAGCAAGAATAAGAGAAAAATAGTAAGGGAGGCAATGTTTGTATTTATTGTTTGTACACTGAGCATTGGCAAAACAGTATTCTGCATTCAAATGATAAATATTCAGCAAGGGATGTATCAGGCATAGAATTACCAAGTGAAATGAATAGGTTTTATCTGTATTCACATTGATTCCAGGTTAGTCATACATCATCTTTATTTAAAATAGCACATGGCTTGCTATGAAAGCAATGTGTTCCTGCATTCTTTTTGTATAACTCACTGCACTTTGACTCCATGTATTGTAAAGTTTTCTCTCTCACTTTCATAGCCAAACATTAAATGTAAGTCGTTGTGGGGATTGGAACTAGCTGAAATTAGCTATCCTATTTTAAAAATGTAATTTATTCTTTCCTTTGCTGTTTTTTCCTACTAGACTGTAAAGTCCTCTGTAATATCACAAATTACTTCCTCTCCGTATGCTAATTTCTTACCCAGTTCCCAACCATAGTAGTTATTTGATCTGTACTTAAAAATTTTTATTAAATTCCCTTTTCTACCCAGTCTCACACTGAACTCTCTTAAAGGCTCTCTGTGTCTTTAGGTGTCTTATGTTAAATCATTTTTCTTTCTCTTTATGATGTTGCTTCTCTTAACACCTAGTCTGAAGCTTTTTCAGAGTCATTACACTTTGGGAGGGTTTTGACCTACCTGAGTTTGAAATGTTGCTACCACTAACACATCTGTACTTGGCATTTCCAAAAGCAGTAAAAGGTTTCAATAATTTTTGTGTAATAATTTCAGATTGTAGGAAAAAATTTATCTGAAGGAAAGGTAGGTGAAATTCTCTAGCCAACATTTCTTTATTGGGTGCTCTGTGTCCTCTGATCCTAGAAGCCCAGCCTCTATGGCTCTGTGACTAGCAGGTATTGGTAGATCAATGGCTAAGACCCCAGGACCTGCTAAAAGCCTAGAAATAACTGACAGAAATTGCTGTCTTCTCCTGCCTCTCTAAACTTTAAAAAGCCAGCAAAGAATGTGATCTTTCGGGATGGGAGGGCAAGATGGCAACCTAGATGCAGACAAGTGAAACAGCTCCCACGGAGGGACTGAGACAACTGGCGTGCTTTATACAGATCTTCAGAGGGAAGGCACTGAGAGTGGGCGGAGGGAAGACACGGAAGCTGGGCTGAAGAGGAAGCTGGGAACCCCACAAGGGCTGCTGAGCACTGGGGCTCATTTTTGAACCACAATAGCTCTGAGGGTGCAGGTTAGTCGAACTGGTAAGGAGCAACCCGCTCTCACCAGGGGGTCAGGAACCCTGGCAGAAGGGAACCCCTCTACCATCATGGACACTTCAGGTGGCAAGGAGAGCTGCTTAGAGAAGTGGTGGGGCAGCAAGCTACTGATGTGGAGCCCAGAGGGTTTGGTGCAGGAGCATCTGCAGTGAAGCATGGCCAGGGACAGCCATGCCCCTAGTCTCAACTTGTTCTCATAAGAGACTTTAGCCTTAGGGAACTGTTGGACCTGATCTTTGCAGAGTGGTCTTGGACATCAGATGGGGCTGGTCCAGCCTGAGCACTCTTTGGTCTGCTGGCCTCTTCTGGGGACACAGTCTGGCCATGGTTGCTTACAGGGCAGTCTCGGGTGCCCTGGGGGCCCACACCATAGCTTCTGTGCCAGTGGACAGTGCCTGACATGTGGAGAGTTCTAGTGAGGTGGCCCCTAGCGCTGCGCACCGGCTGCAGCTTTTTCTTCCCCGTACTGCAGCTTTCTCCAAGCCCACAGCAACTCCCTACATCGCTTTACTGGCACATATCTGCATGGGCGGGTTTTGCTTTACTTGCTCTGGCAGCACAAGTGAGTGTGCTGTCCCCCCACTCCCGCTCTCCACAGAAGGCCATTGCTGATGGAGCCTTGGCAGGCACAAAACCACCAAGCCTTGCCCCACCAGCTAACACCGTGCAGAGAACAGGGGATCCTCCCACTCTCTGAGCTATCATTCCAGCTTGCAGAGCACAGAGAAGGCACCCAGACCTGTACCGTCCAGCACTCTACCCGAAGCCAACACCACTCTAGTGCAACAACACATGTAGTCTCCAGCAGGGGCCCCTTGCTCACCAACCCCCAGCTGCCTTGCCACCCCCACTTTGGTGCATGCCTTCAAGGAGACAGGCAGCCCTGTATCTGCTAGCATACTGTTGAAGCTGCCGCATATCAGCTCCCCCAGCGCAGGGAACCCTAAACCTTGAGGAGCCAGAGAACAAAGTTGGGGCCCAATAAAAATCTCCCAGAGTTACAGCACACAGTCAAGGAGTTGGGAACTAAGTGTTGGCCCTCTAAAATCTCCCAGAAACAAAGCCAGTTGGCTGAATCCACCTTATACCACAATCAAACCCTCAAGGTCATCAAATAGGATAAAAGAAAAAAACGCCCATCTAAAGGTCAGCAGTCTCAAAGATTAAAAATAGATAAGCCCACAAAGATGAGAAAGAGTCAACATAAGAATGCTGAGAACTCAAAAAGCCTGAGTGCCTTCTTTTCTCCAGATAACCTCATCACCTCCCCACCAAAGGTTCAGAAAGAGGTTGAAGCTGAGATGGCTAAAATGACAGAAGTAGCATTCAGAATATAGATAAAAGTGAAGATCATTGAGATACAGGAGTACATTGAAACCCAATGGAAGGAAGGTAAAAATCATAATATTAATAAAACATTGCAGAAGCTGACAGATAAAGTAGCCAGTATAGAGAAGAATGTAACTGACCTGATAGAGCTGAAAAACACACTACAGGAATTTCACAATGCAAACACAGGTATTATTAGCAGAATAGACAAAACAGAGGAAGAATCTCTGAGCTTTAAGACTGGCTTTCTGAAATAAAAAAGGCAGACAAGAATAGAGAAAAAGAATGGGAAAGAATGAACAAAACTTCTGAGAAGTATGAGATTATGTAAAGAGATTCGATCTATGACTGATCTGTGTACATGAAAGAGGTAGGGAGAATGGAACCAACTGGGAAAGCATATTTCAGGATATCATCCATGAGAATGCACCCAACCTAGCTAGAGAGGCCAACATTCAAATTCAGGAAATGCAGGGAACCCCAGTCGGATACTTTACAAAGATAATCCCCAAAACACATAATCATCAGATTCTCCAAGATCAAAATGAAAGAAAAAATGTTATGGGCAGCTAGGAAGAAAGGTCAGGTCACCTACATAAGGAAGCCCTTCAGACAAACAGCGGACCTCTTATCCAAAACCCTACAAGCCAGAAGAGATTGGAAGCCAGTATTCAACATTCTTAAAGAAAATAAATTCCATACCAGAATTTCGTATCTGGACAAACTAAACTTCATAAGCAAATGGGAAAGAAGATCCTTTTCAGACAAGCAAATGCTGAGGGAATTCATATCTACCAGATCTGCCTTATAAGAACTCCTGAAGGAAGCAGTAAATATGGAAAGGAAAGAGCATCAGCAACCACTACAAAAACACACTGAAGTACACAGACTAGAGACACTATAAAGCAACCACATAAACAAGTCTTCAAATTAACCAGCTAATATCATGATGACAGGATCAAGTCCACACATATCAACACTTACCTTAAATGTAAATGGTCTAGATGCCCCAATTAAAAGATACAGAGTAGCAAGCTGGATAAAGAAGAAAGACCCATTGGTAGGCTGTCTTCAAGAGACCCATCTCACATGCAATGCACATGGGCTTAAAATAACACTGGGGCCTGTCATGGGGTGGGGAGAGGGGGGAGAGATAGCATTAGGAGATATACCTAATGTAAATGACGAGTTAATGGATGCAGCACACCAACATGGCACATGTATATGTATGTAACAAACCTGCACCGTTGTGCACATGTACCCTAGAACTTAAAGTATAATAATAAAAATAAATAAATAAATAAATAAATAAATAAATAAATAAAAAGATGGAGAAAAATCTACCAAGAATATGGAAAACAGAAAAAATCAGGGGTTGCAGTCTTAGTTTCTGACAAAACAGACTTTAAATCAGCAAAGATCATAAAAGGCAAAGAAGGGCATTATGTAATCATAAATTATTCAATTCAACAAGATCTAACCACCAAATATATATGCACCCAAACATGAGCACCCAGATTCATATAGCAGGTCCATATAGACCTTCAAAAGACTTAGACTCCCACACAATAGTAATGGGAGACTGTAATATGCCATTGACAATATTAGACAGATCACTGAGACAGAAAATTAACAAAGATATTCAGGACCTTAACTCAGCACTGGATCAAATAGATCTCATAGATATCTACAGAACTCTCCACCCACAAACAACAGAATATACATTCTCATCACCACATGGCACTACTCTAAAATAGATCACATAATCAAAAGTAAAACACTCTTCAGGAAATACGAAAGAATTGAAATCATAACAAACAGCCTTTTGGAACACCGGACAATGAAATTAGAATTCTAGACTAAAAGATTCACTCGAAACCCTAAAATTACATGGAAATTGAATAACGTGCTCCTGAATGACTTTTGGATAAATAAGGAAATTAAGGCAGAAATCAAGAAATTATTTGAAACTAATGAGAGAAAAGATTCAACTTACCAGAGTGTCTGGGATACGGCTAAGTCAGTGTTAAAAGGAAAATTTATAGCACTAAATGGCCACATTAAAAAGTTAGAAAGATCTCAAGTTAACAACCTAACATCACAACTAAAAGAACTAGAAAACCAAGAGCAAACAAACCCCAAAGTTGGCAGAAGAACAAGAAATAACCAAAATCAGAGCTGAATTAAAGGAGATAGAAACACACACAAAATTCAAAAGAGCAACGAATCCAGAGGCTGGTTTTTTGAAAAAAATTAATAAAATAGACCACTAGATAGACTAATAAAGAAGAAAAGAGAGAGGATTCAAATAAACACAATCAGAAACAACAAGGGGGATATTACCACTGACTCCACAGAAATGCAAACAACCATCAGAGAATATTATGATTACTTACATGTGCATAAACTAGAAAATCTGAAGGAAATAAATGAATGCTTGAACACATACACCATCTCAAGACTGAACCAGAAAGAAATTGAATCCCTGAACAAACCAATAATGAGTTCTGAAATTGAGGCAGTAATGAATTGCCTACCAACAACAACAACAAAAGGCCAGGACCACAGATTCACAGATGAATACTACCAGATGTACAAATAAGAAGAGCTGGAGCCATTTCTACTGAAACCATTCCAAAACATTTAAGGATAAGGCACTCCTTCCTAACTCATTCTATAAGGCCAGCATCATCCTGATACCAAAACCTGGCAGAGATACAACAAAGAAAAAAAATTAGGCCAATATCCTTGATGAATATCAAAGCAAATATTCTCAACAAAATACTGGTAAACTGAATCAAGCAGCACATCAAAAAGCTTATCTACCACAGTCAAGTAGGCTCTATTTCTGGGATGCAAGATTCATTCAATATACCCAAATTAATAAATGTGATTCATCACATAAACAAAACTAAAGACAAAAAACACATGATTATCTCAATAGATGCAGAAAAATTCAATATCTATTCATGTTAAAAACTCTTAATAAACTAGATTTTGCAGGAACATACCTCAAAATAATAAGAAACATCTATGACAAACCCACTGCCAGCATTATACTGAATTGGCAAAAGCTAGAAGCATTCCCCTTGAAAACTGGTGCAGGAGAAGGATACACTCTCTTACCCTTCCTATTTAACATAGCATTGAAAATCCTGGCCAGGGCAATCAGGCAAGAAAAAAGAATAAAAGGCAACCAAATAGAAAGATAGGAAGTCAAACTACCTCTGTTTGCAGATGACATTATCCTATATCTAGAAAACCCCATATCTCAGCCCAAAACCTTCTTAAGCTAATAACCAACATCAGCAAAGTCTCAGGATAAAAAATCAGTGTGCAAAAATGACTGGCATTCCTATAGACCAACAACAGGCAAGCCGGGAGCCAAATTAGGAATTTACTCTCATTCATATTTGCCACAAAAAGAATAAAATACCTAGGAATACAGCTAACTAGGGAGGTGAAAGATCTCCATGAGGAGAACTATAAAATACTGCTAAAAGAAATAAGAAATGAAACAAACAAATGGAAAAACATTCCATGCTCATGGATAAGACAAATCAATATTGTAAAAATGTCCATACTGCCCAAAGCACTTTATAGATTCAATGTTATTCCTATTAAACTACCATTGAGATTCTTCACAGAACTAGAAAAATCTATTTCATAATTTATATGCAATCAAAAACGAGCCCTAATAGCCAAGGAAATCCTAAGAAAAAAGAACAATGCTGGAGGCATCATGCTACCTAACTTCAAACTATTTTACAAGGCTACAGTAACCAAAACCACATGGTACTGGTACACAAACGGACACATACACCAATGGAACAGAAGAGAGAACCCAAAAATAAGACTGCACACATACAACTATCTGATCTTCAAGAAACCTGACAAAAACAAAAAATGGGGAAAGGATTCCCTTATTCAATAAATGGTGCTAGGATCACTGGCTAGCCATATGCAGAAGATTAAAACTGAACCCCTTCCTAACACCATACACAAAAATCAACTCAAGATGAATTAAAAGACTTAAATGTAAAACTCAAAACTATAAAAACTCCAAAAGACAACCTAGGCAATATCATTCAGGACATAGGAGCAGGCAAAGATTTCATGAGGGAGAAGCCAAAAGCAATTGTAATGAAAGCAAAAATAGACAATTGGAATCCAATTAAACTAAAGAGCTTCTGCACAGAAAAAAAAAAAATCAACAGAGTAAACAGACCACAGAATGAGAGAAACTTTTTGCAAACCATGCATCCAACAAGGTTTAATATCCAGGATCTATAAGAAACGTAAACAAATTTACAAGAAAAAAACCACTCTTTTAAAAAGTGGGCAAAGGACATGAACAGACACTTTACAATAGAAGACATGCATGCAGTTGATAATCATAGGAAAAAAAGCTCAACATCACTGATCATTAGAAAAATGCAAATCAAAACCACACTGAGATACCATCACACACCAGTCAGAATGGCTATTACTAAAAAGTCAAAAAATGGGCCGGGTGCGATCATTCATGCCTGTATTCCCAGCACTTTGGGAGGCCGAGGTGGGCGGATCACCTGAGGTTGGGAGTTCGAGACCAGCCTGACCAACAAGGAGAAACCCGGTCTCTATTAAAAATACAAAAAAAATTAGCCGGGCATGGTGGCACATGCCTGTAATCCCAGCTACTCAGGAGGCTGAGGCAGGAGAATGACTTGAACCCGGGAGGTGGAGGTTGCAGTGAGCCGAGATCATGCCATTGCACTCCAGCCTGGGCAACAAGAGCGAAACTCCATCTCAAAGTAAATAAATAAATAAAAGTAAAAAAAAATAGCAGATGCTGGTGGGGTTGTGGAGAGAAAGGAATGCTCATACACTCTTGGTGGGAGTATACATTAGTTCAACCATTGTGGAAGACAGTGCAGCAGTTCCTCAAAGTCCTAAAGACAGAATAATGCTCAACCCGGCAATCCCATTAATGGGTGTATACCCAAAGGAATATAAATCATTCTATTATAAAGACACATGCATGTTTGTGTTCATTGAAGCACCATTCACAATAGCAAAGATATCAACTCAAATGCCCATCAATGATAGACTGGATAAAGAAAATGTGGTACATAACACCGTGGACTACTAAAACAGAATGAGATCATGTCCTTTGCAGGAACATGGATGGAGCTAGAGACCATTATCTGTAGGAAACTAATGCAGGAACAGAAAACTAAATACTGCATGTCCTCACTTACAAGTAGAAGCTAAATAATGAGAACACATGGACACGCAGAGGGGAAGAACATACACTGGGGCCTATTGGAGGGTGGAGGATGGGAGGAAGGAGAGGATCAGGAAAAATAACTAATGGGTACTAGGCTTAATCCTGAGTGATGAAGTAATCTATACAAGAAGCCCCCATAGCACAAGTTTACTTATGTAACATACCTGCACACGTTTCCTGAACTTTACTTAAAAGTTTTTTTTTTTAATATTTCTTCACTGATCTCTATAGGAAAGAATCAATCTCTGTCTTCAGAAGATTTTCAGGGAAAAATCCAGGAAGCTTCTCATTTACAGCAATAATTAAATGGCAAACATGATAGTGCTAATTACTGGCATAGCAATAGGTATTTGGAAATGGGGGAGAGTCCTAGGAATGAGGGATATTGTTAATGCTTAATATCAAAGATGGAGCTTGAGCAGGGAAATGAGGCATGAATAAAACTGGAATAGGCAAAGGGATGAAAAGAGTGGAAGTGGTGAGGAAGGGAGGGAAGACAGTAGCTGCCTGAAATAGAGAAACTGGCCTAAACAAACAGATTAGCTGGGATCAGGTTATGGTGGAAACCCCACATAGTGCAATCAAGCACGTGTGTCCCTCCCTATTTTCTGATTGGTGTCTGCCTTTCTGGATCTGGGTATAGGTTTAGTTTTCACCTCTCTGTATTTGATCTTGATTTGGTAAACTAGAGGTGTATTTCCTCTGTTCCTAATTTTAATTTTAATTTTTATTTGCTTTGCTCACTTCATCCAAGGTCCTGGGATCTTGGTGCTAAACCAGACCTAGTTTTTGTTTCGTGTCTCTCCTTCATTCAACTTGCTGCTTTCTTCGGTTGATTTATAAATGTGTATCATGCCCTGATCTTTAATGATGTAGCAGAAGGCGTAAACTGAAAATAATGATTTTACTTTCAGTTACTAAATATTTCTTGTACTTGACTATTTATTTTCTCCAATATATATGGCCTCCCAATAACCTGCTTTTATTTCTGTTTATTGCAAATGTTCAAAAGAAAGATAATAAATGGATAAAGTATAGTATATATAAACAGTGGAATACTAGTTAGCCTTAAAAAAGAAGGAAATTCTGTCATTTGCAACAACATGAATGAACCTGAAGGACATTTTGTTAAGTGAAATAAGCCAGGTACAGAAAGAAAATAACTGCATGATCCAACTTATGTATGGAATCTAAAAATGTCCAACTCATGAAGCAGAGTTAGAATGTTTTTATCAGGGACGGGAGAAGGAGGGGTGATTGGAGAATTGTTGGTCAAAGGATAGTTAGGCAAGCTGAATATGTTCAAGAGATCTAATGTACACCATGGTAATTATAGTTAATAACAAATATATACTTGAAAATTGCTAAGAGAGTAGTTTTTAAGTTCACATAGCACATACAAAAATCTTAAGTAGGTGAGGTATGTTAATTAGCTTGATTTAGCCATTCCACAATGTATACATGTTTCAAAACATCTTGCTGTATACCAGAAATACATGATTTTTACTTGTAAACTAAAAAAAGAAGAAAATAAAGATAATAGGAAACTACCTACGTTGTTTGTCGAGGCTTCTAGAACTTTTAGTTATCAGAAGACAGCAACAAATTGAATCATCTTCCAAATGATGACTTTGATATAGTCAGTCAGTTGATAAATATGTGTCATGCTTGTTTCTAGGTTTTGATTATATAGAAACAAACATTTTTTTTTTGAGGGAGCTTGCATGTTAGTGTCAGAAAGAAGAAAACACAGATACAAAAATAATTAGATAATTTAATTTCATATGCATATTGAGTTTGAATAGTGAAAAGAGAGAGTGCTACTTTCGCTAAGACGTTTAGTAAAAGTATCTTTGAGGAAGTGATGAAAATGGTTTATGACATTTCAGTTGAGACAAGGCAGATGAAAAGAATCAGTCATACAAATAACTGGAGAAAGAATATAAGCAGGTACAGCAAATGTAAAGACCCTTAGGTAGGAATAAGCTATTGTGCTCAAGGAACAGAATTAAGGCCATCATGTTTTGAATATTGGGGGGACCAAGATAAAAACAAGCTTTGAATAAAGGGGAAATAAAGATAAAAATGAAAAATGCATATGTTTATATTTTAGACTTCTATATAAGTAGGCATTTTTCCAATACACCATATTTGGTCCAGTTTGTATAACACATTTTGATGTGTTGTGGTATTCCTACTTAATTTGGGGCTTATTTTTGTAAGTTAACTGACGGTAAGATTTTGAAAGAGTAACTCAATCAATTTCTAATCCTGTGGCAGGATTTTGTCTTGCAGCTAATTCATCACTTATCAAAAATCAAAGTAAATTTTTCTTCCTTTTTAATATTTAAAATGTGATAAAACTTCTCTTCATTACTACATTTTCCAGCAGGCTCAAAGTTTATGATGTTATATATAGGCAATGCTAAATGAAGAAAATGCTAATAAAATTTAACCACTGGTTCATTTTATATGAGTACAAAATGGATGTGAGCTTGGCTTCATCTTCATCAGGGTTTGATGAATATTGCACCTTTTAGATGTGAGTTTGAATCCTAGAAGTTTTCCTTATTAGTGATGTCAAACAAAACAATAAATCTCCCAGTCTCATTTCTCTTATCTGTAAAATGGAGGTTCATTTTATGAAAGTTTTATGAAGATTAAATGAAGAGATAGAGTATACGAAGCACCTAACTTGGTGCTTAGCCCATCTCGTATTGCCTAGTAAATGCTTGAGTTTGTGAATATGAATGTGGGTGCGGTACTCACCCCTCATAATTTTTTAATGTTCTTTGCCTCCTAAAGTTCAAGAGCTCATTTAACACAGAATAATTTGTCTCTGAACAAACATTGTGTTGAACAACACCAAAGGATATATAAATATTTGGATCAGAAACAGTTGTGGGGAAAACCTCTTTGCTGGCTGATTAAGTTACACCTGTTGGTGTCCTTTCCTACTGTTTCATAGTGACTTAGCCAGCCGCTCTCTGGAAGAAGAGGCTTGGCTACTTGATAGAAAGCTTAGTTTTCTTCCAGGGCACTTAAGGAAGTTCCTTCTACTCAGGGTTCACATTTGCAAATACTCTCTGAAATGCCTTTTCCCTGGTCCCATGAACTGTAGAAAATATTCAGGGCCTCAGTGGTGAAATCCTCATCTGACTTCTCTTTACCTTGTCTGTTCTGTGTTTCAGAATCTTCATTCAGCAACCATTTTTTGCTCTCCACAGGCTTCCATGTACTTGACTGTGAAGAACATAATTGGTTTCTTAAACTGACCCTTGACGAACAAAGATACTTACTAGCTTTCTTCCCACTAGACAACCTGCATTCCAGGGACCTTTACTCCTGCTGGTAGGAGAAAAAAACTAGTGAAACCTAAACTCTGCTGATTGTTTTCAACTAATTTTTACTTTTGGATATAGCACGGTACAATGAATTCCTTTTCTATTGGCAAAATAAGTAGGAAAATTTGCTGAAATTAAAGGGAAACCAGAGAAGACTGAAGAGAGTTGTGATGTAATTCCCAAATCACAAAAAGAGACTATTTTTAAAGGATTTGTTTTAAATTAATCTTACAAGGTCTACACTTTGAATTAAGTAACTTCAAATATACAACATTGTTTTCAGCTAAAAATATTATAAATTATTTCTCTGTATTTCCTGTGTTCCAAGCAAAGAAAGAAGAGTGGGAAGTGTTTTGATTCATATCAGCATCATCAAAGTATTTATTAAACACTCGATCTCAAATGGTGTCTCACTTGCTTTAACAAATGATGTAAGCTATCTCAGCCTTTTAAATATTTATCACTGAAGCAAACTTCTTGCCATTTTTGGGATGCCCTTGGTAGTGTCTCTTTTTCTCCTGCCCTTGCCTTAACTTTGTTTTTCTCCTGTCTCTCACTCCAAGTGTTTTAGATGGGGAAATGTGATGTATTAAAACAACAGATATAGTAAAACATAGTAAGTGACTTGATAGAGGCATATATAAAGTGCTGTGAGAACTTAGGGGAAAGAATAACTAGGCTTCTTTCTCTAGAGCTCAGAGAAGTGTTGAAGGTAAGATTGAGCCTTAAAGTGTGTGGAGAGGTCTGCGAGGTAGACAGGGGAGATGGGAATGCTAAGAGGTAATGTTGGATGAAGATCAAAATGTCTCAAAAATAGGCATTTGGAAAGCTGTCAGTAGTTCATTGTGACTTTGAAAATTTAATTATCCAAATATACTAATGATCTTTCTGAAAATTCTCCCTAATCTGCACATCTCTTGCTCAGTCAGGGAGTTGCCACAGATGCATGAGTCCTTCATCCTCTAAGTCAGCAGCCCCCAGCATTTTTGGCACCATGGGCCAGTTTCATGAAAGACAATTTTTCCACAGACTTTGTGGAAGGGGATGGTTTCAGGATTAAACTGTTTCACCTCAGATCAGATCATTAGGCATTAGATTCTCATAAGCAGAGTGCAACCTAGATCTCATGCAGGCACAGTTCACAATAGGGTTCGTACTCCTGATAGCAACAGGAGACAGACAAATTCCTAGGCAGACAGGGACAGGTCCCCAGTGAAACTCAACCTTCAAACCAAGGACAGCTTAAAGCCTGAAAACCAAGCTGCCAGTTCCAGATAGAGTCCATGACTGGAGTGAGAACTTCTATTTTTATCTTACCCACTCTCTCTCAATTGGTTCCTCCTGAATGATGCCTTTTAACCAATCGAATGGTGCTTTTTCCAAGACCACCCATGGGCCAATCAGCACACACTCCCCAATTCTAAACCCATAAAACCCCCAGACTCAGACTTATAGACAGCAGCCCGCTTTCAGGGTTCCCTCTCACAGCTGAGAGCTTTCCTTCTGTCACTCAATAAAATTATTCTCTGCCTTACTCTCCAATATCTGCATACTTTATTCCTCTTAGTCACAGGACAAGAAACTGGAACTCACTGAGCTGAGGGTGGTGGGAGTAAAAGAGCCATAATCCTCCCTCCCACTCACTGAACTGCAGGAGTGAAAGAGCTATGATGCTCTTGGCTGGTTTGCTGAGCCACAGGTGGTGGGAGTAAAAGAGCTGTTAACCCTCCCTCCCACTGTCCGAACAACAGGAGAGAAGCTATTGGGTGCCACTCCCTCCCACTTGCTGAACTACTGGAGCAAAAAAGCCACAACACTCCTATGAGAATCTAATACTGCTGCTAATCTGACATGAGGGGTAGCTCAGGTGGTAATGCTCATTCAAGTGCCACTCATCTCCTGTCGTGCAACCCAGTTCCTGAGAGGCCATAGACTGGCAGTTGGGAACCCCTGCTCTAAGTGACCTGCCTTGTATGTAGGTTGTACCTCCTGTCTCTCTGTTAGTCTGGTGAAATTAAGGGAGATCAGAAGTTGAGTACAAATGTACCAAAGTATTTTTAAACTTTCCAGGTTGATTATATATTGGATGAGAAATCCTCTTTCATTTATGGCTAGATGGAAACTTTATGTGTAAATGTGTGAGTTTCTTACATTTTTCAGCACAACTCATCTTCTCTGGAGAAAGAAAGAGCATATAATTTGAGAGCTCAATGTAGAAAGAAGAGTCATCTACTTCAGGTTTATTAGCCTGTAATCATCCAGTTGCCTGAAGTGCTTGTGAAACTCTTAGATTACTCCTAAGGCTCAACCTCGGATGATCCTTATCTCCCTGAAAAATTCACAAAAATTATCTGACACCTTCCAGCCCTCTTTTTAGAAATGAGTCTATAGTCATCTCCAAATAAGTAAATCATTTCTCTTAAGTTCACAGATTCAATGGATGGTAGAGCCCAACATGACAGAAAATTACTACATTTATTATTATAGCAATTTCTCTAACAGTTGATAAAATGTAAGACTAAGACAATGAATCTTAACTATCTCCAAAGAATATTAGCAAAACCAGAAAGTTACGCTTCATTAGAATGTCACAATGAAGAATTTGTCACTCAGAAATACCAGTGGGTGCTCTGGAAGGCAGTTAGCTTTCCTTTCTCCATGTCTTCACTTTTCTGCCATCCTAGCCTGTCGTATTTTTAAGTGGAATTAGATCAGTTTCCAGATCCTTGTTTGATGGAATTTCTGTTTTTACTCTTCAATAAATCCTGTAGCACCTGAAAACCAAGTCTCCCAGCTCAATTGTAATGTAAAATAAAATGAGATATCTGCAAGTATAAATAAAATACTTAAACTGCTACCTTTTGTTCAGAATTCATGCACATAAGTGGTCATTACCAATTACTATTCATCTTTCTATTGGTACCTTTTCCTCTGTTCATTATCACCATCATTTTCTCTACTTACTGCTCTGTCTCTCTATCTATTGCTCCACCTATCACCCATCAAAGTGTTTTTTCATTATACAGTCATGCACTCATTGTCTTCTGTCATCTTCAAATATTTAATTGTGTTCTGCACTAAACAATCTTTTCGAATACAGAAAATAATAATTGGTAATCACTATTACAATAAAATAAAAATATAATACATAATAGAAATAAAAATGAAAATAGAATAAAAGGTAATCACTGTCTTCTTGACATAAAAGTCTCTGTGTTGAATTAAAAATCCTTTTATATAATATATTTTATTTTTTAAAATTTAAAATGACAAAAGACCGTTGAAGAAATATCAGAGATATATAAAGAGGTATACTAAATACCAATTACTCATCATCTTACCACCTTGAAATAAGCATTGTTGTGATTTTTTGTAATTCTCTAAAATATTTTTTTTTCCTGTGGATAAGCTCAGAGTATGTTTTGGAGACCTTCCATATTAAAAGCTGTGAGACGATTCTTAAATTTTGTTGAGTGATTGTTAAAATATAGATTCCTGGGCAGCTTCCTCCTTGTATTACTGTATTACTATCTCTGAGTTGATTATCATGTATATGAAAGAATCACTAGTACAATTATACTGATGATTTGAGAATCACTAATACAATTATATTGATGTTTCACCTCATTCATATTATATGTATTTTTTCTGTCCTAGTGTGTCTTCCTGCTAAAGTCTCAACTCATAAATAGTTCACCTGCGGAGAAATGGCTTCAGATGTTTTCACTCATTACGCCCAGGCTGGAGCGCAGTGGCATGATCTCGACTCACTGCAAGCTCCGCCTCCCGGGTTCACGCCATTCTCCTGCCTCAGCCTCCGGAGTAGCTGGGACTACAGGCGCCCGCCACCACGCCCGGTTAATTTGTTTTGTATTTTTAGTAGAGACGGGGTTTCACTGTGTTAGCCAGGATGGTCTAGATCTCTTGACCTTGTGATCCGCCTGCATCAGCTTCCTAAAGTGCTGGGATTACAGGCGTGAGCCACCGCGCCCAAGCCTATACGTGTTTTTAATCAAAGTGTAACAGAAAGCACCATAAAAATAGTGCTTTTCCATTGCTAATGCTTGCTCCAAATCTCTATAAAACATTTGTTAAAACCACACATATTACACTAGACTTCTGTATCCTGCTGTAAAAATCACAGCCACATCTGCCCTGTAACAACCCGGAACGATGAGAGAGCCTTGTAAGCTCTCCTACACCTTCTCTTCAAAGGGAAGTACTTTGTCCTGGAGCTTTGCCTCAAAGCATATTGCAGTCCAACTTGGAAACAGATGAGATAATGCAAACGACAGATGATAACTATCAACAGGCTTCATAAGAAATGAAATATTTAAGGGAAATGTGATATTTGTTGACTGTTTGAAAATTTCCTCAGTTCACACTAATGACATGACTTTCTGGAAACCATTCTTTCCTCTCAAAGTAAAGCAGACAATACTTTCCTGTGTCTGATGCAGTATTTTGTGGAAAGCTGGAGGAATAGTAAAATCAGCTGACTGCTTCTATTTGGTAACAGATAGTTCACTTTTTCTTTTGGCAGAAAAAGCAGAACCAAATGTTTATTTGGGTGCCATTCATATATAGCTGTCTTTCTGTCTTCGTGTACCAGTATTACACAGGATTTCAAAGAATTGCTTTTCTGTCTCTGAGCAACGAAACGACTAATTTTAAGAAAAGGGAAAAAAACCTGTTTGTACCCAAGTAGATCAGTGTAGAATTTTATTGTAGCAATGTGTAAACCTCATACCAATTATTGAGCTAGCAGCTTCAGATATTTTTTCAAATTACAGTGTGAATACTGAGTCTAATCTCCTGATTAAGTTGTTTACTTACATTTGTCTACTTATTGATTGTTTTTCTCCACCATTAGAATATCCTCATTTTATCCCCAATACCTAGTTTGTCTGCCACATGGTAGATGCATAGAATACACCCTAGGCCCAATCTTCCAGGAGTCACACAGAAGAATTGTTACAGCAGCAGTGGTTGGTTCTATGCTCCTTCTGAAGGCAACCCCCATTGCTCCATTTACTTTCCTATCAACTAAACTCTATAGTCAAAAGCATATTATGTAAGGCCCTCCAGAGATCAGACTCAAACGCCCTTATCTTGACTTATCTCTCACGATTTTCATACGTATAGTTTCCCACTTCTGGGCCTTTGCATTTTCATTTTCCTAATTTGAGTGCTCCTCATTGTTCTTGAAATGCTACTTAGACTACATGCCCAATTCTTTTTTTAAGTGTTCTTCTCTGATTTCCCTGGATGGAAGGAGCCTTCTCTCCTTTGAAATGTCAACAGCTTTTGTAAATGCTTCAGGACACTTACATATTGTCTTATATCGTTTTATTGCTATCTGGTCCTCATATGTGAACATTTTCTCTGATACTAGATGATTGACATGAGAGAAGTAGCCTTGCTTCTCACTCACCAAATTCAAAATAAGTGTCGCATATTTATTTATTGAAAAATAACTGGATATATGGAATGAAAAGCTTATAGTAGAGATTTTATTATATTTAACCAGAAAAATATTAATACTTTACAGAATAACAAACTACCTTTCAACAATGCAGAGCTATCTTCTTATGCATTTTATGTGATGACTCACTGTGTATTTTTAGTAGTTTAGGAGTTAGATATTATATATATTTACCTGAAATATGAATGATTCCGAAAGATTCAGTAACTTGAATAAGATTAATATGGGTCAAGTAAGTGTGTATTTCCAGTATTTAAATTATTTTAAAGAAAGTTTTATATCTCGTTTTGCAGATTAATTCAGTATTCCTAGAATTACTTGATTGCGGCTATCAAAATTGGTGGCTTTTGAAATTCATCTTTCTTATTATAAAATACAATCCAATTTAGTAATTGTAAGACAATCAATGATGAAAAAAATATTTCCTGAACTCAGAGTGTATGCTGAATGGTTATGAATATAGATGGAATATATGTACTAGAAAATTTTATGAAGAGATTTATGTAATTCTGAAATGTGTACCATCTAAATCTTCTCCAAATTAGAGATAAATTGCATAAGCATATTTAGTAAATAAAATAACCTATGGTTGGTCCTGAAAATAAAGTATTAAGAAATGTTTTGATAACTGCATGGGCAATTGGGCCAAAAATGGGCTATTAGAGAGTGTGCTAGAAATGCTTATTATTCCATGTCAATATTTTGAGACTGATATAAAGACTAAGAACAACATTCTCCTGTAGATTATTTGTGATCACTGCTGAAGATAGAATATAGCCTACAATGGATTTCACTGTATGATTCAGACAGAATTTCCTCATTAAAAAATTATTTATAAAGACATTTTTATTAAGCACCTTACTTGTACCAGCTTTTAGGTGCTTTTATTAAGCACCTTACTTGTAACTTGCCTTTAGGGAAATGGAACTGAATAATACATTGGGTTTGACTTCTAGATGCCTATAGTACAGATGAAACTAGCACAAGGTGACTCATTATTTCTTTAAAATATATCTAGGTTCATGATGTTATCAATGGTCTGACTCTGCTTTTCCATTTCATTTACTACTATGTAGAAAAATCACTATAAAAGTGACAGATTTATATTTCAAGCTTGTAAGCACACAGTATCTCCCAAATACTCACATTATATATGTGTAATTTTTTTGTGTTTGTTTTCCCATTGGGTGCCACATAGGATCCAAATAAATAGGTTCTAGAAAGAAATGTTTGTGAGAATCTGGGTACTTTCTTTCTTTTCCTTTCCCTTTTTCTTTTTTTTTTTCTTTCTTTTCTCTGTAAGTGACTCAAATATCTGACATATCTAGGCATTTAAAGCACACATCCTATAGGGGATCTGTATAGTTACAGTGAGGGGTGGTGTTCAGATGTTAGGACTGATTGACGTTAATAAAGAGCATGATCCCTTTGGAATAGATTTCTTTCCAACCCCTGGATGTGCCTCCCAGGAGTTCAACACCAGCCTGACAGACAGATGTCAACTGTGAATAGGCATGTGTAACTGAAAACTCAGTAAAGAAGGAAGCTGTCTGCAATTCTCACTCAGAGGACAGGAAAAAGAAGAGAGAGGTTGGTGTCAGTTTCACAATATCATCCACTGGAAGCAGGTGGATAGAAAATGTGGTTTCTGGAAAGGATTCCATGAAAAGATCTTTTTCACTGCATGTGATTTAGATTTTTTACCTATGTGTCAATCCTTTCAATATGTCACTAGTGAAAAGCTTTAGTTGTAATTATCTTGAGCTATATATCTTTCTGAATTAAACTTAAATAGAGGTGCAAATGACTGATAACTGGTTTTCTCTTGGGAGAAACTTTCAGCCAAAGGGAGGGTAGACAAGACATAAGAGAAACAGGAATTTGAGAGTTGAGGGAAGTGCACAGCACAGTAAGAAGGCAGAAAAGAGACTTTGGTATGTCCAAAGAGAAGCCCTACCTGCTTAAGTTTTCTCAGGGTCACAGGGCTCCATTTGCATATATTATCATGAAATTGCAGGAGATGAATCAAAGCAACAGAGGGGATTGTGTGATTCAAGTCCTATGGGTAAGTCTTTGGAGGGGGATGGCATTTTGTTTGCACATCCTTGGAATAGACAACAACAAAGGAGAGGGCAATTGAAGAATAGCATAAGAAAATGGAATAAAGAAAACATGGAAGCAGTGTGAGCATAAAACAAAGCAGATATCTTAATGGAGAGGTCAGGAATTTTGAGAATGGGCCACCAGGCACTTATTAGAATTAGGCAGCAGTAGATTAGCATGTAAGACTCATAGCACTGGCTTTAAGGTGAGAAGACTTAATGATTCCCCCTCTTTTTTTCCTGTTGACTATAAATAGATATCATTATGATAATATTTTAGTCAGCATTCATCTGGAGACAATTCTAGGGCTAGCCAGGTCTTTTGTGAAAGTGAAATTAGTGGCTAGTTGTATTTCTCTCCTGTCTCATTTTTCCCTGTGCACAGTTTTTGAATGTGGAAAATTCTGTTATTTTATTAGTAGTCACTAGTAATTTATTTTTTCTTCTGATGTATATAACTTACAAAGTAGCACACTTAGTTACTGAGTTCTGATATTTGACATTGAAAATTTAAAAGAAGTCTTAGTTTCAACGGCAAACATGAGAACAGTAGAAACCTCTGAAAGTGTGGATTTGGTTGTGGTCTGGTTGGCTTAGTATCAATTGATAACAGACATTAACAAAAGAATCTCTTATGGTAACTACTCTTGCAGCTATGTAATATTATATTATAAATTTTATATTTTACATAGTTCATTACAGAAATGAATATCTGACAAAGTCTGCTTCAACAAATTCTGCAAATGAAAGAATAATGAGTTTTCCTCAAATGGCTGATTATAAAAGCCCACTCTTCAGTTAGCCTACAGATACCTGGTCCATGGAGCTTCCTAGGCAGGTGTGTAGTCATTATTAATTAGTCCATCTCTCAAAAGTATTAGGATTTTTGCAGGAGTATCAACTCTGATACATAATTCTCCATTAATATTTGTTATAAACTTATTAATTAAAATTCTTTCTTATTTTAAGTGCTTACAAGTGGACAAGTTGAAGCCATCAAAATTTTCCTACCAAGGATATTATAGCTTATCACACATGCTCTCTGTAAAACGATACTAACTGAAGTGCAATACCCTCAAACAATGACCCAACCCTCTGGCAGGATCTCAGCATTTAGAGAAGTGCATGAAATTCTTTGTATGTCAAGTAACAGTGAGCCATTGTGTGTGCTGTTATCCTGATGGGTGGGAGTGCCTGTAGGGCTGCATTTGAACAATCTGCTAGGCAGGGTTCCTTACTGTTCTCTAAATGTACCATGCTCATGACTGTGGGTAATGATTAGAAAATGAGCACAGGGAGTGGAGTCTACAGATCTTTCAAGACCCCTGTTGAAGTTTCTCCTCCATTGTTAACGTTTCTCTGTTGATTTCACCCTTCTGGCCGCTCCACGTTGTGAATGCCTGTAACGCTTATCATTCTCTCATTATGGCTTTTAATTGTGTGCTGTCTCTAACATTTTGTACATATTTCTGGTGTTCTGTGCTATAATTGCTTACTCTGAGTAGGAGGAGATTGTCCATTTAATTTCTTTCATCTCCTCTATAAGGCCTACCTAAAAGCTATCCTATTACTCAAATCAATTCTGGCCTTCTTTAACAAATGAGGTATAACCACTATTAAATATTTAAGCAGTTTAGAATTAAAGTTTTGCCTTAATGAGCAAAATACATTGCTAAATCAGTAAAATGGATTGGTTATTACTAAGCATCTGTTGGAACAGATAGTGAGTCGCAATGAAGGTAGCATTTTGAACTTCAAGAGCATCTGAATGAATGCATATTGTTAAAATACAATGACTTCTGTCAGAATCACTAGGAAGAGATGGTGTTAAATGATACTTGTATTCTTTAGTCCTTTTTCTTTAAAGTGTTTGAAAACAATGACTCCCTGCCTTCCACTCAGTGCATTTGGGAATGTTATAAGTTGTGGGATCCAATGCCTTGAGGAGTGATGGACTACTTGTACTTCCACAATGATATGTTCTTATTTGCCCAGAAGACCTAAAACCAATTTAAAATCACAGAGGAGTGGAATTGTAGTTTTAGCTAATAGGAGAAAAGTGAAGCATAAAATACTGTGTCAATAGGAACACATCACAATGTGTCACCTTTTAACTGGAAAACTGGAACAGGAATTTTCTAAGCACATATCAGCCATCCTCTAGTCTCAGGATAAAGCAACACATGCAGAGGGACTCTCTCTATCTCTGGCATGTAATCTTATGAACTTTGTCTGGATACTTAAACATTTTCAGCTTCAAAATGGAGTCAATGCTTCCTATTTTTTATTTATTCATTCACTAAAAATATCTTCAGGGCCCATTATGTGTTAGGACCTTTTCTAGGAACTAGGAGATGCAGAAGGAGACAAAAGAGAGTTTTTGCTCTTATAAATCTTACAGTCTGGTGTAATGTGCATGTGAGTTTGTGTGTGCATGCTGGGGGAGAGGTTAGATCAATTAAGGTGTGCAAAATATCTAGAATATAGATATTCAATAACAAAAGCTGGTATTACTACTGTGCACCAATAATTTTACATCTCTTATTTCTTATAACAGTCCATATTTTAAGTAAGAGAAAATTTGATTTGGCAAGCAATTGATTTGGTAAGAATTATTTCAAGCTGACAAATGATATCCAAGAACCCTCAAGTGACACAACCTGGATTAAATATCCACTCCTAATGAATATTATTTACATTACCTTTTTCTTGGCTGCCCTTTATGACATACCATGCCATCAAGCTACACCATGTGTAGGTATTTTAAGAATTATTATCCAAAGTGTACCAAATGTGATTTTTTTTTGTCATAATGAGCTATAGTAACTGCATGCCTCCATTTTGGCAGAGACCATGCATAATTTGAATCATTCTATCCTCTGCCTCCTGAAATAATTTCTTAAACTCAAAATTATTTGATGGATGAATGAATGAATGAATGTTTATGTTAAGTTATATGAAGATCCTTTTATCTTACTGTTTACTTTTTATTATCCAAGGTGTATTATTGTCAATTCATATCTCTTTTGCTGAATTAGTCTTTCAGGAGAAAAGGTTTATGCCTTGGCAGAAAAGAGTTCTTTGTTGCACGAGTCTTGTAAAAAACATGTTTTACTGCACTAAGCTCAAGTGATACATTTTCAGCAGAGATACCAGAGGACTTCAGGCTGGCAGCAGTTCATTGAGCATGACTGGCTCCCTTGTTTCTTTAAGGGAGATGTACTCAGATGGGTAATGGCATTCAGCCTGGATTGGAGGAGGTCCTACCAAGTCTCCAAAGCCTCCAAGTAGGGTCTTTTCAAATTTTCTTTTACCAATAGCACATTATCTTGAAACGTCTTACATTACTGCAAAAAATACTTCCTGTTTCTCTGATCATCTAGCTCCAAGTATAATTTGTTTGTGACACCAGCACTTTCTTGCCACATTATCCATGGGCCAAGTGATAATGAAGCTCCACCAGCATTGCAGGTACAAAAGTCTGACCAATCTGCATACATGTGCTGTCAGCTAATTTTCTCCTGTTGTATAAAGTCCATCAACCTGGAGAAGATCTCTAACACAATAAATTTTACTTTGTTTACTGCTGAAAGAACCCCTATAGGACATCATCAATTGCCTAATTGACAGTCTGAGGAAGAACAGGCAAAATCATGTGTTCAAATAAAGATGATGCACTAAGGTCCTCCTACTTGCAATGTTTTGTTAGGCGCTTACTGCATGGAGGTGAGATTAGGGCACAAACACTTGAAAAGTTAATAAGAAGTTGGATCCAATGCCCTCTGCTCTGTGGAGCAGGAGCTTGCTCTTATTCTCTTCTGTAGGTGTTCTAGCCCTTGGAACACAGCACATGATAAAGTTTTGATACGTTTTTTGAAATGAACAAAGCATAGCATTAGAGTTCAAATCTGTGAATTTTGAATGAATAAATGAATGCTAATGATCAGTTCTCTAGAAGTTTAGATAAAGGAGTGATACATTTAGGCCTAGAAAAACCTTAAATATATGCTTTATGTATCTATCTATCTGCTTATCTAATGTACATTTGAAGCTTGAAAAGTGTTTCATATTTATTGCTTCATTTTACTTCTATTAACACTCTTGTGGCAGGGCAGGTATTATTACTCATTTTACAGATTAAATTGCAACAAGAGTTCAATGTAACTTTTCCAAATACTATAGCTATTACATGGTAAGTGTGGGGACTTAGTCTCAGTTCTTACCATTCCTGGCCCATGGCTCCTTCCAGCATAGTGCGGTGTCGCCCTCCACTTTTTCATCTGCAGTCATGTTTCACTAAATTGGTGTAGATGCTTCTAGAGGAAAATTGCCTTTATTGTTACTCTGGAATCTGAAGGAACATACTTGCCGTCATTCTTCCAGTCTTTTAAGTGGTATCTCTAAACACTGAATGTTTATGCCTCCAAGAAAATCTGTGCTAATCAATGACAATGATTTAAGAATCCAAATGGGTCTTTCTAAACGCTATTGTGGAGTATACATGAAATTGGAATTAGGTGGGGATTGAAAGGAAGAACATGGATAAGAATACAAGAATGGACAAGACAGCATGCAAATACCACAGCCATTCATTCACAGGTGCTTCTTGGGCAGTGGTTGGGTAAGCTACACAGAGAGACATGAAGTCTGCCCTAGTTAGCCTGTTGACAAAAATTGTCTCTTAAGTGTGTTTTGGTCCATATGGTAGAGCACATTTCTGGCACGAGAGCATTCTAAATAGCAGACTCCTTTTTAGGGGACTGGAACAGATTTTACGGTGATAACCTGCCTGTGCCCAGGGGCAGATGTATTACTCTGCAACAAGAAGTTGATGCTTAACCTCTGCCTGGCCTCAGAAGCCATTTCGGTGGTAGGAGCCAAGCAATTTCAGATACTTCAACCTAACGTTCCTTCAAGCCTCAAGGCTGCCTTGCTCCATCTCTTGAATATCATCTCTTTTGTGCACAATCAAACCCCTTAACAGTCTGGCAAATATGTTTTAACGAAGTGGACTAATAGGACTCTGATGTTCTTTTCATGGGAATCAGGCTGCTCCCTCACAAGCTGCCTAGGTGAGACTAAGAATTGTTCATGTTGTCAGCTCAGACCAGCCCTAGAATAATTGTCCTGATTACCTTGTGGTGCTTGCAAGTTGTTCCCGCTCATCTGACAAAGAAATAGGGATTTAAACCACATTTCTGTATATGTGGTTTGGCCCTGCAGACTTGGAGTTTGAGACAAGAAAGATAATGATTTGAAGATGATGTTAGGTGCCTTTTTTTTGTATTTGACTCAAAGGTCTGTTTAAGCAAAATAAGTGAAATGCTTTGAAATATATATCTATGTATATATATGTATAATATATATTTATAGAAATAAAAAATACATATATTTTGTTCTCTCTCTTACTTTTGCCTCATATATCTATTCAAATAATCTCAAACAAGTATTTTGAAAATAATTCGCCTTTTCTGGTTTCAAAGATATATCTCAACATTCCTGACATGGTCGCTCTGGATCTCTGAAAACCACCAAAGGTTGCATTATTAGTCTCTTAGTATTTCATTTCTTAAATATTATCCCCTGAGCCAATGAAATGTGTACCTTTCTGTGCATCAGCCTTCAGTATCCTCTTGGTGTCATGTTGTATGCCTTAATGGGGAAGTCTCTCTTCTGTTTATCATTCCTGTTAAAATACCACTTGCATTTTCAATACAGCTTTTCCTGACATTTCAAGTCCTCACTATTCTTACACTGTATCATCCAATTTAGCATTTCATACACATGATTGTCTTTCATTTCTTATGCATGGTCATGAGGTCTACCTTTCAAGCTAGAATATCAGTTATGCTTACAGGACTCATGCTGGCATTTTTTCATAGAAGAGGAACAGATCCATAGAATGTTAGAGCTGGTTGTCTGGCCCAGGCCTTTTTCTTTATGGTTGAGAAAACGGAAGGCTGTTGAATGTTAATGTCTTGTTCAAAGTATTTTACTGAGTTGGTGGCAGAAGTTAAATCATGGAAGCAGTTACTGAGCCTTCTATCAGTCCTCTATTCTTTTCACCAACTTATGCATCATAGGTGTTCAATACGTGCTTGATGTGAATGTGTTGAGTTGTTCAGTGCTTATTCAGTGACTGAAGCAGCTCTTTTTGGTTTGTCAACACTGGCGGTGTGTGAGTAAAACTAATAGCTATATATAGTATAGTAAATATAAAATTTGGAGATTTATGACATTGAAAAATGATATTCAATGATTTAGACCTAATGCATTTTAGCACAATGGTCACTTTTCTCTCCTGTAATAATTGTGAGGAATTACTAAAATGACAAGGTTTGCTAGGAAAATGTCATGGGAAGTGGCCATGTTAATCAATATTAAATGTTCTTAAAGTCAAAGTTTATATTGGGGGTTTAAAGTAGTAAAAAAATCATTATTTCAGATAATTTTTGCTTTAGTTGATAAAATTCAATAAAACATGTCAGAGACAGGGATTGTTTGGGAGATGTGGGTAGGACTCCTGGGTCATTGTTTATATGGGACCTTATAACCAGTAAAGTCATTGTTTATAAGGGACTTTAAACCAGTAAGATTGATTGGGGCTTAGAGTTGCAGCTCTCATTCTATACTTTGTTCATCAGGGACTCTGGTGAAGCTTTTTGTGGTTGGTTGTTTGTTCATTTGTTTTAACTTTTAAACTATCTTTATTTAGAACAATACAGCACTTCAAAACTGGCGAGAGACTTTTTCAGTTAACTATTAGAGTTTTCTGTTTAATTATATCCACACTGTAATATAGATAACTTGGAACAGATTATTCCTGTGTTTAATAATTCTATTCACAGTTCTATTTATATTTTCACTTGCTTTAAAACTTTTTCTGACTTGTATTGTGCAGACTTACAGGATGATTCTGAGAAAAATGTCAGAGAGCCATATATATTTTAGCAATCATTTTCTTACTGGCGAATGTGGGTAAGATACCACAAGTGATTGAGTTCTCATTGCTTTAGGTGTTGAGAATGTGTATGCACACAACACCTCCACTAAGGCCTTACACATGCATACTTAAAGGTGGGTGCTGAATGTTCTCATTAATCAAGGCAAAATATTCCAGAACTTTTGCATAACCCAATCTGTCCATATTTAGGTCAATTTAGTGATTCAAAATAATCACAGTTTACCCAGCTCCATCAAAATATTTGGACCCCTATCTTCACTTTTAGGATCGTGAACTAATTTGGGGATGCCGGGTGTAATTCTCCAGTAAGTTGCTATGCTTACAGTTTTCCTAAAAACCTAGGACCTATTGATACTAATATTTCAGTGGAATTCTGACAAATCTGCACTGAACTGAACTCCTCCTTATTCGTCTGTCATAGGTAAATTCTAGAATTTGATCTCCACTTAGGAGAATGGTGTAATGCTGAATTATAGCTTGAGAATTTATAGCAACAGTAGGCCCTTTGATCTTGATATTTGGAAGGAGTTACATTCTCTGGAAGCCTATGCTGAGATGGAGTTTGTGGTGTGAGTGATTATTATCAACACACATGAAAGGAAGTGGAAGGATGGAACAGGATAGAAAGAAGGATGAAGGTGAATTTGAGGTAGGACTAACAAAACTCCACCCTGTATAGTGGGGAGATCTGGTGTGAATACTGCTCAACAGTGTCCATACTAGAATACTAACTTCTCCAGTTCTGGATGTGGGCTTCCCTAGAAAGAGTACCAGCTTGACTCTCCACACCTGGGAGAGACCTAAGTTCTGGAGGCTAGAAGAAGCTGTCAACTGGCAGTTGCATGCTGACTATACTGTCTGTGGCTGGGCAGCAAGAATAATATCTCTACATCAACCAGTCTTTGATCTAAACTTCCACAACAGAGATCTACTCGATTTTTGGAAGTTCTGCTAATTTTGTGCTCTTCCTTTCAGAGCTCAGAGTGCTTTACTACTTAGAGATCGAAGAGCTGACAATTTAGACCATAAACTGTAGTGCTTTAGAAGCAGAGTTATTTTGATTTGCCTTTTAGTATAACCTTCTAGTTTTATAGATGATGAGAATGAGATCCAGAGAGATTGCACGGCTTGATCAACATGAAATAAACATTTTTTAACACAGGAAAACAGATTCGATTCAAGAAGCCTTAGATTATAATTCAAACTGTACTCTGCTCAAATATAGCTGTATTTTAAAACTATCTGCCCTTACAATTATTTTTTGTCTTAATGTTTTGATCATAATTGTGAGCAAGAATTATTGTAATAAGAAGTGATGCCCTTGGGTATTACCCAAATTGCTGTTTATTTTAATAACAGAGGAAGTGGTGACATCTAGAAAAGTAACAAAAAGCTGTCCAGGCTTGAAATACTCATTTAAGGTGTTTCTTGTCTAAAGAATATCCTCTTAAATAAAGAGCTATTTTAATAATTAGCACTCCAATGTATAAAGTGACACCATTAACAAAGGGAAGTTACAAAATAAATTAACATATCAAAGATCACAAAGTGTTCCTTAAAAAGTACAAGCCTTAGAGGAAGTTATAAACAATTAGCAATGAGGTCACGCTTAGTTTAATGGTGTGTTTGGATTACAAGTTTGAGGCTTTAAAAAATACATTTTTCAGGACCGAGTAAACCAATCTTACTCAAATAGAAAAGAAATAGAGTTTCCGCCATTAAACATTGCTTTTCAGCCTCAGACAATATCCATTTTCTACATGAATCAAGCCCTAAGTAACAACTAGTTCTGAGAAAACACCCCATTTCAATGTATGCTACTGCTTTGTAGCTTATTTGGGAGGGAGGCAGTCCCCCTTTTTAATAAACTAATCCTTTTATTATTGACAGTCTGCTAGAAATTTAATCTCAGATTTTACAATCTGAGTGAAGAGAGGCTCAAAGCAGCTCAGAAGTTAGAGTAATTGGGGTACTGAAATAATTGAAGTACTGAATTTAAAGGGGTTTAGGCTTAGAGTCTAGGATTCTAGGTGAACTTAAGTGTCAGGAGCTTTTTAACAAAAGCTTTTGTGGACTGATATTGGAAGGGTTTAATCATGTATAATGTGATCAAATATGTCTTATATTGGATTTTAAGAGCATAGTGTTCATGATAATTGGAAAATAAAAGTGGAATTTTGGTTTTTCTATTTGTCTTTTTTTTTTTTTTTACTTTTGGTATTAGTTAAACTGAACATAGCTTTCAATGTAACAAAGTTTGCTGTAGTTTTATGAATTAAATCAGTATACATTTGAACCACCTTTTGTAACTTCATGACTCATGCATCATTAAAATAATTTTTTCTTTTTATAGTACAATTGAAGCAGGATATTTCCCTGACCACTTTGTGGCCCATGGGACAGGGGTGCCTTGTTTCCTCAGCCTGCTGTGCTCGACCACTTGTGGGAGGGGGAGCATGCAGGTGAGTGGGTGCAGGAGCCAGGGCGAGTGCTTTTGGGCACTGGCAGGAATGAACTCTGTACCAGCCCCATGGCAGTGTCTAGGAGGGTGACTGCAACTCCTGAAGCCTTATAGTCAGTGCTCTTTTAGCTTTGCAGTCCATGGATGCCTTAAGTATTAACAGCTCAGTAGAGGGTCAGTGTGATAGCCTTTTGCACCAGCACTCATGGCTCTGAGCTCTTGTCTAGCATCCAGAAAAAATGAGATCGCACGAATGAATCAAAGATGGTATATGCAGGGGTTTTATTGCTGATGAAAGTGGCTCTCAGTGGGATGGGAAGTTGAAAAGGGGTTGGGTCAGGAAGGAATCATCCCCCAAAGTCTGGCCATCCCCAGCCATGCTCCTTTTCAAAGCTCTGTCAAGCTGTCCTTCTGAAATCAAGCTGCTTCTTTCCAACATTCAACCACAGTATCCAATGTCTAGCAGCTTCTGTTCTTCTTACCTATCTGAGCCTGGGGTTTTTATGGGCACAGGATTGAGAGCAGTGTGGGCTATGGGTGGTTTTGGAAAAGGCAACATTCAAGCAGGAAAACAGGGATATAAATTATCACTTTGGGCTGCAGTTCCAGGCTTCAGGGTGGGGCGGTGGGGCTCTTGCTGGGGATCCAACCTCTTCTGCCCAGAATTTCCTGCCTCCTCTCCATATGATTTCCCCCTTCTGAAGAGGCACATCTAACTGCAGTGAGAATACAGACAATTGTCAATCTTAGCTACCTCCTGCTGACAGGGGGCATTGTTTTGGGAAGAATGGCAGTCAGATTCATCCCAGTGGTCTACCTAAGGATCCTCAGCAAAAGGGAGCCATCGTCTGAGGGTCTGTTTGCCTGACCATTTGGAGTTAGTTTGATGGCCTCTATGTGAGAAGAAATAAGTTTTACAAGGTTAAGTATGCATGGATCAAATATGTGTATTATACAAAGAGGAGTTAAAAGGAGAGAATCTAGTGCCAAAGATTATAGAAATAAGTGAAATATACTAATTGTTCTGAAAACAACATTGTACCCTCTGACATAGAACAAAACAAAAGTAAAAACAACAAACGTAGGCAAAACTATAAAGAAGATATCCATGGAAGGTTAGTTATTAACACTTAGCTTTTGTGATTTTTAGTTTGAGGTCCCTGATCTCTTCACATTGGTACTTTGGCTGTACTCCTGGGTTGACAGAGGTAACTCTGTCGGCTCCCCAGGCCTTTACTCATGTATAAAGAATTCAAGAGTCTATTCCAGTGACCTGTTGTAGAAGACTGAAGTGACCTCTTTCAGGAGGTTCTCTGAAGTACTATCTGGTTCCAGGGCCTGTTTCAGCAGTTTCCACCTGATATCATGGGCTGCCTGAGTAATAAATTTATCCTTTAGGATTAGTTGTCTCTTGACCGAATCAGGAGAAAGAGAAGTATGCTTTACGAAGGCCTCTCTTAGCCTTTCCAGGAAGGCAGTGGGATTTTAATCAAATCCCCGGTCTATCATGGATAGCTTGGTATAATTGATGGGCTTAGTTCTAGTCTGACATAAGCCCTCCATTATGCATACTTGAAAACGTCTCCTTTTCCGTTCTCCCATCTTGTCTTTGGGATCCCATTTAGGGCATCCAATGGTACTGCTTCTCTTCAAGTTAGATAAAGTTTGACTCCTTCCCTGACACTATATGTGATACAAAACTCATCATCAAATCCTTCTGTCACTTGCAGAGTGGCCTGCTTCTCTTCATTGGTCAGGGTGTGATTCAAAAGTAATAGAGTCCTTCCAGAAGAGTTCAAATACCTGGGTTAAATTCTGGAAAACCTCTATACATCTGTCTCGGTCATCTGAACACCTGCCAAGATCCTTCTAAATTTGCCTTAAGTCTTGTAGAGAGAAGGGGATCTGGACCTTACTGGGGCCAAATTCATCAGGCATCTGCTGGAGGGGCAGGAGTGAGACTGGGGTTTGTTAGGGTGAGGATTTCTAGGAGGGGGCAAACAAGAGAGAGAAACTGGTTAGGGAAGATGGGGTGGACCCAGAGGTATAAGGCCCAAGAGAGCTGGCTCCCCTGCTGGAGGTGCCTCTGGAGTTTGTTTCTTTAGTTCCCTGGGATTGCCCCTTGTAGCCTCTCCTGAGATGGCAAACAAGAGGACTGGATTAACCCTACACTGTTGGCAAAGGTCTGGGAATACCCTGCAAGGTAAAAAAGCCTGCACATACGGGGCCTCAGACCATTTGCCCTCACATTTACAGAAAAGGTCCAATTGCATGATGGTATCAAAATGAATGATTTCTTCTCGAGGCCAAGCCAGTCCTTCCTGCAGATCATAGTTTGGCCAAACCCTTGTGCAGAGGGCTATGAGGCATTTTTCCTCCAGAGTCTGAGGATCAAAACAGTGATTCAGGATACACTCCAGAAGAGTATAGATTATGGATGGTGAAGATAACAAGTTGTCCATTCTGAAAGACAGGAAAATAGGCATCCCTCATTTCACTTCTTTCTTTCAGTGAAAACTCGGGGTGTGAGGGAGAGAGAAAATGAGCATCTCCTTTTTCTGTTCTGTCTTTTTATCCCAGAGACCCAGCAAACTTAGATGGACACCACCCATGTGTGCCATTGCGGCCTGCACTCATGAAACAGGGAGGGCCTACAGAACAGGGATTGTTCTCACTCACCTATGCCTCCATCTCTGCTACTGTCAGCAACCTTTGGGTTCCCTGAGCATCATCTATTCCATGGAGCATGGCCTCCTTCCATGAAACAGGAGTATAATCAGCAGGAATTGGTCCTGCCTATTTATACTGTGCCTGTTGCCTAGCTTTAGATCCCTCAGATCTGTTTTTTATTTCCAGGGCCTCAACCCGAACTTTAGAATTGAGTTTGGGATAAAAAGTTGTCTCAGGGGTCCATGGATTCATTCAGATTAAGCCCCAGATGGGATTTGCCAATTTTGCAGTTATTAGCTAGTGGGGGTCACTCCTCTGTTGCCTCCCTATCAAAAGCAGAGTGGTGAGGTAGTAAAAGGACCCTCTCACATAAAAAAGAGAAAAAAGAACAGCTTAAAGGGGCAGAAGAACCTCTTGCTCTATGCAAATGGTTTCTTTTAATCACTGTATCCCTCCCCCAGTTCAGACTGAACTTGAACTCCTCTGCCAGGAGAGAAAAGACTCTATGGGAATGTGGTGAGAGGTGATGGTGAGTGGGAAACACTGGCCAGCTGGCTGCATGTAGTTCCTGGTCCCCAAGACTGCCCTGGGGCCTTGGTGGCAACCACAGTTCTCTCCTGCCCTGTGTAGCTATTGGATGTGGCAAGTGCATGCTGTGGACACACCCAAATGCCCCAGCTGAGAGGGGAGGGGTCAGGAGGGGAGCCACTGTGTCCTGTGTGCACCTGTGGCTGTTGGGGTGGGCATGACACCTCTAAGAACAAATGAAAATCACATTGTTCTGAATTGCATATCTGGTTGTTGGGCCAAACTCTCATTCTACTTAGTAACATTTCTGCAGTTTTCAGCAAAACCCTTAACATAAAAGAAGAGATAAGAGCCATTTCAAACTGTGAAAGAAGAAAGGTAAGATACCATAGAAATGTCTGTGGCTGACACCTTAATGGGTGATCTGGGACTGGGTCTGGTCTTGGGGCCTTCTGGCAACAGCAAGGAGTGGCCTTGGCCAGTGACTTCAGTTGTCCTAGGATTTTAATCCAGTCCCACATGATGGTTAGACCTTTGTGAAGAAAAACAGAACCAACTTTCCTCTTCCCTGAAAAAAAAAAAGAGAGGTGGCAGGGTTGCATCCTGTCACCTGCAAGTGGCATAGCTCAGAGGAAAGTCTGAGGACAAGAAGCCTTGGGAAAAAAGTGAAGGAACACATTCAGCAGATCCACATTTATTCACCTTTCTGATGTATACCGGGTGGGCGTCCAAATGAAGCAGGATATTTTCCTGACTCCTTCATGGGGATTGTGAGAGGGGTTCCTTGCTTACTCAGCCCACAGCCCTCAACCCTTCTTGGGAGGGAGAGCATGCAGGTGAGGAGATGCAGGAGCTAGGGCAAGCACTTTTGGGCTCTGGCAGGAACAAACTCTGTACTGGCCCCACCGCAGTGTCTAGGGGATGTGCCCACAACTCCAAAGCCCCACGGGGAGTGTTACAGTGTTACAGTTGGTCTTCTTTCAGCTTTGCCATCCATGGATGGTTTAAGTGTTAACAGCTCAGCAGAGGGTCAGTGTGATAGCCTTTTGCACCTGAACTCAAGGCTCTGAGTTCTTGTCCGGCATCCAGGAAAAAAGAGGTTGCACGAATGAATTAAAGATGGTAAATGTGGAGGATTTTATTGCCAATGGAAGTGGCTCTCAGTGAGATGAGGAGTTAAAAGAGGGATAGGACAGGAAAGCAATCATCCCCTGAAACTATGCTGTTAAGCTATGCCTCTGATGTCAAGCTGATTCTCTCCAATGTCCAACTGTAGTCCCAAAGTCCAACTGCTTCTCCTCTTCTCCTCTGGCTGAGCCTGGGGTTTTTATGGGCACAGGACAGGGGGCAGTGCAGGCCATCAGTGGTTTTGGAAAAGGCGGACAAACAGGGATATAGGTTCTCACTTTGGGCCTCAGTTCCAGGCTTGAGGTTGGGTCCCTTGCTGGGGACCCACCCTCTTCTGCCCAGAATTTCCCTGCCTGTTGTCCCTGTCATAATCACTATACTTATAGGTCATTTCTTACAGGGAATACCAAGCATTTCCTATGTTTCTCTTCCCAGGTACTTGTAGCAAGCATTCTATAAAGTTTGTAAGCATAAATGTTCTAAGAACATTTTAGAAAGCTTACCTGCTCCACTAAGCTGTCCTGGCAGTTTCTTGCTACCTAAGCCGTCTGCCACATCTGGACCCTGCTTCGACCCTAACTATGGTTTGTGGCTCACTCAGCTATCAGTATTTTTCCATGTGGTCCTTCACCCCAAGAATAGGTCTAGACTAGTCTCTTAACTCCCAACAAGGAAAGAAAAGAAGATGCTTAAATTTTAAAAAGCAATTCATTAAGAATATGTGGATTCTGGAAAAAAACTACACTAGATTAGTTTACACTACTCAAGGCAAAATTCAGGCCCATTATTGGGGTACTTGTGAAATGTGCTTTCCTTTTTGCTTTTGCCCTAATATCATGTACAGGGACTAGCTGATCTTTTTCCCTCTAATAGGAGTTTACTTTTCCGTGTCCATATTATGTTGACTTCAGGCTTCTTCTACAAGCCTCCAGAATTAAAAAAAAAATGAAGCTCTGCTGTTACTTTCAACTAAAAGACCCATCTCCCAAATCCTTATTTAATTCCCTGTGTTGACATTTTCCAAGGAATATTAATCATAATACTTGCTTTGATTTGAAGGATGTGTTGTGACCCTGCCCTGTGGCCCTAAAACAAAATATCTCTGCCTTAGTCCATCTTGAGTTAATCAGCCTTAGGTAACATTTCACTTTGGATAATAATTCAACTCATGTTCCACAGTCAAATTCAATTCAATACAAATAATACATTTTTATACGTATATATGTACATTTGTCAAAATGCTTACTGACAAAAGCATTATTTTTTGCAATTAAGCAACATAGTTTTCAGAAACAATACCCAAATAAAATGACCAGCCACATGACTAAATTTCTTAGTATGAAGTATCTGCATTCAGGTTACATCATTCAGGTCTTCTCCATAAGCAGAAAAATAAAACGAAACACACATTACTTGAAGCTCTTAAATTATAACTTTTGCCATCTGTAAATCAAATGTTCATGAAAGACTATTTCCAGAATATCTTACTGCTCTGTCTACTCAGAAAACTCTAAAAATATATATTAATTTCTAGATGGTTAAAGCTTCTTTTTGAAGCTTATATAACTTTGTCACTCCTAAAATTATTCATTTTTTAAATATAGACATTCATGACTCACATTCCAACAGAACATAGTATTTTGGCGTTTTTAACAACATGAGATGGGGGAAATATTTTGATATTTTCATGGGATCCACAAGGTTTCATTTGCATTAATAGTGACAATTTTATAGCCTTTTGCAGTTTATAGAACAATTCTCACAAGCAGATTGATGTACAAACATCTAGAAATTCATAAAAAGTAATACATAAGCTTTTTAATGGGAATATAGTTCAATATTTTTTTATTTTGCTACATATGTGTTCAGAGAAATAATTTATAAAAATTAACAGATTGTTGAAACTAATTTCATAATATGATTAGTTAATTTTTGCTTTGTAATAAAATATCCTAAAATTTTGTGGCTTAAACCATAGCAATTTACATAGCTTATGATTTTGTGAGCCAGCAATTTGTCCTGGCCACACCTGGGTGGTTCTGCCAGTGTGGCCTGGTTCAACTGATCTCTGCTTGGTTTGTTTGTATTATCTGCAGTTAGATATGTGGTGTTGTTTCTGAGACCTCTGTTCTGTTCCATTGGTCCATATATCTGTTTTGGTACCAGTACCATGCTGTTTTGGTTACTGGTGGATTAACTGGTAGATTACCTCTTCTAGGACAGCTTAGCTGAAACATCTTATCTCTAGTCTCTGTGGTTCTTCCATTATCCAGCAGGCAACCTGGGCTTATTCACATACATAGTAATTGTAATAGGCTTTCCAAAAGTAGCCAAAGAGAACAACTCCCAATTCAGAAGCACTTTAAAAGCTTCTCCTTGCATCACATTTGCTAACATTCCATTGGCCAAAATAAATCACATGATCAAGCTGAGATTGAGTGTGACAAGGCATTTAAAGTTATATGACAAGGTGTCATAAATAGAGGAGAATTTTTGTAATCAATCTATTGTTCTGTAAAACAGTTTATTGTTTCAATATAAAGTGATGCTTATTTTCTGAAATAATTATTAAGTATTCTCCCTATTAAGGAGCTAAATATATCATTAAGCCTCTGTGCTTCAAAGTATTTGATTGTTATTTAGTCAATCTTGGTGACTGAAACCCAATCTAAAATTATAATTTTATACTATGTACTTCCAGGAGATCACAGGAAAATCCTGTATCTGCAAGCCCATACACATAGTCAACTCTTTATTGCTATATTTTTAACTTAAAAACTGGTAAAAGAACAAAGCGGGAGGCATCATGCTACTTGACTTCAAACTATACTACAAAGCTACGGTAACCAAAACAGCATGGTACTGGTAGCAAAACAGATATATGGACCAATGGAACAGAATAGAGGTCTCAGAAACAACACCACACATCTACAACCATCTGATCTTTGACAAACCTGACAAAAACAAGCAATGGGGAAAGGATTCTCTATTTAATAAATGATGCTGGGAAAACTGGCTTGCCATATGCAGAAAACTGAAACTGAACCCCTTCCTTAAACTTTATACAAAAATTAACTCAAGATGGATTAAAGACTTCAATGTAAAACCTAAAACCATAAAAACCCTGGAAGAAAATCCAGGCAATACCATTCAGGACACAGGCAAGGGCAAAGACTTCATGACTAAAACACCAAAAGCAATTGCAACAAAAGCCAAAGTTGACAAATGGGATCTAATTACATTAAAAAGCTTCTGCACAGCAAAAGAAACTGTCATTAGAGTGAACAGGCAACCTACAGAATGGGAGAAAATATTTGCAATCTATCCATCTGACAAAGTTCTAATATCCAGAATCTACAAGGAAACTTAAACAAATTTACAAGAGAAAAATAAACAACCCCATCAAAAAGTGGGCAAAGGATATGAACAGACAATTCTCAAAAGAAGACATTTATATGGACAACAAACATACAAAAGAAAGCTCATAATCACTGGTGATTAGAGAAATGGGAATCCAAACCACAATGAGATACCATCTCACGCCAGTTAAAATGATGATCATTAAAAAGTCAGGCATCAACAAATGCTGGAGAGGATGTGGAGAAATAGGAACACTTTTACACTGTTGGTGGGAGTGTAAATTAGTTCAACCGTTGTGGAAGACAGTGTGGCGACTCCTCAAGAATCTGGAGCCCGAAATACCATTTCACCCAGCAATCCTATTACTGGGTATATACCCAAAAGATTATAAATCATTCTACTATAAAGACACATGCACATGTATGTTTATTGCAGCACTATTCATAGTAGCAAAGATTTGGAACCAACCAAAATGCCCATCAATGATAGACTGGATTAAGAAAATGTGGCACATATGCATAATGGAATACTATGCAGCCACAAAAAAGAATAAATTTGTGTCCTTTGCAGAGACATGGATGAAACTGTAAACCATTATTCTCAGCAAACTTACACAGGAACAGAAAACCAAACACCCTATGTTCTGACTCATAAGTGGGAGCTGAAGAATGGGAACACATGAACACAGGGAGGCAAACATCACACACTGAGGCCTTCTGTGGGGTGGGAGGCAAAGGGAGGGAGAGCATTAGGACACATACCTAATTCATGCGTGGCTTAAAACCTAGATGACAGGTTGATGGATGCAGCAAACCACCATGGCACATGTATACCTATGTAACAAACCTGCACATTCTGCACATGTATCCCAAAACTTAAAGTATAATTTAAAAAAAGAAAAAAAAAAAGCAAAAACTGGTAAATGGATGACTAAAACACTACTACCTTAAAATAAATATTCACTCTCTATGTTGGCAAGAAAGAGCAGCTGGAGAGAATTCTCCTCCATGCTGATAATGATAATTTCAAAGTATATAACCTTCTAATTAAACTATTTGATAGTTTAACACCTTTGTATTTCTTCCTTTGCAGAATTACCAACAATTTTGATAGACATTCTTTGAACACAAACTATTTCCCATCCCAATATTTTTTAGTTAGGCAAGATTTCATATCATCTATATTCTTTTGCCAAATTAGTGTTGATTTCTTGGTCTTGAGAGGTTCTTTGGAAGTACAACATGATATGTTTCTAGGAGGATTTAATCATCACATAAAAATGAAAAATAATAACCTTACTTGTGAAAGTGGTTTCCAGATATTCTGATAAAGAAATTGCAGCTGTCATGTAAAAAAGATTTTCAGTAAGAAGAAACTTGATCCCTGTGACAAGACAACTTTATACTGCTACTAAAATTTGTTTAAATCAGTTATAATATGCTATACTTTTATATGCTTTGATTTTAATCTGGAAAAGATGATACAAGGTCAAAGTAAGTTTTTGTCATAACTTCTATTAAAATTGGTTCTTACCATTCACTAATCAAACTGAATGAAAATTATACATATGTATACGTATAATTATACATATTTGTACATATATATATATGCCAGTGTGCATATATATGTATGTGTGTGAATGCCTATTTTCAGCAAGATTGGATGGAAAGGCATATTGACCACTTTCTCAGAGTATTCTTTTATTTTCGCATGGACTATATTAATATGAGAAGGCTATTTACAGCATGTAATCTGATGAAGATTCATTCTATTTACAAGAAGCAGCATTATAATTCCCAGGAAAATATAAGCAAGCCCATATGCATAAAATAATGGAAAATATTAAATTTCCAGGCATGGTTGTACTAGAATGATGATTTATCATTCATTTATTTATTCTCATTCATTAAACATGGATTCTGTGTATTGAACCCTGTCTTAAGTTTTGAGGAATCACAGAAGAATAAGTCACAATGCTTGCCCAGGGACATGCAAATGATGAGATGGGATCTCCAATCCACTCTGCCTGCCTCCTTTAGAAGGGAACTCAAGACCCTGTAATAATCACTAGCTACTTCTTGGCAAAGTGTGATTTTTACTGAGAATTGCATATATCTATTTCCTAACCTTAAACATTTTACAACTTTAGGAATATATATTACCTATATTAATGTATGCACTCCAAAGGATTATAAAATCAAAGAGAAAAATGAGGTATTGGAGGATTTTTTAATATGTTCTTTTGTAATTTAAGTATGTTTCTTTCTCATTTATGGACTAGGGTTTATTCTTCCACTCTTCAGAGTTAAAATAGTTTCATTTTACCTTGCAATAAAGTCCTAAATACTTACCAAATCTGCAAGAATTTTCTTTGATGTAATCTCAAACTTTTCACTGTCTTCTACTACATTGTTTTGCAAAGTCTGTAAATATCCTTATTTACATTTTTCCTGCCTATTATGTTTTTATCACTCTTTAATTTGTCTGTTTTCTGCTCTCAACCTTTAATCCTTTTATTCTTATTTTCCAATTGTCAATCTCTTTTTCTGATTAAAAACATAGTTCAAATATTACCTGTTTAAAAATGTTTGCTTTGCCTGATTTATCTGTCTCAAGAGCTTCCCCCATATAGTAGGTGTTCATTAAATATTTGTTGAAAAAATTGATCATGTAAAATTTATTGTTTAGTAGTTATTTAATTTCAGATTGTATAATAGATGATGATGTATCTTTCTCTTACCCATTAATTTGTTAGTTCTATGAGAGACAGCACCCTATACAGCCAGTTTTCTATGCCTATGCATTCCTCATCCATGAATTCAACCAATTATAGAACAAAAATATTTGAAAAAATGGATGGTTGTGTCTGTACTGAACATGTACATACTTTTTTCTTATTATTCCCTAAACAATATGGTATAACAACTATTTACATGGCATTTACATTGTAGGTACTGGAAGTAATCTAGAGACGATTTAAAGTACACAGGAGGATGTGTGTAGGTTACATGTAAACACTATGCATTTTATATAAGGGATTTGAACATCCCTGAATTTTGCTATCTGCAGTGATCCTGGAATCAATCCCGCATAAACACTGAGGAACAACTGTATTAATATTTTTTTCAGGAACCAGCACAGTTCCTTCTTCTGCTCAACAGAAAAGTAAAAACTAAATTGAATCAGGGCGGTTTCTAAAACTGGGGAGTTGATCAAGTACCTTCATGTGACTAGATAAAAGGAAAGATATTTTGAATATCAGTGATGATTTCATAGGCAGAAGATGTTCCATTCTATTAAGACAAGTTTACCTTTCTTTTGGTAGGAAATACACTTCTAAGATGACCTAAACTACCTTCTGCTTTGGGTCCCTGTTGAATATTCCTTTGTCTATGCTATGAACTTGAAACAAGAAGACCCACGAACTAAGAGAAGGCTCATCTCTAACTCATTTTTTTGATCATAGTCAAGTTATTTAAAATGCCATAGATTTCCTCATCTGTAAATGGGTCTGATAATATTTGTTTTGATGATCTCATAGGTTTGCTTTGAGAATATAATAAAATATTTGCACATTTGGAGACACAAACAAAGCTGTGTTATTCTAAATTTCCTTAGAACTGGCTTTTAGCTTCCTCAGGGCCTAAGCACGGAACCTAGGTTTTGATTTACTACAGAAAGTTAATAATTCTGCGGGGAGAGAAGAGATGTCTTTACGGAGGGTTCTTCTTATCTACTTACCTGGCTCATTTCCTGCCTCCCCCAATTAACTCTTTGTGATGGCATCCTTTCTTTTTCTTCATAGAGATAGTCAAGATTTGCAATAATAGATTTTCTTGTTTCATTTTTCATTTTACGTTTCACAAGTCCATAGGTTTCATGAGGGTATAAACTGTACCTGTGAAACAATGTCTATGTGGTAAAGTGCAGGTGTAAAATTAAAACAAAATAACCTAGGATCAATGGGTCTCCAATTTTAATGTGAATCGGAATCACAGAACTTGTTAAAAAATACAGACTCTGAATGCCAATGTGGGAGATTTTGATTTTGTGGTCTGGTCACCCCAGATGTTTCTGATGTGAATGGTCAACAGATCTTCCTGTGATAAATAAAGACAGGATGATGCATTTAATGCATTTTGTATGGGAATCACCACTGTCCTCAGTGATTTAGGAAGAATTAGAGCCGCCTTCTTGACACACCCGGAAATTAACCCCTCTGGAAATGTACACTGTGAGGAGGCAGATTAGCCCTTCATTTGTCTCAGAACACAGCAATTACAATTCAGACTTTTGAAGGGATAGAAAATAAGGCTTCTTAAGGATGCAGTTTGGCAGACTGTAGCAATGCTGTGTCTTTGGGCATTGGATGCCTGCCAGAAGCACTTGCCCAGCACTAATTGCAGAGCACCTGAACTTTTATCCATTATCTGTTCTGCTGCATAAAAACTTGAACACTCCGATGAATGGTTTTTATTCTTTGCAGCAGCTCCAGGACAGGAGGAAAATCCTTTCATTTAATTAGCCTATTATTTTCCATTTTGAGGCTTCAATAGAGACTCAGAAACAGGTGCCAGTTTCTCTTCAGGCTCTAGGCCTAAAGAAGTGAGAATAACTGCTACTGAGGAATGAAAGCAGATAAGGCCTTGGCAGCAATGCCATTAACTTGCCTCTACCTATGTAGTCCAGAAACAGATGTTAATTTCCAAATGTGCAGCCCCAAAGTGGAACAGCTTAATCATTGGTTGGGCTTTTGTTTATTGCCTATTAATGCTTTCTGCCAGCTTCTCAATGTCTGGAAATCTCTCATTCTCTTCCTCTCTGTCTCTGTCTTCTGTAGATTTATTTTAATAATTGGGGTTTGTGTTTATTCTTTTAAATTACCAACACTACCTCATGTCATAGTCTGTCTGGGCTGCTATAACAATAATACCATAAATTAGGTGTCTTAAAAACAACAAAAATCTGTTTCTCATAGATTTGGAAGCTGGGAAGTCTGACATCAAGACTTGATTTGGTGCCTAAGAAGGTCTGCTCTCTAGTTCATAGATGGTGCCTTCTACCTGTGTCCTCGTATGATAGAAAGGGTAAGGCAGCTCTTTGAGGTCTCCTTTATAAGGGCGATAATTCCATTCATGAAGGTTCCAGTTTCTTGATCTAATCACCTCACAAAGACCCTTACTCCTAATTCTATCACATTGGGGAATAGGTTTAAACATGGGATTTTGGAGGACTCAACCCTTTAACATAGCATCTTGTTATAGATGCTGCTGCTCAAGATGTTTTGGTTCCCAAGGCTGCAGTCAGCAGTGGAGGTGCCTGCAACCACTCACATTCCATTTGTGAGGCTTGATCATTTCCTGATGCAAGGCAAGTCCTCATACTGCCAATTGCAGCCAAGGTTCACAAGATTACTTTTACCAAGTAATCTTGGTAAGGCGAAACAAAAATTAAAAATAAATAGGCATTTACCTCAATATTTCACTTTAAAATTCATTTTATTAAACAACAGGAAGCTTTTTTTTTTAGAAGGTATTTGTATTGCTGTCTTCAGATGAGGAAACCATAAGCGGAAACTAGAAACTGCAAATTGAATAAAGAAATAAGATATTTTGTGGGACCAGAAACATATCACTATCGCAATAGATGGTTTTGATTGTGGGCTTTGGGAAGGAGTGAATGGGTTAATAAGCCATAAGTCAGTCAGCTGCTAAGGGTAGAAATAACCTGAAGTTGAGAAATATTATTTAAAGTACATGAGAAGCATAGGGCTGGGACTGACATCTTTGTCGAAAGGGCAACTCAAAAGCCATAAATGGCCAGTTTATGAGATGGCTCAAAGGCCAGTGAAAGGACAGTTGGATTGACTTTCTCAGTGAGTAAATTCTTTGAGAGAAAATAAACTGGAAATTGATATATTATCAAGCTCCCTCAGGCCAACGGAAGCAGAGTCAACAGTTTTCTTTTGGCTCAAATA
This sequence comes from Homo sapiens, assembly GCF_000001405.40. Classification (NCBI taxonomy): domain Eukaryota; kingdom Metazoa; phylum Chordata; class Mammalia; order Primates; family Hominidae; genus Homo; species Homo sapiens. Next base: position 94,483,036 of record NC_000003.12, read on the forward strand.
ATTCATCTTGACTGTCTAAAATCACAGGAAGTAAACTCAAATTCCCATGAGGACTAGGAGTGTAACATAAATAGGTAAAGAGGCTTGGATATAAGGAACATTTCTGGATGCATTTGCCCTTTTTGACTAAATTTTATTTTCTTATCTTTGTTAGAAATTTGGATACAATAAATTTCACTTTGTTATAATTTTACTATAAGAAAAATAAAGTCTCACTGTAATGATAAGAATGGGGCACACTGACCCAGGGCAGGGAGTGCCAGGAGGGGGAGGTGAACATTGAATCTTAAATGCCCCTTCTACTGTGGGCAGTCACTACACTGCCTGGTGAGGGGCTGCCCTGTGAGAATATGAACCCAGTCCCGTAAGTTATTCTATTTTCTTCAAGAGAAGCTAGAGAACCAAATTTTTATACAGAAACTGTTTTTTAAATTGTGTCTGCTAATTCAACTTCTGTGCAGTCTTTTTGCCAGTATAGACTGAATTCAACAGTTCAATTCGATAGTTACATAACTATCTCAATATCCTTTGTTCTTAGCCCAGAGCAAATTTCCCAGAGGCGGAGAGTAGGGTGTGATTTATATTGCCCTTAGCCTTGGAAAATAATTTCCCAGTGAGTTGATAAACAACTCTTTTTTCCTCCTACCTAGAGCTTAACTGATTATTTTTCCTTTGCCATTGGCCTTTGAAAATTTCCCTTCTATGTATCATCAGAGGAATGTAGGAAGTATAAGAATATGGCTTATTATAAAATGAATTTCAATATCCACTTGCCAAATGGTTCCCCAGACATAACATGCATGTGACAATAAATGACCACTAGACATGTCCAACCACACTATTTACAAGAGGGTTCTACTTCAGTGATAGGTGTTTCAGGAATATTTGTAACATGTTAAACACTGTAATTACGGAGAAAAATAGGAATTATAAGGATGATCATCTTTAACCAACCCATAATTTATAGAAATGAAGGGACCTTTAATAAACAAAACAAAAAAATAAACAAGCACTTCACAAGTTTTCTTAACAGAAAGGTTAGACAGTGGTGGGGTGAGCAAAGGGTGTTATTTTTCTAAAAATCTTTCAGGTGTAGTAATCAAGGGTTATAGGTTATAATAAAAATTGTGTGTTCTTGAGGAAACCTCAGCATTAAAACAATCATACAGAGCGGATATTTCAGGGAACTCTCAAGCAGGTTTAGCTTCTATTCTGGGATTTAAGAAATACTTTAAAATGTTGACAGCCTCTTTCAGGGAGAGTAAGTTTTTATATTTTAGGGTCACTTTCCTGTGTTCAAGACATAATTTTTTTTTTGCCATTAAGATAAGAATATTCAATGATAGCACAGCATTTTTAGAGTATGAATCTTTTTCTAATGTCACATCATGAACTTAGGTTCATATGTAGCTTTCCTAAGATGCTGATGCTTTCAGGAATCATTAAAATTCATGCTTTATCCTCTGAGCTAAAAAATATGATTGTTATCTGCTTTAGTGGAACATTTATTCATTTTTCTCTTCCCCTATCATCTCTCCATCTAATCAAATGAAGTAGTCCTACCGCTATTCATCACACATGGGGAACCTTTCTATAAATCTGATCACGAATCCCCCATATTCCAATTATCTAGGGCTGCATAAAAACCATCTCAAACCTGGTGGCTTAAAACAAGAATGATCATTTATTTTTCATTAAATATGAAATCGTTTATGGATCTGAAGAGGTAGCTCATCTCTGCTTCATGTGGGCTCCACTGTGGGTCTTACAAAGGGGTGAGGATTCACTTTCAAGTAGCTCCTTCAGATGGTTGGCAACTTGATGCTTGTTGTTGGCTGGGAGCTCAACCTGGGCTGGCAGCTGAGGTAAATGGTTACTCCCCACAGGGTTGTTTGAGTTTTCTCACAGCATGGTGGTTATGTTCTAGGAGCAAGTAGAATTAGGAAATGCAAGCTGCCAACCTCTTAAAGAATAGTCCTAGAAATCATCACTTACATGGTATTTTGTTGGTCACATAGTCACAGAGTCCATCCAGATTCAATTGGAGGGGACATAGAAACCACTTTTCAATGGGGAGAGTGCCCAAGGGACAAAAATATATATATTTGCCTACCTTTTAAATTTCATCTCCTACCACTACCATTCTTTACCATCTCTACTTCCCCATCCACACCTCCAACCATTTCACCTGTCTAAATTCCAACCACATCAAATTTCTGTTGTCCTTTGTATTAGTCCATTCTCATGCTGTTAATAAAGACATATCTGAGACTAGGTAATTTCTAAAGGAAAGAGGTTTAATTGACTCATAGTTCAGCATAGCTAAGGAGGCCTCAGGAAAGTTACAATCATGGTGGAAAGGGAAGCAAACATGTCCTTCTGCACATGGCAGCAGGAAGAAGCATGAAGTAAAAGAGGGAAAAGTCCCTTATAAAACCGTTAGATTTTGTGAGAATGCACTCACTATAATGAACGCAGCAGAACAGGGGTAAATGCCCCCATGATTCAATTATCTCTCACTGGGTCCCTTCCAGAACATGTGGGGATTATGGGAACTATAATTCAAGATAAGATTTGGGTGGGGACACAGTCAAACCATATCAGCCTTCTTGTTTTTTTTTTGCCATTGAATATTATGCTCCCAGACTGTCAGAATACCAACAGTCTAGTAAAACGTTAATCATCTTTCATGACTAGGCAAAAACATCCTTTCTTTTTTGAAGTCTTTCCTAACTCTCCTCAGTAAGTAACTAGGGTTGAGAATATTTCTTATCAGTGTTTACGTACTTTATTGTCTTTAAGTACAATGTTTCTTGGTTGCTTTTAGCATAATGCCTAATGAACAGTGAGAATTTTAAAATTCTCTGTTGAATGAATTAATTCTTGGAAATTGGAGAGTCATTCACTGAGAGATTTAATCTGTAGTAACCCTGGAGCCTAGTTCTTCCTCCACTCTCCAGTATCTGTGTCAAAGATTAGGGCAAGTCACCTAATCTCTTGCAGCTTCCCTTAGCCTGGGTTTCTTCATTTGTCAAAAGAGGTAACAGTGTCTGTCCTACAAACCTCACTGAGACGTATGAAGGTAAATAAAAATTGTATGTAAAAGCACCTTACATATTTAGAATGCTACTAAAATGTTCTATTTTGAAATTATTATTAGTTGGAAACAAATTCACTATTTATAAAATGCTTTAACAGACAAAAGTGTTAAGTGTTGACCTGATCAGAAGCACTACTCAAAGAGAAATATCTTTATATTGTTTTAATCCCCATTTTACTAAGGTTATAGATTTTTCCAAAATTTCCTTAAGGAAGAAATCTTTGGATATTTGACTGAAATCCAGATTCTTAGACATGTGCCCTGTTGTGCAGTTATCTTAAGAAAGCAGGGCATTCTATGCTTTCATAACACCTGCAGTGGGTTGCCAACATTTATTTTTAAAAATAAGTTTTGCCAGTTCTATTAGCCTGTTTTCATGCTGCTGATAAAGACATACCCGAGACTAGGAAATTTACAAAAAAAAAAGGAGATTTAACAGACTTACAGTTCCACTTGGCTAGGGAGGCCTCAAAATCATGGTGGAAGTTGAAAGACATGTCTCACATGGCAGCAGACAGGAAAAGAGAGCTTTCTCAGGGATACTCCCATTTATTAAAATCATCAGATCTTGTGAGACTTATTCACTATAATGAGAACAGCATGGGAAAGACCCACCCCCATGATTCAATTATCTCCCACCAGGTCCCTTCCACAACATGTGGGAATTATAGGAGATACAAGATGAGATTTGGGTGGGCAAACCACCCAAACAGAGCCAAAACACATCACCAGTTCTGTAAGATCCTTAGAAAGAAATTTATTTTAAATGTATCATGTAGTTTGAAAAATAATACTTGAAAATATCTCTTCCTTGAGTGATGGTCTTCCAGGTGATAGAACACACAAAAGCCAGTTTCCTTGCTCTAAAATGGTGCTGCTTCATTTGAAAGTAAATAGCTCCTTTTATTATGTGGAAAAAAAGAGTGAGAACAATATTCAGAGGAATTAAAGAACTGAATGAGCAGGTTGTATGGATGATTATGAAAGGAGCTAGTAGGGGGAGGTGACAGAGTAGATGGGGTAGCCTGACACAAGTCTTTTAAGGTGGATGGACTAAAAGATTCTCTCTTGGTGCCAAGACAGGCAAAATCCGTAAAGAAAAAGCTGTGAGCTCAGAATGCATACGAGCAACATAAATGGGCGAAATTTAATTCTGTAAGATTGGGTCTAAGTGAGAGAGACAGAGTGTGTGTGTTATAGTGAGTATAGGGGGAAGCTTTTGTAATAGAGCAAAGTAGTTCTAGAGATCATTACATGCAGATTTGATGTATATTGTGGTATAACTTTGCTGGAGAAAAGGAAAGATTATTATATAAGAAGCTATAATCAGGGCTGTAAGGCTCTAGCTTTGAAACAAAGGAGGATTGCATATTCAAAAGGCATAAAAAAATCCTCAGCAACACACACCCAAAAAAGATAGTAAAGGAAAGAGTACGTAAAGGATGGAGACTATGGTCCTCTGACATGGTCTTTTTCATTTTATCTTTTTGTTTTTTTGCTACATACTTTACTAACATCTTTATGAAGGGAAGATTGGTATAAATTGTTTTGAGTATCCTTTACATCCTTGGCAATCAATGCAGGCCAAGAATGTTTGTTATATTAAAGTCTGATTTAAACTCACAACATTATTGTGTTTGTGGAATTTTAAAATTATTTTGTTAAGCATTTGCTAACTCAGTAGATCCATAATGTATGATTAATGTTCTTAAAGGATTTTAAAAACCTTTTTAGTTATGTTTATGTGTATCCAAATCTTGTTGGTTCTGATTAATACCAAGGCAGGACATGGCAGTGCCTGAGTTTACTTTTCTGCATCCCTATATAGCTGATAGAGAGGAGGGTTAAATTAAAGAATTGCGAACCCCCAAATATATTGTTGCTTTTATGTACTAACTGATGCCATTTCTCCAAGTACATATTTGAGAACAACAAATACATTTAAAGGGCTGATCTCTGGCAGAGTTCAGAGTTCCTCTTACCCCTTCTCACTTTAATCCAGAACTGTTTAATCCCTAAATCTTCTGTGGTAGTGCTTAGACTCTTTATACTTGTGTATTTATTTTATCTCACCTAGAAAGCATCTCCTCTCATAGGTGAAGATCAAGAGGAGGAAAGCAAAGATGATATGAAAGACAGCAGTGAGAAATCACCTGCTCTCAGTGTACACATGAAAGCCAAGCCCCTTAGCTCAAATTTATCCCTCAAACTAGCACCAGGAAAGAAACTAAAGGCAGAGTTGCATAAGAGGATGCATAGCTCTAACTTTCACAAGCCTTGCCTGCCATACATCACTGCCGTACATTTACAGGACTGGTGACATTTAGCCAGGTCCTCCCAGAAGCTTATTTTGCATTTCTCTGAGCCTCAATTTCCTCAGCACCAAATGGTCCTAAAATGTTCTTGAAGTGAAGGACTTTCTGCAGATGAGTGCCATCCTCAACAACGTTGAATAATTTTTCAAAAATAACCCCCTAGAGAAATGTGGAAAATATAAAATGTTTCAAGGCTGATTCAACCCTTTTTTAAAGATAAATAAGAGGAGAGCTTTATGGCTTGTTTTTTTCTTATACATTTATACACATTGAGAAGTAAAAATCATTTCATATTTCTGATTTGACTATAGGATCTTGTACTGATTTTACTTGTGGTAAGTGATGTTCAAATACACTTATGCATGCTTATGAAGCATCTTATAAAATAGAAAGGATTTTGAAATTTTCTCTTAGAGAGGAAATACCGTACTTAGTTTTAAGTTTCCTTGAACTGTACTCCTTATTTATATTTGATATTGTTTGAAATGTTCTATTTTATTTAAAAAAATTATCTGGTAAAAGAAGACAAACTTAGCGAATCATCACCGAAGTCAATTGAAGGCGAATCAGAAATTTGTTTATTACTTCCCTCATTATTTGACTATGTCTGTTATTGATCAAATTATTTTCTACATTAATTGATTCAGCAAATAGACTTAGATTCCTATGTCCTTGAAAAGTAAATGGAACTAAATCTCTACCACAGTGCTCTCTAAACTCATAAACACTCACCATGATGTGTTGGCGTGTGAGTGAAGTCATTAGAAATTACACTCATGTAAATCATTCTGTAATTCTCTTAAAAATGTGTAGGTTTAACAATATGTATAATACATAAACACAGTAATAACAATAGAATATATAAAATATAGAATAGACCTATAGAATAAATTTATTCTATATTTACATAGAATATACATATACACACCTATAGACAGAGCATATAGTTTAGGCATTTATGTTATATAAACCATACATCATAGAGCTACACCATCCAATAGGGCAGCCATTACCCATAGATGCATGGAACACTTGAAATGTAGCTAATGTGACACATTGAAATAATAATATTTTGGATACATTCAGTTAAATTAAATATACCATTAAAATTAATTTCACTTGTTTGTTTTTACTTTTTAAAAATGTGTGCCAGAAAACTGAAAATTCCACATGTGGCTCACATATTTCTATTGGAAAGAGCTTTTCTAAAGAATATATAGTCTCAATAATAAAGATACTCTATATATTACAATATATAATATGCTCACTGAAAAATGGCTTTCAAAAACTTTTATGAATAGGTCTAGACAGTCAAATCACTGTTCTATAGTACTATAAAACTTAGCCCATTTAAAATACTAAATGAAGCATACATTTAGAAAGACTCTATTAGTTAATTTACATTTTCATGGTTATTGTAGTGGACCTATTGTATTCTCAACAAACTCCTACTTATTGAATTTACCCTCTCTAACTCTCAGCTCTACAAATGTGGTTTTATGGAAACTTCTCTGTTAATTTCTCTCTAGCCACAAATGATGGCGTCTTATCCAAATCAAGTTGGTCAGAATCTTACTGAATTCTGACTTGAGTCAGAGGATCATATTCTATCTAGAGGTCCAACATTGCTAGATGAGAAGCTCAAGAGTATATAGTGTTGATGTATTCTGTTCTGTGGAGAAAGCCAGGCATCTGTAAAAGACAATAATGAAGAATAAAATGAAGCAGAGGAGAGATGCATAGAAAATTTTTTTTCTGTACGATTCTATGGATTACCTACATTTCCCACTCACTAAGTTTGATATCTCAGGGCCCTTATAACACATTTGAGTTTCTGTCATTTGAAATAAAATTTTTTTAATTAATGCAGTCATCAGGAGCACAGAACATCATTATTTTATTAACAGTTTATCTCTTAGTGATTAGATCTTTTGGGGGCAAAGCTTCAGTCTACTTTCTAATTGTAGAAAAAGCAGAACCCCAAAATTTGATTTTAATCTTTTTAAAAATTTTTTTTCCGAAGTATATAAAAATACATGTTTATTAGAGAAAGACTTATAATGTACAGGGAAATATAAATGCATAAATAAAAACAACCTGATACTCCATTATTACAAAGGTCCTTGTTAACAGTATTTTATCCCTGATATTTGTACATTTACAATCTATGTGTTTATTTTTTTTTATTTTCAAAACATGTGCAGTACTGGCTATTCAATATTCTATTCAGTATTTTTTCTGTTTGACATTATACTGTAAGCCTGTAATCCCAGCATTTTGGGAGGCCGAGGCAGGCGGATCACTTGAGGTCAGGAGTTCGAGACCAGCCTGGACAACATGCTGAAACTATGCCCCTACTAAAAAAAAAAAAAAAAAAAAATTAGCTGGGCATGTAATCCCAGCTACTTGGGAGGCAGAGGCAGGAGACTCACTTGAGCTCGGGAGGTGGAGGTTTCAGTGAGCCAAGATTGTGCCACTGCACTCCAGCCTAGGTGAAAGAGTGAGACTTCATCAAAGAAAAAAAAAAAGCATTTTATCATTTCACTAATATTATTTCTAAATATATTTTTAAATCTATAGTATAGATACATTATATTGTATTTACCAATCCTATAAGATCATTAAGTATTTTTGAAATTTCTCCTAGTATAAATACTGCTGAAGGGAATACACATTCCCATCCCATAAGTTTTTGACTGTATCACTGAATATTATCTTAGGATAGATAGCAAAATACATAATGGATCAGAAGGGTGTGACCATTCAAACATATGGATTTGTGTTGCAAATTTCCTCATACAAAAGGTTGTAGAAAATTTATATTCTCATCAGCAGTGTTTGATGTCCATCTTAGTAAAATTTCACCTATAAAGAATATAATTTAAAAATTGTCTAAATATTACTTCCTATTTTATTACCATTAAAATATATAATTCAATACATTTATACAGGTAACAATAAATTTAAATTAAATAGTTATAAAACAATATATATTTACAAAATCAAATAATTTAGTGAGATTTCAGAAAACGTGCAAAACATAAGCTCAGAAAATCTAATAGTGATAAACTGAAAATATAACAATCATATAGAAATGAAGGTAATCCAAACTGTAAAGATGAGTTCACAAAGAATTATAGAATGATATGCAAATCTGAATAAGAAATATAAGTATACCCATGTAACTGAGAACTACAATATCAGAAAGAAAAGATGTATTTAAAAGGAGGAAAAATAATCAAAAAAGAAAATGAGCATCCATAAAAGTTTTGAAATATTGGCTGTAGATGAAGAGGTACGTGATGGAAGAAGGTGGAATAACTGAAATTGAGAATAAGCCAAATATTGTTGAAAACTCAGGTTAAAAAAATGCACGTTTCTCTGTGCTTCATACTGTCCCAAATTTCTTTGATAATTGCCTTCAACTTGTCTTTATCTTTGTAAACACATTCAAAAAGAATTTTTCAAGGTCAGAGTGGTGATGGACAATAGGTGAAGTAGGCAGTCACAAAGATTAAATAGAGTTTTTGCTTCATAGACAACTGCTCTCTTCAGAAGCAGATTTCATTATTTGAAAACAACTCATCTATTTTTTTCCCCTTTGGTGTGCTGTTAAAGAAAGTTGTACAAATTATTCAAGATACTGCTTCTCTTCCAATACTCCCAAACTTTGCTGATGCAGAGAAAATGCCCTAAGGTTAATAAGTTAATCCTTTATCATATAGAACTTCATATATATTCTAACTGTGATCAAGTTCCAAAATGTGCCTTAAAACACTTCATTAATAATAGCTGATGTCTTTAAATTTTAAGGTAGGTCAATTACATTTGATGCAATGGCTGAATTTCATTAAAAGGTAGAAAACATTAATCTTGCATAATCTTTTTTTGCTTTTAAGGAAGGATTTTGGGAGTTTGAAAAGCATGAAAATATAGCAATTTAATTTAAAAGGAAATGTCCCTAACTATATTTTTTGTTAAGTGTGTGTTCTTAGAATATAAGCTCTCAAGAGTAAATGCACAGTCAATGCCACAGTCCAGATTCCCCAAAAGCAGTGCCTAGAGGGAGTTTTGCACGCAGGTATTTTTTTGGGGAACAGGATTTCGCAGAGCAGGAATGACAGACAGAGGAATACAATGTGACCAAAGAAGACTGAAAAATGTGTTTTAGAATTCTTTGACTAGTGTGTTTGGAACTCCGATCATACCCATTGATCAAGCATGACACCATGAGCAATACCTCGCTCGTTCATATTTCTAGGCTACACATGCATGAGTACCAATGAGTTCCAGTGAACATCCTGCACTGCAGCATTAGAGAAGCCCTTGTGTAAGAAGTGGGAGGTATATTTCATGGGTCTGCCGTGAAGTGCTTATAGGTTGCATTTGTGTGCAGCTGGTTTCAGCATCCACAGCCCTGGTTACCATTGCTGGAGCAAAAGGTGAGACTGGCAGGATTTGAAATTGGGCACTAGAGATGAATATAAACACAGTCCAACTGTTGAACCACCCAGAAGTTTTCCTACTCTCTGTTAAATCCATAGGATTATTTGATAGTAGTGTTCCCCAAGGCTCAGCGTGTCCTGAAGCCATCATTGTTATTCGTTATCTACCTTCTCAAGCACTCATTCTAGGTTTACTTTACCCTCAGCCCTAAGCCAGAATTTCAACTTGTCTAGGTTGCTTGCCTAGTAAAGTGATGCCCTGAAGGATCTGAATTTTTAATTGAATTGTTTTAATATACCAGGGTTGTAATTGCTTGTTCATAGTTATTAGAAAGCACAGAGCACCACGAAATGCCCTCATGAATCTTTTTTTTTTTTTTTTGCCCCAGGCATACTTCTCACTGCCCCATTGTGTAGTGGCAGTCCTAGCTGTTTATGGTAGTCACGGTCAATAGTGCCCTAGTGTACTAACTTTTCTTTTCTTTCTTCTTCTTCTTTGTATTTTTTTTTTTGCCTTTCATTCCTATGACATGAAGATCCCAAAATAATAGTTTCAGTTTCAAGTTCAGTGGAACACTTGCCATTTTTTTTGGTAAAAGAACCCCTACTTCCTCCCCTCAAATCAGGACCTCTAATCTGAGAGAATCTAGTGTCATAGGAATAGGTATCACAAATTCCGCTTATGTGTTAATGGAAATATCAACTATAAGGGCCGATTATATTTCAAATTCTTGTTTTATGGACCTGTGTATGCTAGTTATTCGGACACAGCATTTGCTTTTGGTTTTGATTCAGCATACTAACACATTCTAGAAGAAAGGACATCAACCCCACAGGATATTCTTATGACAGTGACTTACCTGAGACTTCAACATAATATAGCTTGTTTCTATTAGATTGGATGCTCTGGGAGGCAAGGTTGATAATAATACTGGAGGAACCCCTTGTAGTATTCCTATTGTTGCAACAATTTTGTCATAAATGAGGCCTTTACTCTCACACACTATCGTGTAACATACAATAGTGGAAAAGCCACTGTGGGAAGAGAAAACATTTATATTTTAGAGTAGATATTGAGTCTGTAAAAATGTATTACTTACCCTCCAACATATTAAAGATCAGATATAGTCGAAGTCACAAAAGAGGGATAATTATTCCTCTGCCTTCTTGAAGGCTCATCATTTCTGCTGCTGGTAAACTGGTTATTCAGCAGCACCAGTCGTCTGACTGGCCTTGGTGAGAGGAAACCCACGCTCTTGGATCCATGTATAGCCTCCTTACCTTCATCCATGGCTCATTTCTCCAGGATTGAGTTGGCTGAGGAGAAAGGCTTCTGATATTCCCGGGAAAAGTAATCCTGCCCTCATGACTATTTAGTGCTTATTCTGCAGTGAATACTTTCTTGTGAGTCTTAATGTGAGACATGAAAATCTGCATGTAAAGAAAATGACCAAATGTGCTGCTGACAACTCTGCTATTAGCAGGTTTTCCTTCACTGTTGTCATTTAGAGCCATTCCTGAATGGAAGCATAATACAGCAATAGACAATCTATGGCCAGTACCAGTACCAACCTATCTGAAAAGTAGATCCAGGTATTTTCCTTCCTGTTTAGTGAGTTTTAGGGCACTTCTGCTCAGGCACTGTCCTGAGTGTATCATTCTGTCACACAATTAATTGCTGCCTGCCATGTGACATGATGGGAAGCTCCAATACACAGTTTCTTGGTATCCCATGATCAGGCCTTCAGTTTCTATTAGGGCCCATTAGCACAAAAGAAGCTATTTTTCAAGGCCTGGTAGTTCTATGATCCAGAAAGCGTGGTTTGGCTCCACAGTCCTCAGAGTTTGTGCAGTGACTCCCCTACTTTGACTTGCCAGAGACACCACAAATCCTTTTTATCTACCACGATTACTTCTAGCATCATCAGATCTGCTAGGTCATATACAACTTGAGCCAGGACAGCTTGGACCAAGCTTAGACTTTCTGCAAGAACTTCTCTTGCTCCAGGCACTATGCAAAACTGTCAGCCTCATAAGACACTTCATAAATAGGTCAAAATAGAATTTCCAATTGTTCTCCCAATGTCAAAAGATCACCTAGTGATGTATTTCTTTTTTTGTCATAGGGGTTCAAAATGCAGCAATCTGTATCTTAAACAGAATGTCTCAGTGTTCTTCTGACCACTGGATAACTATAAACTTCACAATAGGGCATGCCTGTCCCCAATCTTCATTGCATTTATCTTCTACCCCCTGGCAACTATGTCTTATCAGATTACTTACTGCTTTCTAGGTCCAATTAGCATTTTTTCTTATTTTAATGGATAAATAATGCTGTTCTGCACAATATCAAGATGATGAAATTTCCTGTGAAACAGTATTGTTTTTCCACAACAGACAATGAAATAGTTAATGCAGCCTTGGGGAAAGACAGGAATGTGTACTGCTGTATCTCCCATGTAAAAGAGAATTTCTTTCTAGCTTCCTTACTGATAGGGATGGAAAACAGTGTATTCAACAGATCATAGCACAGGCCATGTTGATGTGTTTCAGTAAAGAACTACTTTCATCAAGAAGCACCTGTAAGTAAGGCTACCACTTGATTAAGTTTATAATTTTTTTTGTTTGCTGTGATCCATCTGGTTTTACAGAGGAAAAACAGGTGAATCAAAAAAGTGTACTTTGGGAACAACCAGTCTTGCATAACTTATTTCTGAGGGTAGTAATAATCTCTAAAAATCCTCCTGGCTTGCAGTATTGCTTCTTCACAATCTTGACAGAGTTCAGTGGCAGGTTAAAGTGCTTCCACTTACGTTTTCTACCATATGGCTCTTCTGTTGCAAGTCAGAGAACTAAAGTGAGAGCATGCCAGCTACTTGATATTTATCCAATTACATACTTAGAGACTAAGAAATTAACTACTGAGTCATTCAGTGGGAATTGGAGACCACTGTGATATGAACTTGGGGAGAAGTTATCTTTCTTACCTCGTCTTTATAACCCCCCTCATCCTATGGTGGGGTTTCAGGTCCTCTGGTATCAGCATCCTGGAGAGTTTGGGTATCCTCCATTCCCTAATACAGGCTCCAAGGTATCTTTAGGGAGGTATTAAAATAATGATTATTACATATGCTTGTGGAGGCCCTTCCTCAAGGGAATATAACTTCCTCCCTATTATGGACTGAATTGTGTTCCCTCAAAATTCATACGTGGAAGTCTTGATCCCCAGTGCCTCAGAATGTGACTGCTTTTGGAGATAGGGCCTTTAAGGAGGTAATTAAGTTAAAATGAGGTCATTAGGGAGGGCTCTAACCCAGTGAATTGTGTCCTTATGATATGATTTGAATTTGCGTCCCTTCCCAAATCTCATGTTGAATTATAATCCCCAGTGTTGGAGGAGTGATCTGGTGGGAAGTCATTGAATCACAAGGGCAGATTTCCCTCTGGCTCTTCTCATGATAGTGAGTTCTTGTGAGATCTGGCTGTTTAAAACTGTGTAACACCTCTCCCTTCACTCTCTTCCTTCTGCTCTAGCCATGTAAGACAAGCCGATTCCCCTTTGCCTTCCATAATTATTATAAGTTTCCTGAGGCTTCCCCAGCCATGCTTCCTGTACAGCATGCAGAACTATGAGCCAATTAAACCTCTTTTCTTTATAAATTACCCAGTCTCAGACAGTTCTTTACAGCCATGTGAGAATGGACTAAGACACCTTATAAAAAGGGGAAATTTGATAGAGGCAGGTACAGAAGGAAGACCATGTAAAGACACAGGGAGAAGATGGCCATTTACAAGCCAATGAGGAAGGCATCAGAATCAACCTGCTGACACCTTGACATCAAACCTCTCTCCCCTCAGAATCATGGGAAAATAAATTTTTATTGGAGGATCCACCCATTCTGTGGTACTTTATTGTAGCATTCCTAGCAAACTAATATACTATTTAATTAATGCACTCTGTATATGTGAACTGACTTAGATGTGAAAATTGGGTGAGAGACTGTAATTTTGCAATGTGGTGATTCACCTTAGCCTTCTGATTTCCAGATGCTGATTATTCTGTTTCTAGTTTCATGGAGTAAAATGACATCATAATCAGCTCTGCATCTATATTGCATCTTGAAGCACCATAGCCTGTTAGACAAACATTCTCACCAATATCTGTGGGTTAAGACACTCTGCTACTCTAGCTTATTCTGACATTCAAGTGCTGCAGTTGGCCTCTGCTGTTCTAGAATTATGGAATTCCTACTGAAACTAAAGAGCCCAGTAGGAAGCATCTCCTACTGTCACCTCCTACCTGCAAAGGGCATATTCACTGGGATTTTCAAAGATTCTGGTGCCTCTTTCGCTAGTATGTTTCTTATGATCCTTGTGAGGATAAGTCCTCTGGGTCCTCCTAGGGAGTATAATCGGGTAGGGGATTTTCAGTCTCTCATAGTAAATTCATTTAAATATTTTCATTTCTCTAAGTCTGCTGGCACATTCTCAATACTTATTTTATTGGATGATATTGTTTGGATTTGTGTCCCCTCCCAAATGTCATGTTGAATTGGAGGAGGAGCCTGTTGGGAGATGATTGGGTCATTAGGCAGATTTCCCCCTTGCTGGTCTCCTGATAGTGAGTGAGTTCTCACAAGATCTGATGGTTTAAAAGTGTGTAGCATTTCTCCCTTCACTCTCTCTCTCTTGCTCCACCATAGTAAGATGTGCTGCCTGCTTTCCCTTTGGCTTCCACCATGATTTTAAGTTACCTGAGTCCTCTCAGTCATGCTTTTTGTACAGCCTGTGGAACTGTGAGTAAATTAAACTTCTTTTCTTCATAAATTACCCAGCCTCAGGTAGTTCTTTATAGCAGCGTGAAAATGGACAAATACAGAAAATTGGTACCAGAAGAGTGAGGCGCCCGTATAAAGATACTGAAAATGTAAAAGCAACTTTGGGACAGGGTAAAGGACAGAGGTTGGAATAATTTGGAGGGCTCGGAAAACAGGAAGATGTGAGAAAGTTTGGAACTTCCTAGAGACTTGTTGAATGGTTTTGACCAAAATGCTGATAGTGATAAGAACAGTGAAGTCCAGGCTGAGATGGTCTCCGATGGAGGTGAGAAACTTGTTTGGAACTGGGGTAAAGGTCACTCTTGCTATGTTTCAGCAAAGACTGGTGGCATTTTGTCCTTGCCATAGAGATCTGTGGAATTTTGAACTTGAGAGAGATGATTTAGGGTGTCTGGCGGAAGAAATTTCTCATCAGCAAAGCATTCAAGATGCAACCTGGCTGTTGCTAAAGATGTTTACTTGTATGTATGAACAAAGAGATGATCTGAAACTGAAATGTATTTAAAAGAGAAGCAAAGCATAAAATGTTGGAAAATTTGCAGCCCAGCCATATGGTAGAAAAGAAAAACCCATTTTCTGGGGAGGAATTCAAGCTGGCTGCAGAAATTTGCATAAGAAGAGATAAATGTTAATAGCCAAGACAATGGGGAAAATGTCTCAAGGGAACATCAGAGACCTTCAGGAAATCCCTCACATCACAGGCCCAGAAAATGGTTTCATGGGCCCATCCCAGGGTGCACCTCTTCAGTGCAGCCTTGAGACATGGTGCCCTGTGTCCCAGCTGCTCTAACTCCAACTGTGGCTAAAACGGGCCATGGTGTAGCTCAGACAGTGGCTTCCAAGGATGCAAGCTCCAAGCCTTGGCAGCTTCCACGTGGTGTTGGGCCTGCAGGTGCACAGTAGGTAAGAGTTGAGGTTTGGGAACCTCCACCTAGATTTCAGAAGATGTATGGAAATGCCTGGATATCCAGGCAGAAATCTGCGGCAGGGGCAGAGCCCTCATGGAGAACCTCTACTAGGGCAATGCAGAGGGAAAATGTGGTGTTGGAGCCCCCATGCAGAGTCCCCACTGGGGCACTGCCTAGTGGAGCTGTGAGAAGTGGGCTATGATCCTCTAGATGCAAGAGTGGTAGATCTATTGACAGCTTGCATTGTGCACCTGGAAAAGCTGCAGGTGCTCAACATAGCCACAGGGGCTATGCCCTGCAGAGCCACAGCGTTGAAGCTGCCAAGGCCTTGGGAGCCCACCCTTTGCATCAGTGTGCCCTGGATGTGAGACATGGAGTAAAAGGAGATTATTTTGGAGCTATAAGTTTTAATGACTGTCCTGCTGGCTGTCAGACTTGCAAGGGGCTTGTAGCGCCTTTATTTTAGCCAGTTTCTCCCATTTGGAATGCGAGCATGTACCCAATGCCTGTATCCACATTGTATCTTGGAAGTAACTAACTTGCTTTTGATTTTACTGACTCAAAGGCAGAAGGGACTTACCTTTTCTCAGATGAGATTTTGGACTGTGGACTCTTGAGTTATTACTAAAGTGAGTTAAGACTGGGGGACTGTTGAGAAGGGATAGATGATTGCATTTTGCGATGTGAGAAGGACATAAGATTTGACAGGGTACAGGCTTGGGATAATATGGTTTGCATTTGTGTCCCTCTCCAAGTCTCATGTTGAATTGGAGGAGGGGCCTGGTGGGAGGTGATTGGATCATGGGAGTGGATTTCCCCCTTGATGTTCTCCTGATAGTGAGTGAGTTCTTACGAGTTAGTTTAAAAGTGTGTGGCACTTCTCCCTTCTCTCTCTCCTGCTCTGCCCTAGTAAGACATGCTTGCTTCCCCTTCACCTTCTGCCATGACTGTTTCTTGAGGCCTCCCCATCATGCTTCCTAGGTTACTTATTTCAGTAACCCAATATATTAGTCCGTTTTCATAATATAGACCCAATTGTGGGTTTATATTAAACTTCTAAGGAAGTTTCATACTCTGGCTCATTTAATATACAGCCATAATTGGATCCAGGCTTCAAAGAGCTACCCCTATAGCGTATAAGGAAGAGATCCAGGTTTCCTTTCAAGGACATTGAACTGAGTCACAGGTTTCCAAGTCAATAAATTATTCCCTATTTAGGCTTATATTCTGCCTTGTCTTCCCCCTGACCATCACCCAGTGTATTCTCCTCTAGACCACCCACTCACACATATATTCCTCTGGTTTCTGCTGGTACATATCAGCAGTCCCTGAAATTCCTTCAAAACACTTAAGAAATTGCATTTTCCTGTTTGGGCTGTACAGAGATATAACCTGGGTTTTTGTCTTGAAAGCAATGAGGAGAAACCAGAGTCTGAGATCAAAGATTACATGCAGAGAATGGGAGTGAGGGATGGGAGGATAAAGCAGAAAATAAAGAAAAGCTACAAAAATGATGCGTTATTAAGTTGGCAATCAGTATGAGAAACTGCAGCTTGATTCTGCTGCACTTTATGAAGTGTTCTATGAAACGTGTCTTAGAATGATCTGCCTAGGGGATGAAAGGAGGAAGCATTTATCCACTGGCTTTCATCTTGCATTGGTTAAGGATGCCTCCCGGGCATTAACTCTCCCACACTTCCAGATTGGTCATGCTTAAGTGCTGAACAGGTGTCTGCAGACATCCCACACTGTTTGTGACATTAGAAAAATCCTGAAGGCAAGAGATATGAAGCAATGACCTAACTTGCAATTATATGAAGCTTATCAAAGCTAATCATAAGATGAGTAACTGGAGCAGCAGCTGGAATAAGAGGTGGGCCAGCAGCATTCTAAGTGGGGGCACCAGAAGTTTCCAATTTGATTTGTAGTCCAACAACTGGCTTAAATGGTAAGTGTTATGCATTCAAAATATTTTTGTAATTATTATATGCTTATGAGAAACTCATACAATTGGACTTTTGACAATAAAGTAGATTGATTTTTAGGTCTTGATTATAAATGACAGAAAGAACTGACAAAAACGTAGAATACTGCAGGCTTCCCTGTTTGCAAATCATGTCAGTGGGTTCCCAGTTTGTCGGATAAACGTCATCATAATTCTTTGTTTCCTTCCAGTATTTGCAGTTGCATTTGCCCATCACTATATTCATCAATGATTTGTATTTAGTGAATTTTACACAACAGAGTGATGCAGCCACTGATAAAATATGTTGTACTATTTTGCTCATAAATATTTGCTTAAATTGGAGCAAAGCTCATTAGCAACATATAAAAGGTGAAGATTTTTTGGGGGGTTTATCAGCTTCTTTTAGAAAAACAAAAAAAAGTAAAAATGAAAGTTGAACTTTTTTTCCCCTTAATAATTTTTGGGGCTGGCATACACGGAAAGACAAATACCAGGTGTTCTCACTCATAAGTGGGAGCTAAACAATGTGCACATATGGACATAGAGTATAGAATTATGGACAATGGAGGCTCAGAAGGGTGAGGTAGTGGAAGGGAGGTGGATGATGAGAAATTGCTTAATGAATACATTAAGCACATACATTATCAAATGGTGAATACTTTAAAAGCCCTGACTTTACCACTACATAATCTGTGCATATAACAAAATTATACTTGTATCCCATATACTTACACAAATAAAAAGATAAAAATAAAAAAATTATAATTTGGGCAACTAGATTTCCAAATGGCCAAGTATATGATGGAAAATCCTAAATGATCAAGGATAATGATGGTAACTTGTGGCTTATGTATCATTATTGTTGCTAATGTCTCTGTCACATTGCAGAGCCTCAATAAATGAATGTTCAGCTAAGCTTATCATTTTCATTTTCATGGCTTTACTCTTCAGTTTTATAATCCTATGACCTCTCACCAGAAAGTCATTTTTATAGAATGCAATCTATAAAATAAAACTGAGATTTGAGGCATTCAGATATGCTCCATATTGTATAAAATGAGTATAAATAAACTAATTAATCTTTTTTCAGATCTATTATTATTCTATCCTTTCCCTGTGATTTCTCATTGCCAATTGGCTTTAGTTAATTTTCCTTAAACTAACTTTTTTTTTCCTATGGTAAAAACTATTTCTGTCTAGTTTTTATAATTATGAGCCAATTAATTTCCCTTCTTAAAGTCAGTTTAAATTTGGCTTTTTGTTTCTTGCAGCTAAAAGCATTCTTTTTGATACAGCTCCATTTCTCTTAGACTTTTTTATTGGCCTATTGTGATATTATTCTTTACTACCATTTTCTAGCAGTTTCAGTGAAGTATAATTTACATATAATAGATCACACATATTTAAAGTGTACAAACTGATGTTTTACTATCATGAAACCATCAACATAATCAAGACATTGAACATATGCCTCACCTCCAAAATCTTTCTTTTGCTGCTTTTAATGTTTTGGTTTTTTATTTTCCCACTCCTCCCCGACAACCCAGGCAAGCACTAATTAGCTTTCTGTCACTCACATAAGCTCATATTTCTTAGAATTTTATGTAAATAGAATCTTATATTCGGAATTGGTTTTGTTTGACTTCTTTTACTCAGGATAATTATTTTGAGAATCATCCATGTGGTAGCATGTATCAATAGTTTGTTTCTTTTTAGTGCTAAGTGACATTCAGTTTTATGGATATACTATAATGTGTTTATCCATTCACCTGGTGGTGGACATTTGGGTTGTTTCCAGCTTTCGGTTATTATATATAAAGATGTTATTAATATTTATGTAAAATTCTTTGCATGGACATTTTATTTTGCATATTCCCAATGGCTAACGGTATTGCTATATTTTGTATTTAGACATTTGACCGATTTGAGTTAGTTTTTATAGATATTGTAAGACCTGAATTCAAGTTAATCATTTTTTGCATATGGATTTCCAATTATTCCACACTATTATTTTTGTAAATATACCTTCACCACCCAATTGCTTTTGTTTCTTTTCAAAATGAATTTGTCCACATACGTGTAGGTCACACACATCCAGGTCACACTGATGCAAGACGTGGGCTCCCCCCATGGCCTTGGGAAGCTCTGCCCCTGGTGCTTTGCAGGGTACAGTCTCATTCCCAGCTGCTTTCACAGGATGATGTTGAGGGTCTGTGGCTTTTGCAGGTGCACAGTGCAAGCTGTCTGTGGATCTACTATTCTTGGGTCTAGAGGATGGTGGCCCTCTTCTCACAGCTTCACTAGGCAGTGCCCCAGTGGGGACTGTATTTGGGGGCTCCAACCCCTCATATTTTCCTTCTGCACTGCCCTAGTGGAGGTTCTCCATGAGGGCTCTGCCTCTGCAGCAGACTTCTACCTGGACATCCAGATGTTTCCATACTTCCTTTGAAATCTAGGTGGAGGTTCCCAAACCTCAATTCTTGTCTTCTGAGCACCCACAGGCCCAAGACCATGTGCAAGCTGCCAAGGCTTAGGGCTTGCACACTGTGAAGCCACAGTCCAAACTGCACCTTGGCCCCTTTTAGCCGTGGCTTAGATGCAAATCACCAAGTTCTGAGACTGCACAAAGCAGCAAGGCTCTGGGCCTGGCCCACACAACCATATTTTCCTCCTAAGCCTATGGGCCTGTGATGGGAGGAGCTGCTGTGAAGACCTCTGACATGCCTGGGAGACATTTTCCTCGTTGTCTTGATGATTAATATTTGGCTCCTTGCTACTTATATAAATTTCTGCAGCTGGCTTGACTTTTTCCTCAGAAAATGGGTTTTTCTTTTCTGTCACATCATCTGGCTGCAAATTTTCCAAAATTTAATAATCTGTTTCTTTTTTAAACATAAGTTCCAATTCCAAATTATGTCTTTGTGAATACATAAAACTGAATGCTTTTAACAGTACCTAAGCCACTTCTTGAACACTTTGCTGTTTAGAAATTTCATCTGCCAGATACCCTAAATCATCTCTCTCAAGTTCAAAGTTCCACAGGTCTCTAGGGCTGGGGCAAGATGCCACCAGTCTCGTTGCTAAAACATAACAAGAGTCACCTTTTCTCGAGTTTCCAACAAGTTCTTCCTCTCTATCTGAAACCACCTCAGCCTGGACTTCATCATCTATATCACTATCAGCATTTTTGTCAAAACCATTTAGCAAGTCTCTAGTAAGTTCCAAACTTCCCTATTTATGCCTGTCTTCTTCTGAGCCCTCCAAACTATTCCAATCTCTGTCTGTTACCCAGTTCCAAAGTCACTTCCACATTTTTGGGTATCTTTACAGCAGCACTTCTCTCTGCTGGTACCAATGTACCATGCTGCTGATAAAGACATACCTGAGACTGAGTAATTTAAAAAGGAAAGAGGTTTAATTGACTCACGTTTCAGCATGGATGGGGAGGCCTCAGGAAACTTACAATCATGGCAGAAGGAGAAGCAAACATGTCCTTCTTCAAATGGCAGCAGCAAGGAGAAGAATGAGAGGCAAGTGAAGGGTGAAGCCCCTGATAAAACCATCAGATTTCACAAGAACTTACTTAGTATCATAAGAATATCATGGGGGAAACTGCCCCCATGACTTGATTACCTTTTACTGGGTCCTTTCCACCACACATTGGGATTATGGAAACTACAATTCAAGATAAGGTTTGAGTGGAGACACAGCCAAATAATATCATACGGTTTTCTCATAGAATTTATGATTATGTTTGGGTGAGGAAGTTATTGATATTCTATTCCTGTAATTTTTTGTCTAATTTTACTATCAGGTTAATTCTGTCTTCATATAATAAAGTTGGTGTGTATACCATCTTCTTCAAGTCTCTGTTTTAATTTCTTCCTTGAAATTAATCAGAAAAGCAAAATAGAATTTTGCTAGAATTAATCAGTAAAGCAAAATAGAACTGAAGATTTATTTGTTTAAAGCTTTTAAGTATCAATTCAATTTCTTTAGTAGGTACAGTAAGTCCTCACTTAATGTCATTAGGAGGTTCTTGGAAATGCAATTTAAGCAAAAGACATAATAAAAACAATTTTTTTCTTCATCAATGTTATAACAAAATAACATTGAATAAGAAGGCATTATTTGAGGACCTGCTGTACATCATTTTGCTTGAAGTCACAGTTTTCAAGAGCCTATCAATGACATTAAGTGACTATTTACTGTGTAGGACTATTTATATAATCTATTTCTTCTTAAATGAGCTTTGGTATTTTGTGCCTTTTAAAGAATTCATCTACTTGCTCTAAATTTTCAAAATAATTGGCCTAAATTCTTCATATTATTCTCTGTTCATTTTTATAGTATTTGTAGAATTTATAGTAATGCCACTTCTCTCATTCTTGTTACTGTTAGTTTTGTCATTTCTTTTATTGTGATCAGTCTGGCTAGAAACTTAACAATTTTATCGAACTTTTTAAATAACAATCTTTTATAAATTTATTTCCTCTATTTCACTGACTTATTCTCTTATCTTTATTATTTCCTTTCTTCTATTTTAGATTTAGTTTGCTCCTTATTTTTTCAGTTTCTTAAGATGGAAGTTGAATTCCATGATCTACCACCTTTATTCATTTATAATTTAATTGTTTAGTGCTATTTGTTTCTTCTCACCAAGTGTCCAATAAAACAAGGAAATAAAAAATTTAAACTACCTTATTGCAAATAAGTCTAATGTAAAGACATTCAATGTTGAAAAATAGATTTATTAGTGAGTGATTATCTTTATTATAGAAAAATTATGATTCAATATAGACTACTAAAACTTTCTACAGATTGATAATTTGTGCTAAATAAAAATTGGTTCTAAATCAAGATATTGTTTCATTTTCATGCTCTTAAAAAATTCAAGATAACTAAACAGTCAGAATGCCCATTCTTTTTCTTTTTTTTTTTAAGTGATTTTTCTCCCCTTTATTAAAAAAAGATTATACAATTTGGGCTCATAGTAAAAAATTCAAACAGTAGAACAGTGTGTACATAGAAGGCATTCCCCACTCCCACTCCAGGAGTTTGGGTATCATTCTAGAAGTGTTCTGTCAATATATAAGCATTTTTCATTCAAACACACACACACACACACACACGGGATCCCATATTCTATAATTTTTGTGTTTTAAAAAACAACCATATTTCATAGATATCTTTCCACTTAAGCACATTCAGAGCTCCATCATTTTTTTTTTTTTTTTTTTGAGACAGAGTTTTGCTCTTGTTGCCCAGGCTGGAGTGCAATGGCGCTATCTCAGCTCACTGCAACCTCTGCCTCCCGGGTTCAAGCAATTCTCCTGCCTCGGCCTCCCAAGTAGCTGGGATTACAGGCATGCACCACCATGCCCAGCTAATTTTGTATTCTTAGTAGAGACAGGGTTTCTCCATATTGGTCAGGCTTGGTCTCAAACTCCCGATCTCAGGTGATCTGCCCACCTCAGCCTCCCAAAGTGCTGGGATTACAGGCAAGAGCCACCGCGCCCAGCACGGTCTTTTCAAAGACCAGATAATTTATTTAATCAACTGTCTAAAGATGGACATTGTGATTGATCACACTATTTTATATGTAACATTGAATGGAGTGGGTGAGTCCTAGGAAACATTCTCTCCTAAAAGTTTACATTTTTCATTGACTAGAAGTGACCAAAATAGATTCTACTGATGAGAAAAGACTTTTGAAAGCAGTATGGTCAGGTTGGCAGGTGAATGGCCTCAAGAGCTTAGGATTTCATTGCTACTAAAAGAACAAGACTATTCAGTTGTGAAACAATGATTTAGTCAAATACTGATGCTGTCTCAGATGAGTAACTGCAAATCACTTCAAAAGGTAGAAGGGTAGCTTAAATGTGAAAAAGGTTACTGCCACTTCATGTAGGGAAGATAACAAGCATTTGCAAATAGCAAAATAGAAAGAAATAAATGGTTTCAGTACAAGCTCTTATACTCACTTGGCATCAAAATAGTCCAAAATAAATCTGAGAACCACGGCAAGTTATAGCTGTGTTAATAACAAAATGTGATATTTACTATTTAA
The DNA here is from genome assembly GCF_000001405.40 of Homo sapiens. Classification (NCBI taxonomy): domain Eukaryota; kingdom Metazoa; phylum Chordata; class Mammalia; order Primates; family Hominidae; genus Homo; species Homo sapiens. Next base: position 94,506,678 of record NC_000003.12, read on the forward strand.
ATTCAGCAGCTGGGAGAATCCCCTTATAAGGAAGACAGAAAATACGTTTATATCCAGACTGCATTACTCTTTGGAAAAATATGACCAATCAGATTTTGGGTATTATTGTTACAACCTTTTCCTTCACCTCTGCATCATGGTGATCAACTAAAGCTCTTATTTTCTGGGCACATTCTTCTCCATGTAACAGGAAAAACAATGAACCTTCAGTGAAAGTAGGCTGCACAGCTAAATGGCCTTCTATTTTGAGGCAGTTCTTTATATGCTGAAATAGCGTAAGTACTCGAAGAAGAATCTCCTTTGCTACGTGGCTGTCATAAAGGGAAAGGAATGATGAATCCACCTTCGTGTTTCCATTTCCAGTAAGTAACACCTGGAACAGGTCTGTAATGTAACTGTGAAGCATGTGCTGGTGGTCATTGGTAACAGTCATGTTTGTCAACAATCTCAGTCCGGCCAGCTGCACAGCAGAGTTCAGAGGACCAGAGAAGACATCCTCACATACTTGACTGATGTATATCTTTATCTTGATTTGATTTTCAACATTCACACTCAGGTTATTTAGTGCATTTAAAGCTTTGTCTTTAATACTCTGGTTGGAATGGTTGATTTTGTTTGCAACAATTGGAATACCACCCAATTCACGAATAATAGCTTGGTTAACTGAAAAGGCTGCATTGTTACCCAAAGTAATCAAAGCTCTTTCAATAATTACAGGATCCTCAGTTGACTCCAGCAGGTAAAGGAGTTTCTGAAGTTGTTCAGCATTTAGAACATCATCATATGAACCATCAGTTAAGTCTTCTGCGGACTTCGAAGAGCGTATCCCGAGCTCGCGGTCGCCCCGCCGCCGACCCCGGGTCAGCCTGTAAATGCAGTAGCAGGCGCCCGCGCCGAGCAGCAGGCCCGCAGCCACCCAGCCCGCGCCCCGGGGGCCACCCATGCTGCCGCCGCGGCAGAGCCGCAGCGCCGGAGAATGCCCATTCTTAAAAAGTAAAAAAATAACAGGTGCTAGCATGGTTGTGGAGGAAAAGCAACCCTTATGCACTGTTAGTGAGAGTATAAATTAGTTCAATCATTGTAGAAAACAGCGTGGTGATTTTTCAGAACCTAAAAACAGAACTATCATTCAACCCAGCAATCCCATTATGGGCTATATATGCAAAGGGATATAAATTATTCTATCATAAAGATACATGCATGTGTATGTTTATTGTAGCACTATTCACAATTGCAAAGACATGAAATCAATCTAAATGCCTATCCCTGGTAGACTGGATAAAGAAAATGTTGTACATATACACCAGAGGATACTATGTAGCCATAAAAAAGAACTAGATCATGTCATTTTCAGGAGCATGAATGGAGCTGGAGGCTTTTATCCTTAGCAAACTAATGCAGGAACAGAAAACCAAATACCATATAGTCTCACTCATGAGTGAGAGCTAAATGATGAGAATATGTAGACACATAGAGGGGACCAGAACACAATAGGGCCTACCAGTGGAGGGTGGAGGGTTGATGGTGAGAGAAGAAGATCAGGAAAAATAACTAATGGGTACTAGGCTTAGTACTTTGGTCATGAAATAATCTGTATAACCAACCCCCATGACACAAGTTTACCTATGTAACAAACCTGCACATGTACCTTAAACTTAAAATAAAAGTTAAAAAACAAACAAAAAAATGAGAAAAAACCAAAAACAACTAAACAAACTAGATAAACATGACTTTTATTATGAAAACTATGTGATTCTGTAACTGACATTTGGAGTTCTCTGCCCTTTATTCTGCATTCTTTCTTTACAAACATTCCCTAATTTCTCTTTCAGAGTCCAAATTGTTTAAGAAAGATGGTTTTAAAGCTGTCTCAATATGTGAAATACAGTATATGACCTAAGTCATAGCAGGGCATTTTATTCACCAGGACTAGTACAGATGACTGAATCTCAGACTCTTTCCAGAGTTACTAAGAAAAAGATTTTTTTCCCTTTCTGGGTGAAAGTGTGAAGATATATAGCTGGAAACATCTTAAATCATGTGTCCATGAAGAAAGCCAGCCTAACAATGACTCTAGGAGAAAGAAAATGGAGGAGTCAAGACATTTGCAGCAAAATGTAACTGGATCTCTGACCAAACTGTATCTAAAGCCTGCTTTCTGGACTTTTGGAATATTACGAGTTTATAAAGAAACTATATTGTTTAAACTAGTGAAGTCTCAGTTTTCTGTTATTTGCAACTAAAGCATGAGGAACAGTTACATTATGATTTGCATAAGCATCTTTTATTTGATGGAAGTATATGTATGAGAAGAAAACTTTGTATACATTTTGTGCAGTGAATAAAGTGGATGTTAGTAAATATTTGGCGTATTGTGGGCCACCTAGCTCTCAAACTTACTTATTGGTTAGAGGTTATCATGCATTGTATGTGTTGAAATGGCCACTACATAAACAGAAGGCTAGATCCTTTCTTTTCCTGTTCCATGGTTATAGTAGGTTGAATAATGGTCACCCAACAATATCAAGCTCTAATCTCAGTAAATTGTAAATGTTACTTTACTCGAAAAAGGGGTCTTAACAGATATAATTAAATTAAGGGTCTCTAAATGAGAAGATGACCCCGGGTTATTCAGATGGGCCTTAAATGCCATCACAAGTGTCTTTATGAGAGATGCAAAGGACATTTTGTGAGACACACAGAAGAGTAGAAAGCAATATGAAGATGGAGGCGAAGATGGGTGCGATGCTGCCTCAAGCTAAGGGATGCCTGCAGCCACCTGAAGCTGGAAGAAACCAGGAACAGAATCTCCTCTAGAGCTTCTGGAGGGAGTGTAGCCCTATCAACACCTTGATTTTGGATGCTTGAACTTCAGGACTGTAAGACAATATACTTCTGTTCTTTTAAGCCACCAAATTTGCAGTAATTTGTTACAGCAATCTCAGGTAACTAAATCAATGGCTTTTTGTCCTCCCAAACATGGTATGGGGTGATGAATTAGATACTTCAACCCAGGACTTTGACACTTGCATGAGTGATACAAAAACAAAAAATAGAATGAATTCATGGAGGTGGAATAGAATGTCCACTGCTGTAGCCATGTCAGTAGGTGGTGGTCATACATCCTACAGAAGCTTGAGTATCATGTAGTGTTGACATCCTGGCCATAGTGCTCTGCCAGTTGTGCTTTATATATTTTACATGTGAGGAGTCACCTTAGCCTCTATTTTCCAAGACTGTTTTTCCAGATTTTGTATTTCGTGAGGGCCCATTTTTTTTTCAAACAAATTCCTGGAAACTGTAGTTTATTTTTATTCATTGCAATTGTAGGTTTGTAACTGATTCAGCAAAAATAATAACAATAATAATAATACTCTGCAGTTTTAAATAGAGAAAAAAAGTTTTCCAACTACTCAAGTTTGTTTTTGTCTTTTGAATAATAACTAAACATACACAATTTTTAAAAGTTAATAGTTCCTGGGCATTTGTTGTCTCTTACTTTTCTCAGAAGTCCAAATTTAATAGAAACAACTTTTTAATTTTGCTAGATTATAATCCCCTAACCCTCCAATGAGCAAAATCAACATCAAGGTTCCCATCGGAGTAATGCTTTGAGTTCAATTGTCAGATGAATCTCACAATCATATTTTACTCTTTAATATTCTTTTCTCCTCCAGCAATTTTTCTTCCTCATTGGCCCACCTCCCTCTGCACTCGAAAGACCAGTCCTTCATTGTTGAGCATTACCAATAAAACAGATTTTGGGTCACATTCACAGATGCCATTATTTCCCTCCATGTTCTCAACAGCCGATATGTTTATTGAAGTTTAATATGCCTTTGGGAAGCAGTGAACTTTGCAGTGATTAATTGAAAAAGTTTTAGATTTACAGAAGACTTTTTTTTTCAAAGAATTTTATACATTCAGGAGATATTTGGAGACTCAATAAACAGGAGGTAGATATTTGTATTACTAGAACCCAGAAAACCTTAGACTTAATGTTCTCAATTTTCTGTTTAGTGTGTTTAGTTTCTCTTAAGTTCAGTCTACATAATACCATATAAACAAGCCCTTTTCTGCTGGAAAAATCAGTAAAAAAATTAGGTAATTGTTAGCAAAAATTGCTGCTTGATTAATTATTTTTCACCAGTTGGTTTAGTTTTATATAGAAATAGCCTCAGGGCCAAGTGTTAGTTTATTTCTCTCTCCTGTCAAATGGAATTCACAGATAATTAATTATAATTTCCTATGCCTTTTATACTTCTACTCATGTGGGCTACACTTGAACAATAAAAGGGAACTAAATAATTATCCAGGAGAGTAAATACATGACAATCTGGGACACTGAGACCAAAATTATATACTTTGCCTTTATTGTTACAATCCTGTATGGCCTTAGTTGCTGATCAAGAGAAAAATGTTACATGTCATGTGGCCTCAATACTTAGAATGATTAAAGTCAATGTAATATTCAAGATTTACCTATTGCCCTAAACACTGAACATGATGAAAAATATATGAGAACAATGAGAGCTCACTGCAATTTACTGGAGAGATGAACTGCTCACACAGAAATGATTAGCATCACAGAGCTTTTTAAGGGGACACTTGGAACACCTGAGCTCACAGCAATAGCAACAATAGGTGGCTATGAACTTATTACAGTGCTATAGTATATACCAGCATTAGTTTTATGCAGTTATGACTTAATACTGCCTCTTTACATTTGTTTACATTTCTCTAGGCTGAATGGTACAATATATGATCTGTAAGTGTGTGTGCAAGTTTTCATAAGTTTTAACTTTTACTTATTTTTTATTTATACAGAGACAGGGTTTCACTATGCTGCCCAAGCTGGTCTTGAACGCCTAGACTCAAGAGATCCCTCTGCTTCAATCTCCCAAAGTCCTGCGATTACACGTGTGCGCCACCATGCCCAACACATTTTAATTTTTAATTATAGATATGTGTATACTTTTTGATAGTAAATAATAAAATAGAAAAAAATTAGCATTATTGTTATCTCCTTGTAAAGCAGGACACCTGTCACTATGGGATGTTGGGCTGGCACCTCATCAGCTAGTAGTATTTCAAAGCACAATATGTTTGTAATGCTGTTGCTCTTTAAGGACAAACTTTGATATTTTTAGTGCAGCTATATTATTTTAATGTTAATAAACTCTTTCTTGAAGTTGTTAGGGTATATCACGCTGATAGAAACCTTGAAAAAAATGACTAGAATTTTGATTATTAATTGCAGTTTCTGTATATATTTGCCTCTTCCAAAGAAAGACATGTAGATGAATATCCTATAATACTATTTTAAAATGAGTATATGATCATAATACAGATGAATTATGGGGCTAAATTTTGCATTTTTAAAGAATGTTTACTTTTCCAGAATAATAGAATTAAAGGGACTTGAATATTTTTTTAAATATTAACCACCATAGTTTTCAGAATAAAAAGGTGAGTCAGAAAGTGATGATATGCTGAAAGTGATGCAATTTATGGCAGAAGTGATACTAGCATGTAAGTCTTCTGTTGCCTCCTTTTATGCCTTTTCTATGATATGAGACTTTACAAAGGGGATACAGCAGAATCTTTTTAAACAGAAAATGTCTTTAGTGTATATAAATAGCAATATATTTACAAACATTGCATATAACAATGTTTTTCTGAGCCAATGCTATAGACTCAAAGTTTATTTTTCCCCCACATTAATATGCTGAAACCCTAATCCCCAATATGATGGTATTAGGAGATGAGGCCTTTGGTGTGTGATTAGATTATGAGGTTGGAGACTTCTCGATGGGATTAATGCCCTTATAAGAAGAGACACCGAGGGCTTATTTCTTCTTTCTGTTTGCCATGTGAAGATATAACCAGAGGACAGTGATCTGTGAGCCAGACAGCATCCCTCGTCAGACACCGGATCTGATGGTGCCTCAATTTTGGACTTTCCTAGCCTCCAGAACTGTGAGAAATAAATATCTATTATTTAAACTACCCAGTCTATGATATTCTGTTATAGCCTCACAAACTAAGACACTCACATTTAAAGTCAAGATAATTTCATGTAAAGGGGCCTTGGTTGTCAGACCTGCCCTGGCTGTTACTGGTTAGAGGGTGTAAGGTAGTAAGTCACTTTGGCCTCAGATTCTTTATCTGATGATAAGATTATGTGAACTTCAAGGTCTCCTCCAGCCCTTCACTCTTATTCTGCAATACAAATTTATGCCATTTACGATGACATTCCACATCTATGTGGGAAATTTGCCATTGCAGAGGAATTGATGGCTGAATTCTTGGTGATGGTTCAGTTCCTTATCTTTTATCACAGTAGAGCCAGAATCAGCTGTCTCTGCTCAGGTTCACATGTGCTTCCTGCCAAACCCTGATCAAGGCCTCTCCCTGTAATACTGCCCGGCTGGTCACAGACAGGTAGGCATAGCTTGTCCTTCCAGGGAGCAAACCCTGATGAAGTGCCAAGATTGTTACTGAGGGGCCGTGAATACTTATTTGCTTTGGGCATTTTTTGAGGATGAATAAATACATACTCCATAAACATATATAGCTATATGTGCAGCTATATTTTAAATATATGAAAGTGCTGTTGTGAATAGGAAAAAGATCTATTTTAAGGCACTAGTGTATTCAGAGTAAATTTTTGCCTACTTTCTCAGATTCTAAGATTATCTAGCCTACTACATGTATAATAAAAACTGTCATATGGAGATTTGGCAATTGTTTGACCTTAAAGGAAGTCATCATATGGGAGAAAGTTTGGAGCCTGGACTTTGACATTTCCTCATTACCACTAACTTTTGCTAAGAAATCAGAAGACCCATGGTCTCAGGGATAATCAGATAAACCAAAATGAACTGAGAGATTTATGGTTGATAGTGGTTTAGTGAATAATATTTTCATGGAAAATATTTTTAATTTTTATTAAATGCTTAAAGTCTCAGCAAGTCACAGTGGGAAGTTCCAAGTGCTATGACAAGCTTCTAGAGAATGCATTTTAAGGCAAAAGGATTTTCATTGACTCTCCAATCACACCTGCTCTGATTTTGGGTATTACCCGTTCTGCATACTCATTTTCATCCTCAAGTTCCTTTGATTATTAGTAATCTTCATGCTTGAAAAGCCAGCTCTGCTACTCCTCCACAGAGTGAGGGAGAGAAACAGCACATTTTTGCAAATTTCAGTGCTTTTGAAAGGAATAATGAAAAGGAGGTGGTGCTGCTTGAGAAGGCGGGCTACAGATGGAACAAAAGGTTAACTCAAATTTCTGGTGAAAATAGAAAATAAAAATAGTAAAGATGATCTATACAAGAGCAGAAAACACAGCAAAGTGAAGTTATTCATTTTGAATCAGCAGCTTCTTTTAAAACATCCTCTGGTTGTTCAAAGGGTTTTATTTTACAAATTGGCATTCAGTAGGCACGTCTGACAACTGGTTCATTGTGTCTCTTTTACCAATTGTCAGCAATAGTCTTCCTTTGGTTCAAAAGAGGAACTTCACTGTTCTGAGGTAGTTTCTTTGAGGACAAATGATCCAACTTTTTCTCCATGTTTGCTTAAAAAGAATTCAAAGTTTAACTATGCACACAGTGGTTATTCTTCACTACATCTATAACTGCTTTCCACTTCTCCCATCACTAGAAATGGGAGTTTTCTTGCTTTTAGATATCAGTCTTTTGTCTGTCTGGTACCTCACCCCATAAAAAAGGTAACCCATCTTCACAAAGTTGCATTACTGTTAAAAAGAAACTGCTTTATTAGAGACTTCTGAGAAATGTACAAGTGGTGTGTGTATAGGAGTGTGGCTGAAATACAGGAATCCCTCCTGAGCATTTTATATGTGTGGCTTTGAATAGGAGCAGAACAATCTGATGAGACTGGCTTTAGTTACTTCTTGTCAAATCTTAACCCTAGCCTGCACTCACTCTTGAATAGCTTCCGATAGATCTTCTTGAATTAGAAAAAAAAAAACAACCCTCCTTGCTAAATAGAAAGAGGCTGATAGTTTCTCAAACAAATATAAGTGGAAAAAGAGGTATGTTAAACCTAGAAATTAATACTTAATAGAGTCTTTTCTGTGTTATAAACATAATCTTTAAAACTATGTGGAAAAATTAATTCTTTTAATCTACAATGCCATCACCTGATGATGAGAGCCCGAGTAGCCAGTGTACACAATAATAATGGCATGAAATATTTAAGACATTACTTAAATGTGCTGACTCTTTTCCCATGCATTTTATCACTTTATTATTAGTACAATATCCTATTTGAATATTTTCCTATTCATGGACTTTCACAAGTAAATAATGTCATAGGTCTACCTGGGACTTAAATGTAAATACATTGTTTTACATGTGACAGACACTTTCAAATAGAGCATGCCATCATCATTACATTTTGATAATAGAGATATCAAAACATCTGTGACAAATAATCAATTTGTTGTTTAGGAAGGTAATTCCACTTGCATAAGATGATTATGGTAGAGACTGCTAGTGTTTTCAAAGTACATATTCCTCAATTTTTGATTTTGTACATGATAACGAATAAAGACTATACTTCTCATGTTGCTTTGTAACTATGGCTAAGTTTTGGCCAGTACATTATAAGTAAACATGTTTATGTACAGTTTCCAAGGAGTATTTTTAAAGGCCAAGACATGACCTTGTTTTCTCTGTTTTCTTTTTCTGGTTGGCTCTAGAGATGTGATAGTAAGAGTTTGAGCAGGCAGCATACACATTGATGATAGCATAGCAGAATAAGATAGGGGAAACTTACCTTTGATAAGTTTACCTTTACATACGAGAAGAAATATTTTGTGAGTTTATATCAGATTATCTTTTTTAACATCTATAGGATACAATAAAAAATAAGAAAATTGGAATTTAAATCTATATTACCTAAATCAAATCCAGGTATTCTTTCTATTAAAAACTGTACAGTTTCAGTATATCTCTGATGTGTCAGTGCTGTAGGTCTTTGTACTCTGTCTGGGATCTAGTCTGTTTAATTAAGATTTCTTCAACACTGTCAAATAACTATTGTTTTACTACATTTTATGTTATAATAGATTACATTATTTTATGAATTCAGGTTAAATGCTTGACGTTCTAAGGATTTAAAAGTACTTTTCAAGCATTAATTTTTATGTAAGCAAAAAGTTTCACACTATAACACTTTATAGAGATGTGAATGAAGATATAAAAATCTTCTTCAAAAGTCACTGGAACTTGTAAGAAAAATAGGGAGTTAGAATAAGAAATAGAGCGGTTAGACCTGATTTCCTCTCCTATCATCAATCTGTCTTATTCACTTCCTTCCAATGGATTCTTTTAGTAAAACTCCTATTTCCTTCAAACAGCTGGTAGTAGTCTTATCTCCTAATGATATACACCACATTAAAAAATGCTACTAATCTAAAAATTCTACTCTGTGAAGATAAGCATATGGTTTAGAAGATGAAAAATGCTGACTATATGATTACATCCCTGTCTACTTGTATAATACGTGATCATTAAGCCATTCATCATTCTTCCTTTGGACTTAATTTTGGGGCTGGGAAAAGGGAAGATGAGGGAAGCAGAGAATCGATTAACTTTCACTTGGCAGACAATGGTTTTTGCCCCCTGATGTCCTACATGTTCTTTATTTTAAAGGTGACTACAGAGAACCTTAGTGACTTGCCAGTTAGTCGTGGAGTCATAGCTTATCTCTGGGGTTTAAAAGACTTTTAAGTTTAGAGATCTTTCTACCGCTTCAAGCTATTTCTTTTAACCTTGATACAATCTTTGGAATAAAAGAAGAACTGATCTACCATGCCAGCTATGCCCCTTATTAACAATGTGATATGAGAAAACTTACTAAAATTCTCTATTAAAATAATCTAGTAATAGTCACTGTATTAAGAGGCAGTCATGATAATTGCATAAGATAGTGCATGTGAAATACTTTGCACAGATCATGACGCATGGTAAGTGCTCTGTAATTTATTTCTTCATAAACATCTTAAATGAACAATAGCAAATATAAAAATAATAGATAACTGGAATACTTGGTAGTTAAGTATCAAAACAAAACAAAATACTTCTAATTGTTCAATCAAAGGAGAAAAAATTTTGGGAAGGAAAATGTCTAAATGTGGGTAAATGAGGGATTCTAAGTCTATTTCACAGAAGTACAAACTTAACTCATAATTTAGTTTGGGAAGCACAGCAAGTAAGAGTACAAAATTCTGATATGCCATAAATAGGCTAGAGTAAGCCAACAGAATTTTAAACAGTAATAAAGTTTACATTTATTTTCAAAATAAATGTGTAACTTTGTCCTCTTGAGTGATTCAAATCTGTGAAGCTCTTTTGAATTCACACATTGTTTCTGTGGTTATTTGTTGAATACATGAAGCAATGAGTGTCCACAATATGGTTAGAGGCAGTCAGTTCCTTCATTTTTCTAAGAGATTCAAGGTTTGTTTTTCCAAAAGCAAACAAACAAACAAAAAAAAAAACACAAATAAAACCCTAACAAACAACTAACCCATGACTAGTTTAAGCTGAAGAGCTGAAGATTAAAACTGCTTAACAGAAAGGAAATTTCCGAAATCTCATTGATGGGGTTACTGGTTTCAATTTCATTTTTCACTTAACAATAATAGTAATTCTACTAGTATTTATTGAGAGCTTCCAGAATTCAGGCACTTTACAAAGCACTTTTACAATGCTGAGGACTAAATATGATTTTTCTACATTTGGAGCTTATACTCTAGAGAGGGAGACAGACATTAATTAATAATAAAAACGTAAAACAATCTCTAACCGCTATGCACAAAGGAGAGATTTATGGTGGTATGAGACATTATGCATAGAGAATTTGACCTAAAAAGGGAGGTCAGCGAAGTGACAGTTATGCTGAGATGTGAAGGGGTTAACCTGATGAAGCATAACCAACTTTTACAAAGACATATGGTAACAGGAAGCATAGCCAGTATGCCTAAAGTAGACAGAGGGGGAGCATAGTGAGAGATCAGGCTGAAAAATATCTAGGGAAGGACTATGTAGAGGGCTGAAAACTCTGACAAAAAGTTCTGTGTTAATAGCTAAGTGGATTGAAAATCAATGAAATATTTCATGTCTTTAGTCGGGGGGTGGTGCAAGGGAGGCGGATTACATATCAGACAGATCACTCTGAATGCACTGTGGAAAACGAACATGCCAGAGTGCTCTTCCAGTAATTCTAGTGGGAGATCATGATGTCTCCTTCTTTCCCCAGATAGTTGTTAACTTCCGTTAAAGTAGCTTAAAATGGAGATTGTGCCTGAAAAGTACCAAGCAGACAAAGCCAGTTAGGTCTCATAAGTGATCTAAACCTTGCTTGATTTGCAAACATAAGTGAAACTTAAGTTGAGCTATTTTTTTGTAAATGCCTATATTAAAGAAAAACAGAACTTAAGCTCATCTAATAAAAAACAATGAACAAATATACAATTAAGTAAATAGGGATTTTTCAACAAGATAGACCAAATAAGGAAACTAATTGTAACCAATCAATTTGTTTTTTTATGCTTCATTTCTTTGTTCATTCTATAACATCTTTCTCCTTGCGTCCCCTTGTTGGAGCTTCTGAAAACATTGTGTTTTGGAGCTACCTGATTCATGAATCTCTATTTGCCCAAATAAACACTTTAAAATATTATTGTACCTTAGTTTATCTACTTAATAATTCTTGTGGGCAAAGAATTCATTTATTACTTCTTGTGTTTCACAGTGCTAAAGTGAAATTATATGGTAAGGTATTATTTGCAGATTAAATGAAAGAAAAGTAGACTTAATCAATTATTTAGATAACAGAATAATTAAACTGATTACTTATTACCATTTTTTAGCTATATGATCAATGCAAGCAGATTGGATAATTTGTTATCTATATTATATTCTGTTTTAATCTCTTAACATAATATAAAGGTAGTAAACTTTGGGTTGTGGAGTTGTCCTTTCATCTCAGTCACTTTGCCTGCAAATCAGACTAGGAGATAGTTGCTGAGTTGTCCATTTTTAACTTTTCTTACCATTGTTCTATATCAGACCTAAATGTTCTCATAACTTTTTTCTTTCTTTTCCTTTTCTTTTTTTTTTTTTTTTTTTTTTAAATGACCAATCTAATAAACAGATTGTACCTCCGACTCTCCCAGTTGGGATATTTTATTTCCTGTAACTTTATCAACTCATTTTGTGTTTTGTATTCAAAACGAAATAGTCAATGTATTTTATTTGCCTTAAAAATATTCTTGCATGCTATATTCTCCAAACTGTCTTTTTACAAACAAGCTTGACTAGGAGTTAACGTATAAGAGGAAGTAATCACATACAAATATTAAGTGACTATCTGTTGAGAGTTTATATCCTCATATTTTTCAGATGAGATCGGGTGCATTCAGGGTGGTATGACCGTAGACCTTCACAGCATCTTTCAAAGGACGAGACAAGATGTTAGATAATATCTATATGCTGATAACTGGGCCATTCCAAACAGGTATTCCAAAATGGTCTTTGAGTATAAACATTTTAAACATAATATCAGAAATACTTTAAAATAATACTTTTTGAATTCTATAGACTCTTATATCTTAAATTTGCCTTTCAAATTGACTTCAAAGTTGCATAATGACGTTTAATTACTATAAGAGTATGCACTGATTTTTTTTCTTCCTAAACTTTCTGCCTTTCTTATTCCATCAAGATGTGAAAACTGTCAATTAGTGTAATACACATACAAAATTATTCAGAAAAGTTCAAGATAAAATAAAATTTCAGTAAAATTGGATATAATGTGAACATCGTAGCTCACAAAAATTATAGGTAGAACACAATTTATTATATTTAAGATAGTCTTTGAGATATTTTCTTTAATAACTGAAAAGTAAAGAAAAACAACTCAATTAGTTTCCACCTCATTGGTGGCTTGTTAATTCTGCTCAGCTAATCAGATAGTGGTTCCAAGGTTTTCAAACATTCTAAATTGTTTTCTGAATTCAGTAACGATCTTTCAAGGCATTGATCTAAAAAAAAGCTGAGAATAAACAGGTTCCTACATGAAGTTCTGAATAATCTTCTGCAAAGTTCCTCTCTGGTTCTCTTTGAGTCTTAATCTCTCTTTAAGTTTCTCTTCTATCTTATTGTAGATGTCTCTGCTTTAGTCTCCTCCCAATATTCCCTTTTGTTTTATTTTATCTATCTTTCTTAATCTATCTATTCTTTCTTTCTCTCTTTCTGTAGCAAGCTATACTAGAATATCATAGTTCTGTGACTATCTCCATGTACGATGTGTAAATCTCATTACGCACATATTCATGAACAAATTTGGTATAAATACATATATTAATGTCATAAAATCCAGCTTTTCTTTGGGAAGTTCTTCAAATTATTTTCAAAAGTCCTCTCTTTCTTTTTTTATTATGTGGAATAAAAATTAGATTTCAAAGGGGAGTGGTTCCCTTGTTTCTTATTTACATTAAAAAAATACAGTGAAATGTTATTGCATTTCTCTTTGTCAGAGGTAGTAAAGAAGTGAAAAGTGAATATGAGAGAGTTAAAGATTGTAATAAAAGAGTTTAGAGCTTTACGAGTTCTGTTCTGTTTAACCTCCTGCTTTGCTAATATATTTGATAGGATATAGGGTAAGTTAGTACCAACCAAAGACCCCAAATTATGAACTATGAAAAGATAGACCTTTGTCTCTTGCTTATATCACCAAGGAGAGATAAGCAGTCAGGGCTGGTTGGATAACTCTGCTCACTTTAGTATGTAACATCCATCTCTATTTCAGTTCTCACTATTTCCTAGCCAGCTACAAGAGGGAAAGAGCCAAGATAGCAATATGCATTCTATTTTAGGACCTAGAATTGGCACCAATATCTTTCGCCTGTGTCCTATTAACCAGCAGTTAGTTACAAGATCTGAAGGAGTTACTATTATGAACCAAAGGGAAGATGGACATTGTTCAGCCACTAGCAGTTTGCCACAATTCAAGAGTAGTAATTGAAGACAAATTATTTTACCAAAATTCTCTCCACTGCTGAAATGTGGTTTAAAATCTGGTTTATTTCAGCTTAATTAGTGATCAATTGTTAACATTCAGTAATTTTTTTTTAATGTTGAAGTTTATTCATGAACCTTTTTGTGTACTATCAAATACATATTATTATAGGGTGTGTAGGAAACAGCTGGTGATTAAAATACATCTCCAGACATAATAAAGGGTTGAATCATGCCCTATTTTACTCTGTGTTCATGAAAAAGTCATTACAATAGTTTTCAGGACTTTATTAGACCTGGGTTTCTGTTACGTCTATCGCTATCTCTCATTTCTCTCTTCCTCTCTAAGGACATGCCAGCCACACTGTCATTCTTGATTTTTCTTCAGTGTTAGACACTCACTCTCTCATCTCTGAGCCTTTGTCCTTAATGTTCCTTCTCCTAGGATGTCCTTGCCTCTATGATTTCTGTCAGGTTTGTTCCTTTGTCTCCTTCAGGTCTTTGTTTAAAGGTCATTTTTTCAGGAAAACTTACCCTCTCTTTCTTTTTAAAATTTCGAATCTAACCACAGTATTTTCTCTTCTTCTTCTATGCATTATCTATCAAGTTGAAGTTATTAGCATTCAAGATTTTGTATATTTTGCTTACTTATTTTGTTTATTGACCATCTTCCACCAACCAACTGGAATGGAGGCTGAGGGCATTGATTTTTGTTAATTTTTTGTTTGTTTTCCATGACTACAGTAGTGCCTGGAACATAATATGATCATCAGTAGATATTCAGTGGCTAAATGAATGAATGAACAAATGAAAGAGTAATTGAGTAAATGATTCAGAAAAGCTACAATGGTTTTAACTCTATTTGCCAATTTGGGAAAATTTGATTTATGCATTGATACTTTTCAATATTCTCTGTCTTTACTTAATCCTTGATAGTATGTTTCATGCTATTAAAATAACTTAGTGATTTTTAAAAATTAGTTTTATGTACTCAAAATATCTAAGAAAAATAAAGTCTTCCATTGGAAAGAATATTTTATAAAATTATGAATGTTAAGATTAAAGCTATACCTGGGCTTAAAAATGTCCAAGTATTAATTTTAATCAATTAATCCACTTTAAAATATCTTTATATTTTAAAAGACAAATCACAAAATTGCATTTATTGTAGTATTATTCTAATAATAAAATGTTTTAAATAATGTTCTGACATCATGAGGAGAATTCTTAAGGCTAATACCAAAGCTTTAAATTTCATCACCTCTTATAAGCTTATTTTTAATGAGGTGAAAATAGTTCAAATGATAGTTTCAATCATTAGTGACATTCTGTATTGCAACGTAAGCCATAGGAGCTAGTTATTTAACATAAATTATTTTTATATTAAATTATGCCATGCAAATTCTTCAATATATATTTTCTGATTACCAATTAGTACCCAAGTGGTAGTTAAGCACCCAGATTAATGTTTCCATTCACCACATGAAGTGATTCTGAAAATCCCTGTGGAGGTAATCGTAAACATGTTTTAGGTACAAATGCACTAATTTAGTTACATAGTCAGCAGAGTCAAGTCTGAAAGTAGCCTAAAACAAGGTGTGGTTGAGCAAATTATTCTATGCATAATTGTCAAGAATGCTTCAAAGTGATAATTAGCACATGATATCCCCAAGGGAGTGAATTGCCAGGTAGTATATAATAAAATCAGAACTTTATTACATAATTTAAGTATTTAGCTTATATTTAAAACAGTCTCCCAAAAAGAAAAGTGACATTCAAAAATTTTTTGGTGACCATGTACTTATAAATTTCATTAAATCTATGTAAATGAGAAATATCTATTACACACTGCCAACTGGCATTTTCTAGAATAGAAAATCTTTAAAAAAAATATTGGTAAATTAGTGGTGGGAAATGTGCTATGCCAGAGTTTCTCCTGCAGAGGGGAGAGTGCTGCAGCAGCATAGTTACAAGGGAGGTCCACTCACCTGCTACCCTCATACAGGATCTTGCATTTGAACTTTCAGAGACAGGAGCTAAAATTTCTGGTCTTACAGTGGCAACTCAAGCTAATAACAATAATAACATTAATAATAATCACCATAATGAAAATCAACATTCATTAAACACTTAGTGTGTGTCAATGTGTTAATCAATTTCAATACATAATTTAGTTTCACACCAATGATGGAACGTGGGATTATTATATTCATTTGACAAATGAGAAAATGAGTCCAAATTAGCAAATAAGAGAGAGTGGATTAAAACTCAGGTATGTCTTTTAGGATTATTGATCTTAACCACAACATTACACCAATATAATGAAGGTAGGGGTTGATATCCCTTGTTGGCATTAGTATATTGTACACTATTTCCAGAATTATTTCGATCATATACTTCACATTTCTGCAGATGTGTGTTGAGTCTGCTGTGACCCACAAAGGGATTTCCCTAAATGTTGATCCTTTCTTTTAGCCATTTTGCATTTTCTGTACTTGATTCAGGGATGATGGAATACTGCTCTGCTTAGGAATAAAGCTGCTAACAGAGTGTTATTTAAAATATCTCTTACATAGCTTGTATCTTATACTCTATGATGAGAGCTTATTGGCCTGTTATCATGTTTCCAATGTTTTCATAACTTTTTGCCGGGGCATTGACATTTCTAAATATTTTTGGCAAATTATATTACCATTGTGCATCCAATTTTTGTCCTCTCTAAAATGGGTACAGTATGACATATTTCCCATTGCTATGTTGATGATTAAATGAAAAAGTCTATTTCAAGGTTGTGGTGCAGTGCTGGGTAGGCCTGTGCCACAGGGACAGTCATCTAAGATATTTTCTTTTTTACATAATAGGTACTCAATGAAATGGGCTCTGTTGAATCAAGTGTTATTTATAAAGGGCAACATTTACACTGGGACAAGCACAGTAACAGTATTAGGAACTGACACAAGGGTGAATAAAATAGACTTATTTCCTGAATGTTTGGGAACAAATAAGTAGAAAATGTCAACATATGTCCAAGAAGGACAAGGCCAGCAGGCAATGAGATATAGTGATTGGCTTGGGGAGTGCATAATTGAGGAAGGCCTCTCTGAGAAGGGTTATGTTTATGATGAGACCCAGCACTGAGAAGGAGCCAGCTGGATAAATAACACAGAAGACAAAAAAGACTATTTATGCAAAAGCTGTTGTATGGTGAAGAGTGTGGAAAATTGGAGGAATTGAGAGGGCATGGCAAAGTGCAGGCTCTGGGTGCCATGGATGGGAATGAGAAAAGAACGTAGACAGATAATGTGGTTTAGGATATCGGGGATGAGGGGCCTGCATAGGAGCACAAGGGTGCCAAAAGCAGTGGGAATGACGCTGAAGACAGGCCTGGGAAACCTCTCAGTTTGTTTCGTATGTGGTGCCTGTGGGGCCACCTGTGGCCAAGGAGTACCTGTGGCACCTGAAGGAGATGAGCCCATACCTTGCAATCACCAATCACCACCCCCTCCCTCTCCAGTCCCTCTTATTCCCAGTGAGCGCTGGGCAAACATTCTAATCACACATTACCAAAGAAGAAACCAAGGAAACAGCTTTGTGAAGTGTGCTCTGTCAGGATATGTTTCCCTTAAAGGCTGCTGCGGCTTGACAAGCTTATCTTTTTTGCAGCCTTGCAGCCCTACGAGATGGTTTTGCTCAGTCGGTTTTGCTTTTAGTCTTTTAAAATGGATCAGTCAGGTCAACGGAAGGTCATATTTGCAGTCTTTGTTGTTTAAAGGTGAAAGTAAACACACAGAGAGCTGCAGAAAGAACATTTTAAGCTGTGTTTTGAACTATGCAATGACTTGAAAGAACTTGGAAAATTAAGGTAATTAGGCAGAGCAGAATGAAGGCCTCTAGTAAAAAGCCCACAGATTTGATTCTGTCATCCTTCTGACCTCTGTTAGTGACAGAATTTAAAATATTTGTTATTTTTTTTTGCCTGGGTAATGAAGTACCGTGACCCAGATATGTACTGTGGCTCCTTGTTTATTTTCTGACAGAGATGGGGTTTGAGGTGAGAGAGGAAAAAAAAAAAAGCATGACTGAATGTGAGACTCGGGTATATTAAAAGAGATCAAACTGGTTCAACAAATGACTGTTGTGGCTATTTCCTAAAAAGGTTGATGGCCCTTTACCTGTAACCAAGCTGAATGTCAGAAACTTATGTTAAACATATGACATTAATTAGAAAGATATCCAGCTGCCAGTCTATTAAAAATGAAATGGTGCTGACTTACTGTGTTTTCAATAACTGATACTAGAAGATACATTGGAAGTTCTGTACCAACATGATGAGAAAAAATGTCTGAACTGAGGCGCTGTGTCTGTATTCTTTCCCATAGCTCCTAGAAGTGTTGTATTTGTATTCAGCCAAGTGGCTGCCTGCTTTGTAAAATCATAGACACACTGGTTTCCGCAGATGTACCACACAGCACTGAGTTGTTTCATGTGCTGTTGTCTGTGGCCACAAGAGGCGTAATCTGTCCAGGAATGCCACAGGGGGATTCAGCGTGAAATTCACTGTGTAGGAGGAGTTGCAAAGCCTCTGTGTTTTAATACTCCAGACAAGTTGAGTCAGGAAAATGAAAATCCCCGCGGAAACCCTTAACCAGACTTCTCTTTCTCTGATGTGATATTCAGACCTGACAGATGGAAAAATATCAATTGTCTATCAGAATGGCTGAGCATGGTAAAGTATGACTGTTTTATAAAAGAGAGTCAAAGCGTACATATATTCAGATGGCTGGAAAAATTGAAATACCAGTGACCGAGGGAGCTGACTGAAGATATTTCAAACCCTCCTTGGAGAGAGGGCAGCATTAACTGCTACTTGTTAGCATCTTAACAGACAACAGAATCACCACTGTACTTACATCGGTAGCATTTCAGTGGAATTTTCAGCATATTGGGTAACAGTGAAGATACACAGGAGTAGGCTTTGTGTTTATAAGTCAAGGAATCCTGCTGCTGTCTTTTAAGCTGCTTGTATTTACAGAATTCTGCTGGCTACAATGAGCCTCACATTTCTGAAAACAAAAATAAATGCCGCTTTCTCAAACTCTACCATTTTTTTCTCTTTTTTTCCTCATTTTTTCTCTGTCTACCTCAAATCATTATTCCTAGTGCTTTCTTGGTCCCTGCATCTGTGCCCCTGAATGAGGCTGGAGAAAAACACAGTCGTGTTGGTTGCTTTGGCTTTAAATTCATGGCACTTCTCTTTGTGGGCCCTTCATGCTGCAGCATAACCTACGACATACCTCATCTGTTCACTCGCCACTTTCTAAGATGGTTGTTGAATACATTTTCTTTTCTCCTCAAATCTGCAACAAATTTTTTGACCATTTTTACTCTCAATGGATGTCCAAGCTTGCTTATTTAGAAAGTAGAAGCAGCTAGAAAACAGCTTCCACAAGCTCCCACCACAATATCCATTTGCTTTCTTTTTTGCCTACTGACTCTGACTTCAATGGCTTTACTTTAGATGAATGTCCGTGGTTTCAGGGCCAACCTTTCTGCTTGAGCTCTGTGTTACTCTACTGATCCCAACCACTTCCACATTATCAATTTCCCCCTCTTTTATTGAATTATGTCCTCAACATACAAACATCTTTAAATGTTTCGCGATAGTAAATAGTTAAATAAACTGTGATACATCTATACCATGGATGTATGTATTTATTTAGAAACAAAATTAAAGAAACTACTGATACACTCAAGAGCTAGGATAGATCTCAAGGGTAAAATGCTAAGGGAAAAAAAGGCAATATCCAAAGGCCACATACTGTATGATTCCGTTTATAGAAGAAAATGAAACTAAGTGGTTAACTTGGAGACTTGCCTTTGATCTTCCTTAGTAGGGAGCTTTTCATGGAATCAGTGATATTTCGTTTTATAATATTACAAAAAAAGCAAACCCTTTATTTTTCTTCTCTGATGTCCTTTTTTTTTTTACTTTATTGTTAGATTTCATAGTTATCTTTATTTAGAAGACTTTGAATAAATTGTTGTTTGGCAATTTGGATTTTCATTTGGAAGAAATACATCTTTGGTTTCTGTGCCATATTGCCCTGTTTATAAAAAACTTAGTCTATTTAAAGAGAAAGGTTAAAAGTAAAAAAAAGGAATAGCAACCGCAATCTGGATATGACTCCTTCTGACCCCTTCCTCAGCAGCTGGATCAAATAACACTTTTAATTGAAATAAATGTGCTAAAAACAATCAAGGTCGCTCTGTTGCAATGGAGAAAATATGCAGGTACCCTTCACATGATAGAACTGGAACATCATTAAGAGTGCTGATTACCAAGAGAAAAAAAGTTATTATTTTTTTGTTTAAATTTGTTATTTTGATTTTTTAATGCTTGTTTTCTAGTTAAGCTTCTTTCATCTTCTTTTTGAGTTTAAAAAGAAAGCACGCAGAACACACAGTTCTTAAACTGACTATTACGGCCACGAATTTTATTAAGAACTTTTGCTGTAGTGGTTTCTTAAGGGAGTTTTCTTTCTGCAAGAAAATAATATTTTGTTGTGAAAAAATCTTGATCCAGTATTAATGGTACTTTGAACGCTAAATATAAGGGCAATTTTTCTGGGATATCTTCCTATTGTTAGGGTTGGTTTGGCTAATCATTTAGGTCTAAGGGAGATTCCTTCTATCTTAACTATTCCATGGATATAGATATCGTTTACCTAGCAGGGTATTTGTTGTTGTTGTTTTTAATTTTCCAGATACATATGGGATAATCTGTGGGTGTTGATTGCAAGAGCTTTGGCTGCTAGAGCCAGAGTTGTAAAACATCAACCTACTGTTGCAGTTACTAAGAGATAAATCCAGTTAATAACTCACAAGGCCATAGATAGAAGCTATTAGAAGCATGGTTATTGCATGAAAAACACAAATCCAAGCTTACTTATCCAGAACATGAAAGATGTTTCTTCAAATATTTTAAATATAAACACACCTCAATAGCTGCCCGAGCCAATGGGCCTGTATATTCCTGCAGCATAATTATGAGAACTGGTTGACAGCACACACGGCAGGTGTGATAAGCCACGTGATAAGTAAAGAGAAAGAGGACACAGTGTATTAATTGCATTTCTTGAGAGTGTAGTTTGCCTTTGATGCCTTACTGTTTCAACCAAGTGGAAAAACAATGCCAGACATGGCTATTAAAAAAAGTGTTTCAGGTTCCCTGACATGATGGACTTTTAAACTGGCTCTGCCTGAAGAGATGCTTAATTTGGTGAAAGTGGCTGACCACATGAAATAGCAATTTTTATTGGTCTATTTGACATCGAAACAGTGAATATAAATGATGGATTCCTATCTTACTAGTGCAATCTGCATTCTGCATAGGTGTAAGAAAGGCAAAGAGAACTGTAGTTCAGCGACACATATTTTGTTGTGTTCCAATTCAGTGTACAAATTTTACCTCACAATTTATGGAAAACAATATTGAGGCATCAAATTGCAAGCAGTTATATAATCTGCAATGAATTTGCATTTACTATATTGTTATCAATGTTATCTTTGCTTTTGGAGAAATAACTGGGCAATTCTTAGCCTATCTACCTGAGTACAAGCACATTTGGAAGGGAGGAATAGAAACAAACATAGTCTAATGTAGTCTACCCATTTTTTGTGTCTCCATTGTGGCTACAATTTTTTTAGGAGGCAGAAAGAGGCAACAACCAGGCCAGGCCTTTAATGTTCTGTATTACTTCTACTTCCCAAACTCTTCATATGCTTCTTACTTTCCCACTCTCTACAGTAGTGATGATTACAGGCGACATCCAAATTACTTCCAAGTATCCTACAGGTTTTATTCAATGGAGGATGATGTTAATAATTTTACAGTCTTTTTTTGGTGGGGAAGATCTATAATTTTCCAAAGACAGTAAAACCAGGTTTATAGTCTTAACATAAGAGTTCAACTTCTAGTTCCATCATGGAGCAGAGATTTTCTTGTACGGAGGAAAGATGTTTTCTATTTTTTCTAGACCATAAAGAACCATGAGGGCAGTGACTAGGTTTTTTTCATCTTTGTGTTCCTAGAGCCTGGCAAAAAAGGTGTCGATATTGCTTATTGATTGAAAGGAAGAAAAAAAAGAAGGATGTTACTTGTTTCATTATTTGCGTCTAACATCAAGTTGGCTACTTTATGTAAAGTAGCCCATAGCTCATAAATTTGGGTACTACTTCCTACTTTTCGTTAAAGTATAAATAATGTGTTTTAGAGCAAATCTTTGGACAATGACAATCCTTTTCTCCCCCCAACATTCACTAAAAAAGAACTGTATGGTATACCTACATGCTACTCACCTATATTTCTGATTCACCATGTGATGTGTTTTGCCAGTGAGATGTGAATATAAATGGCCTGAATTGTGTCTGGTAAGGTTGTCTGCTTCTGGTTTTTCCTCTATATCTTTTCTATCGTGGTATCCAGTGATGTGCCATATGATGCATCCCAGGTCTTTAAATGAGAGTAACATGGAGCTGAGAACCTCACCAACCTATCAGGGACATATAGCAAGGAATAATTCTTTGTATTCTACCACTCAACATAATTTCTGTTATATTAAGGCTCTAATAATTGTTGCCATTTAATTCATTATATCTGTCATTAATTTTGCAAGTATAGTTTTACATCTGATACTTTAGGATTTTTCCTGTGGCAGAAAATGTATTACTATATTTCTTATGATTTACAAATAATGCATGTTTATTGACAAAAATTTAGAATGCACTGAGAAACACTACCTCAAAATTTATAATCCCACTTTTCTAAGGCAACCACCATTAAAATTTGTATATTTATTTTTTAAGCCTTATTTCTAAAACCAGTGTTAAATAATGATTATTATATGTATAGGCCTACATGTTTTCTCATACAAAATAATTTTAAATATATATTAAAAGCTAATGGAACAAATAGTCTCAATTATTAAATTCTAATTTTAAGGACTTTTCTTCCTCTCAAAAACACATCAGGCTTCCGTAGTGAATGATGGCTATATCCTATTTTTAGAGAGAAATGATGTGAGATGACATTGTGTTTTATTTTGCCTTTACCATATTTTGTTTATTTCATACTGGCATATCCATAAAATAAAAACTTTTACTGATAAAGAACTTCATATTGTCAGTGTGCTTTCTCATTTTCTTTCAGTTAAACCTTTTAATCTATCTGTGCAATAGATACGGCTGGCACTCTTTCTATTGCACATATGTGAAGGTGTGATTTGGCAAAGTCTGATAGCTGGTGCTAATTGAAAGTTCAATGCTCTTGTATTCATTTTACTTGTCCTGACAATGTAGAGGTTTCCTGAAAAGAAGCTAATGATTTTCACTTGTCTTGGTAGAGAATGATAGACATGCAAATCTGGATATCATCTATTGCAACATTTTGCAAAGAGAGACACTTGTACATCCCTAAATTTCCAGCTGAATGCATACTGATAATGCAAAAGCCATTGGATTTGGTGAACAAGCAATGGATTAGGAATCACAAGATTTGATTTCCAAATCCACTGAGCTCTTAATTAATCTTTAGGTAGTCATTTCATCTTCATTTCTCCAAGGTCTTATGTATAGAAATATGTAGAATGGGGATAATAATAAATGTCTTGTCAAGTTTTTGTCAGAACATACACACACACACATACACACACACACACACACACACACACACGCAGAGGTAAGGCACAGTGATGGGTAAACAGTCTGTATTTGATATATGGTAGATATTATGTGTAAGCAAGAATTCCATTTTAAAATCCCTTGCAGTTCTTTTATTTCCCTCTAGTGTTGGAAGATTAAGTTCAGGTATGGGACAGACTGCTCCTTTGTTTTGGAAAAAATCACATTATGGTCAAAGATAAAGCAAAGATCATACTTTTAAAAATGGAGATGGTCACTGCTCTGCATTAATAGCACAAAGGTTTATGGTTATGGGCAGACTTCAATATCTATAGATAGTTTCTTCTAGGAAAAAATGTTTCTTTTCTATATAGGTGTTTAGGCTGCATCTTCTTGGAAAATTCTCTTCAAAGCAGTTTCAGAATAATGTTGACATTAGGGTGCTTCAGAGGGACAGAATCAGTAGGCAATACATACACATACACACATACATATATATCTGTGCAAACATATATACATATACACCATATACATATATACACACAATTGTATACGTGTATGTGTGTGTTGTATTAGTCCATTCTCACTCTGCTATGAAGAAATATCAGAGACTGGGTAATTTATAAAGAAAAAAAGTTTATTCAACTCACAGATCCACATGGCTGGGGAGGTCTCAGGACTTACAATAATGGTGGTAAGCCTTTCCTCACAGGGTGGCAGGAGAGAGAATGAGTGCGAGTGAAGGGGGGAGCCCCTTATAAAACCATCAGATCTCCTGAGAACTCACTTACTATCATGAGAACAGCATGAGGGAAACTGTCCCCATGACTCAATTATCTCCACCTGGTCTCACCTTTGACAGGTGGAGATTATCACAATTTAAGGTGAAATTTGGGTGGGGACAGAGAGCCAAACCATATCATATGTGTATATGCATGTATGTATTATGAAGGGGGGGGGTTATTAGGAAAATTGGCTCATTATGAAGGCTGAGAAGTCTCACAATAGGCTGTGTGCAAGCTAGAGAACTGGGGATGCTAGTAGCAGGGCTCAGTTCAAGTCCAAACATCTGGAAACCTGGAGGGGCCACTGAAGTAAGGACTGGAGTCCAAATACCAGAGAGCCTGATGTGCAAGGGCAGGAGAAGAGCATACCCCAGCTTCAGGAGACAGAGTGACTAATTCACCTTTCCTCTTTTTATTCTATCTGGTCCCTAGTCGATTGGATAGTGCCTGACCATGTTAAGGGTTGATCTTCCCCATTGAATCTGCTCAGACCTCTCACACACCAATCTCCTCTGAAAACACTGTCACAGACACACCCAAAAATAATGCTTTACCAGTTCTCTAGATATTTTTAAATCCAGTCAAGTTGATACATAATCACCACAGCATTGAAGAGGGAAATTTCTGATTCTACCTTGACATGAATCCAAGATTCATTGATCATTAGCTACTAGAACCTGGACAAGATACATAACCTATCTTTGTTTATAGGTATAATAACTGTACCCATTTCATGGAGTTGTCAGAGCAGAGACCCAAAGACAGCAGTCAGGATGTGGAGGCATGTATTTACATCACATAATTACAAACCGTAATTAAGGGCACAACTGGAGATTCTGCGGTTTATGCTGGACTGTTGAAGTCATCTCTGAGACAGTATTTAAGAATGAATTATCCTGGCTTAAGAAATAATGTTAGATTTAATGAATTTTCCTAACGGAAACTTTAGGCTAGGCTGATCCATGTAGTTTGACGGTTGGGAAACATATGCATTCATGTTGTCAAGCATACATAAAGGAAGTTAATCCAAAAAAAAAAAAAAAAAAGAAGTTAATCCTAGTACTGACATAAGGTGCATGACAGACAAGATTTAGATTGAAGTGATGGGGAAATGTTTTTCTTTTTCCAGGTCTCAGGTAATTGAGCACTTACTCTAGAGAAGGTATTAATACAAATAATGGTGTCAAGTAGTAGAGGGAGTACCACTCAGGAGGAAATGCCCAGTGGAGTGGCCTAAGCCTGTTGACCTGAGGATGCTATAGCTAGGGTCCAAGTTTAAGTCCTCTGTTTTGTAATTACTTTGTGTTATTACCAAGCCTCTGAAAAATACCTATATGTGTTGTGCCTGGTCATCTATCACTCAGAATGAAAGAAAATGCCAGCACCAGTGAGAGGGACAATATGATACAGAGAAAGCAGCATTGGTCTGTAGGGCCCCAGTCTCAAGAAAATAGGAGGTGACCTGTGGAAAGAGGTGCTAATGGTCACATCTGGCTGAGATGCTGGCAAAACAAGAGAGTAAATCTGAGGAATGTGTAAGGATTCCTTAGGTAGACTCAAGAAGCCTTAGGGATAGGAATCTAGAAGAAGACTAGGAATCTGTTAGATTAGGTTATAATGATTTGAACATTTTAAGTGTGAGCTTAGAAATTGTTAAAGTATAGAATATTTGTTTAACAGCCCTACCGCTATCATTATCATCCTTAGTATGACCTGGCTGCAGAAATCTGTTTTCTTTTTAGATTTTTAAATTTTATTTGTAAGTTTATATTAAATTATATCAGTGCAAGCACCAGAATAGTTGACAAGACATCACATCTATCCAAGAGTCTCAGCTATTTTGGTGGCTTTTCTCAGGTTTCTGACATTCACAGCTTCTCTCAGTTCTTCCGCTTCAGCCCCCTTGTCCTGACCCTGTTGCCGCCTCTTCTGCCTGGAGTACTGCCGCTTTGTTGGCAGAGTTATTTCCTGATAGTGAGTACTGCTGCCACCACCAATCTGGCCTCTAGGAGAAGAAATTGTTTCTTCTAATCACCCAGAGCATAAATAAGACCAGGCTGTAGTTTTTTATGACATTACTAAATGTTACAAGTACAAACTGAAGCTGCTACTTACATGTGTTTATTATTCTTAAAACCTCAGAATTCCAAATCATGATCCGAATCACTGCTTCATCCCTCACAGGCTGCAGATAGCAGAAGCACACCGAGTTGCTCCATAGCAATGGGATTCTTCTGCCCCATAACAATTGCCATGTCTCAACTGCCCATGTCCCATCCCTGTCCTCGGCTTCTGTGCCCCATCCTCCCAACTGAAAACAGATTTTCTTTTTTCTTTCATGTCATGTGTTGCTTCATGTATTAGCTCAGTATTAAACATGTTCTAACATAATTGACAGAATATCCATTTCCTTCAGAAGAAAACCCCTGTTCCCTTTCTCGGCATGTGGCTGGAATGAGACATCACAATAGTTGATGTTAGGTTTCCAGAAGTCTGGCTTAAGAAATCTGAAAAAGCGGCCGGGCACGGTGGCTCACCGCCTGTAATCCCAGCACTTTGGGAGGCCGAGGCGGGCGGATCACGAGGTCAGGAGATGGAGACCATCCTGGCTAACACGGTGAAACCCCGTCTCTACTAAAAACACATTAGCCGGGCGTGGTGGCGGGCGCCTGCAGTTCCAGCTACTCGGGAGGCTGAGGCAGGAGAATGGCGTGAACCCGGGAGGCGGAGCTTGCAGTGAGCCGAGATCACGCCACTGCACTCCAGCCTGGGCAACAGAGCAAGACTCTGTCTCAAAAAAAGAAAAAAAGAATCTGAAAAAGCATCGCATGGAGAATACCACCTGTACAGTCCTGTTTGTAGTGTGCTGGGTCCAGTCAAGCTCCTTCCCAAAGTCCATTTTTCAGTGTGAAAGAAAGAGAGGCTCAGACCTGCTTGAAAAATTAATCAATAACCTGATCTTGGAAAAAAGACAAACATATATATCAAGAACTAAATATTGTTTCTCTTACTCCTTTGCAGTTTATTGTTGTGAAGCATCACTATCCTTTAATGTAAGTTCTCATTGAAGCAACTCCACTATGCATAGGACTCCTGGTATGGTGTGAATATACAAAATGTCACTCCAAAACTCACATGTTGAAACATTATCACCAATGTGATAGTATTAAGAAGTGGGGCCTTTTGGAGGTGATTAGGTCATGAGGGCTCCACCCTCATGAATTGATTAGCGTCACTATGAAAGGGCTGCAGGGAACTAGCTAGTTCTTTTTGCCCCTTCATTCTTTCTGCCATGTGGAGACAGTGTTCATCCCCTCAGGAGGACGTAGCATTCAAGGAAGCAGAGATTGATCCCTCATCAGACACATCAGACATTGAACACACCGGTGCCTTGATCTTGGACTTGCCAGCATCTGTAATTAAGGGAAATAAATATTTGTTCTTTATAAATTACCTACTCTCAGGTATTTTGTTATAGCACAAGGAAAGGACTAAGACAATTCCTCAAATAGCCCTTCTTAGTACAAAGGAAGGTAGAATCCCAAGACAAATTCCAATCTCCACTCAAGAAAACATAAATTATGACCAATCCCCCAAATGGTAAATTTCCTTTTTGAAATCTCTAAATCTAGACTCTGTCAGGTGGGCTTGGTCCCAATATGTCTAAAAATAATAACTACATGAAACACGGTCCAATTTGTATTTATATAAGAAAAAATATGCAAAGATTAGTGTTTCACAGTTGGAAAAAAATCACATGTCATTTACTTGTATATTCTTTAGTAGAGCTAGACAGACTTAACTTATGTTATGCTAATATAGATTTCTCTAAGGGATACTAAAATATTCTCGGTTTCAGATTCCAACAAGAATTATTTTACTCAATAATTCAGAAATACTATAAAATGTTTCATTGAGAGTGCCTTCTCCCAAATGCTGGAATGGAAGCTTCCACTTCTGTCTCACCAGCATCTGATAATAATGAAATCAATGGGATTAAAGGGACAGTCTTGACTGTGGTCCAGTTTGGGCTCCTCTTTTTGCTTTGCCCTAATTTTGATAATAAGTTTTGTTATGTCTTTCAAATCTGGTCTCATGATATTCGGAGCTGGGATATCTTTCTTCAGAGCCCTCAATAATGATGGCAGATATTCCTTAATCTTTACACTTGTGAGTGTTCAAAGAGTACTTTGTGAAACCTCAGTGAATATATTTGAAAAGCTTGCTTTGCTCCAATGTGCACTAAGAAATGGTTATGCATAGAGGATAACAGTGTCTACTTTGAAGCCCAATTGTCGATTTTGTATCCTGACTCTGTCACTTGCAAGCTATGCAAACTTGAAAAACTTAACTTTTTTTGTGTTTCTGGTTTCTTATTTTGAAAATGGTGATAAAAATCCTATCTACCTCATAGAGATATTATGAAGATTAAACAGGTGTGTGTGTGCGTGTAAAACATTATAGGTATTAAGTAGATGTTATCATTTAAAATTTTGATCGCACACTGGTTTCTCAATATACTGAATAAAAATATTGGTTGCATGCTGTATTCCTGCATGCCACTTCAACTCCCTATCTTTAATTTGGTTACTCTGTCCTACATTTTTTCCCTGTAGCCATATTTACTATTCTATTCAGAGGTAGGAAAGAAACATTCTAAATGAGAAAATTTCATTTAAAACCTGGAGCCCGAGTTGAAATCAGATCTCATTTGCATCAGGCCCCAACACTGTAATAACATCAAACACCACTCCCTCTTCCACCTGCAGGGGTGCAGCAGATCTAAGAAAAGCATTCTTTAATCATTTCATGCCCAATATCCTGTAGGCTATAACTTCATACTGCATCCAGAAACACTGCCCTTTTACTAGTAGGATCTGGTAACTCACTAATTTTGAACATTTAATTATTTTTGGAAACATAATTAATCACAAAAATCAACATTATTGTGTAAAATATGGAAAAATTAAAGGTCTTTATATGAAAGTCTTCTATTTCAGACTACTCATGAAATCTGACATGTCCAACTTCCTGTAATTATGCTGTCCATTCTAGACTACTGTTTCTAATTATATCTGGCAGCTTTTCATCTGTTTGGCATTGACAAGATTACAAGAAAAAGATAAGGATAAAATACAGTTTTGACTGATGTTATTTTATAGGTTATGGTTTTTGATATCAAGTTTTGGAGCTGCACCTTAAAAAGAAGGAGCACTGTTCAAATGCTATAACAATCTTGTGAGAAAATCATATTTTTGTTAGCAAAATCACACTTGGTAATATTGATGTATGGTCTTTCTTATAGAAATGACAAGGGGCATTGTGTGTAGTGTCTATAGGCACATGCCCTGGGGCAAGGGTCACCTGGATCCAAACCCCTAGTGCCACTTTCAAATTGTGTGGTTTTAGTCACATGACTTAATATCTCGCTGCTACAGATTTTCTAGCTTAAAAATAGTATAATCATGATATCTAACTCTAAGCATCACTGTGAAATTCAGAAAGGTCAAACACATGGTAAATAGTGGGTTAGAACTAGCTGTTACTAATAATTCTTATTAAAGACACCATGTTTGAGTTGGCATTCATATGTTGAGATGGAATGAATGTATTTTGCATGTGAGAAGAATGTGAATTTTGGGGGGCTAGGGACAGTATGCAATGGACACATTCATGTGTCCCCCCCAAATTTATATGTTGAAACCTTAATTCCCAGTGTGAGCATGTATGGAGTTTCAGAACTTGAGAGGTAATTAGTCATGAGGGTGGAGCCCCTGAATTGAATTAGTGCGGTTATGAAAGATACTCGGGAGCTTTCTAGCCCTCTTTCAGGTATGTAAGGATACAAAAAGAAGCTGGTGGTCTGTATCCTGGAAGAAGGCCCTCACCAACACCTGACCATACTGGTATCCTGATTTTTGGAGGACTTCCAGCCTCCAGAATTGTGAGAAATACATTTATGTTATTTATAAGCCACTCAGTCTATGTTACTTTGTTATAGCAGCCCAGACTAAAACATCACTTTAAGACTGTAATAGTCATCTTTAAATTCTTTCTTTCCCCTCATATTGAATTAGCTTTTAAAGTTATTGATTTAAAAAATAATTATTTTGAAATATTCCCTTTCTTTTCATTCTGATGAATGTCATCCTTTTTTAGTTTCTTATACCTTTATTGAACTAATGGACTTGTTTTCCATTTGATTTCCATGTCTTCAGGCTTTCCCTACTTCACTGCATCCTAAGCATCACTACCAGATCAATCTTCCTAAAAGTCAGATCGAGTACATCACTGCTCAGTTTTGGATATTTAGTAGTGCTCTATTTCTCACAGCATAAAATCCACACCCTTTATCTTTGTATCCAATATCCTGAGGTATACCTAGCCTCAACTTGACAACCCTTGAATCACACTGGTGTGCTCAGTAGTCCCTTAACATGTTTTTCGTTATTTCTGTTGCAAGTTTTTTTCTCTCATTCCTCTGAAGTATTATCTTCATTCCTTGCCATCTGCCATTCAATTTTATGTGTACATATCAAGATAAATTATACATGTTTTGAAGGAAAGGAGGTAATGCTAACAATTTTCCCATTCAAGATGCTATTGTTTCCACGTTTCCCTTTCAAAATTCAGATGTTGCTAATGATAGTATTAGGAGATGGGGCCTTTAAGATGTGATTAGGTCAAGAGAGCTCCACCCCTCATGAATGTGATTAAGGCCCATTTAAAAGAGGGATCATGGCCGGGCGTGGTGGCTCACACCTGTGATCCCAGCACGTTCAGAGGCCGAGGCGGGTGGATCACGAGGTCAGCAGTTTGAGACAAGCCTGGCCAATATGGTGAAACCCTGTCTCTACTAAAAAATACAAAAAATTAGCTGGGCATGGTGGCATGCACCTGTAGTCTCAGCTACTTGGGAGGCTGAGGCAGAAGAATCGCTTGAACCCACGAGGTGGGGTTGCAGTGGGCCAAGATAGCACCACTGCACTCCAGCCTGGGTGACCGAGTGAGACTCTGTCTCAAAAAGTTTAATATAATTAATATAATATAATATAATATAATATAATATAATATAATATAATATAGATCTTGCAGCTTTAAGTTCTCCTGCCTTTCTGCCTTCTGCCATGTGAAGATGTTATAAATTACCCAGTCTGTAGTATTTTCTTATAGCAGCAAAATGATACACAAGACTATGCATTAAACATTTCCCCATCACTTCACTCTAAAGCTTGTCTGTCATTGATTTACACTGATATACATTTATGCTCTGGTTTCTCTTCAAATTGTATAAATCTTTCGCCTTTTACATTGATATACATTTAGTGGAGTTCTCCTTCTAAAGGAGAGTGAATCTGTGATTTCCTTAAATTACCACATGAGCTTATTTGGGACTATTTTTTTTGGTACTATTCAACTTGCTATCCTATTATGTTAAGTAACTTCATCCCAAAGACATGAAAATTCTATAATATTTTGAGATATTACATTTATAATACTTTTCATGTTAATTAATAATATGTTCCTATTCTGTGCTGTTCATTGCAGTAAGTGGTCTATGTATAAAATTTCATTTAATTCTTAGAACAACCCTGAGAATCAAGATAACGTATTATTATAATCCTTATTTATGTAACCTGAGGTTCAAAAGGTTAAGTTGCTTTGTCAAGCTCTGTCAGGCTACATATAACTGAGATTATATGACTCTCAAATTATACTTCTTCAATCTAATGAAAGTAAGCAGTAACTAGATTTCCATTAACAATGGTTTTGAGATTTACTTCCCAAGGGCTGACTAGGAAATTTAGCTGAGAAGATGCTATAGTCTGAAAGCAGGAGAATCTGGCCTGGAACTCTGTAGCCCTGTGTCTGATTTCTCATCTTCAAGAAATTTAGTGTATTATTAATTTTAAAATTTTATGAAGATTTGGCACTAAAATGAAAGGAATGTTTAATGTGCAAGCTTGATGTGACAAACAGATGACAGGTAACGTGCAGGTGGTAGAGATCTCTAAAAGTAGATCAATCGCCTTGTAGAGCTTGTAGAGAATGCTCTAAGAACAGAGGACACAAAACATACTGACATCCTAATTTCATCTGCAGAATGAACACGCGGAGACACTTATAAACAGAGTGTATGTATGTAAATTCACAATACATGGCTTGCAAAAATAAGATATATGTAGCTTCATATGTGCCGAAGAATTAAAGAAGAGTCTCTTTTGTCCAAATTAGAACATTCATCTCTGCTTGAAGAGAAAGTTTAAAGCATTAGTCATGGCCCTCTTCTCCCCGTAAAAGGGAGAGAGTGTGTGTATGTGTAGATAGAAAGGCACTTTCCAAATTTCGTTGTATAACAATACGTCAATTGTATTTTTCGAAACCCCAGCTGTATGTTGTGTTGAATATCACTATCTTATCAAAAATCTGTATTTTATTTGAAACAAACTATGTTGTCCAGTATAATTTTTATGTGTGTGTATATATATATGTGTGTGTGTGTATATATATATGTGTGTGTGTGTGTGTAAATTCTGAATATAGACTTACAGATACGAAAGAATCAAAAGCATTCCCTCAAAAACACAGGAAAAAAGAATTCTTACATTAGAAATTTAATCGTCATTTTATGCTTTTGGGTGAATTATTTTCCTCCCTAAAGTTGTCAGGTTAGTACAATACTTAAACAAAATTTATTTGTGAGCTTAAGTACACTGAAAAACAAGGTGACTGACATGTTAAATGAAGTATAGTTAAAAATGTTGAATGGATTGTACATGTGAATATGCATAATTATTTTTCTTATAAAAGATGGCTTTCATGTTTCCTTAGAGCAGTTTACAGTTGCAAATACATGATTTTTAAAAACAACAAATCAAAAGGCACAGATCCACCAAGCAGCAGTGGTATTCAGTATGCCCTTTGGGTAGGCCAGCCTGAACAGATGGACCTTCAGTCTGTATTAAAGGTCAATTGATTTGTGCCTTTGCCAAATGAGTTTGGAAAAGAAGTTTCAAATTCTGTCTCTCTAATAAGTGGCTCACCATATATTTTCTGAAAATTCAAATTTAATTGTACAGTTGTTTCCAACCCCTTTCAGAAAATCCAAGGGGTCAACCCTAAAGCCTAAATAAAGTTTAAACTTCTTAGCTTGGAATTTGACATTCAAAACTTTCATACTGACTCTGGCCCATCATTTCAGCCTCAACTTTCATTATACCTCTTCACAAATCCCTCCACTCCTAAAAAATGAGTCTCCTAACCAAGTCACTAATTTGTTCAGTTCTCCGAATCTGAAGTGGTGCTCTTTGTCATGCCACAAGAATACCTTTCCCCATGTTCTAGTTTGAGTTGTCGCTCATAAACAAAGCTTTCTTTGATCACTCTAGGGAATAAAATTGTGTCTGTTTCTAAAGTTCTTTCTCTCTTGCTGTGTAGTTCATTAATTGATTTTTTAGCATTTTTATGATGTTAGTTCTCTTTTATGTAACCGCTGTGTCTCCTCATGTGGTATGTTAAAATTAGGACTGCTGTAATTCCTATACTAGTTAGGGAGGAAAGTAACTTCACCTTAGCAAGCATTATAATCAGAGTTTTTTTTTCACGTATTGGAAGAAAAGACAGTTATCCTGAGGCTTCATCCTTCTTCTATCAGTTCTTACTCTTCTGGTGGCTTCCTTAACCACTGAACTTTCAGGCATGGCTTCCTAATTAAGTAATTAAAGAGGCACTAGAAAGTTATTCCTTGTTTTCCTAGATTTTTTGTTAGGTTTGTTTACAAACTGAGTTGGAAACCAAGGTGAACACATTCTTATCAGACTGGACCAACATTTTTGATTTTGCCTAACTTATCACTTCTAATAGCTAACATCTGCCTAGTATCACTTTGAATAACAAGCGCTGAGTATAGAAGGTACACATTTCAATGGAAGTCAAGTTCTACTAAATGTTTTTATTCATGTTGAAAGCTTTTCTGGTCTCTTGGGCTTATACATCTGAAGCTGTGTCACAAAATTAAAGTTAATTCTAGTCCCAGGTAGGAGCACCTGGAGAGAGTTATAAACTATCTTAAAAGAAGGAACAGTAGGGGACTCCATGCCTTCTTAGCTCTATAGTGCCGAGTTTGTTTTCTATTATATTTCTCACTACATTCCTGAAGTTTCAGTTACTTTCCCTCAAGGAAGAACATGTTGTGATGGAATGAGAAAAAAAATAAAAAGTCTTAGTACTTGAAGAATTAGAGACGGCAAGTTGGGAAGAATGTGACGAGAGGGTCAGATTAAAAACAGTGGTTCTCTCTTCTCTATGTTCTATGCATTCTCTAGACCACAGGGGCAAATTATATGTTCATAGACTGCAAGAAGTTTTCCTTCAGCTGAACATGTGTTTTGCTTGGTTCCCATGATACTGTTCTGTACAGTGTTTCAAAAATTTTGAAGGAGATTTTAGCATTTCAAAATTAAAAAATTTTATACAAACAATTGAAATTTTGGTTTCTTTGGGAAAAAATCTTAATGCCTAAACAGGAATAATCAGCTTGAGTTAGGTAGTGGCTTTCCTTTTAGCCAAGGCAAGAACACCCACAGGTTGAGGAAGGTCTTATCCAGCATCATCCCACTTCCTTCCTTTACAAAGCTGAGTTGGCCTTTAGGCACTAAATTCCTAACCCATCCACCCCAGGCTGAAGGAGATGATAAGGACCTAGAAGTCACATATGCTAGGACAAGGCCTTGAGTGATGTAGATTGTAAGTGGGTCTTAAAATTTTTTTAATCTTTAATTATTATGTATACCTAATAGTTGTACATATTTGTAGGGTACATGTGATGTTTTGATACAGGTATACAATGTATAATAATCAAATCAGGGTAACTGGGGTATCTATCCCCTCAAGTATTTTTGTTGTACTGATTAATAATAATACAAATTTTAAAAACCTATAAATATTATCTAAAGGAACATGACATTTATAAATATTCATGTAATTAAGACATCAAATAAATTTTCCCCTACTTTTATAAGAACAATTGTTGAAAATGTCTAAATACAAATATTTAACAATATAATTCACCACAAATTTTGGATTCATTTAAAAATGGAACTGACATTTACTTTTTTTTTTTTTTTTTTTTTGAGACGGAGTCTCGCTCTGTCGCCCAGGCTGGAGTGCAGTGGCACAATCTCGGCTCACTGCAAGCTCCGCCTCCCGGGTTCACGCCATTCTCCTGCCTCAGCCTCCCAAGTAGCTGGGACTACAGGCGCCCGCCACTACGCCCGGCTAATTTTTTGTATTTTTAGTAGAGACGGGGTTTCACCGTTTTAGCCGGGATGGTCTCGATCTCCTGACCTCGTGATCCGCCCGCCTCGGCCTCCCAAAGTGCTGGGATTACAGGCGTGAGCCACCGCGCCCGGCCGACATTTACTTTTAACAATTTGGAAAGTAATATACCTGGTCATTTAAGTCAAAATATATTTCGACACAAATCGATATTATAATTTTTTTTTTTGAGGCTAAGGAAGAAGTGCTATAGAAAATCTATTCCAAATGACTTGGTCATGGCTGGAAAAATCAGAGGGGGGCCTGCAAAGATACAAGGTGAATGCATTGCTGAAATAGGGATTATCTGCTCCCTGTTTGGCTTGTTTTTTTTTCCCTAAGTAGCAGAGTAAATGACTTTGGAGACCCTCTATTTGTAGACCAATGATATAGAAAGGGTCATATAAAAACACTGTATTCTAGCCAATATTGTCATTGCAGTTAATGAACATTTCAAGAGTCAATATTAACTTACATGAGATCACTTCTTAATGGAAACATTACATGTTCTCTGTGTCCTTAGGAACCATAGAATTTATCAAATCTCTCATGAACTAGAAAAGTACAAATCAATTTAACATTTTCTTTCTTTTTCTCCATAGCTATATAGTGGAATTGCAGCATTGTTAGTGAATTAAACATTAGAATAGACTACTTCTATATAGTAGTGAAAACTAGCTTATTTCATGTTATCCTGGAAACACTGACATTAAAATTATCTTGTTCAAGTAACATCTCATGCTTGTATCCTTTCTATATCACCTACGACAAGTTAAAATCCTCTTGTTTGAAATCACCCTGATCATGAGAGCTTTCTGCCCTGAGGCAATGTCCTCCATTTGTGAACATCTATGACTGTTGTAAAAATCCTCTTTATATAGTGTTGCAATTTGTTTTCTTGTATTTGAATTCTTTTGTCTTAGTGATTCCCTCTGAAAAAGTTGCACATTCTTCAATAGGACAGCATTTCAAAAGTCCGGAGATAGCTAACTAATTCTTCCTAAGCCCTTCTATTTATGGCTAAGTATCCACAGTTCCTTCAACTATTCCAAAATTGATGTAACTTGGAGTTCTTTAACTAATTTGCTCATTCTCCCCTAGGTAGATCCTGATTTTTCAATATTCCTCTTAAATTGTGATGTCCCCAAATTTACACAGATTCCAAGATTGGTTTCAATCTATACGGAAATATAATGTGATTTTTCACTCTATCATTGTAGATTTTCTATGTTGGTTTATGCAATTAAAATTGCTCTACATTGTTTGGCAGTACAATCACATTGTCGACTGATTCTGTTCTTTGTTAACTATAGCACCCTAAATATTACCCCTTGTAGAAGTTAGTATAGTCTTCTCCTACTTGGACCTATATTCATATTAGTTCTTTTAAATTCAAGTTTAGATCCTTTTATCTTTTATACTAGTTTTTAAATTTCTATTCAACAAACCTTTACCTAGATTTTAACTATTATTCTAATTCATTATCAACATTTGGAACTGGACTGTGTTATTTAACATACTGCCTTTCTTTACAAGCTTTATGACTCCACTAAATATGATATTGAACCCTTATAAATGTTTTGAACAGGACAGAGTAATTATCTAAGAGACATTAGAGACCTTTTAATATATATTATGGCTATCTTTCCCCAAAATCCATTCTAGTTTCCCTTTGACCTATAGCAACTATGAGGTTGGGGAGGGACTGACCAACATCATCTTGCGTGAACCCTGATTGGTTAAAGATAACCAGCCTAACTTAACTATCTACACCACAGTGACTGGTTCATGAACATTCCAATGAGAGTAAAGGATACCATGTTAGGTAGATTAGGAGGAGAAAGTCTCTTGCTCTGGAAGATAAGATTGGAATGTGAGGCCTAGAACTGCTTATAGCTACTTTTGATGATGAGGAATGCCAGATTTTCTGTAAAGTTCTACTCTAACAGTGTTTCTCTTTCTCTAAATGTTTTAGTTATATGAGTAAATATATGGGGCCAGCTGCCCTAAAATACCATGAAATATGAGTAGCTTAACACAACAAAGATCTATAGTTTATCTACATAAAAACTGGTGTTGAGTTGTCAAAGGCTGGCCTCGCTGGTGAGTCATGAAAAAAATCTTTCTTGTTTTGATTGTACCATCACAACCTGTGTCAGGGAAAAGAGAAAATAATGAAAATGAAGAAGGCTGGCTTTCAATTGGTTTGGTCTAGAAATAAAACATATTACTTCCACTCATAATCCACTAATCTGGACTAGACATGCAGTCCAAAATTAAATGGCAGGGAGGCTAAGAATTGTAGAAGAATATTTGAAATATTTGACCTTCAGTTGCATCTTCTATGTAATATAATCTCTTTAAGGAACGTAGTTTTCACAATGGACTGAAGGTGCCATTGATCTTAAGTTGTCTGCTTTCCACTTTCAACCATCCCAGAGGCAAGGCTGTATTAATGGCTTGGCTACTAGCTTAGAATAGTGAGAACACACACAAATTGTAACAATAAATTCTTCCAAGACACATTCTTTTCCTCCTGGTTTGAAAATCAGTATTAAATGTTTCTAACTCTGGATTCCTGGTCACATCTCCTATTTCCCCCAGTGGCTGCAAGATAAGAAATTTTCATTCATTCACATCTCATCTGCAAGTTTTTACCATACTCTGGTATGCAATCTTCTTAGGCCTGGAGACTTGAAATCATTTAGAGAAGGTAAATGCTATCTTATCATCTCCTTACCTATCTCTAGGTTCAATTGCTTTTTACCAATATTTATTTTGCCTTCTCCAGGCTAAAAATTATTCTCCTAGTCAGAGAATATGGAAGTAAAATAGAATTTTTACGATCCCATTTTGTATCACTTGTTGAATTTATAAAGTCTTACCAAACATAGTACAGTTAAAGTTTTTGTTCTTGCTCTGAATATAATTGTAACTTAGAAAGATTTTATTTTCTTACACAGTTTTCTCACAAACCTTAACTCATTTTAGGCTTTCTGGTACTGTCCTCTTAGGCTCACGCTCCTTTATTATGTGTCTTTGGTTATATGCTTCTGCATCCTTTTTCAATATATAAATTTAAAAGTTAAAACCATCTAAGTGGTCCTTATGAAACCACTATGAATGTTCAGACACTATACTCGATGAGTTTTTAAATATTTTCATAGGTAGAAATTCAATTTCAAGTGATTTCTTAACTCTCTGAACTTTTTCATTTTAAATTCTGAAACTTCATGACCATTTATATCTTTCACTTAAGCTCTTCGGTATCTTCCTACCTGAGGTTTAAGGTAGAATTTTCCCCTGGTCGTCATGATCACCAAGTGTTTAACATATCTTTTGTGCTAAATAAATGATTTTTGAATGAATTCATTTGAAATACACAAGGAAAGATTCCATTTCTATGATAATTCTATCAGTTTTAAAATCTTTTTTTAATCAAAACTGAATCTTTTTATCAGTCTTTAGACAATGTTGATGATTCAAACTGTTCTTTTTTTAAAATAGAAATTTCAAACTTTTTTTTTTTATAACTTCTGACAAGCTTTCTATTCATGGAGGTTAAATTTTGCCTAAACTGTTTTGAATGAGTATAACACTATAACACTAGCAGAGTCAAAATTACAGGTTTAATATCCATAGAAGACAGTTATCATCCCACATATAATTATATGTCATTTTACATTCTTATCAACAGTATTCATTGGTTATCCAAGAGGTCAAAGGGATATAAAAAGCTCAGTGTAATTCCATTACCATTGCTAAGGGTACACAGTCTTTAATATATATCTTTGATATCTGTTTTCCTAAGATTTTGTAAGAAAAATTTAGTCTATATTCAATATTCTACAACTTTTAAAAAGTTTTACTCAAGATTTTTCAAGAGTTCTTCAGAATAAAGGAACGCAGTGTATGTTAAGTTTAAGTGAATGTCATTAACGTCAACATCAACATCAACAAAAGAGCAGATATTCATAAATCATAATCAGAGAAAGTTACAATAAATAGAATAAAGTTTAGAAACAAGAATTTGCTTAATTCACAGCCTTCTACCATACATTTCTTTATAAAACCCAGGAAGAATAGTTCTTACAATACTTCTAGAAATGGGAATCCTCTTTTGGTAATTCCTTTTTAAATCAGTCATACTAGAACTTCCCTCTATTACCTTCCTAAATGATCTTTTCTTTCTTGAATTCCAGGTCTTTGCTAGAGATTTGTTCAAGGTTATAAAATTACAGGTAAATAGAAGGAATAAATTATGTTGTTCTCTACCACTATAGGATGACTGCAGTTAACAGCAATATATCGTTTCAAATAGCTAGAAGGAGGATACTGAATGTTCTCAACACAAAGAAACTCATATTTGAAATGATGGATATACCTATTACACTAACATGGTCACTATATACTATATGCAGTGAACCAAGATAGCCCCACTGTACTCCAGCCTAGGTGACAGAGTGAGACCTCGTCTCAAAAAAAAAAAAAAAAAAAAAAGAGGGAGTTCTTTAGGTTGAAATGAGAGGTAACTAAAGAGCAACATGATAGTATGAGAAAGTATGGAACTCATTGGTAAAAGTAAAGTAAATATGTGAATAAATACAAAATTCCACATCACTGTAACAGCGGAAGGTAAGTCACTCTTAATTCTAATATAAAGTTTAAAAACCAAATTATTAAAAATATCTATACGAAAAATATTTTAAAAGACTGACAAGCTGATTGTAGAATTCACATGGAAACACAAAAGACCTAGAATAGTGTAAAACTTTGAAAAATAAATAATTGATAACTGATATTATCTGATTTTAATACATTATGATTTCCCTAGCTACAGTAATGTTTTGAGTGTTATAGGCATAAAAATACAAAAATAGGTCAATGGAAACTAATAGAGTTGAGAAATAGGCCCACAAATATATTAACAATTTAATTTTTTTTG
This sequence comes from Homo sapiens, assembly GCF_000001405.40. Lineage (NCBI taxonomy): Eukaryota > Metazoa > Chordata > Mammalia > Primates > Hominidae > Homo > Homo sapiens. Next base: position 94,547,459 of record NC_000003.12, read on the forward strand.
AAAGGTGGGGTCTGACTATGTTACCCAGGCAGGTCCAAACTTCTGGCCTCAAGTGATCCTCCCTGAGGATCTCTGATAGTTTGCCTCTCCGACAATTTTGGCAAAGGCACAAAAGCAATTCTGTGGGAAAAAAATAGTCTTTTTGACAAATGATGCTGGAACAACTGGAAACACATATGCAAAACAGTGATTTTTAACCTGCATCTCACAGTGAATACAAAATTTAATTCAAAATGTATTACCAGCCTAAATGTAAAACCTGAAAGTGTAAAAATACCAGATGAAAACATAAGAGAAAAGTCTTTGTGATCCACTGTTACAACACAAAAATTATGATCTATAAAAATATGGTTAAGTTAAACTTGATCAAAATTTCAAAAGTTAGCTCTTTGAAAGGCACTGTTAAAAGAATGGAAAGACAAGCCACAAGCTGAGAGAAAATATTTGCAAATTATACATGTGATAAAGAAATAATTTTTAGAACATATGAGGAATTCTCAAGAGAGTATATGATAACAAAAACCCAGTTAAAATATGGCAAGAAATGTAAATAGACACTTAGAAAAAAGAAGTTATATGGATGAAAAATAAGCACAGAAAGAGATGTTTATCATTAGGGAAATGCAAATTGAAATTATGATGTGATAACACTGTAAACTTGTAAGAACATCTAAAATGTAAAAGACTTACCATGTCAAGTGTTGATGAGAATGTAAATAAATGGGGGTTTCATACACTGCTGGTGGGAAAGTAAAATTCTACAATAGTTTTGGAAAATGTTTGGCAATTTCTTATAAAGTTAACATTGACTGATTATGTAATCTAGACATTTTACTCCACCCATCAAAAGAAATGAAAGCATATGTCTATACCAAGACATACCTGCATGTTTGTAGTAACTTTAGTAGTATTAAAAAACTGGAGGGGGGGTCAAGATGGTGGACTAGAAGCCAGTGTGCACCACTCTCACAGAGAGGAAGCAAAGTAGTAAGTAATCACTGACCCTGCAAGCCAATCATCTAAGAAACCACATCAGGTTCCATCAAAAGACTGAGAAGACACAGAGAACAGAGAAGAGCAAAGCTGGGCAGCAGCCTATCTGGAATTGATGTGGAGCCAGAGGAAGCTCCCCAAAATGGGGAAATAGTGAATGAGTGAAAGTCCCCAGGGGACTCACACTTCCAACAAGTATCTATGTAATCCTGGGAATGGGAGAATGCCCCTGACTCCCCTGGGCCTCTAAATTGATACAGAGAGTTACCTGGAGTTTTTGCAGAGGTAAGACTCAAGACCAAGGGGACCCCCACAGGTCTTGGACCCTGGAGCAGCCTGATGTCAACTGCCATAGCCCAGTAGAGGCTGCAGTCATGGTGCCTGGGAGCAGTAAGATTGCTTTACTCCCCCTTGCCAGACAAGGCTTAGTGCCAGCTTCCCTCATGGTGGTCCCACTTCTGTCTAAACTCTGCCAGAGAATACAGCTCCCTGATCCCCTGGGAAGCACCCAGGTGATGGAGCAAGAAACTTCACCAACCCCTGCTGCTTATAGCTGAGTGAGACATGCCTGCTGGGGCTTCCAGCAGAGCAGACTCAATTCTGCCTGACTCTGTGGGTGGATGCAGCTTTGAATTCCTCTGGGAAACAGATGTGCTGCCCCCTAGCTGGTCAGGAATCACTGATCTGGGTAGTGTCAGGTGAGGAACAGCCCTCAATCTCAGAACACTGAGAGGGATGAGCCACCTGGGTTTGCAGCCAGTGGGAGTGTGAGGCATTTCTCCCTCTTCAAGGCTGCCTCAGGAAGGGTACAGTTCATGCCTGAGGGAACCCTGTAGATCAGCATATCCAACAAAGGAAATGCGGGCATGGAGCCAGTGACTGAAGAGAGCTCCTCTAAGCCCCAAGAACAGACCAGGTGATGGTGCCATCTCTTCCCCCACCTCACCACAGAGCACTACTGCCAACTGCACCAAAATACATGAGAGTCATGCAACTAAGGAGCCTATCTTCTAGCCAACACTCTTAAGTGCCACCTACTGGATTGCAGCCCAGAATAAAACACCAAAATATTTTGCCAGTATACAGCACCTGTCAAAACTAAGGCAAAAATTTAGCCACAAGTAAAGATTCTATACAGAGCCTTGGCCCTCTGAAAATGCCCAGAAATAAAGGCAACTATTACTCAACTTACATCTCAGTTAAAGGAACACCATCCATTACACATGAGAAAGAATCACTGCAAGAATTCTGGCAGTTCAAAAATCCAGAGTGTCCCCTTAAATCCAAACCTGCACACTAGTTCCCCCAAAATAGTGCTTAACCAGATTGAGATGACTGAAATGATAGACATAGAATTCAGAATCTGATGGCAGGGAAGCTCACTGAAGTCCAGGAGAAAGCTGAAACCTGATCCTAGGAATCTAAGAAATCCAGTAAAACTATACAGGAGTTGGAGTAAAAATAGTCATTTTAAGAAAGAAGCAAACTGACCCTCTGGAACTGAAGAACTCACATTAAGAATTTTACAATACGATTCAAAGCATTAACATCAGAATAGATCAAACTGAAGAAAGAATCTCAGAGCTTAAGGACTGGTTTTTCAAGTCAACTCAGACAAAATAGAGAAAAAAGAATTTAAAAAAAATAAAGAACCCCAAGAAATATTGGATTATGTAAAGAAACCAAATCTATGACTCATTACCATTCCTGAAAAAAAAAGGAGAGTAAGCAACTTGGAAAACATATTTGAGTATATTTGAGTAAAAACATTTATTTGTCCATGGGAATTTCCCCAACCTTGTTAGAGAAGAGAACATGCAAATTCAAGAAATACAGAGAACCTCTGTGAGATAGTATAAAAGATGTACCCCAAGGCATATAGTCATCAGCTTCACCAAGGTGAATGCAAAGGAAAAAGTCTTAAAGGCAGCTAGAGAGTAAGGTCAGGCCATGTACAAAGGGAACTCCAAGAGTCTAGCAGCAGACCTCTCAGCATAAACCTTACAGTTCAGAAGATATTAGGGGCCTATTTTTAGCATTTTTAAAGAAAATAAATTAAATCCAAGAATCTTGTATCTTGCAAAACTAAGCTTCATAAGTGAAACATAAAAAAAAATCATTCTCAGAGAAGCTAGTGCCAAGGGAAATTGTTACCACTAGACCAGCCTTACAAGAGATCCTTAAGGGAGTGCTAAATATGGAAACAAAAGATGAAAACCTGCTACCACAAAAATACATTCAAAAACATATCCCACAGGCAATATAAAGCAATTATACAATCAAGTCTGCAAAACAAACAGCCAACAACATGATGACAGGATCAAAATCATGCCAGTTAGAAAGGTGATCATTAAAAAGTCAGGATCTTAAAAAAAAAAATGCTCCTGGATTCTTTGATTTTTTGAAGGCTTTTTTGTGTCTCTATCTCCTTCAGTCCTGCTCTGATCTTAGTTATTTCTTGCCTTCTGCTAATTTTGAATGTGTTTGCTCTTGCTTCTCTAGTTCTTTTAATTGTCATGTTAGGGTGTCAAATTTAGATCTTTCCTGCTTTCTCTTGTGGGCATTTAGTGCTATAAATTTCCCTCTACACACTGCTTTGAATGTGTCCCAGAGATTCTGGTATGTTGTGTCTTTGTTCTCATTGGTTTCAAAGAACATCTTTATTTCTGCCTTCTTTTCATTATGTACCCAGTAGTCATTCAGGAGCAGGTTGTTCAGTTTCCATGTGGTTGAGTAGTTTTGAGTGAGTTTCTTAATCCTGAGTTCTAGTTTGATTGCACTGTGGTCTGAGAGACAGTTTGTTATAATTTCTGTTCTTTTACATTTGCTGAGGAGTGCTTTACTTTCAACTATGTGGTCAATTTTGGAATAGGTGTGGTGTGGTGCTAAGAAGAATGTATGTTCTGTTGATTTGGGGTGGAGAGTTCTGTAGATGTCTATTAGGTCCACTTGGTGCAGAGCTGAATTCAATTCCTGGGTATCTTTATTAACTTTCTGTCTCATTTATCTGTCTAATGTTGACAGTGGGGTGTTAAAGTCTCCCATTATTATTGTGTGGGAGTCTAAGTCTCTTTGTAGTTCTCTAAGGACTTGCTTTATGAATCTGGGTGCTCCTGTATAGGGTGCATATATATTTAGGATAGTTGGCTCTTCTTGTTGAAATGATCCCTTTACCATTATGTAATGGCTTTCTTTGTCTCTTTTGATCTTTGTTGGTTTAACAAAATTGATAGACCGCTAGCAAGACTAGTAAAGAAGGAAAGAGAGAAGAATCAAATAGACACAATTAAAAATTAAAAAGGGGATATCACCACTGATCCCACAGAAATACAAACTACCATCAGAGAATACTATAAACATCTTTACGCAAATAAACTAGAAAATCTAGATGAAATGGATAAATTCCTTGACACATACACCCTCCCAAGACTAAACCAGGAAGAAGTTGAATCCCTTAATAGACCAATAACGAGCTCTGAAATTAAGGCAATAATTAATAGCTTACCAATCAAAAAAACTCCAGGACCAGATGGATTTACAGCCGAATTCTATCAGAGGTACAAGGAGGAGCTGGTACCATTCCTTCTGAAACTACTCCAATCAATAGAAAAAGAGGGAATCCTCCCTAACTCATTTTATGAGGCCAGCATCATCCTGATAACAAACCTGGCAGAGACACAACAAAAAAAGAGAATTTTAGACCAATATGCCTGATGAACATTGATGCAAAAATCCTTAATAAAATACTGGCAAACTGAATCCAGTAGCACATGAAAAAGCTTATCCACCATGATCAAGTGGGCTTCATCCTTGGGATGCAAGGCTGGTTCAACATATGCAAATCAATAAATGTAATCCAGCATATAAAGAGAACCAAAGACAAAAACCACATGATTATCTCAATAGATGCAGAAAAGGCCTTTGACAAAATTCAACAGCCCTTCATGCTAAAAATTCTCAATAAATTAGGTATTGATGGGACTTACCTATAAATAATAAGAGCTATTTATGACAAACCCACAGCCAATATCATACTGAATGGGCAAAAACTGGAAGCATTCCCTTTGAAAACTGGCACAAGAGAGGGATGCCCTCTTACACCACTCCTATTCAACATAATGTTGGAAGTTCTGTCCAGAGCAATCAGTCAGGAGAAAGAAATAAAGGATATTCAATTAGGAAAAGAGGAAGTCAAATTGTCCCTGTTTGCAGAAGACATGATTGTATATCTAGAAAACCCCATTGTCTCAGCCAAAAATCTCCTTAAGCTGATAAGCAACTTCAGTAAAGTCTCAGGGTACAAAATCAATGTGCAAAAATCACAAGCATTCTTATACACCAATAACAGACAAACAGAGAGCCAAATCATGAGTGAACTCCCATTCACAATTGCTTCAAAGAGAATAAAATACCTAAGGAATCCAACTTACAAGAGATGTGAAGGACCTCTTCAAGGAGAACTACAAACTACTGCTCATCAAAATAAAAGAGGATACAAACAAATGGAAGAATGTTCCATGCTCATGGGTAGGAAGAATCAATATTATGAAAATGGCCATACTGCCCAAGGTAATTTATAGATTCAATGCCATCCCCATCAAGCTACCACTGACTTTCTTCACAGAATTGGAAAAAAACTACTTTAAAGTTCATATGGAACCAAAAAAGAGCTCTCATTGCCGAGTCATTCCTAAGCCAAAAGAACAAAGCTGGAGGCATCATGCTACCTGACTTCAAACTATGCTACAAGCCTACAGTAACCAAAACAGCAGGTACTGGTACCAAAACAGAGATATAGACCAATGGAACAGAACAGAGCCCTCAGAAGTAATACCACACATCTACAACTATCTGATCTTTGGCAAACCTGACAAAAACAAGCAATGGGGAAAGGATTCCCTATTTAACAAATGGTGCAGGGAAAACTGGCTAGCCATATGTAGAAAGCTGAAACTGGATCCCTTCCTTACACCTTATACAAAAATTAATTCAAGAAGGATTAAAGACTTAAATATTAGACCTAAAACCATAAAAACCCTAGAAGAAAATCTAGACAATACCATTCAGGCATGGGCAAGGACTTCATGTCTAAAACACCAAAAGAAATGGCAACAAAAGCCAAAATGGACAAGTGGGATCTAATTAAACTAAAGAGCTTCTGCACAGCAAAAGAAACTACCATCAGCGTGAACAGGCAACCTACAGAATGGGAGAAAATTTTTGTAATCTACTCATCTGACAAAGGGCTAATATCCAGAATCTACAAAGAACTCAAACAAATTTACAAGAAAAAAACAAAGAACCCCATTAAAAAGTGGGCAAAGCATATGAGCAGACATTTCTCAAAAGAAGACATTTATACAGCCAAAAGACACATGAAAAAATGTTCGTCATCACTGGCCATCAGAGAAATGCAAATCAAAACCACAATGAGATATCATCTTACACCAGTTAGAATGGCAATCATTAAAAAGTCAGGAAACAACAGGTGCTGGAGAGGATGTGGAGAAATAGGAACACTTTTACACTGTTGATGGGACTGTAAGCTAGTTCAATCATTGTGGAAGACAATGTGGCGATTCCTCAGGGAATATCTAGAACTAGAAATACCATTTGACCCAGCCATCCCATTACTGGGTATATACCCAAAGGAATATAAATAATGCTGCTATAAAGACACATACACACGTATGTTTATTGCGGCACTCCTCACAATAGCAAAGACTTGGAACCAACCCAAATGTCCAACAATGATAGACTGGATTAAGAAAATGTGGCACATATACACTAGGAATACTATGCAGCCATAAGAAATGATGAGTTCATGTCCTTTGTAGGGACATGGATGAAGCTGGAAACCATCATCCTCAGCAAACTATTGCAAGGACAAAAAACCAAACACCGCATATTCTCACTCATAGGTGGGAATCGAACAATGAGAACACATGGACACAGGAAGGGGAACATCACACACCGGGGCCTATTGTGTGGTGGGGTGGTGGAGGGATAGCATTAGGAGATATACATAATGTAAATGACGAGTTAATGTGTGCAGCACACCAACATGGCACATGTATACATATGTAACAAACCTGCATGTTGTGCACATGTACCCTAGAATTTAAAGTATAATAAATATGTATGTGTGTATATATATATACTTTATATATATTATATATTATATATATTTATATATATAATATAATATATATAAAAATATATATAATAAATATGTATGTATATATATATACTTTATATATACTTTATATATATATAAAGTCAGGAAAGAACAGATGCTGGAGAGGATGTGAAGAAAAAGAATGCTTTTACACTGTTGGTGGGAGTGTAAATTAGTTCAACCATTTTGGAAGATAGTGTGGTGATTCCTCAAGGTTCTAGAACCAGAAATATCATTTGACCCAGCAATCTCATTACTGGGTATATACCCAAAGGATTATAAATCATTCTACTAGAAAGACACATGCACACGTATGTTTATTGTGGCACTATTCACAATAGTAAAGACTTGGTACCAACCAAAATGCCCATCAATGATAGACTGGATTAAGAAAATGTGGCACATATACACCATGGAATACTATGCGGCCATAAAAAAGGATGAGTTCATGTCCTTTGCAGGTACATGGATGAAGCTGGAAACCATCATTCTCAATAAACTAACACAGAAACAGAAAACTAAACACTGCATGTTCTCACTCATAAGTGGGAGTTGAACAATGAGAACACATGGACACAGGGAGGGGAACATCACATACTAGGACCTGTCAGGGGCTGAGGGGCATTAGGAGAAATACCTAATGTAGATGACGGGTTGATGGGTGCAGCAAACCACCATGGCATGTGTATACCTATGTAACAAACCTGCACATTCTCCACGTGTATTCCAGAACTTAAAATATAATAATAATAATAATCTTGTGTATCAATACTTACCCTGAATGTAGATGGTCTAAATGTCCCACTTAAGATGCACAGAGTGGCATGCTGGATAAAAAGACAATACCCAACTGTCTGCTATCTTCAAAGTCACAAAAGTCAATGAATAACAGAGGCTGGCAAGGTTGTGGAGAAAACGCTTGTACACTACTTTGGTAATGTCAATTAGTTCAGACATTGTGAAAAGCAGTTTTCAAATGTGTCAAAGAACTTAGAACGGAACTATCATTTGACCTAGAAAGCCCATTATTTTTTATATACCCAAAGGAATATAAATTCTTCTAACATGAAAACACATGAATATGTATGTTCATCACGTTTGCTATTCACAATAGTGAAGACATGGAATCAACATTAACAGTAGACTGTATAAAGGAAATGTGATACATATACACCATGGTATATTACACAGACAAAAAAGATTATGTCCTTTGCAGCAATGTGGATGGAGCTGGAAGATTTGCTTATCTTAAGCAAACTAATGCAGGAGCAGAAAAATAAATGCCACATGTTTTCACTTATAAGGGGTAGCTAAACAATGAGTACACATGGATACAAATGGGGATACAATAGCAAAGACATGAAATCAACCTAGGTGTCCATCAACAATGTATGTGATAAAGAAAATATGATACATATACACCATGGAATACTGTGCAGCCAAAAAAAGAATATGATTATGTCCTTTACAGTAACATGGATGGAGTTGGAGGCCTTTATCCTAAACAAATTAATGAGAAAAACAACACCAATATTGCATGTTCTCATAGTGAGAACTAGATATTAAGTATACATAAACATAAAGATGGGGACAGTAGACACTGGGGACTACAAGATGTAGGAGGGAAGGAGGAAGGGGGTGTGGGCTGTAAAGATGTCAATTATTATGCTCACTATCTGGGTGATGGCATCATATGTATCCCAAAACTCGGTGTCATGCAATATGCCAATGTAACTAACCTACATATCCTTTAATGTATAATAAAAGTTGAAATTATGAAAAAAAGGAAAATCACAAAATATGAATCAATAGGTAAATGAATAAACATATTTTTGATATTCATATAATGGAACACTACTCTGTAATGGGAAAAAAATGTACTACTAATACTAATACTTGGTAAAAAAAAAAAAAAAAAAGGTAATGGTTTTGAAAATAATATCCTGGGTGAAAGAAGCCAAGCCAAGACAAGTACATACTGAATGACTGATTCCATTTACATGAAATTCTAGAAAATGCAAACTAGTTTTTAGTGACAGAAAGCATAAAGGTAGTTTCCTAGAATTGGGGGATGGTGTGGGAATTAGATGATTGAGGTGGAATAAAAAGGATTATAAAAGGCATGAGAGAACTTTTGGGGTCAATCATTAAATTCAATATCTTGATTGTTTCATAGATACATACGAGATGTGTTGCAAATCTTACCAAATGTACACTTTAAATACACTGTACTTCATTTATACTTTAATAAGCTGTTAAAAACCAATCAAAGAATGTGGTAAGGTAATTTTATTCATATAAATGATCCCTAAATTATGATGGTTTGACTTTACAATGGTGCAAAAGTGATATTCGTTCGGTATGCTCCTTGACTTATGATGGAGTTACACCTGGATAAACTCACTGTAAGTTAAAAACATCATATGTCTAGAACACACTTTTGACTTATATTTCAACTTACAATTGGTTTTTCAGGATGTAATCCCATTGTTAAGATGAGGAGCATCTGAAAAAGTAACAATAGCTTTCCTTGATCCTGGCAATCAGAACCTATTCATGGAAATTAGATAAAAAGTTTAATCAAATGAGTACCCCAAATATAAAATCTTTAGAAATAACTTTACCAAGAAAGTAGTAAGAGTCACGGAGGATTCTATTAAATGTAGAGGAAAGATATAAAACAAGATATAACAAAAGGAAATACAAACCCTCTTCTTAGATGGGAGACTTACTGTCACATAAAAATTATATTTTCTATAACTAATATATTACAATCCAAGCACTGTTTGGAAAGATATAGACTGATATAGACTGGATAAAATAACCTCAAAACGTCCTGCAAGATTATATGCTTTAGAATAGTGAAGATATTTTAATATCAATGCAAATAATGAAATGAGACTTATCAGATTTAAGAACATACAACAAAGCTACTATGACAAAATCTATATGGCAGTGGTATATTAATAAATCAGTGGAACTGAAAGACAATTCATCAATAGATGCCAGTACACCTGAAAATGTTATTTATTTCTAAGACACTATATAAAATCAATGAGAAAGAATAGTTTATTTAATGTGAAAACAACTAGAAGAAAATTAGATTGGATCTCTATGTCATACAATATACAAAATAAATTTCAGACTCTTTATTTTCAATAACCGGAAAAAATCAAGTGTGGTGGTCCCCATCATTTTCCTACTTATTTCATCCTTCTAGTACATGTCAAAACCAGATGGGTCAGGTAGGTTACTTTAATATAAGCATGTGGGAGCTTTAATCACAGTTGCCTGGAATAGCCTGGCTATTGTCAGATCTACTGGGCCACAAATTCGGGTATGAATACCACAACCCTTTAGATAATAGAAGTTTCACATTTGAGTTTGGGCCGGGTTAGATCCAGAAGCCATGAAAAATTATGTGAATATGTGGTCCAGACTCCCTTGGAACCTACCTCTGTTTCACTTCAACTCCTACTTATAGCCTCATGGGAATTAACTGAAAGAGAAGTAAAGCACTTGAATCTGATTCCAAAATGCCAGCACAAGATGGTGCTTACCTACCTTACTCCATTATAGCCCCCCTACTAGGAACAGTGGTGAAGGGAAATCCACCCTCCTAATGGACAGAAATGAGAGCAGTTCGTTCCATCATTCACCTCATGGAGGAAGTTGGGAATAAGTGGTCTAAGGAGTGTGTGTGTGTGTGTGTGTGTGTGTGTGTGTGTGTATCCACACACATACATACCTTAGCAGTGGAAATAAAATAGCCTGATTGACCGAGCAGATATGTAAATGAACAAGACTAGAAGATCAGGACCAGGAGATCTGGAGAAGAGGGTGGTAGAAGGACCTATGGGGAAGGGCGCAAAGAGTGCAGACTTTTTTAATGTCCACCATTGCAGATGAGAATCTCACAAATCAATGGACAGAATGACATGAACTGCATGTCATTTGGTCTCTTAGTAACTTTAGTCCTTGTGTAACGGGTTCATAAAAAGAGTAGCTACGGTAGCAGGGATGAAGGTTATGCATGGACTCAATTGCATAGTCTTCCTTTTGCCAGAGTTTGCAGTCTCCCTTCTACCAGAAGCTACTGCTTCTTCTGAATGTCTAATCTGGCAGCGTAAGAGACTGATGCTAAGCTCCTAAAATGGAACTGTTCCCTGAGAAAACCAACTAGCTATTGATGTCAGGGTTATTACACTTCACTTCTATCCTGGAGGAGGCAGCATTTTTTTTCTTATTACAATCAATAAATACTTATACTAGATATGAGTTGGTTTTTCTTATCCACAGTGATGATGCCTCCGTCATCACTACTATCTGATTGCTTATAGAGTGTCTGATTTATAAACTTGTCATCCTACAAGCTGTTGCCTCAAACCCGGGGTACCATTTGATGGAAAAATACACACAAAAATGAAAAACATTGTTATAAGATCCACTAATCTTAAACATTCACCAGAAGCAATCAACTTATTAGAATGACGAAATGGGCTATTTAGCAAAGGAATTAGCTTTGGGACAAACTCTTCAAGGGTAGGACACTGATCTCTAATAGGTTATATATTTACTGAACAGTTGATTTTTTAGAGGGGTATCCTTCAGCTAAATTCTGTAATTCCAGGCATTCAGTGTGGGTTGGAGAATAGGCTCCTGTCAACATCTCACTATCTTTGAGATAGGGGTTTCAGTAGGATATCTCTTGGTGTTTTAATATTTCTGTAAAAAAGATTAATAGTAAATAGCCATTGCATTAACTATGCCCTGTCAAGGGCAAGACAACCAAAGACTCAGAATCTTTGGGGAGGAGATTTGAATTGAAAACTTCCATTCCAATTAATTTTAAAAATACACCAACAAATATGCTATCTTGAGATTTTACACATGACTTGGTTTACTTCCAAGCTTCATTTAGACTCCAAGTTAGATTGTTTTTACATGTATTAGCTTTATTAATATGCCTTTATTTTCCTCCCTTTTCTTCCCATGCTGCTCTTATAATACCTTCCATATATGTTTACATTTCTTAGTAAAAATGATTTAAAATGTTTAAATTAAAAAGTCTGAGTTTTCTTTATTAATAAAAGCATGGCAAGTTTATATTTTCTTCCTAAGTTCACCATCAGTATTATCAAATAATAGAAACATATTCTTTGTATTTCTTTTAAATCCTTTAAAATACATTTCCAAACATTTTTCAAAGAAATGGGGCCTTTCCATTTTAGTTCTTATTATTTCTGTGTGGAATCTTCGGAAGCAAAAAATGTCCTATAGTTAAGTGAATGAATCCTTTTCTCCTTAATATCCCTTCCTTCCAAATAGGATTAATAACACTAGAACATTATGGAAGAAGCTCTATGGAACATTATAGCTATATTACAAATAATTTGGGGACTTTTTTATATTTGTTGAACATAGAGATATATAGAAGAATGTCAGAGATAGGAAAAAAGGCATTATATCTACTATCATGGCCATGAAAATAACAGCTGGTTATATTTACCAGGCATCTAAGAAATAGGTGACAGTTTCAAAGGTGGTCTAGATTTGTTCTGACAAATTTTAGAAGTTATAAACATGGATTCACAGTAATTGGGAAATTTGAAAACTTTTTTCCAATATTCATCAGTGTGTTCCACTTTGAATAATTTAGCCACATAATGCACTGTGTCCACAGGCAAACTGTTTATGCAACGTAGCAATATATTTTAAATAATATTTTATTATTTGAGAGGACAAATTTTGTTGGCATAGAAATAAATGAGAAGTTTAGGTTAATAACTTAATAATTATATTATATTTTAATAGCTTATTCTCTGGGTCTGAACGAGAAAATATTTTAGAATTTAGATGCTTTTAAACATTTTATTCTAGCTCTGAAAATGAAGTAATCTGAGATCTTGTTACCTTCATGTCCTCACAACTTTACGGTGCCCACAACTTCATAAGTACCATAAAGGCCTTGTTTAATGCGTTGTGTCAAATGGTTAAGAATATTACTTTCTAATCCATTATGAATAACCTGGCATGACCCTCTAATGCACCTATCAGCTTGATGCCTCTTAGAAGAACTTCATTCTAAAACTAAACCTCTCATTAAAGCCTTCAAGTCAAATTTTTGGTAATAGAAATAAGTGAAATAAAAATATTTTATTGAACAAATTTGTAGGATCTGATGATATTCTCTGAAGAACCCTCAGGACGTTAACTAGTTGACCCTGACATCTCATTATGTTCTCAAGGAGACAAACATCCAAATTTCTAACCACAGGAAACATTAAATGTAAACAAATCAAATTCAGAACCATTTCTTAGTAACAAATCTACTAAACACTTTTACAACCTCTCGTTTTCCCACATTACTATTTTTATTATTTTCAGCAATGGTTAAGCCTTTCTAAAAGCATAATTCTGGATAACAGGCAGAGGGTGAAAGTTCACTTCTGAGCAGGTGAAAGGAATAGGGAAACCACACAAAAATGATCTCTAAAATTGCACCTGAGGATTACCTGCTATTATATAGACAGGTCCTACGGATTTGTTTTGAGCTCTAGGGCTAGAGAGCAGCTCTGGCTCTTCCCACCTAAAGGAGAATAGAGCCAGGACATGACAATCAGCAGAGCTAAGTGCCACGTGTGTATGTGTGTATGCATGTTTGTGAGAGTCAAGGGTTTAATTGCTTGGAGGCTAGCAATTTACCTCATAGCAGGCATTCCATCAGTCTTTACTAGGATGTAGGAAGTTCAAGGGCAGGAACAAGCTTTACATAGTCTCTCTTATGTTTCTGCCTTGCCCAGCTGCATAATCTATATTACATGCACGTTATAAGACAAATAACTTTTATAAATGAAAAAATAAAATTTAATTTGTCATGTCATGATCAATAAGACTATCTTTTTTCTCTTTCCTTAAAAGTACGTTGAAAGTGAATTTAAAAGAGCAACAATTATAGCTTTTTCTATGCTTAGCTATGCTTTTCTTTGGAACAAATAGAGGGCTTTTCTATTGGATTCATAAGTTAGAAGGGAGATTTTAAAATAATCTGTCTATGGGCAGATATGTCCCTTTTAGTGGTCTTGAGAATCTTGATATTTATTTTTTCCATTGACTTTGAATTTATAAAGTATCTATTTTCTTATCAAAGTAAATGAATGCAGATTTTACATCAATTTTGTTAGGATCTTTATCAGAGAGGTCTTAAAGTCTTTTAATAATCAGAAATAAACTAGGACACTTAATTACAAAATTGTTAATTATAAGAGATAAATGTTAAGATGAACAGAAGTAGGCATGAAAATTAAAAGACTTAGGTCATTTAAGTCATCAGGTTGTTTGGGATGCTGGCTCATTAGCAAACACAGTCCCTGTATACTGTATTGTAAAAGGAAGCTGAAGAGTTGGCAGCCCTATGACAAGACAGTAAAGTTACACTGTTGTCTCCGACACATAAATGCAAATTGTTTACGATTTTCTTTACTGAATTTTGTAGAAAATAAATTATTTGTTACATATTAAGTGCTAAAACTTGTTTTGAGTTGTGTCCTTGAAGATACCCCATTTGGAGCCATAGCTGTGATGGGCATTGCTATCTGATTAAGTTTTCAACATAATCTACTGTCATTCTCTATGATCCTTCAGGCTTTTGCACTGACCGAACAGGCTAGTTACTTGGTAGTGTGCTAGAAAACATGATCCTTGCATCTCTCAAATTTTGACAGTGGCACTAATCTCTGTGGGATGTGGCATTTTGGTTTACTGTCTTCAGGAAGGGAACATCTGTTCCTTGTTCCACATATTAGGGAATCAACATCAAAATTCTGCCATTAAATATACTCTCTTTCTACTGTATGTTTGAAACCACTACTAGAACAGCTCAAGGCTTACTCTGACTAGTAGAACATTATGGTATTTTGGGTCTCTGAGTACAAGCATGAGTTCAAAACCACTAACTAATAACACTAATAAATTCTGAAGTATGGATATTTCCCACTCTGTAGTTACTCTGTTAACTGGTAATGGGTATATTTGAGGAACCCAATGCAGTTTTTTTTTTTTTTTTTCAAACCAATCAGCCTGAACCTTTATTATGGGATGGGCTCTGAGTCTTAAAATTCCTTAGGTGAGATAACTAAGCTGTGAATCCCTCTAAAATGGCAACTGGGGTTAGATTTTTGGCCGCCAAATCTAGCCTTTATTGCTGAGACCAACTCGGTCAGGGAGACCCTAACCCAGCAACACTAGAGGAATTAAAGACACACACACAGAAATATAGAGGTGTAAAGTGGGAAATCAGGGGTCTCACAGCCTTCAGAGCTGAGAGACCCGAACAGAGATTTACCCACGTATTTATTAACAGCAAGCCAGTCATTAGCATTGTTTCTACAGATATTAAATTAACTAAAAATATCCCTTATGAGAAATGAAGAGATGGGCCGAATTAAAGGAATAGGTTGGGCTAGTTAACTGCAGCAGGAGCATGTCCTTAAGGAAGAGATCACTCATGCTATTGTTTGTGGCTTAAGAATGCCTTTAAGCGGTTTTCCGCCCTGGGCAGGCCAGGTGTTCCTTGCCCTCATTCCGGTAAACCCAGAACCTTCCAGCGTGGGCATTATGGCCATCATGAACATGTTACAGTGCTGCAGAGATTTTGTTTATGGCCAGTTTTGGGGCCAGTTTATGGTCAGATTTTGGGAGGCTTGTTCCCAACACTTTATAATCCTATGTATTTCAAGAATCACTTTACTGGATGTCTAGGGATGATTTTTTTTCTTTTCTAGGACTGTGAGTAATTAGCAATAGTCACAGATTTCCATGAGCCAGGACACTATGGCAACCATTTTCTCTCTATGGCTTATTGTGTAATGACACACACCTTTTCTCTAATGGTTAAATGTCTCCTCCTGCATTCAACCACCCTAGAATCCCATTATTACTATTGAGATCACAGAGACAACTTGCAAAATAGCATCTCATGTTAGTGTCTCTGGCCAACAAAGTATAATCAGCAGAGAGGTCATCAAGAATATTCATGCCTCCCTTATTTCTTAATATCTTTCTTATTTCTTAATATCTTGTTGAGGGAATGTCTTTCCAGATATCCCAGGATGATGAGGCTAAGCAATGGCTCAGAAGATTCCACATAATAGATCCATTCCAACTCTATTACCTTAAAATTTAAGACTTCTTCCTTTAAAGTACAATAAGGTAGCTTTTGCCTTTTAACTTCATTAATTATAACTCTTTGTTGAGGAAAAACTTAGATTAGCCAACCTAACAGACTATTAGTGCCATGCATGAGTGCTCAAGTACACAACAAATTTGAAACCAGTATGAATATATCTATGCCTATTAATTATGCCATGTATGTGCCTAATGAATCTTAAATTATATCTGTAATCTAATACACTTAGAACCAAACATCACACATATTTCCCAGTTTCCCACCAATTTAGACTTGTGAGGGCTTTTTAACTCATTTGGTGTATAGACTATTTCCTCCTTGAACAGATCGTGTGCCTCAGTGTCTGGACTATGTTGAAATATAACACTTGTTGCAGATCTGAAAGGAAGAAAAGGAAGAGGAGGTAATTCTGTAAATAATTTTATCATCTTATAAGGCTAATTGTTCCAGGTGCAACCAGGTGTTTAGGATGGACTGATTTTTTTTTTTTTTCAGGTGGAAGAAAGAGTAGGGAAATTAGAAGTTTCAAAATCTTTAGCCTCATTCACATCTGTTTAATTGCTCCCATTCCATGTTAAAGGATCCTTCTCCTTTCCCGCCAGTTTCATTAGCATGACAGGCCTGGGGTGTTGAGTGTTTAACTGGTGCTGCAACTTTATCCCTAATTAAGAATTCCTGTGCATGGCCCTCAGCCATGGGTGCCCTATGACTAGCCACCACATGCCATAAGTTACTTGTGTCTCATTTTCCCCAGAATATATGTTATCTGTGAGCTCCTGGACTACTGTATATGACCAACTAAATCCTAGAATGCCATTTTGAGGATAAGTTACCAGGATACTCCTGGTATCAATTACTGTATAAGACAACAGAAAATAGATGGCACACTGAAATTAGGACAATATTTGAAGAGGGTTTATTAATAAAAAGCCTAATTTAAAAAATGTCTGGAGTCTTGCAAAACCACCAAAAATGGTACAGAATCCCAGAACCTTGTTACCAGAAGAAAATATTAACCTCTCTAGGTATAAACGTGATAAGAAATAGGAAAGATTTTCAGAACCAGAAGGAATAGTGTAGGATAGGCCACCTTGAGAACAGCAGTTCACTTTTATCAAGTATGGTATAGTTACCTTGCCTGAGGTGACTTCAAAGGAAGGGAACCAGGGCAATTAAAGCTCTGACTCTCTTTCAGTCCCTTCTCTTAAATTCCCCTGGGTTTCCCTGCTACAAGCAGAGGGCACAGGAGATCTGACGTATTTCAACAGGTCAGCTTCTTGCAGCAAAGTGTAGGATGGAAAAGGGTAAAGAATGGATCTGGAGGGGCTAATGAAGATTCCAAGCTGAATTTTTTCCTGGAATCCTGAGTATAACCAGGAGTTTCATTCTTTCTTGATTGGGCATATTGGCACTTACTGGAAGTCTAATATGACAATAACTGAATTTCCTAAGAATGCTATCTACAGATGAAAAAAACTTGTGCTATGTTTTGCATAACCACTGTGTACTTGATATAGTAATTATGTAAGTTTTATAAATACCTGCATAGAAGATTTGGTCATGAATAATTGGTATTTGGGTTTTTGCAGCTAAATTTTACCAATTGATCCAGCTTTGCCAGTATAGAACTTGGAATTCAAACATTAACATACATGATTCAGTCCTGTAGGCAATCTGCAGCTCTATCAGAGCCTGAAGGTACTTTTCTCAGATTAAAGAGTAGTTTGATCTTTATAGTCATTCTTTATTTCTCCTTTAAAAATAGCATCATAGACTGACAAATTATATTGCAGTGTAGTTACACATCTACTTTCAAATTAAAATACGTGAATAAATAATAATACAGGAGATTTATAAAATAATATTATCATTAAATAAAATAAGTTATTTAATGGACAGTTAAATTATAAGACAATTTGTATAAATTTAAGGTCAAATATTGTTGACAGCTCAGTATGAGCCAGTCCTTTATGTTATGGCACCAGAAGAATCTACAGTTTCTCATTCTTTTCATCTACTACAAAGCTACTTAAAAGTCAAAAGAACTGGAGAAACTTGGGACCTGTTTCAGGGAAATTTTTTAAATTTTCATAGCTCTTCTGTAAGCAGTAATGATAAGTGTATTGCTTAAATAAAATATGTAATGGAAACATTTCCAACAGTTCCATCTGTTGTTACCTTTTAGTTTAATATGTACATTAAAACAGGAGGTTCAACCTGTAAGCCACACTTACTTTGTAGTAATAAATATCACTGATCTGGAACATTTAAAATTTAGTATCTCTGTGGAAATGGTGAAGTGTAACAAGAAGAGAATTTCTATTTAAACTAGTGCTATATTAATAACAAAAAGGCCAGTAACAAGTCAAGCTCAGACTTTTTTTTTTCAATATTGGTGTAATATGAGATATCAGGATTATGAACATTTAGAAGAAAATAAAAATGTCTTCATAGAAAAAAATACATGCATTGGGGATAGTGTGCATATGTGTCTATGAATTAATTTAATTTCTTATTTATACTTATATTTGAGGCTGAAAATAAGAACATTTTCTCAGCCCTTACTCTGTGTTCCTCTGGAAGAAAATGTGAATATTTGATGTTAAAAGACTCCACTGATGTACAAAATATGCCATTAAAAAGAATAATTAGGGATTCCTCATGAGGAATAGCATTTAAAGGTAAGGGCAATACAGATAAAACCACTAGGAGTAAAGACAGAGTTTTAAAGTTGTACTGCTGCCAATTATTTGGTTATCGAATAGGCTTCAATGAATCAGGTCATAGAAGACACGGGAAGAGAAGTTATTAGATTTAGATTTTAGAGGTTTTAAGTAATCGTGCTTCTTTTTAATTCTCATAATAGCAAAACATTTAAGTTCTTAGCATTTGACCTCAGAAAATTGGGATTAAAGATTTGTTCTTATTTACTGAGGCCACAGAATAAACTATTGTTTGTGTTCTGGAATGCATCATATAAGCAAACACAAATTGCTTAAAAATGTCTCAAAAGTCCAAACACGTTAAAACCATTGTTTGCAAATGGTTTATTTTTACCTTAATTGTCAGCATAATGTCAGAACACAGACTGAATTTTTGAAAGTACTACTTGGCAAGTTCTTATTGATTGATTGAAGAAAAAGTGGACAAAGTAAATTCCTGACAGCTTGACCCATTTTGTTTTCCTAGGCAGATTACAAAAATCAAGCAATTATTACAAGTTTAAAACTCTGGTGGATATATGAGAAATACAGAAGAATCAGAAATATATAGAAGTGACATTAGAATTTGAAGGAGTCCAGATTTATTATAAAGTTTTTTTTAAAGGCAGAAATAACAGATCGAACACCATTTTCCAACGATAATATGAACTGGTCCATCAAAGTACAAAATTTAATAAAAATGACTCAGGCTTTCACTTGATTTATTACTGTGGTTATTCATATTCATTAATTCACCCAAAATATATTTCATCCCTTTAAGAATGAGAGACTACACTAGTTTCTGAAGATTTAATAACAAAAAAGTATTTAACTTGTAATAACATGTTTAATTTTTTGACACTCAATTCATGAGTTTGATTATATTGACTGTATTATATTCAAGAAGGTTGCTTTTTACTTCCAGGGTATTTGAAAGTATACTTTATTTTTAGTACTTGTAGTAATTTGTTTGCATTTTTTCTTAGCAGATAATGGTTGATTAGGGAGTTAAAGTACTGAACTTCATTTTCAGACTGTATATCTTTTTAATGTGTATAATATGGTTTGCATTTGTGTCGCTTCCCAAATCTCATGTTGAATTAGAGGAGGGGCCTTGTGGGAGACGGTAGAATCATGGGGATGGTATCCCCCTTGCTGTTCTCATGATATTGAGTGAGTTCTCTAAAGATCTGATGGTTTAAAAGTGTGTGGGACTCTCCCCTTTTCTCTCTCTCTGCTCTGCAGTGGTAAGACGTGCTTGCTTTCCCTTCACCTTCTACCATGATTGTAAGTTTCCTGGAGCCTCCTAGCCATGCTTCCTGCACAGCCTGTGGAACTGTGAGTCATTTAAATCTCTTTTCTTCATACGTTACCCAGTCCAGGTAGTTCTTAATAGCAGTGTGAGAATAAACAAACACAGGAAATTGGTACCAGAAAAGTACGGCACTGCCATAAAGATACCTGAACATATGGAAGAAGCTTTGGAACTGGGTAACAGACAGAGGTTGGAATAGTTTGGAGGCCTCAGAAGAAGAAAAGAAGATGTGGTAAAGTTTAGAACTTCCTAGAGATTTGTTGAATGGTTTTGACCAAAATGCTGATGGTGATATGGACAGTGAAGTCCAGACTGAGGCGGTCTCAGATAGAGATGAGAAACTTATTGGGAACTGGAGTAAAGATCATTCTTGCTATGCTTTAACAAAGAGACTTGGCATTTTGCCCCTGCCCTGTGGAACTTTGAACCTGAGAGAGATGATTTAGGGTATCTGGTGGAAGAAATTTCTAATCAGCAAATCATTCAAGAAGTTATCTGGCTGTTTCTGAAAGTGTACACTCATATGCATGAACAAAGAGATTATCTGAAACTGGAACTTAATATTTAAAAGGGAAACAGCATAAAAGTTTGGAAAATTTGCAACCCTACCAGGCAGTAAAAAAGAAAAACCCATTTTCTGGGGAGGAATTCAAGGCTGCAGAAATTTGCATAAGTAAAGGAGAGCTGAATATTAATAGCCAAGACAAGGGGGTTGGGAATGCCTTTAGGGTATTTCAGAGACCTTGGGGCAGGCCCTCCCACCACAGTCCTAGAAGCCTGGAGGAAAAAAAAAAAAAATAGTTTCATGGGCCAGGCCCCGGACTCCACTGCTCTTTGTAGCCTCAGGACAGCCTGAGTCCCAGATGCTCCAGCTCCAGCCATGGCTAAAAGGGGCCAAGGTACAGCTCCAGCCATGGCTGGCTTCAGAGGTGAAAGCCCCAAGCCTTGGCAGCTTCCGTACGGTGTTGATCCTGTGAGTACACTGAAGGCAAGAGTTGAGGTTTGGGAACTTCTGCCTAGATTTCAGAGGATGTAGGGAAATGCCTGAATGTCCAGACAGAAGTCTGCTGCAGGGGCAGATCCTTCATGGAGAACTTCTACTAGAGCAGTACAGAGGGTAAATGTAGGGTTGGAGCCCCCACAAATAGTCCCCATTGGGCTATTGCCTAGTGGAGCTGTGAGAAGAGGGCCACTGTCCTCTAGACCCCTGAATGGTAGATCCACCAACAGCTTGCACCATGCACTTGGAAAAAGCCTGCAGGCACTCGATGCCAGCCTGTGAAAGCAGCCCCAAGGACTATACCCTGCAAAACCACAGGGGTGGAGCTGCCCAAGGCCAAAAGAGCCCACCCCTTGCATTAGCATGCCCTGGATGTGAGACACGGAATTGAAGATATTATTTTGGAGATTTAAAATTTAATAACTGCCCTGCCTGTCTGCCTTTGCTATACCCTGCAAAGCCACAGGGGTGGAGCTGCCCAAGGCCATGAGAGCCCACCTCTTGCATTAGTGTGCCCTGGATGTGAGACATGGAGTCAAAGGAGATTATTTTGGAGCCTTAAGATTTAATGACTTTCCTGTTAGGTTTTGGACTTGCATGGGGCCTGTAGCCCCTTGGTTTTGGCCAATTTTTCCATTTTGGGATGGCAGCATTTACCCAATGCCTGTAGCTTTATTGTATCTTTAGAGTAATGAACTTGTGTTTTATTTTACAGGCTAATAGGTGAAAGGTACCTGCCTTGTCTCAGATGAGACTTGAGCTGTGAGGCTTTTGCATTTATGCTGAAATTAGTTAAGACTGGGGTACTGATGAGAAGGGATAATTGTATTTTGCAATGTGAGAAGGACATGAGATTTGGGAGGGGCCAGGGCAGAATGATATGGTTTGAATTTGTGTCCCTGCCCAAAAATCATGTTGAAGTGGAGGAGGAGCCTGGTGGGAGGTGATTGTATTATGGAGGCGGATCATCTTTCTCAGAATAGTGAGTTCTTACAAGGTCTTATGGTTTAAAAGTGTGTGGCACTTTTTTTTCCCTTCTTCTCTCTCTCTCTCTCCTGCTTTGCCTTTGTAAGACGTGCCTGCTTCTCTTTCACGTTCCACCATAATTATAAGTTTCCTAGGGTCTCCTAGCTATGCTTCCTGCACAGCCTATGGAACTGTTAGTCAATTAAATCTCTGTTCTTCATAAATTACCCAGTCTCAGGTAGTTCTTTATAGTAGTGTGAGAACAGCCTAATATAGTGTATTAACACAATTCCAGACTCAGAGAAGATACTCAATCTTTCTTCAGTGGATGAATCAGTCAAAATATATTGTCATTTAACAGCTCTACCTGTCTTTGAAATTGAAAAAGAAGGAAGATATGTTAGAAACTTAATAATCTCTGATAAGACATTCTTTTAGGTTTGACTACATGTATCCATGTCACTTTACACTAAAACAAAATAAACAAAAATAAATACAGAAATTAGAAGCTGAGAACCTCACAATTTCAGGAAAGTTAAATTATTTGCTTCTCACCAGTAGGCCAGGGATTCCTTGAGAGGCATACATGCAAATTATTTGTAAATGACTTATGGGAAGACAGTTATCAAAATGAAGTCTTTGGCTTGAATATAGTTTGTACAAAACTTTTATTGTAGTAAGGGAAGAATAAGTTCAGTTCTTTGTAAAAAAGATAATTAGAATATAGTTTTAAAATATATTTGGTTACTTGAAAAAAAACAGTGAGTACTATGAAACTGCATCAACAAAGCACTATTTTTTTATTATTATACTTTAAGTTCTAGGGTACATGTGTGCAACGTGCAGGTTTGTTGCATATGTATACATGAGCAAAGCACTATTTTTTAATGAGCAGCACAAAAAGCACCTTAGATGTGTATTACTGGACATTTTCTATTACTGATCTTATCTCTTTCATGGATTTTAACTTTACTCTCTGAATCTATGAAGTACTTTTTTATTGATTTATTAAATTTTAACTAGTATTTATTAGGCATCCATTTTGTGTATAACAGTGGGAGACATAAAATTAGTATTAAAATGTTATTGTCTCTGAAGGAACAGATTGTATGAGAAAGAATGCATTATATAGAGAAGTCTGCAAAATATTTAAATAAATGTGTTGTATAAAATGATCATTACATGGTAATGTAAATCAATAAAAAATAAAAATATGAATATTCAAAATTTGGTTATTTATTGATAGGGGAAGCCCAGAGACAAGAAGACAAGTTAAGGAATTATTTTAACAGTTCGGGCTAAAGTAAGTATGGTCAGAGAATAAAGAGTAGGGGTCTAGGAGACACCAGAAGCTGTTCACAGTGCTGAAAGCTTACATAGTGCACACACAAACATTTCTTCCCTGGACTCTGCTAATATTTATAATTTTTCTCCTCCACTACACATTATATACTTCTTTTTTCTTCATTCAACATCACAGCTGGTAGGATTCTTTATCCATATTCATGAGGGATCTGACCCTTTGTAGTTCTGTATGCATAGGGTTAGCATAGTGTCCCATTGAATTGTAACACTGTACATGTTAGTACAAGGAAAAGTCTTATGGATCACTTGGGTTCCATCTATACTCCTCTGTTTCCCCACTGTATTAAAACAGAGATTTTTATCTTTATAGTCAAAATGAATTATTAGACCAAATAAAATAACTTAAGTTTTTCACCCTGATACACTCAATGGAAAGAAGAGCCCTAAAAGGTAAAATAAGTGTCTGCTTCCAATTCATGGGAACCACTGATATCTCTCTTGATGGAAGGATACACTCCCTGAGCATTAAACTTCCTAAGCAGCAGGTTTAAGAAAAGTCAAACTAGAAAATAATAATGTGAGTAAATATTTAGATTTATTATGTACAACATCATTCCCACTGTGCCACTTAGTTCTATCACAATTTTGAGAGAAACCGTTCCACATATTGGCTACTGGCTTAGAGCTTACAGTATTCTGTACCATAGCTCTATAATGGTTGATAGTATAACTCCACCTTTTTCTAAGGTCAGCCACTTTTGTGTGATGTGGGACAGGGTGAGACTTTGAACATAAAGGCATTGCCTAACTTCTTGCAATAAAGAGTTGCTTGCTTAGAATTGATGTATGTTATACTATAATTGTTTATAAAGCATTTACTTGGTCTAGGGTAAATAGTTATAAAAGAAGAATGAGAGGCAAAGAATACAGTTCCATAATTAGAATAAATTGTAACACTGTACAATTTGAATAAATTGTAGAATTTTATTCTTTACCTATCATTCTTCTTCTCTAACGATGATAGACCAAGTCACCCTTGGAGTAACCCTTGGTCTAGACCCTTGGTCTAGGGTTAATAGTTACAAAAGAAGAAAGTAACCCCTCTTTTATAACTATTAATTATACATTGTCAATAGAATAAGTCTATTCCAGCAATGAAAAGTGTTCATACAAGCTTCATGGATGGAGTTCTAACATAATCAATCTGCCATCAAGTTACTATGCAGCTTTTCCAACACTACAATTTTGAGAAGGCCTGTAGGGGTTACATTATTGATAGCTGTCAAGAAAAAAAACTGGACACTCAGTATTAGCAATTGGTTGGATTCATAAGGGCATGTCTATTGCATGGGCCCATGCATAGGTTCTGTTCCTATTACTAGGGATGCTTTCTTCCATGTGCTCACTGAGAATGCACTATTGTGACTAAGGAAGTATGATGATGAACATGCACAGAGTGGTTTTTCTTTACATTTTATCATTACAATCCTCAGACAAAATGCAACTTATTGGTGAACATACACATATGATCTAAATATATATTTTTAAAATGGACCAACCTATTGTGAGAAATCTACAAAGAATCCCTTTTCTGAAACCAACATGTCAACAATCTTTTAACATTTTTTTTTTAAAATGCCAAAGGATTTAGCCAAAATATGAATCATTACTTGCGGGCCACTGTAGAGCATAACCACAGGCCATTTCTTCTTATAGGGAAAGTGGATAATTGGATATCTAGCTTGTAGTTCTTCCTGATGGCGATAATTACCTTCTTTATCATTAGTGACGCTGTAATGTTTCAGCAGTCCACATCTGAGTGAGTGATGCCAGAATTTTATGCATTCATGTGAAAATAAGGTTTGATTTATTTCTTCTTTGGGCAAATAATCACAGAGAATCTTTATAAGCCCACTTGTTTGTGTTAATGGAAGCTTGAATTATGGCTGGGATATGTACTTTGGTATTCTAATGCAACCCATGTGTAGTTTCTGTGCCAGACTGCAAGTTGTTCCATATGTACTATTTTTGCTTCATAATGGAGTAGTATTTTGCACAACTAAAATGTATGTCTTCATGGATATGGCAATGTCTAATTCTTGATTACAGGCTTGAGTGTAATGGTCATCTCTTGGTCTATGGAGAGTTGCTCAGGCTCTACTAGGGTTCCTCATCAAACCAAACACCGTTTTGCCAAGGATAGTTTGTCGTTAAAGAGGATATAACCTAGTTTCAAAATCTTAGGAGATATTGATGGCCTCATCACAGGCACCACACAACTTTCTGATATACCAAAAGTCTTTGACAAACACTGACTTCTGTTAAATCTTGTGTCTAGAGGCAGAGCTGTTTGCGTGGTAATCTGTACTAACCAGAGAGCAATCTTTTCTTTGGGGAGGGAGAAGTATTTAATTCAAAGGTCACAGGTTTTTAGGACATCTATAAATAGATGTTAATGGGTTACCCAATGCAGTTTATGCTGTTGGAAAATACAAAAATGTGAAATCGCTCACCAAATACTTTCTCTTTCTCAATTGTACAAGGTGAGGGTGCAGTAACTTACCCTTCACTTTAGAGTAGATGCCCTGCTGTATGCATCATGAATCACATATTTTTTGTAAGATTGATTTTAACTCTTTCTCATTCATATGTCTTCCTAAGGAATACAAAGAATTCCTGAGCTGAATTAAATTGCTCTAGTAATGAGACTATACCTGGAAGAGTAATTATAATTTGGAGTCATGTCCTGATTAAGCTTATAAAAATTTACTCTTCAAATACTCATTAAGCTAATTGGCTAAAACGGTTAAGATAAATTCATCTTTCAAGTCTCTATGGTGCTACTCATCTCTCACTTTCCTAGTGATGTGGACATACAATCTGATTTATTATTTTGGTAGAAAGAGGGAGTTCTAGGAATATTATCTTTGCTATTTTCACCATAATTCTTTTTTAAAGGGTAAGAAGACAACTAGGATTTTTCTTTCAGTTGATAAGCACCTTCTTCAAGAATTGGAAATATAAAAAACATGAGCTCAGAATCTCCTGATGCCAACATAAGGGCTACAGAGATGGCCACTAAATGCTTTTCAAATGCTGTTGGAGATCCCTTTTAATTTATTTCTCATATTATACATTTCTTGAAAATATCAAGTTCTTAGATAAATTTAGTGCACAAGCCAGTTAACCTTGGTGTGGTCTTGCTGTTGAATGCAATCTCATTCCAGTTATGCTGGAATCAAATTCTAGTTATAGCTCTGAAATCAACAAGAGATGAGGGCAGGGGACAACACTAAAGAGTTTTCTTAATCCAGTCTACCATTGTTGGACATTTGGCTTGGTTCCAAGTCTTTGCTATTGTGAATAGTGTGGCAATAAACATACGTGTGCATGTGTCTTTATAGCAGCATGATTTATAGTCCTTTGGGTATATACCAGTAATGGGATGGCTGGGTCAAATGGTATTTCTAGTTCTAGATCCCTGAGGAATCGCCACACTGACTTCCACAATGGTTGAACTAGTTTACAGTCCCACCAATGGTGTAAAAGTGTTCCTATTTCTCCACATCCTCTCCAGCACCTGTTGTTTCCTGACTGTGGCACATATACACCATGGAATACTATGCAGCCATAAAAAATGATGAGTTCATGTCCTTTGTAGGGACATGGATGAAATTGGAAATCATCATTCTCAGTAAACTATCGCAAGGACAAAAAGCCAAACACCACATGTTCTCACTCATAGGTGGGAATTGAACAATGAGAACACATGGACACGGGAAGGGGAACATCACACTCTGGGGACTGTTGTGGGGTGGGGGGAGGGGGGAGGGATAGCATTAGGAGATATACCTAATGCTAAATGAGGAGTTAATGGGTGCAGCACACCAGCATGGCACATGTATACATATGTAACTAACCTGCACATTGTGCACATGTACCCTAAAACTTAAAGTATAATAGTAATAAAATTAAAAAAAAAACAACAAAAACACAATCTGCAGAGCGAAAAAGCAGCCACCAGAATGGAAGAAAATATTTGCAAATCATATATCTAATGAAAGATTAATATCCAGAGTAAAAAAAAAACTTGCATATGTACTTTTGAACTTAAAATAAACCTTTAAAAAAGAAAAAAAAAAGACTAAAGAGTTTTTTTCTGATGCAATTTTAAAACAAGGGAAGAATAGCTTTTTATAGAAGGGGCTGCTTTGACTGCTGGGGAAATATTAAAAAGTATCTCATGCCATTCAGATGTGCAAGAATGTACTTTCAGTTCTTAGAATCCCAGTTCTTATTTTCAGAGCAATGCCACATCTTATACCAAATGACAGAGTATAGCAGCAAATTCAAACACATTATAAATTAGCAACCTACAGGATTAATTGTTGCATTTAGTTTTTGACTACCTGTCTGCATCTATAGATGATAATAGATATTTTAACACATCATGGAAAGTCCCTAGATTTTAAGTACATTACTTGAAATAAAAACTTGATTTTGTTCTATTCTTAATCTTTCAAAGGATCATCAAGAGCAATCACAATGATCCACAGTTCTTGAGTTCTCCTTTTCTCTTTAACGTTCTGTATTAGCTTCCTGGGGCTGCTATAACAAAGTATCACAAAGCCAAAATGATGTAAAACATTTATCATATCACAGTTCTGGAGGCCAGAAGTCCAAAGTCAACTTTGGCAGGTGATGCTCCTGCTGAAATGTGCAGGGGACTCCTTCGTTGCTTCTTCATAGCTTCTGGTGGTTTGGGGGCAATCTTCAGTGTTTTTTGACTATCAGTTGAATAAATCTCATGTCTGCCTTTATTGTCATATGGCATTCTCCCTCAATTTGTCTCTGTCTCACATGGCTATTTTCTTATGAAGATACTAGTCATATTGGACTAGTGGTCCACCCTATTCCAGTATGACATAATCTTGACTTAACTAATTCCGGATGCAATAACCCTGTTTCTAAGAAAGTTCACATTCCGAGGTACTGGGGGTAAGGACTTCAACATACTTTCCTTGGAGTGTACAACTCAAACCGTAGCATATTCTTCTCTTCAGGTGTAACTACAGTCCCATAGTCTTGTCTTCAGGTAAACCCCAGTGAATAATTTAGTTAATGGTTTTTCCTTCACATGCAAGGTATCTTTATTATGGAATACTGAAATCTTCACTGACTTTAGTTTCATATAACAGATACTATATCCTACATTTTTTCTATTTCTATAAGAGTCTGAGTCCTGAGTCCCATTCTTGGTATTGGTTTTGGTGACAGTAAGATTGATTTGTTACAAACAACTGGGGTCAATTTAGGCTTTTTAAAGAAAAAAAATGGATTTATTGTGAAGATACCTATAAGCCCACCTATAAGCCAGATCGCAATGCTTAATAACAGGTAGCAAGCAAAAAATCATTAATACTCCAGAAATGGTTACACAAGAGAAGCTTCCATTTAAGATGCTGCTTCAGTTGCCTCTGCCACTGAATCTTTGAAACTATTAATTGTGCCATAAATACATTCACATTGTCTGGCAACTTTTGTCACTTCCTTAAGATTCAAGTCCTAAACAGGAGTTCAACTAGATGGGTCTGACTTTTGTGCCATGCTTTAGCTGCTAGGGAGAAGGTAGGGAGAGGGGAATACCTGTCTGTCTTTTTGGCTATCTTAAATCTCTCTGTTTCCTCCTCCCCACTGCGCTTTCTCTCTCTTTGTTCTTACTTTTCACTTCACCTGTATCACTGAGTCCAGTGCACTCTCTCAACTGAGGAAATTGATTTTTTTCTTAATGTTGTTGGTTCAGCAGTGTGGTCCACCCCAAATTCTCCTTTATAGATTCCTGTAGTGGCTTATAATGTGGAAAATATAAACGAAAGATTGACAGTTTTTTTTGTTGTTTTTTGGTTGTTGTTATTGTTATCTATTTTTTTCTTTCTGCTATATTCTTTCTTTTAGACAATAAAAAAAGAAACCAAAAAATAGTTAAATGTACTGGAGGATGAAAGAGTGTGAAAAGAAGTGGAAAACAATAGCATTGATGATTACTTATCACAGATATTTTACAGATAAAGAAACAGAGGTTCAAGGGGGATAAGTGATGTGCTCAGTCACACTTGTTAAAGTAAATGATGAATATGGAACATAAATCCATTTTTGGGGGACCATAATTTAGAATTCTTTTAGTATACCATGCTCAGTGTTTGGCAAAGTGAGTAAATTTCAGGTTGACACTTAAAGTAATGCAATAATAAAACATATATTAGTATTGTCAAGATGCCGGTTTCTCCCCACTTGATCTATACAATGAATACAATCTCCATCAAAATTTTAGCAAATTGTTTTGTGGATGTTGATAAACTGATTCTAAAGTTTACAGAAAGGCATAAGACCCAGAATAGTGAATACAACATTGAAGGAGAAGAACAAAGATGGAGGACTGATACTACCTGACTTCAAGGCTTACTATAATGCTACAGTAATCAAGACAGTGTGACTGGTATAAGAATAGACAAATAGGTCAATGGAACAGAATAAAGGGCACATAAATAGCCCCATACAAATACAGTCAGTTGATTTTTGACAAAGGAGCAAAGGCAATACAATGGAGCAAAAATCACGTTTTCAACAAATGATGCTGAAACAACTGGACATTCATACGCAAAAAGTAAATAAATAAATAAAAAAGAAAAAAGAAAAAAAAGAATCTAGACAAAGACCTTTCACAAAAATTAACTCAAAATGGATTGTAGGCCTAAGTATAAAACACAAAGCTATAAAATTCAAAGACTATAACGTAAGAGAAAATCCAGGTGGTCTTAGATAAAATGAGGACTTTCTAGATATGACATCAAAAGAAAAAATGATAATTTGGACTTCATCAAAATTAAAAAACTATTCTGAGACAGTCGCTTTTAAGAGACTGAAAAGATCACTGAATGGTAGAAAATTTTTGCAAAACACATGTCTGCCAAGGCACTGGTGTTGAAAGTAAACACAAAACTCTTAAAACTCTACAAAGAGAAAACAAACAACCCAATTAAAAACTGAGCAAAAGATCTGAACAGACACCTCACCTGATGATACACAGCTAGCAAGTAAGCATGTGAAAAGATGGTCAACATTATACGTCATAAGGCAATTTCAAATTGAAACAACAATGAAATATCACTAAATATCTATTAGAATGGTCAAACTCCCAAACACTGACAATACCAAATGCTGGCGAGGGTATGGAGCAGCAGGAACTCTCATTCATTGCTGGTGGGGCAGCAAAATGCTGCAGCCACTTTGGAAGATAATTTGGCAGTTTTTTACCAAGCTAAACATACTCTTAAGACATTGTCCAGCAATCCCACTCTTGGATATCTACCAAAATGAGTTGAAAGTTTATGTTCATACAAACACTTTCATATAAGTGTTTATAGTAGCTCTATTTATAATTTCAAAAGAAAGCAACCAAGATGCCCTTCAATAGGTGAATAAAGAAGCCATGTTATATTCATACAATGGAAATTATTCAGCAATGAAAAGAAATGAGCTATCAAGCCAAGACAAAAGAAACCTTCACCATGGAGACATATAGGGGAGCCTTAAACACATATTAATATGTGAATGAAGCCAATGTTAAAAGTGTATATACTGTATGATTCCAACTATTTGACATCCTCAAAAAGGCAAAACTATAGAGACAGTATGAAAAATCTGATTGCCAGGAGGTTGGGTGGAGATAGGGAGGGATGAATAGGTGGAGCAAGGGGTTATTTATGACAGTGAAATTACTCCGTATGAAATTTTAGTTGTGTAAATATGTAATTATACAATTATTAAAGCCCATAGAATGTACAACACAAAAAGTGAAATTTAATGTAAAATTATGGACTTTTACTATAACAATGAATTGGCTCACCAATTGTGACAGATTTACAACACAAATGTAAGATGTTAGTAATAGGGGAACAAAGTTTTTATAATCCTAAAACTGCTCTAAAAAATGTATTCTATTTAAAGTATACGTATTGATAGAAAAAATAGCAAGAGCATGTGAGACAGTAAAACAGTATGGATGTTTATATGCAGGGTGCACTCAGGTGACTGCTCTAGGTGAAATACTCTACTGCGTTGGAATCAAGTGAAAGGTGAGTTTTCAGAGAAGAGATAGACTGAGCAGCCCTAATCAGAGGCACAAACATCTTTAAACAGACAAGAGAAATGTTGCAGCTAGATGCTAGAAATATGCAATTTAGAACAGACTTAGGAAATCCCTAAGGCTTTCTAAATATGCAGAAATTTCATAACTTAAGATGACAAGCAGGTTACTTGAGAGGCCCTGGACCAGAGCATAGCAATACACACTAACAAGAACCAATCTCTATGGAGAGGTCTCCTTTGGAAAAGTGTTTTAAACATGGTGATCAGATGCATACTTTTTTTCTGTCCATCTCCAGTGGCTTCCTATGCTAAGCTACAGATTTGCTTCAGCTATCTTCATCTATAAACAAGACACTTCCTATGTTTCCTTACCTTTTTTTACTTACCTATGCTTTCTTAATGCTGTTATGTTACTACACATACTTATTAAAGGAGTAATGGTACTCATTATATTCACATTTGCATAGACCATTCTCTTCCTAGCATAATCATTTCTTTCCCTAATTCTCTTCCTAACTTGAATTTTCTTTCATTCTCAGATGTTTTTTGCTGGTTAGTGTTCTTAAGCTCATTTGTTAGTGTTGACATTCCCTAGAGTGGTATCTATCATTTCAGGGGAAAAACAGCTTTGAACTCAGCCTTCTTTCCTCCACCGTATCTACTTTCTCTGTCAGCAACCTCATTAGCACCTTGGATTTTTATTGTTGAATACACATTAACGTCTTCCACCTCAGATGCTCCACCCCAGATGCCACTTCTCAACTCTAGAGATGTATTTTTATTTTTATTTCAATTTCCACAGTCAATCAAACTCAAAATGTTTATAACCAAATATTTGTATTCACTATAAGCTGTCCACTCACCAGCTCTAATAACTAAATATTGAAATTATAATATATTTAGCTCTTCTTCCTGACAATTCATCCTTCCCAACCCATGCCATTTATCAAGTTCATTAATTTCTGCCTCTAAAATGTTTTCACGAATTTACCCTTTTCTTTCTATCTGCACTTCCCCAAGATTTCATTATTAGTTTATATCAAATGTTTCTGCCACCACTGTCTCTTTCCTTTGGTATCACATTGTTGCCACAATCATCTCTATCACACAGAAATGTGTCTATTTGAATTAAAAAAAAACTTGTAATAAAATAAAATTCACACAATTTAGCATGCCATGCAATCCTTTTTCCCATATGGTTTTCACACTACTCTTTAGAACAGTGCTTCTTCTCTGGAGAGAAGATCATTTGAATTATTTTAATCCATTGTGAGCAATACTTTTTATAAATCCAATAAACATTTCTTGTTAGAATAATTCTCACTGGCTAGGAAGTTGTAGTAATGTCAAATTTCTACAAAAGTGTCTAAACAGTTAATCATATTTTCTCCACTGTCAGACTATTAATAGCTTGTAATCCATCCGGTATTTTGCCTTTGCTCATAATACCCATGTAAAGTTTGTAGTAATCACACCAACTATTTGGGTAGTTATTGATCTGTTCAGGCTATTTTTTCTTGGTTCAGTCCTGGTAGATTGTGTATTTCTAGAAATTTATTCATTTATTCTAGGTTATCAAATTTGTTGGCATACTAGTGTTTGTGATAGTCCCTTTTGTTCCTTTTTATTTTTGTGGTATTTGTAATGTCTCTTCTTTAATTTCTTGTTTTATTTATGTCTTCTCTCTTTTTTTAGTCTAGCTAAGCATTTGCTGATTTTGTTTATCTTATCAAAAGACCAACTCTTAGTCTTACTGATTGTTATTGACAAAAATTTTGTATACCTGACAAACATGTTTATGCCAGCACTCTTCACAGTTATCCCAAACTGGCAACTATCCAAATATACACCTACCATAAAATAGACTTAAAAAGTTGTTATAGTCATACAATGGAAAATTAGCAATAAGTATGAACACATTTCAACTATATTCAGCAACATAATGGACATAAACATAATGGTGAGTGAAAGGAGATAGTTGCATAGGAGTATACTTTATGATTTTAGTTAAATCAAATACAAATGGAGGCAAAAATATTGTATCATGTTAGAAGTCAGGATAATGATTACTCTGAGAAGGGTACTAATAGTGAAACAGGGACTTCTGGAGTGCTAATTATACATAGATACATAGATAGATATAGACAGATTAGATAGATAGATAGACAGATAGATAGGTTGATAGATCTGTGTGCTCCACAGATCTTCATGCTCAATTTATGGAAATTCATTAAATTATACAATTATGATTTTTGTATTTTTTGGTATGTATGTTTAGTAAAATGTTTATTTGAAAAATAGTTCTACATTGAGTTTCTTATTATGATATATAAGAAAGGATGAGCTGTATGTGGATGATAATAAAGAATGAAGAAATGAGAATTTAGATGCTAGAATAAAACAAAGAGATGACCACTAAAACCATTACAATAGAAAAACTGTCATTTCAGATGGATATGTGTATAGTTAGAAGCTGGAAGTCAAATCATCAACTTAAAAGTACACAGGGTTTGCATATCAGGAAGAGAAAATGGTTAACAAAAGACTCAAAGAAAAATGGTAGAGGGAAAATTGGAGAAAACGATTCTCATGGAAGTTGAAGAAACAATAATTTATTTTAAGAATATAGCCAATTGTTCAGTCATAACAGGAAAAAATACAAGGAGAGCAAAAATCAGTAATAGACTAGTGGACAGGCTTATAAGGAATCACTCGTCACTTTAAAGAAATGTCAATGACTTACATATAATTTAAATCAGAATGTCAGACTTAATGATAAAATAAGTAGGAAGAATGGAAGCAGAAATCATTGCACAAATTTTGAATTGTTTTACGAGAAATATGAAAAAAATAACTTTGCAAAAAGCACTTACAAAATTTTTATCACAAAAATAAATATCCTGAAAATTTTAACTAATTATCTGTCTTCAACTTCATTTCTCTTAGAGACCTTGCTGTCAGAAATTCTAAAAGGAAAATATATATAAATCACTTTCTTACTTATATGATTCTGTCCTAAGTTTTGTATTTTAGATCCATGAACATACATAATTTCTATGGTGGCTGTAGATAACAGATACAACATAAAACACCAAAAAATCAATTTTAATTCCTTATTAAAACTACAAACACATATAAGCATTTTCAAAATAGACAAAATAAAAGCTGAAGTATGCAATTATGAATTGAGTTATCAATGCTCAGAAAGTGTAACTGATTCTATGAAACATGACTCCATGCACTTCACATTTGTGAGAGTTTATTGCCTTTATTACAAACTAATTATCATTGCAATGTAATAGTATAACCTAAGGGATTTGTTTGACTTCAGTAGTTCTGAAGGTAATGGAGTTTGAAAGCTTGTCTTTTCTGGTAAATAGTCCTTCTCACTCATGAAGTTCTTAATATAATTTATAAAATAAAAACATCATACACTGTATATTTGAGTACTTTAAAATACAGGAGATGAAAATGTAGAAAGGATGTTTTAAAAATAAAATATAGGCTATTAAGAAAACAGTGATATGGGTCAATGTTCCTAGGTCATGTGTCTATCAATGGAGTAAATAAGTAGCTAGAAAACCAAGACGGAACCATTCCTATCTTCACTCCAGTCCCACTACAGGACGAGAATGGCCTTTCTCTTGAAATTAATTGCCCATCTAGAAAGTATTTAGAAAGTATTTCAATGACAGTAATAGTGTTGCATGAGAGTTAACTAGCGTCATTCTTCCTGGGTTCAAATCCTAGTTCTACTATTTTCTTGTTGTGTTATTTAGACAGGTTCCTTAATCTCCACGTTCCATAGTTTATTCAGGTACAAAATGGAGTATAGTAACAGTCCCCTCATCATAGATGGGTGTTGAGAATGAAATTACATAATTAGAGTAAGAGCATTTAGAATGGAATCTAGAAAACAGTAAGAGCTAAGTATTAGCTTTTATTTATAATGCTCAAACTAAGTCTTTGGATATTTAAAGAGAGGTTTGAGCTTAAAGACTGAAGAGATACATGTTGTTTCTTTTAATAGTATGTAGACATTTGTGCAGATTTTTGGTTCCAGTTGTTGTTCCTGGAGGAGAGAGAAAAGAGAGGGAAGTAATGGCAAAAGAAAGAAGAGAGAGGGAAAGAAAAGGTCCAGAAATGGGAGGAAACTAGAATTCTAGTGGAGAAACTATGTAAGGTTTATTTAAATTTTATGAAGAAATATTTGCACTCCCATGTTCATTGTACTGGTATTCACAATAGCCAAGTTACAAAAACAACTAAAATGTCCATTGATGGATGAATGGATAAAGATAATATAGGAAAGAACATATTATTCCACATGAAAAAGAGGGAAATCCTGTAATTTTTGACAACATGGATGAAACTAGAGGACAAGTGAAGCAAGCTAAACTTAGAAAAATACTACATGATCTTACTTATTTAAAATGGAAACTGAAACAGTCAAACTTATAAAAATAGAGTATTTAAAGGCAGCTACCTGGGACTAGAAAATGGGGAGATGTTGGTCAGATGGTTGACAGTTCTAATTACACAGGATGAATACATTCTGAAGATCTGTGTACAACAATGTGAATATAGTTAACAATACTGTACTGTAGATTTGAAATTTGCCCAGATAGTAGATGAAGTGTTCTCACTCCCCACCACAAACATGGAAAAAGAACATAATAACTACATGAAGTGATGGACAGTTTACTTAGCTTGATTATGGCAATTATTTTACAATGTATATCAATACATCAAGTTGTATACCTTGAATGTATAAGATGTTTGTCAATTATATCTCAATAAAGCTGAGGAAAAAAATAAAAACATTAAATAATGTAAGATTTTATCTCAGACTGTGATGACCCAAAGGCAATAGAAGAATATCTTTAAGGTAGTGACCAAAATAGAAACTGTACTGTATTATTAATTTATAGTTGTTCAGGGGCCACATTGCCCATGACATACTTCCAGCTAATGACTGTGTGTAGGATGAATTCCAAGGCAGGCCTATTTCTGTGAAATCTGAGCTTTCTCTGACTGGTGACTTCAGCTCCAGGACTCCTCACTGACCTTGTCAAAATTTTCTTAGAACTATGATATAGTTTAAGACTCTTTCTACGCCATCTCCATCCACCATCACTTTTTTTCCCCACTACTTCACAGGGATCAGACCTGCATCCTGATTTGACAGTTCTCGCTTTCTCTTTCTTCTCCTTTCTTTTCTATCATGGATATTTCCACCAAAAATCTCTTGCACACCTGATTTTATCTTGACAACTACTTCTTGGAGGACCAGAATTAATGCCATAGGCGACACTCCTCTAATTTTTCTGAAGTTAATGAAAAAGCACTCTGTTTTATAAAGGATACTCCTTTGGAAATATTAGAGATAAGAAGTTAGGAAAATTCTTATTTTGATTTTTATTACTTTATAGGTTTAGGGCAGAGGTGCTCATTCTTTTGGCTCCCCTGGGTCACATTGGAAGAGGAATTGTCTTGGGCCACACATAAAATACACTAGCACTAATGACAGCTGATGAGCTAAAAAATATCTCCTAATGTTTTAAGAAAGTTTATGAATTTGTGTTGGGCCACATTCAAAGCTGTCCTGAGCCGCATGCACCCTGTGGGCCGTTGGTTGGACAAGCTTGGTTTAGGGAGTTAAAAGCCATTTAAATATACTGCCTCTCTGTCATTCTAGGCATACATTTTAGGGATGTATTTTCTGCTCTGGAGCTTCTATTCTGAAGCATTCACCTTAGTAATGCATTCCTTCACAACAAATATTGGAAAAGACAGAATGAGAGAGTTGAATTAGGCCAATAACATAAAGAAAATATTGAGTTGATGGCAGGTGAAAATATTCTGTATTATTTTATTAGAAAATATAGCTATTGTATTAAGAAAGGAGATAGATTTTATGTAGAAAGCTCATTAAGACTTTTAGTGTTTTACTACGTATTTATAGTTCCTTAATAGAATTATGCATTGGGTGTTCAACTGTTTTGAATTAAGTGATCATTTATAATGTTATTAATGATAATTTTACTTTCTGCATTATAGCTTTAAGTTATTTTAAGAACTCATTCTCCTCCTTTATTGCTTATAGTCCATAACTTAAAACTTTTAACTTTATCCTATTACAGTTCACCCTTTTCACTGCCATCGCTCCAACACAGGTCTCCATCATTTTATATCCAGATTGCTGAAATAGCTTTCTAGCTACTTTCTCTGAAGAAATTGTGATAAATAACAGTCTTTGGAATTGGTACTCTCCTGTATGAGTTGTCTGTTGACCACTACTAGGAGGTGGCTCCCAGTCAGGAGGCATGGCGGTCAGGGACCCACTTGAGGAGGCAGTCTGTCCCTTAGCAGAGCTCGAGCACTGTGCTGGGAGATCTGCTGCTTTCTTCAGAGCCAGCAGGCAGGGATGTTTAAGTCTGCTGAAGCTGAGGTCACAGCAACCCCTTCCCCCAGATGCTCTGTCCCAGGGAGATGGGAGTTTTACCTATAAGCCCCTGACTGGAGCTGCTGCCTTTCTTTCAGAAATGCCCTCCCCACAGAGTAGGAATCTAGAGAGGCAGTCTGGCTACAGTGGCTTTGCTGAGCTGGGATATCTGAGTTTGAATTTTTTTATTGTATCATGCTAGTTTTGTGACTGTGGACAAGTTACTTAAAAGCTTATGTCTCCATTACTCATACATTCAGAAGACTAAATAAAAAAAAATAAAGCATGTAGAACAGGACCTGAACTTGCCAGCACTCAATAAATGATGAATATTGTCATTAAAAGTATTTATTCCTGTTATTTTACTGGTTGGAAACTTTCAATGTTTCCTTTTTGCTTTGGAGTCTGCTTTAACTTATTTTTTTACTTTAGCCCCTTGAAATGGTTCTTTCCTAGTTTTCTATCTGACAAATATTTATTGTGCACCTATTATGTGCCAGGAATGAATTTGTTTTCCTGATCTCCATATGCACAACCAGCTCCAAACTCTGGACAGGCCTGCATTCCCACAGGACCTAGTAACTGTGCCATCAAAAGTTTTGCTTTATGTCTGCTATAAAAACCCATTCTCCTCCAGTGTACCCTTTGCTTTATCTATCCCCTGATAATTTTACCTGAATATCTAATGTGCCCTGTATACCATGCAAAATGCTGACATTAAGTACATCTCAGTTTTGCTTTCAAGTTGCTTACAGTCTAATGAGAAAAGTATACAACAAAATAGGCATTCAAAAGTTCAAGTTGTAAGTTCTATTATAACAACAAAATACGCATTCAAAAGTCCAAATTGTAAGTTCTATTATATAATAAAAAGTATCATGTGGTTTTGGACAACAAAAGAGAAGTAAATAAACTAATATTAGCATGAGTCTGAAATCTGAAAAATGAAATGAGTCAGGCATAGCTGTGGGAATGAAGTTTGGGATGAGGTACAAAGGTAATGTGGCCAGTGTGTTAGAATTGGGAGCAAAATGTTACAAGGAGAGGGAACAGCTTGTGA
Source organism: Homo sapiens (assembly GCF_000001405.40). NCBI lineage: Eukaryota > Metazoa > Chordata > Mammalia > Primates > Hominidae > Homo > Homo sapiens. The sequence goes on from NC_000003.12 coordinate 94,586,758, forward strand.
AGTATCCATTGGAAAAGAGAGGATGTGGCATTTTTTAAGAACTGAGAGAACTGTACTATGATTAGATTATAGTGTAAACAAAGAGAATGTCTTAAAATAATAAATCTGGAAAGGTAATCAGAAACCAGATCATGTAGAACCATGAAAAAACTTGTAAAACAATTTAATATTTTTCTAATGGTAGTAGAAAGGAATTTTAGCAGAAAAATGAGATATTAGATTTGAATTTCAGAAAGATCATCTGATAAGGATTGACGGAAGGAACAAGAGTGAACAAAATGAGAAGAACAGGATTCTGTGGAAGTAGTCAGGGTAGAGGTAATGCTGGCATGAAATAGGTAGTTCAAAGACTAGAAAAATTGAATATACTTTTTCATTTGTTTAGGACATCATTTAATTTTTATTCTCTACTTGACTGTTAGAGAAAAAGACCATGCTGTTTTTACTTGTCAGATATCCTCCACAGAAAGCAGAATTCCTGGAATGTATAGTAGCTTAATAAATAGTTTTGAATGTTTGAATTATTGAAAAAGATTAGAACAAATATTTACATGAGATAATTGACAAGAAATGTGACAGATTGGAGGCAGGTGCTGAAGAAAACTAGAAAAATGTCTTGGTTATGGCTGGATCAAACAGGTAGATGATGCTACCGATAACAGAGAGTCAATACAGGTGAAGAAACAGGTTTAGCAGGAAAGACAATTAGTGCAGTTTTGGATATGTTGAGTTTGAGATGATTCAGAAATTTTAATTGTAGGTCTCTAGTAAACATTAGTTGAATATAGAGAACGAGCTTAAGCAAGAGCTGAGTTGGAGACAGTTCTAGTTAATAACAATAGATGTCACTCATACTGTCATTAAATGCTGAAGGCCTGGTTCCAAGGGATTTATATATACTAACAAATTTAATACGTCAATGCTATGAAATAGGTAAAATGTTATTAGCCCAGTTTCACAAATGGTAAATTTGAGCTTTATTCAGATTAAGTATTTTGCTCAAGCTCACAAGAGATGGAGTTGTGATTTGAACCCAGGCAGTCTGACTCCAGGCTAACATACCTTTAACCATGATGCTACATGGTTTTTCCTCTAATAATCTGGTAATGTAGATGGAGATTAAGGCCAAGGAAGTTAAACAGTAACTCAGGAAGAGGCTACTGAGAGAAATAAGATGATGAGAAGAAATATAACTTTAGGGTTGTGACTCAAAGACATGTTGGCAACCAATGTGATTGTGGAATTATCAGAAAGAGAGGAGGGAAACTAGAAATATAGTGTCACAGAAGACAAAGAAAGACAAAGTTTCATCAATAAAGTTATTTGCAGTGCCAAAAGCTACTACGAAGTCATGTAAGAGAAGTGTTACAAAGTTTCCTTAAAAAAGAAGTCATTGGTTACCATGAAAAAAGTAGCTTCAGTGGAGTAGTAGAAAAGGGAAACTGTCTTTAGAGTTACTCTGTAGGTGATGAAGTAGAAACACAAATGTAGAAAATAGATTTTAAAGTTTTAAATAAATTGAACATAAAATGGAATTTGTAAAATGTTTTTGTGTTTGGTATTTGTAAAAAAAATAGTGTTAATCATGTGTAGGCTCTGATAGAGCCAAGTGAATGAAGAGCAGGCTTAAACGGTGTGTGTGTGTAGGAGGGTAGTTGGGGGCTGCATATTGAGTGAGGACTTTACTAACAAAAAGGCACAATGCCTGTATGAATATAAAATATAAGAAGGTGGTGAGAAATAAAAAAATGTCATTTTTGATAGCTTAAACTTTCTTTGTGGAGTAGAAGGTAAGTTCATCTTTTGAAGGTAAAGGCAGGTATTTGGGAAGTAGAAAGGTGAGAAGAAAAAGAGAGAGACCTGAGATGCAGGATCACCTGGTTTCGCTTTCTGCCACGGCTTGACACTTAGTAGAAAAATATATATGCACTTGATAAAGGCACACAAAATCGCCATGTATTACTACACGGTGCTGTTCCCAAACACAAATGCAGAAATTTAGGGAGTTAAGGTAGACTTGTAGTTAAATTCTTTTGCCCACACTGGAGTTTGTGGGGTGACAATATTAAAACAAGAGAAAGAAAAAGAGGCTGTTATAATAGAAAGATACTAATCTCAAGAAGTGGAAGTTTTTAATATGAGGATGAAATAATCATCTGGAAGCAGTACTAGAGAGCATAAGGAAGCCAGCTCCACTTTCCATTTCCAAATGTGTGGCGTGTCAAAGAAGAGCAATTTCAAACTGAAAGATATACTAATCAGGGTTCTTCAGAGAAGCAGAATCAATTAGGTGTGTATGTATGTGTGTGTGCCTGTGTGTGTGTGTGTGTAAAGAGATTTATTATCAGGAATTGGCTCATGCAATTACGGAGGCTGAGAAGTCTCGAGATCTGCAGTTGGCAAGCTGGAGACCTGGGAAAGCCAATGGTGTGGCTCCAGGGCTCCAGTCTGTGTGCACACTGATGTACCAGCTCAATAGTCAGTGAAAGAGAGCAAATTCTCACTCACTTAGCCTTTTTTGTTTGGGTTTGGTTTGTTCAGACCTCCAATAAATTTGATGAGGCCCACACACATTGAGGAGAGGAATCTGATTTACTTAGCCTACTGACTCAAATGTTAATCTCATCCAGAAACATTCTTAAGACATACCCACAAAAATGTTTAACCAAATATCTGGGTACCCTATGGTCCAGTCAAGTTGACACATAAAATTAACCATCACAAATGGTTGCAGGGGAAGCTGTGTCTTCAGAGGAAAGTAGTATTTCCTCAAGACAAGTAGGTTAAGGGAGTTTTCAGTGAAGAAATTGAGGATGCAGGGAAAACTTTTTTCTAGTTTTTGAAATGTGAAAATTCTGTTCTTTGGCAAATACAAAACTAAGTGTGAGTTCGGTTTGGGAAATTATGAGAGCTTCTCTATATCAGGATTAAACACTATAATGGAGAAGAGAGCAGTCTGGAAAGATGGTTGCAAGATAAAAAGAGAGATTAATAGATAAATACAAAAGTGTTTGAAAGATCACCAACACAAGAAAAGAGAAGATACTACCAGAATAAATTTGTAAACAACTTGTAAGGATATCCTGGTCACACTCAGTGATTATAATAACAGGAGCTCCTATTAAAAAAAAAGACATTTCTGCCACTACATAGGATTAAGATTCAAACTAAATGAAGACATGCAAGCACCCTTCATTTGGTTGAGTAAATTCCCCATCCTCTCTTTAAGTTAAATGCATTCCTTTCATATATACTGCAACTATGTGGAACAAAAAATTCGAAGTAGAGGTCAGTTTAATTTTTTTTTAAGGACACCATCATTCTTTTTTTTTTTTTTTTTTTTGCACATAGACCTCTAGCAAAAGTTTGAATAGTGCCATATCTAAGAAACTCTGAATCTTGCTATTTTTGAGATACATTTTATTACATCTTGTCATAAGATTTTATCATGGCAATTTTTCTTCTGCTGTGGAGAAGTCAACTGTGATTTTTTTCAATAACCATTTACAGGGCACCAGGTGCCAACAGGGCATTATGCCAGCTATCATGTCTGATGTAGAGTTGTTTAAAATACTGTTTGTGCCCTTGAGAAGCTAAAATAGTTGAATAGATAAAGAATTTAAGTTTATATGACTGAGAGCAATATGTACTAAGTATCATTTGACTGTCATAAACAAAGATTTACAGGGATAGAGAAAACAAAAGAGTATTCTGAAAGAAAACATGAAAGACTTTGAAAAAATTATTAAGATCTAATAGGTGGGAATGGTGTTGTAATTTCCTTTTGTACCTGTAATACATTGCAACTAACTTCATGGCTTAAAATAATACGTATATATTATAGCTCTGGAGATCAGAAGTCCAAAATAGGTGTCAATGAGCTAAAATCAATTTGTCAGCAGGACTGCTCCTTTTGGAGGCCCTGAAGTTAATCTCTCTTCTTATCTTTTCCAGTTTCTAGAGGCTGACCATATTTCTTGGCTCATGACACCCTTCCATCATCAAAGCCAGCAATAACTGGTCAAGTGTTTCTCACTTTGAATCACTCTGACACCAACCCCTCCACCTTTCTTTCTCATATTTAAGGAACCCATGTGATTACATTGGGTCCACTGGATAAACCACAATAATTTCCTTAAAGTCAGTCAAGTGATAACCTTAATTCTACCTGCAAACTTAACTCACCTTTGTCACATAATATAGCATATTTAGAGGTTCCAGGGATTAGGATATAGACATCATTGGGTGGAGCGTTAACCTGCCTTTCACAAGTGACAAAAATTATTAAGACTGGAAAGAGAGAATTGCTGAGGAAATGTGTTTACATTAAATAATGTATAGGATTTTGAGATTGTGTTGAAAGAGATAATATTGGAAAGGTAAACGTGGATTTGGAAACTTATTTATAGGCAATTGAAATGACATTAAAATTGTTTGAGGAACACAGTGTTACAATCGTAGATCACCTCTAGGTAGATTAACTAGAAATGCAGCATGACTTGAATGAGGGAGTCTAGAGGGGAAAGACCCTGCCTGGATTGCTCATCACTGTAGCCCCAGGGTCAAAGACAGTGCTGACAAATAAATATTTGATGGCCTGCTCTGCTTACCACAGAGACAGGCCATCAGGATTAAAGAGATTATATAAATATAATAAAACTTTAAAATTTTTATGATAAAAATAATGTGATTTATTACTGTTGGCAAGGTATTTATCTTTTTCAAACTTTGATTTTTACATTAATGAAATATAGATAAAATAATAAATACCTTGTAGGAATGCTGAAAGGCTTATAAGATGTTTTATAGTCAAACACGCGCACAGCAACTGCCACGTGGGATGCACTCAATAAATCCTAAATGTTTTAGTTAATCTATGCATAAGTCTAGTCATCTTCTCTTCATTATTTTAAAAAGCACATGTGTATCAACTTTTACTGGCTAAGATTTGTTATTTGAGTTAGTAGTTTCCCATAACATCACTTTCAGCCTGTCCCAGTAGGCCAGGTTACATGTTTTCATCACACCTTCAATTTCATTTATGATTCTCACATTAGAGAGCAGAAAAGTCACTTTGAAAGGCTGAAAAATGAAGACTATGGGACTGTGATTGGCAGAATAATAAGATGATCCCCAGTAATTCCTCCAACCTTACATCCACTCATTGGAATAATTTCCTCTTCTAGATTAGAGATAGAGCCTGTGACTTGCTTCTAACCCACAGAATATGGCAAAGGTGATGCCACTCTCTTGATTACATTATTGTTAGTTTTCTATTGCTATGTAACAAATTACCCCAAAATTATAGACTTATAAAAACATATATTTATTGTCTCAGCTTATAGGTTAAAAATCTAGACAGGCTCGGCCTGGCACGGTGGCTCAGGCCTGTAATCCCAGCACTTTGGGAGGCCGAGGCTGGCGGATCATGAGGTCAAGAGATCGAGACCATTCTAGCTAACATGGTGAAACCCCGTCTCTACTAAAAGTACAAAAATTAGCTGGGCATGGTGGTGCTCGCCCGTAGTCCCACCTACTCAGGAGGCGGAGGCAGGAGAATGGCCTGAACCCAGGAGGCAGAGGTTACAGTGAGCCGAGATCGCGCCACTGCACTCCAGCCTGGCAACAGAGCGAGACTCCGTCTCAAAAAAAAAAAAGTTCTGGACAGGCTCAACCGACTTAGCAGCTTAGAGCCTTACATGGCCAAAATCAAGTGTTAGCGCAGCTAGGGTATTAGTGGAGGCTCTGGGAAAGAGTACGCTTTCAAGCTCACTGTGACTATTAAAAGAATTCAGTTCCTTGCAGTTGCTGGACTGAGGTCTCTGTTTCCCTGCTAGCATCAGCCAGAGCTTGGTCTTTGCTCTTAGAGGCTTCCATTATTCTTCCTCTTGGACTGATTTATCTTCAAACCACCAATGGCATATTAAAGTTCTTTCTTGTGCTTCCATATCTCTTACTTCTTGTTTTACTATCTGCCATAAAAAACTTTGTTTTTAGTGGGGTCTATATGATTTAGATTAGGTCTATATACGTAATCTCCTTATCTTAAGATCAAATGTGTCATACAAAATAACAATTATGGAAGTGACATCTTAACATATTTATAGGCACTAGGGATTAGAGTATAAAATCTTGGGAGCCATTTTTAGAATTATGGCTCAAAATTAAATATTTATAATTTAGATCCCATCTTAGCAAACTAGTGAGAGAGATTCTCCTGCTGGACTGTTAGAAGCAAAGTCATATTGTGTCAACTCTCTGTCGTGGCAGATAATTGACTGGGAGCTGAGGGTAGCCTCAGTCAACAGCTAGTAATAAGCTGGGATCCTCACTATTACAAACAGAACTGCAGGAATCTGAATTCTGAAGACAACCATGTGAGCCTGGGAGAAGATCATGAGCTTCAGAGAGGAAAAATAGTCTGGCTGACACCTTTATTTCAGCCTTGTGAGACCCTGCGCAGTGGGCACAGCTAGGCTGTGCCTCCACTCATGAACCAGAGAAAATATAAAAAAAATCGTTTTGTTTTAAGTGACTAAGTTTTTGTAATTTGTTACTCAGCCATAGAAAACAGATACACAGGATTTGCCTTTAGAGATCCTGGTTCAGTGAGTCTGAGGTCGGAATCAGAAATCTATAGTTTAACAAATAGCACAGGTACATTTGATGCAGACAGTCTCTGAACTAGTTTGAAAAGCCTAAATTTATTTCTTATAATTTCCATCTTTCATTAAGATGGAGGAAAAGCTCATCATTGCGATTTTGTGCCTGGGAGACCTGCATGCAGCCAGAGTTTTCATTCCTTCATTTCCTTCAGGAGAACATTACTCAGTGAAAGCAGCTTAAAATCTGTAATAACCTGAGAAAGACCCCAGAGCAAGAGAATCTACAAAATCCATGGCACTCAAGACATAAAACAGCTTGTTTCTTCCAAATATTGGATAATTCAATCATCTTCCAGAAGGCCACCAGCAGGAGAATGATAGAAATGACATATTTGCTGTTCATGGAAGAAAAAAATGTAATTGGAAGGAAATAAGACAAGATGTTCACAGATAAAGGAGGAAGTATCTGCTGGTTTTAAAAATTGTGTGCTAGTTTACTCATCTGCCAACAATAAATCTCTATTTCCATCTTCACAATCAAACTTTGTTAAAATTAAATGTGAAAAGGTTTTGCATTCAGCAGGACAGTGGTTTTTTTCTTAATGCCTAGAGATAGATCTATAAAGAATAAAGGTTAGTCACTTTAGTAGAACAAGGAGCTGTTTATCACTTCACAAACCTAATAACTGATTTCCTAAGAAACAGTGCTGAGCACTAGGGCTGCAATTATAACTCCAGCACACACATTCCGGCATTTAGGAAAAAACTCTATTTTGTGATTAGCAAGCAAACCACCTAGCCTGTGCTTATTGGACTATATATTTTTGAAGTGGCTTTGGTGCTTTGGTCTGTAAAATCATTTACAGGCTATATTAATCACAATTTCTTAGCCAAAATACATTTTGACATCACTGAGAAATCAATGTATGTAATTCTTCATTGAGGGCAATGCTGAGTGCCCTGCTGATATTCAGTTCATCAAATCATTGCATTTTGGGGTAAGCAGGATCAACTGCCAAACTTAAATGTTTCTCTAAACAGGTATAGACAAGATTTCCTGTTAGTCAGTGATATCAGTTGAAATTAGAACTTAATAATGAAGTATTTGTTTAAAAAATTAAGTTTCATAGTTGATAAAAGTTAGAGAAAAGAACTTCAGGCCCTACCACCACCTTTTGGGAGTAAAAAGAAGGGGGTTGGTTAAAAATAACATTTTACTAAAAAAAAGTTTTTTGATTGAAATAGACTTGTGTATTTTGTAATGTGCATTTGAATAGCATTTTAGAATTTGTCAACAAGATCCTAAAAACCTTACTTGTGACATAAGACTCTCTCTTTGTTCCGGGGGTTGACAAATTAAGCCTGTGGGTCAACCCAGGCCACAGCTCTTTTTTTTTTTTTTTTTTAACAGCCAGCAAGGTAAGAATAATTTTTACATTTTAAAAGGATGAAATAGAATATGCAAAAGAAACTTAGTTACCTATAAAGCCTAAATTCTGGCCCTTTACGACAAAAATAGTACGCTGACCTCTGCTTTAGAAATTGGTAGAACAATTTACTGAGAACTACATGGCTCAGATAAAATTTATAAAGATCTCTCTTTACCAAGACTGCTTTCAGCTTCCATAACTAAAGACCACAAACTAGTTTGACTCCACCAGAAATTTATTTTCTCACAGTTTTAGAAGTTAGAAGTCCAAAATCAAGGTATCAGCAGGGTTGGTTCCTTCTGAGGGCTGATGAGGGAAGGATGTGTTCCAAACCTCTCTTCTTGGCTTATAAATGACTGTCTTCTCCCTATGTCTCTTCATTTCATCTTCCCTCTGTATGTGTCTCTTTGTCCAAATTTCCCCTTTTGTAAAGATATCCATTATCTTGAATTATGGCCTACCCTAATGATCTTGTTTTAACTTGATTACCTCTGCAAAGACCCCATCTCCAAATAATGTTACATTCTGAAGTAACATTGAGAGTTAGGACTCCAAAACATGAATTTTGCAGAGACTGAATCCAACCTAAAACCTACCTAAAACAGTAGAATTCTTTAATATCCTCCACATCAACCAAATAAAAATTTCATTTGTGATAGACTTAAATAGATTATATGGCACACTCATGGTCAAATGGCTAATAAACACAAAAATAAGACAGAAACCCAGGTTTTTGGACTCTAAGTCAAATATACTTTCTGTTCCCCTCAGTTGCTGTAAGGAATAAAATAAAAACCATATCACACCTTACTCATTCATTCAATTAGTCCATTCTACATATATGTATATCATATGCTTATTACATGTCATACATTCTTACATAAATAAGATGGTATCTGTCTCTATGTGAAGGGATAAAGTGCTTGTGCAGGTATTTATAATAGAAGGCAAAAAGTGATGAGGGCCACTATAAGATATCAGTAATTCAAAGAAGAGATTTTATTTCCTTCATAAGCATAGTTTTAGCGCAAGTAGCCTACATCTTACAGTGTGCGTAGCCTCAAGAGTCTGTTAAGGTGGAAACTATTCTCTCTTCGCACTCTGAATGAGAATATCAAAAGCCATTACCAGTCAGGATCTATCTTTTTTGGATATCATTTTTTTCATAGTATCTGATAGGATTTTTTAAATTGGGATGTTCTAAAAATAACACATAGAAAAGGTTTAATAATAACTGAATGTTTACCATGTAATGAAAAAAATGTATAACAAAACAGTTAATAGAAGTTTATGCAACAAAACAAAATTAACATATACCATGATAATCCTAAGAGAATAAATAAAGGAACAGAAAACCAAATACCACGTATACTCACTTGTAAGTGGGAGCTAAACATTGAGCACACATGGACATAGATATAGGAACAGTAGACACTGTGGACTACTAAACTGTTCCACCTCAGACCATCAGAGATTTAGTTAGAGTCTCTTCAGGAGGGTGCAACCCAGATCCCTCACATGTGTGGTTCACAATAGGCTTCTGCTTCCTATGAGAATCTAGTGCCGCTGCTGCTGATCTGACAGGAGGCAGAGCTCTGGCAGTAATACTTAATCTCCCACTGCTACTTCTCCCCCACTGCTCACCTATTGCTGCTCCACTGCTCACCTCCCGGGGTGTTGGGAACCTCTGTACTAGAGGGTAGAGAAAGGTATGTTAAAAAACCATCAGGTCCTATGCTCACTATCTGGGTGACAAGATCTGTACCCCAAACCTCAGCATCATGCAATATTCCCATGTAACTATCCTGCGCATGTACCAACTCTATCTAAAATAAAATTTGAAATTAAGTATATACATATATATGTGTATATATGTGTATATATGTGTGTGTATCTATGTGTGTGTATATATATGTGTGTATATATATACACACACATATAAGAAAAGAGTGGAAATTAATACTTAAATCTCATAGCGTATGTGTATTATATATATAAATACTTAAATCTCATAGTGTGTGTATATATGTATATATACATATATGCACATTTATTATTAAACAATATTAATATTATTACATATATATGTACACACACACTATGAGATTTGAGTATTAATTTCCACTCTTTTCTTATAATTTCTTATAATTAGGGAAACCCTTAGTAACCATGTAACCTAATTCACATAAGCCTTTTTCGGTTTTTTGTGTGCTTTGTTTTTGTTTCATTTACTTTAATGTTGTTTGTGTGATTGCTGCTGTTGTTATTGTCATTCTGACCTTCCCATTCTGAGTCATTTAGTTCTCTTTTTCTCTCACTTCTCGTTTTTGCAGGAGCTTGCTAGATGGTCAGTTTCTTTTATCAAGGTACTTAATATCAATATCAGGGAATTTACAGCATCACTATAAACAATTTCTAAAGGTTTACATTATTTATATTCTCTCCTGAATCTATTTAAGCAGGCTAGGTTTCATCCAAAGCATGATCTCTAGAAAATGCTTGCTTCTGGACTCCTTCCTCATTTCTCTCCTCTGAGACACGGGCTTGGCCTCCCACTGAGTTAAGCTATATGGTAGAAAGGTTTTTATAGCTCCTCAATTTTGGCAAAAGCAGAACGGCTTCCAAGTTAAATCTAAACTGAGAAAATCTCTTGCACTGCACAGATGTCATTGACTTAATTATATTTCCTGTGATAAAATATTGAATTTCTCCTCTAGCCATTACCACATAGAGTTTTATTGTTTAACTACAGCATGCCTATTTTTGAAACATCCGACTCTGATATATGAGTTCATCATATCTTTAAATGCATTATCTAAGTAGAGGCCAAAGAAGACCCACGCTTGAAATGATTGTTTCATCTAAGTTGGACGGCCATTTTCGGCACTAAGGTTTAACCAGAGAGATAAATATTAGTCTTTCTGTGGTTAGGCTTACAGAATCACAGGAGTCTAAACAACTTAAGCAAAATACTTACATTGCATTATATAACTTGGATTATGTAGGTTCTTGACCCAAACTGCTCCAAGAAATGCCAAGACCCCATTTTACTTTGTAGACATAAGACTTTCTTTTCTGTCTGAGCAAATGCATTTCTGCATGCATGTAATCATTTTACTCATGGCTCCCTCTCTCTTCTAGCTCAATAAAACATTAAATTATTTGTTTAAAAACATATTATTAGTTTCGCATATAACACAACTTTAGTTAGATTTATATATAACATGGATATTGTATAATTATGGTTATTTACAGTAATTACTATCTTATTTTTTTGTATTACGAATTCAACAACACAAAATAAAAGTGTGCATGCAGTGCTATTTTGCATTTAAACCCTAAATCCAGGCACTCTGCTCAATAGAAATCCGAAACACTTGAAACTTTTCTCTCACATAGATTCTGTTGGAACTGAGGGGAGATTTAAAGCAGAGGACCTGGACTTCTCCCTTGGGCATGCACACTCTACAGTATCCAGCACATCCCTGAAACCAGAGAAAACTCATTTCAGGGACTGGGATTTGAAGAATTGTCCATGCTGGGTAGTCATCTCAATGCACAACACATTTCTCATAACAGAGTTCCCAGTGGCAACTGGTAAAAGCCACTGGAAGTGTCAACCTGCTCCATTTTGTGGATAAAGTAGTGAATTATCTGTACTTCGAGAACCCTAAAATTGGAGTGGAACTTTGAAGTGTGAGGACTAGGCTGATATTGTGGTTGTCTATAATTTGGAGGTGGAAGGCAGGGATTGCTTCTCTCACCATTATCCAGCACATGAATTGTTATAAAAGGTAGAACTACATCTCTCTGTAAACACTGGTGATGTTCCACACGTACTCACTAAATTTTAATTTTGTGCCATGGGATAAAGTCCAGGGATTTGCATTTTGCACAAGCATTCTGGAGTTTCTTTTTCAAGTATTTCTTCCTTTGAGAAACCAAATATAAGAGGTAATAATTTTTAATATTATCTGATTTATTCAATTATATAAGTAGAAGGAATTAAATTATATTTAATATAAAGAAATAAATATAAAAAACATAGTAATGAATTAATGAATAATAACCTGTATTTATCCCTTTTATCTATCCTATTACATTATATAGTATATAAAATATAGATTTGCCTTTTCAAATTACAGAGTAATACTTTTTTGTCAGTTCTATGAAGGTATAATTTCTGTACAATTATTATCTACAAAAAACTGCATCCTATTTAAAATACAAAATTTTATGTGTTTTGATAGAGGTAAACATTCATAAAACCACTGCCACAACCATGACATAAACATGTCCATTAGCCCTAAAGGTTTTCTCAAGCCCTTTTGCATTTTATCCCTCCTTCTGTTCCTGTCCCCAATCATTGATTTGCTTTTTTTCACTTTTTCATATATTTATTGTCCATTCTTAAATTTCTTAAGTGTTGGTTCACATATTTCTCCATTTTCTGTTGGGTTACCTTCTTATTGGTGGATTTAATTTTTTTAAAACCCTAAGGACTCCTCCAGAAAACTGCTAGAACTGATAAAATAATTCAGCAAAGTTTCCAGATAAAAGATTAATGTACATAAATCAGTAGCTCTTCTCTATGCCAACAGTGGCCAAGCAGAGAATCAAATTAAGAACTCAACCCCTTTCACAATAGCTGCAAAAAAATACTTAGAAACATAGCTAACCAAAGAGTCGGAAGACCTCTATAAGGAAAACTGGAAAACACTGCTGAAAGAAATTATAGACAACACAAATGGAAACACATCTCATACTTGTGGATGGGTAGAATCAATATTGTGAAAATGACCATGCTGCCCAAAGCAATCTACAAATTCAAGGCAATCCCCATCAAAATACCACCATTATTCTTCACATAATTCAAAGAAACAATTCTAAAATTCATATGGAACCAAAAAACAGCCCACATAGCCAAAGCAAGACTAAGCAAAAAGAACAAAGCATCACACTACTTGATTTCAAACTATACTATAAGGCTATAGTCACCAAAACAGCACAGTACTGGTATAGAAATAGGCACATAGACCAATGGAACAGAAGAGAGAACCCAGAAATAAACCCAAATACAGCCAACTGATCTTTGCAAAGCAAACAAAAACATAAACTTAGGAAAGGACACCCTTTTCAATAATTGATGTTGGGAAAATTGGTTAGTCACATGTAAGAGAATGAAACTGGACCCTCATCTCTCACCTTATACAAAAATCAATGCAAGATGTATTAAGGACTTAAACCTAGGACCAGAAACTATAAAAATTCTAGAAGATCACTTTGGAAAAACCTTTCTAGATGGTGGCTTAGACAAGGATTTCATGACCATGAACCCAAAAGCAAATTCAATAAAAACAAAGATAAATAGCTGGGACCTAGTTAAACTAAAGAGCTTTTGCATGACAAAAGGAACAGTCAGCAGAGTAAACAGACAACCAGAGTGAGAGAAAATCTTCACAATCTTTACATCTGACAAGGGACTAATATCCAGAATCTACAACAAACTTAGACAAATCAGTAAGAAAAAAACAAACAATCCCATCCAAAAGTGGGCTAAGGACATGAATAGATAATTCTCAAAAGAAGATATACAAATGGCCAACAAACATGAAAAAATGCTCAACACCACTTATGATCAAGGAAATGCAAATTAAAACAACAATGCAATGCTACCTTACTCCTGCAAGAATGAACATAATCACAAAATCCAAAAACAGTAGATGTTGACATGGGTGCGGTGAACAGGGAACACTTCTACACTGCTGGTGGGAATGTAAGCCAGTACAGCCACAATGGAAAACAGTGTGGAAATTCCCTAAAGAACTAAAAGTAGAACTACCATTTGATCCAGCAATCCCAATACTGGGTATCTACTGAAAGGAAAAGAAGTCATTATTCGAAAACGATACTTGCACACACATGTTTATAGCAGCACAGTTCACAATTGCAAAATTGTGGAACCAACCCAAATGCCCATCAATCAATGAGTGGATAAAGAAACTGTGGTAAATATATATGATGGGTTACTATGCAGCCATAAAAAGGAATGCATTAACAGTACTTGCAGTGACCTGGATGAGATTGGAGACTATTATTTTAAGTGAAGTAACTCAGGAATGGAAAACCAAACATCGTATGTTCTCACTGATATGTGGGAGCTAACCTATGAGGATGCAAAGGCATGAGAATGGCACAATGGACTTTGGGGATTTGGGGGAAGGGTGAGAGTGGAGTGAAAGATAAAAGACTACAAATATGGTGCAGTGTTTATTGCTCAGGAGATGGGTGCACCAAAATCTCACAAATCACCACTAAAGAACTTACTCATGTAACCAAATGCCTCCTGTACCCCAATATGGAAAAAAAATGAATATAACAATGACCAAAAGTAACACAAAGTTTACAGTCTGGTGAGGCAAAGACATTTTTATGAACTCATTGCACAAGTAAATATAAATTAAAATGGGAGAAAACTCAATGTGCAGTAGAAAAGTGGTCAACTTATGTTCTTTTGATTTAATATTATGCAGTAATTGAGGTTGTTTTAAATAATTGTAAAATAATCACAATAACAGCAGATTTTTTAAAGTATAATATAAAAGTACAGATTATAATGTTATTTTATAAAATAAATGCATATTTAGCCTTAAAATAATTTTTTCATATTATTCTGGATCCAAGTCCATTGTCAGATATATAGAGAATATTTTCTCCTAGTCTGTGGATATCCTCTTCATTTTCTTAATATAGTACCTTTCAGAGAGAAACAAATTTTAATTTTGATGAAATTTAAGTAGTACCATATTAGGGGCAAGGCATTGGTCTCTGTGGTTAGCAGATGGGACATTCAGAATTAGTAGTAACTACAGTGGCTCCGACTGGAGGGAGTCCACGCTAACAGACCTATGTGTATCCTGTCAAGTGTAATCATGTCTGTCATGGAATAACTGATGTGGAAGGCTGGACAATATCAACTTGTCCGTAATTTTGTCTACTTGCTTGTTTGGTGCCTCTTCTTTGGTGAATAATTTTTAGTGGATATTGATCTGTGATACAAAAATCTTCATCCCTTTTATGCCTTTCCACTTGTCTGTCCACACACTTTACCCCTGACTTCCTTGTCTCTAGCCTTTTCCCTTTCAGATATCTGATTGGATGGTGACACAATTAGCCATTGCCCAAGAATCTCTATATATTCTCATCTGAGCCACTTCTCTTTCCACACAAGGTGGGTGTCCAGGTGCACGACTCACTGCTCTGCTTGTAAAGAATATTTCTTCTCTCCATTGGCTTTCTTTTTTAGACTTGAATTGTAATCCAGAGAGTCTCTGGTTTTGGCTTGTATGCAATTGCCAAGTCGACACATCTAAAATCCAAGCTCAGATTTTTATTCTTCCTTAAGATGGTTTTATGTAGTCTCATATTATAGGGTCATTTAAGCAAGCTGGGGAATGATGCTGATCGTACTATGGTGTCATGGGCATGTAAGTCACCTGCGTATTTTTATCTGGCCCTGCTCAAGATCAATCCCTAACATTTACTTTTTATTTAGGACTGCTGTTGGTTTTGTTCCACTTTATGAATTGGTGCATCCAATAGAACCCAGCTCATAGTGGGCAGCTCCAGGTGCATGGTCACCTGATGGCCATGGTTAAGCAGTTTGTCTGTACCAAAGCCTAGTAACATGCCAACAGCTATTTCTCAAATAGCACATAAGTCTCTGTGATAAATGGCATCATGACCTCACTTCTGAATGGTTCTCTCACTGGAGCTTGCCCAAAACCTAATGTTGCATCTTTTCCCATGAATACCATAGTGACTGCTGACTTGTATGGCCCATGTGGTAGTACTGTTTGTAATGAAATCTACACCTTAAGTAGAATTCTTTTTTGATCCAGGTTCCATTCAAAATTGGTATCATATGTGTCACTGGGTATAAAGTCTAAAGCAGTATTCCCAGGTGTGGACTATTTTGTCTCCAGAACTCAAGAAAGGCTAGTTGCAGTGCACTTCATTCCTTGTGATAGGTAATGAGTCACAGCAACTTGATTTTTACTTTGGAGCTAATATGCTGCCATTCTCTGATGACTAGACCTATAAGTCTTTACTAGAAGCCACAGTTTTTGAATGTTTATAAGCTTTATCTCCCTTCCACTGGACCACATGTATTTTATCAAAGCTCAGTTTACTAGCCACCTCTTGTTCATCTGGTTGGATCAAGACAATATCATTGATTTAATGGATAAGTGGAGTGTTCTGTGGTGTGTCCTGCTATTCCAGATTTCTCTGGGCTGTATTACAACACAGTAGTAGAGTTAATATAGATCTATGACAACACTGTAAATCAATACTATTGTCTGTTCCATGTGAATATAAACTACTTCAACTCTTCTCTCCTAACCAGAATAAAAAAGAATGAATTCACCAAATCAACAATTGCAAGCCATAAACCTCATGCTTTATTACTATGTCTTGATAACTATATCATGTCTGGTACAGTAACTGATATAAGGACAACTAATTAGTTAAGCCCACTGTCTTCAGTCATGTACCAGTATCCACATAGATTCTGCATGGATTCACGCGGCAGAATTAAATGGAGATATAATAGAAACCACCAAACCACCAGGTGTGCAACCCAATAAGACTGTAATGGTGGTACCAATCTCTTTAATCTCTCTTGAAGTAAAATAACGGTTTTGATTTAATATCTTGGCCAGTAGAAAGAGTTTCAGATGTTTCCGCTTGGTCTTACCTACTGAGTTAGTTCTTATTCTACGGGTCAATAATATATTGGTGGGAGTTACTTCAACTGCTAAGTATAGCAATTCCACTTATGCACTTGGAGATTGGGTAAATGAACTTAGAAATCGAGTAAATTCACAATTGCTCTACACACCCAATGGTCTCATTCTGATTCAGTCTTAACTACAGCTGCATTTATTATTTGGTGCCCATTAGCCCCCACTCTAAAAGGCAGCATAATAATGCTTTGGATTTTTAGGTGCCAATGTCAATAACCTGTTTCCAACACTACTCAAAATGCCTGGGCATTTTTCTTTCCAAAGTGCAGTCAAACCTGGTAAATGATATTGGGTTCCTTTGGAGAAGGACTAGGGGAATCATCACATCACATTATATACTTGCCACAGTATTACAGCGTTCTTCCTGCAAGAAGGGACCACCTTTAGACAATGGATTCCAGATAGTAAAATTGGCTCAGATCTAGGAAATTCACAGTAGATCATGACTTTATATCAAGACTACTGCTCTCAGATTCCTTCTCTACCATCCTCGCCTTTTTTCTTTGTACTAGATTTTAATCAGTACCCTTGTTGGCTGCCTGTCTAGTTTGCTTGAGGAATGCCACTGTGATCTATTAGCCATCTCCACAACTTCCTGAAGGTCAATCATCCTTGGATGCGCCTCTCACCTTGCCAGTCACTGTAGTAATTAGGGTATCCTGGCTCCTTGTGATTAGCCCTGTGCCCCGGCTCTGTCACTTCATGGATGACATTGATGCCAATTCTATGACTTCTCTTTCCACCAGTCCTAGTTCACAGAGAGGACCACAATGAACTTTTTCTTTTTTCCACACTGAACTTATTAATGATGCTTGTTCTTCTCTCACCATGGTATTTATCATGGCCTTAAGAATGATCTGGGGGAGATTACTGAGTAGGAAACGTGTTGCCTTGTTGAGGACATGCCTCTGAAATGTCTTTCCAGAGTAGAGAAAATGCTAGCTCTTATTATGAAAGGGTCAGCAACCTGTCAGTTCTGAGGATTTGGGAGAATCTGCTCAGCCAATATCTTCAGGGACACTTATCCAGATGTTGTTATCCAATGTCTCAGAATCCCACATGTTCATAACCAAGGTCCTGATCTCAGAAAAACAGATCTGCCCTCGTTTAGATGCAGACATCTCTAGACCTCTGTGACTCTTTTAGGTCTTCAGTCTCCAGGTTACCTATGACATGTTTAGCTATTTACTGCTTGGTGGTGGTGCTCAGTTTTTCATTATCTCTCTGCAGGTGACTAATACAAATTAGCAATAATCAGTCCATTCCACTCTCATTGTATGGATAATTTTCCCACATATTCCAAAAGCCAGGATCATTGCATCTGCAATGACATTCCCCTCCACTGGGACATTTTCCCAGGAAACCACGAATGAAAGCTTTAGCTATTGTCTTGTGCCAGAGACTAGCTGTGCCCCATCTAACTATCCTTTTTGCCCACTGTTCAGTGAATGAACTAGTTCTAAACCCACTAACATGTAGGTAATAAGTAAAATTTGTCTGTTTCCTCAGACCATATTATTTAATTTGAACACTATATTTTGTGCACATTGCATGAGACTTATTACATCTGTGATTCTGGAAGACTATGCTGATTTGCTAAATGTGGGAAAAGGGGGCTTTGGAATGACATTGTAGAACATTAACTAAATAATTTTGTTTTGATTATGGAAATTTAGGATGATATTTAGGTAAGGGGCAGGACTGGAGATATTATACCAACAGGTGAAGGTCAAACACTGTGTGACGATGAACTTCCCAAATAAAAAGCTCAGGACTGGAGAGGATGAGAGAATAGTAAGACAGGGCTTTATTATCTAATTTCCATGCTAACATAGTAAAAATGTCTCAAAATGTAAAATATCATCAACAGTAAAATCCTAATGATCCAGGAAGGGCTATTTCCTAGGAAGGCTCTGCTGTCTTGATGTTTCTGACTCTAGTTACTTGGGTCCTCTTTCACCCTTTTCCTCATATCTGTATACATCTATTTTTTCATTAAAAAATTCTCTCATTCTTATGTGGATTATTTTTCTCCTTCCTCCCTTCTTAACCTCTGTCTTCCTTTCTCCTGTGCCTTTATTTTTTTCTCTCCTTTACGGTAATGATATTTGAACCATTATGTAATAATCATAATTAAGTGAAAAAAGAAGAGATTGGTAAAGCTGACCAAAAATAAGCAATCAGTCAGAAAGGTTAGAAGAAAACTGGTAATAATAAATGAATTTAAATTTTACTACAGGGTGAAATATAAAAAAAGAGCCAGTAAGACTGAAGAAAACCTGAATACGAATCAGATTTTAATTAGTTTCCCCATATTGTCAAGGAGGTTTTAGTACTCTCCTGCTACTAAATTCATCTGGAAGAATCTTTCTGTTTAAATTGAAGCAACAGAAATAAAGCTTACTGTTAACTGAGAATTTGTTTTTTAATTAGCAGACTGGTCAAGTTGTATGACACTATATGGAAAAATGCCAAAGTTTATGTGTTCTCTCATAATTACATTGTAAACCACTAAGAAATAAAATTTGAAATGAAGAAAAATATTTTAAGCATTTCCTGAAGTAAGCTGATGAAGTCTCAACAAGATACAACCTAAAGAACATTATAGTTCTGTTATAGTCTAAACTTTCAAAAATGATTTGTTTTGATAGACATCTTCAGTTTTCATTAAACTCTGAGGCCCTGTTGGTGTTCTTAGTAGTTCTTACGGACTCCTCCTTTTCTTCATACACATCAAACATGAAAACACAAATCAAATTAGTTTGTAATCTTAAATTGATTCTTACTCAGCTTTTTGGCCCTCTTCAGCATTGAGCACAGTGCTTGAGAGTGAATTCACCTCAGCAAAAGTTGTGAAATGTCTTCCCCCAGACAGTTTACATGCAACAAATTGTGGGAAACCGAATGTATTTAATGATATATTATGCAAAGTAAGCAGCTATTTAGCTGATTGAGAGTGGGAATTTTTTTTTTAATCAAGAAGTGGGTATTTTTTGTCCAGTGTTTGATATCTCCCTGGGCAATGTGAAATGAATAACTGAGATCCTTATAGGTTTTTCTTGGATGAGTTAAGTCTTGAGTATAGTAAAATATGTAGCTATCACGATCCTAGGTTAATAATTTCTCCCAGGGCAAGGGCAAGGACAGCGTCTTGTCTCTGCTCAAGAATCAGCCACGACATTTTATCTCCTCGGTGTGCCTTTGGGAACACTGGCTAAGCTGTGCTTCTGTCACCAAACCCTGTTTTTTTTTTTTTTTTTTTTTTGCAGTTGCAAGATTTAATAGAGTGAAAACAGAGCTCCCATAAAATGGGAGGGGACCCAAAGGGGGTTGCCCACTAGTCCCTCTTAATGCTACTGTTGCTGCTACTCACTGTCCATCTGCCTTCAGAATTTTGAAGGGACTGCCATGTCATTTCTGCCAAACCTAAAATTCAAAGCTACACTTTCGTGGGTTTTATCTTTGAATGTTTGTCACAGGTATCACTTTGAAAGTAACTTTAGAATTTTCTTTTTTCAAAAAAATTATGTATTAAATCTAATATGATCTTATAATTTGAACACTTTTGAAGGTAGTACACAGTACACTCAAATAACTTGTGAGGAGATAATTTAGACAAAATTTTGAAAGTGCCCTACAGGTTTTAAAATTATTTACATTTATTGAAGCTACTCTATAAACTGCTCAGATTCTATCAATGATTTTCATTCACGATTATTTTAGAATTTAATATCACATTAGTTTTTGCCTAATTGAAATTGAGTGTTACAGGTGTTGATATAATGATTGTAAAGATTTGTTTCAAACTAAAAAAGGAAATCTGGCATAGAGGGGTTTATTTTGTGCAGAAAGTTAATATGCTGAGATATGGGATGTAACACACAATGTAGTTGCTTTTATTGGTTAAACAGATAACTGATATGCAGATAGAATAATAATTATAGTAATAGCTATTGGGAAGCTAAAACATAAACCTAGCTAAAGCTGAGGAAAATATTCAGTGGTGAATTTTGGCCATTTTTAATCTTTTAAAGTGAGAGAGAAGTTTTGAAATCATTATCCTGATGAAAATAAAAAAAGAATGCAGATGGGGTAAATTATTTTTTCATTGACATTTCAATACTATATTGTCTATTTAGGCCATCCATTTTGGCATTATATAGCTCTATGGTGATTGGTTACGAACTTCTGAAAGAGCCCAGAAACAATTTAGAAATGCAAAGTATTATTATTAAATTTTCTCCTCATCTGGCTTATAGGTTCCTGGAAGGCAGGTTATCTGACTTATCCCCTTGTTTTCCCTCCTTTATTCTTTGCCACTTCTCACTCCTCTTCCACTGCCCTCACACTCTGCATTTAGCAAAGTGTTTCACACAGAGCAAGATTATCCAGTTCCTCATTTTCGTGGTTGTTTTAGGCATTATTTATTTAATTATACAAGTTCAGAGATGGTTTGCAAAGAAAATACCAAACAAGTTGGAAAGCTTATAATTCATGTTTTTATAACATTTTTTCCTTGCAGTGTAGTATTAATGAGGTAACCTACTAGAAAATCTAGCATTTTTTAATCTCCTGTAGTATTTAATAAATATCATTCTATGCAGTGTTGTGCTGGTAAATGTTTAATAGCTAGCTCTCAAAATAAAGAAAAAAGAAAGATAGATTTGTTGTGTTTGCTGACTTCCATGTTGTAAATTCTTCCACAGCAGCTGGCTTCTAGCTACCGTGTAGTGTCACTGAATGGACACTTGGGGAGAGATGTACACAACCAGCTCTTGAGAATAAGGGCAAGGTGGGTCATTACACCACTGTTTCCCTAGCAGAAGACATTGTTGCCTTGCCCATGTTCCTTACAACTGTACCGTTTCATTGCACTCTGCCTTAAATTCCAGCTGCTAGTTTATTCACCTCTGTGCCTGAGGGTCCTCTGTGGATGTGGGTTCGGTTTTTGCCTGAGCCAGAAATGCCAAGAAATGATTTCCATTGGCAGCAGCAATCAAACAATTACTGACAGTAGTTGGTGCATAAATTCACCAGCTCCCTTAGCTCTCTAATTGGATCAATCTGAGGCCTATGTTCTAAAATAGCTCCCATTGTTTTCCAGCAAGATTAGCTTCCAGTTGTCCACAGCAGTGAGTTTCAGGGAAACACATCCTATATTGGTTCTCTCCTCTTCTCTTTGTCACTTTCCTACTTCTTTACAGGTGTTTCCCAGGATCATCTGAAAAAACTACTTGCATTGAATCCTGTCTCAAGATCCATTTCTGCTGGAGCTCAAACCAATTCAAACTTCTGTACACTTCAATTTCCATCTTTTGCAGATGTCTTTGAGTATGAATTGGAGTATGAATGTCTATTCAAACCCATATAACTATTCAGTATTTCCCATGCTTACTGCAATAAAGGTGTGATGCTTCAGGAACTTCTCATTCTGTCTGGTGAAAAATATCGACGTCCTCATAGCACTGCACCATTAAATACTTGTAACAGAGAAAATGTGGCTGTCAAGTACAACCTACTTGCACACGTAGAAAAGACAGGTTCTGACTCTTTTGTTGTCCCTTTTTTTTTTTTTTTTGAGATGGAGTTTCAGTCTTGTTGCCCTGGTTGGAGTGCAGTGGCATGATCTCGGCTCACTGTAAACTCCGTCTCATGGGTTCAAGCAATTCTCTTGCCTTAGCCTCCTGAGTAGCTGGGATTATTGGAGCCCACCACCATGCCCAGCTAATTTTTGTATTTTTAGTAGAGATGGGGTTTCACCATGTTGGCCAGGCTGGTCTCAAACTCCTGACCTCAGGTGATCCGCTTGCCTTGGCTTCCCAAAATGCTGTGATTACAGGTGTGAGCCTCTGTGCCTGGCCTGTCACGTATTATTGGAGGAAATGTGAAGAACTGAGGCTGAGCAAAAGGATTGCACCTGGAAGGACGAAGGCTAAAGAACAGAAAAAGAGAGGCATGGGACATATTTTATTGATATAAATGGAACTGTATTTTTTGAGGTGTTTTTAGATATACTTTCCACGGTCTTATTTTTGGTGCCTGCTTTCTTTTTGACTTCCACGTGCAATAATTTCCCTAAACTACTTCTATGTATGATTTTATTTCATTTTGTTTAACTTTTCTGCTCAAGTTTTTTAAAATGTAAAACCTAAGCAGAAATATATATAAATGCTCACAAAATATAATTTTAATGTCTGTCTCCATTTTCAAAATGGGAGAAAATATTCACCATGAAACTGAAGAAAAAATCTGGAAGTGTTTGACTTAAAAAAAAAAAAATCCCACTCATCATTCGACTTATCCCTAATAGTTATTGCCTTCTCCCCAACTGGTGATGTAAACAAAATAATAATAGGATAAAAAATTCAAGGGAGAATAAGCAAATATTGTTAAGTTTTTCTTCATCTTGTGATGTGCATGATGCTTGAATATGATAGAAGAGATGCCGTCTGTGTGGTGTCATTAGAGTGCTGGCTCAGAATTGCCTTGATTCTTCTCATGTGTTATGGGAGCTATAAATCCAACAGCGAATAGTAGCCACAAGAAGTGACAAGTGCAATTCAGCTTCCAAGACCGGTTTTCAGTGTTGTCCCTGGTATTAAGTTCTGGATTCACCAGGAACCTGAATGTCACCATATGTCTTGTGAAATTAGTTTACTGACACACAAAGTGAGGACCCTTCCTATGGCACCAGGAAAATCAGACAACTGTACATTTTTGAGGTCAAAATTAAATCTTGAAATAAAGTACTTTTGTTAAGGCACAATTTTCTCTTACATGTTAGCTATTCTAATTATAAGTAAAATTGAAATAGCTTTTTTTTTCACTCAGAGCTCTTAGGGCGGCTTTCAAGAGCACTTAGGCTATTGCAGAATAAGGGCTGGGCTACTGTGAGAATGTATGTTTAATTAGTGAATATTGGATTAAAGGAGAAATTGGCCAAGAAGTGCATGAAAGAGTCAGGAACCATATGAATTAGTCAGGTTATTTTTGATATT
This sequence comes from Homo sapiens, assembly GCF_000001405.40. Classification (NCBI taxonomy): domain Eukaryota; kingdom Metazoa; phylum Chordata; class Mammalia; order Primates; family Hominidae; genus Homo; species Homo sapiens. The sequence goes on from NC_000003.12 coordinate 94,610,598, forward strand.
TTGAGTTGCTGAATAAACAAGCCATTCAATGCCATCATTTTTATTATTTTGGCAAAAATTACTCAAAACAGAAAATGGCCAATAGATGATGTTGTTGGAACTGAAGGTTTGTAATGGAATTAGAGTAACAGAAAATAAAATCAACTTCTTTTAGGGAATTTTTATTTATGTTTTCTACATTATGAAAGATGACACTGTTTATGATTATGTCAGCTGAAATTAAATGCTATTTTATCATTAGATGTTTGCTGCTATGGTTTCTGATATGAAGATTTCTGATCCTTTATGTATACTCTTCTTTGACCACCAATCCTCATTTATAAATGATGACTAAAGTGGCTCTTGTTTCTTAGGAAATTGTTCTTTTCTATGACTCCAATTATGACCAATTGCCAAATAAAAGGAAGCAGCACCTAATTTATTAGTTGATTGATAGGAAAATAAAAGAAGTTTTCTGCAAGTAGTAAAAGTAAGTATTCTGTTATAATGTGGCACTGAGTAAGTAACCCAATTTAATTTTCTACTATTGGATAAATTTTGTTATTTAAGTGGAGTTCAGTATCCAGATGTATTTTAGAAGCGATGTTTTTTAGAGTGGCAAAATGACAAAATGACAAATGTTCATGAAAAGATATAAGCATATATATGGTATGTATATTGTACCATATACATACTGTGTGTGTGTATACACACACACACACACACACACACACACACACATATGATAAACCCTAGCATAGTACTGTGTCAACTTTGGGATCCTTCAACTGAAGACAGATGTAGGGCACTTTGAAGATATACAGAAAAGAAGTATCATTAATGGACTGGCACATTAGGTGTCAGTATTTGTCTAGGCAGATTTTTTTCCTTTGGTTCCTTTCCAGTTTCTAGATTTCCCCTGCCTCATCCCATACCTAGCCCCTTGTGCCTTTTTTCTATATAACTATTAACTCCTATTTTCACAACTTAGATATCTCCCAATACAATTTTAATATCTCCAAAGAAATATTTGTTAGTTGGATATTTGGAGGCACGAGTGTCACATGACCTGAAACTTTGTGGGTAGAAATTTTATTTTCAAATGTATTCAGATCAGTCTCTGATTAGCCAAGTTCAGACAGTCATAGGGAGATCATTCGAGAGTGAGACGCACATAAACAATCTCCCAGCCCACTATTTTATTTTCATCAAGCCAACATTTGTAGCTTAACCATCCATGAGGAAAGAACCCTGAGGAGTCATAGAAAGGAGCAGATTGAGCTCATGGAATTGCTGAATGGTGAAAAACTGATTTTCATTACTAATGAAGGCACAAAAACGCAGGGATTTAAAACTAATACCTGAGAGTTTTGAGATTTAGATTATATGTAGTAAAGGCTTAGAAGAGCCACGTAGAAGTCAACATTCCTAAAATGTATTCTCCTTCTTTTCTTTAGTTTTCCAATCTTATTTATTAGCCTTTAGTCTTTTCTCTTTTGTTCATTTTGAAACCTTGTTCCAAGTAATCACCATCCAGATAATTGCCAGTATAGCTCTTGCTCAAATATTTTCTCTCTTTAAACAGGTGGCTTGCCAACCAATTTGCTATAGACTTATTTATTTTTTCTTCTTTTATTTCCTTTTTCTTCCGTCTGCCTTACAGCTACAGAAACTTGAAAGGGTCACAGTTTATGCCCAATTTTTCCCTTCCATTTCCTTTTTACAAAATTTCATTTCTTTAAACTCATTCTACAGGACATTTCTGTCTTGAAAAATGAGACAGACTGTGTTAAGCACTGTCCATTACTACTGTATTCTTCTGTTTCACCGTTGTAAGATATACTGAATGCCATGTCCTATTGTGGATATGTCAAAACAAAGAGAGATAGCAGTTTAAGGCCTCTGTTCACTTCCTTTCTATTATATTTTGAAGTATTCCATATTTTGAAATAGTTTTCAATTCATGAAAGAAAATTAAAAACCTGTATCCTTTTTTCCCTTTCAGCAAAATAAGGCAGTCACTTTTCATTTAACCATCTTTGCTACAATATAAAACCTAAAAATAAGAACACTTTGTGTGTGTGTGTGTGTTGTGTGTGTGTGTTAAAGACCAAACAAACATGACACAATGCCTGCTATTATCTTGGGAAATTAGCTGTACAGCATTCACAGGCTTTCTTCCAAGTGCTCCAAATTCATTTATTTGGTTTTTGAATAGAAATTTGTCTGGCCGAACAACTGTATGAATCAGAGAGGATGTTTTTTCCCCTCAGAAATGACCCTTGACATCCCCAGTCCTGCTGTCTATCTATACATGTCTGTTTGTCTGTGTAGCCCTATAGAGACTGGCTTCATGAGACCCAAGTTTTTGTAACAAAGAAAACAATCTAGTTTTACCTTTGGAAGCTCACCAAGAACCATAAAGAAACCATGTATTCAGGCAAAATGCAGTTCGTTGGGAAAGGGTTTTAGGGAATGTTTTCAGCAAGGACAGTCTTATTAATAATGCGAATAGCAAGTTAGACGTCATGTCGTGATCCACAATAAATCAAGGGAAGGGGTTTAAACATGACCACTGGCAATGTACTTCAGGGTTATTATATGCACAGAATGAATCAGAGCAATGCTCATGGCTGCTTTCAAACTTCTCCTAGCTTTCGATGGGGGCTGATGTAATGAGCAAACCCAAAGACTTTTTAGATTTTCAGGATGAATGATAAAAAGAGTTTATAGAACAGGCAAAGTGATATATAAGGAGAAATCTGGCATAGGGTGGGCGTCTGCTGATGGGATAGGAAAGGGATAATTGGGAAACTCCTGAACATCTCAGATAGTGTAGTGGAATGTATGCTGATTCAAGCATCAAACAGGCAAGATTCTGATGCAGTCTAGCTGTACAGTTTTGGTCAAGTTTCTTAACATCTGTGAATCACAGTTTTCTCAACTGTAATATTAATATGAGGTAGAAATATCTGCTTTTTGTGCTGAATTAGATGTGAAAAGTAGAATAGAAAGGTGTGAAAGGGTTTGAGTTTGAGAAACTGTAAACATAAGAGTATCTGTTGGTTAGAATAAAGAACTCTGGAGGAAGACTAGGTTTGATGTGGGAATATTTTGGTACACCATCCATCTTGTAGTTGGATGATGTTGCATCATCCAACTAGAGATATGAAATCAGTAATTGAATATATAAGTCCCAAACTCAGAGGAGTGGTCAGAGCTGGGCATAAGTATTTAGAAGCCATTGTATTGGTGGTGACCGAAGCTATAGTATAGACGAATGCTCTTCGGAGGAGAATATAGAATGAGAAGAAAAGACCTTGAGTACTTTGACATTCAAAGGCTAGGTAAAAGAGGCTGAGCCAGAAGACAGACTGGCAAAGTTTGGCCAAGAAAATAGAGTAAACTCAGGAGAATGACATAAAATTCAAAGGAAGAGAAAACTTTAAGAAAAAGACTGTGCTCAACCCTATCTCAATCAATTTATTTCCATGTCTTCCATTAACACATATTAGAAGCTAACACCACTTATCACATGAGCTATTGCAGTAACCTCCTAAATTATATACTTATTACAATCAATTTCCCACAACATGGCCAATAACACTGCATTTTGAATTCCAAATTTCGTCATGTTATTTATCTGCCTAAAATGCTATAATGCCTCACATTTCTTACAGAACAAAAGTAAATCCTTAATAGGTTCTACCAGGCCCTGCAAGATATGGCCCCTGATCATTTCTACAGACCTGTCTTGCACTGCTATGTCCTCCCCGTGTCAGCCTGGGCCTCCTTCACTTTCTTAAGTGTTCTGTGCTCTCCTCTGCATACTGGCTTTTCACATGCACTTTCCTGGCCTAAAACGCTAGTCACTTCCCCCGCTGCTTTGATCTAGGATATCTTACTTACCCTTCAGAATTGCAGCAGAAAGTCATTTCTACAGGAGTCCTTCCCTGACCTCCAAATTACAAAGCTCCTTGGTTTTTGTTTTTGTTTTCTTTTTCTCTTAACTTTGTAGCCTTTTCTTCATGGAATATGGGTAACATCTGACTCTTAAGCTAGGCTCTAAAGTCCATTAGGACAAGGACATTGTATTATTAATGGCTGTATCCTCAGTTCCTAGCACGGCACATGGCAAATGCCAGGTTGTTAATAAGTAATTGTTGCACTAATGCTTAAAAGGATATTTCACATTCTATCTATATTTAAGCATTAAATATGTATTTATTAATGCTTAAATATAGATAGAATGTGAAATATCCTGTTAATCATTGATTTTTTTTCATCTACTGTTAGATGTTGGAAAAGCCTAGAAGATATGTGAAATATTTATTTTTAATGAGGTGCTAGGATGTTATAACTTATTGATACTAACTGAACACATGCACAGGGAAATGGCTATTTACATACACAAGGATTACTCTGACATTTTAAGTATTTCCAACATAATTTGTTGCAGACAAAATAAGGAGGTCAATAAAAGGTCTAATCAAATTTTCTTATTTCTTTTCTTTATTTTTTCTTCCTTTCTTCCTTCCTTTTCTTTCTTCCTTTTTTTTTTTTGGCAGAGAAGGATGGAGTACTGTATTTCCCATAATATAGGTGATATAGACCAGCTATTAATATTACCACTGTATTTTAATATTAAAATGAGGAGGATTTAGAAATATTCAGAGTATAGATGTTTAGGATGCTTATGTGTGTATTCATACATACATATATATATATATATATATACACACACACACATGGTTCAATAAATCATCTTGTTTCTTCTTAATTAATTGCTTTATTTCCTAGAGTAATGGGAAATGTTGAACACATAACTGAATCCTGTTGCAACAAGCTGATTTTCAGGGGTCACTAGTCCTGTTATGCAGGCAAGAACAGGCCTTGATTGGATCTGGCAGGCCATCTGTTATACCTCAGGTGTCCTAGAAGCCTCATTTCCTGTTTAGGTGAGTCAACAGATCTAACATATGTGCCAAACTTTTGAGAAATTAGCTTCCTTTAGAAACGACTAGAAGGACATAATTAGTGAATGCTCTACCGGAGAAAAATCACTGACACTAAAATAATATCTTGATTAAAACTTATTATTGATACTTGTTTCTTTCATCTCTTTGGTTGTCCTGTTTGTTTTGTTTTGTTTAAACACCTTAAATCCTAGTGGTATGAAGCAACAACAACTTTATTATACTCACAATTTGGGGATTTATGGATTTGGGCTGAGAACTAGCAAGAGCAGCATGTGTCTATTCCACAGTGGTTGGGGAATGAAGTGCTGGCATCTCTCTCTCCATCCAGTCTGTCCTCATGACTGACATGGGAACCTGTCAGGGAGGTAGGATTTCTTATAGGGCCCTGGCTTTCTCCTGTGAAATCCTTCCAAGAGACCAAAGGAGAAGCTTCAAAGCTTCTTATGACTTTGCAAGTCATATTGTGTCATTTCCACTTTCATATTATGGATACACAGGGGTATCCCATTTTCAATGTGGTAGGGTCTGAATACCAGGAGGTGTGATTTTAAAAGGGATCACTTTCGGGACTAGCCTCCACATCGGTATCTTTGAATTACTACTTTTCTCTCTGTGTGCCTTCCTGCATGTTAATCCTTACACTTTGCTTGAGATACAAGGAATAAAGCAATTACTACTGTGATTTCCACTATTAAAAGAATGAATGGATTCAAGGTGCTTCTTTGGAGAAAGCCATAACAATACTGAAAAACTTGGAAATAAAACCAATTACTTATATATCCTTATCTGCTCTCCCGAGAGCTAGATAATCTTTTCCTTTTGATTTAAATATTATATAGTCTAAGGAGAAACATTAATATTTTACATACTACAGTGTTACTACCAAGTTTAGAATTGTTACCAGGCTGAGAAAACCGTGATAATAGAATTCGGAAATGATACTGTATGCCTTGTAAACAATACCCTACTGTTGAACGTAACCAAGGGCAGCATATTTCCCCAAAATCTTTGTTCTTTCTTGTATTCCGAGTGAGCTTCGGAATACAAATAAACATTTTAATTTTTTTAATATTTTCTTACACGAAATAGTGCATGAACGAGACCAACAATTAGAAATAATGAATTTATTGTAACATCCCTTTCAGACGTACAAATGAGGAATTTTATTGGTTATAAATTTTATATAGAACATCTTAGAAAAAAGTAGAGGTCTAGCTTTCTTTCACTGGTCACAGTTTTTGCCTTTTTCTTCCCCTGAAACATTATAACAAATTTAAACTTAGGCTGTGTTTGCACAACATAAAGTCTATGCTTATAATGCAAAACATAAGAGTTGCCGTGGTAATTTCTTCACTGTGTGTACCAAACCAAAACAGATATATCAGGCCTCACTGTGTAGATTTACTCTTAACAGAGCTCAACAAGTATTTGTTGAGTGCTTACTATGTGTCAGGAACAATACCAAGGCCTGGAAATATTTAGATAAATATGACATAATCCCTACCATCAAACAACTTACATTCCAGGACAGACAGTCATGTAGACAAATAAATACAATATGCTGTGTTAGGTACTCAACACATGCCATAGCGAACAAGACAAAGGAGTCATTTTTTTTTTTAGCTGATTGTAGGAGGTGAGGAGGAGTTACAGAAAGGAGGAAACATTTTGGCCTGCATTTTATCCCCAAAAGACATATACAAATGTATAAGCAACAGAAAAGTTGTTTTAGATTTAAACACAGTTAAGACTTTTTCTGATAGTAGGTTTTAAAATGCAACACTAGCTTCTATCCAAATTAGAACTCATAATATATCTAAAAGGAGTTGTGCCATCTCAGAGATAGAGGTGAAGTGAATGAGAAATGGGGCAATGATAGATCTTCTAACGCATTACATATCTTTCCGTATGCCAAAAAAATAAAAATTCAATAGTCAACATAAGAGCAAGGTCATAATATTCATGAACAGAGCAAACACACCTTGTTAAATATTATCCAGCTTTGATTCAAGAATGTCCATCTAGTACTGATTTAAATTTTCACTTTTATATGAAGGTTACTGGATACTTTGAAATTTCAAAAAAGCCTTACATAAGATTTTTGATTTATGTAAAATTTAGATGTTTCTGTTTCAAGGAAAAGAACATTCAGCTACTTAGTTATTTACAATGGAACCCATTTTCTTTCTTGCTGTTTATTTCTCTGTCTCTCTCTCTCTTTCTACAAAATTCTGTCACTCTGCTTTATACCAAGTCTGGATCTTTTTGTAGTCTTAAACACTTCTAAAATTTCCTGGACTATTCAATTTCTCATTATATAATTTTAGGAATGAGAAGACTTTTTTTTCTCCAGTATTTCCAGGCAACATCATAAATTTTCTTTTGAGTGAATAGGATTCAATCTCATGCTTATCCTTGACCTAATTAAGATGGCCAGAGGAAGGGAATGTCTAATTGGCTTAGCATAAGTCTAATCTGCCACTGCAGGATTTGGTGGAAATTTATCTTCCCAAAATGGAAATCAGGGTTATTTAAAAAGAATGTGGGGAATGAGTCTGAGGAGGCAATCAATAATCATCCACTATACATACATATATATAAAATATATATTTATATGTAAAATATATATTTTATATATATATAAAGTTTGATAATTTGAAAGGCTTGAACTTTTTTGATTCTTGGTGCTAATGCAGATAACAAATCAAAAACTAAAGGTTACATCTTTTGTGGGTTGTTGTCCCAATGCAATAGTGATGTAACTGATGGAAAGATATGAACACTCACAGCCAAAAGATACACAGTCACTAACATTGAGAAAGGATTAACAACAACAAAATCTCACTGAGACAGCTGTACAGAGCTGAAAACATGGTAACTTCTGGTAGATTGGAAACATTCCTTTGCTTTAGGTCTCAGCAAGCTGCTACCTCTGCCAATAGGACTACCTGATGGGGTTGAAGACACCATCAGAACCTTCAAAAACTTCCCTTTCCCCTTTTCACAGGGATTTATATATTCTGTTGTCCCCTTTCAAATAATCAGGAAACTGACTATCGACTACTTGCTCACTGAATGTTTACTGGAGATACGTGAAAGGACAATTTTCCCTCATTTCAAAGTGACTAAAACTCCAGTGAGAATAAAAGTCTCAGGGTTCCCAATCAGAGGTGACACTTGGATCATTTTCCCACTGTACACTTTTTTTAAATTAAAAACCTGAGTTTTAGCCCTGCCTGAAACCTATTTCTGCATCACTGTTATTTAGAAACATGCATATTGTTGTCCTTATTTTTGGCACATTTGATTTTTTTTTTTTTTTTTTTTTTTTTTTTTTTTAGTAGAGACAGGGTTTCATTATGTTGGCCAGGTTGGTCTTGAACTCCTGACCTCAGGTGATCCGCCCCCCTCAGCCTCCCAAAATGCTGGGATTACAGGTGTGAGCCTCTCAGTCCTGTGTGTGTTTTTATTATTTTTATTATTTTTTATTTTTTGAGATGGAGTCCCGCTCTGTTGCCCAGGCTGGAGTGCAGTGGCTCAATCTTGGCTCACTGCAACCTCCACCTCCTGGGTTCAAGCGATTCTCCTGCCTCAGCCTCCCGAGTAGCTGGGATTACAGGTGTGTGCCACCACATCTGGGGCACATGTTAAAATATAAAATGGATGATAAATATTAACTTATCTTTGCCCTCTGATAAATATTAACTTATCTTTGCCCCCTTTGGAGTCATTAACAGATTGTAAATGATACAACTGTGTATTTTTATATTTTGAGGATTGTAATTTTAACAATAACTCCAAAAAGTAATCGTAGAACATTGGAGTTAAATATATATTTAAAATTACCTGAAATTTGACCACCTAAACATAATCATTATGACATTGTTTTAGGACCATAGTACATATATAGGGCTTAGCACTCAGTAAATGCTCAATAATTTTTTTTTGTATTTGAATGCTGAGTGAACACAAATAGTATATGTAATCACTTATAAAAATATGTTGATATTCATCTTTGAACTTGCACAGATTAGTTCTTTTATAAACATTTCCTTTATCAAGCTTGATTAAAATGTAAAACAAACCAAACAAGATGTGCACTGCAATATTTTACAAATTGTTATCCTCTGATGGGAATTCACACTTTCTCATTCTATTTGTATGATGCCATTTTAATTACATGTCACTGCCTAAGCAATGGGTGCGTGAGTGATTAAGCCTACAGGAACACTTGGCAGTGATGGGGGGAGGGCAGAAGGAGATTCTCAATTTATTATGACTCACTCAGGCATTAAACATGACATTCCTGGACAAGGACTATATTATCGTCAACTTGTCACAAGCACTAATTCCTGATCTATCACAGGAGTTTTCTTGACAAGCCACTTGGGAAAAAAATAACTCTATTCAGAAGGTCAACAGTTTAATTTAGAGAAAGGTGAAGCAATGGAGAGTGGTTCATGCTGAAAAGTCCGACCTGGCTCTTGAATCTTGTGATACAGAGAATATCTAATGGTAGAAAAGAGGGAGTAAGAAAAATTCAGAAACATCCTCGGTATAAATAAGCATCCATCATTTGGGTGTACCTTAAGCTATGTTCTGGAAGTTTTCAGGGGAACACTTTATTTTTCAATGCTATTTGGTAAGCTATTGCAACCTTCCCAATACATTAAGAAAGTAGTATATTTTTTCTTTTTTTTTTTCCTGGGCAAAAGTTTATATGTGTTTTCCTTATATGGGCAATACCCTTGGAATTAATTTTCTTATTTTTCATAGTGAATCTAACGTATTTAAGCTAAAATGAAATTAGTAGAGAGTAAAGGAAAAAAACCCTCTTAAAGTCATTAGCTTTTTGTGAATAACAAAAAGGAAGGTCCATGTAGGGTGCCATGAAGTACTTGCTAAGAGAAGGATAAACCATCATATATGCAAAGAAATATGTCTGTAAGTCTCATGTTGTGGACTGAATGGAGGGGAAAAAAGAAAGGGAAATATAGTGAAAGATAGTCAAAGGACTGTCTTTCACACAGACACTTAACATAGTGAAAGAAAGGAATACGTATGAATGTGTGAGAAAAATATATGGGTCTAAACTGAGCTCTACTATTTACCAGCTTTGTAACTCAGGACATCTTTGTATTTAATTTCCCTTAACCATAATATGTGGTTAGTAATAGTGACTGCCACATAGTTATTTTAGGGATCCAATGAGTTAATATATTTAAACTGCTAAGATCTTTAAATGAATAATTGAATCATAATAAAAGTTCAATAAATGTTACCTTTAAATTGCATGTTTTGACATGACTAACAGGAGTTGGGAGATAAATAAAGTATGAAAACCAAGAGACATCTGTAATATAAGTAAAATCCCAGTAGTCTAGTACATTCGCGTTAACCTCTTCAAACAAAACAAACAAAACAAAACAAAACAAAACAAAAACAAAAGAAAGCTTTTATACTTCCATACCACAAAGAGACATCTGCAGGAGTCAGTGTATACCCATTTTAGATATCTCTCTCTGATTAATCAGCAAAGCTCCCAGGTTTAGTTTGGTCTCAGAGAAATAGAAATCTTTCCAGATGGTTTAGAATGCCATGTCACTGCTTGATCACTTGAGTCTTATGATTGACTAGACGTTAGAGTTATCAAGCAAATCCATGTGCTACTTTGAATCTGTGGTAAAACCAGATAAGAGAATTACTGAGGAGGTCTCTGTGATTTTAAGACTGCTTATCTTTTTTGATAGATTCATTTTTGGGGAAAATTCACCTTATTCTACTGCATTCCAATGAAGACCAAATGCCTGACCACAGCTCAAGCAGTGACCATGCACACCAAGGTCTCTTGTTAAGGAAGATGTCCATCATGACCTAATTGTTATTGCATCTACCCAGTGGAAGTTTAAGAGTATCTTTCAGCATTTCAACATTGAGTAGTATATATGGGACCAAGATTGCATAAACTATGAAGTTAGACATAAGGGATTATACTAGTTCTTATATAGAATGCAAACTCCTTAGCCAGATGATAGAGGGCTTGAAATTAATAATTTGGGGCAGAAGTTTTTGAAAGGGTTGTGGGTGTGAGCACTTTGGAATAAATCCAGAATGAAAAATGTGAATATTTACCCAAATATCATCTCCATAAAGAGTCTCAAATCAAGTGGGCGGAGTAACCTATTCCACAGAGAACATCCATCTTCTTCCTTCTGTAAACCTGGTGCTCACTCAATGGCCTAATAAACAATGAGAACTTGAAGTCATTCTTTGTTAAAATAGCCTGCATTTCCCACTTGGCTATCATCACTGAGGAGTGTCCAATTTATCAGAAACTATGAGCCCCTGCTATGGCTTATAAACGGTGGGGACTAGACAGTTTCTTAATGGTGGTTTTATGATGTGGGTACCTTCTGTCATGAAACCGTCAGCATCATAAATTATTATTCTGAATTTGGATTACATTTACCTCCTTGTCATCCTTCTTTCAACTTCATCATCAGTGGGTTTTTGAGTCTTCATTTTGACATCATGTATGTGTATATATTTTAAATTATTAAATTCATAAACTATATTTTCAACCAACCACAAACCCTTGGCTGCTAAGACATTTCCTCATTTATCAAGACATTTCCTCATTTATTGCCAAATTTTTGCCTGATAAAATACACAGGTAGATTATGATGTTTCAGTTCTGCCTAAAGAAATGTTAAAACCACAAAGAAGATACTCAGATGAAAAGAGATAAATTCATCCCGTCATCTATATTTCTATATATCAAAATATTAAGTGTGATGTCAGTAGAATGTTAAAAGAATGGAAAAATTTGGCTGGGCATGATGGCTCATGCCTGTAATCCCACCACTTTGGGAGACCAAGGTGGGCGGATTATCTGAAGTCAGGAGTTCGAGACCAGTCTGGCCAACATGGTGAAACCCCGTCTCCACTAAAAATACAAAAATTAGCCGGTTGTGGTGGTGGTTGCCTGTAGTCCCAGCTAGTGGAGAGGCTGAGGCACAAGAATTGCTTGAACCCGGGAGGTGGAGGCTGCAGTGTGCTGAGGTGGTGCCAGTGCACTCCAGCCTTGGCAACAAAAGCAAAACTCCATCTCAAAAAAAAAAAAAAAGAAAAAAAGGAAAAATTTGATTTTTAATGGTACATTTGTTGTCATAGGTACATAGATACTTAACATAATTTAGACTGTGTTAGCTGGGCTAATGATAAATTACATATGCTATACATAATATTTTACCCTAGAAATTAGTTCTCAAATGCAACGTACATAAAGACACCTGTTTACCTGTTCTTTTTAACTCTGTGGCACGATTTAAAAATGTAATACAATTTTTCATGCTCTGATTTCCCAAACATGCCTGTCCTTGAATGTCACTTTCTAAATGATGATTTAGGAAACAAACACAGTCTTCCACAATAAAAAGGTGTTGAAGAAGTGATTTTTGCCCATGTTACTTCAAAGCAAAATTGACTAGTTGCAGGACAATGAATATTACTGCTCAGTGAAGCCACTATTGAACACGATACATCAAAAGCCCAACATATTTCTTTTCAGTCAATGTCTACCCTCCAGTATAGACATTTATAGTATAGGTCATTTATAGACCTATTTAGGGGATTTATAGTTTGGCCAAAGCTCATCTCTGTGAAAGAGATTATTTTTAGCAAAAAAAGGCCATGTTTGTATAATAATCTCAAATGTGATATATACCTTCTGAAATCACATTTGTATATGAACTTGGAGTTATCAGTTTATGTCTGATAATTTTAGATGCATAAAACTAAAGAATTATTAGATTGAAATGGACCTTACACGTCACAGATTCCTTTGGCCGGCTTGCTATTTGAACTCTTTCTATACCACCTTTATGAACTAATTTGTCTATGCTGTGACTCTTCTAGTTGATTAATCAATTGCCTAGGCAACCTCTCCTATTTTGGAATATTTAAGTATTTGTTTTTATTTTTAACTGGATGGAAATTTCTCTTTCTATAATTTCCATTTATTAGTCCTAATTCTTCCTTCCTCTATATAAAATTGCTTCAGATATTTGAAAATTGTTGCTATGTTCTTCTAAGTATTCTCTTTTCAAAATTAATGTTTTGGGTTCTCCAACTTTTTCTATTATATTGACTCAATGAATACATTATTCCTTGATCACTTGACATTTTTATTTCTCTCTTTTGGAGATTTTGTTGTATTTTATTCCTAAAGCCACAGATAACTAGATTTAAAAAGAACAATTTATTTTATCATGTGGTATACACATGTAAATCTGGATGCTTAGGGTTTTGTGGACCAGTATTCTATGTAGTGGAAAGGATTCTTCACTTTCTTCTTATTTTATGAATGCTATAATGTTATGCCATGTATTATAATTATGTGAATATATCTATGCCCCTTAGTTCCTTTCTCAATACTATTACCTCATGACAAGTTCCAGGAGAAAGGAGATCAGGAATATTTATTATATTTTTTTCCTGAATAGTAGGCTCCTGAGTCTCTTTCAAAAGAAGGTTTTAGAGGAGCCATATTTTGTAACATAAAATCAACCTGGAAAAAACCCCAAGCATATCTTACACAGGAAACCTTATCTACATGCTCTATTTGAAGTGAACAATGTAACTTTAAAGGCCTCATTTGGAATGGATGCTTCAAGGAAATCTAGAGCAGAAAGAGTCAGGGTCTCTATTGAATGTAACTCCATTTTGTTTTTTTTTTAAAGAAAATCCCAGATGTCACCACTATGCAATAGATTTAGGAAAAAAAAAAGCACCAGTATTTCATAAATTTATACAAATAAAAAAAGAAGTGTTATCATGGCAAAATAAACACGAACATGTGTTCCAAATCTTATGAGTATGAACCAAAATTACCAATAGGAGAAAGAAAGACTAATGAATTTCAAGTTTAGATTTGTCGCCTTACTTCTTACCCTCATGCTCATCACTCTCAAATACTTTTTGACAAACAAGGGCATTTTTAAAATAACCATTTTATCAACATCAAATCAGAGCATTAATATTGATACATTCCTACTATTTAATTATTGGACCTTAGACGTTATACTAATAGTCTCAGTGATGTACTTTACGGAAAATTGATCCACAGCTAAATCACACATTACAATGAATGCTTGTGTCAAAGTCTGGAAATACTTCCAGGCTTTCCCTGACTTTCCTCATGTTGACACTTTTAAATCTACCATAAAATGCTCCTCAGTTTGGGTTTGTATTATATTTCCTTGTAATCACAAGATTCAGGATATTCATCTCTGGCAGGAATAATCATAGAAAGTATGTTGGGCATTCCTTATCTGCATCCTATCACGTGGCACACAATTCTGATTTGTTTGATTGGATATAATGTTCTGTTTAATTATTTGATTAAAATGGTATGTATCAGCCTTGTCCAATGTAAATTGCTGTTTCCCTTTGTGACTGATATGTATGTTGATGTTAGTTACCTTGGATCCATGCAAATATTCCATTTATTAGAAATTTTAATTAATTAATTATTTAATATCAGTATGAATTTATGATTTTCTATTTTGTTCAGGTGATTTGACCTGTTACTATGTGCATTTATTTTCTTGTTTTTATTGCATCTGATACAATTAATAGTAGCTCTTTTTTTTTTTTGAGCTCTGTCGTTCAGGCTGGTGTGCAGTGGCGTGATCTCGGCTCACTGCAACCTTCGCCTCCAGGGCTCAAGCGATTCTCCTGCCTCAGCCTCCTGAGTGGCTGGGATTACAGGCACTCACTACCATGCCCTGCTAATTTTTTTTTTTTTTGTATTTTTGTATTTTTAGTAGAGACGGGGTTTCACCATGTTGGTCAGGCTGGTCTCAAACTCCTGACATTGTGATCCACCTACCTCGGCCTCCCAAAGTGCTGGGATTATAGGTGTGAGCCACTGTGCCCAGCCAGTAGTAGCTCTTTCAAGCCAAAATTGGTTTCCTTTTAACATGACCTGACTGTTTTGTGGGGTTTTTTTTTTTAAGCAAGTCTATTAGAGAAGTAAAGAAACAAAAGAATAACTACTCGTTAGGTAGAGCAGTGATGACCTCACTGTTTTTTGAGCACATTTTTGCTTTTTGATACTAGCAGATATTCCAGTTTCCTCTTGTATTTTCTGCGCCTTAGCCCTAGAATCCAGCATCTCTTCAAGGAGTACTTGCTCCTTTTAGTGAAAATTGTATTTAGAAGCCAACACTCAGCACCAGGTATGCTCTTTGTTATCAAGATTATGCTGCTCACAGATGATCTCAGTGGAGAGTTAGAGCATAAATACATGCATACACGTATATACATATATACATACTTAAGTGTAAGCATACACTATATGTATTTATTTATATATAAATACAAATGTGTATAACATATATACCTTTACATTATATTTATTTTTTCTACTTGTCTGTCTGTCAAAAACATTGAGTTCACAATATCTCCAATTCTAATCCAACCATGCAAGGTTCATTCTAATTTTCTTCCTCTTCTTATTATAACTAACTTCCTCCTCTCACAGTGACAAACCTGTTTCTATTATACTTAGAATATTAATACTTTAATTAATTCTTCTGTATGTAACCAATCTCCCATCTCCACTACCACACCCTTCCCAAAACGGATGCCCTCCTCACTCTAGGGCTCTGACATCCATATGGCACCGCCCAGGCAGACAGTCTCCTTCCCCTGCTTGGGCTCCAAAACCCCACACTGGACTGCTCTCCCTGTATGGAAGTGGCCCTTTCATGATGAGTTGTGTGTACTCATTTTTTCAGAATGCTCAGGCTCTGCAAACCTGCACCAGGTCTCCTCCTTAGGGGAATATCCTCTTCATTCACTGTTCTTGGGTTCTAACACTGCAATGGGCAGGCCACCCCCATCCCTTCCATGTGGTTGTGCTCCTCCTCCAGTCATAAACAGACACCGGATGCCAGGTTGTGGGTACCTCTTTGTCCTGGTTGAGCTATGACTCCCGAGGCCAGGCTGATCCTTGCTCCCACATGGATGCACTCCTCACCCTGCTTAAGTGTTGACATTCACAGCAGGCTGACCTCTCTATGAATGCCCTCCTTTTTCTGCTTGCACTCTAACATCCTATGCCAGATTCGGCCTTGCTATGATGCCTTCTCTCTCCACCCAGGCTCTGACATGCCATGGATTGAATTCTTACACTCCCTTTATTGTCTCCTTTCTTCCTCAACTCAGCTTGGCTCTATAGCTATGCTGACTAACCCCTGTGTGATGTTCTCTTCTCCCTGCTCAGGCTCTGGTGCCCTAAGCCAGGCAGCCCCATCACACTGCTTGGGATTAAAACACAAGGCCACTGTGGCTTCTACTCCCCACTCTCATATGCTTTAGTGCCTAGTTTTCTTTGCTCATCTAATTGCTTTAGAACTGAGTTGTTCAGGAAAGAAAGGGAAGAGGAAGAGGGAGAGAAAACTCTAAAAGAGATTTCTTATTTAGAAGAATTTAATTAGTAGCCTATATGTAAAACTGACTGCATTTCTCTTCTTCCATACAGAATTTATTTATCATTCTATTCCATTCCACTTTCATTCCCTAAAAATGTAAAAAATGTACAAGCTTTGAAATGCTGAAAAACTTAACATGAATAGGATCTTGATAGGAGGAGTTGGAGTCTTTCTGAAATGCTGTGTTTTCCAGTTTTCTATTGTTTGATATCAGGCTGCCTACACAAACACACACACACACACAAAGACACACACACACACACACAGATTTTCTCTTTTGGTATCAGTAAAAGTGTTAAATTGGACATATGCGTATTTCTAAGCAAATAGACTCTGGAAAGGTAAAATTTTATAAAAAGTCCCTATGCTATTAACAGTTCAACTGTTCATGCAGAGAACATGGCTAAACTAAGATGTACTTCTGCATTTTTGCATTTTAAGGCAAAATCAAATCTTGTGCTCAGAAAATAAAGAATCTGTTCATGTCGACACACATTTGCAGTGTTAATGTTTTCAGTCTGGCTTCAGTTTTTTACTGTATACCTATTACGCTATTGTTTTCTAGTCAATTGAAAAAAAAAAAAGGTACCTGAATGTAGACCAAAGAGGGACCTTGATGTACAAAAGAAATTGTTTCCAAGCTATCTGACTGCCAGAGCCTTTTTCTTCCCCTCCTCACTCCTGTCCTTGCCTCCTTTTTTACTTCTTTATTTTCCTTTTTGTTTTCTTGCCTTCCCTTCTTTCTTTCTTTTTCTTTTCTACTAATTTTTCTTTATTTCCACATCCCTCCTTCCCTCGCTCCCTCTCCCTCTCTCTTCCTCTCTCCTTCTCTTTCTTCCTCTTTTTCTCTGTCTATGCTGGGTGATCTTTGCTTCTTTCTTCTTTCTCCCTCCCTTCCCTCTTCTTCTGCCTTCTTTCCTCTCTTTCCTTTCTTCTTTCTTTCTGTCTATTCATCCTTCCTTCCTTCTTTCTTTTTCTATCTCCTGGTTAACTTTTCTTTTTTATTCCCCATTCCTTTTTTCCTTCCTTCCTTCCTGCCTTCCTTCCTCCCTTTCTCCCTTCTTTTTTCCATCTTCTCTTTCTTTCTCTCTTTCTTTCTTTTTCTTTCTTCCCTCCCTCCCTCCCTCCCTTCCTTCTTCCTTCCTTCCTTCCTTCCTTCCTTCCTCTCTTTCTCTCTTCTTTTTTCCCTCTTCTCTTTCTTTCTTCTTTTTTTTCTTTTCTTTTTCTTTCCTCCCTCCCTCCTTCCTTCCTTCCTTCCTTTCTTCCTCCCTTCCTCTCTTTCTTTTCCTATCTTTCCAGTTGATCTTTATTCTATATTTCTCTCTTCCCTTTCTTTCCTTCTCCTTTACTCTTTCATGCCTTGATTTCACTTTTCAGTCTCCATTAGTTGACTGATTTATTGATAATGTGAAATTAGAATTTATAGAGATTTAGCAGTGTCCTTCATGGAATAAAGGTTTCTGAGCCAATTTCATCTGTTTCCCAGAAAGCTGAGAAGGAAGTAGGTAATTAATAATGCAGAAATACAACAGGCTATGCCTATATTTTAAAAACACATATGGACAGGTCAGTGAATTCAGTCAAAACTGTCTTTAATCATCCAGGTGCTTGATTCACATAATGTTAAATACACAGGAAAGTTGAACACTACATTGGTTAAATATATTAATGCTACATGTAGACATAATTATTGGTGAATATTTCATTAAATCATTGGATTTGACCAGAGATTTTGATGATGGACAATTTATGTTTTTTGTATGTAAGATTTTTCATGTATTTTAATGAAGAAGTCTTATATATGCCTCAATATATAAATGTGTATCTTGGCAATATATACAATATTTATAATTAAGATCAGGAGTTGGTTTTCAAGATTTTTTTGTAATCTGAACTTTTGGTCCATTTAAATTTTATAAGGTTGCATTTTCTTCTATGTAACACCAAGCAAGATATGACTATGCTTACACAGCATCATAATTTTTAAGGTTTACTTATTTATTTTTTATTTATTTTTAGACTGAGTCTTGCTCTGTTGCCCCGGCTGGTGTGCAATGGCATGATCTCAGTTCAAAGCAACCTCCACCTCCTGGAGTCAAGCGATTCCCCTGCCTCAGGCTCCCGAGTAGCTGGGATTACTGGCACCTGCCACCATGCCTGGCTAATTTTTGTATTTTTAGTACAGATGGGGTTTCACCATGTTGGCCAGGCTGGTCTTGAACTCCTGACCTCAGGTAATCCAACCTCTTCGGCCTCCCAAAGTGCTGGGATTACAGGCATGAGCCACCATGCCTGGCCCATAATTTTTAAGGTTAAGGCTCATAGATTTGATTTTGATTCATCTACAAGATAATGGTAGCAGAATGACTATTCTCATTTTTATATGTGCAAATAAAAAGTAAGTATGAGACCAAATTATAAAAGTGAAAATAGTGTCCATGCATTATTCAGGGTAATACAACTAGTATATGGTGGAGATGGAATTCTTATCCAATTCTGTCTAACTTAAATTGTGGCATCTTAGCTAATAAAGTAGATGAATTTTGAACAAGTTGCCTCATCTTCCCATTTAGCTACACATTTGAAGTATGTGTGCAGTATGTGTGTGTATATATAAGTGAATGTATGTGAATGGCTTCAAAATTAAAATAGATTTATTATTGATGATTAACATGATGTGTGCTTTTTGTATAAACTTCTAACAATACACAAAAGTTGTAGGTGTAGTAAAACTTAACGAGTCAGACAAAACTACAACTGACATGTTGATGGAAAACTTTATAGATTTCAATTGTATTTCACATATATAAATATTAATGTGTAATTTTATATTATCAGGATCATTCTATGCATTCTTTTCTGTAACCACAGAAAATATATTATGACTGTATATAGTTTTTATAATGGTTGTACAAAATTATATTTCAGAGAAATACTTAATTTATTAAACTATTTATGGATAATATCTAGGTTGTTTATAATTTTATAACCTTTTTTATACTCTAGAGGAAATTTTTGCTAAATATTTTATTCATGTGAAAGAATATTTATTATATAGTTAAGTGAAAGATACAGTAGACTGAATATCTACAGAGCCTGTTCCCAACTTATGGAAATTCTAGCCAATAAATTGAAATTTTTTGCATGTTCATTCCCAATGGTACATGTCTTTTGTGATCTGGAAAGTTTATCTTATTTTTTAATTACTTTATGGTTTGATTGTATATGTATTTATCTTTAAGATACAAATTGTTGGCCAGGTGCGGTGGCTCATGCCTATAATTCCAGCACTTTGGGAGGCTGAGGCAGGCAGATCAAGAGGTCAGGAATTTGAGACCAGCCTGACCACTATGGTGAAACCCCATCTCTACTAAAAATGAAAAAAATAGCTGGGCATGGTGGCACACCCCTGTAATCCCAGCTACTCAGGAGGCTGAGGCAGGAGAATCACTTGAACCAAGGAGACGGAGGTTGCAGTGGGCCAAGATCACACCACTGCACTCCAGCCTGGGTGACAGAGCAAGACTCTGCCTCAAAAAAAAAAAAAAAAAAAAAGATACAAATTGTTCATTGTGCTGTTCCAAGATGGCCGAATAGGAACAGTTCCAGTCTGCAGCTCCCAGCGTGATCGACGCAGAAGACAGGTGATTTCTGCATTTCCAACTGAGGTACCTGGTTCATCTCATTCGGGCTGGTTGGAAAGTGGGTGCAGCCCACAGAGGATGAGCTGAAGCAGGGTGGGGCACCACCTCACCCAGGAAGCACAAGGGGTTGGGGGATTTCCTTTTCCTAGCCAATGGAAGCTGTGACAGACTGTACCGGGAAAATTGGGACACTGCCACATAAACACTGCACTTTTCCAACAGTCTTAGCAAATGGCACACCAGAAGATTATATCCCAAGGCTGGCTTGGTGGGTCCCATGCCCACGGAGCCTTGCTCACTGCTAGTCTGAGATCAAACTGCAAGGTGGCAAGCCTGCCTGGGGGAGGGGCATCGGCCATTGCTGAGGCTTGAGTAGGTAAACAAAGTGGCTGGGAAGCTCAAACTGGGTGGAGCCCACCACAGCTCAATGAGGCCTGCCTGCCTCTGTAGACTTCACCTCTTGGGGCAGGGCATAGCTGAACAAAAGGCAGGAGAAACTTCTGCAGGCTTAAATTTCTCTGTCTGACAGCTCTGAAGAGAGCAGTGGTTCTCCCAGCATGGTGTTTGAGCTCTGAGAATGGACAGACCACCTCCTCAAGTGGGTCCCTGACCCCCATGTAGCCTAACTTGGAGACACCTCCCAGTAGGGGATGACTGACACCTCATACAGCCAGGTGCCCCTCTGAGACGAAGCTTCCAGAGGAAGGATCAGGCAGCAATATTTGCTTTTCTGCAATATTTGCTGTTCTGCAGCCTCTGCTGGTGATACCCAGGCAAACAGGGTCTGGAATGGGCCTCCAGCAAACTCCAACAGACCTGCAGCTGAGAGACCTGACTGTTAGAATGAAAACTAACAAACAGAAAGGAATAGCATCATCAACAACAAAAAGGACATCTACACCAAAACCCCATCTGTAGGTCATCATCATCAAAGACCAAAGGTAGATAAAACCACACAAGATGAGGAAAAGCCAGAGCAGAAAAGCTGAAAATTCTAAAAACAGGAGCACTCTTTCTCCTTCAAAGGATTGCAGCTCCTTGCCAGAAATGGAACAAAGAAGGACAGAGAATAACTTTGACGAGTTGACAGAAGTAGGCTTCAGAAAGGCAGTAATTACAAACTTCTCCAAGCTAAAGGAGGATGTTTGAAACCATTGCAAGGAAGCTAAAAACCTTGAAAAAAGATTAGATGAATGGCTAACTAGAATAAACAGTGTAGAGAAGACCTAAAATGACCTGATGGAGCTGAAAACCATGACATGAGAACTACGTGATGCATGAACAAGCTTCAGTAGCCAATTCGATCAAGTGGAAGAAAGGGTATCAGAGATTGAAGATCAAATTAATGAAATGAAGTGAGAAGAGAAGTTTAGAGAAAAGAGAGCAAAAAGGAATGAACAAAGCCTCCAAGAAATATGGGACTATGTGAAAAGACCAAGTCTACATTTAATTGGTGCACCTGAAAGTGACGGGGAGAATGGAACCAAGCTGGAATAAACTCTTCAGGATATTATCCAGGAGAACTTCCCCAACCTAGCAAGGCAGGCCAAGATTCCAATTCAGGAAATACAGGGAACACTACAAAGATACTCCTCAAGAAGAGCAAGCCCAAGACACACAATTGTCAGATTTACCAAGGTTGAAATGAAGGAAAAAATGCTAAGGAAAGCCAGAGAGAAAGGTCAGGCTACCCACAAAGAGAAGCCCATCAGACTAACAGTGGATCTCTTGGTAGAAACCCTACAAGCCAGAAGAGAGTGGGGGCCAATATTCAACATTCTTAAAGAAAAGAATTTCCAACCAGAATTTCATATCCAGCCAAACTAAGCTTCATAAGCGAAGGAGAAATAAAATCCTTTACAGACAAGCAAATGCTGAGAGATTTCGTCACCACCAGACCTGCCTTACAAGAGCTCCTGAAGGAAGCACTAAACATGGAAAGGAACAACCAGTACCAGCCACTGGAAAAACATGCCAAATTGTAAAGACCATCGATGCTAGGAAGAAACTGCATCAACTAATGGGCAAAATAACCAGCTAACATCAAAATGACAGGATCAAATTCACACATAACAATATTAACCTTAAATGTAAATGGGCTAAATGCCCCAATTAAAGACATAGACAGGGAAATTGGATAAAGAGTCAAGACCCATCAGTGTGCTGTATTCAGGAGACCCATCTCATGTGCAGAGACACATATTGGCTCAAAATAAAGGGATGGAGGAAGATCTATCAAGCAAATAGAAGGCAAAAAAAAAAAAAAAAAGCAGGGGTTGCAATCCTAACCTCTGATAACACAGACTTTTCACCAACAAAGATCAAAAGAGACAAAGAAGGCCATTACATAATGGTAAAGGGAAAAATTCAACAAGAAGAGCTAACTATCCTAAATATATATGCCCCCAATACAGGAGCACCCAGATTCATAAAGCAAGTCCTGAGAGACCTACAAAGAGACTTAGACTCCCACACAGTAATAATGGGAGATTTTAACACCTCACTGTCAATATTAGACAGACCAATGAGACAGAAGTTTAACAAGGATATCCAGGACTTGAACTCAGTTCTGCACCAAGCAGATCTAATAGACATCTACAGAACTCTCCACCCCAAATCAACAGAATATACATTCTTCTCAGCCCCACATTGCACTTATTCCAAAATTGACCACATAATTGGAATTAAAGCACTCCTCAGCAAATGTAAAAGAACAGAAATCACAACAAACTGTCTCTTAGACCACAGTGCAATCAAATTAGAACTCAGGAATAAGAAACTCACTCAAAACTGCACAACTACATGGAAACTGAACAATCTGCTCCTGAATGACTACTGGGTACATAACAAAATGAAGGCAGAAATAAAGATGTTCTTTGAAACCAATGAGAACAAAGACACAATGTACCAGAATCTCTGGGACACATTTAAAGCAGTGTGTAGACAGAAATTTATAGCACTAAATGCCCACAAGACAAGGAAGGAAAGATCTAAAATCAACACCCTAACACCACAATTAAAAGAACTAGAGAAGCAAGAGCAAACAAATTCAAAAGCTAGCAGAAGGCAAGAAATAACTAAGATCAGAGCAGAACTGAAGGAGATAGAGACACAAAAAACCCTTCAAGAAATCAATGAATCCAGTAGGTGGTTTTTTGAAAAGATCAACAAAATTAATAGACTGCTAGCAAGACTAATAAAAAAGAAAAGAGAGAAGAATCAAATAGATGCAATAAAAAATGATAAAGGGGATATCACCACCAATCCCACAGAAATAAAAACTACCATCAGAGAATACTATAAACAACTCTATGCAAATAAACTAGAAAATCTAGAAGAAATGGATAAATTCCTTGACACATACACCCTCCCAAGACTAAATCAGGAAGAAGCTGAATCTCTGAATAGACCAATAACAGGCTCTGAAGTTGAGGCAATAATCAATAGCTTGCCAACCAAAAAAAGTCCAGGACCAGACAGATTCACAGCTGAATTCTACAAGAGGTACAAAGAGGAGTTGGTACCATTCCTCCTGAAACTATTCCAATCAATAGAAAAAGAGGGAATCCTCCCTAACTCATTTTATGAGGCCAGCATCATCCTGATACCAAAGCCTGGCAGAGACACAACAAAAAAAGAGAATTGTAGACCAATATCCCTGATGAACATTGATGCAAAAGTCTTCAATAAAATACAGACAAACTGAATCCAGCAGCACATCAAAAAGCTTATCCACCAAGATCAAGTGGGCTTCATTCCTGGGATGCAAGGCTGGTTCAACATATGTAAATCAATAAACGTAATCCATCACATAAACAGAATCAAAGAAAAAAACCACATTATTATCTCAATAGATGCAGAAAAGGCCTTCGACAAAATTCAACAGCCTCATGCTAAAGACTCTCAATAAACTAGGTACTGATGGGACGTATCTCAAAATAATAAGAGCCATCTATGACAAACCCACAGCCAATATCATGCTGAATGGGCAAAAACTGGAAGCATTCCCTTTGAAAACTGGCACAAGACAGGTATGCCCTCTCTCACCACTCCTATTCAACACAGTATTGGAAGGTCTGGTCAGGGCAATCAGGCAAGAGAAAGAAATAAAGGGCATTCAATTAGGAAAAGAGGAAGTCAAATTTTCCCTGATTGCAGATGACATGATTGTATATCTAGAAAACCCCATCGTCTCAGCCCAAACTCTCCTTACGGTGATAATCAACTTCAGCAAAGTCTCAGGATACAAAAACAGTGTGCAAAAATCACAAGCATTCTCATACACCAATAACAGACAAACAGAAAGCCAAATCATGAGTGAACTCCCATTCACAATTGCTTCAAAGAGAATAAAATACCTAGGAATCCAACTTACAGGGGATGTGAAGGACCTCTTCAAGGAGAACTACAAACCACTGCTCAACAAAATAAAAGAGGACAGAAACAAATGCAGGAACATTCCATGCTCATGGAGAGAAAGAATCAATAACATGAAAATGGCCATAGTGCCCGAAGTAATTTATAGATTCAATGCCATCCCCATCAAGCTACCAGTGACTTTCTTCACAGAATCGGAAAAAAACTACTTTAAAATTCATATGGAACCAGAAAAGAGCCTGTATTGCCAAGACAATCCTAAGCCAAAAGAACAAAGCTGGAGACATCATGCTACCTGACTTCAAATTATACTACAAGGCTACAGTAACCAAAACAGCATGGTACTGGTACTAAAACAGAAATATAGACCAATGAAACAGAACACAAGCCTCAGAAATAACACCACGCATCTGACAAACCTGAAAAAAACAAAAAATGGGGAAAGGATTCCCTATTTAATAAATGGTGCTGAGAAAACTGGCTAGCCATATGTAGAAAGCTGAAACTGGATCCCTTCCTTACACCTTATACAAAAATTAATTCAAGATGGATTAAAGATTTAAATATAAGACCTAAAACCATAAAAACCCTAGAAGAAAACTTAGGCAATACCATTCAGGACATAGGCATGTGCAAGGACTTCATGACTAAAACATCAAAAGCAATGGCAACAAAAGCCAAAACAGACAAATGGGATATAATTAAACTAAAGAGCTTCTGCACAGCAAAAGAAACTACCATCAGAGTGATCAGGCAACCTACAGAATGGGAGAAAGTTTTTGCAATCTACCCATCTGACAAGGGATAATATCCAGAATCTACAAAGAACTTAAACAAGCTTACAAGAAAAAATCAAACAACCCCATCAGAAAGTGGGCAAAGGATATGAACAGACACTTTTCAAAAGAAGACTTTTATGCAGCCAATAGACACATGAAAAAATGCTCATCATTACTGGTTATTAGAGAAATGCAAATCAAAACCACAAGGAGATCCCAACTCATACCAGTTAGAATGGCGATCATTAAAAAGTCAGGAAACAACAGGTGCTGGAGAGGATGTAGAGAAAGAGGAATACTTTCACACTCTTGGTGGGAGTGTAAATTAGTTCAACCATTGTGGAAGACAGTGTGGCAATTCCTCAAGGATCTAGAACTAGAAATACCATTTGACCCAGTGATCCCATTACTGGGTATATACCCAAAGGATTATAAATCATTCTACTATAAAGACACTTGCATACGTATGTTTATTGTGGCACTATTCACAATAGCAAAGACTTGGAACCAACCCAAATGTCCATCAATGATAGACTGGATTAAGAAAATGTGGCACATATACACCATGGAATACTATGCAGCCATAAAAAAGGATGAGTTCATATTCTTTGTAGCGACATAGAAGAAGCTGGAAACCATCATTCTGAGCAAACTATCACAAAGACAGAAAACTAAACACCACGTGTTCTCACTCATAGGTGGGAATGGAACAATGAGAACACTTGAACACAGGGTGGGAACTTCACACACCAGGGCCTATCATAGGGTTGGGGGGATAGGGGAGGGATAGCATTAGAAGAAATACCTAATGTAAATGACAAGTTAATGGGTGCAGCAAACCAATGCAGCACATGTATACATATGTAACAAACCTGCATCCTGTCCACATGTATCACAGAACTTAAAGTATAGTAAGAAAAGGAAAACATTTGCATGTTTTCTAATTATGTACAACGCTATCAATTTTCTATGTGTTCCTTTATATCTTTTTAAAAATCTTATGTGTTGGAGGTTTATTCATATTGATAAACATAGTTTTAGTTTTTCTTCATTTCCCTGCCATATGTTTCATTCTATAATTAAATTCAATGGACATTTTAGTTTTTTCTTTCATTTTGTTTTATAAACAAAGCACATAAGAATATTTTGAATAATATGTACAGTATCTCCACCATCTTAGCTAAAGGTATGTTGTGACTTTTAAATAAAATGAGACAATGTAAAAAAAATGTTTTGAACACTCTGTAAAAGAGACATAATATAAGGAATAAATGACATCTTAACTTTCTTAAGCATGGAATCATTGATTATTATGGTAGGCATAGCTTACAATCTATTAGAAAAATATAAATTTATTTATAAGATTGATGTACTAATTTTTACCCAGAACAGCACAGTATGACTGTATTGTTGCACATATACCTGATATTTACATATTTTGGTAATCTTGTGAGCATGAAATTGTATCAACTGGAATATTTAATTTATATGTTCCTAATTTCAAAAACAATTTTTTTTGTTTTTTCACTTTTTTTTTCTTTTTTGTGAAAGGTACATTGATAGATTTTATTTATTTTTGTATTGGAATTTGTTCCTTCCTATTGATGTGAAGAATTTTAATTTTTTTATTACTTATATCACCTCATTTATTTTTTATTTTAAATTTTTTCCCATAAGTTTTGAGGTACAGGTGGTATTTGGTTACATGAGTAAGTTCTTTAGTTGTAATTTGTGAAATTTTAGTGCACCCATCACATGAGTAGTATACACTGCACCATATTTGTAGTCTTTTATTCCTCACCTTCCTTCGCACTCTTCACCCCAGTACCCAAGTCCATTATATCATTATTATGCCTTTGTTTCCTTATATCTTAGATCCCACATATCAGTGAAAACATACGATGTTTGGTTTTCTATTTTTGATTTACTTCACTTAGTCTCCAATCTCATCCTGTTCACTGCAAGTGCTGTTAATTTATTCATTTTTATGGCTGAGAGGTATTCCATCATATATATATATATATATATATATATATATATATATATATATATATATATATACACACACACACACATATATATTCCATCATATATATATATATATTCCATCATATACATATATATGTACATGTATATATATGTGATGCACACATACGTGTGCAAGTATCTTTTTTGAATAATACTTCTTTTCCTTTGGGTAGATACCCAGCAGTGAGATTGCTGGATCAAATGGTAGTTCTACTTTTAGTTCTTTAGGGAATCTCCACACTGTTTCCCATAGTGGCTCTACTGGTTTACATTCCCACCAGCAGTGTAGAAGTGAAGTGTTCCCTGATCACCACATCCATGCCAACATTTACTGTTTTTTGATTTTTTGATTATGACCATTCTTGCAGAAGTAAGGTGGTATCGCATTGTGGTTTTGATTTGCATTTCCCTGATCATTAGTGATGTTGAACATTTTTTCATGTGTTTGTTGGCCATGTGTATATCTTCTTTTGATTATTGTCTATTCATGTTCTTAGCCTGCTTTTTGATGGGATTGTTTGTTTATTTCTTACTGTTTGAGTTCATTGTAGATTCTGGATATTAGTTCTTGTTAGATGTATAGATTGTGAAGACTTTCTCCCACTCTGTGGGTTGCCTATTTACTCTGCTGACTGTTCCTTTTGCTATGCAAAATCTCTATACTTTAATTAGGTGCCAGCTATTTATCTTTGTTTTTAATACATTTGCTTTTGGGTTCTTGGTCATGAACTCCTTGCCTATACCAATGTCTAGAAGGGTTTTCCAAAGTTATCTTCTAGAATTTTTATAATTTCTGGTCTTAGGTTTAAGTCCTTAATCCATCTTCAGTTGATTTTTGTAGAAGGTGAGAGATGAGGATTCAGTTTCATCCTCCAACATGTGGGCTAGCCAATTACCCCAGCACCATTTGTTGAAAAGGGCGTCCTTTGCCCACTTTATGTTTTTGTTTGCTTTGTCAAAGATCAGTTGCCTTTAAGTATTTGGGTTTATCTCTGGGTTCTCTATTCTGTTTCATTGGTCTATGTGCCTGTTTTTATACCAGTGCCATGCTGTTTTGGTGACTATGGTCCTATAGTATAATTTGAAATCAGGTAATGTGATGTCTCCAGATTTGTTCTTTTTGCTTAGTCTTACTTTGGCTATGCAGGCTCTTTTTTGGCTCCATATGAATTTTAGAATTGTTTTCTTTTTCTAATTCTGTGAAGAATAATGGTGGTATTTTGATGAGGATTGCATTGAATTTCTAGATGGCTTTTGTCAGTATGTTTATTTTCATAAACATATTAATTTTTTGGTTCCATATGAATTTTAGAATTGTTTTTTTCTAATTCTGTGAAGAATGATGGTGGTATTTTGATGGGGATTGCATTGAATTTGTGGATTGCTTTTGGCAGTATGTTTATTTGCACAATATTGATTTTACCAATCCATGAGCACAGGATATGTTTCCATTTGTTTGTGTAATCTATGATTTCTTTCAGCGGCGTTTTGTAATATTCCTTTTAGAGGTCTTTTGACTTCTTTGTTAGGTATATTTTTAAGTATTTTATTTTATTTCATTTTATTTTATTTTATTTATTTTATTTTTGCTGTTAATTGTAAAAGGAGTTAAATTCTTGATTTGATTCTTCACCTAGTCACTGTTGGTGTATAGAAGAGCTACTGATTTGTATATATTAATCTCATATCCAGAAAGCTTGTGGAATTATTTTATCCATTATAGGACCTTTCTGGAGGAGTCTTTAGGGTTTTCAAGATAAACAATTATAACATCAGCAGTGACAGTTTGTCTTCCTCTTTACCAATTTGGATGCCCTTTACTTCTTTCTCTTGTCTGATTGCTCTGGCTAGGACTTCCAGTACTGTGTTGAAGAAGAGTGGTGAGAGTGGATATCCTTGACTTTTTCCAGTTCTCAGGGGAATGTGTTCAACTTCTCCCCATTCAGTATTATTTTGGCTGTGGGTTTGTCATAGATGGCTTTTATTACATTAAGGTATGTCCCTGGCATGCCGATTCTGTTGAGCGTTGTAATCATAAAAGGATGCTGGATTTTGTTGAATGCTTTTTCTGCATCTATTGAGATGATCATGTGATTTTTGTTTTTAATTCTGTTTATGTGTTGTATCACATTTATTGACTTACATATGTTAAACCATCCCTGCATCCCTAGTATGAAACCCACTTGATCATGGTGGATTATCTTTTTGATATTTTGTTAGATTTGGTTAGCTAGTATTTTGTTAAGGATTTTAGTGTCTATGTTCATCAAGGATATCAGTCTGTAGTTATCTTTTTTTGTTATCTTCTTTCCTGGTTTGGGTATTCAGGTGATGCTGGCTTCATAGAATTAATTAGGGAGGGCTCCTTCTGTCTCATCTATCTTGTGGAATAGTGTCAAAAGGATTGGTATAAATTCTTTGAATATCTGGTAGAATTCTGCTGTGAATCTGTCTGATCCTGGACTCTTTTTTGTTGGTAGTGTTTTAATCACCATTTCAATGTCACTGCTTGTTATTAATCTGTTCAGGGTGACTAATTCTTCCTAATTTAAGCTAAGAGGGTTGTGTATTTCCAGAAATATTCCCATCTCTTCTAGGTTGTCTAGATTATGTGTGTAGAGGTGTTCATAATAGCCTTGAATGATCCTTTGTATTTCTGTGGTGTTCATTGTATTATCTCCTGTTTCACTTCTTAGTGAGGTTATTTGAATTTTCTCTCTTCTTTTCTTAGTTAGTCTTGCTAATGGCCTATCAATTTTATTTATCTTTTCAGGAAACCAACACATTTTGTGTCATTGATATTTTGTAATTTTTTAAATCCAATTTCATTTAGTTCTGCTCTGATCTTGGTTATTTCCTTTCCTCTGCTGGGTTTGGGTTTGGTTTGCTATTGTTTCTCTAGTTTCGTGAAGTGTGACCTTTGAATGTCAGTTTGTGTTCTTTCAGTCTTTTTGATATAGGCATTTAGGGCTATGAGCTTTCCTCTTAGCCCTGCCTTTGCTATATCCCAGAAGTTTGGGTAGGTTGTGTCATTATTGTCATTCAGTTCAAATAATTTTTTAATTTCCATCTTGATTTTGTTTTTGACGCAACGCTCATTCAGGGACAGGTTATTTAATTTCCATGTATTTGCATGGTTTTGAAGGTTCCTTTTGGAGTTGATTTCCAGTTTTATTCCACTGTGGTCTGAGAGAGTGCTTGATATAATTTCAATTTTCTTAAATTTATTGAGGCTCATTTTATGATCTATCACTTGTATCTTGGAGAAACTTCCATGTGCTGTTGAATAGAATGTGTATTCTGCAGCTGTTGGATTAAATATTTTGTATATATCTGTTAAGTCCACTTGTTCCAAAGGTATAATTTAAATCCATTGTTTCTTTGTTGAGTTTCTGTCTTGATGACCTGTCTAGTTCTGTCAGTGGAGTGTTGAAGTCTTCCACTATTATTGTATTGCTGTCTATCTAATTTCTTAGGTCTATTTGTAATTGTTATAAATTTGGGATCTCCAGTGTTAGGTGCATATATGTTTAGGATAGTGACATTTTCCTGGTGAACAAGGCTTTTTGCCACCATATAATGTCACTTTTAGTCTCTTTTAATGCCGTTGCTTTAAAGTTTTTTTCTTTTTTTTCTTTTTTTCTGATATAAGAATAGCTACCCCTGCCTGGTTTTGGTGTCTATTTTCATGAAATGCCTTTTTCCATCACTTTACTTTTAGTTTATGTGAGTTCTTATGTGTTAGGTGAGTCTCCCGAAGGCAGCAGATAGGTAGTTGGTAAGTTCTTATCCATTTTGTGGTTCTATATCTTTTAAGTAGAGCATTTAAGTCATTACATTCAATGCTAGTATTGAAATGTGAGGTACCGATGCATACATCATGCTCTTTGTTGCCTGTGTATTTTTTTTGTTTTGTTTTTTGCTTTTTAACTTGTATTTTTGCTTTATAGTTCCTGTGTGATTTATGCTTTAAAGAAGTTCTGTTTTCATGTTTTTTTCAGGATTTGTTTCAAGATTTAGAGTTCCTTTTAGCAGTTCTTGTAGTGGTGGATTGGTAATGGTGAATTCTCTCAGGGTTTTTTTTTTTTTTTTTTTTTTTTTTTTTTTTTTTTTTTCAAAAAAGGAATGTAATTTTGCTTCATATATGATGCTTAGTTTCACTGGATACAAAATTCTTGGCTGATAATTGTTTTGTTTGAGGAGGCTGAAGATAGGGCCCCAATCCCCTCTAGATTGTAGGGTTTCGGCTGAGAAATCTGCTGTTAATCTGATAGGTTTTCCTTTATAGGTTACCTGGTCCTTCTGTCTCACAGCTCTTAAGATTCTTTCCTTCATCTTACCTTTAGATAACCTGATGACAATGTCTAGGTGATGTTCTTTTGGCAATAAATTTCCCAGGTGTTCTTTCTGATCCTTGTATTTGGATGTCTAGGTCTCCAGCAAGGCCAGAGAAGTTTTCCTGGATTATTCCACCAAATACATTTTCCAAGCTTTTAGAATTTTCTTCCTCAGGAATGTCAATAATGCTTAGGTTGGTTGTTTAACATAATCCCAGACTTTTTGCAGGCTTTGTTCATATTTTTTACCTTTGTTGAATTGGGTTAATTCGAAGACCTTGTCTTTGAGCTGTGTATTTCTTTATTATACTTGTTAAATTCTATTGCTGAGACTTTCCAGAGCATTTTGCATTTTTGTAAGTGTGTCCGATGTTTCCTGAAGTTTCAACTGTTTTTTATTTATGCTATCTATTTCCTTGAATATTTCTGCCTTCACTTCTTGTATTATTTTTTGGATTTACTATATTGGGCTTCACTTTTCTGTGATGCCTCTCTGATTAGCTTAATACTTAACCTTCTGAATTCTTTTTTAGGTAAATCAGGGATTTCTTCCTGGTTTGGATCCACTGCTGGTGAACTAGTGTGATTTTTTGTGGGTGTTAAAGAGCCTTGTTTTGTCACATTACCAGAGGTGGTTTTCTGGTTTCTTCTTGCTTGGGTAGTCTCTGTCAGGGAGAAGGTCTAGGGCTGAAGGCTGTTCTTCAGATTCTTTTGTCCCATGGGGTGTTCCCTTGATGTAGTGCTCTCCCCCTTTTCCTATGGATGTGGCTTCCTGCGAACCAAACTGCAGTGATTGTTGTCTCTCTTCTGGGTCTAGCCACTCAGCAAGTCTACCCAGCTCTGGATTGGTACTGGGGATTCTCTGCACAGAGTCCTGTGATATGAACCATCTATGGATCTCTCAGCTGTGGATACCAGAGTCTTTTCTGGTGGAGGTGGCAGGGGGGTGAAATGGACTCTGTGAAAATTCTTAGCTTTGATGGTTTAATATTCTATTTTTGTGCTGCTTGGCCTCCTGCCAGGAGGTGCTGCTTTCCGGAGAGCTTCAGCTGTGGTAGTATGGAGAGGAACCAGTGGTGGGCCAGGCTCTAAAATTCCCAAGAATATATGCCCTTTGTCTTTAGCTACCAGGGCAAATTGGAAGGCCCATCAGGTGAGGGCAGGGCTAGGTATGTCCAAGCTCAGGCTCTCCTTAGGGGGGGGTCTTGCTGTGGCTGCTGTTGGGAGTGGGGGTGATGTTCCCAGGTCATTGGAATTGTGTACCTAGGAGGATTATGGCTGCCTCTGCTGAGTCATGCAGGTTGTCAGAGAAGTGAAGGTAAGTGTCACATGCCTCACCCAGCTCCCATGCAAATCAAAGGGCTGGTCTCATTCCCACTGTGCCCTCCACCACAGCCCTGAGTCTGTCTCCAGGAGGAGGGCAAGATGGGCTTGAAAACTCTCTCCAGGCTATCAGCCTCCCAGCTGCAAAAGAAAAGGGCTTGGTTCTCCCCTCACCTGTGGAATCTGCACATTGGAATTGTGCCTTCCCGGAGTTCCGGTCGGGAGGATTCTTGCACCTTTTGAATTGTTAAAAAGTTCAGCAAGAGATTTCCTTCTCCCTGTTGAGTTTTACCCCAAGGGCCTTTCTACTGCCTCCTCTACCCTTGTATTTTGCTCAGCTCTCTAAATTGACTGAGCTCCAGGTAAAGTCAAAAACTTCTCCTGCAAACAGGCCTTCAGTTTCTCCAGTGGGGGTGTGTGTTCAGGAGAGGGGGGTCTCCCTTTCCCACTTCCATAGTTGGATCACTACAGTATTTGGGGTGTCTCCTGGGTCCTGCAGGAGCAGTCCATTTCCTTCAGAGGATTTGTGGGTCCTCTTGGGATTGCTCATTTGTTCTTGCAGTCGATCTGGAGCTAAAATTCACAATGCGAGCCTCTACACGCTGCTCTGTCTGGAGCTGCAATCTAGTTCTGCCACCCATCCACCATAATGACCCCTATCAAAAAAATTTTCTGAATGCCAATACTTTAAGGAATACTTTTTTTATCTGAAGTCACAAGATATTTTCTTCTAATTGTCACAGCTGTTTTTATATATAGTACTTAATTCTACTTAGAATTCATTTTTATAAATGTAAGGTATAAATATATTTGTATTTTTTAAAAAAAGTAATAGACATTATTATTTAGATTTCAATAAAATTTCTCCAATATATTTAGAATTTTTTCATCTAACAATATTAAAATTGTCCTTAATGTTTCTTCTTTGGATCCTACATTTCTAAAATTTTTAAATATCCACTGTTTGTTTCATTGCCTGGTTATGTTTCTACTACAGATATCTAACTTAATTTCATTGTAATTAGCAAGTATAATCTATATGGCAGCAATCTTTTAGCTTGTTGAGATTTTCTTTGTGACAAATACATGAGCAATTTTTATTAAAATGTTCTATTTATGCTTAAGAAAAATGCATTATCTATATTTAAGGTACAGGGTTTTATATTTTCATTTAATAAAGATTGTTAGTATATTATTAGAAAACATTTACCACTTTGCTAATGGAAGTGATATCAAATAATTTATAAACATTATGGAATATATGAATCATTTGAATACATATAAGCTGTGATAAAGTGGTGCAGCTGTACTGGTGAACACCAGAAAATGGTCATCCTTGATAAGTAATATTTTGTCTGTTGTCTGATTGATATTTTAAAGGTGATGTGTTAAAGCTCCTGCTATTATGAATTATTTTACAATAATTCTTTGAATTCCAAGACTATTTTCAATTTATTGGTTTCATATGTGTTTAGAATTGTGATAACTTCCCAAAGAATTTTTTTTTCAATCATGATTTGGTGATTTCCTTTATCCATAAAAATGGTCCTCTCTGTCTTTGTGGTCTTTCATCATCAGGCTGGGTCACTAGAAAATCTTCACAGGGGCCGGGCGCGGTGGCTCACGCCTCTAATCCCAGCACTTTGGGAGGCCGAGGCGGGTGGATCATGAGGTCAGGAGATCGAGACCATCCTGGCTAACAAGGTGAAACCCCGTCTCTACTAAAAATACAAAAAATTAGCCGGACGCGGTGGCGGGCGCCTGTAGTCCCAGCTACTCGGGAGGCTGAGGCAGGAGAATGGCGTGAACCCGGGAAGCGGAGCTTGCAGTGAGCCGAGATTGCGCCACTGCAGTCTGCAGTCCGGCCTGGGCGACAGAGTGAGACTCCGTCTCAAAAAAAAAAAAAAAAAAAAAAAAAAAAACTTCACAGGGAGATCCCAGGGCAGCAAGAGAGTGAGAATGGAAACTGCAAGACCTCTTGATTCCTTGCTTAGAAATAACACAATGTCACTTCAGCTGCAAGTACCAAGGTCAGCCAGATTCAAAAAATAGAGAAGTAAATTCTCTCTCTTGATGGGTAGAGTTAGCAAAAAAACTGCATCAAATTTCATTCAACACAAACTACTTCTGTTTATTGTAATTATGAAACTGTCCCAATAAACTTTATAAAAGTATTCAAGAAAGGAGGGTGAAGGAGAAACAAAAATAAACCAAATTTCCAGCACATTCATTGTTAATCATTAGGTCAGCTTGTTCTCTTACTTGCTTTTTCGTAGTCGTTTGGTGCCTATTGTTTTAGAATCATGTAGTCCCTAGATTATAGTTCCCCTTAACTCCTCTTTAGATAACAACTTAAACATTATACAACATTGAGTTTACTCTTTGAGATATTCTTTAGGTCCTGTGTGTCAGTGAAACATTAGCTGTTCTGCAAGACCCCATTAGAAGCTGACTCATCAAACAATGCAGTCTCCACATCCTGATGATTTCATACCCTTTACCTTGACAAATCAATAACCCAAATTTTACAGTTCCTCAACCTCCACGATCTGCTTAAAAATCCCAAGTCCAAGGCTATCTGGGGCAACATATTTGAGGATTTTTGTCTGCTGCAAAACCTGCTGTCTTGGTGCATTGGTGTGTTATTATGCAGTGGGCGTACAAACTTGTTGGCCTACAACAGGTACTGATAGATATATTTTTCACTATCATATTTTGAGTTTTGCACATATTAAGCATTATTATTTCTCAGTTATTGTATTTTTTGAGTAATTCAATTTTATTTTTAATTTTATTTTCTCTATACAGCTATTCAAGATAAATCCTCTATTTCTGCTTTACCAAGATTTATGCAATAAAAAGTTAATCAGTATCTTATATTCTAATCAACATAAGGTTTCTGAAAGGTATTAACTCAGATCACAAGAACCTCTCTCTCCTTATCATTCCAAGATGAGGGACTACTACTATCTAGCATTTAGCTCCCCTTTAGAACTCCATTAAATCAAATATTTTTATTATTATTACTTTGTGTAAATAATGTGTAAATATACTAGTATTCAATATTTTATTGATTAGCTTTTTAAGAAATATATTTCTACTAGATTAATTTTCTTAAAATTAGTTTCTTAGCTCTTTCTTTTCTGAGTGTTCATCGACACTCAGGTTTCTTCAGTTTTTTTTTTTTTTTTTTGCCACAAAAACGTGTTTTATTTGCTTTGTTCTTGAAACACTGTTTAGAAAGTTGGGATGGCAATTATTTTCAATCAGCTTTCATTTTGATCTCCAGGAGAAAGAGGAGAGAATAATAATTTAGAGTCTGGACACTGGTGCTTAACTTTTTTGACACAAATCTAGACTTATGTTTTAGTATCTGAGGAATGTTGGGTTAATTACCAAAGCTTTTCATCATTTACCCTCTTCATTTGTAAAATTAGTATTGTATTAATAATACCTGTTTCATAGGATTAACAGAATTAACATTTCTACTTGTTACATGCCTTACATATTTTAAGCATTGAATACATTCTATCATTTATTATTTTCTAGTTTTTTTTTTTGGAATCACACTTTTGGCTTTATAGTTGTTCCTTTATTGGTTATCTGTCTTTCTTATGCATTTGAGATCTTTATCTTTTGTAGGGAGACCCCCCCCGAAACTATTGCTATGGAATAAAAGATGAAATGCTCCTGATTATTGTAAATACAAAATTGCATGCAAGATTGTGTAAAGACAATGCCAGGTTGGACTGCCAGAATGAGTCAACAGTGTGTAATGTGCTTCCCCCTGCAGAGAGCCTATGAATGGGCGTGCAGTCTGGGGGATTTCACATCACCAAGAGTCCTATCCCAGAAAAGCAGATGTTCATAGCTCTGGGAATGGAAGTCAACCCTTGTGGAGAGCCTATAAATGGATGCATGGGGCGGGGGCACCTGTCCATATGGATAAGATAGGACTATAAATGCCCTCATCTTGCCATGGCTCTTCTAGGCCTCTTTAGGGTTAAGGTATACACCCTTCTGAGAATTTCTGGTCTAACTGGTTGTCTAGCTTCATGTCCTGTTTCTATGGATTGTTTGTAACCAGCTTTTGCTGCAACTGTTACTGCTGGTTAATATCTTGCTAATCATAGGTTATGGAAAGACTGTGTTTCTGTTTTAAGGCTCTGTTAGAAATTGCTGATACACACACTATATTGTAAATTCTTATCCCTGTATACTGTACTTCTGCATACAGACGTTATGTTAAAGAATTACTTCATCCCCATGTGACCATCTCACCTTATAATCAAATGACCCTAAATCCCTCCCTAACCTACCCTCGCCCTCACTAAACTTAATGATAAATCCTGGTATATCCAGTGCATTGTTGACACTGCAGGACCAGAAAGCAGTGACATCCCCTGGACCCAGTTTTCACTATCTTGTGTGTGTCTATTGTTTCTCAACCTGCCAACCCACCTAGGAACAAAGAGAGAGCCCCGTTGCATTGTGGGCTGCTGGCCAGATCCTGCAATATTTGGCACCCAACGTGGCCTTCTTTGTTCCTGGGCTCAGTGCACTCTGAGTGCGGGTTCGTGATGACTAGTCTTCAGTCTCGACAGTAAGGTCTCTGGGTACACTTTTTCCAATGCTCCCCTCTTTTCAGGTTTGTTGACTGGTAATATTCCAGGGTTATTATGGGACAATTGCAGTTTAAACACCAGGCTTATCTGTCTTTTATTAAACTTCTTCTTAAACAGGGTAGAATCAAGGCTGATTCCAATAACCTTATTCTCTTATTTCAGACTATTGAAAAACATTGTCCTTGGTTCCCTGACAAAGATTCTATGGACCTGTTAGACTGGGATAGAGTTGGCGCCACTCTCCGCCAACTCATGAGAGTTGGTGTTTTACATCCTATTTCTGTTTGGACTGACTGGGCTCTTATTCGTGTTGCTTTACTTCCTTTTCAGTCTGGTGATACTCTTCAAATGCCAGAAGTTAAGGTGGTTGGTGAACCATTCCCTTTACCTTGGGTAGCTGACCCCCCTACTAGTCCTCCTTCTGATGATGAAGAAGAATTCGATCTCTCCTTGTTTTCTCCCCAAGAGGAGGAACCTGGTGTTGATCCCCTCCCTCCACCTCCTATCTTGGAACCTGTATATATTAACTCTTCTTCTACCAAGCCGTTGTCCCCTCTGCCAGAGGAGGATGTGTGGCATTCATCTGAATCGGCTGTTTCTCATTCCTCTCATCCTTTTGGACCTCTCCCCTCTTCTAAGCCTACTGTTTCTTTTGAGGCTCCAGGACCCCTTATTTCAGAGGTTTGGAATCCTGCTTCCCCCCAGTCCACGTCCCGGCATGCTCACTCTCTTTCTCTCTTTTCCTCTGCCCCTTCACAATAGATGTGTGAGTCACCTGTTTGGGTAGAGTAGTGGCCACTTTCCAAACACAAGTTGGAGGCTTTAATTGAAATTGTTAATGATTTACTACAAGTAAACACTATTGAGCCCTCCTTGTCTCCATGGAACTCACATGTGTTTGTTGTACAAAAAAGGTCAGGAAAATGGAGGATGGTAACAGACTTAAGAGCTGTTAATGCAGTTATTAAACCTATGGGGGCATTACAACCCAGTATGCCCTCCCCTTCCATGATTCCTAAAGAATGGCCTTTAATTATCATTGACCTTAAGGACTGCTTTTTTCATATTCCTTTAGACAAGTCAGACTGTGAAAAATTTGCTTTTACTATACCTTCCACTAACAATTCAGCTCCTGCAGCTAGATATGAATGGAAAGTTTTACCTCAAGGAATGATTAACAGTCCTACTATTTGTCAGTTGTTTGTCAGTACTGTGTTACAACCTATCTGACAGACTTTTAAAAATAATTACATTTTTCATTATATGGATGATATACCGATTGCTGCCCCCACTAAAGATGAATTAATTCAGTGTTTTACCTTTTTAAAATTAGCTGTTGCCAAAGCAGGACTCCACATTGCTCCTGACAAAATTCAACAAGCCACTCCTTTCTGTACTTAGGAATGCAGCTAGAAGCTCACTCCATTAAGCCCCAAAAAGTCCAACTTTGTACTGACAATTTAAACACCTTAAATGATTTTCAAAAATTACTAGGTGACATCAATTACCTCAGACCAACCCTAGGCATCCCTACTTATGCATTATCTCATCTATTTGCCACTTTATCAGGAGATACATATTTAAACAGTCCTCGCTGTCTATCTGAGCCAGGAAAACAAGAGTTGTCTTTTGTAGAACAACGAGTGAGAGAGGCACAAGTCTCTCATATTGACACAAATTTGCCTTTACAATTTTTAGTTTTTCCTTCCATCCACTCTCCTACAGGACTTATAGTACAAAATGATTCTCTAGTTGAATGTGTATTTCTTCCTAATTCAGCCCTTAAAACTCTTTCAATATATATTGATCAAATAGCCACTTTGATTGGGTTAGGACGTCAATGTATCACTAAAATTTCTGGCTTTGATCCAAACATTATTGTGGTCCCTTTGTCAAAAAATGAAGTCAAACATGCCTTTTCTACATCTTTGTGCTGGCAGACTAATCTGGCTGACTTCGTTGGCACTATTGATAATCATTTACCTAAGTCAAAATTCTTTCAATTTCTAAGAAATACTTCCTGGATTCTACCAAAACTTACACATTCATCACCACCAGAGACAGCCGTTACCATTTTTACTGATGGATCAAGTAATGGAAAGGCAGGGTATGTAGGACCAAAAGATAAAGTCATTTCTACTCCATACACTTCTGCTCAAAAAGCCGAGTTGTTTGCTGTTATCTCTGCATTACAGGATTTTGATCAGCCTCTTAATATTGTCTCTGACTCAGCTTATGTAGTCCATGCCACTAAGGCAATAGAAACAGCTACCGTCAAAAATATTGCTGACACTAATCTGTTTTCCTTGTTCTCTTTATTACAAAAAACTGTCAGAAACCGAAACCACCCTTTTTTTCATCACTCACATTTGTTCTCATACTAACTTGCTTGGACATTTATCCAGTGGTAATCATAAAGTTGATACTCTAGTTTCTCTAGCCATTACAGATGCAGAACAATTTCGTCAACTCACTCATACTAATGCCAGAAAAACATTTCTCTGGTAACTGCCCCAGGGTAAACCAAGGAAGGGAAGTATGGTGGAAAGATGTTCAATCTAATATATGGTCAAAAGGTTCTATTTTAACGTGGGGAAGAGGCTATGCTTGTGTTTCCCCAGGTGAATATCAATCTCCTGTTTGGATTCCTGCTAGACACCTGAAATTATGTCCTGAAAATGCATACAACAACAAGACAGAGAAATTTGCTGAAAAAGCACCACAGCAAGAAACAACTAACACATCCAATCATCAAAAAGAAGAAAGTGACCATGCTAACTCCTTTACAACAGACAATCCAGTCAGCCATCCTGAACAACTTGTCTCTGCAGATCCAGGTCTGGCTCAGCCTCTGCCTCCTCCTGATGACACTGATCCTTCTACCCTCTGTCACCCAACAGACTGTTAAAAACTATACATATTGGGCCTATATTCCTTTTCCCTCTCTTATTTGATCCATGACATGGATGGACGTGCCTATCAGGTCTATGTTAATGATAGTATTTGGATGCCTGGTTCTGTAGATGATCCATTTCCCAGCTTGTTATTGGCCTATTCAGGGATTTGACTTCTTCCTGGTTTAGTCTTGGGAGGGCGTATGTGTCCAGGAATTTATCCATTTCTTCCAGATGCTCTAGTTTATTTTCATAGAGGTGTTTATAGTATTCTCTGATGGTTGTTTGTTTTTCTGTGGCATCAGTGGTGATATTCCCTTTATCATTTTTTAATATGTCTATTTGATTCTTCTCTCTTTTCTTCTTTATTAGTCTAGCTAGCAGTCTATCTATTTTGTTAATTTTTTCAAAAAACAGCTCCCAGATGCATTGATTTTTTGGAGGGCTTTTTGTATCTCTGTCTCCTTCAATTCTACTCTGATTTTACATTAATCCCCAAGACAATGGGGCAAATGTCCCCAGGGCATGTCAGAGATCTTCATAGCAGCCCATTCAATCACAGACCCACAGTCCTAAGAGAACATGGTTTTGTGGGCCGCACCCAGGTTCCCCATAACATGTGCAGCCTAGTGACTTGTTGCCCTGCATGCCAGCCATTCCAGCCCTGTCTGAAAGGGGCCAAAGAGCCTGGGCCATGGCTTCTGAGGGTGCAATCCCCAAGAATTGGCACCTTCCATGTGGCATTGAGCCTGCGAGTGCAGAGAACTCAAGAATTGAGGTTTGGGAACCTCCAG
Source organism: Homo sapiens (assembly GCF_000001405.40). Lineage (NCBI taxonomy): Eukaryota > Metazoa > Chordata > Mammalia > Primates > Hominidae > Homo > Homo sapiens. The sequence continues at coordinate 94,651,855 of NC_000003.12, forward strand.
CTAGATTTCAGATGTATGGAAATGCTTGGATGTCCAGGCAGAAATTTGCTGCAGGGATTGGGGTCTCATGGAGAACCTCTGCTAGGGCAATGTGGAAGGGAAATATGGGGTTGTACCCCCCATACAGAGTCCCTCCTGGAGCACCACCTGGCAAAGCTGTAAGATTGCCACCATCCTCCATATCCCAAAATGGTAGATCCACTGATGTCTTGCATCATGTGCCTGGAAAAGTCACAGACACTCAATGCCAGCCCATAAAAACAAGTGGGAGGTAGGCTGTACCCTGCAAAGCCACAGGGAAGGAGCTGCCCAAGACCATGGGTACCCACTACTTGCTTCAGCATGACCTGCTTGTGAGACATGGAGTCAAAGGAGATCATTTTGGAGCTTTAAGATTTGAATGCCTGTTGGATTTCAGACTTTCATGGGGCTGTAACCCCTTTGCTTTGGCCTATTTCTCCCATTTGGAATGGCTGTGTTTACCCAATACCTGTACCAGCATTGCATCCAGGAAGTAACTAGCTTGCTTTTGATTTTACAGGCTCCTAGGCAGAACAGAAGTCCCTTCTGCCTTATCTCAAATGAGACTTTGGACTGTGGAATTTTGAGTTAATGCTGAAATGAGTTAAGACTTTGGGGGACTGTTGGGAAGGCATGGTTGGTTTTGAAATGTGAGGGCATGAGATTTGGAGGAGCCAGAAGCAGGATGATATAGTTTGGCTCTGTGTCCCCACCCAAATCTCATCTTGAATTACATGCTCATAATTCCCACATGTTGTGGGAGGGACCCAGTGGGAGATAATTTGAATCATGGGGGCAATTTCTCCCATACTGTTCTCATGGTAATAAATAAATCTCATGAGATCTGATGATTTTATCAAGCATTTCTGCTTTTGCATCTTCCTCATTTTTCTCTTACCTCCACCATGTAAGAAGTGGCTTTCAACTCCCACCATGATTCTGAGGCCTCCCCAGCCATGTGGAGCTCTAAGCCCAATTAAATCTCCTTTTCTTCCCAGTCTCAGGTATTTCTTTATCAGTACCATGAAAACAGACTAATACAGAGAATCTGATAATTATGTGTCTTGGAGTTGACCTCCTTGTGGAGTATCTTAATGGTGTTCTCTGTATTTCCTGAATTTGCATGTTATCCTGTCTTGCTAGGTTGGAGGAGTTCTCCTGGATAATATCCTGAAGTGTGTTTTCCAGCTTGTTTCCATTCTCCCTGATTCCTTCAGGTATTCCAATCAATTGTAGGTTCTTTTCACGTAGTCCCATATTTCTCAGAGGCTTTGTTTGTTCTTTTGTATTCTTTTATCTCTAATCTTGTATGCATGCCTTATTTCAGCAAGGTGGTCTTCAAACTCTGATATCCTTTCTTCCACTTGGTCGATTTGGCTGGTGATACTTGTGTATGCTTCATGAAGTTCTCGTGGTGTGTTTTTCAACTCCATCACGTCAGTTGTTTTCCTCTCTGAACTGGTTATTCTAGTTAGCAGCTCCTCTGACCTTTTATTAAGGTTCTTAGCTTCTTTGCATTGGGTTAGAACATGCTCCATTAGCACAGCGGAGTTTTTCTATTACCCATCTTCTGAAGCCTACTTCTGTCAATTCGTCCATCTCATCCTCCATCCAGTGCTGTGCCCTTGCTGGAGAGACATTGCGATCTTTGGGAGGAGAAGGGGTACTCTGGCCTTTTGGGTTTTCAGTGTGTTTTCATTAATTCTTTCTCATCTTCATGAGTTTGTCTACTTTCAATCTTTGAGGTTGCTGACCCTTGGATGGGATTTTTGTGGGGACATTTTGTTTTTGATGATGCTGTTGTTGTTGCTTTCTGTTTGTTTTTCTTTCAATGGTCAGATTCCTCTTCTGTAGGCCTGCTGTGGTTTGCTGGGTGTTCACTTCAGGCCCTGTTCATCTTGTTCACTCCCATGGCTGGAGATGTCACTCAGGGAGGCTGGAGAACAGCAAAGATGGGAGCCTGTTCCATCTTCTGGGATCTTTGACCTCCAGGGGCACCAAACTTATGACAGTAGGATTGCTCCTGTATAGGGTGTTTGACAACCTCTGTTGGAACATCTCACCCACATGGGTGGCACGGGAAACAGGACCCATTTAACAAAGCAATTTGACTGTTTCTTGGTGGAGGGGATGTGCTCTGCTGGGGGGAAACCCACTCATTTAGGCTGCCTGAATTTTTCAGAACTACCAGGAGGAAAGACCCCCACCCAGTGAAGAAAGATGGGTCAGGGTCATGTCTGAAGAGGTGCTCTGGCCACAGTCTACCATAGCCAGTGTGTTTGGCTGTGGGAGGTACCTCTTGGGACCAAGCCATCTAGTTTCCCTGGTTCCCACAGGGGAAAAACGTGGCTTGGAGCTTAGAGATGGATACCTCCCTTCCCCCACCTAGGGAGCTTAGAGTATTAGGCAGTTATGAGCCTTAGTGCTGGCTGCTGGCCTTTTCCCAAGGAGCTCAAATGGCTTAGACTACAGGCAGCTACAGCTGTGGTGCTGGTCACTTCTCCCCCCCCAGGAACTCAGCAGGCTTAAGCAGATTCTAGCTAAGAGGCTATTGAGAATCTGTGCAGCTCTGGGGTTGGAACCTTAGGCCCCAGTGGCATGGGTTCGGGAGTGGGATCTCCCGATTCTTGGGTTGCACTATTTCATGGAAAAAGCACAGTTTCCCCAGCAGGATAGCATGCTCACTCACTGCATCCCTTGGCTGGCGGGGTCGGGGCTCCCCTGCTCTGTGTGGCTCTCAGATGGGCCACCACGCCGCACTGCTCTTCCTTGCTCTCTGTGGATCACTCCAGCCACCTAGTTAGTTCTGATGAGAGAAGCTGGATAACTTGGTTGCCGGTGCAGGATTAGCCTGCCCCAGTGTGCTGGGCATCATCCAATTCACTGAAGGACTGAATAGAACAAAAAGGTGGATGAGGGCTGGGTTTTCCCTTTCAATGCCTGGCTGCTTGAGCTGGAACATCAGTCTTCTCCTGCCCTCGGCATTCCTGGTTCTCAGGCCTTTAGACTGCAACAGGAATCTATACTATTGGTTCTCCAGATCCCAGGACCCCTAACTATACCACCAGCTTTTCTGAGTTTCCAGGTTGCCTATTGCAGATTGTGGGACTTCTCAACTTTCATACTCATGTAAGCTAATACTCTCTCTCTCTTTCTCTTTATCTATCTATCTATCATCTATCATCTATCTATCTAATCTTACTGGTTCTGTTTCCCTGGGAAACACCAACTAATACAATAATCATTCTACAATGTACTAGATAGGCAGTAGAAAAAAAATCACATGGAAAAAGTTATCTGCATCAATCTTTAATCCACATTCCCAATTTCCTTTGGAAAATAAAACAATTCAGAATAGTTTTCTTTCTAATTTTTTTCCTGTAATGCTATATTTGCATTGCCTTATCATCCTGACATACATTCTTTCCACTATTATCTAGTCTACATATTCCTCTTAGACTCACATTTCTAAAATACAAAACTGAATGTCTCACTAATATTTTCTGTATGCCAAAAAACAAATTGCTTAGCCTGGTATTTCACTTCATCACAGCTCTCATTTCTATGATACTTATAACCCTGAAGGCAGCCTGTATTTCTGTTAATTCCTCAAGTATACATACACCGGACTGTTGTGTGACTTTTTGTACCTCCCATTTATCTCACCTTTCCCCCATTTCCTTGGTGAAGATCAATGTGTTATTCTTTCCATATAAAGATTAATTACTTTCTCTGCTATGAAGAGTTCCTTTATTACTTTCTAGGCATAATTAATTGTTCTTTCTCAGTGCTCTCACAACTCTTTATATAAGATATATATTATAATTTTATATGAATTTGCTGAATATAGTTAGTCACTCTTCTGTTAGAAGTTAAGATTTTGAGTGAACAAACATAATACTTTCTCATCTTTGTATTTTCAGAATTCTTCACACCACTGGATATATTGAATGAAAGAATGAGTGGTGCAGAGAACCCATAAATCATGAAATCCGAGAAGTTGGACACAATGAATACAGTGTTCTATGAAGATAAATATTAATAATAAAATTGTTAAAATTGAACACTTTCTCAATGCAACCTGAGAAATAGGGTTAGTTATGGAAGAGATACTCTGGTGTACCTATTTTTATTCAATTGGTGAAAAAGCAGATACAACCAAAGGCAAAACACTTAGAGTAGAAAAAGAACTGCAACATCACTCAACCATTCCTTGCTAACAAGCAGAGAGTACCAGTGTTTTTCAGTTTAAAGAAGTGGAAAGTTTTAACAGTAGAATGATAAAATTGTAATAATATAAATTATTTTTCAAATACATTAACAAAACTAAGGATTTTCTGAAGTTTTTGATAAAGTTCAATCTCAAAGTAGATTACTTGTTGAGTATTATGGCACTACAGGATAGAATTTTAGAGAACAGAGTAGAAAGCAGAAAAAGAGCATTCCTGAAGAAATCGGGAAATAGAATAGCCATATTCATTAAGACTTATTACCACTTTTTTCATTGGAAGACATCAGAGCTTTTAATAAAACCATCTAATATATCTTGGTGAATTCACAAGTTTCTGCAAAGATGGTACTTTTTTAAAAAATTAAGAGGTCTTCACAATTTGGTTTCATTTTGGTGAATTTGTATGCCCTAAAATTCTTGTTCCTTCTCGTTTGTGAGTAAGCATATCTGAATTTGGTCAAATCCAGTTAAATAATTAAAATATGCATAAAAAGAGTAAAAACACATATAGGATAACTGGCAAGACAGTAGTTAATTCTTTCCCCTCACAAATAAAGAATTCAATTTATATTATTTACAGTTAGAGATACAAATTTCCCTTGAAATTGTTTTTTTTTTTTTTAAAGGTAAGAGCTCTCGTTTTTCTGGGGCATGAGTGTAACAAGCTCCTGGTCTTGTACGATAGCTGCCTTTTTCTGAGACCCCTTGTAATTCAGTCTTGAAGTGGAGAAGACAGATTTGCAAAGGAACTTAATTCTTTTTTGGGACAGGCAGGGCTAATACAATGTATATTTTAATATTTTTCAGTTTTCTGTATATTATGATGTTTGGGCATCTTAGCCCAGCCTAGAGCATGCCTTTGGTTTGCAAACTAACCAACCCAGAACCACACTTTCTCTACCAGCCCATGCACCGCACGAGACAGTATTTCTCAGCCTCAACCATTCCAGGACCAGGTTCTAGGCAACTGGGAACCACTCCCATAGCTCAAAACTCACTGAAATTATTCAAACTAGTCAATTCTAAACTGGTTCATCCTGCGCTGTCTTGACTTTCCCTTGGAAACCCCAATAAAGACAGTGACCTAAACCTTCCCCTTACTCCTGTCTCCTTCTTAACCATCCTGCTGTCTTTTCATGTGGACCTGTGTGGTAGGGCTTGCCTCCTGTCTTTAAAATCTGTAAGTATAATAAACCTTGTTTTTATTTTCTCCTGAATTTCTCCTCCGTCTCCTCTTGTGCATGCACCTGACTGACCATCACATAAGAATAATACTATTGTGTGAAATTAGGAAAATCTGTTTAAGTAAACTTGAATGGCCCTGACCATGTTCCACTGATGGGAAAGGATTGAAGAACCTAGTGTTTGTGCAGAAGTGATCAAAGTCACATCATGAGTGGTTGAAATGGCTACACTGGTTACAATCAGAATCCCAGTGTATTCATTTATAATGAGAAATATAATTTCTAAATAAATAAAATCCTCAGAACAACCATAAAATTATTTTCTGCAAGCCAAGCTAGAAAATCATATTATCAGAAATTTGCTTGGTGCAGAAGGAAACAGAAATGAAGTATATAAGGCTCTAATATGTAATGCTGGAAGCTGCAACACTCACAAGCTATTTCCATTGCACTGAAAAGAACGTCTCCCCTCTGGGCAGGGCTCGGAGGATCCCAAGCAGGGGATGTTTGCATCTTTACTGCCATTGTTGACTGCTTTGTGCTGATGAACGTTTATTCATGCAGTGGTTCCTAAACTTTTTAGTCTCAGAACTCCATTATGATCATCGTGGGCCCCAAGGAGTTTTTGTTTTATATGGGTTATATGTACCAATATTTGTTTTATTGAAAATTAAAAATGGAAGATGTTGCTTATATTTATTTATTTAAAATAAATGACAATAAACCTATTGTATGGGAACATAAATAACAATTATTATAACAAACTATCATTTTCAAGTACACAAATATTGTTTTGCATTTTTTGCAAATCTCTTTTATATTTGAATGAATAGAAGACAGAGGTTTCGTGTCCTTTTCACATTCTATCTGTTGCAACGTGTTGTTCTGGTGGAAGTATATGAAGAATATCTGGCCTGGCACAGATACAAAAAGGAGTATTTTTAAAACTTTTTCAGTTAGTGTGGATTTTAATACTACACAAAAACTTGACAAGTGGTAGTTTTACAAACAAAACTTGCAATGTTTAATTTGAAAGTTATCAACCAGGCATGTTGGTGGATGCCTATCCTCCCAGCTACTCCAAGGCAGGAGGACCCCTTGAGCCCAGGAGTTGGAGGCTGTAGGGAGCTGTGATGATACCACTGCACTCCAGCCTGGGCAACAGAGTGCAAGATTTTATCTAAAACAAATAGAAAAAGAAACCATAACAATAAACTTATACTGTTACATTGAAATTTATTGGTATTTATGGCATTACGGATGAACTTTTACCTACGCAAGAATTTTTGTCGTACATCGGTAATTTGGAAAATATTAGCTCAATAAATATACTAATGTTGACATAGGAGTCTATTAACTGTACTTTAAAAACCATGTTCTATAGAATATATTCTGACTATAAATATTTTAGTATTTAAATCCGCATATATAATAAGACTCAATTTAAAAACTAAGATGTAAGTAATAAACAAAAAAGAAATGTTTTTGAATAATTACCCAAAGAATTAAATTTTAGAATGTAAGAAATATGCTAAAAAATTATTAAGTGCAAAAAAATAACTTCTGGTCTGTTGGTAGGACTCTAGTCCTAGAAGCTGGAAAGAAGTAATTTAATATAGAATAATTAAAAAGACTGAACTTTTTGCCAATACATATTATGCTTTTTGCCAATATGTATTATGCTTTATCATTAGATGGCTTATGGAACTTCGCAGAATGCCTGGTGTGTGGTAAATTCTCAGTAATACCTAAATAATTGGATAATTCAATAATGAATTAAAATGAAAAGCCCTTAGATCATTTTGAGGTTTGTATAGTAGCTGACAGGTGACTAGGATTTTGAACTGCTCCTTAACAGAGAAAAAAGACTTGTGTTAATAAGGATCTGACCCAAAGCCATTCTTATCATTTCAGGATAGATATAGTCTAAGTTCTTTGAGTATCTGCTTTGTTCTCCAACTTTGGCAGGAAAGTGATAAGAAGTTTTGTTGTCCATAACTGAAAAATTAGTACTTCTTAGTTTCACTGCTATTTGATTTGTGCTTTATTGTTTGTGACATGAAAAATATGATTTAGTTGGTGCTGACTGCTGTCATGAATTAAGCTGCACTTCGAACTGCGTATTTAGATCTTGTTTTCACTGCACTGGGCAGGCAGCAATAGCTTTTCACCAGTTCTAAGTGAAACAAGAGAAGTGACCTACAGCAGAATTCTTAACAGGAATTTTCCAATTTTTAAGCAATTGACTACTAATACCATTTACAAAACAGAACTCTGGGCCTGAAGAATTGTAGCTTTATAATATCATTTTTGCTAAGTTGTCTTTTTCTTACCCATTTTGCAATATGAGGATTTCAACTTACACAAGTAAGTTTTATTGCTATAGCTCAGACATTGTGCCAGGCAAAGTAAAGATGCCAGGAGGCATCTGAAGATATATGAAACCCAAGATATAATATCAAGTGCTATGGGTTGAATGTGTCCCCCCAACATTCACATGTTGATATTCTAACCTCCAATACCTTTGAATGTAATTTGATTTAGAAACGGGATTTACAGAGGTAATAAAATTAAAATTATTAAGATGGACTCTAAGATAACTAGTGTCCCTACAAAAAGGGGAAATTTGGAGACAGTCACATATAGAAGAATAATGCCATGTGAAGATGAAGACAGAGATTGAGATGGTGATTTCTACACCAAAGGTTGCTAAGGAAACCACCAGAAGCTAGGAATCTAGGAGGAACACACAGAACATATACCCTGTCACAGGAACCAATCCTGCTGACAACTTGCTCTCAGACTTCCAGAACTGCGAGACTGTGCATTTTTAGTGTTCTAAGTCACCCAGTTTGTGATGTATTGTTACAGCAGCTCTAGAAATTAATACACTAAGATACTTAGTCCTATGTTGTTCTGAATTAAATTACTTCTCTTCAGTTTCTAGGGATACACTCTTTTTGGGCTGAAACCATACTTCGCTTGTTTGGGAGGATCAAATGTTTTTCACATGAAGATTGGGCATGATGATATTAGCATTTTGGAGGCTACGGATACTGACACTTCTTTGGTGTTTGAAAAGGTTATTGAGGCTTATGGATAAAAGCAACAGATGAAGAAGTACATGTTATAGATAGTATAATCAGTCTGAAATACATTGAGAGTCACCCAGAATTATGCCCAGCAGGAAACTGGCTAATTTCAGTGCTTTTCTGATTAAGCCATATTAAAGACACCTAAAATAAAGGATTTTCTAGCTAGCCAGGTGATTATGTTTCACCATACTCTCTAAAATAGGTAAACCACATAAGACATGATCAATATACAGAATAGTGATTTAAAACTATCATGAAATGTTTTGGGAACTTTGCGGAAAGAAAATATACAGTTTAAAATCATCTCAGCTTTTATTTCTTTAACACCAATGTAGAGGGCAGAATAATGGTCCCCTAAATGTGTCCATGCCCGAACCCACAGAACCTGTGAATATGTTACCTAACATGGCAGAAATACTCTGCAGAGGTGATGAAGGGTATGGCCCTTGTGAAGAGAAGATTATCCTAAATTATTCAAGTGGGTTCAATTTAATCACATGGGTTCTTAAAATTGATGGCCCTTTCCTGGATGAGTTCAGAGTCAGAAGAAGATGTGACTGAGAAAGAAGGCTCAGAGAGATGCCACATTGCTGGTTGCTGACTTTGAAGATGGAGGTGGTGGCCATGAGCCAGGGAAATTAGGAAGCTTCTAGAAGCTGGAGAAGTAAAGAAATGGACGATTTCCTGAAGCCTCCAGAAAAAAATATTGCTTTGCCAGCAACATAATTTTTATCCAATGAGACCCACTTGGGTTGGACTTCTAACATACCAAACTATAAGACAGGAAATTTGTTTTGGTTTAAGCTACTAAATTTGTGCTAACTTACTACAGCAGCAATAAAAAATAATACAATCAATAAATTATCAACAAGTATGTATTGATCGTCTAATTGTGCATGGTGCTTTAAAAATACGTGTATCAGAGTATGAACAATAATACAACAGTTTGTTGTGAAACATAAGAAGATATGAGACTAATATGTAAAATGTTAGAAGTGAGACTCAGTATTTTTAAACAACTTTGATATCCATAGCCATATTATAAGCAAAAAATAATTTAAACAATTTGCCCAAAACCACACAATTAGTATTTGTCTAGTTTTGTCTGAATTCATAGCTGAATTTTCTGAACTCATTCACTCTACTTTTTCTCAGGATTCCTGCTACTGAACAGTTAACTTCCTACGTAGAATATTAACTTGTGGGCCACATATTTATTTTTAATAAAAGTGACATTTCAAAGAAAACTTAGAAGTCTCAAAAATAAATACTTCATGTATTATTTTAATTATATATGAATAACATTCTCTACTATTATTTTAATTAAGATGAGAAATAAAACTCAGAATATACAATATCTATCTTTGGAGTAGCTATGATATTGTGGGGGTGCAGCATGAGAGGTAGTTTTTAAGCATATACTTTGTGTTTACTATTTTTTTAGTTTTATGTTCCCACTTGAATAGAGAAAGAAGTGGTCTCTGAAATACCTCCTCATTAGGCAGGAAGCTTTCTTAGGAATCTATTATTTCTTGATAAAGTTTAAGTGTAGCCTCAATATTCTCTTTTAACTTTCTTTGGGAGTGTAACGCACATATCAATTGGAGACCCTCCTCTGCTCCTTGGAGACGAAAATTACCTTGAGCCTCTTAATATAATTTATGAGAAAGCCCAATAATCTGTCTAGGATTGATGCAAGTTCCTAGGGGTCTTATGTATTCATAGCCTTCTTTACCTCTGGGGTTTCCGAGTCCACATGTGCTGTTCTGCTACCAATATTAACCTTGAGAGACTCCACAACATCAAAAGAATAGATTTTCCTGAAGATATCAATGATGGAGAACAATGGGTTTTGTATCACAAACAATTTTAAATGGAAACATAAGCCTCCTTTTTCTTAAAAAAACATTTTCACATCCTCTGTACTATGACTTCTTTGAAAAATTATCATTTTGCATAGTATTGTAGTAAAATATACATTCCAGTATTGGTATCATGAAGTACATTAACAATGCTATGTAAATATCACCACTATTCATTTCCAGAATTTTCCATTTTCCCAAACTGATTCTGTACCTGTTAAACAATAACTCCCACTCTTTCCTACCTCAGCTCTGGCAATCACCATTCTACTTTCTCTCTCTATGTATTTGACTATTTTAGCTATTTCATATAAGTGGAATGATACATTTTTGTCCAGCTTATTTCATTTCATTTCTTCAAAGTTTATCCAGTTCATCCATGTTTTAGCATGTGTCAGAATGCCTTTTCTTCTTTTTTTTTATTTTTTTTTCTTAGAGACAGAATCTCACTCTGTTCCCCAGGTTGGAGTTTTTTGGCACGATCTCAGCTCACTGCAACCTCTGCCTCCCAGGTTCAAGCGATTCTCCTACCTCAGCCTCACAAGTAGCTGGGATTACAGGTGCCTGCCAGCACACCCGGCTAATTTTTGTATTTTTAGTATAGATGGGGTTTCGCCATGTTGACCAGGCTGGTCTTGAACTCCTGACCTCAGGTGATTTACCCGCCTCGGCCTCCCAAAGTGCTGGGATTACAGGCATGAGCCATCACGTCTGGCTGCCATTTCTTTTTAAGGATGAATAATAGTCCTTTGTGTACATACATACACACACACGCGCACACACACACATACACACACACATATGTATATATAATATATATATCTGTTTATCCATTCATCCGTTAATGGACATTTGGGTTGCTTTCACCTGTTGGCTATTGTGAACAATGCTGCTTTCAACACTTGTGTACAGACTTATTTTGAGTCTCTGCTTCCTGTTCTTTTTTCATTGTTGAGTTTTTGACCTTGCACTTTATTTATATACGGCACTTATTCTTTTTTGTGTCCAGAATCATCTCAATTTATTTTTCTTTCTTACTGCTATGATCTTTCATTTCGCTCCTCTCTCTTTATAACAATAGAGACATTTTCTCTGTCTTAAACAGCGCAAGTTGGCCTAAAGCCTTTGTAAGGCCCTTGCCCTTCTTGGATTTAAATTTTTCCACTGAGAAGTTGGTCAAAGTATTTTCCCAAATGAATATAGTTCCCTTTCTAATATGAATCCCTATACCAACTACTAAACTAAAAGATTCTGTTTTCATCACTTTTTCAGGAGTTCATTTTTTCCCACTGTGAAGGCCTGGATAGAAATTGGGAAGGCCAACTCAGAATATTTTTGTTTTTATACTTTGCAGTTTATTTTTCTGTGTGGATTTAACAGAATAGAGAGACATCTCCTAATAACTCGAATTGGCCATTTTAATATAAGAAGCTATATTTTTAATAATATAAAGTATAGATAACACTTTATAGTATATAATTACATACCATATAATGCTAATATATTATATATAAATATATAACATGCTGTATAATATATAATTATATAAATTATTTTTTCAGAAAAAGTAATTGAAAAACTTCAACCTCCAGAATACATAAATAGCCTAGCTATTTTAGCTCATGCCACAGTTTGCATAATATTTCACAAAATATCCAAAGTAAGACAAGAAAGACTTTTGAGGGGCATGAAAAATAAATTTGGCAGAGGCCAAACTGAAAACAACTGTTTCTCTGGGTAATAAAGGTCCCAAAAGATTAATCAGGTTTTTTATATTACATACTTTGAACTAAAATATTTGTTTTTCCTGAGCAGCGCAATGTTTTTCACATAACACAATGTTAGAAAGTTAGTGCTGTATCATTAAATTCAAATATGTAGTGTAATGTTACATGGTAGTAATCTTGTTGTCGTGAGCCACAGAAAATATGTTTGGTTCATACTGACATTTATTATTAGAAAGGAGAGTTAAGCACCCGATTGAATAATTTGGGAGTAGATCTTGCTGAGACATTAAGACATTTAAATTGGAAGAAAGAAATAATGAAATTTATTCTATAATTGCGTTTAGATAGGTAGACAAATAGAAACAACTGTAAAAGTTTTCTATATATCGTTTTAAAGTAATGTATGCTAGAAAATTACGATTAAAATATTGGATCGGAGAAGACAGAAAGTAAGATTTGATCAAGGAACTCATGTTATCTTTAAGCCTGAGTTTGTATGCTTCTGGGATGACATTATTTGTAACTACTTACGTCTTCCACACGGTTTCCTAGAGAATGGACTATTATAAATGCTTATGAGTTCTAAGACAGATAGTAAACAAAATTACTTAAAATAATAAGATAGAGTCTTAGCAAGTTTCATACTGTATTTTAGGGGGAATCCACAACTATAGCAAACTCCATTTGAATGCTGAACATCTAATTATTTGGAGGCCACAAAATACATATGGTTTATTTCTTAAATATTGATAAACTCTGAATTTATTAGTCATTGAGATGTTCTTAATTTTTTACAACAATTATTTTAGTCATTTAAATGTCATGATTTTATAATTTTTAAAATGGTTTAGCATTGTTTAAAAAGAACATTATCTACTTGTTTTCATAAATACATTTCAGGTTCTTATAATAATACTGGTTGAGGAAAATGTTCACTTCATAAGCAAACTAAATGTGGCAACTAATCACTCAGGCTATTTGCCACCTGGTACAAATATTGAAGAATAGCTCTTACTTCTCTCTAGTGTCATTCAGCAATGAGAAAGCATCATCTACTTTATAAAAGGCCAAGTGGATTGTTAATTAAAAACTAATTACATCAATTAAAAGTCCTAAGTAGTTAATTTGTTCTTAACAATTTTTTATTTACTAGTATAACTAGATATTATTTTTTGGCTATTGTTAATATTACAGAAACATTCATCATAATATCTATGGAAAATAAAATAAATATCCATTAAAATTAAGAACCCATGTCTTTTCAAGCTTGTATTATAAGCTAGCTAAAATGAATTCCTTTTAACTTGTTAATAAATTAGGCACATTCACAATTAGATGAGTTTTTTATTATTATTATTTTTTTGGCAGTGACAGGGTCTCATTATGTTGCCTAGCTTGTCTCAAACTCCTGGCCTCAAGTGACCCTCCCGTCTTGGCCTCCCAAAGCACTGGGATTACAGGCATGAGCCACTGCACCTGGTCTAAGTGTCAATTGATGTAGGAATATATTCTTTAACTCAATGTGATCCTTTTGTATTACTCCAGATTTTAGTGTCAATTTTCCCAACAGGATCACTGTTGATTTTTCAGATAGTTTTTACATCTTGGTATAAATCTCTTTTAGCTTCTGTTTTTTTCCACACACATTAATACATTGTAATTCATTTAAAGAAATAAACCTGTTTTATTTTTGGGGAAAAATTATCTGTCTGCCTTGCATAGAAGCCATGGTATTGTGTTATGTCAATTCTGGTGCCTCTGAGGCTTTTACTGTTCATGAAGTAAATCCAAGTGAGCCACCTAATTTGATTGTTCCCATCAACTCCACTCCAAATTAGGAGAGTCTTTGAGACATTCACAACTGTGACACCATAAATTGTGGTCAACACCTTAACTATGTAGGAACCCCCACTTTAACCCCAGAGTTGATATGAAGATTACTTTATGCTGAAGATTTTTGGGATTCAACAGATGCAGATAGAAGCCTTCTCATAGCTTCCCTTATCTGACTAAAAGCAGAAACTTCTGAGAAATGAGGCTGCCATAAATTCCTTTTTTTAGAGCAGCTTTTACTACCAGGAAGGAGACCAGGAATAAGCCTATTATAAATCCCTTCTCTTGGGGAGTTTTATGGCCATGAAGAAGACAGAAAAACTACTTGCACCTGAATGAACAAGCAATATCACAAACTTTCTTATCTCCTATTTGTTCTTCTATAAACTTCCCTGTCCTTCCCAAAGAGTCCCACTCCCTTTTCCCTACTAAGTTAGTATATAAGCCTGTAACTTTAACCATTTATTAAGCTACTTCTTTTGTAAACACCTGTATGCATAGAAATACATTTTTTTTGTCTTCTGTTAATCTGTTGTCAGTTTAATTTGCAGGCCTCCAGGACTTAACCTAAGAGGGTAGAGAAAAGGTTTTTCTCCCTATCAACTACCTTTTCTCTTGGAATGAGATTGTAGGTAGGACTTGAGAATGTATAACTTCCTCACAGGATGTAATAACACCTTAGATTAATTCAGCTCCTAAAGTTCACAAGGCATTCCATAAATATTCACTTATTTAATCCTTATAATAACAATGTGAAATAAGACAGTATTAAATTTTAATAATCATTATTTATACAGAAACTAATAAAAAATTATAAATTAAAATTTATTTTAAATAGAAGTTCAGATTTTACCTCAAACTTTCAACGTTTCTTGAAATTTTATTGTTTCACTTTTTTGAAAAGGGGAATAAGCATCAATAAATTATAAGACTATTAACCTAATTTTATTAGAAAATATAATAATGCTTGCCATTTATCATGAACATTTTAGATGTGAGTCACTGTGCTAAGAAGTGTTTTATGTTGTGAACCCCCCAAATTTGAGAAAGGTCTCAGTTAATTTAGAATGTTCATTTTGCCAAGGTTGAGGATGCACGCCATGACATAACCTCAAGAAGTCCTGATGACACGTGCTCAAGGTGGTCGGGGCACAGCTTGGTTTTATACATCTTAGAGAGACATGAGACATCGATCAATGTATGTAAGAAGTGCATTGGTTCTGTCCAGGAAAGGTGGCAACAACCCCAAGCAGGTAGGGGGCTTCCAGGTCCCAGGTAGGTGAGAGACAAACGGTTGCATTCTTTTGAGTTTCCGATAAGCCTTTCCAAAGGAGGCAGTCAGAATATGCATCTATCTCAGTGAGCAGAGGGATGACTTTGAATAGAATGGGAGGCAAATTTGCCCCAAGCAGTTCCCAGCTTGAAGGGACCCAAGACATTTTCCTTTCACAATGTCTATTACTTCATTAGATTGTCGCAACACCCTATGAGGCAAATTATGATAATAGCTCATATTTATGTTCTGCTTACCATTGTCTGGGTGCAGTCCTAAGTGCTTCCATATGTTCAATCACTTAATAATCACAAGATATTGAAAATGAATCATATACTTTCATTATTATTGAAATGTTATGATGTCAACAGTGGCATGAAGAAGGTAAGAAACTAACCCAAGGTCACATGGCTATTCAGTGGGAGAACCAAATTTCAAATTTAGGAAGCCTGACTCCATATTCTTCACCATTATGTTTACTGCTTTCTAGTAAATAAACATTTCAGCAGAACACAGTAAAAAAAGTTGGTGGTCAATGAAAGCTGCTCTTCTCTCTTCCTTTCCTGCCCAGTGTACAAGTAAAGGAACTAAAAGAAAAAAGAAAGCAACCACATTAAGAAGTGAAGCTGAACTCAAACCAGTCTTACATTTCAGTTTAGTGCTAAGTTCTATTCATTTATTTATTTCCTTCTCTACATCACAGCTGTCTTATGCACACTTCTGTGCTAGCTGAAATTAACACTCCTGCTTTGGCAGTCAAATTTCTTGATTATATACATTGTAGTTTTCGTGAGGATGCTTTAAAATCAGACCATTTCAAAAACAAATTTCTTTTCATATCTTATATGCATTGGGAAGAAGTTTTCCAAACATATTAAATCCTCCCATCCCAGAAATTCTCAAGGCTAAATGAACACAGCATTTAACAGTAATAGACTACTTTTCAAGTACCCATGCAAGATATTGGAGAAGCCTTAAAAGACCAACATACATTTACAAAACAATGGTTTGGATAATAGCACTTGTCTTAAGTATTAAAGTACCGTCATATAGAGACTGAATTAGAAACCTATTCTCCAGTTTTATTTATTTCCCACAAGAAATAAATGAGCACTCTGAGATTAGAGAAGAATCACTTTACTGGGGAGCAGTTGAATTTTTAAATCTTAGTAACCTATAACTTGTATTGTGGTAGCTTGATTAATTTTTATCTTCCCCTCAATGACCAGAAGGAGCTCCTTGAAAGGAATGATCATATCTTATTTATTTATTTGCATTTCTAGTGCTTAGCACTTATAAACCTGTCCTTACCTGCCTCGCTCTCATTTTAGTCATAAGCTTAATCCTGCCCACCTGTGTTCTGAAATGTATGCTTTCACACTACTTCAAGGACCACCCTCCATTAAGTATGCCCTGTCTCATGCATTTCTCAGCTGGTTCTACCTTAAAGCTTTAAACACACTGTGCTCTGTTCATATTTAAAAGCAACTACAGCCAAGCCTCAGAACTCCCCTAGCCCTAAGTCCTCATTAATAAACACAAGATTTATTTCATTTCAAAGCCAAAATTTTATAAAAATAATCTGTTCTTTTAATCTCTAATTTGAATACATGTATTGTCTAACACATTCTGGTCTGACTTCATTTACTATAAGTCCAATAAAACTGCTCTAACTATGGTTACATGGTTATTTAGCAATGTTCTCACTACATTAGATGAAGGAATATTATTCAGTTCTTATTACTGATGCTTAAACTACTCAATACGTAACAATTCTCTCCTTCATGACTGAGTTCTGAAACAGTTGAGAAATAGGACATAGGTCAGTGGAAATAGAGATTAAAATGTCAGCATATCACTTATAATACATAAGTCAAAGGACATGGATTCTCTGTGTGGCTAAATAGGCTTTCTTACCCTCCCATGAATGAAATGTACCAGCCAAGCAATAGGCAAGACCCTTTGCCATAGCAGGGGATAGATGGGAAGGCATCGTATCTTCAGGCTCCTTCTTCCAACTCACGCTTCTGATTTGTCACTCTGTGGGTAAAGGGCAGCCAGAAAAGTTACTTTAAGAACAATTTATTTACATGGATTATGAGCCCAGAAATAAAAGTGATTCCTCTGTTGCACTTTTCCTACTTGGTCTCTTTTTATATTTGACACAGTTATTATATGCTTACCATTGAACTTCTTCCTTAGCCTTGGTGATGGCCATTTAATTCTAATTGCTAGCGTACATCTTTTATTGTTTCTTTTCAAACTCCTTCATGTTTTTTTTTTTAAATTTAACTTTTAAAATGAGTTTTTCTTTAAGATTCTATTCTTCATTTTCTCTTTATATGCTGCTATAATTTGAATACTTGCCCCTCCAAACCTATGTTGATATTTGATCCCCGGTGTTGAAGATGGGGCTTAATGGGAGGTGTTTGTTCATAGCAGATCTCTCATAAATGCTTTGTTGCCATCCTCCTGGTAATGAATAATTTCTTGCCCTATTATTTTCCATGAAAGCTGGTTGTTGAAAAAAAGAAGGCACCTCCACTCTGCCTTTCTTGCTTCCTCTCCTGTTAGGTAATCTCTGCACATGTTGGCTCCTTCACTCCTGCCATGACTGGAGTCTTCCTGAAGCCCTCACCAGAAGCAGATGCTGATTCCATGTTTCTCATACAATCTGTGGAACCATGAGCCAAATAAATTTCTTCTCTTTATAAATTACCCAATCTTAGGTATTCCTGTATAGTAACACATATGGAGTAAAACATACTATAGGCTGACCTTGGGTCATTTGCTATATATCTGTCAATTTATTTTCCACTTTTGTAATGTTGATTTAGAATAGATACCTCTAGTTCAGATCTCTTTTCAGGGTCTAAAACCCATATATTAAACCATCTATTAGAGTTTTCGCAGGATGTCTGATAAGCAATTCAAATTCAGTATCCATACTTGAACTCATAATCTTTCCTCTCAAATTATCTCCATAAAATTTGCATTATTTCTTACCTTAGACACACAAGCATTGTCCTTTAACTCCCTCTTTTTTGCCCTAAAAATCTAATAGTTTCATTGTGTTACAAATTTTTACCTTTCTTTCATGTCTCTTCTCAAACTTTGAATTCATGTCTTCATTTGTACTTTGATAAGAACAATAGCCTCCAGATTTGTATTCCAGACCCAGTAATTTTATTTCCCTGTAATCAATTTTCCAAATGATTGATGGAGTAAGCTTTAAAAAAAATGTAAATATGGCTTTACTGTGATCACACTCAATGCCTTAGCTCAGATAATTTGACACAAAGAACTTGGTCAATCACTGGTAAAAACAAGTTAATTGATTACATATTTTATTGAAACTAAAATTCAGTTAAAGTTTTTTAGACCTTTCTTTTTTCAAGTGTTATACATAAATATCATACCCATTGGTTCTATGAGACAGTTTTTACGTTTTTATGTGACCTAAGTGTTTTTGTCTTTCTGAAATTGTTCTCCAAGTCAATTAGTTTCGTTTGCCTCTGTACATAATTGAAAATTTGAAAACAATATAAATATTATAAAATGTTAAAAACTGTAGAGAACTTCAGTGGTTAATAATAGGGGATTGGTTGAATACAACTTTTGGTTACAAAATAATATGCATATTATACTTTTAAAAAAAATTTGCATCAAATTTTTTTGATGCAAAAAGAAAATTTTTCTCTTAGTAAATTCTAAATTAAAATGAAATAGGATACTAAAAAAGAAATTGTCTTTGCGTTGATAGGTGATTCTTTGCTATTTTTGCTAGCTTTTCTGATTTATTTATATTTTCTAAGATAAATTAAAATTTTGCTTTTAATACAAATAATTAAGAATAATGTAAAAAAAGGAATTTGAATTTTTTGAGGGTTTTCAACATCATTTTTAGGCACTTATTTCTGATCCTACTGGCAATATTTTTGCAGTTTTAAAAATATTCAAAATGTAAATGTCCAATTTGTTATTTTTTAAACAGTTTTCATATTGCAGTAACTACTGTATAGCCTACCATAATTTACAGCCAGTTTTTCACTGTCAAATAATTAGTTGTTCTCACATTTCTCTAATAAATACTACAGAGCAGGAATGATTGTTAGAGAATAAATTAAAAATATGAAGGAATTTCTACTAAAGTCAAGAACAAGGCAAGGATGACTCATCATTTCTTCTCAACATCATACTGAAAGTCTTAGTTAATGCAGTAAAACAAGAAAAGAAAAGCTACTCAGATTGAAATGAAAAAATTGAAACTGTCCTTGTTTGCAGATGACATGATTGTGCATGTAGAAAATATGTACAAGACACAAACTGGATTTGGATTAATTTTAAGAGTGACCAAATGAATAAATGAAAGTTTGTTGAATAATTTACTGCCCAAGATTACTTTGGGGTTCATGTAAAAATATAGCTGTGGGCTGGGCATGGTGGCTCATGCCTGTAATCTCAGCACTTTGGGAAGCTGAGGCGGGTGGATCACTTGAGGTCAGGATTTTGAGACCAGCCTGGCTAACATGGTGAAACCCCATCTCTACTAAAAAATACAAAAATTAGCAGGGCGTAGTGGCAGGTGCCTGTAATACCAGCTACTGGGGAGACTGAGGGAGGAGAATCACTTGAACCTGGGAGGTGGATGTTGAAGTGAGCTGAGATCACGCTACTGCACTTCAGCCTGGGCGACAGAGAGACTCTGCCTTAAAAAAACAAAAACAAAAACAAATATATATAAACATTATATATATGGATAATATATATATATACATTTTTTGAGACATATATATACAAATATGTATGTGTTATATATATATAACATATATAACACACATATATATAACACATATAATACATATACATATATAATATATATAACATATATAATATATATAACATATATATATAAAACATATATATGTATGGTTGTGGAAACTAAGCTTGGGTCCAAAATCCTCTTCTAGGTACAACTGTTTTTATTTATATTTTATTTACAAAAGTAAATTCTCCTATTTACCCTTTGTGCAGAGAAAACCTGTTCTCTGTTGGAAAGCTGTTTATTCCTCACTTCTCAAGAGACATTTTAAAAAGCATTTGCTGCTACTGGAGCTTTACTGGTATAGGTGGGTGACAGAAGAGTTTAAACTTCCCAACAACTTATGGTACAAATTTTCCTATTTACAAGTAAAATACCTCCATATACTTCTAGTATTATCTGCAATTAAGCATTTAAATGATGAAAGTAATCCTACAACAAACAGCAAATCAAAATGAAATAAAACATATTAAATATTTAATCCTCCAAAAATTACACAGAAACACAATATTAACATATATACTTAATGACTGAGAAGTTGGCATTTATAATCTAAACTGTGATAGAGCTCAACCTTGAATTATTTGCTGAATTTTATCCCATTTCTTGCTCTTTAAAAATATTGACTTCTCTGAGTTTTTTTCTCTCTTTAGCATGCATCTCAACAGCAGAAACAAATACTAACAGCTTGCAATTTCTCTCTCTCCAAATAAAGCTATAATTGCCAAAAAGCATGTGCAATGTCACGGAAAGACCCTGGAACACTAAAACTGCCCATCTCCATATAGGTGTGATTTGGTAGGAAAAAGAAAGAACTGTATCATTGTGTATTGTTTTTTCAGTGTCGCTGTTCTAAAACAATTCCAAAACTTTGCCTTTTTTCAAGCAGATCAGAACTAAAAAGGGTTTAAACCTTCATCTGGGAAACTAAACGGACACTCCAATGTTATTCTTGTAATGGCTGATTGATAGATGAGGTGGCATCTGTCAACCACAAAACTTCCTAATGCTTTAGTGCAGTGTTTATTTAGCAGCTGAATATAAGACACAGCTTGAAGCTCATAATGGCTGCCACAAGTTTCATTGAGTTGATATTGCCTTTGTCTTTGAAAGAGAGTTTTCTCCAGGCTTGATCAGTAACAGAAATAGTTTTGTCTTTCTACTGGACAGAATAAGAGCTGGCTCTCTGTGAAATGGACATATTACCCTCCTCACAGAGTGGTGCATCTCAGAAAGACATTCTCATCAAAAGGGAATTACAGTTTTTAATCAAGAACATCAAGGTCGAACTGTTACAGTTACAAGCAATAGAAAAAAAGAACATGGCACATATATTGTATGCCAAAATTTACTTGGAAAAATTATTCAGTTTTTGAATATTTGATAATTTTTGCTTTTGTTGTTCTTAAACTGAGGCTTTTATGTGTGTTAACAGCTAAGTGTCTCAATTTGTTTTCCCTATTAAGACAAGATTGCACATTTGCTTTTCATAGAGGAGCATTACGTTGCCCATACTTAGTCTGAGCCAGCTTCCCACCTTCGAAAATATAATCACAACCACATTTTAACTTTTCTCCTTGAGAATTTTTGGTTCATGTATGAGAGGAAACAAAGTGTGTCCTAGTCTTTCATTCTATATTTTGTAGAGGAAGTTCTTCATTTTATATTATAAACTTCCTGCCTTTTGGATTAAAAAGTTTGAAGCTTCCTTCTGCAAAAATTTGATTTTTATTATCTTAGAATCTTACCCTTAATCAGAGGAGACTAAGGTTATGCAAAGAAAATGTTGACAGAATAAGATACTAGGGGCTTAGGGCAATGTGTCCAGCCACACCCTTGAAAGTAATAATGAGAATGTGGCTGGAGAGAGGACCAGATTGGATGAGATTCTAGCATCTGCTTTAAAATAAAAACTGTTGGGCTTGTGTTCAGTTATTTGGTGAAGTTTTCCCTATCAAAATTATTTCTTTTATTCATTTGCTAATGATAATCTTTAAATAAATGTTAATAGCCCATAGTTCTACTCTGCTAAAAAGAACTATCTCTACATAGTTTTACATCATCTGAAATTCTTATTAATCTCTGCAAGGAGGGATGATTTATCCAGAAGCCTTAAGCTCCTGGCTCTACTTTATATTTCTACCTGCCAAGTGGGCTTTGAACATTTTGCTATGAGCCAAAAGGTTTATGAAAATGAACAGATTGTCCCTCTCTACCCCATACGATGAACCCAATTCATACAAAAGCACACTCATTTTCATGGATATTTGACTTTAACATAGAGTAAAATAATTTTTAGCTCATTTTTTCAACACTTATTTCCAAGTCCCATCAAATCATTGTAATTTCTGACATTTAGCTGTGACTTGTTCTTTTCCACTGCCACTATCACTTCTCAAGTCTCACATGCTTTATTTTTCAGCTGTCTTTCAGCTATCTCTGTTCTCTTGCTCTAAACATTATGCATATGCTTGCTAGACTAACCTTTAAATTTTATGTTCACTAATAACTTACAATTTCTCAGTTAAAAATCTTTAACTGCTTTCTTTTGCATAGAACTCAGTTAAAAATCTTTAATTATTTTCCTTTGCACAAATATCAAACTCAAGACCTCCTGAGGGTCATACTAGAGTTATATCATACCAGAAAATATGAAAGCATGGGGAAAGATTACTAGAGGGAATTGGCTAGGAACAAATTTTTGGAAAAATGTTAATTTTCAAAAATTTGTAAAAGTATAGTTTTTGAATGTTTTTACATATTTGAACATTTTAAGTATAAGGTAGATGATATCACAAATTTGTGTTCTCATCTTAAATATTTATATCCATTTAGTAGACACTAGATGTTACAGTCCAGGTTAGTCATATTTATCATGATTTAGTGGTATATGTTCAAGTTTTAATCAGTATAAAAATCCGGGTGGGCGTGGTGGCCCACGTCTGTAATCCCAGCACTTTGGGAGGCCGAGGTGTGTGGATCACTTGAGGCCTGGAGTGCGAGACCAACCTGGCCAACATGGCAAAACCCAGTTTCTACTAAAAATATTTTAAAAATTAGCCGGATGTGGTGGTGGGTGCCTGTAATCCCAGCTACTCGGGAGGCTGAGGCAGGAGAATTGCTTGCCCCTGGGAGGTGGAGTGGCAGTGAGCTGAGATCGCGCCACTGCACTCCAGCCTGGGGGACAGAGTAAGACTCTGTCTCAAAAAAAAGAAAAGAAAAAAATCATTTTTGGCATTCTTGGCATTTCTTTTTTTAAAGAATTGTGTTCATGCTATAGATATTTGGCTATATTTTCAATAATTTAATTATTTGTAATAGATCAAGAAAATGTACCTAAAGCAAATTGATTTGAGATTACTTTCTAAGTTGCATACAAATGTTAGAGAATACATACATAAGACCTGTTGGGATATCATTCATTGGAAATAACTCACAACGTTAGAACCAGTAGCAGGCTTAAAGGTCACTCACTTCCCACCGGGCTGTGAGGCTTTTAAACTGCATGAGTAGGAAAGTATATCCTCTTCCTTGGCGTGATCAAGGTCTGGGGTCAACTCTTATTCTTGAAACTGTATGATATAACAAGTTAGTGGCATATTTCAAAACAAAAGTTCTCATGGTTGGAGATGTATCAGTCTATCTTTTTAGTCAAATCATTAGACTGGGGTCCAGTCTTGAAAACTGATCAGGATTAATTAAAGTAAGCCCAAGGTTATGACAAGTTTCCACAGGGATTTGCAATAGGCCAACTCCTTTTCTGAGCGGCCAGCCTGAGAAGATAAGTTTTAGCTAAGGGATTGTGTCTTTTACCAGACATTAGTTTGAGTTTTATAAAAGCATGGACCTGGAAGTGGAGCCAAGATGGCTGAATAAAGGCAGCTCCTCTCTAGGGCTCCCACTGAGAAGGACAAAAACTGCGAGTGAATTCTGAATCTTCAATTTAGGTACCAAAGTTCTCTTCTTGGGACTGACTAGGTGACTGGCATGACCCACTGAGAGTGAGCAAAAACAGGGTGGAGCAAGACCCCCACCAGGGAGCTGCATGCAGCAAAGGAACTACTTCCCACAGCCAAGGGAGAGGGTGAAGGACTGTGCTTCCCCTCACTGAAAACCAGGCTTTTCCCACAGATCCTTGCAACCTGTGGGTTAGGAGGTCCCCTCCTGGGCCCATGCTACCAGAGCCTTGGGTCCCAAGCACAAAGCTGTGGAGAATCACAGTGGCTGCTCTGGTCGGCAGCTGCTTTCAGCAGGCACTGAGATACAGGAGTATTTGCATACTCCAGCTCTGGCAACTCCCTTGAGGCAGGAGATCTGATCCGTCCATCTTGCGGGAAGGGGGCTGAAGTCAGGTAACTGAGCAGCCATGCTCCCATGGAACTCCAAAAGCTAAAATCCACTGGCTTGGCATCACCATCGGCCAGCACAGCCGGCTATAAACTGTCTAACAAGACTGAGTTCCTGGAGGGTAGGGACAGCACCATCACCGTAAGTACATTCCACTGCTTTCCCTTGTCACCGGTGCCAGTGAGATGGGGTGAGACCCGCATCCACTCCTCCTCACTGGGTGGGGCCTCCTTGTAGGAATCTCAGCATCCCCAGCCAAGGGTTTATGGACAGAACACTGATAACCCTAAGAAGAGCCCCTAGGAGGAGGGGTGGCTGCAGTATCCTGAATCAGAGATCTTACTCTTTTCTGCCTGCTGCCTCTGGAGAGTCAGGGCAGCCCAGACCAGGGGGATTCCCCCCAGTGCAGCACAACTGCCCTGCCAAAAGGCACACAGACTGCTTATTTAAGCGAATTTCTGATCCAGCTCCTCTTGACAGAGTGAGACCTCCTAACAAGAGTCTGCAGACACGTCATACAGAAGCATTCCGGCTGGCATAAGGCCAGTGCCCCTCTGGAACAGAGCTCCCAGAAGAAGGAGCAGGCTGCCATCTTTGCTGGTCTGCAGCCTTACCTCGTTATATCTCCAGGGATGGGAGGGACCCAGGTGAATAGGGGCTAGAGTGGACCCCAAGCAAACCTCAGCAGCCCTACAGAAAAGGGGCCTTACTGCTAAAAGAAAAACAAACTGAATGCAACAACATCAATGAAAATGACACCACAAAAACCCCATCCAAAAGTTAGCAGCCTCAAAGATCAAAGATAAATACACCCATGAAGATGAGAAAGAATCAATGCACAAATGCTGAAAACTCAAAAAGCCACAGTGTTTTTTCTCCAAAAGATTGCAACATGTCGGCCGGGCGCGGTGGCTCATGCCTGTAATCCCAGCACTTCGGAAGGCCAAGGCAGGTGGATCACGAGGTCGGGAGATCTTGACCATCCTGGCTAACACAGTGAAACCCTATCTCTACTAAAAAAATACAAAAAATTGGCTGGGCTTGGTGGTGGCGGGAGCCTGTAGTCCCAGCTACTCAGGAGGCTGAGGCAGGAGAATGGCGTGAATGTGCCGGGAGGCGGAGCTTGCAGTGAGCCGAGATCGTGCCACTGCACTCCAGCCTGGGCGACAGAGCAAGACTCTGTCTCAAAAAAAAAAAAAAAAAAAAAGATTGCAACATGTCTCTATCAAGGGTATAGAACTGGGCTGAGGCTGAAATGGGTGAATTGACAGAAATAAATAGGCTTCTGAAGATGAGTTATGATGAAATTTGCAAGCTAAAGGATTATGTTCTAACTCACTGCAAAGGAACTGAGAATCATTATAAAACATTACAGGAGCTGTTAACCAAAATAACCAGTTTAAAGAGCAACATAAATGATCTGATAGAGCTGAAAAACACAACACAAGAACTTCATAATGCAAACACAAGTATCAATAGCTGAATAGAACAAGTGGAAGAAAGGATATCAGAGCTTGAAGTCTATCTTGCTGAAATAAGGCAGGCAGACAAGATTAGAGAAAAAAGAATAAGAACGAATGAACAAAACTTTTGAGAACTATAGAATTATGTTAAAAGACCAAACCTATGACCGACAGGGCTCCTGAAAGAGACGAGGAGAATGGAACCAAGTTGAAAAACACACTTCAGAATATCATCCAGGAGAACTTCCCCAACCTAGCAAGACAGGCCAACATTCAAATTCAGGAAATCCAGAAAACCCCAGTAAAATACATGAAAAGATCAAGCCCAAGACACACAATCATCAGATTCTCCAAGGTTGAAATGAAGGAAAAAATGTTAAAGGCAGCCGGAAAGAAGGGACAGATCACATATAAAGGGAAGCCCATCAGACTAACAGCAGGCCTCTCAGCAGAAAACCTACAAGCCACATGAGACTGGGGGCCAATTTTCAATATTCTTAAAGAAAATTATTTTCAACCCAGAATTTCATATCCAGCCAAGCTAAGCTTCATAAGTGAAAGAGAAATAAAATTTTTATCAGACAAGCAAATGCTGAAAGAATTCGTCACCACCAGGCCTGCCTTGCAAGAGCTCCTGAAAGAAGCACTAAATAGGAAAAGGAAAAACCATTATCAGCCACTACAAAAAACACACTGAAATACACTAACCAGTGACACTATAAAGCAATATATACACAAATCTGCAAAATAACCATCTAGCATCACGATGTCAGAAGCAAATTTACACGTAACAATATTAACCTTTAATGTAAATGGGCTAAATGTCCCAATTAAAAAACTCAGATTGGCAAGCTGTGTTTTTTAAAGAGTGAAAATTCACTGGTGTGTTGTATTCAAGAGACCCATCTCACATGCAAAGACAAATGTAGACTTAAAATAAAAGGATAGAGGAAAATTTACCAAGCAAATAGAAAACAGAAAAAAAACGGGGTTGCAATCCCAGTTTCTGACAAAACAGACTTTAAACCAACAGAGATTTAAAAAAAAAAGGCAAAGAAGGGCATTACCTATTGGTAAAGCGATCGATTCAACAAGAAGAGTTAACTACCCTAAATATATATGCACCCAATACAGGGGCACCCAAATTCATAAAACAAGTTCTTAGAGGCCTACAAAGAGACACAATAATAGTGAGAGACCTTAACACACCACTGTCAATATTAGACAGATAATTGAGACAGAAAATTAACAAAGATATTCAGGACTTAAGCTCCTCTTTGGATCAAGTGAACCTGATATTTATCTACAGATCTTTCCAGCCCAAAACAACAGAATATACATTCTTCTTGGTGCCACATAGCACTTACTCTAAAATTGATCACATAATTAGAAGTAAATATCTGCTCAGCAAATGCAAAATAACTGAAATCAAAATAGTCTCTCAGACCACAGTGCAATCAAATTAGAACTCAAGAGTAAGAAACTCACTCAAAACCACAGAACTATATGAAAATTGAACAACCTGCTCCTGAATGACTCCTGGGTAAATAATGAAATTAGCACAGAAATCAAGAAGTTATTTGAAACCAGTGAAAACAAAGAGAGAATGTACCAGAATCTCTGAGATGCAGCTGGATATGGTTTGGCTGTGTCGCCATCAAATCTCAACTTGAATTGTATCTTCCAGAAATCCCACATGTTGTGGGAGGGACCCAGGGAGAGGTAATAGAATCATGGGGGCCCGTCTTTCCCAGTGTTATTCTCATGATAGTGAATAAGTCTTATGAGATCTGATGAGTTTATAATGGGTTTCCACTTTTGCTTCTTCCTCATTTTCTCTTGCTGCTGCAATGTAAGAAATGCCTTTCACTTCCTCCCTGATTCTGAGGTCTCCCCAGGCATGTGAAACTGGGTCCAATTAAGTCCAATTAAACCTCTTTTTATTCCCAGTCTTGGGTTTGTCTTTATCAGCAGTATGAATACAAACTAATACACAGCTAAAGCAATGTTAAGAGGGAAATTTATAGCCCTAAATGGCCACATCAAAAATCTAAAATGATCTCAAATCGACACCCTAGCATCACAACAAAGAGAACAAGAGAACCAAGAGCAAACTAACCCCAAAGCCAACAGAAAACAGGAAATAACCAAGATTAGAGCAGAAATGAAGGACATAGAGACAAAAATCTTTTCAAAAAAAATCAGTGAATCCAGGAACAGGTTTTTTGAAAAAAATTAATAAAATAGACCACTAGCCAGACAAATAAAGATGAAAAGAGCGAAGAATCAAATAGACACAATAAAAAATGACAAAGGGGATATCACCACTGACCCCACAGAAATACAAACAGCTATCAGAGAATACTATCACCGGCTCTATGCAAATAAACTAGAAAATCTAGAAGAAATGTATAGATTTCTGAATAGATACACCTTCTCAAGAGTGAACCAGGAAGAAAGTGAATCCCTCAATAGACCAATAACAAGTTCCAAAATTGAGACAGTAAGAGCCTACCAACTGAAAAAAGCTCAGGACCAAATGGGTTGACAGCTGAATTCTACCAAAAATACAAAGAGAGGCTAATATCATTTCTTCTTAAACTATTCCAAGTAACTGAAAAGGAGGGACTCCTCCCTAACTCATTCTATGAGGCCAGCATCATCCTGATACCAAAACCTGGCATAGATACAACAACAACAAAAAAACTTCAGGCCAATATCCCTGATAAACATTGATACAAAAATTCTCAATACAACACAAAAAAGGCCTTTGATAAAATTCAACAATCCTTCATGTTAAAAAGTCTCAATAAACTAGGTATTGAAGGAACATAACTCAACATAATAAGAGCCACTCAGGACAAACCCACGGCCAATATTATATTAAAGCATTCACCTGAAAACTGGGACAAGACACGAATGCCCTCTCTCACGATTCCTATTCAGCATAGTGTTGGAAGTTCTGGCCAAGGCAATCTGGCAAGAGAAAGAAATAAACAGTATTCAAATAGGAAGGGAGGAAGTCAAATTGTCTTTGCAGATGACATGATTGTGTATTTAGAAAACCCAATCATCTCACCCCAAAAGCTCTTTGAGCTGATAAGCAACTTCAGCCAAGTCTCAGGATACAAAATCAATGTGCAGAAGTCACAAGCATTCCTATACACCAACAACAGGCAAGCAGAAGGCCAAATCATGAATGAACTCCCATCAAAATTGCTCATAGAGAATAAAATATCCAGGAATAGAGCTAACAAGGCAAGTGAAGGGCCTCTTCAAGGAGAACTACAAACTGCTGTTCAAGGAAACCAAAGAGGACACAAAGAAAATGGAAAGGTATTCCATATTCATAGATAGAAAGAATCAATATTATAAAAATGGCTATATTGCCCAAAGTAATTTATAGATTCAATCCTAATCCCATAAACTACCATTGGGATTCTTCACAGAATTAGAAAAAAAAAAATTTAAAATTCATACAGAATCAAAAAAGAGCCAGTATAGCCAAGACAATTCTAATCAAAGAGAACGAAGCTGTAGGCATCACACTACCAGACTTCAAACTATACTATAAGGCTACAGTAACTAAAACAGCATGGTACTGGCACAAAAACAGACACGTAGACCAATGGAACAGAATGGAGAACTCAGAAGTAGTATCACACATTTATAACTATCTGATCTTTTATAAACCTGACAAAAACAAGCAATGGGGAAAGGATTCCCTATTTGATAAATGGTGCTGCGAGAAATGGCTTTCCATTTGCAGAAAATTGAAACTGGACCACTTCTTCACACCTTATACAAAAATTAAGTCAATATGGGTTAAAGACTTAAATGTAAAATCCAAAATTATAAAAACTCTAGAAGAAAATCTAGTCAATGCCATTCAGGACATTGGCATGGGCAAAGATTTCATGATAAAATTGCCAAAAGCAATTTCAACAAAAGGCAAAATTGACAAATGGAATCTAATTAAACTAAAGACCTTCTGCACAGCAAAATAAACTATCATCAGAGTGAACAGGCAACCTACAGAGTTGGAGAAAAATTTTGCAATCTATCCATCTGACGAAAGTCTAATATCCAGAATCTACAAGGAACTCACACAAATTTACAAGAAAAAAAAACATTAAAAAGTGGACAAAGGATACAAACAGGCATTTTTTAAAAGAAGACATTCATGGAGCCAACAAACATATGAAAAAAAGCTCAACATCACTGATCATTAGGAAAAAGCAAATCAAAACCACAATGAAATACCATTGCATGCCAGTTAGAATGACCATTATTAAAAAGTTAAGAAACAACACATGCTGGTGATGTTACAGAGAAATAGAAATGCTTTTATACTGTTAATGGGAATGTAAATTAGTTCAACCATTGTGGAAGACGATGTGGCAATTCGTCAAAGATCTAGAACCAGAAACAGCATTTGATGCAGCCATCCCATTACTGGGTATATACCTACAGGAATAGAAATAATTCTATTACAAAGATACATGCACACGTATGTTTATTGCAGCACTATTCAGAATTGCAAAGACATGAATCAACCTAAATGCCCATCATTGATAGACTGAATAAAGAAAATATGGTACATACACCCCATGGAATACTACACAGCCATAAAAAAGAATGAGATTATGTCCCTTGCAGGGACATGGAGGAAGCTGGAAGCCATTATCCTCAGCAAACTAACACAGGAGCAGAAAACCAAACACTGCATGTTCTTGCTTATAAGTAGGACCTGAACAATGAGAACACATCAACACAGGGAGGGGAACAACATATGCTGGGGACTATCAGTGGGTGGAGTGGTGGGAGAGAGAGTAGTAGGAAAAATAACTAATGCATGCTGGGCTTAATACCTAGCTGATGGGTTGATAAGTGCAGTAAACCATCATGGCACACATTTAACTATGTAACAAACCTGCACATACTGCACATGTACCCCAGAACTAAAAATAAAAATTAAAAAGGAAAGAAAATTAAAAAATCATACACCCTACTGTATTTTCAAAACTTTTAAATTAAAAAATAAAGTTTGTATAACTTAGATCCATATCTTACACTTTGCATGAGCATAAATACAATATGGATAATATATGTGAAATAAAATTATAAAAATTCTTGTAAGAACACATATTCTCTATAGACTTGGGGATGAGATATGTTTTCTAGTTTTGGCTCAAAATACTATAGCTGTAAAATATATGCTTGATAGTTTTTCCGAAAAAGAAGAAATAGCATGAAAAGAAAAATAAAGAGGAAGAAGAGGGGCATAGAAAGAGGAGGACAAAAAAGAAGGAGAGAAAAAGGAAGAAAGACAACATAAGTAAAGTCAAGGTAAAATAAAAATCTGGGGAAATATTTAAAATTTATATAGGAAATAATAAATCAGACGCTATAATACAACAACATAAATTAATAAAATGACCAAAAGGGACAAACTATATTAATAGTTCATAGAAAAGGGGCTCTTAAACATACAGAAAAATAGGCGATACCACAATAAGAAAATACAAATAAAAACTGTCATTTTAAAAATTATTTTGGCAAGGTTGTGTAGTAACACAAATTCTCAAACATTATTGTTGTTATTCTAAATTTTGTGAGCCCTGTAGAGAGATACTTGGCAATATCTACTCTAATTTCTATTTCCAAGAACTTATTATATGTATAACTTGAACTGACAAAAACGATATATGTAATATATCAAAACACTGTAATAGCAAAAGATTGAAAACCCCTCAAGTGTTCATCAATACAGATTGCTTGAATGGATTGCGTGGATTACAACACAATCATTTAACTCTATAGAGTTGAATGGAAATAGGTGTCTTTTCCCCAATTTATGTTTTTGTTTGCTTTGTTAAAGATTAGTTCACTGTAAGTATTTGGCTTTATTTCTGGGTTTTCTGTTCTGTTCTACTGATCTACGTATGATTTTTTATACTGCTACCATGCTGTTTTGGTTATGATAACCTTGTAATACAGTTTGATGTCAGGTAATATGATGCCACCAGGTCACATAATGTGATGCCACTTTGATATGGTAAGATTTCAAAGTATATATAATTTACTGGATTTGTATTACAAGGAAATATAATAAGAACCTATGTTACTATTTCCTTACATATGTTTAAGAGAATCCTACAAGGGTACATATGTCACTAGAACAATGGCTATACTGAAGAATGGTAAGTGGAGGTCAGAAGTTGGCCTGTGTGGGTGGTACAAAATGGGAATGGATACTGTTTATTTCATATTGACCTGTTTATAATTTTCAAACAATATTTTTAATTTAAAATATTATGTTAAAAATGTAAACATATAAAAATAAAGCGACAACGCAAAACTAAATTTTTCTTTTTTTTTGAGATGAACTCTCACTCTGTTGCCCACGCTGGAGTGCAGTGGCGTGATCTAGGCTCACTGCAACCTCCGCCTCCAAGATTCACACCATTCTCCTGCCTCAGCCTTCCGAGTAGCTGGGACTACAGGTACCCGCCACCATGCCCGGCTAATTTTTTGTATTTTTAGTAGAGATGGGGTTTCACCATGTTAGCCAGGTTGGTCTCAATCTCCTGACCTCGTGATTCGCCCACCTTGGCCTACCAAAGTGCTGGGATTACAGGTGTGAGCCACTGTACTGTGTGAAAGTTATTTTGCCTTTATCCTTTCTATTAAATATTCTTTATTTATTTGGATTTAACCAATTTAGTCACAGTATATTTTCTTTAACTTAAGCTGTTTAGACCTTTATTCTGATAATTGTGTGTGTGTGTGTGTGTGTGTGTGTGTGTGTACCTGCTTGAAGCAAGGTAGGCACACTCCTACTAAGGGATTTAACAAATCCCTTCTGTCCCTTGGTGAATTTACCAAGCCAAGAGTTCAGCTTACACACTAAGAAATTTCACTAATTCAGTATACCAATAGTTAACTTATCATTCAGCCAGGAACATACCCATATTTTCAAAGATCATAAGATTATAATATAAAATGGGAATAATAATTTATCTCCTTAAAATAAGATGTATTACCACATAGCAATAGAAATGTCCAAGTTAGTATATACTTCTGCTATGGTTTGCATGTATGCCCCAAAACTCATATGTCGGAAACTTAATCCCCAATGCAACAGTGTTGAGAGATGGAATCATTAAGGGATAATTGGGTCATGAAAACTCTGCCTTCATGCATAGATTAATGAAGTTATTAGGGAGTGGATTAAGTATTATGAAATTGGGTGCCTGAAATTAGAAAACACAATCCTAAAATTTATATGCAACAACAACAACAAAAAACGCCTGCATAGCCAAAGGAAGACTAAACAAAAAGAGCAAACCTGGTGACATCACATTACCCAATTTCAAACTACATTACAAGGCTGTAATTACCAAAACAGCATGGTACCAGTATAAAAAACATGTAGATCAATAGAACAGAACAGAGAACCCAGAAATAAAGCCAAATACTTACAGCCAACTGTTCCTTGACTAAGCAAACAAAAACATAAATTGGGGAAAAGACACCCTATTTAATAAATTTTGCTGAGAAAACTCGCTAGTCACATGTAGAATAATGAAACTGGATCTCTGTCTCTCACCTTATATAAAAATCAACTCAAGATGGATCAAATACTTAAATCTAAGACCTGAAATCGTAAAAGTTCTAAAAGATAACCTTGGAAAACTCTTCTGGACATTGGCCTAGGCAAAGAATTTGTAACTAAAACCCCAAAAGCAAATGCAACTAAAACAAGAATAAATAAATGAAACCTGATTAAACTAAAAGGCTTCTGCTCAGCAAAAGAAATAATCAGCAGAGTAAAAAGACAACTCACAGAATAGGAGAAGATATTTGCAAAGTATGCATCTGACAAAGGACTGGTATCCAGACTCTACAAGGAACTCGGACAAATCAGCCAAAAAAATAAAAAATTAAAAATTTAAAAAAAATCCTATCAAAAAGTGAGCAAATGACATTAATAGACATTTCTCAAAAGAAGATATACAAATGGCCAACAAACATATGAATAAATGCTCAACAGCAATAATCAATAGGGAAATGAAAACTAAAACCACAATGAGGTACCACCTTACTCCTAC
The DNA here is from genome assembly GCF_000001405.40 of Homo sapiens. NCBI lineage: Eukaryota > Metazoa > Chordata > Mammalia > Primates > Hominidae > Homo > Homo sapiens. The sequence goes on from NC_000003.12 coordinate 94,685,827, forward strand.
AAGAATGGCTTTTGTTAAAAAGTCACAGTGGATGTTGGAATGGATGTGATGAAAGGGGAATGCTTATACACTGCTAGAATGTAAATTAGTACAACCACTATGAAAAAGAGTATGGAGATTTCCTAAAGAATTAAAAGTAGATCTGCCAGTTGATTCAACTGGGTATCTACTCAAAGGAAAATAAGTCATTATATGAAAAAGACACATGCACAAGTATGTTTATTGCAGCACAATTCACAGTTGCAAAGATATGGAACCAACCTAAGTGCCCATCAACCAACGAATGGATAAATAAAATGTGATATATATATGTATACCATAGAATACTACTTAACCATAAAACAAAACAAAATAATGTCTTTTGCAGCAACTACAAAGGAGCTGGAGGTCATTATTCTAAGTAAAGTAATTTAGGAATGAAAAACCAAGTACTGCTTGTTCTCACTTCTCAGTGGGAGCTAAACTATGAGTATACAAAGGCATATAGAGTAATATAATGGGCTTTCAAAACTCAGAAGGGGGAGAGTGGGAAGGGTGTGTGGGATAAAAACCTACGTATTGGGTACAGTTTACACTACTCAGGTGATGCATACACTAAAATCTCAGAATTCACCACTATATGATTCATCCATGTAATCCAAAACCACTCAAACTGCAAAAGCTATTTAAACAAAAACAAAAAAAGAGCAAAAAATAAAATATTAAAATAAAAAGAAACTGCTTCTACATTTGGGCCATATTGAGGATGGTTTTCTCCACCTCAAAGTAATATAAATATAACCTACAAAAAAAAGTATGAGTTTGGCTCCTTTCATCCCTCTCTCTCTCTCTCTCTCTCACCCCCCACCGTCATTTCTCTCACTGTCTGTCTCGTGTGTGTGCCCTCTCTTTACTTTTTACCTTTCACTATGGAATAACACAGCTCCAAGGTTCTCACCACAAATGCTGATGCTATGCTCTTGGACTTCTCAACTTCCAGAACTGTGAGACAAATTTTTATTCATTATAAATTAACCAGTCTTGGTATTCTGTTATAGCAGCACTAAATGAACTAAAATAACTCCTTACATTTAGTTGGTCAATTTTCACTGAGTATAGACCCTAAACATCCCTTATATCTTTCAACTTTTGTCTGTCTCTAATGTAAACACTGTAATCTAGCAGGTCACCATCACTGCTCCTTAGTACAACTTTTACATTTGCATCCTTGGGTCCTTGTTTTTGACAGATTTCTAAATTGAAATTTTATCATATAACTCTCATGATTAGAAACCTTTAATATATTTATACTGTAATAACAATAATGTCTATATATCTTAACTTAGTTTTTAAAATACCAGAATGATTTGATTTCTACCTGCCTCCCTCCCTAGCCTTATTCTTCATAAGTCCCTACCACCTTGACGCTCTCTACTTCAAAACACTGATGGTTTTACTGCAGAATTCTACCAAACTTATAAAGAGGAATTAATACCAATTATCCCCAATCTATTAAAAAAATAAAGAGAAAGGAATTATTTCTAACTCATTCTATGAGGCCAGCATTAGCCTGATACCAAACCCGGATAAGGAGACAACCAAAAAAAGAAAACTACAGGCCAATGTCTCTGATGAAAATAGATGTAATTTCCTCAACAAACTACTAGCTAACTGAATGAAATAGCATATCAAAAACATAATAAATTATAATCAGGTGATATTTATCCCAGGGATGCAAGGATGGTTCAGCACATGCAAATCAATAAATATGATGCATCACGTCAACAGAACAAAGAATAAAATCCATATAATCATCTCAATAGGCACAGAAAGCATTTGACAAAATTCAACATTCCTTCATGATAAAAAGTCTCAACAAACTAGGCATACAAGAAATATACTTCAATATAATGAAGGCAGTCTAGGACACACCCACAGCTAATATCATACTGAATGAGGAAAGGCTGAAGACATTTTCTCTCAGAACTGGAAAAAGACAAGGACACTTATTTCAACACTCCTATTTAACATAGTACTAGAAGTCCAAGCCAGAGTAATCAAACAAGAGAAAGAAATTAAAAGTGTTCAGTTGGAAAAGAGAAAGTCAAATTGTCTCTCTTTGTAGATGACATGATGTTATATTTAGAAAAACCTAAAGACTTCACCAAAAACCTCTTAATATCTGATAAACAAATTCAGTAAAGTTTCAGGATACAAAATGAACATAGAAAAATCAATATCATTTCTAAATTACAATAATGAATTAGCAGAAAAATAAATGAAAGACAATCCTATTTGCAATAGCTTAAGAAAAACAGAATAAATTTAATCACGGAGTAAAAGACCTCTATAAAGAAAACTACAAAACACTAATAAAAGAAATGGAAGAGGACACAAAAGAATGGAAAAACATTCCATGCTCATGGATCAGAAGAATTAATATCATTAAGATGACCATATTACTCAAAGCAATCTACACATTCAATGCAATCCCTATCAAAATATCAGCAACATTTTCACAGAAATTATAAAAGACAATTCTAAATTTTGCATAAATTGACCATAAAAAAAACCCATACAGTCAAAGCAATCCTGAGCAAATATAGCAAAGCTAGAAGCATCACACTATCTGACTTTAAAATATATTACAGGGCTATAGTAACCCAAACAGCATGGTGTTAGTATAAAAAGAGGTGTATAGACAAATGGAATAGAATAGAGAACCCAGAAATAAATGAACACACCTACAGTGAACTCACTTTTTACAAAGGTGCCAAGAAGATACACTGGAGAAAAGACAGCCTCTTCAAAAAATGGTTCTGGGAAAACTGGATATGCATGAAACTATACCCCTGTCTCTTACTATGTATAAAAATCAACTCAAAATGGAGTAAAGACTTAAATCTAAGATCCAAAACCATATATCTACTAGAAGAAAATATTGGGAAAACACTCCAGGACATTGCACTAGACTAAGATTTTGTGACTAAGACCTGCAAAGAAAAGGAAATCAAAGCAAAAATAGACCAATGGGATTATATCAAGCTAAAGAGCTTCTTAATCAAAGGAAACAATCAACAGAATGAAAAGAGAACCTGTTGAAGTGGGAGAAAATATTTGCAAACTATTCATTAGATAAGAGACTAATATCCAGAATATACAAGAAATACAAACAACTCAACAGCAAATAATAATAATAATCCCATTAAAATGTTGGCAAAGGACATAAACAGATATTTTTCAAAAGAAGTCACATAAATGGCCAACAGAAATATGACAAAATGCTCATCGTCACTAATCAGGGAAATGAAATTGAAAACATAATGAAATATTATCTTACTCCAGTGTGAATGGCTATTACTAAAAGGCAGAATATAATGAATGCTGATGAAGGTGTGGAGAAAAGAAAATTTTATATATTGTTGGTGAGAATGTAAATTTGTACAGTCATTTGGAAAAAAAAGTGTGGAGATTTATCAGAAATACTAAAAATCAAACTATGATCCAGCAATCTCATTACTGGGTATTTATCTAAAGGAAAGAAAATTAGTATATCAAAATAATATCTGCACTCCCATGTCTATTGCAGCACTATTCATAATAGCCAGGATGTGAAATCAACCTAAGTATGCATCAACAGATAAATTGATTTTTTTAAAAAAGTTGTATAGATACACAATAAAATACTATTTTGCCACAAAAATAATAAAATTATATAGTTTGCAGCAACATAAATGGAACTAGAAGGCATTATGTGATGTAAAAGAAGCCAGGCCCCAAAAGACAAATAGCCAAAGTTCTCATTCACGCGTGGGAGCTAAAAACATTAATCTCATGGAGATGGAGAATAGAATAATAACTAACAGAGACTGGGAAGGATGTTGGTCAGGGAAGGGGAGTGAAGGGAAGTTGGTTAATGGATACAAATATACAATTAGAAGAAAGGAATTCTAATGGTCAATAGCAGAGTAGGGTGACTATACTTTGTTTTATTGATAAAATTTATTTTTGTAAAATACATTGCTAACAACATGTATTGTCTATTCAAAATATCTAGATGAAAGACCTTGAAATGTTCCCAACACATAGAAATGATAAATGCTCAAGGTGATTGATATCCTAAACAGCCTGACTTAATCACTGCATATCCTATGCATGTAAAAAAATACTGCATGTACACCATAAATATGCACAAATATTATGTGTCAACAATTTTTAAGAAATATTAATTTTCTTTTAGTTTATTGAATGTGTTGTGCTCTTTCTCAACTCAGGATCTTTGCATATGTTCTTACACCCTCTTAGATGAGTGACTTTCCACACTCCTTCCCCTTCACTTGGATAACTATCTTTTCATTTTAGCTTAATGAAATTTCTTTGAAGAAGTACTCCCTTCTTCCATTTTAAATATATAGATATGTTATGTCCCTGACATAATTTCCCCCATAAGATCCTTAGCTCTCTTGCATAACAGTCATCACACTTTATTGCAAGTGCTTCTCTAATTGTCTGTGTTCCTCAATAGAGTGTAAACTCAAGGAGGATGGGGATGATGGCAGTATTTCTTACTTTTTTTTTTCTTATCATCTAACATAATTTTGGACAATGTAAAAGGCTCCTAAAATATTGCTGAGTGAGGAAAGAAGTCCTCTTAGTATTGATTTCTAATTCTACAATGATAGCTTTAATGGCTCTATGAGGTGGATAACTTGAAGTCGGCATGAGAAACACGTTTCCTCTATAGTAATTGATGTTAATTGACCTCCCATGATAATTCATATTATGATCAGGAATCTAGAGATTGGACAGTTTGTTAGTCCGTTTGGGTTGCTATAACAACCTACCATGAACTGGGTAGTTTTGTAAGTAACAGGAACATATTTGTTGCAGTTCCGGAGGTGAGGAATTCCAATATCAAGGCACTAGTAGATTTAGTTTCTGGTGAGTACCCACCTTCTGGTTCATAGATGGCACCTTCAAATTTTAACTGTGTCCTTTCATGGTGGAAGGGGCAAAGGAGCTCTCTGGAGCCTTTTATCATAAGAGAACTAACCCTATTCACGAGGGCTCCACCCTTAGAACCTAATTACCTCCTAAAGGTCCCCACCTTCTGATATCATCACATTGGTGATTAGGTTTCAAAACATGAATTTTGGGGAGACACAAACATTCAGATCATAGCAGACAGTAAACAGGTCAATGAAATAAATGGATATTAAAGACATCTGGTAAAATACTCTGATGCATTTATCTGACCACAGGGACACTCAACAATGAATCTCCAACATGCCAGACCACTGGCGAAAGTCCTTTATTTTCTCAATAGTATTTAGAATGGCCTAAAGAAAGTTTAATTCTGTGATTTTATCTGTCACAAATACTTTATGTTTTAATTATTAATTAAATCATTTCTGGTCGACATATTATTTCTTTAAATACACTAAAATTATTGTTTTATTATCAGAGGCAGCCTGCTTTATATCCCAAAGAGCCAGAGAGAATACTATACTTTGCACTTGACTTTCCTGACACATACACAAGGTAAATAATTGATTAACAAATTAATTAAAAGAAACACTGTTGAGAATAAGAAAAAAGTTACTTAGATATTAGATGTAAAACATCATGAAATTCAAGATCATATAGGAAGTTTTGTAGAGGTATAAACACCTAGTGTTCATTCTTAGATATTTTTACTGAGTAAATAAAATAATTTTCAAGAGATTTATGGAAATCAACAAGTTTAAAAAACAGATTATTTGATTTCTTTATTTTCTCCTTTTACTTAATGAATATAATATCACGAGAGTAGATGTTGCACATTTTTACTTTTATAATCTTACTGTAAGATTCTATTGATTTGCTATGTTGGGAAACAGTTATTTCCTTAGACAAAATATGTTAGATTTCAATGTTTGCAGTAGAGTTTATGTTTGTATAGGTACAGATTTATTTACATGAATGCATATGAATAGATATTATTCCCCAGATGCAGAATAGCAAAGTTTGTTATGTCCCTGAAGGCCTGACTCTAATCTCATCTTTACTAGCAACACATTCGTGTCAGACATTTCACACAGTATTTAAGTTTAAAATCTACAAAACAGATGAACACACTGCATTGATTTGAAGACTATCAAAACTATATTGTGCAAAACTTCTAACATCACTGAAGACAGACAGATTTTTTTTTTTTTTCTGAGACAGAGTCTCACTTTGTTGCTCAGGCTGGAGTACAGTGGTGAGATCTGGGGTCACTGCAAACTCTGCCTTTTGTGCTCAAGTGATTCTCCTGCCTCAACCTCCTTAGTAGCTGGGATTGCAGGTGCCAGCCACAACACCCAGTTAATTTTTGTATTTTTAGTAGAGACAGGATTTCACCATGTTGGCCAGGCTTGTCTTGAACTCCTGTCCTCAAGTGATTTGCCTGTCTATGCCTCCCAAAGTGCTGGGATTACAGGTGTGAGCCACCACACCCGGCTCCTGAAGACAGTTTTAATTAAACTTTAATGAATAGCTTTAAGCCACAAGTTCCATAACTTGAATTTTCTTTATAACCAATACATAGATATCCATACAAATTTGAAAGTTGGTAAAATTATGTCAAAAAGCAAAGTGGTAGCTTATTAAAGACATAAATGTCTTGTCTTGTTGACTGAAGAGTTTTCTATTAGATGCAGGGTGTAAATACCAATTTCCAGGGGCTTTTAAAATATATATTTAATTGAACATGTACTTATTTTATATTCTCTTTGCATTAGGTACTGTGTAAGAAACTAAAGATTACAGGAGTAAATAAGGCAAATAGTCTCATTCCTCAAGAAACTTAGAGTCCAGTGTGTAACACAATTGTTAAATAAAGTCATAAAATATGTGATCTTTCATGATTGATTTTTTCACTTAGCAGAATGTTTTCAAGTTTTACTCATGTTGTATCATGTGTCAGTTCTGTTTTTGCTTTTTATTTGCCATTTTGCTATTCCATTGTATGGATATATCATATTTTGTTACTAGGATTCTTGCTGTGGCCATTGGTAGAAGCATCCGTACTATGGAGTGTAAGACATAGAACCAAAGAACTGAGAGTTGTAGGAGAGAGAAACACAAATTCTCCCAGTAATTTCACTAGGAATGATAAAGAAATAAGGCCACTCCAACTTCCACTCTGTGGTTCTTTTTTGAAATAATTTGTATCTATGTATTTTTTTAAACTGTTATTTTAGGTTCAGGTGTATATGTGCAGCCTTGTTATATAGGTAGACTCATGCCATGGGGGTTTGTTGTACCATGTGATTCTTGAACTCATGTGTTCAACCTATTAGAAATACAGTAACATATAATGTTCATCGATTTAAGAAAGTTTAAGGAAGGTATACATTGTATCTTGTAGGATGGCTTCCTATACTCTCAGGGTCTGAGCTCCAAGGTTGCAAAAGCCTATTTCATTTTGTCGACCGGCAGCTTCTGAGCATAATATGTGAAGAGGCTAATGGATTTTACGGTTATATAACCACTGTTGAACCTCCTTTGCTGTAAATCGTATCACTCTCTTGAATGAAATATAATGTAGGAATCTATGTTGCTCAATCAAACACTCTGTAAGCCTTTGCGTGGTGATGCTGAGGCCATGTGGAAAGAATAAATGAATATGTACTCTGAATATTGGTTGATTTCTACCAAGATAATTTGCTTTTTACCCCAGGATAGATGAGATCAGTGTAATCAGTCCATCACCAAATGACTAGTTGGTCTTCGTAAGGGATGGTGCCATTGTTGGTCTATATTGTTGAAAATTTTAGTTATTTGGCAGTAGCAGTAACTCAATTGGCTTTGATGAGATAGAATTTATGCTGTTGAACCTATTTACAGGTTCCATTCCTTCTGCTATTGGCTATTGTATTAGTATTTTGGTGGGTCATGACAGTGTTTGGCTGGTATCAACTGCTTGTTAATCCGTCTACTTGGCTATTTGAGGAATCGTCAGTGGTGGATACCCTTTAAACCTGTTAATATATGATAAAAAGATCTTCATACTGTGTCTCTGAATGGACCTACTTACATCTCTCTTCCCATGAATTCCTTGTTTGAAACTTTCTAATTTTATTTTCTTTAACATCACTGACCAATCAGTAAAGACATTTGACACTTGCCATTAATTGCTGTATATGTTTGCCTCCTGCCACATTTTTAGACACAAAGTAAATGACAACATGTATCTTACAAAGCTCTAGCGTTCGGGAAGATTTTACTCACTGCTGCCTTTCAGGGGCTGTAGTGTTGGAGAAGTTTCCTGTTGTACTCGCATCTGAGCAGACTGTTCTGTGAACAAAGCCAGCCTTTTTTTATCCTACATCAGTTGGCCATAAGGGATATCCTTCTTCCTGACATGTAGCAATAAGCAGGAGCCAAAGAATAAATGCGGAAGTGATAATGGTGTGCCCTCTGGGCCATCTGCTCGTGCATCTTACTTGTGCCCCTTGACCCTGTTCTTGTCAGATCCCAGATGTTCCATTTCCATCTTATGATGGATTGCTGTTGGGCCTGCACAAGTTTATGATTTTGTGTATCTGACATAAACCAAAATTATAAAGAATTGTTCTGACTGCATAGTCACAATATGTCCCTCCTTCTATATCATGTCCCAGTAGGAATCCAAGACCTATTATTTGAGTGGCCTATTCTGTGCTGGAAAAGGCACTGTCATGCATGTCACTTATTGGGATGTACTCTCAGAAACAATATCTGTAAAAGATGAACAAAGCAAGATTGGTCAGGGAAAAGAGTTAAACTGTGATGATGTTACAACAGTAACCTCAGTTAATCTCTCAGGGAACTCTGAGGCTTAAATGGCTGTCTAGAGATACCACAAAATGAAGCAAAAGCTTTAGTCTTTGTACCTTGAATCAACCGATTGTCAGAAGCTGCCCCTAAAGAGAGCTTTACCCTTGAACAAATCATTTTGCTGTGAGACATCAGTAAACAACTCTCAGCATCTGGAGAGATGAGTTCCTGGATTCTGAGGTAGACCTGGGTGGTCCACCAAAACCTTGGCTGCATGTGTTCTTCCTAACTAGTCGTGTTTTAAAACACTGATAAGCTCAAAGATGAAGAATAAACTTTACTGTTGATATTTGATGTTTCTTTCATTTCTATTGCCTTTTAAAATTTCTGGGTATGGTGTAAGCTCTTGTAAAGGTTTCAGTTGTTCTGTCTTTGAAATTCTCAAACTTTCCCCACAACTATTAAGGAACTGTTGCCAAGAGAAACCAGCGAGAATGTTTCGAAAGCAGGATAAGGAAGAAAAATAATCCCAGCAAGAGTGTGATTCAGACAAACTTCCACAGAGTGTGATTCAGGTAGTTCCTCCTGATCCTGGGGGATGACTTTGGGTAAATTATGCTACAGATGATGGAACTAGACTTTTGAAGTTTCACATCCTGCAGTCATTGGTCAACTGGAGCATAAACTTCCAGGCTTCTTGCTTTTCACTATAAGGATAAGCAGATCCAGCAAACTTTGTACCATACACTAAAGAAAATCAATGATGTGGGCCAGAAAAGGCAATGGCACACACAAAAAGGAGAGGGACACAGTGTAAGAGTCAAAAAAAAAAAAAAAAAAAAAAAAAAGAGAAAAAGATAGAAAGGAATCTGGACTGAAGACAACAATGTCAGCTACAGGGAGTGATGTTGGAGTATACACTAAAAATACATTTTTTGTGTGTAACCAAAGCTACCTGTATTTCCTTTCTCTTTTCACTTTCTAGCATTTGGGATTATTAAAACACTCAATTATTCCCACTTTTTAATATTGATCAGGGCGATTGCCTGTCTTCTCCTTTTGCTTAGAATGCTTCACTTTTACTTTTTTCCAAGATGATGCAGAAAATTAGCGTTATTTTGCTATTGATTCAACTTATTGATTTTGGAAATTGGAGAACACATGTGAGATATTTTTGGTGTTAAAATGTCAAGTAAAGGTCTGAACTATTTGGAAACATTTCAGTTTTCATGTTCAATAGATAAGATGCCAAGAACTCACAATAGAAGATGAGGGTTTTGAGAACAGTCACCTCTAATTAGGAGAGAATATCGTATTTGTAGGCTGATTTCTTCCATATCTCTTGCTAATATTTTTTTCTGCTTGACTTAGCATGTCTCTTATTATAGTATTTGGAGGATAATGGAAATTGGATTAAGGCAGCAAAATGCTGAAATGGGAGAAAAGAGTGTGTGTGTGTGTGTGTGTGTGTGTGTGTGTGTGTGACTTTTATGTGTTTTAGTAAAAAAGTAGTTCTTTAAACTGTGTGAGAGATTCCATAGCCTTGTTCCCATTAAGTAGCAAACACCAGGGCTTATACAAAATGTTCTATAATGTTTCAGATCAAGCTAAAGCTATCTTCTCTTTCTTATCTTAGAATTCCAAATGTTCATGAAGCCACAAAAAATACGATGGAGTCCTAATGCTTTTATCAGGATAACAAAAGTACAGTTTTCTTTTTAAAGCCTTTTACAAACCAGAAAGCACATTTATGGTCATTTCTCAAATCATTTTTCACTTTCTGTCTTTAGCACACAGTTGTCATTTAACAAATCAATTAATAAGCTACATAAAAAAATACATTTATGAGCTGAATATATACATATTCATTTCGTGTATGAGTATGTTGCAGTTTTTAATAAATATTTTCTGAAGAGCATATCTTAACATACAGCTTTTTCAATTAAAGTCTTCAATAGATTTTAATTGCTTTCAGAAAAAAAATGATGACCTTCCATGATATAAGCAGGCATTTCCCCACCTAGGCTTTGCCTGTCTCTACAACTTCTTTTTACACTTTTTCGTATGTGATCCAACCATCAGCTAAACCGAGAAACTTTTCACAAGTATTTTGATGATCATACTCTCTTCTATGTGTATTTTTTATATGACTTTTTTTTTTCTAAATTTTCACTTTTTTACAGTGTATTACTCTAGTGACTCCTGTGCTTTCAGAACTTACGCCAATATTTTTCCAAAGCTTTCTCTAACTGTTTTCTTTCCAGGAGGAGTTAGGATTTCTCTTCCATTCTTCTCTGTGTAATGTCAACATTGCACATACTCCGCTGTATTACATGTGTTGATTTACTTGTTTCTCTCTCATATTATAATTTATCAGAAGTTACTTACCAAGTATTTACCATATCTCAGTCCAAGTATTAAAGATACAATGATGAATAAAGTAATCCCTATTCTCTAGTAGCCCCCAAAGAAAAAAACAATTTATACGGTGATATAAGTATTAAAAAGGAGATATGCAAAAGAACCATGATAACACAGATGACTAATAACTTGGGAGAAAATAGTAGTTTGGGAAGATGATAAAGGAAGGAGGAATAAACTGAATCTGGGCTTTGAGTAATGAATAGAACTTTTCTAGACTGAGTTCAGAGTGGGGGTGGAAATAATATTCCACACAAGATCAGAATAATCAAAGGAAAGTAAGTATAAAATTTTATAGTGTTTCTAGATTAAATAATAACTTGCATGCATAATGAAGTTAAAGCTATGTGCAGTGAATAAGGTTTCTTTTTGTTTAATTTTTTCCTTTCTTTTATAATGTTAATACATTTATTTTTTGAAATAGTCCTTTTAAAAAAAAATTGGTAATTAAGAAAAGCACACACAAATGGAGTGCATTAAAACAGCCACTATGCTGTCATTCCAAAATAAACATTGATTACATTTGGTGACCATCATTTCACTCTTCTAAATCATAAGAATATTTGTGTGGGGTATGGGGACACAAGGAGTAGGAGGGAGACTTTTATAAGAATGAATAGGCCGGGCCTGGTGGCTGGCGCTTGTAATCCCAGCACTTTGGGAGGCCTGGGCGGGCGGATCACGAGGTCAGGAGATCAAGACCATCCTGGCTAACACAGTGAAACCCCGTCTGTACTAAAAATACAAAAAATTAGCCGGGCATGGTGGCGGGTCCCTGTAGTCCCAGCTACTTGGGAGGCTGAGGCAGGATAATGGTGTGAACCCGGGAGGCGGAGCTTGCAGTGAGCCAAGATCGCGCCACTTCACTCCAGCCTGGGCTACAGAGCGAGACTCCATCTAAAAAACAAAAACAAAACAAAACAAAACAAAAAGAATGAATAAAATTTAGGATATTTATAATAAAAAAGTATTACATTTACTTTATCTAATAGAAAAAAATGTTAAGTATAACAATTTGGATAACTGCTTTTATGGATTAACTGATATGCATTAATTTCTTCAATATCTCTTTGAGATTAATGAAAAAATAATGAAACCTGTGTTTTTTGGTAAAAAAAAAAAACCTCTTTGTTTTGTAACTTGTTGGGTGTTGTGTAAGAGTCCATGTTCATAGTTGACATTGTCATCAGTTTTGAAAATACCACAGGTTTGAATAACAAATGACTGTTTTTCTTTATTCCCTGCCACATCTTTGGCAACTGGAGCAGTGCTTAGTACAGTGAATACATTTAATAATTATATGTTGAATAAATAAAAAAATACAAACGAGCAGAGATTAGTTTATGAGGTAAAGATTGTTTATTGTGAAATATTTAATTGTGACGTTTTCAAAATGGTAGTGCTTGCTTTATTTTGAATCTTCCACATTTTATTTGTTTTCTGTCATTTTTATATTTTATTGAAGGGTTGTCAAATTGTTTTTTCCTCACACTTTCATCTTGAATGCGTCTATAAACCTATAAAAATTTGTTTAGTCTTTCTCAAATCATCTTTTTTCTTCATCCAAAATGATAAAAGTCACAAGACTTGTTTCAGCTTGACAAGTAAAGATAATGTAGACAGTCACCTTTATCTTCACAAAAAGGAAAAGCTCAACACACTGAAAATCAATCACTTTTTTTGGACTCATCAGAGAACTGTTGTCAGAGCAAGCTACTATGCCAAAATCTAGAAAGGCTGAAAGATAGAGCAACCAAGATCTGCTTACCTGGAAGAGAAGACAATGGAACCATATTCTGAAGTAAGCAAGGAGAAAAAACAAACAAAACAAAAAACAAACCAAAAAAAGACTTTGTCTATAGAAGAATAAAGATAAGAATTAAGCATGTTGCTTGTCAAAAACTATGTAAACAAGTAGAAAATGGAGTAAAATATTTAAGGAAAAAGCTATCAAGTTAGAATTATACATATAGAAAAACTACTGTCCAAAAATGAAGGAAAAATAGACTTTCTCAGAAAAAAACAATAAAAGAACAAATTTCTTGACTAGTTCTGTAATAAATATTAAAATAATTTCTTCAAGTGGTAGAATAATAATGTGAGAAATGGATCTACATAAAGTTAGGAAGAGTGTTAGAAAAAGGAATAAATGAAGGTAACATAATATCTTTCATTTTTCTTATTCTTAATTGATCTTTAGAGCAATAATAATAACAATGTATCGAGGGATTATAACATGAATAACTAAAATGAGTGACAACAATATCATAATATACAAAAGGGAACTGGGAATGCTCTGTTATAAGGCACCATAACTACACATAAAGTGGTATAGTGTTATTCGAACGGGAAATCATTGGAGAAATGGCTGATTCTGGGCTACAGGTGAAAAATACAGTCAGCGCTCCGTATCCATGGCTTCTACATCTGTGGATTAAACCAACCGAAGATCGAAACTATTTTTTAAAATGGTTGGTTCTATTTGTACTGAACATGTACAGACATTTTTTTCTAGTCATTATTCCCTGAACAATGCAACAACTACTTACACAGCACTTACATTGTATTAGGTATTAAAAGTAATCTGGAGATGATTTAAGTATGTAGAAGGATGTGCGTAGGTAATATGCAAATGCAACACCGTTTTATATAACGGACTTGAGCATTTGTGGATTTCAGTCTTTGTGGTGGATTCTGGAATCAATTCCCCTTGGATACTGAGGGATGACTGCATATAAACTTTTGTTTTAGGATCTTGCAGGGCCAGAAAATTAAGTGCTGCTGAAAAATAAATAAATAAATAAAAGAAACACAATAATAGGAGTATGTCAGGAACTAGCTGAAAGATCACCTATTGGCCAAAATTAGAACAATCTGAGCAGCAATATAAATAAACAAGTATTAGATTTATAAATAAAACAAAATAAATATTCATGAGTCAATTCTGATACAAATAAATGACTGAATGAATAAATAAATAGGAAGAATAGATAAATCTCTTGAACCAAAAAAATCTGGTTTATATAATATCTACCCCTGCTTCAAGATGGTGAAATGTAACTTTGCACTACTTACCTGTGGAATGTGTATAAAGGCTTTCGTTCAAAGAGTACAAGATGAAAGAGAGGGAAAAGTAACTTTATAATGGAGAAACCTGAAAATGCTACCTCATTCTGGTGATCAAGGTCAACATCAATAGTGCTAAATCATATCGATGGCCTGAACCCTTGATGTGATGTGATGAGAATGGCACTTAACCTCTGTACTCTTCCTCCCCAAATCCATAATCTCAGTCTAATCATAATAAAAACATCCAGAAAACACCAACTGTGAGACCTTCTTTGTAATACCTATTCAGAGTTCCTGAAAACCATTAAGAACATCAAAAACAAAGTCAGCAAAAATGTGTCACAATCTAGAAAAACCTAAAGAGAAACAATGACTAACTAAATGTAATGTGATATCCTAAATAGGAGCCTGGAAGAAAAAAAAGAACATTAAGTAAAAGCTAGAGAAAATCTGAATAAAGTGTGCACTTAATAATAATGTGTTAATATTCGCTCATTAATTATGAAAAATATGTCATACTAGTGTAAGATGTTAGCAATACAGAAAATTGGGTTTGGCATATATGGGAACTCTATACTATCTTCATATTTTTCTGTACATAAAATTACTCAAAAACTAAAAGTTTGTTTTTTGAAAGTTACCTATTTTTTCTCTCACTTTCACCACTTCCCGGTTATAAAGAATAAGGTGTTAGTGATTATCATAAATATGAATCATAAAAATACTATTCTTATTAACAGAGTGAATTCCTGTTCAAAGAATCCAAGGGCTTGCCTAAAGACTCAGAATTTGGTCATTCTGAAATTCTAAAAAGGTGAATAAGCTTTACTGGGTAGTAAAAAATATCAATAGGTTCACCAGCATAAACATTTATATTCACTGCTAGTTTCCACTGTAATTCACATCAAAGATAATAAGAGTGATCACTTTTAATAATTTTTTATTTTTTTACTTTATAATTTTGAGTGGTATATGGAAGTTCTAGAAAAGCCATAAACTAAAATATAAATAGTATATAAGTATTAATAGTATAATAGATATTAATTAATTTGATTCTCATTTTTATCATAAAACTAATTTATTTATATGATTACACAATACCTTACATTTTTACTTAACTTTAAAACATCTTCCCAAGTCTTCTAACTCATAATCTTGAGTATAAAAAGAGAGGACCTATTATTTTTATTTTGGAAATATACACTTGAGTTCTTTAAATTTTGATATAAACCCTTTGTTAGAAATGTGGCAGATATTGTTTTCCAGCTTGTGTCTATGTTTTTACTTTTGTTTGTAGTTTTCTTGGTGTAAGATACTTTTAAATTTGATGATGTCAAATATACAGTCTTTCCCTTAATTTATTTTTCATTAAGTGTCCAAATAATTAAAGCTTTCTTATTTCAAAAATAAAATAAAGATAGCTTATATTTTATCTAGCAGCTTTAAAGTCCCTTTCTTCACTGTTGCCCCTATTTTATTATTAAATCAGTGTGGTGCTATTTCTGTATTTTAAAGGCCATAATAGGTTTGATATCAGTTACTAATGTTTGACGTTTCTTTCTCACTTAAATGCTTTTGTGCCATATTGTGGGTCTGTTCTTCTTTTTAATTTATTTATCTACTTTAGATATAAAATAACACTGTTTTATTATATATAGCTCTAAAATATGCCTTGATTGATTATGGTAAACTGTAGCAGCGATAAAAGCCATACTTTCCTTGCTTCTGATCTTAATGGGAATGATCATAAGAAGTATATTTATTTGAGGTTTTGGTAGATAATTTTTCTCGAGATGAAACACTTTATTCAAGTCTTAGATGCTGTGATTTAAAAAAAATCAAATATGAATGTTTAATAACTAATGGTTTTTCTGCACTTAATAGCTAATGTTTTTTTCTGCACTCATTGAGTTTTCTGCATGTGTGTTTCACACATATAATATAAATATACCTATATGTATAAATTATAATACAAATTAACATTACATATTATTTAATATTTACCATATAATAGCTAAATGTTTATTATATATAATAGCTAAATATGTATAATAGCTAAATATGCTAATATAACAGATATATATGTTAAGTATGTTAATGTAGGTGTTTGCATTGTCAGATATTCTAATGTGTTAATTCATACTTGTTATTCAACTTACCCATCAAAT
The DNA here is from genome assembly GCF_000001405.40 of Homo sapiens. NCBI lineage: Eukaryota > Metazoa > Chordata > Mammalia > Primates > Hominidae > Homo > Homo sapiens. The sequence continues at coordinate 94,702,245 of NC_000003.12, forward strand.
ATTTATTTGGACCTATTCTTTGCCAGCCAGTGCCTAAGACAGTCCTTGGGATACACTGGTGAATAAAACAATGATACCCACATTTAAGTAATAAAACATACTGATCATGGTGATTATGATATATGTATAGTGCTAGATTCCATTTGCCTGTGTTATAGTTATGATTGTTTATAAGTTTGTAAATAAGATCATTTTAAAGTTTTATTTTCTTTTTCTCTTATTTTCCTGATGTAAGATCATATTAGCCTCATAAAATTATTTTCTCTTTTTCTCTCCGCAATGGTTTCGTAAAACAGAACTTATGTGCTTCTGGAAGGTTTTGTAATGCATCTCCTAGATTGTGCATTTTTGGTATATTTGTGTCTGTGATATGAATCTTATATATATTGGCATAAGTTTATTAGGATCAGGAAATTTCTGTCATCCAGCAAATGGGAACTTTAAGTTGAAAACATGAGATTTTGTTATGGAAAGATAGAACAATTTTTTCCATATATGAATTTGCATCTAAGAATCCTATTGCTTCTTGACCTTTTGGCTAAGGTCAGGTGAGTCTTATTAGCCAAATAGCCATTTCTATTATGATGATCATTATTACTTCAAGAAGGCAGTAAAAGGCAATGTAGAAGACAAAAAATAAAATACTGTCCTAGGAGTTGAGGGAGCAAGTTCAAGTCCCAGGACTTTCCTAGGTCAACTATTTGACCAAGACAAAGTGTCAATGGACTCAACTGCCAAATGGGGTGACTCCTAGAGTCCTTATCAGTTTTCACGTAGTTCTGTAAAGCAATTTAGAGCCAGAAGTTAAATGCAAAAGAGTTTGAAAAATTACTTGAGCATACCTAAAATTGCGGTGTTGACCATTTTCTATAATCAAGTAATATTCACATAGGAGCTTGAATTCCTTCACTAGGGCTTTCTGTGATCCACTTAGTTTTTGCATTATATTATATTACTTTAGTATTAATGTAACTGTGATTAAATAAATGGCATATAGTAATTTAGATGGCTAATAAAATGGAAACCTTTAATCACCATTTTTCAATGAGCTTCAGAAATATTTTCAAGATAAGTGTGACCGACCATTTTTAAAGAATTCTAGAATTAAATGCAAGTGTTCTCTCTCTTTTTCCCTAGAACTTGGTTATTTTCTGTTTTTGGTGTGTATGATTGTACGAGTTTCCTAGGACTGCTATAACAAAGTACCATAAACCTGTCACTTAAAACAAGAAAAATTGATTTTCACAATTCTGAAGGCTAGATGTCCAAAATCGAGGTGCTGGCAGGGTCAGGCTCCCTTTGACATCCATAGGGAAGAATCTTACATTGCCCCTTCCAAAGTCTCATGGTGGCCATCAATCTTTGACATTCTTTGGCTTGCAGTTGCATCACTCTGATCTCTGTCATAATATATTTTTTTCCTTATGTACCTATTTTTTTTCCTTTTTCTTATAAAGACACCAGTCAAATTGCATTAAGCATCAACCATACACCAGTATGACCTCATCTTACTTCAACTGTTACATCTGCAATTACCCTAGTTCTTTTTGGTTGGTTGTTTTCTTTTTCTTTTTCTTTTTCTTTTCTTTTTTTTTTTGAGACAGAGTCTCACTCTGTTCCCCAGGCTGGAGTTCAGTGGAACGATCTCGGCTCACTGCAACCTCCGCCTCCCAGGTTCAAGCTATTCTCCTGCCTCAGCCTCCCGAGTAGCTGGGACTACAAGCACGTGCCACCACATCTAGCTACTTTTTTGTATTTTTAGTAGAGATAGGGTTTCACTGTGTTAGCCAGGATGGTCTCGATCCCCTGACCTCGTGATTTGCCCGCCTTGGCCTCCCAAAGTGCTGGGATTACAGGCATGAACCACTGCACCTGGCCTACCCTATTTCTAAACAAGGTCATCTTCTGAGATATTAGAGGTTAGGACTTCCACGTATCTTTTTCAAGGACAAAATTCCACCCAATACAATAATATAATACAGATGAAATAACTCAGAAATGCAAGCACAGCTTCATTCTCAAATGCTATTTTAAATGTAACAAGCATAGTTCGATTGATTGATGCAAGGAGATAATAATGGAAGCTCAGCATGACTTTAAAATCAAGCAAATAGATATTAAACCTGGAAAAAAGTAAGAAGATTATTTCCAGACAACTAAATATTGTATCACAATTCTTCCTCCCAGGAAGCAGTTATATATTAGACTCTCATTTGAACTCATGAGAAGTAATAGGACATCATTTTGTGTTCTTAGTTTTTCAGAACAAGGCAGGCGGTCTATTCATATAATTTCTGCAACTTAGGAGAATGGATGACACCTGTGACATTCAGACAATCAGAATTGGGCTCTCATTAGGGCATGCTGTTTGCTGCTGCCCATGGTTTACTTGATGACTGAGTAAATGATTCACTGGCATCCTGTTGGTAATTTCTGATCAACATGCAGTCCTGACTATTTCAGTACATACCAGTAGAATGCATTAACCTCGAAAACAATTCCTTTTTTTCATTAGCTCTCAGACAGGAACTACTTAATTTACACAAAAGATAAGGTACTGGAAGACTTTAATTATTATTCTTTTTAATCACTGCTGTGGCCTTTATCACTTTTCCCGGATAGAATTTACTTTTTGTAGTGTTTGTTTTTAAAATAACAAATGCTTATTTAAAAAAAAAATTTTAACATATTTATATTATGGAAAACATTTTCTTTTAATATATTTTCTTTTTTTATTTTGAGCTGTATTATCTATTAAAATAAAACTCAAAATGCAACATTTGTAAACGTTTTTAGTATAAAACACTTAACATAAAATGTATCATCTTAACTATTTCTAAGTATACAGTTCGGTAGTGTTAAGTGTATTTACATTATTGTGCAAGCTGGATATATTATGTTTTATAAATTCTACATTTTCTAACACTAATCTATTTTGTGGGAGTATTTGTGCAAATTGTTTTTGATAGATATTTTAGAAGTCTGTATCAACAGGCCGGTTGTGGTGGCTCACGTCTGTAATTCCAGCACTTTGAGAGGCCAAGGAGGGTGGATCATGAGGTCAAGAGATTGAGACCATCCTGGCCAACATGGTGAAACCCCATCTTTACTAAAAATACAAAAAATTAACTGGGCGTGGTAGTGCGCGCCTGTAGTCCCAGCTACTAGGGAGGCTGAGGCAGGAGAATCTCTTGAACCCGGGAGGTGGAAGTTGCAGTGAGCTGAGATCACGCCACTGTACTCCAGCCTGGTGACAGAGTAAGACTCTGTCTCAAAAAGAAAAAAAAAAATAGTTACTTTGTTAGGTAATATTGTATGTGATTATTTGAGATATATTTGTATATGAGTATTTTCAAATTATGACTCAGTATAGGTCACTCTCAATAAACAGTGTACATTAATTACTCCCACATTTACTAGTATAAAATAAGATCACAAAATCTAATCATCAGATAAAAAGTAGAGAACTCATCTAGTCTTAGTCTTACCTGGTGAATGAATGAATCTGTCACTACAGCTTTTGTCCTAAGTGATACTAGTAGAATGATTTACTTGGTGATTTAAACAACATAGTCCCTCAAAATGTTATCTAAGTATATTGCTTGAATTTGAAGGCAAATTCATGTTCTTTTTGAAGGTCTTGGTTCCAGAGACTTTAGTAAATAAGGCAGCTCATTTCTTTTTTGGTTTGTTTGTTTGTTTGTTTGTTTTTGTTTGAGTCAAGGTCTGGCTCTGCTGCTCAGGTTGGAGTGCAGTGGTGCGATCTCAGCTACTGCAACCTCCACCTCTTGGGCTGAAGAGATCCTCCTACCTCAGCCTCCTGAGTAGCTGGAACTACAGGTGTGTGCCACCATGCCTGGAGAAATTTTGTATTTTGTATTTTGTAGAGAAGGGGTTTCGCCATGTTGCCCAGGCTGATCTAGAACTCCTGGGCTCAAGAGATCTGCCCACCTTGGCCTCTCAAAGTGCTGGGATTACACGCCCAGCAAGAGCAGCTCATTTCTGCTGAAACCTGCCTCCTTTCTTTTTCCTCTGGTTTTACAGTTTAAAAGCTATTCTGGTGTGACAGTCTTTCCTGGCTTTGAAGACTAATATCATCAGTTCTTTTCTAATATCCACATTAAATACCGTTTGTTCCCTCAGTTGTATTTCCAGAGGGGAACAGATCATTTGGCTTTTTTATTGCTCTCCTCTAGACACGATAAGTTTGTCATTTTTCCATTTAAAGTTTGCTGTCAGCAAGGAAAATATTGTTACTATCCAGACACTAAGGAGTAGAGTAGGATAATCATATCCATTGTTGAGATAATTTCTTACAGATTCTTGTAATGTAAATCCACATTATCCTATTGAGAACTAATTGAATACCTCTTAGTGACCATTAAGGCTTAGAAGAGAAAGAAAATTATGGAAAATGTGATAGCTAGTATCATCTTGGTCAAAATTATAAATTGCTTTAAAAAGTCTTGCTTCTACTTGGATGGAACTGGAGGCCATTATCCTAAGTGAAGCAACTCAGGAATAGAAAACCAAACACCACGTGTTCTGATTTGTAAGTGGGAGCTAAATTATGGGTACACAAAGGCATACAGAGTGGTATAATGAACTTTGGAGACTCAGAAAGAAGGAGAGTGGGAGAGGAGTAAGGGATAAAGGAATCATCTATTGGGTACAATGTAACCAATTCAAGTGAGAGGTACACAATAGTCCAGGCTTCACCACTGTGTAATTCATCCATGTAACCAAAAACCACTTGTATCCCTAAAGTTATTGAAATTTCTTTTTTAAAAAAAGAGAGAATAAAATAAAAATAGAACATCTGGGGTTTGAATCCAGAAAAAAAATCTTACTTCTATTTAGTTTACCTTGGAGCTCTCAATTACAGAAATCATCTTGAATGAATATACAATTAAATTAGTGCTTAGAAAATAAAACTTATCTACATTTAAAAAGATTTCTGAATATAAAATTGAAGTACATTTATTAAATTTTTTTTATAATACAGGAAAACACAAGACACAAAATAACTTCACAAATCACTCATAAACTTAATCACAACTGACCATTGTTAACACACACAAACGTGCACATGCATACACACACACAGACACACACACACACACTTGTCTATTGTATGAAAGTATACCTTAGGCTATTCATTCTCTAGCCTTGTTGCAATACTACAGGATTTCTCTAACTTCTTACAATAGAGTTAAAATTACTATATAGTGTAATTTGAATCTGAATTCATTTTACAAAGCCCAGGTAGTCTCTCGCTTGCTGCCAAATATTACTTGGAAACAGGAAAAAAAGTAGCAACAAGAAATAGAAAGTAGATCCTTGTGGTGTGTGTTGCACTGTATTTATTTAAATGTAGATTATGTTCCTGATTGAGAACTCAACATTAAATCCATCATAGACACAGAACCTGACATTCTAAAGCACAAAAAATTGTACAATATATATCTTAATTTATATTTGAACTCTGAGACTTAAGACTTAAAAGAAGCTTAAAGGAACAGTATATATATTTACATATGAGAATTGGGAAATGGTCTTAAATTATGAATGAAGCATGTAGAATATGCCTGAGACTTTTTATAAACTTACCATCATGCTTGTAACAGACACTATTTAAATAAATTTTAATGCCTTAGGATAATAGCACAATTTTTTGCCAATTATTTAAATAACCTGTAACTCTTAAAAAGAGATATATTGAAAATGTGAAGTAATACCACTTTTTCTCTATTATTTATTTTAGCAATCAGAGATATGAAAAATTTTTCTTTTAGCCTTATGGCTTCCTGCAGAATACTGCAGAATTACTTAAAATATGGAAACATCTCATACTTCACTGGAAAGTTGTAAAACTAATTGCTTGGTCATCTGCTAGAACTTTTCACTAGAAGCATTAGTTAGTGATATGGAAAATGGTTGGAGCTTATACTGATTTTACTGGCTTAGTTCCTGTGTGACCTTGAGCAATTTACTCAAACTTTTGGGGTTTCCTTTACCCTTGTTTGTAAAAAGTAATCAATCTGAGTCTCTGATATACAAAGTTCTAGACAATTCACACACCTGTGAATCTACAAAGTAGAGAAGGAACCTTAAAGGCTAGCACAATATACTATCCTATCCACATGTTCAAATTTGTATTCTAACTTGAAGGGCTTAGAAAATTTTGAGAATACAGAATGTTTGGTTTCTTTGCAAAAGCAAAATGCCTAATGAGAAACTGTTCAATATAGTTTACAGTTGCTATACATGTTCTTGCTTTTTGGGGGAAGTAGTACTGTCTAAAAAAGCAAGCTGTCATGTTCGACTCTATAAGATATAATATATGGCCCTGAAATTAAGAATATTTTAACATAAAAAATGCATGCATTTTATTTTCATGTAATGTCTATTCTTGATTTTAAATCCTATTAATACTTACTAAAGAAGAATGATACAATATCTTCTTTTTATAACATTTTTTACCCAAACAAAACTCCTGTTGTATATATTTGGAGAGTAATTTTAAATGGGAAAAATGATATCAGTAAATCCCACTGAGGTGAAAACCCTCTTAAACAGTTGATATCCAAACCTGCAGACTCTCATTAGTAATCTAATTTCATTTTGTATCTTTTGAGATATACTGTACAAATTAAAGAAGTCAAAATTTTAATGGTGGTTTTATTAAACCATCTTTCATATGACAAAATTTCTTAAATTTAATTTAAAATCATGGTGCAGTAATGTAAAAATTATTCCTAATATTGCATTTTAGAGAGTTAGCCTTTGGTTCAATAACAGGGCTTATTCATGCTTACTTATAATAGAAAACCAGATGATTTTCCATTTGTAGTTTCTGAAGTGTGAACACAAACTGGTATCTGGCAATTGTTTTAAGCTTAATAAAATCACTCTAAAGAAGTATTTTAAAAGATGTGCAATATTAACCATATATTTCCTCGGATTATATTTTAATATGTTTCATACAGTCAATATGCATTACTTTGAGCCTGATTTTATAAGATTTTAAAGTTAACCTGGGAAAAAATAAATTTATTTCATTCTGTACACATCTGGTCAATTGCATTGCTGGCAATTTTCTTAGCAAACTGAACACCATTAATACAGTGTGTCTCATCTATTAATTTAACTCAGCAAGTAGCTATATTAAGACAGATGTGTGAGCCCATCAAACTGTAAACCTCAAAAGTAGGTGTGACCTTTGTTTGCAGTAGCTCTTGTATCAGAGCCCTATTTAGCTTGAACTATTTGTCAAATAATAAAGAAAAAGTGAGAAAAGGGCAGAGTTCTCAAACTGATAATCTGTGAGCTGATTCTGTCCATAGATGTGTTTTTTTGCCTGCATGATTTATCCAGAAAGTGATCTTTCAAAAATTTCCTAGTGAAAGGTTAACCATAAATCATCAGCAGTATGAAGACAGCAGTTGTCACATGCTGAGGTTCCCACATGCAAACAATTGGCTGTAACTGAAAACAATTGCCTCCCTTGGAAGGGACATGCTTTCTAGACCACCCTATTTATAAATCCTGATCGACCCAGTTATATTATAATACTTTCTGGTCCATGGAGGCATCTGCATCTTCTACTCCATGGCAACAATTTATTCTGCCTTTATTACTGCTTTTTGAACATTGCTTATTAACTTGATGATCTCCTAGTTGTTGGTCTGATTGCCAAATTACCAGGGGCAGAGCATTGCTTATCTTAGGTTTTTCTTATCTAAAACCTGATTTTTTTTTTCTTTTTTCTGACTTCTTTGCATATGTTCTCAAGATAAAATCATGTCTAAATTCCACCAAACTTTTGTTGTTGTTATCTCCTAACTTTGAGAATGGAGAAAGGAAGAAACATACCTCCATTTTCACAGGGATATCTGTTTGAAGGAGAAAATGATAGTAGTGTAATGAAAGAATAGGAAAGAGTGAAGAGGCAAATGGAAATCTCAAACTTCTTCCTCAACTAACATAGAAAAGATACTGTTCAGATTCTTAGTGGGGAACAACAACCACGGAAATTAGAACTAGAAACTGGGCTTAAAGAGGCTACAACAAATTAAGTGTGGTGTCAAATATGTCACAAATGGTCTATATATCTCTCAGAAGTTTACAAAGACAACAAAAAAGGGTGCAATAATAGACCTCAACTTTAATCATCCTTCCCCTACTTCTCCATTAAAACAATATAAAAATTCACTATTGTTTAAATATATGAGTGATTTATCTTTCTGTATTTAAAGACAGCTTAATATCAGGCACATTCAGCAAATAATCACACATTCATTTTCATTTTGCATATGGAATAGCAATATGAATATATTAATGTTGAATTCAGTTCTTCTATATACAAAGTATCAATTACAAAGAGCATTACTGACCTTCCAAAACTTTAGATTTAAAAATCTATATTATTTAAAAGAAATAGGCTCATATATTCTAGTTGCAGGGTGATCCACTTGAAGGTAAGAGTGATACATTACAGAGGGATATTAAAATTAGCTTCAGGTTTCTGAATTTACCATTAACAGAATAACAAATTCTTTTTTTCAAGAAAAGCTAGTTTTCCGATCGTAAGACTTACTCCACAGTCTTACACAAACTGAAATCTGAATTTAACTAGCTAGGAAATGTAGAAGAGTAGTCTTAAAATATGCTTAGTTTGGACTTGGAGGATAGGTATAATAATTGAATTAGAATCAATTTTATAACTGAACAAAAAATTATTATAAAATTGAAAAATTCCATTAAATTAAGCTGTGATATGCATTGAATTTAAGCCAAATAAGTTGGAGATGACTAGCAAATAGTGCTTTCATTTTCCTGAATGAATCACTAATAAAAACAATTATTTTGAAAAATGTAGCTCTTCAGTTGTTCAGACAGAGCATTTTTAATGTGTTCTAAGGATTTTTAGGCAATATGCACATAACTTCAACTCTGAAAACAGTGAAGTTAGGATAATTTACAAGTTTAAAATTACCTCCCTTTTACTCTATGACCCTCCTGTGTTCATATAAAATTGTACATATTTTCCATTTGACCTAATTTTGTCATGTTGTAAAAATATCTTTTCTCTACATGGAACAAGCCTTCTGTCCACATGAGAGGTCACAGCAGACCAAGCATATTCTGAGAAGGACAACTTACTCTTCTTTGTCTTAAATTTTATAGTATCATCACCTCTGTATGATTCTCTACAACTAGAACTAATCACATTGTGCCATTAATTTCTGTCAATGTCAATTACCACATAAAAACCAAGATTTCCAGGTCACTATTTCTCTTGTTCTAATCTAGTACTTCTAAAATGTGATCATGTATACGCATCACCTGGAGACTTGTTAAAACATTTATTCCTGAGATCAACCCCAAGAAGTCCTGATTCAGGAGATGATGCTGAGGCTTCCAGTCCAAGGGCTATGCTTTGAGATTGCTGTACTCCCTTAAATCTCTGTATATGTCCTATATGACCCCGTTTCACACCCTTCCTCAACCTCTGATTCTCTTTCACTGTGCTCTTTGAAACTCATGGTCTGTCAACAAAATCTCTAACATTCTCAACTTCTTTGAATGTTTCTTCCATCTTCTTGCTCTGATAACCATTAAATACTTACTTTGTCAATATATTCAGAAAAGTGTTATGCTTTTTCAGTATGTACTTTAGAGGCTTTTTCCATTATTTTTTCTTTTAGTAAAATTTTCCTGAATTAAGCAAGTTTATATTTGTTTGGTTATCTTGCTTTTTTTTTTCCTCAGAGATTGATATTATATGTATCTTGAATCTTCTTCAATTGTTAGTCATTTTTTTCATCTGCTTGTCTCTTTTTCCTTTCCTTTTTGTGCCCCAAAACCAGCTTTGTTGAGAAATAATTTGCATATCACACATTTCATCTATTTAAACTATGCAGACTAATGGATTATAGCACATTTACAGATATGTGAAACCATCACTATAGTCCATTTTAGAATATTTTAATCTCCTTAAGAGGAAACCCTGTACCCTTGAGCTATTACTCTCCTGTTGTCTATCCCTTGGTCCTAAGCAGACACTAACCCACCTTCTATCCCTAAAGATTCACTTATTCTGGACTTTATTAAGAGTGAATTATATAATATGTGGGCTTTTATGACTATCTTATTTGACTTAGCAAATGTGTTCAAGGTTCATCCAAGTTGTGGCATGAACCAGTAATCCATTCCCATCCCACATAATACTGCATTGTGTAAATATACCACATTTACCTTTTTCATTCATCTCTTGAGGAATATTTAGGTTTGTTCTACCTTTTGAATATTATGGATAGTTGTGCTATGAACATTGGTACAGGCTTTTGTGTGAATGCTCATTTTTCTGTCTTTTTTGATAAAAATCATCTATTTCATCTTTTATTTCTCATAAGACATCATTTCTTATTTACTCTTGTGTTCCCTCTAGTTTCAATTTTGTTTCTAAAATGAGTTTTTGTTCTATTTCCAATTCTTTCTTGAGTTCTGTCGCTTAATTTCTTCCAACTCTGAATTTTTTTCATTTCTTATTCTATTTTAGATGCATTTAATGTGTTTAAAATGGTAGATTGTAGTTTTGATATGATTTGTGGATTTTTGTATGTCACTCTGTATGCTATAACTATATGTAGGGGTATTATTTTCTCTTTTATTCCTATGTAATTTAGCCTTTAGAATATTAAGCATATTTTAGATTTTTTTAATTTTTATTTTTATTTTAAGTTCTAGGGTACATGTGCAGGATGTTCTATTTTTAATTGTTCTGTGAATTTCATTTTTCTAAACTTTTAGAGGAAAGTGTAGTTCATGCTAACTTTTGCAACTTCAAAGAAGTCTGTCTTTTTTCATTTCATATACTGTTCAAAAGTAGCTTGCTCTCTGAATTTTCTGGCTCTATTCCCATTCCTCATCTTTATATGAACCTCTCCTTCCTTTTGTCTATTGTCCCTGTCTTGATCAATTTTATTTCATGCCCAACAGTTTCCTCTTGGTTTGGGCCCCTGTCTGGGAAGGATTTTAGGAGTTTAAAGGAGTTACACTGCTCCAGGCCTTTCAAACTTAACCATAAGATATTTACCTAACGCTTACTAGATTTGGGGCTGGAGAAAGGCTACCATTCTTCTTCTGTTGTGTATTGTGTTTCAGTTATTCAACCTGTGGCTGTTGGGGAGTTCTTCTATTTCCACTTCTGTCAGATGTTCCATTGTGTTCTCAGATTCCTCCTACACATATAATGAAACTGTACTGGTCTTGGAGTAGTGGTGGTATTTGTCCCCCACTTGCTTATATTTTAGGATTCATTATTATACTTTATGGCCAACTTTTGTTGTAGATGTTGTCTACTAATTTTTGGTATCTGGTTTCTCTCTCTGTTGTTTTGTTTTATTATTGTTTGTTTTCTGTGGATTATGAAACATTAAATAACTATGCCGTCATTGACTCATTCCATAATCCAGTTGTTAATTTTTGATGTAGGGGCAAGAATAGCATTTTCAAATTACTAGGTAAAAGAGTTGAATAAGTTGTAGACACAATTATAGACAATTGTAGCTATAAAGTTAATAATCTCACAATATAAGAAAAAATACAATCATGTTTTATCAGAATTTTGATTAATTTTGAACTTTGCAGAATTTTTTATTTTATCTTTTGCTTATAATTAATCTAATAATTCATCAGATTTCATCATATCATGTATTTGTTTAGTATTCTCCATGGCCAGTCTTAACAAAACTAAACTAATTCTACTTTGTAATGAGTTAATTTTTTCAACATTAGCCATTTCTGATTTAGAATTTAGCATAAATAATTCTCTTTCTTTTTGTTACATGAAACTACATTTTTGCTCTTTACTAAAATTTATTTAAAATTTTATTTTCAATACTTCTAAAGTAAAACATTTAAGCTAGATTATTTACTTCCTTAACATCCTTTATTTATTAAATGAAGCTAAAATTCTGCAGTTCTCAACATTTCTTCCCAAATACCACATATGAAGAATAAAATTCCCATGAAAGATACAGTCCTTCTCTAGATGGTGTTTGAGATGTGAGAGTAATGTTATTTATGGGAATAACCTTGACCAGACTGTAATTCATAAAAAGTGAATCATTCCCACACTGCAGTACTTTAAATATTGTTTATAACAAATTACCTGTAACACATCCTCATGACTGATTACAATACACCAATTTGTCACTGCTCTGTAGCCAAAAAAACAGTGGATTACAACAAGTTGACCTTTTCAATGGCTTTTCTAAAGGATTTGTGCAAATCTTACATTTTAAAGGAAGCTCCTTCTCTGTGTTGTAAAATGTCATCATAATTTGTCTTCACTGCTGTAGGTATATTTATTTACTCAGGGGAATTACCTTGCCTCAGGAAGAAGATATTTGTTCCTGGCATTCCTTAATTTCACCAGAGAATATACTTTTACAGAACCATTATTTACTTCATAAACATAAACTTATTAACACACAATTCTCCTCTGGTACCAGAGCAGTCACATATAACTGATGGAGCTACGAGGATCTGTTGTCTGAGAAATAATGATATTATAACTAGTTGATATTTTCAGATACTCGTGTTCCCTGACCTCTCTTGATCTTTTAAAAATGCATTGAGATATGTTTAGGACCTCACTCTATCCATTATTTATTCATTGAAAGGTATAGTTCTAAGGCAAAATTAATTTTAGAAGAAATTTGAAATGGAGAAAGTCTTATTTCCTGGCTGCCACAGAGCTTGCCATGGGGCAAGGAGAGAATCTATCTGAATGTAGCCTTTTAAAAAATTTACTAATTACATGGCCTCAGCTGTCAAAAATGTCATTTTCATTTGTGAGAAACTATTTTTCTTTTGTGGATGATTACCTGTTCATTCTCTATTAGGGCGCTTTTCTTCATATGTGATCAAGTGTCTTCTTTACATTTCTTTATAAAACAGTGTACCTCCCCAAGTAGGCTTTTGTAAGTACATACAACATAGCTACACGGAAATAGAAAAATGTCTGTTATGTTATATAATGAAAACATTGCTATTATAATTATTTGGATTTTATATTAGAAATAGCTGCCTGTTTTTTTAAGCTAATGAAGAAAATAAAGACATGCAAGACCAAATCCCCAGGTAATAATGAAGCTTCATTTTATCTATAGCAGTGATTTTTTTTTTTTTTTTTTTTTTTTTACCAAGCCTATAATGGAACTTCCAGTCAGCAGTCATATTAAGTTTATCATCAATTTTTATTGAATGTTTGATGATGGGGTAGAGCAGGTAAAAATAACGCAGCATGTAATGCTCTAAAAAATAAAAACAAATTATCTTGAATTATAAAATTAAGATTTATTTCCCAAATAATTTTTCACATTTAAAAAAATTGAATTTAATTGTCAATCACCTTGACCCCATGATCCATGGTTCCAGCTTGCAAACTACAGAAATAACTTTGGCTGTATTTACTAAAAAATGAATTTATCAAAAGGATATTAGGTAGCTCAAATAATTGCTAAGATTTAAGAAACTGTAACAGCCTGATTATGTCCAAAACTATACTGCAGATCTCGTTCAATAAGGGCATCCCTTGACTCTCAGGACCAGGCACCCAAACTTCCAAGTACTTCCACCACCACATTGGACCCTGGGTGCTCTGACAGCAGAGTAACCAGTGCTTCCTTTGTAAACTTCTTTCTGCTTTCACCTCCCTGAACTCTAGGAAGTATTCATCATTTTTCCTAATTCATATATAGGGTGGGCATTTGGATCTGATTGGTAAGATCTGGGTCATACATGCATATGCAATTTGTGAAAGATACTGGGAAAGTGAGTATTTGGAAATTTTCATCTCTACCGTTGATATAAGCTTTATCCCCTATGCAGAGTTATCAAGTCCCCAAAATATAGACAGGAGCTTCAGATACTGGTTTACCTACAAAGAAAAAATCTCCCCTACAAAATTTATCATGTTTTCTGCCAGATGATTATTTTAAACAGTATTTGTTTTCTTTTTCTGTCTGTTTTCCTGGTTTGGATTCCGCAAATACTAATGAAACTGAACGAGAGCTTGGTTAGCATTCAAAATCTAAAAAATGTCCAAGTAATTTTCTTTAGTATTTCAAACTATTTCTTTGTGTATATTTGTGTCTCCGTGTGTGTAGTCAAAAGAGAAAAGTGTAGTAATTTTCAGAAGTTGAATTCCTTAGACTCTCTTTTGACTTCTTTTTAGAACTATAAGAAGCTCTGCCCTAGTGACAGTTGTCTAGTCATAAAGTAATTACATTGATTCTGACAGATTAATCATCAATCAACGTACCTTTAACAATTGTGAAGAAAATGCATTAACTTTTTCAAGTTTCTATCCTGAGCTTGGCCTGAGGGCTCAAGTGATTTAGTACCTTATTTGATTTTCTTTTTCTAAAGTTAAAAAACACAAAATATCTTTGATTTTTGCCTTTTATATTCTCTATGTTGCTTCCTGGACTCTGATTTCTGACAAAATGTCAAACAACTGAGGAGGAAGGCTTATTAAATGTTGCCTTTAATGCCCTGCCACCTGGAGGTGATTCTGGTTCTGGTTCAAATCCAGACTTCTGCCAGGATTTGGAAAAGCTGCTATTTGGCCTTGGGTCATACTCAAGCTGTGTATACTCAAAAACCTCAGAAAGTTTTGAAAATGGAATATAGGGTTCAATCAGTAATAAAGGCCTTCAGTATGTTTCACTGTTGTCTGAGAAAACTGACTGTAACCATCTTAGTTCACTACCAAATATTTTAATCTAAAAGACACTTACAAACAGAAATGTGTTTATTTATCCATAAAATATATTCATAAGAATGTTCATAAGAACACCATTCCTAATGTCCAGAACTGGAGAAAACCCAGGAGTCCATCAACAGGGTAATGGATAAATAAATTATGTCATAGTTAATAAAACAAAACACTAAATAGCAATGAGAATGAATGAATGACTGCTATAACAGGAATGTAGAATAATAATAAAAAAATTTTATTAAGAGAAAGAGGTGAGGCATAAATAATATTATTTTTTGATAGGCAAAACCATCTATTACTAATAGAATTAATGATATTGGTTATTATTACATGAGGAATAGTGATTGGAAGTAAATACAAGGGAGATTTAGTTACCTGTAATGTTATATTTTTTGATGCAGGTGCTATTTTCATGGGTATGCTCACTTAGTACAAAGTGTTTGAGTTGAACTCATAATTTTGTACTCTTTTAGTTGTATGCTATACTTCAGTAAAAGTTAAATATATAATTCATTAAACTCTAAATCATTCATATTGATAAATTTGAATATTGTTTTTACTCTAAAGATGTGTTACTACTTCCTAAATCAGAGTAACTTAAAAGTTTCTGTTTTTTTTTTAAGAGACTGAATATCGATTTTGATTGCCCTGACTGAGCACCACTCCCATGCTCTATTTATGAGAAATTCACTTAGCTCTCTTACTGGATAGGTATCTAGTAATGAACTGTAAGTAAATCACCTGTGAATGGCATTATTTTAAAATGAAATAATGTACCACAAACAGTTTTATTTGGATCTCATAGAAGAATGAAAGACATGCTGTTTGAGAAATAGTTAATACTATGATAATGCAAATGTGTATGTCTCCTGCACTAGCTCTTAATTCAAATTTTCTATGTTTACTCATGTAAATGCCTAATATTGTCATCAGCCTACTTAACTAGCCCTTGCTTATATTTTATTTGAATACAAAGAAATACTGAACTCCTAATATGTGTGTTGTTACAACATTCAGCATCTCTCCAATTATATTCCTTTCATAACTCACTGCACTATATTAACTGCTAGTCTTTTAAGCTGGAACATAAACTCCATACGGGACTATGCAATGCCTATCTTGCCCATTCTTTCATCTCCAATATCATTCCTACTGAATGACACATATTAGACGCTTAAATAATATTTGTAGGTGAATGAATATATCAATCCAACTAGAATGTTTGTGCAGGAACATCTTCCTGGCTTTTCTTAAAAAATGTATATGTTCTTCTAAATTCCAAATCTTGATAACAAACAGTTGACAAATTGAGAAAATAAGAAAAATTATCAGTAATTCTCGTGTGAGAACTAAGGCATAAGTATAAATGTAGAGACTTTACTGAATTGAAGGAATTAGCTAATAGCAAGTGAATAGCAAGAGCAGAAAATACTGACATCCATTGAAAATGAAGGTCAAGATTTCCAGGAACTGGAACAGAAACATATAGGGAAGGATCTGTCATGGTCTAAGTTACTTGTAGCTGCTACTATGGTATAAGTGTAAATTTGTGAGATTCTCTGTTGATAATGGTAAGTCATTCTTGCAAAGTGTACACTCATGTCTGTCGCTATCTATAATACATATACACATATATATTGCACTTGTACTAATCATATGAGTGGTATTCTAAGAAATAATAAGTTTAGGATCCTAAATAAGTACTTAAATTGGCAATTTCGGCACATTATTTTGTATCTTGCTGTTTGTTGCTTTGCTAGGAGATCAGAACTTTATGTTATTCAAAGACGGAATGGTCACTGATATTTTCCTGTATTTGAATTTTTGCTATAGGTTATAATTGTTAGTAAATACAATTAAATCCCACTAAAATAGTAAGAAATACTACTACTATAAATAGTACTAACATACTAGGTACTATTGTTCTATTTATAAATACCGCAAAATGCAGAAAAATTCAAGATTTCAGGAGTTCCTAAGAATTCATGGGAATTCCCATTTTGTTCTTAAATCCTGAAAATTAATATCTGTTGGATGTTTGGAAACAGCAAATTCAACTAGGTACTTGATCTTAGATGCTTTATCTACTGGAAAAAAACTATATTTATAAAATATAAATTATCTACAAAACAAGATATACTAAGTATATCTGGAGGTAGAAACTTGACTAAAGTTAGTAGAGGAAGATTTGAGAAGAAAGGAAGTTTCCTGGAGAAAGAGATGGTGACGGCCATACGGAAGAAGAGGTATTTGGGATTTCAAGTCTGAGTTGCACTGAAATAAATGGGCAAGGGAAAATAAGGGGAAAACTTTTAGACAAGAAGAATGGAATAATTAATGTATATAGGAAAGCAATTTTTATAGCTATATCATAGAACATTCTTTTTCAAAGAACGAGAGTTTATATTATGTGAAAATAAACTTTGAAGACCTTAATAAAATAGGTGAAAGTGAATTGTGATAGTACTCAAATAGTTGTACATAGACAGTGTCAAATAAGTTAAAATTTACCATAATGGCTTGCATAAATTTATATACTTGCTGCCTTCGCATGCATTTTAGTCTAGCCATAAGCTATTTGAAATAGAGTTATATCCCATTACTTTGGCCATGTTAAAACTTCTCCATCCTGGGTGGTTTTTGATATAGCCCACTCAACTCACTGACCCAAAACCCAACACACCTCACAGCTACTGACCACAATATAGCCTAGTGTTTAACATGGGAGCCATGTAAAAAAGTAATTACCCCCCTGCCACACATCTTTTAAACTAGCCAGTCTACAACCCGCTTCAGAAAGCCTTAGGGATAATGCCCATGTACCCACAGGTTGTCTGTATCTCACTCTCCACCCACTGGCTGAGCTCCTTGCTGCTTCCAAACTTTCTGTCAGCCTCCAGTCTGCACCTGTAACCTCTCTGGACCTGTGAGTAATAAATATCTTTTGTTTCATCCATTTTGATTTCCTTTGCTCATTGTGTCACACATGATACACACACCTAAATTTAAATTTCCCCTAGGTCATGGTTATCCTAGAAAGTGGCTATTTTGGAAAAGAGAGACCTCAATCCAAATTAGAACGAAAGAAATGACACAGATACTGAAGTTTTGATCAAGGTGTGGGAAAGTTATGTGTGTAAGGCATCAATGAGAACTGTGTGAATGAGACCAATATTGACATTAATTTAAAAGTAGTTTATATTCCGGTTTTGAATACACTATTGAAGCATAACTAATGTCATTATCTAAAATTAAAAACTCTTTAACAAAAGATGAAATGTACAATATAATATATGCTATTATTTAAAATGCAAAGATACTCAGGTTAGACTGATTCAAAAGTAATGTGAACATATCTGACATTGAGTTCATTCATTTATTTATTCATTCATATGTCCACCAAATATTTAATCATTCCATTATTTCCCACATACTACACACAGTTGAATCACTTTTGAACTATTTAGGAGTCCCTAAATAGAATCCCCACAGTGAGAGAATGTTTAGAATTTTTCAGGGGTAATGTTGAGGCCAGTATTGCTAGGATAGTGCATGGCTGGGAGGTGATAGGAAGAGAGAAGGGTGGGGTGGTGGATACAGTGCTTGCAGGTTGAGTAGAGCTTTGGAGGCCTTTGGAAGACCTTTGGTTTTTACTCTCAGTGAGATAGGTGCCTCTGAAGACTGTTAAAGAAAAAGGTGACATAATCCTTGTTTTTAAAAGACTAAAACTAAATTGAGAATAGACTGGGGACAAGCTAAAAAGCTTTTGCAACTAATTCAAGAAAAAAATGGTAATGGCTTATTGTAGGGTGATGGTTGCAGTGGAAATTGTTGACAAATGCTCTGATCCTGGGCATTCTTCAGTAGAGCTCACCAGATTTCCAGACATATTAATTATAGGTCAGAAGAAAGGTGAGCATTTTAAGTATTTCCAAATTTTAAGGAGGATAAGGTTGTGATCATTGTCATTTTGGATATTCAGAATAAAGCAAATATTTAGGGGAAGATTTACAGTTTAATTTTAAAATGTAAGTTTGGGGTGCCTATTAAATTAAAAAAAGTTATATTTTACTTACCAAACCATGATACTCTGATTTCTTTAGCATTTGTGGTTGTTATGTTGAAAAATTTAGCAGTAAAAATTATTTAAAATTAGACGTGCTGTTTTCAAGAATCTCATGGCAGAAAAGTGGTATTTGGAAAGCTTATAAAGTCATTGTTCAATTGATTTTTAAGAATTTTCTTTTTGACAAATTGAGCATTTACAAAATATGATAGTACCCATATCTTCCTTTTTTAAAAACTAGTCCCAGATGTTTAGTGTAAAGTAATACTTGTGGGGTTCAGAAATAACTAATTATGTGGTAAAAATAAATATTAATCAAAAAATACATTTCTAATTTAGAAGCTTTTCTTCATTTTCTTATTGTCTTCAAGTCTTTCAACTTCTCTTTCCTCTTCCCTTTTTTCCTTCTTTATTTTCCTTTCCATGATATTTTATTTAACTGAATATTTACCATATTCTGAGTATCACAATAGGCATGTTAAAAGGTACGAAGGTAAATAAGTCCAAGTTGCTGTGTATTTAAATAATACAAGGTTTAGAGGATATAAAACATAGCCTTTGCTATGTATAACATAATGTTGAAGATGTTAAGTGGAATGAGAAAGATGCTGATAGAGTTTTAAAAAATCTTAAAATTATTCATTTTATTAATTTTAAAATTATTATATTTTTCTTATGTTCCATCTTTTACAAATGAACTTTATGTATTCCTTTTATATAAATATTATGTCATATTTTCTAATGATAGACCAGGATTTATCATCAAGTGAACTTATATGAATTAGTGATAAGAACTAAAATTTGAACTAAATATTTTCTATGACTATGAGCATTCAAGAATAGAGAAAAAAATAAATCATAAGGGCAATTAAAATTTTTTTATTTATATAAATATTAGATACATATCATGCTTACTTAGTCTTGGAAGAATTATGTAGAAATATTCAAACTCATTTGAACAAATAACCCTTGGCAGTTATTTCACAAGGGCACCTGGAATTTCTGCTAAAAATCTTGTCTGATTGTCACATAAAACTTTTGTGCTTAGCTTTCAGTTTTATTTACCATCTACTTATGGAATTATCAAATTCAAAGCCTGAATTTAGCTGTCTGACCTTGAGAAGACAGAATAAGCAAAATTGAGAGAGATATTATTAGTTTGAATGAAACATATCTGCCCTGAGAAGGTCCACTTATCTCCATTAAACATAATGATTTCCTGAGCTGAAGAAGAATACATAAACTCATGGATGTGAGTATGTTTTTACATAGTAGTTAAGGAAGTGGACCAGAATATTACAGATAAGGAATTCAAGTAACTAAAGTAATTTCCAGATTTTAAGTTATTTGAAAAGTTTGTTATAGCTTCTTATCATGGCAAAATTATATTACAATGATACACTGATATCCTGGAAATTTAGGAATGTAATATCTGAGTCACTATCAGAGGCCATGTTGGTAACCCTCACATTGAGAATATGGCCTTCTCTAGCCTTGACCCCAGAAAAGAATGAAATTCTAGATGATGAGCTTGAGGAAATGATTGCTGAGATTTCAACAAACATATACCTGTACTCCATTCTCCTAAGAGATCATATAACTTCAAAGCGTAAGTAAGATAGCTATGGACATATGAATATGTATCTGCTGATAGGTATGAGATTTATGAAGGAAACAGTTAGTACGGAAGTGAAGAATAAAGATCTGAGCCCTCCCAGGTATCAGAAAAACTATATTCTCTTGTTATTTCAATATGCTTTATGAATAGTCCATGGAGACCTAAACACATTTCATAAGTCCTCTAGGACTTCACCATTGGATCATGAACCAGGATTTAACTTGAACCATGTGCTGGATCCTTCCGTTTCACCACAAATGTTTATTCTGGCAAATTTTGACCATAATTTCAATCACATAGCATAAGCTTCTGCTTTACATTACTGGGGTTTACCCAAGATAGATTTCTGGATTCAGCTGTTTCTCATATATCCATACTTTCTCCAATGACAGCTGCCGTGGCTCCTTCAGGAAACAAATCCATCCAGGCTTATGGCATGACTTTTTCTATTTTGAGTGTTTTCACTAATGCTTATCTTGAAACTAACTAAACAGTGATACTTATCTTGAAATAGTAAAAACAAATGAACTCTTTTTTTGTTGGTCTTAGAATCACTCTGACGATAACAGTATTTTCATGCTACTTTCACTAAAAGAATAATCAAAATGTTGGAGACATAGAAAATCTTTGATATGGTTCTGTGATAAACTGACTCCTTAATTCAATTATAATTTTCTCCGAATTTTGTTCCTTTTTTTCTCAAAAAGTAAACATTTAAAAATGTTTAAAATGTCATGTGTAATGATATAAAAGCTTGTGTTTATGTGGATAATAGGACAAACAATGCTCAGCAATATATTGGTTTCCCTTTCCATTTTCCATGTTCAGTACTGTTTCAAAGATCTTTTACATCTATGTCAAGTATATAATACCACATTCTAGACAAGGGAATGGTGCACAAAAGCAACATAGACCACTTCAAAGCCTAGACCATACAAATCCTATGTGTAAACTTCCACTTTCTTTTTCCATTGCATGGCAATGGTGGAGACAACATCTGGAAAATTGTAGTGTAAATGGCAAAAACACCACGGTTCCTAAGTTACTCTGTGGAACATAGCACTCCTTCTCTAAATAACTGACTCTTTTGGGAAGTTGCTGTATCAAGAGGGTCTACATCTGGACCCAACAGATATGACTAAATACACAACATCTGAGATTTCTCTTCTTTCAGCTGGATGTGAAGACTAGATGAAACTTGGTGTTGTCTCATTTGGAAAGGACATTCTATGTGTGGAAATCAAGTAGCAAAAGAAAGAGCTGAGCAACAGGTAAATCATTGATGTCTAGTTATACAGAGATTTTGGGGTTTCTTCATATAGTAGCATATCCTTAAAAACTGCTAAAATTGGAACCTTGAAGTCAGGTATCACTGTAAAGTAAATAAAATATAGACTATTGGCATAATTGTCTAAAAATAAGCCACAAACATAGATATTGGAGAGTAGAAATATGGAGATATATGATATATAATACAAGAACCCTTGGTAAAAATTTTGCCTACATTAAATCTGAACTTTTAAACCTATTGAGACAGTATCTTTAGGAGAAGTTTGCTGGAAAAAAAGGTGTTAGCATATATTGATATTGACTATATCTAGCACAATATTTCAACAAAGGAGGACTATAAAGATAATTAGGAATTAAATAGCTTGAAAGTATAAATAAAAGAAAGGTGAATAGAATTCATAAATTCATGGCCTAATGGTTTGAAAACTCACCTGCTTCTATAGATCATAGAGTAGGAATTAGGACGAATTACTCTTTTTGACACTGAAAGTCTATTAAGACCCAGGATTCGCTCAAAGATCAGATAAAAGGTGCCTTTCTCTTGTTCACACTTGAAAACCACATTGCTGCCTCCAGTAAGGTGAGAGGAAGAAGCATAGAGGCCAGGATGCAAATATGAAGATTTAAGACTTTTGTCTAAAAAGGACTTTGGGTATATTGCTGGTCATCAAATGGCCAAAACCAAATAGCTCAAAAGTATGTGGAGATTCGAAGAAACAATATTGAACAACATTCTCTGATATCAGATTTAAAATGCCTTTACCTGTTGTAGCTGTAAATGAGCTTTCGGAACTCCAGACGTGCTCCAGTAGAAGTTAGTTATAAAAATTTGTACAGCTCCACAAACAAGGTAGGCTCTTCAGTCCACTTTTCAAATCTGTTCAAGGCTATTTTATTCCTGACTTACCCTGAATTTTTAGTGTGGGGTTGAAGTGAACAGATAACTAACTTTTTAGGCCTTAAATTGCTGGAGTAGGAGGAGCCACATCTGATCTCCAAAATATATGACTGAGCTGCACAACATTTGAAATTTCTGGTCTTTCAGCTGATGCAAAGATGAGATTAAATTTGAAGTTGCCTCCTTTCTGGGAATAAAGACAGAATAATATGCACAGAAATAAGCAAAAATATTTAGTGATGAGAGTGATAGAATGCAGCAGTGAAAGCTAGCACCTGCTATTATTTTCTCTCTCCTTTTAAGACACATAAGGATACTTCTTGGCTTCCCTTTAGTTAGGTTGGAGCAATATGCCTGAGTTCTGGTCAATGGAATATGGAAAGAAATGATGTATATTGTTTCCAAGCCAGACACTTATAAATCTGCGAGATATGATTTCCTGTGTATTTCCAAAGTTGGAGGTCCAGGGTTGGAGTTGAGAAGGTGCTATCACAAGATGGAATGAATTTGAGTAGAGCACTCTTTTCTTTTCCTCTTCTCCACTACTCAGCTCAGACTGGAATGTGAGATGAAAAACAAATAAATCTTTGCTGTGTCAAGCCATTGATATTTGGAGGCTGTTTTTTACTTGATTAAAAAATTATGTTAAACACACACACAGAGAGAGACAGAGAGAGAGAGAGAGAGAGAGAGAGAGAAATAGTGCATTGAATTTGGGACTGCCTTAAATATTTGGGACCCAAAGTTATAGTACTATGTGAAGATTTGTTCCAAGAAGTTGATTAAAAAGCCCATATTATATTTATCAGCTGGAAAAGTAAAGAAACCAAGCCTAGGGGAGAGAAATTTACTGGGAACAAATGGTGTATTAGGATGTAGGAGAAAACTTGAAATATCCCCACTCCTCCGTTACTAAAACCCCAGTCAAATCATGAAAAAAAAGGAAAAAAAAATACAGAAAACTTGTAGGCTGAACTTTTGAAATTCTTATGATGATCTGGCATATTCAATGAGGAATTAGAACTCAGAGTACTTTATAGAAAGGAATTCTTTCTGAATCAAGGTTAAAGGAGCACAGAAACGATGTATATTATGTACACCAAATCTATTACG
The DNA here is from genome assembly GCF_000001405.40 of Homo sapiens. Taxonomy (NCBI): domain Eukaryota; kingdom Metazoa; phylum Chordata; class Mammalia; order Primates; family Hominidae; genus Homo; species Homo sapiens. The sequence continues at coordinate 94,726,024 of NC_000003.12, forward strand.
TGGCCATTGTTGAAATCAGGATTTTTGTAAAATGCTAGGAATTCTAGGTACTTAAGAAACAGGAGTGAGATTGGCCAGGAAGTAGCATAGTGAGTCCTAGGAAAATGTGGAAAGCTACAACTCAGTAGGGTTGTGGAAATGCCTGAAACCTGGGGAATAGCCCACATCTACATCCAAACAATGATAGTACATGATATAGTTTGGCTCTGTGTCCCCACCCTAATCTCAGCTTGAATTGTAATAATCCCTACATGTCATGGGAGGAACATGGTGGGAAGTAATTGAATCATGGGGGCAGGTTTTTCCCATGAATAAGTGAATAAGTCTCACAAGATATGATGGTTTTATAAAGGAGAGTTCCGCTGCACATGTTCTCTTGCCTGCCACCATAGAAGGTGTGACTTTGCTTCTCATTTCACCTTCCAAAATGATTGTCAGTACTTCCCAGCCATGTGGAACTGTGAGGCAATTAAACCTCATTTCTTTATAAATTACCCAGTCTCAGGTATGTCTTTATTAGCAATGTGAGAACAGACTAACACAGTACACATGATAGACTGAAGGATAGAAATATTTGTCGGGGGGTACCAGAGCATGAGGACACCTAAGAGCTCCTTGGGGACTGCTGAAGTGGAGTCAAGAATAAGGGCTTATATATAGACAGTCGTCTTGGTTGGTCACTGCTTTTCCTTCATTGTTGCTCTTCCTATGAAAAATAAATTGGACAAACTATTATCTCTGTCACCTAGAATAGTGTTTGGCACATGGAAGATATTCAAAAAATATATATTCAAAAACAAATAAATATTTTCTTTTGATAGATATGCCTTAACATGTAAAAATATCTGTGTTTTCTTTGGGAGGCAGGGGAGGAGTGTCTAAATGTTATAAAACAACAGAAATAGAATAATTTTTAGCGTTAGAATCTGATATAATCTATGCAGAACTATGATTATATTATTATAATTATGAAAAGCCCCAAACCACTCTAATTTTCTCTTTTGTCTTTCACCATGTTATGTAGGTAAGAAATTAAGTCAACAAACTTATTTCAGAATTACATTTAGAAAGTATTATTGTTCTATACGTCTCTAAAGAATTCATGTTTTTATTTTAGTTTGAGTCCTAAAAATTACAATTTGTTGAGCTTTTCTCTAGTGTTTGATCTTTGAAAATTTTGTTTTTTTTAGGTCCTTACTACCAGAGTCCTATGGAGCTTCCCCTCTCTTACCCCTTCCACCCATATTTGTACTTTTCCTTTATTAAAGTAAAAACTGATCAAAAGGGCAACTATAGTTACAACTGTTTGAATGTCAGAGCATTTGATGAGTCAAGACATTGTAGCTGTGGCAATATATCTTCCATTGTCTTTCATTTTATAAATGGGATTCTAATTAGACCAATCATTTTTAATTAGCACGCTGTCATGTAGCAATCTAATAAAATACTGTGATGAGGAAAATTGATCTGGCCTTGATGCTAATTACTCTCCTAGGCTCCAGGCTTTATAAAACTAGGAAGTGACTGCTTCCAGGCCATCCATGTCCTGTTTCTTCTTCTTTGTTTTTTTACATACACTCTTCTACTTAACTTGTCTCCTTACTTCATATTATGTCCTCATCTTTAATTCATATTGTGTCCTCATTCCCAATTAATTTTAACCACACCTTGGTCTTTGGTGTAACCTGAAAAAGTAGGGCTTTATCAGTTGTCTGAGAAAATATTCCTTAGTTAAATATTTCCTCTAAGAAGTTGATTATGGTTAGGCTTTGCGTCCCCACCCAAATCTTATCTTGAATTGTAATCCCCATAATCCCCACATGTCAAGGGAAAAAGCAGGTGGAGGTAATTGAATCATGGGGGCAGTTTCCCCAGTGCTGTTCTCATGATGCTGATTGTCACAAGATATGATGGTTTTATATGGGGCTTTTCCCCTCTTTGCTGGCACTTCTTCCTGCTGCCTTGTAAAGAAGATTCCTTACTTCCCCTTTGCCTCCTTCCATGATTGTAAATTTCCTGAGGCTTTCCCAGCCATGCTGAACTGTGAGTCAATTAAATCTCTTTCCTTCATGAATTATCCAGTCTCAGCAGTTCGTTATAGCAGTGTGAAAACAGACTAATATGGAAGCGTACCAGATCACAGTCCCATAATGCCAAAGTCTGGCTCAGTGCTAAGGCTGTTAGGGTTAGGCCAAGGTCAGCCTCCACATAATCAAAGTCAGAGGGAGCTGAGACTGTTGCTGGAATCAGAGTTTTAGAAAGACAGTAACATAAACATTACAAAAGAAAATCTGAACAATATTCTCGTGGGATTTGTTTACGTCTGTTTTCTCAGAACAGCACGGCATGTTTAAGGTTAAATAACTAAATTTTTCCAAGAATTGGGTGACTGACTAGAGTTTCCTTTGCTGCTATTTAAATGCTTTTTAAAGTCAGAATAATTTGAGATAACTAATACTTTTTTTAGTCATAAGATACTTGGAATATAAATTTTGATGTCTGACTTAAATTTTTTGATTCATTTTTAGCCCATTAACTACATATCTAGGCTTTTTATGAAATTGTTATTGGAAACAAAACTTAAACATAGCTTCCTGTGTAAAACTAAATTTACTTGTACTTTGTTCTTTTTTTCCTTTAAATTTACTTTATTTTAATAAGGACAGGTGGGAATTACTTCAAAGCGAAAGATGTCTTGATCTCTATAAAAGTTTATTTTTATTGTATTAGCATAACCATTCCTTGAGACATCGAAGATTTTCATTAACTGTCTAAATTTGTTTTTGTGTGTGATCCTCAGAATGGCTACAGATCTAAGCATGTTCAGATGAAGCAGGTGTTGTGACTATATACATTAGTATACGGTGCACTAAAGATTCTTGAAATCCCTGTAAAAAACGTCCTAAGATATTTGGAACATATTAATAATTCTATGCAAATTTTAAGTTTGCTTCTAGGAATTCATTAAATTTTACCTTGTGAGTGACGTTAAAAGAGAATCAAATGGAGGTGTTGTTGAATAATGAATCTACTCTTTAGACAGTGCTTCTTATGTGTAATCTAGCACAGAAACCAATCCATATTTGTGACTTGTGCACAGTGAAATAGCAACTCATGCCAGGGCCTGGCATGGTGGTTCACACCTGTAAACCCAGCACTTTAGGAGGGCCGGGCAGGAGGATCACTTGAGGCCAGGAGTTCAAGACCAGCTTGGCCAACATAGGGAGACCCAGGCTGGTCTCAAACTCCTGGTCTCAAAAATTACCTCAGCGTGGTGGCATGCACCTGTAGTTCCAGCTACTCAGGAGGCTGAGGCAGGAGGATTGCTTGAGTCCAGGAGACTGAGGATGCACTGAGCTGTGATCATGCCACTGCACTCCAGCCTGGGTGACAAAGTGAAACTGTGTCTCACAAAAAGAAACTCATGACAGTATGAAAATCACCTAAGTTGTTAAGCCCCCTGTTTAGGTTGGCTGATATTTGTTTTTCATAACAATAATTTATCAATAAATAAAGCAGAAAATTCAATTATATTCTGGCACAAAATCCTTATTTTATTATCTGCTGTCATTTTGAGTAGCCCTAGTATTGAAGCTGGTTATATTAAAAATATAAAAATATTCCTAGATGATAAATATTTTCACAGATATTAGAATAATGGAGAGGTGAGCTTCAACTATCCTATGTTTACCTGCGTATAACTCAGGGTTCTCTAGAGGGACAGAACTAATAGTGTGTATATTAACTCACACAATCACAAGGTCCCACAATAGGCCATCTACAAGCTGAGGAAAAAGGAAAGCCAGTCTGCATCCCAAAACTGAAGAAAGTGGAGTCCAATGTTCGAGGGCAGTAAGGGTCCATCACAGGAGAAAGATGTAGGCTGGGAGGTTAGGCCAGTCTAGTCTTTTCACAATTTTTTTCTGCCTGCTTTATATTCTAGCTGTGCTAGAAGCTGATTAGATGGTGCCCTCCCAGATTAAGGGTGAGTCTGCCTTTCCCAGTCCACTGACTCAAATGTTAATCTCCTTTGGCAACACCCTCACAGACACACCTAAGATACTTTGCATACTTTAATCCAATCAAGTTGGCACTCAGTATTAACCATCACAAGTCCATTCTTTGTCAATTTGAACCCACGCACATCTCCTGAGATCATACATAATCTTCAAATAAAGACAATAATAAGGTCATAATTACACCAAACATAGTACAACCACCTTTTGTGCAACCAGAAGCACACCAATTCCCAACCGAAATACTATTACATAAAAATAACAATACTTAAAAGCTGATATAAAGTCAATAAATTTTATGTCACATAATAAAGGAAAAGGAAATTAAAGATATTTTCTTAGTACAAGTGTATACATGCACAAACAGGTTTTTAATAAAAGAAGAAAGACATACTCATGACAAATACAGTCGTTATTTCTGCAGCTAGTCACATGGGTGTAGCTGGTATTGATGACTACCTTCTTCTACTACCCATTCTATATTCCCTTTGCCTTCAGTAAACACCTAAGTAGGTAATGTTTTTTTTTTCCCTGGTGGAGTGACCCAGACCTTCATTCCTGAAGGGTCTGGGCCATTTGTGGTCCTGCCTGGATCAGGCTTTTGTAGTTTTCCATTTACTTTAATCACAGGGCATGATGATACTAAGAGATGCCATAATGGATTTCCTGTATTCCATGCATACTCTTTCTTACCTCCATTCTGGAGTAGTAGACTAATTTCATCTTGATAGTTCAGGTCAATCACTCTAGCCAATATTGTAACTCCCATCTCAACCCACTGACTTAAAGGTAGGAGGAACCCAAAGTTTCCAGGTCACAATCTTAACTTCCAGTTTAATGGAATCATTGTTGTGTCTCTTCGTGGCAGCGTCCCTTCCTCTGGAACTAAGACCTCTAGGACAGTAGAACGTAATGTCGTGGGAACAGGAGGCAAAAATTTTGCTAACAGATCACTAGGGGTGATGGTGAGTGGTGCCACTTCCACTTCCATCCCTTGATTCCTGGGACTGTGAATCTTGGCTATGGGAGAAACAGTACCATACATTGGATGCTGATTCAAAGCATACATGGCCTTCTGGAGAACTTTGCCACAGCCCTGCAAATATTGTCACTTAGTTGGCATTGTAATTGTGACTTCAAAAGGCCATTCCACAATTCTATCAATCCAGCTGCTTCAGTATGATGGGGAACATGGTAAGACCAGTGAATTCCATGAGCATGAGCCCACTGCTGCACGTCTTTAGCTGTAAAGTGAGTGCCTTGGTCAGATGCAATGCTGTGTGGAATACCATGACTGTGGATAAGGCATTCTGTGAGTCCACAGATGGTAGTCTTGCTAGAAGCATTGTGTTCAGGATCGGCAAACCCATATCCAGAGTAAGTGTCTATTCCAGTGAGGAAAAACCTCTTCCCTTTCCATGATGGAAGTGGTCCAATATAATTAATCTGACACCAGGTAGCAGGCTGATCACCCTGAGGAGTGGTGTCATATCGAGGGTTCAGTGTTGGTCTCTGCTGCTGGCAAATTGGGCACTCAGCAGTGGCTGTAGCCAGGTCAGCCTTGGTGAGTGGAAATTCACATTGCTGAGCCCATGTGTAACCTCCATCTCTGCCACCGTGGCCACATTGTTCATGGGCCCATTGGGCGATGATAGGGGTGGCTGGGGAAAGAGGTGGCTGAGTGGTATCCACAGAATGGGTATCCTATCCACTTCATTATTAAAATCCTCATCTATTGAAGTCACCTGTTGGTGAGCACACACATGAGATACAAATATCTCCAGTTTTTGACCACTCAGAGAGATCCATTCTCATACCTCTTCCCCAAATTTTTTTGTTTCCAATTTTCCAATCATCCTTCTTCCAAGTCCCTGACCATCCAGACAAACCACTGGATACAGCCCATTAAAAGTATATAATCTCACATCTGGCCATTTCTCTTTCCATTCAATGTGCACGACCAGGTGAACTGCTTAAAGTTTTGCCCACTGGGAAGATTTCCATCCACCACTGTCCTTCAGGGATGTCCTTGATAGGGGCTGTAGTGCTGCACCTGTCCACTTTAGAGTAGTGCCTGCATATTGTGCAGAATCATCTGTGAACCAGGCCCCAGTCTTCTCTTTCTCTGCCACCTAATCATAGGAAACTCCCCATGAGGCCATCGGTGCAGGCTGTGGGAGAGAAGGCAGGGTGGCAGGAGTGGAGACGATGGGCATTTGAGCTACTTTCTCATGTAACTTACTTGTGCCTTCAGAACCTATGTGAGCCTGATCATGTGTATACCACTTCCATTTGATGATGGAATGCTGGTGTGCACAACCCACTTTATGGCTAGATCGGTCAGAAAGCACCCAGTTCATGAAAGGCAATCCAGGTTGTATCATGACTTGATGACCCATAGTCAAACGTTCAGTTTCCACCAAAGCCCAGTAACAGGCCAAGAGCTGTCTCTTAAAAGGAGAGTAGTTATCTGCAGAAGATGGCAGGGACTTGCTCCAAAATCCTAGAGGCCTCTACTGTGATTCACCTATGGGGGCCTGCCAAAGGTTCCAAACAGCATCCCTATCTGCTGCTGACACTTCAAGCACCATTGGATTTGCTGGGTCATATGGCCCAAGTGGCAGAGTAGCTTGCACAGCAGCCTGGACCTATTGCAGAGCCTTCTCCTGTTCTGGACCCTACCCAAAACTTGCAGCCTTTTGGGTCACTTGATAAATTGGCCAGAGTAACACACCCAAATGGGGAATGTGTTGTCTTCAAAATCCAAATAAGCCTACTAGGCATTGGGATGTCAACTCCAAACTCTTTGAGGATAAGGCCTCTGTCTCATCCACAGATGAATCTTGTTTTATCGTCTGGTTCTGCTTGTTCTTATTTCTCATGTAAGCACAGTGGTAGGATCTGAAAAGTAATCCTGCTGGAGAATTTTACCTATAACTCTTGGAGTCTTTGTAGGTCAAATACTAGTCTGAAACCTGCATTTGGAAAAGCATAAAGGTGAAAAATGGATTGCTCAGCTGATGGATCAGGCAAAGAGAAAAATGTTGTGAATGCTCTGCCCTCTGAATTTTTTTATGAAAGTGAAAGTCTTTCTCATAATTCAGATATGGATAATTTGGGAAAATAATCAGCTTTGAGTTGTATTAAAGTAGCTTTGACCAAGAGGCCAATTAGAAGAGCACCAGAATCCCAATAGAGAGAGCCTTATCGTGAAGACAGCAGGCAGCCAGGGCTGAGGAAGGTACTGCACGTTTTCAGTCAAAGTAAACATCTGAATCAAAGGATTGTAGGGAAGAGATCCCTGGGTAGTAGAAGAGTATATTCTCTGTTGTCATGAAAGCAGATGATCAGCTGAGAATATCCAGAAAGCTCAGGGAAAATTGGGTATAAACAACAGCCTGGCCAGAGAAAATTTAGTATCAGACAAATATGACTTCTCTTAACACTGACATTTTTTTTCTTATACAACTTTTCTTCAACTCTAGAAAACCAAAAAGATAGCCTACTAATCATGAAATAAAGAAGAAAGAGGAAGCTAAAGGTGAATCCTACAACCTATCACATTCCTCCTCCCACTGCAGACTTCCAAGCCTGATGCTGTCAGGAACCAAGGAAAGAAAGAATGTTAAACATTATGTCAATTTTGAAATATTACACGTGCTTCAATGTTTTGATTACTAAAATGAGACTACATGGCTTGAAGTAACCAGAGAACATTTTATTATCTAATAGTGACTGAGAAATGATGTAAAATGTACCTCAGATTTCAAAAAGAGAAAGAAAAATAGCTATTTTCACAGAATGGATTTGAATGAGTATTAGGGGAGATAAATAAACTTGTGTTCGATTTCACATTATGTGAATCCTGTTTATTCAAAATACCAGTCATACAGTTGTTCAGGATATTTACTTTTATTTCCAGGGAACAACTCATGCCATCCCAACTATATTCATGCAAAAAGGATTTTAGACTCAGCCCCTTTACAGATGCTAAGGATAAAGTATTGAAAAGAGAGGGAAAAATGTCTAACTTTCATAAAGTTTAATGACTTAGTTGGAGATGTTAAGATGGAACACCATAGACTGGGTGCAATATAAAAAAACAGATTTTTTTTTTTTTCTCACAGCCTTGTAGGAGAGAGGTCCATGGTCAAGGTACCAGGATGGCTGGGTTCTGGTGAGGGTTTCTGCCAGGCTGCAAACCACTGACTTCTTTTCTTCTCACATGGCAGAAAGAAAGTCAGCTAGCTTTAGTACCTCTTCTTATAAGGGTAATAATCCTATTATTCACAATGGGGCACTTTAGTAGCCTCTTCTTATAGGGCACTAATCCTGTTATTCACAATGGGGTACTTTAGTAGCCTCTTCTTATAAGGGAACTAATCCTATTATTCACGGTGGTTCTGTCCTCATGACCTAATTACCTCCCAAAGGCTCCACTTTCACATAATTCACTGATGTATGATGGATACGTAGCATTACAAGGAAAAAAAGTTTTTAAATTAGTAACATTTTTAGTTTGGTTCCATCTGTTTGTTTATTATTGAGTGACCATTTGGAATATAACCTCCTCTGGGAGTGGAGTCATCATGTTGCACAAAGGGATTGTCTTTAATCCTAACAGGCGAGAATCCACTGGAAGGATTTTAAGGTGAAAATCAACAATACTTACTTTAAAATTATAAAAATATATTTGTGACTATTGTGTGGAAGATGGATTGTAAAAAGAAAAGCAAAAGGAAGTGTAAAAAAAATTAGAAAAATAGTTAAGAATACTAATTAGTAACCCCGGGAATAGATACTGCCGTTGATGTCAAAATGAAAATGTAAGATAATAGCAGTGAAGAAAGTAGAGGCAAAATGGAGAAAATTGTAGATATTCAAAATATATTGTAGAGATAAAACTAACAGCATTTATTGGAGTGTAAAAAAAGTAAAGAAAAGGCTGGGCGTGCTGGCTCACACCTGTAATCTCAGCACTTTAAGAGGCCGAGGCAAGTGGATCATGAGGTCAGGAGTTCAAGACCAGCCTGGCCAAGATGGTGAAACCCGGTCTCTACTAAAAATACCAGAACAATTAGCCAGGCGTGGTGGCAGGGGCCTGTAATCCCAGCTACTTGGGAGGCTGAGGCAGAGAATTGCTTGAACCCAGGAGGTGGAGGTTGCAGTGAGCCGAAATCACACCACTGTACTCCAGCCTGGGTGACAGAGCAAGACTCTGTCTCAAAAAAAAAAAAAAAAAAAAAACGTAAAGTCATTTCCAATTGTTTACCTGAGACAATGGGTAAATGGCAGAGCACATTAATAAGAAAGAATAGGTGAGAGATGCATCTCCCCTTTGCCAGCTGGTTTGATGTTAGACTCTGACAACAGCCGATTCTAGAGGTACACTGCAAAGTGTAAAAGTGTTCCTGTGAAACACTTAATTTGATATCAAAATGATGATTTCAAGTAGAATGTTTGTTTTGGAATATGGAGATGAGTCATGATTGAGAGATTAAGCAGAGAACTATAAGACCATGGATAAAATTTATAGCTTTGGGACTTTATGAGTCACCAATGGGAGGCCACAAATAGACAGTTAGGACAAATTTCTGGCAAAAATTTAGAAGCCAAATAGAAAAGTAGTAGGTAAATAGGAAATCGAAAAAAAAAGTAGTCAAAGAAGTAGGAAACAAACAACAACAAAAAAAAACTGAATGAGCATTTTATGGAAAATAAGATTAAAAAGCTTTTCAAGGAGGAAATGTCCAGCTGTGTTGAAAGCAGATGAAGAGTGAAAATGTGGCCTGGAAAATCATATTAGTATTTGGCAAAACCCTGTGTCTATTATCTAATCAATTGCTTCTTATCATTATTATGATTTTTCATTATATTTATATGAAAACCTAATACAGCAATCTTTACCTTATTTTAGAAATTTGTAGAATAATCCTGAAGTAGGTAATGTTGCATACATATTTTTTAATTTTTCCAAAGGCATCTCTTTCTCAATTGATAGATAATCGTTTTCTTAAAAATTCAATTTTGTTAATTTTCTCACCAAAAAGGGCTGATTGGTTCTAATTTTTCAAAGTATTATATAAAATATATCATGTGTATTTGGCAAGAATTTCAGTTTTCCTACCAATATATTTGCATATATTGTCAGAAATAAGCAAAACCATACAATAAAACGTACCAAGAAAAGATTTTTACACTTTTAGGTAGAAGAAGGTAAAAGAATACAAACAAGGGTATTTAAGTGAGGACTCATTTTGTTTCCATAAGTAATAATACAGCTTAGAGAACTTAGAAAATGAGTATAAAACACTCTCTTTTTACAGATTATTCCATGAGATAATATTTGATTTGCTTGCTAATTATTTCGTTAGATAATATTTGGGTCTTGGCTCTTTACCTTTTAAGATGGACATTACTGATAAGCTACAAGGATTGAAATTTTGATAAACAAAGGGTCAAAGAAATGTGAAATGAGAATCTGTGAAAGAAACTGAATATATTTAGCTATGAGCAAAAGGAGACTTGAAGGGCCAAAATACTTGAAGAGTTATTACAGAAAAGAAATAAGACTAGTCAGATACTAATCTCTATCAAGCAGAAATAAGATTAGATCAAGCTATGAAACTGTAGAAGCCAGAGGACAGAGAACATAAACCATGATGTATTCATATGGTAGATTGACAGTCAGCTTCCAGTCTAAGGTTTTGCTAGTATACTGTCCCATATTGAAGACTCTGAAGAGTGAAAACTTACTTTTTTTAGATCCTCTTCCCCATATGGTTCTGAATACAAATTAGATTCAATCAAATAATGTTGTTCTTGTAAAATTTTGAAGGCAAATTTGAAGTGATGGCCATCTTCCTGCTGGAAATATTGGATTTTTGTTGTTGTTTATTCCTTAAAGTTACAAGTGCCTAGAAACCAATGGGTTGCTAGTAACAGTTAGACTAAAAATTTCTGTGTCCAATCACAAGGCCTATGGCAGTTAAAGGGCAGCTGCAGAGAAAGCAGGAGTAGCTTCCTGACTCCTGTGTCATAGTTGTGTTACTCATTAGCACTGCACACCAATATTTTGGACATTCTTCTTCCAAACATGTGATAGGATTGCATTTCTTCAACTTCTTGAAATAAGTGGGGACATGGTTGCTTTGATCAATGGAATGTGAAGAAAGTTATACGTATCACTTCCAAGTACAAGCATTTAAGTGCTGATATGTAATTCTTTAATCTTCTCTTCCCTTAGCCACAGATAAAGTGGAATTATGCACTGAAAAGAAGTTGCAATGCTGAACCATCACATACATGACAGCTACCCTGGAGAGTCTTCCAGATATGCAATAGATCTTGTGTGAGGAAAAAATATTCCATCGTTCTGTTTTGCATTTTGTTTTAAGTAACCAAGATTCAGATATTGTTACTTTAGCATGACCTAGACTAATCCTAATACTACAAACATTGATAACAGATTTGGAATGTCACGAGAGCAAAGCCTAAAATATGTGACATTGGCTTTGGCAGAAGTGATACAAAAACTAGTATTTGAGTCTAAAAATTAACAGTCCTTACTATTTATTACAAAGTAATTCACAAAAGGAATTCTAAGAGAACATGGAAAGCTGATCATAAACTTAATGAATTTGTAGGGATAGAGGAAGAATATAGGAAAATGAACAGGGGTAGTGTGTATTGATTACTTTTGATTATGGTTGGAAGGTATTATGTGAAAGAAATGAGTTCAAAAAAAGAATTGGACAGTTAAAGGAAAGAAATAAAAAGAAAGAGAAATAATACAGAGACCAGGAGATTTCTGGGGTTGGAAAAGGCACTATTTCTCAGTCTTTCACCAGACATTGAAAAAGTAAGAAAGGTTGTGAGTGACAAGAATCAAATTAAGGGAATGACCATCTCAATTGTCATTATAATCTCTGAATGGATTAAAGTGTCTTGGACTTAAGATCCAATTATGAGTGTGGCCTGGTAGAGTAAATCTTTTAATTAGCTAAAATGTCTCATAGAAAAGAGATTAAAATATATGTCAATTACAGAGCTACCACAATACACAGAATGACAACTAAATCAAAAGAGAGATGGTGGTTAAAGAGACACTAATTACTGCAAATGTCAATGTCCTGAGAGGAAATGTGGCTTTGGATATTGGCACTTTACTCATTGACATCACATTGATAAATAGTCTACCAAATTCTTGAAGATGTTTTCTACCAAAAGATGCAAATAGTAAACTAAAAGTTGTCTCCAACTGGAGATTTAAAGTGATTCACAAACTTGTACAAGCAGGAATTGGGCTAAGAAAGCTGCCAGCCTCACAGAAAGTATATTTCTCCAATTCCCAGTTCTGATGTAGCCAAGGAAAACAATGTCAAAGGAAGAATTTTCCAGGAACCCCAGAGTCAGAGAGAAAAGTTGCTCCTCACGAACAGTAAAAGGGCATAAAGAAAGAATATTCTCCACCCCCAGTAGAAAGTTCACTGGGAATTCTGAATTGCTGCAGACCAGTGTCTTCCATGTATCTCCCATTCTCCTCCTCTCACAATCAAAGTGTCCATTACACTTCTATAAATTGGATGTTAGACACACAATCTTTTTAGTTTATGAATCTGTGGATCAAAACTCACCACACCTGGACCTGATATAGAGACTATCATGTGCCTGAAACTTTACACTCTAACTCTTCCAATAATTTGGTAAGTATCTACTATTCTGTATTAAACCCCTCTTAATTTAAAATACCTAGAGTGTATTCTGTTTCCTGAAACTGAATCCTAATGAATATAGCTGTCATGGCAAAATGCTACAAATCCAGGGCTTAAAATAGACTGTTCAATACTTGATACAAAATCTGATAGATCAGTTGGTGGTAGAAGCCAAAAATTAAAGACTTGGGGATTCAATTGTTAATATTATATAAATAGATGAATGTCCTGAATTATGGAATGAAAATCTAAGATTAATTTATATCTATTCCAAAATGATGTACTTTGGAATTTTAAATTATTCCCATATGAGCCTATGTGGGTTTGGTGAATTAATTAAAGGAAACTACAGTGGTGATAGATGTAATTTTGGGGAGTCCAACGTTTGGGAGTGGTGTTGGGATTAAATTGCTATACTTGATATATAAAACTTTATAAAACTCTGTAACCCATAATATTCAGCATTTCCTGACTTCCCTGTGAGGCAAAGAGATCCTTAGAAGTATCCAAGCATTTTGTACCTGATATTGGTAAAGGATATTGTTGAAAGAATAGCTACATGATAAAGGGGTTACACTCTTGATTAAAAATGGCAAAACAACAAAAACTGATTAATGAACGTTTTCATTTAAGCATGTTGAATTTGTAGTAAGTGAATAAGCTTAAAATGCTTATGTTTATTTGCATACGTATCTACACACATATATGTGATGTTATGCTCTAGAAATCAATAGGGTTATTAGATTGATTGTAAAGAATCTCATGTAGCTTAGGAAATCTTGCTCTCAGATGACTCTAAAACGAGATGAGTTGTCAAAATCTTGGGTGATTTCATGGCCAGAGGGTAGGCATTTGGAGGATGAGCTGGATAATGGTATGTGATCCTTTGATCCTAAGATTGTATAAACAATAGAAATACACTGAAAAGGAAACTACGTGATTTTAGTAAGAAACTATGTTTACTCTAATGAGTCTATGGAGAATTATATAATATATGGAAAGCACATGTCTTCTAGAAGTAACCACTAAAAAAATAGGAAAAGTATTATGTTCCTCTGGTTAGAACTAACGTTTGGTTTGCTTTTGCAGGTAAAACTAATTTGATGCTCTTATTAAAATATAAAGCAATTCTTGGCCAGGCATGGTGGCTCATGCCTATAATCCTAGCACTTTGGGAGGCCAAGGTGGGTGGATCACCTGAGGTCGGGGGTCTGAGACCAGCATGACCAACATGGAGAAATCCTGTGTCTACTAAAAATACAAAATTAGCCGGGTGTGGAGGCACATGCCTGAAATCCCAGCTACTCAGGAGGCTGAGGAAGGAGACGCCCTTGAACCTGGGAGGCGGAGGTTGCAGTGAGCCGACATCACGCCATTGCACTCCAGCCTGGGCAACAAGAGAAAAACTACAGCTCAAAAAAAATATATATAGATATATACATATATACACATATGTATATAAAGCAATTCTTACTCTATGATAAAAATATATACCCTGGAAATACTGGTTCTGAGAAAGCATCTCATTTTAAATGATTGGGAGTTGAAAAAAAAAGTATTTAGAAACTGATTTCTACTAAAACAATTATAAGAAACATAAACAACATTGAAACCCAAGAGGTTTGTAACATATTAGGAAGAAAATAATAAATGTAGATTATATTAGCAACAGGATGCTGCCTAGCCAGTTTGAGAACACAAACTATAAAATGTGTAATTTTCCCTTAGGTATTGCAAATTGACCACATAACAACATCAGAAATTTCACTTGTGAGAAAAATGAGATAACACATACAGGCTAATTGCTGAGAAGAGAAATAGTAAAACAAAGTAAAGTGTGTTATCTGAAATTTATATTATGATACTTGACAGTTGTTTTATTTTGAAATTCCACATTTGCTTTTAAAAGCTCTATGATGGAAATCAGGTCAGGTGCACATGGCCAGTTACAGTCGTAAATTGTTTTAAAAAGTATTTTGAATATCCAGTAACCTACTCCCTCCCTCTTTATTTGTCTTATGTATTAGTCAAAGTTCTTCAGAGAAACAGCACTGATAGAATGTGTGTGTGTGTGTGTGTGTTTGTGTGTGTGTATGGTAGTGAAAGTGGAGAAGAGAAGGTGGATATGAAAATATATACTTGGAAGAAAATTAACAGAAAATTTGACTAAATAAATGTAGCGATATAGTGATACAAATATTAATCCTGGACTTATTATAATTTCAAATGCCATAATTCTAATTATTTTAGTGGAAGTCTTTGTACAAGTTATTGGACATATTCTCACAGAGAGAGAGATAAATAGACATAGAGACAGAGAGATTTGCTTTAAGTAATTGGGTTATGTGATTATGGATGCTGGAAAGCCCCAAATCTGCAGGGTAGGGCCGTGGGCTGGAGAATGAGGGAAGAATCAATGTCCCAGCTGGAGTTTGAAGCCAGTCTGGAGACAGAATTACCTCTTCTTCAGAACACCTTAGTCTTTTTTCTCTTAAACCCTTCAACTAATTGATTGAGGTCCCCCCACATTATGGAGGGTAATCTGCTTTTCTCAGTCTACTGATTTCAGTGTTCAGCCATCTAAAATATACCTTCTTAGAAACATCTAGACTGGTGTTTGATCAAATATCTGGGTACTGTGGTCTAGCCAAGTTGACACATCAAATTAACCGTCAGAACTCATAAAGGAGCCTAGAGCCCTCTCAATCTTGTTTCTTATCTTTCACCTCAAAACTCCTCCCAGATCTATGACTCTGAGGACTAAACTACTAACAGCATAACATTTGGCTCTACTTTCAGAGGGGTTTGTAATTCAGTGAGGGGGGGAAAATGTTTTTAACCTAAAATGATTAAATACTCAATATAAATATACTTTCAATTTCACTTTATTAGCAGGGAATGATTATTTTGAGTAATAATCTTTCTCTTGGTTCATATGCCTAGCACATAATCTGTTTTCTTTTCTGTGTGGACACGCAATTTGTCCTGATTATAAGCACCCAGACATTGCTGCTTCCCCATGCCAATTGATTTAATTCAATAACATTGATTAAGTGCCCACCTTGTGCCAGGACTGTGCAAATAATCTTAATATAAAAGCAGATAATTTCATAAACGACTTCACAGTCTAGCCAGGGGGATATATATATACACAAATAAATGAAACACAATTGACAAGTGCAAAGCTAAATGTATTAACAAACTATTTTAGGAGTAGCAAGGAGGGAATCATGATTTTAATCTAATGTCGTCAAAGACATTTTCAAAAATATAAAATATTTTGCATTTCTCTAATAATTAGTGATGATTAGCAGTTTTTCATATATTTGTTGACTGCATGTATGTCTTCTTTTGAGAAGTGTCTGTTCATGTGTTTACCTATTTTTTAATGGGATTATTTAGCTTTTGTTTGTTGAATTGTTTAAGTTCCTTATAGGTTCTGAACATTGGACCTTTGTCAGATGCATAGTTTGTAAATATTTTCTCCTATTGTGTAGGTTGTTTGTTTACACTGTTTATAGTTTCTTTTACTGTGCAGGAGTTGTTTAGCTTAATTATATCCCCTTGTCAATTTTTGTGCTGGTTGCAATTGCTTTTGGGGAAGTGCCAATCAAAACCTCATTGAGATACCATCTCATGTCAGTTAGATTGGCTATTTTTAAAAAGTCAAAAAACAACAGATGTTGGAGAGGTTACAGATAAAAGGGAACACCGGTACATGCTGATGAGAATGTTAATTAGTTCAGCCACTATGGAAAGCAGTGTGGAGATTCCTCAAAGAACTTCAAACAGAGCTGCCATTTGACCCAGCAATCCACTACTGAGTATAAAACCAAGGGAAAATGAATCATTCTATCAAAAAAAACATGCATTTGTATGTTCATCACAGCACTATTCACAATAGCAAAGACAGGAATCAACCTAGATGCCAATCAAGAGTGGACTGGATAAAAAAAATGTGGTACATCTACACCATGGAATACTATGCAGCCATAACATGGGATTACAGTGGGACAAAATTATGTCCTTTGCAGCAACATGTACACAACTAGAGGTCAAACTAAAGCGGAAACAGAAAACCAAATACCTCATGTTCTCACTTAAGAGCAAAAGCTAAACACCGAATACACATGGACACAAAGATGGGAATAATAGAAAATGAGGACACTTGAAGGGGTATAGTGGGAGGTGAGTGTGGGATGAAAAACTACCTATCAAGTACTATGCTTACTACCTGGGTGACAAGATCATCAGTACACCAGACCTCAGTGACACGGAATTCACCCATATAACAAACTTGAACATGTACCCGATGAACCTAAAATAAAAGTTGAGGAAAAAATAAATGGACAGGAAAGAATTCTATGGCAGAGTAACATTTAAGCAAAGACCTAAATGGAGTAAGAGAACATTCCACACAGGACACAAGTGCAAAGGCCTTGAAGTTGGAGCATGCTTGGAGTTGTGAGGAAAATAACAAGATCAGTGTGAATGAAGTGGAGTAAAAGACAGGAGAAGTGACAAGAGATAAAGTATCTCAACTAAACTAGGAATGAAAGAACAGTATCAGCAGGGCGCAGTGGCTCACGCTTGTAATCCCAGCACTTTGGGAGGCCGAGGCAGGCGGATCATGAGATCAGGAGACTGAGACCATCCTGGCTAACATGGTGAAACCCCGTCTCCACTAAAAATACAAAAAATTAGCCGGGCGTGTTGGTGGACGCCTGTAGTTCCAGCTACTCGGGAGGCTGAGGCAGGAGAATGGCGAGAACCTGGGAGGCGGAGCTTGCAGTCAGCCGAGATCGCGCCACAGCACTCCAGCCTGGGCGACAGAGCGAGACTCCGTCTCAAAAAAAAAAAAAAAAAAAAAAAAAAAAAAAGAAAGAAAAAAAAGAAAGAACAGTATCAACCACTTTAAAGCATTTATAGAAAAATGTACATTTTTTAAGGTTCTCAGTACACTTTTAAACAGTGTGAAAGTTGGTAGTAATATACAAAGAAATAAAGTTTTTACTTTTACTCAAAAATCAACACAAAAATAATTTGTTAAAAAAATACATATAAAGGGACAATTAGCTGTGTGTCGAAAGATGACTGTAGATGAATTACAGACAGTAAAGTAAGGAGTGGAATTGAGCAGACAAAGGAAAGCATGGAGGTGTGCTTGAGAAGAACTGAAGCTGGCTAGAGCACAGTCTATCAGAGGAGATTAGCAGACAACCAAGCTGAGATATGGATTCCACTAGGTGTAGAAAACAGTACTGGAAAGATTGGACTTGACCCTGTAGACAATGCAGAGCCATTTAAAAAGCAGCATGATCAGATTTTTGCTTTAGAAATTTAATTCTAATAGAGAAGAGGAGGATACATTTGAGTCGGAGAAAGACTCGAGTCTTAGAAAACAAGTAGCAAACAGTTATCACTGTTCCAACAAGAGAGAATCTAGAATATGGTGGTAGAAATGGGGAAGAGAAGATGGATTTGAAAATACATATTTGGAAAGACATTGATGAGCCATTCGACTAAATAAATGTAGAAAGTTAAGGATTCAACAATTAGTTCTAGATTTTTTACAACTTCACATATCATAATTGTAATGAAAGTCTTTCTAAAAGTTATGACACTTTCTTATCTTTTCAAAAGAGGCTATTAGATTCACCAATATGAACACTATTTGACCTTACTGTAATATATAGCATAGTTTTATTTACATTTGTGATACTTTTATTAACTTATTTATTTTTCTGTTTTTAGTCTACTCTTCTGTGGCTAGTGTAAGGGGACAATTTATTAGAGACTTTCCATAATTTCTAGTTTACTCCTTGCAATAGGGGATAGATGGATAAAGCAGAGAACAAAATCTCAAAGAAGGTATACTAGTGGGTGAAAAACTTACAAAGAAGATTCAAGGAGTGTTTTCTATGGAATAAAGAGGAGGTCGTAGTTTTGAGGTTTTGTGACAGGTTTCAAGTATGTGTCTATACACAGTCAGGGACTTTATTCACTAACTTTATTTCATGAGTGTATAACAGAGAGCTTAGATTGACTGTTACCTAACTCCAGATTGGGAAGATTTTATTTTAAATATGTAAATTTCATGTGTTGTAAATAAATAAAAAAAATTATTGGTCAATTTGTTGTCTCTAACTCCATTGTTAATAGTAGAATTACACTCATATTGGTATATCAGACATTGGTGAACTATGACCCACAGGCAAAATTTGTTCTACTGCTTGTTTTTATACCTGAGAGCTAAATACAGTTTTTGCATGTTAAAAGATTGTTAAAAAGAAAGAAAAATAGAGCATGAGAAAGAGAGCATCTGGGACCTACTATGGTTTGAATATTTGTCTCCCTGCAAAAGTCGTGTTGAAATTTAACCCCAATGTGACAGTATTGAGAGATGGACCTTTAAGGGGTAATTGTATCATGAGGGCTCTGCCACCAGGAATTAATCCAATCATAGGTTTATGGGTTATTGCGTTATTTAATTAATGGGTTATCATGGGAGGAGAATCAGTGGTTTTACAAGGGAGAAGGAAAGACCTGAGCTAACATGTTAGCCTGCAACCCCTCGTCTCCCACCCCACCATGGGTGCCTTTTTCCACACTTAAACTTTGCAGAGTCCCTACCAGCAAGAAGGCCCTCACCAGATGTGGCCCCTTGGCCTTGGACTTCTCAGCCTCTGTAACTGTAAGAAATAAATTTCTGAATTGGGGAGGAGCCAAGATGGCCGAATAGGAACAGCTCCGGTCTACAGCTCCCAGCGTGAGCAACGCAGAAGATGGGTGATTTCTGCATTTCCATCTGAGGTACTGGGTTCATCTCACTAGGGAGTGCCAGACAGTGGGTGCAGGTCAGTGGGTGCACGCACCATGCATGAGCCGAAGCAGGGCGAGGCATTGCCTCACTTGGGAAGCGCAAGGGGTCAGGGAGTTCCCTTTCTGAGTCAAAGAAAGGGGTGACGGACGCACCTGGAAAATCGGGTCACTCCCAGCTGAATATTGCGCTTTTCAGACGGGCTTAAAAAACGACGCACCACGAGATTATATCCCGCACCTGGCTTGGAGGGTCCTATGCCCACAGAGTCTTGCTGATTGCTAGCACAGCAGTCTGAGATCAAACTGCAAGGCAGCAACGAGGCTGGGGGAGGGGCGCCTGCCATTGCCTAGGCTTGCTTAGGTAAACAAAGCAGCCAGGAAGCTCGAAATGGGTGGAGCCCACCACAGCTCAAGGAGGCCTGCCTGCCTCTGTAGGCTCCACCTCTGGGGGCAGGGCACAGACAAACCAAAAGACAGCAGTAACCTCTGCAGACTTAAATGTCCCTGTCTGACAGCTTTGAAGAGAACAGTGGTTCTCCCAGCACGCAGCTGGAGATCTGAGAACTGGCAGACTGCCTCCTCAAGTGGGTCCCTGACCCCTGAACCCCGAGCAGCCTAACTGGGAGGCACCCCTCAGCAGGAGCACACTGACATCTCACACGGCAGGGTATTCCAACAGACCTGCAGCTGAGGGTCCTGTCTGTTAGAAGGAAAACTAACAAACAGAAAGGACATCCACACCAAAAACCCATCTCTACATCACCATCATCAAAGACCAAAAGTGGATAAAACCACAAAGATGGGGAAAAAACAGAACAGAAAAACTGGAAACTCTAAAATGCAGAGCGCCTCTCCTCCTCCAAAGGAACGCAGTTCCTCACCAGAAACAGAACAAAGCTGGATGGAGAATGACTTTGACGAGCTGGGAGAAGAAGGCTTCAGACGATCAAATTACTCTGAGCTACGGGAGGACATTCAAACCAAAGGCAAAGAAGTTGAAAACTTTGAAAAAATTTAGAAGAATGTATAACTAGAATAACCAATACAGAGAAGTGCTTAAAGGAGCTGATGGAGCTGAAAACCAAGGCTTGAGAACTACATGAAGAATGCAGAAGCCTCAGGAGCCGATGCGATCAACTGGAAGAAAGGGTATCAGCAATGGAAGATGAAATGAATGAAATGAAGCGAGAAGGGAAGTTTAGAGAAAAAAGAATAAAAAGAAATGAGCAAAGCCTCCAAGAAATATGGGACTATGCGAAAAGACCAAATTTACGTCTGATTGGTGTACCTGAAAGTGACGGGGAGAATGGAACCAACTTGGAAAACACGCTGCAGGATATTATCCAAGAGAACTTCCCCAATCTAGCAAGGCAGGCCAACGTTCAGATTCAGGAAATATAGAGAACGCCACAAAGATACACCTCGAGAAGAGCAACTCCAAGACACGTAATTGTCAGATTCACCAAAGTTGAAATGAAGGAAAAAATGTTAAGGGCAGCCAGAGAGAAAGGTCGGGTTACCCTCAAAGGGAAGCCCATCAGACTAATAGCGGATCTCTCAGCAGAAACCCTACAAGCCAGAAGAGAGTGGGGGCCAATATTCAACATTCTTAAAGAAAGAATTTTCAACCCAGAATTTCATATCCAGCCAAACTAAGCTTCATAAGTGAAGGAGAAATAAAATACTTTACAGACAAGCAAATGCTGAGAGATTTTGTCACCACCAGGCCTGCCCTAAAAGAGCTCCTGAAGGAAGCACTAAACATGGAAAGGAACAACCGGTAAAAGCCGCTGCAAAATCATGCCAAAATGTAAATACCATGGAGACTAGGAAGAAACTGCATCAACTAACGAGCAAAATCACCAGCTAACATCATAATGACAGGATCAAATTCACACATAACAATATTAACTTTAAATGTAAAGGGGCTAAATGCTCCAATTAAAAGACACAGACTGGCAAATTGGATAAAGAGTCAAGACCCATCAGTGTGCTGTATTCAGGAAACCCATCTCACGTGTAGAGACACACATAGGCTCAAAATAAAATGATGGAGGAAGATCTACCTGGCAAATGGAAAACAAAAAAAGGCAGGGGTTGCAATCCTAGTCTCTGATAAAACAGACTTTAAACCAACAAAGATCAAAAGAGACAAAGAAGGCCATTACATAATGGTAAAGGGATCAATTCAACAAGAAGAGCTAACTATCCTAAATATATATGCACCCAATACAGGAGCACCCAGATTCATAAAGCAAGTCCTGAGTGACCTACAAAGAGACTTAGACTCCCACACATTAATAATGGGAGAGTTTAACACCCCACTGTCAACATTAGACAGATCAATGAGACACAAAGTCAACAAGCATACCCAGGAATTGAACTCAGCTCTGCACCAAGTGGACCTAATAGACATCTACAGAACTCTCCACCCCAAATCAACAGAATATAAATTTTTTTCAGCACCACACCACACCTATTCCAAAATTGACCACATAGTTGGAAGTAAAGCTCTCCTCAGCAAATGTAAAAGAACAGAGATTATAACAAACTATTTCTCAGACCACAGTGCAATCAAACTAGAGCTCAGGATTAAGAATCTCACTCAAAACCGCTCAACTACATGGAAACTGAACAACCTGCTCCTGAATGACTACTGGGTACATAACAAAATGAAGGCAGAAATAAAGATGTTCTTTGAAACCGACGAGAACAAAGACACAACATACAAGAATCTCTGGGACGCATTCAAAGCAGTGTGTAGAGGGAAATTTATAGCACTAAATGCCCACAAGAGAAAGCAGGAAAGATCCAAAATTGACACCCTAATATCACAATTAAAAGAACTAGAAAAGCAAGAGCAAACACATTCTAAAGCTAGCAGAAGGCAAGAAATAACTAAAATCAGAGCAGAACTGAAGGAAATAGAGACACAAAAAACCCTTCAAAAAATTAATGAATCCAGGAGCTGGTTTTTTGAAAGGATCAACAAAACTGATAGACCGCTAGCAAGACTAATAAAGAAAAAAGAGAGAAGAATCAAATAGACACAATAAAAAATGATAAAGGGGATATCACCACTGATCCCACAGAAATACAAACTACCATCAGAGAATACTACAAACACCTCTACGCAAATAAACTAGAAAATCTAGAAGAAATGGATAAATTCCTTGATACATACACTCTCCCAAGACTAAACCAGGAAGAAGTTGAATCTCTGAATAGACCAATAACGGGAGCTGAAATTGTGGCAATAATCAATAGCTTACCAACCAAAAAGAGTCCAGGACCAGATGGATTCACAGCCGAATTCTACCAGAGGTACAAGGAGGAACTGGTACCATTCCTTCTGAAACTATTCCAATCAATAGAAAAAGAGGGAATCCTTCCTAACTCATTTTATGAGGCCAGCATCATTCTGATACCAAAGCCAGGCAGAGACACAACCAAAAAAGAGAATTTTAGACCAATATCCTTGATGAACATTGATGCAAAAATCCTCAATAAAATACTGGCAAAACGAATCCAGCAGCACATCAAAAAGCTTATCCACCATGATCAAGTGGGCTTCATCCCTGGGATGCAAGGCTGGTTCAATATACGCAAATCAATAAATGTAATCCAGCATATAAACAGAGCCAAAGACAAAAACCACATGATTATCTCAATAGATGCAGAAAAAGCCTTTGACAAAATTCAACAACCCTTCATGCTAAAAACTCTCAATAAATTAGGTATCGATGGGACGTATTTCAAAATAATAAGAGCTATCTGTGACAAACCCACAGCCAATATCATACTTAATGGGCAAAAACTGGAAGCATTCCCTTTGAAAACTGGCACAAGACAGGGATGCCCTCTCTCACCACTCCTATTCAACATAGTGTTGGAAGTTCTGGCCAGGGCAATTAGGCAGGAGAAGGAAATAAAGGGTATTAAATTAGGAAAAGAGGAAGTCAAATTGTCCCTGTTTGCAGATGACACGATTGTATATCTAGAAAACTCCATCGTCTCAGTCCAAAATCTCCTTCAGTTGATAGGCAACTTCAGCAAAGTCTCAGGATACAAAATCAATGTACAAAAATCACAAGCATTCTTACACACCAATAACAGACAAACAGAGAGCCAAATCATGAATGAACTCCCATTCACAATTGCTTCAAAGAGAATAAAATACCTAGGAATCCACCTTACAAGGGATGTGAAGGATTTCTTCAAGGAGAACTACAAATCACTGCTCAAGGAAATAAAAGAGGATACAAACAAATGGAAGAACATTCCATGCTCATGGGTAGGAAGAATCAATATCGTGAAAATGGCCATACTGCCCAAGGTAATTTACAGATTCAATGCCATCCCCATCAAGCTACCAATGACTTTCTTCACAGAATTGGAAAAAACTACTTTAAAGTTCATATGGAACCAAAAAAGAGCCCGCATGGCCAAGGCAATCCTAAGCCAAAAGAACAAAGCTGGAGGCATCACACTACCTGACTTCAAACTATACTACAAGGCTACAGTAACCAAAACAGCATGGTACTGGTACCAAAACAGAGATATAGATCAATGGAACAGAACAGAGCCCTCAGAAATAATGCCGCATATCTACAACTATCTGATCTTTGACAAACCTGAGAAAAACAAGCAATGGGGAAAGGATTCCCTATTTAATAAATGGTGCTGGGAAAACTGGCTAGCCATATGTAGAAAGCTGAAGCTGGATCCCTTCCTTACACCTTATACAAAAATCAATTCAAGATGGATTAAAGACTTAAACGTT
Organism: Homo sapiens; assembly: GCF_000001405.40. Lineage (NCBI taxonomy): Eukaryota > Metazoa > Chordata > Mammalia > Primates > Hominidae > Homo > Homo sapiens. Next base: position 94,750,359 of record NC_000003.12, read on the forward strand.
AGACCTAAAACCGTAAAAACCCTAGAAGAAAACCTAGGCATTACCATTCAGGACATAGGCATGGGCAAGGACTTCATGTCCAAACACCAAAAGCAATGGCAACAAAAGACAAAATTGACAAATGGGATCTAATTAAACTAAAGAGCTTCTGCACAGCAAAAGAAACTACCATCAGAGTGAACAGGCAACCTACAACATGGGAGAAAATTTTTGCAACCTACTCATCTGACAAAGGGCTAATATCCAGAATCTACAATGAACTCAAACAAATTTACAAGAAAAAAACAAAGAACCCCATCAAAAAGTGGGCGAAGGACATGAACAGACACTTCTCAAAAGAAGACATTTATGCAGCCAAAAAACACATGAAAAAATGCTCATCATCACTGGCCATCAGAGAAATGCAAATCAAAACCACAATGAGATACCATCTCACACCAGTTAGAATGGCAATCATTAAAAAGTCAGGAAACAACAGGTGCTGGAGAGGATGTGGAGAAATAGGAACACTTTTACACTGTTGGTGGGACTGTAAACTAGTTCAACCATTGTGGAAGTCAGTGTGGCGATTCCTCAGGGATCTAGAACTAGAAATACCATTTGACCCAGCCATCCCATTACTGGGTATATACCCAAAGGACTATTAATCATGCTGCTATAAAGACACATGCACATGTATGTTTATTGCGGCATTATTCACAATAGCAAAGACTTGGAACCAACCCAAATGTCCAACAATGATAGACTGGATTAAGAAAATGTGGCACATATACAGCATGGAATACTATGCAGCCATAAAAAATGATGAGTTCATGTCCTTCATAGGGACATGGATGAAATTGGAAATCATCATTCTCAGTAAAGTATCGCAAGAACAAAAAACCAAACACCGCATATTCTCACTCATAGGTGGGAATTGAACAATGAGATCACATGGACACAGGAAGGGGAATATCACACTCTGGGGACTGTGGTGGGGTGGGGGGAGTGGGGAGGGATAGCATTGGGAGATATAACTAATGCTAGATGACGAGTTAGTGGGTGCAGCACACCAGCATGGCACATGTATACATATGTAACTAACCTGCACAATGTGTACATGTACCCTAAAACTTAAAGTATAATAAAAAAAAAAGAAAAAAAAAAGAAAGAAATTTCTTTATAAATTACCCTGTTTCAGGTATTCTGTTATAAGAAGTAGAATATTGACTAAAATACGGCCAATAAACCCTAAAATGTTTAGTATCTAGACCTTTAACAGAAAAAATTTGAAGACCCCACCTATGAATAAAGGCTCATTTTTCATATGTGCCTTTTGTCGTCACTTCCTTTTAATATATACGTTGTCTTAGTAAATGAATGATAAACTCATTGAAGGCAAGAAGCAGACCACAGATCTCTATATCTTCCTCAGTATTGGCACAGTACATTACCTACACTCATACCTGTGAATCTGTGAACACTCATATCTGTGAAAGTTTGTATAGATAGTTTGTATAGCTTCCTAAAACTTGTGAGATCCAGTGAAGAAAAGGGGGAGAATAGTGCATTCTGCAGAAAAGATTTAAAAAAAGGAGAAAAAGACATTCTGATAAGAATCCCAGTTTAAGATGTCAAGAACCCTCTCAGGTTCATGTCTTATTATTATTTTTTTATCCTCATACAAATACAAATTAAATAGATTTTTATAAATTACTACCTTGAAGATAGGCGGGTAGTTTAACAACACATGCAACCATCTGAGTTGTGTGACTAACATAATATGACTAATGCTTTTAAAAATAAGGAATGAATTTATGAAGAGCAAAATGGAAGTTTTATTGATCCTCTAAGGAAGAAGTCCTGCATTCTAAAAGGATTTATTAATCTTTTGACCACATCAGTTTACCTCATCTGCTTTGAAAGTAAATATGTAATAACATATATGACATTGTTATGAAAGATCCATGTTGGTTTTAAGTATATTTTTCTGTAATACATTTATCTATTCAATGAAGAAAGTAAGTCAATGAAAAAACAGACAGGTGACATGTAGAGCCTAAGTGTGTATTTTCTATCCTACTATTGCCTTAGCCTGAATGTCGTTTTACCCCTGTCTGGCTGTCTCTGCAATATGTAAAGGAATTGTGTAAAACACATCATATTTTATAGATGTGTTTTCCCATCTATAAAATAGTTTTAAGCCTAGGCAACAAAACGAGACCCCCATCTGTACAAAACATAAAATAAAAAATAGCTGGGCATGGTGGTGCGTGACTCTAGTCCCTGCTACTAGGTAGGCTGAGGCAGGACGATAGCTGGAGGCTAGGAGTTCAAGGCTGCAGTGAGCTACAATCATGCCACTGCACTCCAGCCTGGTCAACAGAGCAAGACCTCATCTCTAAAAAAAAAATGATAATAAAATAAAATGGATATAATACTAGGGCCAGATTTATAGAGTTTATGTGAGGATGAAAAAGAAGATATGTAGACATATACAACAGTGCTAAAACATGATAACTAGCAATGGTAGAAATGACTGACTAATTTTTATTCTTCATTCTGTTAGAAAATATTGACCTGACTACTTCTAACTTCTATTGGCTTGACTACTTCTTACGTTTCTATCTATGAAGCAAACACTCTACCTACTCTAATTGTAAAGATAATCTGCTTACTAGTTCTCTAACAAGACAGGAGAGTACATTGGGCCAGCTGCAAACATCTCTTGGGAGAACTTTATATTAAAAGTTTCTAATATTTTCTAAAAAAACTATAACTTTCAAGTTGAAAATAATGCTTTCAAGTAAGTGTTATTTTCAACATCGGCCTGTTCCGGTATTCAAATTTGCTCATATTTTTCTTTTTTTCTTCTTTTTTTCTCTCTCTGTTTTTTTTTCCATTTCTTTTCTTTTTCCCACCATCTGTGTGCCAAGTAGTGCTTGGCTTTATTCATTATAGGTATGAAATTTACAAGATTTTCTGTTAAAAAGAGCTTTCATTTTTAGTCTCAAATATCCACAAGGGAAAAACAGTTTTAGGAGTGGGCTTGAGGAGGAAAATGTGTATATTTATATATACATTTTTAGTAGAGATGGGGTTACGACATGTTGGCCAGGTGGGTCTCCAACTCCTGACCTCAGGTGATCCACCCGCCTTGGCCTCCCAAAGTGCTAGGATTATAGGTATGAGCCACCGCGCCCGGCCACATCTTTTTAGTTTGCAATATCAGATCAATCAACTCTAAGCCTCCATGTACATATCTGGTTGACCAATAATTCGCTGTTAGTAATTTGCTGTGGGAGACGAGCCTTCTCCACCTCTCTAATATTATACAAGAGTCTCAGTGATTTTAGATAGACCAAAACATCCAGATTCTCCCTACTTTCCAATCTAGTTAGGAAAGTGTTGCGACTGTTGGAGACTGAAGAGTAGGTTTCTCTTTCCACAGCCTTAGGGCTTTCACCAATTATCTCTAGGTCAGAGCTCTTAATATTTGGTCCATTGACTTTGCTGTGTCACACCTTCAGGCACCCTTTATACCTTAGAAAAGCATTCCTAAGAAATGGAAGCTGTTTCTAAGACCGAGGCTCTATTTTAGGTATCCAACAGGCACCCAGCATAGCCACCAGATCATCCGCCATGGTCCAGGGCAGGGTACTCTCAGAACTCCTCCACTCCAAGCACTAATTTCTGCTCTCCATTTTCCCTTCTGCCCAGCCCTAGCTTAATTCTCCTCAAAGTGAATATTTCCCTGAAGAAGGAGGAGTAAAATAAGGACCAAAAAAAAAATGTACACTAGGATAGAAAAGGCATACCTTAAAGTAAGTTGAAATTGAAATAAACTCATATTAGACCTTGGTGATAGAACTTGATGTTATTTATTACCACCATTGTCATTATACTTCAGAATCAAACCTATGGAAGTAGGTTCTTAAATTTAAGTGTCACATATTATAAAGCACATGCTTTCTGAGATCCTTGACTTTGTATTTTGAGAGGTACACTGATAAATAAAGCTGGGAGGATCCAGCACTGAAAAGATAGCACCAGTGTGAAATGTTACATATGGTGTGATTCCTACTCTATGTGATATTCTGGAAAAGGAAAACCTATAGATATGGTAAAAAAGATCAGTGGTTGCAGAGAGGGATGAATAGGTGGGACACAGGAGATTTTTAAGTCAGTGAAGCTATTCCACCTGAAACTCTAATGGAGGACACAGGATATTATGCTTTATCAGAACCCGTGGGATTGTACAACACAAAGAGTGATCCCTAATGAAACTATGGGCATCAGTTAATGGTAATTTATCAATATTGATTTACCAATAGTAACAAATGTACCACACTAATGCAGCATGTCAATCGTAGGAGAAATTGTGCAGAGAATGGTTCAAAGAAGGGGTAAATGGAAACTCTGTACTTTCCGCTCAGTTTTTCTGTCAACCTAAAACTGCTTTGAAAAATAGCCTATGAATTAATATAAAAAGTACCTCACATGACACATTTTTTGTCAAATGCATTAGATGAAAACTGCTGACATGATCTTCAAGAAATAAGTATCACAGACATACCAGAATCAAAGAGTTGTAAAGCTAAAAGATACTCAGTGGAAAATGTCTACTCTAGTCTTAATTATTTCTGAAGAGACAGATTCTGCCAGTTTCCTTACTAGCCTATTCTAGGGTTTAGTTTCTTTCTGAGTCCCACAAATTAGCCCGTATTATTCATACTTGTCTTCTGTGAAGAGTGCTTTGATCAAAGCCTCCTTAAATAATCATTCTCTACTAGAATTAATAAGTAAATCACTGATTTGATATTTTTGGCTCTGATTAAATGGCCTCAATACAAGCTACAATGAATCAATAGGCAGTGATGGACAAAAATAGTTCATCCTTAGGATGATTATCATTTAAAATGTACATTTCAATGTAGAAGTTGTCAAACTCTAGGAAGTTATAAAACTCTTATGTTATAGAACACACAGGTAAAGTTACTTTTTTATATAGACCCTTGCAGCTTTGTACCCACAATGGTTTAGTTCATTTTGTAATGCCACAGGGCAAAATTCTTAACTATCCGAGAAATAATTTTACTAAACTTGTGTTCAAAACCGAATTTAATTCACTTTTTTGATAATGTCAACATTTAGAACTATAATTTTCAAGAAATCTCTCTTTATTGGAATATTAAAATTTCAAATGCCCATTCTCAAGAAGAGTTAAAATCATAAAAGATAGTTACATGTTTAAGTTTATAGTTGCTCAAGGGAAGTTATAATAGAGAATCCACATTGCGTGTAGCTTATTTCTGAAATAAATCTGCAGATGAATTAAAATGTTAATGTTTGAACCTATTTAACTGCCAATTGTTCATGAAATGATAAATATCACTGAAGACATGATCATAAAATGCCCAACAAAATTATAACGGTCATAATTTCTGTGAGCATGTGCTGGAAAGAGCATAATAAATTGTATTACCATCATAATTATGGGAGGACAAAGAGATTATATTTTCTTTTTCTATGAAGAATAAGTACTTTGTCAGAGCACATTTCAAATACATTTTGTATTCTCTAATACTCAGCATTAAGAACTCTTTTATTATGTTATAAAAATAATTTTTAAAATTAATTTGTATTTCAATTAATTGGAAATTATAAATTCCCATTTGAAACAATTCATGCAATTGTGCTCAAGATCAGAATATATTTCATCTTCTTTCTGTCATTGTTGGGCTTCCAAGTTTGTACATCTGTCAATTTGTAGGTGTTAATTATAAACACTTTTTCCTTTTTTAAAAATCTATTTTACTAGAAGATAGCTGTTGACAGAAGGTGAAGCAATTATGACTTTTTCACCAGGCAAGTTGGAAACGAATAGCCTTACTATTCAGTCATAAATCTTCCTTTTGATATTTTTTATTCTCTGTTGACAATATTGTAATCTATCATGAGACTGATGAAAATATCTTACTTTATCATAGCTATTATTGATATGTGTGTGTTTCTGTGTATATACACACATATCATTTCTATATTAAAATTAGATAACTGCATGTTTAAATATCTAGTTATAAAATAATATATTACTATAATCTTCTGGAAAATCTTTCCTTAATTAAATAAGAGGATGCATAGAGTTTGACTGGCTGAGGCAGGCCGTGTTTTCTGGAAAGCAGATAATAAGAAGTTAGGTGTGTGAAAGGTTTATTGTTAACAACCATGGAAAGAGAGGGATGCAAGTGGAATTGGTTAGGAGGAGTTGTCAGACCTTGATGCTGACTCTATAAAGTCTCCTTGACTTTAAGCAACAGAGTAAAGATTGCTCATTAGGGAGTCCTTTGTGAGGAGAGATGGTTAGGTTCCTGTACACCACCTTGGAAAACCATTGGTCAAAAGCCACCTTGGAAAGGAAAGGAAAGGACTTTGCCTTGGAATCTAAGGTGACTCTTAATGAGTTAACAGCTAGAAGGTCAGCTGATCACACTCATCAGAAGTGGACAGATAGTCCTCTCTTGAGCGGGGATCTGAGAAGCTCTTCTCTGTGTCTGTCACAATCTACCCCTTTGGGCCATGTAGCTTCACTTCATCTTACAGGTTCTAAGACAGAAGGTCTTCAAGGCATTGATGAAGCTTCTCTTCCTGAGGGGAAACAGAAGAGAGAGATGTCAGACCTCACTGTAGCTGGTCTTGGGGCTCAACTGGTACACAACAAATTTCTTTTAACTTCTTGTATCACATCTGCTAATCTTGGTGACTTACCTCATGGTATGAACCACACCCTCATTCCTTATGATTCTGAGTGCTTGGTAACCATAGCTATTTCAGATCAGAGTTGCTGCACTTGTTCATTAATTTATAATTGTTTACCTAATTCACACAGGATTAATTCTGAGGTGATGCTTTAGCTATACTTATGTCGCATATTTCTATTGCCCTATCAATCAGGCTTCCATCATGGTGGTAAAGATAAACTTTAGTCATGGGGCCCCTTACACCTGTCCTTTACTTAAAGTACGTTCCCTGGAGATTTATGGTGAGACATTCCAGTATTCTCACTTTCTTTAGTGTTTAATCCCTCTACTGACTATTCGGGTAATTTGGGCATTTTAATCTCGCTCACCGTGGGCTATTCTGAACTATCATTTGAGTTTAATCTCATTCAAACTTTTTTAAGTTTCCAGGTCCAGCCCTAGCAGCAAGTTTGTGCCATTCTCTGGGGACCTTGCCAGGATGTTAAATCCTGTATACTGAAGTAGTGCACTATGTCTACATACTGTCTTTTAACTAGGCTTGTGTGTGTGTGTATGTGTGTGTGTTTTGATCAAGCACCCTCAGATTCCTGTCTCACTGTTCCTAGTGATAAATACTTCCTTTTTCCAGCAACTATTTCAGGAATAATCTCTTTGCTCTCCAGTTAGTCTCAATATGGCATGACTAGATTATGCAGCAGGCCTGGAGAGAAGGTGGAAACATCTCCTGATGGTAGTTACCATAGCCTTGTGAGGAAAGCTCTCTGTATTTTCCTCTTTGGAGGACTGTTAATTCTTAATGAGAGTTGGAAAACATGGAATACATCTTTAAGATCAAGTGGTTCAGACAAATGTGAGGCATCAAGATCTTTTGAAACATATACACATATGTCCCCAAATCACATGTTCAAGTATCATGCTTTCCCAACTAGGATCTTGAATTTGGCATGACAGACCTGCCTCAGTTGGACATTTAATGATCTTTGAAGTTCAGCTCTTCTGACTATTAAATCTTTTGCTGATTTTCCATTTTTTTTCTGCTTACCTACTACTGCATGTGATCCTTCTTTGTGTTTCCAGAGACTCAGATTCTCACACTAAGTTTCTAATTCTTAATTGCTGTAATCTTTATATTATCCACTTGCAAGGTAGATAATGACATCTAATTTCTTTGCCCTTTTATCTATTTTTTGCCTTGTATATTTCAAACACCTGACACTGACAAGTGTAGTCCTCACCCCCTCCATCATCTCCATTTGGCCACCCCAGCACACAACCAGTGAATATCTGAACAGCTGAACTGCCACCTTTGCCAAGAGACATCCCTTACCATTCTATATCAACTCCTATCTGAGTGGCCCATCTTCCTGTCTGTCACAACAGAGTTTTAAGACAAAATATCTGAATTATTAGTTTCTTTCTTATCTCTTTTTCTACAAAATATAGAACATGAGATAAAAAAAGGAGATGGAGTTGGAGAACTTTCTTCTTTTCCATTTCAAAGCCCAGCTACCATGGCAATATGTCTCCAGCCAGGGGCTTATAAAGTAAATATTATATTAGTTTTCTATTTCGCAGTAACAAATTACTACAAACTTTGCCTCGTAAAATAACATCAGTTGATTATCTTACAGTTCTAAAGATCAAAAGTTCTGAAATCGAAGTGTCAGTAGGGCTGCATGTCTTCTAGAAACTCTAGGGAAGAATCCATTTCCCTGCCTTTCTTCATTTCCAGGGGCCATGCAGATTCTTTGGTTTATGGCTCCATCTTGCATTGTCAAAGTCAGCAGCAGAGTGTCTTCCGATCTCTCTCTGCTTCTGTACTTACATTATCTTTTGCGGCACTGAGCCTCCTGCCTTTCCCTTATCAGGACTTTGTGATTACATTGAGTCCACTGAGATCACTTGGGGTAATCTCCCAATCTCGAGATCATTTACATGTGTAACAAAAAACGTTTTGAAATAATACTTCAGATATGTTACTGATGACCTTTTTATGACCAGTTCCTTTCATGTCTCATTAGGTAGTTACTACACTCTCTTACAGATAGGGTAATGAAACAATTTTATGTTAAAACTTTGGGTTTCGGTTCCAATAAATGTTCTTGAACATGCTTTGAGTAAGGTGAATAAGGTGTTTGAGAAAGAAAGCTTTGTTCTTGTCTTTATTTATAAAATATTCACTTTTAATATCAGGAACTAAATTGAAAATACTCAAAAGATGAAAAGTAATAATAATAATTGAAGAGTATAAAATGTCACAAGAAAAAGTTTTTCTACTTTTTTTGTGTAAATATTATCCAATATGTTGTGGGAGAAAAAAGGATTACAGAAACATAATAAATGTTTAGTCTAGTCTTTCAAGAAGAGATATAATACTTAATGCTCTGGTCGGTGTATGGGCTTATAGTCAGGACTCAGGAAGTTATCAAATAAAAAAGCTCAAAATAAGTAAGGTGGGAAAAATATGAGAGTAGATGTAATATTTGGTTCACTGAAAGACTGTAGCAGGGAGTGATTGCAAAGAATCTCCAGGTGTATCATTATACCTGAATGCCTGTGCAGTAGTGATTGACTAAGGGAGCTGGGTAGTTTGGCCAAAGATGGAATTGGGTCTGTGGTAGTATCTAATCAAAAACAACAACAACAAAAACAAAAGGATGAAAGTGCATAGTTCATATTCTGGAAAAGGAAGATGGAAGAGTGACTTGTGTGCATGTTATGTTTAGAAAGGACATTCCAGTGCCTCATCATGGATCTGTGCACAGTAGGTTTGGGTACAAGAATAAGTGGAGATTTTACACATTAGTAAAGCCCACAGTGAATGAGAATTGGAAACTCTGGTCCAGACACATCTTTCTGATGCCAGAGCTACATGTAAGATCTTAGGGTCTGAATCATATCTGGGATAGAATAAGGATAAAAAGGGGCAGAGAGGAAGACTTCTGAATTAATGGAGATTTTATAGAAGAGAAACTTGACAGTTGACTTTTGATGACAAATATTAAAACCATTGAGTAAAATGAGAACTGAGAGCTTAGCATTTCTACAAAATTATACAGAAATTTATTTATTTTTTGCCAAACAGTTTTATTTTCTATCCCTGTAACATTTTATTTAATACACTAAGAAATGCTTTAAGGTAGATATAATTTTTATTTCAATTGTGATTTCCATTGAAACTTAGAGAACAAACAACTGGTAAATGATGTTGGGGAACAAAATATCTTCTGCATTTCTGCACATCTTGTGTAGAGACATTGATAATTTTTGCTCCAGACTGTCTATTCAAGGATATTGGTATCACAAACAGCCTTGGAAAATAAAAAAAAAAAAAATCATCTTCTTTCAAGGCAGAGAGCAGATTTATTTTCAGGCTACAGTAATAAAGATAATGTCTCTCTACAGGGCAAAGGTTGGGCAGGTTTATCAACAACCCTTCAAAAATAGGGGGCTATCTAAGCTCAGGGTTCCTCGACTGTACCACAAACCCGCTGTGCACGCAGCATCCACTGAGCCTTTCTGCCTGGCACCCATGCAACTTGAGGTCAAGAGGAACTGATACAAACATGAAGCTCATGATGCCTTCTATGCTATGCTTAATAATCCTCTGTTTCTGACTCACAAGTTTTTAGTAATGTCTATGACACTGTGATAGGCTAACTTGTTAGCTTGCATACAGGGTAAAATTTCATATCCTTCATCATTTTTAAAAATGGAAGAAGTAATATTAGTTAGGACACTCTGATTCAGTAGCTCGCACTTGAAACCAAAAAAATCTGAATATTAAACAGTGTCTACTCAGGGAGTCAGCTAAAAATAAACTAGGGCAAATATAATGAGGAACCTTGCTGCTTCCCTTAGTGAGATCAAATTCTTGTCTTCCCAAGTTGACAGGTTCAATAATTTCTGTCCAAAAACCAAACCAGCACTAGACAGATTAACAGAAGAAAAAGCATAAAAATTTAATAACATGCAAGCTCACAGGGGTCATACAAAGTATAAAACTCAAAGAAGGGTCAGATGATTGAAGCTTAAATATCTCTTCATAACGGAGTGGGAAATGGAAGATGTAGGCAATTTTTGAGGAAGAGTAAATGATTTTTAGGAGAAATAAATGAACTCACAGAACCCACAGTAGTCTGGGACAAAGTTCCTTTGGTCTCTGAGTGAGATAGCAACAAATTTTGGTAAAGCGAGAGGCAAAACTGTACTGGGGATAACGTTGTCTTATTATGAACTATCTCTCAGGTAAAAGAGCACAAAATAATAGATGAAAAATCTGCCCACGTGGGTGTTATTTGGTTATTGTTCTCCATGGTTAATATGACCTTAGACAGGTTATTGAAGGCAACTGTGTTTCTTTTGGAAAAACTTTCCTCAGTCAAATAAGGAAGCTTCAGAAAAAGTCCCTCCCTATGGATGGGACAGGGGAGAAACAAGGGAAGATGAGAGACCTTCATTTTGAGGCAGCTTCTAAGGCCTTTTAATTTTCTTTAAGTCAAAGTCCTCAGGATGCCAAAGGGCCGTGCTTTGGGGTTTTGTTTCCTGAGCCTCAAGATGTGTGTCCTCTGGACCTATTCTCATCCTGTTATGATGCAGCCATGCATAACTCCCAGTTTAAATGGTTATGTCTGTATGAAGAGAGACGAGGAAAGATTTGTGAGTCCATACTTATGCTGTAGCAATTATTCTTAACCTCGGATTCAAAATAAAATCATCAAAATATGTTAAAAAGTTGATATTTTTATTTATTTATTTTTGCTTTTATAAATGTATCCTCTTTTTAATTTTTAATTTTTCCATAAGTTACTAGGATACAGATGGTATTTGGTTATATGAGTAAGTTCTCTAGTGGCGATTTGTGAGATTTAGTGCACCCATCAACTGAGCAGTATACACTGCACCCTATTTTAGTCTTTTATCCTCGCTCCCCTACCACCCTTTCCCCTAAGTCCCCAAAGTCTATTGTATTACTCTTATGCCTTTGTGTCCTCATAGCTTAGCTCCCACATATCAGTGAGAACATATGGTGTTTGATTTTCTATTCCTGAGTTACTTCTTTTAGAATAATAATCTCCAATCTCATCCAGGTCACTAGAAATGCTGTTAATTCATTCCTTTTTATGGCAGAGTAGTAGTCTATATAATATATGATATAGACTACTATATATATCACAGTTCTTTATCCAACCATTGACTAATGCACATTTGGGTTGGTTCCACGATTTTGAAATCGTAAATTGTGATGCTGTAAAAATGTTTGTGCAAGTATCTTTTTCTTATAATGACTTCTTTTCCTCTGGGTAGATACCTGGTAGTGGGATTGCTGGATCAAATGGTAGTTCTACTTTTAGTTCTTTAAGGAATCTCTACACTGTTTTTCATAGTGGCTGTACTAGTTTACATCCCACCAGCAGTGTAGAAGTGTTCCCTGCTTACCGCATCTACATCAATATCTACTGTTTTTTGATTTTTTTATTATGGCCATCCTTGCAGGAGTAAAGTGGCATCGTATTGTGGTTTAGATTTGCATTTCCTTGGTCATTAGTGATGTTGAGCATTTTTTCATGTTTGTTGGCCATTTGTATATCTTCTTTTGAGAACTGTCTATTCCTGTCCTTATCCCACTTTTGGATGGGATGTTTGTTTTTTTTCTTGCTGATTTGTTTGAGTTCGTTGTAGATTCTGGATATTAGTCCTTTGTCAGATGTATAGATTCTGAAGATTTTCTCCCACTATGTGGGTTGTCTGTTTACTCTGCTGATTGCTCATTTTGTCATGCAAAAGCTTTTTATTTTAATTAAGTCCCAACTATTTATCTTTGTTTTTATTGCGTTTGCTTTTAGGTTCTTGGTCATGAAATCCTTGCCTAAGCCAAGGTCTAGAAGTGTTTTTCCAATGTTACCTTCTAAATTTTCAGTTCCAGGTCTTAGATTTAAGCCTTTAATCCATCTCAAGTTGATTTTTGTGTAAGGTGAGAGATGAGGATCCAGGTTTAGTCTCCTACATGTGGTTTAGCCAATTATCCCAGCACCATTTGTTGAAAAGAGTGTCCTTTCCCCACTTTATGTTTTTGTTTGCTTTGTCAAAGATCACTTGGTGGTAGGTATTTGGGTTTACTTCTGGATTCTTTATTCTGTTCCATTGGCTTATGTGCCTATTTTTATATCAGTACCACACTGTTTTGGTGACTATGGTCTTATAGTATATTTTGAAATCTGGTAGTGTGATGCCTCCAGATTTGTTCTTTTTACTTTGTCTTGCTTTGGCTATGCAAGCTCTTTTTTGGTTCCATATGAATTTTAGAATTGTTTTCTGTAATTCTGTGAAGAATGATGGTGATATTTTGATGGGGATTGCATTGAATTTGTAGATTGCCTTTGGCAGTATGGTCATTTTCACAATATTGATTCTACCCATCTGTGAGCATGGAATGTGTTTCAATTTCTTTCTGTCATCTAGAATTTCTTTCAGCAGTGTTTTGTAGTTTTCTTTGTACAGGTCTTTTGCCTCATTGGTTAGGTATATTCCCAACTATTGTATTGTATTGTATTGTATTGTATTGTATTGTATTGTATTGTATTGTATTGTATTGTATTGTATTGTATTTTGCAGCTATTATAAAAGGGGGTGAGTTCTTGATTTGATTATCTGCCTGGTTGCTATTGGTGTATAGAAGAGCTACTGATTTGTGTACATTAATCTTGTATCCGGAAACTTTGCTGAATTCTTTTATCAGTTCTAGGAGCTTTCTGGAGGAATCTTTAGGATTTTCAAGGTAAACGATCATATTGTCAGCAAAGAGTGACAGTTTGACTTCCTCTTTACTGATTTGGATGCTCTTTATTTCTTTCTCTTTTCTGATTGCTCTGGCTAGGACTTCCAGTACTATGTTGAAGAGGAGTGGTGAGAGTGGACATCCTTGTCTTGTTACAGTTCTCAGAGGGAATGCTTTCAACTTTTCCCCATTTAGTATTATTTTGACTGTGAGTTTGTCATAGATGGCTTTTATTATGTTGAGGTATGCCCCTTGTATGGTGATTTTGCTGAGAGTTTTAATCACAGAGAGATGCTGGATTTTGTCGAATGCTTTTTCTGCATCTATTGAGATGATCATGTGATTTTTGTTTTTGATTTTCTTTGATTCTGTTTATGTGGTGTATCACATTTATTGGCATGTGTATGATAAACCATCCCTTCATCCCTGGTATGAAATCCACTTGATCATAGTGGATTATCTTTTTGATATGTTGTTGGATTCAGTTAGATAGTATTTTGTTAAGGATTTTAGCATCTATGTTCATCAAGGATATTGGTCTATAGTTTTCTTTTTTGGTTATGTCCTTTCCTGGTTTTGGTACTAGAGTGATGCTGGCTTCATAGAATGAATTAGGGAAGGTTTCATCTTTATCTTCTGGAATAGTGTCAAAAGGATTGGTACCAATTCTTTGAATGTCTGGTAGAATTCTGCTGTGAATCCGACTAGTCCTGGACTTTTTTTTTGTTGGTAATTTTTTAACTACCATTTCAATCTCACTGCTTGTTATTGGTCTATTCAAGGTGTCTAATTCTTCCTGATATAATCTAGGAGGGTTGCATTTTTTCAGGAATTTTGTTTTTGCTTTTTAACTCATATTTTTCTTTATAGATCCTATGTGATATATTCTTTAAAGAGGTTCTGTTTTGATGTGTTTCCAGGATTTGTATCAAGATTTAGAGCTCCTTTTAGCAGTTCTTTTAGTGGTGGCTTGGTAGTGGTGAATTCTCTCAGTATTTGCTTGTCTGAAAAAGACTGTATCTTTCCTTCATATGTGATGCTTAGTTTGCTGGATTCAACATTCTTGGCTAATAATGGTTTTGTTTGAGGAGGCTGAAGATAGGGCCCCAATTCTTTCTAGTTTTTAGGGTTTCTGCTGAGAAATCTGCTGCTAATCTGATAAGTTTTCCTTTATAGTTTACTTGGTACTTTTTTCCCATAGCTCTTAAGATTCTTTCCTTTATCGTAACTTTAGAAAACCTGATAACAATGTGCCTAGGTGATGATCTATTTGTGATGAAGTTTCCAGGTGTTCTTTGTGCTTCTTGTATATGGATGTCTAGGTCTCTAGCAAGGCTAGGGAAGTTTTCCTCAATTATTTCCCCAAATATGTTTTCCAAACTTTTAGCTTTCTCTTCTTCCTCAGGAACATCGATTATTCTTAGGTTTGGTTGTTAACACAATCCCAGACTTCTTGAAGGCTTTGTTTATATTTCTTTGTCTTTGTTGAATTTGGTTAATTCAAAGACCTTGTCTTCGAGCTCTGAATTTCTTTCTTCTACTTGTTTAATTGTATTACTGAGACTTTGCAGATCATTTTGCATTTCTCTAAGTGTGTCCATTGTATCCTGAAGTTTTGATTGTTTTTTATTTATGCTATCTATTTCATTGAATATTTCTCCCTTCACTTCTTGTATTCTTTTTTGGATTTCCTTGCATTGGGCTTCACCTTTCTGTAGTGCCTCCCTGATTAGCTTAATAACTAACATTCTGAATTCTTTTTCAGGTAAATCAGAGATTTCTTCTTGGTTTGGATCCATTGCTGGTGAACTAGGGTGATTTTTTGGTGGTGTTAAAGAGTCTTGTTTTGTCATATCACCAGAGTTGGTTTCCTGGTTTCTTCTCATTTGGGTAGGCTCTGTCAGCAGGAAGGTCTAGGGTTGAATTTTGTTGTTCAGATCCTTTTGTCCCATGGGGTGTTCCCTTGATGTAATACTCTCCCCATTTTCCTATAGATGTAGCTTCCTGTGAGCTGAGCTGCAGTGATTGTTGTCCCTCTTCTGGGTCTAGCAGCCCAGCAAGTCTACTAGGCTCCAGGCTGGTACTGGGGATTGTCTGCACAGAGTCCTGTGATGTGAAACATCTATGAGTCTCTCAGCCATGCATACCAGCACCTGTTCCAGCAGAGGTGGCAAGGAGGTGAAATGGACTCTGTGAAGGTTCTTAGTTTTGGTGGTTTAATGCTCTATTTTTGTGCTGGTTGGCATCCTGCTAGGAGGTGGCACTCTCCAGACAGCATCAGCTGTGGTAGTATAGAGAGGAACTAGTGATGGGCAAGGCCCACAACTAAAACTCCCAAGATTACATGCCCTCTGTTTTCAGCTACCAGCATGAATATGAAAGGCCCATCAGGTGGGGCAGGGCTAGGCATGTCCATGCTCAGACCCTCCTTGGGCAGGTCTTGCTGTGGCTGCTGTGGGGTATGGGGGTGATGCTCCCAGGTCAATGGAATTGTGTACCTAGGAGGATTATGGCTTCCTCTGCTAATTCATGCAGGTTGTCAGGGAAGTGGGGGAAAGTGAACAGTCACGGGCCTCACCCAGCTCCCTTGCAAATCGAAGGGCCGGTCTCACTACCACTATGCTCCCCTAACAGCCCTAAGTCTGTTTCCAGGCAGTGGGTGAGCAGGGCTTGAGAACTTGCCCCAGGCTACCTGCCTCCTACCTGCAAAAAAAAAGTGCTTGGTGTTTCCCCTGCCTGTGGAGTCTGCACACCAGATTTACGCCCTCCCTTGAGTTCTGGCCGGGAGGCTTCTTTCCCAGTTCAAATTGTTAACTAAGTTCAACTGGAGACTACCATCTCCCTATGGTGTTTTCCCCTGCTCCTCTGGCTGTAATGGCCTGCTTGGGGTCCGAGTGAGCTCCCAGGGCCTTTCCTGCTGCTTCCTCTACCCCTGTATTTCACTCGGCTCTCTGAATTGACTCAAATCCAGGTAAGGTGGGAAACTTCTCCCTTCAGTTTCTCTAGTCAAGCTGTGTGTTTGGGAGAGGAGGATGTCTCTCTTCCTCACTTCTGCAGTTGGGGAACTCACAGTATTTGGGGTGTCCCCCAGGTCCTGAAAGAGCAGTTTGTTTCCTTCGGAGGGTCTGTGGATCCTCTTGGGATTGCTGGTTTGTTCTTGCCAGAAAGTTGATATTTTTAACACTCCCCAGGCTAATATAATATGCATCCAGCGTTAAGTACCACTGTGATACAGCAATAAGGCAGGAAGTCTTTCTTGGGGAAATCATAAGGAACAGAAGTCTAGAGTCTAAATTCTATTCTGACAATATAGTGGCTAGTCATCACATGTGGTTACATAAATTTTAATTTAAATGAATGTAATTAAAATTTAAAATTGTACTACTTAATCATTCTGGTCACATTCTGCATACTCAGCAAGCACATGGAGCTAGTGACTATAGTATTGAACAACTTAGATATCTCATATTTCCATCATCACAGAACATTCAATTGGACAGTGCTGGTATGTTAGGTACAGAGCTCTGTCCCTGCATGACTAGTCAAACTTAGAGGCTTTAGATTTGGTTTTATTAAGACAGCCAATGGTTTTCTCTAAGGGGTGCAAAAGTGGTGTACACAGAAATCTGTATATATAATTTATGTGCGTGTGTGTGTGTGTGTGAGAGAGAGAGAGAGAGAGAGAGGGAGAGAGGGAGAGAGAGAATAATGGTGATAGTCTCACTTCTTAGGCCCTGTGAAATGTACAGTGATCTAAAATTGTGGCATATTATTATAAGGCTGATGTAACACAGAAATTGTCAGGAAGGACTTACTGTCCTTAAAAGCCTATTTGTAGAAATTTTTCCAATTAATCAGTGTTTATTGTTTTTATGTTTCTTCCCAAAAGTACTCTCTCTAATGTCATTACTATTGATTTTCTCCCTGTGGGTCCCTGATTTATCTGGCTTTTGTCCTGGAATGGTTTCATAGCTAAGGAAGAAATCATGACCAATAGTTTTGTAAACTATTTTCAAAGATGTCACTGTCAACCTCAAAATCTAAACCTATAACCTAGATTTTTCTTCAGCATACTGCCAACAGAAGGCTACAAAAATATTTCAAGGAAGAAACACAAATAGTCAAAAGGGAATTATTTTGTGTCATAAAAACATCTCTGTGTTGTTACATAAGGAAAAAAATTAAGTTTTTGCAGCAGTGATTTTATTATTTAGCTAATCAGTGTAAACTGTGAAGACAACATTTTATGCTTACCAAATATGTAATTTAATGAATGACATGAAGCATGTGAGAAAAACCAACCAATTCTTTTTAATCATTACTCTTATTATTTTAAAGATCAATGCTTATCTATGGGGAAGGATGTTTTGCTGTTTCCTTTCCATGGGGTACCTGAGAAAGGCAGACTCTAAGAAAATAATTTTCTGACTCTAATTTTCTAACTCTGACTCTAATTTTCATTGAATAAAAAATATAAATACTTGTTGATAAAAAAAGGATTAAGGACTATTCTGAATACCCTAATACAATGTTCATCTTGTTTTCATTTTATGGAACTAAGGAAAGGGACAAAATTTCCAATTTCTTTATCATATTTTGACCTTGGTGTGTTTTTATACATAGAAATTTTGCAAGGTATAAGAGACAGAGAACAATATTGATTGAATTTAATAGTGGCCTCAATAATTACAAGAGCTTCCCTAAAACTGAACCTTTTCGAGCAGTGAAAGAGAGCAAACACAGAGAAAAAAAGTTTTCCTTAATAAGCTAAATGATAATAGCTTTCAAGTACACAGCATTCACACATTAAAAATGCTTTCACAGTGGTTTTCTATTCTGCATGTAAGAAGCTGGGAAGTCACCACTCTGTCCTAACAAGTGAAAAACTCAACAACTAAAAATGTAATAGCTTCTCTGAACTAGAGAAGTGAAGTCGCAGGAAAAACAACTGCCTCAAAATTGAAGAGATGGGAAAATGCAGAGAATCACAACTTATTGGAGAAGAAATCCAGCAAATTAAAACTTTGTGAGAACCAGTACTGGAGCAGGAAAACCTGAACTGGAATTAACAAATCATTGAAGGCTCATTGTGGCAACTCTGAGAACCAAATATGGCCGGACAACTGAATCAGAGGGGCCCCCTACTTTTGTGTTTTACCTCCAGAAGCTTCACCAGATTCTCACAGTAAATATTATAGAGAAATTTCCTTACATTTCCAGTAGAGAGTGGGGAAAAAGAATCATTTTGAAATTTTCCAGGGCATTCTATTCTTTGTAACGAGGACTGTCTTCAAGAGGTTTTCTTTTAACAGAGTCTAAACTATTGGAATTTTTGTTTCAGAGCCCAATCAATGTGGGGGAAGAGAAATATCCGACTCCAGACCATTCTACCAGCCTATTCCATCTAAAGTAGGATGGGAGAATTGAGTAACACTTGTGAAGTACACAGCTCAGAGGTACAGGCTCACTAAAAACTAAGATCTAATCATGGAACCATAGAATGCTTTCCCTTTCCTTACCCTTTACCACCACATTACTAAAGCCTATTTAATACAAATCCTCTGACTCAGTACATAATGTTCAGCTATGAAGAAGAAATTACAAGGCATACACACACAAAAAAGAAAAAGGGCAGTTGTGGCAGCACGCACTCGTAGTCCCAGCTACTCGGGGCAGGCTGAGGAAGGAGGATCACTTATGCCCAGGAGTTCGAGGCTGCAGTGAACAATAATCATGCCACGGCACTCCAGCCTAGCAACAGCAAGACCCTATCTTAAAAAAAAATTACAAGTAATTCTAAAAGGCAAACAAAACAAGCAAAAAAGCCAACACAGTTTGTAGAGATGTAACAAGCATCAGAAGCAGACTCAGATATGGCAGTGATGTTGAAATTATCAGATCAAGCATCTAAAACAACTATTATTAATATGCTTGAATGTGTAAAGTAGACAGCAAGTAAGAAAAAATGAACAGAGAGATAGAAATTCTGAGAAATATTTTTTAAATGCTAAAGATCAAAGGGATTATAACAAAAAAGATAATATACTTGATGAGCAAATCAGTAGACTGGACACAGCTAAGAATAAAAGAAATCTGGGCTTGAGAATATCTCAATTAAAACTTCCAAATTAGAAAATCAAAGAGAAGAAAGAGTGATAAAAAGTTCCCACAGAATACCCAAGAATGAAAGATATTTACAAAATGTGTTATATACATATGAGGATAACGAAAAAAAAATGGGGAAAAGAAGAAAATAATACTTGAATTAATGATGCCTGAGAATTTCTCCAAACTAATGTCAGATACCAAATCACAGATATAGAAAGCTCAGAGAACACAAAGCAGGATACATTTAAAAAAATCCTACACCTAGGCACCTTCTGCAGTCAAACTGAAGAAAATAAAAAATAAATAAAAAGTCTTAAGCGAAGTCAGGGGGCTTGGGGGACCTTAGAGGAGAAAAGACAAAAATTACATCTTACTTGTCTCCAGAACACATACAATAAAAAGAGAATGGGGTGAAATATTTAAAAAGTTGAGAGAGAGAGAAAGCAAAACAAAGAAAAAATGCCAACAACTGGAATTCTGTATCCTGCAAAATGACCCTTTAAAAGTAAAAGGGAAACGAACATTTTCTCATACAAACGAATGCTGAGAATTTTTTACCAATAGAAGTGCCTCATAAGAAATTTAAAAATAATTTCTTCAAAAAAGAGAAAACTATATAGGTGAGAACTTACACAAAGGAAAGAACACTGGAGAATAAATAAGTGAAGGTAAAATAAAAACGCTTATTTTTCTTATTTTCAATTGATATAACAGATAATTTGTTCAAAATAATAGCCAAAATGTATTCATATATATGTATGCATATATATGTGTATATATAATATATGCATATGTATACATATATATATGTATAATGCATAATAGCAATGATAAGGGAAACATTCAGAGGGAGGAATTAGAAATAATTTTTATTACATGGTACTCACACTACCCAGGATATGGTATAATGTTGTTAGAAAGTGGAGCCTAAAATGTAATTGGATTAATTGTAAATATATATTACAAACTATAAAACAACCATCTAAAAATAGTAAAAAGTAAATAAAACTACAACTGATAGGCTAAGAAACAGGAAATGAAATAATATAAAATGCTCAATTAAAACCACAAAAGACAAAAATATGTAAGACAAAATAATAGATATCAATCCAGTTATTTAGATAGTCACTTTAAACCTCAATGGTCTAAAAATTGCAATTAAAAAAGAGAGGTTGTCAGGGTTGATCAAACAACAAGATCAAACTATATGTTGTCTACAAGAAACCTACTTAAATGTAAGGCACATACATATTATAGTGGATGGATAGAGAAAGATATGAAGATATACCATGCTAACTCCAATCAAAGGAAAGCAGAACTAGCTATATTAATTCTGTGCAGAGCTGACTTTGGAGCAAGGAAAATTCTCAGGAACAAAATGGGACATTACTTAATGATAAATAGGTCGATTATCCATAAATGCTTAATAATCTATAATGTGTAAATGCCTGACAATAGAGCATCAATATGTCTGCTATCAGAACACAAAGGAATAAACCAAAATGCAATTGAAGAAAGACAACTGGAGATTAAACAACACATTCTAAAATAACACTGGAGATTGAACAACACACTCCTAAATAACATATAGCTCGAAGAAGAAATCTAAAAATTTGAAATATTTTGGTAATAGTTACATTTTAGTTTCAAAAATTACTATATAGCAATAGTAATCAAGACATTATGGCACTAGCAATATAATAGACAAATAGATCAGTGGAACAAAAAAAAAGGACCCAAGATATAGATCAACATAAATATAGTCAACTGATCCTTGACAAAAAAAGCTAAAGAAATACAGTTGAATGAAGTTTTTCAGCAAATAGTGTAACAACTGGATGTTCACATACAAAACAAATAAAACTAGAAGTAGACTTTATACCCCTCACCAAAATTAACTCAAAACTGAATCATAGACCTAAACGTAAAGTGCAAAATTATAAAACTCTTAGATGATAACATAGGAGAAAACCTTGATGATGTCAGTATGGTGATGACTTTTTAAATACAACACCAAAAGCACAATCTATTAAAGAAAAAAATGGAAAATCTGGACTTCATTATCAACTTCTACTCTATGAAAGACATTGTCCAGAAAATTAGAAGACAAGCCACAGACTGAGAGAAAATATTTGTTATATACATAATAGATAAAAGATTATCCAGAATATAAAAAGTACTATTAAACTTTGACAACAAAAAAAGGAAAAACCCAATTCAAAAATTAAGTGTAAGACCTCAGTAAAGAAGATATATAGATGGCAAATAATCATATGAAAATATATGCAACAACATATGTCCTTAAATAATTGCAAATCAAAATAGCAATGAGATACCATTACACACTTATTAGAATAGCCAATATCCAAAACAGTAACAACTCGACATGTTGGCTAGGATATAGAGCAATGAGATCTCTCATTCATTGCTGGTGGGAATGCAAAATGGTTCAGCCACATTGGAAAACAGTTTGGTGCCTTCTTACAAAACTAAACATACTCTTACCAAGCATTTATGCTCCTTAGTATTTATCCAAATGAGTCAAAATCTTATGTCTACACAAAATCCTGCAAACAGATGTTTGTAGTAGCTTTATTCATAATTGTCAAAACTTGGAAGCAACCCAGATGTCTTTTACTAGGTGAGTGGCTAGATAAACTGTGGTACAGCCAGACAATGAAATATTATTCAGAGCTAAAATAAATGAGCTATAAAGTCATAAAAAGACACGGAGGAATACTAAATACATATTATTTCATGAAAGAGGCCAATCTGAATGGCTATGTACTATATGATTCCAACAATGTAAAATTCTGGAAAAAGCAAAAGTATGAAGACAGTATAAAGATCAGTGGTTGCCAGGGGTTTGGGGGAAGAACGGGTTAATAGGTAGGGCACAGGATTTTTAGGGTAAGGAGACTATTCTGTATGATATTATAGTGGTGGATATATGCCATTATACATTTTTCAAACCCTTTAAAATGTACAATGAAGAGTGAACATGAATGTAAAGTATGGGCTTCTGGTGGTGATGCATCTTGTCTATTTCAACAAATGTACCACTCTGGTGAGGAATTTTGGTGGTGAAAGAAACTGTGCACGTGTAGGGAAAGAGAGAATATGGGAAATATCTCTGTACCTTTCCCTCAATCTTTTAGAGTAGACCTAAAACTACTCTAAAAAGTAAAGTCTGTCCTAAAATGCTCTCACATAATTTTCCTGTTTTAATCTTCATACAAATCTCAGAAATTCAACAAGATAGGAATGGTTCTATTTATTTAACAGAGGAAATTGAAACTTATATTGGACTATGAAACCGGAAATTACAGTAACTAAACTATAAATGAATTTTCCAATTCTGGTTTAGTGCTCTCTTCATGTAGCATACTGAAGTTTCTAAAATCTGATATGTCTCAGTGTTTATTGAAATTAGAGAAATTATTGAAATAATTATAAAATTATGTATATTATTTTAAGGAAATATGTTAACTGATATTTAAAACACCAAGGTGTGTATACAGTTACATATAAATGTGTGTATCTGTATATATATACACACATTTTTCTAAACATCGAGCCAACAAAATTGTGTGTATTTAGGTAGGTTGGTGCAAAAGTAATTTTGGTTTTTGCGTTGTTGAAATTTGCCATTTGCTATTGGAATACATTCTTAAATAAATGTGGTTATGTTATACATCATTTTAATGTGCATTTCTGGCTTTTTTTAGTAACACTGCTTTGCTCTTTATTTTATATTTATTTTAGACTGGACATGATGCTAGACAAAAAGCGAATTCCAGCGATTTTCTGATTCAAGTTCAAAATGGGTCAGAAAGCAGCAGAGACAACTTGCAACATCAACAACGTATTTGGCCCAGGAACTGCCGATGAATGTACAGTGCAGTAATGGTTCAGAAAGTTTTGCAATGGAGACCAGAGCCTTGAACATGAGGAACACAGTGGCTGGCCATTAAAAGTTGACAATGACCAATTGGGAGCAATCATCAAAGCTGATCCTTTTACGACTACATGAGAAGATGTCGAAGAACTCAACATTGAACATTCTATGGGTCATTCGGCATTTGAAGCAAATTGGAGGGATGAAAAGGCTAGAAAAGTGGGTGCCTCATGAGCTGAGCAAAAATCAAAATAATTGTCATTTTGAAGTGTCATCTTCTCTTATTCTGTGCAAAAACAATGAACCATTTCTCTATCAGATAGTGATGTGTGATGACGAGGATTTTATACGAGAACTGGCGATGACCAACTCAGTGGTTGGAACAAGAAGAAGCTGCAAAGCACCTCCCAAAGCCAAATTTGTATCAGAAAAATGTCACAGACACTGGTGGTCTGCTGCCTGTTTGACCTGCTACAGCTTTCTGAATTCTGGTGAAACCATTACATCTGAAAACTATGATCAGCAATTCAATGAGATGCACCAAAAACTGCAACGTCTGCAGCCGACACTGGTCAACAGAAAGGGCCCAATTCTTTTCCACGACTATGCTTGACCACATGTCACACAACCAATGCTTCAAAAGTTGAATGAATTGGGCTACCAAGTTTTGCCTCATCTGCCATATTCACCTGACCTCTCGCCAACCGACTACCACTTCTTCAAGTATCTCAACAACTTTTTGCAGGGAAACCACTTCCACAACCAGCAGGATACAGAAAATGTTTTCCAAGAGTTCATGGAGTCCCAAAGCATGAATTTTTATGCTACAGAAATAAATATTTCTCATTGGCAAAAATATGTTGACTGTAATTGTTCCTATTTTGGTTAATAAAGATGTGTTTGAGCCTAGTTATAATTATTTACCATTCATTGTCTGAAACCACAATTATTTTTGTACCAACCTAAGTTAAGTATTATAATGCTTTTTGTTTGGAATACATGCAAAAGTATGCATTTAATAGAATATAGAGAAGAATAACAGATTTACATTAAGACCACAAAATGGACATGCAAAGCCAACAATATACTTTAACTATTAACATAAATATTAAAATACAGTGAACAACATCCAAACTTATTACTTTTAAACAGTTTTCAGATAGAAAGGGCCACAGATTGAAAGTGATGCCATTGTATTAACCATCTTTCTCATAAGTGCACTTGTAGATACACTTTCCCACCAAAATATTATTGTAAAAACCATGCAGTGAGGAGTAGAATTTTATTATATATTAAGTGATATCGAACTGGAACTTCTAGGCCCAGCTCAGAGTAACAATAACACGAAAAAGATATTTGTGTGTAAAAGCACATAACAAAGTTCTGGTAAAAACAATTCACCTGGCTGAGGCTACCATTCTGAACTTTGTAAATCTATGTATATGCAAATATGTATCTAAAATCCCTATAGCTAAAGTTATTGAAATTTCTTATTGTAAATATTTTTGCTCATTGTAACACATTGATCTTGTTGCCACTAACAAAAGTGAGAATATCTAACACTGAACAATTTTTGACTCTGTTCTGTTTTCGTTAGCCCAAGAAGTGTAGTTTTAAGGATTATATTTCCTTGCTAGTTGGCATGCAACTGTAGGCATTTGTTGGGCAAACTTGCCCTTCTCTTTCATCCTCCAGTGCCCTGAAAGCCACACCACTTCTCTTATTCAGCCCTGTACTCCAGCAGGTCAGGATCTCCAAATCCATCCTAGGCCTATCTCCTTAAATAACCTTCTCCTTTCTCAGTCTTCTGTCTCTCCATATAATTTACCACTCTGCCCCCACTATGCCACAGGCTTCATTTTTCATACACATGAAATTCAAAAGGGATGCCTCTCCGTGATTTTGCTCCTGCATCAATATTAAGCCAACACATTGAGTGTGGTATAAAGAACTCAGAGTGAATTTATTTACATTATTGTTCTTTCAAAATAGGTCTGTTGCTAACAGGTCTCTGGGTATGCATATGAAATTCACAGAGCTATAAAGGGAAAGAAACAAATGCCAGATACACAGCACCAAGCTGAGAAACCAAATGGTAAGCAGAGACAATGAAGGAGCTGAGCTTAGAGGTTAGCATTGAAACGTAGCCCTGACTGCTATATGGAATATCAAGCATCCTACTGAGTATAGAGCATTATATGATTCTCAAGTAATAAAGAAGTTTGGCATCAGTGCCCTCATTGTGGCTGCATATGGTCAACAATTTAAGGAGGAGATGAAATAAGAAAAAAATGCATTTTGTAGTCTCCATCAAAGAAAGAAATGAGTGTTAATATTTTAGCTCTTCTCCCTACCTCATAAGGTTAATTAACTAATAATATAATTAAAGATGGTGCAAAATATAGTAACTGCCCAAGATAGTCAAAAGAAAAGATAGTGTTTTTATTAAAGGTAATCTAAGATGGCCAAAGAACCAAACCACTACTGGCGTTTGGTCGTCTGTGTTGAAGGATAGATATTCTGTAAAACGTTTCAGAGAAGCTCTTATCCAGAATTAAAGGAATTGTTCATTTTGCTGTGAGAAAACCCTTAAGTGCCTTCAGATATAGTGCAAACTGCTACATCTAAGGAACGCTCAGTGACTTAAGTGTGGAGCAGTGTGCTTCTAGCTTGGAAGCTGGAAGTCCAGTCTTGGGAAACATCACCTTCTGGGTCAGCTGTTGTCTTGGGAAACATCAACTTCTGGGTCAGCTGTTGTGCACACATACCACAACATCCAGAGCAACAGATTATGTGCTGATTATCTTTTCCAGTCACCAGTTTAGAGCTCATGGGGAAAGACAAGGAAAAAGGAAAGGATCAGAATTCCTGCCTGTCCTCCGGTCTTCAAGCCTCTGCCACAGCTGCTGTATTTTGTCCAAACAAAGAGATTTGAAAATGAACTTTCCAGTTTTATCTTGTATTACTTCCTTGTTCAAAATGTGATCTCCCATCCCCATCCCTGTATCTCCAAAGATTTTAATAAGAATTGTAACTATTTTGGCAATTTGAAATCACTATTTCTGAAGTAGGTTAGAGTGCTTGTATAAGTCTCCCAGAAAGATTATTTGTAGTTAGACAGGAAGAATTTGTTTTTTATTTAAATGTAAACGGATATATTTGAAGCAGACTCACTGTGCATTGGTTATCACCTTGTCTGAGTCTGATAATGTAGAGCATACTCATACACAACACATTACCAAAGTGGATTTATTATTTACAGATTGGCAGTAAGGGACAAAAGAAGCATCAAATTCATCAGGAGCCAGTTCCTCAAAGCTCAAGAAATCTGCCTGGGGCAGATAGAGTCTACACTGCATGTGACCCAATTTGCACCAGAACTAAGGGAGCCCCACAGGCAGCCTGCCAGGGTTATATACATCAGGGGCACCGGGACTCACTGGCAAAGCCTTGAAGGATATCCCTCTTCCAGAGGAGAGAGGAACAAAGCTTAAGCTGTCTCAGGCAGTTGCTCCCTAACTCAAGATGTTACATTCCCTAAGAGTAATAGGAACAAGGTCCCAACTGTTTGAGGCAGCTCCTCCCTATCTGAGGCATTGCATTCTGGGCATATTCTAGTTATTCTTGAGAACCACAGGCAAGAAAGTGCAGTGACCTGGGTCAGTCCAAGGCCACCTGGAGGACTGCTCTGCATATACTTAGTAACTAACGGGTTTGGCTGATAATATATCTTTAAGTACTGATGATCAGAAAAGATCTGTTTTAATTATTGCTATATTGTTTCATTATTGTTAATCTTCTTTTCATTCCATGTAATTCTAAATACAAATCTATGAAAAATTAAGGGTAAGATAAATTTTTTCTTGGCTAATTTTCATGGTAGCTTACAATTATGAAATATGTCAAATAAATTCACCATAAATAAATCGACAGGCGTCAACAAAACATCCCAAACTCAGTTGCATTAACTTTCTTAAGACATCATTGTTTATGAAGAGCTGAGTCTTTGCTACCTTCTTAAGCTCAGAATCTTGTGAATAGGCCAAAAAGTCACTTCCACAAACATTTATAGAGAACTTATTAAAATTAAGTCAATGGTAAGTGTGAGATTCAAAAATGAAAAGTGAAGTATACCTTCAAGAAATATACAATATTCACTGTAACATAGTGTAGAATAAGCTAGTGCAGTTAAAGCATAAACAAAATGTTCAGGAAAACTAGAGTGAGGACTGATGAGAAGTAAGAGCTTGATGGAATAAATGTTAAATAATGTGAATTTTTAATAATGAATTAAATTTAGGTAGGCAAGGAAGAGAGGAATTTACTGTAGGCACAAGTTTGTACGGAGATTAAAAAAAAGTAGTCCCTATGCACAAAACCAAGGTCAAAACTAGCAATATGGTGAATAGAATTTTGCTCACCAACGTTGAGTCTAACAAGGATTAGACATTCCCATCTCCTCAGCTTTGTTTTTCTCCATAACACATTTTATACATTCATATATTGGGTAACTTAATACAGTCAGATTTATTGCCCAACTCTCAGAGACAGAGTGCTAGCTGTGCACACACACATTTCCTATTCTTGCTTGATTTATAGCTAAATACATTTTCTATTCTCCCTTCTAATTAGGTATATCCATGTGAATGAGATTTAGCTATAGTCACCCTTGGTGTGTGTGGGGATCCCAGAAAATACATTTTGTAGGTCCCTCAACTGTTTAAGAAATTTGATCAAAAATGTATTACAGAAGTTATGCCCTCAGTGAGTTATAGTCAGTGAAATTTAGAATTAGCAGTGAAAATTTAATTGAGAACACGTACTTATGTATTGATTTATCATCCAATACATGAAAATGTTCTCTATAGCATCCGTTAACCATGTCTTCCTATTTATGTGAAGGAATTTCTCTGGGTTTCTTATTATCAAACATACCATTTCTGGCTAATTTCTTATTTCCCACTGTGAGAAAAAGATAGCAATGCTGTTATTACTCACAATGCCATGAATTTCTGGAACTGCGTTGTATTTAAACCATATATATCCTCTTGCCTCTGCAGGTCTCTAATAACATTTATTTAGCGCTGGTTACATCGTTGCTCAAGACATTTCATCATCCATCATGCTGCCCAAGACTACCAGCTTTCAATGACTTTCTCAGAGATTCTTATTCTGCTTTACTGATGATGACCACAAATGCAAGAATTATCCAGCGTGCAGGATAGTGTGAAAGATGATTCATTTTCTGATCATTTAAGAGTTATTATTTGGAAAGCACAATGGCACATCTTTCAACCATATCTCATCTGGAACTCTTTAGGCAAAAAAATCACTGTATTTCTAGAATGTGATCTCTTTCAATGTTGATTGCATAGCTGCCTTCTACACACTGCCACTGTTGGAAAAGATAGAGATGGGGCCTTAGATGGACCAAAAAAGACAGTTACAGTCATACTAGAAATGACTGTCTGTCCTCTGACTTGGATGAGCACTACACCACTGCACCTATTGGAGATAAAAATATACTATTCAGAGGTCCCTGTGGCATTGTGAAGCAATAATCTAAAAGTCCTTTGGAAGAGATAGGTGTAGCCACAAATGGAGGATGGCCCGATGCATGATATTCTTGGAGTCTTTGGCTGGAGGGCACAAAGGCAACATTTACAAGGTAGATATTTTATTCATTTATAGAATATGAACATTTTTAATATTGATTCAATAAATCTTGGCTATTTGAAGGCTTTTAAAAGTGTTGTCTAGATTCACTACAATCTGTCTCAAAGACAGTAAAATACATGAACAAAAATGTCTGTAGTTGAATCTAATTCTCTAAGCTAACAGCATGTTTATATGCAATTTTGCATGTGATATTACTGTTATTCATTACAGTTCTGTTATAAATAAGAGAGATTATTCATTCTTTGACTTGGTGGGGGCTGGTTTTCCTGAGGTATTTGTTCCCCTTTTGTTTCTTCAGATTTATGAGCCTGGCAAGCCTTTTCTGTCTGCTGCTGAAAAGACTATTGTGCCCATGTACACACAGTCCCAGCAAATAATTTATTTCAGACCTCTGAGAACATTCTTTTCCTCACTCTCAAAACAGGGATTTTTCATTTCAGTCATCGGTCCCAATCTTAGCAGTGATTCCACCAAGTCAGTATTCATTTTCAATAAAGAAAGAAAGAAAAAGTTATACCTGAGAAGGCTGTGACATAGAAAAATGGAACAATGGTGAAAATGGTCCTGGATTTTATGCCACCATCAGAAAAATTTTGGTCAGGCATAAAGTCTTAATTTTTAAATACTTTATTTTCCTCCTTTATTTTCTGGTTCTTTCATCCCTACCTCAAATATTAGAAAAAATAAATCTATTTCAGTTTAGCAGCAAAACATTTGATTGGGAGGTAATGATTCAATTAATTCAAAGAACAATTTTATTTTAGCTACAAGGATTATTCTTTCTCTTGACTTATTTGGATGATTATCTGATTAGTTTTTCTAGAGACATAACTTCATTGATAGAATTATATTATTATTTCTCCATTTGCTTTTGTAATTGTTATAATTATGTCTTAGACTTTATAAGATTTATAAGATCCTATTATCTATTAATTTTACTCATTACAAAATTTTCCAATCCGTGTGTAATTACATATATTGTAACATCACTATGTTATAAGGCTATGTGTGACTTTGGGAATTTGTGTAGCTCATTTTCTTAGGTACAGAAAAAACTGGCTACAACTGTCCCTAAAATTAGTCTTTCTTAAAATTCCCTAAAAAGGAAGATATTTCTTCAGCCTCTCACTCTGAAAAAAGACCTGACTTTTAAAGAAATGACCAAAGAGACCTTGACTATAATGCATAACAACTTGACAAAGGTATACATTTATCATTGGCTTCTGAAGGTCTCATACTAAACCTTGGGATACATTTCATAAAGTCAGTGGATATTATATTTTCTTTTTCCCTCTCCTGATCATCCTTTTGTCTACTTTAATACAAACTATACTGGAATCAAATGCCTAGATTGTTAAACAGGAAAAGATGAATCTCATTTTAGCTACTCTGTTGGCAGCAGAACTATTTTGAAACCATTCCTTTTTCAACCTTTATGAAAGCCAGCTGCAGGACTTATATATGGGCAAAATTTAGCATGGATTCAGCAGGGTTTGTATTCCCATTTTCGTCAGCTAAGAAATAACATTTGACTACAATATATAATCAAAACTGTTTAGAAACAGTTTTGTCAACATTTATAAAAAATGATATATTACTCATCAAGTATTCTTTATTGGTGATATTGGGAAAATTACTCAGTCTCTCTCTTGCTTGTTTTTTTTTTCTATCTTGAAGTTGATAATATTTACTTCTTTTAATAAAACTCATATAAAACATGTGTTGATATTGAGCTAAACACTCCCATTATGTAAATTTTTAGGAAATAATTCAACTTTTTAGGGAAAAAACAAAAAAAGCAGAAAAACTGTCAGCATGCTGTGAACCAGGGAGTATCTTGTCCTGCAACATTTTCAAAAAGCCAAAGTAGTACTTCTCACAGACTTAACGAAAAGTAAAATACACTGCATCACTAGTGTTGATAAATTGAAATATATTTTCCTAGTCATTTATTAGTAGGGAGCCATTTTTATACTTAGCATTTAATAGCCACTTTTTTCTGATTCCTTTGTTTCCTATATTAATGTATGTTATTTTATTTTGGCAATAGACAACAGAACTTCTCATATACTTTTCATGAACACAAATGTTCCTTGTCTTGAAACCTTGTCTTCTTGAGCATGAAGACTTGGTCAGAATGTGTCTATATGTGGTGACCAAAATTTACAATTAATGCTCAAATATGGGGTCTGAATAATAGGAAGGCATAATTAGAAATTTTAAGATAAGGTTACTCCTGAAAATCCAAGGTTTATGGTTGCTTTAAATTAAAAAGGGTGAGCATAATCCAGATAAGTTATGAAATTATGTAGATACATGACATATGTTGCATTTTCAGTACGCTCATATTTGAGCATAACTAATTAAAAATTCATTTAAAAATTAACCTCGGCTGGGTGGGGTGGCTCATGTCTGTAATCCCAGCACTTTGGGAAGCTGAGGCAGGTGGATCACCTGAGATAGGGAGTTTGAGACCAGCCTGACCAACATGGAGAAACCTCTTCTCTACTAAAAATACAAAATTAGCCAGGCATGGTGGCGCATGCCTGTAATCCCAGCTACTCGGGAGGCTGAGGCAGGAGAATCACTTGAACCTGGGAGGTGGAGGTTGTGGTGAGCTGAGATCGTGCCACTGCACTCCAGCCTGGGCAACAAGAGCAAAACTCTGTCTCAGAAAAAAAAAAGTAACCGCTAATATTTCTTTAAGTCATCTATGGACTTTCAGAATTAGAAGAAATATTACAGAATACTGGTTGATTCTTTTATTTCACA
Organism: Homo sapiens; assembly: GCF_000001405.40. Classification (NCBI taxonomy): domain Eukaryota; kingdom Metazoa; phylum Chordata; class Mammalia; order Primates; family Hominidae; genus Homo; species Homo sapiens. Next base: position 94,782,334 of record NC_000003.12, read on the forward strand.
GAGGGCGACGATAAGACTCAGAAAAGCAATAAAGGACTAGCACCTGAATTTCTTTTGATTCTCCGCCTGTTCTTTCCAACGGTGGGTTCCTTTTCTTTATTTCCTCTCAACTTTAACAAAATTCTTTGCATTCTTTGTTTCAAGTAGATTATTTATACCAACTATGTAATCCTATTTTATTTATTTATTTTTATAACTGAAGTAGCTATCAGGAACTGGCAAATCCAAGGGAATTGCTTCATCAGAAGCATCCCCATTCCCTCCAATGCCCGCCACCACTTCCAAAGTTCAAGCAAAGAGTCACAAATAGTTTCTTACTTTTCCACATAATACTGATACTCTCAGCCTTCCAACATCCACTTGGTTATGTATTTTTCATACGTACATGGCTGGAATCTCTAGCCTCTCTACACGCAGAAATAATCCCAGCAAAAAGACTGGCCATAACTCCAAAAGGAGTCATTAGGGCTGGGTGTTGTGCCTCATGCCTGTAAATCCAGAACTTTGTGAGGCTGAGGTGGGAGGATCACATGAGCCCAGGAGTTCAAGACCAGCCTGGCCAACATAGTAAGACTCCAACTCTGTATTAAAAAGAAACAACAACAAAAGGAGTTACCCATAATAATATCCATATTATGGATATCCAAGTTATCCATAATAATATCCATAATAAAATCCAAAATAAAATAACAATATCCATAGTAAAATTTGTGTTAAATTATTTTCATTTCATATATTAAGTAATATTCTAATTGTTCTCATCAAGCTAATCTTGCATTTTCTCTTATTCTATGTCTTATAAATAAGAGCATTGTGAAGGTGTTTGCAACTGAAACATGTATGTAGCTGGTGTTTGATCTCTGTGCATTAACTTCAGTCCAAGATCAAGTGTCTGGTGAAGGAGTATTTCTTGGCTTATAGATGGCTGCCTCCTCAATGCAACCTCACATAGCAGACAGCAAAGATCTCTCTGGGATCTCTTTTATAAGGGCATTTAATCTCATTCATGAGGGCTCCACCTCAATAATATGATTACCTCCAAAGGCCTCATCTCCTAACATCATCATGTAAGGGGCTTAGGATTTCAAGATTTGGAGAGGAACACAAACATTCAGTCTATATAACAGGTGACTTGTTTTTCATCAATAGAATATCAGAATATGATTTGATTCCAAAACTACCTTAACAGAAAGCTAAAATAGGGGGTATTGGCTTGGGGACAAGGTAAAAGATATAAGCTAGGTGGATGAAGGGTAACTAATGACAACATTCACAAACAGAAACAGCTCTTTGTGCCTTACTCTGACCTTAAATCATAATGCTTGTCGCTTTTGAATACCGTGCAAATTTCTCTATGGCCAACCTAAACTGGAACAACACAGGGTAAGGAATTTTGAAAAACCTTGTTTCTGCTTAATTAAACTGATTTGAAACCACACACTGTATTTGACATGAAAAATATAGCCACAGCTGTAATTAAAGCCTATTATAATCAATCCAAAACTGTATTGAAGTCCTGCCTTCTGCCCTGCTTGTTTTCACTGTCCCTCCACTATAGGCTATATCTAGAACAACTAGCATCAACTTTCAAAATAATTGATCAAATTATGAGAGTTCTTCTAAACAAAAGTTTTTTGATTCCTACATTGAATATTCCATGGATTAAAATCCACAGTCATCATCATATGTGAGTATATTTACAATTTGGCTCTAAACACCTTGTTTACTATTATAGAGTCCCAGGTTTCCTATACTTTTTGGAAATTTGTGTTCCTAGTGTTTCTTGAACAAACTATGCACTTTCATGCTTTTATATTTATCTCTCATGCAAATCCCTGCTTATTTTTAAAAATCAGACTCAACTCCTTTGGTGTTTCTAAACACCTCTGCTCCATTCCCTACCAGCCATTGAAAGTCATTCTTTCTATGGATCTCTTAAAGTACTGGTCCCGGCTTCCATTATGGTAGTTATATTTGCTATATACTTTTTAAACAGCCTAGTACCCAGAAGTCTTTGAGATCTTTGAAGTCTTTAAATTCAGGACTTTGCCTTATATTCACTTATGTATCCTCAGCATTTACAAAAGGACTGATAGTTATTAAAAGCTTAATAAGCATTTGTTTAAAAAAATTTCCCTTAGTCAGTGAAAATATAATCAAAGAAACTTGAATTTTTGGTGATTTTTGTCGAATCACTATACCTTCTGTTGAAATACCCATTCAAAGGTTCAACAATTTGGAGGTACGAATTATCTATACGATATTGCCTTAAGAGTACAGAAAATGCACATCTTATGTTAAATGTAGTCTCTGACCTATAGAAATGTAATAACCTCTGCAGTAAACATAATGCTATAGTTTTTATAATATTATTTTGTTTTGTTTATTTAGATTTTGTTATTGGCATTGTTTTTATTTTTACAAATTATCCTACCACCTCAACTCTACAAAAATAATCAGATAATTTTGTCTACATCTTTTAATATTTATGAGAATTGACTCTCCAAGCCTTATTAACAGTGTTCCAATCCTTTACATTACTAGTTACATTTTGGAATCCTCAACAACTATAATACTTACTGCTTTTATTTTTAAAAACTTTGCAGCAAAAATTTTCCACAATGTTTTGAAAAGCATATCTTACACCTTATTTTGCTACATATGAACTCTGCCTATCAAGAAATGTTACCATGCAGCAACGTACATCTTCATTTTAGTTTTTAGTCTCTTCTGACTTTATGGAAATGTAAATGTTCAACTTGTGATATCTAAGTGTTCAACTTGTGATATCTAAGCTAAGTAATAGGCTAAAACTTACTAGTTGACTCTAAAATGACTTATATGTGTCTGTGTTTTAGTATAATATATAGAGAGGGAAAAGAGTATTTATTTCGCTTAGCTTTTGTATGCTCTATATAAAAATCAAATAGACTCACATTTATAGCTTCAGTCATTAATTCAATACAGTTAACAATTTTGCAGCAACTACACAAATGTTTGTCTTACAGTTCCTTAACTATTCCTTTAAATTACTATATAAATAAATAAATGACTTATGCTACTATATAAGATTTATTCTACTTTATTTGCTTTGTTACTGAATAAAGTTGCTATAATAATTTTTCATGAGTAATGTAATATTTATAAATAAAAGTAGTTCTAACTGAAGTTCAAAATATAACAAATTATTCCTACAAAATATGATAATCTTTTAGATGTTTTCTTTCAATCTTCGTTTCTGGAATGAAAACTAGAACCAAGGGATTTCAGTCTATAAACAACTTCAATGCCTAGGATATCTATCACCTTTCAGAGAATAAATTTGTGAAAATTTATCATGAAAAAGAAAGACATTTTTACTACCCTTGAAAATTTATACCCAGATTATTCTGGGATATCCAATGACACTGAAATAACAGCTTATCACTCCACCTACTCTATGGCAGCAATGGCTATTATAATTATTTTTCTTTAAATTATATTAAAAGTCTGTTTTGTTCCGACCACTGGCATACGAAATAAATCTAATCTTTTCCCATGGAACAGCTCTGAAATTCTTTTAAGACAGCTACTTAGATCCAAAAGTATTGTCTACGCAAGGAAATTTAATTTTATTAATTCTATAAGAAAATATGTTGAGTACCTACTCTATGTCAGGTATTGTGCTAGGCATTTGGGATACAATCTCTAACTTGACAGATCTCGGTCTGTGCTCGTGAGCTCACCGTCTAGTGGAGGGGTCCGATCATACACAAATAAACAAGTAATATAAGACTTATTTTCCCCAAGTTTTCACTATCCTCATACCACTTCTCTAAATATATGCAGCTTTTATTATATTCTTTTAAAATTGTTGTTCTCAAACTAAATGCAATATTTGGATTAGTAATGACTTTAAGTAATTTATTCAACCACTCATTACCTCAGTTTCCTTAATGATAAAAGGAGCTGTTGGAGTAGCTGCACTCTTAATTGTAAGTTTTAAATAAAATATCATATGTAAATAATTTAGCATAGTGTTTGTAACTTGGAAAGTACTACATAAATGTTAGCGATTATTACTGCACCCAGGAAAATCATAATTATTCTCCTTCCTTTTTCTAAATGCAGTCTAAATCACATTAGTTTTTTTGATAAATACATTGTATTACTATTGAGAATTTGCCATTTATGCTAATTCTTAGTTAAGACTGAAATATAATGCAATTTAAATTTTATTTCTCAAATATACTTTTCATTTATTTTGAGTTTTATCTTCATAGACTCGCCATTCCAAACAATGTCTATGTTTCTATATCTTAAATATATTGCACAGTATATTTCCTACTCACCAATTTTGTGTAATCTGCGTTTAATTGACATATCTATTATTTTGAACACTGGATAGTACAATACCAAATCCAAAATCCTGTGACAAGTCATTGGCCCATTTGGAAGAAAGATATTGTGCAAAGAGTTACTCTTCAAATATTTAAGCACAAACATTACGTATAATAATAAGGGGATAAAACTCCAAAGTTTCCTTGTAAGATAAAGTACATTGTAAGTTCTTCATAAGTCTTTCCCTGATTAATTAAAGATGCTGCTTGGGCTATACTGAACTATGTTTGGCTCTGTGAGTGATGGCTGAGATTTACCATACAAATAGAGATTCAAATAAAGTCACCAATGTACAGACCAGAGGGACAATTTTTAGGTGCTCATAATCATAATCATACCCATGACAATAATATTTATGTAATTGGTTAATTGAGACTTCCCTTGGTGAATACAAAAAAAAAAAAAAAGCAAGGAAAAGCAAATTCAGACTTAAACAAAGCAGCAGATGCCTCTATTACAGCTGCCAAGAGGCACAACTCGTTTTCATGCAGACTCTCTGAAATTTATTGTAAAACTTTGTCGACTGAAAGCTATCCATACCTACCAGACGTGCCGTTAAGGGAGAAATGCCATCTCTTTTACATAAATGATACAATGCCCAGAACAAGTCATCTGTGGGATAATGGTATCATTCTTGATATCCCTGAAAATGGTATCAAATAAGTGGTAGACAGATTTATTTTACTTGTAAATGCGTCCCTGTCTAGCACCCACTCACACACTGATGATATTTGTTTAAAGAGTTCTACCTTATTGCGCTCTCCTGAAGTACTGCATAGGCGTTTCATACCATCTGCAATGAGGAGACAAGACTAGAATCACCACTAATTCACATATTTTTGAATAGCTGTCCATTTAGATCCTCAGGACAGTGTCTTCTTCGTGTCACATTGTAAGCACTTGATTATGCTGCAAGCCGGTTGTAATTACAATATCACCATCCACTCCAATCCCAACCTCCTTTATTATGGGAATTTATTATTCATTTTCAAATATATTTATTGCAGATTTTCTGAGTAGTGTCCCATCAATTGTGACAGAAAAAGAAAAAAAATAATGTTACCTGGAAACTTTTAGCTATTATTAAAAGACTTATTCACTTGGTTTTAAGGCAGAACCTTGACTACAAGTTTTATTACCACTAGTAGAAACTCCAGATTACTGGTTCCAAAGGATATCAGTTTACTGAGCAAACAGTCAGTGGGCCAGCAAACGGATGGCTTTTTTTTTTTTTTTTTTTTTCAATTTCTGGCCTGTGTAGCCACTCAGCTGATGAAGCCAAATCCCCTAACAACTCAGTAGTGTCTTGTGTATGTCTATGTGTGTGTATGTGAGGGGAGTGTTGGCCAAGAATAATACATATTTTATGTTAATGTTTCCAGAATTTGACACCTCTTCTTTGACCCTCATCACTGTCTTAATTCAACTCTCCATAATTTATCATCTTGGTTATTGAAGCAGCCTTCCAGCTATTCTCCTTGCCTGGAGTCTGATCTAATTAGCTCTGAAGAAAACCAAGAAGATTCTGGAAGGAATACTGACTTTGTGGTAAGAAGAACTGATATCTGAGCAAGGCACCTAGAGTCATATTTTAATATTGTATCTGAAGGGCAAAGAGCACCTAAGAATGAAGGCCAATGACAATAGAAAAAGGGAATCTGTAATTAGATCTAAACAGAAGTACAGTATAGCTTATGCTTAAAGCAGCTTATTTTTTTTTAATGTGCAGAGTCTGAGCACACAAGTTTTTACTACTTCAATTTTTTTTTAACTCAGAAGCAAGTCATGACAGCTTTCTGCTAAATTATACTAATTGCTTTCTCACATTTCTCTCAAATGTAAGATGACATACATTTTGTACTGTGTCCCTAGGACTGTGTAATATGGATTTAATCAATGATTTTTAAGTGACATCTGTGAGAAAATAAACAAAAGACATCCTCAGTTTCTTCACTTACAAAAATAAAAAGGTCAAAGTAAAAAATTTCCAAAAGCCTTACATTGTAGCCATTTAAAATTTTATAATTCTAAAGGTAGAATAGCAAATTTCAATTTAATAATTGGTTCTTGAATCAAAAGTAGTCATTGTTTCTCTAGATGGTGCTGTTTCTCATTTTGGCTAGCAATACTTGTATTATTATTAAAAAAAAAAAACAACAACCCTTCCAGTTTTCTATGGCTTTTTATCATGTTCCAAAGGCTTAGAGTAGAAAAAAAAAATCAAGGTTTAAGGAAATGACAACTAGAAACTGGTGTCTTCCCTAATGGTGTTGAATATTCCAGGAAAACAAATAAGGAGCAGGAAGGGGGACAGGGTATTTTTGGACATCACATTTGAGACATTTTTCAGCTGTAGTTCAAGATTTTATTGGTAACTAACAGACAGACATGGAATTCCATCCATCTATTCCCAATGAAAGCACTAGTAGTAGCTAAACAACTTAAAAGGTAAAGAAAAAAAGTAGGACATTTGTATAGCTGAATCTCTACTTAATTTTTTTTCCCAACACTATGCATACCAAGTTTACAGGATTATGAGGAAGGAAATCCATACATACAAATGGAAATAATAATTTAGCTTTCACAAGACATGTGCTTTATAACTTCCAAGACTCTGAAACTCCAATGATTAACAATATTCTAATTATATTTGAATTATATTTCATTGAAAGATTCTATTTTTAATCTCCTTAGAGTTTATAATAAATATCAATGTGATATTGAGTGCACAAACATCAGAGCAGTTGATTAAACAGCTATGCAATAAAGTTAGTGGGAAATACAAAATATGCTCCTGGGATAGGAGAAAATAAAATAGTGCTATCTGAATTCTGACTGTCTAATGCACATTTTTCCTGACTACATACAGTAAAATTTTCAGTGCTATGTTCAACCATAACAAGAAGTAGACAAAGTGAAAATGCATTTTTATAAAGTAAATGAACTGGAGAGGATACATAGCCTAAAATATTAATTACTACCCCCAAAACAATTATTGCTGACAATTTTCAATAGGAAGATTAAATGCATACAAAGCAATTAATATTAGCATATTATTTGCTGTGAATTAGACCTTCCTCTGTAGTGAATGGAGGTAAACTTTTTCATGTAAAATATTACCTGAAGTTGGAGTCCACTAGCTACCTGTCAAATTCATTTTCTTGTTTGAGGCATGATTATATTCGAAAGACATTTAGATAATATAGACTTTTAATAAAGTAATAAGGAAGAGTCTGAGGCCAACTGAACTACTTATGAAAAGTGCTTTCTTATGAAGGGGATGCCCTGTCCCTCACTTCAAACCAGCTGATGTTTTCCTAGAAACTTTTTAGAATATATTACTTTAGATCCTGATAATGGAAATACACAAAGAAAAGGACTTACTTGATCTTCTATCTTCTGCTGAAAAACAGACTTTAAAATGTATATTTATGTTTTCAGTTGCAATGGAATACCTACTCAAATCATGAGTAAGTATTTTATCTTTTATTGCATCTCTTTGCTCCTAAACATAAGGAAAAAAGTCTAATTCCAGCTGTTCTGATTCATTTACACTTAGCCATCAAGTTTTTATGTTCACTAAATGTTTTTAATGCATTAAAGCTATAGCGACATTTTAATAGTATTTTCATCTCTACCTCATAAGACCATATTTTCTTGATATATTATGAGTCTTATTTATTAAGAAAACAAAACAGAAATGGAAATGAGGAAATGTTTTTACTTGATTTTGGCTATTTCTATGTAATGTTATTAAAATCATTTTAAAATGAAAAAGCCCATGTAAAATATGACTAGATTTTGCATCCATATAATGGCAAATAGATGTTCAATATTATTGAAGGCTCTGTGTATATAATATAAAACCCATGTGAGAGTTGGAATTACAGTAATTTTTAAGTCTCCCAAATAAATCCATTTTGATTTGACTACGCGCAATTCTACCATTTTCTCCAATTTTCTGAAGCCATGCTAAGAGAGCAAAACAAATTCAATTATGTTCTTGCTAAACGTTATATTGATAATACTAAACTGGTTTCTGTGAAAGATGCGAATGAATTACTATTAGTATCAGGATCCAGTGGTTTCCTGAAAGAGATTAGTCTAAGTTACTTTGAAAAATAGTGGTATGCCATCCTGAGCTGTGTATTGCCATCCTGAGCTGACCCAGGAAATAATCAGCCACTCGACTAAGACAGACATAGAATTCTGGTGAAGAATCACAAGTCATATGTCATGTTTTGCATCATAGTGTCACAGTTATTTGCATTAACAATATACAAATAATAATGACAAAAGAATTAAAAGCAATAAAACACATTTTTCATTTTTGCTAGACTACAAATCCTATATTATTTTGTCTATCAGCAGTTAAGATTGTTTAACTTAGCAACTTCATTGATTTGGGATAGCTTGATGGAAACTTAGAAGCATTCAATTTATTCATTTGTTTATTCGTTTATCTTTCGTTCATTCATTTAACAAATGTTCAGTGAGTACCTTCTGTGGCATGCTGGTCACTGTTCTGGGTACTGAAGATGGAACAAAAACCAAACAGAAATGGTTTCTGCCTTCTTAGAGTTTTTATTTTGATTGGGAGAAGCAAAGAACTAACAGATAATAAACATACCATGTGCTACATGATGAAAACTGTTATGAATAAAAACAAGGTAGGATAAATATTAAGCAATTTAAGGAGGGTCATTGGGAAGGCCTCTCTGTTAATGTGGTGTTTCAGTAGCTCCTAAAAACCATCTGGCTATTTGGAGGAAGATTGTGCTAGGCAGAGGGAAGAGTAAGGGCAGTGACTCTGAAAAAGGATCATGCTTTTCATAAGTAAGGGTTAGCAGAAAGGTCAGTGTGCCTGGAGCAGAGAGAGGAAAGGTCATAAGATGTGAGACCTGAGACGCATTATTCAGAGGCTTCTATACACTCAGTCTGCGTCTATCATCTTGTAGGGAACGTAGAAATATAAGCTGTAGTTTCTATTCTCATAGAGCTTTTATTCTGAAAGGGCCATAAGACTAATTTACATAGAGAACAACATAAAGCTTAACATACTTAAATTAATTGTGTAGTATGGATTTTATAACAACTAATTGTCCTAAAATTAGTTTAAATATCCTGACCTTGCAGGAACAGTGTTAACTTATAACTACCTTCAAAGTGCTTTTTGTTATACTTGAAACATTTTACAAAATGATTTGAAATGCACAGCTACAGTTTTCAAAAATAGACCTAATTATATTCTATAAAATGAAGATTGGCAAATTTAACATATATGAGACACACATTTATCAAACTATTTATCTTCCTCTTCTTTAGAAGCATTTAAAATAAAAACGATCACCAGGAGTCAATATTGGTTCACTTAAAACAAACTATGTTTGACCTTTTCTTTTTTTCTGTTTTGTTGTTGTTGTTGTTGCTTTTATTTATCTATTTTAGGACTGTTATTCTGGCAGACTAAAGAAATCTGTTAAGCATTGATATTCATCAGTGTTCTTTGAATGAGAGTAATATACTGAACACAAGTGAGAAACATGAATATGAGTATTGTGAAACCATCCCCACAAGATTGACAAGAATTGCATGCTGTGTTTAGACAGACATATAGTTACTATATAATTAAGCATTAATCAGGCTGCACTTCCTTGTTGCTAAAAGTCACTTAGCACTAGATACCCCCTACCCACCATTTGCATTACCCTTTTCCTTGTAGGTAGGATTTCTGACGTTAGGATCATAAGACCATTTAAGAATTGGATTGCATCCCCATTGTTCTATAGACAAAATCTCTGACATTAGAATCATAAAGCTTTTGTTTAAGGACCAATTAAGATGTTTTTCAGACTATGAATTTTAGCAATGTTAGTTGAAGACTCCCATAGGGGAATGGGATCAGCGTGAGAGTACAGCTTCTCCCTGCTCCATGATGTCATCCTGCACTCTTCAACCAATCAACAATCTCCACACTTCAATCCACTTCAAAACCGTTGAAAACCCTAGTCCCAAACTCCTCAGAGAGGTGGATTTGAAGTTCCTTTCCATCTCCTCCTATGATTAAACCTCTTGTTCTGCTGCATCCCAATGCCATGGTATATTGACTTGACGTGTGCATCAGGTAACAGATCTATTATGTTTATAGCAATAATATCATTGTGTGGATTATCAACTGGTTGAATAACTTTATTGTAGGATATCTATTAGCTTATATAACTCTCATTATGATCATGCAATTAATTTTGGAGCAAAAATGCCCATCAATGATAGACTGGATTAAGAAAATGTGGCACATATACACCATGGAATAATATGCAGCCATAAAAAAAGATGAGTTCATGTCCTTTGTAGGGACATGGATGAAGCTGGAAACCATCATTCTCAGCAAACTATCGCAAGGACAGAAAACCAAACACCGAATGTTCTCACTCATAGGTGGGAATTGAACAATGAGAACACTTGGACACAGGAAGGGGAACATCACACAGTGAGGCCTGTCGTGGGGTGGGGGGAGGGAGGAGGGATAGCATTAGGAGATATACCTAATGTAAATGACGAGTTACTGGGTGCAGCACACCAACATAGCACATGTATACATATGTAACAAACCTGCACATTGTGTGCATGTACCCTAGAACTTAAAGTATAATAATAATTTAAAAAATGCCAAATGAATTACTACCACACATTGAAAATATGAAAAAGCAGAAAACATGTTTTCTCCTTTCATACAGCTTACAATCCTGTGGAAGACAAAAAGTAAATAACAATTTCAAGTATTTACAGAAGTATCCACAGGACCATACAAATGAAAGTGCCAACTAAACTTAGGGTTTAGGCATAGAAAACGCCCGCATGAGGTTGTGATTTAAACTGTATCTAAAGGATAAGTAGTTTTAGCTAAATTATTCAGGAGATGATTGAAGTGGAAAGTACTCTAGGAAGAAGAAACAATGAGTGTGAAGCTATTCTGAGGCTGAGCTCATTATGTTAGAGAAAAAACTAAAAGAGAGAAGTATAAATGGAACAAAAAGAGCAGAGTTGTATTAAAAGAGACTGGAGCTACAGGATAGAGGATTTTGTTGTATATGCTGATATTTTGGATCTTAAATTGTAATGGAGAGCCAATATTATTATATAATAAAGTAAAAAAAAAAACTATGAGAAAGAGAAAATATGTTTGGTGTTTGTTATGGGTTGAATTGTTTACCCCCAAAGTATATATGCTGAAGTTCTAACACCTGATACTCAGAATGTGACCTTGTTTGGAAAGAAGGTCATTACAGATTTAATTAGTTAAGAGAAGGCTGTACTGGAGCAGTGTGGACCCCTAGTACCATATGTCTGGTGTCTTTATAAAATGAGAATTGTGGACATAGACACATATATACACACAAGGGAGAAAACCATATAAAGATGAAGAGAGATTGATGCAGAAGAAACCACAGATTTCCAGCAAACTACCAGAAGCTAGGGGAGAGCCTGAAACATATTCTGTGTCACAGCCCTCACTCAGAAGGAACCAATCCTGCCAACATCTTGATCTCAAACTTCTCGCATCTAAAACTGTGAGATAATAAACTCTGTTGTTTAAGACACCAGCTGTGGGACTTCTTCCAGCAGCCCTAACACACTGTCAGAATTAGGATTCACCATGATGACAAAGGCAGTAGCAAAGGGCTGAATCTAAAAAGATAAAATTATTTAGGGTTAAACATGAAGTCTTTCCCTGGGTCAGATCTTGTTTGTGCAAGTAAATGGTCCCAGAGATATGATCTAGCAGTTGCATGAGATTAATAAAAGGTATACTTTTTTAATTTGAAGTGTACCTACCATGATTCATTGGTATACTTTGCAGCTTACTTATATTTCAAAGTACATTTTAAAATATAATATTTGGTTTAATAATAAAATATTTCAAAATATTTGTCAGTCTTGACAAGACTGACAAGTTCTTCCAGGATTTCTTCTTACTTGTTCTTCAACAAGTAAGAAGTAACTTGTTCTTCAAGAACTTCAACAAGCAACTTGTTCTTCAACAACTTGTTCTTCAACAAGTTCTTCCAACATTTCCTTCTTACTTGACCCTTGTCTACACTAGTCAGCAACATGCAAATTGCATTAAGAATTAGTTTTGTTATACTAATATGTTTACAGTAAAATTGAAAAGATAAAGAAAGATTACAAAGAAAAAAGGTTTTTTTTTCATTTTTAAAATCTGAAAAATGCTCTTTAAGTTTCTGTTAGAAGCCAAAATTGACAAATGGGATCTAATTAAACTAAACAGCTTCTGCACAGCAAAAGAAACTACCATCAGAGTGAACAGGCAACCTACAAAATGGGAGAAAATTTTCGCAACCTACTCATCTGACAAAGGGCTAATATCCAGAATCTACAATGAACTCAAACAAATTTACAAGAAAAAAACAAACAACCCCATCAAAAACTGGGCATAGGACACTTCTCAAAAGAAGACATTTATGCAGCCAAAAAACACATGAAAAAATGCTCATCATCACTGGCCATCAGAGAAATGCAAATCAAAACCACAATGAGATACCATCTCACACCAGTTAGAATGGCAATCATTAAAAAGTCAGGAAACAACAGGTGCTGGAAAGGATGTGGAGAAATAGGAACACTTCTACACTGTTGGTGGGACTGTAAACTAGTTCAACCAATGTGGAAGTCAGTGTGGCTATTCCTCAGGGATCTAGAACTAGAAATACCATTTGACCCAGCCATCCCATTACTGGGTATATACCCAAAGGACTATAAATCATGCTGCTATAAAGACACATGCACTCGTATGTTTATTGCGGCACTATTCACAATAGCAAGGACTTGGAACCAACCCAAATATCCATCAATGATAGACTGGATTAAGAAAATGTGGCACATATACACCGTGGAATACTATGCAGCCATAAAAAATGATGAGTTCATGTCCTTTGTAGGGACATGGATGAAATTGGAAATCATCATTCTCAGTAAACTATTGCAAGGACAAAAAACCAAACACCGCATGTTCTCACTCACAGATGGGAATTGAACAATGAGAACACATGGACACAGGAAGGGGAACATCACACTCTGGGGACTGTTGTGGGGTGGGGGGAGGGGGGAGGGATAGCATTAGGACATATACCTAATGCTAAATGACGAGTTAATGGGTGCAGCACACCAGCATGGCACATGTATACATATGTAACTAACCTGCACATTGTGCACATGTACCCTAAAGCTTAAAGTATAATAATAATAAAATTAAAAAAAAGTACATTCCTGTAGAGTAGAAGTTGGCAGCCACCTTTTGTTTTTGTAAATAAAGTTTTATTTACACCATTTAAAAAAAAAGAAATAATAATTTTAAAATTTAAGCCTTTTAATTTGTAATACTAAAGGTTTTATAGTGGTGTGTTTTCAATGTTTGTTTTGAAAAAATAACAGAAAAGGAAAGAATACAGAACATAGTCTTGTGCTCTAAATTTGCAGAATTTATTAAATTCTGCAAATTTATTTTCAAAAAAACCCATTCTCTGTCCTTTACATTTTTTTTTTCTCATTTCTTAACATGGGAGCATAAATCATTTACTGGGTAATTTTCTTCTCTAAGAAAAGGATTTGATGATATCTATTTTCCTGTAAGCACCACTTTGGTTTCTTTCCCAACATTTTGATGTGTAGGGTTCTTATTTTTATTCAGCTCAAACTGTTTTCTAATTTTACTTCAGATGTCTTCTTTGTACCTTGGTTTACTTAGAAGTGCATTGTTTAGTCTCCAAGTATTTGAGGAATTTTCCAGATATTTTCCTGTTATAATTTTCAAGTTACTGTAATCAGGTAATATACTTTGCATGATACTAATCCTTTTAAATATAATTAGAATATTTTTATGGCCCAGTATCCTAACTCAGTTGATGTTTTATGTGCATCTGAAAGAAATGTGTATTTCACTCTTGCGTAGTCATTTAAGTCAGGTATAGATTAGGTCACATTGCTTGGTAGCATTGTTCGGGCATTTTACATGCTTTTGGATTTCCTCTCTACATATTCAATATTGACAGTAGAGTGGTTGGCCAGGCTCGGTGGCTCACGCCTGTAATCATAACACTTTGGGAGGCTGAGGTTGGGGGATCATCTGAGGTCAGGGGTTCGAGACCAGCTTGGCCAGCACGGTGAAACACTGTCTCTACTAAAAATACAAAATTCCGCTGGGCATGGTGGTGCATGCTTATAATCTCACCTACTTGGGAGGCAGGAGAATTGCTTGAACTCAGGAAGCAAAAGTTGCAGTGAGCCAAGATTGCGCCACTGCACTCCAGCCTGGGTGACAGAGTAAGACTCTGTCTCAAAAAAAAAAAAGAGAGAGAGAGAGAGAGTAGAATGGTAAAGTCTTCTATTTTATTAAATACTGTGGCTCTGTGTATTCATTCAATTATATCAATTATTGCTTCAAGTATTTTGAGGTTCTGTTACTAAGGGCATATACATTTAGAATTGTTGTGTTTTCTTAATGGATTGACATCATTATCAATGTAATGTCCCTCTTTATTCATGGTAATATACATTGTTCTGAAGCTTTCTTTACTTGATATTAATTTAGTAACTACAGCTTTGCTACTGGTGGCAAATCCGTATAGGTCTGCAACAACCTCAATTCTTGCCTCTTCAGAAGAAAGAATTCAACCAAGGGGCATAAGGCAGCATGAGAGACTGAGGCAAGTTTTAGAGCTGGAGTGAAAGTTTATTAAAAGGCATTAAACAGAAACAAAAGGAAGGAAAGTAAACTTAGAAGAAGGTCAAGTGGAAGACTTGAAAGACAAGTGTCTGGTTTGACCTATTGATGTGGGGTTTTATACATTGGCATGCTTACAGGGTCTTAGATCTCTTCTCCCCTGATTCTTCCCTTGAGGTGGGCATCCACATGGGCAGTGGCCTGCTGACACTGGGGAGGTGAGCATGCGCAGTGTATTTACTGGAGTTGTATACACACTCGCTTGGGGCATTCTTCCCTTACCAGGAAGAATACCAGTTAAATGCCACCTTTTTGCCTCTTAATGCACATGCATGAGCCCACTTGCCCAACTCCTGAGATCTTATTGAGAAGGTAATCTCAATTTTAGGTTTTTTCTATCTATTGGGAGACTGCCTTTCCCTGGCGCCAGCTTCAGCCAATTATTTTTTAGAGAGGCAGCTTAACAACTGCCTGACCATCTTCCAGTGGTTGCTAGCATTCTTGGTATGGGGAGGCCCTCTTCTGCCCTGTTCATGTCTGACTAGCTGCCTACTATAACAGCTTTCTTTTAAATGTTTCAGAGTAGATCTCTTTCTTCATTCTTTATTTCTTTTAACCTACTGTAAATGTATTTACATTTTTTATTTATATATTTATATTATGTATCATATTTCTAAGAAATTTTTATACATGCTGTATTTATCTTCAAAGTAGTTTTCTTCCATAAAGCATTTGAGTTTTGTTATTTTATCTGATTTACAAACTCTGTCTTATAATTGGAGTGTTTAGACAATTTACTTTGAGTTAACTATTGATATGGTCATATTTAAATCTCACTTGATTATCTCGTTTGTATTTGTGCCATCTGTTCCTGTTCCTTTTTTAAAACTTTTCCTGCCTTCTTTTAGATGAATTGATTATTTTTGTGATTCTATTTTCATATTCAGTCATCACTATTTAGGTAGCACAGTTCACTTTTTAGCAGTTGCACTAGCCGATGTTTTTAAATTTCAGCATATATCACCTGGAGAGCTTATACAAACAGAAATTGCTGACCACCACATCCAGAGTTTCTGGGCCAGGTGCAGTGGTTCATGCTGGCAATCCCAGCACTTTAGGAAGCATAGGCAGGCTGATCACTTGAGCCCAGGAGTTCCAGAACAGCCTGGGCAACATAGAGAAACCATGTCTCTACAAAAAATACAAAAACTTAGCCAGGCATGGTGATGCACATCTGAAGTCCCAGCTACTCAGGAGGCTGAGGTGGAGGATTGCAGGCTGCAATGAGCCATGATCCCACCATTGCACTCTGGCCTGGGCAACAGAGTAAGACCCTGTCACACACAAAAAAATAAAAAATAAACAATTTCTGAACAGTTTGAATTTGCCAGCACACATATGTGTTAGTTAAAGTTCCTGAAATACTATTCTGATATACTAGTTTTCTTATAAGGCGAAGGGAAGTTACACTTTTAAAATTATGTTTTATTTAAGTAATTAATTTCATTTACTTATTTTTAATTGCCTTCAAAAGCAATCGTTGAGGACCAGTCTCCTAGTTATGTGTGACTTAATCAGATTCAATTTCAGGTTTATTTTATAATGAGATTAATGACGAAGTTAAAGAAATTTAGTTTAAAATTAGACTTTTTTATTTTTTCCGTGAAGATAGGATCTCCTTCTGTCACCCAAACTGGAATGCAGTGGCACCTTCATAGCTCACTCACCGCAGCCTCAAACTCCTGGGCTCAAGTGACCCTCCTGCTTCAACTTCTCAAATAGCCAGGACTACTGGCACATGCCACCATGACTGGCTAATAATTTTATATTTTTTTTGGTACAGACAGAGTCTCACTACGTTGGCCAGGTTGGTCTTGAACTCCTGGGCTCAAGCTATCCTCATGCATTGGCCTCCAAAAACATTGGAAATACTGTGTGAGCCGTTGCGCCTGGCTTAGACTTTACTAAGACTAAAAGTGAAGCACTCTCCACGCTGTAGTTCACCTCAACAAATGTTCCACAAAATCAAAAATATAAGTTTTAGCTAACCTTAAAAGTCATAGATGTATAATATACATTTATTAAAATGAACTAGTTAAACCATATGTACCATACATTACAGACCTTAAGTATATACAGTCACAGCTTGAAGATACTCCAATTCAGTTCCAAACCACAACAAGGCAAATATCATAATCAAGTTAGTCACACAAATTTTTTGGTTTCTGAGTGCAAATAAAAGTTGTGTTTACATTATTCTGTAGTCTATTAAGTGTGCAACAGCATTATGTCTAAAAATATATATACCTTAATTTAAATATACTTTATTGCTATAAAATGCTAACAGTCATCTGAGACTTCAGTGAGTCATAATCATTTTGCTGATGGAGTTTCTTGCTTCCATGTTGATGGCTGCTGACTGATCAGGGTGGTGTTTGCTGAAGGTTAGGCTGGTTGTGTCAATTCTTAAAAGAAGGCAACAATAAAGTTTGCCATATTGGTTGATCCTTTCACAGAAGATTTATCTGTAGCATGCAGTGCTGTTTGATAGCATGTTATCCACTGTAGACCTTCTTTCAAAATTATAGTCAAATCTCTCAAATCCTGCTTCTGCTTTATCAAATAAATTAATGTAATATTCTAAATTATTTGTTGTCATTTCAACAATGTGCATAGCATCTTCACCAGAAGTGCATTTCATCTCAAGAAACCATATTCTTTGCTCATCCATGAGAAAGAACCTCATCCACTCAGGTTTTAGGATGAGGTTGCAGCATTTCAGTCACATATTTAGGCTCCACTTCTAATTCTTATTATCTTGCTATTTCCACCATAACTCCACTCCAGTCTTAAACTCCTAAAAGTCATTCATGAAGGTTAGAACCAGCTTCTTTCCAACTTCTGTTAATGTGAATATTTTGACCTTCTCCCATGAATTATGAATGTTCTTAATAACATTTAGAATTATGAATCCTTTAAGATGATCTTCAGCTTACTTTGCACAGATCCATCAGGGGAATCTCTACCTCTGTAGACTATAGCCTTGCAAAATGTATTTTTTAGATAATAAGACTTGAAATTTACATAATATCTAAATAATCTAAACTTGAAAGTTACTCCTTGATCCATGGGCTATAGAATGGATGTTATGTTAGTAGACATAAAAACAACACTAATATGTTTGTACATCTCTGTCAGTGCTCTTGGGTGAGCAGTAATATTTTAGAAGAAGTTTTTTTTCTTCTGAAATGTAGGTTTTAACAGTGGGCTTAAAATATTCAGTAAATTATGTTATAAACAGATGTGCTGTCATCCAGACATTGTTGTTCAATTCAACAGGAAGAGTAACTTTAGCACAATTCTTAATAGCTCTAGGATTTTTTGAACATCAAATGAGCATTGGCTTCTACTTAAAGTCACCAGTTGCATTAGTTCTTATCAAGAGAGCTGAGCTGCTTTTTTAAAGCTTTGAAACCACGCATTGACTTCTCTTCTCTAGCTATGAAAGTCCTAGATGGCATCTTTCTCCAATAGAAGGCTGTTTCATCTACATCAAAAATCTGTTATTTAGTGTAGCCACCTTCATAAATTTCTTAGCTAGATCTTCTGGGTGACTTGCTGCAGCTTCTACATTGGCACTTGCTGCTTTATCTTGCACTTTTATGTTATAGATACGGCTTCTTTCCTTAAACCTCATTGACTAACCTCTACTAGATTCCAACTTTTTTTTCTGCAGCTTCCTCACCTCTCTCACCCTTCATAGAACATGAAGAGATTTAGGGCTTTGCTCTGGATTAGGCTTTGGCTTAAGGAAAATTTGTGGCTTGTTGGTTGGCTCTTCTATCCAAATCACTCAAACTTTCTCCATATCGTCAGTAAGGCTGTTTCACTTTCTTTTTATTTATGTTTTCTCAGGAGTAGTACTTTTAGTTTCCTCGAGAACTTTTCCATTGCATTCACAACTTGACTGTTTTGCACAAGAGGCCTAGCTTTTGGCTCACTTTGGCTTTCAACATGCCTTCCTCACTAAGCTTAATCATGTCTAGCTTTTGACTTAAAATGAGAGATATGTGACTCTTCCTTTTACTTAAACACACAGAGGTTATTGTAAAGTTATCAACTGGCCTAATTTCAAAATTTTTGTCTTAGGGGATAGTGAGGCTTGAGGAGAGAGAGAGAGAGACAAAGAGAGAGAGAGATTGTAGAACAGCTGGTTGGTGGAGCAGTCAGAACATGTGTATTTATCAATTAAGTTCACCATCGTATATGAGTGGGGTTCATGATGCACCACAACAATTACTATAGTAGCAACAGAAATCACTGATTACAGATCATCATAACAATTGTAATAATATTGAAAACATTTTAAATGTTGCAAGACTTACCAAAATATGACACAGGGACAAGAAGTGAGCTCATACCACCAGAAAAAATGACATCAAGAGACTTGTTCAATGCAAGGTCGCCACAAGCCTTCAATTTGTAAAAAGTGCAATATCCGTGAAACACAAAAACGGAAGTACAATAAAAAGAGTTATGTCTCTATATTTTCAATTGAGTTAACAGCTTTAATAATTTCATTGACAGACTTATTATCCAGTTTTTGGAAAAGACAATCAGGGAACAGTATAAAAATAATATCTGAAATATTTTTAAGCCCCTGTCTGACATTGTCCTCTTTTATTTAACTCTAGTCAAAGGCATGTATTTTGGGTATAATTTTATTGAGGATCTGTCCCATGAGTAAATCAAAGAAGGTTAAAATATCCTTGTACTAAATCCTCATTTAGCTACGCAGGAATATCTATTTGGAATATAATATTACTGCAAAAATAAGACAGAAATAAGAGATAATTACATGAAAATCACTGTGACAAAATCTTTACTTTTATCCACAGACTAATAATAGCTCCATATTAATGTAGGTGTTTTAAGTCAGTGTTTGCCAGAGAAACACAACCAATGGGATGTATATTTGTGGTTGTGTATGTGTGTGTGTATATATACATATGCTTATATATATATATATAGAGAGAGAGAGAGAGACAGAGAGAGAGAGACAGAGAGATAGGTAGATGAAGATGTATAAGTAATTGGTTCACATGATTATGAAGGCTGTCAACTCCAAATCTTCTATGTGGGCCAGGAGGCAGGGGACCCAGAGAATCAGTAGTGCAGTTCCAGTATGAAGGCTGGCAGGTAGGGACCCAGGAGAACCAATAGGTGTCGATAAAGTCCAAAGGTAGTCTTCTGGAGAATTTCCTTTTGCATGTGAAGTCAGTACTTTTTGTTTTATTAACTTCTTTGAGTCATTGGGTAAGGCCTATCCACATTAGGAAGGACAAGCTGCTTTACCCAGAGTTTACTGATATAAATGTTCATCTCATTCTAAAACACCCTCTGAGTTGTTATACAAAATTAACTATCACACAAAGTATGTATTCTATTTCCTTGAGTCTTAAGTTGGAACCAAAAATCAACATTAAAATATGGTAATAAGGAAACACATTTGCAAATACTCGAAAAATCTCCATTATATGATTGAAGTATGCAAGTTTCCCTATAAAGTGTCCACATGAATAGCTGTTGTGAAACAGAATGCATGGTTATAAATAACTAGTGTTTTCTGAAGGACTTTTGTTTGTATTATTTATCTACATAGAGACTCAGTGAATGCCATTTCCTGCATCTGCTCCTCCCTTCAGGACAAAGGCATCAGTTGCTCCAGCTGATAGAAGTATTGCCTCTTGGCAGCTAATAGTTGTCTCTCCCCAGAAGTTGCGTTAGACTTAAGGGAGCTGTTTCCCCCAAGGTTAAGCCTTCTCCTCAGGGCAATTTGTATCCAAAAACTGGTCAAAATGGTGGTACCAAAAAAAAAAAATAGTGCTACCCTTGCTTCAACGGGTGGAGGGTTAGACAACTTAGAGGGCATGTCCTAGCTTGAAAGCTGCTTAGGGTATTAATTGAAGTCCTTGTTGAAAATACTTTGCAGTTTAACTACTCCGTGTATCCAATTCTGTTTATCTCACTCTCTCACAGGTGTTTATTCCTTCCCCCAATAAACCATTCTATATGCAAATTTCCATAAAGTCTATGTCTGAGCTAACATAAGGGTATTAAAATATTACTTATAGAGCAGTTGACTGTTAGTAACAGGAGTGGTAATTAGTAAAATTAGTAATATTCGTTTTTAGTAGCACTTATTTATTTTTAACTGGAGAAGGACTTTATAAGAAATCCTGTCTTATCGCCATTATAAACTCATTATTAACTCTGTGTATGTATTTTGAAGTGGATTACTGCTTATGCTTTGATTATTTTCTTCTTCACTATTATTAATCAGTGTCAATTATTGAGACATATTTAATTACTTATTCAAAGTATTATTGTCCAATAGTCTTATTCAAAAATATGATTAAGATAAGGATATTACCTGTGCTTTACTTTCATTCAGTGGAAATAATGGCATTTTAGATCTTAGCTGCATGCTTTATTTCTGTCATTATTTTTCAGATCCTTTCACAAAATGTTGAGCTCTCATCTTGTTTGGTGACCTTGTGTTTTAGCACTTGGCATTTGAGAATGATCCATGGATTTTATACACCTGAATTGAAAATAAAATCATCTTATTTTTGAGTGGCTATCTAGTTTATGCAATATCACAGAATCAAGAAAGGCTATGTGGGCACATGCAATCTGACAGAATATCATGGAAGGAAAGATTTATAAGTGCTTTATATCACACATACATGTAAAATCAAGTACACACTAGATGGAAGAGTTGAGGAGGTTTGTGGTTATAGTCTTACAAATCTTTCAATTTCTTCACAATGAAACCCAATAGAATGCCTAACACAAACATAGGACCATACTAACTCTTAAATGAGAAACAGTGAGACATTCACTAACTTAACAATCATTTGTTGAATAGAGAAAACACACATTACTATGTTCTGTGACAGTTACAAACAAGAAGTAGTTCACCTGGTTTCTGATTTTCAAAAGATCTCCAATAGCAATTTCCCCCAATGTCTTGGCATTCAATTATATGGTTCTAATATATTCTTGAGAAAAATCAGAGATTATTTATACTTGGCAACTACTTCACACAAGCATTTGGGGCATGGTGAAAGTTTATTTAAATGGTGTGTATACATAGACCACTCCTACAAAGACTGATTGTATTTTTTGTTTCAAATACCATACTTTTGTTCTTAAGGGAAGTTTGAGTCATATTATACTCAAAACTATTATTTCTTCACTGCTTTAGTTTTACCATGACAAGATTTTAATACCATGTAGGACACCCACCCACACAAAGTATGTTAAACTTTATGATTTTAAGTATAATTTTAATTTTATAATTGCATCATTTTGTGTTAATTGTTTTGCATTATTTTTAAAAGAATTTAAATTGACACATTTATTTCTCAAGGGAGCAGAATGTCTCCAGTAGTTTCATATTGTTTCAGCATTCACTAATTGCTAAGCTTGCAAAATATAATAAAATTTATTTATTTTGCACAGCATTTCCATTACATTTTTTAATACCCTGGTGTATGACATATTCATCAGGAAAGCAACACAGCAGATTAGAGCAATTGCAATAATGAAGCCAAACCACGCCATTGAAAAGCTCTTCACTGTGAGAGACAGGATCTTATGTATGCTCAAATCACATTTATTGGAATAATCTCTGCATATTTGTTGAAAAAAATACAAATACTGGAGTATATATAGATAGATTTGAGGAAGGGTCAAATACTTTCCTCAATGCTTTCCCTTTTCTTTCCCAAACCTTTATCCCTCAGTTTGGCATTTTATCTCTTAGGCAAATTATTTCTTGTCTCACCACCAGCTCCCATTACTTCAACTGGCTTTCTTGCCCATCCTAGTAATGTTTTGGAAAAAATGATGAGCAATGCGCATTCAATGAATTTTATTCTTTTACAGGGGAGACACTCTCAGCAAAGAAAGAAAGAAGGGGACCCTTCAATCTCCTTTGTAAACTTACTAAAGACAGACTTATTTGAAAACTAACTAGTGGTATCTGTTAACCCAGAAGTCTCTAACTATGTAATCTTTTTAGCAGGATGGACTTAGTATGTCATGTTTGCATATTTTAAACAAACATGGAACCAGTGAATTTATGGGCCATTATTTCCTTAAAAATGTCACCTAAGCTATGGAATTGAGCATAAAATAGAGATGTTTCATACTAAAATGACTTCATTTTGTGTAAAAATATAGCTACATACATTATGAAGAGTTTTCTGATGTTAATTTGAGCCAGGGTGCATCCTGATGAGGCAAGAAAGGTTCCAGACCTTTCCCTGCTTTATCTAGAACCTATGATCAATCTGTATCATTGAAGTATTAGTAGTAATGTTTAACACCGGGTAAGATCTCTGATTCTTGTAAGTCTGATTTGCCAGTTGGATCATTGTGTCACATCACCATTTTAAATGAAGCTTCCTTCCAGGATGCATGTCATCTTGAGAATTGCCATCTTAGTTACATAATTATATAAATTGACCACATGGTAACATGAAATATAAAATATTTGTTAATGCATTAGCCCCCAGAAAAGGGCTGTAAAACTTGACTCCAATAAAGAAAATATTAAGGACTCTTGGACTACCCAAACACATTAGCCGGAAAACAAGTCTGTTGCTACACTTCAAATTACATTTATTGGAATAATCTCTGAATATTTATTGGAAGAAAATTGAACTATAATTCAAATGAACATATTTTAATAGTTTATCCCCTTAAAAGAATTAATTATCAACAGGATACAAAAACAGAGGAAGGAAAGCTGCTTGGAAAAACCTGTACCAAACCTAGTAAAATTTACTTTCACTCCTAAGTAAACTATTTGATACAAATTTTCAGGAAGGGTTTAATAGGTATTCCCTGAAAGCATACACAAATAGGAGTCTTGCCTACTTGTTAATGCATGTTTGAACAAGTTTAAGGAAAGACGAAAACATTTCCTTTTATACCAATTAGAGGGTTTCTTTTTGTTGTTCACAAGGAAGTAGAAAGGTTGAATTCACAAAGTAATAGCAGATATATGTTTAATTATGAAGTTTTTTTTCCAGTTCAAATTCAATATAAAAATGAAAGTCTGTGAAATAAAATATGTTTCATTGAGGCATTTTTCATGAACTATATTATTTTAGACAAACTCCCATAGGGATAAATGTATTTCATCTTCCTCAGGTGTAAAAAAAATCTTCCAAGAAGCACTATTTCCTAACAAATGAAAATATTTCCATCTCTAACCAGCCTAGAAATGTTACCCTTAGGAATAAAAAACTTTGCTGTGATTCTGGGCCCTTGTTCAGGACTCATTATGTCAAAAGCAGATTAAAATATTTTATTTATCCCATCTGTGAATTTAGTATTTCACTCCTTGTGGTAACTCTTTCTTTTCTCCTCGAAGACAGAGATATTTTATTTCAATGATGATTATAGCCTATTATTATCCTCGTGTGACTAAAAAGGTAATAAAATGAATGTTGCATTTATCATTCAAAAATCGTCCTCAGAAAATATCAGTATGTGCTTACCGTAGCAAAACACAACTATATTGTTGCTAAAATTAATTTAAAAATTAAGTTAAAATTTGTATATACTAAAAGTGAATTAACTATGCTTGTCATTGCTTAGATAAATCATGTCAAATTATGTCCCTTGATGTATACTCTGTCCTATTAAATGAATGTTTATTCTGTCTGTGTATATGATGCAAAAGTAATGCCAGTTAAAATAAAAAAGTAACTACAGCTTTTTAAATTAAAAATGACTTCATTTCTTTTATTGATATTAACAATACATAGCAAAATGTGAACAAAGGTTAGAAAGAAGGTATACACATTTGCTTTGTGAACAACCTGTTTTTAAAATAATACCATCGAACAATATACATAAGAAGTCAGACAGCAAAGTATAGTGATTAAAATTTACTCAGAAATAATCTAAATATTTGGAGAAAGTCGTGTGTTATATAAGCACATACAAGCTTGTGCACACATGCAAACGTGCCTACTGTAGAGCTGAGTGTGTATATTTAACTCTGAATTTTAATAAGCAGAAAAAAATGAATCACAATAGCCTTTATGTACAGCATAGTATCTTTTTATAAAATTAAAGCTAATAAGTCTTTGTATTTCTAAAATTACTCTTTAGAATATATAGAAATGCAATAAAGCTACATAAAAAAGAATGATGAAATAGGTTCTAGATGACAAATACCTCAGCTAGTGAGAGGCAAACATATAGACTGGAAATATTTAAAGAAAAGTACACTCTACACAAATGTCTAGGCCAGTGAGTTTTCACAAACTGAACACACCCTTATAACCGATATTCACATCAAGAAACAGAACCTTAAGAGTAGCCTAGGAATCCCTTTTTGTTTCTGTTTTGCTTTGCTTTGCTTTTTTAGTCATTATCTCCACTCTTGTCAAGGGTAACCACTTCTCCTCCTAACATTATAGATTAGTTTTTGCCTGTGTTTTAAATTTACGTGATTGAAACTACATAGTATGTATTCTAGTGTCCAGTTTCTTTTACTCAGCACTAAGTTTGTGAGATTAATCTATATTTTCAAGGTTTAGTTATAAAGGGTTAATTGTTCCTGCTGGGTAGTTTCATTGTGTGACTATATCACAATTTATTTAACTGATCTACTGTGAATATGCCTTTACATAGCTTCAAATTTAGACTATTACAAATAATGCCAGTATAAACAAGGTTGTGCTTGCCTTTTGGTAAATATGTGTCCACATTTGTGTTAGGTATATGTCTATAAGAGCAATTGCTGGGCCATAGGATTTGCTTATAATCAACTTTAGTAGGTCTTGCCAAACAGTTTTAATTTACATTATTACACTCCACTATCTTGCTCCATATCTTTGCCAAAATTTGTTATTTTCCATCTTTTTTATTGCATTTGCATTTAGCCATTCTCATTGGTGTCTAATGGGTACCATTATATGGTTTAATTTGCATTCCCTTTAATACTGATGAAATTAAATTGCATGTAACTTTTATTGTCCATTTGATAGACTCTTGTGAATTGCATGTGCAAACCTTCTGCCCATTTTTCTCTTGAGTTTCTTTTTCTTGTTTATTTGTCTTTCTGTAACCAGATACAAATCCTATGACATATATATGTAAATATACATGATACATCTATATGTACATGTATATTAATATGTGTATCTATCACAAATACTTTCCCTCTATGTTGTCTATTCACACTATTAAGGGTACTTTTAGCAATCAAAAAATTTATCTTTAACATAGTCCAAGTTGCAAAATTTTCTTTTATGGTTATATATCTCTCTTTCTTGTTTAAGAAATATCTTTCTCTTTTAAAGTCACCTGTTTATTTGCTATTATTTTCTTTAGAATATAAGTATATGATCTACCAATGTCACTATTGGATGTATATCCAAAGGAAATGAAATCATATGTTGAAGACGTATCTCCATGTTTATTGTGATGCTATCCAAGATATAGTATCAACCTAAATGCCCATCTGTATAAATGGAAAAAAAATATGATACACACACACACACACACACACACAGACACATGGTATACCCTAAAACAGAATAAAATTCTGTTATTTTCAGCAATGTGGATAGACCTGGAAGACATTATAGAGAACACAATGTTAAGTGCAATAAGCCAGGCACAGAGCAACAAATATGTGATAGCACTCATATCTGGAATCTAAAAAAGGTAATTTCCTAGAAGAAGAGAGTTAAATAGTGGTAACCAGAGGCTGAGGAACAGAGGGATGAGAGGGACTTGGAGAGACTGGTCAATAAGTACAAAGTTACAGTTATACAGGGAGAATAAGTTTTGGTGATCTATCACACAGTAGGATGCCCATAGCAAATAACATATAATGTATATTTCAAGATAGCAAGAAGAGAAAACTTTGAATGTTGTTACCACAAAGAAATGATAAATGTTTAAGGTGATAGATATGGTAATTACTTTGATTTGATCATTATACCTTCTATACATGCATTGAAACATCACATTGTGCCCCACAAAAATGTCCAATTATTATGTCAATTAAAAATAAAGCTTTTTTTTACAAAGCTAAGAAATACTGCCTTTTACTTTAGACCTATGTCTGTCATTGTGTATAGTGTAGAGTAAGAGGTAAACTTTTTCTCTTATCAATATCCAGTTGGCCTGGCAGTATTTGTGGAAAAGGACAGTCATTCAGCTACTGCACAATACTATTTTTTGTTTTGAATGGTGAGTTATAAGTGCTAATTACATTGTTGAAAATAATGGAATTTAAAAATTAACTAAATAAAAATAGACTATGAATGAATCAATGGAAAAATATATATAGAATTTTATTTAATCAAATTCTGGTTATATTATGTATAATAAATGAAAAATACAATTAAAAATAACATATGTGAGTCAGAATCACAAAATCCTGATTCTTATGTAGGACAGTAACTAGTCAGAAAAACAGAATTGATATGTGAAATTATTTTAAATCAAGGGAGTTTAATGTAGGGAATTCTTTCCACAAATGATGGGGAAGTGAAATGGCAAAGAGACTCTTGCTTTCTGGGTTTTTATTGTATGCAGAATTATTAACTACAGAAAGCAGCTTCCACCCATAGGGTTGGGGAACAAAGAAGCTAGAATTCAGACTGATTAGTGGGGCTACGACTGGCACCTTATAAGCACAATGAGTCTGGTTCTGTGTGTGTCAGTAGAACCTGGAAACTGTAGGAACTGCTGAATTTCTGGTAAAGTTAGAATTGCAGTCAGCAAACAGAAATACAGAAGTTTCTTCTTCTCTTCCCCTGCCTTCCAATCTCCTTTTGATGTCCCTTATTGGCAGAAAATAACAGAAAGCCAACTGGCAAAGAGCTGATGTTTGTGTAGCTTTAGCACAAGAAAGCAAAGCACAGCAGAGCTGGCATGGAGCTGAGAAACTATAGATTAATAATGACACAATGATAAAACAAATTTGAACATTAAAGAAATAGTTTATTTTATTCACATTTAGATTTAAATTTAAATTAAACACAATGTCTCTTAATGCGTAAGTCAAAATGGTAAGGTGCTGTATTCAGATTGTATTTATATTTATTTATATGACATGGAATGTTGCATATTTTCCAAGGTTACATTAGTGAGACATTTTTAATTCAAAAAAAATTTATGGATTCTTATAACACATGCTTAATATTTAAGTCTGACGAACTGTCTTAGTGGTCATAATTTACAAGTCTTTCCAGTTTGTAGGTGCATTATTTTTTATTATTTAAATATCACTCTGTCCCCATCTTCTTCTTCATAACTACTAGCATTCAGACTTCATAAAATGGTCACAAATGCCGTTCCAATCGGTCAAAATAATTTCAGCCACTTCCTTTAAAGCTTACTTACTTCTTTAAAATCATATTCTCACGTATTTTTCTCATTAGAGATAAACAAAATACAAAACTTTGTGATGATTTGCAAATCAAAAAATTTATATCTCAGCCCTTTCAGAGAACGATATAGGAAAAAATAAAATCCCTCATGTGAATTTTCTCCCCAAAATTGATTAAGAGTTCATTTTGGAAAGTATTTCAAGCTTTTGGAGACTACACATAGCCAACTGGGAGAAATAAAAAAGCATAATAGAAAAGCATAATTCCCGCCTGTACTTATATATTCATTATTTTAAATTAACTTATTAATTCATGAGTTAATTCTCATGGTGGACCTCACTCTTCCACCATAAGAATGAGTTGGCACAATTTAAAAAAATCCATAAAAGTCAGTGCTTGGCCTCATGTAGTTCAAGAAAATATGATCAGTTAATCATATCTTCTTCTCCATTTATTGATTTGCTGTGTCATAGAAATGTATAGGCACAAACTAAGCTTTAAAAAGTGAGAAATAAATAAAAAGAAGAGAGAGCACAACTTATAGAAAGAAAGCTCATTTTTCAGATCTTCTCCCCTAAACCTGTCTCAAAAGGGGCAGCTCTCAAAATGTTATGGAATAAATTAAGCTCTAATTGGAATTTCCTAAACATTTCAGATCTCATTAAGAGAAGTAATATAATAAGAACTAATCTAAGACATTGTAAAAAATTAAAAATCAACATTGTTAGAAAATATTAGTTTTTCTTTCTCTTTGTTTTTATAAAGATTGTGTGCACACTTTTTCTAAAAAAGATTCATTTAAAAGTAAATATATTAAACTATCTAACTGATGTTTTCTGATGTAGATAAAACAGAAAAAAGATTTATCCAATGTACTTTAACATTTAAATTGTTGAATTTGTGTTGGTGCATCAGATAATGTTGATAACCAAAGTCCTAGTTAAGACTATAAATTAGGATTAATTATGAATTCTAGTGATTTTACCAAAAAAACACTTTTATCTATAAGACTAATAAGCCAATAAGTAAAATTTCCTTTTCCTTTTTTTTTCTGCTTCCTTTCTTCCACTATTGAAATGCCTGTTAACAGTCAAAGGTTGACAAAAGTAGGAAGAAGCGAGATCAAATTACTGTGAAGTTAGATTGCACCTGCCAAACAGGCTCGCCTGGTAGCTGGCTACTAGGGAGAATTCTCAGGTATAGAACACCACAAAGCTGCTGCTTTGACATTCTTTCCAGTTTGGAAAGGAATAAAAACACAGGTGACACAATATAATTTCCAGAAATAGATAGATCAATTCCTGGGAAAAGTCAAAACTTGAGAAAAAGGAAGTGGACTTTATTTTTTTGTAAGAATTTCTACTGGAAACTGTTAAACATGAGATTGGGTAGTAAAAAGAGAGTTGTAATAAACCCATGATACACAAACACACATATATACACATTTATATATATAGAAGTGTGTGTATATAACATGTGTAAATAATAAATAAATTCAAGGCAACATAGATTGGAGAAGGGAAAGGATCAGGAAAAATAACTAACGTGTACCAGGCTTAACACCTGGATGATGAAATCATCTGTACAACAAACCCGCCAGGACACAAGTTTACCTATGTAACAAACCTACACTTGTACCCCTGAAATTAAAATTAAAATTAAAATAAGGAAACTTGCCTTTATTACAGCCTTTTAAATTTCAGATGATTTCTACATCAAGTGTTATCAGACTATTTCTTGACTAGTTGAAGTAAACAGGTAACTCACAAATGGTGCAGAACACTTTGACTTCATCAGTTTCTTCCGTGGTTATTTTCTTCTTTAGTTGAGCAGCCACACCCTCAAACTATATCATTTAAATATGTGCATACCTTAATAAACTCATTGACAGGAAATACTGTTAGAATTTAGGATACTGAAATAGCAAGAAATGAGAGCTGAAAGACTAAAAAGAAGAGAATACAAATATATTAACTAAAAATAAATGATGAGAGACTCCAGGAGAAATAAGATAAGGAGTTTGCAGTTCTTCAGGCCTTCAAGGTCCCTAAGACATCTCTTAATTTAACACAGCATAGTAACATATTTGAATGACAAATATGTTTGAATCATTCAATCCATTTAATCTGTACAAAAATAATAATACTAGTTAACATTTATTGACTGATAACAAGATGTCAGGTACTGTTCTGAATGCTATTTGCATTGGAAATTCTGCAGTATTTAAAAGAACGCAGGGATTTTGGCTTCAGTAGTCTTCAACCATAGTAACAACAACTATTTTGTGAGGCTTATTAACATTCCTATTTATAGTTGAGGAAACTAATATAAATAAAGCTTTAGTAAATTGTCAAGAACACACAATTTTTTAGGTGGGAAAGCCAGGTTTTGAATCAAAGGAATGTGGATTGAAATACAGAATATTTAATCCCTACATTAAACTGGAGATTGAGAGACAGTGAAAATAAAATGTAGAATTTATTTTATTTTCTGAAAATTAATCTAAGTGAAAGTTCTTATATATCACAAAAGATACATTACTCTATTTGCATTGTTGGCATGCCCATACACACAAACACAAAATCAGCTACATTGAATTACTTTAAAAAGGGAAGTCATAAAATATATTATGGTTATAGATACAATCTTAATTAGAGTCATGAAGCTCCTTTTAGATGTTTTCAGTCTATGATTCTAGTCTATTCAAGCATTCAAAGTGATATATATTATCACTTCTGCTCTTACCATTTATTCATTGAGGTATTCTTTCATTTACTCATTATTTAATTATCGAACAATTATATGCACCAGGTACTGTGCTAAGAACTGTTTGGATGAAAAATTTAATGCCATAAACTCTTATCCTCAAAGAATTCAGAGTTTATTTGTGAAAGGCAAATTAACAAATAAATTTAGTGCTGTAAGGGCAATGTGCTAGTCAGTGTGGAAGAGATATTAAGGGGAATGTGAAAAAGAATACATAATCAAGCCTGAAAATATGGTGGGGACAGGACATCAAGAAAGTCTTTTCCTAGGACCTGGTATTTGATCTGAGTCATAAAAAATAAACAAGAGTTTGTTGTACCAAACATGGATGGGAAGAAGAAAATGCTTTCTAGGAAGAGGGGGATACAAAGGCATGGAATAAAACAATAAAATGTGCTTGGAGTAGGTGGTGTGAAGTGGAGAATAGCAAGAAATAGAGTTCAGATGCAAGAAGAATCCTTGAAAATCATGTGAAATTGTTTGCTGTTAGGTGAGAAGGAGTCTTTGGATAAATTAGACACAGAAATGATACAGGCTGATTTGAAATGAGAAAGATTCACTTTGAAAGCTACATGGAGAATGAATTTGAGGAAGACAAACTGGGAAGCAGAGATAAAGAGGTTTTTGCAGATGTCCTAGAAACACCTATGAGGAAATAAACGATCATGGTGGTAGTAGGACTAAAAAATAAATTAATTAAAATAATGTAGAAGATATATAGACTTTTAAGATTAATTGGGTATGTATGAGGGAAGAAAGCTGAAGTCAAGATTAAGTTTCAGGCACTTAACTTCAGTGCCTGGGTGGAAGATGATAACAAGGAGGTGCAAAATACACTAGAAGCGAGTTGAAAGGGAATGATATATTCAGATTTGAGGACTTTGAGTTTGATAAGCCCATAACTTACACATATAGAAAAATCTAGCAAGTGGTTTGATAGATGTATTTGAAGGCCAGGCAAAAGAAGGAAACTAGAGATAATGCATTTAGGTGATTCAACACACAAAGGCTGCTTAATATGTGAGAGGGGATGAGATTTTCCTTAGCAAAGTATGAATGTAATGTGAGATCAGTGGTCCAAGATAAGAACCCTGGAAAATATAGATACTGTCAGGGCATTGTAGATACCAAGATGTAATGTTAGCTTTAAAAAATAATAATTCAGAAGAAATCTAGGGGTAACTTAGATTAAGATAAAGATATTCCAGCTAAAAAGTCATGAGTGATTGCAATGAGTTAGTGAATTTCATCATTCTGTAAAAGTCAAATAATGTTTTATTCCAAAACTAACAAAAAGAAAATGTCTCACAAGATTTTGAAAGCCATCACAACAATCTCTTATGAATTCTTTCTGCCTCCCATTATCATGGCAGCCCACATAGAACATGTAAGAAATGTAAGATAATATGTTTCTGATCATATCTTATGCAGAGTCCATGCTTATTCTTTTAAATTCTATAATTTCCAATACCAGTGACATATTCAGTGTGATATTTGGAATATTCCAAATTTTATATATTTTGATGGAGCAACTTCCCATTGGAAGAATAAGAAATACAATATTCTATGTAAGACTGTATATATACACATATACACAAAAAATACAGAAACACACACATACACAGACAATGAACACACACACACACACACACAAAGTTTTCCAGCTGTTCTTCATGTATCTAGTAGAAACAAGAGAATAAGTCCACTTTGGATAAGCATGTCATGGCTACCAAAAGGCTCAATGAGGTCAACGTATTCTGATTCCCCCATTTGTTTGTTCTTTGTCTCAACCCATTCCACATCTCATAATTGTCTCATCTTTCTTCTTACAATTTCTTATTTTGTACATAACTTCTTTTTACTTGTATTTGCCATTTTTTTTCCCATTGCCCTTAGTATACTGCTTAAATATGTGATTCTGCAAACTCTTCTTTGAGTGGCTGGCACTTCTTGCTCTAAGTCTCCTGCCCTCAGCTGCCTCAAGTGCTCCAGTGTTTCTTTCTTCTAGATA
The DNA here is from genome assembly GCF_000001405.40 of Homo sapiens. Classification (NCBI taxonomy): domain Eukaryota; kingdom Metazoa; phylum Chordata; class Mammalia; order Primates; family Hominidae; genus Homo; species Homo sapiens. The sequence goes on from NC_000003.12 coordinate 94,815,665, forward strand.
AATCTTGCTGATAAATTGTATGTCATGAAGTTTCTAAATTATTTCACTAAACTTCTCATTTAATCTAATTTGATCCATTTCAAATATATATCTTGTCAATGGTTATGTCCAGAACTAAATACAAAAGAAGAGAAGTAATCAAAATGATATATATTGAGAAATCATCTCCCTCATTCTTATCAGTATATAGGTTTTATCTCTGTCCAGACACTTTTCAGTAGTGCCTTTCCTTTCAGATCACTTCACCTCTGAGAATAAAGTATCTTGATTTCTGTTAATTTAAAATAAAAAATAGTTTAAACAGAGTAAAGCAGAGTCTCAAAGCAGAGAAAGGCTTCACTTCTGCTGCTGAGCAAAGTTGAAATAAAACGTTATCACCAGAGAGCAATAAGAAAAATAGCCAAGCATCTCAACATTGGAAACAAATGACATCCAAGGAAAGACAATCTTTGTTCCTCGTAGCTCTCTGTAACTGGGTATGGGCTTTTAAATTTAATCTCTACATTGTGTGTGTGTGTGTTTTGTCATGTTATCCTCCCAAGAATTTGTCCTCAGGTACATTTACTTAGTTCTCAGTTACTACCTCCAATATCACACCCACTTTCCGCTCTTTTTCTTTGAAAGAAATCAATAAAATTGGCAACAATCTAACCAAATGATCAAGGAGACAAAAAGAGAAGACACAATTTATTAGTATCAGAAATATAAAGGTGGCATCACTACAGATCTTCCAGCCACTAAAAGGATGGTAATAAATATTCTTGTGCTAATCAACTCAACAACTGGAATTCAAGAATATATTGTGAATATTAACTAATAGTAAGTATTTATTATTATCTTCAATAATTTGAAGTGGAAAAATTCCTCAAAAATATACCATGTCAAAACTCACTCAAGAAAATATTGGAGAAAGTGAACAGCCTTATGTCTACAATAGAAATTAAATCTGTAGACAAACACCTTTTCACTAAAAGAATTTCATGCATAGATAGCTTCACTGGTGAATTCTCCAAAAACTCTTCCAAAAGCAGAAGATAAGGAAACACTTCTTAATAGATTTAGGAGACCAGCATTACCCTCATACAAAAGCCAGAAAAAGGCATAAAACAAAATATTGCTACAAAATAATATCTCTCATTAATATGTACATAAAAATATTTAATATAATGTTGGCAAATAAAATCATGTAATATATAAAAGGTTAATACATATGATCATGTATGGTTTTTTCCAGGAATAAAAGTTTGGTGTAACAGCTAAAAAAATTGTAATCATGATATTAATAAAATAAAGGGAAAAAAAAGTAATTACCTCCAAAAGTACAAAATGAGTATTGCAAAATTCAACAACTTAGAATTAAAAAATAATAATAATTACACTCAGCACAAAAAAAACAGAAGGCAGCATTCTCATTTTTTAGATTCTCCTCAGCAAACAGACCTGCAAAAACCTCCAGCTAACATAACATCTCCATGGTAAAAGATTGAATACTTCCGTCCCCAATACCAGGAACAAGGCAAGGATGTCTAATCTTACCACTTCCAATCAATTTTGTATTGAGAATCCTGGCCTGTGAAAAGATGTAAGAAAAAGAAATAAATGTGATACACAATTTCTATGCAAAATCCCAAGAAAATCTATCAAAATCTTGTTCTCATTTTAACTAATAAGTGAGTTTAGCAAACAAAATCTAAAAATTTTACTTTCTAAAGGATGCCATTAAGGAATAAAAAAGGAAAGGAAAAACTGAGAGAAAACAATTTTAAAACACATATTTGATCATAGACCTGCATCCAGAATGTATACAGAATACTTACAACTCAATATAATAAAACTAAAATTAAAAATCACTAAAAAATCTATTAAAATTTATTAAAAATTATACAAATACTTTAAGAAAGAAGTTATGGAAGTATACATAATCACATGAAAACATGCTCAACATGATTAATCATTAAGAAAATATAAATTAACAACTACAATGAGATACCACTGCATACTCACTGGAATGCTGAAACTATGACTGGCAATACCAAGTGTTAGAGAAAATGTAAAGCAATTGAACCCTCATATATTGCTGACAGGAAAACAATATGATCCAGTAAAGTTGGAAAATAGTTTGGCAGTTTCATTTAAAGTTAAACACACATTTGCCCAACAATCCCAGTGTGAGGTATTTACTCAAGAAAAATGAAAATGTATGTATCAAAAAGGGGCTTATACCTGAAGGTTCATAGTCACTTTACTTATTTTACGCCCCCAAGTTGGAAAAACGCAAATGTTCATTGACTAGTAAGCCCTTCAACAAATTTGGGTGTACCATAACATGGACCGCTCTTCAACAATATGAAGTTGGGGCCAGGCACAGTGGCTCATGCCTGTAATCCCAACACTTTGGGAGTCTGAGGCTGGTGGATTACCTGAGGTCAGGAGTTGAAGACCAGCCTGGCCAACATGGTGAAACCTCGTCTCTACTAAAAATACAAAATTAGCTGGATGTGGTGGTATGCACCTGCAATCCCAGCTACTCAGAAGGATGAGGCAGGAGAATTGCTTGAATCCAGGAGGCATAGGTTGCAGTGAGCCAAGATCACTCCACTGCACTCCAGCCAGGGCAACAGAGCAAGACTCTGTCTCAAAAAAAAAAAAAAAAAAAAAAAAAAAAAAGAAAAAAAAAAAAATATATATATATATATATATATATAGAAGATGTGAAGTTATGTGATACTTCATAATGTGAATTATGAAGATACTGGGAAATCTAAATACAGCCTTGACAGTTGATAATATGAATAAATTACTTTTAATTATTTTAGGTCTGAGAATGAGAAACATTGAAAATGTATGATGGACCAATATTATGCCTGAAATTTGCTTTGAAATAACATTATATGTTAGGAGTAAATGTTTAACAATTTGATCATAAATCTGTAATTGTTGAAGCTGAGTGAGAGTATATTCAGTTCATCATCCATTCTCTCTACTACTGCAAATGTTTGACATTTTTCATAATAAAATGTAAAATAAATAAAATTTATTACAGTTGTCCCTCAGTGTCCTTGGGGATTTGGTTCTAGAAGCCACCACCAATATAAAAACCCAAGGATGCTCAAATACTTCAGATAAAATGGTGTTCTATTTGCATATACCCTATGTACCTCCTTGTGTATTCTTTAAATCATCTCTGAATTACTTCTAATACTTAATATTATTGTAAATGTTGTGTAAATAGTTATACTGTAATGGGTTTTGTGTTATTTTTATTATTGTGCTACTCTTATTTATTTACCCATTCAAATATTTTCTATATGTGGTTGGGTGAATCTGTGGGTGCTGCACCTGTGAATACAGAGCACTGGCTCTATATCTTGTAAAAAAAATTATTCTAAAAATATTACATGAGAATATTTGTCTCAAGATACCCTCCCTAGAATGAACTACTTAATTATTTAATTTTCACCAATACAATTGTGAAAAGTGGTATTATATGGTTGTGTTAATTTGTAACTATTTGATTATTACATTTGCTGTATATTTTTATTTCTCATTTGGGATTTATCTCTTCATGTCAATAGTCCTTGATTCTTCTTTGTTTTATGTTTTGTTTTGTTTTTTTTTTTTGCATTTACCATCTTCCCAAATTCTGATGGGAAAAATAACAATAATATTACCAGGAAATTTTTTTGGTACAAACTATTTACAAAAGATTGTGTCAGAAAAAGTTGGTATACTTTAGCTCAAAGCAATAGAACAATTCTGTGGGTTACACTTTATTACTATGTATGTTTTTTAGTTGAAGAAACTAAAGTTTAGGATGATTATGTAACTTACTAAAGGTAGTACAGCTAAAAAGGAGTCAAGCAACCAAGGAACTATAGAAAAAAATCCCTGACATGCACACGTATGTTTATTGCAGCACTATTTACAATTGCAAAGTCATGGAACCAACCCAAATGCCAATCAATGATAGACTGGATAAAGAATACATGGTACATATACACCATAGAATACTATGCAGCCATGAAAATGAATGAGATCATGTCCATTGCAGGGACATGGATGAAGCTGGAAGCTATCGTCTTCAGCAAACTAACACAGGAACAGAAAACCAAACACCACATGTTCTCTCTCATAAGTGGGAGTTGAACATTGAGAACAGATGGACACAGAGAGAGAAACAACATATCCAGGGCCTATTGGGGGTGTGGGTGAGGGGAGGGAACTTAGAGGACTGATCAGTAAGTGCAACAAACCACCAAGGCACACGTATACCTATGTAACAAACCTGCATGTTCTACTCATGTATCCCAGTTTCTTTTTTTTTTTTTAAACAAATAAGAAAAAAAAAAAAAAAGGTCGAGGATTTAAGGTTTTTTTGACTCCATTCAGAAATATTGACGATTCTAACCTTCCTTTTTAACATTTCCATACTTGTTGCATCTTATCCAACTCACTTTAATATCCCAATTGGGGATCTAATTATTTTTCTTTGAAGAAAAGCCTCTTCCTCTTTTTTTATGTTCCTAATTTGATTGTCTTCTATCCTCCTTTTTCTGCTTACACAAAGTATGAAGTCATAGTGTGAATGCAAGCTTTTTTATAAAATTGTATAATATAACATTAATAACATTGCTTGTGTAATCATTATCTGGACTTAAATATTGAATGTGTTATTTATGGGCTATATATTTCCACAAATTAATAAATATGTCTGCTTTAATCTTTCTCATCTATAATATGGGACAATAATACACACATTACATTGTTCTGGAAGACTAAATTAGAAAAGTTCAACCACGTTTTTAGTTCATTGATTGATACAAAGGTTATCATTAAGAAGTATAGAAATTCTTTCCAAGAAATATTACAACTAGAATTCATCATCATGGGGAAAAAAAAATCGCTTAATTACGAACTCCTCTAAGCTCCTGTGGCAGGTCACCCATAAAATAGACCCAATGGTCTTCACTTCCTGATATCAACAGGCTTGTCTTAGCCCCTCCCCTTATGTAACTTGCTTCTCAGCAAAGTAATATGGCAAAATTGAGGGTATCAAATTATCATGATTAAGTTACAAAGAAATAGTTATTTTTATCTTGCAAGTTTTCTCGGCCATGTTGGAGATTTTTATGTGGCACAAAACTCAGAGAAATCTCCAGCCAACAGCCAGTAACTGAAGCCCTCAGTCAAAGAGCTGCAAAGGAATCACATTCAGCCAGTGACCACAGAGGCTGAGATTGGAAGATCATTCCCCTCCTGATCCTTCAGGAGAAACTCCAGCCCTGGTGGGCATCTGGACTGCAGTCCGTGCATCATGAAAGACCATGAAGCAGAGTGCCAAGCTATAGTGTACCCAGATTTCTGACTCGCAGAAACTGTGAGATAATACATATATGTTGTTTTAAGTGAAATTTTAGTAAAAGTTATTATCCAGTAATAGTTAAACAAGTTCTTTAAATGTGTACTCTTGTGATAATACCATTTATCATGTACATTTATTTTACCTACGTTACAAATCTGTAAACAACTAAAGTGCATAATCTACCTAGTATCTATTTTTGTCTAGGTCAATTTTTTTGTTCTATTAATATTTATTTGATTTATTATGCCTAAATGGTTGTTCTGATATTGGCTTAGTCTACCTTCCCCTGAAAAGCCTAAACTAACCTTAGATATATCATATAGTTAAATTTCCAAAGCATTTTTCATTAGCATGATGTTTCACAAGACGTCTGGTATGGAGACATGCCATGAAAAGTGTTTATTACTTACACTGATTGCATTCACAGTGAACAAGACATGGTGAGCCAGATGGCTTGCAACTTAACTTGAATTAATATACAATTTTGTTCAGTGTGTCTTAAATATTTTTGCTCAATAGTAGTTGAGTTCATCTACTGTTGTAAAAAATCTCCCATGCACATAAGTTACACACATAGGTTATGCACATAAGGTTAATAGATACATTAAATCTCAATTTTTTTAGACATTGCTTACAGAAATAAAATCACAAGCTTAGTTCTTAAATATTTGCTGGACAAACACAGTAAATGACTTTTGATAAAATTATTGCACATAAAATTTGAATTGCAGTTTAAAATTTTGACATTCTTGATTTAAGACGTTCGATATTTTGATGGAAAATGATGTTCAGCAGTAGCTATAGCATTTAGCACATTTCATTTAGCTATAACATTTAGCACACTCATTTAGCACATTATGGATATATGTCTGCTGAATTCAAACACATTCTCTTCTTTCACATATTCTTTTTTCAATAATTTTTCCTCCTGAAAGTATAAGCCACTTCACTGAGCTATTAATAAATTATCTTAATAGAATATAAGAAACATTTTTATTTCAACAATGCCAATCTATATATTATATTTTAGTATAATGTTGAGAAGGAAATATTTCACTAGTGAACTAAAATACTAAAACAGTATTATACTAAAATAATAATGTCCTAATGAAAAATAGACTTACAAATATAAGATTTATGAGCTTATGAATGATTAGAAAACTTACTTTCTTAATGGTTACTGATTATTGTAAATTTAAATGTATTTCTTATTTGTATTTGGTTATATTGACAAAACAACTTCAGCCTGAGAGCCCTAGTATTTTCAGTGAAAACATGTATCCCTTCCTCACTTCCATAAGTTTGAGATTGGGGTTTTCTACCAGTTCTTCTAACTTCTCCACTAAAATAGAATTTACCTCTAAATTATTTTCTCACTTACTAAACAAATAATATTATGATTCAAATCTAAGAATATGGTGTGACCCACTGGAAAAAAATTTGGCTGAGGAGTAACAGGTGACTAGCCCCGTATCAAGCCCTTGGCCAACATGTTTTAGTATGCATCACTTTTCAAATTTGTATTTCTCTTGAATTCCTAATATTGAAGTCATTGTTTTCCTCAAGTGTTAGAGATTTAGCCCTTCTTATTTGTCTCCATGTATTATTTACCAGTGCTGTGGGGAAACATACGTTTTTTCAGACATTACCAGCTGGACTTCTGGGGAAAATAATCTTTCTTCCTTGTTGAAGTCTTCTTTTTCATTTGAACTTTGTGGAATGTTTGGTTATAGCTATGAAGAACTTGGAAATGCTCATAGAGAACAATTAGCAAATCAATGTAATGTGTCAGGATAGAATATTTAACATTGGTTCTTAATGCTGTAACAGACTAAAATTTATTAACATTTACATATTTTACTAAATAAAATAAAACTTCATAATTCAAAGCCGAATAAATGTTCATTTTTTATCCACTGTTATAGCCAAATTATTTTACTGTGATTTTTACCTATGAAACAGTCCAAGTAGACTTGTGAAATATAACAGAAAAAAGTATATATGAATATTACCAGATCCAATTTCATAAAAACCATAGTAAATATTCTATTTAAGACTGGATATGACTAAACTTTATTAGACTTGAACTGTATTCTGGGTAATTGTCCAGTAATAGCCTTTGCTAAATTATACAAAGCCTTTACTTTACTTAACAGGGAACACAAACTCCCCAACCTCTAATATTATCATCATTCAAGATGATGAGCAACACAAACCATTCTATTACCAATCTAAAAGCAATAAATGTCAAAGTAAAGAAGTATGCAATATTCTAGCCTGAAAGAACAAAGGACAAAAGTAATGATAATACCTCTTTATATTTGCACTCTATTATATCATGCACAACAAATGATGCTATAATTGTAGACAGTGTTATTTTAACAGGTTATAAGGAGAAGATAGTGGGGGAGGTGACAGTGTTTTGATGATTGCTGTGAAAAATGCTTCAAGCATCTTAATTTAAAATAGCCAGCAAGAGGAGGATATCATTTTTAGAATGAATTTGATTTTAGTGCTTTGAGTCATATAAGCTGAAAATTTCAGTGTTTGATTAACTATCTAATTTATTGTATTAGTGACTTTAAGGCAGTTGGAACACAGGACCTAATACAATATATCCCTTTCCAACTAAGTAATCATCAGAAAGAACAGGGATTGGATCAACAGTTTCTCAACCAGTGATTTCAAATAGTTCAATGGAAACCCATGTTGGAAAGGCAAAGTGTATCAAGCAAACAAAACCACATTTCCCTAGTGAACACTAAACAATAAAATAAAACTGATGCTCTATCCTAAAGCATTATAGTTCATTGTGTTTGCATCTTCGTGAGTTACACAGGTTTCAGGACTGCAGAGATATGCCATTAACACTATAAATGAGGAGATCTGGCTTAAGCATTGAATCCTCCCTTGACTAATATATAAAACTAGTTTTAAAAATATATATTTTTGGGTAAAAGAAACAAGAAGTTTTTGTAGTCTGCATAAATCATACAAAATACCAGGAGAGTTATGTGACTTTGACTTATGTGAAGTTTTTCCATTCAAATTTTGCTCTTTAAACATATCCTCTAAAATTTATCCACAGACATACATCTTACTACATAGGGCTGACGTATGGACTTTTGGAGACAAAGTATACGAATATTTGATGGAGATACTCTCTTTATAGGCTTTGGGGGTATTTTGTGGTATTACGCTATTAGAATACTACTTTCATTTATAGGTTCCTGCCCTTCCTCTGGACAACATACCATTGATAATCAGGACAATAGAAACCTTTAAATTTAGGACATTCTGGCATAGTTAATATTCTTAAAGTTTTTTTTTCTTTTTGGCTCACAAGTATAACCTTTGTTATCTGCATCAATAATGAAGAGCATCCACAAACTGGTTTTGTGAACAACAAAAGGAGTATTTTTTCCAAACACATACAAATAGCTATAATTTACACAAGAGTAATTAAATTCAGCTTATAAGTAACTGATCATAACTGGAAATCTTACTAAGAGAATAAAAACATTTTGCTTATAAGGATTTCATTTGCTCAAATTCAAAGAGTAGAGCAAATACAATAATTATAACCCCCTGCAGCTGAATTAGTACATGGGTTCATGTCTTACAACTTGGTAAATACTCTGTATATTGAGTCAGCCAATCTCTGCCTATCTTGCTCCCAAGTGTTCTGGTTCATAGGTGAGATTAATTTCACATTGTACAGAAACAGTCCTTTCTTTAGAAAATCATGAGTGAATAATGTATCTTCTCAGAGTTAGTATATAAATGAACAATATTCTGAGGACTCTGATCATTCTTGTCTTAATATAGGTGATACTCAGGCATGCCTCAATGATAGTGCAGGTTGGTTCTAGGCAACAAGAATGAAGCAAATTTTCCAATAAAGCAAGTCACATGAATTTTTTGGTTTCCCAGTGCATATAAAATTATGTTTATACTGTTAAGTGTACAGTAGCATTATAACTAAAAGTAATAAACATATCTTAATTAAAAATACTGTATAGCTAAAAAGTGCTATTGACCATATGAGCTTTCAGCAAATCATAATTTTTTGCTAGTGGAGGATCTGACCTCAATGTTGATGGCTGTTTACTAATTAGGGTGGTGGTGGCTGAAGGTTGAGGTGACTTTTTCAATTTCTTAAGAACCCAATGAAGTTTGCTTTATCTATTGACTTTTCCTTTCACAAAAAATTTCTTTGTAGCATACGATGTTGTTTGATAGTGTTTTATCCGCATAAATATTTCTTTCAAAATTGGAGTCAATCCTCTCAAACCCTGCCACTGCTTTATCATCTAAGTTTATGTAATGTTCTAAATCCTTTGTAGTCATTTCAACAATATTCATCTCAAGAAATCACCTTTTCATTTTGCTCATTTATAAGAAGCAACTCCTTACTGTTCAAGTTTTATCATAAGATTGCAGCAATTCAGTCACATGTTTAGGTCCCACTGCTAATTCTAGTTCTCTTATTATTTTCTCCACTGAAATTATTTCTGCATCTGCCGTTACTTCCTCCACTGAAGTTTAGAGCTCCTTATAATAGGAATCAGTTTTTTAGCAACTCTTGTAAATATTGATATTTTGACTTTCTCTCATGAAGCATGAATGTTAATGTCATCTAGAATAATTAATCCATTTCAAAAGGTTTTCAATAGGTTTTCAATTTACTTTGCCCAGATCTATCAGAGGAATCACTATCTATGAAAGGCATAGCCTTACAAAATGTATGTCATAAATAATAAGACTTGAAAATCTTATTATTTATTTTATTTGAAAGTCTAAATTAATCTTTAACCTATGAGCTGCAGAATGGATGTTGTGCTAGTAGACATAAAACCAACATTAATCTGCTTGTGTATCTTCTTTAGAACTCTTGGGTGACTAGGTTCCTTCTTGATAATCACTAATGTTTTAAAAGAATTATTTTTTATCTGAGCAGTAGTAGGTCTCAACAGTGATCTTAAAATATTGAGTAAACCATGCTATACACAGATGTGCTATCATCCAGACTTTATTGTTTGGTTTATAAAGCACAAGAAGAGTGGATTTAGTGTAATTCATAGAAGCCCTCAGATTTTCAGAATGGTAGATAAACATTGGCTTCAACTTAAAGTCACTAGCTGTATTAGCCCATCACAAGACAGTCAGCCTGTTCTTTGAAGATTTGAAGCCAGGCATTGATGATACTCCTAAATGTCTGTTTACATAAGACAGTTTTGCTTATATTGAAAATCTGTTTAGTGTAGCCACTTTCATCAGTTATCTTAGCTAGTTCTTCTGGATGACTTGCTACAGCTTCTACATTAACACTTGCTGTTCCACCTAGCACTTTAAAGTTATGGAGTCAGCTTCTTTCCTTAAACTTCATGAATGAACCTTTGTTAGAGTCCATCTTTTTCTTGTAGTTTTATTGCCTGTCTTGGTTTTCATAGAATTGAAGAGAATTAGAACTTTGCTCTGGATTAGGCTTTGGTTTAAGAGAATGTTGTGGCTGGTTTGATCTTCTATCCAGACCACTAAAACTTTCTCCATATCAGCAGTAATGCTGTTTTACTTTATTAGTCATGTTTTTACTGGAATAGCACTTTTAATATCCTTCGAGAACATTCACAGCTTGGCAAATTGTTTGACACCAGAGGCCTAGCTTTTGGCCTAACTTGGCTTTTACATGCCTTCTTTACTGAACTTAATCCTTTCTATCTTTGGATTTAAAGAGGGAGATGTATGATTCTTTCTTTCACTTGAATACTTAGAGGCCACTGTAGAGTTATCAATCGGCCTAGTTTTCATATTGTTGTGTCTCAGGGAATAGTAGGGTCTGAGGAAAGGGAGAGAGACAGAAAAAAAAAAAAACAGTTGGTTAAACAGTCAGAGAACACATAACATTTACCAATTAAGTGTTGACATGGGTTTGTGACACTCAAAAACAGCAAAAATCATAAAAACAAAGATCACTGATCACTATAACAGATGTAGTAATAATGAAAAATTTCAATTAACAAACTGACACAGAGACATGAAAAGAGTACATGCTGTTGAAAAAGTTTCACTGATAGACATATTCAAGGTAAGGTTGCCATGCACCTGCAACTTGTGAAAAACACTGTATGTGCAAAGTGCAATAAAGTGAAGCACAATAAAACTAGGTATACTTATATTTTAATATCTAATATATAGTATAATTTCATCATGATTAGAATATCTTAAAAGTATTTTTGCATGCATAATTATTTTCTGATTAGATTTACTTCAAAATGCAGCTTCCTTGGGTTCTTTTTCTTTTTTACTCCTTTTAAAAGAGATGTTTCTTGTGAATTAACTGGAAGAAGTTTATTAGGAGTATTCATCTCTAGGCAATTACAGTATAAATTTGAGCTGATGATGTTTCCCTTTGAAGTTATCAGACCCTTATTTATTCATCTGTGGGGTCTTTCTCAGCAGGCTTGCTTTAATCTACAAGTCATTTGAGAAATGGTCTGATAAACTGGTTCTTCCTTAAATATTGATGACTGAAATATTGGTTAATATTTTAAAAATTAATATCTTAGTTAACATTTTAGCAAATTTCTGGAAGTATAAAGCTTTTATGACTCCATCGTCTTAGAAAACAATCTTTGTGGTAGAATTTCTGGGTACTAACTTAAAATCTGTGAGATATTATGGTTTGTACATAGGATTTTTCCTTTTTTAGGGCCCTAAAAATATGCCACACAGATGGTCTACTTATAGTATAGTTTTTTCTTTTACTGAATAATTTTCACTTGGTTCTGAGTTCCTTAATGGCAAGAAACTGTGTCATTTACATGTTTGTATCTAGTATTTGGCACTTAATAAATATTCTGTATATTTCTGTATACAAAAAAGCAAAATCAAGGAAAGTCTTATTCTAAATTAATAAGGCCATTTTGCCCAGGAAGTGTGTTAAATGCAGAAGCAAACAACATATTTTTGGTTATAAAAATTTTGTAGTATTCAATTCAATTTTTAGGTAGGAAATCTGGATCAGAAATATTATTATAAACTAAATGCTACATCTGAACTAAAACCAAAATATTTTGCCCATTACTTTTTTATGATAAAATTGTTAATATAATCTTTCTAATAGCAAAGAACAAAATTTAAAACTTACATATTCTTGTAAAGTTATCTGTGAATACTGTAGAATTTCAGAATAAGTTACTAACAAAATTTAGCCCCCTTTGTTAAATTAAAATTAATAACCCATTATGGAGCAGTTATCATTTGGAAGGAAGGATGTAAGATCACTAAACCAGACTTTAGTAAGATAGTGAAACAAGAGAGGATAGATTTGCTAATAAAATCATTCACTGATGATGCTACTTTAAGTGATATTTTTTGTTTTTTTGAGAAGGAGTCTCACTCTGCTGCCCAGGCTGGAGGACAGTAGTGTGGTCTCAGCTCACTGCAACCTCCACCTCTGGAGTTCAAGAGATTGTCTTGTCTCAGCCTCCCAAGTAGCTGGGATTACAGGCACGCACCATCATGCTTGGCTATTTTTTGTATTTTGAGTAGAAACAGGGTTTCAGCCTGGTTTGGTCAGGCTGGACTCCAACTCCTGACATCTGGTGATCTGCCCTGTTCAGCCTCCCAAAGTGCTCAGATTACAGGCATGAGCCATCGTGCCTGGCCTAAGTGATTTTTAAATTCATTTTTTAATGAATCCAAAGAAAATAGAATAAGTTACAGCTTTCTTTTCTACCTGAAGCTACCAATTAATATGGTGATTGCATTTTTTTTTTTTTTTTGAGATGAAGTCTCACTCTTTCACCCAGGCTGGACTGCAGTGGTGCTATCTTGGCTCACTGCAATACTGCAAACTCCGCCTCCCAGGTTCACGCCATTCTCCTGCCTCAGCCTCCCAAGTAGCTGGGACTACAGGTACCCACCATCACGCCCGGCTAATTTTTTCTATTTTTAATAGAGACGGGGGTTTCACCATGTTAGCCAGGATGGTCTCAATCTCCTGACCTTGTGATCTGCCTGCCTCCGCCTCCCAAAGTGCTGGGATTACAGGCGTGAGCCACCGCGCCTGGCCGGTGATTGTATTTTGATTTAGCACAAAATTTCCCCATTCCATCATCAAAAATACATTAATGTTTAAGGCAATTTTGATCATATTCTAAACATTTTCATAAAAACTGTGTATCTGGCACTTATTATTGTCCTTTTCATTTGTCTCTAGATTTTGTTACAAAAGTAGAAAATTGATTAAATGTTAATAGTAGGATTCCATTCTAAAATACTCAGGACATTGTTGCAGCTTCTTCACTCCTGTTGTTCAGGGGAGTGAGAGGCAGTGGTAAAGCTCTTTTACTCCCACCACTGGTGAGCTTCAGGTTCTTGTCCCATAATCAAGAAGAATAAGACATGCAGACGCCAGAGAGTGAGTAAGGCAGAGTCGGATTTATTAAGCAACAGAAAGGAGAGGGGACCCAACAGAGAGTTGCTAAATGCGAGGCTGAGTCTGGGGTTTTTATGGGCTTAGAATGAGGAAATGCAGGCTGATTGGTTTATGGGTAAGCTTGGGAAAAGCACCATTCAGAAAAAGGTATGATAATGTAAAGAACCAATTAGGGACTGAAGTGAAGGCTTGGACTGTGACCAATCAGGGATAGAGTGATGTTATACTTTATGCAAACGAAGATTCAACCTATAGTCAATCACAGAAAGATAGGTATACATAAAATAGTAAAAGGTAAGGACCAATCCAGAGGCAGTGCATAAAATGAGACAAAGGTGCACCAAGGAGAGGGAAATGTGTTCAAAAAAGGAGTGGAATTTGTTCATCTGGGTTCACAGAGTAGGCATGTTCATTCAAGGATGCAGGTATTTTCTTATCTGTGGCCTGCAGCTGGTTTTTCAGTCTGTTCTTGGTTTGAAGAAGTTTTACTGAGCACCCACCTAACTGCCTGCATGACTGGTTTCTTCCTTCCTCCACTTACATCATATTTAAAAGTGCATTTGCTTCAGGCCATTTAAAAAGAGATTTTTAAAACAAACCTAGTCTCCCATGTATTTCCTCAAAAACTACTACGCATGTTTTGAAAAAAGTGACCAATTTGTTGGGAAAAAATGAACATGTTTGTTATTTCTAAACCCAATACAAACAAAACAGCTGAATATTTATTGTTATTGTGTAGCTGATTAATAGCAGCTAAAATGTATGCACACCTACTTGGCAATAGACAGTTACTCTACCCACAATCTGGAAATGTAGGAACTATTTTTCCTGTTTTACAGATTTGGAAATTGAAACAAAAAGATTGTATTAGTCAGTGTTCTCTAGAGGGACAGAACTAATGGAATATATATCAAAAATCTATATCTATCTATCTATCTGGGGAGTTTATTAAGTATTGTCACATGATCACAAGGTCCCACAATATGCCATCTACAGGCTGAGAAGCAAGGAGAGCCAGTCAGAGTTACAAAAGGGATCAACTTGGAGTCCAATGTTTGAGGGCAGGAAGCATCCAGCATGGGAGAAAGATGTAGGCTGGGAGGCTAGGGTAGTCTCTCTTTTCATATTATTCTGCCTGCTTATATTCTAGCTGTGCTGGTAGCTGATTAGATTGTGCCCACCCAGATTAAGGGTGGGTTTAGCTTTCCCAGCCCACTGACTCAAATGTTAATCTCCTTTGGCAACACCCACACAGACACACCCAGGGTCTAAACTTTGTATCCTTCAATCCAATCATGTTGAAACTCAGTCTTATCATCACAAAGATTTTTAAAAATTGCCCAAGGTCAAACACTTGAAATAAAATCCAGTTTTGTCAAAAGCCAACATCTTCTAAGAAAGACCCCATAGTGCCTCAAACCATACTATGTACAATTTTGTTTACATTCCTGAAAGATCTGAGTCACCAAACATGGGGAGAGCACAGTAGTTAAGGGGCAAAAAACTCTAAGATAGAGATGTTCCTAATAAGTTGCTTGAAATGGATGTAAATTTGGTTTTAGGATAGGATATGAAAATCTATTCAGAGGAAGAAGAAATTTGCTTTTTTCCCCCTCCTCTCCATGTTTAGTAGAAGCTGGATCCAGGCTGGTTTTTCTTGAAGCTAAAAGACATTGAGCACATTCTATGCAGTAAATGCAAGATAAAACATTTTTCACAATGGTAAGTTTTTAAAAAGTTAAGAATTCATGCCTACATAATAAATATAAACAATATATAGGTTTTTTTCTGGATAATAAACAGGAGACTGTTGACATCAACTTAACATATATCATTTTCAAATTTTATGTGCCAAGGAACTCTTTACAAAAATTAAATGGCGTGTATCAAACCTAATAAATACAACAATTTAAAGGGTAGTTTTGTTTAAATGGTGGGAGGAGGAATATGAAGAGGACAGTGTCGCTACAGAATTACTTGGTGCTTCACCTGCAGAGTTAAGAGTTCTTGGGCCATGTTTTAAAATTATAAATTTATAATATCTGAAGTTTGTAAGTTCCATCCTAATTTTCTGTAATGGGAAGAAATAAAAATGGCTAAGACAGCCAAGCAAAACTTATATATTCCACTAAAATCAGTGAAGGTCAAGTCTTTCAGATTATGTTCAATAATTAGCAGGTAGATTAGGGTTAATAGTTTCAAACATGTAAAATCTGCATAAATTCTCAAGACTGGGAGAAGAAGAGGCTATGAAAGGAAGGTTTTAAGAGATAAGAGCACATCTTTGGGGTTAAGATGATGGATTCTGCAAGAAGATAAGAACAAAACAAAGTAGTAGACCACTTAGTAATCTTTCTTTAATGCCTTGAACTTGAAACTGACGACAAATTTGGCAGCTTAAGAAAATACAATCTTATTTTCATACAGTTCTGGAAGCCAGAAATCAGACGTCTGTTTCACTGGACCAAAGTCAGGCACTGCTGATTTTTTTTTTTTTTTTCTTTGGAGGTTCTGGGGAAGAATCTGTGCCTGGAAGTCATCTGCATCCCCTGGCTCATGATGTCTTCCTCGTATAACTCCAAACTCTTGCTTTCTTTACCACATCCCCTACTTGTTGTTTTGTAGTCAAATTTTTCTCTGCCTCCCTCTTTTAAGAACACTGTGATTGCGTTTGGAACCCTCCTCAATAATTTAACAATGTGTTCATCTCAAGATCTTTTATCACAAAATCCTTAATTACACCACATCTACAAAGTCCCTTTTGCCATTTAAGGTAATATTCACAAGTTCTGATTATTAGAGCATGAACATGTTTGGAATCCATTATGCACGTATTGCAATGATTTTACCAAAGATTTTTATGTGATTGTGTGAGCATCTTAATTAAACCAATTTTCATGTGAAGATAGTAAAAGAAGGTCATAATTAGAAAATTAGGATAAAATAACATCAAAAATCTACACTTTTGTTAAGTCAGATATTACAAGTAATATTTTTCAAGTTAAATTATTCAGAATATGTTAGTTTCAAATTTTACAATTTGTCTGAGAGAGATGTTATTAGCTTATATGGTGTAAGAAACAAAATTGTAAACTATATAGATTGTGCTCTATTTCCTGTCTTCATATTCCTTTATGGTGTCTTGTTTGTTGAATTAGTATCTTTCACATAAGCAATATTTTTCTTTTCTTTTCCTTCTATCCATAATTACTATGTAAAAAAGTTGCCTTGTATACTGGTGCTACAATTCACTATAAGAAAAAGGAATAAAAAATGTGTGTGTGTGTGTGTATATGTGTATGTTATATGCATCATCAAATATTAATATTTGCTTTTATTTTTGCTGAGAATGTGGCTAATTCACATTATAATGTTAAAATATTAACATTAACATGTTAACACTGAGAGGGAGAAAATTAGAAGGGAAAATACCATAAGAGATCATTGAAGCTATAAATGCTCAGAAAAAAACAAAACAGAAAGTCCTAGCCAGAGCAATCTGACAAGAGAAAGAAATAAAGGGCACCCAAAGAGGAAGAGAGAAAGTCAAGCTATCTCTGTTAGCAGAAGACATGATTCTATATCTAGAAAAACCCATAATCTTGGCTCAAAAGTTCTTTCAGCTGATAAAAAACTTTAGCAATGTTTCACAATACAAAATCAACCCACAAAAATCACTAGCATTCCTATACACCAATAGCCATGCTGAGAGCCAAATCAGCAAGGCAATCCCACTCACAACCACCAGAAAAGAAGAAAAAAAAAAATACCTAGGAATAAAGCTAACCTGGGAGGTGAAAGATCTCTACAATGAGAATTGCAAAACACTTGCAAATCAGAGATGACACAAACAAATGGAAAAACATTCCATGCTCAGGAATAGGAAGAATCAATATCATTAAAATGGCCATACTGCCCAAAACAATTCACAGATTCAATGCTATCAAACTACCTACGATGTTCGTCACAGTACTAGAAAAAAAAAAAAAAACTATTTTAAAGTATATATGGAGTCATAAAAGAGCCCAAATAGCAGAGGCAAACCTCAGCAAAATAAAAAAACTGGAGGCATCACATTACCCAATTTCAAACTGTATACCACAGGGCTACAGTAAGCAAAACAGCATGGTAGTGGTACAAAACCAGGAATATAGATCTATGGAACAGAATAGAGAGTACAGAAACAAGGTCACACATCTATGACCATCTCATCTTTGACAAAGCTGACAAAAACAAGTCATGGGGAAAAAACTTCCTATTCAAATGGTGCTGGGATAACTGGCTAGCTATATGCTAAAGATTTAAGTTGGACACCTTCCTGACATGATATACAAAAATAAACTCAAGATGAAATAAAGACTTAAATGTAAAACCCAAAACTATAAACACCCTGGAAGACAACCTAGGAAATACCATCCTGGACACAGGAACAGGCAAAAATTTCGTGACAAACACACCAAAAGCAATCCGAACACAAGCAAAAATTGACAAAATCTAATTAAACTTAAGAGCTTCTGCACAGCAAATGAAAACTATCAACAGAGTAAACAGACAACCTATAAAATGGGAGAATATTTTTGCAAACTATACATCTGACTAAGGCCTAATATCCAGTATCTATAAGGAACTTAACTTTACAAGAGAAAAACAAACAACCCCATTAAAAAATGGGCAGAACAGATGAACAGACAATTTTCAAAAGAAAACATACATGTGGCCAACAAACACATGAAAAAAAGCTCTATATCATTGATTATTAGAGAAATGCAAATCAAAACGACAATGAGACATTACCTCACACCAGTCAGAATAGCAATTACTAAAAAGTAAAAAAGATAACAGATGCCAGTGAGGTTGCAGAGAAAAGGGAACACTTATACACTGTTGGTGGGAGCATAAATTAGTTCAATCATTGTGGAAAGTAGTATGGAGATTCCTCAAAGAGCTAAAAGCAGAACTACCATTTGATCCAGCAATCTCATTCCTGGTTATATACTCAGAAAAGTATAAATCTTTCTATGATAAAAACACATGCATATGTTAGGTTCATTGCAGCAGTATTCACAATAGCAAAGACATGGAATCTACCTAAATACCTATCAATGACAGATTGGATAAAGAAAATGTGGTACAGATATATCATGGAATACTATGAAGCCATAAAACAGAATGAGATCATGTCTTTTGCTGGAACATGGTTGGAGCTGGAGGCCATTATCCTTTGCAAACTAACACAGGAATGGAAAACCAAATGCCACATGTTCTTGCTCACAGATGGGAGTTAAATGATAACAACTCATGAACCCAAAGAATGGAACAACAGACAATGGGGTCTATATGAGGGTGGAGGATGGAAGGAGGTAGAGGAGCAGAAAAATTAACTATTGGGTACTAGCTTTACTACCTGGATGATGAAATAATCTGTACAACAAATCTCCATGACACAAGTTTACATACATAGCAAACCTTCACATGTACCCCTGAATGTAAAATAAAAGTTAAACTAAACAAAACAAAACAAACAAACAAAAGATCAACAAAAGATCTATAGTCCTGGTTTTGTACCACTACCATGCTGTTTTGCTTACTGTAGCCCTGTGGTATACAGTTTGAAATTGGGTAATGTGATGCCTCCAGTTTTTTTATTTTGCTGAGGTTTGCCTCTGCTATTTGGGCTCTTTTTTGATTCCATATATACTTTAAAATAGTTTTAAATAAGATAAATAAACTTCAATGATAACACATTTTTCTTGCTTCAGTAACTAGAGGTCTCAGATTAGGGATCAATACAGAACATTCTACTTTTTGGCAAAGATCTCTTCTCCTGATGATCTCTTTAGGGCAAGTCTGGAACCAAGATGACTGCAGGGCTTCTAAGCCTTGTAACTCGCATGACAATACCAGAAGTAGAAAAAGTGAGATGATTCCAGATGGTTTATAAGAGGAAAAAAGAATAAATTTTCCAGCTATGACTAAACAACAATATTTCTTATCAGTCTGAATTGTGTCACATGCCCAAACCTGAACGATCATCAAGAGGATTGGCGTGATCCTAAGACACAGGCTAACTGCAGGAGCTGAAAGTTGAAGCAGCCATGCTTGTTGCATGGTCTGTGGTGGGAAGTGGTTGATATCTACAGAAAATTGGGCATTCAATCTTAATGAGAAGAATGAAAGAGGGAAACAAATGTTATATGCTTAACCAAAAATATTAACAATGGGAACTCCACGAATGGGGGTTATTCCAATGAAGACACTTGTTAGAAAGCATAGTTAAAAAGACAAAAGAAAAAGGAAAGGTAAAACTTTGATTTAATATCCCAGTAGAATCTAATTAACAGCATATTGTGTAAAATATCTAATATATGTCAATAGTCACAGAGTATCTCTGTAACCACGTTAAGTGCATTTTTCAAATCTAACAATGACATAAAGAAAAAGAGAGAAAGAAAGAGATAGAGATAGATGGAGAGAGAGATTCTGTGGTAATTACATAATAAAAAGGCATTTATGGTAAATAGGGAATACACCACATTTTAAAAAAGTTATTTCAAGGGTAGAGCCAAGATGGCCGAATAGGAACAGCTCCGGTCTACAGCTCCTAGCGTGAGCGATGCAGAAGACGGGTGATTTCTGCATTTCCATCTGAGGTACCAGGTTCATCTCACTAGGAAGTGCCAGACAGTGGGTGCAGGACAGTGGGTGCAGTGCACTGTGCACGAGCCGAAGCAGGGTGAGGCACTACCTCACTCCAGAAGTGCAAGGGGTCAGGGAGTTCCCTTTCCTAGTCAAAGAAAGGGGTGACAGATGGCATCTGGAAAATCGGGCCATTCCCACCCTAATACTGCGCTTTTCCATTGGGCTTAAAAAATGGCACACCAGGAGATTATATCCCACACATGGCTTGGAGGGTCCTACGCTCACGGAGTCTCACTGATTGCTAGCACAGCAATCTGAGATCAAACTGCAAGGCAGCAGTGAGGCTGGGGGAGGGGCGCCTGCCATTGCCCAGGCTTGATTAGGTAAACTAAGCAGCCTGGAAGCTCAAACTGGGTGGAGCCCACCACAGCTCAAGAAGGCCTGCCTGCCTCTGTAGGCTCCACCTCTGGGGGCAGGGCACAGACAAAACAAAAGACAGCAGTAACCTCCGCAGACTTAAATGTCCCTGTCTGACAGCTTTGAAGAGAGTAGTGGTTCTCCCAGCACGCAGCTGGAGATCTGAGAACGGGCAGACTGCCTCCTCAAGTGGGTCCCTGAACCCCGAGCAGCCTAACTGGGTGGCACCCCCCAGTAGGGGCAGACTGACACCTCACACAGCTGGGTACTCCTCTGAGACAAAACTTCCAGAGGAATGATCAGGCAGCAGCAGTTGCGGGTCACCAAAATCCGCTGTTCTACAGCCACCGCTGCTCCACAGCCACTGCTGCTGACACCCAGGAAAATAGGGTCTGGAGTGGACCTCTAGCAAACTCCAACAGACCTGCAGCTGAGGGTCCTATCTGTTAGAAGGAAAACTAACAAACAGAAAGGACATCCACACCAAAACCCATCTGTACGTCACCATCATCAAAGACCAAAAGTAGATAAAACCACAAAGATGGGGAAAAAACAGAGCAGAAAAACTGGAAACTCTAAAAAGCAGAGCGCCTCTCCTCCTCCAAAAGAACGCAGTTCCTCACCAGCAATGGAACAAAGCTGGACGCAGAAGGACTTTGACGAGTTGAGAGAAGAAGGCTTCAGACGATCAAACAACTCCGAGCTACAGGAGGAAATTCAAACCAATGGCAAAGAAGTTAGAATCCTTGAAAAAAAATTAGACGAATGGATAACTAGAATAACCAATGCAGAGAAGTCCTTAAAGGACCGGATGGAGCTGAAAGCCAAGGCTCGAGAACTACGTGAAGAATGCAGAAGCCTCAGGAGCTGATGCGATCAACTGGAAGAAACGGTATCAGTGATGGAAGATGAAATGAATGAAATGAAGTGAGAAGGGAAGTTTAGAGAAAAAATAATAAAAAGAAACAAACAAAGCCTCCAAGAAATATGGGACTATATGAAAAGACCAAATCTATGTCTGATTGGTGTACCTGAAAGTGATGGGGAGAATGGAACCAAGTTGGAAAACACTCTGCAGGATATTATCCAGGAGAACTTCCCCAATCTAGCAAGGCAGGCCAACATTCAGATTCAGGAAATACAGAGAACGCCACAAAGATACTCCTTGAGAAGAGCAACTCCAAGACACATAATTGTCAGATTCACCAAAGTTGAAATGAAGGAAAAAATGTTAAGGGCAGCCAGAGAGAAAGGTCAGGTTACCCACAAAGTGAAGCCCATCAGACTAACAGCAGATCTCTTGGCAGAAACTCTACAAGCCAGAAGAGAGTGGGGGCCAACATTCAACATTCTTAAAGAAAAGAATTTTCAACACAGAGTTTCATATCCAGCCAAACTAAGCTTCATAAGTGAAGGAGAAATAAAACACTTTAAGACAAGCAAATGCTGAGAGATTTTGTCACCACCAGGCCTGCCCTAAAAGAGCTCCAGAAGGAAGCACTAAACATAGATAGGAAGAACCAGTACCAGCCACTGCAAAAACATGCCAAAATGTAAAGACCATCAAGGCTAGGAAGAAACTGCATCAACTAACGAGAAAAATAACCAGCTAACATCATAATGAAAGGACCAAATTCACACTTAACAATATTAACTTTAAATGTAACTGGGCTAAATGCTCCAATTAAAAGACACAGACTGGCAAATTGGATAAAGAGTCAAGACCCATCAGTGTGCTGTTCTATCTCTGATAAAACAGACTTTAAACCAACAAAGATCAAAAGAGACAAAAAAGGACATTACATAATGGTAAAGGAATCAATTCAACAAGAAGAGCTAACTATCCTAAATATATATGCACCCAATACAGGAGCACCCAGATTCATAAAGCAAGTCCTGAGTGACCTACAAAGAGACTTAGACTCCCACACAATAATAATGGGAGACTTTAACACCCCACTGTCAACATTAGACAGATCAACAAGACAGAAAGTTAACAAGGATACCCAGGAATTGAACTCAGCTCTGCACCAAGTGGACCTAATAGACATCTACAGAACTCTCCACCCCAAATCAACAGAATATACATTCTTTTCAGCACCACACCACACCTATTACAAAATTGACCACATAGTTGGAAGTAAAGCACTCCTCAGCAAATGTAAAAGAACAGAAATTATAACAAACTGTTTCTCAGACCACAGTGCAATCAAACTAGAACTCAGGAATAAGAAACTCACTCAAAACTGCTCAACTACATGGAAACTGAACAATCTGCTCCTGAATGAATACTGGGTACATAACGAAATGAAGGCAGAAATAAAGATGTTCTTTGAAACCAACGAGAACAAAGACACAACATACCAGAATCTCTGGGATGCATTCAAAGCAGTGTGTAGAGGGAAATTTATAGCACTAAATGCCCACAAGAGAAAGCAGGAAAGATCCAAAATTGACACCCTAACATCACAATTAAAAGAACTAGAAAAGCAAGAGCAAACACATTAAAATGCTAGCAGAAGGCAAGAAATAACTAAAATCAGAGCAGAACTGAAGGAAATAGAGACACAAAAAATCCTTCAAAAAATTAATGAATCCAGGAGCTGGTTTTTTGAAAGGATCAACAAAATTGATAGACCGCTAGCAAGACTAATAAAGAAGAAAAGAGAGAAGAATCAAATAGATGCAATAAAAAGTGATAAAGGGGATATCACCACTGATCCCACAGAAATACAAACTACCATCAGAGAATACTACAAACACCTCTATGCAAATAAACTAGAAGATCTAGAAGAAATGGATAAATTCCTCGACACGTACACCCTCCCAAGACTAAACCAGGAACAACTTGAATCTCTGAATAGACCAATAACAGGCTCTGAAATTGTGGTAATAATCAATAGCTTACCAACCAAAAAAAGTCCAGGACCTGGTGGATTCACAGCCGAATTCTACCAAAGGTAGAAGGAGGAGCTGGTACCATTCCTTCTGAAACTATTCCAATCAATAGAAAAAGAGGGAATCCTCCCTAACTCATTTGATGAGGCCAACATCATCCTGATACCAAAGCCTGGCAGAGACACAACCAAAAAGAGAATTTTAGACCAATATCCTTGATGAACATTGATGCAAAAATCCTCAATAAAATACTGGCAAACCATATACAGCAGCACAACAAAAAGCTTATCCATCATGATCAAGTGGGCTTCATCCCTGGGATGCAAGGCTGGTTCAACATTCGCATATCAATAAATGTAATCCAGCATATAAACAGAACCAAAGACAAAAACCACATGATTATCTCAATAGATGTAGAAAAGGTCTTTGACAAAATTCTACAACTCTTCACGCTAAAATCTCTCAATAAATTAGGTATTGATGGGACATATCTCAAAATAATAAGAGCTATCTATGACAAACCCACAGCCAATATCATACTGAAATGGGCAAAAACTGGAAGCATTCCCTTTGAAAACTGGCACAAGACAGGGATGGCCTCTCTCACCACTCCTATTCAACATAGTGTTGGAAGTTCTGGCCAGGGCAATCAGGCAGGAGAAGGAAATAAAGGGTATTAAATTAGGAAAAGAGGAAGTCAAATTGTCCCTGTTTGCAGATGACATAATTGTATTTGTAGAAAACCCCATCATCTCAGCCGAAAAATCTCCTTAAGCTGATAAGCAACTTCAGCAAAGTCTCAGGATACAAAATCAATGTACAAAAATCACAAGCATTCTTATACACCAATAACAGACAAACAGAGAGCCAAATCATGAGTGAACTCCCATTCACAATTGCTTCAAAGAGAATAAAATACCTGAGAATCCAACTTACAAGGGATGTGAAGGACCTCTTCAAGGAGAACTACAAACCACTGCTCAAGGAAATAAAAGAGGATACAAACAAATGGAAGAACATTCCATGCTCATGGGTAGGAAGAATCAATATCGTGAAAATGGCCATACTGCCCAAGGTAATTTATAGATTCAATGCCATCCCCATCAAGCTACCAATGACTTTCTTCACAGAATTGGAAAAAACTACTTTAAAGTTCATATGGAACCAAAAAAGAGCCCACATCACCAAGTCAATCCTAAACCAAAAGAACAAAGTCAGAGGCATCACGCTGCCTGACTTCAAACTATACTACAAGGGTACAGTAACCAAAACAACATGGTACTGGTACCAAAACAGAGATATAGATCAATGGAACAGAACAGAGCCCTCAGAAATAATGCCGCGTATCTACAACGATCTGATTTTGACAAACCTGAGAAAAACAAGCAATGGGGAAAGGATTCCCTATTTAATAAATGGTGCTGGGAAAACTGGCTAGCCATATGTAGAAAGCTGAAACTGGATCCCTTCCTTACAACTTATAAAAAAATTAATTCAAGATGGATTAAAGACTTACATGTTAGACCTAAAACCATAATAACCCTAGAAGAAAACCTAGGCAATACCATTCAGGACATAAGCATGGGAAAGGACTTCATGTCTGAAACACCAAAAGCAATGGCAACAAAAGACAAAATTGACAAATGGGATCTAATTAAACTAAAGAGCTTCTGCACAGCAAAAGAAACTACCATCAGGGTGAACAGGCAAGCTACAAAATGGGAGAAAATTTTCGCAACCTACTCATCTGACAAAGGGCTAATATCCAGAATCTACAATGAACTCAAACAAATTTACAAGAAAAAAACAAACAACCCCATCAAAAACTGGGCAAAGGATATGAACAGACACTTCTCAAAAGAAGACATTTATGCAGCCAAAAAACACATGAAAAAATGCTCATCATCACTGGCCATCAGAGAAATGCAAATCAAAACCACAATGAGATACCATCTCACACCAGGTAGAATGGCAATCATTAAAAAGTCAGGAAACAACAGGTGCTGGAGAGGATGTGGAGAAATAGGAACACTTTTACACTGTTGGTGGGACTGTAAACTAGTTCAACCATTGTGGAAGTCAGTGTGGCGATTCCTCAGGGATCTAGAACTAGAGAAACCATTTGACCCAGCCATCCCATTACTGGGTATATACCCAAAGGACTATAAATCATGCTGCTATAAAGACACATGCACTTGTATGTTTATTGCGGCACTATTCACAATAGCAAAGACTTGGAACCAACCCAAATGTCCAACAATGATAGACTGGATTAAGAAAATATGGCACATATACGCCATGGAATACTATGCAGCCATAAAAAATTATGAGATCATGTCCTTTGTAGGGACATGGATGAAACTGGAAACCATCATTCTCAGCAAACTATCACAAGGACAAAAAACCAAACACCGCATATTCTCACTCATAGGTGGGAATTGAACAATGAGAATACATGGACACAGGAAGGGGAACATCACAATCTGGGGCCTGTTGTGGGGTGGGGGGAGGGGGAGGGATAGCATTAGGAGATATACCTAATGTTAAATGATGAGTTAATGGGTGCAGCACACCAACATGGCACATGTATACGTATGTAACTAACCTGCACATTGTGCACATGTACCCTAAAACTTAAAGTGTAATGATAATAAAATTTTAAAAAAAAGTTATTGCAAAATTCAAGTTAAGCCTGTATTGACTACATAGCACATTTTAAAATTAACCAAAGTTTAGGGTCATTTGAATAGCAGGCACTAAATATCTCAAAGTAATAACGTATGATTTTCAATTTTTAACTTTTTTCAGTGAGAAATATTGCCCAAATAAATAGAAAATGGAATATTTCTATCTTACGTTATTAAAGCAAGAATTACGATTAAATTCACTGTTAATCCATTTTGCATTGCTATAAAGGAATGCCTGTGTGTTTTAGCTCATTTTCATGCTGCTATTAAGAAATACTTGAGGCTGAGTAATTTATAAAGAAAGAGCTGGTACTTCACATGGCCACAGCATGAACGAGAGAGAGAGAGAGAGGGAGCGCTGCCACACACTTTCAAACAACCAGATCTCATAAAAACCAACAGAGAGAACTCACTCATTGCCACAGAGAGGGCACCATGCCATTCACGAGGGATCTGTCTCCAAGACCCAAACACCTCCTACTAGACCCTGCCTCAAACATTGGGGATTACATTTTGACAAGAGATTTAGAGTAGATAAATATGAAACTATCTACTTACCATTTAGTTTGTTCCTATGTAACAACTGAACACACTCATTTAAAAAGTCAAATCTGTTTTTTGGTGAGAAGTCTGCAGTGACCAGTTTTCTGTATAACTTTTCATTTTTAAATGGTTATTTCAGTTTTATGTACACACAGCTCAGTTGTGACATTTAATGATCATATCTGTCTGTATATTATTGATTTGGCATCATCAAATATTATGTTGATATTAAAAAAGATTGAAATGACTGTTGATTTATTTTCATAAAAAAATTTAGCTTAAAATCTCATAAATTACTGTAGTTTAATGATGAGTAAATGTAAACTAAAGCATTCAGATTTCTTGTATTTTTTAGTTAATATGTGTAGCTATCTTTTATATTGGAAAAAGGAGGAAAGAGAAATAATTTTCATCATAAAAGTTTTTCAAATATATATATATTTTTTGTAATCTTTCACTGCAAGACCTAAATTAGTGAACCTCTACCTCAAGCAGGAAAAAAACTTTATAAATGACCTAGTAGAAAAATCAGAGAACAATAAACCATAAAGCATTCAGACTCATCAAAATCCTCAGCTCAGCAAGGTATTTTCTGCTAACTTAAAAACGTGTAAAAACAGGACAGCTCCCAAATTTCATTACCTATGGGACAGATATGTTAGAATGACCATTTTAATATGAAAACTAACATGATTTATGAATTGAGATCTAATCAAATTAAGTGTAATGTAGTCATTTCTACTGCTGATTTCTAATAGCTTTTTTAAACCTAGAATACTTATGTATGCATACTTCAAGGTATAACGAATTTGCTTGTCTTTAAATTGTCTTTTTGTTTGTTTTTATGTTCCGTGTGCTTGTTCTAGAAAGGACAGAGGTACATTTAAACTTTTACAAAAATTTGACAGGAATAATTAAAATCACACTTCAAAATATTTTCTGGTCATGAATACAAATTATTGGTATATTTGAAAATTAAGCTATCTGACTTGCGGTAGACACACCCTAAGGTTGCCAATGATGATTTCTATCTTTTTGTAATCTCCTAGTGAGTGCAGGCAGATCCTGTGACTTGCTTCTAACCAATACAATATGGCAAAAATGATGAGATGCCACTCTCTATATTACTTTATGTTATACGTCAAAGGGGATGAGATATAAGTCTCATTATTATATTTTGCTATATAAAACGTTTTTTAGGAGACTGGGGAGAAAGTGTATCTTGCTGGTCTTGAAGGAACAAACTACCATGTTTTATAGAAGGTCCCTATGGAAATGGTCACATGAAAAGGAACTCTGGCAGCTTCTAGAAGAATAAGAATAAGAATATCAGCAGATTTCTCATCAGAAACTTTGTAGGCCATGAAACAGCAGGCTGATATATTCAGAGTGCTAAAAAGGTAAAAAGCTAGCAACCAAGAATTCTTTATTTGGCAAAACTGTTCTTTAATACTGAGGAACAGCTGACCAGCTGACTTCCAGGAAGAAAACATGAACCTGATTTCTACAACCACAAAGAAATAAATTTTACAAACTTCCTGAGGGAGCTTGGAAGCAGAGGATTTCTTCAGTTAAGCCTCAGGTGAGACACAGTTAAATACCTGAATTACAGCTTGGTGAAACCATGAGCAGAAGATATAGCTAATATGTGCCTAGATTTCTGACTTATGCAAACTAAGATTAAAAATGGGTGCTATTTCAAGCCCCTCAGTTTGTGGAAATTTGTTACACAGCAATAGAAAACTAACACGTTTCTCTAGATCTTTATCTTCCCTCTTTTATTTCTTTGAATTTTAGTAAAAGGTTATTCAATATTAAATTCTTGGTATATACACTAATAAAAATTTAATAGAAGTTATATAGTTAATCTAAAATTTTGTTTTATGATTTTTAAACTTTAAAAAGTTTTAGACACTTTGTTTTACCTAAATGTTAGGATGGGGTGTGGAGTTGCAAGATGGTGAAATAACCAGTCCCAGTCCTCGTTATCTTACAGAGACACCAAAGTAACAATAATACATGGGCTAAAGTACTTCTGTGAGAATTCAAGAAATTAGTTAAAAATTTTCAGTACAACAGGTGAGCACAAAGTTGAAAACAGCCACATTGAAATGTGTAAAAAAAGCTGTTTTATTATCTCTTTGATTGCCTCTTCCCCAGGCCAGCACAGCTCAGCTCAGCTGGCAACTTCTCCCTTGGAGGAATTTTTTTTTTTAAGTGGAACATGCATCCAATGTTCCAGCTTTTGGGAGGGATATCCAAAGGACTTGTTTCTGCCTTGCCTAATTCAGAACATTAATGGAATCAGTCTAGTTTGGATACCTGAGGAACCCTGAAAATCAGGGATTAAGAGTGGCTTGCTACAGCACCAGCTGGCTTGTGGAGCTGAAAACAGAGACTATCATAAATTGGCACAATCAGGAGAAGGCACCCGATTCATGTTTTCTCCCTAATTATAATCAATTTGTCAAATATGAAGACAAAGATGAAAGCAGAAAAAGTGATTTGTCACATACAAGGGAACTTCTTTGACACAATCAGAAGGTTTTTCAGTGGAAACTGTACAGGCCAGAAGGGAGTGAGATGATATAGTCAAAATACTAAAGTAACAAAAAGAAACTACCATCCAAGAATATCACATCACATCTGGCAAAATAATTCTAAAAATTTTTAAAAAAGAAGTTATACTAGATGGCAGAGTAAGAAACACAAGAAATATATCTTCTCTCTTAGATAAAAACCGCACTAGCAGAATCAATCTCATGTAACTATTTGGGAACTAGGAAGTCAATTGAAGGCTTGCAACTTTCTGCAGAAAACTTGGGTAATAAACTGTTAATTTGGGTCAATTTTAACTCAGCACAGTTGCAGATACTCAGCCACAACCCCTCATTCCTATGGCAGCAAGCGGGGCATGCTTTTTAGAAGTAGCTTACACACAACTTCTGAGAGCCAGTGTGAGCTAAAGTGATCCTTTTTTCCAAATATTGACAATCAGTGCTGTGATTGCTAATTGCAGCTTCTGGTGCAAACAGGTGTAGACAAATTTGTCACATTTGTTTTCACAAAGGCATTTTTTCCTTTGTGAAAGGAATTTTCACAAAGGCAAATTCCTCTGGTTGAAGTGACTTCTAGTGCGTTTAAAAGGCCAGCAGTTTTTCTCTCCCTTCATTTTTTCTCTTTTGAGCATTAGACATTGAAGACTAGGGTATTCAAAAGCAACTGCATATACATGAAAAATTATATAAAGTCATGGGATGTATGCTCAAATGTGATGAAAGACATAAACATAAACATCCATCAGGATCAAAAAATTCTAAGTATGATTAACTGAAAAAGACATACACTATGACACATTAAAATCAAACTGTAGAGGGGAGGAGCCAAGATGGCCAAATAGGAAAAGCTCCGGTCTACAGCTCCCAGTGTGAGCGACGCAGAAGATGGGTGATTTCTGCATTGCCATCTGAGGTACCGGGTTCATCTCACTAGGGAGTGCCAGACAGTGGGTGCAGGTCAGTGGGTGCGCACACCGTGCCTGAGCCGAAGCAGGGCGAGGCATTGCCTCACTTGGGAAGCGCAAGGGGTCAGGGAGTTCCCTTTCCTAGTCAAAGAAAGGGGTGATGGACAGCACCTGGAAAATCAGGTCACTCCCACCCGAATACTGCGCTTTTCCGATGGGCTTAAAAAACGGTGCACCACGAGATTATATCCTGCACCTGGCTCGGAGGGTTCTACGCCCACAGAGTCTCGCTGATTGCTAGGACAGCTGTCTGAGATCAAACTGTAAGGCAGCAGCGAGGCTGGGGGGAGGGGCGCCCACCATTGCCCAGGCTTGATTAGGTAAACAAAGCAGCCTGGAAGCTCAAACTGGGTGAAGCCCACCACAGCTCAAGGAGGCCTGCCTGCCTCTGTAGGCTCCACCTCTGGGGGCAGGGCACAGACAAACAGAAAGACAGCAGTAACTTCTGCAGACTTCAATGTCCCTGTCTGACAGCTTTGAAGAGAGTAGTGGTTCTCCCAGCACGCAGCTGGAGATCTGAGAACGGGCAGACTGCCTCCTCAAGTGGGTCTCTGACCCCTGACCCCTGAGCAGCCTAACTGGGAGGCACCCCCCAGCAGGGGCACACTGACACCTCACACGGCAGGGTATTCCAACAGATCTGCAGCTGAGGGTCCTGTCTGTTAGAAGGAAAACTAACAAACAGAAAGGACATCCACACCAAAAACCCATCTGTACATCACCATCATCAAAGACCAAAAGTAGATAAAACCACAAAGATGGGGAAAAAACAGAACAGAAAAACTGGATACTCCAAAAAGCAGAGCACGTCTCCTCCTCCAAAGGAACGCAGTTCCTCACCAGCAACAGAACAAAGCTGGATGGAGAATGACTTTGACGAGCTGAGAGAAGAAGGCTTCAGACGATCAAATTACTATGAGCTACCAGAGGACATTCAAATCAAAGGCAAAGAAGTTGAAAACTTTGAAAAAAAATTAGAAGAATGTATAACTAGAATAACCAATACAGAGAAGTGCTTAAAGGAGCTGATGGAGCTGAAAACCAAGGCTCGAGAACTACGTGAAGAATGCAGAAGCCTCAGGAGCCGCTGCGATCAACTGGAAGAAAGGGTATCAGCAATGGAAGATGAAATGAATGAAATGAAGCGAGAAGGGAAGTTTAGAGAAAAAAGAATAAAAAGAAATGAGCAAAGCCTCCAAGAAATATGGGACTATGTGAAAAGAACAAATCTACGTCTGATTGGTGTACCTGAAAGTGATGGGGAGAATGGAACCAAGTTGGAAAACACTCTGCAGGATATTGTCCAGGAGAACTTCCCCAATCTAGCAAGGCAGGCCAACTTTCAGATTCAGGAAATACAGAGAATGCCACAAAGATACTCCTCGAGAAGAGCAACTCCAAGACACGTAATTGTCAGATTCACCAAAGTTGAAATGAAGGAAAAAATGTTAAGGGCAGCCAGAGAGAAAGGTTGGGTTACCCTCAAAGGGAAGCCCATCAGAATCACAGCGGATCTCTCAGCAGAAACCCTACAAGCCAGAAGAGAGTGGGGGCCAATATTCAACATCCTCAAAGAAAAGAATTTTCAACCAAGAATTTCATATCCAGCCAAACTAAGTTTCATAAGCGAAGGAGAAATAAAATACTTTACAGACAAGCAAATGCTGAGAGATTTTGTCACCACCGGGCCTTCCCTAAAGAGCTTCTGAAGGAAGTGCTAAATATGGAAAGGAACAACCGGTACCAGCCGCTGCAAAATCATGCCAAAATGGAAAGACCATCGAGACTAGGAAGAAACTGCATCAACTAACGAGCAAAATAACCAGCTAACATCATAATGACAGGATCAAATTCACACATAGCAATATTAACTTTAAATGTAAATGGACTAAACTTCCAATTAAAAGACACAGACTGGCAAATTGGATAAAGAGTCAAGACCCATCAGTGTGCTGTGTCAGGAAACCCATCTCACGTGCAGAGACACACATAGGCTCAACATAAAAGGATGGAGGAAGATCTACCAAGCAAATGGAAAACAAAAAAAAGCAGGTGTTGCAATCCTAGTCTCTGATAAAACAGACTTTAAACCAACAAAGATCAAAAGAGACAAAGAAGGCCATTACATAATGGTAAAGGGATCAATTCAACAAGAAGAGCTAACTATCCTAAATATATATGCACCCAATACAGGAGCACCCAGATTCATAAAGCAAGTCCTGAGTGACCTACAAAGAGACTTAGACTCCCACACATTAATAATGGGAGAGTTTAACACCCCACTGTCAACATTAGACAGATCAACGAGACACAAAGTCAACAAGCATACCCAGGAATTGAACTCAGCTCTGCACCAAGCGGACCTAATAGACATCTACAGAACTCTCCACCCCAAATCAACAGAATATACATTCTTTTCAGCACCACACCACACCTATTACAAAATTGACCACATAGTTGGAAGTAAAGCACTCCTCAGCAAATGTAAAAGAACAGAAATTATAACAAACTGTTTCTCAGACCACAGTGCAATCAAACTAGAACTCAGGAATAAGAAACTCACTCAAAACCGCTCAACTACATGGAAACTGAACAACCTGCTCCTGAATCACTACTGGGTACATAACGAAATGAAGGCAGAAATAAAGATGTTCCTTGAAACCAACGAGAACAAAGACACAACATACCAGAATCTCTGGGACGCATTCAAAGCAGTGTGTAGAGGGAAATTTATAGCACTAAATGCCCACAAGAGAAAGCAGGAAAGATCCAAAATTGACACCCTAACATCATAATTAAAAGAACTAGAAAAGCAAGAGCAAACACATTCAAAAGCTAGCAGAAGGCAAGAAGTAACTAAAATCAGAGCAGAACTGAAGGAAATAGAGACACAAAAAACCCTTCCAAAAATTAATGAATCCAGGAGCTGGTTTTTTGAAAGGATCAACAAAATTGATAGACTGCTAGCAAGACTAAGAATCAAATAGACTCAATAAAAAATGATAAAGGGGATATCACCACCGATCCCACAGAAATACAAACTACCATCAGAGAATACTACAAACACCTCTACACAAATAAACTAGAAAATCTAGAAGAAATGGATAAATTCCTCGACACATACACTCTCCCAAGACTAAACCAGGAAGAAGTTGAATCTCTGAATAGACCAATAACAGGATCTGAAATTGTGGCAATAATCAATAGCTTACCAACCAAAAAGAGTCCAGGACCAGATGGATTCACAGCCGAATTCTACCAGAGGTAGAAGGAGGAGCTGGTACCATTCCTTCTGAAACTATTCCAATCAATAGAAAAAGAGGGAATCCTCCCTAACTCATTTGATGAGGCCAGCATCATTCTGATACCAAAGCCAGGCAGAGACACAACAAAAAAAGAGAATTTTAGACCAATATCCTTGATGAACATTGATGCAAAAATCCTCAATAAAATACTGCCAAAACGAATCCAGCAGCACATCAAAAAGCTTATCCACCATGATCTAGTGGGTTTCATCCCTGGGATGCAAGGCTGGTTCAATATATGCAAATCAATAAATGTAATCCAGCATATAAACAGAGCCAAAGACAAAAACCACATGATTATCTCAATAGATGCAGAAAAAGCCTTTGACAAAATTCAACAACCCTTCATGCTAAAAACTCTCAATAAATTAGGTATTGATGGGACGTATATCAAAATAATAAGAGATATCTATGACAAACCCACAGCCAATATCATACTGAATGAGCAAAAACTGGAAGCATTCCCTTTGAAAACGGGCACAAGACAGGGATGCCCTCTCTCACCACTCCTATTCAACATAGTGTTGGAAGTTCTGGCCAGGGCAATCAGGCAGGAGAAGGAAATAAAAGGTATTCAATTAGGAAAAGAGGAAGTCAAATTGTGCCTGTTTGCAGACGACATGATTGTATATCTAGAAAACCCCATTGTCTCAGCTCAAAATCTCCTTAAGCTGATAAGCAACTTCAGCACAGTCTCAGGATACAAAATCAATGTACAAAAATCACAAGCATTCTTATACACCAATAACAGACAAACAGAGAGCCAAATCATGAGTGAAATCCCATTCACAATTGCTTCAAAGAGAATGAAATACCTAGGAATCCAACTTACAAGGGATGTTAAGGACCTCTTCAAGGAGAACTACAAACCACTGCTCAAGGAAATAAAAGAGGATACAAACAAATGGAAGAACATTCCATGCTCATGGGTAGGAAGAATCAATATCATGAAAATGGCCATACTGCCCAAGGTAATTTACAGATTCAATGCCATCCCCATCAAGCTACCAATGCCTTTCTTCACAGAATTGGAAAAAACTACTTTAAAGTTCATATGGAACCAAAAAAGAGCCCACATCGCCAAGTCAATCCTAAGCCAAAAGAACAAAGCTGGAGGCATCACACTACCTGACTTCAAACTATACTACAAGGCTACAGTAACCAAAACAGCATGGTACTGGTACCAAAACAGAGATATAGATCAATGGAACAGAACAGAGCCCTCAGTAATAACGCCAAATATCTACAACTATCTGATCTTTGACAAACCTGAGAAAAACAAGCAATGGGGAAAGGATTCCCTATTTAATAAATGGTGCTGGGAAAACTGGCTAGCCATATGTAGAAAGCTGAAACTGGATCCCTTCCTTACAACTTATACAAAAATCAATTCAAGATGGATTAAATACTTAAACGTTAGACCTAAAACCATAAAAACCCTAGAAGAAAACCTAGGCATTACCATTTAGGACATAGGCATGGGCAAGGACTTCATGTCTAAAACACCAAAAGCAATGGCAACAAAAGCCAAAATTGACAAATGGGATCTAATTAAACTAAAGAGCTTCTGCACAGCAAAAGAAACTACCAGCAGAGTGAACAGGCAACCTACAAAATGGGAGAAAATTTTCACAACCTACTCATCTCACAAAGGGCTAATATCCAGAATCTACAATGAACTCAAACAAATTTACAAGAAAAAAACAAAGAACCCCATCAAAAAGTGGGCGAAGGACATGAACAGACACTTCTCAAAAGAAGACATTTATGCAGCCAAAAAACACATGAAAAAAGGTTCATCATCACTGGTCATCAGAGAAATGCAAATCAAAACCACAATGAGATACCATCTCACACCAGTTAGAATGGCAATCATTAAAAAGTCAGGAAACAACAGGTGCTGGAGAGGATGTGGAGAAATAGGAACACTTTTACACTGTTGGTGGGACTGTAAACTAGTTCAACCATTGTGGAAAACAGTGTGGTGATTCCTCAGGGATCTAGAACTAGAAATACCATTTGACCCAGCCATCCCATTATTGGGTATATACCCAAAGGAATATAAATCATGCTGCTGTAAAGACACATGCACACGTATGTTTACTGAGGCACTACTCACAATAGCAAAGACTTGGAGCCAACCCAAATGTCCAACAATGATAAGACTGGATTAAGAAAATGTGGCACATACACAGCATGGAATACTATGCAGCCATAAAAAATGATGAGTTCATGTCCTTTGTAGGGACATGGATGAAATTGGAAATCATCATTCTCAGTAAACTATCGCAAGAACAAAAAACCAAACACTGCATATTCTCACTCATAGGTGGGAATTGAATAATGAGATCACATGGACACAGGAAGGGGAATATCACACTCTGGGGACTGTTGTGGGGTGGGGAGAGGGGGAGGGATAGCATTGGGAGATATACTTAATGCTAGATGATGAGTTAGTGGGTTCAGCGTGCCAGCATGGCACATGTATACATATGTAACTAACCTACACAATGTGCACATGTACCCTAAAACTTAAAGTGTAATAATAAAAAAAAAGAAAAAAAGAAAAATAAAAAAAATAAAATCAAACTGTAGAACACCAAAGACACAGATAATACTTTGAAAGTAGCAAAAAAAAGTGATTTGTCACATACAAGGGACCCTCAATAAGAATATCAGCAGATTTCTCATCAGAAGTTTTGTAGGCCAAGAAGCAGCTGGCTGATATATTCAAAGTGCTAAAAGAAAAAAAAAAGCTAGCAACCGAGAATTCTTTATTTGGCAAAACTGTTCTTTAATAATGAGGAAGAAATCATGACATTCCCAGATAAACACAAGCTGAGGGTGTGTAGAGCTTCCTTGCAAGAAATCTTTAAGTGAATCTTTCAGGTGACATTAAAGGATGCTACACAGCAACTGAAAGCCATATAAAAATATAAAGCTATCAGCAAAGACAAATACACTGGGAATTATGAAAGCTAGTATTATTGTAAATTTGGTGTGTGACTCCACATTTTATTTTCTACATAACTTAATAAATTAATGCATTAAAATTATGCATTTTTGGATACACAGTGTGTAAATAAGTAATTTTATGACACAAACTACTAAAAATGGTAAGATGAAGCTGTTAAAAGGGCAGAATTTTTTACATGATTGAAATTAAACTATTATAAATTTGAATTAACATATTCTAACTTTGAGATATGTAATCTCCATTGCAATCGCAAAGAAAGTAGATAAAGAATACACAAAAGAGGAAATTAGAAAAGAATTTAACATTTCACTGCAAAAAGTCAACTAAACACAAAAGAAGATAGTCATATAGGAAACTATGACAAAAAAAGTAAAAAAGCCTACTGAAAACAAATAGCAAAATGACAGAAGTAACTCCCTCCTTATCAGTCATTACTTTAAATGTGTTATACTCTGAATGTGTTTCTCCAACATTTGTATTTGGAAGCCCTAAGCCCCAGTGTGATAATATTTGGAGGCTGGGGGTTTGGTAGGTAATTGAGTTGAAATGAGACATTGAATCTAAAGTCCTAATTATTGGATTAGTTCTCTTATAAGAAGAAACCAGAGTGTTTTCTCTCTCTCTCTCTCTCTCTCTCTCTCTCTCTCTCTCTCTGTCCTGTGAAGACACAATAAGAAGTTGGTCAATTTCAAACCAACAGGAGGGCCCTCATCAGAAACTGAATCAACCAGCATCTTAGTCTTGAATTTCCAGCCTCCAGAACTATCAGAAATACATATCTGTTATTTAGCTGCCTGATCTATGATATTTTGTTATAGCATCCTGAGTAAACTAAAACAAATATAAATGGATTAACCTCTTCAATCTAAAGACACAAATTGGCATAATAGATTAAAAACACATGATCCAACTAAAGGCTATCTAGAAGAAACTCACTTTAGATCAAAAGACACACATGGATTAAAAGTGAAGGGATGTAATAAAATATTTAATGCAAAAATAAGCAAAACAGTCTTGGGGTGGCTATATCAGTATTAGACAAAATCACAAAAGTTTACAAGAGACAAAGTAGTACATTATATATTAATTAAATGTTTTATACAGCAAGAAAATTGAACAATTATACATATTTGAAAAATAATAAGCACTTTGAGTTTACTATAAAGTTATTAATAGAGTTGAATCAGTAATAAAATAATCTCTTGACAATAAAAAAAGCCCTTGACCTGATGGGTTCACTGGTGATTTCTACCAAATATTTGAAGAATAGCTAACACCAGTGCTTCTCCAGCTTTTCCAAAAAAAATTGAGGCAGAGAGAACACTTCCTATCTCAATCTATGAACACTACCCTAATAGCAATGTAAGTCAAGCAAGACACTATGAGAAAACTGAAGACTAATATTTCTTACAGATATTGAGGCAAAAATCCTCAAAAATTACTAGTAAGCCAAATTCAGCAGCATGCTAAAAGAATTATATGCTATTACCAAGTGATATTTATTTCTGGAATGTAAATATGGTTCAACATATAAAATTAGATTAACATAAAACACCACATTAACCAAACGAAGGAAAAGAAAATTTATAGCAATCTCCATTCATACACAAAAAGCATTTAATAAAAACAAACACTATTTCAGCATGCAAACACTCAACATATTAGAAATGGAAAGAAACAATTTTAACATAATAAAACTCATATATGTAAACTCCACAGTAAACATCATACTCAATAGTAAAAGACTAAAAATAAGGAAAAGAACAAGAAAATAAGCCAGGCGCGGTGGCTCATGCCTGTAATCCCAAAACTTTGGGAGGCCAAAGAGAGTGAATAACCAGAGGTCGGGAGTTAGAGACCAGCCTGACCAACGTGGAGAAACCCCGTCTCTAATGAAAATACAAAATAAGCTGGGCATGGTGGTGCATGCCTCTAATCCCATCTACTCGGGAGGCGGAGGCAGGAAAATCGCTTTAACTCAGGAGACAGAAGCTGAGGTGAGCCTAGATCACGCCATTGCACTCTAGCCTGGGCAACAAGAGCAAAACTTCATCTTAAAAAAATAAGTAAATAAATAAAGCAAGAAAATGATAACCCTTTTTACATGCTTTTATTCAACATAGCACTGGAAGTCTAAGATCAGTGCAGCAAGAAAAAAGATATGAAAGACATCTAAATCAGAAATAAAAAAGTAAAATTATCCATTTTCACATGATGATCTTATATATGGGAAATCTAAAAAATACACATATGCAAAAGCTGTTAGAACTAATCAATAAATTCAGCAAAATAGCAGGATAAAAAGAAAACACACAAAAGTCAGCTGCATTTTTATATGCTAACAAAAATCTAAAAAGTAATTTAAGAAAACAATTTCATTTACACTAGAATCAAAAAGAATAAGATACTAGGAATTAACCAAGGAAGCAAAAGACTCATGAAATAAAAATTTCAAAATATTTCTAAAAGAAATTTAAAAACGCACAAAAATAGAAAGACATCTAATGCTTAAGGATTGGAAGACAATATTATTAAGATATAAATACTACTCAAAGCAATCTATTGTTATTAAGACGCAAATGCTACTTAATCTATAGTTTTAATTCAATATTATGAAAATCTCAACGACCTTTTTGAAAAAATAGAAAATCCACCCTCAAATTCAAAACAATTTTGAAAAAGGAATAGCAAAGCTGAAGGACTCACACTTCTAGGTTTTAAGACTTATGTACCCTAGAACTTAAAGTATAATAATAAAAAAAGACTTACCACAAAGCTATAGTAAGCAAAATAGTGAAGTACTGGCATAAAGACAGATATATTGACCAACAGAATAGAACAAACTGTTAAGAAATAAACCCTCACATATGAGGTCAAATGATTTTCAATAACAATACAAAGACCACTCAACAGGGAAAAGATAATCTTTTATAGTATACGGTGCTGGGAAAACTGGATATGCACATGCAAAAGAATGAAGTTGGAATTTTACCTAACATTGTATACAGAAATTAATGCAAAATGTATTCATAACCTAAATGTAGGAACTAAAACTATAAAACTATTAAAAGAAAATATAGCACAAAAGCTTCACAGCATTGGATTTGGCAGTGGCATATTGGATATGACACCAGAAGCAAAGGCAACACAGGAAAAATAGACAAATTGGACATCATAAAAACTTTTTAAAAATTGTAAAAAAAAACATTGTCAATGAAGTAAAAAGGCAAACCACAGAGCTGAAAAAAATTGCAACATCCCTGTTGCTGCAAAGAATATGATTTCACTCTTTTTTGTGCTTGTGTAGTATTCCATAGTATATATGTACCGCATTTTCTTTACCAATCCACTGTTGATGGGCATCTAAGTTGACTTCATGTGTTTGCTTTTGTAAATAGTGCCATGATGTACATAACAGTGCATATGCTTTTTTGTAGAATAATTTATTTTCCTTTGAGTATATACCCAGTAACAGAATTCCTGTGTCTAATGGTAGTTCTGTTTTAAGTTATTTGAAAAATATCCAAACTGCTTTTCACAGTGGTTGAACTAATTTACATTTCTACCAAGAATATATAAGCATTCCCTTTTCTACACAGCCTCTTCAGCATCTATTTTTTGTCTTTTTAGTAATACCATTCTGACTGGTATGAGATGGTGTTGATTTATGGTTTAGATTTGACTTCCTCTGATGATTAGTGATATTGAGCATTTTTTTTCCATGTTTGTGGGTCACTTGTATGTCTTCTTTTGAAAAGTTTCTATTTGTATCCTTTCCCACTTTTTTTAACTTTTATTTTAGGTTTAGGGTTTCATGTGAAGTTTTGTTGCATAGATAAACATGTGTTACAGGGGTTTGTTGTACATATTATTTCATCACCCAGGTATTAAACCCAGTACTCAATAGTTATCTTTTCTGCTCCACTTCTTCTTCCCAGTCTCCCCCCTCAAGTAGACCACAGTGTCTGTTGTTTCCTTCTTTGCATTCATAAGTTCTTGTCATTTAGCTCTCACTTATAAGTGAGAACATGTAATATTTGGTTTTCTTTTCCTGCTTTAGTTTTCTAAGGAAAATAGCCTCCAGCTCCATCCATGTTCCCCCAAAAGACATGATCTCATTCTTTTTTATGGCTTCACAGTATTCCATGGTGTGTGTGTACCACATTTTATTTATCCGACCTGTCATTGATGGGCATTTAGGTTGATTCCATGTCTTTGCTATTATGAATAGGGCTGCAATGAACATACATGTGCATGTGTCTTTACGGTAGAATGATTTATGTTTCTCTGGATATATATCCCGTAATGGGATTGGTGTGTTGAATGGTAGTTCTGTCTTGAAGTCTTTGAGGCATCACCATAATGCTTTCAATGATGGTTGAACTAATTTACATACCCATCAACAGTGTGTGTGTTCCCTTTTCTCCACAACTTTATCAGTATCTGTTATTTATTCACTTTTTAATAGTAGCCATTCTGATTGGTGTGAGATGATATCTCATTGTGATTTTGATTTGCATTTCTCTAATGATCAGTGATACTGAGCTTTTTTTGTATGCTTGTTGGCTGCATGTATGTCTTCTTTTGAAAATTGTCTGTTCATGTCCTTTGCCCACTTTTTAATGGTGTTACTTGTTCTTTATCTTGTTAATTTTTTAAGTCCTTATAGATGCTGGCTAGTAGACCTTCACCAGATGCATAATTTGTAAAATTTTTCCCATTCTGTATGTGGTCTGTTTACCCTTTTGATAGTTTATTTTGCTGTGCAGAAGCTCTTAAATTTAATTAGGTCCCACTTGTCAATTTTTGCTTTTTGGGGGATTGATTTTGGTGTGCTTGTCATTAAATGTTTGCTCATTCCTGTGTCCAGGATGGTGTTGCCTTGGTCATCTTCCAGGGTTTCTATACTTTTGGATTTTACATTTAAGTCTTTAATCCATCTTAAGTTTGTATAAGGAAAGGGTCCAGCTTCAATCTTCAGCATACAGCTAGCCTGTTATCCCAGCACCATTTATTGAATATGGAGTCTTTTCCCATTGTTTCTTTTTGTCCTTTGCCCATTTTTTAAATAGTGTTATTCATTTTTTCTTGTTGAGTTGATTAAGTTACTTATAGATTCTGGATATTAGACATTTGTCAAATGCATAGTTGGCAAATATTTTTACCCATTCCGTACACTGTCTGTTTAATCTGTTGATAGTTTATTCTTTTGTGCTAAAGTTCTTTAGTTTCTTTTGCTGTGCAGATGCTCTTTAGTTTAATTAGGTTCCACTTATTAATTTTTGTTTTTGTTGCAATTACTTCTGAGGACTTAGTCATCAATTATTTGCCAAAGCCAATGAACAGAATGGTATTTCCTAGGTTTTCTTATAGGATTTTTAGTTAGAGATTTTACGTTTAAACCTTTACTCCATCTTCAGTTAATTTTTTTGTATGGTGAAAAGTAGGGGTCCAGTTTTATTCTTCTGCGTACAGCTAGCCAGTTGTCTCAGAACCAATTATTGAATAGGGAGTCCTTTCCACACTTATTGTTTTTATCAGCTTTGTCAAAGATCAGATGGTTGTAAGTGTGCGACTTTATTTCTGGGTTCTCCATTCTGCCCTATTGGTGTATGTCTGTTTTTCTACCAGTACCATGCTGTTTTGGTTATTGTAGTCTTATGATATTGGGTGTATGTATAATGTGACACTTCTAGCTTTCCTATTTTTGCTTAGGATTGTGTTGGGTATTTGAGCTGTTTTTTGGTTCCATATGAATTTTAGAATAGCTTTTCTAATTCAGTGGAAAATGACATTGGTAGTTTGGTAAGAACTGTAGATTGCTTTGGGCAGTATGGCTACTTTAACAATATTGATTCTTGCCATTCATGAGCATGGAAAGTTTTTCAATTTGTTTGTGTCATCGATGATTTTTTTCAGCAGATTTTTATAGTTCTCCTTATAGAGATCTTTCACTTCCTATGTTAGATGTATTCCTAAGTGTTTTATTTTTGTGTGTTTGTGGCTATTGTAAATAGTACTGTATTCTTGGCTTGGCACTCAGCTTGAACATTACTGTTGTATAGAAATGCTGCTGATTTTTGCACATTGAATTTGTTTCTTAAAGTTTTACTGAAGTCATTTATCAGATATGGGAGCCTTTTGGTGGAGTCTTTATTGCTTTCTAGATATATAATAATATTGTCAGCATACAGAAATAATTTGACTTATTTTTCTATTTAGGTACATTTTATTACTTTCTATTGCCTGATTGTTCTGGCTCAGACTTCCAGTACTGTGTTGAAAAAGAGTAGTGAGAGTGGACACACTTATCTTGTTCCTTTTCTTAAAGGGAATGCTTCCAGTTTTTGCCCATTCAGTATGATGTTGGCTGTGGGTTTGTCATGAATGACACATTATTTCCAGGCATGTTCCTTCAATGTCTAGATTGTTCAGGGTTTTATCATGAAGGGATGTTGAATTTCAACAAAAAACTTTCTCTATTTATTGATTTGCACATGTAGAACCAAACTTGCATCCCAGGAATATAGCCTACCTGATCATGATGAGTTTACTTTTGATGTGCTGCTGGATTCAGTTTGCTAATATTTTGTTGATAATATTTTGATCTGTTTATTAGAAATATTGACCTGCAGTTTCCTATTTTTATTGTTGTTGTTGTTGTTGTTGTTGTTGTTGTTTGCCAGATTTTGGTACCAGAGTGATGCTCACTTCACAGAATGAGTTAAGGAGGAGTCCGTCCTCCTAGAGTTTTTGAAATAGTATCAGTAGATTTAGCACCATCTCTTCTCTGTACATCTGATAGTATTCAGCTGTTAATCCATCTGGTCCAGGGCTTTTTTCAGTTTGTAGGTTTTTATGACAGATTCAATTTCAGAATTCAATACTGGTCTGTTCAGAGTTTCAATTTCTTCCTGATTCAATCTTGGGAAGTTGTGTATTTCCAGGATTTATCATTTCCTCTAGATTTTCTAGTTTGTATTTATAGAAATGTTCATAATAGTCTGAGAATCTTTTGTATCTGTGGGATTAGATGTAACATCACCCTTGTCAGCTCTGCTTATTATTTTTCTCTTTGTTAATCTAGATAGAAATCTGTCTGATTTTTAGTTATTTTTTTTCTTCTGCCAGCTTTTGGTTCCTCTAGGTGTGATGTTAGATTGTAAATTTAAGATCTTTCTAACCTCTGGATATAGGCATTTACAGCTATAAACTTTCCTCTTAACACTGTTTTTGCTGCATCCTAGAGATTTTGGTATGTTGTGTTTCTGTTTTTATTTATTTCCATTAAAAAATCTGCTTTAATTTATTTTTTTACTTAGTAATTCAGAAACAAGTTGTCTAATTTCCACATAATTGTTTGGTTTTGAGAGATTTTCTTTGTATTGATTTCTATTTTTATGCCACAGTGGTCTGAGAGTATCATTGGTATGATGTTGCAGGAAGTCAGGGACCCCAGATGGAGGGACCGGCTGGAATCGCGGCAGAAGAACATAAATTGTGAAGATTTCATGGACATTTATCAGTTCCCAAAATTAATATTTTTATAATTTCTTACACCTGTCTTTACTGCAATTGCTGAACATAAATTGTGAAGATTTCATGGACATTTATCACTTTCCTAATAATAC
The DNA here is from genome assembly GCF_000001405.40 of Homo sapiens. Taxonomy (NCBI): domain Eukaryota; kingdom Metazoa; phylum Chordata; class Mammalia; order Primates; family Hominidae; genus Homo; species Homo sapiens. Next base: position 94,860,090 of record NC_000003.12, read on the forward strand.
TTTTATAATTTCTTATGCCTGTCTCTACTTTAATCTCTTAACCCCGTTATCTTCATAAGCTGAGAATGTACGTCACCTAAGGACCACTATTGTACAAATTGATTGTAGAACACGTGTGTTTGAACAATATGAAATCAGTGCACCTTGAAAAAGAACAGAATAACAGCGATTTTCAGGGAACAAGGGAAGATAACCATAAGGTCTGATTGCCTGCAGGGTCAGGCAGAATAGAGCCATATTTTTCTTCTTGCAGAGAGCCTACAAATGGATGTGCAAGTAAGAGAGATATCACTGAATTCTTTTCCCAGCAAGGAATACCCTGGGGAAGGAATGCATTCCTGGGGGGAGGTCTATAAATGGCCGCTCTGGGAGTGTCTGTCTTATGCAGTTGAGATAAGTACTGAGATATGCTCTGGTCTCCTGCAGTCCCCTCAGGCTTACTAGAATTGGGAAATTCCACCCAGGTAAATTTTGGTCAGACTGTTCTCTGCTCTCAAACCCTCTTTTTTCTGTTAAGATGTTTATCAAGACAATATGTGCACAGTGGGACATAGACCCTCATCAGTAATTCTAATTTTGCCTTTGTCTTGTGATCTTTATTGCCCTTTGAAGTATGTGATCTTTGTGACCTAATCCCTTTTTGTACACCCCCTCCCCTTTTAAAATCCCTAATAAAAACTTGCTGGTTTTGTGGCTCAAGGGACATCACAGACCTACCAATATGTGATGTTACCCCAGGAGGCCCAGCTGTAAAATTCCTCTCTTCGTACTCTTTCTCTTTATTTCTCAGACTGGCTGACACTTAGGAAAAATAGAAAGAACCTACATTGAAATATTGGGGGCTGGTTCCCCCAATAGTATGACTTCAAATTTTTTTAATTTATTGAAACTTGCTTTATGGCCATGCATGTGGTCAGTCCTTGAATATGTCCTGTATGCAGATAAGAAGAATGTACACTCTGTGATTGATGAGTGGAGCAGTCTTTAGATGTCTAGTAGGTTCAATTGATTAAGTGTTAAATTTAAGTCCAAAATTTTTTGGTTCATTTTCTGCTTCAATTATCTAATACTGTCAGTGGGCTGTTGAAGTCCCCCTCAATTATTGTAAGGCTGTCTAAGTCTTATCATAGATCTAGAAGTACCTGTTTTCTGAATCTGTGTGCTCCAATGTTGGGTGCATATATATTTAGGATAGTTACATCTTCTTGTTTAATTGACCCCTTTATTATTATGTGATGCCCTTCTTTGTCCTTTATGACTATTGTTTGTTTAAGTCTATTTTATCTGATATAAGAACAGTAATCCTGCTCTTTTTTCTTTGTTTTGCATTTTCATGATAGATATTTCTCCACTCTTTTACTTTGAATCTATTAGTGTCATTACATATGAGACAGGTCTCTTAAAGTCAGTGGATTGATGAGCTTTTTTTTTTTTTTTCAACTTGCCACTCTGTGCCTTTTAGGTGTGGCATTTACACCATTTACCTTTTTACATTCAAGGTTAATATTGACAAGTGTGGTTTTGATCCTATTGTGGAGTTGTTAGCTGACTGCTTTGCAGTTTCTATTGTATAGTCGCTTTATAAGGACTGTAGACTGTGCATTTAAGTATGTTTTTGTTGTAACAGGTAACTTTCTTTAGTTTTCATGTTTAGAACTTTCTTGAAGCCTCTTGTAAGGCTGGTCTAGTGGTAATACATTCCCTTAGCAATTATTTGTCTGGAAAATGTTTTATTTCTCCTTTCTTATGAAGCTAAGATTGGCAGAATATATAATTCCAGGTTGGAAATTCTTTTCCTTAAGAATGCTGAAAATAGTACCCTACCCTTTTCTGGCTTGCAAGGTTTCTACTGAGAAGTCTGCTGTTAGCCTGATGGGTTCCCTTTGTATGTGGTCTGACTTTTTTCTCTGTCTACTATTACGATTTTTTATTTAATGTTGACATTGGACAGTCTGGTGACTTCATGCCTTGGTGATTTTCATTTTTTAAAAAATATCTCACAGGTACTCTCTGGATTTCTTGTACCTGGATATCTACCTCTCTAACAAGACCAGAAAAATTTTCTTATATTATTCTCTCAAATATATTTTCCAGATTGTTTACTTTTTCTCCTCTCTCAGGAATGCAAATAATTTGTAGACTTGGTCTCTTTACATGTCCAATATTTCTAGAAGACCTTGTTAATTAAAAATAAAATTTTGTGTACATTATTGTCTGGCTGGGTTAGTTCAAAAGACTTGTCTTCAAGCTTTGAAATTCTTTTGTCTGCTTTGTTTGTTCTATTGTTAAGGCTTTCAGTTATATTTTGGAATTCCTTAAGTGAATTTTTTAATTTCAGAAGCTCTAACTGATTTATTTTTAAAATGTTTTTCTCCTCCTTCATTTCCTAGATTGCCTTAGAAGTTTCTATGTGTTATTTTACACATTGTCCTGGATCCTATTGAGTTTCCTTGCAACCCATGCTTTGAAGAGCTAGTGTAATCCTTTGGTGATTTCAAAACATTCAGATTTTTAATGATGTCAAAATTTTTGTGCTGGTTCTTTCTTATCTGGAGATGCTAAAACTTCTAATTTTTGTGATTATTTTCATGCAGATAAAATTGTTTTCTTTTCTTTCCAAGTTTTAATATTATTATTTATTATATATTACTATTATTATTATTATTTTCTTCCCCTTCATCCCTGCGTATCCTATTAGAGAATGTCGGCTAGAGTATTTTGGTTTTGCTTCTACAGCTCTATTCATTTCTGTCAGCAGGCTTTTTATTGGCCTGCGCAGTTCAACCTACAGGCCAGTAGATGGCAATGATAGTTAAAGTCCAGCTGCTGCCAATGTGGATGGGTATATACTTCATCCTTGTTTACTGGGAGGTCTCTGTCACCACACTCAATGGGCTGATCCAGTGCATTGCATAGTTTGAGCTCTCTTCTCAACCCTGAGTGGTGGGGGTGGCAGGGGGCAAGATGGGTGGGGCTGTATCAGGGGAACCTGCCACCAATATTTCAACATAGGTTCTTTCTATTTTCCATAAGTGTCAGCTGGCTGAGAAATAAAGAGAAAGAGTACAAAGAGAGGAATTTTGCAGCTGGGCCTCTGGGGATGACATCACGTATCAGTAGGACCATGACACCCACCTGAGCCTCAAACCAGCAGTTTTTTATTAAGGGTTTCAAAAGGGGAGGGGGTGTAAGAACAGGGAGTAGATCAGATACTTCAAAGGGCAAAAAGGAGAACTACTGCCAAGGGTCCAACAAAGATCACACGACAAAGGGCAAAAGCAGAACTACTGATAAGGGTCTACTTTCAGTGGTGCACTTATTGTCTTGATAAACATCTTAAACAACAGAAAACAGGGTTCAAGAGCAGAGAACTGGTCTTACCACAAATTTACCAGGGCGGAGTTTTTCCCCACCCTAATAAGTCTGAGGGTACTTCAGGAGACCAGGCATATCTCAGTCCTTATCTCAACCACATAAGACAGACATTCCCAGAGAGGCCGTTTATAGACCTCCCCCCGGGCATGCATTCTTTTCTCAGGGTATTAATATTAATATTCCTTGCTAGGAAAAGAATTTAGCGATATCTCACCTACTTGCACTTCCATTTATAGGCTCTCTGCAGAAAGAAAAATATAACTCTTTTTGCCCGACCCTGCAGGTAGTCGACCTTATGACTGTCTTCCCTTGTTCCCTAAAAATCGTTGTTATTCTGTTCTTTTTCAAGGTGCACTCATTTCATATTGTTCAAACACACATGTTTTACAAACAATTTGTAAGTCAACAGAATTATCACAGTGGTCCTGAGGTGATGTACATCCTCAGCTTACAAAGATAACAGGATTAAAAGATTAAAGTAAGACAGGCATAAGAAATTATAAAAGTATTATTTGGGAACTGATAAATGTCCATGAAATCTTCACAATTTATGTTCCTCTGCTGTGGCTCCAGCCGGTCCCTCCATTTGGGGTCCCTGACTTCCCACAACAGGGCTGGACCAGATAATCCTGCCTACAAGTCACCCAACGGCAGTCACAAAAAACAGCACTGAAGAGTGTCTGGTAGGTGGCCACCAAGCCCCTAGCGATGTGCCTAGGCATGGATTTGGGGAACCTCCTCAGGCCCAAGTTCTCTGCATGGTGCAGGGAGGCCACTGAAACTCCTAATCCAAGAGAATAGGTGCTACAAATCCCCGAGATCTGCCTGGGCATGAAGTTTAGGGGGCCCCAATCACCATAATCTGCACAAGAAGGGTGGGGCAGCTCAGGCTGCTGATTCAGGTTAGGAAGTGCTCCAACTGCCTGAGATCTGCCTGGTCATGGAGTGGAGAAGACTCCACTATACCATGATCTATGCACAGGAAAGGTAGGATGGCTCAGGCTACTGATCCAGGTAAGGATGTGCTCTGACTGCCTGAAGATCAGCCTGAGGGGAAGTGGAGAGGGTGCCTCTGCACCATGATCTATGCACAAGGAGGATAGAGTGACTCAGGCTGCTAACTCATATGAGTGGGCACTCTGGATGCCTAAAGATCTACCTGGGAGTAGACTGGAGAAGGGAGGGTCCTGCTGTGCCAAGATCTCAGTGGAGCAGACTGGGATACCCAACAACGTCACACACAGACCAGTTCCAGGTCTCCAAGCTGCCTCTGGCTGCAAGTTTTATCACCCTGGAAAAACTATGGTTGCAGCAGCTCTCCTCCCACTCCAGACCTGCCACAGAGGAAAGTACAGTTCCAGTGTCACACTTGCCACTCAATTCTGACTGCAGAGGTCCCTACCTGACTCCAGAGTGAGTACAGCAATCTCTGGACTACAATGCCTGCAGAGCCACACTGCCAGATCACCAAAGAATAACTGACTTTTCATGAACCTGGATTAAAAATGGCAGCCTGATCTCCATCCGAAGTTGGGGAAAATGCCTGCAGTTTTTCCCAGTGTCATTCCCTCTTAGTGTCTCCAAGCCTCTTCCCAAGTTAGCTCTAAGGCTTGGGAGACACTAAGTGCTTTCCCTTGGTCTTGGTTGCATGAATCCCCACTGGAAATGTAAGTCACAGAGATAGACACTGCCCCTCTCTCATCTGGGAACTTCACTCACTTTTATAAGCAAAATGCCATCACTGGGGCTGGTTACCCACCTTTTCCTTCTTGGGATTTGGGGTTAAACATATTTTTAAAACATTGTTTTCTATAATGTGCATGGTTCCCACACCCTCTTACATTGCTCCACTTGGTCTTTGACAAGTTTATTTCCCACAGCATTAAATCTTTAGCTTTCTAAAAATTCAGTTTTGACTTCCACTATTTTCCACATAGTTTCGCTGACAATTCATTCATTTTTTAGTAGCCATATGGTGATTTTTTCAATACTTTTATTTTAATTCCAGATTTTCTATGCTCATAATCCATGTGTAACTGCTGATTTTAAGAAGTCCATAGGATGACAGTAGTTCCCCTTCTGATGTTATCATTTTCCTCCAAATCTAAACCAAGTTCTGTACACTCAAATCTCAGTGAATGGTAAAATATTAATATAATTGTTGGTTCCTTTCTCAATGAGTACATATAATCTCCTACTAGGTACTGTTTATTCTATTTCTATATGTGTCTCTTATATGTCTACTTTCAGGCAATGTATTAGACCACCATTATATTTCTTCTGAATTAGAAAAGCTTCCAAAATTTCTTATTGTTTACATAAATACATTCACTATGTCATTGCCAGGATAATTATTCTGAAAGTAAAACATGCTCATTTGTCTCTCCTACTTAACAAGTCAGTAGATTTTCTTAATTTTTTTTTTATCTTTTAAGTTCAAGGCTACAAGTGCAGGTTTGTTACATAGGTGAACTTGTCTCATGGGGGTTTGTTGTACAGATTATTTTATCACCCAGGTATTAAACTTAGCAACCATTAGTTATTTTTCCTTATCTTCTCCCTCCTTCCACCCTCCACCCTCTGATAGGCCCCAGTGTATGTTGTTCCTGTCTATGTTTCCATGTGTTTTTATTATTTAGCTCCTACTTATAAGTGAGGACATGTGGTATTTGGTTTTCTATTCCAGTGTTAGTTTGCTGAGGATAATGGCCTCCAGTTCCATCCATGTCCCTGTAAAAGACATGTCCTTTTTATTGCTATGTAGTAATCCATGCTGTGTCTGTATCACATTCTCATTATCCAGTCTATTATTGATAGACACTTAGGTTGATTCCATGTCTTGGCTATTGTGAATAGTGCTGCAATGAACATATGCGTGGATATAACTTTGTAATAGGATGATTTATATAACTTTGAGTATATACCCAGTAATGTAATTGCTGGTTTGAATGATAATTCTGTCTTTAAGTCTTTGAGAAATGGCCACTCTGTCTTTCACAATGGTTGAACTAATTTACAGTACCACCAATAGTGTATAGGTGTTTCTTTTTCTCCACAACCTTGCCAGCATCTGTTACTTTTTGACTTTTTAATAATAGGCATTCTGACTGGTGTGAGATAGTATCTCATTGTGGTTTTGATTTGCATTTCTCTAAAGAACACTGATATTGAGCTTTGTTCCATATGATTGTTAGCCATAGATATGTCTTCTTTCAAAAAGTGTCTGTTCAAGTCCTTGGTCCACTTTTTAGTAAGATTGTTGTGTGTGTGTGTGTGTGTGTGTGTGTGTGTGTGTGTGAATTTGTTTATATTCCTAATAGATGCTGGATATTAGGCCTTTCTTAGATGCATAGTTTTCAAATATATTATCCCATTCTGTAGGCTGTCTGTTTACTCTGTTGGTAGTTTATTTTGCTATGCATTCTTAAGTTTATTTGGATCCCTTTTGTACATTTTTGCTTTTGTTGCAATTGCTTTTGGCTTCTTCATTATGAAATCTTTGCCAGTGCCTTCATCCTGAATGGTATTGCATAAGTTCTCTTCCAAGGTTTTTATAGTTTTGAGTTTTACATTTAAGTATATAATTCATCCTGAGTTGATTTTTAATTATGGTATAAGGAAGGGGCCCAGTTTCAACCTTCAATACCCTTTATTGAATAGGGAATCCTTCCTCCATTGCTTGTTTTTGTCTGGTTTGTTGAAGATCAGATAGTTGCATGTGTGCAGTCTTATTTCTGGGCTCTGTGTTTTATTACATTGGTTTATGTATTTGTTTTTGTACCAGTACCATGCTGTTTCGGTTACTGCAGCCCTCTAGTATAGTTTGAAGTTGAGTAGCATAATGCCTTTAGCTTTGTTCTTTTTGCTTAGGGTTGCCTTGGCTATTGGAGCTCTTTTTTGTTTCCACAAAAATTTTAAATGGTTTTTTCTGGTTCTGGGAAGAGTGTCAATAATGGTTTAACAGGAATAGCATTGAATCAACAAATTCTTTGGGCAATATGGCCATTTTTATGATATTGATTCTTCCTATTCATGAGCATGGAAAGCTTTTCAATGTGTTTGTGTCATCTCTGATTTCTTTCAGCAGTGCTTTGTAGTTCCCCTTGTAGAGATTTTTCCCTTCTCTAGTTGGCTGTATTCTAGGTATTTTATTCTTTTTGTGGCAATTATGACTGGGAGTTCATTCCTGATTTGACTCTCAGCTTGATTGTTGTTGGTGTATAGGATGCTAGTGATTTTTACACATTGATTTTTGTATCCTGAGACTTTACTGAAGTTGTTTATCATTTTAATAATTTTTTGGGCTGGGACTATGGTGTTTTCTAGATATGGAATCATGTCATCTGCAAACAGGGATAGTTTAACTCTTTCTCTTCCTCTTTGGATGCTCTTTATTTATTTCTCTTGTCTGACTGCCCTGGCCAGGACTTCCAATAATATGTTGAATAGGAGTGGTGAAAGAGAGCATCCTTGTCTTATGCCAGTTTTCGAGGGGAGTGTTTCAGCTTTTTCCCATTCAATGTGATGTTGGCTGTGGGTTTGTCATATATGGCTCTTGTTATTTTGAGATTTTTCTTTCAATATCTAGTTTACTGAGAGTTTTTAACATGAATGTATGTTTAATAGGATTTTAAAGCCAATTGTGAGATGGCCCCTTTAGCAGCATCCTCTCTCAAAAACTGACTGACATTGTTTGTTTCTTCTAATCAACTTCTCTCTACAATCCAACCAATAACACTGTTGCTTTCATTGTTAATTTTTCTGTCCTATTCTCTTTGAATATGTTGTTATCCATGGAATGTCCCTAAATTCTTGGAACTCTGCCTATTCCAATTAGCCCACATAAATAAGTAGAAATTTTGGAGCATAATAGAAATTGACTAAATAATTAAATTGGGATTAAAAAATTTAATTTTTTAAAACATTTAATTTTTTAAAAATATATTTTATTATGCTTGTGAAATTTTTTGAAAAAAGGGGTTATTAGTAACATAAAATTATCAATAACATATCAAAAATTTTAAATCATATTCAAATACAATCTGATGTTCTTCATGAAAAGTTTCTCTGGGTCATATATGAGAATATGGTTGTCATAGTTGAATAAGATATATAAAACTTTATAAAAATTATTGTTTACAAAATCTAAAAGTTTGTCTTCTATGGTCTTTTTTCCAAATATACTTCTTCCAAGTAGTTCATAACTTGCTTACATAACAGAAGTAGCTTATCCATAATGTGTTCATATAATGCAAGTTTTCATGAATGATGATAGAGTCCTTGTGGACTATGTATATGTGTCATTGAGGAGAAAAATGAATGATTCTTGTTTCCTGAGTAAATATGTAATATATGTTTAAAGTGAAATTAAAATAAACATTTTATAATAAAAATATATTAGATAATATAATTTTTCTACACTAGTTTTAAAGAAAAAAGTATTTGGACTAAGCAAAACTATAAATATATAAAGTCACCCTTAAAATAATCAAAATGTGCTGGTTAGATGCCATTGCTTGTAACTCAAAGAAAAATGAATTTCAAAAAACTAGGGCAATAATTATACTTTTAACCTCTTTATCTTCAGCAGAAAAGAGTACTGCTTAACCAATTATAGGCCATTTAGAACTTGGGAAACTTTATAAAATTATATATGGAATAAAAGTGCTTTGAATATAAGTCCAAAAAGTATATTTAGAAAGTTAGTTTTCTTGTATCAAAGTAAGTGTTTGGAAAATATCAAATCCCAGATGAATAAAAATGTGGTATTGTGCAACTTTTGAATAAGCTGCCATTTAGTAACAACGTGAAGTAAGCAGAAGTTTTTGGATAAGTATTCTCTTCCCTCACCAAACTTCTATTTTATTATTCAGAAACCAAGGTGATTTATAAAATCTTATTTGAATTGCGTAATTGTTGAAAGCCTTTCATCTATTTTAGCTTTTCTATTGATTCCTATTAAGAAACTATTGCATGTAGTTTCCATTGATACAAAAAATGTGTGTAGACTGCCCTTCCCAAATTCTGTTGTTATTTGGAAAAATGTGTTTATCAGCAGGAAATCAATTCAGGCTGCATGAGTTACAAGCTAATGTTAATTGATCCTGCTTTTTGTTATCTAAACTGTGCAATTTTTTTTCCTATGCTGGAGAAATATATAAGAATACATCCAGAACACTCATTTTACAAATATACAAATATAATCCCACAAATTATAATATAAACCAATTTCTTAACTTATCCAGTGAAAGCCTAGGCTTAAATGCCAAATAAACTTTTTATTGTTGTTGTTTATAGATGCCTTCATACTAAGTTGAATGAGATTCAGAAAGCCCATATGAAGATAATATAAACTTCTATATTATTCCTTTCTTATTAAAAAGCCCTCTAAAATAGATATATTAACTCAAGCTTTATTGTAAATGACAAAAAATCTATAAAAACATTTCACTTCTGGTGAACTTTCTTTCCTATAATAAACCTATTTTGGTTTTTATTTTTCTATAGTTTCGTGATAGCTCCATTATTGGTAGATCAAATGTTCATAGCACTTATATTACCTATAAATATATTATTTTGAGTACAAGTAAAATAAATTTTATGTAGTTAGTTGTTTGTTCACATTTCGTGACTTTGATTTCTCTTCAAAGAGACATAGAGCTGTTTTTGGAGCTAGTGGTTTTCAGAGCTGGAGCAAGTTAAACTTCCAATGACCAGGAAGTTTATAGAACTCCTGTCTATTATGTTGACAGGTCTTCTCTAGCACGAATAGCATTTCTCTTTAGGGGAGTCTAAAATTTACAATCCTGTTATGAGGTAGAATATGAAGGTGTTCCCATATGCCTTTTCTTTATATCTCAGTCATACATAACTTCATCATCATTTCTTTGCTGAGCCATACCAAATATTGACAGCATTGGTAACACAAGAAAGGGTTTAGCAGTCAAAGTAGTTAAATGGCTCAAACATTTTAATTGATTAAAGTGAATTATTTTAAAAGAAAATTTAAACCTTTTGCAAATAAGCTGCAATCAAGCTCTTCACTGTTGCTTATACATGTTAATTCAGGGAAACGAAACCCAAAACATATCTTCAACTATAAGAACAATCTGGGCTGTATTAATTAGCTGGATGAATATGAACCTTCTCTTTTCAATCAAACATTCAATAGTAATTCCCCATCATATTATGGACATATAATAGTTTTTTTTTTTTTTTGGTTTGTTTTTTGTTTTTGTTTTTGTTTTTGTTTTTGTTTGAGACGGAGTCTCGCTGTGTCGCCCAGGCTGGAGTGCAGTGGGGTGATCTTGTCTCACGGCAAGCTCTGCCATCTGGGTTCACGCCATTCTCCTGCCTCAGCCTCCGGAGTAGCTGGGACTACAGGCGCCCACCACCACACCCGGCTAATTTTTTTGTATTTTTAGTAGAGACGGGTTTTCACCGTGTTAGCCAGGATGGTCTTGATCTCCTGACCTCCTGATTTGCCCGCCTTGGCCTCCCAAAATGCTGGGATTACAGACATGAGCCACCACGCCCAGCCTATAATAGTATTTTTAAAGAACTTATTTTATCTCTTTTTTGAAAGATCTGTTTTATTTTATAGTGATCTTGAAAAGTCTAAGTAAAAAATACTAGCGTTTACAAAATAAGTAGTCAAATTAAGTTACTTTGTCTTTAAGTTTTCTGTTGCTATACCTCCTGGGCAAATGTTTAGTTTCTTATCATATATAAATATATATTATTTTCACCTATTGCTTATACACACAGCACACCCACACAATCACACACCGCATGTGACTCATTGAAGCAATGAGCCATGCTGGGGAACACCTTATACTGAAATAGTAAAGTCATGGCATATAGTCCATCCTGTTACAAATGTGTAGCATAAATAAGTGGATTTACTTTTTTTTTACCCAAATCCTATAATCTATACATGAATAAGGTTAATGTTTTCTATCCTACTTAGCCCTTCTTAGCTATTATAAGGATATTAAACAGTGGTAAGAGAGTATACATACAGGGAAAGCAAATACATTAAAAGTACAAGATGTGGAACATGCAGCTAATATCATTTAAAAATAATTTTGGATGACTCAAATCAAATGCTATTTTCAGATTAAAATAGCTATGTGTAGTAAGAATCTGACACTCTATCTTGATGTATTATGAAGTACTAATTTTTTCCCAAATCAATGCCACCTGACCATGATGTCCTTAACTTCCCTTCATCTTGACTAAATTTTAGGCAAGATTCTTCCCAACTCTAGGCCTCTGACCTCACCTTTTCTTAGAGCATTTACCTCAAAAAACTTGTATTTATAAATTCTGTCTATGCCTCTTTGAAATAATAGATCTTTAAAAACCATTTCTGCCAGTCCTTACAACCCAGGAACATCTTTCTAAGAATTTGGAAGCCATGTCTTTGACATGTAATCATCATAGATGATAGGGCCCTATATCTCATTTTCTGTGGATCTCCAGGAGCCTAACTTTACTGGTGCCTTGCTACCTATAACACTATCTGTTATCATGAAGATGAGAGAATCTTGAGTAAATTAGTGGACACAGATGGCCTATGATATTCTCATTCTAATTCCTAAAAACTCTCTAGCTCTTTGTTTCAGTAGAGTTGAGCGCAGACTTGAGATCTGACCTCTAGTTCCTCTTACAAAAGCCTTGAATAACTAAAATTCATATTCATTACCCAGTCTAATGAATGTACAAAACCATAGTAGTCATTTTAGTGCCTAGCAATTTTGAACTATAGTGAATATAGTGAATACATATTTATAACACTAGTTAGAAGTTTTGAGTTTTTTTCTCATTACATTGATATTAAATTTGTTATTTATACTATAAAATAATTTTTTTAAAAAAAGATTATGTCAATTTCTTTTGTTAGCCCTATATTTAAATGTACGTTTCTGGTTCACAGCAAGTATGAATTATAAATGAAGTCATTAATTAAGGTCTTTGTCATGTGTAATTTTTTGTAATCGCTATTGCCTTAGATTTTTTCTCAGCCTTTTATTAAATGTAATATGCTTACATTCTACTTTCATGTTAAATCTGAAAAGGTCATAATGATTATCCAATCATGGCTCTTGTTTTACAGATGAAAAAAACTGAATCCTGTAAGAGTTAGAATACATATTCAGGGTTATATATAGTAACTCATATGCAGAGCTTGGCCTACAGCTATACTTTTTTCAATTCCTAGGCCAATAGAAATAATTTAGCAATATCAAATGTTCAGTGATTAATGAATTGATGTGGCTAGTACTTAGCACATAAAGTCACCAGGATATTTGTTCAAAGACATCTGTATATTTAATTTACTCTCTTTAAATCTATATTGTTATACCTACTGCTATTGCTAAGAGGATTGATCATGTCAAAAAAAGTCCTTAACTCACTTGTAAAACTGTTGATTGATCGAACTAAATTTGCAGGCCACTTGCCATTTTTGTTTTAATGTCCAGGTCATGATGAAAATGTATGCCTTGTTTAAAGTCTTTTAAGGGGTCTTTAGCCCTATTCACTCAAGAATCTGCTATGTAATAACAGTCGATCTAAGAAGACAATTCACATTGCAGCCTTCAGTTATATTGCCCAAAATAGAATACCAAGTGTCCCTTAGAATGTGCTTCTATGGGCCTTCAAATCTCACCCCATCCACTGCTATATACTTTAAGAAAGTGAAGAGTTAGTAGTGACTGAGACGTTCATCCCACTCTAAGACTGAGCAAGCATTAAGGATGAAAGGAAATGAGAGTTTGCTTTTAAATTAAACATAATCAATGACATGCCATTTAATTTTCTGGAACTGACTCATACTCGTTCTGTAATGTCATACTACCAGAAAATGATCTATAATTTAAAATTATGAGTGTTGGATATTAAGAGTTATTTATTATGTCTTTTATAAACGTTTTATCTGTTAAAGTTTATTATCCAAATGGCAGTGGTACTGAGTATTGGTTGGAGGAAAGAGGCAAATAAAAATATTTTGAATTTTCATTTTTGTGAGAGGACATTGAGAGTAGTCATATGTAATATTTTAAAATACCCAGTATGCATAGAAATAGCAAAAACTAATTATTTTCAATTTTAAAATATGTCATTAAATTCATAGTGTAGCATTAAGAATAAAGTATCTGTTTTATAATAAGGGCCATTTTAATAGAATCAAGCAACATTTACAATAAAACAATAGTTGAGACCATGCCTATGATTTTAGTATCACTAGCATTTCCTTTAATTTGTCCCACCATGTCTTTTTCACACCTAATATAATTTGTCTACTTCTCTAGTGACAAAACCAAGTGAAAGAACTAATACACAGATATATTTGTGTCACAGGATCCTTGGGGTGTCACTTCACCAGCTGAAAGCCCTGCTGTCCACAGCACCTTCTGCCTGAGTATCGCTTGCGCCCACCGGGGTCCTTCCACTCATTTAGCGTGACAGGCTGTGCTTAGCTCACGCTACCAGCCCGGATTCCACATCTACCAAGGGCCAGTTACGTGTGGAGCGGTAAGGGGTGTGTGAGCAAGTGAGTGCAGGATCTGGCCAGTGTGCACAGCCAAGCATGCTGCCTGCTACAGTAGATGGACAGCTCCAAGCGCTGGCATAGGTGCCGGCTCCATGTGAGGCTGTGGCTGGACAAGATGTATTGCACATGGCTTCTGCTGCAGGCACCCATGTGGAGGAAAATGCAGTGGTTCCCAGAAGCTTGGAGATGCCAGGAACTGCAGAGACCCAAACAGGGTGTCACACCACTAGCTTGGGGAGCCCCTAGGTCTTGGCTCCTCAAAGGGCTGCAGCACTTCTCTCCTTCTCGTTGCCTACAACAGAGCAAGTAGTGGTGCTTGGTGGTGGGGAGGGGTGTTTCAGCCCTGTTTATGTTACTGCTTTTTCAGTCCTGCCATTAGGTGGGTCCCGAGTTCTTGTCCTGTGTCCAAGAAGAATTAGGTATGTGGACAACTGCAGGGTGAGCAAGGCGGAGAGGAGCTTCACTGAGTGACAGAACAGCTCTCAGGAGATTTGCAGTGGGTATCTCCTTTCTGCAAACAGGTCGTCCCAGTGAGTGTCCAGCTCTCAGTGGAGAGAAGACCTTCAGGGGTAGCTCCTTTCTGAAGGCAAGTTGTCCCAAAGAGTGTCCAGCTCTCAGCAGGAAGGAGACCTGCAGTTGGTAGCTCCTTTCTGCAAGCAGGTCAACCGGAAATCTGTTTGAGCCTGGCTGAGTGGCGGGTGGCAGAGGTGTTAATGGGCACAGAAGGGAGGAAGTGTGTGATGATTGGTCCATGGGCAGCCATGGGTGGGCCCGGATAAAGAACCATAAATTCTCACTCCAGGCTGCAGAATCCACTCGGAACTGACAGTCCAGCCCCCATGCTTCAGGACATTCTTGGCTGGAAGGTGGGGCTCACTGGGGACCCACCTCTTTTCACCCAGTAGCCTGTCTGACTCCTGCCAATCATGTCATCGATGGCACACAAGCTATTCCTGCTGAAAGGCACCTGCAGGCCCACCATGAACCACCCTCATCACCTCCTCAGCCCCCCTCCCATGCTTGTCAGTGCCCAAAGTCTGGAAGATACCAAGGTGACAGGGGCTGGTGTGTCAGCGCCACCCTGAGCACCGCATACCCGGCTGGGTTGAGACAGCACTCTGGTTCAGCCTCAACTTTGCTGTGAATTCCCAGCAGGTGCTGGAAGCAGGGAGAGGCCAGGCAGCAGGGGCAGGCACTTCTGAGCCTGCTGGGGCAGGGAGACTTTCTGAGCCCCCAGGAGTGCAGGGATGACCGGGTCCACAGCCCCAGCTGGGCAGCTGTAGCTGCAACCAGGAGGGCAGGGCTCCTACCTCACCAACTCAGAAGGGGGCAGGGCTCCCACTTGTTTGTGGCTCCTGCTGGCTCCAGAGAGTGCTCAGCTCTGGCCACACCTCCCACATTGCAGCTGGAGTTCTTGCAGCAGCTGCTCCACATGGGCCACTGCTGCCTTCAGTTGTATTGATCAAATAATTTAGGCAAGATATTTTCAGCAGGAAGAATTTGGTAACTAATTTCTTAAGTCACTACTGTTGTTAGGATAAAACATAAAGAATCTGGATGAAAAAAGTTTTTCAAAGAGTTGGAGAAATAAAAAAATCTGCAAAGATTTTGAACGGAGTCAAAAATTAGTCATCAGAGTCTTAATCATAATGATAATGCTTTCCTAATTATTCTTAATACTCACTGCCCAATTCCCCCATTAAGCTCGTCTTACATTTCATCTATAAATCCTTTGATATTCAATTTTTCTTCTGAATTTTCCTCTTGACACAAACTTTCTGCTAATTGGATATATTAGGGTTGACAAGAGATACTGAGAGGCAGTCAGTTTTCCTTAAATTTTTTTTTAAATAGCAATTTTGTATACTGTTCCCTTTACTAACCCAGAAAGTTGTTTTTACCTGGAGGTAAATTGAATGATAAAACAGAATAAACTGACCCCAAAGAAGTATTAGAATTTTTTTTTTATTCCCATGAGAATATTTTATAGGTCATCTCTTATTTCTGAAATAAACTTAAAATCTTTGGATCCATGGGTAACTCTAGGCTTTCAGTAAAGATGGGAACTGACCCCTGCTTTTAACACATAGTCCATTTTTCAATTCTCCCTGGGTCCAGATCTGTAGCTTTGTCCAGTTCTGAAGCTGTGTAAGTAGGCTAGGGGGGATTTTAATTTCTTTTCTTTTCTTTTTTTTTTTTTTTTTTTTTGGTCACTTGAAGGTATTCTTCTGAATATAAGTGAAATCTCTCTGAGGGGTTCAAAGTGCTATTAAAATATACAAGTTTCTTTAATTTCATGCCTCTCTCAGGGTGTATCTTTGTTGGAATGAGAACTAAAAAAAGCTTTGTTAACTCCCAACAAAAATGTCACTTAAAAAATGATTGCAACATCAGGAAATTGAACACATCAAATAGAAGTTTTAGATACCATCAAAACAAACCTGCACTGGACAAACTTTAACAGGCAAGCAAGAGCTTTTTCAAGGCTTCTGTGATAGGGAAGATAGGCCATAGCTGAGTCTGAACTCAATCTGTTGAAATAAAGGACTGGAGAAGTTTTAAGTGCTGGGCTGAGTTAGCTGAAGAATATTGGAGGACTTCAGAGAGGAAGCTGATCCTTGGCGTGTGTGGAGCACCTTGAGTTACTCCTGACTTTGGAAATGTTTTTCTCTGTGATTCGGTTTTCTGTGTTTTCTCATTGGAGTTAGGCTTCTACCTTCCCATAACAACTGAGAGATACTGGCACTATTTTCCTTCTGATCCCATTTAAACGAGATGGTCTCTAGGGCCTTAAGAAAGACATTTATTGGTTGTAAAACTGGCAAGAAATTTTTTAAAAATTTACATCTCAAAGGGATAGCGAAAAAACTACAAATAATCTAAAATAAATGCTTTAAGAAAAAAAGAAAGTATGGGCCTGAAGAAGGCAGAAGCCTGTCTAAAGTTTAGTCAAGCTGATAGACACATTAAGGCCTTCTGAGTCAGTACGTTTAAGTTCCATAAGGGAGAAAGACCCATTGGCATATTTGAAGATATGGACTATTCCTTTAGAGATAGAATCAAGAAAGATAATTTGTCTCTTCATGAACTATACCTTTTTACAACTATTATCAACAAAATCTTAAAACAGCTCAGTTCACATGTAACATTCCTTTGCTGAAATCAAATTCTATGGCTTTATTAAGGGCACATATTAGCTTTTCATGTTAGAATAGAGACTGGAGGAACTTGCTAGTCAAAATGCAGCTGCTGGTTATAAAAGCTCAAAGGACAGTTTATTTCAACTAAAGGTAAGATAACTAGGAGCTATTAAATCAAGCAAAAATAATTTACTTTTTTGTTATTGCTCTGTACACATGATTAAGTATAAAAAGCCACCTTACATTTATTTTTAAACAAAATGAACATTAAGCAACTAGATATATTTAAAAGTTGTAAAAACGGTTCACCAGCAAAGGACTGGTAAACATTTCTCTTTAGTAAAAATGAGAGTCAGATGGCACTTTCCTTCAAAAATCTTATACATGTTCAAGCAAGTTTATCTTTTCTTAAAAAGGCAAATTTCCTTCTATTTTTTTGTGTAACTGCTGAGTCTATTGCCCCGTTGATTAAATTATGGTCCTCATGTGGATATAATTTTAGAGATGGTTTTGATATATTGAAGGAAACCAAATTCTTTCACTCCAAAACATACTTCTTCGACATATTTCAAGATGGTTATTCGGAAAAGCTGGAAATGTTAGAATATCTAAAAAGCTATCTTTTATGGAGGAGATCTGCATTTGTAGAGAAAATTTGCCTTGATGCAGCTTGGCTTTCTCTGTGGGCCTTTCCTTGTTCTGGTCTAGAAAAGATAAATTGAGAAATTGACACCTTTAAGGTCTCAAAGAAACACTTACCATCCATTCTTTCTGTGGGCTGCTACTTGTGAGGTTTCATCTGTATAACAAGACTGCCTTTGCTCCCCAGGCCTCTACTTCTCTCCTTCTCCTAACCTGCCATGCCACTATAACCTAATTTACTACAGTAACGTGTTTTTGTCCATTCTCCAAGCCCCCATTCAATTCTGTAACCTGAAGATATTATAAAATCATCAACTCCTACAGCCATTTCTTTTAAATCTTCGTAAAGTCTCCCATGCACATTAATAAATTTGTATGCCACTTCACTTCTCCTATTAATCTTTCTTTCATCAGTTTATTTTCAGAACCTTCAGAGGTCAAAGGGAATGTTTTCCCTTGGCTCCTACAGTAGGATAGAAGATACACCTAATTGTTGCATTGATTCGAAAGATCTTAAAGCCAAATGAAATGAAATAGTCCTATTCTTTGTTTATATTCTTTTGGTATAAAGAGGTAAATTTTCTAGGTTTATGTTCAGAGGATACAAGGAAGCAAGATTTTATTACAAAGAAATAAAGGCCAAACATAGATTTATAATAGCAATCCTGTAACTGGCAGAGCCAGCTTGTTAGCTTACCTTAAGAACAAAGTAAGTACCCATTGCTCTATTTCTTCTTACACATACATCTAACTACCTGTCTCCTTAGGAATTCTAAAGGCTAATCTTGAAACAATCCAGGCATGAAGTGAAATGGTGGTTACAATTTTCTTTCTTCTAAGAAGAAATTGATGTGCAGTTAATTCATAACCTGATCCTGCCATAATCACACCAACTAAGCTTCCAGATGGTCCATTACTCAAGATAGGCTTTGAAGAGTAACAAGCAGATCTGCACTCTACACCACTCTTGCACATGTATATTCTAGCTAATTCACAAAATGTTTCCCTAGCCCTCCAAGACATGCATAAGTGAATTAATGTCCAACCTTATGATGTCACTATGTCAATGGTTATCTTCCTGGTTTGGGCCAGGACCCTCCTGGTGGAGAAAATTATCAGTAACCCTTGCTATGATTATAAGAATAGGCATTCTTCTTTGCTGTGGATTGTACTCTTTCTGGACAATATGCATGAGTTGCAAGACTGCTTTTCTCAAAGACTATTAAATCCTCATGCAATGATTCAACACATTGCTTCTATGGGTCCAAGACCTCATGATTATTTCCAACTCCAGGTAAATAAATTGCATTCTTTAGCTCCCTAACTAGGCCCTCTGTCAGCAGGAAGCAGTCCGAATGAAGTCTATGCCCCCGTATCCCATAGAAATGGAATGGACATTGACAGAGGGGAGTCTGGAATCAGTACAGCCAGTCATCTAGCCTGCTTTTTTTAAGAAAGTAACACATCCCTTGCTTGTTTCTTGTTACACATATATCTAAATACCTGTTTCCTTAGAAATTCCAAAGGCTAATCTTTAAACAATCCAAGCATGAAGTAGAGATGGTGATTACAATTTTCTCTTGTTTGAGAAGAAATGAGTGCATGGTTAATCCACAACCTGACCCCACCTGAATGATGCTGAGTAGACCTCCAGAGAGTCCACTATTCAAGATAACCATTGGAAAATGACAAGCAGACCTGCACCCTGCACACTACTCCTGTATGTAGCTTCCATGCTACTTTGCATGTAGCTTCCATGCCACCTTCTCCCTTAAATTCCTGTAACCAGCCTGAAAGTCTGAGATTTTTTTTTTTTTTGAGACTTGAGTCTTCCAGCTGCTGATATTTGAAAAAAACCTGCTTTCTTTCCACCAACTCTCGTTTCTTATGCCTGGCTTTTTGAGCAGCTGGCAGCCAAAACTGAGTTCGGCTACAACCCTAGCATTTTAGAGAAAATCTTGAGTAAAGTAATTTTTTGAAAACCAGAAAGCTAAAAATCATTCAACTGAGTAGGGTTAAATGGAGGAGAATTCAAGTGAAACAATAAAAGAGCAAGATAAATACCAAATTCTCAGGAGGTTTGGTATTTTCCCCATGTTTGTCTAAAATTCTAAATCTGAGTCAACAAAAACACAAGAACATTTCAAATGAAGCATCTCAGAGAATATGATGAACTTTCTTTAAGATTCCAGATTTGGGAGATAATATAGACATATAAATTATGGTCTAATTTATAAAAGTTGTTCTTCAATTTTTTTTTTAATTTAGCCAACTGAGAATATTTTAATTTCACAGTACTACAAAACAGAATTATTATTATTAAAGCAAACTTATTTGGCAGAGTATTGTTAAATTGAATTTTTTTTCTTTATAACTTATTGAGAAAAAAATTTTACTTAGTAGCCCTATATCTCTCTGGATTTGAAAATAAAAAATACTCTTCTGAATCATGTTTAAAATTTCCAAAACATTATTGTAATTTAGAAGAGGTTACTTGAAGAGAAAGTACTTCTTCAAGTAGTCCAAATAACTAGAGTCAAAAATATAATCATTAAGTAAGGTATTTAGGCAATGAGACCATCTTAATCAATCTAAATTGAAAAGGTCAAAGGATCCTTTACTTACTAAAGAGCACTGAGCAGACATTCTGAATATCCAAAAGTGACCAAGCAGAAAAGGGCAAGATTTAGATGTAAGAAAATGCATCTTGGCCAGGTACAGTGGCTCACGCCTATAATTCTAGCACTTTAGGAGGCTGAGGTGGGTGGATCACAGAGCCAAGGAGTTCAAGACCAGCATAGGC
The DNA here is from genome assembly GCF_000001405.40 of Homo sapiens. Classification (NCBI taxonomy): domain Eukaryota; kingdom Metazoa; phylum Chordata; class Mammalia; order Primates; family Hominidae; genus Homo; species Homo sapiens. The sequence goes on from NC_000003.12 coordinate 94,880,608, forward strand.
AACATGGTAAAACCCTGTCTCTATAAAACATGCAAAAATTAGCTGGGCATGGTGGCACACACCTGTAGTCCAGCTACTGGGGAGACTGAGGTGGGAAGACCTTTTGAGCCTGGGGAGGTGGAGGTTGCCATGATCTGTGATCACACCACTGCACTCCAGCCTGGATGAAACAGTGAGAACCCATCTCAACAAAAAGAAAAGAAAGAGCATCTTACTACTTAAATTTATGGACAAATGAAATGGGACATGAAGAGAAGAATTTTTTTTTTTTGCTATAATTAGCTGATTCAAAAGAGTATGCTACAATTTATTTGGGTATACTTTTCAGTATGTACTGAAAGAGTTTTTTCTATATGCCTAAATCCTGCTTGGATAGAAAAAACTTCAGAACTGCTTAATATGAATAAACAGATCTAATTTTATTTGTACTTGGAAGTCCAGAATTTCCAAGTAATTAATTTTCCTAAACTCCTATAAGATTGCCAAATACAGTCTCCCACTAATAGTTCTAGTCATCACTGTATACAGTGCATCAGAAAATTAACTTGGCTTGGTATCAAAAGACTGGGACCAAATCTCTGATATATATCTTGTTACTATGCAATTAAATAACTCAAACTTAAAATTGTTGGAACTTTAAATTATTCTGAGCCTTGAAACGAATGTGGTTATCTGTCACATGGCATGCTGCTACAACTCCTGCCTTGTTTTTTTTTTTGTTTTTTTTTTTTTTTCTGTAAATAATTAGGAATACCAAGCAGGACCAGATATAAGACACACCCTCTCTATCACTATTCCTCCTTATGGAGTAATAAAGTAATAATCTTTAGAATGTAGCAATCTGTAACCAATCAAATCACTGTAAAATATGCACTGGTCTGGGTATGAAAAAATGTTGTAATCCGCTAAAACTTCTTTGTTTCTGCCTACATAAGTGAAACCTTAACTTTTCTCCTTCAGAATGCTGACCTCTTTTATTTAGAGTTGTTTCCCAGGTGGATATCCTTACGTTTTGTGCTCAAATAAATGCTATACCAAATCATATTTTCTGCATGTCATTTAAGATGGACATTTTGGCAACCACTGAAAGACTGGAAATGGACCTCCAGTGATGTTCATCACTTTGCTGACAATAGAAGCTCTGGTACCAGCATGAATGACTTTGTTCATCTGACCTTGCTAGAGTCAGTGGGGATCTCTGGTAAGACCCTTCTCAGGTTCACATCTCCTGCTTTGGTTGAGACACAGATTTTATTCAAGCAGCACACATCTGAAACTCAATGAGGTTGGAATTTAAGCTGTACTACAAGGTAGGAATTTCATTTGTTATTCTTCAGAGATTTTGATAATTGTGGATTTGTGATTTTTGCTTTTCTATGAGGTTAAGGTTTTGTTTCAAATTACTCCTTAGAGTCTTCAGTCTTTTCTCCCATTTGAAAGTCTGGTCGGGGGAGAAACAATTTATCTTTGAAACAAGGAAGTAAATCTTTGTTGCTTAAATTAAAAATTTGTAATCTTTAAAACTAGACAGATTCTGAAGCTTGGTTCAATTGACAAATCGAATGTTTCTTCCTAAGCAAACAAATTTGTAAAAGGCTCTCTATAAGTATGAGATAAATCTAGAAGATAAGAGATACCATTTCTCCTGGCCAAAAGGCATTGCAGACAACTAAGATCTTATAGGTGTGTTAAAGTTTATCACTTGTGATATGAAACAATCTCACAAAGAACATCTTAAGAAGAACTTACAAGGAATCTTGCTTAACTTGGTGGGCACACATAAAGGTTGATCACCTAGTGCCTTAGGTACCCAGTCTCTTGGGACCAACAAGACATGTTAAAAGGGAAGAATAGACTCAAGAGTGACACCTTGAGAAGCTATTTCCACAAGTGGTACACACAATCCAAAACACCTCCAATTAGTTCATTTTGGTCATTCAAAAGAAAAGTCTAAACTATGGACAACCATACTTCTAAAACTGAGTCTTCCTCCTTAAGGAGAGATATAGCACTAGAAACACCAAAAGGATTCATGTTTAACACCATAGTCCCTCTACATGAAAATATTTTTTAAAATGGTGTCACATAACTTATGATGGCCCCAAATTACAATGGTCAAAATGGAGTACCTTTGAAATAAACCTAAAGAAGTTTATCTGCGTGCTCAATCAAAAAAAACAAAAAACAAAAAAACAAAAAAAAACTGGCTCTAAAATAAAATAAAATTCCTGGGAGAGCTATTTTAAGTAGTGCATAGAAACCTCTAAAAGGGATTCTGATAAAGTCATTTATTTGCAAAAGGGAAACAAAAGATTATCTAAAACAATTTCTGAATTGAAAAAGACTGCTGTAATTTCTCCTCCTTCTTCAGCTCTTTTTTCTCTTTTGTCAGAATGTTCTTTTCTGGACTTATCTCCTTCTTTCTCCTCCTCATCTGCCTTTTTCTGCTAATCCAGGTCCATTTGGGTAAAATCCTGTGCCTGGTAGAGGAGAACCTGACTTGGTTTATCAATCATGATGAAAAGTAGAATTTAAAGACATAATTAAAAATTTCCCAGTTCCTCTTTAAAACCCTATTGGATTTGCTAGAGAATTCACATTAAACATTCAAACTTATGACCCTGGACTCACTGATTTATATTTGGTTTACATGTTTGTGTCAGAAAGTAAAACCAAAGATTGGATAACAAAGGTAAATTGGAGAAATCCTCTAGAAAGCTTCCACAAGTTTTCTGAAGTGGATTGTGAAGAGGCTTGCAGTTCTGCCAAAGCTTTACTAGAGGCTGTCTCCTTAGTTTTCCAAAGAGTCATTGTTTGGAACAAATGCAATAATGCCAACAAAATCTTAATGAGCCTGTCAAGACACACTGTGAAATATTTGAAAAAACATCTAAACAACATTCAGACCTATAACCAGCAAAATAATACTATCCTTAACTTGAAGTTTATAAGTAGACTACATAAAGAATTGGCAATTATAATAAAGAGGCAATACCCTAGTTGGGCTACCTGTCAAACTCATAATGTAGTTAATTTTGCCAGTCAAATGTTATAACCTAATCAAGGAAGAAAGGGAAAGGGAAATTAAACACACAGGAAAAGTAAAAAAGATTATGAATTTATGAATAAAACAATTGTTCAATATATAAGTCTTCAACAACCTAATATGTTCCAAAACCAACCCAATCTACCACTTTGCAGTTACTGCAAACCTGTATGAGATGATTGTATGAAATTAAAATAAAAATAACATCTACAAGCCAAAGAAAAAATTAAAATAGGAATGCTCTGAGGAAATCAAAGGTATCTCCTCTTTTCTCTTCACTAATACCTTAGGTGAAATTAAAATTAATTAAATAAGGAAAAAAAACACAAGACGATAATGACACTGAGCTAAACTACTAGTGATATTATAAGTGTTAAACGGAAAGAACTGACTCAAGGATGACACCTTGATGAGTTATTTCCACAAGTGGCACATACAATCGAAAACACTTTTCACTAGTTTATTTTAATAATTCAAAAACAAAGTCTGAATTATGGCTAATCATACTTCTGAAACTGAGCCTTCCTTTTTAAGGAGAGATTCTTTATGTAATCTATTTATAAAATTTGAGTTAAGGAGAGTATTATTTTGCTGGTTATAGGTCTGAATATTGCTTAGATTTTTTTTTAACACTAGAAATACATTTTTACAAGGTCCCATTTCTTGGAATAAAATAATTAATAATAATATAAGTGATTTATATAACAAAATACTTCTATATTAGTATATAAATAAAAACCTACAGTGTTCCAGTTAGGCCTCCTATATGGAGCACGTTTTCCTCTTGGTTTCCTCAGCCCCCATTTATCATTTTTATTATTACTGTTATTATATTTTCGGTTCTGGGGTACACGTGCAGAACGTGCAGGTTTGTTACATATGTATACACATGCCATGGTGGTTTGCTGCACCCATCAACTCGTCATCTACCTTAGTTATTTCTCCTAATGCTATCCCTACCCTAGCCCCTCACCCCCAACAGGCCCTGGTGTGTGATGTTCCCCTCCCTGTGTCCATGTGTTCTCATTGTTTAACTCCCACTTATGAGTGAGAACATGCAGTGCTTGGTTTTCTGTTCCTGTGTGAGTTTGCTGCGAATGATGGTTTCCAGCTTCATCCATGTCCCTGCAAAGGACATGAACTCATCCTTTTTTATGGCTGCATAGTATTCCATGGTGTATATGTGCCACGTTTTCTTTATCAAGTCAATCATTGATGGGCATTTGGGTTGATTCCAAGTTTTTGTTATTGTGAACAGTGCTGCAATAAACATACGTGTGCATGTGTCTTTATAGTAGCATGATTTATAATCCTTCGGGTATATACCCAGTAATGGGATTGCTGGGCCAAATGGTATTTCTGGTTCCAGATCCTTGAGGAATTGCCACAGTGTCTTCTATAATGGTTGAATTAATTTACACTCCCACGAACAGTATGAAAACATTTCTATTTCTCCGTATCCTCTCCAGCATCCTCTCCAGATTGCCCCCATTTATTTGATAGTGAAAGACCTTCTAGTACTATATAAGAATTACATTCCTTTCTCTCAAAAGAGGGAAATATTTTTAGAATTTGAAGATAAAATAGAATCATTAGGTCCAAAATGTTTTTCTTTTTTATCCTTTTTTTTTTTAAAAAAAAAAGCTAGGTTCAGTACATACAAAATGTTTTCAAAATATGTTCCTTTTAGTTTACAGATTGCAATTCATATTGTCATAGAGGGAAATTAAATCGTTAAATAATTAAGAATTATAAGAGCTGTTAAAAATAGTACCTGATCAATTGTAGTTAAATTCCTCCACTCATACTGAGGAAATATATTGGCTGCATCAATTAAAATTCAAATGAATCTATCAAATCACCTTCTAGACCTTAAATAATACCCTGTAATATCAGAGGCTTCAGAAGTGATAAGACCTAAAATTTTGGATGATATAGAAAGAAACTTAATTATTAGTTGTACAAGCCCATGTAACCAAATGGTAGAGAATGGAGATTTGTACAGGCTCTGAGAGCAATTAATAACATAGTCATTCCTCAACATTCAGTAGTACCAAACCCCACACGTTGTTGACTGCCATCCAAAATAAAGATGTGTTCTTTATCATGATAGACCTATGTAGTAAAATCTTTAGCATTCCTGGGAATAAACATAGTCAATTTCTCTTTGCCTTCACTTGGGAAGATAAGCAGTACATATGGACGGTTATGCCTCAGGCATATGGTGAGAGCACAATTTATTTTTCACAAATATTAAAAGGAGACCTTTCAAGTGTCAAGTTCCCTAATAAATCTACCTTGATGCAGTATGTAGGTGATGTGCTTCTCTTCTCAGTGGATAAGCAAGCCTCCACAGAGGATACAATTCATTTATTATGATTAGCTTGAAAGGTACACAAGGTCTCAAAAGAGAAAATTTCAATTCTGTCAAAAGAAAGATATTTACATCACCTAACATCAAAGGAAGCCTTTTTTTTAATCAATCTTGATGAAATAAGAGGAATATTGTACTTCCCTACCCCCCAAACTAAGAAACAACTGAGAAGATTTGGGGGTTTGTCAGAATACTGCAGAAACTTTTCCTTAAAAATGCAAATTTCATATACTCTTTTAAAAAAACATGAGCCAGGAACCTTGAAATGGACAGAGGAAAATCAGATACTTTAGAAAAAATTAGAAAGAATCTTGTAGATGCCCCAGCCATAAGGACATCTGTGATGGTTAATACTGAGTGTCAACTTGATTGAAGGATGCAGAGTATTGATCTTGGGTGTGTCTGTGAGGGTGTTGCCAAAGGGGACTAACATTTCATTAAGTGGGCTGGGAGAGGTAGACTCACCCTTAATCTGGGTGGGCACCATCTAATCAGCTGCCAACACAGTTGATTATAATAGAATAATCAGGCTATAATATAAAAGCAGGCAGAAAAATGTGACTAGGCTATACTGGTTTGGCCTCCCAGCCTACATCTTCCTCTCATGCTGGGTGCTTCCTGCCCTCAAACACTGGACTCCAAATTCCTCAGCTTTGGGACTCGGACTGGCTTCCTTGCCCCTCAGCTTGCAGGTGGCCTGTTGTGAGGCTTTGTAATTGTGTGAGTTGATACTACTTAATAAACTCCAATTTTATATATACATACATCCTGTTAGTTCTCTCGCTCTAAAGAACCCTGACTAATACAGGTTTGGGTACCAGGAGTAGCTCTGGAGGAAAAAAATATTAAAGATAAAGTTCTTTTGTTGGTTTTGGGGTTTCTGGAGTTGGCTGCTTAATATGATTAGACCCAAAAATGGTAAGAACTCTACTTCTAGTAGTATGGAGAACACTGATAGTCCTTAAAATAAACTGTCTAGAGAGTTATGCAAAATGAGTGCATATGACACTCCCGATTCACCATTCGTAAGAGGCAAAGTCTTTAGGGACTCTATACATAATACCTTTGACTATATGTGGAGAACCAAAGAAAATAATGAAGGTAGTTGGTTACTCCTAAGTTCAGTGGACAAAGTTATGAAAGAAAGTGATGAAATCAAGGTCATTAACTCCTCCTGGTTTCAGAAGCAGATACTGCGCCTCAAATCTTCTAAGAACGCGCTGAGTCAGAGTCTTATCTCCTTTAGAGAAGGGGCTGAAATTCTCCTGTAGAGAATTCTCCTTATCTCCTATAGAGAAAGGGCTGAAAAACAGATACAAGCTCTTATGCAAGTGGCTGACCTGCAATGAAAGGTGCATGTACAGCCTTGCCATATGTCTACTGGAAAGTGAGGGCAGTGATTGGAAAAGAATAGGACCCTGCAACTTGGATTGGGGACATTTGGGAGGACTATGATTGAGCTGGGGACACTGAGCTTGTAAACTCTGATAAATCTTTTTTGTTAGTAAAAAGAGCTTCCCTATCCCCAGTAGTGGCAACATCCCCTCCATGACCCACACTGACATCACCCTTTTCACCTCTGTCTGAGGAAATAAACCCTGTGCTGCTTGAGGCAACAGTGATGGCCTCCCCTAATGCAGTTGCCAGGCAAGATAATGTTGCTTCTCCTCAGGAGCTACCCCCAATACCCTGTTTGCTTCTAGGCCTATAACTAGATGAAAGTTCTGGTGGGTCCCTAGAGATGAGGTTGAGAGTGTGACCCATGAGGAGGTACACTACACTCAAAAAGAACTGCTTGAGTTTTATGATTTTTATAGGCAGAAATCTGGAGAAGAGGCATGGAAATGGATATTGAGGGTGGATAATGGTGGAAAGAACATTGATTTGGTCCCATTAAGTAGGGATTCTGCATTTAATGTTGCAGCTCAGGGAGTTTTAAAAAGTTCTAATAGTTAATTTGCTTCGTTAGCTGAAATATGGATTAAAAGATGGCCCACTGTGAGGAAGCTAAAAATGCCTGATCTCCCTTGGGGTAATGTAGAGGAAGGGATCCACAGGCTTAGGGAGATTGAGATGGTGGAGTGCATTCATCACTTTAGACCTGCACATCACAGCTGGGAGGGTCCAGAACATATACCCTTGACCAATGCTTGCAAAATAGATTTGTGAGGGCAGCACCTGCATCCTTGAAGAACCTTTAATAGCTCTTCTCTGTATGTCAGATCTAACAGTGGGAACCACAGTCACTCAATTACAAAATTTAAATACAAGGGGAATCATTGGACCCTGAAGTGGCAGGGGCCAAGTGGCAGCACTCAACCATCAAAGGCAAGGTGGTCAAAGCTACCATAATGGACAGCAGAGGAAAAGCAGCAATCAGAATAGTCTGAGTCATGTGGCTATCTGGCATTGGCTAATTAACCATGCTGTTCCTAGAAGTGAAATTAATAGGAAGCCTACTGCATTCCTACTTAATTTATATAAGCAGAAAACTTTCAGGTCGAATGGACAAAGCACTAATTTGAATTATTATTAGTCAATATGGTAAGAAGTGAGTTAAAGTGTTGGCTGGGTTGATTTACCCAGACTATCAAGAGGAAATCAGTCTATGACTCCACAACAGAGGTAAGGAAGAGTTTGCATGGTATACAGGAGATCCATTAGGTCATCTTTTAGTATTACCATGCCCTGTAATTAAGGTCAGTGGGAAACTACAACAGCCCAATCCAAGTAGGACTACAAGTGTTCCAGACCCTTCAGAAATGAAGGTTTGGGTCGCTGCACCAGGAAAGAAACCATGACCTGCTGAGGTGCTTGCTGAAGGCAAAGAAAATACAGAATGCGTAGCAGAAGAAGTTAGTCATCAATACCAGCTATGTGACCAGTTACAGAAAAGAGGACTATAATTGTCATCAGTATTTTCTCCTTCTTCTGTTAAAAAAAAAAGTTTGTACATGTGTACACTTTCACTAAGAAAATATCTTCATTTTATTTCCTTTTTCCTTTATTATGTGACATAAGATTTATTGACTTCATATCGGCATTTAAGTATTGTTAACTTTATGTAATAGCATTTGTTTTGGGGATTGGTGCATTTCTGGTTGTACGAAGGATAGTTGTATTATGTTAGGTGTAATTATGACCTTATTACTGTTTTTATTTGAAGGTTATGCATGATCTCAGGTGAGGTGTATGGGTTCAAGTTGACAAGGACTTGTGATGGTTAATACTGAGTGTCAACTTGATTGGATTGAAGGATGTAAAGTATTGATCCTGGGTATGTATGGGAAGGTGTTGCCAAAGGAGATTAACCTTTGAGTCAGTGGGCTCGGAAAGGTAGACCCAACCTTAACCTGGGTAGGAACCATCTAGTCAGCTGCCAGTGCAGCTAGAATATAAAAGCAGGCAGAAAAATGTGAAAAGGCTAGACTGGCTTAGCCGCTGAGCCTACATATTTCTCCCACTTTGGATGCTTCCTGCCCTTGAACATTGGACTCCAGTTTCTTCTGCTTTGGGACTCTGACTGGTTTCCTTGCCCCTCAGCTTGCAGAGGGCCTATTGTGGGACCTTGTGATCATGTGAGTTGATACTACCTAATAAACTCCCTTTTATATGTATAGATCCAATTAGTTCTGTCCCTTCAGAGAACCCTGACTAATACAACATTGAAATCATGTTTCATTTTCATTGATTGTTCATGGAATTCATGGAAATGCCTTGGACATTTTGAATCAAAAACATTCTGATCAAAATAGACCCGTAGGGTACTATAATGAACACTGGGATCTTGTGTCTAAAGGACTGTCACCTTTTATAACAGCAATAACTGCTACTTCCCTGTTAATAAGAGCAACCAAATGATAGGATCTCTCATCACTATTTTAGTCTGCATTCTGTGGAAGTGCTTCTAAACTTGTACCACACTCAAACTTATTCAGTTAGTAAACTAGTTTCTTATGATGTTCTTCCTTCTGCTCCCCATTTTACTATCTCCAGATGAAATAATCTAAATTCTGTCACTCTTCTGTCCCTGCCTTCAGGAGAAATGCCATATAATTGTATAATCTTAACCAACCAGCTTCTCTCTCCTAGAATAAACCTGTAAGAAGCCTCCCTTGCTAATTCTGATGTTACTTGGTATATAGATGGATTTTACTTAAAGGACAAATGTGAAATTTATCACTCAGGTTATGCTATAGCATCCTTGACCGAAGAAATAGAACATTCTTATCTTTCAGGATTGACCAGAACTCAACGAGCAAAATTAATAGCATTAGTTGGAGCCTGCAAATTTTTAAAAAGAGTAACTTCTCATATTTATACACATAGCAGATACAGTTTTTGGGTAGTTCATGACTCTGAAATGCTTTGGAAATAAATAGAATTTTTAACTTATTGTAGTCAGTCCATAAAAATGAATACATTGTTGCAGAATTACTGGAATTATTGGAAGCCATACTATTAACCAAATCATTAGATATTATCAAGATCCCAAGCCATTCAAAGTCAGACACTCCAAAAAGCAAGGGAAATTAATTAGAAGATAGTACAGCAAAAAGAGTGCCCTTAATGTATTAGAACAAGAAAACCAACCCATTTTATCTTTTTAGAAAGCACTTGATTTTGATACAATAATTTCAAAAATTCCAACAATTAACACAATCAAAAGTTCCAAAAACAGAACAAGAAAATTGGGAAACAAAAGGGCGGATGTATTCCTCCACAACTGAGATATGGTATGGACCAAACAGTTTATTACACTTCCAACCAAATTACAGTCATCTTTCTCAAGTTATATATTTCCATGATTAAACCCAGTGGGGCCCCAGAAAGATGGTTTGTTGGGGGAAAACGATATTAATAGGAACATTCTCCAGTGGTTGTTCATAAGATGTTGCTATATCTCCATAAAACATAATCCAAGATAAACTTTACACAGTTCTCAAGGTAATTTTTCTTTACCAGAAGGCCCTTTCAAGGGATGACCACTAAATTTTATTTGGCTACCACTATCACAAGAATACAAGTACGTTCTAATGATGACTTGTATGCTTTCTCATTGAGTAGAAGCACTTCTATGTAGAAGAGAAACAGCCTTAGCAGTAAGTAAAATTCTCTTAGAAGAATTATTGCAACTTGTGGAGTTCCCTTAGTACTTCATAGTGACAGAGTCACTCATTTTACTGGACAAATAATGCAGTCAGTATGTAAAATTTGGCCTATTCTCCAACATTTCCAGTGTGCCTGTCATGCCCAGTCACTATCATTCTGTTAGTGGAATGCACAAACAGAATCATCAAAACTTAATTGGCAAAATTAACTGAGGTTTTAAAAATTCCTTGGCTGCAAGCTCTTCCATTTGTTTCATTTGACCTAAGATCAACCCCTTTTTGTAAATACCAACTGTCTTCATTTGAAATCCTAACAAGCACACCTATACAACTGTCTCCAGAAAATTGTCAATCTATGATATTAAAAGGGAATATGTTGTATTATTGCAGCAGCCTTATGAGGCAGCTAACACAAAACTGTATTTCAGAAGACTCTTTCCATGGTGAGTGCCCATGATATGAAATCTCAAGTACCACAGAATTCAACCAGGAGGTTTTGTCTATTAGAAATGATATCTTTTAAAAGATTCTCTTCAACCAAGGTAGAAAGGACCTTATCAGGTGTTCCTAACCAACCCCCGTGCTGCTAAGCAAAAAAAAAAAAAAGAAAGAAAAAAATCAATTTCTGGATTCATATCACGAATTTAAAGACAACTGCTTTGCCAATTTGGACTTCATCTCATACCAGTGATCTAAAATTGAAATTTGTCAAAACCAGCAAGAATGAGAAAAAGACATCTGTGATAGCTTTCCCAAGATACCAGACCAGTCCATTGATTACCAATGAATATTGGTAATCATTCATAGATGGAAAATGTCTTTCTTTGCAAGTTACCACTAAATTTTTTTTCATCCCTAGTTCTTATGTTTTGTTGCTACTATCATTAGCTGCTGACCATGAAGAAAACATCTTCTTGCAATGAGCTCAGGACTATGCTAATAGATTATAGAAAAACACTTATTGTGTATGTGGTCTCATGCTCTTTCCAATGATCTTCTTTCCAAGGACAAAATCTTGTCCTTAGAAAGGAAATATATATATTTGTGTTTTCAAGAACAATCATTAGTGCTTAATACTAGTAAGAGTAAGTATAATGTACATTACTGGCCTATTAATAAAACTTTACAAAGTAAAGGACATGAAAAGAACTACTTTTTGGTAAATAAAATAAACATTTTAGCCTTAATGCTGGCACTGCCCCAAGTGAAAGATAAGACAACTCAATTACGGGATGTATGGCATAAATTTGGAATGGTTTTTGTCTGGTTTACTTCCTCTTTGTTTAGCTTAGTCAGCTTGCATTTTTATGTTGGAAACAAAACAATCACACAAAAGATACGTGCCCCAAGAGCACTAGAAATATGGGTTGGATATCCAAGGAATAGTGTATCCACATAATAATTGGCAAGCCACTCAATGGTCACTGCAACCAGATATTTATTGGCTAGCTCTGAATTGAATGTCTTGTCTATGGTCATGTTTACTGCTAGACTAGACCCTTGTTCTTTGGGTTATGACTGAGCACAAAGTCAGATAGTTAAAACCCTCTCAAAGCCTGCATATTTTCCTCATTTACAATCTCGTCGGGTTAGTTCTGTATTGTATTGGTGTGATGATTTAGCTTCCATCTTTCTGCCACAGCTAAGGATGGAAGAAGTCATTCAGCATGTAGAAGCCATAATGAATTACATACAAAAAAGGCCTTAAATGATATCTCCATGAATATCTAGTTCTTAAGTAATGAAGTTGCTGTTATGAGAAATGCAGTATTACAGAACTGCATGGCTTTAGACATTCTCACTGCAGCCCAAGTGAGGACCTGCAGTATAGTAAAAGCTGAGTGTTGTTTCTATATCCCAGATGAATCAGAAAACATCACTTTATTAATAGCTAATATGAAAACCCAAATAACTAAACTTTCAGATCCTATCTCCTCTCTAAACGAATGGCTAGGCAGCTGGTTTGAATCTTGGGGGACTTAGTGGTAGACACTGGCACTCACTGGAGAAAGCACTTGTGTCTTGTCCTGTTTTTGTCTTTACTGCTGCTGTGATATTTGTTTGCAATGGAGTCAATACACAACCGAAAACAAAACTAAAATAATGGTTGCTCAAAAATTGTATTAATTGAAGATGAAGCCATGTTGCCTGACTGAAACCACAAAATCATTTCCTTCATGTTGCTTTAAATTTGGCTATAGCCCATCAGCTTTATAGCCTTAAAATGCATCTCTGCTGTGGCACATGATACTCTAGGAATAAGCCTTCCTGGTGATAGCGGACTAAACTCTTGAACATAAAATGAGTCAAAATCATTTGAGTTCATCTATGATGGTTTCTTTGAAAGATCTTGATGAAAAAGGGGAAATATGAAGTTAAACAACTGAAACTCAAAGCTCTTAAAACCTTAAATTACTCTAAGCCTTCAGAGGAATGTGGCTATGTGGTCTGAGTCCTGTGCATGCAGCTGCAGCTTCTGCCTTTTTGTTTGTTTTCTCTGTAAATAGTTAAGAAGACCAAGTATTTCCAGAGATAAGACTCCTTTAGGTCATTACACCTTTTAATAGAGTAATCATCTTCCTCAGAATGTAGCAATCTGTAACCAATCAAATCACTGTAATATGCGCACTTGTCTTCTATGGAAAATGCTGCAATACCAGTAAAACTTCTGTATTTCTGCCTGTAAAAGTGAAACTTTAACGTTTCCACTTCGGAGCACTGACCCCATTGATTTGGAGTTGCTGTCTTCCAGATAGCTGTCCTCAAGCTTTGTGGGCAAATAAGCTCTATACTTAATTATATTTTTATATTTTCTTTCTTTTTTTTGAGACGGAGTCTCACTCTGTCGCCCTGGCTGGAGTGCAGTGGTGTGATCTCGGCTCACTGCAATCTCTGCCTCCTGGGTTCAAGTGATTTTCCTGCCTCAGCCTCCTGAGTAGCTGGGATTACAGACACTGGCCACCACGTCCAGCTAATTTTTGAATTTTTAGTAGAGCCGATGTTTTGCCATGTTGGCCAGGCTGGTCTTGAACTCCCGACCAAGCTGATGCGCCCTCCTTGGCCTCCCAAAGGCTGGGATTACAGGCCTGAGCCATCGCTCCCGGCCTTAATTATATTTTCTGCATCTTGTTATTTAAGGTTAATTTGACTATACTACCTTGGGCAAGTTATTCACCTGTAAAATGATAACTTCTTTCATTCCTTCTTTCCATCTAAAAATATTTATAAAACACTATAAGATGGGAGAATCAGATTCTATAAAACATCTTACAATGGTTTTCATTATTTCATTTCTTTGAATTTAGTTTGCCTGTAGTTTTCCTACAGAATTTTCTTTACTGTATATTTCATTATAGTTGTCTGTACTTTCTTAGTCTTCATATTTATATGGCATCTGTTAGAGTATTTGTGCTTAAGAGTTTAGTTATATCTTGTCATAGCTTATCTTTCTTCAAGGCTTTTACAGGCTTAAAAGTGGAGGCTCAATTGAAAAATAAGAATAATGCATATTATTGTATATAGTATTTAACAAGAGCAATTAAATATTGTCTCTCTTTCGCTCTCTCTCCCTGTCTCTCTCTCTCTCACACACACACATATAAAAATTAAGGCTTACTAGAGTCGATAACTTTTCTTCCTTTATGTTACAATCAAATACTCACTGTTGTTTTAATTCTTATTCCTAACTCTTTTTACATATACTTACATGCAGTAAAAACAGAAACATTGTCTTTTACGTGCCCTACATTTGACCTGCCTTCCTTTATGCCATGCATTAAAAGGATAACAGCGTCCTAAGTTCTAAGAATGCAACAGTGCATATCACGGAAAAATAAATTCTTAACCTTATTTTAATTCCGATTTCATTTTAAGTTCTATTATTATTCACATGTATCAGAGTCAGGGAATAGGTGAGACTTCAATAAAATCCATCGAGTGCATATATGGGAAAAGAGTTGTAGAATATTATAGTTCCAATTTAGTTTAGACATAGGACTAGTTCTTTGCAAATAGAATTTTAATTATGATAATCAACATTAGGTGTCTAATTAGAAAACGTTAGTCAAGTCTATATCTGTGTCAATCTTTAGTTTATCAATTTGACCAACTGCGGGGGAAAAGTTTAGCTTCAGCGGGATTAGTCTTTGCTGAAGAAATACATCGGGGAAACAGTTGCTTCTGTGAATTTGTACTACATAAGCAGGTTTTTTCCTAGAGGCTTTAAGTCTTTGGTATCAATTTCTTATACCCGCTGTAACAAATTAACACAAGCATAGTGGCTTAAAGCAATAGGTATTTATTATTGTACTGTTCTGAATATCAGAAGTCCAAAACTGGTATGAATCAACTAAAATCAAGATATCAGCAGGGCTACATGTCTTTCTGGATGCAAATAGCCAACCAAGTTTTCTTCACATCCCACACTCTGACTCTCTTCTGCTTCCCTATTTTGCATTTAAGGAACCATTGTGATTGCATTGTATCTATCTGGATGATCCAGAATAATCTATTTTATTTTAAGGCTAGTTAATTAGCAAACAATTCGATCTGAAACCTTTTAAATTCTTAATTGTCCCTTGTCACGTAACCTAACACATGCACAGGATCTGGAGCTTTTGGGCGTCGGCATTTTTTGAGGGAGATCATTATTCTTCCTGCTACGTTCTCAGCTATCCCCAACACTAGGTGGATACTTACTGTCTGAAGAAATCCCGGGTTTTCTTCAGGGAACTAATCCTTTCAAACAAACAGTTCTGGGAGTAGAAGTGAGAGGTGTGCTTATTGTTGTACAAAACGGGAATAATTTTCCTCCTCCTGGAAAGACTGATAAATTATCTTCATTTGATAGGTAAAGAATGACTAGTTTTAACCTAGAAGGTCTGAATTTATTACACAGTTGACACAATGGTATTGGCTCTGCTGAATGAAGGGCAATTATTGTTTACTTTGCAATATATTAGTGTTCATTTTTCTTAATTCTTTTCTGCTTTGGGATGTGACTAGAATTCCTACGAACTTGAATTCTCATAGACAGTGTAAAATTCCTAAGTCTTGATTGCCATATCATTTTATTTTTGCCCCTTTACTTTTGTTCTTACCATACCTTAAAGATTCACGTGAATCCCATACACAACACTTCTGATATTTCTTCCTTTCTTTATTTTTATTTTGGAGATAGTTGTTAACAAAAGGGAAACAAATACAAGTGTTTCTCTTTTGTTTTCCTAAAAAGGAAAACAACAACAAAAAAATAAAGTTAGGGGAATGCTGCTACAAGCTGTGAAAACCAAGAGGTATCTTAGTTTAAAAATGATCTATTGGCCGTGCGTGGTGGCTCACGCCTGTAATCCCAGCACTTTGGGAGGCGGAGGAGGGCGGATCACGAGGTCAGGAGATCGAGACCATCTGGCTAACATGGTGAATCCCCGTCTCTACTAAAAAAATAGAAAAAATTTAGCCAGGCGTGGTGGCGGGCACCTGTAGTCCCAGCTGCTCGGGAGGCTGAGGCAGGAGAATGGCGTGAACCTGGGAGGTGGAGCTTGCAGTGAGCCAAGATGGCACCACTGCATTCCAGCCTGGGTGACAGAGCGAGACTCCGTCTCAAATAATAATAATAACAAAAAAGATCTATTAAAAGATGCTATAACTATCTTTTAAAAACTTGTTTCTTAGATTAAAAATTGAAGTCTTGATAGGTTAAATGTCATGTTCAAGTTTACATGGCAAAGTAGGACCCAAATGTGACTTAGAATTCGGGGTTCTTAATAATATTCTGCACTCATCTCGACAAAATAGTGAAGTAACATATTAAACAGCGGTTATGGGAAGAAGTGTGGCTAAAGCCTTTATGGTTCACAACAGTCAATGAAATTCCAGTAGCATTGTTCCAAATTGGACAAATACCATATGAATCTGCCTGCACTTGATAAATATTACCATTTTGACATGATTCCTTTAATGGTAGTTTCACAAGCTATTAATGGTTGTGGTTGAAAGAACATACCTCACACAGTCTGATGTGTCATAATTCATGCTATAGTCACTGTTTTTTTCTTCTAGGTTGATGGCCTCTTTTTGACTGTAAGTATAGCCTGTCTCCCTATTCTAACCTTACATTTAGTATATCACACTGCATGATATGATTACACAACACTGAAAGCCTGCAGTTATAAATGCCACTTCTATAATTATATAACCTGTGCTATAGCTTTGCTATATACAGAAAAGATGCAGAAGCAGAAACAGTTGAACCTTTGTAAGACATGCAGTGAATGTTCTTTTCTAGTATTATTGATTTGACATAAAACGTGGAAATTTATGAAACTGGAGTTGCAAAATCAAAACTGGAAGGCAGAAGTTTGTCAAATATGTAATTTTCATGAAAATGTTAATTATCTCCTAAGAATATAATGGATTAAAATAATTACATTCTGGTCTGACAAGGACTTAACCCAACTCCAGAGTGAATCCATAATTGTAAATTTGTTATTTGGCATACAGATGATGAGTTATTTACATTATACATAACATGCTAACAATGATATCTACCACTTAAATCATACTAAAGTACAGCTTTATCAGTTTTCATTCTCAAAACCATACACAGTAATAACAAATTCATATTTATGTGCTGAAGATTAGTGCCATCCCACCTCTCTTGAAAAATTATTCTTTTAATATTTTTGTTAGTGTTTGTTCACATGTATACTTTTTTATTATTTAGTGATATTAAACATCATTCGTGTTATGTTTTTAACAAAAACTTAACAAACCTAAATTTCTCTCTGATGGCTACTCTATAATTTACTAAATCATTTCCCATTAATTATATATTTATTTAATCTTCAGTTTTTTACTGATATAAATAATTCTGTACTGAATATTTTTATTATTAAAAGTGGCCTGTTTATGTAAATTAATAATTACTTATGATGTATTTTCAGAAAGCAAATTGCTGAGTAAAAGAACATGACATTTTTAGTACCTTTTGATTCAAGTTTAGATATTGATTTTCTCTTAGTTTTTGACAAAAGTTTCACTCACGTTCTGTTATTCACGATTAAAGATTAGTGTAACATTAAATTTTAAGAAGAAAAAATATGAGCATTTTCTGTTTATACTCTAAGATTGGAAACAATATTTATGGATTATAAGTGTAACTGTAGGAATAGTAACTTTAGGATTAGAACACAGAACACAATATCAGCTTATCCACATGTAAGTAGTTTTATTTTTTCTTAAAGTGTTTATAAGCAATACATATTTTATATCACAGGAATCCTCATTGTAGAATGTCATTAAAAAGTTATTATAAATATACTATAAAATATTCAGAAAAAATGACCAAGAAATCACAGACTTGTTAAATATTAGAACTAATTATCAAGATCTTAAAAGCAAATGAAAATTTCAGTGAATTTATGAAATTAAGCAGTTTAGTACCTGATCATTCCACTGCTGGAAAAAACAGGAAGAAAATTAATCAACTTTTGTATGTTCTAGGGAAACCAGGATGTATTTTCACAGTGTTTTACATGATTCTAGAATGTAAATATAGGGATCTTTTTTATGGGTAATAAAGATTGTTGATGTTTTTTATTCTTTTTCCCCAATTTTAAAGGCTGATCATCAAAGCAGGTTATATAAATTAACATAAAAATCACCATGGGAACTAGTGATACTGTGTGGCTATTTATATATGTCTCTAATTTTACTTGGATAATTTCCCTAACACTTTTTTTTTCTACTGAATAAATAGCAAGCCCCTTCCAGAGCCTTAAACATTAGACAAGCCTTAAAACAATTGGTGGATTTTCATATTTAACATCAGTAAGATTGCCAATCTATATTTTTTTATTTAAATAGATAAATCCTGAGCTAATTACTATTTATTTACATGTGTATATTTTGTCCTATTTCAAAGAAGATTCTGAGTGATTCCCTGTCACTTATTGGCAAAGCCAAGAAAAGTTTTCTAGCTTACCTGGAATATTCAAATTCTCTCAGAGGAAATAAAAATAACAAGTCTTAAGATCATGATTAATGGTGAGAATATAAGGATGCCTCTAAATTGAACTAACTTCCTCTTTGCTTGTTCACTGCTTTTTTCTTAGCATTTACCAGTACCAGCTTTTAAAAATCAATTGTACAGGAATAGTTGGTCATTTTAGCCTTAATTATTTAGGCTAATTCCAAAACACATCCATCTGAAAATATATCAGTTTTACACAGTGAGAGGACAGAGTGTTTGGGGTTTCTGTCTGAAAGTTTTTGGCATATATCAGTCGATGTTGTCTACTCCTTTGTCAACATCCCTAGGTCCTATAGCTTGTAGCTTTTAGCCTTACATTTTTTATCTTTTCTTTATCCTTCCCTAATTCTCACAGTTTCTCCTACTCTCTCTCCTGCTTTTGGGAAACTATTTTAAAGAAGTTGAGCCTGAGAAGGATTTAAAGTCTAGATTCTGGAAACTTTGGAGATAAGAGAAAAGCTCATGTATGATTGGCAATCTGTGATGGACGGCAAGGAGTGGACGTACTCAATACTTACTACTGAAAAATTAGATTCATTAAAAAAAGAGAGTCTTTTGCATTTTGGCAGGAGCTATTTATTTTACATTTGGTTTTGCTGTATTCATGCCATAGCATTCAAGGCATTCACTGACCCACGTGCTTACTTTGTCTGTCTGCTGAGATGAAAAGCCAATGCAGCGACAAACATATTTTTAGGAAAAGGTGTCAGACATCTTTTTTTTCATCTCAAAAGCTTATCTATTTTCTATCATAATTAAATAAAAACCAGAAAAAAATGAAAGAATAAGTAGTAGAATCAGGATCAAAATAATTTATGTGTAATTGTCCTACTAATATAGCAAGATACATAGACTAAAGTAAAATTTTTTTAAAAAGCAGACTAAATTGTTGTGATGTTGTTAGCATATTCTTTTCAAACTGTATATTAAGAATGGACTTAAGTATAAAGTAATATAGTTTTAAAAAGCCTTTAAATTAATATATTTTTTGTATTGAACTTATTATATACCTAGTGCCATTTTGATGTTTGGCCTTTGGAATCTAGGTGCCCCATGAATGTAAGATTTTTACCTGCTGAAAATGACTAATCAGGTTTATAAGTCTTCATTCTGTTAGAGTTCAAGAAAAGTGTTTTGGTTACATGAATTCACAAATTGAATTGATTATCTAAAAGGTTTTTCTTATAAGCCCATTTTATGAGTTCAAACAATAAATGCATATACTGTTTATGTAATTCTCATCTATTCACTAGGGCTTGTGCATGTGATTTGAACATATTTTTAGC
This sequence comes from Homo sapiens, assembly GCF_000001405.40. Lineage (NCBI taxonomy): Eukaryota > Metazoa > Chordata > Mammalia > Primates > Hominidae > Homo > Homo sapiens. Next base: position 94,900,457 of record NC_000003.12, read on the forward strand.
AATTTTCTGAGCCTTTCCAATTATTGATTTGCCATTATATACACTGCAGAAACATTTCATTACCCAAGTATTCTGTTTAACTAACTATATGAGGCTATTCCATTGTCATAGCTGGAAAACAATTTACTCTAAGGCCACATAAATCTGGGTTCAAATCACAACTATACCCCTTATTAATTCTATAATTTTATACAAATTGCATAACATCTTTTTAGCCTTTTAATTCTCATAAACAGTAGTGAAAAAAATACTTAGTATATTTTATGGTCTATGTAAATAAATAAAATAATTCTCAATTAAATTAGATTTTTTTAAATGTTTCAATATAACGGTTATCACATTCTGTAAACAAACCAGATTAAGTCAGATAGTATTTTCTAAGTGGGAGTTTTCTAATCTAGAAGCTCCTCTCTGTAGACCTGGGTAGCATCTGTCTTTTATTCCCTATGAGTTTTATACTGTCTTTACACTACATTGCCTGGGTGAGTGAAAAAGTGACTGCCCATAATACATTCTTTTGCCAAGGTTTGTGTTTTCTCAGAAATGCTACCATCAATTGATCCATCATCATTAGTTCTATAATGACCAGCATTGATCACAGCCCCACAAGAATTCAAGTGGTAACAAGCTTCCTTCTTAGTTAAAGGTTTTTGAATTTCCCATATCTTCACAAGGAATTTGATTCAGGTGATAACGAGCTTGCTTCTTAGTTAAAGGATTTTGAATTTCCCATATCTTCACAAGGAATTTGGTTCAAATGAAAATATATTATAATGAAACTGTAATATATTTAAATATTAAGCATTTAGAATAGCACTGAGAACAATGCTATACATGTACAAATTTGTAGACATTAAAAAGGACATGGAAATCAAATTTTCTTTGCCTTTGTATGGTTAAAATGAGTGACTCTTAGACCATTTACAAACAGAAAATACAAATATTTTTGAGCCCTCTTCATAAAATAATTCTGAAAGATTTCACACAAGTAACTGGAACTATGGCTTAAATATAAAAAGCTGGTTTCATTTGTGGATTGTTTACTGTGCACTGAATCTGAAATAATTCATGGATTCAAAAGAAGACAGATAAATTTTGTATTAAAAACTGGTGGTAGAGCTTCAGTGAAGGGATTCAGAAGTTACTGAACAACAACAATGGACTTGATTTTCACGGCAGAAACAGGCTTCTGTATATTTGTAACTGAGTTAGTTTGAGGCCAGGTCCTGAAAGCCTATTTCAAATAAAGACTGTGTTATTAGATGACTCCTTGATAGAATTTCTATGTGAAGCTTTAGATCACAATTGAACAGGTTTGTAGTTTGACAGGTAACATATGATCCAACTAAATACACAGTCCTGATTCAGAGAGACTAGAAATATGCCTTTCTTTTTGGTGCTGTCGGTAACAAAATGAATTTGATAAAAAAAGAATCTGGGGAGACAGCCTTGACAGTATCATTTCACATTTTTTTTTTAACAACCTTTTTACATCTAATCTTTTGGCTATCTAATGTCTCTAAAATTTTTGTTTGCTGCCAGTTTTTCATAGTGACACTCAACGAACATCCAGATATTTATTTGTTTTTGCTATACATAGTAAGGAAAACTTATAGTTCAACACTGATATGTTTGTAAATATTCAGCTAAGCTAATTTTGAACTTTCAGTGAAATATTAAATTCTTATGCACTGTTTTCCAGTACTTTGCATTTAAGGACCTTTTAGAGCCAGACTTGGAGGTATGTAGAGGGACTAATTGTGGATTAACAAGGCCTGACAGCTTCTTTGCTATAAAACCCCTTTCCCAGAAGGGTTAAAAAAATTAAAAGTGATTGATTTAACCAAAATATCAGTTTCTTGATTAAATTAATTTTCTTTAAACATCTGTCAGATATGATTAGTTCTAGTAGGACATTTGTTGTGTGTGGTGATGTGGATGGAGACCTGACTTGGTGCAGGTGATGGTACCAGTAACTTCTATTATCTACCTGATAATAGGAGACAGAGCCTGTGTGGTTCAGGAACTCTGAAGCTATGCCAATAGTCCACATTTGCCCTCCCAAAAGCACCATTACTAGTAAGAAGCAAACGGAAGGGAAAGCAGAGCATTAAAAGAGTAGCCAGATCACCTTATGAAAAATGTGAGACTATGTTCCACATTTCAACTTTAATGAAACAGTAAATGTAATCACTTCAAGAGTGAAGTTACTGCCACCATCAGTTAACTGATCAGTTTCAATAAGACATTGGGTCTCAATAAATTTGGAGGAAGCAGAGAAGGTAGTGTTGATAAAATGGCTGAAAATTCTAGATGTAGATTTTAAAATATTTACATATACATGCACTCATACATATGTATTCATTTTTGACTTTGATTCCTTTTGGCATTCTTTACAATACAATTTCCATCTTTCTTTTTCTCTCAAATTATTCTGACTGGTATTACAAACTATCTTTTCTAAATCCAGTATGAATGTCTATCTGTAACCACAACTTAGGTGATTTATCTATTGGCTGATTTCTCCACTTATGATGCTTTACCCTTAATTCCTTCCCGGGAATTCATGATTCTATTTTCTCCTGATCCTTTGTATTTTTAATTTTACTACTGTTTGTGCTATTTTGTGCAAAATATTTTTATTCTTTCTTTTCTTAGTTACAGTTATCTGCAGAACTCACTTTTTGTTAAGCTTTATCTTGTTCTTTAAGAATCAATGCTCCATATCAATTATGACTTAGACATCAGTGTGTACCATATTTATTGTATGACTGTATACAAGGAATATGATTACTGCTATTGCTTCAAATAAGGAGTTAAATAGTGGCAAATACAAAAGTAACTAATAATGACAAGGTTACCATTAGGTTTGCACATGACATTATTTTGGATATAATTGTAAATAATATAAAAGTAAAAAGAATCTGAGTAAAACATCACAACCGTAGTTGGTCAAAACTAGAATTTTAACAACATAAGTAGAAGGCAATGTAAAATCAATAAATTTGACATCTGAATGAGAAAATGAAAGTTAGGTATACAATATGTCATTTAAAAAAACATAATTTAGTTCTGGTTACATTCTTTCTATTAGAAATTTCATTAAAATGTCTAGAAATCAAAATACAAAGATAAGTTAAATAAAAAACTGCAGTATCCATTCAGCTTCAAATACAAATTAGCAATTACTTCTTTTTTTTTGAAAAAAAGATATCTATATTTTCCAATATTTTAAGTAGTCAGACTTCAGGTAATCTATGTTACATTTGAAAAGATTGTATTGAAAATTAAACTCATAAAAATTACACATTTTTCTTATTCTTTTTTACCTTGGGCTCCAATTAACTTTAAAATTTTCTTTAAATTAAACATTTCTTCAAAAATGAATTCTACATGCTTCCACGTGGAAAGAACTAAAATTTGTTTTGTTTTCCAATACATTAATAAAATTTAACAGGAAGCACTAGTATGTTTGTTAATGACAAGAAGCTTGTTACAAAATCTCTTTAGTGTTATTATTATATAGGTATCAGATCAATCTGTTTAAAAGTTTGAACCTAAGACTTCCTTTCATTGAGTCACATACTGAGAATTATTAGAAATTAAAACAACTCTTGGTGCCTCTGTGACATTAGAGATGTCATCTAACCTTCCAGAGGCTTAAATTTATTTCCATAAAATTAAAGTAAACTCAGATAATGTCCAAGATCCCATTTAACTACAAGGCTCTGTTTTGTTTGTTTGTTTTTGTTGTTGTATTATACATCACCCTCAAAAATTCAATGACCTGTCTCGCTTTCTGTTTCACAGTGTGATTTTTTTTCTTCTCTATCTACACATGGACACTGTGAATTGCCTGACATGTTACTATGACTACTTCAAACCAGGAGGAGGCCCTCAGCTGTGTGTGTGTATGTGTGTGTGTGTGTGTGTGTGTGAGAGAGAGAGAGGGAGAGAGAATTATTTTTACCTTCCCAGCTCACCTTGACAGTCATTCTGAACAAGAGGCCTGGGCTGGTTTTATTGGAATCCATGCTACTCTGCTTCCAAGAAAAGCTGAAGTGAATGCGAAGTGGCTACAGAATAATTTGACAGTGACAACATGTTTGATAAGACCCTGTTGAAATTTACTGCCAGATCCCATGCAAGCTAGGCATTTTGATTAAAGCTGTGCTATTGCTTCTGCTTGACTTCTAATAAGTTTAACATTTTCTGATCACTGAAGCCGCCAGCACAGCTTCAGTGCTGGGATATCCTGAGAGTAATGAACAGCATAAAGAATCATGTTCCCTCTTTTCCCCAGCATTCTCATTGTTTGTGGAGTCTCCTCTGATTCAACCTGAATTCACCTTTTACCTAATACTAGTTGTGAACTCCTAATCAGCACCACAGTCTTCACTGTAACTAGCGACACATTAATTAAACTCCTTGATTGAGGCTTCCTTACGTACTGAACTATAACAATCTAAAATGATACAAAATATAGAATTGGCTTTCCATGGTTGAAAACATTACACTTGGAAGTAAACAGTTTTTAAAATAATGTGTAAAACATAATGTTACACTGCACTCCAGCCTGGGTAACAGAGCAAGACCCTGTCTCTAAAACACACACACACACGCACACACACCTACACATGCATGCACACGGTTACCTTTTTAAATAGATATTTAAATCATTACTAATTAACATGAGAAGAAAGAAGAAAAATGATTAATAAGAGAGACAAGGGAATGTGAATATAAACACAGGTGAGACCCGGCTCTGTCACAGCTATTGCTGTGCAGATCAAGCAAGACATGCAATTGTATACGCACACATGCATATATTATTTTGGTAAAACAAAAAGTACTTCTCACCCTTTGACCTTCTATTATCTTTTGCTTTGAAAAAGTCCATAGTAATGGAGTCTTTCTCTGTTGCCCAGGCTGGAGTGCAGTGGCACAATCTTGGCTCACTGCAACCTCTGTCTCCCAGGTTCAAGCGATTCACTTGCCTCACCCTCCTGAGTAGCTGGGACTACAGGCATGCGTTCCTATGCCTAACTGATTTTTATATTTTTAGTAGAGATGGAGTTTCACCATGTTGACCAGGCTGGTCTTGAACTCCTGACCTCAACTCAGGTGATCCACCCACCTTGGCCTCCCAAATCACTGGGATTACAGGAGTGAGCCACCGCACCCAGCCCCAATATCTTTTGGAAATGAAAATATATGTATGTTTTCTGATGGGCGAAATATCTTAATATTTGTATTTTAGAGTTTATTTGTCCCAGGCCTATGCTATGAGGCTCCACGAAACAACACTATAGTATACTTTGATGCCTAAGTCTGTATGGGCCAAAGAAAAATAAGTTATGGTTGGCTTACTTCATAGGAATTTGTGATGAAAATCTTCCTGCTACAGGCTGATGGGTGGTAAATTGAGTGATTTAGGTGTCTGGTCCTATTTAAGTCTCTTTCTGATAATTTGCTGTAGTAGTGACCTGTGATGAGTGCTATTATTGCCATGCTTAGGTACCATCCATTACTATTTAATAACTTCCATCACAATTGCTTTTTATATTATTAAGTTGTCACAAATAATTTATTTGGACATTGTACAATTTATTTTAGGAATTAAAAATAAAAATTTCTAGTTTTCTGTTATAATTATTTAAACATTGCATCACTTTGTTATAGATAAGATTGAATTTTCTGTGGTAAAGAATACTGAAAAGGAACCTAAAATTAGATATCAAACCCCTATTTCAGGAATAGATTTTTATGGAACTTTTTTTTTCTTTGATTAATGTCTGTTTACAGAAATGTTTTAAGTAATTATCTGGCTTGAAAGCTATGTTTTAAAATGGATGTTTATTTACCTCTTCTACCCTGAGTGACATTGACTTATAGGTTTAGTACCTAATGCCAATTAAATCATCTTAGAAACAACTGCATTTGCACATGGGAATATTAGGGACTTTTAAACAACTATTATTGGGAGAATTTCTAGCAGCATATTGACAGTATTATTGAAAATATATCTTTATACTTTTAATCTCCATTGCAGCCATTGTCATTGTGCTACAGGGCTCGAAACAACACGAGATGGTGCCTTCCATCTCGTTTTTTGATCTAAACTTTTAACCTGGTGATCTTATTTCTTGATTCCTAAGGAAATACTTTTCTCAGACTATTGCATTGGGCTTTTTCCCAATCCGTTCAAATTATCGTAGAAAAAACAAACAAACAAACAAATAAACAAACAATTTCCTTCTGTTCTGATTGTGTCACTCCTCCCTGGACAGGTTATCTTCTGGTAAAACATAAACTATTCTCATAAGCACCAAGTACCTCTGGGCTACTTGAGGTGAACAAAATTGCACCAATTACTTTCAAGCGTAAGTATTTTTGCCTGAAAGTGCTGAGGAACTTTTGAGTTTATAAACCTGTTCAATCACAGGAGTCCAGATTATATATAGCACCACACACTGCAGAAGTGTCCAAACCCCTGAGGCATATTGCTACTTATCAGATTCATAAGTAGAAGAAAGGAGGGCTTATAAAGAAGAATTTTTTTAAAAAAGATATAATGACCACAGCTCAAATAAAGGACTTAGATGAGCCAGATAAAATGAGTCTATCTAAGACTAGGAAGTTAGTGATGTTTCTAATTGTGGGGCTGACAAGGAGGAGATTTGGAGAAGGAGACGTCATTTATAGCTCTATGTACATGGTTAATCTGAAAATGCAGTTAGAATCATATGGATGGTTTGCTTCTTTTGGTACTAAGTCATGCTTTGGAAATGCAATGGAGTGTTTCTGAAATCCAGGTCACTTTAGTGTCTGCAAGACAATGGCTTGTCAAATTTGAGAATTTGGGGAATTTTTCTATTGCTTTTAAATTTGGAAGACAATCTAAAAAAATTAATAACTAAGGTAGTGATTAAGTGATTTTAATCATTATGTTAATTATTTTTTAGTCAAGTACTCACTGGAGTCACAGTTGTATTTGTGAATTTAGAGGGTTATCTGAAATCCCGTGAAAAGTTGTCACACTAGATATGAATGGGTGTGGCTCACATCAAATGAGATGGACTGAGGAGGCTGGGAGATGTTTGAAGTGTGTGTGTTTTGTGTATTCCTACTGAACTCAGTTCACTCAGTTGCAGTTTTCCGCATTCATGTACTTTCTCATGGAAGATACCATTCATAAGCAAGCACAGTATTTGTGTTATGCTTAAGTCGTTCCCTAATAAATCATTCACTTTGGAACAAATCTGCAATTTTATAACTAGCATTACAGCAAAACTGATTGTGTGTAGATAGGTACACATACTGTAGTGGTTGTCTGAATATTATTCACATTTTGAGGTGCAAGTTAGCTTTACCAAAACAGCATCATCTATCTCGTTATAATTGAATTATTCATCTGATTTTCACTAAAATTGTATAATTTTAAATTTTAAATTTGTATTGGATTTCTTTTTTTTTTTTTTGAGACAGAGTCTGGCTTTTGTCTCCCAACCTGGAGTGCAGGGGCGAGATGTCGGCTCACTGCAAGCTCCGCCTCCCGGGTTCAGGCCATCTTCCTGCCTCAGCCTCCTGAGTAGCTGGGACTACAGGCGCACGCTGCCACGCCTGGCTAATTTTTTGTATTTTTAGTAGAGACGGGGTTTCACCGTGTTAGCCAGGATGGTCTCGATCTCTGACCTTGTGATCTGCCCGCCTCTGCCTCCCAGAGTGTTGGGATTACAGGCGTGAGCCACCGCGCCCGGCCAAATTTGTATTGGATTTCTATATAGCTGCATAAGACCTATGTGCATGGAGATTTTATGCTGAAGTTGTATTTTTTGTATGGCAAAATTACACTCTAATTCAAAATGATTTAGCACTGGAGTTCTGAGATATTTTTCCCCTGTAAAATTCTTAGTTTCAAGTTGACGATATATGTAATGTTATAGAAAACTTTTGTCATCTTTTCGCATTTCTATCTCCCTAACAGCTTCATGTCAAATACCAAGCAAAGGATCCTAGAATGAACCCGATGGTATAGTTCATTGCCATGTAAATACTCATGCTAAAAGAGATATAACATAATCTGGTAGATATGATTAATAAGATTTATTCATTACAAGCCACCTTACCTTCCATCTTCCACTTTTCTCTCTTTTGGCTTTCAATTTGCTCATAGATATTTTAAAGAAAAATTATAAATTAAAAAAGAGAAAAAAATGTGAGAGGATATTACACATATGGCTATATTCAAATTTAAAATTTCTAGAAGCTAGAAATTATGTTTTTAATATTTCTTTTGCAAATGTTAGACTGAAAAAAGCCTATTCTTTAAGAGCATACTTAGGATTTCGGAAAGGTATATTAATTACTTAAGTCCAGAAGGTACTAAGAAATGTCTAGTGTGCCTATCATGTATTAGGCTTCAAACAGCTAATTCAGGTACCAAATCCACAAACATTTTTCTCTGTGGATGAATATCCAGCCTTTTCTATTTCCAAGGGAATTAAGAATTAATAACTTCTGGCTAGTTTTAGCGAATAAAAAAACCTTATCTCTATCATTCAATATTTCAGTTAAAAAGTGTTTCTTGGTTTTGAGTCATCTATTATTATTGCGTTACTTCTTCACTCCATTATTCTCTGAGATGTCCATTTTGGATCAATATATATTAAATATCATTCATTAAACAGCTGAAATTTGTTGGGTTGAAGACAAATTTCTGGGGAAGATAATGTGTCATCTCACATGTGAATTTCTGCTAGGAGGCTGTTACAAGCAACTATGTTTTAACCATTATTGCTGTGAGACTGATTTAAACTGTTCTAACAAGTAAAACTAACACTTCAGCATGGTATCATCACAGCAGTTCTCTGACATATAAAATTTTCATTTTTACTACTGTTATTTTTTTCTGAAAATTAAAAATTGCAAAGACTGTCTCCTTTCCTTCTTACTACCTCCCTCCCTGGTCCCCCACTTCGTATCTCTCTCTCTCTCTCTCTCATCATTCAAGTCACTTGCAGTATACAGAAAAAATCTAAATATTTTTGCATATGTTCTAATAGAATGATTCTCATATACTTTGAAGAGAAAAAATAAACATGCTAATTATATATGTAAATAATATACATATGATATGAAGGATCTCAGAAAATGATACTCCAGAATGAAGGCCTCAGAAGCAACTCTCTCTGACTTTCTCCTGTCCTGCTATCTCTGGCCTCTCAGTTTCCCTCGAGGATAGCCATAGAAACTAGAATTTCTCTTAACCAAAGTGGGTCAGAGAAACCAGAACCCTTTTTCCAAGAAGCCAGGATTAAATGTTTAAAATTACTCTAACTTTTTCCACTCCTTTTTGTTAAAAACTGCCATAAAGAAATGATCTGACTTACCTTTTTTGACGGTATGTCAGAACACCCACATTCCAGAGATAGATGTCGCACACCAAAAAAGAAGGAATGCTTCACAGAGAGGCCAAGAGGAATCTGGACAGGTCAGGCAGATTCCAACAGTCTTTTAGCATTAAATCATAACCTTTTTGTCCAATTGTCTTTCTACTTGGCTGTTCATACTTTTTGAACCTAAGCATAAAAATGAACATTTTTTTTCCTGTATCTTAAGGTCCTCATTCAGAAGGCTTTCATGTAATGTAAAATGGTGATATATAAATTGGCATGCCTTTTCTCCTATTAATCTGCTTCTTCTCAGTAATTTTCAGCAAACTTTCAGAGGGCAAAGAGGAAATTTTCCCTTGGTCTCTAGAAACATTATAATTATATATATATATATATATATATATATATATGTATATAAAATTTTGCATATTTAAAATATGAGATGTATAAGGCATCATGTTTATATAGAAATGATTATCTGTCTACTTTAAAACTTAGCATAACTCTTATAGGATGTTTCAGGTTCAGGTACACTTTAGAGAAAATATATTTATTAAATAAAAAATTACAGGTTTTTTAAGTGCTTCAAAGTAAAAGTGAAGAATGCTAAAGTCAAAATAATTATAGTTTGGGAAGTGGCATGGCTCGGGAAAGCTGAAAGTGGAAGCACAAATACTAGAATGTTGAATTAAGCAGAAGTGAGGTATAAGTATTTTTTAAGTACTTTTTTTGCAGGCAGAACAGTAGGTATGAGAGCAGTAAGAGACTGATTAGTATGACCATGATACACACCTGGAGGATTCTACAACACTCAAAGAACACTGTGGCCTGGACTCATGGGTGGTCTGTGGAGATGGAGGGCACTAAACATGAAAACAATATCTACTTTGAAAGTAGATTGGGGATATAAGAGGTTGAGGATTTGAGAAAAGATAAGAATATTGCCCTTACACCTTGATGTATATTACATGCATGCACTCTTTTCTGATATAAAAAATAAATCGTCTGGGTGTGGTGCCTCACTCCTGTGATCCCAACACTTTGGGAGGCTGAGGCAGGGGGATAACTTTAGGTCAGGAGTTCGAGACCAGACTGGCCAACATGGTGAAACCCCGTCTCTACTAAAAATACAAAAATTAGCCTGGTGTGGTGGTGCACGCCTGTAGTCCCAGCTACTCAGGAGGCTGAGGCAGGAGAATCGCTTGAACCTGGGAGGTGGAGGTTGCAGTGAGCTGAGATCGTGACCCTGTACTCCAGCCTGGGCGACAGAGTGAGACTCAGTCTCAAAAAAAAAAAAAAAAAGGAATGAAGATGAGCACTTTGTGGGGAAGAATATGATGTTTTGTGAAATCTTTGACTATGTGACAGATTGAAAAGAAGATGTAGACAGGAAAGTATGGCTTAGAGTTCCAATTTCTCACCTCATAACTGAAGTTATGAGAAGGAGGAGATGACCTGAGGGTGTGTTGGTATGTGTTAGAGTAGAAGTCCTGAAACAGAAATTGGAGATGCACCGACATATAGCAGTTTTCTTGACAAAGTAATATCAGCAGAACTGATAGAAAGGCTGGCGGTGCAAAGAAACATGGACTGAACAGGGAAGGGAATATATTTTTGGAAGGAAGTTGTCCTGACGTTTTAATAAAGGTGGAAGCTCAAGTAAACTAAGATGAGGTAGATGTTTTTTAGCTTCAACTAGACAAGTTGTGAACACTACTTTTTAATCCTAGGATATTTTTATCACTTTCAGGTTTCTCTATTCATAGACAAAGACCTTGAATTTGGTAATCTTTGGACATTTTTCTTTACATGATTTTCTTAGGCATATTTGATAACTGATAGCCCCTGCAAAAATTATATTATACTTGATTGGAGTGGAGGTAATTAGTCCTACAATTTAGTGAAATTCTAGATTTAGAAGAACTACCACAAGAATACTTATATGAACTACTATATGATCTTCAGATATCTTCATATTTATTTATCCTTTTGAAAGTAAATGACCCTTAAGGGTATTGTAAATAATTTAAACATGTAAGGTGGAACCATATGAAGTATTTATATAACTATGCCTTCTATATATGCATTAAGTATATTGATTTGTTTTAAAAGGCAACAAATGGTGAGCCTTTTGTGACTTTTACTCCTCTTTCATAAACTACTCAAATATTACTTTCCCTGTAATGCATCCCCTCTATGCCGTCCTCTTGATGGAGCAAATCACTGTGCCCTTGTACCCACACTGTAACTTGAGCACAGGTGAGCATATGTTTTAACAACGCTTTAGATGTTTATGCCTGTTTACCAATCCCTGTGCCTCAGGGTTTATTCCTTTCTGTCACCAGTGCCTAATTTACAGTTTGATACAAAGTAACAGCTCAAACCACACTTATAAAGAAGTATTGCAATAATTTTCTTGGAGAATAAGGATTATAGAAATAAAAGTGTTCTTAGATTCTTTTAATTTAATCTCTTCCATTTTTAGGTGACAATATTGACAGCCCAAAGTATTAAATGCCTGCCAAAAAATTAGTTATTATTAAAGGCTTAAAAATGATCATTTAGTTGGCAAAACATGTTTAAAAAGATGAAAATCAGTACAATGAATGTATTTTACTTAGAGAAACAAAAACTGAGCAACATAGCATTTTCCCAGGGTAGGGTAAAAAAGAATGCCATAATATATAAACTAGGGAAAAATATATATATCCCCATTAGGAAACATGAGGTGAAGGTGCACTCATAAAAGTTTTGGTCTTAGATATGTTTCTTCTCTCTAAACATATTTGAAGTAACTTGAAAAAAAATTATTCACATTTCATATACATATATATGTTCCGTTGTATATGGGTAGAGAATATTTTTATTTTGTGACAAAAAGGAATACTTTCATATAGTAATCCTAAAAGGAGGCATGTTTTCTACTCACATTACATAAATATAATATTCATTTTTTCTAAATGCTGTTGAAACATGATATCTGAGAAACCAAATTAAGCAGACTTCCCTTGAGTCACAAGTGGAGAATTTTCTCTCCATCTGCGTAACAGTGGAGTAGTTTCACCTTTGGGGAGATTGTATAATAACATACAGAAAGCATTTATTTTGGGATCAGAATGAGTGCCTACTTCTCTCTGCCGTGGGATTTATTTACACATCATCATAAAATCTAGACACTGCCAAAGACTTTGGGATTATGCAGTCTAACCTTCTACTAGGCATTTGGATTTCCAGAATAAGATTTTTAACAAAATTCTTCTCCTTCTTGGACCAATGCTAATGGGTTCCTTAATTGCTATAGAGTTTTACTATGTCTTTGAAAATTTCAAATTGTTAAAAAAATCATCTTCATAGTCAGCTAAATTATATCTACGTATAGTCTCCTTTTACTTATTTCTATTTTTTAAAGTCATACCATTGGAAAATCAAATGTCTCTCAAAATGATACTTCAAATATTTGAATATCGTTGTCCTATAAATTCAAAGTTTCAATTTATATAGGCAAAACCTTATTTGTTTCAGATATTCCCTTTGTGAAATACTATTACTATGTATCCATGTTTTAATCGCTATCCTCTGATGCATTTTCTTATTTGTCTATATCCCTATCAAATTGTATAATCCGGAAGTGAATAAAGTATACTAAATGTGATTTCACGAGCTCAAGAATTACTGTTGCTCATTTGGGACATACATTTATTTAGTAGCTATTTATTGAGCACATACATATGAGAAGCAGCAGCTTGCTATGGTCAGGACAGTCAATTCCCCTGCCATCATGGAGTCTACTAATTGTAGACATTTTTTGGGGATTCTCTGCTCACTGTTTAAGCTTTCCAGTGTTGTTTTGAAGCCACCTCATACAACTCAATGATGCATTTCTCTTAACAGTTTCGTTTTTAATGATATACCAATGGCAGCTTGAAATTGGCCACAAAGAAAATATTTACACCATGGAAATCTGTTAATGGTATATATTTTTGGTGGTTGTTTTGATTGGTTGTTTTGCTTGGTTTTGTTTTAAGGAGCTGGCTGCTAAAGATTTATTAGCATATTATTACTCTTCTTTCATTTGGAGCTCCTTCTTCCCACACTTTTGGAATCCTGGCAGTGGGTTTTTACTAAAAGATTTGGTGTTATGTCTATAATTGATTAGGCTAATGGTGAACATAAACTAGGCCATTTACAGATACTTGAAAATAATGGTTATGCTATGTTATTAGGATATAAAATATATTAAAACACATTAATTATGCTTATTCTCTACACATTAATCAATACTTTTAAATTTAATTCCTACATCTGATAACAATGATATTAATATACAAGCCATGTTGAAAGGGCTTTATTGCCCTATTCAAACATAAGCATCCTTGAGTGGACTGAATTACTCTTCATTTGGAAGATATATGCCTCTCTCATTTTTTATTGATGCTTTTGATTCATGTAATACTTATTTCAATTGCCATCTATAGTTTAAAGCAAAGCTTGTTATTATAACTTCCAAACACTGAAATCATTCAAATATCTTTAAGAAGACACTCTTGCCTAGTTGAGAACAATATTGCCATAATACACATATGTTTTATGTAGAAACATCATCTCAGGCATTCAATAAAAGAATTACTACTCTGAGGAGATGCAAAAATATAAAAGCAACTTTAATGGACATTACATAGAATTTTATAATTCTAGATGGGCAGAAATCAATGTATTTATACAATAAAGATCCTTGTATTTAGAAAGCGTGGCAAAAGAGGGAAAGTAGCTCATTGAAGATCCTGTTACTAAAACTGGAACTCAACAAGGCTAGGGATTATTGCTGGATGTGCCATAAACAATAGACTATGTGGGCCGGGCGCGGTGGCTCAGGCCTGTAATCCTAGCACTGTGGGAGGCTGAGGCGGGTGGATCACAAGGTCAGGAGATCGAAACCATCATGGCTAACATGGTGAAACCCAGTCTCTACTAAAAATACAAAAAATTATCCAGGCGTGGTGGCGGGCGCCTGTAGTCCCAGCTGAGGCTGAGGCAGGAGAATGGCGTGAACCCGGGAGGCGGAGATTGCAGTGAGCCGAGATCGTGCCACTGCACTCCAGGCTGGGCGACAGAGCGAGACTGTCAAAAAAAAAAAAAAAAAAAAAAAAAAGAATAGACTGTGTGGAGTATCAACAGAGTTTAGTTGACTAATACCTGTGACAATTATATCTGCAAGCAAAATTAAAAAAAAAATATCTGACTAAATGGAAAGTGTTTCTCATAAACACTTAGGTACAGAAAATGCCTCTGAAATTGCTCTAGAAGCAGCGTTGGCTGCTTTTGTTGTGTTTTACTTGCTAAAATGTAATAAAAAATGTGATCCACTTGTATTGTTTGGTAGACAAAAACATTAACTGAACTTACTATGGTAGCTGATTAGTATTTGCAAAAATTGCCAAGATAAGAAAAGGTAACTTAGGTTTTATAAATCAAAAGCTTTCAAATTTTAGGAAGTAAACAGAGAGTTTATAGAGGTTGAACTACAGAACAAAATCCATGTAAATGTAGAGAATTTTTACAAAGTCTTTTATGTAATAAGCTATGGATTCTCTGAGAAGAAAGATATACATTAAAAAAATCAAGACAATCAACCTTATATCAAAACCTTTCCAATGTCTGACCTGAGATTAGAATTATGCCCAAAATGCACAACAAGCGCTTTCTCTTTTTAGGGCAGTGTGGGAAAACTTTATTAACATTTATGCTCAATTATTTCAATTATTGCCACTAGATCATATTGGTATTTATGTATTTAGCATGCTTAAGTAGTATCTAAGGTTAAAAGCTCATTATCACAGAGCTCAAGAGTTGGATCCCCTAAAAGTCTTACTGGTTTTTACATCTGTACCGATTTTTTGTTGTTGTTGGGGGAGACAGGAGTTTCTATTTTAGATTGATATGCAGGTACAGAATTACTTCTCCCTTATTTATAATAAAATAAAACCTCTTTTTTTAAGTTTAGGTATGTTATATATTTTCCCTCAGATACAGTCTATTTAGAGTTCTCTGCTTAGTAGAAATGTGAGATCACTCTGCCTTAATCGCTTGTAAGAATCAAAATCTACTCTCTCACAAATACAAAATACATATTTTTTCTCTGTTGTCCATTTTTGTTCTCAACTCGTAACAAATTCATATTTATTCAACATATTTACCCAGTTAAGACAATGCTGAATTCAACTAAAACACTTCTCAATTTTTCCAATAGCCTTTCTATACAAAATCGTAGAAAAGTACACATCTCATTAAAGAAACATGGATTTGTGCCAGACACGATAAAATAATTGTTGTAATTTTTTCCTTTTTTCCCACTGAAACGAACTTACCTACATATTTTTAATAAAATGCAGTCCCACTAAGTGGTAGCATTATATACTACCTTCTTTTTATATTCATTAATCTTTGTGGTCTCTCATGTTCTTTTCCATTTCATGTTCTCCAGTATCTTTGATTAGAATTCTTTAAGGTTACCCTGAAAGTTTCTTTATTATTTCAAATTCTTAGAACATTGCATGAATCTACGTTTCCTGAATATTGTGACTTTTATTCAATATATCAGTGACCTTTACTAGCTGTCTCCTCAATACTAGCATTAAAAGAGAGTCTATAATTTTATTTCATTTTTAGCACACAGAGATCACAAGCCTTCTCAAGAGTTACAACAGTTATGTGTATCCTGAATGTTTTACTTAGGGCAGAATTGCTCTGCAGGAGAGCATGCCCGTCTTCTTCCTGAGTGAGGGTTATCCTCAAAATTGCCAGGTCAACTACAGTTATATGAGCGCTCACTTTCCTGGGCATGACTGGCTATTGTCAACAATGTATGCTGAGAAAGGCATCAAGGACTAATCCCCTATTACATTTAATGCAAGGTAATGCTCAAATCCTCAGTCACAAACACCTTCAGAAGGTTTTTCATCCTCAAATAAACCATTTTCAGGTCTTGGAGATTTGGAGTCTGTGATTAAAGTAAGCTTTTACCTAATGTTCTTCTGGGAAAGGATTTGCTTTAGGAATAATCATGTAAATTAAGAGAACAACAATATCCAATTACCTATGCTAAAGAAGCCTTCTTTATACACCTAAGACAAATTTTACCTTTTTCTCCACATATTTCCAGCCCATTTTTATGAAAGTTATATTTAGGTATATTTATCACTTCAATTTATGCCTAAAATGTAATCTACTTATCCAGTATGTTTTCTAACTTGCAGCTGCTTCTACATAGACAAACCACTGATTAAATAAATTATTTTTGTGACTAGACATATTATTTTTCTCAATCATCATTCAACTGATTTGGTGGTCTTTCAACTATGAAATCTTACCATATATAAATAATGAACGTATGAATTTTTTTCAACTTTTAAATTGCATATTTTCTATTTTACTTGTATTGCCTAATACTTTAATATCAATAATGAATAATACAATATTTGTCACTGATCTCTTGTATCTGACTTTAAAGAAAAGCCATATAGTGTATCACCATTTGTAAAGTAATAGCTTTTCACATTTACATTTATTTTGGATTTTTTTGCCTTTTCAAAGGAATTTTACATTATTCAGATTTTAAAAGTTTCTTCTTTTCTTTCTTAAAGAAGAAGGTTAAAATTTTGGAAAAATAACTTTGCAGCTAACATTGCATATTTTTTCTTCTTTGTTTTATTAACATGACAAATATTTTGTTTTAGATTTTTGCTTTTATTATGGTTGAAATAAGTTTTAAGGCTTTTCTGTGGTTTGGAATGGTTTAAATAATAGTGAATTTATCTAATCTTTGAATACTACATATTATTTATGACTGAAGCCTCCAGGCTTGATGTTTTCTGTGTTGATGTGGGGCAGATTATGGAAACTCTTGAATAATTTCAAGAAGTTTCCAGACTTATATGGTTATTTTAATTTTCTGCATATATCAACACTATTAAAATTATACAGTTAGTAGAAAGTAATATAGATGGATTTTCATAAGGTTTCAAAAGTACTCTAATAATATTATTCTATGAACTTTTGCTGTGTTTGTGATTATGTCAATATATTGTTTAACATGAAATTTGTTATATTTTCTTTCTCATTGTAATTTATGTTTATTTTTGCTTTTTTTCTGTTTATTACTTAATGAATTTATCTCATCCTATTTGATTGGTATTTACTGTGGCTATAACAAATTAACACAGATTCAAACAACAAAAATCTATTATCAGTCATTCTGTAGATCAGAAGTCTGAGATGGGTCTCTTGGGGCTAAAGTAAAAGTATCTACAGGGTTGTGTCACTTTTTAACTTTAAAAGGAGAACCCATTTTGCTGCTTTCCTGTTTCTAGAGACTTCCCATATTCCTTAAGCAGTAACGCTTTCCTCCATCATCAAAGCCAGAAACTCTGACCCTTTTTCCATTGGTATATCTTCTTTTGACCTTTGCTAGAAAAAGTTCTCAATATTTAGGGAATCGTGTAATCACATTTGTGAAGTTCCTTTTACCATGTAAGGTCACATTCATAGATTGTGGAATTAGGACATTGCCATCTTGGTGTTGTAGTAACATTATTCGGCTTCTATCTTTGATCTTTCTTTCTCCTCTCCTAAGTTACAACATTTACATTTTTATTATTAGGCTCTTTTAAACATCAATAAGATTCTATTTGTTAATTATACTTATTCTTTATTTATTGAGTTTAAGGGATAGAAAATGAGAACATTATTCACTTATTAATCTTTAATCCTACTAATATTTTTGAGCACCTACCTGTATCCTATTGTAGATAATGGAATTATAACATTAAACAAAATGTAAAAAGAAAATCGTTTCTTTGGAGTCTACATTTCAGTGAGTGTGTAGAAAATAAGCAAATCATGCATAGTATGCCAGAGGTCATTAATTCTATGAAGAAAAATAGAGAGGAGAGGAAAATTGGGAAGGCAGGGCAGAGGGGAAAGACTACTGTTTTGTGGAGGTGTTCTATTTAATTAGGTGACATTTAAACAAAAATATAAAAAAAATTGAAGAAGTGAAACATGAAGATATCCAGACAACTACTGGAGGCAGAAAGAACTCCAAATACTAAGATGCAACTGAAATGTGCTTGACAAATTAAAGAAACCTAAAGGGAAGGAAAGGTGGAACAAGCAGCAGAATTGCGAGAAGTAGACTGAAGATAGAGTTGAGGACTGTATCACAGGTCTTTGTTGGATTACTCCTGGGGTTTGTTTGTTTGTTTGTCCAGGCTGGAGTGCAGCAGCACAGTCTCTGTTCACTGCAATCTCTGCCTCCCAGATTCAAGTGATACTCCTGCCTCAGCCTCCCAAGTAGCTGGAACTACACCATGCCACCACAGCTGGCTAATTTTTGTATTTTTAGTAGAGATGGGGTTTGGTCATGCAGGCCAGGCTGGTCTTGAACTCCTGACCTCAAGTGATCCACCTGCCTCAGCCCCCAAAAGTGCTGGGACTACAGGCATGAGCCAACATGCCCAGCCTTACCAGGTTCTTGTAAGAAGTTTACCTTTTATTCTGAGTAAAATTTTAATCCTTGAGCAGAGGGTGTTGAACTGAAGGCCATGATTTATTCTGTTTTTAAAAATGTACGCTGACTGCTGTATTGAGAATAGTCTGCAAATGAGCATTGAGAGAAGCAAAGATATCAGAAAGGAGGTCACTGCAATAATCCACAGGAGAAATATTACTATGATGAACAGCAATGTTAGCTATAGCAGTAGGAGAAAGTGTGAGTGATTCTAAGCCTACAAGATTTGCTAAAAGACCCAATATTTTGTATAAAAGAGACATTCAGTGGTAGCTTTAAGAGGACTGTGACAGGAACAGGTCTGGGGAATGAAGGTGGGAGGAAGTGTCATGACTTGGGTTTTATAAATGTTATGTTTGAGACATCTCTTAAATACCCAAGAAGATTTGAGAGAAGCAGTTGAGTAAATGAGTCAAGAGTTCAGGTCTTCAGCCTGAACTGAAGATAGAAAGTTGTAAGCACTATAGATAGTATTAAAGCTAGAAGAATGGATAACGTAGGTATAAAAGGGGTTCAAGAGGTGAGTCCTAGTAACTCCAAAATTTAGAAATTACAAATTTGAGAAAACATCAGCCTGAAAGCAAAAATAATAGATTAGTTTAAAGAAGAATAAAGAAAATCAGGAGTGATAAATTGCAAGTTAAGAGAAGAGTTTCAAAAAGAAAGTGTGGGCAACCGTGTTAAATGCTTCTGTTAGGTCAAATAAGACGATAATTCAGAATTCATGATAAGATTTATCAACACACAGTTCTTATCAACTTTAAAAATAGGTTTTTGTGGAATAGTACCAGAAAAAGTCAACTCGAATGGATTCAAGAGAAATAGAGTGGGAGGAATTGAAGAAGTGAGTATTGAATATACAGCCCAAAGTAATTCTTCATGAGTGAAATATCGGTGTGGAAAAAGGAAAAGATTTAACAATGGCTGTAGGAGTTTTCTTCTTTACAATTAAAAAGTTGAGGACAGAATGTAATAAGATGGGAGGGTCACATTAGTGGACTATTTTTTAAGAAGTTTTTTTTTTTTCTTTAAAAGAAGTGAAAAAATGTGGATTATATGTATATTTTGTATAGAAAATATCACAAAAACTTGTATATTAATGAAATACTATTAATAGATATGTAGCACTTAAAATGTGCCAGGACCTATGAATTTATGAATGAATCAATTTAGTCCTGACAACAAACTTATGAGGTAGACACTATCATTTTCTTCCCCTTTAGCTAGATGGGTAAAACTGAGAAACAAATTAACTTGTTCAATTTCACACTGCTAATAAGTTGCAGAGCCAGAATTTAAGCCAAGTTAGATCAGCTCCAAGGCACAACACTTCTTGAGTGTAGTAGGGGAAAAAATAGATGATTCTGAAAAGAGAATGGATAGTAATTTTTTATTAGGCACTGCTATGTCTTGAATATTTGTGCCTCTTCCAACATGTATGTTGAAACTGAATCTCCAATGCAACAGTATTAAGGGGTAGAGCCTTGAATAAGTGATTTAGTCATGATGGCAGAGCCCTAACGAAGGGGATTAATAATCTCATAAGAAAAGTACATGGGAACTGTTTGTCCTTTTTTCCCTTCTGCCTTCCACCATTTGAGGACACAGCATTGGTGACCTCATGATGACATAGCATCAAGGCACCATCTTGGAAGAGGAGAGAGCAACTTCCATGTGACACCAATGGCAAAACTTTAATCTTGGATTTCCCAGCCTCCAGAACTGTGAGAAATAAATGTCTGTTGTTTACAAATTACTCGGTCTCAGGTATTTTTTTATTGCAGTAAAAGAGACTAAGATATGCACAGAGACAGAATTTAGTAATCAAATGGAAGGGTTGCCTTAGATCAGAGAAAGTACAGTTTATCCATAGTAATAACAGGAGAAGAAGCGTGTAAGGATGCCATCATTGCTATGTTGACAGGGATTATGGTGTGCAAATGTAGAAGTTGTCTTCTAATTGTTTCTATTTTCTCAATGAAATAAGATTAAAATAAAAGTCATAAGCCAAGAATGAAAATGAGATGAGATGTTGCACAGTTCAGAGTAGAGAAGAACATGTAGGTAGTTACCTAGGAAAGTGGAAATTGAGAGAACTAAACCAATATGGCATTATTGCAGGCACCCTTAAGGGAATGCTCAATAAATTAATATTCATGAATTTAAAGTAGTACCATTCATCATGTTTGGGTGCTTTTGATATACAACTGCGTTGGCAGAGGTAATTGTCTGGTTTTAGACTGCTACAACTATTCAGAAAAAGAAAATTTCAAGGATTACTTCTGGTAGAAAAAAAATGGCACACATTTTTCTTCAATCTCAACTTAAATATCCTTATTATCTATTTTCACTTCCGCCCCAATCAAATGAAGGTAAAGATAGACAAAAACTTGACATTTGAATATGACTCTATTGATTCCCAGGAAAGAAAGAGTCTATTAAATGTGGATTGCTATGTGCCTTTTCTCTTTGGGTGACCAATTGCATCCATAATATTAGGTTGGTGCAAATGGAAGATTGGAAGTGTTACCAGTTTTAGTAGGCAATTACAGTAGTGGGTAAAGACTTTCATTATATGAGTCATTCTTTCATTTTATCTTGACCTATATACTCTTCTCTGTTCCACATTCTGTCTCTCTTTAAACAGTGAAAGTATTCATAAGTTTTTCTTTTCAATTTTGTACCCTTGTTTTTGTGAAGTAGGAAAAAGGAATGTTGGTGGGAGTAGCTATTGCACTACTTTCTAGAACATTTGTTATATAACTAACATGGCAATTTTCAATGGTCATGTTTTAAGGCTATTTTTCTACTTCTTTATTTGTTACTTGAGTGCTACAGATGTATGTTCATTCCTAGATTTTCCTTTCTTCACTTGTTCATTTTTTTGGGGGGGAGGACAAGCTGTGTTATTAGCTTGTTTAACTGTCATACAGAAATTCCTTAAGTTATCTGTTTAATAAATAAGACTATAGTTCTGTTCTTTTAAAATTAACACATTTGTCTGAATTTTTCTTGTTGAAATAGTATGTTCTCAATCTAATATATGACTTCATATTACCATTTCTGAACATTGGAGCTGGATTTGCCCATCAAAAACCTCTTAGTAATTCCATTTTGTGTATGTGTTTTTAGCAAGGACTACTGGGATTGATTAGAGTATCATATTTTCTTATTTTTTGATATACTTAAAATTCTTGTGTTTGTGTTTGTAGAAATAAAGTAGACGTACTATAAAAATACCTATTGCAAAATTTCTTGAAATATCTGGAGAAAATATAACATTTTAAAAAGTCCATTGCTAAGCTTTGAAAATTAAAAGAAATCCGTAGAGGCTACTAAAGTGGTTTGTGGTATATACGGAAGTAAAATATATGAGAGTCAAGTCAAAGGGCCAAGAAGGAGAAAGAGAAGTATTCATTTGTAAAGTTATTACAGAATTCATTAAGTACTATCAGTTAAAGATAGGATGTGTTAAGTTAAAGATACATGCTATAAAACCTAAAGCAATCAAAATAGCGGACAAGTTGTTGTTAATTAGATAGCAGGGGAGAAAAAAATGAATCATAAAAAATGCTCAACACAAAGGAAAGCAGAAAAAAGAGAAAATAAAGTGGCATCAAGAAAAGGCAGAGACCAGAATCAGTGGCGCATGCCTATAATTCCAGTATTTTGGGAGGCTGAGTCAGGAGGATTGCTTGAGGCCAGGAGTTCAAGCCCAGCCTAGGCAACATAGGAAGACTCTGTCTCTATATGAAATTTAAAAATTATCTGGTGGTGCATGTCTGTAGTCCTAGCTACTTAGGAGTCTGAAGTGGGAGGGTTGCTTGAGCCCAAGAGGTTGAGGTTGCAGTGAGCTATGATCGCACCACTGTACTGCAGCCTGGGCAACAAAGCAGGAGCCTGCCTCAAACAAACAACAAACAAACAAACAGAAAATAAGAAACAACAGAAAATTAATTGCAATACAGTTGGTTTAAATCCAATTATATAAATTAAATATATTAATTGTAGATGATCTGAGCAACCTAATTAAAAAGCATAGATTTTCAAAATGAAAAAGCAAGGCCCTACTATATGTTGCCTACAAAAAACAATTTTAAATATCTAGATACAAATAGGTTAAAAAAGAGAGTGGCAAAAGTTGTATCAGGCTAAACTGATAAAGATGGGCTGGGTTTGTTAATGTCAGATAAAAGTAGATTTCAGATCAAATAATATTACCAGGAATAAAAAGAATCATTTCATAAATGATAAAGAGGTAAATTCATCAAAAAGGTAAATTCATCAAAATTCATCTTAAACATTTATGCATTTAATAGCAAATACATGAGAAAAACCTCACAGGACTAGAAGAAGAAATACATGAAGCAAAAACCTCAAAGGACTAGAAGGAGAAATAAATAAATTATAATGAAGCAAAAGCCTTATAGGACTAGAAGGATAAATAAACAAATTATAATTATATTAGTGATTTCAACACCTCACTCTCAGTAGTTGACATAAGAAGTAGACAAAATATTAGTAGGATAGTAGACTTAAACAAATTGTAGCAACCAACTTGACCTAATTGTTAATGGTAGAATACTCTGTTCAACAGCACCACAATACATATAATTTTCAAGTGTATGTAGAACGGTCTCCAATATAGGCCTTATTTTGGAGATCCCTATGAAAACTCTTCATAACGCTAATATTTTCCACCAACACTAGAGAGAAGAGAAAGTAAAACTGTCTTGATTTCCACTTACTATATGAGTGATATGCAGATGCAATAATTTGGATCCCAGCTGTCATGAAGTTTATTTAATATTATAGAACTGTTTCTTCCTAATCTGTATGACAGTAATGATAATGTATAATTGTCTATCACGTTAACACAAAAGTTAAATGAAATTGCTTTAAAGTTTCTGTCACATAAATGTTACACATATTTTAATCTCACATAAAAACACATCTGCCTGAAGACACAGACACTAAAATCTCTCTCAGTGACACTATTTTCATTATCTTTGTACCTCTGTCTGCTATTTCTAATCATACACTATTGGTTTAATTTTCACAAAAGTACTAAACTCTCTTTCATGGAAAAAGTCTGGAAGATTTAAGAGCATAGGATACTTTTGTTTCACAATTGAAAAGCCTTTCACCCAATATCTTGTTATTTATTTGAAATTCATGATTAAAATATTCCTACTAAAATTAATCAAGTTCAGTGTTCTCATCTACTCCTATTTTTTAGACAATCAGGATACTGAATTACCATAATTGGATGGGTTATACATGTCAGATGTTTTTTTCTTAAGTTAGTCATTTATCTGAAAAAACTTATCTATATTACAAAGATAAAAACGTGGTTCATTTATTTTTATTCATTCATAATATAGAGACATTAAACTTGTTTTTGGAAAATTAATGGAAGAAAGATAATTTAGATAGCAAAATGTTTGGACTACAAAAAGATATGTAAAGTGTAACTCTTGGATATATGTAAGAAAAAAGCTTTGCGGCATCTATATCAACTGCTGATAATGAATATGACAAATGATTCTTTTTGTGATTATTTGATTATTTGTATCTTTTGCATATTTTGATATAAATGTATATAAATTTTGCAGAAAACATGCAACCAAGATATATTCAAATTATGGGAAAAATCTTATGAATTGAATAACAGAATAGGTTGTGTTCATAACCATCAAGTTAGACAAACATGTAATCAGTTCAATCATGTGTCTTATTTTCTCCAGAACTGGCTGATGTTTGATTCACTTAAATTGATTCACAATTTTTTTCCACTATCATCTAGGCAGTCTCTTAGAAGTACTTTTGAAAGAAACCTTCTGCCTATTAAACCTAGTTTTTTTGTTTTTAAAAAGCAATTTTTTCAGAATTCATTTCTTGCTACAGGTGCTGCTTTATGAATATACCATTTGTCCATTGGGCATTCAAGTGGTTAATAGACTAAATCTGTCTAATTATAGAGGAAATCAAGATGTGTTGACAGCTCTGTTATTTTGGTGGAGTGACAACCCTGGGTGCCTGCCACATTCTGACATTCAAGCTATACTTGTTAGTATCAGAAATTCTTTGTAGGTGGCTCACTGAAGAAAACAGTGGCGTGTATTTTGTCAGATTTGTCTGCTCAGCTGTGACTTCAATTTTCCCTCACATTGCTCCAGATTCAAAGTCCAAAGAGTTAGCAAGCCGGGCGCGGTGGCTCACGCCTGTAATCCCAGCACTTTGGGAGGCCGAGGCGGGCGGATCACGAGGTCAGGAGATGGAGACCATCCTGGCTAACGCAGTGAAACCCCGTCTCTACTAAAAAAAATACAAAAAATTAGCCGGGCGCAGTGGCGGGCGCCTGTAGTCCCAGCTACTCGGGAGGCTGAGGCAGGAGAATGGCGTGAACCCGGGAGGCGGAGCTTGCAGTGAGCCGAGATAGCGCCACTGCACTCCAGCCTGGGCGACAGAGCGAGACCCCCGTCTCAAAAAAAAAAAAAAAAAAAAAAGAGTTAGCAACAGAATAATGCATTTTATTGCTACAAGGATCCTTTCCTCTCAGGGTTAGTATGGAATTGCTGAAAGGGCATCAGGGTGGGAAACAAGAAACCTGGGTTCTGGCCTTGGTCTACTTTAACAGATAAGTATGACAGATGCAATAGCTGAAACCCTATCTCTATAACTTGATAGGGATTTACTTTCTCATTAAATAATTAGATTAAATCTTCTCCAAGCTCCAATTTGGATCTAAATTTCTGCTATTTTATTTTTAATTCATGTATGGATTTTGGAGGAGAACAGTTTACTAAGTCTTTAGGATATTTACATTTATCTTAAGACAATAACTTTCGTATATTTGCAAGGCTAGTTTTCATGACACATTTCCTCTCTTAATTCCTGTTTCATTTTAAATATCATCAGAAATAATTTCTCACACAAAAGACTTTGGATACTTTTATAAATATTGTTTATAAAAAGCTTTTCATCATTTAGTAGGTATGGCTACAAAGAATTATATATCTATATCATATATCAGATTTATATCTCTATATCATTATCTATGATCTATATCTATTTATCAATATACACACATATTGTTATAAAAAACCTGTGTGAACTTTTCTCCTATATTTCAACAACCTCTGTCTGATAGACTGAAAACTTCATTTTGTGAATAGTGAATAATATTCTTGCTTCATTAATCAAACTTGGGAAAATTTATGAAATATATTTTCATATGCTTCTCAGATTCCTTATTTATTTCATGAAATTTGGAATAATTAAGAAAATTACAGCTAATTTTGCTAAAATAAAATATGATGAAAGATTTATATAAAGTGTTTTCATATGGAACACACATGATTCACTTATTGTAAATAAAATCAAATTCCTAGAAATGTTTGAACATTTTGAAAAATAATTTTATATTTGATATTACATTTTAAAATTTTAAAACATTAACAATGTATGTTTAGCTCTAAAATATGTATATTGGTTTATTTCTATAGAGCTTGTCAAAATTGGCAAAAAAAAAAAGAGAATTAACTCATTAACTTTGGTAGGCAATCTTGAATGTGTGGCAAATATTTTAATTCATTAAATCAATAATCCAGAAGAAAATTAGAAATAATTTAGTACCTCTATAAGCATCCAAGTAGAAATCACTTAATGACTCCAGTTAAATTAATGTCTTTTTTTTTTTAAGGTAAAATAAAAACTTTCATTTTTCTCATTTTTAATTGGTGTGACAGTAGGCAGTTTGTTCAAAATAGTAATAGCAACAATGTGCTTACGTGCAAATGAAAGGAATGACAGCAATGATACAAGAGATGGGAGGGAGGAATTAGAAATGTTTTGTAATTATAAGATACTTGCACTCCTCACAGAGCAGTATAGTGTTACAAGGATACCAGGGGGCTCTTGTGGGTTTGGCTCCAGACCACTGCAATAAAGCAAATATTGCAATAAATTGAGTCATGTGAGTTTTTTGTTTCCCAGTGCATATAAAAGCTATATTTACCCTATACTGTAGTCCATTAAGTGTGCAGTTACATTATGTCATAAAAAATGATGTACCGGCTGGGTGTAGTGGCTCACGCCTGTAATCTCGGCACTCTGGGAGGCCGAGGCGGGCGGATCACCCGAGATCAGGAGCTCAAGACCAGCCTGGCCAACATGGTGAAACCTAATCTCTACCAAAAACACAAAAAATTAGCCAGGCATGGTGGCGGGCGCTTGCAATCCCAGCCACTCAGGAGGCCGAGGCAGGAGAATCGCTCAAGCCTGGGAAGCGGAGGTTGCAGCAAGCCGAAATCGCCCTAGCACACTCCAGCCTGAACAACAAGAGCGAAACTCCAGAGATATATCTAATGTAAATGAGGAGTTAACGAGTGCAGCCTACCTACATGGTACATGTATACATATGTAACAAACCTGCACGTTGTGCACATGTACCCTAGAACTTAAAGTATAATAAATGAATAAATAAAAATGTACCTACCTTAATTTAAAAATACTTTAATGCTAGAAAATGCTAACGATCATCAGCCTTCAGCAAATTATAATCTTTTTTTCTGGCGGAGGGTCTTGCCTCATTGTTGGTTGCTAAAGTAATGTCTTAAAAATATTCTCCCACTAATCACTCTTTATCATGTCTAAAATGTGAAAATTTGACAAATGTGTGGTAGTCAGATGCTTTAAAGATAAAATTCAAATTCAGGTCACTCTTATCTCACTATAATTGAATTCCATTGTTACAAATATGTATTATGGCTTGAAATTCATGTATTTTTCAAATAAGAAAATAATAACACTTGTTTTCTTCTGTAGTAAAATAACTGTTTTTGTCTCTTTTTTGACAGGGTCTCCCTCTGTCACCCAGGCTGGAGTGCAGTGGCACGATTTTAGCTCACGGCAATCTCCGCCTCTCAAGCTCAAGCGATTCTCCTACCTCAGCTGCTAATTTCTGTATTTTTACTAGAAATGGGGTCTTACCATATTGACCAGGCAGGTCTCAAACTCCTGATCTAAAGTGATCTACCTGCCTGGGCCTCCCAAAGTGCTGAGATTTCAGTCATGAGCCACCATGCCCAGCCTAGAAAATTTTTTATTAATTAGTTTCTCCTTTTATTTTCATGCGTCAGCTTGTGTTACTTGAGCTATTTTTTTTTTTTTATCTTTCATGCATCACCATACTACTTTTACTCACTGTAAACAAGAGGCACATCTACTCCAAATGGTCAGAATAACAGCCATAATAAAAATAATGCCACAAGCTACCATGCTTGTTTAGGAAATTTTGTACTTTTTTAAAAGGATAATATATGTTTGAATTGTTGGTGAATCCCTTTATCATACGTTGATTTTTTTTCAAAACAAAAACCTCCCTTTAGATGTGTGGTAGATTTTAGCACTGGACCAAAATCTCCACTAACCCCCATGCCCTTGACCTTTGCCTTGTGAATTTGTCTTGATCTTCTTTTTGCTCTTATATATAATTCTCAGTCCCTGGGGTCAGCCGTATTTTGCCCAGTGAGAGTGTTGAAAAGGATTTATGCGATAGGATTTTGTCTCTTTTGTCCTTTTATCATTACAAAGGGAATAGCATACTTAAGTTAGTCTTCTGGTCTTAGAAGGGTAAGAGATAATGTAAAGTAAAGTAGAAATGTCCTAGACTAGAATGAGTCAGATGCCTCTCTGACGCAAGAACGGCCTTGGTTGAGATCAGATAACTTCTAGCAGAAACCTAGACTTGTGAGTAATCAGCACATATTGTAGTATGTCACTGAGGTGTGTGGTTGTTTATTTTGCAATAGTTTGTGGTGACAGCAAACTGATACAAGAGCTTTTCAAAATCATCAGCTGTATCAACAATAATTATAGCAAGAATGGCTGTCTCAAAGATACTTTTTCATCAGAAGAATCAATGCCCCAGTATTGTGGCAAATCAATTGTGAAAGCATTATTTCACATGTAAAAATTTTGTGATGAAATTCTGAATTTGTCCATAGTACTAGATTTTAGATCTGTGCTGTGCAACATGTTTCTGTCAAATTATTTTGTCTTCTTCAATTTTTGTCACTTTTGTTGTTAACTAAAAAAAATTTCAAGGTGACATAATTTTTAAAATCACTGAGGGACTTTTTGTTTAAAATTTGAACCAAATTATTTTTTCAATAATAGGCATTTGGAATTTATTTTGAATAATTGAGTAGAATAATATTCAGATCAAAAATACATTTAATATTAAATCAAAAATTCTCCTTTTTCTGTATTTTCATTTCACATTTTTAGTATAATACTTAACATATAAATATAGGTAGACAGATAGATAGATATAGATAGGTAAACAGATTTTTTCAACATGCTTATCTCTAAGGGAGCAAAATATGTATTTCTCATTCTTTATAATATAATATATATAATTTATAATTGTATATTTATAATATAATATATATAATTTATAATTATATATTTATAATATAATATATATAATTTATAATTATATATTTATAATATATGTAATTTATAATTTTATATTTATAATATAGTATATGTAATTTATAATTTTATATTTATAAAATAGTATATATAATTTATAATTTTATATTATATAGTTGTAAGATACTATATATAATTTATAATTATATATTATATATGTATAATATACTATATGTTATATATGTATAATATACTATATGTTATATATGTATAATATACTATGTTATATATGTATAATGTACTGTATGTTATATATGTATAATGTACTGTATGTTATATATGTATAATGTACTGTATGTTATATATGTATAATGTACTGTATGTTATATATGTATAATATACTGTATGTTATATATGTATAATATACTGTATGTTATATATGGTTAAAAACACAACAAAACACGACAGGTAAAATCAATGAATATTTTATGATGCAAAATAATATTTTTTGTCTTATCTCTCTTCTTTCAGGCAGTTACCTTTACCAGCTTTCTGTTTTGAGTACATCTTATGATTACCTCAATTTTCTAAATACTATGCCAAGACACTTTTTCATTATTCATCAATTATGTACACTTTTTTCTGTGCTCCCATTATGATGGATGAAATCCTAGCTTACTCAAACAATGTGATGCCTCTTCTTCCTGTTATCTCTTGACATATTTATATCAGTATTTTCAGAGCCTCTATTTGTCACTCCAGCTTTCAAACAAATCAGTATTATATATTAATTTTTTAATCAACCATATAAATATCTTTATTTTTTCTTTTTAATGATTATAAAATATTCCTCCTTCCCTCTCTTTTCCATCTCCTTTTAATATTCCATCTCTGTTCATTGATTTACTTTTATATTTTTAAGGTGAATACAATCCATAATTTTTTCTATAACTATGTTTTGTGGTTTTCTTTTCCAGTCATTGTACAATGATCCTTTAATCACGTTCTGATGTGCTCTATTTTTTATTCTGCCATTACAGTATTTTCATTTTCTTCATAGGCACTTTACTATGTGAATATTTGAATTGTCCTCTCCCAGATCCAGAGATCCCCTCTTCAATCTCCTCTTGAAGGCTCTGTCATCTTGTCAAATTTGTTATTATCATTTTACGGACCTGCTGATCTTTGATCCTGAAATATACACTTTTCTTAATAGCACATCTTTCTCTACAGTAACTTTGATAGAATGAATCTTTAAATAATTTCTAAGAAATGTACATGAAAATAATAGTTCTGAATACTAGAAATTTCTTTATTCCTGAAATGCTTTTGTTTTTCCCTTCCACTTGAATTATATTTTAGGTAGATACATTATTCTACATTGAAAATAATTTGTCTCTCAGAAATTAGGTCCTTTTTCTTTTCTCCCCCAATTTTTCTAATACATAATACAAACAAAAATTTTATGTATTCATAGTGTATAGAATATGTTTGTATGTATGTAGACATTATGGAATGGCTAAATCAAGCGAATTAAAGTATCTGTCACCTCACATACTATCATTTTTTGTGGTGAGAACATTTAAGCTTTACTGTCTTAGCAATTTTCAAGTGTGCAACACATTATTGTTTACTATAGTCACCATACTGTACAATGGATCTCCAGAATGTATTTATCCTAAATGAAACAGTGTACCCTTTAACAAATATCTCCTTG
Source organism: Homo sapiens (assembly GCF_000001405.40). Taxonomy (NCBI): domain Eukaryota; kingdom Metazoa; phylum Chordata; class Mammalia; order Primates; family Hominidae; genus Homo; species Homo sapiens. Next base: position 94,931,574 of record NC_000003.12, read on the forward strand.
TAGGCCTTCTTTCTGTTTATTGTACCAAAGAATTTTGTACATGGGTGTTAAGATGCTAGACAGATTTCTGTTCTTTTGTAAAATATTTGTGTACTCATTTCCCTGCTTGCCCTATTCTTACATTCTTTCTAAAAGCTCTAGAATTTAATTTTAATCGAGGTGATCTAGAACAGTGCTAACCCATATGATGGCCACTAGACATTTATTGGTATTGAGTACGTGAAGTTTGTCTAATGCAACTGATGCAAATGTCTTTACATTTTATTTTAAATAGTTTAAATTTGTATTGGATAGTTTAACTAGTTATTAAAAACTTTAAAAAATATTTAGAAAAACTTGTTCATGTAAATCTATTTTTTTGAGCTGTAGATTTTATAAAATCTAAATATAGATTAAATACTTTGTACAAAAATTTAGCATCCAAATGAAATGTGTTATAACAATAAATAGTGAATTTTGAAGACTTATACAAAAATGAGCTCCAAATATCTCAATAATTCAGCATTGATTAAAAGCGAAGTTATGATATTTTGGGTATAGCTGGCTTCAACAACGTATCAATAAATTTATTTTTAACCTATTTCTTTTGCTTTTCAGAAGTGACTATTGAAAAATTTAAAATTACATATGCAGCTCAAATTGTATTTCTATTTGGCCAAGAATCATCTGTTATTCAGAATATAGTGCCCTAAGTAAGGGTTTTGTTTGTTTGTTTGTAATGTGTCAGTGTGAGCCCTTTCAATAGAAAGACCCTTTTCTTAAACTCTGGAAAATTTTCCTGTAATTTTTATTTAATAAATTCGTCTTTATTACCATCCAAGTAATCTACTTTTCTTATGTTATCTCTGTAACTTTTAAAAATCAGATAAAATCAGCGTCTTACTGTTTTATTCGCATATGCTTCATTTCTTGTTCTTTTTTTCTTCTAAATATTCTTTTAAAAAACTTTTCAGCTCTTTTACTGAATATTTGACTTTAGTTCTTGTTCTTGGACTTTTTTTTAATCTTCCTAAGTTTAGATGCTGTGTTTTTCAAATATTGTTGATAATACAAATCACAATTTATGATCTGTGTGCTTATCTGTTTGCTAAAGTTCCTTACTCTTCATGATTTCAGTATATGAGTTTGAGTTGATTATCTCAGTTTTTCTCTTTGATACTGCAATCTCGTAAGATATTGGAGGCTCTTGGATATCCATTTATTTTTATTTTATGGCAACATAAAAGCTGGACTCAATTACTGTGTATTGAGGCATGACTTGTGGACTTTTTTAAGAGAATTCTTCAGTCGAGTTACTGATTGATTTATTGATTATTGTTTGATGATAAAGTGCCAATCTATCTGCCCAGAGTGGTGCTTGAGCAAGAGAAACTTGCAGCTGGTCTATATGGACATTCAATCTATTCATTGTTTCAGCTAGCCTTCTGACTTGAACTTGCTTGTCTGGGGGTCTTGCCTTCATCAGGGTTCTGGAAGTCAAAGACTTTCTCATTGCAGATTTTATTTTGTCACTTTGTCTTCGATTCATCAGGCTCCACTTCTCACCTGATTTATATCATCTAAACACTTTTTATTGCTGCGAGTTGGTCTTTTAACTCTTTACTGAACTTTTATGATATCATAGGAAAGGAGATGAATGAATGTGCTCAGATCATAACCCTGGAGTAGATTGTCATTAGAAGGTGGATGGTCTTTACCATATTTTCATCTCTTAAAAAGTGTAATTTTATTCAGGCACTTTAGTGAAGAGGAACTAGAAATAAAATTCAGTTATTCTAGCCCTTATGATTAAGAAAAATTTTGTTGAAATGTGATAATTCATTCCCTATTTCATTTTAGTTATTTTGTCATTGTCCATGGTCAAGTTTTCAAAATAATACACTGTTCTTTAATCACATCTTTAAAGTAATAGTAAAGTTGCAAGCTTAAAGACATCCTTGAAAAATGTCTAAGAGCAAGGGAGAGGTTTGGGCTAAAGACAATGTAGTTCAAAATTTAGAAGATCTATCATACTAACATTCCACCAAACGAAATAAAAACTAATAACCTTGCAAATGAGTGAAGATATCTTTTTCTATTAGATATACATTAAGCAAGGAAAAGTTGAGTGAAATTTAAATGCATTTTATCATTGCTAAAACAATAAAATTACCTGATCATGCAGTCATTAGCAGCTTTGAGAAGTTTGCTGTGAATTAATTCATCTCTGTTGGGAAATAATTGCAAAAGTTTCTAACTTTTAAGGTATGCTGACACAGAAAATTTTACTTTATAAAGCACACTATTCAAAATTGGACTATGGTCAGCATAACTAATAAAACAAAAAGGCCATACTTTTTTACTCAAGGGTCAGGTCATTATTGTCCTCAGTTCTAAAAAATTTGTTTAAACTTTTATATCAAATGTAGTATCACATGTTGAGAACAAGGGTTATTTCACTTCAAAAATTTATTTTGGTGGAGTTAATGAATCCACTAAGAGGTTTGGACTAAAGACAATGTAGTTCAAATTTAGATCCTTCTAACCTTTTAACAGTAGTAATTTTTGTAGTGGCCTTCTGTAAAAATATTGTTCTCAGCTGCTTTTTTAACATTTTTAATGTGTAGACATGGTTACTTCATGGAAAATAAAGTTTGTGCAAAATTTGTATATTTTCATTTATAAGTTGTCTTTATCATAATAGCTTCTAATTATATTTAGTGTGGAGGTGATATAATTTTACATTATCTCTTTCCTATTCATGTTATTGTTTTATATTTTAAGTGTAACTTCAGAACAGTGAAGTGATGGACTTCATAGAACATCACAGGAGTAGTAAAGATTGTTTTCTAATCTACAAATATTTGTCTTTTTTAACAGAATCTAAATTTATTGGAGATGACAAGTACCCTGTTAAAATCCTGTATTCTGTAGCACTAATTGAAGAAACAACTGAAGCTACAGTTACCATCTTAAAATTGACCTTAAGGGAAAGGACACAGACTTATAGTGACATCAACCCAGAAATCTTTGGGTTGCTACTTTAGATTAAGACTGCCTGCTTTCATTCTTGTTGTTACTTGAAAAAAATAAACCTCAATCTTGTTCAAGTCACTATTATTTGAGATTTCTCTTGCCACTTTTAAAAGGTGCCCCAGGAGAATCATGTGAAGCTCAGGTTGAGAAACCATCCCTCCAAGTGTTCCATTTGGTCTATCCACTACAGGCATGGTGACTTGGCTAAAATAATTAGTCCCACTTCAGAAATTAACTTTATAAATATAATATATACTTTTTGTAACTCAAGTTCTGGAAATGACTAAATGTCCCTTGTATGATTCTTTTAAATGTGATATTTTTCAATAGTTAATTGAACATGATTACTATTATTATTTTTTATTTTTTATTTTTTTTTTTGAGACGGAGTCTCGCCCTATCGCCCAGGCTGGAGTGCAGTGGTGTGATCTCGGCTCACTGCAACCTCCGCCTCCCGGGTTCAAGCAATTCTCCTGCCTCAGCCTCCTGAATAGCTGGGATTACAGGGATGCGCCAACAAGCTCAGCTAATTTTTCTGTATTTTTAGTAGAGACGGGGTTTCACCATATTGGCAAGACTGGTCTCGAACTCCTGACCTTGTGATCCACCAGCCTCGGCCTCCCAAAGTGCTGGGATTACAGGCCTGAGCCACCGTGCACGGCCAGGTTATAATTTTTAAAGTTAAAATAATAAGGAGTAGTGTCCTGAAATTATCTTGTAATACTTCCTCACTATCAGGTATTGACAACGAAAATATTTCCATTCCAATTGAAAAATGGTATGTGCATATACGTGTTTATAAATAAACATTATGAAAAGACAAATGTAATGTTGTGTAAAAATAAATGAACTCATGGATATAAAGTATCCCTTTAATCTCGTGTTATGTTTATTAATTTCAAATGAAACAAAGCAGTGGCCATAATATCATTCATTGTGTCCTATGTAAGAAGTCATATGATAAATTTTCCTTAGAATTTAGCATATAAAGAGTTTGATATACTTTATAACACCCTATCCCTAAATGCCACAAGCCAGACACAGAAGCCATGCAAAAGTGACTATCACACACAGGTACAGAGTACCACCAAGCAGAAAGGGGTTAATACTGCAGAGAGAGCCCCAAAGTACAGCTTGAGGAACACAGGGAGTCATCCCAAGACCTTCACTTGGCTGCCATGGAAACAGCAAACACTATAAGCTTTGCTTCATTCAGTCTTCCGAAATGAAACGTTAATAGGGAAGACTCACTAACACTTGTGGTGAACACGGTTAGCAAGGATGCAATGTGTCTCCTGGGCTGTAGGACTCCGTCTGCTTCAGCTGAACTCTCAGAAATTACAGATGAGAGAGATATATGCATATGCACATACATATACACATATCTGTATGCACACAGATGTATTTAAATGAAGGTGCATACACTGGGCTAAAATACAAACAACAGAAATCAAAGGTCATATAATAAAAGGCTAAATATAACACAGGCCTAGAACTAGCTCCTGGTTGGGAGCTGGGGAAAGGTACACAATTTGTGGTGGGCTGGGAAAACTATGTACACAATTAGTGGTGGGCAGGGAAGGCATCAGTGTAGAGAACTCAGACTCACTTCACAATACTGGCCCACAGGAATGTGTGATGTTATCTCATGTACATAAATAGACTCTAACCTTGCTTTTGTGCAAACCAAGCTTGGTAGGCACCCAGGAGGACCGTGGGTTTGTCTTGATGACAGGGCACTGCACCACACTGCTGCTAAACCTTCCAGCCCTAGGAACTCACCTGCTACCATCCCCTTACACTCCCTTTTAGGCCCTTGGGCTTTTTCCCATCCAACACCTAGAGCCTGAGGCCTGCCAAACTACCTAGCTTCACATGACTAATTGCAGTGACTAACTTCATGGCTTCCTGCAAGCAAGGTCCTTCTGTATCTGTCTCTTTCTCTGACCCCAATATGAAAACATTTCTGTAAATGTCTGGCACCTAATAAACATGATGGTTGTGGACAATGTCACAAGTACACAGGAAGACCCAGTAACAAGACATGCAAGGTGAGGGCAAGGGGCGCTGAGCTGCTCTAGCATTTCAAAACCAGGACTGTAGCTTTCCATACATTCAGCGGGGTAGGAGAAGGGATGTGCAGAGCTGATGACTTCACTGGCTCCTCAGCAGCATGTACATTCAAATTGAAGATGTCTTGAGAGCCCCACTATACCCAAATCGTGAGTCTGGTCACTCCTCTAGCAGAGCTTGGTGCAGTGACAGCTAGAAAAGCTGAGTTCCAATTGAGTCTGTTGCACCAGAGTTCTTTTGAAGATGCTCAGCAAAGTAATTATTTTCTTTTGAGCAGATGTACAGCACATCCATGAGAAGGCCAAGTAAAGGATGCTCTCCAGCCCAGTCAAATGATCCAATCCCCCTACTATCTCAGACCCCTCTGAGTTTCTTCCTATGGCCGCCCTCACTGTACAGAAATAGCGGAGCAGCATCAGGGTGAGTCATCAATGGTGGGCAGCCAGAAGACCATGCTGGAACACGCACTGGCAAAAGTCATGAACTTGGGGTTGAACTGCAAACAGGTAATTGGGCCGGTGTGTTTACCATCCAACACAGCTACTTTTATACCACTCTCTCCATTCCAGACATGGATCTTGCCATCCTCTGAACCAATCATAATAAACTGAGAATCTGGAGTAAATGAAGCCTCCAGTGTGACAGCTTTGCTGTTGGCATAACCCTCAAACGTGTGCATCACCACTCCTTTGAAAGCATCAATGAGGGAAATGAAGCTGCCGTTGGTGGAAATGAGGATGACCTTGCCATCGTTGCTGAATTTAAGTCCTGTCCACTCACAAGTTCGATTACACTGCATCCTAAAGGTAGTAAATGGCCCTTTATCAAAAGAACGAAGGTCGTAAAGTTTGACCATCTCAGAGTTGACACCTGCAGCCAAAATTAACCCTTCTGGATCAAAAGAACAAACTGGCTTCCCCTGTAGACTCATGAGGCCCTGGCAGTTAGGAGCCCGGAGATCCCAGAGTCGAATGGTCTTATCAAGAGACCCAGAAATGAAAATGTCATCCACAGGTGACATGGACAAGGCCACCACTCTTTTGCTATGTCCAGGAAAGTATCTGATGTATTTGTTGTCATGCAAGGACAAGTAACGAATAGTATCGTCTATTTTGTTAGAGCTGTAAACAGCTGTGTTTGCCTCATGAGTGTATCTGATGAGGTCCACGCCATATTTCTTACTGTACAGGGTTCTCTTTGGTTTGCCCTCCTGGCAGTCATATAGCACGATGGAGTCGTCGTTGCTGCTTGAGATGACCGTCTGGCCGTTGGGGCTGAAATCGAAGCAGTTAATCTTGTCCGAGTTTTCGCAAAACACCCTGGCGACGCGGAAGCTCCGCAACACGCTGTCGGTCAGCTTCATGGCGGCGGGTGGGGAAGGCAGCCGGGACTGGCAGCGGGCGGGCTGCTGAGGGGCCAACCCCTGGTGGCGGCGGTGTTGAGCCGGTGGCTAGCGAGAAGTCGGCCGGCAGTGGGGCCGCCTCCTTTTCTTCCTCCTGCTTGGACGACTGTCTTCCGCCTCAACTGTGGAGCCTCGCCGACCGTTAGTCCTCACAGACACCTCAGGGGCAACCGACGCAGCGCCACCTCATCGTGTCCGCCATCTTGGGGCGACGGCCAGAAGTCCAGGGCTAGGAGCCTCAGCCGGCGGACGCCAGGAAACAGGTAGGGATAGATATTTTCATTGAATATGAAACGCAGGATTGGAAGGGATTTTTTTTTCCCTAATGGAAATTTTAGGATTTTTAATTTTTTTCATGTATTTTCTGTTGAAATTCATCTCTCTTATTATTGCTGTTTTGAAGGTAATGCTTCTTATCTTGCTCATTCAGGTAGAATTTTTTGTTCTTTGTTTTCTGAAGTCTTCCTATGATATGTCTGTGTGAATTGAAAATTATTAGAAATCATTTTTCCTAGATTTCGCAGAGATTTTTGTGTATTTGACTTGGCGAAGTCTTTTTTCTCTTCTTTGCTTCTAGGATTTCAGTTACCATAATAATATTGGATCTTTGCGGTATGTCTTTTACACTTTTCATCTTTCTGTGCTTCAATTTGGGTATTTTTTTCTGTCTCATCTTCCAGTTTATTTATTCTCTTCTTTTTGGTGATATCTACTGAGTCACTAATATATCTTAATTATATTTTTCCAATTCTAGAATTTTTATTTAACTTTTTATAGATTTTATTTAACTCTTTATAGATCAATATTGATATTTTATATTTGTAATTGAATATATATAGAAAATATAAATGCAATTTACATTAATATTATATATGCGAATATAAATATCTATCATCTACATATCTTTAATGACAGAAGAGTGCATTAGTATCTGGTTTAGTGATTTAAATATTTAATAAAAATTAAGTAAGATAATCTTTCATGGTATCTTCTAGAAGTCTACTACATCAAGATAAGCACTAAACCAACATTTGTATTCCCTTAGTACATGTAGATTTTACCCTTACCTGAGAATTGTAAACTACAATCAAGTGTGATATAATTGTATATGTGTTTGTAACACACCTTTACTATAACCAAAAACTTTGAATGTGAAAACCATTATTTCAAACTACAGCATTTATTGATATTTTATTAAACTTACTATTTATTTTTGCTATCCGAGAGCAATTTAAAATTAAGAGAAGCAGCAATGGACATGTATTATTGAGAATTTCAAATCTAAGATATCATTTTTCTTTTAAGCACAAGCAATCTATATAGTTACTATATTTGAAGTCGTACTCTGACCAACCTCAATTTCAAATTTGTAGCTAGCTGACCCAAAATAATGATATTGGTCTGGCGACTTCATGCCTTATGGGACTTGTGGAGAAAAAAAAAAAAAACATAATCGATCTTCTTTCATGAGATGTTGAGCCCTGTAGGCTTCCTTCAAAGGAGTTCTTTGTCCTCATGTAGAAAGAGTAAAGGAAAGGAAGAAGGAAAGAAAGAGCCCAACTGGGTTTTAATACAGAGTCTGTGAAAGTGATTCAGTGAGGCAGAAAGCTTCATTGCGAGTTTATGATACAGGTCCAGTTACAGGCAACAAAGAGAAAGTAAATTCCAAAAATCTTTTCAAAAAAGTAGATTTAAAAACAACAATGATAACGCTGGAAAGCCAGATCAAATCAAGAGTTGTAACCCCCAAAATTAACAAATCTAGAGAAGTGAAAAAAAAAATTCCTGTGCTAAATTAGTTTCATTAAATGGCCATCAATTCATGTTAACTTCCTATGGTGGTAACACTATCAAAAATGTTTTTTCCTATTTCCTTTGTTTCTGGTAACACTATTATCTATCTCTATCTATCTATCTATCTATCTATCTATCTATCTATCTATCTATCTATCTGTCATCTATCTATCTGTATTTGGAAAATATATTTTTAGTATAATATTTAGGCTTCAAAGCATAAAAGCCTAATGTTCAAGTTAGACAAAAATAATGAACTTTTTTTTAAAGAAATGAAGACCCATGTACCTAATATACCCTGCAGTTGTTTGTGTGTGTTGATGGGAGGTTGCATGTGTATGAATGCTTGTGCATTGTGCATGTGCATGCTTTTCTATGTGTGAATGTGCTTTTATTATGTGTGCACACACCAAATATAGTGTGTGTGTGTGTGTGTGTGTGTGTGTGTGTGTGATATTTTGGCTTACAATATATTAACCTATAGCATAATAATGTTAACCTATAAAATTCATGGCCCTTCACATAAAAATCTGGATTTTCAACTTCGCTTAGAAGAGAGAAATATGGGAAAATACCAGGCCAACAATTTGCTATGGAAATAGTTTGCTGGAGCTCCGCTCTCTTTAGACTGTGTACATTCCTTTGCCATAGTACTTATTTCTCTTATTATCTGCCAGATTGAGATGTTTGTTAACTTTTGTGGAAGCTTGGATTATTTAATTGTAAATTTAGGAGAAAGATTTTTCTTCATGCGTCTATGAAAATATGAAAAAAAAGGCTAGTGGTCTGTGCACTTTAGATAAATGGTAGTAAGCACTGTTCTTAGTAGAAGTGAAGAATATTTATTCCTTTTTATATTCAAGGTGTGTTGTTGTGAAAAGAGTAAAGACACTGTTTAAAAAATAAGTCACATTAAGATACATGCCAGAAATTAGAATTTTTAAATGACTAAAGAAGGAAAAAGAGCAACCAGAAATAAAAGTGGCAAGCCAGCATGTTTTATTTTAGATGTTGTGCTGCATATAAGCCCTTCTCTTTGAACACCCATATCTTTTTAAAAATTATTTTTGTTTTTCTTTATTTCTTCTAAAAAAAAACCAAAATGGGATATATATACATAATATGCAGGGTTGTTACATAGGTATACATGTGCCGTGGTGGTTTGCTGCACCTATTGACTCGTCCTCTAAGTTCCCTCCCCTCTCTCCTCACCCCCCAACAGGCCCTAGTGTCTTTAGTTTCGCTCTCTGTGTCCATGTATTCTCACTGGTCAACTACCTATTACGAGTGAGAACATGCAGTGTTTGGTTTTCTGTTCCTATGTTAGTTTGTGGAGGATGATGGCATCTAGCTTCATTCGTGTCCCTACGAAGGACGTGATCTAATTCTTTTTATGGCTGCATAGTATTCCACGATGTATAGGTACCACATTTTCTTCATCCAGTCTATCACTGATGGGCATTTGAGCTGGTTCCATTTCTTTGCTATTGTAAACAGTGCTGCAATAAACAAATGTGTGCATGTGTCTTTATAGTAGAATGATTTATAATCCTTTGGGTATATACCCAGTAATGGGATTGCTGGGTCAAATGGTTCTGGTTCTAGATCCTTGAGGAATTGCTATACTGTCTCCCACAATGGTTGAACTAATTTACATTCCCATGAACAGTGTAAAAGAGTTCCTATTTCTCCACAGCCTTGCCAGCATCTATTGTTTCCCAACATTTTAATAATCACCATTCTGACTGGCATGAGATCATATCTCATTGTGGTTTTGATTTGCAGTTCTCTGTTGATCAGTAACGTTGAGCTTCTTTTCATATCTCTGTTGGCCACATAAATGTCTTCTTTTGAGAAGTGTTCATATCCTTTGCCCACTTTTTGATGGGGTTGTTTGTTTTTTTTTCTCATAAATTTGTTTAAGTTCCTTGTAAATTCTGGATACTAGATGCTTGTCAGATGGGGGTAGATTGCAAAAATTTTATCCCATTCTGTAGGTTGCCTGCTCACTCTAATGATAGTTTCTTTTGCTGTGCAGAAGCTCTTTAGTTTAATTAGATCCCATTTGTCAATTTTGGCTTGTGTTGCAATTGCTTTTGGCATTTTTGTCGTGAAGTCTTTGCCTATGCCTACATCCTGAATGGTATTGCCTAGGTTTTCTTCTAGGGTTTTTATGGTTTTGGGTTTTACATTTAAGTCTTTAATCTATCTTGAATTAATTTTTGTATAAGATATGATGCAGTGGTCCAGTTTCAATTTTCTGCATTTTTCTAGCTAGTTTTCCCAGCACCATTTACTGAATAGGAGATCCTTTCCCCATTGCTTGTTTTTTTTCAGGTTTTTTGAAGATCAGATGGTTGTAGATGTGTGGTATTTCTGAGGTCTCTGTTTTGTTCCATTGGTCTATATGTCTTTTTTGGTGCCAGTACCATGCTGTTTTGGTTACCATAGTCTTGTAGTATAGTTTGAAGTCACGTAGTGTGATGCCTCCAGCTTTGTTCTTTTTGCTTAGGATTGTTTTGGCTATACCGGGACTTCTTTGATTCCATATGAAATTTAGAATAGTTTTTCCTGTTTCTGCAAAGAATGCCAATGGTAGTTCAATGGGAATAGCATTGAATCTGTAAATTACTTTGGGCAGTATGGCCATTTTCAGGTATTGATTCTTCCTATCCATGAGCATGGGATGTTTTTCCATTTGTTTGTATCCTCTCTTATTCCTTGGGCATTGGTTTGTAGTTCTCCTTGAAGAGGTCCTTCACATCCCTTGTTACCTGTATTCTTAGGAATTTTATTCTCTTTGTAACGATTATGAATGGGAGTTCCTTCATGATTTGGCTCTCTGCTTGTCTACGGTTGGTGTAAAGGAATGCTTATGATTTTTGCACATTGATTTTGTATCCAGAGACTTTGCTGAAGTTGCTTATCAGCTTAAGGAGTTTTGGGCTGAGATGATGGGGTTTTCTAAATATAGAATCATGTCGTCTGCAAAGAGAGACAATTTGATTTCCTCTCTTTCTATTTGAATGCCCTTTACTTCTTTCTCTTGCCTGATTTCCCTGGCCAGAACTTCCAATACTATGTTGAATAGAATTGGTGAGAGAGGGCATCCTTGTTTGGTACTGGTTTTCAAAGGGAATGCTTCCAGCTTTTGCCCATTCAATATGATATTGGCTGTGAGTTAGTCATAAATAGCTCTTATTATTTTGAGATATGTTCCATCAATACCTAGTTTATTGAGAGTTTTTAACATGAAGGGATGTTGAATTTTATGAAAGGCCTTTTCTGCATCTATTGAGATAATCATGTGGTTTTTGTCATTGGTTCTGTTTATGTGATGGATTACATTTATTGATTTGCACATGTTCAACCAGTCTTGCATCCCAGGGATGAAGCCAACTTGATTGTGGTGGATAAGTTTTTTGTTGTGCTGCTGGATTCAGTTTGCCAGTATTTTACTGAGGATTTTCACATCGATGTTCATCAGGGATATCGTCCTGAAGTTGTCATTTTTTGTTGTATCTCTTCCTGGTTTTGGTATCAGGATGATGCTGGCCTCATAAAATGAGTCAGTGAAGAGTCCCCACTTTTCAATTTTTTGGAATACTTTCAGAAAGAATGATATGAGCTCCTCTTTGTACCACTGATCAAATTCATTGGAGAATCTATCTGGTCCCGAGGTTTTTTTGTTTGGTAGGCTATTAATTACTGCTCCAATTTCAGAACTTGCTATTGATCTATTCAGGGATTCAACTTCTTCCTGCTTTAGCCTTGCGAGGGTGTATGTGTCCAGGAATTTATCTCTTTCTTCTTAATTTTCTAGTTTATTTTCATGGAGCTATTTATAGTATTCTTGATAGTAGTTTGTTTTTCTGTGGGGTCAGTAGTGATACCCTCTATCATTTTTTATTGAGCCTGACTCTTCTCTCTTTTCTTCTTTATTGGTCTAGCTAGTGGTCTATTTTGTTAATTGTTTTTCAAAAAACCAGCTCCTGGACTCATTGAATTTTTTTTTGGAGGACTTTTCATGTCTCTGTTTCCTTCAGTTCTTCTCTGATCTTAGTTATTTCTTGTCTTCTGCTAGCTTTTGGATTTGTTTTCTCTCTAGCCCTTTTACTTGTGATGTTAGGGTGTCAATTTAAGAACTTTCTAGCTTTCTGATGTGGGCATTTAGTGCTATAAATTTCCCTCTTAACAATGCTTTAGCTGTGTCCCAGAAATTCTGGTACATTGTCTCTTTGTTCTCATTGTTTTCAAAGAACTTCTTGATTTCTGCCTTAATTTCATTATTTACCTGGGAGTCATGTAGGAGCAGGTTGCTCAGTTTCCATGTAGCTGTGTGGTTTTGAGTGAATTTCATAATCCTGAGTTATAATTTGACTGCACTGTGGTCTGAGAGACTGTTTGTTATGATTTCAGTTATTTTGCGTTAGCTGGGGAGTGTTTTACTTCCAATTATGTGGTCGATTTTAGAGTAAGTGCCAGGTGGCACTGAGAAGAATGTATATTCTGGTGATTTGGGATATAGTGTTCTGTAGACATCTACTGGGTCCACCTCATCCAGAGCTGAGTTCAAGTCCTGAATATCCTTGTTAATTTTCTGTCTTATTGACCTGTCTAATACTGACAGTGGGGTGTTATAGTCTCACACTATTATTGTGTGGAAGTCTAAGTCTCTTTGTACATCTCTAAGAACTTGTTTTATGAATCTGGGTGCTCCTCTATTAGGTGCATATATATTTAAAATATTTAGCTCTTCCTGTTGAATTGTTCCCTTTACCATTATGTAATGCCCTTCTTTGTCTTTTTTGATCGTTGCTGGTTTAAAGTCTGTTTTGTCAGAGACCAGGATTGCAATCTCTGCTTTTTTTTTTGCTTTCCATTTGCTTGGTAAATTTTCCTCCATCCCTTTATTTTGAGCCTATGTATGTCTTTGCACATAAGATGGGTCTCCTGAATACAGCACCCCAATGGGTCTTGACAATTTATCCAATTTGCCAATTTGTCTTTTAACTGGGATATTTAGCTCATTTATATTTAAAATTAGTATTGTTATGTGTAAATTTGATCCTGTTATGATGTTATCTGGTTATTTTGCACACTAGTTGATGCAGTTTCTTTTTAGTGTCATTGGTCTTTATATTTTGTTGTGTTTTGCAGTGGCTAGTACAGGTTTTTCCTTCCCATATTTAGTGCTTCCTTCAGGAACTTTTGGAGGGCAGGCCTGGTGGTGATGAAATCCCTCAACATTTGCTTGTCTGGAAAGGAATTTATTTCTCCTTCACTTATGAAGCTTAGTTTGGCTGGATATGAAATTCTGGGTTGAAAATTAATTCATTTAAGAATGTTGAATATTGGCCCCCACCCTGTTCTGGCTTGTAGGGTTTCTACAGAGAGATCTGCTGTTGGTCTGATGGGCTTCCCTTCGTAGGTGACCTGGCCTTTCTCTGTGGCTGTCCTTAACAGTTTTTCCTTTATTTCGACCTTGGAGAATCTGATGATTATGTGTCTTGGGGTTGATCTTCACATGAAGTATCTTAGTGGTGTTCTCTGTATTTCCTGAATTTGCATGTTGGCCTATCTTGCCAGGTTGGGGAAGTTCTCCTGGATAATATCCTGAAGTGTGTTTTCCAGTTTGTTTCCATTCTCCCCGTCTCCTTCCGGTACTCCAGTCAATCATAGGTTTGGTCTTTTTATGAGGTCCCATATTTCTTGGAGGCTTTGTTCATTCCTTTTCATTCTTTTTTTTTTTTTTTCTAGTCTTGTCTGAATGTCTTATTTCAGCAAGGTGGTCTTCAACCTCTGATATCCTTTCTTCTGCTTGGTTGATTCAGTTATTGGTACTTGTGTATGCTTCACGAAGTTCTCATGCTGTTTTTCAGCTCCATCAGGTCATTTATGTTCCTCTCTAAACTGGTTATTCTAGTTAGCAACCCCTCTAACCTTTTATCAAGTTTCTCCGCATCTTTGTATTGGGTTAGAACAGGCTCCTCTAGCTCAGCGTAGTTTCTTGTTGCCCATCTTCTGAAGCTTACTTCTGTCAATTTGTCCATCTGATCCTCTGTCCAGTCTGTGTCCTTGATGGAAATAATGTTGCGATCATTTGGAGAAGAGGCACTCTGGCCTTTTGGGTTTTCAGCATTCTTTCATTCATTCTTTTTCATCTTCGTGAGTTTGTCTAGATTCAATTTTTGAGGCTGCTAACCCTTGGATGGGTTTTGTTGGGGGCTTTATTTGTTGTTGATGCTTTGTTGTTGCTTCTGTTAGTTTGTTTTACTTTCAATGGTCAGGTCCCTCTTCTGCAGGGCTGCTACAGTTTGTTAGGGGTTCACTTCAGGTCCTATTCATCTGATTCACTCCCACGCCTGGAGATGTCACTCAAGGCGGCTATAGAAGAGGAAAGATGGGTGTCTGCCCTTTCTTCTGGGAACTCTGACCTCGAGGGGCTCCAATCTGATGCCAGTAGGATCGCTTCTGTATAGGGTATCTGACAACCCCTCTTGGATGATCTCACACAGTTGGGTGACATGGAGAAGGGGATGTATTTAATGAAGCACTTTGTCCTTGGTGGAGAGGGTGTGCTTTGCTTGTGGGAAACCCGCTCATCTGGGCTGCTCTGATTCCTCAGAACTACCAGGAGGAAAGGCTAAGTCTGCTGCTCCGGAGACTATGGCCACCTCTCCCCCAGGGGCTCATTTCCAGGGAGATCCAGGTTCTATCCCTGAGCCTCTGGCTGGAGTTATTGGAGTTCTTGCAAGGAAGCCCTTCCCAATGAGGAAGGATGGGTCAGGGTCAACACACAGATGGCCACAGCCGGTGTGTTGGGCTGTGGAAGACCAAGCTATCCAGCCTCCCTGGCTGCATCAGGGGAAAAGCCCAGTCTGGAGCTATTGAGATGGATGCCACCCTTCTCCTGCTCAGGGAGCTTAGTGTGTTAGGCAGTTGAGAGTCTCAGTGTTGGCTGCTGCCCCTCCCTCAAGGAGCTCAACTGGCTTAGCAGGCAGTGGCAGCCGGTGCTGGTCACCCCTCCCCCCTGGAGTTCCTTAGTCTTCAGCAGATTCCAGCTGAGAGGCTGTTGAGAATCTGTGCATTCCAGGGTTGGGACACTAGGCTCCGGTGGCACGGGTTTGCGAGTGGGATCTTCTGATCTGTGGGTTGCACAGTTCCGTGGAGAAAGCATGGTTTCCCCGGCTGGGTAGCACACTCACTTACTGCCTCCCTTAGCTAGGGAGAGGGGTGTCGCTTGCTCAGTGTGGGTCTCAGGTGGGCTACCACACTACACTGTTCTTCCTTCCTCTCATGGCTCATGCCAACCTCTTAGTCAGTTTTGATGAGAGAACCTGAATACCTTGGTTGCTGGTGAAAGATTCACACAATGATCACAAGGTCCCACAATAGGCCGTCTGCAAGCTGAGGAACAAGGAAACCAGTTGTGACTCAAAGCTGACAAACTTGAAGTCCTATGTTCAATGGCATCCAGCACAGAAGAAAGATGAAGGCTGGGAGCCTGAGCCAGTCTTGAACACCCATATCTTAACAATCTTTTTAAGTTTCAGGAACTTGAAATATTATCATTATCACCTATGATGTGATATATAATAAATATTCTATCAGTGTTAGTGGAAGGCAAGGCCTAAGGAGGTTGAAATGTATATAATCATTTTCTCAGCCATTCTTGTTGCCAGAGTTTGGGCATGTGATTTGAGCTACATCTATCAGATGCACTGCCCTAGACTTTGAATTAAGAGTAAAAGGTTAAACCATTTGGGGACAATAAGTATCTCTTTCTCTTGTTCAGGCTAATTGCAGCAAGATGGACTCTGAGGTGGCATGTGCTTCATGCCAATTACTGATCTAGTGCTATTAGTGTCAGTAGAACCACATCTAGATTACAGTGGAGATGGTCATGGTTTTCTCACCTGTTTTGAGCAGTGATTTGGGACATTGTTACTGACACTGAAAACTCAATTAGCGGAAGTTAGTTTCTTTTATTTCAACTAAGGGCCCTTAGAGTCAACTCAAATTGGTACCAAAACCCTTTCAGATTTTCAGAAAATCTTCATTAGTTACCTGGATTAAAGGCAAGAGAAATAAAAAGTACTATACAGGAATGAGATTCTATTAGCTTGTAGTAAGCTATAGACAGATTAAACCAAACATTTTCCAGAAGTGTGTAACAAAGGGGGCAGGCTTAAGTGAACCATAGGTTTAATCAAGATAATGATGGCCACAGACTCTAATAAGGGTAAAAAGAGAATAAAGAGGTGGTAGGTTTAGTGGATTGTAACTTCAGATTAGTTTGAAGTCCATTGGACTAAGTGTTTTAGAAAAAGTTGTTTGAAAAGAGTGGGTTTTATTTAAAGAATTGATTATTTTAACAACAACAAAAAATTAGCCAGGCGTGGTGGTGCACACCTGTAGGCCCAGCTACTCAGGAGGTTGAGACAGGAGAACTGCTTGAACCTGGGAGGCAGAGGTTGCAGTGAGCCAAGATCCCAGTGCTACACTCCAGCCTGGGCAACAGAGTGAGACTTCTTCTAAAAATAAATTAAAAAAAAGAAAAAACAGAATTGACTATTTTAATTTCAGATGTTGGTATGTGTACAGTTCTCCTCTGCTGATACTTGCTCTATTCATACCACACATTTTAATTTTACATAGGCTGTAAGTCTATTAATTATTGTCTTTTTTTAAGCACAATTATCTTTTAAATATATTTAAATAATGTGATAAAAGATTATTATACTTACGCACTTACCATTTCTGCTATTTCTTGCATTTTTGTGGGGATTCACAGTGACATCTGGCATCATTTTTCTTGCTGAAGGACTAATTTTGACATTTCTTTCTCTTAGTCAGGCTAAGGAGTTGGCTGAGATGATGTGGTCTGACAAGCAAAATTGACTTTCTTGTAGTACAGATCTGCTGTATTGCTTCAGCTTTCCTACTTCTGACTTTGTAAGATTTGTTTCAGCTTTTGCATGACTGAGAATGTCTTGATTTGGTCTTTGTATTTGAAAAATATTCCTTTTTTCTTTTATTACTTTAAATAAATTGCTTCACAATTTTCTCACTTGAATTGTTTCAAGTGAGAAATCTGCTGTCCAGTTTAATCTGTACATGATGTGTCTTTTTCCTCTGGCTATTTTTAAGACGTTATCACTGGTTTTAAGCCGTTTAACTAAGGTGTTGTGTTGTGTTTCCATGCTTGACTTTGAACTTCTTGGATCTGTGGGTTCATTTATTTTCCATTTTTTTACAACATCAAAAAATTGTTTTTATTAGTTATTAACATAAGAAAATAAATTAACATTCAGCTATTCATTTTAAAACTTTAATTTAAAGATATAACTTTTTTCTGTGTTTCCAAAGCAATAGTTTTTGAATATTTGTGTATGTGGGGTGTGTGTGTGTGTGTGTGTGTGTGTGTGTGTGTGTGTAATTTAGTGAGTCTTGACTGCTGGATCATCTCAGTATCTCTCATTCACCAGGTAAATGATTTCAGTATCTCAGTATCATTCATAGGCTATAACTAACTTCTTTATCTGGAAGTTATTTACTTAAACTGGCTCTGCTATAATATAAAACACTTATTTAGTTGCATATTTAGCTCTGGCTATATGGAAAGTACTTTGTTTTTGGAGAACTAGAGGTTCTCCTTAGTTAGCATAAATGTGTAAAGCAATATTGTGTCCACAGTATATTGCTCCTGTGGCTTTTCCTAATTTTTTGGTCTTCCTACTATCTTAAAATGCAGTAATAGCATGTGCATTGTCTAACACTATTTGTACAATATTGGGAAATGTAATCTTAAAATAGATAGAGAAGTCCTAATAGAAATACTGTGAATATGCCCTAAGAAGTCACATAGATTTAGTAAGAGACAGTTTTCTTCTTCAATCAATTAAGATTCTATTCCCCTAAAGTAAATCTATAGATTCAATTTAAAAAGGGTATAGTATTCTTCTCTATAGTTCTCACCCTCCACTAATATTTCTCAGGATCTCTTCCTGCTGTAGGTAATGAACATTTATTCTAGAGCCTGTCATAACATTAATCAACATACCTACCTTCTAGTGCTATTAAAAATTTGCATCTTTTTACTTGCATTTTTTTAATGTGAAGTCAGGTGCTGTGATGGTTAAATTGTGTGTCTAACCTGACTTAACAATGGGTGTCCAGATACTTAGTCAAGCGTTATTCTGGGTGTTTCTGCGAGGGTGTTTTTTGATGAGTTAAGATTTAAACTGACAGACTGAATAAAACAGATTACCCTCCATAACATGAGTGGGCCACATTCAATCAGTTGAAGGTTTGAATAGAACAAAAAGCCTGGCCCTTCATTATAGGAGAAAAATTCCTCCTGCCTGAATGCTTTTGTGCTGGAACGTTAGTTTTTCCTTGCCTCTGGACTTGAAATGAGACATTCACTCTTCATGCATCTCACTCCTGCCAACAGCAGATCTTGGGATTTGTCTGCCTCCAAAATCATGTAAACCAATTCCCCATAAGTCTCTTTGTGTGTGTATACACACACACACACACACACACACACACACACACACATCCTGTTGCTTATCTTGTTTTCTGGAGAACTCTAATACAAGCATGGGCTTAAGCAAAAATCTTACAGAATGAAATTTTGATTTTTCAGCAACATTCAACAACTTAGATAAATGGCAAATTTCCTAACTTCATTTGAAGAACTGGCAGCAAAACCTATTAATGTTACCTTGAAAAGATAAAAAAAGTAAAACAATCTAGTAATGAGAGAATAATTCTTAGGAAAAAATATGTAGCACGAGCAGCAAGAAATATGCTAGTTCTGTCCATTGAACATTCAAATATGGTGACATTGGCAGCTTTGATAAAATATAAAATGACTAGGGAACTTAGTTCCACCCCAAAAGACAGGCAAGAGAAATACCTGCTGTTTCTCTTGGCACAGTTAATAGTAAAAAGTATCTGCCAATAAAAGCTTGGAAGTATCTCTAAGCATCAGAATTCTACCAAAATTTATTTTCATATAATTTTGATTTTGTTTAAACAAAGTAGGAGGAAATATTAAAAGACATTGTTTTACAATGATAAAGGGTTATCGAAGAACGAATTCCTTTTTTTTTGAGGAGTTTTAGTATGAGTTGTCTCAAGTGCATCAGTATTCCCAGACTAAATAATAACTATTTGATGTGCATGCACATTATGGAGCAGTGATAAATGTGCGCTACTCTCTTCTTTCCGAAAACAGCAGCATTCCCTCCATTCTGATGCTTACACTTACTCTCAAAGCCAACATGTGTATTATTCATTGTAAAGATATGGTTATATTCTAACGGCAATCACATTTTTTAAACTACACGTCATATCATTGTTCATGGATAGTGGTGGTCATGTTTGAATTGTTAAAATTTTAATGGTTTTATTCTATTTATCTGCATAGATCCTACCTTACTGACCAATTTACACTGAGTTGTTTAGTCTATTCTGCTTTCTTTTTTGAGGGAAAAATAATGCATTACTATACAAAAAAAAATAACATGATCCAAGTGGCCTACCTTTCTAGAACATTTGTGAAAAAATATTAATTAATATTCATTTATTAAATCAAATCAGTGGAGATGTTTTTCTATTAAGAATTTATTCTTAGTCTTTGTGGAATAAAAAAATGCTCTTTTAATGTCTTTTCTTGTATACACCTGGAATGTTTTATCTGCTTCTGAGCTCCCACTGGGAACATCACATGTGTCTCCTTGTCTCTCTCTCTCTCTTTTCTTTTAATTCCAGATAAAACTTCTCTGCTTTCATGAAGGTCTCTTAAGTAAAAATGATAATAGTTCTAATCTCTTGAGGACCTACTAATAGAATGAAACAATACTGTATCATATTGTCATTAATCCTATAAACAATTCTTCCATCTTGTCATTATTATTCTCATATTCAAATGAGAAAATTAAGAAATAAAGCTGTTAAATATCTTATCAAAATTCATAAAACATGATTTATATTTATTTGTATTTTGGTGTTAATCCTTTCTAGCTCCTAGTACATTTTTTGACTACATGTTCTCTTTCATTTAGTAAGCTGTGAGCTTCCTTAACATGTAAAATATGTCTTATTCATATTTCTATCACTATCATGCCTTCTTTATGACCTGAAATTCAGTATGTGGTTACACACGCATTGAATAAAAGTGAAATAACATAAAATATATTTATGAGTCTGATTTTCTCTTTTTTAAAGTCTGAGTGACTTTGTCACAGCAAATACTTGTTAAAATATTTCATACACATTAAATTAACATAAATTATGTGTATTATTCCTATTTAATAATGTGTGAATTTTAGTTTTTGAATTTAAGAATTAACTGGTAAGACAAAAACAATCATTGTTAGATAAGACTGACAAAAAAAAAAACAAGACAATTAAGGTCCCATTCTTCCAAGTGGAAGGCAGTTGAAACTGGGCTCTTTAAAAAAATTTGAGCAAGGCTTACAGAGAAACTGTGTGATTATGATATTACAAGGTCCTCAAAAACTGTTTGGAGAAGAAATAATATTAAGAGTCTTTTTTTTCTTTAACAGTACTGAGTTGGGAGATACATATTTCTTATGTCCTACTGAAAAATAAAACACACCTCAGGGAAAAAATTCAGATTAACACTCTCTTACTCTTTCTGATAGTCTGGGTCCATCTTTCCTAAAATTCTAGGGCTGATGTTCAGTTTTCTCTAAATATAACTGCAATGCCCTAAAGCCACTGCAAATGGAGTTTTCCAGTTTTATAATAATAGTGTAAGAAAGTATGATAAGAGTATAGAAACAGTGTCCCTATATTTATTTCTAAACAAATTAAATGAACAAATCATAACTGGACTTTTTATTTTCTATATATTATATTTTGCTTTTTAAAGTAGAAACTTTACTTTTCAACTGCTTTTCTGTTAGCTTTGATGTTCTCTGATACTCTCATTTTGCTATGGACAAATAGGAATTATAAAGGATGTTCAGTCACTGATTTCAAGTAATAGCCAATTTTTTGGAAGAAAAGGGACATATATTTAAAAAATTTTCTACACATATAAAATAAAAACACACCTCAGGGGAAAAATATATATACATATATATTCTCCAGAAACCTTATATAATTTACAGTGATGCAAATTGGCATATATTGTAATGATTATGAGTGATATATGATTAATATCTATAAAGCTCAAAAATTCAGGAGTATTCAGGGGTCTTTTTTATTTTGTAAGTTGTCAGGGTTTACCAAGTATTAAGAAATGTGTCTAATTTTGAGCAGTTTTGCTTCCTGCAGTAAAATGTGTGTGTGTATGTGTGTGTCTCCTATCATAGCACGGATGATTTTTATGTGACTCTATTGGAATCCTATAATTGTTGAAATGAAGAAAACACATGCTTTATGGCCTGGCTGCTTTTGTATAGTAAAACTTAACCATTGAATCAATCTTAATTTATGAAATTATACTTGGAATTTTGTCTCAAGTAAGCTAGAGATCCACAAGTCTTGTGTGTATGATAAGCAACCTGGCAAATGCAAATGCCTGGAATCTATGCTCAGAGTTCTGACATTTTGGCCATGTATTTGGCCTAGACATCTGCATTTTAGTTTTCTGTCCATGCAAGAAATCCTGACGTAGGTGGCTAGTAGAGAACTTCCTGAGCAGCACTACCCTATGCCGTCAGATGAGAGCAGGGTTCTGGCTATCTTACCTACTGCCATATCTACAGCAACTTGCACAGTTTTTTTTTTTTTTTTTTAATGGAAAGAATGAGATTGTCTTAAGAGAAGCTTAGTTCATTAAGTAGGTGTTTATTTAGTAATTTAAAAATGCCCTTTATTTATGGAATTTGAATATTTATACTGGGATTATGGATTCAATTTTGGGAATGCGGCAATAAAACAAGATTTCTACCTATCAGGAAATATATGAGAAATTGTTAATACAATTTGAACATTAAAATAGGCATGGGCATGAAACAGAAGGAAATCATGTCCTTTGCAGCAACATGTCTGCAGCTGGAGGCCACTATCCTAAGCAAATTAATGTAGAAACAAAAATCCAAAAATCACATATTCTGACTTATAGATGGGAACTAAACATTAGGTACTCATGGACATAAAAGTGGCAACGATAGATACTGGGGGATATGGAGGTGAGAGAGAGGGAGGGGGAAGGGTTGAAAAACTAATGTTGGGCACTATGCTTAATACCTGGGTGACGTGATCATTTGGGCAGGCTTTAGCATCACACAATATATCCATGTTACAAACCTGAACATGTACCCCTTGAATCTAAAATAAAAGTTGAAATTATTTAAAACATGTAAAACATTTTTTAAAGTGATTGAACTATATTCAGAACTCGACAGATTTGAAGAGATAAAACCTATACTAAATTTCACAATATCATTGGGGCCCCTGGATTGATATATAACAAATAATTTAATAGTGTATAAATCCCTACTGTTCCAATTTATCCCATCCTTATCCCATCCTTATAAGGAATAATGTATTGAATAAAGATTGTATCAGTATTTGTAATTCAATAAACCAGAACTTGTGGAAATAAATATGTAGGAGACATAAATATGGTGTCCTCAAATTGAATTATGTGGGAAAAAAGTGGGGTGGAGTTAAAGTCCAAGCCAATAAAGTTTGTAACATTAAAGAAAGACAGGTATGGGATGCAAGGTGCAAAGAAAAGGTCATCATATCTCATACTGGGGTGAGATAGAAGACTTCCTGAAGTAGGCGATGCCTATATTGAATCTATAAGGACAAACTGGCATCAATATGTCAGGGAAGACAGGTTGAAGGTGGTCCTGCCAGAGAAAGGAGCAAGGATAAAGGCAAGGAAGCATGTAACGTCATTGTTTGTGGAGAAACCTCAAATCGGCTGAGGAAAAACGACTCAGGTATGTAGTAGGGCACAGTATGAGGAGGAATATGGCAGGAGATACAACTAAACAGAGACGCAGAGACTAGATCAATGTGAGGAAGGACAAGTTACAATTCTAACTTGATGTTTACTCTGTATATGATAGGGTCACACAAACTGTGGAAAATCTATTGTGTTCACATCAAAATTATAGCTCTGGCAAAGGAGGAGATACATAGATACATACAGAAGCTGACCGGATGAACACTCATTTTCTTTACTTGGGTCACCTCCCAAGGGAAGAAAAGAGGCGGTTTACCAGGTCTAATAACTGTGTCATCTGGACTCTAGGTTGAAAGACAAGTGATATTTGCTAGGAAGAAGAAACTTTATCTTTGAAGTGCCTTTAGCAGAATGTCCTTGGTTAAGGATTGCCTATAGTAAAGAGTATCTATGGATTTATGAACCATGGCTCCCTGGAGTAGTTAGTGCAAGCTGTACAACACCTTGTTGTACAAAACAGAAATGTTTGAAAACTCACATACTCTTTCTGCTGTTAGCTCTCTTGGAGACCTCATCTATTACTCTGTAGAGAAGGACACATTTCTGTTGTGGGAAAACAGGACATAGGGAGCTGCTCTTGATGTTCCAGGCCCCTCTCTGCTTCATCTGAGCCTATTGACTGATGATGGCACCCTTCAAATTATTAGTAAAGCTTGATATTAAGCAAGATATTTGATTTGTATTAGTCTGATTTGACAGTTCAATTATTAACGTCGTCCCATGTACTGGGTAGCCAATTTAGTATAGAATAATGCAATTATTGTTTTAAGCAGGAAAAGTGCAGAAATATACTTAGAAAAATAAATGTTTATTTGTGCTATACTGAAATTTTCCTGGTCCTCAAAAAAGGAAGAGGGGATAAGGGTAATATTTACTTTTTATCATCATAAAAATGGGAAAAACTAAGAATATTTGGTGGATGAGACAAAGAAGCAAAGACAAAACCATTTATGATCTGTTTCTGATTACTGATGATACATTTCCTTCCATAATTAAGTGAAAACTAGAAATGTCATATTTAAAGAGAAGTAAATATTAAATAGGAATTATAGCTGAGTTCATCTGAGAAGCAGTCCTGAGGAAAAACTCAAAGGTTGAAATGAAGGGTGGGGTAACAAAGAATGAAATTGCTTTTACAGTGGAAAATCACTTTCTTGGCGTTAATAAATAAAACTTAGAATACTGAGTTAATTCCTGCATACTTGTATCTCTTACAAAACTGGTTAGCTATTACAAATAAGCTACATAAGTTATTCATCCATATCCCTTCACATATTCTATATATTGGACTGCTTTATAGAGAGAATTACAAAATTGGGATAAAATTAGGCTCATTCTATTGGTATAGTGACTTTTTGCAAGCCAGCTTTTCTGCTTGGCAGTTATGGCTGCTTGCTTCATTGATTGCCCTCGCTGACACTTGCTGCTTCCAAAGGGGACAGGATATGTCCAAATGGGGGTAAACAGAAAGTACCTTGTTTGGTACTATGTTTAAAATGCAATTAAGTAAAAAGAAGAAATAATGCTACTAATGCTTTTGCCCCGGGATCTTATAACACCACAGAAAATATAGCTTAATGCAGGAAAAGCCTCTTCAGAGGCTAAGTCATGAAGTCATTTTGGCAGGAAGAAAAAAAAAGGAAAAAATAAATAAAGCAAAGAAGAACTCATAGATTGATATTGTGTAAATCCGGAGAGTTAACATCAAGATCTTAAAAATCAATTCTCTGCTTTATTGAGACCTAGTGGAATTATCTAAATACAGAGGAGGTAATGTGATGGAAAGTCCCCGTTCCTGGCAAGATGAGAGGCATTCAAGTCTGCTGTAACTACAAGTAAATCACAGGAAAAGAAAAACTGAATCAGTAAATAAAATGAAAGAAAAAAGCAGAGCAAAAAGGAAAGATTCCAAACATTTTGGACTTTTTCTACAGACACATGATAGCAATAGTATAACATAAAGCTTAAATATACGGTGCAATTAAATAAAATCAAAGGCAAGACCTGTTAAAGTTAACCACCAATACTTTGTGCTGGAAAAGGCAGGTAAATGGAGCTCCAGTTGTACAAATATATCAATGCCTACAAAATATATCAAATGTTACACTTATTTGTACATGGAGACATCTATTTACGAAAAAAATGAATCAAGCATCAGATGTTGTGTGCAGCCTGGAAAACAATTAAGTTTCAAAATTCTTCTCATTTAATCTATTTGTCGGAGAGATTTACTGCTCTAAAAAGACATGTTTTTCTTTCTTTTTTTTTTTTGGCAGTATCAACCAATCAACCTGAATCTTAGACAAATTGAAAGTTTTTATCTAATCGGTTTATATACATATATGAATAGACACATATTTTAAAATAATAAATAAATGTGCTGAGGTACTATTTTTAGAAAGTAAGTTATTGAATATGTTTTTGTTTTCTAAGCATTCAGGTTTTGCACCTTTAAATAACATGACTCTTTTTTCCTCCCTATCACTTTTTCCTTTCTTTCTTTCCTCCTTTGTTTCCCCTTCCTTCCTTTCTCCCTTCCTTCTTCCTTTCCTCCCTTCCCTTCTTTCCTTCTTTCCTCCCTTCCTCCCTTGCTTTTTCTTTTTTTTCTTAAAACAGTATTACCACTAGACATTATTATTCAAAAACACCAATATTTAGTCTAATAATCTTTACTGCCAAGGAAATAAGATTCAAGAATATAAAATAAGTTCTTAAATTTTAACACAAGAAGTGACAAAGTCAAGTGTAAATAATTATATTACAGTAACTGAAATATTTATTTATTTAGTTTGGGGGTAAGAAATTCATTTTTATCATGCTTTTTCAAAACTACATCTATAGAGAAAAAAAACTATTGCTTCAAAGTCACACCTCATTTCAACCCAAATATAATATTCCTCATGGCTTTACCCTGCTAATTATACCTCCCAAACCCTCTTATGTGTTTAAATGCAAAGTATTTATTAATGATCTATAGAGGCTATTTGTCTATTTGTTGTGGTATATTTTCATAACAAATAGTTTAAGATACAGTTTTCTGCAGCTTTATCAGTGGCCTTTTCTGGACCATACTGTCTCTCTCTCCGTGTGTGTGTGTGTGTGTGTGTGTGTGTATGCACACATATGTGCACCCTCCTTTGTGTGTGTGTGTGCGCATGTATATAGGCACAAAGGCATATATATGGAGGAATATATATGTATATATATGTGTGTATATATACATACATTCTATACCTTTTAACTTCATTTTCTTTGTAAATGCAGAGTTAAATAATTTCATTGTTTTTGTTTGTTTGTTTGTTTTGAGGTGGGGTTTTGCTCTTGTAGCCCAGGCTGAAGGGCCGTGGCACTATCTCGGCTCAATGCAAACTCTGCCTCCTGGATTCAAGTGATTCTCCTGCTTCAGCCTCCCAAGTAGCTGGGATTACAGGTGCCTGCCACTATGCCCAGCTAACTTTTGTATTTTTAGTGGAGCTGGGGTTTCACCATGTTGGCCAGGCTGGTCTCAAATTCCTGACATCAGGTGATCCATCTGCGTTGGCCTCCCGAAGTGCTTGCATTAAAGGCATGAGGCACTGCACCTGGCCCATTGTTTTGATTTTATTGGTATGAATGCAAACTTCAATTTTTCAAAACCATTTCAATCTTCTAAAAACTTTCACTGAAAGGTTAAATTTCAGTCCTTCATATCTTAATTCACCAAGTGCAATCAATATTCTTGTTCTGAAGTAATAGAGACGGTATCTGAAATGAGAAAAATTAAGAAAACAAGCTGCCTCATTATGAGGAACTTGGAATTCTAGAGGTGAGTGGATAAAATAAATAGTCATGTTTTGAATTGCATATAACCCCCCCACACACACACACACCATTGGTTTGAGATTTAGATGTTGGTTTTCTATAATTAAAATACAGAAAGTCTAGTCTTATTGTTGGATGAATAAAATACTCTCCCTGATTCCTGATTATCCTGCACAATTAGAGCTACTGCTTATGGAGAGACATTTGACAAAATGGGTAGACGAGAGTAGGTAGAGAATGTTTAGTCCTATTTTTTCAATAGTAGTCTCTGGTATTATCTTTAAATAGTACTCTCTGGTATTAATATGCATTGTTAATAGAATTAATACTATTATGCAACACCATAAAATGTATACAGATATTATTTTATAGCCCCATCATGTTTAGATGTTTATTTGCCACAACTATTTTGTTGCACCCTTGTTATCATAATTTTCATTACATAGTAAATTACTTAAAATTAGTTTATCTTTTAAAAACTAACTGGACCACATAATTTAAAGGACACAGAACATTCTATTATGATTTCTAAGTTAAAATAAAGATTTGAAAAAAAACTCAGATGTGATCTTGAAGTAAGGACAAATACATTGACTGGGACATTCTATGTAAATATTATGCAATTGATTTATGGCATGAGGTTGAGGGCGTGGAAGCAAACTTTAAATAGATGCAATCAAATAAAAGGACAACACTCAATTAATTCCTGCCTTCTACATTTTGCCACACAGTGCTTCAATTCCTTCACTAATATCTGCAGCTGGTTTGTTTCGGATCATAATGACCATCATGACTGTTGATTGTTTTTGGTGAAAAATTACTTTCTATTGATTTGTTTAAATATGACCTTTTATCTTTCTAACCAATATGAAAAACTAATCTTTATATTTTTGTAATTTGCAGTAGCCCTAAACAGAATCAAAGGACAAATATACTGCTCAGCTTATTTCAGATCTAATAACAATAACAAGAAGATTTTTAACACCTTAGGACAATTGTTTCTTTCTTTTCTTTTTTTTTTTTTTTTTTTGAGACAGAGTTTCACTCTTTGTTGCCCAGGCTGGAGTGCAATGGCGTGATCTCAGCTCACTGTAACCTCTGCCTCCCAGGTTCAAGTGATTCACTGCCTCAGCCTCCCGAGTAGCTGGGATTACAGGTGCCTGCCACCACGCCCAGCTAATTCTTTGTATTTTTTTGTAGAGACAGTGTTTCTCCACATTGGCCAGGCTGGTCTTGAACTCCTGACCTTAGGTGATCCACCCGCTTCAGCCTCCTAAAGTTCTGGGGTTACAGGCATGAGCCACCGGGCGCAGCCTGTTTCATTTTATAGGGTAGTTAGCAAACCAAACTCTTGATACTCTCAAGATTCAAATAAGGTAAAGAGAATAGTCTGTAGCTTGAGGTTGGTTACCTTTTTTGCATGCTGCAGAGTGTGAGCCACCAGTCAAGATCAGGATCTTTTAAAATAGGAATTTGGAAATTCTAAAAATTATGAGAAAATCATGCACTTTTATATGGCCTACAATGTAATCAGCTTCTTCATGGCAATGATAATTTAGAAATATCTTAAATATTTGTTTGTGGTAAAAATATAATTAATTCAAGAAAAAAATGCAGCTCTCTTAGCTATTCAGTTGTAAAAGGACCTAGAGTATAAAAAGAGACAGAATTAGTAATCACTAAGATTCATTTTTCTAGACTGAACTTAGCTATGCATGTATTTACCTGTTATACTCTGAAATCATTTGCTTATAATGAACACTTAAACTCATGCACTAAGACAAATGAAGAGTGTTTTGACAAACCTACAAAAATCTGAAATAAAATATTTTAAATGAATTTAAACATAGGAAGAAAGCTTATTGTATCTTAAAACTCCTACAGTATGCTTATTGCATATTTATAAAATGAGATTTATTTTTAGGGGGTGGAAATTTAAATAAATTAAGAGAGGGAAAGAAATAAAGCAACAAATTTTCAACGTATAAAACTCTATTTTTAGTAAATGCCATTGTTAAATGCAATTTTTGGAGATTTTTTTTTCTCCTACAAATGTTAAGGCCAAGTATGGTAAAAAGTGTAATATTATAATTATAATGCTGTAAAATATTTTAACATATGCATTATAATATAAGTATTCTTTAAAGTACTCTATGTGTTAGGCATCTTTGTTTTTATTTTTCTGGTGTTTCTTCTACAGATAATTTTTTTCCAAGTATCCCAAGCATAGTTTCGATGAGGCTCCTTTTTTTTTTTTTCTTAAAATAACTGTTCCCTTAGATTATCCATTCGGGCTGCTATAATAAAATCCCACAGAATGGGTGAATTATAAACTATAGAAATTTATTTCTCACAGATCTGAGAGCTGAGAAGTCCAAGATGAAGTCTCTGGCAGATTTGATGTCTGGTAAAGACTTTCTTTCTCATAGATGGCACCTTCTTGCTCCTAATCACCACCCCAGATGCCCTGCTTCTTATACTATAACGTTGAGGGTTAGAATTTCAACATCTGAATATTTTGTGGGGTACAAACATTCAGACCATAGCACCTGTCTATACACTCTCTGGGCTCCACCTCTGTCCTACCTTGAGTCATTAAGTGATTTGCAGTGTTGCTAAAGTTTTTAATTTAATTAATTTAATTCAAGATAGTGTGAGTAATTATAATTAAAAACAAAAATTTTCCAATCTGGAAAACTCCACAGTAATAGTGGAGAAAGATAGCATCTTTACCATTGGATAAGTACAGTCATGAACTGCATATATGCCAGCGGTGCTGTAGATTGTAACACTTTATTTTTACTGTACATTTTTTACTTTTAGATATGTTTAGATACACAAATACCGTTGTGTTACAGTGGTCTATAGTAGCATGCTGTACAAGTTTGCAGCCTATGAGCAATAGGCTATACCAGATAGTTTGGGTGTATGGTAGGCCATACCATCTAGGTTTGTGTAAGTACACTCTACGATGTTTGTACAATTACAGAATTGCCTAAGGACACATTCTCAAATGTGTCGCCATCGTTGAGCAAACACAGCTCTATTAAATGAGAGTATAACGAACATCACAGGCAATCCGCTAAAAGATTGTAAATCTCACTCTTGTACATAGCCAAGCAGATATAACCCATTACATATATGTTTTCAAGATAAAAAATAGTCTTTAAGTAAGAGCACTTGATAGTACTATTTATCACATGTAGTTTATCCTAACTTTACCTGGCAATTGTGGTGACCACCTGTGTTAGCTTATTGACTTTATCTGGAGGAAAAACAGGCTTATCAGGTTTTCATGGCAGAAGGTAATTTTACAACTTAAAGCTTGGTATCCACTGACATTAGGTTTCTACCCTCCCAAGAAACTGGGAGATATGGGTGCTATCTCTCTTGATGTTTACATGTCAGAGAGATGTTTCAGGTCTTTGAGAAAGACATTATTGGGTCATAAAGTTGACAAAAGGCCAATCTAGTCTTCGAAAGGATTTATATACATTTCAAAAAACAGAAAGTGTGTACTTATAAGTTTTAAAGTAAATGCCCAAAGAAAAAGGGAGAAAGGAAAATCTTTTCCCTTATTTTCAACAGAGAATTAAGCCCCTAGTTTTAAATTTGTATTTGGTCCTTACAATAGAATAGTAGAATCTATGTGTTTGACTTTTCTTAAAAACATTTTTATGATGATTTGCCAATGTTTCCTTTAAAAAGTTTGTCCTGAGGAGTCATGCTGTGCTTTCTTCAATTTTATTTTTAATTCTCTCACTTGCCTCTCTGTAGGTCAAATAGAAAATATATATATTTTAATAAGTTAAAAGTCAATTGATAAAAATGTAATTTCTGATTCAAAATTTATCCTTCTGCTTTATAATTTATTTTCATTTAATCAGTGGATGTTTGATTTTAGCATGGTGAGAAAGAAGCTAATTTAAAAACTCAAATTGAAATCTCAGCATTGCACAGTGTTTGATCAGAGTCACATTAATCACAGTTCATGTCAAATTTCTCAATGCTGTAAAGTATCATTCTGAATAATGACTTGCTCTCCAGGGTTCTTAGTTATTAAAATAGAAGTTGAGGAATGGGCTATAGCATTTCTATAATCATGGGTTTCACAGTATGCATTTTAGTAATAAAGATGAAGGAGTAAGATTTTTGATACTTTTTCAGAGTATTCTCATTCAATACACATGTATCTTGAAATTATATTTGATCAAAAGTTGTTTGACTTGGGAACTATCTTCTGTTCAGAGCTTGTTTTCTTCTAATTACAATTAGCAGTTACTGATGCTACAATATTCCTTTATGAAGCCAAGAACTGAACCAAAATACAAACAACATAAACTACCACTTGATGAGAAGAACTTCAAAGTCAAATTGCAAAAGGTGACTAAAAAAGGGGAGTACTTTCAGCCGTTTTCAAAATAATCTATGATATGTACTGGAAAACTTCTAATAATCCTTGTCATTTTACAAGTAAGTAGAGAGTAATAGAAAATTCACCCTTAATAGAAAAAATGTAATCATAGGATTAAATTTAAATCAATGACAAATTATAGTAATAAATGAACACTAGGTTGAATGTTTTGAAATCTTAGAGGTTTAAAATAGATAAATTCCTTTAAGTGAGCCAATTCTGTTTCCATTTATGAGTAGAAATTCAAAATAATGTTGATAATTTTTATATATACATTAAATATCTTTTATTCCTAGACCAAAATTCATTTATGACCTTCAGAGATCGTATAAGTGCTTTTGAGAAAAGAATTTAAATATTATGTGGTCATATGGAGAATGAAGTGCTTGTACTGTAAAAGGAAGCTATAACAATTTCCTGACTTCTGTGCTATCAAATAATATTATAAATGTATATTTATTTTTATATGCCATTTTTTGAGACAGCTTAAATAGAATACTAAGTAACAATTTATATTGTAAATCACAAATACTTTGCTATTAAGAAATAATGTATATAATACTTGAATGATTTAGTATCTTTTTTAATAATATAGGATTTTCTTAAAGCTTTGTCTCTGAATAAGACTCTTTCAAAGTATTTTTAATCATCATTATGCTGTGTAATCCTCTGCAGTACTGAAATGGAATCTCATTTCATTATAAGCATATTAGTTTCTTAGAATCACACACAAAAATCTAATTTATAACACAACTACTTAGAATTTCATGGTTGGGAAAAATATATAGGACTTGTCTATGGAGTTATTTAGATATCTAGCAAATAAAATAATTTTATAAAAAGTACTCACATTTTGAATAACAATTTGGACAATGGAAAATAAGTGAAAGAAAGCTAAAGTATTTTTAAAAATACCCTGTATACAGGTAGTTCATGCATAAAACAGAAATGTAATGGAATGATTTTGAATTTTTTGCATTAACTATTTATACCTGCATTTATCTCTTACAAATCTCTACCATAGTCAGTAAACTCTGAGTACTAGAGAAAGAGAAGAGCTAAAATTAGAATAGAGATAACAAGTTTATGCCGCAGTTCTGCTTTTCCTATGTATATTTTTAACTCATCAGGCTCATCATTGAATGACAATAATAGTGTATATTATTATCGCATTTTTGAGGAAACTACATACTGTGTTCCATAGTGAGTGTACCATCCTACATTCCTATCAATCGTGTATAAGGGTTCTAATTTCTCCACATCCTCACTGACACTTGTTATCTTTTTTTTTTTTATAATAGTCATCATAACAGATGAGAGGTGATAATTCATTGTGGTTTATATTTGCATTTTTCTGATGATTAGTGGTATTGAGTATCTTTTCATGTAACTG
Source organism: Homo sapiens (assembly GCF_000001405.40). Taxonomy (NCBI): domain Eukaryota; kingdom Metazoa; phylum Chordata; class Mammalia; order Primates; family Hominidae; genus Homo; species Homo sapiens. The sequence continues at coordinate 94,964,431 of NC_000003.12, forward strand.
TTGGACATTTGTATGTTTTCTTTGGAGAAATGTCTATTTAAGCCCTTTGCTCATTTTTAAATTAGGTTTTCTTTTCTTTTTCTTTTTTTTTCTTTTGCTATTGAGTTGTAGGATATCCTTACACATTCTGCTCATATAGTTTGAATATTAACCAAACCATGAGATAGATGGTGTGCAAATAGTTTCTCCCATTTCATATGATGTCTTTTTCATTCTTGATCATTTTCTTTCCTGTACAGAAGCTTTTCAATATGAAGTAGTCCCATTTATTTTGAGGGGTTTTGTTGTCTGCGTTATCAGTGTCAAATTCAGGAAATAATTGCCCAGACAAATGTCAAGAAATTTTTCCCTTGTGTTTTCTTTGAGAAGTTTTTCAGTTTCAGATCTTACATTTGTCTTTAATACATTTTGAGTTGACTTTCATATATCGTGTAAGATAGGGGTCCAATTTCATCCTTTTGCATATGGAAATTCAGTTTCCCTAGCATTATTTGTTTAAGAGACTATAATTTTTCCCATGTATTCTTGGCACCCTTGTTGATCAACTGAAAATATTTACATCCATTTATTTCTAGGGTCTCTATTTTGCTACATTGGTTTATATTTTTGTCTTTATACCAATATCATACTATTTAAATTACTGTAGCTTTGTAATATATTTTAAAGTAAGTAAGTGCAATGCCTCCAGCTTTTTCTTCTTTCCCAAGACTACTTTGGTTATTTGGAGTTTTTTGTGGTTCCATATGAATTTAAAAATTGGTTTTTCCTATTTCTGTGAAAAATGACATTGAAATTTGATAGGATTATATTAAATCTGTAGATCACTTAAATAGTACAGATATTTTAATAATATTAATTCTTCCCAACAAACAACATGGGATGTTTTCCTTTTATTTGTGTTTAATTTCTTTCATCAGTGTTTAATAATGTTTTGTTTTTGTTTTTTATTTTTATGTTTTTTAGTCTTTAGGGTTTTCTATATACAAGAACATGTCATCTGCAAACAGAGACATTTTAAATTCTTCTTTTCCAATATGGGTGCCTTTTATTGCCTAATTGCTGTAGCTAAGATTTCTAGTACTGAGTTGAATGGAAGTAGTAAGACTGAGCATTTTCATGTTGTTGCTGATTTTATAAGTTCCCTGACTTCCTACAACAGAACAGCTTTTATTTTTTCACAATTGAGTATAATGTTAGCTGTGGATTTCTTATATGTGGACTTTATGATGTTGTGGTACATTTCTTGTATACCCAATTCGTCAAGCATTTTTATCATGAAAAGGTGTAAAATGTTGTTGAATGCTTTTTCTACATCTGTGGATGACTGTGTAGTTTTTATCCTTCATGTTGTTAAAATGATGTAGCACATTTATTGATTGTCTTTTGAACAATCCTTGCTCCTTGGGATAAATCACACTTGATTACGGTGTATAATCTCTTTAATGTATTTCCATGAATTTTGTAAATCAAACTACAATTAAGCTTTCATCTCTACCAGTACAACAAAACAGTCTTTGCCAACTCAGCAATGATCTTCACTTTGATATACCACGTTTCATTCTTAGTCTTTTATTACTTCTGTCAATAGAATTTGATACAGTTGCCCACTTCCTCATTCTTCAAACACTTTTGCACATTTTCCTTGGTTCATTTCCTATATCATTAGTTGCTGTTTTTCTGTCTTCTTTGCTGTTCTCTTCTAACTTGTTTACTTTACAGTACCCAAGGTTCAACCTATGAACCCCTTCTCTTTTCTAGTGTCACTCACTGTTTCTTATTGACATTGCTTTAAGTGTTGTCTTAAAGTTTTATGACTTTCTACTATACTTATCCAGCCCTGATATTATCCCTCATGTACAGACTGGTATATAAATTGTCGAGTTGACATTTTCAGTCAGGTATACAAAAGCACCCAAGAACTAGCATTCAAAAGTTACCTTTTTATTTTCATGTCTTATATTGCAATTTTTGCAACCATATCCATCTCAGAAAATGTAACTCAAATATTCTAATTGATAGAAATAAAAAATGTGGAATTACAGTGGGCTGGTCTCTTTCTTTCACATCACTTCTTAGTAAATATTGTAGGCCCACTTTAAAATGTATTCCAAATCAGAGTGATTTTCACTACCACTACAACCCTGGCCTAAGCTGCCATCATTCATATCTGTATTACTGCAATAACTTTCTCACCTATCTCATTCCTTCTGCCCTTGTCCTCCTGTAGTGTATTCTTCATAGAGCAGTCTATCTGATTTAAATCTCATCATATCACCCCTCTGTCCAAAAGTCGTTAGTAGCTTTCATCATACTCAGAGGAAATAAAGTGTCTAACAAGGCTGTATCAGTTCATTTCCTAGTGGCAACAGATGGCCTATTCAAACTAGATAACTGAATCTATTTACAGAGGTCTGATTAGTGTTTATGGAGACCAACACAGTAGAAAGTGGTCTTGGCCAGTCGCAGTGGCTCACGCCTGTAATCCCAGCACTTTGGGAGGCTGAGATGGGTGGATCGCGAGGTCAGGAGTTTAATACCAGCCTGGCTAAGATGGTGAAACCCCATCTCTACTAAAAATACAAAAAAATTAGCCGGGTGTGGTGGCAGGTGCCTGTAATCCCAGCTACTGGGGAGACCGAGGCAGAGAATTGCTTGAACCCTGGAGGCTGAGGTTGCAGTGAGCCAAGATCACACCACTGCACTCCAGCCTGGGTGACAGAGCGAGATGCTGTCACAAAAAAAAAAAAAAAAGAAAGAAAAAGGAAAAAAGAAAGTACAGTCTTCTGGGTTTTGTAGGTGGAATTTTTTTAGAGAAGTAGATTCTGAGACTGAGTTTGGCATACAGGATGTTTATTAAGGAGTGCTCTCAGATCCAGGACCAACAGCTGTGGAAAAGAAAAAAAAGGAAAAAACCAACATTGGATAGAGATAAGATTCCAGCACAATGTGAGCTCAAGACAACCACAGCTAACCATGTGGTAGTAGCTCAGTAGCTAAAATCAGAGTTGCTTGAGTTATGCTGCCCCAGAGGAGGTGGAGGTGGGTAACGCATTCTTTGTCGAAGGGCAATCTGAGTGAAGCATTGCAGTTTCCACCATAAAAGAAGGTCTAGGCCTGCCAGTTAATAAAAAGAAAGAATTACTTGTACCAAGAATGTGGAGATGTTTACTTTATAGTAGCTTAGTGTTTAGTAAAAGGATGCTATCATCCTAAGCCAAGCAATGGGATTAAGCCAGGACAAAAATATACTTATCTGCCTTTCCTTTAGCTTCTAGCCTCCAACAGGTACCCCCTCCCCACCCACCCATTGCTCAATCCAGATATCAAAACTGCCTGTTGAGGTAGTACATACAGGCTTGACTGCTGGTTTCTAAGACAAGATAGACAAGGGTCGTGAGTAAATACAATAAAAAATAGAAGAATGTTTGCTTCTGGATCAGCATTTTTTAAAGATTTATTTTACCTTTACTGCTGCTATACCATATTTCCTTCTAGAGTCCATCTGTTTCCAATTAGGAAAACAAAGTTTACATCAGATAGTTTCATAGAGAAAATACAGGGAACGAATTACAGATAGAAAAACTGAAAGTTCAAACTGGGGAAATTGAGGAAACGGTATTTGTAACTGTAGGAAGCTGCAACCTAAGACAGGAAGAATCAAATTACAAGGTGTTATTACTGGAGACCAGAAGTTGGTGCCACCTATTATAGGCTTGATCCATTGTAGGGATGCCAGATTGGAGCTGGACCATAGAGATGACACAATTATTTTAGAGAAGCTGTCTAAATGGGTAGTGATGCTCTCTGCATTTTCCCTTCTCCTCCTCTGTAATATTCCTGAGCAAAAGCTCACAGGAAGACAAAGGGGAGGGGAATCTAGAAAATGCAGAGGCAGAGAACTGACATAAGATAGAAAAAGAAAATTACCAGCCAATTCCTCTTCTCTCCTTTCTGACTTTACTTGCTTCTCTCAAAACAGCATCATGACTAAAGCTTATGTTCCAGATCAGTTGCACCAGGATTCTTGCTCTGCCACTTACTAGTGTGAGCCCTAATGACCTATTTTAGCTACCTTACTTGCCACTTATCTAGTAAATGGATATGGTAATAATACGACCTGCATACTAAAATGGCTATAGGAATTAAAAGAGAAAATGCACATAAAGTTCCTGAACAGTGTCAGGCATACAAACAATTTAATACATTCCAGCTGCTATTATTTTGTCCCTGTAAATGTTAAGATAAGTCTGAGAGAAGACCTAGTTTCTAAGGAGAAAAGATTGGGAAACAGCATTTGGATTCCAGGAAGGTTGCAGTTCTGATTATTTGTATAGTTTTTAGTAGTGTCTCAACTCTGATCTAGTATCACATCAGAATCATCTAGGGATCTTGTTAAAAATGAATATCTTGGGCAACATCAATTCCAAGTGTAATATAATGAATAGGGGCATAGAACATTTAACAAGTTTTTCAAGTAATACTATGCACAAAAACTTAAGAAACAGTGCCAAATGAACCCTGAGAAAACAACTCCCCCTTCCTTTTTATCTCCCATTTACTGAATGAGCTGCATATGGAGGTACTTGGATTTGTAAGTGATTGCATGGGCATCTCTTCCGGGATCCAGGTAACAGGTTTCACTATCAAGTCATCACAAATTTGGAACTGGTTTATGTTTGAACTTTGGTGCTTCTTGTAAATTTTTCTCTCCCCTTTGGCTATTTTCACTCTTACTGGAGACAACAAAAACAGCAATACCGTATTTGTGCTTTTCTTAATATCCAAGGGAGTGATAAAGTTGGTCAAGCTGACCTCACAATATTTTGATAGGTTTTGTTGCTGTTGTTTTTAAAAGAACACTGTTTTTAGAGAACAAGCATCTAACCTATTTTACATGAAAACTCAAATATCACGGATTCACCAAAATCTTTAAAAAATACTCAAATCAAATGTGTCTGCTGAATTGTTGTGATTCTTTACTTCTTTGCAGGTACACAGCTTTTTCTTGTTTTAAAAAAATTTTATGTATCAAGTTTTTCTCACATGACACATAATCACAGAATTTCCACTCATTAAGCCTCATACTTTATACTGTTAAAAATTAGTTTTTATAATTAAAACCCAGAAAAATTATACTGAAGAATGGAATACTTTTAAAAGTGTAAAATAGTATCTGTAATCTGAGGATGTGGTGTTTTCTTCTCAATCATATAATCCAGTGTTTTCTGTTCAATCCTAGATTTATAAAATAAGTATAGTGTTATTTATGTTGCTGCTTTAGTGCAGCAGGAATAAAGACCATTTCACGATGGGAAAAACTGAACATATTAGTGGAATGATTGACTCATGGGGTATCAGACATATCAAGTAAGCTAAAAGCAAGATTAGTAAACAATGATTTCATTTCATGTTTTATTCAAGTTAAATCAAATTTATCATAATTGAAATAGTTTTACTGATTTCAGTCATTGAAATGACTCCCTGATCACAGTCAAATTAAAAATATTCTATACAGTATGCACATTTATGAAACTCCCAAAGGATCCAACTTACACTTAATTTCTAGACTTCGCTCCACTGATTATAACTTGTATATTTCCTTCATCTTCATGTGAAATAAGTTAGGAGTGGAATTATTTAGAGTTTATCACAATTTTTAGGCATACTTAGAACTTGTCTTAATCTATTGCATTTGTTTTTTTGTATCTGACATCCCACATAACATTGATGGCTCTCAGAATTTTTTTTTTTTAAGTATTTTCCATCTGGTGTACTTAGGCTTTGACACAGACCCATAGAAATTTCCTGGTGAATAACAATATATATGACTTTAGTTGCTCCAAAGATCATGATTATTATTCCAGTTTCTCCTTCTTGTGGAATAACAAGGAAAATTCAGCAAAATTATTACTTCTAAATGTGTTCCATAAACCATTGTTAAATCACCATGTCTCAACAGCCTGTCTTCTTTCAAAGTTTACACACCATTTATTTAAAACACACCCGAAACACTCTCATCTACTACTGTCCAGGATAGTTGCTGACCTGCTAAAAAAAACTTTAGCACAACATTCATGTCTCCATCCCAGTCTCTGTCTTTTCTTTGTTTACATCAACAGAAGAATTGATCATTTTAAAGTATGTTTGATATACATTGACTTCTTCCCCACTTATGAGTATTTCATCTATTTCTTTTCAACTATCCTTAGATTGAAATAACACAAAATATTTTTAGATAGAACCAGTCTACTTCTAATATTTAAAATAACGTATGCTATAATTTCATTTCTTCTACACTAAGCACACCATAGGCTCTTCTAAAAAAAAACCCACTGGTTGCTAATATTCCACAAAATTAAGTGAAAATTTTCTGACTGATATGGAGACTTATCTACAAACTGACCTAAATTTATCTTTCTAATCTGTGTCCCAATAATATAAATAATCTAGGAATTTATTTATAATTCCCAGACTGTAGTGGCCATTTTATAGCCAATGCTTGCATATTGTTTTTGGCTGACATGTTCTCCTCTACCAAAAAAGGACTTACTCTTGTCTATGTTCTAATATTCTTTAAGAAAATATTTAAATATGAGGATCCTATAGAGGATGTCTTAACAGCAAAATAAGTACTATTTACATTATTGTTGGAAGTAGTAATCGTATTTATAGGTAAGAAAAAGAACATGAACAAATTTTCTGTTATTTAAGGCTGTTAAGAATGTTTACTATCTCTGGAACATAATAGATATTCTCCTCAAATATGTAAATTCAGATAACAATAAATGACATGAAGCAAATGATAACTAAAAATAAATATTTTTCTTTCCATTGCAATAGCTTTCCCACAGTTAGATCATCAGCAAATGTCACTTGGATCCCTAGCTAAATTGTTCTTCCCAGAAAATAGTTATCTCCACTATGGTAAGAGTTGTCGTTATAAAATTTAAAAACAATTATAGCATACCTTTAATAATTAAACATTTAACATTTGAGTGATTTCACATTACTGAAATATGGATTCCAGTTTATGAATGTGGCTTCCAAGGCTTTGAGGATATTTTATACTATTTAACTCTTTTCCACTCTTCTTTTTAATATCCACCCTTGAATTCTATCTCCATTTTCACCAGACATCTTGTAGTTATTCTAATATCTTATGTTCTTTCACTCCTGGCCTTGGCACAGTTTATTTTCTTAATCTAGAAGATAATTTTCTATTCCCCCACAATATTTTTTGTTTAACTCATAATTTTTTAATTTTATTTCAAATGCTAGTCTAGATATCACTTCATTTATGAATCCATTCCTTACTTTAGAAGCCATTCTAAGTACTACAGTAACACTGCACTTCCAGTGTTATAAATATCATACTCTTTAATATTTGCTTATCTTCTTCCTCTGGTATAGTATTTGTTCACTCAGCCCGGGTAGCATACATCGAGTGTGCTTTGCTGATTCCTTATCACCCAAGATAATTTTAGGAACATTGTAATCCTCCAGTCAACCTTTGCTATATAAATGGATGTGGATTAGTGGATAAAGGTTTAAAATTCATGAAATTTTGGATTGTAGATTAAGCTTGAAAATTTGGGGAAGGGACTTCCCTTCTCCATATACACATTGTATTACTCCTTTGTGTTGTTGTAAATACATATTTAAGGCTTAGTAATTTACAAAGAAAAGAGATTTATTCAGCTCACAGTTGTTCTGCAGGCTGTACAAGAAGCATGGTGCTGGTGTGTACATTGGGTGAGTGCCTCAAGCTGTTTCCACTCATGAAGAAATGGGAAGGGGAATCCATGCATGCAGAGATCACATGGTGAGAGAGGAAGTAAGAGAGAGAGAGGAAGTGCCAGGCTCTTTTGAACAACCAGCTCTCTTGGGAGCTAGTAGAGTGAGAACTCATTCATTACTGTGAGGACAGCACCAACACATTCATGAGGTCTCCACCTTGTAATCCAAACACTTCCCTCTAGGCCCTACCGCTAACATTGAAGATTAAATTTCAGTGTGAAATTTGGAGGGACAAACATCCAAACTATAGCACACAAACATAACTGAAAACATGTTTAATTAAATATATGGGACTTAAGTCAAGTGCCTATGGCGGAAAGAACTGTCAAATGGTTTGGAGTGTTAGGCTGTCAATAGTGATGCATATATCCCTAATAAAATCAAGAAAGAAGCCAAAATTTCACTAAGCCACAGCCCTTTTACAGAGAAGTTTGTATTAACCATTGGAAATAATCTGCTCTAAAAATCTAGATACTTTCATGTACAGGAATGCTGCAAGGGTAATTCCTTGTCCAGGAATGAAAAAGCAGAGAATACCTGGTGTTCCTGAACAAAGTAACTCTTCTTTACTCCAAGGAACCATGGCCCAATAAAGCTTACTAGAAAAGTAGGTTAAAAGAAAATAATGAAATAAAATAAAATAAAATATTAGAGAGTGTATTTGATAAGTACTAGAAAAATCTAAAGATGGCAAATTTCATTAAGCATTCCAAGCATCTATGTCAAGGCATAGCTGAGAGGATCTCTGCTCTCAGAACTTTCTCTAAACTAATAGGCATAACTGTGTGTATGTGTTTTTCAGTTTTCTTATCATCCTGCTCAGACATCTTCATTCAAGCTTACCATGCATGAACAAGATTTGTTTATCAAACAACTTCCTTAATATATCTAAGATCTGGAGGACTAGTAACCCATATATGATGTGTTGATACCCTCAACAGAATGCCTAGCTTGGTGTTTATTGTTGTAAAATTAATTGAATTTTTATTCTTCTTTCTCAATATGTTTCTTTTTTTATTTATCTCAACTGGTTGCCTAAGTTTCTATTTTTTACTCTAACCTTCACCATCACAGTTCATTTATTTTCTGCCTAAAATATCAAATATCAATCACTGATGGTTTTTCAGCTGCATGTAAAGATACTTTCATCTGGTGGTGGCAACTGTGACAGGGGGCGGAGCCGCCTGGATCACACTTTGTCTGTGGAGGCAGTATTCTAAAATGTCAATTTATGAAAATCAGCAATCCTAAGAGGACTCATAGACCCTCTGAAGGAGGGAGACTGCTCCTGCAGGACCCAGGAGACACCACAAATACTGTGAGTGCCCCAACGGTGGAAGTGGGTAAGGGAGAGCCTCCTCTCCCGAACACACACACCCACTGGAGAAACTGAAGAAGTCACAGCAATACCTGCCCAAGGAGAGTCTGAGCTCAGACACACTGAGCCCTGTCCCCTCCTGATGATCCTTCCCTACCCACCCTGGTAGTGGAAGACAAAGGGCATATAATCTTGAGAGTTCTAGGGCCCCACCCAACACTGGTTCCTCTCCATACTACCACAGCTGATGCTTTCTGGAAAGTGCCAACTCCCAGCAAGATGCCAACCAGCACAAAAATGGAGCTTTAAACCGCCAAAGCTAAGAACGCTCATGGAGTCTATTAACCCCCCCTCTCCCCACCACTTCCACTTGAACAGGTGCTGGTATCCACAGCTGAGAGACCCATAGAAGGCTCACATCACAGGACTCTGCAGACAACCCCCAGTACCAGCCTGGAGGCAGGTAGACCTTCTTGGTGGCTAGACACAGAAGAGAGATAACAATCACTGCAGCTTGGCTCACAGGAAGCCACACCATAGGAAAAGGGGGTACATCAAAGGAAGACCCTGTGGGACAAAAGAATCTAAACAACAGCCTTCAGCCCTAGACCTTCCCTCTGACAGAGCCTACCCAAATGAGAAGGAACCAGAAAACCAACTCTGGTAATATGACAAAACAAGGCTCATTAACACCCCCAATATCACACTAGCTCACCAGCAATGTATCCAAACCAAGAAGAGATCTCTGATTTATCTGAAAACAGTTCAGGAGGTTAGTTACTAAGCTAATCAGGGAGGCACCAGAGAAAGGCAAAGCCCAATGCAAGGAAATCAAAAAAATAATACAGAAGTGAAGGGAGAAATATTCAAGGAAATAGATGATAGCTTAAAGAAAAAAAAATTCAGGAAACATTGGACACACTTATAGAAATGCAAAATGCTTTGGAAAGTTCTCAGTAATAGAATTGAATAAGTAGAAGAAAGAAATTCAGAGCTCAAAGACAAGATCTTTGAATTAACCCAATCCAACAAAGACAAAGAAAAAAAGAATAAGAAAATATGAACAAAGACTCCAAGAAGTCTGGGATTATGTTAAATGATCAAACCTAAGAATAATTGGTGTTCCTGAGGAAGAAGAGAATTCTAAAAGCTTGGAAAACATATTTGGGGGAATAATCCAGGAAAACTTCCCTGGTCTTGTTGAAGACTTAGAAATCCAAATATAATAAGCACAAAAAACACCCGGGAAAATCATCACAAAAAGATCATTGCCTAGGCACATTGTGATCAGGTTATCCAAAGTTAAGATGAAGGAAAGAATCTTAAGAGCTGTGAGGCAAAAGCACCAGGTAACCTATAAAGGAAAACCTATGAGATTAACAGCAGATTTCTCAGCAGAAACCCTACAAGCTAGAAAGGATTGGATGCCTATCTTCAGCCTCCTCAACCAAAACAATTATCAGCCAAGAATTTTGTATCCAGCAAACTAAGCATCATATATTGAGGAAAGATAGTCTTATTCAGACAAACAAATGCTGAGAGAATTTGCCATTACCTAGCCACCACTACGGGAACTACTAAAAGGAGCTCTAAATCTTGAAACAAATCCTGGAAACACATCAAAACAGAATCTCTTTAATGTGTAAATCACACAGAACCTATAAAATGAAAATACAAGTTAAGCAAAAACAAAAAACAAAAACAAAGTAGCAGGCAACAAATAACACAATGAATTAAACGGTACCTCACATCTCAATACTAACATTGAATGTAAATGGCCTAAATACTCCACTTAACTGCAGAATGGCTAAGAATTCACCAATCGACAATCCATTGCCTTCGGGAGACTGACCTAACACATAAGGACTCACATAAACTTAAAGTAAAGGGATGGATTTCATGCAAATGTATGTCAAAAGCAAGCAGGGGTAGCTATTATATCAGACAAAACAGACTTTAAAGCAACGGCAGTTAAAAAAGACAAAAAGGGACATTATATAACGGTAAAAGGCATTGTCCAACAGGAAAATATCACAATCCTAAACGTATATGCACATAACACTGGAACTCCCAAATTTATAAAACAATTACTAATAGATCTACAAAATTAGATAAACAGCAACACAATAATAGTGGAGGACTTCAATACTCCACTGACAGCACTAACAGGTAATCAAAACAGAAAGTCATCACAGAAACAATGGATTTAAACTATACTTTGCAACAAATGGACTTAACAGATATATACAGAACATTTCATCCAACAACCACAGAATACACATTGTATTCAACAGTGCCTGGAACTTTCTCCAAGATAGACCACATGATAGGGCATAAAATGATCCTCAATAAATTTAAGAAAATTGAAATTATATCAAACACTCTCTCAGACAACAGTGGAATAAAAGTGGAAATCAACTCCAAAAGGAAACTTCAAAACCATGCAAATACATGGAAATTACATAACCTGCTCCTGAATGAGTATCGGGTCAAAAACAAAACCAAGATGGAAATTAAAAAATTCTTCAAACTGATTGACAGTAATGACACAACCTATCAACCTATTAAAACCTCTGGGATACAGCAAAGGCATCTTTCTATGAGGAAAGTTCATAGCCCCAAACACTTAATCAAAAAGTCTGAAATAGCACAAACTGACATTCTAAGGTCGTATCTTAAGGATATAGAGAAATAAGAACAAACCAAACCCAAACCCACCCAGCAGAAGAAAGGAAATAACCAAGATCAGAGCAGAACTAAGTGAAATAAAATTGAACCAAAAAATAAATACAAAAGATAAATGAAACAAAAAGCTGGTTCTTTGAGAAGATAAATAAAATGGATAGACCATTAGCAATATTAACTTGTAGCAATCTCACTTGTAGACACACAAAAGACTTGAAATTCATTTGCTGAAGACATATTTGCATGCCCATGTTGATTGCAGCATTATTTACAGTAGCCAAGTTATGAAATCAACCTCAGTGCATCAATTAATCAAATACCACTTAAAAAGTGGTATATATACATAATATAATACTATTCAGCCTTAAAAAGAAAGAAACTCATTTACAACAATATGAATGGAATTGGAGAGCATTATGCTATGTGAAATAAACCAAACAGTGAAAAATAGATGCATGTTCTCACTTACATGTGGAATATAAAACAGTTGAACTCACAGAAGCGAAGAGTTAAATGGTGGTTACCAGAGGCTGGGTTAGGGGGAATGGGGAGATGGTAATCAAAGGGTACAAAGTCTCAGTTATTAGAAGGAATAAGTTTGAGGGTTTTTTCGCAGTCTATCTCACACCATGGTGAATATGGCTGATAATAATAATTTTTTTTTGAGACTGAGTTTCACTCTTGTTGCCCAGGCTGGAGTGCAATGGCATGATCTCGGCTCACTGCAACCTTCACGTCCTGGGTTCAAGCAATTCTCCTGCCTCACCCTCCCAAGTAGCTGGGATTACAGGTGCTCACCATCACGCCTGGCTAATTTTGTATTTTTTTAGTAGAGAGGGAGTTTCACCATGTTGGTCAGGCTGGTCTTGAACTCCTGCTCTCAAGTGATCCACCTGCCTCGGCCTCCCAAAGTGTTGGGATTACAGACATGAGCCCCCACGTCCGGCCCTATAGCTAATAATTGAATACTGTACATTTCAATACTGCTAAAAGAGGAAATCAAACATTCTCATCAGAAAAAAATTAAACATTTGAGAGCATGGATAGGTTATTCAGCTTGATTTACTGATTCCATAAAAATAATAAATATATCATAGCATCACTTTGTACCATACAAATGTATACAACTATAATTTGTCAATATTTAATAAACAAAGGTAAACTTAAGGGTTCTGATGGTCAAGACTCTTTCTCTGACATCACTGAATTTAAACAGCAGTCTTCTCTGTTCAGCATAAGGTTTATGATCTTCATGAAGACAAGGTTTGTGTGGAAATAAATACAGACAGGAGTTGTTGCTGTTCCACTTTGGCACAGAAGTTGGATCATGAAGGTGATAAGTGGTGAGATTTAAATGCTAGATGATGAGAAGTCCAGTAGGGACAAAGGAGCTTTGAAATAAAAAAAATGATTGGTATGATATTTATTTCACTTATTTTCTAATTAAGTATAATACAGTATGGCCCAAACCTGAATAATGCAAATAAACAGTCATTTGTTATTAACAAGTTATAATTATTTTACATAAATTTAAACAAATACTGTTACTTTGGAAATATGCCCTGTTTGGTGACAGAAAATTCAATTTTATTGCTGTTTCTATTTAACCACCTGTCTTGTTTTACATTTTAAAAATTATTCAAATTAGAAACCATAAGGTATTACTTGCTAAATAAGATCCATCTGGAGGCTATAAGTATCCTCAATCTTAAGGTGTGCTATGGTTTTGGTATGGTTTGTTTGTCCCCAACAAAACTCACGTTGAATTTTGATTCCCAATAATGTGGTTTGGGGAGGTACTGCCTGGGCCTAGTGGGAAGTGTTTGATCTATGGGGTGGATCCATCATGAAGGGCTTGGTGCTGTTCCTGCAGAGGTAAGTTCTTGCTCTCACAAGATAGTTTACTTCTCTTCAGACTGGATTAGTTCTCTTGAGAGGGACTTGTTTAACCCAGGACACCCCACAGGTTTCTTTCTCTTTGCATGTGTCTGCTTCCCCTTTCACCTTCTTTGCTAAGTTGCAATGCAGCACTAATGTCCTAGTCGGAAGCCAGAGCCATGTCCTTGAACCTCTCAGCCTGCAGAAACAAGAGCTAAATAAACCTCTTTACCCAGTCTCAGGTATTATTTCATAGCAACATCAAGTGGACTAAGCAAACTAACACATGAATAGAAAACCAAATACCACATGTTCTCACTTGTAAGTGGGAGTTAAATGATGAGAACACATGAACACACAGAGAGGAACAACACACACTGGGGCCTATCAGAGGGTGAAGAGTAAGAGGAGGAAGGGGATCATGAAAATTAACTGATGGATACTAGGCTTAATGCCTGGGCGATGCAATAATCTGTACGACAAACCCCCATGACACACATTTAGTTGTAACTAACCAGCACATCCTGGACATGCACCGCTGAGCTTAAAATAAAAGGTAAGAAAAAGAATAATGAATGCACACTAAAAAATTGGACTAAGACAAAGTGTCATCAAAGAATATTTTGATGCTGCTACCATATCTGCCTAAAGCATATACTGTATATTATAAATGTCGTCTTTCTAGTTTTACTCTATTTCGTTCCTTTTCATCACCTTACCTTCAAGTTTCTATGGGAAATCTATAGGGGAAAAGAGTCGTGAAAAATTTCCTAGGATCACCTTGAAACAATATTTTTACTGTGAGGTTTAATTCTGGGAGAGTTTTACCTCATCACAGATATGGGTATCTCCCCCTTTAACAGGAACATTACGGCATTTTTTAATATAAGATTTGAAATTGGGTTTTGCTTATGTATGCAACTGCTTGTCATTTGGTCTAGCTTCTATATGAAACTATTTGCATAGAACTATTTCTGTGTTTTAACATGTATCTCATTTGTGATACATACATATATGTATGATATGGTTTGGCTCTGTGTCCCCACCCTAATCTCATGTTGAATTATCATCCTCAGTGTTGGAGGAGGGACCTGATTGGAGGTGATTGGATCATGGGGGCAGATTTCCCCCTTGCTGTTCTTTTGATAGTGAGTGAGTTCTCACAAGATCTATTTGTATAAAAGTATGTAGCACTTCTGCCTTCATTCCCTCTTCCACCTGCTCCACCATGTGAAGAAGGTGCTTGCTTCCCCTGCACTTTCTACCATGAATGTAAGTTTTCTGAGGCCTCCCCAGCCATGTTTCCTGTACAGCCTGCAGAACTGTGAGTAAATTAAACCTCTTTTCTTCATAAATTACTCAGTCTTAGGTAGTTCTTTATAGCAATGTGAAAATGGACTAATACAATGTATGTATAAATATACATATATATGTATATACACATATATACATACATACGTGCTATATACATATATATGTATATACACATATATACATACATATGTGTTATATACATAGAGTAAAAACTCTCCCAGAATTAAACCTCACAGTAAAATTATAGTTTCAAGGTAATCCTATATATATGTACATGTGCCCATGTATATGTGTGTATGTGTATACATATAATTAGCCATGTTGATCTGAGTAATTTTGATAATTTGCTTTCATTCAATTCTCTGTTAAGAATTTGAAAAATTTTAGTTAAATGCAGAAAAAACAATTGAGGAAAACCTTAGGAATGAATTTTCCTTGGGACAATGTAGTGTTGGTATGGCAGTAATGGGAAGAAGCAACTTGTTTTAGGAAAAAAAACTAATTCTCTTCTAACATTCCTTATCTAATGTGCAAATATCCATATCTAAAAAGTAAAATGTTACTAGAAATCAAAACAAAATAACATTACACTATATCCATGACATGAGTCATCTTTTTTAAAAACAATTATTGCTTTCACTTTTTACTTCTTCACTTAAAATTCAAAGAGAAAAAGCAGCTGTCATCTGTAGGAGGAAGACATATACATTCATATTTGATAAGTTTAAGTTCCCATGAAAAAGCAACAAATAAAATAAAACAAAAGCAGATCTAAAAAAGACCTAATTTAATTCAGTACCTTAGAGAAATTTAAAAATATTTACAGTGAGTTAAAACAGGTAGATCATTTATTTTTCCACATTTCACTTGTAGCTTTTTTCATTTCTTGACATTTAAAAGTACAGTTACATTTTTATCTTATTATCTTATTTTGTTTCATGAAACAGGAAAGTATTTTATCAGAAGAATTCGTAGAAGTAGAATCTGTTTGTCTTCAGTTAAACAAAAGAAGAACCTCATTGCTTTCCAACTGGGCCCCGGCCATTTTCCAGTTGAAACATCAAATATTTTATTTGTGTCTTTCACTGCCAATTAAAGGGCAACAGAAATGGTACAGGTAAATCATCTTCTCTTTGGAGGTCTTTCCAAAGAAGACTTTAATTCAAGCATTTCCTAGAGTATGTACCATAAAGTCTTATCTGCAGATTTAGACTTGAATATGCATTACATCATTGGAAAATATTATGTCACTGAAATTGGAAAAGGTTGAGTTAAACAAAACTAAACTATTAACTGTATTACAAGATCTCTGAGATTTTGGTTTGGTAGCTTCCAGGGGCGTCTTACGTAGTGATGCTGTTTAGGGGCATCTAGAGATCAGGAACAACACTTGTTCTGCTGATACAGATTTGGGAATGAAATCTGAAAAGGCATGAAATAGACTGGTAGAAGGGAAAAAATGTTAAGAAAAGAGCATTCATATTTTATTCTAGGTAACAGCTTGATAAGTTGATACAGAGGGAGGAGAATAATAAAAAGAACACAAGCAAATATTTAGAGAAGTATCAGTGAATTATAAGGTTTTTATGTGATTTTTCTAGGGTCTTTGTTGATTTGTCAAAGAAAATCAAGAAAAATAGCATACACTTTCTTCTTTAAACCCCTTTTGTGTATATGCTTTTGTGTCTGTGTGTATAAAATATGTTTATAAATACATTAAACTATTTTTACTAATTAATTCACACAGGTCATTTTCTATTATAGTCAGGATCAGTTATACTGTGGTAGTTAGTAGTAAATAATTTATTTATAAAATGTTAAAAAGGTTCCCAAGGACTTGCACTTTGTTCATTAATTTTTTTAATTATAGTTTTGAAATATTGCACACATTTGTAAAATGCAAACAATAGTAGAATGGGTCCACATTACTTAACATCAACTTTTCAACAATTATTCTCATATCATTTGATCTATAATATTTTAGATCATATGTTTATAACGATTTTAGTTTTTTAAAAAATTAGCTGCCATGCCATTATTGCTAATTTTTAAAAATACATTTCTTAAAAGCAATTAAATACTAATTAGATAACTGGAATATCTGAAATCTTAAGTCAAATAATATGTATTTTTGACATGTATTTGAAGTATTGCGAATGGTAACAGAAACCAAGCTCTGTGAATTAGGTTTGTTACTGGTGTACCATTCTTTCTAGACCCTCTCAAGCTGACATAGTTAAGAAATACAAGCACATATATTAAACTTTGTGTACACATATCAATAACTATTCCTATATATAAATGTCTGCATCTGTATTAAGCTAAACATGAGTTCATACAGATGTCTCTAACTCTAATCTGTTAACATATGGTTCATTGTAGCCTCCTCTCCTTACTTATCTGTAAACTCCCAGTCTGACAATAAGAACCTGGCTTGTAACGTCTGTCATCCACTTGCTGAATTGTTTAATTTTACTATTCATGTATGTCAGTTTCAGAATTGTTAATTCATACCCACAAGACAATCACCTTAACTAGAGCATCGTACTTAGGTATAGTTTCTTTTAGTTTTATGGATGTTTTAGAAATTCAAATTTCTAAAGTTTCTTAGGTCAGCACCTCTCTCCCAACTCATCACTATTAGTGAGGTTGTTTTATGCATTTTTAATATAGTTAGATTGCATTGTTACATTCTGCATTGCATTGATGGATTCCCCAGACTCTCAAATTATTTTTATTAAAATTTTCATACAATACAGTTTACGATTTGTATAATGTTAATGGCTTTTGACAAACACTGAATGTCATACATCCAACATTACAGTGTCATAGAGCACAATTTTCAATCCTAAAAATTCCCATTCTCTACCTATTCAATATTTACTCTCCTACAACCAAACCCTTGATAACCACTGATTTTTTAAATTATATCTATAGTTTTACCTTTACAAAAATATAATATAATTGGAATAATACATTATGCATCTTTTTTTTAGGCTGGCCTTTTTTCACTTAGCTGTAGGCATTAAACATTCAACCATATATTTTCATGCCTTGATAACTGATCTCTGTTTATCCTTGAATAATATTATTTTCATTGTAGGTACCACAGTTTGTTTATCCATTCATCTGTGGAAGGACATCTTGGTTACTTGTAGTTTATGGTGATTAAAAGTAATGATACTATAAACATTTGTGGACAGGTTTTTGTGTGGACATAGGTTTTCAATTCAATTGCATAAATACTTAGTTGGATTGTATGGTAAGACTATGTTTACCTTTGTAATAACTTCCAAACTGTTTTCAAAAGTGGTTTACCACTTTGAATTTCCACTGTCAATGAAGGGTACTTCTTCCTGCACTGTGCAATCACCATCCACTGATATCCTTACTTTCTATTTCTATTTTTATACTTTAACCATTCTAATAGATGTGTAATGGCATCTCATTGTTTTATTTGGAATTGCTTAATAATGAATAATTAATCATTTTCTTATGTTTATTTGCATTTGCATATCTTATTTGGTAAAATATCTGTTCAGATTTTTAAATTGAATTGTTTTCTTATTGTTGATATTTGAAACTGTTGACCTTTAAACATTCTTTCTATATTTTGAATATAAGTATTTTATAAGAAATTTGTTTTGCAAGTACTTTCTCTTATACTATCAGTTGTTATTTCATTTTGTAACAGTGTATTTCTCACAGCAGAAAATTTTTATTTTATAATGCCTAATATTTCAAATTTGTTAATGAATTGTGCTTTTGGAGTTGTATCTAAAAACTTATCACTAAAATCCAGGCCACCTAAATATTCTGTTGTTTCCTTCTAAAAATTTTAATTTTGTGCTTTATATTAAGGCCTGTAAGTCATTTGAATTAATTTTGTGAAAAAATATATAATATATATTTAAGTTATTTTTTGAGGGATGGGGGGTATTGATGTTCAATCGTTTTAGCATCACTTGATGAAAAGATTATCCTTTCTCTCTTGAGTTGCCTTTCAGCCATTGCCAAAGACAAGTTGACTATTTTTGTGTAAATCTATTTGGGGCTGTATATTCTGTTCTTTTGATTTATGTGTAGATTCTTTCATAAATATTATGCCGCCATGATTGTTGTAGCTTTATAGTAAGTCTTCAGATTTGGACAGTATGGACCTTCCAACTCTTCTTCTTCAGTATCGTGTTGGCTTTTCTAAGTATCTTAGAGAAAAAGCTCAAGTGATGAACTGAAGATAACACCAGGGCTTTATATAGATTAGCAAAGAATGCAACATGACCTAAAGATTGATCCACACAAATTCTCTACACTTTCAAACATGGCTCTGAGAATACTTAAGTTGCCATATGGTACTTGGGTAGGTAGAAAAGACATAATTATAACTAATTTGAGTATGACTTTACCCTCATTGTCTCATTGCAATTTAGAAAAGAATTCTCGATATTTTTGATGACTAACTGTGGTTTTGGGAAATTGCTTTTCCAAAGAAGTAAGTTAACAAAACAATATGGAAATCTTGACACCAGAAGTTTAAATATTAAAGAGAGTAAAACTCTTATACAATAACTCATTATAATAACAAAAGAATATTCCCTAAACAAGTGCAAAAAAATCTAGTAAATATGCTTTAATTGGAGTTTTCACTAGGGTAGGGTAACATCAAATGTATATATATATTTTAATTTATTTTTTGTTATTATACCTTAAGTTCTAGGGTACATGTACACAACGTGCAGGTTTGTTACACATGTATACATGTGCCACGGTGGTGTACTGCACCCATTAACTCGTCATTTACATTAGGTATATCTCCAAATGCTATCCCTTCCCCTTTCCCCCACTCCACAGAAGTGTGATATTCCTCACCCTGTGTCCAAGTGTTCTCATTGTTCAATTCCCACCTATGAGTGAGAACATGCGGTGTTTCGTTTTCTGTCCTTGGTGATAGTTTGCTCAGAACGGTGGTATCTAGCTTCATCCATGTCCCTACAAAGGACATGAACTCATCCTTTTTTATGGCTGCATAGTATTCCATGGTATATATGTGCCACATTTTCTTAACCCATTCTATTATTGATGGACATTTGGGTTGGTTCCAAGTCATTACTATTGTGAATAGTGCTGCAGTAAACATACATGTGCATGTGCCCTTATAGCAGCATGATTTATAATCCTTTGGGTATATACCCAGTAATGGGATGGCTGAGTCAAATGGTATTTCTAGTTCTAGATCCTCGAGGAAACGCCACACTGTCTTCCACAATGGTTGAACTAGTTTACAGTTCTACCAACAGTGTAAAAGCGTTCCTATTTCTCCACATCCTCTCCAGCACTTGTTGTTTCCTGACTTTTTAATGATCGCCATTCTAACTGGTGTGAGATGGTATCTCACTGTGGTTTTGATTTGCATTTCTCTGATGGCCAGTGATGATGACCATTTTTTCATGTGTCTGTTGGCTGCATAAATGTCTTCTTTTGAGAAGTGTCTGTTCATATCCATTGCCCACTTTTTGATGGGGTTGTTTGATTTTTTTCTTGTAAATTTGTTTAAGTTATTTGTAGATTCTGGGTATTAGCCCTTTGTCAGATGGGTAGATTGTAAAAATTTTCTCCCATTCTGTAGGTTGCCTATTCACTCTGATGGTAGTTTCTTTTGCTGTGCAGAAGCTCTTTAGTTTAATTAGATCCCATTTGTCAATTTTGGCTTTTGTTGCCATTCCTTTTGGTATTTTAGTCATGAAGTCCTTGCCCATGCCTATGTCCTGAATGGTATTGCCTAGGTTTTCTTCTAGGGTTTTTATGGTTTTAGGTCTAACATTTAAGTCTTTAATCCATCTTGAATTAATATTTGTATAAGGTTTAAGGAAGGGATCTAGTTTCAGCTTTCTACATATGGCTAGCCAGTTTTCCCAGCACCATTTATTAAATAGGAAATCCTTTCCCCATTTCTTGTTTTTGTCAGGTTTGTCAAAGATCAGATGGTTGTAGACATGTGGTATTATTTCTGAGGGCTCCATTCTGTTCCATTGGTCTATATCTCTGTTTTGGTACCAGTACCATGCTGTTTTTGGTTACTGGAGCCTTGTAGTATAGTTTGAAGTCAGATAGTGTGATGCCTCCAGCTTTGTTCTTTTGGCTTAGGATTGTCTTAGCAATGCGGGCTCTTTTTTTGTTCCATATGAACTTTCAAGTGGTTTTTTCCAATTCTATGAAGAAAGTCATTGGTAGCTTGATGTGGATGGCATTGAATCTATAAATTCAATGGGCAGTATGGCCATTTTCACAATATTGATTCTTGGGCAGTATGGCCATTTTCACAATGTTGATTCTTCCTATCCATGAGCATGGAATGTTCTTCCATTCATCAAATGTATTTTTTAAAAACCAGTTCAGCATGAACACTTACCAAGCCAAAGCACCTTTACAGGCCTGGACGGCTTCTATTGATTAATACTTGCTGTACATCAGGTCTAGCTTTCTCTTTTGTCACAGATGAGAGTGGGAAATTCAAATCCCTTTCAGCTATTTAAAGGAGTAATATTACCAGTGACTCAATTGTCTTTCATTGCCAAAGCAAATAGAGGTTCTCTTGGAATCTTATCTTACATATCCCTAATCTTTAAAATTATGTTTCTAAGTACCTTAGGTTTAATTTTTCAGAAAATGGAATTGATAGATCTACTTTGTGTTTACTGAGCTTCTGTTCACCACGTAAGAACTTAAAAGAAATTTCTGTCAAAGGGGAAAAAGGGATTTACTTCATTTGATGTGACTGTTATATCCATCATAAAATCAGCTTGCAGTAGTTCAGCTCTTAAAAGGATCTTCTAAAAGAATCTTGATAAGTTGACAAGACTATTTTTGCAGTTTTGTTTTTTTAAGAATTAAAGGGATTTTTAAGTTTTTCTCTGAAATGCTCAGGCTATTTGAAGAAATAAATGCTTAATTATAAATTAAATTTCTGTGGGAATGAATAATACTTTAATTTCCAGTAGATAAAGCTAGATCTTGCATTCTTATAATTCTAGCTGATACCAATTATAAATCTAAATTTTTGATATTGTTGCTTCAGAAAAGCAGGGTATCATAAGGGGATGTTTTTAGGCAGACAAGAAATATACATTCTATTAAATAAACAAACCAGAAGTTATTAAATAGCTGCCACATTCAAATTATTGTGACAGATGCTGTTGAGATTATAACAAAAGAATGAATGCTCACAAAATTCTCCCAATCAAGTTTACACAGATAAGATTTTGCTTGCAATAAATGACTGTGAAGCATATTTCATATGAAAAATGATTTCTGAAGTTTTGTTTGGATTTCATTAAAAACAAAATTAAATCAAGAACAAGTAAACCAATTTTTAAAACACGTCTGTAAGTCTAAAAAGCTTTGCTTTTTTTTAAGGCATTTTGGGGTGCTGCAATGATACTTAAATCTTATTTAAGAGTGTGACCAAAAAAGAACTCATCCGAAGGTCTTCATTTAGATATTTCTGACACTATTGAATAAAGAATAAAACAAAACAAAAATTCTCCACATAAACAACAAAAATATTCATTAAAATTAAATAAATCAAATATATTCTGTTATTAATGCCCCAAATGTGTCAGCTTGGTCAACTTAGTAAAAAAAAAAAATACAGTTCCGTGATTTAAGGAATATTTCCGGTTTTTTTTGTGGTATCTCCCTGGTAATCCCCAAATAACAAAATAATATATTTAGTCATAGTCACTTTTTAATTTTTCATCTGATTAATGTGGTGTCTCATACATGCAAACAAAGTACCTTTTTCTGTTGCCTTAATGCCTCTTTACAATGGACCCGATGGGAGATAAGCAGACATTAGACATACAGGTTGATAAAATACTTATGTAAATATAGTAAAACAATGTTGAGACCAAGTATAAGAGAGTGTCGTTATTTTTACTGGTTACAGCAAAATACCTGGGGAGCATTTTGGAAATTAACATTTGGTCACTGTAAGCCAGTATAGATTCCATTACGGTAACTTCCATTGTTTTGGGGCAGACATTTCATCTATGACAGTTTACTTGAGAGTACTGAACATATTTCAGTTTGCCAAAGTAAGATACTCTTGTTTTCTTGCACTGTTTTCCTATGTGCATCGGAAAAATATTACCTTTTTCAGAAATTTTGATTTAATGGTGTTTGATATTAGGCATGTTTTTACACTTAACAGTTATTCAGTGAAAACTAATTCTGCTCATTTTTTGTCTGAAGATATTGAACATGAAAATTTCAATAGGCACCAGTGCTCTTGTTACTTAAGTAAAATAGATTTCTGTGATTTTTATTCCTCTTCTATTATCTTCCTTAATCTACTAAATTACCTTATTCGCTAATATTTAAAACATGTATTTTCTAGGAAACTGTCATGACTACTAAGTTATCAGGCACTTACTGTATGCAAAGTATTTACAAATTGTGTAAATATAGCACTCACCACCATCCCATGTACATGTATGTTCCAGGAAGGAAGTTTTCCTTCCAACTCCACAACTGAATTATAAGGAATAGTATCTGTGAGCTTTCTATAGTCAATCAAAAATATTGGTGTGATAAGTGGAAAACATAAAAATAGATCTCCTGCCATCAAGAAGCAAATAGTAAAACTAGGCAATGTTAGATTAAGTGCTACAGGGTGAGGAGTCCAACTTCAGGTCGAAATGCCATGTGCGATATTTCCGGCCCAAACATAGGTAGTTATAAAAGCTTTACTTCGCAGATCTTAGCAGGGAAATCTTCCGCTTGCGGGGAAATGTGCTGGTACACAGCCAGCACATTTCAGTCTCCGAAGGAGTTGTAGTCAAGGACTCAGCTCTCCCTGCCTGGCCATGTCCTTATGCATAGCTGCATTTTTAGCCCAAGTGCCTTCATTTGGAGGTGTCTTTATTGAGGACTTTAGCAGGGACCTTCCTCAGTCGCCTCTATTGAGAGCTTATGGGTAAAAGAAAAGGCAGGGAAACTTGACACTTTTACTCTACTCTAACTCAGCTTTTTTCCACTGTTAGCCCTTTCTTGCTTTCCCTCTGCCCTTCTCCGTGTCCTCCACACCATCTAGGTCGATAAAACTATGGGATCCTTTTGTTTTAGGCTCCCTCTGCAGTGGAATTACCCTTATGTCTTTTCTGTCTATGCTGATCCACCTGATCTTGAACTGGTGCTATTCCATGGGGAAAATTGGAACATGGGGCAATTAACACTTTCTCCACTTTATCCCATCAACAGTAAGTACTGAAAGGCTTAAATGCTACTTCCATTTTGACTGTTTGTCTTAAGCAGCTACTCTGACGTCCAGAAGCTAGGTTCTCTTTCGAGTTTAGCTGAGCTTCTGACACAGAGAAGAGTATACATGAAAAATACCTGTGTAGCCTAGAAGTCGGGGAAAATGCAGGAAGTGGAGAAGAGAGTAGCATATAAATTATACGTATACATGGGTCAAGAACAAAAGGTATCAACTGAGGCTCAGGGATCCTAAGAGACATTAAGAATTTAGTAAGGATATGAACCTGTTCAAATGAAAGCTTTCAGTTGGGGTTACAGCAAGAAACATGCCTAATAAATCAAGTGAGGAGATTTTATATTAAATTAGAATTCAAGAAAATAGAATTAGTTTTTATCCTCTTTAGACAATGACAAAGTTATGACATGTTTGAGCAGAAGAGTAACGTAATAAAACTTGTGTTTTCGAAGTGTTTTATCTAGCTTTTTGGCCAGCCTAGCCAAACATTTACTTGGGATATCCTCTTGAAATATTGTGCAAGATACTGAAGTGTCTTTGAATAGCTCATGATCTAGGAATATGTTGCATGTTTAAACAAAGCTGAGAATTATCTGACAATGTGACTTAACAGAGACATTTTAATAATATTACAGGGAAATTGAAATATAACCAACTAACTCAGGAGACATCATGGAAGATGTCACACAGTGAATGATGATGAAGCAGAATTTTTAAAATGTGTAGGATTACGAGAAGTGGGCAAGTACTTATGAAAAGATACCATAAACAAAACCTATTTTACTTCAGACATTCTCTAAACTTTATTTCAACCTTTAGAAACTGTGAATAAGTACATTTGTCCTTCAAAGTTATATAAATTAAAGGGCTATTTTGCCATATAAATGAAAGTATTTCCAATTCCACAAAAATGTCTTATGATCAACAAATGAATCTTGGTATTTATAAAGTTCTGGTTGTTACTGATATTTTATAATCTGACCTAGCTTAACTGTCCAGGTTAATTTCCCACCAATTTTCAATAGGCACATTTCATTTTGACCAAACCAGGTTACAACTGAAACTATCGTATCTTAACCAATCTGTAGTAGTATTTAATTAAAAATACTTGTTAAAGCAGTAAATTGAAAATTATACTTAGGTATTATAAACATTGCATTTAACATGAACCATATACATAGATATTCATTTGTCAAACTTTTGTTGTAGGGTCATTTTTCTTTGTGTATGGTATTGCTGATGCAGTTTAATGCTCCATTACTTCTAAATTTTCATCATAAGCTAGATTTTCCAGTTGTGGTTTCTATAAAGAAAAACAAACATTCTGAAGACAGTTTTTCCAGATTTATTCCAGATATCGATGATTAACTTTTGAAGGTAAGACTATTATCTTTTCACACATAATTTGACTATAAAATTTTAAATGGCTCACCTTTGTCAAGTAGTTACAAGTAATTTATCATAAAAACTATTGGGAACTAATTTAGTTGATGTATGTAATATTCAAATTAACTACATACTTATCATAGTAATTGTAAGTGGCATAAATAGGATTAGAAAGAAAACCAACTGCTTTTGATGATACAACTTAAAATGAAAAAGAAAGTATATATACAAATGGACCTGATGGGGGAAAAGTGTGATTTAGCTACTTGTGAGCATTTAACATACTGTGAGTACTCCTCAGTATCTTTTTTACAGCGAGAAGGTTATCTGAATAAATGGGTTGGATGGATTTTCCTATAAATGTCTGCTATAATTATCATAATGTTCCAAACTTTCATCTATTTACCTTTTCACATGTTGCCCTCTCTGCTGAAATGCCTGCCCACCTATCATTCTGGGAAATTACTACTCATTTTTTAAAGCTCTAGGAGAAGCAATTTCCCTGGAAATCATTTTCAAATTATTTTTCACTAAAGAGCATCAGGCAACCTTGCATTTGTGTTCCCTCTCTGAATTGCTGTTGTTACTCTTTTTACACAAATGTTAATTATAGCTAATAATTGCTAACCACCTTATTCTTGTATGCTAAGCCCTGTTTTCAGCAATTTATTAGTATGAACTTATTTAATCCTCATAACACCCTCTGAGATTGATACTATTATTATTCTTCATTTTATAATTGTGAAAAGCATATAGAGTTTGAGTAATTGTATAAAGCAACATAGTTATTAGGTAAATGTGTCAGGATTAAACAAACATTCTGTCTTCAGAAGTCATGTTTTTAGGGTCTGTGCTAGTTGTCTTTCAGTCATGCATTGCACTTCGGTTGTTGGTACTCAACAACAAGCAATTGGTTCTTGAGATTAGAATTCTGTCTTTTTCATTTTACATTTTTAATATGGAGCACAATGTCTTGCAAATAATACAGTCCTAACATTGTTTTTGAATAAATGAGTGAGAAATCAAATGGAAATACATTTTAGCCATTTGAACTATAGAGGGCTGTCTAACCTTTCACAGCAGATATGCCTCAGGAAAAGTAGATGACAGTTGCATGTTTCTCATATTCTAGCTCCTCTGTTGATTTGAACATCCGCTGAAGCTTATTTTTCACCTCAGAATAGCATCAACATTATTTGAAATTCAATTGTACTTTCTCGTTACATTAATAAATCATGGAAGTTGAGAAAATTGATGTATCATTGAATGAATTTAAATGACTTTTTTTTGTTTTGTACCATTCTATCCATAAAGTTGAAAGCATTGGTTGTCTGAGTTCATAAAACATCCACTGGATGGATAGGTTAGAGCCATTCTATAGAATCAGTGTCACACAAACCATGTGGGTTGATGGATATTTTCACATCAAACTGTCATCTTGTCTCTGCTGTTACATTATATTTGCTGCCTCAACAGTGACTCAAATTGTTATTTTTTTACAGCCGGTGTCCCAACTACAAAATAGCCCAGTATATTTTTGACCACCCATTTAACTATTTATTGATATCTAAAGGCTTTAGTTTTTTATCATAAATATAAGTCTAAAAAGAGTCTAGATTTTGGATGGTGGCACATATTTAAAAACACATCTATGCATAGGATTCTCGCTGTGGATAGAAATTATTTTACAAATCAGGGTTGACTTGTTGATATAACATTTTGTTCATTACATTTATTTATTTATACCAGTTACCACCCAGCTTATTGGAATGACATTTTATGATGACTACTTCCTGATGCTCCAGGAAGCCTCTAGGGGAATGAGAATGGTCTCTAGGGGACTGGTTATTTGTGTAGGCATTTCTGGTCACAGCCAGAGGATCACACACATATTCACAAATATCTATTAGAAGGCAATTTTCTGTTAAACTGAAGGATTCTGAGTTCTGGGAGATGATTTTACATTCTGAAGGATGCTTCCACCTTTAGATAAGAATGCCAGGCTCTCCCAAAGATGGTTAAAGAGTCTGCCTGAAAAAAGAATGTAAAGAACAGTGCAGGCAGTGGGAACTATGATTTAAATTACAGAGAGAGAACAAAGGAAAAACTGATCTGGGAATAAATAGAGTCACGCACCATTGGAGTTGCATGTGTGAGCAAGTGTGTCTGTATATGTATGTGGGTGTGTGTCCCTGTTTATATTTTGGAAATGAGGTTGAGAGATGTAAAAATAATAAAGATGTAAAAATTAACAAACATGCAAAAAATATCTTCAATAAGGAAAAATTGTTTATATTTTATATAAAATCTACTAAGAAATTTTTAACAGGGTATATACAATCAAATGTCTGTTTTAGAGTGTTTAGTTGTATAAATATGGAAGGAGGAAAGAAATGGCAGAAAGACCAAATATGCTATTCCTGTAACAATCGTGAGATATCTGGACTCTGTACTGAGGTTGTAGCAATGAAGGTAAGAAGAAAAGAAGGATTTGAAAGAATTTAAATAGAGAATTAATAACTCTTGGGAAATTAATATACAGGAGGGGGAGCAGAATGTCAGGAAAAGGGACAATGTGAAGAATGATGGCACAGCTTCTGGCCTGTGCATCTGGGTAGAGAAGCTCATTGAGATAATGAAGGGAAATGTTTAAATATGTTGGTGAGATGAGGGGAGAAAGAGTTTGGGGTAGACAATTGTTTATGGCATAATTTAAGGTTATTCTTATATATTATACAATAGCAGGGCAGTACAGAGGTATCTGGAGCTCAGGGAGAGATTTGAACTGACAGTGTAGATTTGCAAATCCTCACCATATACCTGGCCATTACAGTCACAGGTGCCAGGCTGATCATGAAGACAAGTCTCAGAGTTGTAAATGAACCACCAAGTAGGTAAAAATTACAACAGAATAAAGTCAACATTTCTTGCACTCTGAACATCTCACTGTACTCCACAACACTCACCCTTTCTTAGTTCCTCACTTTGGAAGATGCTGTTTCTTGTATCTGGAATGCTTTCATTGGATTTCCTACTTTAGGCTCTATCCCATTCACTGTCTGACATCTCCTTCACTGGCATTAACCAGTTGTACCTAATATGTGAGTTAGACAAGGAATCTGAAGGCGGTACAGAGCAAAAGGAGCCCGCCATGCTCAACATTTAATTTGATCCATCCTTAGGCACTTATGAAGAGCAAGTTCAAATGGTAATTGTTCCTTGGCTCCCCAGGATGACATCTCTTTGTTGCTTGAGCAATCTGGCCATATAATTTTTATGGTACTTAAATAATTGCTTTATATTCACCTATTTGCATGTCTTTTACTTCTCATGGTGTAACAATTTTTCACTGTCCTTGGGGGTTATTTTTGGTCCTCTAGGAAGCAGATCCCCCAAATAGGATTAGACATACAAGAGATTTACTGGGGAGGAATACCTATGAAGAATAAAGCAGGTGAAGGCAAGAGGATATGACAGTGCCTTTAGACCATGGCACGGGTCTGACACTTGTGAAAGGAAAGTGGAAAAAGTAAGCAGAATTAGGAAAGAATAGGTTCAGATCTCAATGCAATTTTCTGGAAGTCTCCAGTGGCTTTGGAGTGAATGCTGTAGCAAATTTGAATGAGCAGCAATATCCCCTGTGTAGGTGCAAGAAAGGGGATGTGTGCACACACCTTGCCTGCCACACTTTGTATTTTAAATGCTACCTGGAATAAGTATGATATACAATAAATAATTATTATATGAATTAATAAATTTAATGATTAACACTGTACAGTTTTCCAGTAGTTGTAATGAGTTTCCTTTCTTGTACTTAAAAAAAAAAGGGCTTTATTTGCTTGTCCTTTTAAAACCAAATGCATGTACTGGAAGATAAATGGTAAGGGAGAGGTTAACTGACAGAAAGACTTTGATTTTATTAGGATCACATACTCACCAAATGAGATTACTAGCCAGATAAATTATAAAATTGGTAGTTATAGTCCAAAATCAGTAAACATATTTTGGTATTACTACATGTCTATTTGCTTCCCTTTTTATGCCTCACATAGACTTAATTAAGAAGCTGTGGTTACTCTCTCCCATGTTATGCCCTCAAATAAAATTTTTCTATTATTGTTGCTAGTCGTTTATTTATTTGTTTATTTATTTATTTATTTTTATTTTTTTGGAGACGGAATCTCTCTCTGTCACCCAGGCTGGAATGCAGTGGTGCTATCTTGGCTCACTGCAATCTCCACCTCCTGGGTTCAAGCACTTCTTCTGCCTCAGCCTCCCGAGTAGCTGGGACTACAGGCACACGCGGCCACGCCCGGCTAATTATTTGTATTTTAGTAGAGACGGGATTTCACCGTGTTGCCCAGGCTGGTCTCGAACTCCTGAGCTCAGGCAGTCTGCCCGCCTCGGCTTGCCAAAGTGCTAGGATTACAGGTGTGAGCCACCGCGATTGGCCTGTTGTTAGTCATTTCTATACTACTTATAGGGAAGGGAAATTAGCCACACAATAACATTGTTATCATAACAAAAATGTCGGACTCCTATTGCTTCAGTAGAAATTAATATTGGAAATTAATGAACATCTTAATTAATTTTAAGAATTTTTTTTCAGTTGAATTGAAGCCCTTTTACTTAAACAATGCAAATCGATGGGTTTTCAATAGTCTGTTATTGTTCACTGAAATGATGGAATAAATTTAAGATGTTGAAGTAAATAAAATTTGACTAAACTTTAAAAATCTCGCATTTTATTTTCACTTGATTTAAATTTTATTTAAGTATCATCCTTCATTTTGAAATAGATAGAATAATGACATGGTTTTCTATACAAAGTATAATATATTTTTCTTCCTAATAACTTATTTTCGGCTTTTTTGTGTGTATATGATAAAAATGTGCTATTTTTAGAAATAAATGCATATATTTCTAAATGTGAGATTGTCTGAAGACATACAAATATGATGTATTTGACCAGACTGAAAGTGAAATATGATTTTTAATCTGAATAATAAAATTAGTAATTTATGTAAAATAATTGTGTTTTCTTTTTGCATGCTAACCAAACATTTTACATTAAATACATCAGGTCAAAAATAAAATTTAATCTTGAGTTAAGTTCAAAATTACAGATTTATTTTAAATAAGATTTTTTTTAAGAAGAAACTAGGATAACATTTTATATTAAACATGTATGTGCTTTAGTTTTCTAGGGCTGCCATAAGTAAGTACAACAAACTGAGTGGCGTAAAAGAACAGAAATTTATTCTTTCACAGTTTTGGAGGCTGGAGATTTGAAATCAAGGTGTCGACAGAGTTGAATAATTTTTTCTCTGAAGAATCTAAGGGAGGCTATTTTCTTGCCCCTTTCCAGCTCCGTAGTTTCTGGTCATGCTTAGCGTTCATAGGCTGGTCAATATATCACTCTGATCTTTGTCTCTGACTTCAGATTGACTTCCTTTCTTTGTGTCTTTGATCTCTCTCCCTGTTGTTATAGGATGCCAGTCAGACAGGATTTAGGACTCACTCTACTTTAGTATGTCCTTCTCCTAACCTAATGAATTCCATTTCTTAAGATCTTATTTTCAAATAAAGTTGCATTCTGAGTTTTCAGGAAGGATTTGAATTTATTAAATAATTTAAATATATATTTTATACTTTTTTAATGGCATGGATAAAGTGTTTAGACAGTTTATTAAATGCTATGGGAGAAAATTATACTGTTAGTCTAAAGCAAAATAACCGAGTTGGTCACTATTGGCCCAAACTCTAATTAATATACACATATACCCATTTATGTGACTGTATCATTATTATAGAGTGATCAATCAACTTAGTGCTCTGGGGTTGTGGGGCTGTACCCCAAACTGTATCATTTGTAATATGAACATTTCCAGTACTTATCTTTTTAACACTTGTTAAAAATTAAAACATGTAGCTAAAATATATTAGTTACAAATAATGTGATACAGTACATATACTTAACAGTCTTCATTCCATTCTCATTGAGAATGAGAAGCAAGAATTTACCTAAAACATTTATGAAAGCCTGAGTGGTGAAATAGGACTTGTGATACAGGGAACAGATCATCAAGAGCATCAGTTGGGAACCTGAAAGGAAACAGAGAATAAGCTCCATGTGAGTTATTTGCAGAGGGTTTAATAAATGAATTATTTTAAAAGATGGGCACAAGGTGTAGTGGAGCTTTAAGGTATCCAGTACCCAGTAGCCAAGATCTTTCCTTTCCTTGACCTATATGGAGAGGGGAGGAAGCAGTTCCTTGGAACCCAGAGACAAAGAGACTAAGGAGAGAGGATCACCTTATAGATGCTGGAAGAGTGGGTCATGTATTCAATCAAATGAAACCAACCTCAAAAAGGGGAAGCTGGAGTAATTAATATGGCTTAAACTTTCCCCCTCCACACTCCTGCCAGTCTCTTCATTGTCAGATTATAACCAGAAGCCAGAAGCAAGACAGTCCATTGATGTGTCCACACAGAGCAGTCTCAGAGCACAGACCTGGGTGGACAAGGATATACCGTAGAGCTGAAAGTCCAGCCAGTTTAATTTCATATCAATCCTACAACATTGTTTATACTTTTTGATAAAAGTTAAAGAATACTTCTATTTAAAATTTCATTTTTAATATGTTTTTATCCTAGTGTCAAGCTTTCTTTTTGTTTTATAACTGAAAGTGGAAGTGTAGGTGGATCCTATAATCAAAATTGTAATGGGGGTAGGGAATCACTGTGTCATTGGTTTTTTGTTACATGTAGAAGCAAGCACTCTACAATTGACAGTGACATTACATGGTGTTTGCGTAGTGGGCAGCAAATTCATTCTAGCATGCTTTACAGCAATTGCTGCCATTTGATAAGTAACTCCATATGGACTGAGGCCGAAGCACTAAATCATTGTGTCTCCTTCATGCCAAGCACTGATTCATTGCAGTGTCTTGCACTGCAACTTATTGCTACTACATTTTAGAAAATATACTTGTTTTCTCTCAAACACGTTATATTTAATTTATTCTTGCTGTGGTTGAATTTGACTATGCTTGTTATTTTAGCATCACCATGTGCATGGTGAACTATTTTTAATCAGACATCTACTTATAATCATATCATAGTTTGAAGGGACCTTAAAGGTCATATAATCTTACTTCTCACCACATGCACACCATCCCCAAATAATAGTCATATATCTGGCTTCTGCTTGAATAATTCCAATGACAGGGAACTGACTACTTGAGATGCAGCCTTTTCTATGCTTGGCTAGCTTTCATTGCTAAAAGTTCTCCCTTATGTTGAGTAGAAATTTATTAACTCTATTTTCCACCTCTTGGTCCTAGATCTACTCTCTAGAACAATAAGTTAAACTTTATATTCTTTTGTTAACTCTTAAATATTCACTACTGCAGGCTTTTTTGTGAAGCACACATTATTTGAAGTATATACAGTGTTCCGTAAAAATCATATAGAACAAATTTGTTCTGATCCCTGTTTTAGGAAGCAGTGGGTCTTTTTAGATTCTATATGGAAATTCTAATTAAAAATCAAACTATAATCATAAAAGTGTAGAACTCAAAGGGCTGTTCGAAAGTATATAGTGGTATCCTGATTCTCTTTTGGACCCCATGGTATAAGTAGTATATGTAGAAATTTAAGGAAAAAAATTCATTTCTATATGAATGGCATTGTTTATGAAGAATTTTAATCTCAAAGCCTAAACTTGAAGTACAAAATGACATAAAGATGGGAACAACAGACACTGGGGACTACTAGAAGGTGAAAGAAGGGAGACAATTATGGATTGAACAACTATCTATTGGGTACTATGCTCACCACCTGGGTGAATGCACCCTCCCTATCCCAAATGTCAGTATTGCTCGATATACTCATGTAACAATCCTCTGCGTGTATCCCCAGAATAAAAATAAATAAATAAATAAAAATGAAAAACAGAGATAACATGATAATCCTTGTGAAAAATCTGGTGGAACCTATTAAAAATTATTAGAATTAGTAAGTGAATTTTGCAAAGTGTCAACAAGCAAAACTCAATTGCTTTTCTACATGCTAGCAGTGAAAAATCAGATACAGAAAAAAAAAGTATTTTTATTTTACTTTTTTCTTTTTTTTAACTATACTTTAAGTTCTGGGGTACACATGCAGAACGTTCAGGTTTGTTACATAGGTATACGCGTCCCATGGTGGTTTGCTGCACCCATCAACCCTTCATCTACATTAGGTATTTCTCCTAATGCTATCCCTCCCCTTGCCCCCCACCCCTCAAACAGGTGGTTGATGTTACCCTCTCTGTGCCCATATGTTCTTATTGTTCAACTCCCACTTATAAGTGAGAACATGCGCTATTTGGTTTTATGTTCTTGTGTTAGTTTGCTGAGAATGATGGTTTCCAGCTTTATCCATGTCCCTGCAAAGGACATGAACTCAATATTTTTTATGGCTTCATAGTATTCCATGGTGTATATGTGCCACATTTTCTTTATCCAGTCTAACATTGATGGGCATTTGGGTTTGTTCCAAGTCTTTGCTATTGAGAGTAGTGCTGCAGTAAACATACGTGTGCATGTGTCTTTATAGTAGAATTATTTATGATCCTTTGGGTATATATTCAGTAATGGGATTGCTAGGTCAAATGGTATTTCTAGTTCTAGATCCTTGAGGAATCGCCACACTGTCTTCCACAATGGTTGAACTAATTTACACTCCCACCAATAGTGTAAAAGCATTCCTGTTTCTCCACATCCTCTCCAGCATCTGTTGTTTCCTGACTTTTTAATGATCACCATTCTAACTGATGTGAGATGGTATCTCATTGTTGTTTTGATTTGCATTTCTCTGATGGTCAGTAATGTTGAACTTCTTTTCATATGTTTCTTGGCCACATAAATGTCTTCTTTTGAGAAGTGCCTGTTCATATCCTTTGCCCACTTTTTGATGGGGTTGTTTGTTTTTTTCTTGTAAATTTGTTTAAGTTCCTTGTAGATTCTGGATATTAACCCTTAGTCAGAGGGATAGATGGCAAAAATGTTCTCCCATTCTGTAGGTTACCTGTTCGCTCTGATGATAGTTTATTTTGCTGTGCAGAAGCCCTTTAGTTTAATTAGATCCCATTTGTCAATTTTGGCTTTTGTTGCCATTGCTTTTGGTGTTTTAGTCATGAAGTCTTTGCCCATGCCTATGTCCTGAATGGTATTGCCTAGGTTTTCTTCTAGGATTTTTAAGGCTTCAGGTCTTACATTTAAAAATTTAATCTATCTTGAGGTAATTTTTGTACAAGGTGTAAGGAAGGGGTCCAGTTTCAGTTTTCTGCATGTGGCTAGCCAATTTTCCCAACACCATTTTATTAAATAGGGAATCCTTTCCCCATTGCTGGTTTTTAGTAGGTTTTTCAAAGATCAGATGGTTGTAGATGTGTGGTGTTATTTCTGAGGCCTCTGTTTTATTTATATATCATAAAGTATGTTAAATAATCAGTGATGGATCTTCCAAAAATATAAAACAACTCTACACTAAAAACTTTAAACATTGTTGAAGGAAATTAAGAAAGACCTAAATAAACAAAATCCATATTGAATTCATATTTTGAAAGACTAAATGTTATTCCTTCCAAATTGTTTATAGATTAAATATGATCCCAATAAAATCCCAGCAATGTAGAAACTGAAAAATTAATCCTAAAATTCATATGGAAGCACAAAGGACCCAGAGGAGCCAAAACAACTTCCGAAAAGAACAAAGTTGGAGAATTAACATGACCTGATTTCAAAACTTATTATAAAACTACAATAATCAAAACAGTAGTACTGACATAAAGGCAAATACATCAGTGGAACAGAATGAAAAACACAGGAAGACTCACTCATATAAAAGCAATTGATTTTTCACAAAGATGCTAAAACAAATCAGTGGAGAAAGGATGGTCTTTTCGACAAATGATGCTGGGAATATTGGATGTATACAAACTAGTATATCTGCACAGTGGAATTCTCATTAATGAAGATAAATAAACCTACTACATTCAGTAGTAGGTGATACCCACTACATCATGAATGCATCTCAATGTAATTACGCTGAGTAAAGAAAAACAGTCAAAAAAAGAGTACATACTATATGATTGCTTTTTTATAAAATTCTAGAAAGTGAGAACTAACATGTAGATACAGAAAGCAGATCAGTCGTTGCCTGGGGTCGGGTCTGAGGGGAGAGAGAGATGAGAATTCAATATTACAGAGGGGCATGAGGAAACTTTGGGGCATGCTTCATCACCTTGAATGTGGTGATGGTTTCAAAGATGCATATGGATGTCAAAACTTATCAAATTGTATCCTTTAAAAATATATAGCTCATCTTATGTCAGCTAAATTTTAGTAAACCATTATTAAAACCTAAAAAAGAAAATGGATCTGAATTTTTAGTGGTGCCCGTTGTTTTGCTTTTTCTATCTAAATCTGAAAAATAGAAGAGAAAAGGTGAATATATTAACAAGAATGCTGTGAAAACATAACTATTGGCTATATATTAATCATTCATTAAACATTCTGAACATATATACCTAACATGCTATAGCCTAAGTGCACTTTCCCTAAAATGTAATCCTCCAATGTTCCTTTCTCCACCATCCCTCTTTCCTTTTTATACTACTCATTCCCCTGCTTCTTGTTCATCTTCTCTCCCAAACTTTTCTCAACTTTGCCTGCTAGGCAGTGGTCTATTCTGCTAAGCAAGTCTTACCATGGATTCAAGGAAGTGTAGTTGATTTAGTTACTGATAAGTAATTATTTACACAGTCAGATGGCAAAAAAAAAAGTTAGCGAAAACTATGGAAATGACTTTATTCCAGGCCTTAGTTCTGTACATCACACTCTGCCTACATTGGGTTTCTAAGCACTAATGTCTTGCAAATAATTTTTTAAAACTGTCATCTAATATTATCTATCTTATTTGAATTTCATTCCACTAAAACTTGTTGCAGATATTTAGATTTGGGAAATGTCTCTGAGGTATGCCCTTTAATGTAGCTGGAATCTAATTTTGTTCTTAAGATAGCTAACCCTCATATAGTAAGTATCTTGCTCAAATTTCTTTTTCATTTTGTCAATTAATAAGGCAGCATCTGAAAAATTGAATCTTATTGAAAAAATTCAGATAATTCATTTTGCTCATGTAGGTACTACTATGGCTAAGGAGACTGTAAATTCTAACAATTTATTAAATATAAAAATTTAAATTCTCAGCTCATCCAGAATATTTAATACTTTCTGTAATATTTCATATATACTCTACACTTTAAGACAATCTTATTTCTTTTCTTCTGAATGATGTACTTAAATTAATGTTTCCACATAAAATCATTCAATTTAACAAATCATATAGCCAAAATAAAAATATTATTTAGTATTATATAAATTATTTACAGTCAAATGGATTAGTAATCCAGGATGATTTATATATTAGTTAAGTAAATAATATAGCTACAATGGAATTGGGTTAAGAAATAATCAAATTTAATGGTATCACCTTTATTTATATTCATAACAACACTTTAATGCCATTTTTACTAATTTGCATCTCTAACTAGGGCTTGTTAACAAAGTATAAGGCCATCAGAAAGCATAGGGAAAAAAACATTTGCTATGGTAAAATAACATAATCGCTTCCCTGTAATAAGCAATCCTTAACATACAAACTGTATTTAAAGACAATTTTTATAAAGACTATTGTTTAAGTCACTTTTTGGTACCTGTACTTAACTATAAAGTTTCAAAAGCAAAATAATTTTCTACATGAACCCTAGAATAATTAGTTTTAAATGAAATTTTGCATAATGGGTAAACATTTTTTCCTTGGAACAGAACAGCTGTGTACTTTAGGTAATGTCAACATATTTATGGAACTATTACATCATTTGTCCAATGCACTCTTTATGCTGCATTACACAAATGAGGTGCAACCAGCAGGATATTATTTATGTTGCACTGTAGTTTTGAAAGTGACACCACAATCTTTTTAAAGTTATTAATTTAGCAATGAAAATATAGAATTCTTTTTTCCTGATAGTCACAA
Source organism: Homo sapiens (assembly GCF_000001405.40). Taxonomy (NCBI): domain Eukaryota; kingdom Metazoa; phylum Chordata; class Mammalia; order Primates; family Hominidae; genus Homo; species Homo sapiens. The sequence goes on from NC_000003.12 coordinate 95,002,167, forward strand.
TATCCAGGTTCTTAAAAAAGGAGAAAAGTTTACATGACATGCTTGAATCTTTATTTGTTTGCATTTTAGTAACAGATAAACATAGTAAAGAAAAAAAACAAAAATTTCCCATGGTTCAAAGTACAGACTATTTGATCAACATGTTTTCAACCATTTTGAAGATGTGTGACCTCTAGATCATTTCTACCAAAAACTGAATTGAACTGGAATAATTTAGGAGTTTGGGATTTCAGCAAGGCTTCCTGAGCTGTGTCAGTGATTTATTATTAACTGACACCTTTTGGAGATCTGTCATGAAAGAAAAGGTTCCTCTCTGAGCTCTGTTTTTCAAGTCTTGATATATAGCAGTGTTTTTATTTTTCCCATGTTTGCAAACTGTGGGCTTCAGTTACCAGCTTCCTGGTCTGACAGCACTGCTCCAAAGCACAAATGAGCAGCTAAAACACTATATTACCCAGCACCTGATGTTGGGTTCCTCCTAGCTCACACACATGAGAAGCAGTAATGATTTTTCCTCCTATCCTAATTGGCCCTCACTCTGTTATAGGTTCTTTGTAGTTTCAGAGTGATGATTAAGCACAATTAGAATGGAGAGAGAAGGAAAAAATGTTTACTGTATGGATAATTAGGCACTGTGTAGGTCTTCACATATGTTATTAATCATTTCTTTTCTGATGTAATGACTCTTTACATCTCTCTACTGAAGTACTCAGATTCCTGATTAGATCTTCCAGTGAAACATGCAGTCTTGGTTTCTGGCTGGTCTTTTTTCCACATTTCATATTTGCTTTTTATACTGGCAAACAAAAGAACTATGCATTCTTTCTTTCTTTCTTTTTGCTCATCTCCCTGAAAGCCTAAATTCCAGCCAAGTCTAAGAGGTAAGTTCCAATGATTGCCCATTTTCCTGAGTCTCATCCTGGCTGCCCTTGCCTTCCAAAGTGGAAGGTACCAACATATTACTTGTCTTTTATTTTTATTTTTTAATATTGGAAAAACAGAAATAAATACAGGAACTCTGAGCATCACTTTTCTGTTCTCTTCAAAGGTAGAAATGAGACTTGAACTCTTTATGAATCTTAGATATATATATACACACACACACACACACACACACACATAACCTTTGGTTATTCAAATCAAAGGTGAAATAGGACATTTTCAGACAAAAGTTGAAAAACTTTTCCTTGGTCTAACTGAGTCTTACTTTGACATATATCTTATAAAACCCAAACTGATAGCACACCAAAACAGATTTCTAGATGTCTGTCTCTGTATAACATTCTAGTCATTGGTATTCTGCTCTGCAATTCCAGCTGCCTTTGACTCTCTGAATTTTGATTCCTGTCTTCCAATCTCAGCAAAGTCACTGCATTCAGGCATCCCTACACAAGTCTCTAGTAAATGTTTCAAGGCAGAAAGCTGGTTTCATCAAACCACTCACTTGACTAGTTTTCCTAATTGAGCTGAGACAATATCTTTAATCAAATAAAAACAGTAAGGGTAGAAATAGTAAGGTAAAAAAGAGGTTGGTGTTTTTACTTTCTCTATTTAGGTAAGCCAGTGGAACTGAATATAGATAGTCCCTGACTTACAGTGGTCTGACATACACTTTTTTCAAAATTTTTTATGGAGTCTTGCTCTGTCACTCAGGCTAGAATGCAGTGGCATGATCATGGCTGACTGCAACCTCCACCTCCCAGGCTCAAGCAATTCTCCTGCCTCCACCTCCCGAATAGCTAGGATTACAGGCATGCACTGCCACATCTGGCTAATTTTTGTATTTTTAGTAGAGACGGGGTTTCACCATGTTGGTCAGGCTGATCTTGAACCCCTGACCTCGTGATCCACCTGCCTCAGCCTCCCAAAGTGCAGGGATTACAGGTGTGAGCCACCGCACCCAGCCTGACATATGCTTTTTTGACTGTGATCATACAAAAACTAAACTCATTCAGTGCCCATACAACCATTCCATTTTTCACTTTCAGTACAGTATTTAATAAATCGTGAAATATTCAACACCTTATTATAAAATAGGCTTTGTCTTAAATGATTTTGCCAGATTGCAGGCTAATGTAAGTGTTCTGAGCACATTTAAGGTAGACTAGGTTAAGCTATGATGTTCGATAGGTCAGGTGTATTAAATGCACTTTTGACTTATAATATTTTCAACTCATGATGAGTTTATCCGGACCAATCCCATTGTAAGCTGGAAACATCTGTAAAGTTTCCTACTTGTTTACATCAGTGTTAATGCTTTGCATATCTACAGAGCTAACCTACTGGGATATGAATGGGCACATTTGTTCCTTTTATCCTGTAAAACTACCTAGATCTCTCCAAACCAGCATAACTTAGTGTAGAATGACTTTTTTAAAAAAATCAAACTTTTTCAAAAATAAAATTTTATAACAGAAGCAATACTAATTACATATGCCTTTCTAGTGATAAAAATTTATACAATGAAGAGAGTATCTGTGAATTTGCACCAAGCAGTTGTAAGCACCACCTTTTTCACAGTTTAATGAACCAATTTGAACTAGTAGATAATTTTTATAGAATTGTATAAAAACGTTATCTGAACATCTGGAAATATTTTCAAAAAATTAACAAAAATTGACTTTTTTCTCTGCTTTGTGAAATAAGAAATGAATATGTGTCTACAGATCAAAAACTACATCAGGCATTATTCTGGTGACCTCATAAGATTTCATTTAATCTTCATCAAAGCCCTTTGAGTTATATACTATTATTTCTCCTTTCTATACAACTGAACTTAAGATAGAACAAGTTTATTGATTTCCCAAGATCTAACAGTGCTGGAATTTCAACCTAATTATTTTACTCCAGAAACTGTTTTTTTTCCCTAAGCATAATACTTTTTGATTATTACGTCTTACCATCTCCTAATTGCACACTACATGTTGTAATTATACATCCAAAATTCTTACAAGTGCAGTGGGCAAGATATAACAGAAAATGCTTTTCTCCTTTTCTCCTTCCCTCTGAACTCCAAGTCACGTATGTGTATGACTAATATATAGATACAGAATTTAATAGAATGGAAACAAAGGAAGGAAGACACGGTCTAGTGTCCACACATACCAGCAAAACAAAACAAAACACCAATTGTGATATTTGTTTCTGAAAAAATCTGTATTTTTCTGTTTTTTCACAATGCCTCCATTTTTCTCTCCCCTCTCTTCTATTCTCTCATGGCCCCATCTTCTTTCTTGCTCTCTTCTCTTGCCTCTTCCATTCCTGCAACTTTTAGCCTATGTTCAGTATCTACTAAGGTTTTCCAACATTTTTCTTCTTTTAGTGGATTAGTTCATTTTCACACTGCTAATAAAGACGTACTGGAGATTGAGTAATTTATAAAGAAAAGAGATTTAATGGACTCACAGCTCCACATGGCTGGGGAGGTCTCACAATCATGGCAGAAGGCAATGGAGGAGGAAGGCACGTCTTACATGGTGGCAGGCAAGAGAGAGCATATGCAGGGGAACTGCCCTTTATAGAACCATCAGATCTCATGAGACTTATTCACTATCACGAGAACAACTTGGGAAAAATTTGCTCCCATGATTCAATTACCTCCCTCCAGGTCCCCTCATGATACATGGGGATTATTATAATTCAAAATGAGATTTGGGTGGGTACACAGAGCCAAACCATATCATTTAGTCATCATCTTTGTTCCCTATAAAGTTAGGTACGTGTCCTAAGAGGCCTAACAAAAGCAAGTTATCTCAATAATTCAAGTAAAAATATGTCATACAATCTGCTAAGAGAATATGTACTCTTTGTGTTATTGTACATGTGTATTTTTAATATAAAAGTTCAAATTTAACTGTCAATATAAGTTAAAATCAACAACAAAAAGTAAATATGAACTCTAATGCTTCCAAAGCAGTGCTACATAACAATTAAAATATATCTGAAATTTTGCACTTCATATATATTTTTTTCTTTTCTTCACTCTACTAGGTAGACAGGTACTAATACAATAAGAATAGTTGATAACAATGAAACAGTAATATCAGTGAAAATTAAGCCTAAATAACTCTTTTTAATACTCATAGGATATAATATAGTTGACATCATAGATTATTAATATTTTATAAGTATAAGGACACTTAGTCAATTCCTGAGATATAATTAAATGTAAAAAACAGAAATGATTTGGATTTACTGATGCAGACTGAGAATCCCTAACCCCAAAATCTAAAATCCAAAATGCTCCAAATTTTGCAACACATAAGTACTTAACACAAACTTTCTTTTATGCACAAAATCCTGACAAACTTTATGTAAAATTACCTTTGATCTATGGGTATAAAGTGTATATAAAACAATAATGAATTTTGTGTTTAGTCTTGAGTTCCATCCCCCAGATATTTCATTATGTATATACAAGTATTCCAAACACTGGAAAAATCAGAAATCCAAACTTCTGGTTCCAAGCATGTCAGATAAGGGGTATTTGACCTGTGTGAATCCCAACAACAAATTGGTAATGCAATTATTTATCAATATTCTAAAGGATTTTCTTAAAACTTGTGAGTGATTTACATTCACACTTACCTTTGTGCTATAGCCTAAAATAATATAAAAATTGAAGAAATGATGTCAAAGTGCCAGAGCAGCTTTGATAGTCTACATGCTGTTACTTTATACTTAGTGAACATGACACAATAAAACAGTTGGTGTGTTTCACAATTGCAAGCCTTTCCCAGTCGTGTTACAGCATTTTACTTCATGTGTGCATGTATGAGTGTGCATATGTGCATTTATGGTTGTTATACTCCTTTTTTAAATCAAAAATACAAACATTTGATTTAGAAAATAAAATAGTAAAATCCCCAAGCAATTTGACCCTGATGAGTTAAAACTGAATTAGTTATATAAGAATAAATATAACATTTTTGGGGGGACATGCAATAATTGATATAACATTTCAGAATTATTTCTTGAATCATGATAAGTTTTTAAGTGAGCGAAGGCACAGATAATTCAAATAATTATGTCAAAGTAACTTCTATTAGGGCCTTGAGAGGTCTAAAAGTTATTATAAGGAAAGTGTTTTAATGATCAAAGAAACAAACGTTAGAATTTGGAAAATAACCTGAATTATCCCTAAGTTTGTCACTGTAGCGTAGAAGTAATACAGAAAAGAAGCCCCTACAAACTATTTTAATAGGAGTTACTGAAGAAATTAAAATGTTTAGCATTGGGAATAACCTAATTTGCTCACTATTTTCCAGAGTTTCTAGGACAATAAGCTCATTACAGCTGAAAGGCCAACTGAAGGATTTTTTTTTTAATGAGAAGACTGTACTTGTCATGACTGGAATAATTGGTAGCATTTTATTTAGAAACATTTTTTAAAGTAAAACACAATAATAATTCGGCTATATTGCTCTAAAATCTACACTAAAATTAAGCATTTAGTTATATGGCATTATATACCTTTTAATCTTAGGAGAAATAATAATATAAAAATTCTCTTAAGAGTAAAATTGCCATTAACCAAGATTAATAATAGAGATAAAAGTATTAAATGCTAATTTACAGAAGACCTATGAGACTTTCAATACACAGATAGCTAATGCCAGAATGTTTTAATAACTTTTTAATTGTGTGTTAATTATTTATTCATTAAATTGTTTATTCTAGTACTTCATCCAGAGTCTCTGGTGGTCCTGGATGAAGAAATTTAAGCCCTTCCTTGCTTGTAAACAACCAAGTAGGCATTTTTATTGCATTTAAATTAGTTGTGATGGGAAAACGTGTGAGAACAGGCATGGAACTCTGTCAGACTTCATGAACTTTCACTTACCCCTGAATCATAAATCTCAACATTTAAATGTTAGCTCTAAAATTAATATGATTATGTTGACATCATTTTTGGACCCTAACTAGATTATATGAATTTATAGTAAATGTATGTCATAGAGCTGGGCATGGTGATGCACACCTATTGTCCCAGCTACTCAAGAATGGTGAAGCAGGAGGATCACTTGAGCCCAGGAGTCCTGGGTTGTAATGCACAATGATCACACGTAAATAGCCATTGCATTCTGGGCTGAGCAACATAGTAAGACCCTGTTTATAAAAATAAATACATAAATGTATATCACTGGAAGATCAGGACATATTATTTATAATCAGAATTTTCTATTACATGGAACCATAACTAAGCAAACAATATATCCTTTCTTTTACAATTACTTATGAGTCAAGGATATGGACTAATACAACATGATCTCTTTCCTTGATGTGATCATGATCTAGTGGAAGATACAGTGGTGAAAACAAAGTACTAAAATATGATGAGATAACGGTAGAATATTGTGAATTTACAAAGGAGAAGGCAGAGTTTGGACATTAATATTCAAACTAGCTTTTGAAGGATCACCAGGATTTAACCAAATTAAAGAAGTTATTCCCAAGGAAATGCCCAACAGCTTTAGAAGATGTTTTAGGAGCAGCAAGATTAAAGGGAATAGAGTATAGGGACATATATACAGAGAAGAAGATAAAACTGAATGTAAGTGTGCATTTCACTAGTAAATAGTACTTTTCATCAATGTTAAATTTTTTATTTTGTTTCATAGATAGCAAACTATGACTCTCAGTTTGTTATCTGCAAAATAAAATTTTAAAATATATTGCAAAAAGTTGATAAATTGTATTTTCCCTTTGCAAAAATAATTCTGGTATCAAAGGAAAATATGGATGAAAATGCTGATTTCCTTGAGGGTAAGGAGAACAGAGAGAATAGATAAACACTATAGATAAGAGATAGTTAAGGTCTGAGCAAGGAAATGGCAATGGGGTTGAAAAGCAGCAGGGCAATTTTAGGAAACTCTGCTGAGGTTGTTAACTGATTCTATGTGGGTGCAAAGTGGATAAATTGCCAAGTATAATTCTTAAGTTTTTAGCTTGGGGTTATAATGAAGCTATTAACTAACATGAGGGATTACACAGAAGTGGAATTAATTTTAATCGTGCTGGAGGTGCTTGCTTTTTTGTGTCCTAATATATCCCAGGACTTAGATGTGCCTTTTCTTTTCCATTGGATCCTATTACACTGGAAGCACTGGGTGGGCAGCACTAGAATTCTAACAAGGACTTTCACTAGTTTTTGTAGTCAAAAAAGTCCACTGGGTCATGTACAATTTACAGAATGGGGAAAGGTAGTATAAAAAGATCTGAGATTTAGATTTTTGACAAACTTGTGAAATTACCTAACCTCAAGTTTCATAGGGAAGTTAAATTTTCAGTATATCAATTTACATCTGTAAAAGTAGAAAGTCAATTCCAAAGAAGTTTTTCAGTCATGCAAAAAAATCAGGAAACATTCAATGTAAGTGTATACGCAAGGGTCCAGAGATCAGGAGCTCATAGGAGGCAACGAGAAAAGCACATGCCCGTAAGGTGAATGCCAATTACCTGGTAAGTATGTTTGATCTTTGTACTGTGTGATGGTGCACTCAGCACCCAGCAGAGGTGATCATGCACTTTAGAATATCGTTATGCTTGTCACTATACACTGTGACTTTAATAAGTTATGTAGGAACTATGAAAGAAAATATTTCTTAAATGGATTATTTAGTTATCAGGGAATAGAATACAAATACTTGTAGGATCATAAACTTCAGAAAATAATTTCAATTTGTATCAATTAGATGACAGCAACCTACATAGCTCATCAATTATTGAATAAAGTAACTTTTGAGAATATATAAAGTATAAAAATTCATTTAAGTAATTGCTAATACAATTTAATTTCAAAATAATTGTCATTAAAATATATTTATTTACTATCAACTTTTTTTGTGTTTTAAGCGTTTTATATTATTGCAGAAAACAAATTATATGTTAAGAACAGATTTTACAAAAAAACGTTTTTAGATATTGTCAATTAGGTTGAGATGCTAACCCCAAATTTTGTGGAACTGAGGCATTCATTAAAAAAATTACAATGAACTTAGGTTATTTTTTAGATTACAAGTGTTTATTAAAGTATTTTGTTCTCCTACACACACACGTGTGCGTGTGCACACTCATGCACAAATACACATGCACACATTATGTAAGTATATAAGCAAGGTCCAAATGGAAGTTCTGAAAAACAAAATTTTAAGGAGCCAGCTAATATTCATTTACTTTTGAATTTGCAGAATCTTTGTCAATGCTTTGGAAGCATTTATTTTTTCTCAAAATATCAGCCCTGGAAGAGCTCCAGATGTATGAACTAATATTCCACATAATTTTTTTATATAAAAGAACTAATTTTTTAATGCAAGGTGATTTATTTGGGAAAAGTACTTATTTTGACATTAAGAATAGTTCACTACAAAGGTGTGTGAGTTCAAGCCCATTCTGCATCTAGTCTCTTGGACATTGATGATTATTTCTTCTTTAAGCTGAAGAAGAAAAATAAAAATGAAAATTTTAATTTGATTGCTAAAAGATATTTACATTGAAAACTCTAGGAAAAGAGTAAGTTCTCCTTAAATGTTTGATTATAAATGTAATCACATTCCTTGCAAACAGGAAACTTAAATTTCTAAAACGGTACTGCCATGAAAAAATGTCAACCTATAGATTTAAATATTTGTCTCACTACCAACTTGGACATTGGAAAACTGACTCTATAACTTTTTGCTTTGTTTTGTTTTCTATTTGGCCAATAGAAAGAAAAGAAACCAACATCTAGAAGTGAAATATATTTATTTGTTTCTGATCACGGAGAATATAAAATTTTTGTAATAACTTCTAAGAATGTTTTGTTAGCAGTTTCATAACTTCGTTATTTACCACATCATTTTTAAACACTTTGGAGCTAAATGATTTTCTAAATGTCCATGAATACAGAAAACATCTCAGATAAGTGATTGGAGACATACTCTCTTTCCTGTAAGTCATTTCAGTGTTTTTTGAACAATTATATATTATTTTTATTTATTTCTTCAAGTAACAAAAAATTGTTTCTTATATTTGTGGTTGCATCACCATCAAGTATTACTTTGTATGTACTACAATTACTAGAATTACAATTACTAGAACTAATATTAGCTAATATATATTAGCTAATATATATTAGCTTCCTATTCTGTGCCTAGGTCTTAATTTATGAAGGTGACTGAATGACAACTGGGAGAGATCGATGCCATGAAAGTTTAACGTTACTGACATTCCCCCCAGAATCTCGAGGTGCAACACACCAGGCAAGATCACAAGGGAAGCATCAGATTTTGGTCAGGAAACAGAAGCAGGAGTCAGGGGAAAGGCTTAAGCCAGAGCCTTTAGTGGTGTTTCTGCAGGAATACACAGTTTAGGATTGGCCACTTTGAATAATTCCGTCAGGCTTTGGGCTATGAGAGTGGTCTCTATGTGAGTGGTTTTCTATATAAGAGTGGTTTGGAACCTGGCACTGAATTGATTTACTGCAGAGAAGATAGTGGGTTGTTGTGTGAGAGATAAGGAGTTGAGGGGATAAAGAGCCAGGTGAGGGCCTGGCCTTGGATTAGCTAGTTTGATCATAAAAGGCATGCTCCAGGCAAGTTGTCTACCACCCCCAAGAATTAGCTAGGAGAGCTAGTCATTTCCCAAGTCTGGAAGGCCCCCAAGAGATGTCAAAACATCATAAAATATAGAAAATAATAAAACATAATGAATATACTTATTCAGTGAAGATATTAAGCATCTTATGGGGGTTATCTCTTTGATATTCATTTTAAGTGTATAATCCATTATAGTATATAAATATTACATTTCAATTTCAATTTTCCAATTAAAAACTGAGGCTCAAAGAAGTTACCTTATGTGCTCCAGTCTGCATGGTAGTACGGTGGAGGAGCATGGGTTCAAATCCTTACCTATATAGCACAAAATTCAGGCTCCTTGTCACTATACTGTACTGCTTTCCCCAACTATGTAAACAGAATATTCTAAAAACAGGCAGATGAGAAATAGTCAATTTGTGGAATATCTCATAGTAAAAGTAATAAATAAGATCTAGAAGAAAAACATCCTTGATTGATATTATTAAAAATCCATGCATAAATTTCTCTAGGCATAGGAACCCATGGGGATTCTCATTCTATGTTTTGGAGTAGATATCGCAACCTGAAATAATCAATTTAGACTCTGGCATACAGTTCTTTCCATGTTTTTTCACTCCTTATCCTGGCTATCATTAGTTTGTTGAGTGGTCATAATTTAAATAATTAAAATTGCTTACAAAAGTATTTTGACATATGAGAAAATGATCTTGGTTTAATGTTTCTCATGTAAATACATATATTAATGTTTACAGAAACCCAACATATGCACACAAACATGCAAAAACTAAGAATAACCTGGACTTCTAATAAAAGGACACATAGGGCATCTTTACACAACTTTAATAAAACTCTATCTTGAAAACTCTTGACAGAAATATTTACAAATATGAAACAATTTGTTTTACTTGGCAGGATCATCAATCAATAATGACAATAAATAAATAATTACATTTCACATATTCATAGAAATTTTTCATTGACATGAAGTTCAAGTAATTTGATTATTATAATATTTCCTGTTTCAATCAGAATAGGCTATGTTATTCTGAAGTTGCTTAAAAAACAAGATTTATTTATTATTTATATTGTATGTTCATTATGAATTGTCTGGGGCCTCTGTTTTAATTCCATCTAAATGCAATGGGATGTGACTTCTAGCATTTGGAATAACAGTCACCTTGGCAAGGGAAAAGGATCTGATGAGTTCTCCGTGGATGCTGAAATATTTGTACTTGCAAATTACATAGAAATTCTGCAGTTATTCCATTGTCCAAAGTAAGTTACATGGTCCTGACTAACTCAAGGATGTATGTTGAAGTAAGGGAGTTTATTTGTCAACAACCCTAAAAAATACATTTTCCTTTTCACCAAATCAAAGAAGAAACATTAATGATAAACCAAATTTCATGTTAAATTTGTTAAAATATATAAATATATAAAAATCTATTTAAGCATAATAGTAATGCTAAATCTAATGAGGAGTTTTATCTTAATATGCTTTCTGGTGAACAAACAGCACTTAGGGCTCCAGGAAAAATCTCCACATCACTTGCTTTATATTTGAAAAGAAAGTTAATTACATGCAAATATCTTGAAATGTGGGTAATGCTGCCACTACTATTAGAGATAAACAATACTTCAAGTTACAAGGAGGATGTGAACAGCAGAATCTTTTAAATTGCAGAATTACAGCACCATTTATTAAATAGGGAATCCTTTCCCCATTTCTTGTTTTTGTCAGGTTTGTCGAAGATCAGATGGTTGTAGATATGCGACATTATTTCTGAGGGCTCCGTTCTGTTCCATTGGTCTATATCTCTGTTTTGGTACCAGTACCATGCTGTTTTGGTTACTGTAGCCTTGTAGCATAGTTTGAAGTCAGGTAGCGTGATGCCTCCCACTTTGTTCTTTTGGCTTAAGATTGATTTGGCGATGCAGGCTCTTTTGTGGTTCCATATGAACTTTAAAGTAGTTTTTTCCAATTCTGTGAAGAAAGTCATTGGTAGCTTGATGGGGATGGCATTGAATATATAAATTACCTTGGGCAGTATGGCCATTTTCATGATGTTGATTCTTCCTACCCATGAGCATGGAATGTTCTTCCATTTGTTTGTATCCTCTTTTATTTCATTGAGCAGTGGTTTGTAGTTCTCCTTGAAGAGGTCCTTCACATCCTTTGTAAGTTGGATTCCTAGGTATTTTATTCTCTTTGAAGTAATTGTGAATGGGAGTTCACTCATGATTTGGCTCTCTGTTATTGGTGTATAAGAATGCTTGTGATTTTTGCACATTGATTTTATATCCTGAGACTTTGCTGAAGTTGCCTATCAACTGAAGGAGATTTTGGGCTGAGACAATGGAGCTTTCTAGATATACAATCATGTCATCTGCAAACAGGGACAATTTGACTTCCTCTTTTCCTAATTGAATACCCTTTATTTCCTTCTCCTGCCTGATTGCCCTGGCCAGAACTTCCAACACTATGTTGAACAGGAGTGGTGAGAGAAGGCATCCCTGTCTTGTGCTAGTTTTCAAAGGGAATGCTTCCAGTTTTTGCCCATTCAGTGTGATACTGGCTGTGGGTTTGTCATAGATAGCTCTTATTATTTTGAGATATGTCTCATCAATACCTAATTTATTGAGAGTTTTTAGCATGAAGCATTGTTGAATTTTGTCAAAGGCCTTTTCTGCATCTATTGAGATAATCATGTGGTTTTTGTCGTTGATTCTGTTTATGTGCTGGCTTACGTTTATTGATTTGCATATGTTGAACCAGCCTGGCATCCCAGGGATGAAGCCCACTTGATCATGCTGGATAAGCTTTTTGATGTGCTGCTGGATTCGTTTTGCCAGTATTTTATTGAGGATTTTTGCATCAATGTTCATCAGGGATATTGGTCTAAAATTCTCTTTTTTTGTTGTGTCTCTGCCAGGCTTTGGTATCAGGATGATGTTGGCCTCATCAAATGAGTTAGGGAGGATTCCCTCTTTTTCTATTGATTGGAATAGTTTCAGAAGGAATGGTACCAGCTCCTCATTGTACCTCTGGTAGAATTCAGCTGTGAATCCATCTGGTCCTGGAATTTTTTTGGTTGGTTAGCTATTATTGCCTCAATTTCAGAGTGTTATTGGTCTATTCAGAGATTCAAGTTCTTCCTGGTTTAGTCTTGGGAGGGTGTATGTGTCGAGGAATTTATCCATTTCTTCTAGATTTTTTAGTTTATTTGCATAGAGGTGTTTATAGTATTCTCTGATGGTAGTTTGTATTTCTGTGGGATCGGTGGTGATATTCCCTTTATCATTTTTTATTGTGTCTATTTGATTCTTCTCTCTTTTCTTCTTTATTAGTCTGCTAGTGGTCTATCGATTTTGTTGATCCTTTCAAAGCACCAGCTCCTGGATTCATTGATTTTTTGCAGGGTTTTTTGTGTCTCTATTTCCTTCAGTTCTGCTCTGATCTTAGTTATTTCTTGCCTTCTGCTAGCTTTTGAATGTGTTTGCTTTTGCTTCTCTAGTTATTTTAATTGTGATGTTAGGGTGTCAATTTTAGATCTTTCCTGCTTTCCCTTGTGGGCATTTAGTGCTATAAATTTCCCTCTACACACTGCTTTGAATGTGTCCCAGAGATTCTGGTATGTTGTGTCTTTGTTCTCGTTGGTTTCAAAGAGCATCTTTATTTCTGCCTTCATTTTGTTATGTAACCAGTAGTCATTCAGGAGCAGGTTGTTCAGTTTCCATGTAGTTGAGCGGTTTTCAGTGAGTTTCTTAATCCTGAGTTCTAGTTTGATTGCACTGTGGTCTGAGAGACAGTTTGCTATAATTTCTGTTCTTTTACATTTGCTGAGGAGTGCTTTACTTCCAACTATGAGGTCAATTTTGGAATAGGTGTGTTGTGGTGCTGAAAAGAATGTATATTCTGTTGATTGGGGGTGGAGAGTTCTGTAGATGTCTATTAGGTCTGCTTGGTGCAGAGCTAAGTTCAGTTCCTGGATATCCTTGTTAACTTTCTGTCTTGTTGATCTGTCTAATGTTGACAGTGGGGTTGTTAAAGTCTCCCATTGTTATTGCGTGGGAGTCTAAGTCTCTTTGTAGGTCTCTAAGGACTTGCTTTATGAATCTGAGTGCTCCTGTATTGGGTGCATATATATTTAGGATAGTTAGCTCTTCTTGTTGAATTGATCCCTTTACCATTATGTAATGGCCTTCTTTGTCTCTTTTGATCTTTGTTGTTGGTGTGAAGTCTGTTTTATCAGAGACTAGGATTGCAACCCCTGCTTTTTTTTGTTTTCCATTTGCTTGGTAGATCTTCCTCCATCCCTTTTTTTTGAGCCTATATATGTCTCTGCACGTGAGATGGGTCTCCTGCATACAGCACACTAATGGGTCTTGACTCTTTATCCAATTTGCCAGTCTGTGTCTTTTATTTGGAGCATTTAGCCCATTTACATTTAAGGTTAATATTGTTATGTGTGAATTTGATCCTGTCATTATGATGTTAGCTGGTGATTTTTCTTGTTAGTTGATGCAGTTTCTTCCTAGCCTCGATGGTCTTTACAATTTGGCATGTTTTTGCAATGGCTGGTACCAGTTGTTCCTTTCCATGTTTAGTGCTTCCTTCAGGAGCTCTTTTAGGGCAGGCCTGGTGGTGACAAAGTCTCTCAGCATTTGCTTGTATGTAGAAAGCTGAAACTGGATCCCTTCCTTACACCTTATACAAAAATTAATTCAAGATGGATTAAAGACTTAAATGTTAGATATAAAACCATAGAAACCCTAGAAGAAAACCTAGGCAATACCATTCAGGACATAGGCATGGGCAACGTCTTCATGTCTAAAACACCAAAAGCAATGGCAACAAAAGCCAAAATTGACAAATGGGATCTAATTAAACTAAAAAGCTTCTGCACAGCAAAAGAAACTACCATCAGAGTGAACAGGCAACCTACAGAATGGGAGAAAATTTTTGCAATCTACTCATCTGACAAAGGGCTAATATCCAGAATCTACAAAGAACTCAAACAAATTTACAAGAAAAAACCAACCCTATCAACAAGTGGGTGAAGGATATGAACAGACACTTCTCAAAAGAAGACATTTATGCAGCCAAAAGACACATGAGAAAATGCTCACCATCACTGGCCATCAGCGAAATGCAAATCAAAACCACACTGAGATACCATCTCACACCAGTTATAATGGTGATCATTATAAAGTCAGGAAACAACAGGTGCTGGAGAGGATGTGGAGAAACAGGGACACTTTTACACTGCTGGTGGGACTGTAAACTAGTTCAACCGTTGTGGAAGTCAGTGTGGCGATTCCTCAGGGATCTAGAACTAGAAATACCATTTGACCCAGCCTTGCCATTACTCAGTATATACCCAAAGGATTATAAAACATGCTGCTATAAAGACACATGCACACGTATGTTTATTGCGGCACTATTCACAATAGCAAAGACTTGGAACCAAGCCAAATGTCCATCAATGATAGACTGGATTAAGAAAATGTGGCACATATACACCATGGAATACCATGCAGCCATAAAAAATGATGAGTTCATGTCCTTTGTAGGGACATGGATGAAGCTAGAAACCATCATTCTCAGCAAACTATCGTAAGGACAAAATACCAAACACCGTATGTTCTCACTCATAGGTGGTAATTGAACAATGAGAACACATGGACACATGAAGGGGAGCATCACACACATGGACACAGGAAGGGGAACATCACACACATGGACACAGGAAGGGGAACATCACACACTGTTGTGGGGTGGGGTGAGGGGGGAGGGATAGCATTAGGAGATATACCTCATGTTAAATGACGAGTTAATGGGTGCAGCACACCAACATGGCACAGTGTACATATGTAACAAGCCTGCACGTTGTGCACATGTACCCTAAAACTTAAAGTATAATAAAAGAAGTACAGAAATTACAAATTTATGAATTTATCAAAGTCTTTCTCTCATATAGCTGAAATCCCTCTATAACTTAGCATTATTTTTCAATAGTCTGAGGTCCCTTATTTATTTATTTATTTATTTATTTATTTATTTATTTATTGCTTCTTCTGTGTTCCACTTAATGCTACTATTTCTGGAAATAATATGCTTTAATGCAATACATCAAAAATTGTACCATACAACTGCAGAATACACATCCAGTAGAAACCACACTTTGCATTTTGATCTTTTACTAGGCTAGTGATAATGCAATATGATACTATTTCACAGTGCTCGGCAGTGGCCACAAGCCATTCTCTTTTTCACTTCTTTTAGTGTAGTAATCAATAAATTACATGAGATATTCAACACTTTGTTATAAAATAGAGTTAGTGTTAGTTTTCCCCAATGGTAGACTAATGTAATTTTTCTGAGAATGTTTAAGATAGGCTAGGGTAAGCTATGATGTTTGATAAGTTAGGTTTATTAAATGAATTTTTGACTTAACAATATTTTCAACTTATGGATTTATCAGAATATAACTCCATTGTAAGTTGAGAAGTATTTGTATAAAAACAGTTGATACAAATAGTTGACAATTATTTTTAGTTAAAATTTATTGAAAATTTATATAGTCAAATACAGGTAAGTTTTATGTATATTTATATTATTATCAAATTAATCTAAATGTGAAAAATTATTACTACATAATTATTGATTTTGTTAAAATGAAGAGAAGATAAACATTTTTTGGAATGCATAATGACTTGTTAAATGCAGTATATTTATTTATTTGCTTATTCAATAACATGAACAAATCATCACAGACATGTATTATAATAATTAATGCTGCTTTTATATTTTGCTTACCAATAGATAAATCATAGCTTTACTCAAGTTTCTTTTTTAATTTTGTCAATGTGGATTCTTATTTTTCATAGTACGTGGATATGTCACCTTTTATGTAACTATTATTTTGATTTTTATATTTTGAATGTTTGGAATTATACTATGTGATCACATTTGTACTTTGTCCCCATTTCTATACATGCTAGAGGAAGTCAGATTATCTCTTTGCTGATGACATAATTTTATACCTAGAAAACCCTAAAGATTCCTATAAAAGATACTTGGACTTGATAAATACCTTCAGTAAAGTTTCAGGATACAAAATCAGTGTAAAAATATCAGTAGCAATATTGGATATCAAATTTTGTAACACATATTTTTGTATATTCTTAAGATACATATATATGTGTGTGTGTGTCTTTTAAAAAGGAACGTAAATACAATGGAATAATTAAACATTATCTCTACTTAATAAAAAATAAGTTTTTTTTGCCTCATGAAATAGTAAGACATTTTACTTTTTGTTTTTCTTTCCCAAAAACACTCCTCTGAACTGTATCAAGCCTTTAGGACATCCATCTTTTTCTTGATGTATTGGGAAAACTGAATAGGGTCAAAAGTGAAATTCAGTGTGACTTGCAGCTTTGCCCTTATAAATCATACATTACAGTGACTTCTACTGTCAGTGTAATATGAGGACATTAGTTAAATCTCCTCTGAACAAAAGTGTTTGAATATGGACTACCTAGATTTTTAATTACTGGCAACTGTAGGTTTTTAAACTTGTATGAATTCGTTTCTAGCTGTCCAAAAATGTCCATCCATTTAAACATAAATGCTTTTTTGCAGTACAGCTGTTTCTGAATCAGGTGGTTTGCATCTATGAATTCATCAAATAGGCTATCCATGTCTAAAATATCCACTTCTAATCTTTTCTCATCTTACATAACACTTTTTAGTCTTCTATGATATATCTTTCTGTTACTCAAAACCTTGAATTCTTTTAGTTCCACTAAGATGAGATTTTGAATACCGTATCTTTATTTATATTCATCGCCTAGAATAAGGGTTGGGTCAAATAGGATCCACCATTTGTTTTTGTTAAGACCTGTGATCTAAAATTGTTTGACGATCTTTGAAAAGGCCGCAGGGAGCCTAGAAAATTTGAACTGACTACAGCTATGTTTTCTGCGTTCTTGGTATGTTTTCTCAAAAACCCATTTTGTGAATAAAATCACTCATTTCTTGAAGGATTACTAGTTCAGAATTCAAAAAATTTACCCACAATGTTAAAGGAATTTCTCACCTTTTTTTTTTTTGCTAAAACTGTTGCTAATTTGGAATCCAACTTTGATTTCACAAATTCAAATTATCTCTATGATTTAAAACTATTTTCTCTGAGAATAGATGTTTTATTTATGATGACATCCAATGTGCTTCAGAATATTTTAAAATGAGGATATTTTAGACATGGATAGCCTATTTGATGAATTCATAGATGCAAACAACCTGATTCAGAAACAGCTGTACTGCAAAAAAAAAAAAAAAGCCTTTATGTTTAAATGGATGGACATTTTTGGACAGCTAGAAATGAATTCATACAAGTCTGAAAACCTGCAGTTGCCAGTAATTAAAAGTCTAGGTAATCCATGTTCAAACACTTTTGTTCAGAGATTTAACTAATGCCCTCATATTACACTGACAGTAGAAGTCAGTGTAATGTATGATTTATAAGGGCAAAGCTGCAAGTCAGATTGAATTTTACTTTTGACCCTATTCAGTTTTCCCAATGCATCAAGAAAAAGATGGATGTCCTAAAGGCTTGATACAGTTCAGAGGAGTGTTTTTGGAAAAGAAAAACAAAGAGTAAAATGTCTTACTATATCATAAGTCAAAAATAAACTTATTGTTATTTTTTGTTAAATAGAGGTGATATCTGTTTAATTATTCCATTGTATTTACGTTTCTTTTTAAAAGACATATATATGTACATATATATCTTAAGAATATACAAAAATATGTGTTACAAAATTTGATATCCAATATTGCTACTGATACTTTTACTTTGATTTTGTATCCTGAAACTTTACTGAAGGTATTTATCAAGTCCAAGTATCTTTTATAGGAATCTTTAGGGTTTTCTAGGTATAAAATTATGTCATCAGCAAATAAATAATTTGACTTCCTCTTTTCCAACTTGGATGCCTTTTATTTTTTTCTCTTACCTGATTGCTGTAGTTAGGACTTTCAGTACTATGTTGAGTAGACATGGTGAGAATGAACATCCTTGCTTGTTCCAGGTCTTAGGGGAAATGCTTCTAACTTTTCCCCATTCAGTATGATGTTGGCTGTATGTTTTTTATAGATGGCTCTTATTATTTTGAAGTATTGTTCCTTCAACGCCTAGTTTGTTGAAGGTTTTTATCAAAAGGAATGTTAGATTTTATTCAGTGCTTTTTTCTGCATCTATTGTGATGATCATGTGGTTATTGTTTTTACTTCTGTTTATTGATTTGCCTATTTTGAAGCATTCTTGCATTCCTGGAATAAAACCCACTTGATTGTGATGAATTATCTTTTTGATGTGCTGTTGAATTTGGTTTGCTAGTATTTTTTTTTGAGGATCTTTGCATTTATGTTCATCATGAATATTGACCTGCAGTTTTCTTTTTGTGTTGTGTCTTTGCCTGATTTGGACTTCAGGGTGATATTGTATTTGTAGAATGAGTTAGAGAGGAATCCCTCTTAATTGATTTTTTGGAATAGTTTCAGTAATATTGGTACAACCTCTTCTTTGTATGTCTGGTAGAATTCAGCTGTGAATCGGTCTCATCCTGGGATTTTTTTGTTCAAATATTATTCATTAGGAATTCAGTTTAGTTACTCATTATGGGCTTGTTTAGGATTTCTGTTATTTCCTGGTTCAATTCTTGGGATATTGTATGTTTCCAGGAATTTGCCCTTTTCCTCTAGGTTTCCAAGATTGTATGCATAAAGGTGTTTATGGTAGTTTCTCATGGTCTTTTGTGTATCTGTGGTATCAGTTGTAATGTCTCTTTTTTAACATTTCTATTGTACTTATTTGAATCTTTTTATCTTGGTTAATCTAGCTAGTGATCAGTCAATTTTGTTTATCCTTCAAATAACCAACTTTTCACTTTGTTGATCCTTTGTATCATTTTTGTTGGTCTCACTTGTACTTAGTTCTGCTCTGTTCTTTGTTGTTTCTTTTTTTCTGTTAGATTTGAGAGTTGTTTGTCCTTGTTTTTCTAGTTCCTAGAGGTGTTGCGGGAAGTCAGGGACCCAAACAGAGGGACCGGCTGAAGCCATGGCAGAAGAACGTGGATTGTGAAGATTTTATGGACATTTATTAGTTCTCCAAATTAATACTTTTGTAATTTCTTATGCCTGTCTTTACTGCAATCTCTAAACATAAATTGTAAAGATTTCATGGACACTTATCACTTCCCCAATCAATACCCTTGTGATTTCCTATGCCTGTCTTTGCTTTAATCTCTTAATCCTGTCAGCCGAGAAGGATGTATGTCACCTCAGGACTATGTGATAATTGCATTAACTGCACAAATTGTACAGCATGTGAGTTTGTACAATATGAAATCTGAGCACCTTGAAAAAAGAAAAGGATAACAGCAATTGTTCAGGGAATAAGAGAGATAACCTTAAACTCTGACCGCCAGTGAGCCTGGCAGAACAGAGCCATATTTCTCTTCTTTCAAAAGCAAATGGGAGAAATATCGCTGAATTCTTTTTCTCAGCATGGAAGGTCCCTGAGAAAGAGAATGCGCACCTAGGGGTAGGTCTCTGAACTGTCCCCCCCGGGGCATACCTGTCTCTTATGGTCGAGATTGCAGAAGTGAAATAAACTCCAGTCTCCCATAGCACTCCCAGGCTTATTAGGAAGGGGAAATTCCCACCTAATAAATTTTGGTCAGACCAGTTGATCTCAAAACCCTGTCTCCTGATAAGATGTTATCAATGACAATGGTGCCCGAAACTTCATTAGCAATTTTAATTTCACCTCGGTCCTGTGGTCCTGTGATTTCACCCTGCCTCCACTTGCCTTGTGATATTCTATTACCCTGTTAAGTACTTGATGTCTGTCACCCACACCTATTCGCACACTCCCTCCCCTTTTGAAAATCCCTAATAAAAACTTGCTGGTTTTTGTGGCTTGTGGGGCATCACGGATCCTACCAACATGTGATTTCTCCCCCAGATGCCCAGCTTTAAAATTTCTCTCTTTTGTACTCCGTCCCTTTATTTCTCAAGCCAGCCAACACTTAGGAAAATAGAAAAGAACTTACGTGATTTTCAGGGCAGGTTCCCTGAAAGAGGTTCCGCATGAAGTTGTCAATTTGAGATCTTCCTATATTTTTGATGTAGGCATTTAGCACTATAAACTTTCTTCTTAGCACTACTTTTGCTGCATCCCAGAGATTTAAGTACATTTTGTCTGTATTTTTTTGGTTTTGAAAATTTTTTTTGATTTCTGCGTTAATTTTTTTTTTTGAGACAAAGTCTTGCTCTGTTACCAGGCTGGAATTCAGTGGCATGATCTCAACTCACTGCAAACTCCACTTCCCAAGTTCACACCATTCTCCTGCCTCAGTCTCCCGAGTAGCTGAGACTACAGGTGCCCACCACTACACCCGGCTAAATTTTGTATTTTTAGTAGAGATGGGGTTTCACCATGTTAGCCAGGATGGTCTCGATCTCCTGACTAGTGATCCGCCCACCTCAGCCTCCCAAAGAGCTGGGATTACAGGCATGAGCCACTGCACCCAGCCAATTTCTGTCTTAATTTTATTATTTTTCCAATAGTAATGCAGGAGCAAGTTACTTACTTTCCATATTCTTGTGTAGTTTTGAGCATTATTCTTGGTATTGATTTTTAGTTTTATTCCACTGTGGTCCAAGAAGATACATGATATGATTTTGATTCTTTATTTCATTGAAACCATATGCTTTTCTCCAAGCACATGGTTGATTTTGGAGAATGTTCCCTGTGCAGAAGATGAGGAAGTTATTTCTATGGTTGGTGAGTAGAATGTTCTGTAAATGTCTGTTAGGTCCATTTGGTCTATAGTCCAGTTTAAGTCCAGAGTTTCTTGGTTAATTTTCTGCCTTGATGATCTATATAATAATATCAGATCTAGTATGTCTAGTCCCCCACTATTCTTGCATTGTGATCCATGTGTTTCTTAGGCGTAGTAGTATTTGTTTGGTGAATCTGGGTGCTCTGGTGTTCAGTGCATTTATTTTTATGCCTGCTAACACAACATTAATTCTGCAGTGCATGAATCAAGGAGTAATTTTAACTTTCAAGTCTTATTAGTTAGGAAATACATTTTATAAGATTATAGCTGTCATAGATAGTTATTCCTTTGATGGATCTGGGAAAATTCAATTGAAAACCTTCCAGGAAGGATTTATTATTCTAGAGGCCATTAAGAACATCCACGTTTTATGGGAGTAGATCAAAGCATTAACATTAACAGGAATTTGGGAGAAATTAATCCTGAACCCAATAGATGATTTTGAGATTTTGAGGGGATAAAGATTTCAGTAGAGAAACAGCTGCAAAGAAATAGAAAGATAACTAGAATTAGAAGTAGAGCCCAAAGAGGTGACTGAGTTGCTGCAATCCTATGAATACAACTTGAATGGATGAGTAGTTGCTTCTTATGGATAAGCAAAGAAAGTGGTTTCTTGAGATGGAATCTACTTCTGGTAAAGATACTGTGAACCTTGTTAAAATGACAATGAAGGACTTAGAATATTACATCAATGTAATTGATGAAGCAGTGGTAAAATTTGAGAGGATTGACTCCAGTTTTGAAAGGAGTTCTACTGTGGGTAAAATGCTATCAAATGACATTGCATGCCACATAGAAATCTTTCTTGAAAGGAAAAGTCAGTTCATGCAGTAAATTTTATTTTCTTATTTTAGGAAATAGTCACAGCCACCCCAGCCTTAAGTAACCACCACCCTGCTCACTCAACAACAATGAACACTGAGGCAAGACTCTCCACTAGCAAAAAGATTATGACTTGTTGAAGACTCAGATAATTGTTAGTATTTTTTAGCAATAAAGTGTTTTTAATTTAGATTTCTTTTTTTTATTAAACCTAATGCTATTGCACACTTACATAGCAATAGACTATAGTGTAAACGTAACTTTTATATGCACTGGGAAAACAAAATATTTGTGTGACTTGGAACCAAACTTATCTCCAAGTTATGCCCAGATAGATAGATAGATAGATAGATATTCATGTATATCTCTCTATATATGTGTGCATATATATACTATATATCTATATATAGATATCATTTATATCTATATATACACATGCATATATAGATATAAATGTATATATCTACATATATATTCTATATATGTGTACATATAGATATATATATAGCTCTCTATATATTCAAAATCAAACACTTAAGTTAATATTTTATAGGTATATATGGTCGATGGATGTGTGAATAAAACAAAGTAGTAAGGAAGTGAATACCACAAAAATAATATTACAGTTACCTATATGTGAAAAGAAACAGAGCAGTAAGGAAATGAATACCATAAAAATAATATTACAGTTACCTACCTGTGCAAAGAGAGAGTTCTCATTAATAAAGGACAAATAGAAGTTTCTGGTATGTAGTGATGTTTTATTTTTTGACATCGTTGTAGATACATAGAGTTTTTGCACTATAAAGCTACATTTATATGTTTATGCAATTTTGTATATATTTTTCACATTTGTGCATATCACATTTCACGTAAAATTTTCATGACAGAAAAGAGAGTCAAAAGTAGTCCCTTGGAAGCCAAGTACAAAAAGTATTTCATAAAAGGGAGTGAGGTGTAATTATTGATTATCTGTAGGTTAGATTGTATTGCTGCTATTTACGGAAAACTATACTTTCTAATAGAAAGCCCAGAATTTAACATACATATTTATCTTCCCTGAATGTGGGTAGGTCTCTGCCACAGACAGACCTGTCCCTGAAGAAGAAAGAAACAAATTTCCCTCTCTGTGGGCATAGTATTTTATTAATACAGAGCAAGGGGTTCCATGCTTAATATATTCTTCCAAATTTATTAACCTCTTATCCAAAGAGAAAGAGTGGGCACTAAGAGGACTACAGCTCATGGTAGCATGTTTTCAGGAGAGTAACTTCCTAAAATTAGTTATTAAATCAATGTTTAATGGAAAATATGGCCATCCTCGCAAGGGAAAACAAGATCAGAAGGTCATGGGACCCCTTAAGATTTATTTGTATTTTATTATTCTCTGAGTAAAATCAGATGAGCTATGACTTCTTTTTTTTTCTTTTTTTTTTTTGAGACAGAGTCTCTTTCTGTTGCCCAGGCTATAGTGCAGTGGAGCGATCTTGGCTCACTGCAACCTCTGCCTCCTCTGTTCAAGCGACTCTCCTTCTCAGCCTCCCGAGTAACTGGGACTACAGATGGGTGCCACCATGCTTGGCCATTTTTTTTTTTTTTTTGTATTTGTAATAGAGACAGGGATTCACCATGTTGGTTAGGCTGGTCTCAAACTCCTGACCACAGGTGACCTGCCCACCTCGGTCTCCAAAAGTGCTGGTATTGCAGGCGTGAGCTACCACACCAGGCCCAGATGAGCTATTACTTTGTCATGGTATAGATTTAAAAACATGAAATATTTTAATATTTTAGTATTTTTTTATTTTATTTAGAAATTAATTGTAAATAATGTGTTTCTTAATTAATTTTAGGTTTTATTATTATTTACATTCCTAATCTATCCCATGTACATATTCTGTTAAGCAAATGATTACACATTTAATTGTATTATTTTTTATTCAATAGTATTTATTGAACTGCTAATATAGTTCAAGAATTACTCTACATATTGATATAAATACCACCAGCTTTTTCTTTTCAGGTCAACATTGTTTTACTGTAAATTATACCAGTACCCTTTTGCTAACACATTATGGCTTTAGCTTTTGTGATTCATAAAACAGATGTGAAAAAAAATCAATGTGGTTCTAAAAGTGAACAATGCCTCTCAGTCTAAGCTACCATCACCACGTGAAACCCATCATTAATGCACAATATAAAAATATCATGAAACCAGTAAGTCTTATTTTATTTTTTTCTCAGGACACAAGGAAAATAATAGAAAGGATGGAAAGCTATGATTTCTTTTGATAAGTTACTGCTTTTCAAATTAGGTTCATTCTCATCAGATAGTCTAAAGTGAGGTGATTATATTTATTATTATTTTAAATTGTTTTAATAGAAATGTTCCCTACTATATTGTATCTCTAGAGAGATGAATCAGTATTTTAAAATATTAATAACTCGTTGTATAATACTTAATGCTTTACATCCTAACCAATTTTACATAGAAAGTGATTGGTGCAGACACAGTGGAGGAGATGGATTTGATGTGAGATATATCATATAAATAGTTGCTTTATAAAGGAATCACAATAGTATGTGTTATAGAAAATCTTGACTTCATCTTTCTCAACATCTACCTCAATTTATAACAAACTTTTCTAATCTTATCAAAAAATTATTTGCTCACAAATTACCAATCAGTTGTCTTATCCTTAACCTCACCTGAAGTGTTTATCTATGGAAAACCTCTAAGGTTATCTTTTTAAAGTTTTCCCACCTGAGAAAATAATGTGTTCTTTGACATAAATGTTGATCTATGCCAGATATTAAGCATATTGAAAACAAGTAGGCATAGATGCAGAGAAAATATGGGATTATTTGTCTGTGGTAAAGCACAATATCACACAAATGTTTACTCAGTAACAGGAAAAGGCTGTTAAGCCTGTTAGAAAAAAAAGTTCCAATTATGTTCACATCTATAAATTGAAATAATCATAACCGGTAATTTGATCCTAATTTTGTTTACATGTGTCAATGTGGAAGTTCAAACTCTAAACATGTACTACAAATTCATTAAAAAATCCATGCTCATGAAGCCTCATATCATTATAGACTCCTTTCCATTTATATTGACACTTGCTTTCAACTGAATCTTTAGGCATACTGAATGATCCACCTGCTTACAGTCCCACATACCTACAGAACTAAGTTACACTATTAAGATACTCATACAAATGACTATATTTATAAGTAAATATATAAGCATGTTTTAAAAACTAATCTATGAAAGTCCAAATAGAAAAGAATAATAAATGTACACTAAATTATGATTATGTAATTTAATAACAATTTAGAGAAAGATTATGTAAAACAATGGATGCACTGTTCTAAATCAGTGGTTCTCAATTATAACTTGACTCTGAGTCACCTGCCGGGCCTGTTAAAACCAGATTCTGCATCCCACCTTCAGAGTTTCTGTATCTTTAGTTCAGGTGTGGGGTTCAAAAACTTGCATTTCTAAAAAGTTCCTAGATAAGGTTGAAGCTGCTAGTTCAATAACTGCATTTTGAATACCACTGCTTTAAAACATTCAAACTGTGATTCCTTTTTTAAAATGTTGCTTTACATGCAACTGTATATAGAATATTAACCATGAAAAAAAATAACTTACAAATAATCCTGAATGGTATTCCACATTCTAACTTTCATTTGAGATATTTAGAAACTGAGACACAAGGATATTAAGTGAATCATTCAGCGCATAACTCAATGCATTTTACACTGAAAATGAATTGTGGATGCATGAGAAGATTCATGGCTATATGGGTTGAAAAGGTGAACAATTAGTAATAGGTAAGAGAATATTTTGAGAGATAAGAAAAGATTCATTGGACTACAGTGACTACACAATACCAGTAAATATATTCTAAATTAACAATGAAAATATTAATTGAAGCTGACTTTTAAGTTTCAGTTTCTACATATAACAAGACTGAAAACATCAATTGCATCCTTACAACAAGACAAAAGCTGAGCAAACGAAAAATCAAAGACATTTTCTTACTCACTGGAGAATTGAGGACTCTGGGCAAACCACCACCCAGGATCTATAAGAGACAAGAGAATACATAAAATCACAGTCAAAATCGGCTTATTTGGACCAGAAGCCACTGGAGTCCTACACTATCTGGAACACTTGTATGATTCTTTTCATGAATTCTGAGGACTGTAAACTAGTATGAGAGTAAGAAATTTCTGGGGACCACAGTCTTTGAATACATTTACTTTCATGAGTTCACTTTCAGGAAATCCATGAGGTTCTTAAACCAAGTAAAATCAGAAGCAGAGGAATGAAAACAGTAACCACAGTGAAATAAACCCATATGTTCTCCATAACAAAGGCTTGCCCTCTAATGTAAACACTGTAATAGCCTTATTGGACATAGGCTGAAGGACGATAATTCTGACAACATCAGTTCCTGGGGAGCATATGGAGCACTGAAAACTCTCATTTACAGTGGGAATACAAAATGGCCTAACCACTGTGGAAGACAGTTTGGTAGTTTTTTCAAATGTAAACCAAATTTTACCATATAGTCCTGCAATCGTGTTCCTAGACATTTACTTAAATCATTTGAAAACTATGTCTACACAGAATATATACAAGAATGTTTGTAGAAGCTTTATTCGAAATCACCAAAAATTAAAAGCAATCAGGATGCTCTTTGATAGGAGAATTAAGAAATAAAATACGGTACGTCCATGCAAAAGAATAATATTCAGCAATAAAAATATGAATTATTAAGCCATTAAGATACATAGGTGATTCAAAGTTCCTATTTCTAAGTTTTAAAAGCCAGTCTGAAAGTCTACCTATTGCATCTTTCCAATTATATGACATTGTGGAAAAGGCAAAACTATAGAGACAACAAAAATTAGCTTAACTTCCCTATAACATCACCTTGGAGCTTAGGATATCAACATGAATTTTGGAGGGACACAAATATCCAGACCATGGCATTCTGTAAGTCTGAAACTGTTTACAAATAAAATATATCCAAAATGTTTTAAGCCTTTAGTAAATGGTTACATTTCATAAATATATTTTTTTATCTGAAAATCTTATTTCTTATGTCAAGGTTAAATTGAAATCAGAATCTCATCATTTCCCTAAATACCTGCCATAAATGATGGTAAAACCTACACCCAAATTCTTTAATGCATCTTTAAATTCTCCTGTCTTCTGGAATGAATGCTTAATGGTTTTGCTTTGTGTGTCTCTGTGTTTTTTAATCCTTTTTTCTTTCATCCTAGTCCTCTAACCCTTTTAGAAGCTAAATTTTGTCATTTTAATCTGATGGTAATTACTATATGCTACTCTATTCAGCATCAGACAGGATTGCCTCAGGGAAAAAAAAGAGATAAGTGCCCTGTGGAGTTTAAATAGATTTGTTCTGCAGATATGCCAAACTACATTTTATTTTTAAATCTCTATAAAGTGAATCTGAATCTATTTCAATTGTTGCATTTTATTGATGGTAAGACTTTTGAATGAGATTCTTTGTTCTACATAAAAAAATGAGAAAAAACAACCTTTTGGTATCAGCTACTCACATTATGTGTCTGATTTTACTGGAAAGTTGACTTAACTAGGCATTTGTGCAATCATTTTCCTGAATTAAATGGTGATATCTAAATAAAAAACATTTGTATGTTGACCAGTAGCAATTTCTTCTCTAAAGAAGGATGGTTACAAATTTTAAGGATAAGTATATGTGTTGCAATCATTCAAGCCGTATACTACATTAGACTAATTACATTAACAGAACATATATTTTGTTAGATTTAATAGTTGAAAATACTAGAAACAGAGAAATGAAATCAATAGATATACTCTTTTTAAAAAAAAGTTGATTAAGATTGAAACCAAAGGCTTTTAATCTTAATTATGGGGCAATTTCACCTAATAAAACCTTAATAAAAATAGACAGAACAAACTAGTTATTGGATTATACTTTTCATAAAATCTATTTTCTTCCAATGTTATTTTATTCATTTATTTTTAAAAATTTTATTATATTTTATTTTATTCAGTAGTTTTGAGAGAACAGGTGGTTTTTTGTTACATGGGTAAGTTCTTTAGTGGTGATTTCTGAGATTTTGGTGCACTTGTCACCAAAGTAGTGCACACTGTACCCAATGTGTAGTCTTTTATCCCTTACCCCACTCCCACACTTCTACAGTCCCCAAAGTCTATTATATTGTTATGCCTTTGCCTTATCATAGCTTAGCTCCCATGTATAAGTGAGAACATACGATGTTTGATTGTCCATTCCTGAGTTACTTCACTTAGAAAAATAGTGTCTAACTCCATCCAGGTTGCTGCAAATAACGTTATTTATTCCTTTTCATGGCTGAGTAGTATTCCATGGTGTGTGTGTGTGTGTGCATGTGTGTATATATATGTAGAATATATATATAGAGAGAGAATATATACACATATAGATATATATAGAGAGAATATATATACATATACAGATATATAGAATATGCATTCTATATAATTCTATATCTGTATAAATATATAGATATATAGATATATAGAGATATAGAGATATATAGAATATATATAGAATATGTATAGAATATCTGTATATAGAATATATATAGAATATCTGTATATAGAATATATATAGAATATCAGTATATAGAATATATATAGAATATCGGTATATAGAATATATATAGAATATCGGTATATAGAATATATATAGAATATCGGTATATAGAATATATATAGAATATCGGTATATAGAATATATATAGAATATCGGTATATAGAATATATATAGAATATCGGTATATAGAATATATATAGAATATCGGTATATAGAATATATATAGAATATCGGTATATAGAATACATATAGATATATAGAATATCGATATATAGAATAATATAGAATATATATAGAATGTCCACTTGGTTGATGGGCATTCTCTATATAGATAGATAGATAGATCTATGTATATATATAGAATATATATAGAAATGTTATATATATATATATATCACATTTTCTTTGTCCACTTGTTGGTTGATGGGCATTTAGGCTGGTTCCATATTTTTGCAACTGCAAATTGTGCTGCTATAAACATACAGGTACAAGTGTCTTTTTCAGATAATGACTTATTTTTCTTTGGGTAGATAGATACCCAGGAGTAGGATTGCTGGATCAAATGATAGATTTACTTTTAGTCCTTTAAGAAATCTCCATACTGTTTTCCATTGTAGTTGAACTAGTTTACATTCCCACCAGCAGTGTAAAAGTGTTCTCTTTTTACCACATCCACATCAACATCTATTATTTTATTTGTTAATTGTGGCCAATCTTGTAGGAGTAAAGTGGTATCTCATTGTGGTTTTAATTTGCATTTCCCTGATAATTGGTGATGCTGGGCATTTTTAAAATACACACATACATATTTTAATATATTAATGTAATTAACATATTTTTGTTTATTGGCCATTTGTATACCTTCTTCACAAAATTGTGTATTTATGTCCTTTGGCTATTTTTTGATGAAATTATCTGTTTTTTCCTTGCTGGTTTGTTTGAGTTCCATGTAGATTCTGGATATTAGTTCTTTGTCAGATGCATAGTTTGTGAATATTTTCTCCCACTCTATGGGTTGTGTTTACTCTGCTGATCATTTATTTTGCTGTGCAGAAGCATTTTACTTTCATTAGGTCCTACCTGTTTATTTTTGTTTTTGTTGCATTTGCTTTTGGGTTCGTGGTTATGAAGTATTTCCTAAGCCAATGTATACAAGAGTTTTTCCAATGTTAACTTCTTGAATTTTTTTAGCTTTAGGTCTTAGATTTAAGTATTTGATCCATCTTTAGTTGATTTTTGTATAAGGGGAGAGATGAGGATCTAGCTTTATTCTTCTGCATGTGGCTTGCCAGTTATCCCAGCACCATTTGTTGAATAGGGTGTGCTTTCTCCCCTTTATTTTTATATTTATTTATTTATTTATTTTTGCTTTGTCAAAGATCAGTTGGCTGTAAATATTTGGCTTTATTTCTGGGTTCTCTATTCTGTTCCATTCATCTATGTGCCTATTTTTATACCAGTGCCATGCTGTTTTGGTAACTGTAGCCTTCTAGTACGGCTTGAAGTCAGGTAATGTCTCCAGATTTGTACTTTTTGCTTTGTCTTGCTTTGGCTATAGGGGCTCTTTTTGAGAATTTTAGGAGTGTTTTTTACTACTTCTGTGAAGAAAGATGATGGTATTTTGATGAGAATTTGATTCTTGCTTTTGGCAGTATGGTAATTTTCACAATATTGATTCCCATTCATGAGCATTGTATGTATTCCCATTTGTCTGTGTCATCTATGATTTCTTTCAGCAAGATTTTAGTTTTCCTTATAGAGATATTTCATCTCCTTGGTTAGATATATTCCTAAGTATTTTATTTTATTTTATTTTTATTTTATTTTATTTGCAGCTGTTTTAAAGGGATTAAGTTCTCAATTTGATTCTCAGTGTGGTTAGTGGTGGTGTAGAAAAGTGCCACTGATTTGTATACATTGATTTGAATCTTTACTGAGTTCATTTATTAGTTCTACCGCTTTTTGGTTGACTCTATGGTTTTCTAGGTATACTATCATATCATCATTGAACAGCCACAGCTTGACTTCCTTTTTATCGATTTGGATGCCCTTTATTTCTTTCTCTCATCTGATTGCTCTGGCTAGGACTTCTAGTAATATGTTGCATAGAAGTGGTGAAAGTTGGCATCCTTGTCTTGTTCCAGTTATCAGGGGGAATGCTTTCAACTTTTTCCTTTACAGTATAATGTTGGCAGTGGATTTGTCATGTATGACTTTTATTACTTTGAGGTGTGTCCCTTTTATGACCATTTTGCTGAGGGTTTTTATTATACAGGGATGTGGATTTTATCAAAAGTTTTTTCTGCATACACGTATCCAAATGATCATATGATTTTTGTTTTTAATTCTGTTTATATGATGTATCACACTTACTGACTTGGGTATGTTAAACCATCCCTGCATCCCTGGTATGAAACCCACTTGATTATGATGTATTTTCTTTTTGACATGTTGTTGTATTCCATTAGCTAGTATTTTTGAGGATTTTTGTATCTATGTTCATCGGAGATATTGGTCTGTAGCTCTTTGTTGTTGTTGTTATGTCCTTTCCCTGGTTTTGGTATTAGGGTGATAATGGCTTCATAGAATTATTTAGGGAGGATTCTCTCCTGTATCTTTTGGAATAGTTGCAGCAGGATTGGTACCAATTCTTTGAATGGCTGTTAGAATTCAGCCCTGAATTTATCTGGTCCTGGACTTCTTTTTGTTGGCTATGTTTTTTATTATGGTTTCAATTCTAGTACTTGTTATTAGTCTGTTCAGAGTTTACAATTCTTTCTGATTTATTCTAGGAGGGTTGTATATTTCTAGGAATTTATCTAGCTCTTCTAGATTTTCTAATTTGTATGTGTAAATGTGTTCATAGTAACCCTGAATGATCTTTTATATTTCTGTGGTATTGGTTGTAGTATCTCCCATCTCATTTCTAACTGAGCTTATTTCGATCCTCTCTCTTCTTTTCTTGGTTATTCTGACATGTGGTCTAAAAATTTTGCTTATCTTTTCAAATAAATAGATTTTTGTTTAGTTTATATTTTGCATTTTTGTTTGTTTCGATTTCATCTAGTTCTGCTCTTTTCGATATTTCTTCCGATATTTTCTTTTCTTCTGCTGGATTTGGATTTGGTTTGTTCTTGTTTCTCTAGTTCCTTGAGGTGTGACTGTAGATTGTCTATTCGTGCTTTCAGACTTTTTGATATAGGCAATTAATGGTATAAACTTTCCTCTTAGCACTGCTTTTGCTGAATTTTATAGGTTTTGATAAGTTGTGTCACTATTATTGTTAAGTGCAAAGAACTTTTTAATTTCCATCTTGATTTCATTGTTGAAACAAAGATCATTCAAGAGCAGAGTATTTTATTTTCCTGAATTTGTATAGTTTTGAGGGCTCCTTCTGGAGTTAATTTCTAGTTTCACTGCATTGTCATCTGAGAAGATACTTAATATGATTTTGATTTTCTGAAATATATTGAGACTTGTTTTGTGGCCTGTAATATGGTTTATCTTGGAGAAGGTTCCATGTGCTGATGAGAAGAATGTGTATTCTGCAGTTGTTGGATAGAATGTTCTGTAAATATCTGCTAAGTCCATTTTTTCTAGGGTTTAAATCTGTTGTTTTTTTGTTGTCTTTCTGTCTTGATGACCTATCTAGTGCTGTCAGTGGAGTATTGAAGTCCCCCACTATTATTGTGCTGCCATCTATTTCATTTCTTAGGTCTAGTAGTAATTGTTTTATAAATATGGGGGCTCCAGTATTAGCTGCATGTATATTTGGGATTGTGATATTTTCCTGTTGGACTAGTCCTTTAATCATTATATAACGTACCACTTTGTCTTTTTTAATGGTTGTTGCTTTAAAGTCTGTTTCATCTGACATAAGAATACATACTCCTGCTTGTTTTTGGTGTCCATTTGTATGGAATATATTTTTCCACCCCTTTACCTTAAGTTTATGTGAGTTCCTAAGTGTTAAGTGAGTCTCTTCAAGACAGCAGATACTTGGTTGGTGAATTCTTATACATTCTCCCATTCTGTGTCTTTTAAGTGAAGCATTTATGCCATTTACATTCAATGTTAGCAGTGAGATGTGAAGTACAATTCTATTGATCTTGCTCTTGTTGACTGAATACTTTGTGGGGCTTTTTTTTCATTGTGTTATCATTTTATAGATCTTGTGAGAATTATGCTTTAAGGAGGTTCTATTTTGGTGCATTTAGAGCTCCTGTTAGTAATTCTTACAGGGCTGGCTTGGTAGTGACAAATTCTCTCAGCATTTGTTTCTCTGGAATAGACTATATCTTTACTTCATTTATGAAACTTAGTTTTGCTGGATACAAAAATACTGACTCAATATTGTTTTCTTGAAGGAGGCTAAAAATAGGACCCCAATCCCTTCTAGTTCGTAGGGATTCTCCTGAGAAATCTGTTGTTAATCAGATAGGTTTTCCTGTATAGGTTACACGATGCTTTTGCTTCACAGCTCTTAAGATTCTTTCCTTCATCTTGACTTTAGATTAGCCTGATGACTATTTGCCTAGGCGATTATCTTTTTGTGATTAATTTCCCAGGTATTCTTTGAACTTCTTTTATTTGGATGTCTAGATCTCTAGCAAGGCTGGGGAAGTTTTCCTTGATTATTTCCTTAAATATGTTTTATAAACTTTTAGATTTATATTCTTTCTCAGTAATCTCAATGTCTATTTGTTCTAGTCTATTGTTTAAACTTTCCATGCATTTTGCATTTCTCTAAATGTGTCTTTCATTTGCAGAAGTTGTGATTGTTTTTTCTTTATAATATCGATTTATCTGGAGAATTTTTCATCCATATCCTCTATTTTTTTAAATTTCTTAAGTTGTTTTTCACCTTTCTCTGATATCTCTTTGAGTAGTTTAATAGTCTAGCTTGTGAATTCTTTATCTGAGAATTCAGAGATTTCTTTTTAGTTTGGATCTATTGCTAGGAAGATAGTGTGATGTTTTGGGGGTGTTATAGAACCTTGTTTTGTCGTAATACCAGAATTACTTTTCTGGTTCCTTCCCATTTGGGTAGACTATTTCTTCAAATTATTCCTTAATGTATTTTTAATTGGACTGTTTTTCTCCCCTCTTAAGGAACAGACTAATGTTTACCTTAGACTAATTTGGTTCTTGGTATTTGTAGGGGTGAAGATTCTGTATGAATTCCTTAGTCATAGAATGTCTTTGTGTGCTGGCTTTCCCTGAAGCTGGTTGTAGTGGTTATATTCTTGGTGTGCAAGCTACTTCACTGTCTCCTATTGTGTTGGAATAGCAGGAATATCTTGAATTTTATTTCGTTCTCTTGTGGTGTATATTTTATTTATTTATTTAATTTTTTCCCTTGTTTTATTTACTCAATTGATGATTCAGGGTTCAGGACAATTGGTGAGGTAAACTTGGGTAGGCATTGGCTGTGGCTAAGGCAGGCAGATTGATCTAATAACCAACAGTGGGCTGAGGTCCCAGCCTTGATGAGGATGGCTGGGGGAGATCTCAGTTAGATGTGCTGACGTTTTATCAGTGTGATGAGTGGGAACCATCTCAGCTCCCCTGCTGGGTCAGCAGGAAATCTATTCACCTCACAGCCTCACTCTTGTTGTAGCATTTCAGCTATTCAGATAAGATAGGCATCTCTTTTCATCTATAGGAATGTTGATGCTCCAAGTAGGGAGGAATGATGACTCTGCCTCTCGTGCAGGCCTGAATCTGGGGTCTGCTCCTCCTGTGGAACTGCTTTCACCCTGGATATTTTCCAGAAAGGCTGGAACTGCTCTCACCCTGGATTGTGCCTTCATGCTGCACTGCTTTGGGGGAAGCCCCACCTGTGTCTGCTGTGTAGTACCAGAGGGGAACAAGGACCCCTTCTCCAAAGCCCTTAATGTTCACAGAGGCTGCCTGCCTGTTGGGGTGTAGGTACAGACTTCGCCTACTGCACCCAGCGCTGCAGTTGTGTCTCTGCTAGAATAAACCACGCACCAATGGAAAGATCTGGAACTCAAGGCCTGCTGTTCAGATTCTTTTGTTGTACAGGATGATCCCTTGATGTGGTGCTCTTCCTCTTCCCCTAGGGATGGGCTTCTTGACAGCTGCGCTGTAGTGATTATTATTGCTTTTCTCAGGATAGTCACCCAGCAGGGCTACCAGCTCTGGGCTGGTTCTGCGGAATGTCTGCAAAGAGTCTTGTAATGTGATCTGTCTTCAGGTGTCCCAGCCATGGATACCAGTACCTGCTCTGGTGGGGGTAGCAGAGGAGAGAAGAGACTCTGTGAGAATCTTTGGTTGTAGATGTTTAGTGTGCTGGCTTTCTTGAATGCTGATTACGCTAGTAGTGAAATTGTCACATGGACCTCTGGTTAGTGAGGATGTTGCAGTTCGTGGTATTATCTGTTGTTTTCTTCTTCCTGGGAGTAGGATTATTCTGTAATAAGTTGCTATAATGGCCTGAGTTGATTGGCCTCTAGCCCAGAGGTGGAGCTTGCAGGAGAGCAGCAGCTGCAGTATTAGCAGTGGGGTATAAGCTTGCCCTAAGTTGGCTGGGGGAAGTATTCTGGTTTCTCAAGGATGAGCAGGACCATAAAGCTTTCAGGATTGCATGTCTTTTGTGTTTGGCTACCAGGGTGGGTAGAGAAATACCATCAGGTGGGGGCAGGGTTGGATGGGTCTTAGCTCAGACTCTCCTTGGGCAGGGATTGCCATAGCCACTGTGGGGGACAAGGGTGTGGTTCTTAGGCCAAGGGAGTTATGTTCCAGAGGGGACTATGGCTGCCTCTGCTGTGGCATATAATTTGATAGGGAAGTGGGGGATAGCCAGTAGTGAAAGGCCTCACCCAGCTCCCACACTGTTGTTGAGTCTGTTCTCACTCCCCTAGTCCCCCACCAACAACAGTTTAGATCTGGCCAGCCTGAGTGTGGAACTCAAACCTGCCACAGGCTGTAAGCTTCCCCATTGAGCAAGAATGCTCAGCTTTTAGGCCTAACTCCTCCCTGTCTGTCCACAACTTCAACCACGGGTTCTTGCACTCATATCTGCAGCAGTTCCTGTTCACCCCTCAGATTCTGCTCAAAAAACTTCATGCCCATTCAAAATTATTATAAAATTCAGCTGGAAGCTTCTTATACCCCATGACCCCTCCCTAACTCCGCTGGATGCCTTCCTCGAGAGCCTCTGTGAGGTGTAGTTAGAGATGGTTTCCCTGGGCTCCAGCTAGAGAATAGAAGTGCCTATAAGGCTCTTCCTGAAGATACTTCTACTTTTATATTTCATGCAGCTTTCTAAATCCATTCTAGCTCTAGGTCAGGTTAAATCCTTCTCCTGTAATCTGGATTTCCAGATTCCCCAGTGAGAATGTGTGTTCGGAGGCAGGTTTTCCCTCCCCCTCACACTTTGGGAGCTCACAGTTTTTGCCTGTCTCATGGAATTTGCAGTGGCGTGCTGTTTCTTTCAAATAATCTGTGAATTGTTTCAGTTTTTCCGGTATGTTCCTGTGATGATTCTTGGAGCAAAAGTTCATAGTGTGAGTCTCCACACATTGTTCTGTCCATCCATGTGGGAGCTGTACATTAACCCTGTTATCTGTCATCTACCCTCACATCTTTTTTTTTTTTTTTTTTTTTTTTTGAGACGGAGTCTCGCTCTGTCGCCCAGGCTGGAGTGCAGTGGCGGGATCTCGGCTCACTGCAAGCTCCGCCTCCCGGGTTCACGCCATTCTCCTGCCTCAGCCTCCCAAGTAGCTGGGACTACAGGCGCCCGCCACTACGCCCGGCTAATTTTTTGTATT
This sequence comes from Homo sapiens, assembly GCF_000001405.40. Lineage (NCBI taxonomy): Eukaryota > Metazoa > Chordata > Mammalia > Primates > Hominidae > Homo > Homo sapiens. Next base: position 95,038,941 of record NC_000003.12, read on the forward strand.
TTTAGTAGAGACGGGGTTTCACCGTTTTAGCCGGGATGGTCTCGATCTCCTGACCTCGTGATCCGCCCGCCTCGGCCTCCCAATACCCTCACATCTTTTTCTAATTTTAAAGCAATTTGTGTTTATTGTGGACAATACAAAAAAAATTAATTATATAATTTTTTAAATTATCATTACCCATATACAAACATTATTTTAATTTTAAAATACAGCATCTCAATATATTTACAAAAATGTACACACATCTCTTTTATGCATGACCATATGTATATTACTATTTACACACAATTTTTCTATACCTAAATGGACATTTTTCTATGTCAATAATGTTGTACTTATTTTCTGCTAAATGAATGAATTAATAAACAAAGAAGTAAATGAGAAGACTCATGATTCTTAACTTTTATACCTTTCAGAATTATAGGTAACTATTGACCTGGCGACAAGGAAATTTAACCACTGTCGTTAACTGCTTCTATTGGTATAATCAGAAATTTTAAACTTTTTTTTAAACCTCAGATTAGTATAAAATAAGGGTGTTGGACATATAATCTTGAGGTATTGAAAGAACTGAGTTGACCAATAAAGATTCATGGTGGCAAGTAATAGAAAGCGGTTCTGCTATAATAAGCAGAAACTTAATTCAAAGGATATCATTAAGCTCTGAGAATTCATAGCAAGGCTGGAGAATCAGTCTAAGAATATGGGCAGAGCTAAGGAAACCTAGGTAGAAAATTTGTAGGTATGATCATTGTATTGGTCTGTTCTCACACTGCTATAAGGAACTACCTGAGACTGAGTAATTTATAAAGAAAAGTGGTTTATTGGACTCACAGTTCTGCAGGATGTACAGGAAGCATGGCTGGGAGGCCTCAGGAAACTTACAGTCATGGCGAAAGGCAAAGGGGAAGCTAACATGTCATACTATTGCAGAACAGGAGAGAGAGAGAGAGAAAGAGAGAGAGAGAGTGAGAGTGAGAGAGAGAGAGAGAGAGAGAGAGAGAAGAGGGAAGTACTACACACTTTCAAACAACCAGATCTCATGAGAACTGTTATCATGAGAACAGCAAGGGGGAAGTTTGCCCCCAAGATTCAATCACCTCACGCCAGGCCCTCCCTTCAACATGCGGGGATGACAATTTGACACGAGATTTAGGTGGGAACACAGAACCAAACCGTATCAATGATACAACTGAAACGTGTGTTTAGAATTCCATTCTGACCTCTATCGCTATCACTGGATTTTTGCTGCCTTTGGACTTTCCCCGTGCTGTCACCATGAATGATCTCCCCACTTTGATGAAGTCTTTGTGTTAGCTCAGTGGAATTTCAGGTCCTGGGAGGCAGCATCTGACTGGCTAAGTGACTATGTCTACTTTTAAGAGCTAGGGAAGCAAAGTATTGTACATTCATGCAATGTAATGCTACTCAAATATCAAAAAAAGAGAGAAAATAATAAAAAGATTTCAACAAACAGTATTATATATAAATTCAACCCAGAAAAAAATGCTTAAAAGCTGTAAATTAAAACCCTAGAGTAGCTAAAGGTTGTTATTAAAATGATTTCATTTCTTGAATAATTATAGTTTCCTTCATCAGGGACGCACTTTTACAATTTCTGTGTCTTATCTCCCTTCTTCATGCATATATGCTGCCTTATCCAGACAGCTAATATTTTTATCGAATGGTGCATTTTGTTTCATTATCTTAGGAGAAATGCGATTCTTTGTCTTCAACAGCACAGAGAAATTTTGTATAATGTATTCTAGATTTGTCAATAATAGACATGTGACCTTGCACATGTTAACACTTCAGTATTTCAGCTTTTTTGTCTATAAAACTGATAACATATCTCCTTCTAGATTTATTGTAATGTTGCAATAAATCCTTATATGTAAATTACTTACAATAGTACCTTGCACATAGTAAACATTGTGAAATGTTAGCCATTGTCATGACAATCATGATTATTCTTATTATTACAAAAAAACTCCCATGAGGCCAGGCGTGGTGGCTCACGCCTGTAATCCCAGCACTTTGGGAGGCCAAGGTGGGCAGATCACAAGGTCAGGAGTTTGAGACCAGCCTGACCAACATGGTGAAACCCCCCGTCTCTACTAAAAATACAAAAATTAGTCGGGCATGGTGGCACACGCCTGTAATCCCAGCTACTCAGGAGGCTGAGGCAGGAGAATTGCTTGAACCTGGGAGGTGGAGGTTTCAGTGAGCCGAGATCGTGCCACTGCACTCCAGCCTGGGTGACAGAGTGAGACTCTGTCTCAAAAAAAAAAAAAAAAAAAGAAAAAAAAAACCTCCCACAAATGTTTATATTTTATAAGAGAATCTCATGGAAGAAAATTCACAAGATTAAATGGGAAATATCTAGATTTGAAAAGGGCATTTTTTTGGCATTGACTTGAAACAGAATGCCAATTCATATCCTCTATTCCATCTATTCATGAAGCTTGGCCTATATTAACTAAATGTATTCTTTATTGTCTATGCAGTGGACAGGATAAAAGAAAGTGATATTTATAGCCTGAATTGCTGAATTCAACTCTAATTATTTACTGCTTTTGTCAGCTTATCTCAAACAATATTTTAAAAATTAGTATGCTCAACTTCTTTCCCATCATGTGTATTCAGGAGCCATAGGGAGGTTATAAGATGTAAGCCAAAAGATCTGTTATATAATACTTAAATTATTTTTTATGCCATTCTTCCTATTAATATTCTTGGATAGCTAACACAGATAAAAAATATTTTCTTTAAAATCATAAGGCACATTTCCAAAATTTGATGGACTATTATATGAAATAATACTTGTAGCAATTGAGTTACCTGATGATAGTATCAGAAGTTTTAAATTTGGTTTATATTCAAAATGTGATTTTTTTATTATAAAACACATATTTTGGGGGGTAAGTCAAAATTCACCCTGTTTTATACTTAATATTTGAATCACAGAATCTGAAGCAGCACTTTTCTTATATACTATATAAAACTTAAATTAAGTTTGATTACATTTTGCATGATAAACAAATAGATGTTGCCTTTATTTTCTTAAATAAAATAAATATAGATAAAATGTGCCAAAAATACCAAACTTTGTCATTTGGTAAATTCAGTAACCATTATAAAGAGGTTCAAATATTAACTGTTGTAAACCACATTTAATAGAAAAATATTAGTAACAAGATTTTAATTTTTTGCAACTATTTTCAGACATTTTATTGTATGAATAACTCAGGGTTCAGATCTTAAAAAATAAACATTAAACTTCATGGTTAATATTTCATAGTCAATGCAATATCAAATATAATATCCATAAATTTTTATCCACAACATTATCAACTTGGTTTCTCATTTTGCATCAGAGAAAATATATTCCTTTTTTATATCAATAGTTGAAAGGAAAACAAATGCATAGAATTACAAAAAGCAACTATAACAGGTAGGTTTTGAGGCAAGAATTAAAGAATTTTTTTTATATCAATTAATACAGGGGTATGCATGTTTTGAGAATATACTTTGTTTCACACATTATGATACCATCATTGAATCATAGCCACTTTTGACTATTAAGAAAAAGGCAGGGTTGTGATTTTGATGTGTTTGGTGGTCAAAGATAGGAGATGACAAGCAATTTACAAGTTACAGGATTTTCTCTGTTGAGAAGCAGAGGTGTTTTAAGACCAGATATTGCACATCCAAATATGAGATTTATCTTCATTTTTAGATAAATGGGCCTTATTCTGTAGCATCTGAATTGGTCACAGGGAAAAAAGTAAACAAATTGACAAGCAAACCCAAATTTAACTTTGATAACTTCTTTCCACCTAGTCTTGTCATCCCGGTGTGTTCCTTCTTAGATACTATACTTTACAGAACACCTGCCTCTAATCTCTTCAAATTATATTTAGGTTCTTCGGAGAAGAAAATTTAGTTACATTTCTGAATATCAAACATAAAAGTTCCTCCATGGACAGTTAACTCATTCTATTCATAACTCCAATTTTTCTGAAACTACTGACTGTTTTTGTTTGTTTATACTGATCCAAAAGCTGCTAGAGTAAACAAACAGCTTCTGTTATATTAAGACCTAATATTATGTGTGAAATTCATTCATTAACTCAAGATAGAGATCTGAATCTTCGATCTTGGATATTTTAAGATTAATATTGAATATTTTAAGATTATTAAGAAGAATCCAGAGTTATAGCATCACCTTAAATAAAAGAAGATGCTCTAGGAGGTTTGAGATGAACTGTTTTGCCTCCTAGTCACCTAGGGGCTAAAAGTCCAGAACTAAATCATATAGAAATTAAAGATATCGTGTTTCTTGGGCACTTGAGTTAGAAGGATGTAATTATATTCTTGATGTATATACATGTTTCTAAAATGTTATGTTCCTAGAGAAGGAAGTGACTACACAAAATTTTCTAAGTTTAACTTATTGATTCATTTAACAACTTTTTAGCCAGCTACTCTGTGCCACACCTAGATCTTAAGATTAGGTATACAAAATTAAATAAGGCAAATTAGATGGGATCATTTATACTGAAGGCAGAACACTTTCTTTGGATGGGAGTGCACACACCTTATGGAACACCTTGGAAAAATGATTTGAGGTTTACTACAACAAGTCAAGAAATCAAGGAATATTTATGGAATAATACTCTAACTACACTATTATTCCAGGTACTGTAAACTTTGTCTTTGATAGAAAACATCAAATTTATAAACTGCGCTGTTTGATTCTTAAACACTAGTTTTTGTCTTTTGCTATTACTTACTTATTTTTCCTTTTCTCTCCCCCCTTTTTTTTCTCCTTCTCTACCTCTTTCTGTCTTCTGGCTTCCCACTCCCTCTTTTTTCTTTCTGTGAAGACTTATGCAATTGCTTTGAATTAAGTACCCTTAGAGAGCTTGTTTGGGGAAACACATTAAAGAAAAACATGAGAAAAAATTGTTCTTACTCATTTCTTATAACCGTAGTTATTCTATACAAATTGAATTTCCATTAAATTCATTTTTGTATTAGCTTATCATAGTACAAATTTCATTTGACTCTAAATAGTATTTGAAAATAATGTTTGATCTAATTTTTTAGTCATAGTTGGGCAATTAGCATTGAACCATTTTTTCCATTTTATAAATCAATAATCTGATTTCTAGTTTTGAAAAAATTGAAAGCCAATTTTTATTTTCTGAGTTTAATAAAATATATTTTTCAGGAATCTGCAAGACTGCACAATGGCAAATACTGTGAACTATATTATAACGTAGAGGGTGTCTCTTTTACCCTTTGGAATCGAAGCCATACAAAAACACAGTGGGATACCCCTCTTTGCATACACAGTGTGTTGTACAGTCTTAGCAGACTCCTATTTATCATAAGTGATGGACTGAAAAGGGGATCTTGCTGAGATCAACTCCTCCTGTGTTTAAATGATTGATTGATAGAGTACATATTTGGCTTAATTGCTCAATAATAGAAGCAAAATAGATGTCATTATACATATAGTACTTTCCACTTAATAACTAAAAATCAGAAAAAAGGTTTATTTTTCTAAAACTTTGTAAACATGCTTCACAGTAAATTCTGAAGAATAAGAAATACTTAAAATAAAAACAGATATATTTAGTTTTTATGTGTGTGTTTATATGTTATAAATATAAACACATGTATACATAGAGAGTGATATATATCTCTAACATTTTATTTTTAAAATATGTAGCATTTTCCCCCATTGCCTACTTTGGAATGTGAATACTGGTTTCATATGAGTTTTTCTTTATCCTTCAATGTAAGTTTCATGAAGGCATGACTAAATTTTATACTTTAAAAGTGTTTATAAAATAAGTTAGCTAGCAGACCAGGCTCAGTAAACACTTACTCAAATAATTGTCTTCTCCCTTACCCCTACCAAATTATCCATGCATTGTGATATTTTCTCCATCCAAAATGGACTGTAAAGAGATTTTTTTTTCCCTCTGTAGTTTGATTTTGAAAAGGGCACTAGTAACTTCCTATAGGGAAATGGGTCAAGTGACTAAGTAACAGTCACTGCCTTTCCCTCAGTCAGGGAACTGCCTGCAGGTATTCCATGGGGAGGTAGAGACTGAGATAGTACTTACATGTTGTTCTCAGACTTAAAAACCCTTCTTTGGAGTTCTCCAATTTGGGAGCGACACAGTTTCTGGGGAATTCCGCAACATGTATTTAAAACCACTGTTCTCTTCTCTGAACATGTAGAATTTATTTCTTATTTATATAAAACTCCACATCTGTCTTTCTAAATCAAGTGACATTTTTTTTTCTTATTTAATGAGATAGAAATTATCTGGAGGAACTCAGTCTCCGTGATATAAATTCACATTTTCCCTTTTGTTTCTGTTACCCAGTAGTTTTTTTTAATTTGATTTAAATGATTCACCATATGTCTCTCAAATCTTTTTTTCTTTATTTTCCCCTTTGTTTTTCTTTATTTTTCAATCCTATATAATTACTAGTTTTGTGAAAAAGAAAAATTAAAGTGTTAAGTGCATTAATTTCTGTTTTCAAATAATCATATTTAATTCTCGATTTTTAAAAACTTAGTCATAATGTGATACAAACACCAAATTCTCTTTTAAAAAATATTACTCTGTTTAGAGATAATCCTGTTATTATATTTTCATTTTAAGATAACTTTTAGTGACATTAGATATTTCAGCATGTATACATAATGCATCGCTATGCTTTACAAGTAGAGCAAAATAAATCCATTAACAGTTGAAAATTGTAACAGAAATTTGAGTAAAAATTTTCCTGCTACTACTCATAAAATAATTTTAAAACAGTCTTGAAAATAAACCTTATTTCTATCATTAAGGGATTCTCAGAAACATTTGCTACTAGCATGCTTTTATCAAAACATACTAAATCAGGAGTGAAGAACAGATTCCCTACCATAATGAGTTAACTTAGGCGGGCAGAAGATGCTCAGAAGAATCAAGAGAAACAATAGCCCTGGCACAAAAGGAAAGTAAAATACTTTGCATCATTGACTCTTGGGTGCAAAGTAATCTGCAGAAACAAGAAGGTCAAAGTTTGCTACTAGCAAGTCAAAAGTCTACTGGAGTGCCAGCAAAGAATGCCAGTTCCCAGAGGAAATGGGGTATCGACAAAATATTATTCTTAATCCCTATTGTTAATCAGAAAATGTCTGTGTTGTACAATATTTCACATATAACTAGATAAAATTCCTTGTATGAGCATTCTTGGGTATACCACTGTTATCTGTGATGCCTGTCCGGATAGATGTAAGAAAACATGTCTATGTGGGAGGAAGGAGATCAAGAAACAGACTTGCCATAGTGAGCCCCTTCTCTTGGAACTAGTTATGTAAATGAAATTTTCTATGTAACTTAAAAACAGGTAGAAATTCGTCGAATTATTGTTCTTGAAAAGATTCTCTTTTGTGGAATCATTATGATTTTTTACACATTAATTAATTATTAAAAATAATATCAGGAGAGTTATACAGGTGTTATATGGCCTCATTCCAAAATTCTTCAATTTTCTAAACTCTAGGACTAAAACCAGAAGTGATGAATCTGTAGAAATATAATTTTTAATTTTTGTCATAATTTTCAAAATTTTCTAATATATGAGGTCATAATGAAATATAAAAATGCCACAATTTTATAACCAATTTAGATACCAAAGAAAGATTAAGTCATTGCAGAAAATTCATCTACTTGGCCTAAAATATAAGCAACAAGATTGCAGTATTTAACTCTGTACTGTCTTTTTTAGTATCTTTGTATCAATAGAATTGACTGATTATTTAACTTAATCTACCAAGTAATTCCTTCTAAATATGCTACACTATTTTATCCTATGTAAGTATTATCTCAGTTGATTGAAATTAATAACACCAACTTTTTTGGATCATCTGCTCTATTAAAGCACGCATTTTTTTCAGAAATTTTCTCTTAATTCTTTGAATATCCTTACAAGGTATGATGCATTATCACCCTCAATTTTTAATAAAAAACAGTGATGAATATAGTTTGTAAGTAAAGATAGTTCAGTTTGGTTTCTTGATATTACATAGTTTCTAAGTGATATAGGTAAGATAGAAACCCATCTGTGTCAAACTCCAAAAACTATATTTTTTTCTTTACCAGAGACTGTCTCAATTGTTACATTTATTTAGTTTAATTCTTAACCAAATTAACTAGATGACAATTACTTTTCACCCATTTTTTAAAAATAGTTGAAATAGATACCAATCTCTTAACTTTGTATCTTGACATCATTTTTTCACTTAGAAATATCTGAATGAAATGCTCATGAAAGGATTAAGAAAGTCTGCAGTTGAGCCTGGAGCCAGCAAAAGACATCATCACTAAAAGTATATGCATGACCCGCATTTGTTGCCTTTATGGTCCTTACCCAAGATATTTGAATTCACCAGAATGGTCTTAATATGGTATTGTAAGTACCTGGATCTGAAAACCATTAAGTATGAGAGTGCGCTGTATTGGTGATGCCAGTTTGTGGACTCCTTATGTAAATAAATGAAGGACAAGTTAAAAACTGCAGTCACTCATGTGAAATATAAAAGGCTGGCAGAATACGGCTAAATGTCGAGGTCTAGCCCAATGTGTGAGATTTAGAGAAATCATGTATTCCAATAAAATCAGATATACTCCTGAAACTATGAGAATCAATTATAATTTTCTAATTCCACCACTTAAAAGTATTCCAAAAGACTGATGGTACTAATTGGGTTCTTATGAACCCAAATTCCCACGTAGGAATTTTGCTGGCTTCTATTCATAAAGCCACTAAAATTAAATCTAAATTGGAAATGGTTTTGGGCAGAATTATTAAAATATTAACTAAAGGCAGTTGTTCAGGTACTCTCACTGGTATATTATAACTTTATGGATCATAAGATTTTAAATGTGTTTGTAACTAGAACTTATGCAGACTGAACCCTCTGGCAGAGAGTAAATACCACTATTTTCATCCAAAACCTCTTGTGTTTTGAGTTCTAAAACTGCTGGATGCAGCCCCTTGTAGAGCCTATTGGAAGAAAATTTCTAATTTGCAATTGGGCATTGAAAGAGAATTTTCCTGCTACTTAAGGATATCAGATAATTTTGAGACTAGTAATATCTACTATGTCTTTGGTAATATTGGAGAAAGAGTCCCAAAGAGAGAGAGCAGCACAATAATTCTCACTGATAAAGTGGAGATGATATTCAAAACCATATATCAGAGAAATTTCATTACGCATTCCCACATACTGGACCAGGTTTCTCCCCTGCCTGCACAACTGATGATAGAGCTTTTGAGGGACCTCCCTGACCCCTACCCAGTATGTTCTAAACCCTATGTTTTCTTTTCAGCAAAGCAAATAATGCTGATTGGGCCACAATTAATGTCTAGAACTGAGAGTTGAATGGCTGTTTTGGAAATTGATCGCAGTATACTTGGTGGATAGTGTAAAACCCCAGGGGAAGAGGAAAATCCACATTTTTACACTAGGGAAAGCTGAGATCAGTTTAAATAACAGGCACATAAGGAGTGAGGCTCCCACTCTGAGAATAGTGTTTTGACATGCACTAACCCTTGTGCTGTAGCCATTGTCCTTACAGTATATTGAGACAGGGAGATCCTAGCTGACTGTGTGACAAACAAGACTTCAGTTTGAGTTACTCAGTTATGGAAGTCTCTGTGGGAATTTACAGAAACAATCAGGTCATTCATGTAGATGTCCTCCAAAAAGGTCAAGTGGTCAGCTAAGGAATTGGAATGCTACAGAGACTACTTGAGTCAGATACTTACAGTTAGCTTCCCAAGTTCATGAAATGAGTAGGCATAATATGCTCAGACTGTGCACACACAATTGCTCCTCAAATCAGATGAAACCACTAATGTGGTAAGAAACTCTGCTTGTGCCAGCAGGAAACCAATCTCCTTAAGATGGCTCTAGGTGGAATTCTTAGTGCTCAGGGGCCAGCACCTTGCTGGAATACTTGAACTACTGCCAGTAGCCCAAGCTGGGGGTTACTGATGGGTGTTCTTTAGAATTTCCAGCATTTTTACTCTATGTTTCGTTTATTCAGTTTCAGAAGCAACTGTGAAAAATACAATTAAGGTTTGGAATAGCAAACAGGTTGTTAATTTGGCTCACCAAAATATATTTATTCTAATTAACCTACACACATTACTCTTACCATTGTACAGCAAGCAAGCAAGAAAATATACTTTTAAAGATATATATTACATTTTTAATATCCTCAGAGTAGTTTCACTGAATCCACAATTTTGAATAACATACACTTATAATAAAATGGGTGGTACAAAAATTTGAGAGGCTGGCTGAATCAATTAAATGAACATGTCCTGACAGAATATGATAGACATAAAGGAAGAACTTCATCAGAACAATTACTACAATGAGGAGATGAGAATGAGGTCTTGAGCAATAATGTAATAATACAACTTTGTATCTGTCCAGTTTTAAAAATGTGTTCTTTGGATTTGCCTGATTTTGTTGCCCTAAGGCAAGGGCTGCATTTACATGTGCCAGGGCAGAGAAAAATTGGATGCATAAGATGTAATATCTATTAGCTAACTTTGTCAGGGAATAGTCCTAAATAAACTTTAGGGTCAGACAAAATTTTAGCCCTTCTAGCTAATTTAGGTATAACTATGACTGTGTCCTGATTACCAAGTGGCAGAAACAGTCTTTTAAGTTTTTACCTATCAAGCCCTGAAACTTCTTCCTAGAAATGAGATAACAACAGGATATGGTGAGGCAATTATCACTGATGTTTCTGTCTATGGGTAAGGCATTATGTTGAAGCCAGAGCACTCCTTCAAAAAAGGAAGAATGTCAGTTAAGTAATAAAGAAAGAAGAGTTCATGGCAAATGGGAAAGGAACTGTATGTTGGTTGTAATCCCAGGGATGAATGCAGCAACTTTAATCCCATAACAGTATCTCAGAGCAAGAGAATAATAGTCTTAGCTATGATTAAGATCTGGTGTTAACTAATGGCATGTGTGAGAAAAGCCACTTGATCTGTAAAAATAGCCATTTGCACAAAGAATGGAAATTGACTTGCTGATTTATTGGCTCTGTCTAAATACTCAATCTGCAGAATATAGAGAAAAAATGTGTTGCATTGTCCTCTGATTCAATCAATTGGAGCTAACATTGGATTCATGATTTGTAGACTCTACTATTTTGTTTTTATTGTAATGTATCTTGAGATAAATATTGCACGTGGATCATGTTGCTTAGCTTCTGTCCAAGGTGTGGATTTGAAACGACCTGACAAATTAAGATTGCTGCCAAGGGATGATCGGAAGCCAATTTATTCCACCTTCCCGGAAGGTCAGCACTTGACTTGCTCCTTTGAATATACTAAAAGTGAATGAAGATTAAATGCCTTTCAAAAAACTGGCATGGTAGCTGAGCAGCCCCAAGAGATGGGGACTTTGAATTGATACTGTGGCCAAATATCACAAATAACTCTACTTTTGAGATGCAGACATGCTATTCATGACCACTCATACCAAGCTGTATTTAGGACAAGACAGCCCAATGGACAGTTTAGTGGGCTACATATTTTATCTGCATGCTATGTTGTACCCATCCTGTTTTATGCTACAAATATCCTGTGGCAAGAATTTATGTAGTGACTTGATTAGAACTGGACATGTCAATCTAGCTGTGATGTTAGAATTTTAGTTGTCTATTTTAATCATGTTTTTAGGGATCTTACAGATGCACTATTCCAGGAGAATCGCATCAGCTATCAGTCAGATAGGAAAGATAAAATATAACCTGTGTGTTGGCTAGGCTTGTCACCAAACTGATGAAAAACCAATCCTAGCTTGGTGTGGTGGCTCACGCCTGTAATCCCAGCACTTTGGGAGGGCGAGGTGGGTGGATAACGAGGTCAAGGGATTGAGACCATCTTGGCCAACATGGTGAAACCCCGTCTCTACTAAAAATACAAAAATTAGCTGGGCGTGGTGGCACACACCTATAGTTCCAGCTGCTTGGAAGTCTAAGGCAAGAGAATCACTTGAACCCGGGAGGCGGAGGTTGTAGTGAGCCGAGATCGTGCCACTGCACTGCATCCTGGCGACAGAGCGAGACTCAGTCAAAATCAAAAACAAAAACAGAAACAAAAAAACCTATAAGTAGTTCTGATAGAGGGCTTGTACCATGACTCAGGAAAGACAGTATGGACTCTCGTGTTGTCAAAGATCTGTAGTTAGTAAGTAAGACTAGTGACTAAGGCTAACTTGGTACATTTTGGGGAACGCTATGGATAGCCTAAACTATGACAAGACACCACAGGGTAGTATGGCATTCATGTTGCTGTCCAATGTCCCAGGTAATAAGATGAAAACAGAGAAGTCCCAAAAGCAAATGGCTTCTTTTGAGAACACTTCTGTATACATTGTTCAGAATTTTGTCCAATTAATCCAAACCCCAAATAAATAGTAAAGTGAGAATAATTTTTTTCCTGAAATCGTTTATGAAAGATTCAAGTTATTTCAAAAATACAGTATATTGATCTGTACTGTTTGGATTATTATTTATGTTTTCTGTTGTTTAAAGACAATGATTTGTATGAGTATTTAATAATTCACCTTCTATCACATCATAAATTTAAATATTGTCTATATACTAAATGATGCTATCTTTTCCAGCTCATATCTGTATGCTTTGATGCAGACTCATACATTTTGTTTACTTGACATATACACTTGAATTTCTAACTAAACTTAAAATTTCATCACTTGATGTGTATCTTCCCAATTCATCTCAATCTTTATTCTTCCTCCCCATTTTATAATGGTGCTTCTTCTTATGAGTTGATAATTTTCGTTTCTTTCTATCTTGCTGTTTTCTAACATACACAAAGTCCTATAGGTTTTCTATCCAAAATGTTTTAATAGGAATATTTTTAAATATCTAATTGCTTCTCTGCATTTATACTGTAAAATACGATTATCTTGCAGATATACCATCACAGGCTATCAGATTTAAATTTCTGATTTCCTTTTGTCTCTATGTTAATTTTTTCTCTAAACATTGTGATAAAAATAATTAGAAAACTTTAAAATGTGTTTATCCTTTTAGTAACTATGTCTGACCTGAAATATTATTAATCAGTTTTAATAAAACTGATTAAACAAGCCAGAGATCCATAAAAAAAATCTTAAAAGTAACTAAAGAAGAAAATACATGTTTCATAGAGAAGTAAAGGTAAGAATGCAATAGATTCCTGGTTAGAAACTGTGTTCAAGGGTCAGGCGCGGTGGCTCACTCCTGTAATTCCAGCACTTTGGGAGGCCGAGGCGGGCGGATCACGAGGTCAGAAGATCGAGACCATCCTGGCTAACACGGTAAAACCCCGTCTCCACTAAACATACAAAAATTAGCCGGGCGTGGTAGCCGGTTCCTGTAGTCCCAGCTACTTGGGAGGCTGAGACAGGAGAACAAAAAAAAAAAAAAAAAAAGGAAATTGTGTGTTCAAGGAAACAGTAAAGAAAAAAACAAATAAAAACCTGTCATCTAAGAATTCTAGTTTAATAGAAATACCTTTCAAAGATAAATAAATATTTTTTTTTCTGAAACAGAACATGTGAAATAATCACTAGCATACAAACATCTGACAACAATGTGAAAATCCTGTATGCTGAAAATTGTAAAATATTGATGGGAGATATTAAATAAGCCTAAATACATATAAATGGAGAGACATAATATTTACGAGTTAGAAGAATAAATCTTGTTGTGATGTGAATTCTTCTCAAGTTAATCTACAGATCTGATGCTATCCCATTCAAAATCTCAATGGCTTTTTTATTTGTAAAAACTAAACCTATTATAAATTTCATATGAAAAAGCAAAGGACCAAAAATAGCAAATCAAAGAAAAGCAAAAATGGAAAAGCAGAGGTTGGTGAACATGCATCCATCATAATAGAAATGACACAAAAGAAACACAAACAGAAAAGCGACAAAAAAAAAAAAAAAAAAGAAAAGAAAGCAAGCAAGCATTGATGAACTCATGAGACCACTTCAGGAGCCAAAAATATACGTGGTATACCTAACAAAGTTACAGAACTTAGATTACCTTGTTTCAAAACTTATAGCAAAAGTTATCAAGAAGACATAGTTTAAAGATAGACAAAGTGGTCACTGGAATAGAACAGAGTCCAGAAATATACACTGTTGGAGCCCAGAAACTGATACTTTAAAATATGGCACTTTCACATGCTGAACTGAAGAAGTCTTAAGGCCTCCAAGAACTCTCCCCTACTCCTGTCTTTCAATCCTCTATCATTCTGTAAGCACAAGATGAAGTTATTCTCTAAAGTTCCTTATGTACATAACATCTAGACCCATCAAAAAAGAAAACAATTACCTCTGGTCTCTTCCCTGAGTTTTCGTTAACTGAATGAACTCATAGAGCAGGAAGAAAGACTGAAATCTGTCAACGCACATGGACAGACTTTTGTCACAAACCATTCTCTGCTCTGTGGGCCCAACAGGTTTTGTCCCAGCCCACTGTACATTATTCAAGCCCACTGAATTTACCTAAAAATTATTTATTAACCCCTTAAAATTATCCACACTTACCCATCATGCTTTCCCCTAAAATGTAGGACTTATAACCATTCGTACCCCATTGTGTGGTGAGGCAGTCACTATTTGATTCTCCCTCAGGCACAATAATAAATTTATTTAACACTTATCCTATTAATCTGCCTTTTGTCAGTTGATTTTTTTCAGTAAACCTTCCAAGGGTGGAAGGGAAGGTTTCCCTTGGCACCTACAACCCACATATAAATATACAACCAATTTTTGACAAAGGTTAAATAGAAACTCAGTGGATGAAGGGTTGTCTTTTTACAAAAGGCACTAGACCAATTGGTGTTTATATAAAACAGGTATACTTCAATCATTACTTTGCATCATACATAGATATTTTATTAAAAATAGATAATGAATCATAAAATTGAAAACTATAAAACTTATAAAATAAAACATGAGAAAACCGTGACCCCAGCTAGGCAAACATTTCCTTAGTAAGGCACAAAAATAATAGTATTTTGCCAAAATTAAAATAGTTTGCTCTATAAAACACACAAATATGAAAAGACAAACTATTCATTGGGTGAAAGTATTTACAAATTATATGTCCCACAAAAGGACATGTATCCAGAATATAACAGTAAGTTTCAAACTTTAATTTAAAAATAAGGCAAATATTTGAAAGAGACACTTGATCAAATAAAATATGCACAAGGAAAATAAACACAATAGTGTTCACTATTGTCACTTCTTAAGGAAATGTAGCATAACGCCACAAAGAGATACTACACACACTTACTGGAGTCATTAAATTAAAGAGACAAATCACACTAAGTGTTGGCAAAGATGTGAAAGATGTAGAATCTTCATATATTGCTAGTGGGGATATAAAATGGTAAAATCACTTTGGACAAAGGCTGGCAGTTTTTTAAAAATTTCAATATATATATAACATATGTTCTAGTTATTCCAGTATTAGGTATTTACTCAGGAGAAATAAAAGAAAATGTCTATATATGCTTATATATGAAGGTGCATTAGAGTTTTATTTGCAATAGCTAAACTCTGGATACAAATAAATGTTCATCAAAATAAATAATTATAGTGTGGTTTATCTATTCAATAGAATATTAATCAGTGCCTCTGCCCATTTGGACTATTATAACAAAATGCCATAAATTAGGTGACTTATAAACAACAGAAATTTATTTCTCAAAGTTCTGGAGTCTGGGAAATTCAAGATTCAGGTGTCAGCAGATCTGGTGTCTGGTAAGGCTCCACTCTCTGATTCATGGAGTGGCACCTTCTTGCAGTGTCCTTACATGGATGAGACCAGCTAGCTCTCTGGGTTCTCTTTTCTGAGGGCACAAAATCAATTCATGAGGGCCACACTCTCATGACTTAATCATTACCTCAAAGGCTTTACCTCCTAATACCATCGCCTTGTGGGTAAGGATTTTAACACATGAATTTTGGGATGAACACAACCATTCAGAAACATTTAGCAGTGAAAAAATGCAAGAATTATTGAACATGCTACAACGTGGATCTCAAAATAATTATGTTAAGTGAAGAAATACATACTGTATAACCCCAGAAAGCAAATCAATCATTGTCAGGATATGGTGAGGGTAACTGAGGGGATAGAAGGGAAGGATTAGGAGGGGGTATGGGGAAATAGGGTATGAAGATTATATTCATTATCTTTATTGCAGTGACAGTTTCACAGGTGTTGCATCTGTCACAAATTGTACACACACACACACAAACACAGACACACACATATTTCCTGAGTCCAGAACTTGTACTCTACCCACTGTGCTCTGCTAACATTTTAAATCTGCAAAGATGCTGTCTCTCACAGCTGCATTCCTCCATAATGGAACCTACGTCGGAGTCAATATCCAGAGAGGGCAGTTATTTTCTAAAGGGAAGCTTATGTGATTCCCCATTGCTTAGATTCCATTATTGAAGTGACAAGCAAGGTTGTCACTCACAGCTTGAGATATCTGCAAATCCACTTCATTTTAATCAGTACATGAATTTCTGCAAGAGTTTTACTGGAGGGACATTATAACAGTGTTCTCTTTTGGTCAGAACTATTGTTTACCACTTCCCTGCCACCACTCCAAATCCTATGTTTTTCTACTTTCCATGATGGCCAAGTGCATATTGAAAGAGTCTGAACAGTCTCCACCCCAATCTATAGGTATATGTTAGCATGTTTAGAGAAAGTGATGGAAAGATTAAACTGACTTTTAATTGCAAAGGGATACTTCCAGGATTTAGAAGACAGAATTCATTAAGACGGAAGGAGAACTCAGGTAGGTAGAATAATTCCTGACAACTCTGGCCCTTGCAAAATTGCTCCCTGCATGTGAACAGGACTGTGAGACATCACTCCTATGAAACACTTTTTATATTTAAATGAATTTTTTTGCAGACGTGGCTAAGGTTATTTATCAGTTGACTTTAGGTTAATCAAAAAGGGGATAATTAGGATGAGTTTGAACTAATCATATGAGCCCTTAAATATTGGTCAGCAGATCAGAGATGGAGAAGTCAAAGATTAGAAATAACAAAGCATTCCCCTGATGGCTTTGAAGGCACAAACACCACATTATGGAGAGGGCCATGCAGCAGAAATGGTGCACATCCACTAAGAGGCAAAAAGAGTCCCTGGTTCATACCAGCAATAAAATCTGGATATCAGTCCCAGCTGCAGGAAACTGAATTTTACAAACCAACTCTATGAGCTTGGAAGAGAATCCTGAGCTTCAAGTGAAAATATAGCCCTAGATGACACCACAGTTTCAACTACGTAAGACCCTGAGCGCAGGATCCAGTCATGAAATGCCAGACTCCTGACTCATGGAATCTATAAGATAAAAAAATTTGTATCGTTTTAAGCTACCAAGATTGTGATAAATTTTATATAGCAGCAGGAAACTAATGAAAATGGTGATTAAACTACAATAGTAATAAGCTGCGACCATATGACCTACCTGAAAGTAATATCACATGTGGAGTATCACCTTGGATCTCCTCGAGGTATGGCAAGACTTAATTCTCAAAATATTAAAAATATGACCCTTATATATTTAGTTATATATGGCTGAATTTAACTTAATTTGTTAATACTGGAATCAGCAGGGCAAAAAACAAAAACAAAACAACTAATTTAAAGGAGGATATAAATAAAGAACAAAGAATGCTAGAATGAGACGATGGTCAATAAAATACAAAACTGGCTAGTCTCCTAAAAGGTAATTAAACCATAACCTTCAGAGATACTTTCTCTACCAGATGAAGAATCATTTTCACATTATCAATTTTCTACAAATTAACCACTAATATAGAGTTTGCTTTCTAAACAATAGTAAATAGCAAGTCAAAAAAATTGGATTCTTCTAGTTCATTAACCCTAAGGAGATTTTATTAGGCAGTGTTCTAATATGACATTGAAATGACATGCAATCCTTTTTCTCCTTTATTTCTAAGTTTTGAATATGTCTTATTAGTGGATACTTTGAAGGTAGGATAAAGTGATGACTAAGAGCTTGCCCACTTACTTTTTTGTAGGCCTGTGTATTATTATGGTTCTGACGATTAAAGTGACTGCAGATTTACTGTAAGCTGAAAGAAGTCTAGGAATACTCAGAACTTGTAATAATCAACAGCATAATTCACTATGTTATAATCTACTTGCGATAACTAAATACAAATTGCATTTCAATAAAAACTTCTGAAATTAGTTTATTTGTGCATTTGATAAATATATATTAGTAACAACAATAAAGACTTTCAATTTAACTCTTGAATTGAATGAAAATGTGTAGAAAAGTGATATTCTATACTACTTGTCTTAGAATTGTAGTGAGGAATCTTTACCCCTTTAATATTTTAAGATTTCTACCAATTAATTCATCATTCCCTTCAAGAGCTGTTGCCTCAACTTTCATTTGATGTCTTAATTATCTCAATTTTCATCCACTTATTGTGATACCACAATCGAAGTTTAGGTTCAATTCAGTAATATTTCTCTGGGAAAGTTGCCATCAATTAGTTAATTGCAAAACTTCATCAAAACTAAATAAAAATCTATTCTTAACCGATTTACCTACTTTACTCCTATAGTATATTGTACTTACCTTCATGAGGACGTAAGAGTACTTGCCTTTTACTGTTTTGTAATTGTTTCCTAGGATATTTCCTGAAAGTAAGGAAATATGAATTACCCATTTTTATTCACAGAATCCACCAGAGCATTGTTACCTACGAGGTGGTCCTTAAATGAATAGGAGTAATTAAAGAGACAAGTGAAAGGAAAAATCTTATATTTCAATGAGGGATTTTTGGCCACGTCTATGAAGAAAACAGTTTCTTGAGAAGATTGGAACACCCTACATTGAACTAACTAGCTTTTGGGTTTTTTTTTAAACCTGTGAAGCTTCCCTAGTTTGCTTTGTTTTACCTAGTCTTTCTTTTCTTCTGGTCTTAGCACTGGAAATCAAAGGCATGTAATTAAGCGATGCTTAGGGAATGAAATACAGTTACTTAATTTCCCTTTTGTTTCTTAAATCAACATTATCATTTGTCATTTTAACTCAGTCTAACCCCAATTGATGTATATTTTATACTTATAGTTTAAATACAATCAATGAACAATAGATGCCTGTGTATTCTAATAGAAATCTTTAAGTAGTATAAACAAGTCACTAGCTCAATAATGACAAGTTGCTTACCACGAAGAATGTAGTGAAGAAATTGTAAAGCTTTGTCTTTGTTTACACGTGTGAATTAATATTTTAAAATTTGTTCTTGGAGGATTGTGAACCAGTGTCCCTTTTTAAGCCCCTTTCACCTTTTACCAAATGAGAACATCATCCCTAATATTGCTTTGCTCTTCTCTATTTTCTGTTGAATGAATAAGCCTACCCTTTTTCAAATATGATTATCCTCTTCTTCAGTTTTACTATTCCTGTGGAATTAGATCTCCTTATCAAGTACAGCAGTTCAATAATAGCTTTCCTTAAATAGGTACATGAAGGTCAACTTGAGACTTCCTTCTCCACAGGGATCAAAAAAAGGTATGAAATGCCATTACAGCCTAAATTCTGATTGTCTCTAACCAAGCGAAAGGTATTTTTATAAATAAATCTAGGTTTATAACGGATAGTTTAGCACAAGCAAAAAAGGGAATCAATAAGAAAAGTGAAAACAAGTATCAGTCAATGAATATTAACAGCTTAATATTAAAAAGACCATATGAATTCATAGCAACTGTATATAGTATTATTTCAGAACCTTTATTCTTAATAAAAGAGACAACATTATTGTCATATGTGGTGCAGTTGGTTCTTTCAGTAGATGCTTAACTCTAACATCTGTTTTCATACAACGTAAACTAAAGCAATTTACAGACATGACTATAAATAAACAGCATGCTTATATGTCTGCATATTTTGTAAGCCCTTTGAATACACCATTTATTGCTCTTACAACTATCAGAATGCCAAGAATTTTCCTCTCTACCACCTGCAATAGAATTTGTGTAAAATTATCTTTATAATTTCCCAGATGGTAAGATAGACAAGTATTTTAAGTGTAAATTGATAAGATCCCCCTATCGAAAGATATAGAATACTTGCTAAATTGCTTAAGTTCCTTATAGAGTCTGGGTATTAGACCTCTGCTGGATGCATAGCTTGTGAATATTTTCTCCCATTCTGTAGGTGGCTAGTTTATCTTGCTGTGCAGAATCTCTTCAATTTAATTAGGTCCCACTCGTCAATATTTGTTTTTATTGCAATTGTTTTTAGGGACTTAGCCAAAAATTCTTTGCTAATGTTGATGTCAAGAATGGTATTTTCTAGGGTTTCTTCTCAGATTTTTATTTATTTATTTATTTATTTATTTGAGAGGGAGTCTCGCTCTGTAGCCCAGGCTGGAGTGCAGTGGCGCGATCTCGGCTCACTGCAAGCTCCACCTCCCGGGTTCACTCCATTCTCCTGCCTCAGCCTCTCCGAGTAGCTGGGACTACAGGCCCCCGCCACAACCCTGGCTAATTTTTTGAATTTTTAGTAGAAACGGGGTTTCACCGTGGTCTCAATCTCCTGACCTCGTGATCCGCCCGTCTCGGACTCGCAAAGTGCTGGGATTACAAGCGTGAGCCACCACGCCCAGCTCTTCTCAGATTTATATAATGTGAGGTTTATTATTATTATTATTATTATTATTATTATTATACTTTAAGTTTTAGGGTACATATGCACAATGTGCAGGTTAGTTACATATGTATACATGTGCCATGCTGGTGTGCTGCACCCATTAACTCCTCATTTAGCGTTAGATATATCTCCTAATGCTATCCCTCCCCCCTCCCCCCACCCCGCAACAGTCCCCAGAGTGTAATGTTCCCCTTCCTCTGTCCATGTGTTCTCATTGTTCAATTCCCACCTATGAGTGAGAACATGCGGTGTTTGGTTTTTTGTCCTTGTGATAGTTTACTGAGAATGATGGTTTCCAGCTTCATCCATGTCCCTACAAAGGACATGAACTCATCATTTTTTATGGCTGTATAGCATTCCATGGTGTATATGTGCCACATTTTCTTAATCCAGTCTATCATTGTTGGACATTTGGGTTGGTTCCAAGTCTTTGCTATTGTGAATAGTGCCACAATAAACATAC
This sequence comes from Homo sapiens, assembly GCF_000001405.40. NCBI lineage: Eukaryota > Metazoa > Chordata > Mammalia > Primates > Hominidae > Homo > Homo sapiens. The sequence continues at coordinate 95,060,260 of NC_000003.12, forward strand.
GTGTGCCAGTGTTTTTATAGCAGCATGATTTATAGTCCTTTGAGTATATACCCAGTAATGGGATGGCTGGGTCAAATGGTATTTCTAGTTCTAGATCCCTGAGGAGTTGCCACACTGACTTCCACAATGGTTGAACTAGTTTACAGTTCCACCAACAGTGTAAAAGTGTTCCTATTTCTCCACATCCTCTCCAGCACCTGTTGTTTCCTGACTTTTTAATGATTGCCATTCTACCTGGTGTGAGATGGTATCTCATTGTGGTTTTGATTTGCATTTCTCTGATGGCCAGTGATGGTGAGCATTTTTTCATGTGTTTTTTGGCTGCATAAATGTCTTCTTTTGAGAAGTGTCTGTTTATGTCCTTCACCCAATTGTTGATGGGGTAGTTTGTTTTTTTCTTGTAAATTTGTTTGAGTTCATTGTAGATTCTGGATATTAGCCCTTTGTCAGATGAGTAGGTTGTGAAAATTTTCTCCCATTTTGTAGGTTGCCTGTTCACTCTGATGGTAGTTTCTTTTGCTGTGCAGAAACTCTTTAGTTTAATGAGATCCCATTTGTCAGTTTTGGCTTTTGTTGCCATTGCTTTTGGTGTTTTAGACATGAAGTCCTTACCCATGCCTATGTCCTGGAATGGTAATGCCTAGGTTTTCTTCTAGGGTTTTTATGGTTTTAGTTCTAACGTTTAAGTCTTTAATCCATCTTGAAATTAATTTTTGTATAAGGTGTAAGGAAAGGATCCATTTTCAGCTTTCTACATATGGCTAGCCAGTTTTCCCAGCACCATTTATTAAATAGGGAATCGTTTACCCATTGCTTGTTTTTCTCAGGTTTGTCAAAGATCAGATAGTTGTAGATATGCAGCATAATATTTCTGAGGACTCTGTTGTGTTCTATTGATCTATATCTCTGTTTTGGTACCAGTACCATGCTGTTTTGGTTACTGTAGCCTTGTAGTATAGTTTGAAGTCAGGTAGCCTGATGCCTCCAGCTTTCTTCTTTTGGCTTAGGATTGGCTTGGCGATGTGGGCTCTTTTTTGGTTCCATATGAACTTTAAAGTAGTTTTTTCCAATTCTGTGAAGAAAGTCATTGGTAGCTTGATGGGGATGGCATTGAATCTAAAAATTACCTTGGGCAATATGGCCATTTTCATGATATTGATTCTTCCTACCCATGAGCATGGAATCTTCTTCCATTTGTTTGTATCCACTTTTATATAATTGAGCAGTGGTTTGTAGTTCTCCTTGAAGAGGTCCTTCACGTCCCTTGTAAGTTGGAGTCCTAGGTATTTTATTCTCTTTGAAGCAATTGTGAATGGGAGTTCACTTATGATTTGGCTCTCTGTTTGTCTGTTGTTGATGTATAAGAATGCTTGTGATTTTTGTACACTGATTTTATATCCTGAGACTTTGCTGAAGTTGCTTATCAGCTTAAGAAGATTTTGGGCTGAGACAATGGGGTTTTCTAAATATACAATCATGTCATCTGCAAACAGGCACAATTTGACTTCCTCTTTTCCTAATTGAATACCCTTTATTTCCTTCTCCTGCCTAATTGTCCTGGCCAGAACTTCCAACACTATGTTGAACAGGAGTGGTGAGAGAGGGCATCCCTGTCTTGTGCCAGTTTTCAAAGGGAATGCTTCTAGTTTTTGCACATTCAGTGTGATATTGGCTGTGGGTTTGTCATAGATAGCTCTTATTATTTTGAGATATGTCCCATCAATACCTAATTTATTGAGAGTTTTTAGCATGAAGGGTTGTTGAATTTTGTCAAAGGCCTTTTCTGCGTCTATTGAGATAATCATGTGGTTTTTGTCTTTGGTTCTGTTTATATGCTGGATTACATTTATTGATTTGTGTATATTGAACCAGCCTTGCATCCCTGGGATGAAGCCCACTTGATCATGGTGGATAAGCTTTTTGATGTGTTTCTGGATTGGGTTTGCAAGTATTTTACTGAGGATTTTTGCATCAATGTTCATCAAGGATATTGGTCTAAAATTCTCTTTTTTGGTTGTGTCTCTGCCCGGCTTTGGTATCAGGATGATGCTGGCCTCATCAAATGAGTTAGGGAGGATTCCCTCTTTTTCTATTGATTGGAATAGTTTCAGAAGGAATGGTACCTGTTCCTCCTTGTACCTCTGGTAGAATTCGGCTGTGAATCCATCTGGTCCTGGACTCTTTTTGGTTGGTAAGCTATTGATTATTGCCACAATTTCAGAGCCTGTTATTGGTCTATTCAGAGATTCAACTTCTTCCTGGTTTAGTCTTGGGAGGGTGTATGTGTCGAGGAATTTATCCATTTCTTCTAGATCTTCTAGTTTATTTGCGTAGAGGTGTTTGTAGTATTCTCTGATGGTAGTTTGTATTTCTGTGGGATTGGTGGTGATATCCCCTTTATCATTTTTTATTGTGTCTATTTGATTCTTCTCTCTTTTCTTCTTTGTTAGTCTTGCTGGCGGTCTATCAATTTTGTTGATCCTTTCAAAAAACCAGCTCCTGGATTCATTAATTTTTGGAAGGGTTTTTTGTGTCTCTATTTCCTTCAGTTCTGCTCTGATTTTAGTTATTTCTTGCCTTCTGCTAGCTTTTGAATGTGTTTGCTCTTGCTTTTCTAGTTCTTTTAATTGTGATGTTAGGGTGTCAATTTTGGAACTTTCCTGCTTTCTCTTGTGGGTGTTTAGTGCTATAAATTCCCCTCTACACACTGCTTTGAATGTGTCCCAGAGATTCTGGTATGTTGTGCCTTTGTTCTCGTTGGTTCCAAACAACATCTTTATTTCTGCCTTCATTTCGTTATGTACGCAGTAGTCATTCAGGAGCAGGTTGTTCAGTTTCCATGTAGTTGAGTGGTTTTGAGTGAGTTTCTTAATCCTGAGTTCTAGTTTGATTGCACTGTGGTCTGAAAGACAGTTTGTTATCATTTCTGTTCTTTTACATTTGCTGAGGAGTGCTTTACTTCCAACTATGTGGTCAATTTTGGAATAGGTGTGGTGTGGTGGTGAAAAGAATGTATATTCTGTTGATTTGGGGTGGAGAGTTCTGTAGATGTCTATTAGGTCCACTTGGTGAAGAGCTGAGTTCAATTCCTGGATATCCTTGTTAACTTTCTGTCTCGTTGATCTGTCTAATGTTGACAGTGGGGTGTTAAAGTCTCCCATTATTATTGTGTGGGAGTCTAAGTCTCTTTGTAGGTCACTCAGGACTTGCTTTATGAATCTTGGTGCTCCTGTATAGGGTGCATATATATTTAGGAGAGTTAGCTCTTCTTGTTGAATTGATGCCTTTACCATTGCATAATGGCCTTCTTTGTCTCTTTTGATCTTTGTTGGTTTAAAGTCTGTTTTATCAGAGACTAGGATTGCAACCCCTGCCTTTTTTTGTTTTCCATTTGCTTGGTAGATCTTCCTTCAACCTTTTGTTTTGAGCCTATGTGTGTCTCTGCACGTGAGATGGGTTTCCTGAATACAGCACACTAATGGGTCTTGTCTCTTTATCCAATTTGCCGGTCTGTGTCTTTTAATTGGAGCATTTAGTCCATTTACATTTAAGGTTAATATTGTTGTGTGAATTTGATCCTTTCATTATGATGTTAACTGGTTATTTTGCTCATTAGTTGATGGAGTTTCTTCCTGGGTTCGAAGGTCTTTACAATTTGGCATGATTTTGCAGTGGCTGGTACCGGTTGTTCCTTTCCATGTTTAGTGCTTCCTTCAGGTGCTCTTTTAGGGCAGGCCTGGTGGTGGCAAAATCTCTCAGCATTTGCTTATCTGTAAAGGATTTTATTTCTCCTTCACTTATGAAGCTTAGTTTGGCTGGATATGAAATTCTGGGTTGAAAATTCTTTTCTTAAAAATGTTGAATGTTGGCCTCCACTCTCTTCTGGCTTGTAGAGTTTCTGACAAGAGGTCCGCTGTTAGCCTGATGGGCTTCCCTTTGTGGGTATCCCAACCTTTCTCTCTGGCTGCCCTTAACATTTTTTCCTTCATTTCAACTTTGGTGAATGTGACAATTACGTGTCTTGGAGTTGCTCTTCTCGAGGAGTATCTTCGTGGCATTCTCTGTATTTCCTGAATCTGAATGTTGGCCTGCCTTGCTAGATTGGGGAAGTTCTCCTGCATAATATCCTGCAGAGTGTTTTCCAACTTGGGTCCATTCTCCTCATCACTTTCAGGTACACCAATCAGACGTAGATTTGGTCTGTTCACATAGTCCCGTATTTCTTGGAGTCTTTGTTCATTTCTTTTTATTCTTTTTTCTCTAAACTTCCCTTCTCACTTCATTTCATTCATTTCATCTTCCATCACTGATACCCTTTCTTCCAGTTGATCGCGTCGGCTCCTGAGGCTTCTGCATTCTTCACGTAGTTCCCGAGCCTTGGCTTTCAGCTCCATCAGCTCCTTTAAGCACTTCTCTGTATTGGTTAATCTAGTTATACATTTGTCTAAATTTTTTTCAAAGTTTTTAACTTCTTTGCCTTTGGTTTGAATTTCCTCCTGTCGCTGGGAGTAGTTTGATCGTCTGAAGCCTTCTTCTCTCAGCTCATCAAAGTCATTCTCCGTCCAGCTTTGTTCCATTGCTGGTGAGGAACAGCGTTCCTTTGGAGGAGGAGAGGTGCTCTGCTTTTTAGAGTTTCCCGTTTTTCTGCTCTGTTTGTTCCCCATCTTTGTGGTTTTATCTACTTTTGGTCTTTGATGATGGTGATGTAGAGATGGGTTTTTGGTGTGGATGTCCTTTCTGTTTGTTAGTTTTCCTTCTAACAGACAGGACCCTCAGCTGCAGGTCTGTTGGAGTTTGCTAGAGGTCCACTCCAGACCCTGTTTGCCTGGGTATCAGCAGCGGTGGCTGCAGAACAGTGGATTTTCGTGAACCGTGAATGCTGCTGTCTGATCGTTCCTCTGGAAGTTTTGTCTCAGAGGAGTACCCGGCCATGTGAGGTGTCAGTCTGCCCCTACTGGGGGGTGCCTCCCAGTTAGGCTGCTCGGGGGTCAGGGGTCAGGGACCCACTTCAGGAGGCAGTCTGCCCCTTCTCAGATCTCCAGCTGCATGCTGGGAGAACCACTGCTCTCTTCAAAGCTGTCAGACAGGGACAGTTAAGTCTGCAGAGGTTACTGCTGTCTTTTTGTTTGTCTGTGCCCTGCCCCCAGAGGTAGAACCTACAGAGGCAGACAGGCTTCCTTGTGCTGTGGTGGGCTCCACCCAGTTCAAGCTTCCAGGCTGCTTTGATTACCTAAGCAAGCCTGGGCAATGGCAGGTGCCCCTCCCCCAGCCTCACTGCCGCCTTGCAATTTGATCTCAGACTGCTGTGCTAGCAATCAGCGAGACTCCATGGGCGTAGGACCCTCTGAGCCATGTGCGGGATATAATCTCCTGGTGCGCCGTTTTTTAAGCCCATTGGAAAAGCACAGTATTCGGGTGGGAGTGACCCGATTTTCCAGGTGCCATCTGTCACCCCTTTCTTTGACTAGGAAAGGGAACTCCCTGACCCCTTGCACTTCCCGAGTGAGGCAATGCCTCGCCCTGCTTTGGCTCGCGCATGGTGCGCTGCACCCACTGTCCTGCGCCCACTGTCTGGCACTCCCTAGTGAGATGAACCCGGTACCTCAGATGAAATGCAGAAATCACCCGTCTTCTGCATCGCTCACGCTGGGAGCTGTAGACTGGAGCTGTTCCTATTCGGCCATCTTGGCTCTCACCATAATGTGAGGTCTTACATTTAAATCTTTTATCTGTCTCGAGTTAATTTTTGTATATGTTGAAAGGTAAGTGTCTAGTTTTACTCTTCTGCATGTGGCTAGCCAGTTACCACAGCACCATTTATTGAATAGCGTATCCTTTCGCTATTGCTTGCTTTTGCCAACCTTCTCAAAGTTCAGATTATTGTACATGTGTGGCTTTATTTCCAGGTTCTCTATTCTGCTCCATTGGTCTATGTGTCTGTTTTTATCCCAGTACCATGCTCTTTTGGTTACTGTAGCCTTATGGTAGGGTTTGAAGTCAGCTAGTGTGATGCTTCCAGTTTTTTTCTTTTTGTTTAGGATTTTTTTGGTTATTTGGACTCTTTTATTATATATGAATTTTAGAATAGTTGTTCCTAATTCTGCAAAGAATGATGTTGGTAGTTTGATAGAAATAGTGTTGAATCTGTAAATTGATTTGGGCAGTGTGGACATTTTAATGATATTAATTCTTTCAATCCATGAGCATGAAATGTTTTTTCATCTATTTGGGTCATCTCTGATTTCTTTCAGCAGTGTTTCATCATTCTCCTTGTACATATGTTCAACCACTTTGGCTTGCTGTATTCTCAATTAAAAAATGGACAAAGGGTCGGTTGTGGTGTCTCACGCCTGGAATCCCAGCACTTTGGGAGGCGAAGGCAAGTGGATCACATGAGGTCAGGAGTTCGAGACCAGCCTGGCCAACATGACAAAACACCATCTCTACTAAAAACACAAAAATTAGCCAGGTGTGGTGGTGCAGGCTTGTAATCTCAGCTACTTGGGAGGCTGAGGCAGGAGGATAACTTGAACCACAGAAGCAGAAGTTGCAGTGAGTCAAGATTGCACCACTGCATTCCAGCCTGGGCAACAGGGCATGACTCCATCAAAAAAAAAATGGGCAAAGGACATGAACAGACACTTCTCAAAAGAAGATATACAAGTGGCCAATAAACATATGAAAAACATGCTCATCCTAACTAATCAACAGAGAAACACAAATCAAAACCAAAATGAGATACCACATCACACAAGTCAGAATGGCTGTTACTGAAAAGAACACACACACACACCACACAAACACACACACACAGAGATAATGGAGAGGCTACAGAAAAAAGGGAATACTTATACACTGTAGGTGGAAATGCAATTTAGTTTAGCTACTGTAGAATGCAGTTTAGAGATTTCTCAAAGAACTTAAAACAGAGCTAACACTCAACCTAGCAATCTTATTATTGGGTATATAAGCAAAGGAAAATAGATCATTATACCCAAAAGACACACAGACTAGTATGTTCATCACCTAGCTATTTACAAAAGCAAAGACATGGAATCAACCTAGATCCCCATCAATGTTTAATTGGATAAAAAAAAATTTACATATACATCATAGAATACAATGCAACTATAAAAAAAGAACAAAGTCACATTCTCTGCATCAACAACTATGGAGCTGGAGGCCATCATCCTAGGCAAACTAATGCAGGTACAGAAAAACAAGTAGTGTATATTCTCACTTATAAGAAGGTTGTAAACATTGACCACAAATGGACAAAAACATACAAAGAATCAAAACTGCAGACTACTAGAGGGAGTAGAAAAGGAAGGGGCATGGTTTTGGGGTGCAATTGGTTTTTTGGGTGCAATATGCCCTGAAGCAAACCTGCAAATGTACCACCAGGATCTAAAATAATAGTTGAAAAAAAAAAAAAACTACTGTGGCGAAATGGATTTTTTTTTAAGCCAACAACAAAAAAACAAGACAAAATGTAAATCTAACTATATGCTGTCTACAATAAACCTGCTTTAGGTTTAAGGATATTCATAGCCTAAAAGGAAGGAGTAAAAAAAATATATTTCATGCAAATAGTAAACAAAGGGGAGAAGTCACATAAGTGGTTTTACTTGTATCAGACAAAATAGATTTCCACTCAAAATTGGCCACAAGAGACAAAGAGGGACATTATGATGGTAAAGGGGCCAATTTACTGGAAGATATAACAATTATAAATATATGTGCACTCAACATCAGAGCGCTTAAATCTGTAAAGCATATACTGACAGAACTTAAGGGAGAAATAGATAGCAGTACAATAATAGTGAGAGACTTTAATAGTTCATATTCCATAATTAATAGAACAACTAGATAGAAAATAAACAAAATAGCAACCTTTAGCAGCAATATACACACAGCCTTCAACTTACAATGGTTCTACTAATTACTTTTTCAACTTACCATGTGTTTTTTGGAACTTAACTCCATAGTAAGAAGAGGAGAATCTGGTCTTATGATGATTTGACTTATAATATTTTGACCTCATGGTATATTTACCAAGGGAATAAGTGCATTTTTGACTTACAATTTGTTGTTCAGGACATAACCCATCTTAAAAGTCAGGGAGCATTTGTAGACCAAATGGACATACCAGATCTTTGCATAACATACTACCCAACAGCAGCTGAATATACATTCTTCTCAAGCACAAGGAAACTTCTCCAGGATAGATCACATGTTAACTTACAAAACAAGACTTAATAATACTTATAAAATCTCAACTCATACCAAGTTATCTTTTCTAACCAAAATTGAATTCTACTAGACATCAATAACATAAGAAGAACAGGAAATTTTCAACTAAGAAGAAATTAAGCAACACATCCTCACCCCTGAATAATCAATGAGTCAAAGAAAAAAATCGAAAGAAAAACTAACAGACACTTCTCAAAAGAAGACATTTATGAAGCCAAAAAACACATGAAAAAATGCTTATCATCACTGGCCATCAGAGAAATGCAAATCAAAACCACAGTGAGATACCATCTCACACCAGTTAGAATGGCGATCATTAAAAAGTCAGGAAACAACAGGTGCTGGAGAGGATGTGGAGAAATAGGAACACTTTTACACTGTTGGTGGGACTGTAAACTAGTTCAACCCTTGTGGAAGACGGCATGGCGATTCCTCAGGGATCTAGAACTAGAAATACCATTTGACCCAGCCATCCCATTACTGGGTATATACCCAAAGGACTATAAATCATGCTGCTATAAAGACACTGGCACACGTATGTTTATTGTGGCACTATTCACAATAGCAAAGACTTGGAACCAACCCAATTGTCCAACAATGATAGACTGGATTAAGAAAATGTGACACATATACACCATGGAATGCTATACAGCCATAAAAAATGATGAGTTCATGTCCTTTGTAGGGACATGGATGAAGCTGGAAACCATCATTCTCAGTAAACTATCACAAGGACAAAAAACCAAACACCGCATGTTCTCACTCATAGGTGGGAATTGAACAATGAGAACACATGGACATAGGAAGGGGAACATCACACATTGGGGACTGTTGCGGGGTGGGGGGAGGGGGGAGGGATGGCATTAGGAGATATACCTAATGCTAAATGACTAGTTGATGGGTGCAGCACACCAACATGGCACATGTATACATATGTAACAAACCTGCACAATGTGCACATGTACCCTAAAACTTAAAGTATAATAATAAGAAGAATAATAAAAAGAAAAACTAGAAAATAACTTGTAACAAATAAAAATAAAAACATAAAACACCAAAACTTATGAGATGCAGCAAAAGCAGACTACAAGAGACATTTATAGTGATGTATCGACATTGAAAAATAAGAAAGATATTACATAAGCAATCTAAGTTTACACCTCAAGGAATTAAAAAAAGAAGAACAAAGTGTTCACAAATCTAGCAACTGGAAGGAAATGATAAAATTATAACAGAAACCGAGGACAAAGAGAGTAGAAAAAAATAAACAAAACTAAGAGTTCGTTTGTGAAAAAGATAAACAAGTTGACAACCCTTTTTCTAGACTAACTGGAAAAGAAAGACTCAAATAAAATCAGAAATAAGAGAGGAAAATTCAGACATTATAACTGATGCCACAAAATTTAATGAAATGATCATAAGATACATGTATGAACAATTATACACCAAAAAACTAGATAATCTAACAGAAATAGATAAACTTTTAAAACATACACCCTACCAAAGCAAAATTATCAAAGTATAGAAAGTCTGAAAGACCTGTATGTAGTATGAAGTTTATAGTAGTAAATAACAAACTTCCATTTTAAAAAAGCCCAGGACCAAATGGCATCACTGGTGAATTCTACCTAACAGTTAAATATTTTCATTCCTTACTGTTTGAGGATTGTTTTTCAACAATCTCAAACTTTTCCAAAAATTCCAAAAATTCAAGAGAAGGGAACACTTTCAAACTAAATTTATGAGGCCTGCATTACCCTAACACCAAAGCCTGACAAAGACACTACTAGAAAATCAAACAGTGGGCCAATATCCCTGATAAATACAGATGTAAAAGTTCTTGACAAAATACTAGTAAATGGAATTCAACAGCATCTTGAAAGGATTATACACCATGACCAAGTAAGATATGTGAGTAGGATGCAAAGATAGTTCAGCATACCAAAATTAACTAATGTGATACAACACATTAACAAATGGAAAGATAAAAATTATACAATCATCTCAATAGGTACACAAAAGTATTTGATAAAATTTAATACCTTTTTATAATAAAAACTTTCAACAAAACTAGGATTGGGAGGAAATTACCTCAACATAATGAAGACTAAATATGACAGTCCCACAGCTAGCATTTTATTTAATAATGAAAAATTGAAAACCCTTTCTCTGAGATCACAAACAAGGCAAGGATGCCCACTCTCACCACTTCTATTCAACACAGTACTGAAAGTCTTAGCCAGAGGAATTAAGCAAGAACAAGAAATAAGGGCTATGAAATCAAAAAGGAATAAGTGAAATTGTCCCTTTACACATGACATGATCTTGTGTATAGAAACCACTCAAGACCCCATTTAAAAACTTTTAGAAATAATAAATGAATTAAGAGAGCTTCCAGGATATAGATTCAGTATTTATATATCAGTTGTATTTATATACACTAACAACAAATTGAAAAGGAAACTGTGACAATAATTCCATTTACAATAGTACAAAAAAGTATGATTAAAAATAAACTTAAGTAAATGAGCAACTTATAAACTAAAAACTAGAAAATAGTGATGAAAAATTAAACACAATCCAAATAAATAGAAAGATATATTTATGAATTGGAATTTTTAATATTGTGAAATTCTCCATGCTAACCAAAGCAATTTATGGATTCAATGCAATTCATATCAAAATCTCAATAGCAATTATTTGTTAAAAAACCTAAAATTCATATGAAACCAAAAAAGGACACCAAATAGCCAAATAAATCTTAAGAAAGAGCAGCAAAGCTGGAGGCATCACATTTCCTGATTTCAAGCAATACAAAGCTACAGCAATTAAAAATAATATGGTACTGGCATAAAGACAGACACACAGGTCAGTGGAACAGAATAGAGAGCCCAGAGAGAAAACCACACATATACAGACAACTATATTTCAACAAAGTTGCCAGGAGTACACAATGAAGATAGGATAGCCACCTGAACAAATGGTGTTGGGGTAACTGGAAATCCATATGCAAAAGAAAAATGTTTAACTTTATATTACATTACAAAAAATCAATTCAAAGTAAAGACTTAAACATAAAATCTGATAAAATCTGAAACTGTAAAACTTATAGAAGAAAACATAGCATAAAAACTTTATGACATTGGCCTTGGCATTACTATGATCTCACATCTGTTAAGATAGCTATTATCAAAACAAAAAAGGGCCAGTCTTAGTGAGGATGTGGAGAAATTGGAAACCTAATATACTGCTGGTAAGAATACAGTATGTGATTCATACAGCTGGTGAGAATGGTTCCGCCACTACTTAAAACAGCATGGAGGCTTCTCAAAAAATTAAAAATGGACCTACTATATAATACAACAATTCCACTTCTTCGGGGTATTTATCCAAAAGAATTGAAATCAGAATGTTCAAGAGATATTAGCACTCCCATATTTATTTGCAGCACTATTTGCTATAGCTAAGAAGTGAAAGCAACCTAAATGTCCATTGATGGATGAATGATGACATATACAAGAAATATTATCTAGCCTTAAAAAAGAAATTCTGCAATGTGTGACAACACGAAGAACCTGGTGGACATCATGTGAAGTGGAATAGGTTAGTCACCAAAGGACAAATATTGCATGATTCCACTTATACAGTTAAATTTATAGAATCAAGGAGTGGAATGGTGGTTGACAGGGCTGAGAGGGGGAAATGGGAAATTGTTAATTAATGGTATAAAATATGATTTATACAATATAAGTTATAAAGGTCTTCTGAACAACATTGTGTGAATAGTTAACATTATGTTTTATACACTTACACTTACAATGTATTAGGAGGAGAACTATCATATTGTGTTTTTTCCACAATGAAATAAATTTTTTAAAAAATTTATGTTAACTGTGCAGATTTATATGTCTAATCATGGTAAAGTGAGAATATTGATCCATTGATCCTGGTTTAATGAATATCTCATATAAAAGTATATACAATGAAAGCTACATACATATATATGTGTATGTTTGTATATTGGTTTACATATCTAACATTTCAAAATTTTTAGACCTTTAGGTATATGACAAATTAATCTTCCTGAATAAACGTGGAAAGCCTCAGTAATTTTGATGATGACAATAAGTTATTTGTACGCTTTTGGTAACTTGGTTTTAGATTAATTTGAACCTAGCTATGGGTTGTCTTTCTGAAACACAGAGGGTAGTTGATACACTGAGTAGCCTCTCCATGTAGTTACTGTTGTAAGTTTGAAAATGGGTTTGTTTCATAGATTAGAATAATGTCTCTCCACAGATTCCCTTTAGTTCATTTTAAAGGTTCCTACCAAACATATCTATGTTAGCATCGTTTCAAGTTTCTATCTAATGTGCTAAGATAATAGAAAAACTGGAAAATGAGGGATGTGTTTAATCTGGATTCATAGTACTTCTTGTGTGACCTTGCTAGAGGAACCACTCCTATTTTTTCATATTCTAGTACTTTCTCCATTTTTATTAGTACATCATTGAGAGATAAACATAGGGATATCACACAGATATTTATATATTTATTTTGTGGTCATCTATGGAGATGAGCTAGATCCCCTCCCAATGAATAAGCTGAAAGTTTAGTCTGATAACATTGCACACCAAAAAAGTACACAGCAAAGTTTAGTACTCACACAAGAGAAACCTAGGGAGAGGAGGACAGGCACAAATAAGTCCAGGCTGCCTTGAGTTAGGTATTTCAGTGGTTAGAGAGTACACTAGAGAGTCAGCAACAAAGGGATCCTAGGGGCACAGGCATTCTTACCAGCTTGCCCAGATACCAGGCAGAGGGGGAGTGAAGAGGTGGCCATGAAAGCTGCCAGCACCTGAGCGCGGTGGCTCACTTCTGTAATCCTAGCACTTTGGGAGGTGGAGGTGGGTAGATCTCTTGACCTCAGGAGTTCGAGGCCAGTCTGGGCAACATGGTGAAATCTCATCTCTACAAAAAATACAAAATTATCAAGACATGGTGGCTCGTGCGTGTAGTGCCATCTACTTGGGGGACTGAGGCAGGAGGAGGCTTGAGCCCAGGAGGCAGTGGTTACTGTGAGCCAAGATTGTGCCACTTGCACTCCAGCCTGGGGACGGAGTGAGACCCTGTCTAAAAAAAAAAAAAATTCTGTTGGCATCAAATATTAAAAGTGGATTCAGATATAGCAATCATATTAATAATATTTAAGGATGAATATACTTTGTAAAGGTATAAGAAATAAATAAAAATTATTGTGCTTACCTGTTTCCTGCCTGTAAACCAATAAATGTATTTTACAAAATGAAGTAAGAGGAAATCAAGATCTCTATTCATTAACAAATTACACATATGCTTCATTCTATATCCAAGTATATTATGATGTCGAGAAAAAAATAATGAAGTTGGAAAAAATGTTACAGATGTTGAAAGACAAGAAGCCACCTGAATGGGATGTGAAAATAGTCAACACAGCAGGTCAGACAGGAGAAAATTGAGTCAAAATGAAATTAACACAATAGACTTAAAGTCCATTCAAGAAACAGGAGTAATGACTGACATTAGGACAGATAATATACTCAAGAATGTAGAAATTAGGAACTGAAGAAATAATGTGTTGCAAATTTTAATTCTGAAGGTAGGAAGCTCACTGATTTTATAAGAAGTGGAATACGAATGGTTTATTCTTTACGCAGCAAAATCCAAGGACTAAGTTTTCCTAATGATATATGACTATTACAGTGTTTTTGTTTTGGTTTGTTTTGACAGCCTGCAACTGTGTTTACTCAATTTCACTATATTTGAAGCTGTCATCTTATAATGTGAATGGATTTTCTGAATACAGCTAACTCAATAGAATGCTGTTAGCTCCTGAATAACTCTTGACCTGGGTCTTTATATACATTTGCCATTAAACATAATTCAATGTTATCTAACTTTGGGTAGCATGAACACTTTCTCTATAATCTGGCACCACTAAATGGAAGAATTAGTAAGGTTCTTGACTTTGGTGATATGTATGTTCTTGTCTATGGTGACCTCACTGAATCTGGCAACCTTTAAAACTAATCATCACAAATGTTGTAATGCATTTCTCATATCAGCTTCGCTTTAAATATATTAAATGTAGGCCAGGGGGACAATGAAAAGTTACTTAATGGGTACATTGTGTGTTATTCGGGTGATGGATACACTAAAAACCCTGACTTCACCACTACACCATATATTCATGTAACAAAATTACACTTTTGTCCCATAAATTTCTTCAGACAAAAATAGGAAAGCTGTAGACCTGGATTAGATCATGTCTGCTTATTTGATTTCTGCCACTTTTTAAAACATAGAAACAACCAGTAAAATCTGGGAAAAACTGAGTTTATATAGTTATTGATCATGATTTAGGGACAAAAAGTTTTGTCATATGGTCAGTAGAAAACAAATGAAGACCATGAATTGAAATAATATAACATTCTATCTTTCAAAATTAGATTACTGTAATGAGGCAATGAATAAAATACAATATTATGTTTCAAGAAATTTGCTTTTGGGGTAGCCTGCAGCCAAAGAAAATTAGCCTATATTTTTTACACAATGCACATGAGTCCAGGTTCTCCAGCTTTCAGGGTTCACCCTTTGAATAATATGTAACAAACACTATCCAAGCCTCCAAACTGACTAACTGCAGAATTTTCCGTTTTTATTTCACTGTTCTTTAGCATCACTTATTTCCTTAATAAATTGTTCACAAGTGATAGAAATCTGATATAGTTTTCTCCTTGTTATATTTTTCTAAGAACTAATGCTCCATATTTATCACTTCACCTCTTTACTTTTTGTAACTAAGTTCTTTTGTGTATGTTTTAGTCTGTTTGTGCTGCTGTAACAAAATATCTGATACTGGGTCATTCACAAATAATATAAATTTATTTCTCTGAGTTCTGAAGGCTGAGAAGTCCAAGATCAAGGTGCCAGCAGAATTAGTGTCTGGTCTGGCACCTTCTGGTAAGGGCTGCTCTCTGCTTCCAAGATGACACTTTGTCATTGAATCCTCAGGAGTGGGGGAACACTATGTTCTCACATGACAAAGGGGATAGAAGGGCCAGAGAATGCTCTCTTCAACTTCTAGCCCTTTTTACAAGGGTGCTAAACCCATTAATGAGGGTACAGCTCTTGTGACTTCATCACCCACCTAGGGCCACATCTCTTAATCGTGTTGTATTGGGGATTAAGTTTCAATATGAACTTTGGAGGGGACACCATCTATCAAACCATAACTCTGCATTTTGCTCCAACCTAATTCCCTAATGTCCAGCATATTCTGAGCTGAAGCACTATTGATAGAGTTTAGGAATACTGTAAGGAAATCGCAGTGATGTCACAAAGTCCATTGTATTCACATGTATACACACTCATAGATAACTTGTATCATGCTCCCTAAGAAGTATGTATTCCTTATCTCCTTAATAGTATATTGTCAACATTTCCCACATTATTAAATATTCTGAAATATTATATTAATTCCTACAAATTATTCCATGACATGAAAACACCGTAATTTTTAAAATCATTCTCTAATAGGAAAACTAAATATTTTCTTTATTATAACAAACACTGAGACAAGTATTATGTACTTTACACATTCTTTTACTCTGACAATTTGGGAAAAATCCACTTTATAAAGAAATATAATAACAGAAATAATCTAGGAAACTTTTCTATTAACTATGGTTTAATATTTAACTAATGCACTTGATATCACCATTTTCAATTCTACAAAAAACTAAAATTAGAAATCAAGACTAGTGTAATTTTTTCAGAGTCCTTGATTGGTGCACTGGTTCTTGTTCATTTTTGTATACAAAGAATACTAAGTGATAAGAAATGATTCTATGTTAATAAGTATTTACACACAAAAAGCAATAACTCATCACCAAATCAAATGTACTTTTAACATCTGTTCATTCCTCTGGCTATATTTATGTAAATAATATATAAATAAAGAATTTAACAGAAGCTTAGATATTGAAGGTTTATAATCACAAGAAGAAAGTGAGCCCAGCATTGCCATGTTTAAACCAATTGGTGGTGGAATCTGACTTTTCTATCTCTTAGTTTAGCATCGTTATTTTATTGAACCTCCATGTAGATACCAAACGTTTGGTTACATATACAGATGTTTAACCAGCAACTAATAATTCAAAATATCTGGTGAATATCTGGTGATTTCCTTAACTTTTTAATACTATGTTGTTTTTCTGATATCTGTAAATTAGTCTAAAATATGTCTTGCCCCAAATCTTCTTTTCTGAGGTTCATTATATTCAAAGAGCTACAACACTTGGACAGAGAAGTTTCAAAGACTGATGTGATCCGAAGCAGGTTTTCTGAGGAAGTTCACGTATTTCTCTAAATACTTTTTAAATTCTCATTTTTTTCCATAAGTGCATTTATTTCAAATATGCACATATTTTTCTTAGAAACATTGTTGGCTGATTAATGTTATTTAGTAGTCACACTGGAGTTTATTCCTTATAAAATATTTATCTAATTTTATTGCTTATTGTTATCAAGGAGTTTACAAAACGGATAAAATGAGTAAACTAAATGAGTAAATTTCACATTTCAGCTTAAGTTTACAATGTGAAGATTTTTAAGTTTTCTTAATGGAAAAATAAAACATAAAATCTCAGTGTGATCACTAGAATGAGATGAGATTTGTTGTGACAGTCACTTCAGAAAAGGGAAAAAGCATAAAATTCCAGCTGTTTGGTTAAAAAGGTTTGTCAGAACTGCTTCAAAATCAGTCAAACAAAGAGCCAGAGTTCTTCATGGAGCTTGCTTTGGCTGATGTAATTAAGAGGTTATTTCCAATGTATATTGTCCATTTGAAGAGCATACATGGAAGGGATCCCAAAGGTATTATTATGGCACTGTGGGAAGGCTGGCTAGATGTTAAAAATGCTCAAAATCACTAATCAGAAAAATGCAAATCAAAACCACATGAGATATTGTCTCACTCTAGTTACAATGGTTTATATCAAAAAGACAGATAGTAACAGATTCTGGCAAGGATGTGGAGAAAGGGGAACTCACATACACGGTTGCTAGGAATGTAAATTAGTATACCCACCATACAGAACAGTATGGAGGTTCCTCAAAAAACTCCACAAGATCCAGTAATTCCACTACTGGGTATATATCCAAAAGAGGAAATTAATATAGTGAAAGGATATGTGCACTCTCCTATTTATTTCCACACTATTCACAATAGCCAAAATATGGGATCAATCTAAGAGCCCATCAATGGATGAATGGGTAAAGAAAATGCGGTGTATATACATAATGGAGTATTATTCGGCCCTAAAAGAATGAAATCCTATCATGTGCAGAAACGCAGATGGAATTGGAGGCCATTATGTTAAGTGAAATAAGCCAAGCTTAGAAAGACAAATATTACGTGTTCTCACTGATATGTGGGAGATCAAAAAGTGGAACCCACGAAGAGAGAGAATAGAATGGTGCTTTCCAGAAGCCTGGAAGAGTAGCAGGGAGTGGCAGATGAAGGGAAAAAAGAATAAAAATATGGTTATTACCATTGAACTGTATACTTAAAAATAGTAAAATGGCAAATTTTATATGTATTTTTTACCTCAATAAAAAACAACATAAAATTTGTTTACAAGTACATGTGAAAACCACAGTAGTAGTCTCTTTCTCGTTCTTTTACATGATGATAAATGAAAAACAAAGACTACCAACATTATTAAAAATTAAACATAGTGTCCTTTCTAGTCTTGCTTTTTCAGAATTGCATGTTACTAGGCACATGTTTTATTTAAAAGAATACAAAGTATACAATCAGTTAGCCTTAAACCTGCACTTGGAGTTTGGCGAGAAACTTACAGTTTTGAGTAGGGAGGACATGGCTGGGTATAAGAAAAGCTTAAAGGTAATAGAATAACTGTCTACACTGTGCCAAGTGCTGATTTTAACCAGACTTTTTGCTCAGAACCCCAAAAATGATACATACTTATTTCCAGTCAACACCTTAAAATATAAAATATTTTAGAGAAGAAATTATATTACTCAGAAACTTCAGACATGGGAAAATGGGAGAATGCTTGCAGTATCAACTATTTTGATTGGAGGAGAGAAGGCAGGAGTTGGGAAGGACAAACAGTTGGCAAGAGAACTATTGATGGAAGCCTGCTTACTTTCTTATGCTCACATATAACAATATGTAATTTGCACTGATATTTTAATTGATAAAAAACTATATGTTAGAAGTCTTACACTAAGGAAAATTTACACTAATGTCTTAAGTAATGACAAAAACAGTGTGCAAATCATCAGTCCTGTTATCTACCCTTGTTTCACAGTGGCACAAATCCAAATTAAAACAATTGAGTCAATCAGTGATCAAAAAGAGATCTCTCTCTCACACACACATACACACACAATTCACATCACTGTCACATCCAAAAAAGAGATGTGTTTTTTGGTTTAGCAAATGCATTGTTGCATTCATTTCCACAACTTAAAAGGAGACAAAATTTGTCACAAAGCCAGAATTATTGAGAAACTCTGTGCTCAATATATTATTTGCGTATTAAGATTGAGCCCCAAAGTTCTCACAGTCATTTATTTAACCTGATGTGTATGTGTATATATGTGTGTGTGTCTGTCTGTCTGTCTGAATTTTCTGTGTTATTTGAGATACATTTTGCCTGCTGATTCTTCATAGTAAATCTTTATACTATTCACATGGCATTCCATTTGGTTGTACTATACAAGATAAATAAATCCATCACTTACAGTAAATTCTAATGTCATCTAAACTATAAGCAATTAGCTAGCATTCAGATTTTTATATTATGGTAAAGTGAATAGCACTATAGACTCTTCAGTGACTCATTTTTTTGTGTGTAGTCAAGGGGGACATTTAGAAGCATACATATCTAAACCTCAACTATTGACTTAATTTTTTGCCTTAATTTTTTAAAGAAAAATAAATCATTTTAGAGTACGAAGAGGTGAATTACAATGCTTGATTGCTACATAGAAAAGTTAATGGAAATACATTTTCCAGGTGAGGGAGTCAAGTATAGCTTTTTATTTAAAATACTGAAAGAAAGGCATTAAGAGTGAGAAAGACCATGGGTCATTTTTTAATGAACCATGTATTACGGTTGACATCTTGAAAAAAAGGGAGTAACTTTGTTGTCAATTCAAGAATCACCTTAAAAGTGAAACACTGTGCACTTAACCTTTACAAAAAGTATATAATGTAGACGACATTTATTTTTTAAATATTTTTGTGAAATGCCAGCTTTAAAGTTACTGTGCAAAATGCCAACCTGAAATGTTGGGTTAAATGACTTCACTAAACAATGTAACTCAGCGACATTTCCCTTTCATTTAATCACTAAACTAATGCATCACCAGATGCACAGCTAACATAAAAATATCTAAACATGTCGAAAATAATGATGACGAAATGTGAACTCCTTCCTCAGTGTTATTTACATCTGGACAAGTAACGTTAATGTTGTCTTTAAAAATGAATTGATTTATTGGAATATATGTTAGTTGTTTTAAAAAATCAGTGCAGAGAATTTCTTGAAACAATTCCTATGAAACACCCTCAATAAAATGATTAAGTGAGGCAGTATTTGAAAGACCTGCTCACCTTTATCCTCTTCCCAGTTACTTTTCTTTCCAAAACGCAAGGAAACATGTTTGGATTTGGGAACTCCTGGTGTTCCACTGACAGCAATGAGAGAAACTGTGACTTTGAAAACTTCCTTAATGTCCCCTGCCACAAAATCTTTCCCCATATTTTGCCAAACAAAACATGCTTTTCAATGTATTGTTGAGGTTAGGTGCATGACGAGTATTCAAGACACTGTGAAAAAGATTACTGGGGATGCTGGAGGGAGACTGGAGTCTTGTGGTTGCCTCTTGTAAGATACCTTCAATGGGAGGCTAAGAAGGCGGCCTTGGAATGCCCAAAGGAAGTTGATGCATAACTCTCAGCCAAACAGTTTCTGACAAAAAGCCTAAGGTATACTGCTAAAGCTCAAAGGATTGATGTCCACATGTCTGACCTCCACATGTCCTCTTCCATCTGAACATAAAGAAGGAAGGATGAAGTTTAATATTAAGACTGAAGTTGGAGGAATACTGTGTTGTTACTTTTTCCCTTGAATCCAGTTGTAAAATGCAAATGAACGTTA
Source organism: Homo sapiens (assembly GCF_000001405.40). NCBI lineage: Eukaryota > Metazoa > Chordata > Mammalia > Primates > Hominidae > Homo > Homo sapiens. The sequence continues at coordinate 95,080,749 of NC_000003.12, forward strand.
GGAGCCTCTTGAGAAGCTGCATCTGAAAGAAGTAAGCCGCTATATAAGACGATAGAAAATCCCAAATTGTCAGGCAGGAGAGGCCACATAAAGGCATATTGAACAACAACCCCACGAAGCCACCAGTTTGGAGTAAATCATCTCGAATATTCAACCACACCAAACCTTCAGATGGCAGACCTAGTAGAATCTGACTACAGGCTGATGAGGGAACTCAAGTATGAACTTTGCTGCCCAACTTTTACCAAATTCTGATCTCTAAAATTTTGACCTAAAAATGTTGTTGTTTTAAGGCATTGAGTTTTGAGATAATTTGTTTTTCAGCAAGAAAAATTAAAACAACATTTTTTGGAGTCAAACTCTGTTCCACATCCAAATAATAATGATTATACATATAAATCCAATTAAAGTAAATAATGAGCAGATTATTTGATGGTGAATTTGATTTAATACAGATTCTAATTCTAACAATTGTATTTAATTTTAAACCTCCTACTTGATAAAACAAAAAGAAGTCAAGATGCCAAATTTGATTTATAATGCCTGACTAAAGGAAACATACCTATAATTCAAGAGGGACAAAAACCTCCTGGTTCTAAATTTTGTGAAAATTGACTTATATCTGTCTCTAAATAATAGAATTGAACAATGTGCATTCATTTATTCAGCAAGTATTTTTAAGACCTGTTCAAAGCCAGGCATTATCCTGGTCGCTTTATGTAAAATAGACATTGTCCTGTTCCATGGAAGCTTAAAGCCTTGGAGGTTATGGGAGTAGAAATTCATTTCTTCCAGCTTTTAGTTTGAAATAGTTCAAACTTACTATGGAATTGAAGTATAGTACAATAAACCTCCATTTATCTTACCTCCTCTATGTACATTTATAAATTAGTATTTTGTTAAACTGCTCTCTTTTCTCTTCCTCCTCCTTCTTATTATTCCCTTCCTTTCTGTTTTCCTTCCTCCTCTCTCCCTGGCCCCCTACTTTTTGGAAGATGTGTGAATAAATTCTAAATAGATAAATTCTAAGTCCAAATATTTTAACTCATTCTAAATATTAATTAATGGAGTAGACATTCAAAAGTATTTTCAAATCTAAAAATATGCTGAAAAACTTGGTTAATTTTTAAGACAAAAAAGAGAATATAAAATGGAAAACTCAATTAAATTACCACCCCAAAAAGGAACTTCATATACATTAATTACCAACCCCTATCTCTCCAACTTCCTACCCACTCAGCCTTAGGCAAGAACTACTCTGTACCGTGTCTCTATAAATTTACACCATGTCTCTATAAATATTCTCAATATTTCACATGAATGGAATCATATGTGGTTTTTTTGTGACTGGTTTATTTCATTTAGCATAATGTTTTCAATATTCAACCATGTTACATTATGTATCAATTCTTCTTTCCTGTTGATGTCAGAATAATATTTTATAGTACATATAAACCACATTTTATATATCTATTAATTCATTGATAGGCATTTGGGTTGTTTTCTCCTTTTGGCTATTTGGGTAATTTTGTTATAACATTCATGCAAAAAGTTTTGTGGAGACGTCAGTTTTTTATTTCTCTTAGGTACATACATCAGAGCGAAATCTAGGTCATACAGTAACTCTGTGTTTAATCAACCGAGAGACTAGCTGATTGCTTTTAGAAGACTGCACCATTTTACAGTCTCACCAGCAGTGTTTGATTTCTCCACATTCCTGATGATACTTTTTATTATCTGACTTTTTTAGTCTAGCCATCTAGTGAATGTGAAATGATATGTTGCTTTGAATTGCATTTCCCTGATAACTAATGAAGTATCTTTTCATGTGCTTATTATTTATACATTTTCCTTGGAGAAGTATCTATTAAATCCCTTGCCCATTTTTAAAAAAACACCTTTTTTATTTTGATTTATGGGAATTTTTTATGTAGTTTATATAGAAGCCCTTTATGAGATATATAATTTTCAAATGTTTTTTCCCATTTTGTGAATAGGTGTTTCCACTTTTATTTATTTATTTATTTATTTATTTTTTGAGGTGAGGTCTTACTATGTTGCTGAGGCTGCAGTACATCGGCATCATCATAGCTCACTGCAGCCTTGAACTCCTGGACTCAATGGATCCTCCCATCTCATCTTGTGGAGGTGCTAGGATTATATGATTGAGTCATCATACCCAGCAGTAAAGTTTAGCATAAATTTGTCAATTTCTACAAAAAAGTTAGCTGATACTCGGATATGAATTGGAATGCATCTGCAGATCAGCTTTAAGAGTGTATCTATTTTATTGTTGTGTTCTAATAAATGAACATCTGATGTTTTGTACTTATTTTGACCTTCTTTAATTTCTTTCCACAGTGTTTTATAGTTTTTAAAGTGTAAGTTTTCACTTCCTTTGCAAATACATTCCTGTTTTATTCTTTGGGATTCCAATATAAATGAAATTTTAAAAATTGATTTTAAATTTCTCCCAAAGAAGATTCACTCCACACCTCCACCCCACAATCCCCCAAAATAAATTGATTTTTATATTTGTATTGCAAATGTATGAACATACTACTTACTTTTTTATACTGATCTTGCATTCTGTAGACTTGCTGAATTCATCTAATAGTTTTTTAAGGGGTTACTTAAAATTTTCATATACAAGATCATGTCATCTCAAAAAGAGATAGTTTGACTTCCTCCTTTCTAATCCTGTTACCTTGTATTTCTTTCTCTTACTAATTGCCCTGGTTAGAACCTCAATTACAATGTTGAATAGAAGTGGTGAAAGTGGATATTATTTTCTTCTACCTGATATTAGAGGAAAGCATCCTGTCTTTTGGCATTAAGTATAATGTTACCTATGAGCTTTTCACATATGTTAAGTTGGAGAACTTCTCTTCTATGACTAGTTTGTTGAAAGAAACATATCATGAAAGGGTATCAGATTTTGTCAAATGCTTTCTGTGTATATATTGAGATGATCATGTAATTTTTTTCTATTTTTATTCTATGAATACAATTTATTACTTTAGTTGATTTTTGAATGTGAAACCAACCTTGCATTCTTTAGATAAATCTCACTTGATCATCATTCATAATTATTTACATACATTGCTGTATGTCATAGAATGAAATTAACTTTGTGTCATTGGTAGGTTATAGTTGTCAATCAAAAATTAGGATGTTATGGATGGTACAGAGAGTATCTATTTGAGGATAGTGATCACAAGGTAAAATAAGAAAAGAAAGAATGATAAGATGATAGTAAGATTATAAAGTCAAATAACAATAATAGTGATTGCTACTATTTAATGCACATTTGCTGTGTTCCAAGGATTGTGTTAAGCATTTTATATGTATTAATTCATTTATTCCTTACATTAACTCTATTAAAAAACTATTATCATTATGTTCATCTAACAGATGAAACAAAGACACAAAGAACTTAAATAACTTGCTTAAGGCCATATAGCAAAACATGCAAGATCAGTATATTTGACTTCTTACTGATGTTAAAAAAAATCTTATAATAGGAAGTTTTAATGAGCTATTTAGGAGATGGTTCACTTTTGATAATGAAAACATACACGTGTCAACATGATAGGATAAAGGAAAAGAACATTTCTGGAGCTTAATATATAAGGAGCTTGAAGAGTAAGATGAGATATACAAAGATAATTTAAATATCAAAGAGAGGAATAGAACGGAAGATTAAGGAATATGGGCTAGCTGGTAATGTCTGTGTCTAAAAGAATAATGCCTGAAACTTTGATTGAGGACCACTAAGAAAAATTATAGAGAAGGTATACAGTTAATTGTTGAGAATGCCAAAAACTGAGAATAAGTATATATTTGGAAAGCAAGAAGTATACAAACACTGCTCTCAAATTTAAGATATGTGGCATATGAAAAGAAAATAAAGCCTTTCCACCTTAAGGACTGAAGAAAATGGTATATTAAGAGAAAAAAAAATTTCATCCAAAAAACGGATGTAAAGGGGAAATTCAGAAAATAGTTTTAGAATATATGGAACCTGATGACTAGGCATTCCAGAGAACAAAATGGGAAAAGGAGTTAGGGAGGGGAAAAGACTTTAATCAGCTAAGACCATAAATTGGACAGAAGGAAATGAGAGTTTAGAATCTAATGGGTAAACAGAGATTTTTCATTCTCACATTGACAAAGATTAAAAAGAGGATGTGAAAGATGGTAAATTTCATTTTACATGTGTATTTATGTATGTCCTTAGGCAAGAGGATATTGGTCTAAACACTATGAGTTTTGGATATAATTGCTTTTTTCCTTTCAAATGGAGATGAATACCTTAACATGGTAAAAAGTGGTTTTGTGTGAGAGGTCTCATTTTACCTTCTCCCTGCTAATAATTCTGACTTTTATTCTATTAAATTGTATAAAGAATATCAGGTTTTTGGTCAAATTTGAGTTAAAAACTTTAGAAAGTTCCTGGGAGTATCAGAGAATCTAGATGACTCAGAGATCATCTTTAGAATTGTCATATGTCAACCTAACAAATGTTGTTGATAAATATTAGAAATAGAATAAATCGTTTCTCAAAAAAATACTAATTTCTACATCAGCAACTCCACCTCTCTTTTCTTACTTTGTGTCTGGCTGCTTTTCGGCCCTATTACATGGGCAATACAACTGTCTAATCTGAAATTGAATGGAGATATGCTGGCTTCTTTCATTTATTATTAGGTTGACAGCTAATAAATTATGAAGTAAATAATGCCAAAGAACGTTTGTTTATACTTTGTGTAAAGAGGATCATAAGATTGCAAGTAAATTAATTATTGGCTAAAACAGTATATTGATTTTATGCTGTTTTATAGATATGCCAATCTTATGATGACCACAGTGTTTTTAATTAAATGTAAAAATAAAAAAGAACAAGAATATTTGAGCCATATTGATCTTAAAATTTTTTTAAAAAAAATCCAAGCACATCAATGCAGTGAAGTTCGTATGGTGAGAAGCACTTCTCACCATGTACAAACTGTGAAAATAACACATTTCATTAAAATAGGCATCTGTGAGCTAAGCACTAAGTCACACAAGCAAACATAAGAGGAAGAAAGGGAAATCTGTCAAAAAACAGTATTCCCTGGTGATTCAGTGTCAGCTGCAAATATTCCCTACTCTTAATCTTTTGTTATCCTAAAGTTCCCTCGGCTGCCATTAAGTAACAATAATGAGTCCTGTAACTATGAAAACAGATTTTTAAATGTGTGTGTATATATATATTTTTGTGTGTGTGGTGGGGGAGTGGGGGATTGTGGGGTGTAGGTGTGGAGTGAATGTTCTTTGGGATACAGCAATCCAAAGAGCCAAAGAATGATGAAGAGAAGAGAATTGACCTTATACCAAGATTATTTCCATCAGAAATGTAATAAATAAGCTCTCTCTGAAAGATTGAAGAACTCATGCAGAGGCGCTGGAAAAAAACTTGAAGGAGCACATGAAGAAAAATGAAATTTGCTTTAAAAAATATTTGCAAATTTTTTTCAAAAATTTAAATAAAGTGATTTTTCTGCCTATAAAATTAAAATATTTCTTGTGGAAATACAAAAGAGCAGAATACTAAAAGGATGAAAATTAAATGACCCATAATCCTATATCAGGTGATATTGTCTAAATATTGAGAAGTATTTATTTCATGAATGTGTTATCTCTATAAGCTCATATTTTGTATACATATAAATGACCATATGTAATCATGGATAATTGAATATATTTCTAAGTGTGCACATTATATATACACTTAAATCTGCTTTTTCCTATGTATATTGACTGTATCCCAAGTAAAATGCTTTATTTAGTAAATTCAGTGTTCTTTTCTTCCTCAAGTCATCTAATGAGAAATACTAACATCTTTTATAATATATTTCCATTGCATTGTAATTATAGTTACTGTTCTAACTCATTTCATTATCCAGTACCTGTCATTTAATAACACATTTCCTCCCATCCTTTCTTAAAATTTTTATTTGTATAAATTTATGGGGTTCAAGTGCAATTTTGCTACATGCATAGATTGAGTAGTGGTAAAGTCAGAGCTTTTAGAGCATCCATCACCTGAATAACATACATTATACCCATTAAGTAATTTCTCATCATCCACCTTCCTCCCACTTCACCTCCATTTCAAGTTTCCGTTTTCTATCATTCCATACTCTATTTCTCTGCGTAGACATTCTTTAGTTCCCCCTCATAAGTAAAAACATGCAATACTTTGCTTTCTGTGTCTGAGCTGTTTCACTTAACATAATGGTTTCCAGTTCCATCTATGTTGCTGCAAAAGACATGATTTTATTCTCTTGTATGACTGGATAGTATTTCATTTTCTTTATTCAATATTCCATTGATGGACACTTAGGCTGATTTCATATCTTTGCTATTGTGAGTAGTGCTGTGATAAATATACAAGTATAAGTGTCCTTTTGATATAATGATTTCTTTTCCTCTGGATAGATACTCAGTATACTGAATCAAATGGTAGTTCTATTTTTAGTTCTTTGAGAAATATCTATACTGTTTTCCATTAAGATTGTATTCATGTATATTCTCACCAACATAAGTCGTTTCCATTTTTATACGTTTATAAGTGTTCCCTGTTTTTCTGCATCTTTGTCCATATGTGTTATTTTTTGTCTTTTTAATAATAGCTATTCTGACTGGTGCAAGATGATATCTCATTGTTGTTTTAATTTTCATTTCTCTGATGATTTGTGATGTTGAACATTTTTTCATATGCTTATGGGCCACTTGTATGTCTTCTTTTGAAAAATGTCTAATCAAGCCCTTAGCCTACTTTTTAATGGAAGATTTGTTTTTGATGGTGGTGGTGGTGTTAGTTGCTTGAATTTCTTCTAAATTCTGGATATTAATTCCCTGTCAGATGCAGAGTTTGCAAATATTCTTGAGCTGGTTATTTTGATCAATATTTCAGCAGAATTCTGTTTTCAAGTGGTTGTTTTAGAAAGATACAGTGATATATTTTCTAAAACCTTATAATATATGTGTAATGTCTTCATCAGAAGTAAACAAATAAATAAATCTCGATTTTTAATATGTGTTGGTGAGACAATTTTTCAATTCTAAAATTTCAAATGTTGTCTCTTCATCTCTTTCTAGCATTACTGTTGAAGAGGACACTGAAAGGTCTCTGAGGACAATATCAGAGATAAAAATATTATGTCGGTGCAAAAGTGATCACGGCTTTTGCCATTACTTTTAATGGCAAAACAACTTTACTTTTAATGGCAAAACTAGCGATTACTTTTGCACCAACCTAACATAACATTTCTTTTTTCTTTATGAGAAAAGTTATAGACTAAAAAAAAATCTTTACATGCCAAGTTTCTTTATTTCTTCCCTCCTTCCTTTCTCACCCTCAGGTCTAGGTTAATAGCAGGTAATTGTGACAAGTCCAGTGTGGGTTACTGGTCATGAAGAATCCATTGTTGATGACATCCCAGAAGAGAACACTAAGTCTTAGCTTTCATCTTACCCCTGAACTTCCCTTCCTCTGAAGGTAAAACATAATATATGCAAAAACATAAATGTTTACTGTGTTGGCTTGTGGTTTGAGGCCTAAAGTTAAGGTTCAATGCTGTATACTGCCTTGATATCTGGTAAAATTGAGAGAGACTGGAATTACCTAATAGCAAATTATCTTCCACACTGCTTCTGCAGTTAATGTTCACCAGCCAAACAGTCCTTCTTATCAAAGAATTGTGAGTTTCTGCTTACTCCTGAGGAGTGGGTTTCAGTTCCCTGACAGCCCACTAAGTTATTTAAATAAGGCGATTGTATTCTTCCTTGGGAACCAGGCAGCACTTCACCTTTTTGATAATACAAAGCCTGCATCCCCCTGCCTCTGGCAGTTCACTGTAATCCCAAGTGCAACCTCTGTGTGGGCTTGTGTGGTATGGGGCGCCCTTCTCTCACAGGCTATGAGCATACGTAACCAATAAACCGCTGCCAATCTCATTTTTCTTGCATCAAGCGTTGTGTGTTTGGCCATCCCCATAATCCAAGGGCAGGAAACTCTCTCCTATTAATGGGGTAAATAGGACATGATTAAACCTTGGCCACTCTTATAATTTAAAGCGGTATTCAGGCTTAACTAATTGTGATTCATTTTTTATAATTTTAAATGGATCATGATAATTTTGTTTCCATTCCTTTGATTTTTTTTCTTAATGCCTTCTAATCTCCCCTCTGATTGAAAGTGTTCATTCATTTAACAAATCTTTATTGAGTAATTTTATGTTGAGCACTTTTCAAGGTACTAATGAGATAGTAGCAAATTGAAAAATACAAACTTTATATGCTCAAGTTCAAAAGTAAATTTCAAAAAGAAGTTAAAATAAATGAATTACAAAAAAACTAGGAAGCAGGTAAAGTGTTTAAGAATTTGGCTATTACTGAAAATATAGAAAAAAATCCTTGCCAAAAAGTCTAAAATTAGAGTTCAAAATCGGAATATTATATGCATGTTGGTTTTAAAGTCTGGTCCTGCAAATGTGGTATTATAAACAGAAACTAATGATGGATTAACCTAAATTTGTCCCCAGTACAAAGTTATTTGATACAAAATGCCTGTATTTAACAGACTAAAGGAAATCACAACCTTGTAACTTAGCATGGATAATGAAAAACAAATCACTTAAAATGCCCATCAACTTATTTAACTGTATTTCATGCCAGTATTTCAGGTAATTAACATCCTGCAACCTTACAGAAATTGCTTTCACTTCTACCCATTTATCCTCATTTCAGTTTATGTTCTCATTTATTTGTCTATGAGTGTCAAATTAGATTATGCTTTGGAACTTGTTTCTGTTTTTACTAAAGTATACTTAAGCAACCCTAAAGTGAAGAAATCAATGCAATGCTTATGTGTTTCATTATATACACGAAGCTTTTATTCCTAAGGTTTTCTTGAAAAGTCACTGGACCTTGATATTTTGTAAGTCTCACTATCTTCTGCACAATAGCAATTCTATTGTCCTTTTCATCAATATCATTTGGTTAATAAAGCAACAGTGTTTTCTGACTTTTTCTGCTTATGTTTTCCTGACCTACATAGATTCTTGACTTTAAGGAGAAAATGGATTGCTGGATAAAATATAGGACATTTAGTTGGATTTGAATTCCAGTTAAATACATTTTAAAAATATATCTCTATAGGTGTATATTTATATTTGTGTGTTCTATGCAGTAATTGGGACAATTATATTTAAAAAACTGTATTTTGAACTGAAAAATTATTCTTTTTCCAATCTGAAATCCAAAATTAATTGTGTGTCCATTATGCATCTATGTATTTATTGTTTACCAAATCTGACAAATGAGATAAAATATCTATGCACACCGATAAAAATTATGAAAAGCAAACAAGAAAACACTGATTTTAATACAATGTAAATAAGATGTTTATGTGCACACTAGCTTTTTTCTATATTATTCTGAACATATATATTTCATGCAACCAATGCCAAATACGCCCCTCCGGCAAAAAAAAAAAAAAAAATTAGTATCTTTTCATAAAAAAATATTGAATCTCACTATTTTTTACTAATAAAATTTCTTATCAATCTGAAAAGCAGGATATTGGAGACACCTGATTTATATCACGATGCATAAAGCCATGTTGTGTTGGAGGCCCAAGAAGCCAAGTTTATGTTAAATAAAAATGAGTTAAAACGTCTAGAAAATGAGACTGATGTTTAGGTTGTATGAAGAAACTGAAGAAAAACACCATTCCCCCTAAAAACAGCTTAAGAAGCCACCATTTATTTACAAAATGCATTTGCTTAAAGACATCAGAAAACTACTAAAGCTATGAGAAACAGATAGGCAATTCTAGAGAAGGGAGAAATATGGAGGCATGAGCTGAAGTTTTGCAGCTGGTTTATCCCTGGGTTTGTTACTGAACTGAACCTGGATCTGCTTGCCTGTCACATAGAAAAGCCAAATACTGACACCAGGATTTACAGCGAGAGAAAGTAAGGCATTTCTTGCAGGGTTCCAAGCAAGAAGAATGAAGAGCTAATATTTAAGACTCGAACTTAATGATGGCTTACAAGCAAGGGTTTTTCAAGACAGAGGTGAGGGGATCTTCAAAGTGAGTTAAGGGCTGGGAAATTTCTGGAACTTCTTCATCCATTTTCTGGTTACAGGCTGGCAGAGGTCTATATGACAGCAGTTGGCATTTTCCATCAGGTGGGGGTCCTAGTTTCTGAAAAACTACTCAGGGCCGTATGTCAAGATGTTATCTTTAGTTTCTGTAGAGCACTGAGCATCTTATGACTGATTTACTTGGGTGACTATTATTTAAGCTAAAATTATCTTCTTGCTTAGCAGGTTATTAATTTACTGCCCTAATGGCTGGCCACAAGACTAGCTAGCTGCCTGCAATTTCCTTTGAAGGGCCTCAAAGTGTTTGTTTTTTTTTTTCCTTTTTTATCCATGCCAGGGCAGGGTAGGGGAACCCAGTAGGCTCCTAAGTGGGGTCCCTAATTTGCCTCAATTACATTAAAAACGGCAAGAAAGTCATTGTCCAAATTTGAATACACACTGCTAGAGTCTAGAAACTCAAATTTTGTCCAGTTAGATTGTTGCCGTTGGGGAGGATAGAATAGTAGAAGTTGTCTTGGTTACCTGGGGATGGAGAAATAAAATCAGTGGTTTGTGAGGCCTAAATAATTAGATTTTTCTTTCAACACATTTACTGATCTAAATATTTAAGTTAAACAGAGTTAAATGGCAGGCAGAAAATCTTCTGAGAATTTAAGAAATATGTATTTTTTTGTTCTGCAAAATTATCATTTTGATTATGACAATAGTCTTTTTGTTTATTGACTCTTATAGCAAATTCCTCACTTATTTTCTCTTAATTTCCTTGGACCACTTGGTTTCACTGTAAAGATAGTGTCCACCATCCTCAAACACTTCAGTATTTATTTCCTATAAATGAAGACAATTTTGGTTGTATCTATGACACAACCATCAAGATCAGGATATTAGTATTGATATATCTTCCACTCAAGAATAATTCAGTCCTAAAGACATTAGATAAGGCCACACAAGATTACTAATCATGCTGAGTTTGAGGGAGATGTGATGTCTCATTGCAGTGGCAAAACCTGAGAAGGCTGAGAAAGAGATGTACAAGTGGTAACAGTGCCCGATAAAGGAAAGAAAACCCCAAGCAGAGTGAATAAGTTTGTACCCAATTGAAGAGGCAGCTTGGTATATGAAGTCAAAGATTATGCGGAGTAAGCCATAAAAAAGAATAAGCTCATGTCCTTTGTAGCAACATGGATGAAGCTGCAGGGCATTATCCTAAGTGAACTAATTCAGAAACAGAAAATCAAATACTCAAATACCATGTGTTGTCACTTATAATTGGGAGCTACACAATGGGTATACATGCACAAAGATGAAAATAATAGACACTGGGGACTCCAAAAGTGGCGAGGGAATGAGGCAGGTAAGGGTTGAAAAAGTACCTATCAGGTACAGTGTTCACTATCTGGGTAAGGGGGGCACTAAAAGCCACGTCCCCAGCAGTATACAGTATACCCATGTAACAAACATGCCTATGCACCTCTTGAATCTAAAAATTAAACTGAAATCAAAAAAAGCAAAAGTCTTTTGCATGACAGGATGGCCCAGCTTAGGATGGTGAGGTTAAACAGGGCAGGTAATACACACACAAAAAAGATAGGGGTGAGAGATAGACCATTGCAAGTTTCAGAGGTGGACTTGGCTGAGGATGGTATCCACATGATAGGGGGTGCACTGCTGCAAGGAGTCAGAGAGAGAGCAAAGTGAAGAAATTTTAACCACCGGAATGAGATATAAGAGTTCAAGTGAAGTAAGGAAGGTGTCTCCACAGAGCAATAGCTTACATGGGGTGTTAACGTTGTTGTTTATTTTATAATAAGGTTCAAATCACATCCAATCTGAGTAGGTTTGAGTCTCCTTGTTTTTAAATTCGATAATTTTTTAACTTTTGTTTCTTTAGATTCAACTTGGTTTGGGATAGAGATTTTGGTAAATCAATAATTAGGTACTTACCATATTTACAAAGTAGATTATATATTTTTATGTGCTTTATAATCTAACTGTTTTTGATTCATTCATTTGTGAGGAAAGATTTTGCATTTTATTTTAAAATCATGCTGCTATAAAGACACATGCACACGTATGTTTATTGCGGCATTATTCACGATAGCAAAGACTTGGAACCAACCCAAATGTCCAACAATGATAGACTGGATTAAGAAAATGTGGCACATATACACCATGGAATACTATGCAGCCATAAAAAATGACGAGTTCATGTCCTTTGTAGGGACATGGATGAAATTGGAAATCATCATTCTCAGTAAACTATCGCAAGAACAAAAAACCAAACACCACATATTCTCACTCATAGGTGGGAATTGAACAATGAGATCACATGGACACAGGAAGGGGAATATCACACTCTGGGGACTGTTGTGGGGTGGGGGGAGGGGGGAGGGATAGCATTGGGAGATATACCTAATGCTAGATGACGAGTTAGTGGGTGCAGCGCACCCACATGGCACATGTATACATATGTAACTAACCTGCACAATGTGCACATGTACCCTAAAACTTAAAGTATAATAATAAAAAAAAAAAGAAATGATGAAAAAAAAGTGTATATCATATATTTCTGTGATACAAGTTTCATATGATTGAAAACGTGTAATGCCTTGAATATTTTTCAACTCAACAAAATGTTAAGATAAATAACATAAGATAAATAAAATGTTAACATATGTTATGTAGGAAGTAAATCATAATTATGGGTTTTAATTTTTATTTTAAGATATTTTAAATTTTAATAATTAAAATTAAATTTAGATAGCGCTGAATATTGTGAACTAGGAACAATCAGGTGATCAAAGTCACCATATTTCTAGAATGCTATCTATAAAATTACTTCATTCTTTCTGTACAGATAAAGAGCAGAAACTATATAACTGTTTTAAAAGACTAATGTTTAGTAACCAATGTGTATTATCTCAAATAATTTTTTGGACTATGTGGGTATTTCTGATGAGTATTGCCAACCCTTATCTCAGTTAACTAATGTGCAACATTAATTTTCTAATTCAGAAGAGAGCATTGCAGATGGTTGTATAAATCCATTTGATTCTGTAAAACTCTGATAATTAAAATAAATATGTGATACTTTTTTAGCATTACAGCAAGTTGAAAACAGCAATTATTTATGTATTTTTAATACACAATATTTTCTAACCTAATAAAAAATATGAAAACATAAAATATTTAGAAATGTTTATAGAGTATTATTCATAGGCATTCCAAAAGCCAAGTTTATATTTACGCACAATTAATTATAATCGATTAAGGAAAATTAGGGGAAATTATCTCTACAGGGGGAGATTTATTTTAAAATAAAGTATATGAGAGTAAAACAACAAGACCTAAAAAAATACGTTAAAATAAGGAGTCACATTTTGGCAGGGAAGGAAAAACATGGGAGATGAAAACAAGAAACTCAGATGGGTCCATAGATAGCATTGTCCATCTAACAACTAATATGACATGTGAGGTATGGGAAAAAGTTCTCATGTATGTGAAACTGGAGTCTCAGAAAGAAAACAAGAGAAACAATGAGACAAAATAAATATTTATAAAAATACTAGGTAAGGAATTTCAAATGCTAATGAAATACAGCAAACCACAGATTCAATAAATTATTTGAACCCCAAACAGGACAAAATTAAAGGAAACCACATGTAGGCCCAACATAGCCAAACCGCTGATAAATTAAAAAAGAAAAGCTTAAAAGCTGTTAAAGAACAATAATCATTAGTTTTAATAAGGTTGGAAAATAATCGGCTAGCCTATAATTCTATACTTAGCAAATATGCTTTTTAAATATAAATATAAAATAATTTTCAGGAAAAAATTCATGATTATCAAAAATTAAGATAACAAATATATGTTGAGACTATTTTTAAAATAAGTTCTTTTGGCAGAAGAAAAATATCCCAGATGCAGCCATAAAAATACATAAATGAAAGAAGGGCAAAGAAAGAATGAAATAGAATAACTTACCAAGCTAATGAAGATAATGTCTCAGCCTTGAGTTTAAGATATGTGTGGAAATAAAATACATGACAGCTGTTTCAGGAGTCCACAAGACCACCCACATCCTCAGTAGTTTACTAGGACTCACAAGCTCAGCATACAGTTTCTTCCATGTTTCAAATTTTTACAGGTAACATGGTCAGGATACTCAGTTTGTTCAGTTAGGGAAAAAGACACAATCTGAGTCTCGAGTAATATGTATGCAGGTTTCCTATACTCTATTCTTCCCATGAGGGATCACACAGAGTGTACTGTCTTTACAGCAGAAAAAATACACCACATATGCAGTGTTTCTGCCTAGGGAATCCTATTTGAGACTGAGAGTTTAGGATTTTTTATTGGGAGCTGGTCATGTGGACATATTCTAATGAACTTCCAATAGTCCAGACTCTAAGAAGAGAAGGAGTTGTTCACCATAAATCATATTATAGATGTAAAGAAACAATTTTTCAGTTAGGAAATATTTCAGAAACTAACATTCCAGACGCTAGCTAAGGGCCAATTTTGAAAGTAGGTCCTTGCAAAGATTTCAGCCTCAGGCCTGCTGTAATTCTCTTCTAGATAATAATAGTAGTACAAAAAGTGGGAAGAGTCAAAGAAGTTAAATCGTTACAAGATATTTTATTGCTTAAAAATTGATAACAAATGTTGTAATCTCTAGAGTAACAATTAAAGGAATAACTAGCGATTGTGAACCCACAACACAATAGATGAGAAAAATAAAATGATATATAAATACCTGGTTGAAGCAAGAGAAAGAAATAAATAAAAGAAAAAATTAAACTGGTTCCATAAATAACACAGAGCAAGTTGGTATATAAACCCCAGGATATCACATAGTCCACCATCAGATGAAGATTCTCACACTGGAAAAATAATCAGATAAAAAGACAAACAAAACGGTCTGAAATCCAAACTTACAGTATTTATTTAAAATATACTTAAATATTCTTAAAGATAAAAAAGTTTAAAGGCAAAGGAATGAAAAAGATATACCATATAAACACACCAAATACAGAAAACTGACAATGTTAACATCACATAGTAGAATGCATCCACAGGAATGTGTAACAATCCCCAATTTATGTGTACCGAATACTGGATGTATAGAAAACATATAGAAATAGTATTAAACGATATTATTTGTTATTGTAAATTATTAGAGACACATTTAATAAAAGATATGTAAGACTTCTACATGGAAAACTAGAAAACATGATTGAGAAAATTTTTATTGTGTCCTAAATAAGTGGAGAGAAACTCCATGTTTATTGATTAGAAGTAATAATGCTGTAAAAATATCAATTTCCCCAAAGACACAAGGCAAGCCCTGTAAAAATTCCCCAAATAGCCAAAAGTAGAAAAGACAATCTCATACTAAAATGAACAGATCTGGAGGATTATACTATAAACATAAATCTTAGAAAAATCTGTATTAATTAAAATTGCATGGTACAAGTATAAACAAATAGAGCAGTGAAACAAATAGTAATATAGAAACTGGCTGTATATGTATTGTCATCTGATTTAAACAGTGTAATGGGAAGAAGTATCATCTTCACCTTTTCTTTTTTAAAGTTTTTAATCAATAAATGATATTTATATATTTATAGGATAGAATGTGATATTTTGATATATGTGTACATTGTAAAAATATTAAATTGATTTAATTGACATTTCTATCACCTCACTTGCTTATCTTTTTGTTTTTGTGGTGAGAGAACATTTAAAATCTACTCTTTTAGCTATTATGAAATACACAATACGTTATTATTAACTATGGTCACCTTGCTGTGCAATAGAACACTAGAATGTATTTCTCCTGTGTAACTGGAACTTTGTATCCTTTGACCAACGTCTCCACTTGGCCCATCCCAACTGCCTTCCCCGATCCGTTGGTAACCACCAATATGCTCTCAGCTCATTCACATTGAACTTCTCTCGATTCGACATATACGTAAGATCATGTGCTTCTTGTCTTTATGTTCCTGGCTAATTTCATCTACAATATTATCCTCCAGGTTCATCCATGTTGTTGCAAATGGTAGTATTTTCCTTTTTTATTAAAGCTGTTTTGTATTCCATATGTATATAACACATTTTTTGTCCATTCATCCATTATTGGACACTTAGGTTGCTTCCATATCTTGGCTATTGTGAATAATACTGCAATGAACATAGGAATACAGATACCTCTTTGACATTCTGATTTAATTCCTTTAGATTTATACTCTGATGTCTCTTTTCAATTAATACTGCTTGATCAGGTGACTGGGAAAGGCCATATGGGAACTTTCTAAGATGCAGTAAATGTTTCTCATTTGACCTGGATTATAGTTACACAAATGTATACACCTGTAAAAACTTGTCCAGCTGTTCACTTAATATTTGTGTAAAATAATAAAACTATTCTTTATGAATTACCATATATTGAGGTTAATATATTTAAGGGTATTTATTTCATGTGGCGTGAATCCAGCAGTGGTAACATGTTCAAAGTTAAGTCTCATAGAGAGCCTCTGTCACTTAGTACTTAGAAATGGCCTCACTGTGCACAGTGAAGAATTAATGTCCCAAAAGACAGCTTTATTGACATAAAACACTAGAAATTGAATATGTATTCTGTCTAAATGAGAAGACTAAAAGAGTATTCATATTTTCTCTTAGGAGGAACTATTCTGTGAAAATTATTGAGACATATTTGGGACCCATCCCTTGGGGGAAAGTCGTAAGTGGTAACTATCAAGTGATTGGAGTCTTGGCGGAGTGCCAGAAACAACTTTGAACATGTAGAGGTTGAGGAACATAACAAATTTACATGCTGTGAACAGCCCAAGTGTTAAAATTGAAATTCTGGAATGGCAATCAAAACGCTTAACTCATTTCCACACCCAGATGTTTTAGGAAAAGTTGAAAAAAACTGAAATAGACAAAGGAGATTCTTGGTTGTTCTGCCTAGTGCTGTTCTGCTTTCTCTCCACTGTTCATTGTCTTTGAACTATTTTACAAGATTGTAATTATAGAAAATTGATAATAATGCAAATTATTCTTCTTAATAAAAATGTAAGTGAATTTTGTCCAGTTAAATGCAATTGATTTTTGGTCTGTGGATAGAGAATATTTTGTATCTATTGAAAATTTGTTTCACCTTTCATGACTACCTGTTTGTGTTAATTCAAATAATTCTCTTTGAATTCATTTTTTATGAATTAAATAAAGCATTTGATATATGCCCATTTTATATTTGCATAGGAGTAATGATTACATCTTTTCTAAAAAAAACTATTGAGGAAGTGAAAGACAAGGCTCTTACATTTTCAGTACTATCAAAATTGTGCTTTGGACCTTTGGGTTTAAAATAGCAGATTAAAGATGCATCTGTTTCCTTGTCCTTTTTAATGTCACACGTAAAATCTTATAAGAAGAATGAAAAATAAAATATAAGAATATTATAAGAAGAATGAAAAAAATAAAAATGGAAGGACTTGTTCTTTTTAAATTAAATATTTTTTCAGAAATAAATGTCCAGGCCCATGACTGAACCAGAAGAGTTTGCTAACTATTCAAAATCTAAATAATTCTACTTTTAGAGGTGCTTTTTTTTTTTTTTTTTGAGACCGAGTTTCACTCTTTTTGCCCAGGCTGGAATGCAATGGCATGATCTCTGTTCACTGCAACCTCTGCCTCCCGGGTTCAAGCGATTCTCCTGCCTCAGCCTCCCGAGTAAGTGGGATTACAGGCGCATGCCACCATGCCCGGCTAATTTTTGTATTTTTAGTAGACACGGGATTTCACCATGTTGGAAAGGCTAGTCTCGAACTCCTGACCTCAGGCGATCCACCCACCTCGGCTTTCCAAAGTGCTGGAATTATAGGCGTGAGTCACCGCGCCCGTCCAAAGATACATTTTTTATAGACTATAAAATGAAAGTGTATATTGCATCTTTTTTCCCATGTCAGGATAAACTTAATTCCAAACCTAAACATTAAATTTTATATACGCAAAAGAGTAACAGACCAAATATTTCATATGTAATGATGAAAATACAAGTCAAACTGATTTTATTCTAGGAAACTGTTTAGCACATTATTAGATTTAAATAGAAATAAAATATGATCACAACAGATGCAGAAAAATTGACAAAATGATAAAATAGAATTAAAATACCATCTAAAGGTAAAAGCTTTTAGAAAACTGGAAATTATTTGAAGAAAAGTCATAGCTGAGTAAAGAGTGTCTACAAAAACCTATACAAAATATATGATTTAATAGTGAAATGCTGAAAAGTTTCATTTTTAAATGAGGTTTTAAAAACCAATAATAACCCCACTATTAACAATTCAGTTGAACACTGTCTCAAAGATCCTATCAATGGCATTAAGAAAAAAGTAATAATAATTCAGTGGGAAATAAAAAAAGAAAAACAAATATTATATTTTGCAAAATTATATGATTGTATATACATTTTTTAAATATCTCATGGATTTTAAAAATTAATATATAATTCTGCTTTTCTATATAGATATATAGACAAAATATATGACATAGGTAGGAAGATAACTATAGATGAAACCATTAGAAAATAATAGCTAAAACATGATTTAATATAACATAACAAATCAAATACTTAGGAATAATTCAAAGAAAAACTGTCTTAATATCTATGTGGAAAGCAATGAAACAACAAAATGAGAAAATTTTAGAACTAAATAAATATTCATATATAGCATAAACATTTTTTGGAAAAGTTGTCATTGTAAAAATGACAATTCGTTGAAAATTTATTCATGGTTTGTTTCAGTGCAATTTGATTGACAATCCCAATACTTATTTTCATTTTTAATAACTGTATACATTGTTTTCTTTTGTAGAAATTGACAAGCTGATTCTAGTTTGTAAAGAAATGCAAAGGCCAACTGTAAGCATGACACTTTTTTTTTTTTTTTTTGAGATGGAGTCTCGCTCTGTTGCCCAGGCTGGAGTGCAATAGTGTGATATCGGCTCCCTGCAACCTCTGCCTTTTATGTTCAAGCAATTCTCCTGCCTCAGCCTCCCAAGTAGTTGGGATTTACAGGCACTGCCACCATGCCTGGCTAATTTGTGTATTTTTAGTAGAGACCGGGTTTTACCATGTTGGCCAGTCTGGTCTCAAACTCCTGATCTCAGGTGATCCACCTGCCTCAGCCTCCCAAAGTGCTGGGATTACAGGCGTGAGCCACCGCACCCGGCCTGGCATGACAGTTTTTAAAAAAATAAAGATGGAAGAACTTGTTCTTTTGTGTATCAAGCCCTTTTATCCACTTTTGGTAATAAAGATAGTGTGCTATAGGACAAAGATAGACAAGTAGATGAATGCATATATGATCACTTGATTTATGATCAAGTACAACTTAACCAATTAGCATGTAAAATAATATCCAAATTTATTAGTAAATTTGGAAATATAAATTTTAAAACATCAAGAAGGTATCTCTGCATATCTTTTAATGGTGATATTAATTTTCTTTCTTTTCTTTTTCTTCAGAAAAGCTAAAATCAACACTTGATACTAAGTATTGGCAAGGATTAGCACAACAGGCACTCCCATACCCTGCAAATTGGACTATAAATTGGTACAATACCTTGAAAAAAAAATTTATCCAAATACTTAAAAAAATTTATTCATTTAATATCTGAAATTACTTATATTTGGTAGCCCAGTAATCGCACTCCTAGTTATATTCCTAACAGAATTACATACTCACATGCATTTTTAACCTGTGTGTGTAATTATGATACAGTCATATGTCACTTAACCATGGGGATGTGTTCTGAGAAATGTGTCATTATGTGATTTCGTTGTTGTGCTAACATCATAGAGTGGACTTATACAAATTTAGATGGTATAGACTAATACATGCGTAGGTAATGTGGTATAGCCTTGATATGGTTTGGCTGTGTCCACACTCAAATCTTACCTTGAATTGTAGCTTCCATAATTCCCACGTGTTGTGGGATGGACCCGGTGGAGATAACTGAATCATGGGGGCAGTTTTCCCCATACTGTTATTGTAGTGAATAAGTCTCATGAGATCTGATGGTTTTATGAGGGCTTTCCCCTTTCACTTGGCTCTCATTCTCTTTTGCCTGCTGCCATGTAAGATGTCCCTTGCTCTTCCTCCATGATTGTGAGACCTCCCCAGCCAAGTGGAACTGTAAGTCCATTAAACCTCTTTTTCATTGTAAATTACCCAGTCTCGGGTATGTCTTTATCATCAGCATGAAAATGGACTAATGGTAATTGTTGTCTATCTAAACATATCTCAATATAGAAAAGTTACAGTAAGAATAGAGTAGAAAGCCAGGTGCAGTAACTCATGCCTGCAATCCCAGCACTTTGGGAAGCCAAGGTGAAAGGATTGCTTGAGGCCAGGAGTTCAAGACCAGCCTGGACAACATAGCAAGATTTTGTCTCTACAAAATAAATAACTGGGCATAATGGCATGCACCTATAATCTCAGCAACTTGGGAGGCTAAGGTGGGAAGACTGTTTTGAGCACAGGAGTTCAAGGTTATAGTGAGCTATGGTCATGCCACTCCAGCCTGGACAACAGAGCGAGACATTTTCTCAAAATTAGCATAAAACATAATAAATGGCACACCTCTATAGTACACTTACCACAAATGGGTCTTGCAGGGCTCCATTTGTTGTAAGTTGCTCTGGATGAGTCAGTGAGTAAATGTGAAGGCCAAGGACATTCCTGTACACTCCTGTATATTTTATAAACACTGTACACTTAGGACACTCTAAATTTATTTAAAATTTTTATTTCAATAATAAATTAACTTTAGTCCACTGTCACTTTTATACTTTATAAATTTTTAAATGGTTAAAAAATTTGGCTCTTGTAATAGCGCTTAGATTAAAATGCAAACACTGTATAGTTTTACAATTATATTTTCATTTTTATATACTTAATTTATAATATTTTCCTATTTTTCTTTTTTTAATTTTTTTAAGTATTTTGTTAAAAACTAAGACACAGGCACACATATCAGCCTAGACATACACAGGGTCAAAATCATCAATATCACTGTCTTCTGCCTCCATATCTTGTTCCACAGGAAGGTCTTCAGAGGCAGTTAACATGCATAGAGCAGTCATCTCTGCTCATAGCAATGCTTCCTTTTGAAAAACCTCCTGAAAGACCTACCTAAAACTCTTCTTAAGAAGGTGTGGCCTTTATGGTGGAATGATCCATGTGAATGTTCATTGCAACACTATTCACAATAGCAAAGACATGACATCAACCTAAATGTCCATCAATGACAGACTGGATAAAGAAAATGTGGTACATGTACACTGGGGAGCACTATGCAGTCATAAAAAGAACAAGGTCATGTATTTTGTGGAAACGTGGATGGAGCTAGAGGCTGTTATCCTTAGCAAACTAGTACAGGAACAGAAAACCAAATAGCACATGTTTTCACTTATAAGTTGGAGCTAAATGATGAGAACTCATGAACACAAAGATGAGAACAGAAACAATGGGGTCTGCTTGAGAGTGGAGGATGGGAAGAGGGAAAGGAGCAGAAAAGATAAATATGGAGTACTGGGCTTAATACCTGAGTGGTGTAATAATATGTACAACAAATGCCTGAGACACAAGTTTACAAATCTTCTCATGTATCCCAGACCAAAAATGAAAGTTAAAAGATAAAAGGTGTACTCTTCAGAAATATGTTCCTACTGTTTTTCTTGGCTTAATTCTTTTTTTATCATAGATTTGCTTGTAAACAGATAATGTGCCCTGAATGCTCCTCTCTATTAATGAACATTTTTCAGTGTTGGGCCCGTGTATTCAATTTTTAAGGTGCTTGTTGAGGGCTGCAAAAGCTTCTGCTAAACTCTTCACTGTGAATTTTCTAGGGGGTTCTTATTTTTCTTTTCCTGCAGTTTCCTTTTCTCTTGCCCTTTAAGCTATGTGTTCCTGTTCATATATGTGGTCTATTATTGACCAAAGCATCATTACACAGTGCACCATTGCAGTTACTTTTTATTGACTACATACTGTGTGCCATAGATTTTAGCAAGCACGTGATATGTAATCTTTTCAACAACACTGTTAAAAAGTTATTTCCATTCATATTAAATTTGAGAAAAATTATGTAACTAGACTGAGCCTACTCTGATTGTAAGTAGCAAAAGCCAGTCAATTCTCCTAAACCTAGTACTCTCTGCCTTTTGGTTTACTTATTGCTTCATTATACAGATATTCAGTGCATTGAGTTCTAGGTTGACCTCACTGTTAATATTCAATTCGATTTAGAAAAAGTAAATGGTTTACCCACATCATGGTAACCCAAGCTTCAGTTTTGTGAGATTGTTTGTATAGTATACCACCTATATTACAATAATAAAAATATAAAAAGAATAAAAATGTATTGACTACTCATTATGTTACACTAAATAGACAATATATTTTTGTATGCTTCACTATGATAATTTTGCACCTTTTATTCCTTATAATCCTTTGTCAAAAGATAAAACTTCTAGGTTCATGAAGTTTACATTCCAAATTGGTTCTTCAGTCAGCATCTGTGACTAACATTGTGACAAATCAACTAAAATTCAAAGGTCAAGATTTCAAGTTGCATTTTTATTACTGTCACCTTACAAAAAAGGGCTTCTGATAATTTAGCCTATTGCTCTATTAAGTAAATTTATCTTATAGAAATATTATAGAATTTATTAAAATTCAAGGGGAGCTGGGCTCACGATTAATGCCCTCTTATTTTGATTATTATGAGGTGGAAAATTAATGTCCTACATGTACTCCCCTATGTGGATAACCAAGTGCTAATGCACTTACTTTGGAAGATATTTGAATTACCATTTTTTTACATATATTTATTCAATATTTAAATTTTATATATTTTCCAGCAGAAAAAGATGAAGAATAAGAAATCCTTTATTATTTATTTTTAAAGGGGAGATTTGTAAGAAGTCAATAATAAAGATTCATGATTTTCATGTAAATTGTTTTCAAAGTCTGGATTCAGAGAAGCAGGCATCTTATAAAAAAAATTTACAGAGGCCGGGTGCGGTGGCTCACGCCTGTAATCCCAGCACTTTGGGAGCCCGGGGTGGGTGGATCACGAGGTCAGGAGATCAAGATCATCCTGGCTGACATGGTGAAACCCCGTCTCTACTAAAAATACAAAAAAATTAGCCAGGCTTGGTGGCGGGTGCCTGTAGTCCCAGCTACTCAGGAGGCTGAGGCAGGAGAATGGAGTCAACCAGGGAGGTAGAGCTTGCCGTGAGCTGAGATCGCGCCACTGCACTCCAGCCTGGGCGAGACAGCGAGACTCCGTCTCAAAAAAAAAAAAAAAAAAAAAAAATTTACAGAAGTTTGACTTCACAAAATAATCTCTAAATCAAACACTTTTTTTCTATTTGAATATTTCCCCAGCTTCAGCAGACTCACTCGTTTCTCTAGAATGTCTTCTTGTAAAAACCTGTTGACTGAATCATTTATCATAAATTCTGATTATCATATTTTTCTGCCATTTGCATAAAGTGAAATATTCAATCCATCTGAGTCTTAGTGCTATCTCTGTAAGAAGAAAATAAGATAAATTTCTCAGTCAGGTAATGAAGATTAAATGAGTTCGCATATGAAAAGTGCTTAGTAATATGCCTATCATACTTAGGTTAAACTGCGTCCTCATTCAAATATGCAATTTTCTGCCCTTCTTTAATGCCTTTAATGTTCATGCAAGAGACCAAAATACGGTGCCCACCTATGTTTTCATTCTCTGAAATAGTATATGTTTTCTAAAACTTATAACACATGGACAGAAAATCATGAATAAAAATAATTGTAACTGATGGATATGTCAATTATGTAGATTTAATTATTCCAATTTATATTCATAAATAATAACATCACTCTGTACCATCTAAATATATAAAACTATAAATTTTCAATTTGCAATTAAAACATTAAAAGTTAAAAAATTAAAGAATATATGAGAATGTAATATAGCTATGTCAATGTAATTATTTAAATAATATTGGAAAATATTTGTATATATTTAAATAAAGGGCAAAATTTTTATTTTTTTATTGTATCTTGCAGAAACTTACTGCAATAATCAATTTAAAATAATTTTAGATTTCTGTATTCTATATTCACCAGAAGCTATACCAATTAAATGTTTGTGTTACTCTCAATTATAAATTCACTCTTTAATACATCTATCAAAATAATCTGCTAATAGAGATTTGTTAAAAATTACATATTCAAATTATTTGAGAATTATTTATTTAACTTTGTGTATTCAATGATTTTCTAACTGTATTTTCCCCAAATTTGGATGGAAGGTAATATCTGCACTAAAGTGGATTTTACATTACTCTTTTTGATTACTTATTTTCCTCAGATTGAAGCAATTAATAATTAATAATTTTGCCCATTTTAAAAGCTAAATTGACTTACCTAATAAACAATATCAGTTTTCTTTCTGAAATAGTTTTGTTTGATTTTTATTCTTCTCTGTGACTAATTTACATTTTAAAAACTTGTACTCAATGGAAATAATTAAACAAGCCATTATATTACCATCTGTTGTGCATCACAGTCACGTTTTACTGTGGCTCACTCACAAGATTTGTGTGAAACTGACATATTATACTTTAATACAGTCACAATCTGAGAAGATAAAATTACCTGAAATAAAATCACAAAAAGAACATCATTGCTTTTAAACATATCTAATCCTCTTCCAACTACGCTATTTTTTATTTCATTTAAAATTGATCATGTTGATAATATAATAGCTAGGAGGATTTTTTAAAAATTTTAAATGGCAATATGTTAAGCAATAGGGACATTCCAAATTTGATTTTTTTAAATTTCTGTTTAATATTTGATGTTTTACTTAGAATATATGAATATGTTTTTAATTTTATAGCTAAGATTTTTCTATCAGTTAAAAATATATTGTATACTAAACTTTTTTCCCTTCAAGTTGAAGGACTCATGTTTGTATTTGAATATTTTAAATATTATTATAAGATTTTATCATCTGCTTTGTGAATTGCTTTCAATTTGAATATAAAAATTATGCAAGTAGATTTATAAAGAATCAGTGGTTAAATTATCTGATTACCCAGAAAGATGAAAAATTAGGCCAGGCTACACAAAAATGGCTATGAACAGAAGTAAGATAGAGGTATATGAGTCTGAAAAGTTGATACTTAATTGAGATAAGGAACTGCTGAAAGAGAGGAGAATTTTATCTCTATAAGGGGGAAATTACAGCCAGTGTGAAAAAGGTATGATCTATAATTGAGAATGTTTTAGAGGAGTACTTCACAGAGTTGTCCACATATGGAAGAAACGTGGCTTCCACTGAGTTCTCCGTAATTATTCAGAGGATAAATAATAATGGCCAGATGAATTTGGCTGGTGGTTTCAAAGAGGCAATTCATCTCATTGGGACTGACATGGAAATACTCTACCTTGGAGTTCATTCAACTCGTCTTTCTTTCCTTTTTATTTGAGATGGAGTCTCACTCGGTCGCCCAGGCTGGAGTGCAGTGGTGCTATTTCAGCTCACTGCAACCTCTACCTCCCGGGTTCAGGTGATCCTCCAACCTCAACCTCCCCAGTAGCTGGGATTACAGGCGGGTGAGCCACCGTGCCCAGCCAACTCCTCTTTCTTTCTAGTGTAACCAAGAAGGATAAAACTAAGGGCTGTCTTTCATCTCAAAGAGAAAAAAGATAATAGAAGTTCTCCTGAATCAAATGGGAATAATGTGATTAAACTACATGAAAAATAAAGAATTCAAGAGGTTGGATAAATAGAATAGCCAACAAATATAAAATTTTACCAGAAGGAGTCAACAACTGATAAAGTTATGAGAAACATCAAATAAATGATAACATTTAAGAAACAAGTAGATATAATGAAAAGCTCTTTTATAAGTGTCCAAGACAGAGACAGAAAACAGATACAGAAATAAACATTCCTAAGAAATAAAAAAAAAAACTTGAAAATAAGATGACATATTATGTTAAAGTTCCAAATAGGATAGATTTTAAAAAACAGTTAAAAACGGTGTCTTGAAATTAACTCACATCCTATTACCTAATAAATCATAACTTGATTTCAACAACAAAAAATATATAAGACATGTTAAAAAGCAAGGAAAATGCAAGAGGCAGAGGCTAATATCAGGACCACACTCAGACATGACACTAATGTTGGAATTATCAAATAATCTAATATAGCCATGAATAACAAGGTAATGTCTCAGGAACAGACAAATAATGTAAGCAGAGAAATAGAACTCTAAGAAAAAATCAAAAGGAAATGATAGAAATAAAAAATCTAGTTACAGCAATGAAGAAAGCCTTCAAAGTGGGCATCGGGCAACTGGACATGACCAAGGAAGAGTCAATGAGATTAAAAACAGATCAATGGAAACTTCCAAAACGGAAATATAAAAAGAAAAAAAAGAATAATAATACCAAACACAAAAACCCCACAAAATAAAACATCCAAGAGAGATGAGGCAGTTTGTTTTTTTATTTTTTAATTTCTGGGTGCATGTGCAGGATGTGCAGGTTTGTTACATAGGTAAATGCATGCTATGGTGGTTTGCTGCACCTATCAACCCATCACATAGGTATTAAGCCCAGCATGCATTAGCTCTTTTTCCTAATGCTCTCTGGCCCCTGCCCTCCCCTAACAGGCCCCAGTGTGTGTTGTTCCCCTCCCTGTGTCCATGTGTTCTCATTGTTCAGGTTCACTTATAAGTGAGAACATGCAGTATTTTGTATTCTGTTCCTACGTTAGTCTGCTGAGGATAATGACTTCCGGCTTCATCTATGTCCCTGAAAACGACATGATCTCATTTCTTTTTATGGCTACATAGTAGTCCATAGTGCATATGTACCACATTTTCTTTATCCATCCTATCATCGATAGGCATTATTTGGGTTGATTCCTTGTCTTTGCTATTGTGAATAGTGCTGCAAAGAACATATGTGTGCATGTATCTTTGTAATAGGATGATTTATATTCCCCTGGGTATATAACCAGTAATGATATTGCTGGGTCAAATGGTATTTCCAGTTCTAATTCTTTGAGGAATTGCCATGTTGTCTTCCACAATGGTTGGACTAATTTACATTCCCACAGTGTAAAATTGTTCCTATTGTTCTGCAACCTTGCCAGCATCTGTTGTTTCTTAACTTTATTAATAATCACCATAATGCCTGACCTGGGATGATATCTCATTGAGGCTTTGTTTTGCATTCCTCTAATGATCAGTAATATTGAGCTTTTCTTCATATGTTTGTTGACCGCATAAATATCTTCTTTTAGAAGTGTATGTTCATGTCCTTTGCTCACTTTGAATGGGGTTGTTTGTTTTTTCTTGTAAATTTGTTTAAGTTCTTTGTAGATTCTAGATATTAGACCTTTGTCAGATGAATAGATTGCAAAAATTTTCTCCCATTCTGTAAGCTGTCTGTTTGCTTTGATGAGATAGTTTTGCTGAGCAGAACCTCTTTAGTTTAATTAGATCCCATTTGTCAATTTTTCCTTTTGTTGCAATTGCTTTTGGCGATTTCATCATATAGTCTTTGCCCATGCCTATGTCCTGAATGGTATTGCCTAAATTTTCTTCTTGGGTTTTTATAATTTGGGGTTTTACATTTAAGTCTTTAATCCATCTTGAGTTCATTTTTGTATAAGGTGTAAGGAAGAGGTCCAGTTTCAATTATCTGCATATGGCTAGCCAGTTCTACTAGCACCATTTGTTAAGTAGGGAATCCTCTCCCCAATGTTTGTTTTTGCCAGGTTTGTTGAAGATCAGATGGTTATAGATGTTAAGTGTTCTTTCTTAGTTTTCTAGTCTATTCCATTCATCTATCTGCTGTTTTCGTACCAGTACTATGCTGTTTTTGTTATTGTACCCTTGCAATACAGTTTGAAGTCAGGTAGCATAATTCCTCCACCTTTGTTGTTTTGCTTAGGATTGTCCTGGCTATATGAGCTCTTTTTTGCTTCCATATGAATTTTAATATAATTTTTTTCAAATTCTGTGAAGAATGTCATACATAGTTTAATGGTGATAGTACTGAATCTATAATTTACTTTGGGCAGTACGGCCATTTTCATAATATTGATTCTTCCTATCTATGAGCATGGAAGTTTTTCCATCTGCTTGTATCTTCTCTGATTTCCTTGAGTAGAGGTTTATAGTTCTTCTTGAAGAGGTCCTTCACTTCCCTTGTTAGCTGTATTTCTAGGTATTTTATTCTCTTTGTGATAATTGTGAATGTGAGTTCATAACTTTTTTTTTTTTTTTGAGACAAAGTTTTGCTCTTGTTGCCCAGGTTGGAGCGCAGCGGCATGATCTCAGCTCACTGCAACCTCTGCCTCCCAGATTCAGGCAATTCTCCTGTCCCAGCCTTCTGAGTAGTTGAGATTACAGGTGTGCACCACCACGCCTGGCTAATTTTTTGTATTTTGAGTAGAGACGGGGTTTCACCATGTTGGCCAGGCTGGTCTCAAACTCCTAACCTCAGGTGATCCACCCACTTTGGCCTCCCAAAGTGCTGGGATTACAGGCATGAGCCACCACGCCCAGCCATGAGTTCATTCTTGATTTGGCACTTGCCTTGCATGTTGTTGGTGTATAGGAACGCCTGTGATTTCTGCACATTGATTTTGTATCCTGAGACTTTGCTGAAGTTGGTTATTGGCTTAGGAATCTTTTGGGCTAAGTTGATGGGGTTTTCTAGATATGGGATCATGTCATCTGCAAACAAAGTCCATTTGACTTCCTGTCTTTCTATTTGAATACCATTTGTTTATTTCTCTTGCCTGATTGCCCTGGCCAGAACTTCCAGTACTGTGAGTGAGAGTGGTGAGAGAGAGCATCCTTGTCTTGTGCAAGATTTCAAAGGGAATGCTTCCAGCTTTTGCCCATTCAGTATGATATTGGCTGTGTGTTTGTCATAAATGGCTCTTATTATTTTGAGATATGTTCCTTCAATTCCTAGTTTATTGAGACTTTTTAACATGAAGGGATGTTGAATTTTATCAAAGACTTTTCCACTCTATTGAGATAATCATGTGTTTTTTGTCTTTATTTCTATTTATGTGATGAATTATGTGTATTGATTCATATATGTTGAACCAGCCTTGCATCCCAAGGATGAAGCCAACTTGATTGTGGTGGATAAGCTTTGTGATATGCTGCTGAATTCAGTTTGCCAGTATTTTATTGATGATTTTCACATTGATGTTCATCAGGGATACTAGTCTGAAGTTTTCTTTCTATGTTATATCTCTGCTGGGGTTTTGGTATGAGATGATACTGGTCTCATAAAATGAGTTAGGAAGGAATCCCTTCTCTTCAGTTGTTTCAAATAGCATCAGAAGTGGTACCAGATCCTCTTCATACCTGTGGTAGAATTCAGCTATAAATCCATCTGGTGTTGGGCTTTTTTTTTTTTTTTTTTTCGGTTGGTAGACCATTTATTACTGCCTCAACTTCCGAACTTATTATTGGTCTATTCAGGGTTTCAACTTCTTCCTGGTTCAGTCTTGGGAGGGTGTATGTGCCCAGGAATTTATCAATTTCTTCTAGATTTTCCAGTTTATTTTCATGGAGGTGTATATAGGATTCTCTGATAGTTGTCTGTATTTCTGTGGGGTCAGTGGTAGTATCCCCCTTATCATTTCTGATTGTGTTTACTTGAATCTTCTCTATTTTCTTCTTTATTAGTCTAGCTAGCAGTCTATTTTATTTTATTTTTTTTTTCAAAAAAACAGCTCCTGAATTTGTTAATTTTTTGAAGGGTTTTTAATGTCTCTATCTCCTTCAGCTACACTCTGAGCTTTGTTATTTCTTGTCTTCTGCCAGCTCTGTGGTTTGTTTGCTCTTGGTTCTCTAGTTCTTTTAGTTGTGATATTAGGGTGTCAATTTGAGATTTTTCTAGCTTTTTGATGTGGGCATTTAGTGCTATAAATCTCCCTCTTAACAATGCATTAGCTGTGTCCCAGAGATTCTGGTATGTTTTCTCCTTGTTATTATTAGTTTCAAAGAACTTTTTTGAGTTCTTTCTGCCTTAATTTTATTTACCCAGAAGTCATTCAGGAGCAGGTTTTTCAATTTTCATGTATTTGTGTCGTTTTGAGTGGGTTTTTAAATCTTGAGCTCTAATTTGATTGTGCTGTAGTCTGAGAGACTGTTTGTTATTATTTCAGTTTATTTTTCTATTTGCTAAGGAATGTTTTACTTCTAATTATATGATCAATTTTAGAGGAAAAGCAATGTGGCACCAAGAAAAATGTATATTCTGTTGATTTGGGGTGGAGAGTTCTGTAAATATCTTTCAGGTCCACTTGGTCCAGAGCTGAGTTCAAGTCCTGAATATCTTTGTTAACTTTCTGTCTCGATGATCTGTCTAATACTGACATTGGAGTATTAAAGTTACTCACTATTACTGTGTGGGGATCTAACTCTCTTTGTAGGTCTTTAAGAACTTTTTTTTTTGAATCTGGGTGCTCCTGTATTGGGTGCATGCATATTTAAAATAGTTAGGTCTTCTTGCTGAATTGAATCCTTTACCATTATGTAATGCCCTTCTTTGTCTTTTTTGACCTTTTTTGGTTTAAGGTCTATTTTGTCAGAAAGTAGGATTGCAACCTGGTTTCTTTCTGCTTTTCATTTGCTTGGTAAATTTTCCTCCATTTATTTATTTTGAGCTATGAGTGTGTCATTGCAAGTGAGATAGGTCTCTTGAATACAGCACACCAATGGGTTTTGTCTTTTTTATCCAGCTTGCCATTCTGTGTTTTTTAATTGAGGCATTTGGCCCATTTACATTTAGGATTAATAATGTTATGTGTGAATTTGATCCTATCATCATGAGGCCAGCTGGTTGATTTTGCAGACTTGTTAATGAAGTTGCTTCATAGTGTTGTTAGTGTGTGTACTTGTCAGCCTGCCTTATTTCAGCAAGAGAGTCTTCAAGTTCTGATAGTCTTTCTTCCATTTGGTTGATTCAGCTATTGATACTTACAGTTGCATTGTGAAGATCTTGTGTTGTGTTTTTGAGCTTCATCAGGTCATTTATGTGCCTCTCTAAACTGGCTATTCTGATTAACAGCTGCTGTAATCTTTTATCATGGTACTTAGATTTTTTGCATTGGGTTAGAACACAGTCCTTTAGCTCAGCGAAGTTTGTTATTACCCACTTTCTGAAGCTTATTTCTGTCACTTCATCCATCTCAGCATCAGCCCAGTTCTGTGCCCTTGTTGGAGAGGCATTGCAATCATTTGGAGGAAAAGAGGCATTCTGGTTTATGGAATTTTCAGTGTTTTTTTCTTCACTCTGTGGCTTTATCTACCTTTAATCTTTGAGGCCGTTGACCTTTGGATACAGTTTTTGTGGTCTTTTTTGTTGATTTTGTTGTTGTGGTTTTGTGTTTGTTTGATTTTCTTCTAACAGTCAAGACCCTCTTCTGCAGGTCTGTTACTGTTTGCTGGGGGTCCACTCCAGACCCTGCTTGCCTGGGTATCGCCAATGTAGGCTAGAGAACAGCAAATATTGCTGCCTGTCACCCTTTTTGGAAGCTTTATCCCAGAGGGGTACCAACCTCATACCAGCTGGAACTGTCCTTTATGAGGTGTCTGGCAACCTCTCTTGGGAGGTCTGACCCAGTCAGGAGGCATGGGGTCAGGGACCCACTTAAGGAGGCAGTCTGGGTGCCTCTTAGCAGCTTTTGTAAACATTTATGTAATTTTTTTATGTAGGCATAGGTTTCCCATTTTTTGGTTTATATATTAGTAGTGCATTTGTCAGGGTCTATAATAACTCTATATTTAATCATTTGAGAAACAGTTATAATGTTTTCCAAGGCAGCTGTACTATTTTACAGTCTCACCAGCAGTGTATGAGGGTTTTAATTTTGCCACATCCTTGCTTAAAATCTTTTTAATTTGGCTTTTGATTCTAGCTATCCTAGTAGGAGTGAAGTGCTATCTCATTGTGGGTTTTGTTTGCATTCCTCTGAGACTGATGACGTCAAACACCTTTGTTTGTGTTTACTGGCCATTTCTATACATTCTTTAGAGAAATGTTTATTCCAATTCTTTAGCCACTTTTAAAATTTGGAAGTTTTAATTACTGAGATATAAAGTAATTTATATATTCCAAATATGTAAGTGTACATAGAGAGTAACAAAGCTAAAAAGGCAACCAGGGATCATTGGTTATGGCTGATAGAACATGGAGTTCCTAGAAGCTAGATAAATATGGAGTCACTAATATTGCTTGACATGTCCAATGACAACAGCAACGAGAAAAAAGTTCAAAAGTGAGTGAGAAGCATGCTTTCTTCCACCACACTTGAATACCATAATCCCTCATCCAGTTTGTAGATCAAAGTCATTTCTGAGACATAGAGACCATATTGTGAATGGGAAATTATGTTCACTTGAAGAAGGAGACAGCAACCATTTGGCAAATACAGACAGTAATCATTACTGCAGTTCTCTCTTAAAATGACTACTATTTAGTTACTGAGTAAATTTGCATTGAGTAAAGTTGAACACCCCATTTTTCAAAGACCTTTGGAATTGAGATGTGCACTGACTGTCAAAAATGTCACCTAAGAACCAGCTTTGAGATATGCTCGTCTAGTTTTGCAAATTTAGGCTCTGCTAGACTAAAGATTTGGGATATGGGTCATTGAAGAATATGAGGAGACAGAGTGAAGTTTCTTTGACTTTAACACTGTGGCTGCTGTCTGGTCATTTTTTTGTTTCTCATGCAAGAAGGAAAAAAAACAGGACTACAGTTACAGGGGTGATTCTTCTGAATTTTTATGAGGAGATTGGATTGGGAGGAACATGCCTGGAATCCAGAGGAATCACTAGGATATCTTCTTAGGTATTGTGAATAAGCAATTGTGCAAGTATGCATGATTTAGACATTCACAGATGAAGACCCCTTTATCTTATTGGGCAGACAACCTAGAAGAGTACAAGTGCTGGAAGAATGTAAGGAGATTTTAAAATAAGCAACAGAATAAGGAGATAGCACCTCACTAGTAGTAGCTTAATAGAACAAGGAATGACTGCCTTAGGACTCTTTGTGATTGGTCCTAGTTGTGATTGGTTCCCACCAGTGACAGGACAGAGGGACTTACTATACATCACCTGCAGATCTAAACAGTATAAGAAGTGGACCATATCAGTAGCTTTCGTGTCATATCCATATTATCTTAGAATTCTCCATTGGCTGCTTATTGGCTACCCCTGTGCTCTCTGTCTCCAGAGATGCTTTTGATCATTGGTCTATGCTCTTCTCATACACAAAGCAGAACAGATTTAAGGACTGCCGCCCAGTACCTTGAGAGTAGACCCTCAAACAATTGCATATGGAAGTTAGCTTACAAATTTTTATTAATAAATAATAACTACTTGGTTATTTATAAATAACCCTCTATCCTCATTTGGAAGTAAGATTCTTGGCATACAATGATGCCAAACAACTGGAGTAGAGTGAGCTCTAGTTTCCCATGATAATAATTAGCTTAATAACACATCTTAATTGACTTGCTTCTAATTCCCTTGTCAGCTCTCCACACATCACTTAATGTTTTTATATATCATCCCTCAAAAAAACTACTTGTGTTTACATCTTTGTATGATAAACCAAGAAACACTGAGAGTCACATGACAAAATATGTGGATATATAATTCTATTACACAAGAAACTGAAAGATTGAAAGACAATCTGGCACAGAAGGTGTATTGATCAATGTTATATACCAACTTGGCTAGAGTATGGTGGCAGCATGTTTGGTCAAACAGTCGTCCAGATATTGCTGCCTGTGATGGTATATTTTAAAAATATGATCGACTTTTAGATTAGCAGATAGTAAAGCAGATTACTCTCCATTATGTACGTATATCTCACTCAATCTCTTAAAGACCTTAAGAGCAAAGTTTGAGGTTTCCAGAAGAATAGTTTGGACTCAAGACTACAACATCAACTGTTTCCTGAGTTTCCAGTCTGCTGGTAGCAAGTCCTGTGGATTCTGGACTTGCCAGTGACCTCTCTTACATACACACGTACACACACATATAAAAAGATAGATGTAATATATAATAAAACGTGACATATATAAAAATATAATATACAAATATATATATAAATATAAATATTTATCCCATTCATTCTTTTTCTCTGGAAAACCCTAATACCTACGGACAGACAAGATCAGAAATATTAGGCTGATTAAACATTGTTAAAAGTTAGTATTTGTAAAACTTAACTAAATGAAATGGCAGTGCCCTCCTAGATGTGCTACTAGATGAAGGTCCTAAGACCTGCGTTCATGAAGTAAACATGCTACTTAAGATTGTTTTGAGATCCTGCTTATAAAACAAAAGGCTTGACATTCACCGCAAAACACCTTCTAGTGTTGAAACGAATGTCTGCAGTATCAAATCTGAGCAGTGGAATTAGTGCCTGCTTCATTCGGTATTTTTCAGTAGACCCAAATTATGACCAATCCTGTGAATGCTCTGTATACACATCTAAAACACGGGCTCCCAAAGTGGTCTAATACCTTAATAATATAATATAGGGAATACTACCTCTGAAGTCAGGAAGCCTGAATTCTAATTTCATCATTGTTATTGCCTAACTATGTCATCTGGATCCTGCACTAAAGTTCTCTGACTTAGCTTCTCAAAACCAGCGACCTCTGTAATCCCAGCCTTTAGCTATTGTAATAATGAGAATCACTAAGACTTGCAAAAATTTTTAGCTCTAATTATGACTTCTGAAGTTTCCCAGGTCCTAAATTTGAGAAATTCTGTCACATCTCAAAACAGACACCCACTGTTGCCAGGTAATATATTCAAAACTCATTGAATTATACATTGTCTTCTGTATGTGTGTGTATATATACACATACTTATATCAAACATATAATCATGCATGTAAACATAAGATACACATATTAATATAAACCTAAAACATGTACATATAGTCATTAAAAATAATATCCCAGGTAGTTACGGATAGCATCACAATAATAAATATCCAGTTAATACTGTTTGTTTTCCCCTCTTAGTTATTGTTATTTGATGGGTTTATAGAAATAGTATATTTTTCACTTTTTAATATGAAACATGCTGATTTTTTAATGCTTATTTGAGATCTGCTCTTTTGTTTAGAAATCCGCAACAGTACCCATGTTTGCTGTTCTTTGATCTTCTTTGTCTTAGAAGTGTAATCATTTTCATAGCTAAGCAAATACATTCAGCATCTTAAAAAGTTTCCCAAAAGATGATGGCTCACACAGCTGTATTCAAAGCACTACAAAAATACGTTGCCTTTTTTTGTGTGTCTAAGTAATGGAACTGCTACAATACAAAAAATGACTAGTTAATTATAACATAGAATGTTTATATATAATAATTTGACTTGTCCCAAATCACTCTTTTTCAGAGCAGCTGTTAGGAAGACACCTTATTCTCCATCTAACCTTTCATTTTATAAATACATTTTACATAAAAGGAGGGAATTATCTGTGTGAAGAAAGTGCATTCACTGATAGGAAGGAGGTCACTTCACAAAGTTCCACAATCAATTTCACTACTTTCAAAATACTACTTGCTGCCATTGCTGCCATATCCACAACAACTAGTCTCTTTTTTCTCCTTAGTAAAGAACACTTGTTTTGTTTTTTCAGTTTTGGTTTTTTGTTTGTTTGTTTTTGTTTTTGTTTTTGTTTTTCGTAGATGGAGTTTCACTCTTGTTGCCCAGGCTGGAGTGCAACGGCCTGATCTCGACTGACCACAACCTCCACCTCACAGGTTCAAGCAATTCTCCTGCCTCAGCCTCCCTAGTAGCTGGGATTACAGGGATGTGCCACTACACCCGGCTAATTTTGTATTTTTAGTAGAAATGGGGTTTCTCCATGTTGGTTAGGCTGGTCCCAACCTCAGGTGATCTGCTCACCTCAGCCTCCCAAAGCATGGGGATGACAGGCATGAGCCACCACACCTGGCCTAGAACCCTTGTTTTTAATTGTATATATTGTACCTGGGGCTAAAAGTCTGCATTTCTCAGCCTCCTTGGCAGCTGGGTGTGGGCATATGACTAGCAAGAGATAACTAAAAGTGTTTCATGGAACTTCAGGGAATGTTGCTTAAAGAGAGCTGGTGCAGCAGGGAAGGCCTCCTCTTTACCTGGGTCTTTACCTGTGCCTTTCCTCCTTAGGCCAACAAATGACTCAGACATGAGAGTTGGAGCCCCGGGAGCCACACCAGAGAATGAGGGGAGCTACAGGATGAAAGTCATGTGTAGGAGAGTGGAAGATGACAGTCTGGGGCCTCTGATAGCCCTGAACTGCTACCTCCAACTTGTTTCTATGTGAGAGAGAAATAAAACTTTACATCACTTTTAAAAATAGAGATTTTCCATAAACCAGCACCCAGTTTTCCCCATTATTAATATATTATACTGGTATAGTACATTTGTTAAAATTATTAAAACAATTATTGATAATAATGTTATCATCTAAAAAACATACTTTATTTAGATTTTTTAGTTTTACCTGATGTCCTTTTTCTGTTCCAGAGCTCTGATCAGAATACCACATAACATTTCGTAGTCATGTCTCCATAGGCTGCTATTGGCTGTGACAGTTTCTCGGAATTTTCTTGTTTTGGATGACTTTGACCCTTAGTTCATATTAAGGTTCATTGCGGATGTTTAACATTCTATAGAGTTGAACAAATGTGCATGCACTTATCATTATGGTTTCATATAGTTTATTTTCACTGACTTAAAAATTCTCTATCTTCTGCTTATTCATCTCTCCATGCCCCAATCCCTGACAACCACTAATATTTTTACTCACTCCATAGTTTTGCCTTTGCCAAATGTCATATAGTTGCGATCCCACTGTGTGTACTTCTTTTCAGATTGATTTCTTTCACCTGGTAATATGAATTTAGGGTTCCTCCCTGTCTATTCATGACTTGATAGTTCATTTCTTTTTAGCACTAAATAATATATCATTGACTGAATGTACCACAGTTTATCCATTCACCTACTGAAGAGCATTTTGGTTGCTTACAAGTTTTGGCAATTATAAACAAAGCTCTTGGAAACATTCATGGGAGGGTTTTCCATGGACATATGTTTTTAGCTCATTTATAGGACTTTTATATTTTTTCAGTGTTTTCCACATAGATAATATCATGTGCAAACAGTTTATCACTTTCCTTCAAGTTTGAATAAATTTTTTTTAAGTCTACAGTACCAAGGACTTTCTAGTACAATGTATTGAGTGGAGAAAGAGGACATCCTTGCCTTGTTTTTGAATGTAGGGAAAAATGTCCAGTTTCACATCATTAAGTAGGTTAGCTGTAGGGTTGTTTTTTTAACTGATGTGTTTTTATCAGGTTAAGGAAGTTTCCCTCTATTTTTACTTGGTGTTTGGTTTTGTCAGATATACTTTCTTCATCATTTGATGTGATTGTATGATTTTTCTTTGGTTGTTGTTTTTTGATGCGGTGGGTTGCAATGATCATCTCAAGACGTTTAATAAGCCTGACACATCTAGAATAAATCTCACTTAGATATCAGGTATACTTATTTTGTACATTGCTGAAATCAATTTGCTAATTTTAAAAGAATTGTTTATATTTGTATCAGTCTTTGCCTCACATATTTTACGATTCTGCTGTTAGATATATACAGCTTTTGGGTTATCATGCCTTCTTGGAGAATTGACCCTGTTACCATTATGTAATGCTCCTCTTTGTCTCTATTTTTCCTTTTTCTGAAGTGCATATACCTACTATAGCTTTCTTTAGATTTGTGTTAATGTGGTATATATTTCTCCATCCATTTACTTCTAACCTACCTGATTGTTTATATTTAGGAAATTTACAATATACAACAAATAGTTGTATTTTATACTTTTATCTATTTATCTAGATATTCACACTTAAATTATTGATATAGTTGGATTCATATACAACATATTTATAAAGGTTTTCTATTTGCTTTTTTGTTTGTTTTCCCCTTTTTTTCTGCCTTCTCTGTTTTTAAAAGCAAATATTTTATGATTTCATTTTAGCACATCAATTACGGTTTTTAGAAATATTTCATAGGTTACCCCGGAGTTTTCCAATATACATTTTCAACTGATCTAAGTCCACTTTGAAATAACTCTCTACCACTTCATGTGTTGTGCAAATATAAAAAATAATTCTCAACTTCTCCAATTCTTTCTTCATGGTGTTGCTGTCATTTTTTTCACTTATTCATATATTGTAATTATCCAATACATTATTACTTTAAATAGTTACCGTTTAGTTTAATTAAAGCTAATGAAAATGTTTAAATTACCTTTTTTTCTTCTCTGACACAGTTCCTGCCTGAGTCAAGTGTGGTTAGAAAATCTGAGTTTCTAACCATATCCTTTTCCTTCTCCCTGAAAAACTTGTCTAAACTTTCTTGCATGGCTGATCTGTTGAAAATAAATTCTGTTTTTGTTCGTTTTGGAAATTCTTTCTTTCTTTCTTTCTTTTTTTTCACCTTTAACTGGATATTGAATTTCAGACAATGTTTTGCCTACACTTTTTTTTTCCATACTTTAAAAGTTGCACTTTAATCTCTTTTTATTTGTTTGGCTGTGATTAGAAATCCACTGAAAGTATATATCTTATGTAATTCTATACAGGTTAGATGTTTTAATTCTCTGACTTCTTTCAAAAATGTCTTTTTTTGTAATATGTATATGTTGTGGTCAAATGTAGACTTTTTTCCTACTTTTATTTTTGGTTTTGAGTGTTAAATCTTTTGAAATTGTTCCTTATTATTTAAAAATTCTGTGTAATTTTTTTTAAAATCATTTTCTTTATGTTCTTCAGTTTGGGAAGTTTCAAGTGACGTACTTTCAAGCTCATTAATTCTTTTTAGTTCATTCCCTCTGTGAACTCTACTAATGAGTCCATCAAAGGCGTTTTCTTTTTTTTTTTTTTTTTTCTTTTTTTGAGACGGAGTCTCGGTCTGTCGCCCAGGCTGGAGTGCAGTGGCACGATCTCTGCTCACTGCAAGCTCCACCTCCCGGGTTCACGCCATTCTCCTGCCTCAGCCTCTGGAGTAGCTGGGACTATAGGCACCCGCCACCACGCTCGGCTAATTTTTTGTATTTTTTAGTAGAGACGGGGTTTCACTGTGTTAGCCAGGATGGTCTCCATCTCCTGACCTCATGATCCACCCGCCTCAGCCTCCCAAAGTGCTGGGATTACAGGCGTGAGCCGCCGTGCCCGGCCTTTTTTTTTTTTTTTTTTTTTTTTAGATGGAGTTTCGCTCTTGTTGCTCTGGCTAGAGTGCAATAGTGTGTTTGGTTCACTGCAACCTCTGCCTCCAAGGTTCAAGCAAATCTCCTTCCTCAGCCTCCCAAGTAGCTGGGACTAAGTGGCGTGCACCACTAAGCCTGGCTAGTTTTTATGGTTTTAACAGAGACGGGTTTCACCATGTTGGCCAGGCTGTTCTAGAACTCCTGACCTCAGATAATCCGCCCACCTCAACCCCCCAAAATGCTGGGATTACAGGCATAAGCCACCACGCCTGGCCTAAAGACATTCTTAATTTCTATTATAGTGCATTTTATTTTTTTTTATATTTCTTACTGTTTACTTCTCTGTTTATATTATTCATTTGTTCTTACACTCTATTGTCTTAAATTAGATCCCATACTGTATTATTCATAGTTTATTAAAAGCCCTGTCTAATAATGAAAACAATTGTGTCATATCTGAATTTTTTTCCTGAATAGTTTGTCTCTTTAGAATAATTTTTTTTTGCTTTTTAGTATGACCGGTAATTTTTGTTAAAAATTTCAGTGTGTATAACTTTGCTATTCTCATGGCAGGAAGTTGAGCTGTTTTTAACACATCTTGCAGCTATAAGTGCTAAATAATATTCCTCTAGTGTCCTTGTTTTGGTTTCTTTGCTGTCTTTAGGTTTCCCTAAGAACTCCTTCAATAGAGGCTGCACTTTCAGCTCTCTTAGCTGTAATCTCCTGTTGTTGTACTGGAGCCCTGGAGGCATGAGGGTAAACTACGAAGGATGGGAAGCAGTCTGTAATCTTACGATTAAACCACAGACTTTTAGTGGGCATGTGTTTCTGGGCTATAACCTTCACAAGTGTTTCTTTGTTCCTCCCACTCTTTGTTGAGACAGGAAGACTAGAGGGACTTGCAGGGGAAATGTTTTCCCCCAAGCTTCGATAAGGTTTCAGTAGAACCTCTTTTTTTCCCTTAAGAGTACAACTTAGCTGTATAAAATCCTCTGGATATATTCCATAAAGTTTACTCTTTTACCACCATTACCACCGCCCTCCCCACCAGAGCAATGGAGTCCTGGTGAGATCTTTCTAATCTCTTCACCCTCTGGCACAATTCCTGCAGGTTAAACAATGAAAATGTGGGACCCTTCTAAGACTGCAATCTCTGTTGTTTTCACACTTTTATTTTAGTCCACACAGGTTCTAGCTTTAAAATTACTGCTTAATATTTTCTACAAGTTTATGATTCCAACAGTTTCTGTTCTAGGGAAGTTGATCTCATTTGTGACTCTATATTAGCCTGTGTCTCTAGAGATCAGGGTAACAGTTTGCTGTGCAAATTCAATTCTCTAGGGTTTAAGAAAATTCATTGATTTTCACTTTGTCTAAATCCTTATTACTGTAAGCATGCTGTGAACACTTTCAAACCCTTTACATGGCGAAACTGAAACAGGAGGCTTCATTATATTTATTGTCAGACAAATAATAGCTATCACTGCTGAGAATAATAATATTGAGAACATAACAGGCTTGAGCTCTTATAAAATGTTATGATTTTGACAGGCTCCTCCATCTAAAATTAAATTAAAACTTTTAATCTCCTTAACATTCTGTGAAATTATTTAAATGCACATTCAATGGAGACTAATGTAAGCAATTATGATGAAAAGACAACAAAACATCAAGGTTTGGGGATTGAAATAGGCTTCTGCAGATCTACCATCAGCCACTGTCATTTTGTTTGTTAAAAGTGGCTGGGTGCCGTGGCTCACGCCTGTAATCGCAGCACTTTGGGAGGCCAAGGCGGGTGGATCAGGAGGTCAGGAGATCGAGACCATCCTGGCTAACATGGTGATACCTCGTCTCTACTAAAAATACAAAAAATTAGCTGGGCGTGGTAGCGGGTGCCTGCAGTACCAGCTACTAGGGAGGCTGAGGCAGGAGAATGGCGTGAACCCGGGAGGCGGAGCTTGCAGTGAGCCGAGATCGCGCCACTGCACTCCAGCCTGGGCGACAGAACGAGACTCCATCTCAAAAAAAAAAAGTTAAGATAGATAGAAATGAAGTCTTTTTTTTTTTAGAGGTGAGTTCAAATTTCTACTTCTTAGATTACTTCCCTGGAGAACAAATGTCAATTATAAACTTTTTTTTTCATTGGCAACTCTCAAAATTCAAAGCGTTAAACTGGTAGCGGGAACTTGAAAATTTGCAGGTATAAAAGTCCAAGTGCTTTTTCAACTGAGTCAAGGAGACCACAGAAAATGCAGCATGAGAAAAGGTTATAAATGTATGAAGCAAACCAAAAAACTTCCAAAAGTTGTTAGGAGAATCTTGGGAAAGCTAATATTTGCCCTCTATAAGCACTAAACTTGCAAAGATATTTTAAAAAGAAAAAAATTAAATAATTACCAGAAGGAAGAAGAAATAAAGATAAAATAAATGTATTCAGCTTGGTTTCATGATTAATTTTAAAATATTAATATTTATTTTGTGTTAGAAAAAGTATTGTCCATTTAGTGAAAACCTATTACAAATTCTGTCAATTTAACCACAATTTTAAAGAGAATAAGAGGCAGATACAAACCTCATATAAACAAACTTTTCTTTTTAGGTTCTTGCAAGCAGTGTACAAAGGATTTGAAGAAGTGCTGTAATACCAAAAACTATCAGAAATCCAGCTAACACTATTTTCTCATGAAGTATACAAAGGTTTACTGGCCAGCACAGTAAATTTAAACTCAATATGCACGTAGTCCTACTGGTAATATGCACCTTTCCCTTTTGATTTTTGATGAGCTATTCTGCAAGGCTTTCAAAAACCCAAGAAAACAATGTAAATAAAGCAATATCAGTTTATAGACAGCATTAACGTAACCAAATGGCAAGTTCAGCTGCTCACTGTTTGCAATGTCGAATAACAAGGATGAGGTTAGGTAGAAAGAAACTGACTTTATTGTCTAAAGCTAGTAATGGGGAAGTGGTTTAGGCTCTTTTCTTAATGGAACCACCTCAAATATGGGGCGGAAAGCGAAGGTTTAAAAAGGGAAGCTCGGCATTTGGGGTATGCATGGGGGGTGAGGTGGTGCAAGTCTACATGACTTGTTCCTATGACTTGAGTTATTGCTACATCTGGTGAATGGGCTGACACCATCACAGGCACAACTGGAGTGTAAATTAATCACAGCCTTGAAGTGTTCTGATGGTAGGGTAGAATTTCACAGACACCTGGATTGTTTCAAGACTCCATCTCTGGAACTCCTAAGAAAACATAGATAAGCTAGCAGTGCAAGGGGTATCTGGTGAAAAACAGCAAAGATCACAATTACTTCTCTAAGGGGCTAAGTAAGCAGTGAGCACACATGGAAAACAGGAAAAGAAGGGAAATGGAAAAACAATTTTTAGGAAAAGAGGTACTCAGTCACATTAGTACTATTTGACATTTTTGTTTAAATTTTGTATTAAATATACTATAAGCTTTTAATGAAAAAACAGAAAAATATAAACAGAGTTTTTACCAGATATTTGTGTACTTCTACAATAACCATAAGAAATAGATTCTAAGATAGTTGCATGGAATACAAAAAAAATCTCAATTTTTAAAAGATAAAATTACTTACAGCCTAGAAAACAAATATACACTTCTATGTGTACATTCTAAAAAATTCTTCTTTGCATTGTTACCAGTACAAATGAATTCACCTAAAAAAACCATAAAATTCCACATAATTATTGCCAAACATTGTAACTAAAAATCTCAAAACACTTTTAATTTAAAATTATCTATGCTTTAATTGGGCATGTTCATGTACTCAAGATTTAGATAAAAGTGAAACCAGTATAATAAAATTATTTTCTGGTTAACAATTGCTCTTTCATTAACAATTGTCCCTTTCTTACAATATTA
The DNA here is from genome assembly GCF_000001405.40 of Homo sapiens. Lineage (NCBI taxonomy): Eukaryota > Metazoa > Chordata > Mammalia > Primates > Hominidae > Homo > Homo sapiens. The sequence continues at coordinate 95,124,226 of NC_000003.12, forward strand.
GCTAACAATTGTTTAACTTAAGTATATTTTGTGGAAACATTTGCACCTAATAAGAAACAAAATATCAACTATAAAATAAGGTTTCACTCATAAATTTCTTTCTTAGGAATAGACTTTAGTTAAAAAAATTGTGTTCTTATTTACAATTTTAGAGGCATAATGTAGTCATATGTCTTACAATGTAAGGCAAAAATAAGTCTGTAAAAAATATCACTTAAAACAAAAATTAAAGTGACTCATTTACTGTGAATAATTATTTATATAATAAGATATTCACACCTACTTATTGAACATCATATGTCTTTTTTTTGGGCATAAGTGAGTTTCCTAAAGGCTTCCAATCCCCCACTGGCACAAAGGTCAAAGGTGTAGAGGAAAGGCTAGCTTTTGTATACAATAGAAACTATTCACCATGATCTAAATAATAGACAAAGAAACTGAGGATGAAAGAAGAAAGGGCAGAACTTTTTGGTTTTGCCTCAGATTTAACCCTCTGTAATTTTTCTTTTTTTTGTTTGTTTGTTAAAAGTAATATTATAACTGTGATTAGATACTCAGACTGGTTCAGAAAAGCAGTTTTAAATTAGTGTACAGTTGAAATAAAGTATGTTCACAAACCATGTTTTTCTCAATCATTTTAGTATAATACACTAAATCAAGTATCTGTAGGGAGGATGTCAGCAGGATCTAGTTAGTGTTGCAGCTTTTTCACTCCCGTCGTTCGGTAAGTTCTGAGTTCTTGTTCCACACCCGAGAAGAATGTGGTACATGGGCACTGGAGAGTGAGTAAGGCAGAGTAGAATTTATTGAGTTACAAAAAAGCTTTTGGCAGTGAGAGGGGACCCAAAAGTGGGTTGCCAGTCACATGACTGAGTTCGGGGGTTTTTATGAGCTTGGAATGGGGAAGTGCGTGCTGATTGGTTTGTGGGTGGGTTTGGAAAAAGCACCATTCAGAAAGAGGCAAGATAGTGTATAGAGCTAGTCAGAGGAGGGTAGGTATACGTAAAATAGGTGAAAGTAAAAGACCAATCGGGAGAAAGCAAGGCAAATGGGAATAGGAGTTCTCACTCTGGTCCACGGATTTTATCTGGAGCTGGAAGCTTAGTTGTCCTTGGCTTGAAGGTTGCATTTCACCAGGAACCCATCCTTGTCTGCCTAGGAATTTGCCTGCGTCCTTTAACTATCACTAGCTCACCTCATTTAACATCTATTAATTACTTTGTTTATATTTCAAAATTATAATCTTCCAATAAGTACTGTCCTATATATATATATAGAAACATTTGAAGCTAGCTAGATAGCTATTAATATATTTTTGCACTTTTAATAAGTTATACCTTTTATTCAATAATTTTCATCACTCATTGCATTTTTCAGACCCCATATGATGTGTCATGCACTCTACAAAGTGGGAACCAAGTGGTGTGATGAGCGGGCAAAACTTACTCTCCCATAGTCACAGAAAAATTATAGTTAATGGGAGATATCCTGGGGCAGAGAACATGGAAATGCTTTGCACTTGTAGGTAGAGAATATTACATGTAAATACATGGAGAAATGGCAGGTCAATATACATGGGACATGGAAAGAAGTTCAGTATAGCTAACTCACCAGTTGCAGGTGGGATCACAATTGACAATAAATAAAGAAAAGGGTAAGAGTCCGGGAAATAAAGATCTGGAAATCAGGTTGAGATGTTCGAGCATATGTGGAAAGTAATGGGAGGAGGCTCTGGAAGGAAACAAAGCTCAGATTTCACGTACGGCTTTAGAGGTCATGTTAAAGGTTTTGGTTAGTATCTGAAGACCAAAGGTAAGCAAGGAATATTTTCAGTGCAGTAGTGCAGGACATCAGTTGCATTCTAAAAGATAATCTGCCTACAATGGAGAGAATGACATGAAGGAAAGCTAGACTAGAGTTTGCAATAGTAGTTTGGTGAGAAATAATAGTTTAGAACAAAAAGGTGGCTATTGAGGTAGAAAAGTATTTTAAAATTTGAAATATGTTTAAGATGGAGAATAGATAGTATATAGGCGAAGAGCAGTTGTCTGTAGGAAGAAGAGTCAAATGGTAACTCAGACTTCTGGATTGAACAACTGGATGGACAGTGACACACAGTTTGGAGATAGACTAATTGGTAAGAAGAATAGAGTGAGTTTGATTTCAAAACTCAACAGTTTAACATGTTGAGTTGTAGGGTGTGACAAAATTGAATTTTATCTGAGCCCTGTGCTCTTAGAAAATAGCGACAATTAAGAAACCCACCAACAGGCTTGTTCTCGGACCAAACTGAAGGCTGGGCTGCTTGTTCTCACAGTCCAATAATGAGATCTAGACAAAGTGGAAGGGAAGAGAGTTTATTTTTGTAACCAGGTACAGGGAGAAGGCCAGGAAAAATTCGCCAGACTAACTCCAAATTACAAAGCTTTTCAGTGCTTATATACCTTCTAAGCTACATAGCTACATGTTAGCGTGCATTCATCTGAAGACACAAGTGATTGGTTCTCTCTAATCTATAACTAAGGTCTGGATCCTGGATACCTTCCTCCGGAACTTCCGTAAATTTGCTTATTCTAGATAGTTCCTGGTTCTGGAGGTGATTACCTTTATCTTATCTCCAGCTAAGGGGGGCAGTCTGAAGGGTTTCTTCAGATCCCCAATAAAACTTGTTTAATCTTAAACAGGTCCTGTTAAGAATTCCTTCATTATCTTGTCATGCTTCAAGGCCCAGTAAAGGTCTAGGCAAAACTCCTGGTGGGCTTTTGTTACATTCGAGCCTTTGTATAGGGGCACTGGCTCTTTCCATCTTTAATATTTAACCTAACCACTCAGTCACTGCTGAAACCCTTGTCATAGAGGCCTGCCTGTTCAGCTGTTAGTGAGACTTGGCCTGCCATCGTTTGTGTTTCAGAAAAGGGCTTACTGCAAACACCCACTCTTCACCATATGATTTAGAAGACTTATAGATGCTCTCTTAATAAATCTTGACAAGGCTCAACAAGACAGGCTTTCCAAATTTTCCCTCCTTGCCTCATAAGTGAGTTGAACTGTTTTGTCTCCACTAATCAATTAGAACCAAATGCTTGTTAATCAAAGTTTAATTAGATTTATCTTCTCCTTCAAGGCCCTAAACTTTGACTGGCTCTCACCTTAAGCCAGCACACAATTCCTCTTTAATGACCCCGTCTGAGAATAGGCTGGGCCTCAGGTAAAAACATTCATATCTACTGTCCCATCATGCCCCTTTACTCATCCCACTCCTCCATCCAGCGTTCTTTCTAGCCTTGTTTACTCCTCCCTGTAAAAGAAAAGTCTTTTTTGCCTAACCAATAAGATGCTTGCAGATCTCATTGCAGATCTCAGAGCTATTGTTATAGCTTGCTACATCTTTTTCTTTCATCATTTCCCTTTCCCCTTTCTCTCATTTTCTCCTTCCCCATTTTTTAGTGATAAATAAAGCTTAGGAGGTACAACTACAACACATTGAAGGATCAAGTACAACTTTTATTGAAGAAAATTAGTAAGGATAAGTGTTATAGGCAATAGAGTAGCATGTTCAAAGAGGACATGATGCCCTTGTGGGGGAGAATTGTAAACAGCTCCATGTGACACTAACATCAGGTAACAGTGGGAAAAATAAGACTAGAGAAGAAAACAGGGAAGATTATCTGTATCTCAATCTATATTGACATCTATGCCTTTATCTATAAGTCATCTATATTTGTGTCTATATCTCTCTAAATGACTATGAATATCAGGCTAAATATTTAGATATTATCTCAAATGTAATAGAAAGTTGTTCGAGTATTTTTAGCAAATGTAATAGAAAGTTGTTCGAGTATTTTTAGCAGAGAAATAATGTAATAAAATGCATGTCCTTTAAAAAAGGATAGTCCTTTTAAAAGGTCACTCAGGACCAGCTAGTAGTATATTTTTAAGAGAGACTGCAATCAAAGAGTCTATATGAGGCTAGAGTGTTATCAAGAAAGCAGTGATTAATCTTGCACTAAGAGCATAAGTGACAGGGCATATCGAAAAGGATGGATAAAATTTAAGACACAGAAAGCCATGTTTCAGACTCCAATTTATATGGTTGCAAAATAATTTTATACTATATATATAACATATGTATATACATACACACACACACACACTATTCGTGCATAATATGTAGTAAAGCAATTTTCTAATGTGATTAAAAAAATATTTTTTTCTATGCCCCTGACTTGAAATTTAAGAGAGTATGATTTTATGGTGTGTGTGTGTGTTTGAGTGTGTGTCTGCCTGGGCATGTGTGTGTGTGTGTGTTTTCTTTTCCAGGGTAATCCTTAGCCCAAGAAATTAATTCTATTTGCTTTTACAAAACATTTTTCAAACACCTCTACTTTTTTCAAAAGTTGATTATAATCGTGAGGATAAAAGCCTGTAAATTGTATTATCTTTTTCAAAGGCAGTTTTAAAATTATTAAACTATGGTAGATTTAATGTAAATGTAGATTTAATGTAAATAACAGATTTAATGTTAATAGTGGAAAATTCACCAGCATAAAGAATAAATAACATATATATTAGAAAGTAATGCACATCATTGCCTTTATTTTTAAATAATCAGTTTCATATTATACTTTCACTACAATTGCATATTGTGAGTAATATATAATCATTGGGTATATATCAAGCATTTTGTTCTGTACATATTTTTTAATTTCCCTAACAACTACAATAAAGTTTTTAAACTTCACTGCAATCAGAGTAGGGTTTTACATTTATTTAGGTAGTCTGTTTATTTTTAATGATTTCAGTAATGTAATTGTTAATTGGAATGGGTTGCAGTCTCAGAAATTATGTTTTTGTTCCTTCTGGAAAATAAGGTTTACAACTAATTTCCATCAGTTGCTATCTTACTTTCATACTGTGTGTCAGCCTCTGTGTTTACTTGGTGTTCAGCTAAGTGTTAAATGGAATCAATTAAATAGAAGTTTCAACTAAAAAGTTGATAAGTTTTATTGTTGAAATGTGCATTGTATAAGTATTTATTTTTTTGTATTACACAGACTATAAACATACTTGGATCATTTCAACAACTAAATAACAGGCTTATTTGATCAGGAGGGAAATTCAGCTTAAATACGACCTTCACAAGAGCTATCTGGTAGATGCTCATGTATGGAATTTTTTTGATAAATTGATATTATTAGTCAGCAAAGCACTTTGTTGTTTATTTTTTTCTTTTGTTTAATTAATTTATTATTTACAAGTTAATAAACTAATGTTGCCAACATCCTATTTTGACAGAAAGTTTGACTTAAAATTTAATTACTCATATGAAAAGTTAATCAGTACCTACTTTTGGAAATAATGCCCAAAGCTATAGGAAATACAAAGAAACACAAATGGGTTGGGGCAAATACGAGTTTATGAATAGCAGCACTATCATGTGGAATATAAGTTACACATATATTTCTTATTTCAAAGAGGAGGTCTTCATGTTTTTGCTAGTTGTGTTGTTGTGGGGGGAATCCTGATGGATAGATTACTAAAGTAATTGGGATTTCCCTTGTGTCTATGACTAGGGATAGGTTTTTGATAGGTTAAAAAGATGGCATAGGGAATAGCAAAGACATTTTGAGCAAAAGCACAAGTGAATATGTACCAGGTATGAAAAAACAGTAATTCATTTTGATTATACAAAATTAATCACACATTAGTGTGATTATTGATATGAATGAAACATATTTTATAAGTTTCAGGATACAAAAATTAATGTTCAGGCCAGGTGCGGTGGCTCACACCTGTAATACCAGCACTTTGGGAGGCCGAGGCTGGCGGATTACCTGAGGTCAGGAGTTCAAGACCAGCGTAGCCAAGATGTTAAAACCCTGTCTTTACTAAAAATAAAAAAAATGAGCCTGGCATAGTGGTGAGTACCTGTAGTCCCAGCTACTCAGGAGGCTGAGGCAGGAGAATTGTTTGAACCCGAGAGGCAGAGGTTGCAGTGAGCCGAGATTGCACCACTGCACTCCAGCCTGGGCAACAAGAGCGAGACTCCATCTAAAAAAAAAAAAAATCGATTTTCAAAAAACAGTAGCATTTCTATCCTTTCAAGCTGAGAGTCAAATCAAGAATTCAATCCTATTTACAATAGCCACACAAAAAATTAAAATACCAAGGAATACATCTAACCAAGGAAGTGAAACATTTCTGCAAGAAGAACTACAAAACAATGCTGAAAGAAATCACAGGTGACACAACCACATGGAAAAACATTCCATGCTCAGGGATTAGAAGAATCAATATCATTAAAATGGCCATACTGCCGAAAGTGATCTACAGGTTCAACGCTATTGCAATCAAACTACCAATGCCATTTTTTATAACTAGAAAAAACTATTCCAAATTTCATATGGAATCGAAAGGAGCCAAAATAGCCAAAACAAGCCTAAGCAAAAAGAATAAAATTTCATATAGAATCAAAAGGAGCCAAAACCCTAAGCAAAAAGAATAAAACCCTAGGCATCACATTACCCAACATCAAACTATACTATAATGCCACAGTAACTGAAACGGCACAGTACTGATATGATAACAGGCACATACACCAATGGAGCAGAATAGAGAGCCTAGTAATAAAGCTGCAACCTACAGACATCTGATCTTCGACAAAGTCAACAAAACTAAGCAATGGGGAAAGGACTCCCTATTCAATAAAATGTGCTGGGATAGCTGGCTAGCCATATGCAGAAAAATGAAACTGGACCCCTAACTTTCACTATATACAAAAATTACCTTGATATAGAATAAATATATAAATGTGAAACCTCAAACTATAAGAATCCTAGACATAAACCTAGGAATGTCATTCTAGACATCAGCCTTGGGAAAGAATTTATGACTTAGTCCTCAAAAGCAATTGCAACAAAACCCAAAATGGACAAGTATTGTGTAATTAAACTAAGGAGCTTCTGCACAGCAAAAGAAACTATCCACAGAATAATCAGATAACCTACAAAACGGGATAAAATATTTACAAACTATGCTTTCAGCAAAGATCTAATATCCAGAGTCTATAAGGGACTTAAACAATTGGACAAGCAAAAAATAAAAACCCCATTAGAATTGGGCAAAAGACACTTCTCAAAAGAGGACATACAAGTGACCAACAAACGTGAAAAAATGCTCTCCATCACTAACCACCAGAACAATGCAAATTTCAACCACAATAAAATACCATCTCACACCAGTCAGAATGGCTATTATTAAAAAGTCAAAAGCAACAGATGATGCAGAGGCTGCAGAGAAAAAGGAATGCTTACATTCCCACACTGTTGGCGTGAATGTAAATTAGTTCAGCCACTGTGGAAAACATTATGAACATTACTCAAAGAACTTAAGATGAAATTACTACTCAACCCAGCAATCCCATTACCAGGTATATATAAAACAAAATGTTCTACTAAAAATACACATGCACTCATATGTTCATTGTGGCACTATTCACAGTAGTAAAGACATGGAATCAACCTAGGTGCTCACCAGTGGTGGATTGAATAAAGCAAATTATATATATATATATATATATATATATATATATATATATATATATGGAATGGAATACTACCCAGCCATAAAAAAGAAACAAAAACGTGTTCTTTATGGCCTTTGTGGTAACATGAATGCAGTTGGAGGCCATCATCCTAAGCAAATTAATGCAGCAACAGAAACCCAAATACAGCATGTTCTCACTTCTAAGTGGGAACCAAATATTGGTACTCATGGACATAAAGATGGCAACAATTGACACTGGGACTACTAGAGGGAGAAGAGAGTGGAGCAAGGTTTGAGAAACTCACTATTTGATACTATGCTCACTATCTGGGTGACAGGATCAATAGCACCCCAAACCTCACCGTCATGCAATATACTCAGTTAACAAACCTGCACACGTACCCTCAAGTCTAAAATAAAAGTTGGAATTATTTTTAAAAAGTATTTTATAATAAAATATAGACAATAACTTGATTGACAGAGAAATGCAAATGTTATTTATTAGGCTGTGGAGGGTAACTGATGGTAGGAAGCAGAAGGAGAAGGAGGAGGAGGAGGAGGAAAAAGGGAAGAAGAAATAAGAGAAGGAAGAGAAAAAGAGTATAATGTACTTGTAAAGCTTAATCTGTTAGCAGTTAGAGGTTTTGATGAGAGATGAAGCAGGTTGATTGGAAGGCTATAGTAATACCACAGATTCCAGGTAACAAAGAGCACATAGTGATGGTGTAAAAGAAATGGTGGGTAAGATTCAAGCTTATGATACCAAAGGAACCTCATTTTTTAAAGTCACAAACTAGTATTTTTGAGCACCTCTTAGGTCCCAAGACATTAGGATTAGAACCAAAGAGCAAAGCATTTTTTTTTCTCCCAAATGGATGATTAGCTAAACCCACAAAAAAGACTTTTTGCTAAGATTAGATGGTTAACTTTAGTAAATGTTGGGCAAAGAAAACTGAGAAGACAAAGGTTATTGTGAGATTCTGAAACTAATGTCTAAACTACCATTATTAGGAAAAGAATGGTAAGTAGGAAAAGCACATTTGGCCAGAAATAATGACTTTTGCTTTAGAAAAGTTGATTTGCATATTTAGACTAGCTTTTTACATTTCAATCTAGAATTTTAAAGAAAGTTGGAAGCAGGGATAACTTCTCTACTTGATCTTACCCTGAAATATTGAGGCCACTGAGGCCTTTTAGTCAATTTCCTTGTCTAGCTGTCTATACTGTGTGGATCACTTCTCTCATTTCTACATAACTTTATGTTTAAGATCTGTTTATTATTTCTGTCATCTTCTGAACTCCTATGAGTATAATGTTTGGTTACACCTATTTAGTAACTGCTATCCATCAGCCATCTGCTTTTTTACATAATTTATATAGTCTTGGTACTTATACAATCGCCCAAATTCTTTTATGTGTTTTATTTATAATTGGGTAGCAATAGAAATTTTATGTGATATTTTCCAGAGTACAAAAGAATAAGCTCCCACCACGGACTTACCTAACAAAATGTCTCAGTTGGTGTGCTTTTAATAGGCCTCTCTCCCAGATGATGCTAACAGACCCACTTCTCTATGATTATTATTAATTATGCATATAATACGATGATTATTGTTGAGTAGGAGAACTCTAAATAACAGTAACTATTTGATGGAACAGTTGTTTCATGCTTACCTCTAGCACAAATCAAAGTACCATTCAAATATAAAAATTAAAGCAAAGATACTTGTTCTTAAACTGGAAGAGCTTTCTTCATGTAAAACAAATTTTTAAGTTAGGAAAGTATTTGTTGCTTATGAAAACCTAAACAATCATTACTAATATGTGTTTTAAAATATTTTAAAGAAAATAATGAGATTATATTAAATCTTTGTAATGCTTTATGGCCCCACCCCCCTATTGCATGAAGAGACTGTGAAGTACTTTTCAGAAGCTCAAATAACCTTGATTTTAGAGAATCGTCGAGTGTCATAACTGTCTCATTAGGCAAACTGTTCACTCACTAGTTGATTGTCATTGCTTTAGGGAGACAGAAATTATTCTTTGTCTCTTTTGATTGCAATGTTCAATATAATTATCCTGAATTGAGAAACAAGTTAAAAAAATAAAAGATGATGTAATTATCTCTGATGTCTTCTTTCCAAGTATAACAATAAGGATACCTCTATAAATAATCTATCTAACTTTAACTTTGCCTGGATGATAAATGTGAAATCTAGACAGGAGATTATGAAAAACTATGTTGTTTTTGACAAACAGCAGTGAATGGTTTGGATGCATGTGACTTAACTAGAGGAAGAATGTATCTAGGTTTCTATATATGAATATTTTATTTTTGATTTGTGTTTTTAAATCATTACATTCTAGAGAGAATGTAAGTAATCTCATTTATTAGATTCCATTCCACTCATCATATTTGAGCCAAATTTAATATATGTCAAAACTGATAGTTCTGAAAAAAGTTAGTTTCAACATCTTCAAAATGTGATGCTCTGTTAGGTGCATATGCTTAAGGATTACATCATTTCGCAAACTGGGTTATGTAATACTTCTCTTTTTACCTGATAATTTTTCTTCTTCTTAAATTCATTTTGAAATTAATATAGCTGCTCTAGCTTTCTGTTAAGTAGTGTTGACATACTCCATCCTTTCCTCTGAACCTATTTGAGTCTTTGTATTTAAAATTAGTTTCTGATAGAAAACATACAGTTGGGCTCTTTTTTTAAATTCAGTTTAACAATCTCTGTATTTTAAGCAGGGTGCTTAGACTATCCGCATGTATAATGATTATTTATATAACTGAATTTATATCTGCTATATCTGCAATTGTCTCCTATTTGTTGGATTTGTTCTTTGTTTCTTTTTAAGCTCAGTTTTTCTGCCTTTTGTTATTTGAGCATTTTATGTGATTTCATCTATCTGTCATCGATCTATCTATCTATCTTTCTATCTATCTATCTATATCTTTTAGCAGTTGACTATAGTTTACAATATTTATTTTTAAATAATCTTAGGCAACCCATAAATAACACTGTACCATTCATGTATAGTGCAAATACCTTACAGTGAGAAATAAAAATAAAATCCTAAACCTGTCAAGCCCCACAACTGACTGAGCAGAACCTCTCTTGGCCAGCAGGGCCCCAGAGAAATCTTAAAGACTGAGTTCCTGGTAATGACAGGATAAAAGTTGGACACACTTCATTATGTTCATTACTTACTAACCTTTAACCAGAATTCTTTCCTAAAGAGTAAGCAGAAACCAGCTCTGGAAAACAAAAAAAATGAAGGCCTCATTTCTTTATTACCCTTAGCCGATCATCTGAGGTTGCGACTAGACTCCCTCTCTGCAGTTCCAATGTGATGGCTCATGAGTTTCACAATGCATTCTTTGCTATTAATAAAAACTGAGCATCACTTTGAGACTAATTTTAGCCAACTCAAAGAGGAAGATTTGCAGTGAGAGTTTGTGTGTCCTGTGCTTCACCTTTGATATAGGAGGGCTGAAACTCCACCCTAGGATCATGCTGTGGCTGCAGTTTGTTGACCATGTGACCCATGAAGAGGCATGAAACCCAATTGTGCATGTGCATGTCTCTTCTTTCATAAATATTCATGACTCCTCTCAGAGCTTATTAAATACGAATATTTAGCCATCCCACTCAGCATAAAATCCTGTTTTCTCTTTCCTGTCCTGGAAGTGCTTGCTCTGGACTTCTACTAGAGGCTATACTTCCCAGCTTGCAGAATAGCTAGCTTGCAGGGTATAATTCTTTAAGAGAAATAAAGCTCTCCTTTCCAATTCTATAAATGTTGTGATTCCTCAATTGACAAGAACATTCCCAAATATTCCCTCTTATTCCTTATTACATTGTTATAATTCATTTTATTTGTCCATATACTATGATCCAAATCCAACACATTTTTACTATTATTTCTCCTTCATTTTGAAGGATAATTTTCCCGTATAAAGCTCTCAATGTTGACATTTTTCCTGTCAATGCTTTAAATGTTTCACTCCATTCTATTCTTGTTTGAACATGGTAAGAGTGTGAATTATGGAAAACATAAATTCTAAAGAGTTAATATTAGGAGACAAGATAGAGGTTTGGAATCACAAAACAGAAAATGATTCTTCTCTAAAGACATTGTGACAAACAAGTTGTGAAAGCTACAGAATCGTATTTTAGCTACCTACTCCTGAATCATAAAGCATAACAAACTTAGTAGCTTGGACAAAGACAAATCTTTATTTTTCACAATTCTGAGGATTAACTTGGTTTCTCTACTTCATATATTATTGACTTGGGAGTAGCAGTGTCTGAATGGTCCAAAATGGACTGGCATGACATTTCTGACTGGCAGTTAGTGCTGGTTATCACCTGGGAGATCAGGGAGCAATATTAGTCAGAGAGGCTTATTTTTTTCTCCACTTGGCCTTTCCATGTGGCTTGGGATTTTTCCTTTTTTGGCTTGGTTTCTAATTTCAATGGCTAGGTTAAAAACAACTTCACATTAGTGGCTTAAAACAACAGGCTTAGTAGTTGGCTTACAATTCTAAAATTTAGATAAAGACTAGTGGGAGAAATTCATCTTTGTTCCATGTTGAATCACCTAGGATTGTTAATTTGGAACTGAAGGATCCTCTTCAAAAGAGCCTTACTCAGAAGTCTAGCAAATTAGTGCTGTCATCTGAGGCTGAAACAAGAGCCTCAGTTCTCCTTCAAGGAGCCTCTCCATGTGGTGAGTTTGAGCTTGTACAGGCAGAACAGTGTTTCTGGGTAGTCACCTATTTACATGGCAACTGACTGCCCCTGTCTTCAAAAGCAAAACTGCAAGGCATCCTTAAAGTCTTTGACAAAATGTGTGTTCAACATCCTTGTTCAATTATGTTGGATTATCTTCTTATTAATGAGTAGTAAGTGTCTTTCATATTCTATATATACAGATTAATTTTCAAATCAATGTTTTAACAATATTCTTCCCAGTCTCTGGCTTGTGATTTCTTGTCTTTTTCATTGTTGTTTTTTTTCAATATTCTTGAATTATAATTAACATAATAAACTGCATAATTTAAATTGACATATGAATACACCTGTGAAATCATCATCATAATCAAGAATATGAACATATCCATCCCCTCTCCACTTTCTTCATCATGTCATTCATGTTCTTCCCCTCCCAAGGCAATCATTGATCTTTCTCTGTCCCTATAGATTGAGTTGCTTTTTCATGATCATGTTTTTTCTTTTTAGTAATATGTTCAAATAAATTACTTTTTTAATGCTAAATTAACCTTGTATTCTTGAGAAAAACACCACTGGGTCATGTTGTATTATATCTTCTTTTTTTATATATATGTTGCTGGATTTGATTTTTTAATGTTTAAAAAAATGTTCACACATATTCTTGAAGAACATACTTCATAGCATTTTTCTTATATTTGCCTGTTTAAAATATTGAGGTAATTCAGCTCTTTAAGAAGTGTTCCCATCTCTTCTAATTTCCTAAAGAGTTTATGTAGAATTATTTTATATCTTCCTAAAATGTTTAGTGGAATTTAGTATTAAAGGCTTCTGGGCCAGGAATTTACTTTGTGGGGTTATTATTAGCTATGAGTATTTTGAATTGTGCATTTAGTTGAAGCTTTTGGAAAACCTTGAATAAAATAATTTATAATATTCTTTTATTATCGTTTTAAAATCTGTTGGTTTTAAAGTGATAAATCTTCCTTATTTCTGATATTGGTAATTTATACAGTTTTTCTAATCAATATGGATAGCAGATCATCAATTTCATTATTCTTTAATGAATGGATTAAGAAAATGTGGCACATATACAGCATGGAATACCATGCAGCCATAAAAAATGATGAGTTCATGTCCTTTGTAGGGACATGGAGGAAGCTGGAAACCATCATTCTCAGCAAACTATGGCAAGGACAAAAACCAAACACCTCATGTTCTCACTCATAGGTGGGAATTGAACAATGAGAACACTTGGACACAGGAAGGGGAACATCACACACTGGGGCCTGTTGTGGGGTAGGGGGAGAGGGGAGGGATAGCATTAGGAGATACATCTAATGTAAATGACGAGTTAATGGGCGCAGCACACCAACATGGCACATGTATACATATGTAACAAACTTGCACATTGTGCACATGTACCCTAGAACTTAAAGTATAATAAAAATACATATATTAAAAAAGCTGGAATATGAGTTTATTGATTTATGCTTTATTTTTAAATATTTTGTTGATTACTAAATAATCAACAAAAGATTTTCATCTTTTTGTTTATTTTAAAGTTTAATTCGTTCTTTTTTGTTCTTATGGTAGAAAATTTGAATATTAATTTGAAAACTTTTTTATTTTGCAATATTAGCCTTAAATGTTTTGCCTTTTCCTTTCAGCACTCATTAGGTGAATAAACAATATTCCCTATACCTATAGAGTGGAATACCACCCAGCATCCTCTCACATACAAAGAAAGAACAAATTGCTGATAGACACAGATGTCCATCAATCTCAAAAGTCGTCATGGTAAGTAACTGGTAGAAATCAGACTTAAAAGATTGCATGATTGCATTTATAGAAAATATCCTGAAGGCATGAAATTATAGAAAAAAAAGCAGATCTATGTTTAACTGGGATCAGGGTTGAGAGTGAGTTTTTGAGTTCTTTTTGTTTTTGGCTATTGTATACTACTTTATGCTACTATAAACAATCGAATACATATAATCATTCAAGTGCAAACACAAATAGTATATGGCTATTATATACTACTATGAACATCTAAATACCAGAGGGTTTGTAGATACATTTTTACTTTAGAGTAGAAGCCTAGAAATGTAACTTAGGTCATATGTTAAGGATATATTTAACTTTAGGAAAAACTCTCAAACCGTTTTCAATTTGACAGCACAGTTTTACTTTGCTGTTGGCAATGCCTAAGAGTCTACATTGTAAACCATATCCTTGTTTGTCTTTTCAAATAAAGCTATTCTATTGAGTGTGCACTGATATGCCAAAGTAGATTTAACTTGTAGTTTTCTAATAACAAATGACAGCTACATATTTTTATGTGCTTATTAATTAGTCACTTCGTCTGGAAATCATTTTCAAATATTTGTGCTCTTTTTATTGGATTACTGATTTTCTTGTTAGAAATCTGTTAAGGGACTCTTTTTAGTTCTGGATAAAATGGCTGTATCAATGATAAATGATTTGCAAATATATCTTCTAATATATGGCTTTCTCTTTTGTTTTCATTATGGTATCTCTTGATTAAGGAAGATTATAATAGTGATGAACCCCAGTTTACCAATATTTACTTTTATAATTTTTGAATTCTTGTTCTAATAAATTCTTATATATCTAAAAGTACCAAAAGCTTCCTATGTTTTCTTTTTTTAAGTTTTTTTTTTTATTTTTTTTGAGATGAAGTCTCACTCTGTCACCCAGGCTGCTAGTGTGAAGTGGTGTGATATCGGCTCAGGGTGACCTCTGTCTCCCTGCTTCAAGTGATTCTCCTGCCTCAGCCTCCCAAGTATCTGGGATTACAGGCATGCACTTTTTGTATTTTTAGTAGAGACGGGGTTTCACCATGTTGGCCAGGTTGGTCTCAAACTCCTGACCCCAGGTGATCCTCCTGCCTTGGCCTCCCAAAGTGCTGGGATTAAAGACGTGAGCCTCTGCACCCAGCCTTCCTATGATTTCTTCTAAAAGTTCTGCAATGTTTTATATTACCTACAGATTTGTTATCTAGATGTAAATTTTGTGGATCATTGAAGAAAAGTCAATGTACATTTTTTTTATATAAATATTCTTTAATTTCACCACTATTTCTGGGGAAAAATATCCTTTAGCAATGGTATTACTTTGTTAAAAAATCTTTACCATTAAGTGTGTGTTTATCTCTAGATTCTCAATTCTGTTCTATTGCTGTACCAATGTCTATCTTCATGCAATTAAAATAATGTCTTGGTTTCTATAAATTTTTGATAACTCTTAAATTAGATAAAGTTAATCTTCCTATTATGCTATTTCTAAAATTGTCTTGGATATTTCAGCTTTTTCAAGTTCATATGCATTTTACAACTACCTTTTCAAAATCTACACCCCCAAAAAAAACCTGCTAAGATTTTTATTGGAATTACACCAGATCTGCAAATGAATTTAAATGAAATTGCCATGATAACAATTTTTCTTCTCTAGTCTTTGAACATGATATCTCTATATATTTCAGCTTTCTTTAATTTGTCAGCAATGTTTTATATTCTCAGTGATTAAGTTTTGAAAAAAACATTTTTAGATTCATCACAAATTATTTTTAAATTTTTGACATTATTTTTTTTATTTTTTTCAAATTACCTTTTTGGATTATTTATTGTTAGCAGAAAGGAATGGTTTGGATTTTTTATATTGTTATTGTATTCTTAAAACTTTGCTAAATTCACTTATGTTTATTGGTAGCTACTTTTCAAGATTACGAAAGAGTTATCGGTGGTCAAAGATACAATAATTTGAGCAACAAAACAGGTCAATTAGTATTGGATTATAACTTAAAGTATACAATAAAGATTCATAAGTGCATAGTAATATAGCAAATGATTGAATACATTTTTTAAATGAAGGAAAGTTGACAGGCTGCCAGAGAAAATATGCAGATGGCAAATAAGTATATAAAAAGATACTTAATGTTATGTCATTAGAACATTGTAAATTAAAACAGATACTACTACACAGCTATTAAAATGGCTAAAATCCAAATCTTTAAAAACATCAAATGCTGATGAAGATGTGGAGCAACTAGAGGTTTCACTTATTGCTGGAAGAAACACAAAGTGGTACAGTTGCTTTAGAAGAAAGTTCAGCAGTTTCTTACAAAGCTAAACATAGGCTTACAATATGATACAGCAATTATGCTCTTTGATATTTACTCAAAGGAACTGAAAATTTATATCCATCCAAAAACCTGCACACACAAGTTTCAGCAGCTTGATTCATAATTCACAAAAAAGGAAGCAAACAAGGTGTCTCTCAATAGATGAACAGATCAACAAGTGTGACATATCCATTCAATGGAATATTATTCAACTATAGAAATGGACTTACCAAGCTATGAAAGAACATGGAGAAACTATAAATTCATATGGCTAAAATGAAAGAAGCCAGTGTGAAAGCTATTGTGATTGTTAGTTTTATGTGTCAACATGACTCGGGCAAGAGGTACACGGGTATTTGGATAACATTATTCTGGGAGTGCTTGGGAGGTGTTTCTAGATGAGATTAACATTTGATTCAGTAAAATAAGTAAAGCAGATTGCCCTCCCCATTGTCGGTGGACCTCATCCAAACTGTTTAAGGCCAACATAGAATGAAAAGGCAAAGAGAAAATTATCTTTATCTGCCTAACTGTCTTTGAGTGTGGACTATCATTCTTCTGCTACTTTTGGACTCTGATTCATACTTGAACTAGAACTTACACTATTGGCTCTCTTGAGTTTTCAGCTTGTCAACTGCATATCTTGGTACTTCTCAGCGTATATAATTGCATGAGCCAACTTTTAAAAATAATCTGTATCTCTCTCTCTCTCTCGTGTATATATATATATGTGTATATATATATGTGTATATATATGTGTGTGTGTGTGTGTATATATATATATATATATATACACACACACATAACCGAGCTTTCCAAAAACAGGTAGATTTACCCTGCACATGCTGTATGAGTCCGTGTATAAAATTTCAAAGGTATGTTCAATTATACTATATATTGTCTATGTATTCCACATGGTGGATACATATGTGTGGTAAAAGTATAGGGAAAAACAATCAAATGATATACACAATATTCAGAATAGATATTAGCTTTTCAAAGAAAGAAAATGATTGAGATTTGGGGCAAGAGCATACAAGTTTGCCAAGACATAGGTTACAATTAATTTATTAACCTGTGTGGTAGACACAGGTGTGTTTCTTTTATAATTTGTCATTACATTCTACAGATATTCTACAGATAGCCTAATATTCTTGGACTTATTTTCCATATTCTGTTCTAAATGTTTTTATATAACTCCTTACATGTGTATAAAAATTGAATGAAGTAGTTCCCCCTGTTACGCTCATGCTACCAGTGCAGAAGCTGCAGTTTAGTGAGGCTAAGTCAACTTCCTGGGCTGTGTTCAAACCCAGGCAATCTGGCTCCAGAGCCTCCACACCGAACTATCATATTATGTATAATCTAAAGAATGACTACAAAATAAACAAGACTCAAAAAAATGCCTAGGTTTATATTAATGTTGAAATCTCTTTAAGTGCTACAAATATACAAGGTTTGTAGTAGCAAAGTAAGGACTTCAGCGGTTTCTTCACAAAACAATATTTCACGCAGTTTCCAATGGTTTATCTGGAGAGAGTTCGCAATATGTGATTGAAAGAAAAAAAAAACTCTGTTCTTAACTTTCTGTGAGATAACAGTAGAATAGCACAGTTTTCAGATATCAGCATTCTGTTAATGCACATTAAAGACAAACAAACACAAAAGAATCATGGAAGATAGAAGATAGTTTTTTTCATCACCTGTGGGTCCTATTCATTTCACACAATTCTGCTTACCACAGGAGAGTGAGACATCATTCTATTGTCTGTGTGGATGGAAACTGCTGCTTTATGTTCAGACTTTGCGTCATATATATATATCCTGTAAATGTATGTATGTGTATATGCAAACGTGTGTGAATATACATACAGATACAGTATACATGTAAATGTATGAGTATGCATTTTGCTTTGTTTGCTCAAAAAATGAAACTAATTTATTTAATTTATTTAGATAACATGTTATTTCTTATTATTTTTTAGTGGCAGAAAGGCAGTAGGTCAGAGTAGAAAAAGAAAAATGTAGATGTGGCAAGTTAGTCTCTAGAATCAGAGAGAGTTTTTAAAATGCCAACATGTTTTGTGTTACCTTGAGTAACTCACCTAAATTATCTGCCATTTTTATCTCGTGTGAAATAAACATTTAACTATTTTAGTGGTGGTGTAAGAATTAAAATAAATAATAGAAGTTTATTACCTAACAGTTTTTCTTTAACCTTCAATATAAGTTAATTGCATTCCCTGTATACTGATACTACTGAATCATTTTTCCTGAAAATATTTAAATGCTGTTGTATATATTTTTCTTTGCTCTGAATAACTTAAAACGTTCTAAATGATAATCACTTCCTATTATGTCACACAGTATGTCAATGAAAATGATTAAATCCCAAGAAGGAAGCCATCTTCAGTTTGGAATTTCTATTGATTGATAAGTTCTGAGTTTGTCTTAGTAAATAGCATACTTCACCTTTAGAAAATGAAGTAGGTATTATATTTTACAGAGTTTTATGGACATAGAGTTTATAACTAATCCAATTAGATAAAAAAATACATATATAGAGAAAGAAATATTTCGAAAAACAATAAAATACCAGTGAGGTATTGGAATAAGTCTAAATAATAAGCACTTTATATACCAGACAAATAGGAAAAATAAATTTATAAATAATAATTTAGTAAACAGCATATCTTATCCACAAATATGTGATAGGTGAGGGGTACCCACATATTTAGGAAAAAAAGTGTTTTAATTTATCACTTGGAAAAATGCCTTTGCCACTCAACTCTAACATACGCTGAGGGAGGGAAAAATCATGTAGGGGATTTTTTTAGTTTCACTTATATTTGAGAACCTGATTGCAAGTAAATTTTACAGAAGGATAACTGCTAAAAACAACTGTGGAAAATTACCATGGGTTGTCATGTTTGGAGATGATTGTCATATCACTTAAGTCTTACAAGCTGTTTTTTCTACACACCTTATTAAGAGTGCTGGATGAAGGAAAGGTATCATACCACTTCATCTGTAACTTCACCCATTTTTTATGATATTAACTTATACTGACATAAAAAGTTTATATTTATATATAAGTATACATATTTTGTCTATTAGTACAATGATGACAACTTTGGAGCCACATAGAAGGGTTTTATTTTTTAATTTGTATTTAAATGGCTGTTTTAAGGCATACTTGATTTATGTTGAACTAAAAGTATTGAATTAAACAATTAATATAGTCACAAAACTTTATGGACAGCTACATGAAATATTTTGTTTTGCCCGCATTAATGATAATTTAATAACAAAAAGTCATTGGTTCTCACAAAGTGCCCTTTACATAAAGCAACAGCCTGAAATATTTTGTTTAGTTAAATCAGGTTATAAGTTGATATGGTCTAAAATTATATCACTATAATTTACCATCTGGACAAAAATTCAAACTTCATCTGTAAGATCAGAAAGCAGTTGATACTTTTTACACAGCACTTGTTAATGGAAAGGGGCATGCAGACAACAATATCCCTACACTATAGCTATTCATTAGGGACGGGCATACAAAAAAGGAAAAGTGTCTTTTGAAGAGATCTGTTTTATAAATCCTAGCACAGAACTTATTTTGAGATGGTAAAATGGCATAAAAAATTTGGACTAATTCAATTATTTGAAATTATGCATAATGGGAGTAAACTTAATGCATTAACATTAAGATTAAATTTTTCTCTAATATTTCTAATGAGCACTTTTAAACTATTGGCATGCACAATGGGAAGCACTTTATATGGCTATATTTAGTCTTCATGACAACCATAAGAGTTAAATGTTATAAAACATTATTTACAAATAAAGAAGCATAGCCAAGAAAAAAAAGAAAGAAAAACGGAAGTCAATAATGTTAAGGGAATTAATTACATTACTGCGAACAGTAAGTGCATAGACAACATTCATACCTAAACCTGCTGAATTGCAAGAGCGTTGCTGACACATTTCATCTAGATGACCAGTTGGAGCAATAGTGAAAGTAGAGGTGAGAGTACATCACAGAAGATTTCCTCAAGCTTCTTCAGGGTACGCAGAATCCAAGTCACTCATTGTACAGTTGAACTCATCCCACTGATTGCCAGAGGGTAAAGGCTTATTTTGTGCTTTTTTAAAATATAAAATTGTCATCATCACGTGTTTAAAATATTAATTCCAAATTCCTACATAAACAATAGATATCAAAGCCGTTAAAGCTCTATCAACCAGCTTCCCTCACTTTTCTGGGATCCTACTGCACAAACTAATCCTAGGAATAAAATGGAACAAGCTTCCTGTTAACTTTCTCCATGTAAAATACTGCAGGATTCATAATCTTAGGCTACACAATAGATTTTTTTAAAGAGTTTCTGTAACAGCACACCATGGTAACTAAATTAGGTTTATCTCATTTTGAGGACAAATTTAAAACCAAATTCCTGCAAAAGCTCTTAATTATTCAGTTATTGGCAGTTGTACTAAAGGGCATTTTTGGGGACATAATATTTGTGGATACAAGTCACTCATAAGTTTTTATTCCACAGTAATAATCAGTCTATGGCAATATTGATTGATGCTAGGGCTTTTCATGTAAAATAAAAATGTACACAATTTTTTTGTAAAAGTCAAGGAATCATAGGGCCCTCACTTTTACATTAAAGATAACTAATTTAAAGCCACTCACAAATTATAATTGTCTGAGCCAAAAAAAGTACATTTAAATAATGAATTATTCTTTTCTTTTTATAGACATTATACCAAAATTGTGACAATATATAAGAAATATTGTACATATTAAATATAAATCTTACTAAAGATATTAAATTATTCCTTAATATACAATAATGCCTTGATATAATATATGAAATAATGCATCATTTTACATGAATATTCCTGTGATTGAATCAATAATATCAGTTTAGAAAACACAATGATGAAAAAATCCTCTGGGCAACACAGGTAGTGTCTTAGTTTATTTCACAGTAATCTCAATGCTCCTTTTCATCTAACAAGGTTGATTAAAAGTTACAACCTCAAAAAAAGCCAGTGGAATGCTCACTGGAATTTTCAGCTTCACACACTAGTCAATTAGCTATGTGTTGATCACTGTTTGAAAGCAAGTTGAAATGTGTCCTGGCAAATTATTGAACAAATGTTCCAAATGACTAAAGCATTCATCCTTTCCAAATTAGACTATGCAATCCTTTTATACTGAGGTTCATATCAAGCCCTTAGCCTCTAGAAAATCACGTAAGCTCTCCTTGAAATGCCCTAAAATATAATTTGTATCAACGAATGATCATAGACACTCAAGAGGAAAAGGCATGTTGCCTTAGAATTAAAAAAGGAATTTCAAATGCGCGTAAAGAACCTTGATGAATTCATTAGTTGTAAAGGTTGAGAGAAAGTGCTGTCCCTCATAGCTGTTGTAGTATAGGGTGAGTGTAAATTTTGCATGTGTTTTACTTAAAAGAAAAAGAGATATTCATGTTCTTCTTCCTGTCGTGACCTTAATTTATAACTGAAAAAGCTGAACAGACACCTGATATACCCAATTTTTCTTGGTTTTCACTTTTAAAAAACATTTTCATGGTGAGTATTTTTGCTTCTTTGCCATTTCACTTGCCTCTAGTTTATTTTTCTTGTTAATGGAGAGCATTGCGTTAATGAGCTATTTTATTCATAGACAAGTGTCTCAAAATTGTGACTTCAACAAAGAAGTAAATCAAAATAAGTGCCACAATTTATAGTGCTTAAGTTAAAACTTCTTAGGATATAAACTTGTTTGCATTCTCATTAAGAGTGATCCCAGACTTTCTCCCCCTGCAACAGAGAAAGAGAAAAACAAACAAAAAAAAAAATGAGAGGAAAGAGAGATATAGCATGACCCACGTATTTTCTGATTTCTTTTGGGAATGGAAATAAAAGTGAAATGTAAGCATATCTCTGACCATGGGAATATTTCAACATTTCACAAGAAATGTTTCACAAGAAGGGTAATTTCTTTCTAGTATTTATTAACTAATGGATACAGTATTAAAGATCAAGAAGTAAAATGAGAGTGAAATATATTAAAACTAGCTGATATTATATGTAACAATTAATTTTGAACATATTCTTCCTTAGAACTATTTGGTGACATCTTTACAAAAAAAGTGATGAGGACAAATTTTTGAGTAGGCAAAACATGTTCTAAAAATCTATGGAAGCCGTTTCAAATATCCTCTCTTCTCTTTAGTCACCGTTATATGTGCATGTCTTCTAAGTAGAAACAATTTTTATTCTACAGGTTGACATTTTGGTTTTTGTTAATATTCAGATATCTTTAGTGTGGTATAACATTAGGTATTTATAATTAACTACTTATTTTAGAATAGTTTTAGATTTATAGAATGTTGACTGTCACAATCATCTGGAGAATTTGCATATACCCCACATTATACATTAGTAAGGCATATTTGTCACAATTAACGAACTGATGTTGATACAGGACAATTTGTTAAAGTTTATACTTTATTCAGATTTCTTCCATTTTTCTCCAAAGATGTTTAGTCTTTTCTGCCTTATCAATTTATTGAATCATTTATGTATATTTGTATGAATTCACTTTATTTATTTTATATTTTGTGTTTTAATTCAATACTACTTTTTATTATTTTTATGTAAATTGTTTTAGCTTTGGCCATCGGGAGCCCTTTCAGTTGGTCTCTGTGTCCCTTTGACAAATTCTCATTATTCCTGTGTTTTTGTTTAGCTTATTTGTTTTTAGCACTTTTCTACTTTCTGATTCTATAAGATGATTCAGATTATCTTGTGTGTGTTGGACATGCATATACATGTTCTATCAGGTAGTTAACCTCAGTATGAAATATGAGAATTAGTTCAAAATTAATTACATTATATATAGATAAGATCTTTGAGAAACATAATGTACCTTAATTAAGAAAGCATCAAAGTATATATAGGACGAAATGTATTAAAAATGGAAAATGACCTACATAACATAATAACAACCCTGTAATGGGTTAAATTGTCTCTAGCAGAAAGAGAGTCTTGAATGTGACCTTATTTGGGAATCTTTGCAGATGTAATCAAGTTAAGGTGAAGTCACACTGAATTAGGATGGCCTCTAATAATAGCTGGTGTCCTTACAAGAGGAAGAAGCACAATTATTGTATTAGTAAGGGTTCTTCAGAGAAACAGAAGACACAGGTACACATAGAGAGAGAGAGAAAGATACAGATGTATCAGAGGGGATTTATGAAGGAAAGTGACTCGTGATTCTGAAGGATGAGAAGTCCCAGACAGGCTGTCTGCAAGCTGGAGACCCAGGGCTGCTGGTAGTGTGTTTCAGCCCGTCTGAAAGCCTTAGAACCTGGGAAGCTGATGTAAAAACTCTCAGTCTGAGGACAAAGTATTGAGAATCTTGGGGGTTAGGGGAGACTGGTGCAAGTCCAAAGGCCAGAGGTCCTGGAGTTCTGATGTCCAAGGGAAGGAGAAATAAGATGCCCCAGCTCCAGGATAGAGAGAGACAAAGAATTCACCTTTTCTCTAACTTTTCTTTCTATCCAGGAACTCAGATGTTTGAATGGTGCTAGCCCACATTGAGGGGAAATCTCCCCTTCTCAATCCACTGACTCATACGCCATTCTCCTCTGGAAACCCCCTCACAGACACATCCAGAAATAATGCTTTACCAATTATCTAAGTATTCCTTAATTCAGTCAAGTTGAAACTTAAAATTAACCATCACCGACACATAGACACACAGAAAAAAGGCAGCCTTGTGAAGATGGAGTAGGAGATGAGAGTTACGCTGCCACAAACCAAGGAATACCTGGGGCTGTCGGAACTGGGAGAGGCAAAGGAGAATCCACTCCTACAGACCTCATAGGAGGCTCTGCCAACACCTTAATTTCAGACTTCTGTCCTTTAGACTGGTAAGAGAATAAATTTCTGTGGGTTTAAGCCACTCAGTTTGTAGTAGATTGTTATGGCAGCCCTAAAAATTAATAGAATTATTAAAAATAAAATTTAGTGCAAAATTCAAAACACTACATTTAGTATTTCGTGGATAAATATATATTAAAATGACCATAAAATCTTCTACTAAAATATACTGTTAGAAAACATTTATTTGGTTTGTGCTCAGTGCTAGATTCTCTTCCAGGCATTTTGCATGGATTATTTTATAGTAATTCTGTGAGATGCAACAGTTAATATCCCCGTTTTTCAGATTTACAAACTAAAACATAACACAGTTAACTGGCTAACGTAGCTAATAAGTATCAGAGTCAGAATTTGAAATTTGATTCTGGGCTACTTGACACCTCATTACTCTCCTCTCTCAACCCCATCACCTTTATGTCTGTACACGGGTTTACTCCTTGTCTCTGTCTCAGCTCCCTCATCAATCTCTCTGTTCTCTCCCTCTCTCTGCCTTATTCTCTCTTTCTTTTATTGTCTATTTATGCCTTATCTCTGTTTTCTTTTCCTGTAAAATGCTAAATTTTATGCTTTAAAGGTGACATACCTCTAGTATTTAAATATCCATGGATTATTCACATAAACTGTTCATGTAAAGCCAAAATGAAGCCCTCAATAAATGACTGAGATTTCATATGTTGCCTTATATGACTACAGTGCAAGAAAACAATACTAAAAGTAACTTTTATACTTTTGAGGCTTTAAAAAGTTGTTTGCTTGTACAAAATAGTCATAAAGGACTTGTGAAGAGCAATAAATCAAACAAAATTTCTGACTATTTAGAAAAATCTTCAAGTACTAAACATCAAAACCTATGATAAATGCCAAGGGATATTTTCAGAGATAAAATCAGAGCTGTAAATACTTTTGTTATTAAGAAACACAAATCATAAGAATAAATTAATTATGTTCAGCTTAATAAACTTGTTAAGGATTGGAGGAAAAGCAATAGTTTATCAGTGAAACAGATTAGAAAACAGATCACACAGTCGATATTTATTACTTTGATGAGGGTTTATTGTTGTGTGTGTAGCTGTACCACACAAAGGATGCTGCACTAACCTCAGCCTTACAAACTGGCAAGCTGTGGTACCATCCTTGGCCCAAACTTAGAACAGGAGAGAGTGGTAGCAAAGAAAAATCATGTCAGAAAGATTTGTGTGGGTAAGCTATCCACAGCTATCCAATAGTTTCTACCTGGAGGGAGCTGAAGACATATGAAGTTCAGCTTCACTCTCTTCCTTCTATAAAACCAAAACAAAACAAACAAAAAATGTTCATTTTCTTCTGGATCTCCTACCCGGGATGCTTAGTGGCCCAACCTAACCTAGAATGAAAAATATGGAACCCACTGATGCACCCAAAAGATGGGCAATGTTGCCAACAGGTGCCAAAAGATGGGCAATGGATTTGGAGGGGAAATTGAATTGCTAGATATAATTGAATGAAAAACTTCTCTGAATTCTGACTGATATACGGCTAGTGGTCCTTTTGGCAGAGTTTAAAGGGTAAAACTTCTGGTAATTTCAGTGTTCAGTATACAGCCTTTCACTTAATCTCACTATTTTTGGTACATTTCTCCAACTCACAGCAAGCTTGAGTCCTGAGTTCACTGTCTCTGTTTCACCGTTGCAATAAATGAAATGTGAAATATTCTGCAAGAGCGAGAGCTGGTAATTACAATGTAGTGGAAGAAGATACAGAGTACTCCAATCCCACTTTTCTAGCCAGCCCCGCAATTACCTTTCAATGAAGAGGCTAATGGCTATGCTTTTCTGAGGCTCTGAGATACAATCAATCTGCTTCTGTGCTTTCTTGAATGGCTGGAATTTCACTTTGGATCGTTCCTCAAAACTTTATATGTTTTTATCAGCTTTCCACTTACAAAATGTAGTTGATATTTTTATTTTAAATGTATTTTTACTTCTTTTGTAGTTTAAACTCTTTTATCTCTTTACCATAATTTAGTGCAGCTTCAAGAGGATGAATATAAAAACGTATGTCCACACTTGCATCTCTAATCTGAGAGTATGTTTTAAAAAATATGATATTGCTTTCAGCACTTGATGGGTACTAATTACAAAAAAGTAAAAGCTTAAGCACATATTATAATTTATATAAAGTTGTTATCATATTTTAAAGTTGAAATTGATAATATAATAGTGACACTTTGTGAGTGATACCTTGTTATAAACTTGGTGAGGAAAGGATTAAGATACAAATGATATGATACCTATGCTTTCCAAGACATGAGCTGAAATATAGATGATATCCCTGAGTTGGATAGGAATTTAATGACCTGATTCTGGAAAAACACAGAGATAACATAATGGGAGAGGAGGAATTTAAGCTCTGGGAAAATGAAATGTAGCCTAGATAAAGATTATGCATCTTTAAGAATAAATGTATTTAAAATAATAAATAGATTAGAGAGACAATTAATCTGAACTTAAATTTCAGTTGAAACCCAGGCAAAATACGTTAATAGCAACCTTCTTTGGACTACCTCTGAATAAGACAAATAACATACATTTTTAATTAATTGAATGTATTATACTAAAAACATTTATTTTCTTCTGGATTTTTAAAAATTGAGTTTTTCTCCAGGGATTTGATTGTCACATAAATTGAACTAGTAGCTCAAAACATCTTGTGGTAACCAGTCATATGGAAATCTACTTGCTTAGGCAAGCCTTCTACAACATCTTGTAATAATATCCATAAATTAAATTTGAAGCAATATAAAATGTGAAAATTGTGTGACTATACATAAAAGTAGACACCAAATACTTACAATACTTTCATAAAGATATTTTCTTTAATGTTGTGCTGTTATCATTTATTTCTTCTCATAAGAGTAAATATTGCAATTTTAACTTTGTCAAACAATTTTATAATGCTGTGATTCCTTTCTCTTCTGTTCACTCTTTGTCTTTGTGTGTTTGCTTTGAATCTGTAGAAATAAAAACGTTCTTTGCTTTGGTCACTGTTGAAAGAGGCTACTGGCCAAATACTGTAAGTCTCATTGCAGATGTGTTCTATATCTTTTAGGCTTGCTAAGTGCTTTAAACAATGATGTCGGTTACATGAGAAGTGTTTGATGCATGCTGATAGTTCTTCCTAAGACTGACATGCCCTACATAAGTTTCTCTCAGCATTTACCTCCCAGCATGACTGCTCTGTGTTAAGAGATTAGCCACTTTCTTACAAGAGTATTTTGAAATGTGTTGTATAACAAACCTGATATAAAGGATACTATAGTTTGAAATCTAATGTTATCTTGTGCACAGATTGGTACAAATGTGTTGCTTTCTCTTATAATTCATGATGGGATAAATATTGTTCTTCTGTGTTTTTGTTTAGAAACCTCTGGAAGAATTGAGCTGGTCGACTATGCAAACAGTTGTCAAGAGCCTATAAAATATGCAGCATAAAATTTTTCCTTTGTAGTCAAACCTGATTATTCCTCTTAGATACTGGGAACAGAATTTCACAGTCGTCAGAGAATATACCTTTTGTATTTTCGTATTAAATATGTACTCCTATTACTTAACAATTGTAGTTTAACTCCTTTTTTAGGTAAAATTCTAATTTTTCTCTTCTGTTAAAAATTTCCAGTTCCAACACGAAGATAATAAAGAATATTAATTTTATCCTTATTAACTTGAAGGAAGTAATATTTATTTTTGTATTTCTGTACTTAAGTATATCACAAATACAGATTTCTGTAGTTGGAGAATTAATATAAAGTAACATAGTATTCAATAAGAAGGGATTTTTCTTTATTAAAAAGAGGTCTGAATTATAAACTAAATATCTGTGTAACTTTGAACAATTTATTTAACTTTTTGAAGATATTTGAAACTTATTTCTAAAATGAGAAAAATACCTATCATGAGGAGCTTTTGTAAATACTAAATGAGATATAACATGTAAAGCAGTTAACAAAATTCTAGGCATGGTATGGGTATTTAAATAAATGGAAAGTATTCTTAAGTTTTATAGTAATAGTTTTACAAATTTTATATGTAATTCTGATGATTAATGGTTATTTTAATATCTTTTCTACTGTATATGCTAGGGAGTATTTTGGAGTATCAAATTTAAATATTAGTAAAGCATGAAAATTTGATTTAGTAATAAGTAGACAAAGCAGAAAAATGCACTAAATCTTATTTCTTATGCAAATTGGGACAATAAAATATGGGAGCAAGAAATAAGGCTGAAGTATGTATATGAGCAGAATAAAATAAATTACTGCAAAATGTAAATTATCCAGACTTGTGTTTCCTTAACTAGAAGCTCTACAGGAAAGAACTTTAATCTTCTAGAAGGCTAAGCTCATAAAAGACGATGTTAGACCTTTAGATTCAGAAAATAAAACTCTTAGTTCTGTCTTTAAAGAATTAATAAAGCAAAAGGGTAGTTATATAATTGATTAATATGGTTAATGTGTTGAGCAAAAGTGTGCAATTACATGTTTAATTTAAATAATCCCATCATTTAATGGATATCAAATCAAATACATAATTAACATTTTTAAATTTTCTTTTTCTATGTATAATGCCAGATAACATAATAAAGGTTATTATTTTTTTCACAATATACATTTTATATCAGTTACTTTGAAGGAATTTGGAAAAATGTCCATAATACTTGTGGCTATGATTTTATAACATGTTGGTGATAAGTACAAGTGAATCATATACTTGAAAGATATAAATACGGTGAGCAAGGAAAAATTATCAGTATTATGGTTTTAAAATGAGCAGTAGTATTCTTAGCATTGATCTTAGAGGACTTCCAAAGTGGTCCATGCCCAAGATAATTTTAACAGTAATATTTTCAGAATAATAAATTTTTAGGCTGGAATATACATAGAAAAGCTATTTTGCAGATGATTCCATTGTGATTTCAAAAATACATCTCACTCACCTAAACTGAAGCTTTTATACTCTTTATTCAATGTTCTACAACACAGATTCTTCCTTACTAAATAAATATCATATTGTAAAACATTTCATTAATCTTTTTATTTTTAATTGTCTAATTAAAGTCTGTGGATCCATACGGTTAATACCACCTGTAGTCAGCATTCTGAAAAGGTCAGTTTAAATTTACTTTTAAAAATCTCTACTAATGTGTTATAATTGCATTCAGGATTTTCTAGTAGAGTTTAATGTACCCCAAGGAGATATTATCTAAGTACTGCTTCACAGTTGCAAAGGAAACTGAGAAATTGTAATTTTTAAATTTGTAAATTATGTGATTCTTGTTTTCATTTCCCCTGATTCTAATCTTATAGCAAGTAGATTCATCTGCAACTGTGAAAACACTGAAGGGATAGAATTGTGGGAAAGAGATATAGCCTTATTTGTAATAATTTTTATTTGCAAAAAGAAAAAAAAGTATTGTGTTTCTCACTTGGTCTTCATTTTTGGCATTATCTGTCTGTGATATGCATTTACAGATGATGCTGACAATTTGTGATATACATGGATCTGGGGTCATCAGAATGGCACTGGAGTTTTATTTCTACTACTAGTAAATTTAATATTAGAAAAAGCAAGCGGGCTTATCAGTTCAAACTTAAACAACTACTTTGTAGTGAAGCTAGGGCACATAAAGACAACACTCTAGAAAATAGAAGGCAAGCAAAATTTTAAAGATCGTACACATAAAAATAATTGAAAGGGATGTTAGACCTAAACAGGAAAACCAAAGCTATGAAACAAATTAGAAGAAAACATATGAGTAATCCATTATGACCTTGAGATTGGCAAACGATTTTTAAAAAGAAAACAAAAAGCACTAAATTTTTAAAAAAAGTTATGAAATCGAATCCATGCAAGTCACAAATAGTAAACAAAAAACACATGAAGACACGCACACACACACACATACACACACATACACATACACCAAGAAATTTCAAGAAGTCCATTGCCATGCAACAAAGTATTAGATTACTAGACATATACTGTGTTTCTCAAAACACTAGACAACAACTCTCTGTTGTTGAAAAATTGAAACGATAAAATAGTGCATTACATTAGCTCATTGTGTTAAATTAAATTAAATTTGCCCTAAAGCTGCCTCCATATCAAGTGTATATATTGTGCACTGCAACCTAACTTAAGCATATATTCCTGTAAGAAATAGCTGAGTTTCAGTCAGCCACAGGCTACCAACTGTTCAGGCCATGTCCATATAAAGGAAATGCCTCATCATACCATGCCTAAATAAGGCAAATGCCAATCTGTCAACAATCACGCTACTTCTGTACATCACTTCTTTTTTCTGTCTATAAATGCTGCCTGTCCACATTGTTGGGTGGAGCTTTAAAAACCTGTCCTGGTTTGGAGTGTTGCCCAATTCATGAATCATTTCTTGAGCAAATAAACTCTGCTAAATTTAATTCATCTAAAGTTGTCCTTTTAACATGTGTAACTATGAAGTAACTACACGGTTTACAAATCTAAACTTTACTATCCATCTGACATTAGAAATAGCACTTACGTTTCTTTGTTTAATTACTTTATTTATTTATAAAATGGGGCTAAGCAAATCTATCAGCACCTTAAAATATTTTGAAGATTATGTAAAATATTCAATGTAACAATAATTTAACTCCTGCACACAGGAAAAATGTGAAATTCGCTGTATTATTCTGTTCTCACATTGCTATAAAGACATGCATGAGACTAGGTGATTTATGAAGAAAATAGGTTTAATTAACTCACAGTTCTGCAGGCTGTACAAGAGGCATGCCTGGGGAATCCTCAGGAAACTTAAAATCATGGTGGAAGGTGAAAAGGAAGCAGGCACGATCTTCACATGGCAGAGCAGGAGAGAGGGAGAACAAAGTGGGGAAGTGCTACACACTTTCAAACAGCCAGATCTTGTGAGAACTCACTATCATGAGAAGAGAAAGGGAGAAATTCACCCCTATGCTCTAATCACTTCCCACCAGGTCCTTTCCTAACATTGGGGATTACAATTGAACATGAGATTTGGCTGGGGACACAGAGCCAAACCGTATAATCCTACATCTGGCCCCTCTCAAATTGGATATCCTTCACACATTTTAAAACACAATCATGCCTTCTTAACAGTTCCCCGAATCTTAACTCATTCCAGCATTAACCCAAAAGTCCAATTTTAAAATCTCATCTGAAACAAGACAAGTTCCTTCTGCCTATGAGCCTGTAAAACTAAAAACAATTTAGCTACTTCAAACACACAAGGGGAGTACAGGCATTAGGAAAATGCTCCCATTCCAAAAGGGAGAAATTGAACAAAACAAAGGCACTACAGGGCCCATGCAGGTCTGGAACACAACAAAGCAGTCATTAAATCTTAAAGCTCCAAAATAATCTCCTTTGACTCCATGTCTCACACCGAGGCCACACTGATGCAAGAGGTGAAATCTCAAGGCCTTGGGCAGCTCTGCAGGGTACAGCCCCTTCAGCTGCTTTCACAGGCTAGTTTTGGGTACCTGTGGATTTTCCAGGTGCAAGGTACAAGTCGTCAGTGGATCTATCTTTCTAGGGTCTGGAGGATGGTGGCCGCCTCCTTACAGCTCTACTAGGCAGTGCTCCAGTAGGGACTCTGTGTGGGGGTTCCAACCCCACATTTTCCCTTGGCACTGCCCTAGTAGAGGTGCTCCATGAGGGCTCTACCCTTGAAGCAGACTTCCACCTGGATATTCAGGTGTTTTCATACATCCTCTGAAATCTAGATGGAGGCTGTCAAGCCTCAACTCTTGCCCTCTGTGCACTTGCAGGCCCAACACCATGTGGAAGACACCAAGGCTTCTGAAGTCCCTCTGAATCAATGATCTGAGATATACTGTGGCCCCTTTTAGCCATGACTGGAGTGGTCTTAATGCAGGGCACCATGTCTCAAGGCTACACAGAACAGCAGGGCCCTGGGCCCAGCCCATAAAGCCATTTTTCCCTCCTAGGCCTCCAGATCTGTGATGGAAGTCACTACCACAAAGTTCTCTAAAATGACTTGAAAGGATTTTCCCCATTGTCTTCGCTATTAACATTTGGCTCCTCTTTACTTATGCAAATGTCTGCAGCCCCCTTGAATTCCTTCACAGAAAATAGGATTTTATTTTCTACCACCTAATCAGGCTGCAAATTTTCCAAACTTTTATGCTCTCCTTCCCTTTTAAATATAAGTTTCAACTTCAGTCCATCTCTTTGTGAATGCATGTGAGTGTACACTTTTAGAAGCCTCCAGGTCACTTCTGAATGCTTTGATGCTTACTAATTTCTTCTGACAGATACCCTAAATCATCTCTCTCCAATTCGAAGTTCCACAGATCTCTAATGCAGGGGCACAATGCTGCCAGGCTCTTTGCTTAAGTATGGCAAGAGTCACCTTTGTTTCAGTTCCCAGTAAGTTCCTATCTCCATCTGTGACCTCCTCAGCTCGGACTTCATTTTCCATATCATTATCAGTATTTTGGTCAAAACCATTCAACACATCCCTAGGAAGTTCCAAACTTTCTCTCATCTTCCTGTCATCTTCTTAGCTTTACAAACTGTTCCAACCTCTGCCCATTTCCCAGTTCCAAAGTTGCTTCCACATTTTCAAGTATCTTTATAGCAATGGCCCACTTCTCTGGTACCAATTTTCTGTATTAGTCCATTCTCACACTGCTATTAAAACATACCTGAGACTAGGTAATTTATGGAGAAAAGAAGTGTAATTGACTCACAGTTCTGCAGACTGTACAAGAGGCATGGCTGATGAGTCCTCAGGAAACTTAAAATCATGATGGAAGACAAAAGGGAAGCAGGCAGAATCTTCACGTAGTGGAGCGAGAGAGAGAGAGAGAGAGAGAGAGAAAGGGACAGTTTTACACCCTTTCAAACAACTAGATCCTGTGAGAACTCACTATCATGAGAATAGCAAGGGAGAAATCCACCCTTACGACCCAATCACCTTGCACAAGGTCCCTCCTCAAACATTAAGGACAAAAATTCACATGAAATGTGGTTGGGGACACAGAGCCAAACTGTATCATCTGTCTAAACAAAAGTACTTTGGGTTTGATTGGTTAAAAAAACACAAAACTTAATTTTGTTATTTTCCCAAATCTCTTTATGATATAATATTTAAAGATACCTAATTCCAGGTTTGAAAATTAGTCCATAAGGTAGGAATCTTAGAGCATAATGGCATATTTATTGTTTGTAGATGATTGTTAGGCCAGTTTTTATATTTAAGATAGGTTAAACAATCTACTTGAGTATTAGGACTTTTTTGTCCAATGTATTCATGTTTCTCTACCATTGAAATTGAAGAAAAAATATTTTTTTGGGGGGGATACACTTTTAATTCATACACTCACAAAGGACTTGTATCCAGAATATATAAAGAACTCTTAAAATTCAATAACAAGACGCCAAATGTTCCAGTTTTTTAAATGGGCAAATAGTTTGAATAGATTTCACCAAATATGAGATACTGGTGACAAATAAGCACATGAAAAGATGCTCAATCATTAATCATTAGGAAAATGCAAATTAAAACCACAATGAGAGACCCCTACACACCTACTAGAGTGACTATTTTTTTTAAAGAAACTGACAATACTAAGTGCTGATGAGGATGCAAAGTAACTCAAACTCTCATATAATGCTGGTAAGTGGAAAACAGTATGGCACTTTGGAAACAGTATGGCATTTTCTCTCTTTTTTAAAAAAAATATGTTATTTTATTAATAAATTGGGAACTTTTTTTTTTTTTGAGACAGGGTCATGGTCTGTTGCCCCGACTGGAGTGCAGAGGCAAGATCATGCCTCACTGCAACCTGCACCTCTGAAACTCAGATGATCCTCCAACCTCAGCCTCCCAAGTAGCTGGGACTACAGGCCTGAGCCACCACACCTAGCTAATTTTTGTATTTTTTTGTAGAGATGGGGTTTTGCCATGTTGTCCAAGCTGGTCTCAAACCCCTAGACTGAAGCCTGCCTGGCATCCCAAAGTGCTGGGATTATAGGCATGAGCTACTGCACCCAACTGGTAATTTTTTCTTTCTTTCTTTCTTTTTTTATTGTAGTTTAAGTTCTGGGATACATGAGCAGAATGTGCAGGTTTGTTACATGGATACACACTTGCCATGATGGTTTGCTGCACCCGTCAACATGTCATCTACATTAGGTATTTCTCCTAATTCTATCCCTCCCCTATCCTCCTACCCCCTGACAGGTCCGGGTGTGTGATATTCCCCTCCCTGTGTCCATGTGTTCTCATTGTTCAACTCCCACTTATGAAGGAGAACATGAGGTGTTTGGTTTTCCGTTCCTGTGTTAGTTTGCTGAGAATTATGGTTTCCATCTTCATCCATGTCCCTGCAAAGGATGTGAACTCATCCTTTTTTATGGCTGCATAGTATTCCATGGTGTATACGTGCCACATTTTCTTTATCCAGTCTATCATTGATGGGCGTTTGGGTTTGTTTCAAGCCTTTGCTATTGTGAATAGTGCTGCAATAAACATATATGTGCATATGTCTTTATAGTCGAATGATTTATAGTCCTTTGGGTATATACCCAGTAATGGGATTGCTGGGTCAAATGATATTTCTAGTTCTACATACTTGAGGAATTGCCACACTGTCTTCCACAATGGTTAAACTAATTTACACTCTCACCATCAGTGTAAAAGCATTCCTATTTCTCCACATCCTCTCCAGCATCTGTTGTTTCCTGACTTTTTAATAATTGCCATTCTAACTGGCATGAGATGGTATCTCATTGTGGTTTTGATTTGCATTTCTGTAATAACCAGTGATGATGAGCTTTTTTTCATATGTTTGTTGACCACATAAATGTCATCTTTTGAGAAGTGTCTGTTCATATCCTTTGCCCACTTTTTGATGGGATCGTTTGTAAATCTGTTTAACTTCCTTGTAGATTCTGGATATCAGCCCTTTGTCAGATGGATTGACTGCAAAATTTTTCCCCCATTCTGTAGGTTGCCTGTTCACTCTGATGATAGTTTCTTTTGCTGTGCAGAAGCTCTTTAGTTTAATTAGATCCCATTTTTCAATTTCGGCTTTTGTTGCCATTGCTTTTAAACGTAACACCTAAAACCATAAAAAGCCTAGAAGAAAACCTAGACAATACCATTCAGGACATGGGCATGGGAAAAAATATTTATATTGACATGTAAGTCTTCATATGTTAAGTAGTTTTAGTTTTCTAAAAAATGGTATCCAGTAACAAAGATAAGTTTGTATTCATTAGTATGATGTATAGACTAAAGAAAAGATTGAATGATTAATTGATGTATTGGTTGTGTAATATAAATATATACATATATATATTTCTTATTTTTTTGAGACAGGGTCTTGATCTCTTACCTATGCTGGAGTGCAGTGGCTTGATCATGGCTCACTGTAGCCTCAACCTTGCAGGTTTAAGCCATCCTCCCATATTAGCCTCTAAGTAGCTGGGAATACAGGTGTAACCCATCATATCCAGCTATTTTTGAATTTTGTAAAGACAGGGTTTAGCCAGGTTGCTCAGGCTGGTCTCGAACTTCTGGGTTCAAGTGATCCACCCCTTGGCCTCTCAAAGTGCTGGCATTATAGGTATGAGCTACCACATCTGGCCTTGCAGTGTATATTTAACAAATATTTTGTCCCTTGCATTATGTGTTCCCCATATTGGGAATAAAGCAGTAACTACATTGTCAAAAATATCTGCTTATTCCAATAGAGGGTGGGACAGATAAAATAAATAAATAAAATATATGCTGTGATATATTTTAGTTGCCTCAATGGATAAGAGAGAACACCAGATACAATAATAATTATAATCCCTAATGGAGTTTTCAAAATAAATAAGGTGATATCAGAAAAACTCTAATTGCTAATGTGAAAACCATGGAAACCTGTAGAAGCTATACAAGTTCTGGTACAAAGAAACTGGGTGAGAGCAACAATCATGAGTACTGATTTCCAATATGCTGCAAGTGTCGCATTGAACAATATGCCAAGCGGATTATCTCAGTTCCAGCTAAAACCCTGATTACAACATGCCAAGGCATCAAAAATGCAAGCCCTTTGAAGACATGTCTTATTTTCAGAGGACTCATTATCATCGCTTCCCATTTATATGCAGTTTTACTTGTTGTAAAGTGAAGTAAGCTGATTATGAGATTTTTGGGGGGAAAGAATGTAAAAATGAGATTACCCATTATTACCAATTATGCTTTTACCTTTTGGCCTTCATGTACCAAATGTAGAGGTCCAGTTTCTTGGTTTTTGTTATACAGTGTGTTTACATACATTTCTTATGTATGATCTAAAAGTAACCAACATATGCCACTGCCATTTAGAAATGTTAAAGCCAATGGTAATATTTCCAATATTTTTATCTTTCCATGGTTCTAGTCCTCTTGTTTTATAACTGTATGCTTCTTTTCCTTAGTGTCCCTGGTAAGTTTTAATTGAATGCTAAACATTTTGTATACAAGATCACAGAACACACGCACACACGTATCTATCTATCTATATATATGAAGTAAATGTAGGCTGAATGTGCTGGCACATTCCTGTAATCCAAACAATTTGGGAGGCTGAGGCAGACGGATCACTTGAGTTCAGGAGTTTGAGACTAGCCTGGCCAACATGGTGAAACCCTGTCTCTACTAAAAACAGAAAAATTGGCAGGGCATGGTGGCAGGCACTTGTTATCCCAGCTACTTGGGAGGCTGAGGCAGGAGAACTGCTTGAACCCAGGAGGCAGAGGTTGCAGTGAGCCAAGATGGTGTCACCGCAATGAAACCTGGGTGGCAGAGCTAGACGACAAAATAATTATTAACAAAAGAGCTCAAAAATAATATAATTAACAAAAGGGCTCAAAAACAATTAAAATAAAATTTAAATAAATAAGTAAAGTATGTGTGTACAGACAAAAAAGTATCTATGTATATATATTTTATATGTGTGTCTCTGTGTGTGTGTGTCTGTGTTTTCTTACCCTATCCACTACTGTCAGGCAGCTGCCGTAGTAAGGAATCCCCTCAATACATTCAGGAATGGAGATGACTTGAGACTAAGTGCCAGACTTCATAAAGCTTGTTCTGATTGAGTGTCAGACTTCATAAGGAAACCTTTGCTTTCAGCCTGATTTTAGGGTATATATCTTGAGGGGTCCCATTGAGCACCTGTGAATTTTACAAGGGTCCATTCTCTACTTGACCATTTTTTTCTACCACACTACAAGAATGGCAAATTCTCCTCTCAGGTTTTCTGTCACTTTCTGTTGTTCTCTCATCATTAACAGCTTAGTAATAAAAAATGCTTGTAAAGAAAAGTAGTGCACAGAATTGGCCTTAAATCTCTGTACCTTCTATTTTCTAGAATCTTGATGCTTTAAGTCTTGGCTGCATCCAAGCCCAGATTCTTTGCTTCTTGCCTTGTCTCAGACGAGACTTTGGACTTGGACTTTTTAGTTAATGCTGGAATTAGTTAAGACATTGGAGGGACTGTAGGAAAGGCATGATTGTGTTTTGAAATGTGAGGACATAAGATTTTGGAGAGACTGGGGCAGAACGATATGGTTTGTCTGTGCATATTGTTGTGCAATATGCCAAGCGGATTATCTCAGTTCCAGCTAAAACCCTGATTACAACATGCCAAGGCACCAAAAATGCAAAGCAAAATCTCACCTGAATTGCAGTTCCCACAATCCCCATGTGTCATGGGAGGGACCTGTTGGGAGGTAATTGAATCATGGGGGCTGTTACATGCATGCTGTTCTTGTGATAGTAAGTTCTCACAAGATCTGATGGTTTTACTGGGGGCTTTTCCCCTGTTGCTTGACTCTTCTCTCTCCTGCCACCATGTGAAGAAGGATGTTTTTGCTGCCCCTTCTGCCATGATTTTAAGTTTTCTGAGGCCTCCCCAGCCATACAGAACTGTGAGTCAATTAAACCTCTTCTTTTTTTGAATTACCCAATATCAGGCAGTTATTTATAGCAGTGTGAGAACAAACTAATACAGATGCCTTCAAAAATATTTCCCTATTTTATTCAGCTCCAATGAATTCAGGGCTCTAAGTTGTCCTGGAAGTGCCAAGCGTGGAAGTCTAGAGTGTTTATGAATTAAATGTATTAGCCCAAAATCATCTCATCAGAATAATGAAATGATAGCAGATTTTTCATAAAATGCCTAAGAATTCTAATAATATACATGATAGGAAGATATCTGACAGGAAATATGTAGAAAGAAATGGGTGATTAATTCCTTCTGCCAAAAGGTTTTGCTTTCATTCTTTAACGTCAGATCATATGAACAAGAATTTTAACACTAAGCAAAGGAAATTTCATTTTCATTTTCCATACACTATTACTGTTAGACTTTTGAAAAAGTTTTACACCATCATAAATTAGCATTTTAGCTTCTTTCCTCCTGTGAACATAATTAGAAGACTTGAGTAGCCAGGATAGCTTAGAGCCATAACAACTGATACAGAAAAGAACAAAGAATTAACCCAACAATGGCATTCTCTCCATTTTCCCTAGAATTGCTGGACAGGATGCACTCTCTATTTTATAATTGAGTTGTTCTTACTTTACACCAGTTTTATAACAATTTCTTTAAACACCTTAGCATAAATACATACAGATTTATGTTATTCTTGTTTCATTTGAACATATGATATTCCTCCCATTTTTGCAAGCTTCTTATTGATAAAGTCTGGACATTCACAGAGTGAAAGAACATTTTTGCAAATCATATATTTGGTAAAGTACATTTATCTAAAAATACATATAAATTGTAAGTGAGTATCCACTTACAATTTAATAATAAAAAGAGAAACATCCAAATTAAAAACAGGTCAACAATCTTAATAGATGTTTCTTCAAAAAGATGTAAAATTGGCTTCTAAGCATATTATAAGATGCTCAGCTTGATTAACCATCAGGTACTGCTAGTCAAAACCACAATGACATACCATTTGCAGCCCCAAGAATGGCTGAAATTATAAAGATAAATAACAATTTTTGGTGAGCATGTGGGGAAATATGAACCCTTTTATGCTATTGGTAGGAACATAAAATGATGGAGCTTGTTGAAAAACAGTCTGGCAATTCTCCAAAAAGTTAAACCTAGAGTTACCATATGACCCAAAATCTCCACTCCTAGATGTATATATACCTTAAGGAATCAAAAATACATGTTTACATAAAAATCTATGAACAAATGATAATAAAAGCTTTATTTACAATAGTCAAAAGTAGAACCAATCCAAATATCCAAAACTGAAAAAAGAGCAAATGAAATGTGTTATATATATTAGTTTTCTATAGATGCTGTAAAAATACTACAATTTAGTGGATTAGACATCTGAAATGGGTGTCAAAGAACTATAATAACTGCACTATCGGAGCTGTGTTTCCTCTGGAGGCTTTAGGGGAATAGACGTACCTTTACCCTTTCCAGCTTCTAGAGGTTGCTTTTATTCCTTGACTTGAGGGCTTATCCTGTATCTTCAGAAGAGTATTTGCATCACTCTGACCTCTGCTTCCTTCATCACATCTTGTTCCTGACTCTAACTCACCTTCATATTCCATCTTTTAGGATCCCTTATTATCGCATTTGGCCCGCCTGGATACTGTAGGACAATGTCCCCTAGATCCTTAATTCAATCACATCTCAAAATTCTTAATCACATCTGCACAGTTATTTTTGCCATATAAATTCATCTAGTAACAAATTCTGGGATTAGGATATGGACTTCCTTAAGTGGTAATTATTCTGCTTACCACACCATACAATAAAATATTATTCAGCAATAAATGACTCAACCTAGATGAACCTTGAAAACATAATGCTAAGGAAAACAAGCCAACCACTTAATATCACATATTGTATAATTCAATCTGTATGTAATGTCCAGAATAGAAAAATCTACAAAATCATAACTTAGCATCATGGTTGCCCAAGGCTGGATCGGAAGGGAGAATGACTACTATTAAATAAGGGGTTATTGTAAGAGGGGATCATTAGGTGACAAAAATATTGGAAACTTGATTATGGTGATGGCCGCATAGCTCTGTGAACCTGTTTAAAATAATTGAATTGCATAATGTACATAGGTAAATTGTATAGTATGTGAGTTATACATCAATAGATCTGTTATAAAAATAAAGAAATTAGAACATGTTTTGAATTGAATCAAAATAAAAACAGAACAAAAATTTGTGAAATGTATATAAAGATATGGATAAAGTAGTACTTATGGGGAAATTTATAGAAGTAAATTCTTATAAAAGAAGAACAATCTAAAATAAATAAAAAGGTTCTGTTTTAAAAACCTGAGAAATAATTTCAAATTAAACAGCAAATAATTACAATAAAGGAAAAAACAAAGATAAGAGTGGAAATTAATATAATAGGAAACATAAAAATAACACATAAAATAAAGCTGGGCCTTTGA
Organism: Homo sapiens; assembly: GCF_000001405.40. Lineage (NCBI taxonomy): Eukaryota > Metazoa > Chordata > Mammalia > Primates > Hominidae > Homo > Homo sapiens. Next base: position 95,165,139 of record NC_000003.12, read on the forward strand.
AAATATCCGTGTAATTGATAATACTCTTGTCTGTCTGACTCATTCAGATAGAAGAGAACGTAAAACTTGCCAGTTTCAGGAATGATAGATGATGAGAAATAGTCTCATCATATATTTTCTAGATGTAAGAGAATAATAAGGGTGTATATTGCAAAATTCTAAGTCAATATATTAGAAACATAGAGGAAAAACATATTCTTTAAAAGACACAAATTACCAAAGCTCACTCAAAGTTATTGAAAACATGCCTACCTCTATATCTTTTAGAGGTCTTGAAAATGTAGTTTAAAAACCTTCATGAAAAAATAAAACCATCAAGGTTCAGATGGATTCTTTGGTAAATTTTGCAAATAATTCGAAAGAAAATTCTATTCAAAACTGTCCTAGAAAGTTGGAAACGGAATAATAATTTTGTAACTCTATTAAGCAATATTATCCTAATACAAAAACTAGACATAAAAATGAGAAGAAAATTTTTCTGCAGATTAATAACCCTTATTTCTAAACATGCAACAATTCTCAACATTGCTTTAGCTAAAATTAAACGTTAGTTTAAAATGTATAATCAATACTGTAATTTACCATATTAATAAGCTTTAAAAGGATAAAATATACACAGTCATCTCAATAGATGCAGAATAAACATTTTATAGAATTCAACAATAATTCCTGGTGAAAACTCTCAGAAAATTAATAATATAATAGAATTTTCCCATATATAAAAAGCTGTAGCTAATATCACACTGAATTGTGAAAGCTAGATTACTTTCTTTCTAAAATCAAGGTTAAGAGAGGAAGTTGAATCTACATTATACTGAAGGCTCTTTCTAATGCAGTAAGATAAGAAAAAAAGTCATTCAGTTTGGAAAGAAAGAAGTAAACATGTTTTTATTCAAGGAAAACATGATCCATTATGTAGAAAATCTAATTACTATGACAAAAATGTAATCAGCAAGTTTAAGAAATTTACTGAATAAAACATTGATTTATATATTTGTAATGAACAATTAGAAATTAAAATTCATAAATAATTCCTTTTATGCAATTTTTCATTGCAATAACCCTTAAAATAAGAAATACTTAGTGATAAATTGCACAAAAAATATGCAAGCCCTGTACATTGTAAACAATAAAATGTTGCTATAATAAATTAAAATATAAATTAATGGAGTGCTTTAAAGCATTCATGGGTCAGCAGATTCTACATAGTCTATATTCTCCTCAAATTGATCTATAGATTCAACAAAATTCCAATTCCAATCTATGCAGGGTTTTATAAAAATTGACACCAGGCCGGGCGCGGTGGCTCACGCCTGTAATCCCAGCACTTTGGGAGGCCGAGGCGGGCGGATCACGAGGTCAGGAGATCGAGACCATCCCGGCTAAAACGGTGAAACCCCGTCTCTACTAAAAATACAAAAAATTAGCCGGGCGTAGTGGCGGGCGCCTGTAGTCCCAGCTACTTGGGAGGCTGAGGCAGGAGAATGGCGTGAACCCGGGAGGTGGAGCTTGCAGTGAGCCGAGATCCCGCCACTGCACTCCAGCCTGGGCGACAGAGCGAGACTCCGTCTCAAAAAAAAAAAAAAAAAAAAAAAAAAAAAAAATTGACACCAATTCTAGGGTTTTTTTTTTTTGTATGTATAAATCCAAAGAATCTAAATTAGCTAAAAAATTCTTCAATAAAGGATAAAATTGGAAGACTTAACACTACCTAATTTAAAGACCTATTCTAAAACTACATTAACCATGAAGGTGGAGAATTGGCATAAAAACAGACATATAGAAAATGGAGCAGAACAGAGTCCAGGAATACACACATAGATACATGAAAACTAATTGTGACAAACATGCAAAAGAAGCTAAGTAGAGAAAGTATAAACTTTTCAACAAATGGAGCTGGAAAGATTGGATATCAGTTTGTAAAAAAGGAACTTTGATATATAGCTAACATATACACAAAAATTAACTCAAAATACATCACAGACCTAATATAACACTTAAAACTATAAAACTTCTATAAGTAATTTGTGACCTTGGGCTTGACAAATATTTCTGAGGTATGACTCACAAGACGTGGTGTTGTGAGTATGAAAGAACAATTTAGAGTTGACCAAGATTAGAACCTAAAAGAGAACTTAAAAAAAAAAAAATCACAGAGCACGAAAACAATTTGCAAGGCATATATCTAATATAGGACTTGTATCTGGAATTTGTAAAGATTGTCAAACAATTATTTTTAAGAAGGACAACAGCTTTGTGCAGTTAATTTACCAAAGAACATATATTAATAGCAAATATTTATATAAATCAATGCTCACCATAATAGTCATTAAGACAATTCAAATTGATGCCATGATAAGTACCATGTACTTATTGGAATGGCTAAATTTAAGTATTCTGACTATATCAACTGTTTGCAAGAATGTGGGGAATCTGAAATAATCATATATTGCTAGTAGGAATGCAAAATGATAGAATCACTTAGGAAAACATCTTGGTGATTTCTTAAAATATTAAAATACATTTACTATTCAACTCAGCCATTTTGACTCTTACATATTATCACAAGAGAATTAAAAACATATATTCTTTAAAAATGTGCATTAAAATTCATAGGAGCTTTATTTATAAGAGCTGAAACTAGAAATGACCAAAATGTCCAGTAACAGGTGTATAAATAAACTGTGACATATCCATACAATAGAATACGGCTTATCCATAAAAATAAATACATTATTGACATGTGGTACAACATGAACAAATTTCGAAATAAATATGTAATGTAAAAGAAGCTAGATGAAAAATAAATATTATGATGTCATTTATATAAAATTCTAGAAAGTAAAAATTAATCTACTGTGAGAGATGATGTTACGAACTGAATTGTGTCCCATCAAAATACATATGTCAAAGCCGTAAACTGTAATTTGCATGTACTAGGAAATAGTATCTTCACAGAGGTAATTAAGGTTAAATGAAGTTGTAAGGATGAAGTCCTAATTTGATGTGACTAGCATCCTTATAAAAAGAGAGCATGACACCAGATATGTATGCACACAGGGAACAGGCCATATGAGGACATCGAGAGACGGGACTGTCTACAAGCCAAGAAGGGAGGATTCTTTCTGAAAAAGGAGAAACCAAACCTGCAAGCACCTTGATATTGGACTTCCAGCCCCAAGAATGTGAGAAATAAATTTCTGCTGTTTAAGCCACCCAATCTGGTATTTTGTTATGGCTGCCCTAGAAACCTAATACAAATCATAAATAATATCACTAAACACAGACCTTCATCCTCTGTTGAATGGATAAATATAATGTGGAAAATACATGCAGTGGAAGACAGTACAACAGAAAAGAAAGATCAAATGGTTGCCACATGTAACAGCAGGTTAAATATCACAGATGTAATGCTGAGTGAAAGAAGCCAGACACAACATCCACCACTATGTAATTCTATTTATACAATTCGAGAACAGGCAAATTAATCTATGCTCTTGAAGTCAGGTTAGTGGATACTTTAGAAAGAACCGAAGTTACTTAGGTAAGTTTCATTAGGCTGGGCCGGGCCCGGTGTGGTGGCTCATGCCTATAATCCCAGCACTTTGGGAGGCCAGGACAAGCGGATCACCTGAGGTCAGGAGTTCCAGAACAGCCTGACCAACATGGAGAAACTCCATCACTACTAAAAATACAAAATTAGTCAGACTTGGTGGTGCATGCCTATAATCCCAGCTAGTCAGGAGGCTGAGGCAGGAGAATCGCTTGAACCCGGTAGGCAGAGGTTGCGGTGAGACGAGATCACCCCATTGCACTCCAGCCTGGGCAACAAAGAGTGAAACTCCGTCCCCCCACCAAAAAAAGTTTCATCAGGCCACATGGGTGCCTTCTGAGTTTCTGAATGCTGGTAACACAGTATTTCTTCATCTGGGTTTGAGTACCAGGCAGGACAACCCAAGGGGCAGCAATGCCAAGCTTTCATCAGGCTTTCAGTTCATATTCAGAGTGGGGTCAATTGGCACCTTTGGTGCCCATTTTTATTAAATAGGACTTTTTGCTGAAGCACAATATACATACTAAAAAGCATACAGATTAAAAGGGTTTAGTTCCAATACTTTTTTCTAAAGTACACACATCGGGCATCAATGGGCTGGATAAGCCTTCTGTACCATGAAGAGTTTTCCAAAGACTTTGGAAATCCAACCATCTGAAGGAATATTTCTGAGAAAGGGAGAAATACCCTTGGCGGCTGCTGCCTTTCTTCTGATTGGATTATGGGATATTAAAGATGAGAGCCTTCTATCATTTAGGAGAAAACCTTTTATCTCAGTTCCTGTTGAAATTCAAAACCTGAAGTGCTGAGAAAAGTTGTAAATAATTTTGAAGAATTTCTTTATTCCTAAGGAGGACAACCAAAAAAGGGTTTTTGTCCCAAACAACAGAAAAAGAAAACATACCAAGTCAGAAAATATATGCATATACGTGCATATATATATATATATATATATATATATATATATATATATATATATATATATGAAGTGGGTGGTAAAAGTACGCTTTTGTAATCAAGTGTTTCTGCTATGATTTTGTTACTCATGTGCTCCTGTGTATAAGTAACAACATTGTAACCAACACTACAAAAACTTATTCTTTAATTATTGTAATGGCCCTGACCTTCCAATAAATATCTAGGGTTTGCTTTTCCCACTGGGAAAGGAAGGCTTCGTGCCAGACTTGCAGTTGTTCTGCTTCCTGGGTACCATGAGATATTGAAGGACTGCCAGCACTGAGGGTTCTGGGGAAACATCTCCCAAAGAGTTACCAGGTATAACCTTCAGCAAATGCTCTCTACTGTTACTCCCTTACTGGGTTCCAACAAGCAGTTAATCTAGTCCTTGGTGAAGGTATTATTTTTAATTCAAACTCCATAAAAATATGTGTCCAACTACACGTAAACAGAGGCACAACCAAATATGAAATACTAAAGAGTTAGGAAAATACCAAAATGAAGTTTTATTTTGGAAAAAAATATAGCCTAGGAAACTATACTGCAAAGTCAATTTGCACATGTAGAATAAAAATTTCATTCAAATTTTATACATAATTCCAGTTCCACAAATGAATATGTGTATGCATGTGGGGAAAAGAGGGTAGGGGAAGGAGATTGAAGGGTTGAGAGGTTGATTGATTGAGGTATCATGTGTATAGTTTCTTCTCATTTGCTGCTTTTTATTTCTTTTCACTTTTCAAATGCATATAACTGTTTTACTTTATTACTCTAATAGGAAAACCAATACATTTACTTAATGAAAAATAACCAAACCTTTGAAAGGCAAATTTGTCTGCAGAACTGCTTTTGTATACTCAATTCTTGGGATGTCTGAGTAAAAAGCAAAGTTTTATCCCATCTTTTCATGTCTTTTAAATTCCATTTTCCTGTCCACTCATACGCATTTCTGGGAATCTGAAAAGTGTAGCTTCAATTGTATTAGATATCTTATTAAATTATTCTCCCTGATCCCTTAGTATTATGTCTCATAAAATCACATAGAAAAAGAATGTACATGAAATCCACATACATCAGTAGTTTTCTAAATATATATATATATGTATATATATATATATATATATACATATATATATATATATATTCCTTATGAACAATACTTTTAGGAGGTAGGCCTCATTCTTATAGTCATTTCATCAGAAATGTAGCAGGTATCCTAGTTTTATTATAGATCAAATATTCAAATAAAGACATCTTAACCCTACCTTCCACCCTTTCTTTTCTCCCTCTTCATCCCTCCATCCACTCTCCTTTCCTGTCTTCTTTTCTGATTTCCTGCTTTCCTTCTTTCCTTCCTTGCAAATGAATCCTATATCCCATTAAATATATAGCCTAGGTATTTTTGTCTGATATCTTCTGTTGTCTGTTGCATTTTAAAACTACTTTCAAGAACTTATTTTGACAGTCACAAGGATTAACTATGTAACATGTTCATAAATTTAATCTTTCTTAAATGGCTATGTAATGCAGTAATTACCTGAAATCATCTTCATATATTTATGCTAATCATTTGTATCTCCCGTAGCATAACTGTTTCTCCTTTAACATGCACACCTTCTCAATATATGTCATTGCCCACAAAGAAGCAGGACAATTACTCGGGAGATTTAGGTTTAAAAGAACGCCTTCTTCCCACTTTTTTTTTTTTTGAGATGGAGTCTTGTTCTGTCACCCAGGCTGGAGTGCAGTGGGCTATTTCAGCCCCCTGCAACTTCCACCTCCCCCTTCTTCCAAATTTCTAAAATGTTTTAGTTAGGAGTGTTTTTCTTGTTTTGCCTGAATTCATCAGATACTTTCCCTAATTCCCTTATATGTTTATCAATTTATATTCTTTAGGTTGTATTGGCAATCCCAAACTGAGCCGGTAGAATTATAAACTGTAGTTCCATAAAGAGAAGGAAAGGGCCTGAAAGACTTCTAATGTGATTGCCATTTCTGTAGTATCTCCGTTTTTGCTTTGGGGACAGTATTCCTAGTTTCAATAATTTACACGGAATAATGTTGACAAAGTAATTGATGTTGCTGGTTTCAATGAACTTGGCTTTACATTCAGAGAATCAACAATTTTCTTCTTAATGGTTGAGATTTGCTGATATCTCTGCTCATTACAAGTGTTTTGTAAGGCACTAAAATTTTGATAAAATTTTATAATGTAAATTCCTTTGGGCTTTTCCACAGGAGGCCTACATGCCTACCACCAGTGCTGCCATCATGTCTCTAGTCATCCCTGAGAAGTTCCAGCATATTTTGCGAGTACTCAATACCAACATCAATGGGGGGTGGAAAACAGCCTCTGCCATCACTATCTTTAAGGATGTAGGTCAAAGGTAAGCTCATGTGGTGTTGAGGAAAGCAGACATTGACCTCACCAAGAGGACAGGAGAATTCACTGAGGAAGAGGTGGAACGTGTTATCACCATTATGCAGTATCTACACTAGCACAAAATCCCAGACTTGTTTGTGAACAGATAGAGGATGTAAAGGATGGAAAATATATCCAAATCCTGGCCACTGGTTTGGACAATGAGCTGCATGAAGACCTGGAGCAACTAAAGAAGATTCCAGCCTGTAGAGGGCTGAGCCATTTCTTGGGCCTTCATGTCTAATGCCAGCACAGTGAAACTACTGGCTGCTATAGTCATATCGTGGGTGTATTCAAGAAGAAATAAGTCTGTAGGCTTTGTCTGTTAATAAATTACTCTGGTAGGAAAATTGCTACTTCAAATGTAATATGTTTTATCTTTCAGGGAAAGTCAAATCTTTTCATAAAAAAAATAAATCAAGTCATCTGTATTGTAGCAGTTGGTTTGACTTCCATGCTGATTTGTATTATCTGATAGCAGATTAAATATATTTAATTCACTTGTTGACCTGATGCTATAAGCAGCCAAAGAAACACTGGGCTAAATAACTTCAGAGATCTTCTTTATCAGTTGAATGATTTGTCTTTGTTGGTTCAGTGCCCTGGAATTCTGGGCATTCTTTCAAACCAAGAATTTCAGGTGTTTATGATAATGTTGCCACCTCTTCACTGTAATCACACTTAATTAGTTGCAGCAGGTGGTAGTAGCTGGCACAGTTGAACAGCTCTCCTCACTTCACCAACAATTGGCTATTTGTTCAGCAAATAAAAAGGACTCCGTATGAGAAATCAAGAGAAAAATAGCTGTGCGGTAGCTGTGGTTCTACCAATTCTTTTATTCCCTTGTTTCTTTTCCACTGTAACATTTGTCCCTTTTTTTTTGACAGAGAAAATGGCGTGTTACCTTTTCCAGGGAAATAAATTATATGTATTCAGTAAGCATCCTTTAAAACGTATGAACTGAATTTAGAGATCTGAAACAGAAAGTATTGTTTGAGGTTTTCTTGGCTAGCAAAAGTCATTTTTTTAAATGCCATTGTCAGTGTTAATTTGCCCTGTTAAGCCATTCCACAAATGTATACATGGTTCAAAATAACATGTTTTATCAATAAATATATAAAATTTAATTTGTTATTTAAAAAATTAAAAATAAATAAACGCATGGGAAAAATACTTTTACATGTATTTTCAAAGAGAATGAAGCCTTTGTTAGGTAACATCGTTTTCTAGCATAAAGACCTGATATGGATTTCTTTAAAATTACATTGATATACTTTATTGTATATCATACTTACACATGTACACAAACACACAAAAAAATCCTAACAGTTTATGTAAGTAGAGAGAATCAGGACTGATGTTTTGAGTGTGAAATAAAGTTTCTTTCCATTAAAAAACAATGTCAATTTGTCTTTTAGTGTGTTACTGTCTCAAAATGGTAATGTTTGCTTTTTTCTCCTTTGTGTTTATTAAAATAATAATCTTTATTAATATAACTAGATGTTTAATTATTAAGATAATTCCTTACTATATTTTTTTCTTTCAATTGGTTTTCAAGGAGCTTAAATAAGCCTTGTTTTATCTCTTTGGATTTTCTTATATATATGTATTCTATAATTAGCATTTTATAAAACAGATATATTATCTAGTTTAGGGGAATATAATGTGTTTTAATACCCAGCATTTTTAAATAAAAACATGGAAAAAATAACCTACTATGACTAGTGGTTTGAAGGCCATATGTTGGCATTTTACTTCGGCTAAAAGAAAACCTAATATTTGTACTGTTAACAAATAACATTATCATGAAAAAAGTTAATTAGTGCCTGAACCTGTGCATTGAATTCGATGACTATTTTCTTCTGGAATTTCTCTAGTAGCAATTTTTCTTTATTCCTAGAACAATCAATGTTGTTCAGAAAAAAAGTGCAGATAAAGAAAACATAATTCTTAATGTTTTAAGAAAGTAGAAAAATGATGTGACTTGTTTGTGCATCTTTGCATTCAAATGGGCTATTTTTGTAAACAACACATAATTTACTCATATATCATGCATCAGAACCATTTGTGTTGTTAAAATGTGTGCTGATTCTATGTATAAAATTTTTCCCTGGAGTAAGTTAAATTTATGCACTAACAGCAGAGAGGTACAGTTTAGATTTTGAATATTTAAATGAAATACTTTCAATCTTTCAAATTTTATAATGTAGCATTTCACACATTAAAATGGATATAAGATGTATTGTGAAAGTTCTGAAGAATAAAAATAAACTCCCGTGAACCAACTTGAATACCAGAACATTACCAGTGCCCATGACTATTACATATGGGGTTTACCAATTCTCCCTTTGTTATATAAGGGTAACAAATATCTTGAATTTTGTATTTATCATTGCCTTAATTTTAAAAGAATATATTTACTATTGTGCCAGATTATCTCTTTTCAACTCAGCATCAGCTTCACTCTCTCTTATATTTTGCCTGTCTCATAGGAGTGAAGCCTAGAGCTATATTTCTTCGACACAACTGCCAACAGCATTTTGGGTTAGATTTCCATATTAAGAAGCATGTAATATTTGGAAGGCAGAAGAGAAGGAAATACCATCAGCCTCCAAAGAGAACAGAATGATTTTGATCAGCATGTAGGCATCTTCATGCACATCATCTATTTGATGCTACTACTAGCCAATGAGATTATGAGGTTATTTTCTGATATTTCTGCAGCATACTGATATTTAGAAGTCAGTACAATGTTCTCCACCTTTGGCTTCCCCATTCTTCAAGGGATTCTGTAAGCCTTGAATTCCCTATTAACTACTGTTTCTGCCTCCTATACATAGGAAAATATCTGTGTTCTTGTCTGAACCTCAAGGACAATGCATGTATGAATTCCCAAATACATTTGTTGCTGTTGTTGTTTTGAGCTTCAGAAAAGGATATTAAACTCAAAATTGTCCTATGTGACTTGCTTTTTCACCAACACCATATGCCTATTATTTATCTATGGTATTTTACATATATGTGGACATTATTATTTAGTGTTGCAAAACATCCCATTTTATGACTACAGCATAATTTTTAAAATAATATTCTCTGCCCTTGGCTTACCCATCTTTCAAGGGATTCTGCAAACCTTTAATTCCCTATTAATTAATTGTGCTGATAAACTTTTGGTTTGCTGTTATTTTTATTTTCCTTTTTTGCTGTTGTTTTGTTTTGTTTTGTTTTCTCTTTGGTATTTTGCTGCTATAAGCAAGATGGCCAGGTGCATTCTTTAGAAAGTCTTTTTAATGTACATTTACAAGCGTTTTCCTACCTTACTGACAAAGTACTTTTACTTGGCAGGACTTTAGTTGAGTTCCTGAACCTTCTCTTAGGCCTCTCTGTGCACCTTCTTATAAATCCAGTTTTAGCAAAGAATCCAGCTCAGTCAGTTTAGCACAAATCTACAATGCTCCGTATCTGATGACCTTCAATATCTGATCCAATTCTTCATCTGCCACTGCTTCATAGGTGTTATTGGCTCACAGTGGCATATATTCAGAAAGAATCTGTTAAGTCTGTTCGTCTAGAATGCCCCTTACCTTTGCATCCAGTGACCTCCATCCTACTCCTTGGGTATAAATTTCCACTTGCTCATGCTATATTTGAAGTTCAGCCCAATCTCTATCCCCCACTGCAAGACCCCATTGCAGTGGCCCCTATGATTATTGCAATAGCTTTGAATGAAATGCTTTAATAAATACCATTGAATAATTTTTTCTTTAATAGTTCATTCATTAAAAATGCAATTAGTTAGGAATATCTGCATTTTCTACTTTAAGCAATCAAGTTAAATTGTTTTTAGAATTGATTATACTAATTCCAATTGCCAAGTGTATTAAAAATACTCATTTATCATATATTTGCCTAGTTGTGGCATTGTGTAGATTTACTGATTTGCCAATTTAATAGACTTAAATTGGTATCTTACTGTAGTTTTGGTGTGTATCATCCTGACTATTAATAAGATTAAATAATTTGACTGTTTTAATTTCTTACTTATTTTGTATTTTGTGAAATACTTGTTAAAATGACTGTCAAATTTTCAAGTTATGTTTTCAATTCATTACTTTTTGCAGTTTATTAAATTCTCAAGATATAATACCATAGAAATACATCTATTTCAAATAATTTTTCTCATTATGTGGTTTGTCTTTTCATTTTCTTTTTGATGTCCTTTGAAGAAGAGAATTTTTTACAGTTAGCTTTTTGTGTCTTAAGAAAAACTTCTCTAACCCTATGGTCATAAAGATACCCCTATTTTTATAAAAGCTTTAGATTTTGATTTTCACATTCGTTTGATGTATTCTGGACCTTCTCTTCTCCCCTCCCTGTCTTTTGACCTCTCTTTAGTGTATTCTACCTCTTTATCTCTCTATGGTGCATTATATATAATGTGTGATTCTCTCATCAGCTGGTGTACTCTTATTTTAAACCCACCAATTATAGTTTTACTTTTCTTGTCTATATTATTCATTTCTAAATGTATTATGTTGGTATTCAAATCATTCTTATTTTTAATGATCTATTATACTCCTTTAGTTACATTTCTTCTTTTAACATATATTAATCATACTTATTTCATATTATTAATTCAAACCTCAAATATATAAAATCCTTAATCTAAATATTCTCTGTATTTTTTTCTGACTCTCTTTCAGAGTGACTTGGTTTTCTGTTAATTTGTTGAATCTTATCTGTAAGCATTCTAATGGTCTAAACTGCAAAATCTTTAGTCCAAATAGGTTTGAAACATAAACAGGAAACAAGTTGTCCTAATCGACTGAGTTGTCTTCTGGATTCTTGACTTAATATAGGAAATTTAGATTTAGGTCTTCTCACTTGTGGGTTTTAACAAACACTGGTTAAAAATTGAATGTGGGGAGAAAATGGTTAACTGTTGGTCCAGCTGTCTTGCAACCACAAAAATGAAATCTAAGGTATAGATCCTCTTTGAAACAGTAACCCAAGAAATTATTAGAAATTTATTTATACTAAATCCAACATCATTAATAATCTGGCCAAGATTTGTATATTAGACCAAACACCTATGTCTCCTGGAGATTCGGGGATGATGAACTTGTATTACTGAGATGCACTGGAAAATGAGATCTAGTATCATACTGCAAAGGGGTTGCATGCTTGGCTAGATGCATACACCTGAGGTGACAGCTGAAGTCAACCCCAGTGCTGACTGCTTCTGAAGATGTTTCACAACTCATCATCATATGCAGTGACTATGTAGTCAGTACAGAATAACTCCCAAAGCTAAGAGAACTTGGTGCTGGGTGAAACAGAATGCAGACTGTGAGATTGTTGTTAATCAAAATCATGACCACTTCTGCTAATATAGGAGACTGGGCATCAGACGTGCATGAGCTAACTTAAATAATAAAGGAAACTAATGAGATTATAACCTTTATTCATTGAAGTTTTGTATGAAGACATGAAAAGCAAATAAACAAAAAAACACCCCAAAGATTAATTCCTTTAAGTGAAGTGCCAGAATATAGCGAGTTAGCATTTAAAGGAAGTTTCTTTATCATTTATCCAAAACTTATAAGAATTATAAAACAAACCATTTTAGGATACCTATTCTTCTGTTGTGACACATAAAATAAAATGGTAAAAATATATTGTAAAATATTTCACACACTTTGCCATAAAGCAAAATCAAATACTTTATATAAATAGATACCATAGAAGCCATGCACTTTAAGTACAAAATAATTTAAAAGAAAATAAATAAGAAGAAAAAATAAAACTAAAGTGAACTAAAATTTCCATCAGGTTAAGTACTTATAACAGATATTAGAAGTTTACATATAGCTAAAGTGATTAAGAGAGTGACAAAGAAAGAGATAGATAGACAAATGCAAGAAGTACATATTAAACTACTAAACAGATCCGTATAAGAAAAATCATTACTGCAGAGCATGAATTGCAACCTGAATAAAGAGAAATTTTTCATTTAACTACCACTAAGTAATTGGAAAAAATGGGAAAATATTAGGCTTAAATTGTACCATATATGAAAATAAATCCAGGATGAATTGAAAATTAAATGTAAGGGGGAAAAAGATTAAGCATGTAGAAAGATAGAAAAAATATATTTAAAAAAATATTTTATCATTACAGTATTTCTTTAAAAATATGAAAATTTCACTGACCATAGGGAATTTCTGTTGAATTCAACTATATTTAATATATTTAACTAGTTGTATATGTTCATCTTATGACATTATGAAGAAAGTGAAAGAGAAATAAGATATTGGGAAATTTATGTACAAAATATATAATTGATTAGAAGCTATTAATAGTATCATAAGTACTTGAAGAACTCCTACAAATGAAAAACAAAGAGAAAATGTAAAACAATCCAACATATATGTCTAAATACATAAAGTGCATTTTACAAGAAAGAAAACATAAGTGGCAGATAAACTTAAATATAGGCTCTGCCTCCTTAATAAAGAATGTGACACAAATTGAAACCACAATGAAGTAATACTTAGACTTATCAGTGTAGCAATAAAAGCTCGTCAATAGTAAGTGATTGGGAAAAAATGAATAATCATAATTCTTCTTTTTTAATGATATAGCAAATTTGTACACATATTACAAAATATAGTACAGTTGAAGATGCTGCAAACTTACAATCCAGCCAAGCTACTCTTAGACCTTATCAGTGATAATTAAATTGTCGGACTATTGACTCAAAGAAATAAATAAATATATGTCTCAGATGACACACACACACATACACACACACAACACATACATGCATCCATACACGTGATTAAAATAGAGTTTAATTAAAAGAGAGTAAACATTACAACTGAAGTTACATTCTCATATTTTCTTTTTTGATTTCTTTTTTTATTATATTTAAGTTCTGAGATACATGTACAGAACGTGCAGGTTTGCTACATAGGTATACATGTGCCATGGTGGTTTGCTGCACCCATCAACCCATCATCTACATTAGGTATTTCTCCTGATATTATCCCTCACCCAGCCCCCCACCCCCGACAGGCCCCAATATGTGATGTTACCCTCCCTGTGCCCATATGTTCTCATTGTTAAACTCTCACTTGTGAGTGAGAACATATGGTGTTTGATTTTCTGTTCCTGTGTGTTACTTTGATGAAAATGATGGTTTCCAGCTTCATCCATGTCCCTGCAAAGGACATAAACTCATTTTTTTTTTTAACGCTGCATCGTATTCTGTGTGCCACATTTTCTTTATCCGGTCTACCACTGACGCACATTTGGGTTGGTTCCAAATCTTTGTTATTGTGAATAGTGCTGCAATAAACATACGAGTTCATGTGTCTTTATAATAGAATGATTTATAATCCTCTGGGTGTATACCCAGTAATGGGATTGCTGGGTCAAATGGTATTTCTAGTTCCAGATCCTTGAGGAATAGCCACATTGTCTTCCACAATGGTTGAACTAATTTACACTCCCACCAACAGTGTAAAAGCGTTCCTATTTCTCCACATCCTCTCCAGCATCTGTAGTTTCCTGACATTTTAATGATTGCCATTCTAACTGGCGTGAGATGATATCGCATTGTGGTTTTGATTTGCATTTCTCTAATGATCAGTGATGTTGAGGGTTTTTTTTTCATACGTTTGTTGGCCACATAAATGTCTTCTTTTGAGAAGTATCTATTCATATCCTTCAATCACTTTTTGATGGGGTTGTTTTTTCTTGTAAATTTGTTTAAGTTCCTTGTAGATTCTGGATATTAGCCCTTTGTCAGATGGATAGATTGCAAAATTTTTGTCCCATTTTGTAGGTTGCCTGTTCCCTCTGATGATAGTTTCCTTTGCTGCGCAGAAGCTCTTCAGTTTAATTAGATCCCATTTGTCAATTTTGGCTTTTGTTGTCATTGCTTGTGGAGCTTTGGTCAAGAAGTCTTTGCCCATGCCTATGTCCTGAATGGTATTGCCTAAGTTTTCTTCTAGGGTTTTTATGGTTTTGGGTTTTACATTTAAGTCTTTAATCTACTTTGAATTAATTTTTGTATAAGGTAAAAAGAAGGGGTCCAGTTTCAGTTTTCTGCATATTGCTAGCCTGTTTTCCCAACATCATTTATTAAGTAGGGAATCCTTTCTCAATTGCTTGTTTTTGTCAGGTTTGTCAAAGATCATATGGTTGTAGATGTGAGGTGTTGTTTCTGAGGCCTCTGCTCTGTTCCATTGGTCTATATATCCGTTTTGGTACCAGTACCATGATGTTTTGGTTACTGTAGCCTTGTAGTATAGTTTGAAGTCAGGTGGCATGATGCATCCAGCTTTGTTCTTTTTGCTTAGGATTGTCTTGGATATACGGGCTCTTTTTTGGTTCCATATGAAATTTAAAGTAGATTTTTCTAATTCTGTGAAGAAAGTCATTGGTAGCTTGATGGGGATAGCATTGAATCTATAAGTTACTTTGGGCAGTATGGGCATTTTCATGATATTGGTTCTTCATGTCCATGAGCATAGACTGTTTTTCCATTTGTTTACATCCTCTCTTATTTCCTTGAGCAGTGTTTTGTAGTTCTTAAAGATGTCCTTCACTTTCCTTGCAAATTGTATTCGTAGGTATTTTATTCTCTTAGTAGCCATTGTGAATGAGAGTTCACTCATGATTTGGCTCTCTGTTTATTATTGGTGTATAGGAATGCTTGTGATTTTTACACATTGATTTTGTATCCTGAAATTTGCTGAAGTTGCTTATCAGCTTAAGGAGATTTGGGGCTGAGATGATGGGTTATTCTAAATATACAATCATGTCATCTGCAAACAGAGACAATCTGACTTCCCTCTTCCTATTTGAATACTCTTTATTTCTTTCTCTTGCCTGATTGCTCTGGCCAGAACTTCCAATACTATGTTGAATAGCAGTGGTGAGAGAGGGCATCCTTGTCTTGTGCTGGTTTTCAAAAGGAATGCTTCCAGTTTTTGCCCATTCAGTATGATATTGGCTGTAGGTTTGTCATAAATAGCTCTTATTATTTTGAGGTACATTTCATCAATACCTAGTTTATTGAGGGTTTTTAGCATGAAGAGGTGTTGAATTGTATCGAAGGCCTTTTCTGCATTGATTGAGGTCATCATGTGGTTTTTGTCATTGGTCCTGTTTATGTGATGGATTACATTTATTGATTTGCGTATGTTGAACCAGTCTTGCATCCCAGGGATGAAGCCGACTCGATCATGGTGGATAAGCTTTTTGATGTGCTGCTGGATTCGGCTTGCCAGTATTTTATTGAAAATTTTTGCGTGATGTTTTTCAGGGATATTGGCCTGAAATTTTTGTTTTTGTTGTGTCTCTGCAAGGTTTTCGTATCAGGATGATGCTGGCCTCATAAAATGAGTTAGGGAGGAGTCCCTCTTTTTCTGTTTGGATTAGTTTCAGAAGGAATGATATCAGCTCCTCTTTGTAACTTTGGTAGAATTTGGCTGTTAATCCGTCTGGTTCTGGGCTTTTTTTTTTTTTTGTATTGGTAGACTATTCATTACTGCCTCAATTTCAGAACTTGTTATTGATGTATTCAGGGATTTGACTTTTTCCTGGCTTAATCTTGAGAAGGTGTCTGTGTCCAGGAATTTATACATTTCTTCTAGATTTTCTAGTTTATTTATGTAGAGGTGTTTATAATATCCTCTGATAGTAGTTTGTATTTCTGTGGGGTCAGTGGTGATCTCCCCTTTATCATTATTTATTGCGTCTATTTGATTCTTCTCTCTTTTCTTTTTTGTTAGTCTGGCTAGCGGTCTATTTATTTTGTCTGAGAGACTGGTTGTTATGATTACCATTCTTTTGCATTTGCTGAGGGTGTTTTACTTCCAATTATGTGGTCGATTTTAGAATAAGTGCTATGTGGCACTGAGAAGAATGTATATTCTGTTGATTTGGGCTGGAGAGTTTTGTAGATGTCTATGATGTCCACTTTGCCCAGAGCTAAGTTAAAGTCCTGAATATTCTTGTTAATTTTCTGCTCATTGATCTGTCTAATATTGACAGTGGGGTGTTAAAGTTTCCCATTATTATTGTGTGGGAGTTTAAGTCTCTTTGTAGGTCTCTAAGAACTTGCTTTATGAATCTGGGTGCTCCTGTACTGGGTGCATATATATTTAGGATAGTTAGCTCTTCTTGTTGCATTAATCCCTTTGCCATTATGTAATGCCCATCTTTGTCTTTTTAATCTTTGTTGGCTTAAAGTCTGTTTGTTTGTTTGTTTGTAGACAGAGCATCGCTCAGTATCCCAGGCTGGAGTGCAGTGGAGCGATCTGGGCTCACTGCAACCTAGACCTCCAGCGTCCTGGTTCAAGCAGTTCTCCTGCCTCAGCCTCCCAAGTAGCTGGGATTACAGGAATGCTCCACCATGCCCAGCTAATTTTTGTATTTTCAGTAGAGACGGGGTTTCACGTGGCCAGGTCCAGAGACTAGAATTGCAACCCCTGCTTTTTTTTTTTTCCTTTCCATTTGCTTGGTAAATCTTCTTCCATCCATTTATTTTGAGCCTATGTGTGTCTTTGCATGTGAGATGGGTCTCCTGAATACAGCACACCAAAGGGTTCTGACTTTTTATCCAATTTGCCACTCTGTGCCTTATAATTGGGGCATTTAGCCCATTTATATATAAGGTTAATATTGTTATGCGTGAATTTGATCCTATCGTTATGATGCTAGCTGGTTTTTTGCCCAGTAGTTGTTGCAGTATTTTCATAGCATCGATGGTCTTTACATTTGGGTTTGTTTTTGCAGTGGCTGGTATGGGTTTTTCCTTTCCATATTTAGTGCTTCCTTCAGGAACTCTTGTAAGTCAGGCCTGGTGGTGACAAAATCTCTCAGCATTTGCTTTTCTGTTAAAAAAAATTATTTCTCCTTTGCTTATGAAGTTTAGTTTGGCTGGATATGAAATTCTGGGTTGAAAATTCTTTTCTTTAAGAAGGTTGAATATTGGCCCTCATTCTCTTCTGGTTTGTAGGGTTTCTGCAGAGAAATCCACTGTTATTCTGATGGGCTTCCCTTTGTAGGTGACCTGGCCTTTCTCTCTGGCTGACATTAACATTTTTTCCTTCATTTCAACCTTGGTGAATCTGATGATTATGTGTCTAGGGGTTGCTCTTCTCGAGGAGTATCTTTGTGGTGTTCTCTGTATTTCCTGAATTTGAATGTTAGCCTGCTTGCTAGGTTGGTGAAGTTCTGGATAATATCCTGAAATGTGTTTTCCAACTTGGTTTCATTCTCTCTGTCACTTTCATGTACACCAATCAAACATAGGTTTGGTCTTTTCACATAGTCCCATATTTCTTGGAGGCTTTGTTCGTTCCTTTTCGTTCTTTTTTCTCTAATCTTGTCTTCACATTTTATTTCATTAATTTGATCTTCAATCTCTAATATCCTTTCTTCTGCATGATTGATTCGGCTATTGATACTTGTGTATGCTTCATGAAGTTCTCATGCTTTGTTTTTCAGCTCCATCAGATCATCTATGTTCTTCTCTAAACTGGTTATTCCAGTTAGCAATTGCTCTAACCTTTTATCAAGGTTCTTAACTTCCTTGCATTGAGTTAGAACATGTTCCTTTAGCTCGGAGGAGTTTGTTATTACCCACATTCTGAAGCCTACTTCTGTCAATTGGTCAAACTCATTCTCCATCCAGTTTTGTTCCCTTGCTGGAGAGGAGTTGTGATCCTTTGGAAAAGAGGCATTCTGGTTTTGGGAATTTTCAGTCTTTTTGTGCTGGTTGTTCCTCATCTTCATGGATTTATCTCTTTTTGGTCTTTGCTGTTGGTGACTTCAGGATGAAGTTTTTGCATTGTCGTCTTTTTTGTTGATGTTAATGCTACTGCTTTCTGTTTGTTAGTTTTCCTTCTAACAGTCAGGCCCCTCTTCTGCAGGTCTTCTGGAATTTGCTGGGGTCCATTCCAGACCCTGTTTTCCTGAGTATCACCAGCCGAGGCTGCAAAACAGCAAAGATTGCTGCCTGATCCTTCCTTTGGAAACTTTGTCCCAGAGGGGCACCCGCCAGATGCCAGAAGAAGCTCTCTGCTGTATGAGGTGTCTGTCGACCCCTGCTGGGCAGTGTCTTCCCGTCAGAAGGCATGGTGGTCAGAGACCCACTTGAGGAGGCAGTCTGTCCCTTAGCAGAGCTCAAGCACGGTGCTGGGTGATCCGCTGCTCTCTTCAGAGTCATCAGTCAAGAATGCTGAAGTCTGCTGAAGCTGCACCCACAGCCACTCTTTCCCCCAGGTGCTCTGTCCCAGGGAGGTGGGGGTTTTATCTATAAGCTCCTGACTGGGGCTGCTGCCTTTCTTTCAGAGATGCCATGCCCAGAGAGGAGGAATCTAGAGAGGAGTCTGGCTACAGCAGCTTTGCAGAGCTGCGGTGGGCTCCAACTAGTTTGAACTTCCCGGTGTCCTTGTTTACACTGTGAGGGGAAAACCACCTACTCAAGCCTAAGTAATGGTGAATGCCCCTCCCCCCACCAAGCTCCAGCATCCCAGGTCGACTTCAGATTGCTGTGCTGGCAGCAAGAATTTCAAGCCAGTGGATCTTAGTTTGCTGGACTCTGTGGGGGTGGGATCCACTGAGCAAGACCACTTAGCTGCCTGGCTTCAGCCCCCTTTCCAGGGGAGTGAACAGTTCTGTCACCCTGGCATTCCAGGCACTACTGGGGTACAAAAAAAAGTCCCTCAGGTAGCTGGGTGTCTGCCCAAAGGGCCGCCCAGTTTACTGCATGTGGTGTAGGCACTCGAGGGAACCTCCTGGTCTGTGGGTGAGAAGACCATGGGAAAAGCATAGTATCTGGGTTGGACAGCACTGTCCCTCACAGCAGGTCCCTCATGTCTTTCCTTGATTAAGGGAGGGAGTCCCCCTATCCTTTGTGCTTCCCTGGTGAGGTAACGCCCCACTCTGCTTCGGATCACCCTCCGTGGACTGCACCCACTATCTAACCAGTCTCAATGAGATGAGCCCGGTACCTCAGTTGGAAATGCAGAAATCACCCACCTTCTGCTTTGGTCCCGCTGGGATCTGCAGACTGGAGCTGTTCCTATTCAGCCATCTTGCCCAGGAATCCTCATATTTTCTTATTATGCTTCATTTCCTCTCTTCTGTGTTATTCTTTTAAATGATTCTTATGACCATTAAACTGACTTAATAATCCACAAATTGATCACAACATAAATCTTAAAAAATATTTTAGAGATTATTGCATCTGTGAAAACTCTTAACAGCAATGTTCTGATAGCATAATCTTGTGTGCTGGGAGCAGCTATTGTCCAATAATAGGTTAATACATATGAAATGGTGTTTTTTATTCTTATAACAAAAACATATATAACAATAAAAAAATTGGTGAATTGCAACTGCATGCACTCACATGAATGTATTCCAAGATTCTAAAAATTGAATGGAATACAAAGTTGCCATTTATTAAAAGATTCAATATTAAACACATAAAAATCTGTATTTTAACTAAATAAATTTGTTGTAAAACTAATGAAAAACCAATAAAATGACAAACACAACATCAAGTTTGTAGTTTTGTGGGAGACAGGAAGTTCAACAAGGACAGAAAGTGCTGCAGCTGCTAAGAGAACAAGGGATATTAAAGAGACTGCAAAATTCAATCATTAAACTGAGTGGTGAGAACATGAATATTTAATTCTAATAGTTGGTAATTACACATACTTAAATATTTTGTATCTGTTTCACGTATAGCAAACATTTTAAAAGATAACATGTGAGCAATATAAATAATTTTAGGCTAATGAGAATACATAGATTACAAAAGAAGATGTAAAAAACACACAACCCTTGTATTGGATCATTCAACCACCATTTAATCTTTGTGCCATTTTGAGAGATTGGAAAAATAAAAAATATTTTTTACAAAATGTGTTTCCAGTTTCTCTTGAAGCTCAGTTTCTAGATCGGATTTTTGATCTGCAATTCAAATGAAGTTGTAAAACACAGTAGAAGGGCAAATGACAAATTTTGGTGGCAATGCAATTGGATAAGTGGGTTCCAAAAAATGAGGTGTTGGCAACAGCTGCACTCCATATTTTGCATGCAGACAGGCTTATTGAGTGCAGAGCAGCTGTGGAGGAGGCAGCAATTACTTCTGCCAGGAATCTAGAACATAATAGCTCAAGGTCCATTTTTAATATATTGCTTCATTTATAGTGAAGCACAATAATGGCAGACTCAGAAACCTTCATTAAGACTGTTCAGTGTTCACGAATTCTCCAGGTCTCTGGATGCACTATATTTTATTATTATTATTATTATTTTGGAGATGGTGTCTTGCTATGTTGTCCAGGCTGGCATGCAATGACTATTCACAGTCATGATCATAGAGCATAGAGCAATGCAGCTTTGAACTCCTGCCCTAAGGTAACCCTCCTGCCTTAGCCTCTGCAGTAGCAGAGATTACAAGTATACCATCAGACTGAGTACCAGGTGCATTCTTAAAGCAACTACCTAGTTTCAAGATACTGTTTTTGTTGTCTGTTTCTTCATAGATTTGTTTTTGAAATAACCCTGTGTGTGTAGCAGACTCCAGGGCTAAGCTTATACTATTTTATATTTTCTATATTATTAATAGATTTAACACTTGATATACTTTTTGTTCTTTTTTATCCCCCATTCTTAACCACAGAAATCTTTTTGAGACTCAATGGATTTTTGAAAGCACATTTTATATTTAAGTATTCAGTAATTTTTTTTAAAAAAGGCTAACAGACTATCTAAACCTTCATATTCCCAGGAAACTGTATTTTTTCTTTATTTAATACTATACCAGCACATTTTCCAATAGAATTAAACAGCATTCAAAACATGGCTTTAATTGTAGACTTCTATTTGGATAAAAGGAGGTACTCTGCTTTATAGTTTTTTATTTTGGGAAACATCAGATACCTTTAATTTTTATTTTTATAAATAGAACTTTAATATACTTTCTTATTCATAAGTCTTCATGCACAGTTTTATTTCCTAAAGTTACATTTCTCAAAATATGCTCATTAAGAAGGCTCTAAACATGTTTAAAGACTCAATATATAATACCAAAAATGTCCTTCCTTCAGAAACGTTTGTGCTATAATATTGCTTGCTTCTTTCAATAGAAGCTATAATTTATGGGACAAAATACTGAAAATGAGATATTAGCACAGAGAAGAGAAAGTTGCACACATAGGGAAAGCACCTCACAAAGATTACTCTTGAGACTTTAGCTAAGTACTGATTAGTGAATTTACATAAAAATACTACCAGAGGTAGGGAAAGAGCCACTAGACAGGAATGGGTGGAAAAATCCTTAAGAATTCGCCAGGACTGGTAATAGATTTGCTCCTACCAGTGAAACAGCATGATAATATATAAGACATGAGTTAGAGTACTCAGAAGGGCATTGTCTGAGTAGTGGGTGAAAAGTAGTCTTAGACTCAAAGGCTTCTGCTGTCTTACCTAATAAAGCATAAAAAGAAGCCTCAAAAGCATCAAACTTTTCCCAAGAAACTCAACTATTTCACAGAAAAAAAATCTTAGGAATTTTTTTAAAGCATAAAAATGCTGTCCAGCAACCAATAAACTAAAATCACAATGTCTAACATTGAAGAAAAAAATTACCAGCATACAAAGAAACAGAAAAATACAATTAAATGTAAGGAGAAATCAATGTTTTGATCCTAGAGGTCTTGCATATTTTTCCAAAAATTTATTCTTCAATATTTGACTTTAATGCTGTTATAATTTTTTTAAATTCGTATAGTCAAATTTTCAATAACATATATAAGTACAATTGATGTTGTATGTTGACCTATTCTTTGATGTTACAAAATTTAACAATTTTTAATAAGTACCTGTAGATTTCTTTAATTTTCTTATACAGTCATCTATACACAAACGACAATTTATCTCTTCCCTGTAAAAATTTATCAGTGTTTTATGTTTCTGCGCTTGCTACAAGCTATAACAAACGTTGAGAATACTGCTAATATTTGATTGTTGATATTTTTCAACTTAGGATACAAAGTGTTCAATAGTCTATCATTCAGTAGCATATTAGCTTAAAATAGTTTTGAAAGCACCTCAACCTGAGGAAATTTCTTTTTACTCTTAATTACTTGTGTTTATTTATGATGATTGGTTTTTAAATGTTATCAATTGTGGTTTATCATTTATTGAGATGATCTTTTTTATCTTATTCAGATAATGTGGAAACCTTCATTGTTAAATATTCAAATATCTTCATAAATAACAGTTTAATTTATAGCTCTATTTTATTTGTTAATATTATTCAGGATTTTTGCATGGATTTTCCTTACAAACATTGGTCTGTAATTTTCTTCATTTGAAAGTTTTTTTTAGATTTGGTTCTTAAAGTCCTAGGGCCATAAATGCTTTGGAAAATGTTTGCTCTTTCTGTATATTCTGAAAGGGTTTATGTAAATTGTATATTATGTTTTATTTAAATATTTGGAAGAATTGATGAATGAGGTCATTTCTGAGTAGGTTGTAAGGTATAGAAAAATTCAGGTTTTCTATTTTTTGTCAGATTTTTGTATCTGTGTTTGTCAAG
The DNA here is from genome assembly GCF_000001405.40 of Homo sapiens. Classification (NCBI taxonomy): domain Eukaryota; kingdom Metazoa; phylum Chordata; class Mammalia; order Primates; family Hominidae; genus Homo; species Homo sapiens. The sequence continues at coordinate 95,188,704 of NC_000003.12, forward strand.
AAAATTGTTATTTTTCTGTAAATTGTCATAATTTATTGGCATTTTTGATACGCTTTTTTGTTATATTTGTTTTAACATTTTCTTTTTTATTTAATCTATTTATAATCATGATTATAAAACCTTAAATTAATTTTTAAAGTTTTGCATATAAGAAATTTTTACACATACTCCAACTTATTTTACAGAAATGTAAAAATATGTTCAATAATATATATTTCTTCAACAAAGTTTGAATAAAATGCATTTCTTTAATAGAGTTTATGTATTTCTTTAGTATATATGTAAATATATATGTATATATTTGTGGAAAAATATAAATAGGGCAGCGTATATAAGAACTTAGCATGCTTCTCTGTATAATATGTACAGTAAAACACATAAGATACTATGCTGATTTAGATTAGTTTAAGTATTTGGTAGCTTAATTAAAATTGCTTTTCATTTAAAATGTCATTCTTTCATTTTAACTTGAGTATTTCATTTTAGATCTTGTCATTTTAATAAGCATTCTCTCTCTACTCCCACATACTTGGAATATTTCATTTAGTCATCATTGAACCAACGTGCCGTGTTACATTGGAAAAAAAAAAGAAATATATTCTCTACCTACTTAAAAAGTTTTACTTGATAAATAAATAAATAAATTTATTTATTATTTTTATTATACTTTAAGTTTTAGAGTACATGTGTACAACGTGCAGGTTTGTTACATGTGTTAGCATTCACACAGTTACTGAGCTAGATGTTGAAGCTCAGTGAAATCTTCCCATTGTTGAGAAAACACTCAAAGTCAGATATTTGAAATTATCTAACTCCTGAGCCTTTGTACATTGCACAATACATGTCTCCATGTTTTTGTCACTTGGTTTGTCTGTTATTTTGTATATACATGTAGGCTGTTCTCATAAGGAACACTAAAAAATAGTCAATCATTTTATAGACTATCCAAATACCAGATCATAAATCCATAAAATTTGGGCTATGGAATTCAGATAATATGATTTATGACTTAGACTATGTGGGTTATAAAATCACTTTAGGCACCTTTGGATAAACTTCAAAGAGACGGAAAATCATCTATCAGAAAAGCAGAAAATAATCTATAGTGAGAGGTCTATATGACACTTCATTGGGAAAGCACATCAGACATATTAAAATGAAATCGGAAAACAAAGTAATGGCTTCAAATATGAGCATGCCACAGGTTAGAGAGCACTAGCAATTTATTAATTTAGCAATGAAGAGCTATTTATTTAACAATACTGGACATTAACAAGGTCACTTGTAAATAATGAAATCCCATCTCTATTAAAAATACAAAAATTAACCAGGCGTGGTGGTGCATGCCTGTAATTCCAGTTACTCAGGAGGCTGAGGCAGGAGAATCACTTGAACCCGGGAGGCGGAGATTGCAATGAGCAGAAATAGCACCACTGCACTCCAGCCTGGGAGATAGAAAGAGGCTCCGTCTCAAAAAGAAAAAAAAAGGTGAAGGGGATATGCATCTCTCAGATATTAAATACATTATAAAGTTGCAATAGTTAAATGTATGGTTTTATGGAATATGAAAGGAGGTTAAAATGATGATACAACAAGAAAACATATATATAGAGAAAGAGAACCAGCTTTTCTGTTCATAACCAAGTACAATTTTATCTGATTGTTAACTCATATATCAGAAACTCTTGATTATTCTAAAGGCATATCAGATTTTTTACAAACTGATGGACCTTCCAGGAAAAGGCAGTTGCTATATGTTTTGCCAGTCTTCTCCATATGTTGATCTGCTTGATGGAATAATTTAGTGTTTTCTGCAAAAATCACAATATTGGTTTTGGCATAAAGGCTGTCTTGTCTTACATTTCTGACGGTATATGAAAAAGTTTAGTTAATTTTTAGATAATTTCCGGGTCATAAATACATTAAAGAGATTTCTAATCTGTCATGAAAGTAGAATATAAAGTAATTTTCAAGGTGATAGCAAGTTATTTAAATAAACAAACAAGAAAGAAGAACAACTTAGACTCAGCGCTGTTCAATACCACTTGAGATTGAAATTAGACTTGTTGTGAAGCCATTCTCTAATCCAACATCTGGAAATTCGTGCTTTCTTTCTGGAAATTCATTTCTTTCATGCTTCCAACAACTGTTAGTCATTTTTCTGCTTTATATATCTGAAAGTCTTCCAAATTAAAGCCCTTTTATTTGGAACTACTTATCACATTAAAAGTATAACACCTTAGAAAGTTGCATTTTTAACTTACGCTCAATTTATAAAATTTTTAATTTTTGTATATAAAACTGATGTTATTGTGGCTTCTCAGTTATTTAACTTTTTTTTTTTTTTTTTTTTTTTTTTTGAGACGGAGTCTCGCTCTGTAGCCCAGGCTGGAGTGCAGTGGCAAGGTCTCGGCTCACTGCAAGCTCCACCTCCTGGGTTCATGCCATTCTCCTGCCTCAGCCTCCCAAGTAGCTGGGACTACAGGCGCCTGCCACCACACCCGGCTAATTTTTTTGTTTGTTTTTTAGTAGAGATGGGGTTTCGCCTTGTTAGCCAGGATGGTCTCGATCTCCTGACCTCGTGATCCGCCTGCCTCGGCCTCCCAAAGTGCTGGGATTACAGGCGTGAGCCACCGCGCCCGGCCAGTTATTTTCTGTAAAATGTCAGGTTTTTTTTTGGCTTGTTGCTTATTTATGTGGTATTTTCTTTCTCAGACAAAAAAAACCATTAATTATTTTAAGTAGTGATAATAATTAGACATCCCATTTAACTTAATTTCTTATATATACATATACACAATGCCAACTTTTGGCCTTCAAATTTGACTATGTAAAAAGGATTAAATTATGTCAAGAAACCAAAAACAAATTTCAGAGTATAATGTAGGTTAAAAACAATTAAAAAGGAATTTTCATTATGTGGACCCAGAATCTTAAATGAGATTTAATCATTGCTTTGAAAATTATGAAAGATAGATATGATGTTAATTGTTTATTACTAAATTTATAAAAGACAAAAATTTGAAGTGATTTTAATAAAAAATACTTTGAAAATAAGGCTTACATTTGTACTGAAGTTTGCAAAGAAGTGTATTAGACTGTAAAACATAACTGTAGACACATCTCATGTAAAAATACAATATATAGAATGCTGATTATTTATGAAGTTAAGAAATATACAAAAGTATTTAACAATTTAAGGACTAAAGATAATTTTCATTATTTTACTACTCTCATAAAAATCTAATTACAAATGAATGCAGTAATTCTGACATAAGTGAATAGAATTCCTGGTTTATGTTACACTTAGTTTTAAGATACAGACAAAAATAGATATATGTGCTAAGCAGATTTATAAACTTATGTGTAAATCTGCCACTTGTGATTCTGAAAGATAGTTATCATTTAAACTTGAATATAATAATAATTGAAGAGAAATCTATTGTATATCAAAATTAAGTCTTTCTAATTAGGCAGATATAAATTAAAAGAAATACTTTGAGGAAACAACTTCGTTAATTTAGCCATGAATTCATTCAATTTATTGAGCACCTATTTCTGCCAGGCATTTTTATAGTCACTTGGGATGTATTAGTGAATAAAACACATAGATATTCAATGATAGGCTAGAGTTGGGAAACCACAGTTTACTAGAACAGATTGTTAAATATTTAGCATGTTTTGATTCGGTTTTTGAAACATTGCCATTGTTAGCTTAAAATCAGCCATGATGGGAATATTTTACAACATGGAAATTGTGCAAACAATACAAAGCATGGCTTTCTTTTTTAGCCAATTTGGCAGCACACCATTTCAAATACCCCTTTTCTAGCACAGAAAGATACACCAAACAATATGAAGAATAAGCAAGTATATCATATTGTATGTTAGAAGGTAGTAAGAGTTACGGCAAACAAAAAAGAGACAGAGAATGGTGGTGAGTTTGTGAGTGTGATAGGAGAGCAGTTTGCAGCACTAAATAGGTTAGGCATCATCAAACAAAAACAATAAAATTTGTGAGGTAGTTAGCCATGCATATAAGGAACAGGTAAGCTGCTGTGACAGGAGCAGAGTGAGCTGTGAAGCAGGGTAGTAGGAGAGAAGATCAGAGAGGTAATGGGGTCAGATAAGGTCATCTTCTGGAGGCTAGAGAAGGATTCTGATTTTTTCATATTGATTGGAATGGAGAGAACCTGCAGGGTTCAAAAGAGTGACAATATCTAACATATTTTAAAAGAATAACTCTAGCTTCTATGTTGAATGTGGGGTCAATGCGTAGGAGGCATATAGACAAAGTTTGAATAAGAGAAGCCTTTAGGATATGTTACATTCATTGCACAAGAAAAGACAGCAGCTTGCAAGAGGGTAGGGACAAATGAACACAATGAGAAGTCCTTGGATTCTGAATATATCTCAAGAGCTATAGCCATAAAGGATTTGGTGGTGGTAACTGCAAACAAGTTTATCACTACTAACCAATTACTTAAAGGTCAATATCTTGAAAAGTTAAATTTCCATCATGACTAGTGAGTTACCTTTGGTGCCCCAAATTAAAATACATAATGTGTTAATATCCTGTGAGCCAGACTGGCCACTTTTACCACAGCTTGATTTTGTAATTTTTCAATCCTTTAAAATTAGAATAATTTTCTTTTCATAATTTTTGTTTCAACATTTTAAGGAGTTAACAATATCAGTTTGACTTTTAAATATTTATCTAATTGAAAGTTTGAGTATGCTTCTGTTTTCACTTGTCATGAGATAGTCTTGTTTGTCAAGAGCCACTAGTACCACAATTAACATAATTGACACCAATCTGAGGCCATTAAGATGCATTTTGCTTCACATTGGAAATCTTTGTCCTCTTCATCTTAGAAGCCACATTATTATTATTATTATTATTATTATTATTATTATCATCTTGCTAATGAAATGAAGTGGTATGGGATTTCTAATTTACTTAAAACTAAGATCGGTTTTCTTTCAAGTCCATAGCTGGACTGATAGAAATCTACTTCAGGGCACATTTCAAGGTACATTAGACATCATCAACTTTATTCACACAATGCTTTTATTATTGAAATATTAAATGACCCCCTCCTCATCCAAAACACAGTGTTTAGACTCTAGCAATTAGCAGTTAGCAGACATATTTCCTACAGATGCAATGAATGAACTGTGTCTGAATTATATAATCATTATTTCATACATGTAATGTGAGTTTATCTTTCATAGGAACTTCATGTTCAGGTGGTAACTTGCTCTACATACTGGAGGAAAGAAAAACTCTATAAAATAACTGATTATATGATTTGAAAGAGTCACCTACAGCATCTTTATTCTTCCATGTTTCTATATGATGATCTATATAATACTTGCCATAATTCTCTTGAAGATACCTTGATGACATATTATAATAATATATCACAGGAGTGCTACTACTAGGTTTTATTTAAGAAGTTTTACATGTTATAAAACTAACTTAAACACCAAAAGTCAAATATTTATTTTTCCTGAGAGTTGTATTCAAAATGAGGCATAATTAATACAGAACTTTAATTTTAGAAATTATCATATGGAGTATATGTATAAGATAAAACAGCAGGGGATTTTAGAGGTCACACCAAAATTCTTACTTAAGGGAGGTGGTGATTAACACCAAATGAGGTGATATGACTTGCCTAAAGTCACACAAACAGTAAATAGTCCTGGGATTAACATCTATTTTCCGAAGTTCATCTTTCGTGCTTTTTGTGTAATACCACGCTGTACATTCGAGCCTTCACTGTCATTTCTAAATTTGTCTGAAGCATTACCAATTTTGTCTTCTACTGTTTAACATAAAAATATTATTTCATATTATTGTAAGTATTAAGAATTTCAATATTCATATTAAGTAAAACATAGACAAATTAGTACTTTTGAAAATATTTTAATAAATTTCATTAAAGTAGAAGATTAAGGATTGCACTAAATATGTTAATGAATATGTTTTGAGTTATTTCTTTGTACCATTGTATGCTTCACAAATGATGTTAAATGTAAAATAATTATTTTTAAAATAATTTTAAAATTTAATAACAATGGCTTTCAGTGAAAGTGAACATCTGAGGAGATTTGACCAAATTAATTGCTTATGTAACATCATAAATCATAAAGAAAAATACAATTTGGGTTAATGAAACCTTGGCACACACTGCATGCAGTGGCAGTACATTGGACAATTAAATATGTATTTTGTGCCTATAATAAATAGTGAAAAGTAAGACAAGGATGACTTAATAACTCAACCTATGATAAATGAAAGAGTCACTCTTTTATTCTACTTTCCCAGTGACCCATGCTTTACTCAGGTTCCTATATGAGTTAATGGAAGAATCAGACAACTATCTCTTATAATTGCAATATGTGTTTAAAGTCCTTAGTTTTATATATCCATCCATAATAAATATTGAATAAGAATTTTTTTCATAATGAGAAAAACCTAGACTGTTATAACATTTTCTTATGCGACTCAACAGTTATTAGAATACAGATTCCCTTATGTCATAACATAAAAATGTCAGAATCCAGCATCACCATCAAATGTCTGATTTTTATTTCATCATTAAATAATGTTTTTGCTATTTTAACTATTTTGATTTGGTTATCATTTTAAAAGTTGAGGAGTCTGAGTGACTTATGTATAGCTAGATTTAAAATGCAGAATATGCCATTTGAAATTCCTTGCCAATAGTAAATTCAATGGTAGTTCGAAACTGCTTTCATTCCAGTTTCATTCCATAGGTTGTTGTTTCAACAACCTATGAAATGTAAAGTACAGCATGTATCAGGAAATCTAACTGTTGGACTAATAAGAGTGATAAAAGCTATGAGAAAAGTGACATGAAGCTAGTTCAATCATTGAGTTCCATGTTTTTTGTAAATGATCCTAGACCTGTACATTTTCTTATTTTTCTAAGTACCTTGGAATTATTTGTTGATTAATTTCTTTGAAAGGCTGACTTTTTAATATCCCAAATTAGATTCATTTCATGAAACTTTCTCTGTGTTTAGTATGTATCTGTTACTGTTGCATTTGCTGAAGTTAGAAGATACAAATATATACTAGTATACACCATAAAGAATATGACATGATAAAATTTCAAAATGTCCTAGGGAAGAGATCAATAGGCAACATTAAATATAAGCAGTTCATTTAAAGAAGAGGCAATGTCTTTCTTTAGGTATGTATTTTAGAATTTCTGGAAATTGTTCTGATGGAATGCTTATACTAAGTGCTTAATGAATGATTGTTAACTTAATTCTTGCTGTTCTTCCTACAAATAAGATCCCTGAAAGATAATATTAGTTCCACTATTGGCATTGGCATTTTAAATATGATAAACCAATGTGTTGATTCCTGAGAATTTTTCTACTGAAGCTCAAAAGTTGTAATTTTTTTACTCTGAAATAATTTTAGACTTTCATTAATGCTGAAAATATGGCACTATTTTTTCTTGAACCGTTTGGGACTGCTTCTGATACGATGTTCCATCTCCCATGAATACTTTCATATGATTTCCTACACAGGAATATATTCTTATCTGTATCTGTAAGGCAACCATTAAAATAAGAAAATTAACAGTAATACATGCTACCATATGATCTTCAGAACCTATACAAATTTCTTCAATTTTTGAAAATATTTTTTAACATCTATAGGCTGTAACTCAGGATCATGCATTCTATTTTGTTGCATATGTCCTTCTTTTCCTTCAATCTGTAACAGTAACCCAGTCGTTCTTTTTGATGTTTATGACTGCAGCACTTTTGAAGATTGAAGGCCGATTATTTTAAAGAATGCGCCTTGATTTTGGTTCATTTAATATTTTATTAGATAAGTTTATGCATATTTACCAGAAATATGTCAGAAGCACTGCTGTATTCTTCTCATTGCTTCTGGTCAGGTGATACATGATTTTCATTTGGTTCATTATTGATGATGCTAAATTAACTCACCTTAATTCAGATACTGCTTGATAACTTGATTATACAGCTTATTTTCTTCTCTTTGTCAGAAAATAACTTTAAATATTTTGATTGAGGTATAATTTACATACATACTATAAAATTTACCTATTTTAAATGTATAATTCAATGATTTTAAAGAAATTTACAGGATTTTGAAACCATTACCACAGTCCACTTTGAAAGTATTTCCTTCACTCCCTTAACAGATCTATATGGTTATTTAGAGTCAATTTCTATTTTCACTCCCAGCCTGAGGTAACCAGGCATCATTTTTTCTCCTAAAGTTTTGCCTTTCTTAGACATTTTATATAAATGGACTCATATAAGATGTAGCTTTTTGTGGGAAAGTACTTTAAGACTTGTAAATATCCTATTGTTCATAAAACTTTCCCTCACAGTTTTAAGGACTTGCTGATAATTAATGCTTAAATTCATTCATATTAGGATGCTTACTGAGTGATGATTTTCTAATCCAATACCTTACATAGTTCTTAGCATTCTGCTGTAAAGAAAAAGCTTTACTTCTGTCCATTTCTTCATCTATTCTTGTGTCTTTATCATTATAGACTCATGGATTTGTCTTTTATTTAATGAGTTATGATTTGTTACTGTCATTATTTATCATGCTTCTATTTGCTGCTATTTGTCCAATGGGAGCCCCTTCAAACTGGCTTCCATATTCTTTACACCCAGATAATCATTCTTTGAACACTTATTTATGAATAATAAGATATCTCAGACTTATCTTGTATTTTTCTCTGAAGTCCTGGAATTTTTTCTTGGTTCCTCTTGGAGGACACTGGTAGTTAGAAACAAAGATCTGGAAACTATGTTTGCTCATTGCTGCTTTTGAGTGTCATTTTCCCCAGGCTCTCAGTGATCAGAGATAAGAAATAATATATATGCATATCATACATGTTAACTATGCATCTATGTATTTATTATACATATATATCTATCTATATAAACTTGACTTTGTTTGGGCTGCTACAACATAATATCTTAGATTGGGCAATTTATAAACAACAGAAATGTTTTTCTCAACGTTCTGGAGCCTGGAAAGTCCAAGATTAAGGCACCAGTAGATTCAGTGTCTGATAAGGTCTCTCTGCTTCAAAGATGGTGCGATGTTGCTGTTTTCCTCAGACCGCAGAAGGGCAAGGGAGCTCACTTCAACCTGTTTTGCAACGGCACTAAATCCCATTAATAAAAGCAGAACCCTCATGATGTAATTATTTCCTAAGCAACCCTATCACTTAATACCACCATAATGGGGATTAGGTTCCAACATTAATTTTGGGGTTTCACATTCATAATAACAATGTTGAAAACCATGCATGTACATTCGTACCTCTCATTCTAACCCAGTATCACAGGATTCATTCTAGTCTTTATCCCTAATTGTACTATCTTTCTCTAATAGTTAAAAACAAATACACAGACACACAGACACACAGACACATACACACACACACACACACCCTCTCATTATGCTCACTAAATATACTTGCTTGACAGATTGTGTGTATGTAACCAATTTCTTGTTGCTCATGACACCCTCTTCTCTAGCCTTTTCTCACTGTGGACATACGTCTCACATTCCTTGATGCCCAACCCTTCATTTTAGATTGAATATATCCTCCCACTTCCCTCACAGATGCCTGTTGCACCAGCTCAGTCTCTGACATCTTTCAGCAGTTTAGTGCTACTTCCATACGCCAGTATGGATGCCTACTTCATCCCTCTCGTGCTCCAACATGCTCTAAGGTTTTAGGGCCACCACTTGTGACTCTACACCTCTCCCTCTCCCTGTAAACAGGTGTTCTGTCTGTGAAGGCTCTGATACTTTGTGCCACCATCATGTATTTTCAATAACCAACTCCAAGTGTACTTGGAAAAAAAAACTTTGTATAATTTTTTTCCTCAGACTAGTCTCCTTTCCAGTATTTTTCCTGCAGTATTAATATTTTAGTATTCACTCAGAGTCAACATCTACATTTTATCAACCTTTTCTTCTCTATTTCTTCTTCCTATTCACACATTCTACATTCTCAAACTTTTTCCTCCAAATGTTTTTCTTCCCCTCCATTGTCACTGTCCTGTTGTTCAACACTTTTGTAAATCCATACCTATATTACTACAAATGATATATTAATGCTTATAATTGTTTTCCCCCCTAAAATCATATATATTGACACAAGATTGAGATTCAGGACAATACTTTTATTTTGTTTCTCTCTGGCTAAACTCATTTTTCTCTTGCATTCTGGTTCACCTTTCCAGGTGTATTTATTTTCTATAATAATTCTACATTTCTTAAACACGTCAGAAGAATTTCCTCACTTGTCATTGCTTGTATTTTTCACCCACATTTTCATTCATTTCTTGGATTCATTTTATATCCAAGAAATTGATATAAAATTACATATATGGGTACATCAAATCTTGCCCACTAAGTTTTACATTTCTGTTCTCAATGCCAGATATTCTTGCTTTGTCATATTTTTTGGTGAGTATATGACTGAGTTTTGTTTCTCCAACCACATAAGGAAAATACAACTCAGCTTTCAGTTATTTCAGCTGCAGCATCTTGCATGGGGTCGTGTACAGAATGGACAGTAAATGATTGTATACTAAAAATAAATAGAAAAACACTAAGCTATTCCAACAGAATTTGCAACGAAGTAGTCAATTATAGCTGATGAGAGTCAAGGGTGCTTATGCTGTTTCATTTTTTTCTTTAAAACATTTTAAATTCTACTTGCCTAAAAAGTGACCAAATTGAAGTTTATATTCCATTTTTGTGGCTGATTTCTTATTTTAAAATACTCTCTTAAATTGTGTTAAGCAGTTTCTATTTGTATTCAATGTCACCTCTGTGTGGAGTCAAGAACAGAAAGTAAATAGTAATAAATGCAGTAAATGAAGTAGTTACCTTGGGAACAATGCATCTGACCATTTCAGTTATAAAGAGCCATCTAGAATACAACAACCAAATAGAATCACAATACATAGTGAAAAATGTATTCTTATTATTGTATGTCTGTCCTATGTATTTATGTTTTTAATTTCCTGACAGTTTGTATTTTATTCCTATGTACAATTCAGTTCAATTTTATATTTACAGATAAATTAGATCTAAAATTCTTCTTCAAACCTGAATCATCTTGATACAGGAAAATATTATTTACACTGAGAAACCAATGGACTTAAAAATTATTTACTATTGTCTCTCATAACCAATGCTTGAAATTGTCTATTAAACATTTATTATTATTAAATTTGTAAGCATGTTGTACTGTAATTTTAATCTGCATTTCTTTCACTAGTGAATTTCAGCATTTTTTCTTTGTATTTGTTGGCCAATTACATTTTTCTTTGCATAAACTTACTTTTCATATTCTTGTCACAAGTTTTAATATTGAAACTCAAGTTTTTATGTTATTACTAGTTTGTAGTAATATCTTGGCATTTCAGAGATTAATCCTATGTCCATTTTAAATGTGGAAGATATCATCTCCCAGTTTTTCATCTGTCATAGGTTTCTGTGGTTTTCAAATGAAATTCTTAATTTTATGTATTAAAATGTATTGATATTTTTCCCTACAGTTTGAAGTGTTTGAGCTTTGTTTAACAAATTTTATCTACGTTATGGTCATGAGACCATGGCCATGAGACTCCTACATTTTCTTCTATTAGCTTTAATATTCATATTTTAGTTTATAGTCTACCTGAAATTTATATATGGTATGTATTAGTTATCCAACTTGATTTTTGTATGTATCATTAGAAGGTTTTCCTCTCTAAATTCAGTACACAGTCCATCTGTCTCATTTATAGTATCGACTTCACCAAATGGCACTTTTCCACCTCACTAGAGACTGGACCTTGAGCTATGTTTTCTGTTTATTTGCAAGTACTACCTTGTTTTCTTTCCTTTTAAAACTTGGCATACCCCAATTTTTAAAATCCAAGTGTGTAGGTTAAAGTATTTAGCAAAATATTTTGTCTAATTCAACCAAATTTAATAAATCTTTAGAAATTCTTAGAAAAATCACATTTCTAATGTGGATACTTGATGCCCTATTAATATGGATTGCACACAATTTGAATGTAAAGTAAAAATATGTAGTTTTGATACAATTCACATCTAGTATTCTATAAATGGCATTTAAATTATCCTCTAATTAAATTTCCATATGTTAAAATAAAGTATATCTTTAAGATTTTAATATCTAAAGAATATCTAAAATAAAAATAATAATATTTAAAATAAAAAAACTAAAATAAAAAATATCTAAAGAGCTACCAATAATAATAATAATTTAATAATTCAATAATGCATAATTAAATAAACATGGGTTCTCTTTTCTAAATGTAAATAAAATATTTGATAGTGGCATTTTTTAAATCAAGACTTTTATTTTCAACAGAATAAATATTCCCTTCCAAAAGCAAAAGGCCAAAGATGAATAAAAAAAGTCATCAGTTTCTTCTGGAATCTGCAAGAACCAGGTTAGATTTTTTTATGAGAAGTGGCCACTTTGCAAGATGCTTTTTTTTAAATTTATTTATTTTACTTCAAGTTCCAGGATACAAGTACCGAATGTGTAGGTTGGTTACTTAGGTATACATGTGCCGTGGTAGTTTGCTGCACTTATCAATCCATCATCTAGGTTTTAGGCCCCATATGCATTAGCTATTTATCCTAATGCTCTTCCTCCTCTCGCTCTCCACGAACTGACTTGCCCTGGTGTGTGTTGTTCCCCTCCCCGTGGCCATGTGTTCTCATTGTTTCACTCCCACTTATGAATGAGAATATGTGGTGTTTGGTTTTCTGTTCCTGTGTTAGTTTGCTAAGGATGATGGCTTCCAGCTTCACCCACGTCACTGTAAATAACAAGAACTCATTCCATTTTATGGCTGCATAGTACTCCATGGTGTATATGTACCACATTTTCTTTATGTAGTTTATCATCGATGGACATTTGGGTTGGTTCCATGCCTTTGCTATTGTAAATTGTGCTGCAATAAACATACGTGTGCACCTGTCTTTATAGTAGAATGATTTATATTCCTTTGGGTATAAACCCAGTAATAAGATTGCTGGGTCAAATGGTATTTCCAGTTCTAGATCCTTGAGGAATCACCACACTGCTTTCCACAATGGTTGAACTAATTTACATTCCCACCAACAGTGTAAAAATGGTCCTATTTCTCCACAGCCTCGCCGGCATCTATTGTTTCTTGACTTTTTAATAATCACCGTAGTAACTGGTGTGAGATGGTATCTCATTGTGGTTTTCATTTGCATTTCTCTAATGATCAGTGATGATGAGGGTTTTTTTTTCATGTTTTTCGGCCACATAAATGTCTTCTTTTGAGAAGTGTCTGTTCGTATGCTTTGCCCACCTTTTGATAGTTTTTTTTTTGTTTTTTTCTTAAACTCCTTTAAGTTTCTTGTAGATTCTGGATAATAGACCTTCGTCAGATGGGTAGATTGCAAAAAATTTCCCCCATTCTATAGGTTGCCTGTTGACTCTGATGATAGTTCCTTTTGCTGTGCAGAAGCTCATTAGTTTAATTAGATCCCATTTGTCAATTCTGGCTTTTGTTGAAATTGCTTTTGGCATTTTTGTCACAAAGTGTTTGCCTGTGCCTATGTCCTGAATGGTACTGCCTAGGTTTTCTTCTGAGGTTTTTATGGTTTGGGGTTTTACATTTAAGTCTTTAATCCAACTTGAGTTAATTTTTGTAAGGAAGGGGTCCAGTTTCAGTTTTCTGCATATGGCTAGCCAGTTTTCCCAGCACCATTTATTAAATAGGGAATCCTTTCCCCATTGCTTGTTTTTGTTTGGTTTGTTGAAGTCTGTTTTGTCAGAGACTAGGATTGCAACTTCTCCTTTTTATTTCTTTTCATTTGCTTTGTAAATATTCCTCCATCCTTTTATTTTGAGCCCATGTGTATCTTTGCATGTGAGACCCATCAGATGCAGCACACTAATGGGTCTTGACTCTTTGTCTAATTTTCCAGTCTGTGTCTTTTAATAAGGCCATTTAGCCCACTTACATTTAAGATTAATATTTTTATGTGCGAATTTGATCCTGTCATCATGATGTTACCTGGTTATTTTACACACTATTGGTGCAGTTTCTTCATAGTGTCATTGGTCTTTATATTTTGGTGTTTTTTGTGCAGTGGCTGGTATCAGCTTTTTCTTTCCATATTTAGTGCTTCCTTCAGGAGCCCTTGTAAGACAGGCCTGGTAGTGATGAAATCCCTCAGCATTTGCTTGTCTGGAAAGGATTTTATTTTCTCCTTTGCTCATGAATCTGAGTTTTGCTGGATATGAAATTCTGGGTTGAAAATTCTTTTCTTCAAGAATGTTGAATATTGGCCCCCACCTCTCCTCTGGCTTGTAGGGTTTCTGCTGAGAGGTCTGCTCTTAGTCTGATGGGCTTCCCTTCATAGGTGACCTGGCCTTTCTCTCTGGCTTCCTTTAACAGTTTTTGTTTTGTTTTGTTTTTTTCATGTCAACCTTGGAGAATCTGATGATTCTGTGTTTGGGAGTTGATCTTTTCATGCAGTATCTTAGTGATGATCTCTGTATTTACTTAATTTGTATGTTGGGCTGTCTTGCTAGGTTGGGGAAGTTCTCCCAGATAATATCCTGAAGTGTGTTTTTCTACTTGGTTCCATTCTCTCCATCTTTTTCAGGTACTCTAACCAATAGCAGGTTCAATCTTTTTACATAGTCCCATGTTTCTCGTAGGCTTTGTTTGTTCCTTTTTATTCTTTTTTCTCTAATCTTGTCTGCATGACTTAATTCAGCAATGTGGTCTTCAATCTCTGATATCCTTTATTCTGCTTTGTCAATTTGGCTATTGATACTTATGTATGGTTCGCAAAGTTTTTGTGCTGTGTTTTTCATCTCCATCAGCTCATTTATGTTCCCCTCCAAACTTGTTATTCTATTTAGCAGCTCCTATAACCTTTCATCAAGGTTCTTAGCTCTTTTGCATTGGGTTAGAACATGTTCCTTTAGCTCAGCAGAGTTTGTTATTACCCACCTTCTGAAGCCTACTTCTGTCAATTCGTCCATCTCATCTTATGTCCAGTTCTGTGCACTTGCTGAAGAGGTATTATGATCATTTGCAGGAGAAGAGGCACTCTGGCCTTTTGAGTTTCCAGCGTTTTTCATTGATTCTTTCTCATCTTCATGAGTTTGTCTCCTGTCCCTTGTCAAGGATTGATATCCTTGAGGTGCTGACCCTTGGATGGGGTTTTCGTGGGGAATTTTTTTGTTGTTGATGCTGTTGTTTCTGTTTATTTGTTTTTCTTGCAATGGTCATGTCCCTCTTCTGTAGGGGTGCTGTGGTTTTCTGGGGTTCTATTCAGGCCCTATTCATCTGGTTCACTCCTGTGCCTGGAGATGTCACATGAGGAGGCTGCAGAACAGAAAAGATGGGTGCCTGCTCCTTCCTCTGGGATCTCTGACCTCAAGAAGCACCCAACTGATACCACTAAAATTGCTCCTGTATAGGCTGTCTGACAACTCGTTGGAGGGTCTCACCCAGTTGGGTGGCATGGGGAGTAGGATGCATTTAATGAAGTATTTTGACTGTCCCTTGGTGGAGGGGGTATGCTTTGGTGGAGGAAAAACTCACTCATCTGTGCTGCCTGGATTCCTCAGAACAGGAGGAATGACTAAGTCTGCTGGTCTGTGGAGACTGTGGCCACCCCTGCCCCTAGGGGTTCAGGCCCAGGGAGATCAGAGTTCTGTCCCTGAGCCTCTGGCTGGAGTTGTTGAAGTTCCTGCAGGGAGGCCCCACCCAGTGAGAAGGGATGGGTCAGTGTCAGGCCTGAAGAGGAGCTCTGTCTGTAGTCTGCCACAGCCTGTGTGTTGGGCTGTGAGGGCGATAACTCTTGGGACCAAGCAGTCCAGCGTCCCTGGATCCAGCAGGGGAAAAGCACAGCCTGGAGCTATAAAGATGGATGCTGCCCTTCTCTTGCCCTGGGAGCTTAGTACTTTAGGCAGCTATCAGTCCCAGTGTTGGCTGTCATCCTTTCTGCAAGGAACTCAAACAGCATAGACAGCAGGCAGTGGCAGCTGTGGTGCTGGTTACCCCTCCCGCCAGGAGCTCCACAGGCTTAAGCAGTTTCTAGCTTAATGGCTGTTGAGAATCTGCGCAGCTCCGTAGTTGAGACCCTAGACCTCAGTGGCATGGGCTCACAAGTGGGATCTTCCGATCCATGGATTGCACTGTTGTGTAGAAAAAGCACATTTTCCCAGGCTGGGAAGCATGCTCACTCACTGCCTTCCTTGGCTGCACGGTGGGTCTCCCCTACCCACTGTGGCTCTCAGGTGGGCCGCCACACCACACTGGCCTTCCTTCCTCCTCTTGGGTCACACCAGCCATCTAGTCAGTTCTTATGAGAGCCTTGTGGCCACCTAGATACCTTGGTTGGCAGGGCAGGATTTGCATACTATTACAGTTCTTTTCAATGGGAGCCTCTGACCACCACTGCTTCTAGTCGGCCATCTTGGCCCCACCCCCGATACTGTCATTTGCTACCTCTTGTACAGTTCAATCAAGTTTATTTCCCTAACATGTTGTTACATTCAATATTTTGATTATCTTTATCAGAATAAGGGATCACAGTGAATGTTTTTGATTATCATCGTAATAGAGAATCACTGCGCCAATAGATTTCATGTGTACTAGTCAAGTATTTTGTAAAATGGCCCTTATCTAGAATTTTTCTGATGTTTTTCTCTGATTAGACTAAGGTTGTGAGTTTGGAGAGGAAGATCAAAGGAGTAAACTGACATTTTCATTATACCATATAAAAAGCACATATATTAACATCATAGTTACTGTTAATTTTAGCTATATTGCCTAGCTGAAGTAGTCTTTGTCAGGTTTCTTCACTGTGGAGTTTTAGTCTGTCATCATTTTATTCTGTAATCTTTGGAGGGTGTCACTATGCATAGCCCGCAGTTAAGGAATGGGGAATTAGGTTTCATCTTAAGGTCCAAGTGTCTACAAAAATAATTTGAAATTCATCACTGGCAGCTTTTTTTTTTTTATTTTCTCCTATTCTGCAATTATTAACAATCATTTATTTATATAAGTGTTAACTTGTGGGTATTTGTGGTATTCTTTGAGTTTTAAAACAGTACTAAGTTATTTATTTTGTTGCTCAAATCACTTCAGCTTTAGCTGTTGGAAGTTCTTTAGCTCTTGTGTCACTTGGACCTATCCCTTTCATTTTGTGTGTGTGTGTGTGTGTGTGTGTATGTGCATGTGCACGTGCATGTGCATGCATATTTGTTCAGTATTTTCTTACCTTCTGATACTGTGACATGCTTCAGGTTCATTTGTATATTCCCAAGACCAGTGCTAAAATCAGCCATTTCTCTAAGATGCCTTCATTTCTTTGATTGAAGAATGGCGTTGAAAACCAAGATCTAAGGGCTCTATGTGCTATCGATAGTGAAGTGTCTTTGCTGCTACGCCGGTTCAGCTGACAGATGTGAAAAAAAAAGTGTATGCTAATCCATGTAACTATATAGATATCTGTAAGTATTACACTATATATTCATCTGTGTCTAAATTAGTCTAAATATGAGTTCATTTTGATGTCTCCACCTCCAATTTAGTACCATATCTATCATTCTTACATTCTTTTCCTGGGTGTATGTAACCTCAAACTCCAACAGTAATAAATCTGCTTCCCAACATTAGCAAACTATTTACTAAATATCCAATTACTATATTATTAATTTAATTACGTATAGTGGTTTCAAAATTGATAATCCTTTTCTTTGTGGGAAACAACATATTCCACTTGAAGACAGGACATATGGTGCCTTTAGACTTACAGATTCCACTAATATCCAAAGCACCATTTATCCAGCTCCCTTGAGCATAGTTGTTTCATACATTTGTAATAGTGTCAGACTGACTTGTCATATTCCGTATTCTATTCTTGGAGCCTTCTATGTCCTAAAGTGATTTATTTTTAATTTGCATGCAATAAGTTCACACTTTGTGTTGTAAAGTTCTATGGGTTTTGACAAATGCGTAGTGTTATATCTCCACCACAACAAGATTAGAATAATTTCATCAGTTTAAAAAATCCTGTGTGCGTGACATCTTCAAACTTCCTCCTCCCAATCCCTGACAATCACTGATCTTTTACCATCTCTATAACTTTGTTATTCTAGAATGCTATATAAAAGGAATTACATAGTATTACGCAGTAGACTTTCAGACTGGTTTTCACCTAACAGTATGTATTGAAATTTAATGTTTTGTGTAACTTAATAGGTCATTCCTTTATATTGCTGAATATTATTTCATTTTATGTATGTAGTGCAATGTATCAGCTCACCTACTGAAAGACATCATAGTTGTTTCCAGTTTTTGGCCATTGTGAATAAAGTGTTATAGCTTTCACATGCAGATTTTTGTGAGAACATAAATTTTAAATCAAAGAACTTAAGAATATGATTGTTGGCTCTTACAGTAAGACTTCAATTATTGCTTAAGATACTGAAAAACTGCTTTTCAAAATTACTGTACTAATTTGTATTCATACAAGCAATAATTGAAAGTTTCTGTTGTTTCATATTCTTTCAATAATTGGAATTTTCAGCTATGTGTATTTTCAAAAGTGGTGTCTTATTATTTCAATACACATTTTCATAATGAAAAATAATAATGAACATATTTTTATAAGCTTGGTTGCCACCTACATTTCGTTTTTTTTGATATGGTGTATGTTGAGATCTTTTGTCAATTAAATTGGATTTATTATTTCCTTATTGTTGATATTAAGACGTCTGTATATTTTGGATTCAAGTAATATCTCAGATATATAAATTGCAAAAATGTTTTCCTATCTTATGACTTGTCCATATTTTTAACTGTATTTTGTAGAGCAAAAGTTTTTAATATTAATAAATCCAATACAATATATCTTTTTTCTTTTTCATGGATTATACTCTTGGTGTTTTATCTTAAAATAGTATTAAGTCCAGGGTCATATAGACTTTATCCTAGTTTTTACTCTAGATGTTCTGTATTTTTGCTTTTAAAATGATGTCTTCAATCTATTTGAAATAACTTTTATATAAGGTATAAAGTCTAAGGTCTGTTTCTATGTTCTTTTTTTTTTTCCTTAGAAATGTACAGCTGTACTGACACTGTTTTTGAAAGACTATCTGTTCTTCATTGCATTGCTTTTGCTCTGTTGTCAAATATCAGTTGGCCATATTTGTCTGGGTGTGTTTCTGGACTCTCCATTCTGTCCCAATGATCTATATCCAAATTTGGTATATACTTTCACCAACATTATGTTGTTATTATTATTGTAGTATTACATTAAGTATTATAATAAGTATTGAAATCAGGTACTGTGAGTTCTCAAATTTTGTTCTTCTTCAATATTGTGTTAACTATTCTAAGTGTTTTATGTTTTGACATTAATCTTAAAATCAGCTTTTGATTATCTACAAAGTAGCTCAATGGATATTGTTTGGGGTTGCATAGATTATATAGATCAGGTTGAGAAATGATACCTCAACAATATTGTATTTTCCAATCCCTGGAAAAGAAATAATGCTTCTTCCAAACCATGGACAATGAATAATGCTTCATTTCTTTAAATCTTTTATTTGCTTCTTCAGTGCTTTTTATTTTTTTACAAAAAAAAAAATCTGTGATGTTTTGTTAATCTTACCTAAGTATCTCTCTTCCTTTTTTTAGTGACATTGTAAATGGTACTTTTAAAAATTTTCAAGTCTAGTTTTTATTGTTTGCTATAAAAAAGGAATGAGTTTTTGTATATTGACTTTAGGAATCAACAAACTTGCAGTTTCAATATAGGTTTACATAAAGTTAAGATATTTCTTAATTATAATGTTAAATTTTATGTACTTTTTACTTTTGAAAGTACTCATCATTTTTAGGACATTTGGTTAAATGGTTCATTAAAATTCCAGGAGTTATTGTTTAGTATACTTTAAAACTTTTGTCACTAAACTTATTTCTTTGTTGAAATGCTCTAAATATACATTAATGGGTGATGCAAATTTACATGTAAATTATTGGCATTAAGTTCACCGAATATGATGCAGTTCAGCCTCCAACATTTTTAGAGCAAGTCACAGGCTCCTGTATATTGACTTTATATCTGGTGACCTTGTAAATTCATTAGTTAGCTCTTTTTTGTCTGTTATTTCTTTTTTCGATTATTTGGGGTTTCTACTTAAGAAATCTTGTCATCAATGAATAGCTCTGACTATTGTCTTATTTATCAAATACTGACTTTTGTCTTACTGTATTAGCCAAGACTTTTTATATTATGCTTAAAAGCAGTGTGGAAAGAAGACATCCTTGCTTTGTTCCCCATTTTTAAAAGAGAAGTGTTTATTTCTCACCATTTACTATAAAGTAAGCTTGGATTTTGTTTTGTTTTTTGTATATTCCCTTTATTAGGTTGAGAAACTTTCCTGTTAGTCCTAGGTTTGGAGTTTTTTCATAAAAATGTGTTGTAACTTGTCAAATAATTTTTGTGCATCTACGGATAGTACATACTTTTTCTTATTCAGTCTGATAATATGATGCTCAAAATGATTGCTCACAAATGTTGACCCAGTGTTGCATTTGTGGGATAAACTCAATTTGGTTTTGATATATTATTCTTTTTATATATTGCTAATATTTGTTAATATTTTGTTGAAGATTTTCACATCTATGTTCATGAGAAAGAATGGGCTGTTGTTTTCCTGTTATGATGTATTTTATGGTGATAGTATTATACTGCTGGCCCCATAAAATGAGTAAAAAGTGTTACTTTTTCTTTTTTTTTGTTTTTTTTGAAGAGATGGAGGAGAACAGCAATTATTTTTTCTTCAAATGTTTGGTAGACTGCACATGTAAGACCTTTGATCCTGGTAAGGTTTTGTGTTGTTTTTTGTCTTTGAAAAAGTTTATATTATATTAAAATTATTACAACGAGATTAGCTGTTACTCTTAATGTAAATTTTAATAGTTTGTGTGTTCCAAGGAACTGATTAATTTTATCTTTGCTGTTAATTTTTTAAGCATAGAGTTACTTATAGTATTAATCTATGAAATTATTAGGAATGACTCATTCTTTTTTATATTGATGGCTTATGCTTCCTCTTTTATTTTCTTATTCTGTTTTTTAGTTTATTAATTTTCTTAGTCTTTTTAAATAATCACATTTTGGTTTTCATGACTCATTTTTTTTTTGATTCACACGTTATTTGGTATGTTATTTGGGATAATTTCAAAATATTTTGGAATTTTTTAGTTTTCCTTGTGTTACTGACTTGTAGTTTAATTTTACTGCATTCTGAGGCTTCTATTCTTTTAAATATGAATGGTGTCTTTTATGCCACAGAATGTGTTCCATCTTGGTGAATGCTGTGTGCAAAATTGAGTTGAATGTGTATTCTACTGCTGTTGATGGGGCATTCTACAAATGTCAGTTAAGTCAATTGATTGATGGTACTATTTAGGTCATCTGTATCCTTATTTAATCACTGCTTCCTTAATTTATTATTGACCATACTGGTGGATTTATTCCCCCTTTCAATTCTCAGTTTTTCCCTCAGGTATGTTGATGTTCAACTGTTACAGTCTTATACTTTTAGGAGTGCTTTGTCTTTAGGTAGTATCCTTGACATAGTTATTTTAGTTTTCATTTGTTTCGTTTTAGTGTTATTGTACTATCTCTCTTCATCCCTTTATTTTTAACGTTTCTGAATCTTTTAATTTAAACTGGGTTTTTTGAAATAAAACATACAATTGGGTCTTTGTTGTTGTTGTTGTTGCTGTTTCAACACTAACCCTCTCTGTGTTTTAATTGGTATGTTGTTTTGATGTGTTTAGACCATTCACATTTAGGGTTGTTGCTACAATTAGATTAATGTCTAACATGTTTGTAACTACTTTTTGATTTTGGCACTTTTTGTTTCTTTTCATCCTCTGTTTCTGCATTATTTTGTTTTAATTTAATGATTTATGTGATTTTTTAAAAGCTTTTTCTATAGCTCTTCATTTATTTTTTGTTTTATGCTAGACATGTTTTAACCAGTATGGGAATTATATTGAATAGGCCTTTCAAAATGAGGTTTTAAATTAATCTGTCTAGTGTTTGGACTGGGTTTAATGTTTGTTATAGTTAAATATACCAGAGGTTTCAAGTTCCTATAATGTCCCTATTTTTGTCTCCTCTCTTAACTTCGAGGCTTCCTTATGTGCTTCTTCTCAAAAAGAGTCTGTTAGTTGAAACTCTTTCAGTTGAAGTCTGTTGTAATTATGATGTCATTATAATGATATCAATATTATATTGGTATAGTAGTAATGTATTAGAAGGGTATGCTCTGTAATCTTTCTAAGTTTCTGTGTCTTAGTAGGCCTCTTTCTCAAAAGAGTGCAGAAATATGTTATTTTCTCTATATAACCATTTGTTTCTACTTTTTTATCCTTTTACAGGTCTCAGACTAGCCTTCCTGCCTGAGAGCTCTCCTTGCCTACTTCTGAAGTTGGTCACTGGAATGTGTTCCAAGAATGTTGAATTATTTCTGAACTTGCCAATGTTTTTCTCTGTGATTAGGCCATCTGTGTTTGCTAATTGGTGCTCATTAAATTAGGCTCCTACCCTCCCACATGGGCTGGGAGATAGAGGCCCTATCTTCCATGATGGTTACATTTATTCAAATGAATGGCTTCAAGGTCCTTGAGAAAAACATTATTGGGCTGTAAAACTGGCAAGAGAGTTTTTAAAAAGTACATGGAAATAAGGTACAACTGTAAGTTTTCTAAAGTGAATGCTCTAAGAAAAAGGAAGTTCAGGAGCCAAGACAGGGAAAGACCTGTCTAAAATTCAATCATGGCGAGGAGAACATAAGACTATCTTAAGGACAGGAGCACTTTGGGAGGCTGAGGGGGGTGGATCACAAGGTCAAGAGATCCAGACCATCCTGGCCAACATGGTGAAACCCCATCTCTACTAAAAATACAAAAATTAGCTGGGTGTGGTGGCATGCACCTGTAATCCCAGCTACTCAGGAGGCTGAGGCAGGAGAATTGCTTGAACCTGGGAAGTGGAGATTGCAGTTTGCAGTGAGCCGAGATCATGCCTCTGCACTCCAGCCTGGCAACAGAGTGAGACTCTGTGTCAAAAAAATAAACAAAAAAAAAAAACTGTTTTAGTCACTTGTAGAGGAAAAATGAATTAAGAACACTCTTCTACTGGGCACTTAAAAAAACAAACAAAAGGAAAAACATCCATTTATTCAGAGTGTAAAACTAATGGATTGAATTGTCATGAATTCTGTAGTTCTGATGATTCAGCTCTTGTTCCAGGCCAGAAGGCTATGATAGGTGTGAAAGGAAAGTATCTTGGGTCCCTTCAACCTGGGAACCACTCATGGCAAATCTGCCTCCCATTCTATTCAAAGTCATCTCACTGCTCACAGGAATAGATACATATTCTGATTGCCTTCTTGTAAAGACCTATCAGAAACTCAAAAGAATGCAACCATCTGTTTCTCACCTACCTGTGACCTGGAAGTCCCCTTGCTTTGAGTTGTCTCCACTTTTCTGAACAAAACTGGTGTGACTCTTACCTATATTGATTGATGTCTCATGTCTCCCTAAAATGTATAAAACCAAGCTGTGCCCAGATCACCATGGGCACGTGTCATCAGGACTTCCTCAGGCTGTGTCACAGGCCTCAACCTCGGCAAAATAAACTTTCTAAATAAACTGAGACCTGTCTCAGATTTTCCAGGTTCACTTTTTGGTAACCACCAAAGGATTCTGAGTGGAGATGCCCTTGACCTTTGACAAATCTCCCTTAGGTGCTTGTACAAGCATGAGCTAACTTTATGGCTCAAACCAATAGGACAATTTGCTGAGGCCTGAGAGATTTCCCTCCAGAGAATCCCTGATCTCCCAAAATTTGGTCGAGATCTAAAGTTTATTTTGCTGTGCAACTCTTCCTTTTTTTTTTTTTTTTTGGAGTTTTACTTGCTTTCAACAGGAAGGCAAGTTTTCCTGCTTCCGTGATGATGGAAGGCAGTAACTCTTTTATGGAATTTGAGCTTGCTTCCAACAGGGAAGGTGAATTTTTTTCTTTTTTCCCTGCTTCTACAATGGTAGAAAGCAGTCTACAACCTGAGACCCAACACTAGGTAAGAAATTGGTTTGGGATTCTGTCTTGCAAATTCTTTTTAAATGACTAAAGTTAGCATTTAACAACCAGCTGCTGTTAATTTCTGCTCACATTTAGAGCACTCAGATATCATATAATCTGTGTGATCATAGTTCATTTTGCTTAACTGTTTTGTTTGTTTCTGTCTTGGTCAAATCCTAAGGGAAACCCTAACTCATGGGGAACAAGGTCTCTGAAGTGAAAGGAAAATGGCCAGCAAAAGGAAAAAAAAATTTAATTGTAACTACTTAAAGGGCTTTATTTACATAATAAGGCCACCTTTTGCCAGCCACACCAAACTGAAAGAGCAATGGCTGAACTTCTGAAATAGCAGCATTTTCTCCTAGCTGAAATATGGTAATGAGATTTAAAGATTTTTTTTTTTTTAGAGAGCTCAATGGTTAAAAATCAGCTTAATTAAAAGGTTAACATCCCAGGGGTGTGTGTATATGTGTATGTTTATATTAAAAAAGACTTTATGTTTTTGAGGGGGGTGTTGTTTGTTTTTCTGTCCTAAGACCTTGTCTCTTTTTTGAGCAAATTTCTCTTTCTCAGTTGACTAAATTCTGTTTTCACCCGATTTTCTGACTAAAATAATTATTGCAACAAAGTCTACTTTTGGTTTTTCAAAGAAGAATGTAGTTTAGACACTCAGAAATGTTTTTGTTTAAAAAAATTTTAAGTGGACTGTAAAAGTGTCTCTCTCTAACACTGCCAGACATTTTCTCTCTGTACCTTATGAGGTAAATTTTGCTATTTGATTTTCACCTAAGTGGTTTCCTTTAATGTGCAAATTTAAGTCTATTTAGCTGACAACTGCTTAGGGTTGTGAAACAGGTTATCAAGAATCTGAAAGTCTAAGATAGGAAAAAACAACAAAAAAGGGGGAGTCTTTATTTATATTTGTATTTATATTTATATTTTATTTTATTTTATTTTGAGATGAAGTTTTGCTCTCGTTGCCCAGGCTGGAGTGCAATGACGTGATTTCAGCTCAATGCAACCTCCACCTCCTGGGTTCAAGTGATTCTCCTGCCTCAGCCTCCCGAGTAGCTGTGATTATAGGCACCCGCCACCATGCCCGGCTAATTTTTTCTATTTTTAGTAGAGATGGGTTTTCACCATGTTGGCCAGGCTGGTCTTGAACTCCTAACCTCAGGTGATCTACCCGCCTTGGCCTCCGAAAGTGCTAGGATTACAGGCGTGAAGCACCACGCCTGGCCAGGAGGGTCTTTATTAATCTGTAAAATGTAGTTCCATCGGCATGCCTAACATGTCTTTATATGTATTTATGTGTTCTGTACAAAATATGTCACTACTAAAAATATATAAAAAAGCTCTAAAGCTCTAATTAATTGGCTTAAAAAAGTGCTTAAGTCAGATACTAAAAAAAAAAGACTAGTCAAATGCTTTTTCAATTTTATGTAACTTAAGTAACATCTTGAGTAAATAAACTGATTTTTAAATTTTTGGTAAAGTAATATTAGAAATGTCTTAAAAATTGCAGCATACATCTTTGCATTTATTAATCAAGCAAATTTCATACTTACCCCTGACAAATATTATAAGGTGTCAAAATTTGACATAGGGATAGAAAAGTATAACCCAGCCCAAAACAGAATGATATTTGCTTTTGTAATTTTTAATAAATAAGACACTGATATAGGTTTAATAAAAATAGCTGCATCTTGAATTTAGTAAGATTACCATAACTTCTAATCCTGTGGCTTTAGGCAATCTGGTCCACAGATAATAAGGAGATTTTTTGCGAAAGGACTGTTACCGTTTTTGATTCAGAACTAAACTATAAACTAAGTTCCTCCCAAAGTTAGTTCAGCCTAAGCCCAGGAATTATCAAGGACAGCTTGGAGTTTAACAGCAAGATGCAGTCAGTGAGGTCAAATCATTTTTTACTGTCTCAGTTATAATTCTGCAATGGTGGTTTCATAACTTCAAATCATGACTATCACAGTTTTCTGTGATAATAATAATAATAAATAATAAATAATCTAGGTAAACAATTAAAATTATATAATTAGGCAAATGCAATGGGATAAATACTTCTAGACAAACTGGTCATAATTTAAAATATGAAGTTATATTAATTAAATGATAGATATTTTATTATTTGGGTATTTTTCAACAAATGTATATTGTAGAAAAACATTCTTGCTACCAAAAAAGTGTGTCCTTTCTTTTTATTTTTTTTTTTAAAAAAAAAGGTGAACAAGTTTTGTCTAATTCAAAGCTTATTTAAAGGTTACATATAAAATAAGGTAAAAGGAAGCAGGACTAAAACAAGATGTAAATAAAGGTATAAAAATAAGAAGGATTTTTTGAGTTAAAAAAGCTTAAAGAAAAATAATTTTATATAAGAAAGAAACTTTTATGGTAAATTTAGTCCTAAAATAAAATAATTGCTTGTTTAAAAAGGAGGGATGTTCAGAACAAACCAGAAAGTCATATTATTATTAAGCTTTGGTTTACTTAGAAAAAAACTGAGATAATTTTTTTAACTAAGGTTATTACATCCAAGCCTTTTCTTGTATGTGCTTTTAAAGTCCTTATAACATTGAGTTACAGGGCTTTAACTCCTGGATCTAAAAAGGACACCAAGTCCTGCTTAATCTTAAACCCTGACAGCAATTAAACCATCATCTTCAGGCCCCATAGAAGATGCCAATCAAAACAAACTTCATTCCTGAGACACAGGGCAATAAATTAAAGCTATTCAACTCCTCAAGGCCCAGGGACTATCACTGAAGAGTTGGGCACGTCAAATTCAAAGGGCTGATTTTGAAACCCTGTTAGACTAAGTTCAGTTTCTCTATAAATTAATCATTAATGCCAAAGGCACACTAATGGAAAACCAGTATATGGACCCCTGTGTCAGAATAACAAGGTTTTCTTGAACCATTAACTAACTCTTTAATAAAGGTTATAAAAGGCTTATGGAAGTTGTATTTTATAATTAATTTAAATTTTATATATTGAAAATTTTGAAAAACAAATGTAATTGGCTTCATTTTTTTTATGGCTTCTTGTTTAGAAAATTAAGTCTCCTCTCTCAAAGGATGAAGGTTTTTGCTTTTTTTTGAAATCCTTGAATTATCACTTTGGTTAAATAAATGACTTTATAATGACCTGTAATCCTATTTTGTGATGTTAAGTGTTTTAAACCTTTTATATTTGACAAACTTTCCACAATCAAATTATAAGTTATGTCTTTTCCTAACCTAATTAATACTTTAATATATTAGGTTCCCCTAAAGTCCAAAAATTACATAATTAGGCTTATTTGATATAAAAATTACACAGAAAGCATTGTCAAATATGAAATGGTGTTTGGTTTTCTTTGGGATCTATTTATATAAATATGTTATTGGTATATGTTCCAAAATTATGGGAAATTCCTGTAATTCTAAGTTATATTAGAAATTCCTGTAATTCTAAGTTACATTAGAATTTGACAAACTTTCCAATCAAAATTGTTATGTTAAAATTATTGGGTGCCACAGAGGTAACAAATTTCCTTGTCAATTGTCTTTTGACTATGGCTGCCTTAAAACTGTTTTTTCATCAATGGACAATTGTCTTGTTTTGGTCCTCTTTAGAAGGTGGTTTTATAATCAGCTATAAAACTCCAACAGGTGCTCTTAAATTCAGGTTTCCTATAACTTTGGAGATTGTGATACCACAATAGAGGGAAAACTTTCAGGACTCATGGAGAGCTAAAAATATTCATGAGTATCAAGTAGAACAGAAATTAACTCCATGGACTGAACCAATCTTTTTAACTTTTTGCTTAAAATGTTTGCTGATCCTTTGTTTTTTTTTTCACTCATAAAACTTTTCTTTTGGGCTATTGACAGGTTTTCAAAATTTAGTATACTCCTATGAACAAAATTTGGAGCATATTTGTTTCTCTCTACCTGATTGCTCCAGAATTTGGAAGCTATTTGTGAGTATTCTTAACTTATGGCAACACAGTTATTTGCATACGTGCAATAAGAATCTGTTTTCATTTGTAACAGGACACAATTGGAGAAATTGATTATTTTACCAAGGCTTTGACTGGAATGGTGTGCCTTCCTTTAAGGAATCAAAATTGACTTAAGCCAATAAAGCCTTTGGAAAACCTGGCCTCATGATTTGTCTTTAGTGAAAAGGGAAACTGGAGAGAGAGAAAAAAATAGGTTTCAAAATGATAGTACACCCGGTGTTAGATTCTAGTATTGCCTAATTTTTTTTTTCCATTTTTATTATTCTCCACGGTTAGGGCTAAATTCTATTTTTTTCTTGGCTACAAGTCTTCAGAACAATGTTTTTAATTATTTTTTCGTTTTCTTCTTTTTTTTTTCCATTTTTTCCTCATTGGCAGTTACTGAAAACTAAGGTGTATTTTCTTAAAGCCCTGCAAACTGAAGCTAGACAACTTAAACTTCAGAAGAAAGTAACAGTAACCTATTTACATACATAAGCCACTTTCATACCTGCTGGTATGGACTTCAGAGTAATGTGTGGACTGTAGAGTAATGTGGCCTATATCGATTTTTTTCAGGATTGCTCTTTTGTTTGTTGTTGTTTTTCCTCCCTTCTTCCCCCTTATTTTCCCTTCCCTGGACATGAGACTTCACAACTTGTTAAAAAATGAGCTTTCAGGACATACCCATCTAGAAATAAACCGTCCTAGCCATGAGAGATCATATGAAACCTGAGACCAGAGACTCATTTTCTTGTAAAGTGGTTTCTCCAAAAGAGTTTTAAAAAGAAAAGGGGGAAAATGTAAAAAGAAAATATCTTGGGCCCCTTGAAGCTGAAAACCCCTCAGGGCAAATCTGCTTCCCATTCTATTCAAAGTCATCCCTCTGCTCACAGAGACAGATGCATATTCTGACTTCCTCCTTTGGAAAGACTTATCAGAAATTCAAAAGAATGCAACCATCTGTCTCTCACCTCCCTGTGACCTGGAAGCCCCTGGCTGGGGGGTGGTGAGTGGTTTGCTTTTACTTTTCTCTGCCTTTCTAAATGTAACTAATGTACTTCTTACATATATTGATTGTTGTCTCATGTCTTCCTAAAATGTATAAAACCAAGCTGTGCCCAGACCACCTCGGGCACATGTCATCGGGACCTCCTCAGGCTGTGTCACGGCCTTGGCAAAATAAACTTTCTAGATTAACTGAGACGTGTCTCAGATTTTCTGGGTTCACACAGGGTTAGTATATTTTTTGAGGATATATCTGGAGGATATAATATAAAGGGTTCTTTTGAGAGCAGTTTTTGAGCTACATGGGTTCCCTGTATCCTAGCTTATAAAAATCCAGAGGAGGACAGTTGGCATTATATCACTTGCATCTGCCTCAATCTGTGTTCAGAGATCTTAAATTTTAAAGCAGGCATCCCTATAATATTTCAATCAGCATTCATCCCTTGTTGAAAATTCTATTTTTTCTGAGACTCAGGACTGCAGTTCTACACATATCTGGGCTTTTTTTCTGGATTGTGCCTTAAAAATTAGAGATTCACTCAGAATATTATGACCTTTTAAATTACCAAATTTCTTGGCACCTTGATTCCATGTATTTATATTGTAAACTTCAATCATATCTTCCAAGTTGGCAGAATACTTTATACTTGGACCTTCTTCTAAAACGAGGTTTACACTGTTAAATCATTAGGCAGGTTTACCTTCTACCTGGAGACAATTTTACAAATGTTTGTTTTATTGATTTCTAATGTGTTTCTCTCTCTCTCACACACACACACACTCTGTCACACACACACACACACACATCTCTAGCTAAAGTTTTTTTCTTAAGTTTAGTATTCATTATATTTATTAAGAGGGTTAGTGACATTGTTGACCCTGTTCAACTATTAAGAGGTAGATTTAAATGATAAGTTGACCTAATTTTCAATGATTTTTCTAATATAACTTGGTAAAACAATTTGGAATATCAGGCAATTGGAAAAACAAGACCACACATTATGTATCTTTCTTTTCTCTCTTGAAAAAATTCCTTATTTATACATACAGGTACAGAACAGATTTCTGCAAAGCAAATTTTTATGTGTTAAAAAATAAAATTTGACAATAATGCCAGCAGCTTGTAGTGCACCAAAAAATGAAAAAAAATATATAGTTTAATATTCATTTCTTGATGTTTGTGTTAAAAATACTTAGGAGGACAAAGAAAATATAAAGTCTGTTTATGTTTGATTTAACATGTCAAATGTTTTTACATTACAAGCAGTAAAAATTGAAGCTCTTAATGTATTTGCAAGTCAAACTAAACAATTATTGTTGTATGCACTTACTCTAGGAAATGTGTTTTCTTTCAAAAGAATTTGAAGCCTTCTAACTCAGATCCCATCAGTAAACCATATGGCATTTTTCTCATCCACCATTTCACAGGGAAATAGCTCATCAATTATTTATATTTTCTTTTGGAGATTTTCCTTTGTTAATATGCATAAATAAATTTCCTTTTATTTTACAGAAAAGCAAACTAGGGGCTACAGACAGGTAAGAAGAGATAACATTAATAATGTAGTTCTACAAAGTTATTTGTTTCTAAGTGCTTTGGAAGCTTACCCTCTGGTTATAATTTTCTCAATTTTTGAAATTACACTGAGTATTAAAAAAGCACATTACATGCTAAAGTAAAACTATTTCTTTAAATGAGAAGCCAATTTGTAGTGCTATGATCAACTAAAGATATTGTAATTGTAAGAAAGAAATTATGTATCATTCCTGTACTAACTGTCTGACTCTTATGGCAATATTGTGCTGTTGTAAGATATAGAAAGGTTTAGAAAACTTCCATGTGATTTTAGTAACGTGCTGCCCTCTTTGAATCTAAAATGTATGTGAGTTTTTTGTGATAATGAATAAAATAACCATCTGCAATTAATTAAATATAGTTTTCACAATCAGCTTTGGTTAACTAATAATTATGAAAATGAAAACTGACTTAATATAAAACTGAATTTGTCAATTTATCCAGATAGCAGTTATTTCTATTATCTACTCGGACAGAAACATAGCTTTTATTTTAAATACTCAAGATGGTTCAGCCATATCATCTAAAATTTCACTTTGTACCCCACATTAAAATGAATCATGGTTTGTTAATTGTAGATTTAATCTCTAAATATCTTAACAATCTGAAGGTTTAACCCCTTTGCCTTCCTATTTTCAAGTAAAAATTGCTTCTTTTGGTGGAAAAGATGAAGCAGAACAGTAGTTGAGTGTTTTCGCATCTGGTTTGGGCTGTAGGTTCACATCATTCCCTTTGTTTCAAGCCATGTGCACTGTGAAGTGTACTTTTACTTCCAAAGACATGCAAGAAAAATTAATATTAATATAACAGTGGTATAATCATGATGAAATAAAATAAATCATTGATAGAAAAAGAGTTTAAATATTTGTTTACTTTTAAGAATCTGTTATAAAAGTAAAAATTTGACAAAGTGTTACCAAATATAAATGATTAATCACTGTAATTTCCTTAGTCACTTTTTCCTAGTGTATAAATTTGTTTCTAAATAGAGTTATGACACATTTTTGGGGGCTGATGTTTACATTGTGAGTTTTCTAGCCCAATAATTATGTTTATACATTTAATTTATAATTACTGGTAATTTATTAGTAATTGGTAATTATAAATAATTTGTAATTTATTAGTGTAATCTATGAAACAAATCACTGGCAGTTTAAACCATGCTTCTCCTTGCCTAAATGGATGAGCATATATTCCCAGAGGAGTTGTGTTTCCTATGTTTATAGAAAGGTCATTTCTTTAGACTATATGTATCTGGTCTCTTATAACTAATTGAAAATAAATGAACCTGTCATGCCCATTCCTAAATAAGCATAATAAAACAGTAATTATAATTATACCAGTAACCTAGCATTTAAACATATGCTGCTATTCTCAAACTATTGTGAAATGAGGACTTGCAAGCATCGTTCTGACTGATCTTATTAAACTGTACCATACTTCATTATGCTCTTTACTTCCTAAACCTTTGACTTCTCGTATTTAGATATGAATTCTGAATTATCATTAATTAAAAGCAAATACTTACATAATGGTTCAGATATTAATAAATTAATGCAATTTTGCTTTCTAAAATCCCATATATACTGTACATGGTAGATATAGCCCTGGTATAATTTTTTCTTTTATTTATTTATTTATATATTTATTTTTATTTATTTAAGTTCTGTGGTACACGTGCAGGATGTGCAGGTTTGTTACATAGGTAAATGTGTGCCATGGTGCTTTGATGTACCTATCAACCCTTCACCTAAGTATTATGCCCAGCATGCATTAGCTATTTTTTCTGTTACTCTCCCTCCCCTCACCACCCCTGACAGGCCCCAGTGTGTGTAGTTTCCCTTGCCCTTCGTGTGTCCATGTGTTCTCATTGTTCAGCTCCCACTTAGGATTGACAACATGTATTGTTTGGTTTATGTTCCTGGATTAGTTTGCTGATGATAATGGCTTCCAGCTTCATCCATGTCCCTGCAAAAGACATGATTATGTTCTTTTTAATGGCTACATATAATTCCATGCTAAATATGTACCACATTTTCTTTATCCAGTCTACCACTGATGGTTATTTGGGGTTCCATGGTTTTGCTATAGTGCTGCAATGAACATTCAAGTTCATGTATCTTTATCATAGAATAATGTATATTCCTTTGGGTATATACCCAGTAATGGCAATGCTGGGTCAAATAGCATTTCTGGTTTTAGGTGTTTGAGGTATAGCCACACTGTTTTCCACAATGGTTGAACTAATTTACATTCCCACCCACAGTATACAAGCATTCCTATCTCTCCGCAGCCTCCCCAGTATCTGTTGTCTTTTTAATAATCACCATTCTGACTGGCGTGAGATGGTATCTCATTGCGGTTTTGATTTGCATTTCTCTAATGATTAGTGATATTGAGTTTTTTTTATATGTTTGTTGGCCCCATAAATGTCTCCTTTTGAGAAGTGTCTGTTCATGTCCTTTGCCCACTTTTTCATGGGGTTGTTTGCTTTTTTCTTGTAAATGTGTTTAATTTCCTTGTAGTCTCTGGATATTAGACTTTTGTCAGATGGGTAGGGTGCAAAAATTTTCTTCCATTCTGAAGTTTGTCTTTTCACTCTAATGATAGTTTCTTTTGCTGTGCAGAATCTTTTTGGTTTAATTAGATCCCATTTGTCAATTTTTGCTTTTGTTTTTGCAATTGCTTTTGACATTTTTGTCAAGAAATCTTTGCCCATGCCTATGTCCTGAATTGTATTAGCTAGATTTTCTTCATGGGTTTTTATAGTTTGGGGTTTTACATTTAAGTCTTTAATCCAACTTGAGTTAAACTTTGTATAAGGTGTAAAGAAGAGGTCCAGTTTCAGTTTTCTGCATATGGCTAGCCAGTTTTCTCAGCGCCATTTATTAAATAGGGAATTCTTTCCCCATTGGTTGTTTTTGTTTGGTTTGTCAAAGATCAGATGTTTGTAGATTACTATCTTACTTCTGGGTTCTATAGTCTGATCCATTGGCCTATGTGACTGTTTTTGGACCAGTACCATGCTGTTTCGGTTACTATTGCCTTCTAGTATAGTTCAAAGTCATGAAGTGTGATGACTCCAGCTTTGTTTTTTTTTTGCTTAGGATTGTCTTGTCTATAAGGGCTCTTTTTTGTTTCATATACATGTTTAAATAGTTTTTTTTTTCTAATTCTGTTAAGAATGTAAATGGTAGTTTGATGGAAATAGCATTAAATGTATAAATTACTTTGGGCAGCTTGGCCATTTTCATAATATTGATTCTTACTAATCATGAGCATGGAATGTTTTCCCATTTGTTTGTGTCCTCTATAATTTCCTTGAGCAGTGATTTCTAGTTCTTCTTGAAGAAGCCCTTCATTTCCCTTGTTAGTTGTATTCCAAGGTATTTTGTTCTCATCATAGCAATTGTGAATGAGATTTCATTCGTTTTGGCTCTCTGCTTGTCTGTTTTTGGTGTATAGGAAAGCTTCTGGTTTTGCACACTGATTTTGCATCCTGAGACTTTGCTGAAGTTGCTTATCAGCTTGGTAAGCTTTTGGACTGAGACGATGAGGTTTTCTAGATATAGAATAATGCCATCTTCAAGCAAAGACAATTTGACTTCCTTACTTCCTATTTAAATACCCTTTATTTTTCTCTCTTCTCTGACTGCCCTGTCCATAACTCCCAATACTATATTGAATAAGAGTGGTGAAAGAGGGCATCCTTGTCTTTTGCCAGTTTTCAAGGGGAATGCTTCTAGCTTTTACCCATTCAATATGATATTGGCTGTGTGTTTGTCACAAATGGCTCTTATTATTTTGAGTTATGTTTTTTCAATACTTAGTTTATTGAGGGTTTTTAATGTGAAGAGATGTTGAATTTTATCAAAGGCCTTTTCTGCATCCATTGAGATAATGATGTGGTTTTTGTCATTGGTTCTGTTTATGTGATGGATTACATTTACTGATTTGCATATGTTGAAACAGCCTTGTATCCTGGGGATGAAGCCAACTTGATCATGGTGGATAAGCTTTTTGATATCCTGCTGGATTCAGTTTACCAGTACTTTATTGAGAATTTTCACAATGATGTTCTTCAGGGATATTGGCCTGAAGTTTTCTTTTTCAGTTGTATCTCTGCCAGGTTTTTGTTTCAGGGTGATACTGGCCTCATAAAATGAGTTAGGAAGGAGTTCCTACTTTTCAATTGTTTGGAATAGTTTGAGAAGAAATGATACCAGCTCCTCTTTGTATCTGGTAGAATTCAACTGTGAATTCATCTGGTCCTGGGCTTTTTCTGGTGGGTAGGTTATTTATTGTTGCCTCAATTTTAGAACTCCTTGTTGGTCTATTCAGGGATTCAACTTCTTCCTGGTTCAGTCTTGGGAGGGTGTATTAGTCCAGAAATGTATCCATTTCTTCTAGATTTTCTAGTTTATTTGCATAGAGGTGTTTATAGTATTCTCTGATGGTTGTTTGTATTTCTGTGAGATCAGTGGTACTATCCCCTTTATCACTTTTTATTGTGTCTATTAAATTCTTCTCTCTCTTATTCTTTATTAATCTAGCTAGTGGTCTATCTATTTTATTAATTTTTTCAAAAGTCTAGCTCCTGGATGTGTTGATTATTTGGAGGGTTTTTGTGTCTCTATCTCCTTCAGTTATACTCTCATCTTGGTTATTTCTTGTCTTTTACTGGCTTTTGGATTTATTTGGTCTTGGTTCTCTAGTTCTTTTAGATGTGATGTTAGGATGTCAATTTTAGATCTTTCTAGCTTTTTGATGTGGGCATTTTGTGCTATAAATTTCCCTCTTAACACTGTTTTAGCTGTGTCCCAGAGATTCTGACACATGGTCTCTTTGTTCTCATTAGTTTCAAAGAACTTTTTGTTTTCTGCCTTAATTTCATTATTTACTCAGGAGTCATTCAGGAGCAGGTTGTTCAATGTCTATGTAGTTGTGTGGTTTTGAGTGAGTTTCTTAATCTTTAGCTCTAATTTAATTGTGGTCTGATAGACCACTGTTATTATTTCAGTTTCTTTGCAATTGATGAGGAGTGTTTTACTTCCAATTATGTGATCAATTTTAGAGTAACTGCCATGTGGCACTGTGAAGAAAGTATACGCTGCTGTTTTTTGGTTAAGAGTTCTGCAGATATCTATTGGGCCCACTTGATCCAGAGCTAAGTTCAAGTCCTGAATCTCTTTGTTAATTTTCTATCTCAGTGATCCATCTAATATTGACAGTGGGGTATTAAAATTCTCCCACTATTATAGTGTGGGAGTTTAAGCCTCTTTCTAGGTCTCTAAGAACTTGTTTTATGAATCTGGCTACTCTTGTATTGGGTACCTTTATATCCAGGCTAGTTATGTCTTCTTATTGAATTTAACTTTTACCATTATGTAATGCCCTTCTTTTTTTTTTTTTAATCTTTGTTGATTTAAAGTCTGTTTTGTTCAAAACTAGGATTGCAACCCCTGCTTTTTTCTGCTTTCCATATGCTTCGTAAATCTTCCTCCATTCATTTATTTTGAGACTATGTGTGTCTTTGCATATGAGATGGGTCTCTCAAATACAGCACACCGATAGGTCTTTATGGTTTATTCAGCTTACCATTTTGTGTTTTTTAATTGGGGCATTTTTCCCATTTACATTTAAGGTTGATATTGTTATGTGTGAATTTGATCCTGTCATCATGATGCTGGCTGGTGATTTTGCAAACTTGTTAATGTAGTTGCTTCATAATGTCATTTATCTTTGTATTTCAGTGTGTTTTTGTAGTGGCTGGTAATGCTTTTTCCTTTCCATATTTAGTGATTCCTTCAGGAGCTCTTGCAAGGCAGGCCTGGTGGTGACGAATTCCCTCAGCATTTGCTTGTCTGGAAAGGATCTGATTTCTCTTTAGCTTTTGAAGCTTAGTGTGGCCAGATATAAAATTCTGGATTGGAATTTTTTTTTTAATGTTGAATATTGGCCTCCAATCTCTTCTGGCTTATAGGGGCTTTCTGCTGAGAGGGCCTCTGTTAGTCTGATGGGCTTCATTTTGTAGATGACCTGGACTTTCTCTTTGGCTTCCCTTAACATTTTTTTCTTCACTTCAACCTTGGAAAATCTGATGATTATGTGTCTTGGAGTTGATCTTCTCATGGAATGATTTACTGGGGTTGTCTGGATTTCCTCAATTTGAATGTTGGCCTGTCTTGTAAGGTGTGGGAAGTTCTCCTCAATGATATCCTGAAGTATGTTTTCCAGGGTGGTTCCATTCTTCCTGTCTCTTTCAAGTACCCCAATTATTCATGTTTGGTCTTTTTACATAATCCCGTAGTTCACAGAGGTTTGTTTGCTTGTTTTCATTCTTCTTTTTTTCTAATCTTGTCTGCCTGTCTTATTTCAGCAAGACAGTCTTCCAGCTCTGGGACTGTCTCTTCTGCTTCATCTATTTGGCTATTGATACTTATGGTTGCATTGTAAAGTTCTTGTGTTGTGTTTTTCAGCTCCATCAGATCATTTATGTTCTTTTCTAAACTGTTTATTCTGGTTAGCAGCTCCTATAATGTTTTATCATGGTTCTTGGCATCTTTGCATTGGGTTAGAACATACTCCTTTAGCTCAGCAAAGTTCATTATTACCTATCTTCTAAAGCCTACTTCTGTCAATTCATCTATCTCAGCCTCCGCCCAGTTCTGTGCCTTTGCTGGAGAGGTGTTGCGATTATTTGGAGGAGAAAAGGCACTCTAGATTTTTGAAATTTCACCCTTTTTGCATTGATTTTTTCTCATCTTTGTGGTTTATCTATCTTCAATCTTTGAGGCTGCTGACCTTTGGATGGGTTTTTTGTGGGGTCTTTTTTTGTTGATATTGTTGTTGTTGTTGTTTTCTATTTGTTTCTTTTTCTTTTAACAGGCCCCTTTTCTGCAAGTTGCTCCAGTTTTCTAGGAGTCCACTCTAGATCCTGTTTACCTGTCCCCCAACTACCCACACCTGGAGGTATCACCAGAGGAGGCTGCATAACAGCATGGATGACTGCCTGCTCCTTCCTCTGGCAGCTCTGTCCCAGAGGGGCACTGACCTGATACTGGCCAGAACTCTCCTGTATGAGGTGTCTGGTGACTTCTGTTGGGAGGTGCCACCCAGGCAGGAGGCATGGGAACAGGGACCTGCTTGAAGAAGCGTCTGGCTGCCCTTTGGCATACCAGGTTTGCTGCGCTGGGGGAAATCCCTTTTATCTCGACTTCGCAGCAGCCCCGGTATTATTTATGAAAATGTATTACATTATTAATGACACAAATCTTATGGACTCATATTCTCTTTTCTCTTTAATAGTTTCTTTACTTCTGATCACTTTTTTCCAATTTTTCTTCCCTAAATGATAAAAAGATGATGTGATTTGATTGGCTGCTGCCCTCACCATTTTGTGGAATACAGTTTACAAGTGGACAAATTTATGTGCACTATGATTTAAAATTCACTCCTATATTTTCAGCTTACCAAAGCAAGTTTTGCTTCTCTGCATCTATACCTAATTGTGCTAGATATTTTTCATTTTGCTTCCAAATCCACTATTTGTCATTCTGCAGTTTTCTGCCCCAGGGATTGACCACTAAGACTGTGCTAACAAGTTATCTTTTCCTCATTGGGTTGCATTTTGGCCAACCAAAATTAAAAGACAGGAAAAATAAGATATCAGTGTGTTTATGCCTTCAGCATACTCTTTGTTCAAATATCGCAGGTTGGTGTGTTCCTCTAGCAAACAAAAGCCACAACCCCTATCAGGTTGTGCAAGCCACAACTCTGCACTTGCTGAGTTATCTTGATGCTTCCCTCCTTTTGCCCTTCAGTCTAGATTTTAATGACACCGTTTCTTGCCAGTGTTTCAAAATTCCTTTATAAACAATTAATGTTTAAAAATTACTTCCATTTACGCAGATTGAGTGAGCGACTTGTTCCTAGAGACCCTGATTGATACAACTGTTCATTGAATCTTCTTCAGATGGGACATTTCTAAGAAAATGGATGTAATGGGGATATTTACACAGTTATTATTTTTGGCACAGCTTTAGTGTTTAAAGTCTAATCTCATACAGAGCTTGATTAGAAAAGCTTTAGAGTTGGTAAATGAAATGATATTTTGCTAGTGAAATTTCAATTGTTTACTATTTTGTTTTTTTCTAGTCAAAACTA
Source organism: Homo sapiens (assembly GCF_000001405.40). Lineage (NCBI taxonomy): Eukaryota > Metazoa > Chordata > Mammalia > Primates > Hominidae > Homo > Homo sapiens. The sequence continues at coordinate 95,227,707 of NC_000003.12, forward strand.
AAAAATGAACACAAATGTATACACACAAACACACACACACAACTGAATTCTACATGGGCTACAGATTAAAGATGTTTAAGAAATTTGGTAATTTTTACTCATTAGCAAATGCAATTGAAATTAAATAGATATTTTTCTTTACCTTATTTTGATTTCAATCCATTGTTTAAAAAAGAAGTACAGCAAGAGGGTCACCTACCAGAGATCTGAAGTCAACTTCCAATAAATAACCAAATTCAGTCATCTTTAGATTTCCTGCAGATAATCTCTAATCATGTTTTCAATTGTATATATTCAGGACATAAAATCAGGAAGCAGATTTGTACTGTTATATAAAAAAAATCTAGGAAATATATGGGGTTAAGTCTCAAAAGGGAGAGTCTTAATTGGACTGTGTTATCTAACTCATCCTCTCTCTATGAAAACATTTCTATTTTCTGTTTTATATTTTCGTATAACCTAACATTATCTTGAATTATTTTATTAGTGCACTTTTTTCTTCCTCCAATAGAATTAAAATTTAAAAAGTCTAGGAACCTTATTCATATTGTTGACTATTCATTCAAAATTTTTAGGAAGTTTTTACACCATTGTATACACCCATTTTAGCTAATAGATGAAAATAGTGTTTCTAATATATTTAGGTAGGATACAGTAAATTCCTCTTCAAAGTTTAGCCTGTTAACTTCCTTTAAAGTTTAAGAGGGAGAAAAATTGTTAAGTACAATGAGTTCTGAGTTCCTCTTCAAAGAACCGATATGTCAGTATCTTCAACTTCCCTGTTCTTTGTTCTCCGTTTTAAAGTTTAACTTCCTCGTTCTCTATATCTCCTTGCCCCCAGTTTCAGTAAACAATCCCCTTCAAGCCCCTATTACTTATTCTGTCCTTAGTCATCCTTAGTCACCTTTTCGGGCCTTAGTCATCCTTAGTTACCTGATCTGTAAACTGTCCTTCCTGCCGAAATTACTCACCCCGCCACTCCAGCTCATACCCTTGCTCTCTTTAAAATAGCCAATTAGAATTAGCTTCTACTGTGTGGTCCAACCCTAGCCAATAGGGGAAAGACACAGCAGTAGGGACTAGCAGCGTTAAGAATAGGACCCCCTTTCCGTGCCTGTAATCCCAGCTACTTGGGAGGCTGAGGCAGGAGAATGGCATGAACCCAGGAGGTGGAGTTTGCAGTGAGCTGAGATCGCACCACTGCACTCCAGCCTGGGTACAGAGCGAGACTCTGTCTCAAAAAAAAAAAAAAAAAAAAAAAAAAATAGACTACCTTCCCCTCCCTTGCCCGGTGTGCTCTCGCCATTTTTCCAAGCACAAGATGCACCCTTCTATAGAAGTAAATTGCCTTGCTGAGAAAACTTTTGCCTGAGTGTTATTTTCACTTGGCGTCACTGAGCGTTTACTTCCAACATTTAGGAAAAACAAACTGAGAATTGTTGCCCTCAAAAATTGGAAAAAAATTATTGAAGCACAATCCTATATATCCCTCCAAAATAACTGTCAGATTGAGTCGAGATGTAAACATAAAAATAAAATTATAAATGAGTTTGAAAAAAAAGCTAAAAATAAATGAACATATCATTATTGCATAGTTTTTTTTAAAATAAGAAGAAAGAAATACAAAAGATATACTCTCTTTTGGGCAGGTAGATATTTTATAAAAATTTTTGGTAAAATAAAAGTGATTTAATAAATTAAGTGTTTTCTTAATTTATTACTTAAAAAACATATTTCTCAAAAGATTTTATGACACATTCAGTAGTATAATATTTAACATATGTGTAACAATTACTATGATTCAAATAAAACATCACTTTTCTAAGGACTTCTGTATCATGCCCTTAAATAGACAGCTGCAAAAAGAGTTGATATCTTATGTGTCTTCATTAAAAAAAACATAATGTCAGAGAAAAGATGATTATTTAAGTTAAAAAATAGAATTAAGTGTTAACAGTACATATGATTTAAAGTAATTAAAATAATTTAAAATTATCAAAAATATTTGTATAGTAATTAAGTTACTATATATACTATAGTATACTATATATACTAAATATATATATTTATATATACTATATATATACTAAATATACATACTTTATGTATGTAAATGCAATTTTATTTTGTAACTGTATCATTCCATTGCTAATTATTATTTGAGCATATTTGTGAAGTTGGATAAAACAACTATTAATATATATACTAAATATAATTTATATACTAAATATAATTTAATTATATTAAATTAAATTACTGTGATTTAATTAAAATATTTTATAGTAATTAAATTTTTTTATTTAAATTTAAATACAAGTATAAAAATAAACTTTGAAAAAGAAAAAACAGCAATGGAAAAACTTAAGTAAATTCTACAAAAAAAATTGGTTACAATCAAAAGTCTGCTATTTTTGGACACATTATACATTAGTAATTCTTTATTCATTGCTTCATACAACTGATAATAAACTTTTATATTTAAAGCAAAGAGTTCTTTGATTATTGGCATAATGTGATATGAGGCCTGAAATCAATTAGTACATGTCAATTAGTACATGTACCTTTCAACTGGAAATAACTAGGAGCTCCTTAAATGCAAGTTTCTCTTCACATCTTGCTCTTGCAGATAAGGTTCCCTAGCTAAAAATCCTCTTCATCACAGTGATCAGACACAATACCTACTTATCTTTGAGTTGTGGGCTTCACTTCCTTGATGGCTAGCAGAAATATTCAAACAATCCTATGACATCCTCTCCTGTGAGAATGAGAAGTCACCTCACCTCATTTTACTACAAAAATTACATTTTACTACAAAAATGACATAATTTAATATGTTTTTCTTTAATGAAATATGATAAAATATTTAAAATATGTTTTTGCAATGGACAAGGTGCAATTTTAAGTGAATAGCATTGTATTGCATATTAAATTCATTGAACAAGATTGTGAGCTCTGAAACTTCTTGGATAATGCAGCCACTTGCCTCTCTCCCACTGACATGACATTAGGCAGTGCAAATAAAAACGTGATATTTTTTATTCATGTTGCGTTATCTATACTATCTATTCGCCATCACCATTTGGGAGGAATTTCAGCATTCAGAATGTTATAGGATGTTTTAGGTTGCAAATTATTGAGGTGCTATGCTGCCAGCATTGCTTTTTACAGCCTCCCAGTAATGAAGCTAAACATACCTAAAGTGCTGAACAAAGGTTTTAAATGTTCTGTATTTGTAATTTTAATAGAAAATTTTAAAAGAATATATATTTTAAAATGTAGGTAGTATTTCTCTTCTCTAAATCAATGTAGACAAGGGAAAATTCTATAGGGCAACATGGAGTATAATATTAAGTTTATAATGTAAAATAACATGTATACTATGACTTAGCATTCATTATTTGAATCTAATCAGTCTTGAAATATATTAAATAGTAATAGTAAATTTTCAGAGAGTAGAAACTTGTATTCCATTATTTTAAGTGGTAAAATAATAACAAATCTCTAGTTCATTTAAGAGCTTAAATCAATTTCTCCCCAAAGCATTAAAACCATCTTAAATTTCTGTATAACTTACCACTAAGGATTTCCTCAAATTATATAGCATTCCTAGAATGAGTTGTTTAATTAATTAACTCTTAATTAGCGTGAGTGTTTACGTGTGCATGTATTATTTTATCAATACGATATTAATAATTGTTTTATCCAACTTCACAAATATGCTCAAATAATAATTAGTAATGGAATGATACATTACAGTTACAAAATAAAATAGCATTTACATACATAAAACAAAAAGGAGATTAAAAATGGCTTCTGTGATCAATTTGAGAATTGAGAAAATGAATAAGTTTTGGTGTTCAAGAGAGGAAGTAGAAAGCTATAGTAACTTGCTGTTAGGCAGTGATTTGAATTGAGAGAGCTTGTAAAGGTGGGAAGGAAAATGATACAAAAATATCTGTTGAAACAATAGATGTATGAGACAATATCTTGTTAGGAGAATGGATGGACTGCAAGTGTAATGCAAGTCATTTTCCCTTCTATGAAGTTGTAATTATGTAAACATTTTCACTAGTGCATGCACAGGATTAGTTATAGCGGGTTTCTATTTAGTGAATTTTGGACAAATATTTTGATCTGCTTTATTAAAACAGAAAAATAAGAGTTTATGAGAGGAAGAAATATATATATATATATATACACATCAATTTATTTTTTGCTGTCTGTCTATATATTTATCTCTGTGTGTATATATATATATATATATATATATATATATATATATATATATATATATATAAAGTTTAATGTATTGAATAAGAGATAGAACAACTCCAAATTCCTTAGCTTTTCTATTGCCAAAGCCAAAAGCTTCTAACAAACTAAATCCATTATCTGGAGGCAGTGACTTGGGCAATGTCAGAGAGATCATTCTTCAAAGCTAAAACATTGATTGATTGATAAAATCAAAGAATATGTATGAAAAGCACCTCAATATTTGTTAGTGAATATTCTCATGATTCCACATTTTTACTGTAATTCCTTTTTTTTTTTTTTTTTTTTTAGTGAGCCCCAGAGCAGTCCATTTGTCAGTCTGCCCAGGTACCATTTAATGCCTGATCTTGTGTACTCTGATCTTACAAGTTAGAGTAATGTCCTGGCCATTCATGTTGCTCCTCTGTTAAAATATTGATTCAATATGGCCCTTCAGATGTCAAATAAATGTAGAACAAAAAGTTTTAGATGTGTCTAACTTATGGATTACTAGATTTTGCTGGACTCTTCTGATACATCCTTAGTATTTTTCTTAGTATATTAGAATTTCCAAGCAGTCAATGGATTCTGACATGTGGCGGGTTGTGTCATACTTCTGTTCCAAGAACCCAAATCCTATCACATATTATATGACACAGATGGGTTAGTACTAGGCAACTGAAGGTATTGAACAATGTTGTCAAATTGAGGAAGAACTGTGTAGAGCAAAGAATGTTCTGAGGAAGGACCAAATAAATAGAAGATTTTTTGTGTGACTTTAAAATATAGAGCAAAAAAACAAAAAAGAGTATTTTGGCAAAGTCCATTTCCCAGTGTTAACTTCTAAATAAATCTTAATTAATTCAAACATCTTTGCATGGTGCCTGTGAAATGTGGGGACTTTGGGCGCGTTATTTAAGTCTAGAATCAGGAATAAATTTAAATGATAATGAATAATATATCTGGAATAGGCAGGTTTAAAAAATAATAGTTTATTTGCAAGGGTGTATTCATTTTAATTTGTCCTTTTCTCATTGTACTAATTCTCTTGAAGTTTTATTTTATCATGAAAATCATACAAGAGAGGAAATGCTTTGGACTAATATTTCTGCAAAGTAAATTGGAACTACTTCAGTTTGTTGTACAATTGTCAATTTAAAAAATATATGGACTTTTCCTAAAAACCAGGCAAAACAAACAAACAAACACACAAAAAAGACTATAGATGTTTTCTGCTGCTTTCTTTCCTGAGGAAGTAGCTAACTGCATCCTGTGTTCAATTTAGACTTTGGAGTCATCATTTTTCCAGTAGGCTACCTGGTTGGTTTTTCTATCCCCTGAGGTAAATTTAATGTTTATGGAGCATGTATAGTTATCAGTGCTTTCTAGGTAAAATCACAAAACTTTACCTTCCTTTCTCTCCTACTGCTGCAAAATTTTTAGAGTGTATCGCTTCCTTTGAGTTCCAAGTAATGACTCAGTCAATGCTTGCAGTTTGTTCCTTTGGGCTATTGATTGGTGTTTCCAGATTATTAACTTTCTCTGCTAATTTGTCCAATTTAGATTTCAAACCTTTATGCCCTCTTTGCATACTATCTGTCTTTTTGCCAATTTCCATTAGTAGGGCATGAGTGCAAAGCTACTAATGACAGTTCCATTGGTTCATTTGATTGTTGTACTACCCACAGAATGCTGCAGGTATTGACTGGAAAACAGTAACTCAGTGTACTGTTCATATTGACAATTTTCCTGGCTCACTTGATCCAATTCTAACCATTCTAAAGCTTTCTCAGTCAAAGCACATAAATCACGTATCTTTCCTGCAGATCAACCATCTTGCATCTTGATGACCGAATATCTGGATCTAGTCTGTCTATATTTCATTTCATTGTATGATGCCGGATTTACTTCGTTTGAAGTAAAGAACATTATAATGAGTTTTTGAAGATTTCTGGGTGGATCAAGTTAATTGATTGTTCAGTTTTTAATGCCAGACTTCAACGTAGTGACAGATATATTTTAAGACATTGGTAGAAAAGGTATAATTTAGAATCAAAATTACTGTATTAATAAATAAATTAATTGAAATAGGAATAACTTTGAGCTATGAAACTTTTGCATTGAGAACTATGCTCTTATATCACAATTATGACTGTTTATGCTTTTTTATATGACAGTTTATACTTTTTTATATACTTTTTAAAATATAGTTTCGTTTATAATTCTTTTCATGTGCATTTTTTGTTTATTCAACAGTATTTAAGTTACTTATGCTATGAATAACTGTCCAACAGGCATCAAACATGTGAATCAAAGTAAAAAGCTTCACTTAAGAAATTATTATTTTATGTCACTAAAGGCCATCGTAGGGAATGATACCTGTAATTAGTTGATCATACTGCTTTTATCATAATAAAGCACACATTTCTGAAGATAAAAAACTCAAACCACATCACTATGCATAAATGAAATTCAATAGAAATGAAATATGTGTCTTTATCATGTTAAACCTAAAACATTATGAAAATGTTTGAATTTTCTTAAATTACTACTTAGAGTTATATTGTTCTGAGTTACCATTTAGGGCTGTTTTTTCATTCTGAACAGGACACTTAGACTAGATTAGAACTTAGTAACAGAATGTTAGTCATTAAGACTTAATAGCATCATTTTTACTCTGCCATGTTCTTGCATTGCTATTCTAAAATATTCATATATTTTGTACAAGTTGTCAGCAGGTGGGGGTCTCAAGTATTAGGCTAAAGAACCTCACAGAAAATCAATGCAAATTAAAGCTATTTCCTTGGAATCAAAATTAACTTTTTTGAACTTTGCAGACAGAACTTTGTTTTTATAAAGTAAAACAGTTCGAATATTAGAAAAAAAGGAAAAAATTAAATTTATCCATGTTTTTCTATAATAAAGCATAACCATTATGTTTTTGTATGAAGTCGATCAATCAAATAACACACTTGCTTCTATCTTTGTTAACTCTTTTGAAATGATATTATCTTAAGAAAAATAAGAAGACAAAAGGCCTAAAAATGCTAGACATCTAAATGTTTATGTGTCTAAACAGCGCTAGGATTTAGACTAGTTTCAAAACTTTTCCATGTACCAAATCCCAAGACTAGGACATAGTCACTGAAGTGTTTGAGCACTAACATTAAAAACTGGATGAATACTTCTTATATCCATGAGTTTAGTTACATGATTTCCTAAGTATAGAAAAGAAATATACTTTAACAAAAAAATTCAGCACATAATTGCTTCTCAAAATTAAAATTTATTGATTGGTATATATAAAATCCCAAGTAAGAATCAATATTATCATAATATAAAAAGCTACGATTTAAATCTCAAGACAGACTATATATAGATATATCAACTTATATAAGTATTACAATAATAAATATTCCCATACTAACAAAACTAGAATAATAAATTTTAAAAACCAATAAAAGTAAAGTTCTAGTACCATATGTACTTGGAAATGCCATTCCAAAATACTCTAGTATTAAATTAAAGTAGTTAGAAATAATTTTCCGCCAACATGAAAATATGTCAAGACTCAAGATATCATCAAATAAGACACGAGGTCTGGAGCAAAAGACATTTTTATAATAGCAGATGATCAGTTATTATTATAACTTACACTAAATACACTAAATGCTCAATTTTCTTCTCTTCCTTCCCCTCCCCTCCTCCTCTACTGTTTTATGTAAAGAGGATACCCAATAGTTAAAATCAATTTGTATAGCTTCGATAAAAGGCAATAAGCTAATTTAAGTAAAAACTTGGGTTTAGAGAACTAATGCAGTTTTTAAAAAATATTAGAATATTTAAAAATTGACGAATCAATCATATCCACCAAAGACATTACAGGGTATCTGATTTACTGATCTTAGATGTTTGGGGGGAAAAGCTGAATTGTCTTTTTAGACGACTTCAAATGAACACTGGTTACAAATAATCTTTTATGAATATTTAGAAAGTTTGCAAGTTTATAAGATAATTCAATTCTTCAGTGACTGACACTGTAATAAAAATATTTGTATATCTATCTATGACATAGGGGATATAAATAGCTGCTCTTAAAAGCATCAGCATTGACTCAAGGCAGCATTGACTCAAGGCAGCATTGACTCAAGGCTGACAACTTTGTTCTCTGCCTCCTCATGAGTCAAATGGAGACAATCACACCTCTGCCTGCTTTTTCACAGGAAGAGAGGTGTCCTCACACTCTTGTCAAGTATGCACCAGCAGGATGGGATGTAAATCAAACTTATGGAAAATATATTTTTGTTTAAGATTCTGCTAAGCTCCTGCTTCTACATTATTCTAACTTCTATAGCTAAGAGCCATTTGCTTCCCTTTTCTAATACTAATGAAACACTAATCCTATCTCAGAACTAAGAGAATGCAGGAGTCTCTAGTATAAAACTCAGCAATTTAGAATTGTCAGTTCTATATTCAGTAATATTCTGACCTTTTCGCTCCAGTTTAATTGAGTTCCTACTACTACTCTTCTAGTTGTGAGAAACTAGCATCACTGCCTCTGAAAACTGTCAGAGACAAGTCCTCTGCTGGTTTTAGATATGGTAACTTAAATAAAAATCAGTGAGTATTGAAGCAAGTAGTATATTTCAAGAGGATGAAGTTAATAGGAATGAAATGCCAGGAAGGCTTATACAATGTTATGTCTGGAAAGCAAAAAAATTTACTGTAAGTTTGGAACTACAGGATGAACTACAAACAAGGTTGTAAGAGAGAACTGAGTAGTAAAAACATGTCTAAAGACTAGAATCAAGTCTGTGTTAGTGTACAAAATCAGAATCTGATTAAGTATAGATGTCAGTAGATCCTGATGCTCCAGCAACGGGAATGATCAAGATGTTCTTTTGGCCTAGATAATGCAAACTTTGCCAGTTGTCCTACATTTTGAAGAATTAGGAACATTGGATGGGGGTTATTTCCAAGCCACAAATCATCTTAATCTATCAAAGAATATAGTAGTCAATCAAGTAAGTATCTGCATTCTTATTCTTTCAAATCTTAAAATATGGCCGCGAAAGGCAGCAGAGATATTAAAAAATGAAGGTGGGGAAGCAAAAGGAAGTTTTGAGTTTTGACATAGGGAACTTTTTTCCTACTTGACTCTAGTGTCTAAAACAAAGCAATAGCTCAATATTTCATAAAGATTCGTTGGTGGAACAATTGATCAAACTGGATGACAACAGAACAGAAAACCAGGAGACCCCAAAAGTGATATAAAAATAAACCATTCTGAATTGGGAGTAAAGTGAGCTTTCCCTTTGAAACAATGAATGTATAGCTATCCAAGTTTATTTGCTTGTCAAGTCACAAACTAGAAAATGTGCTCATGGGGAAATTGGTATGTGGGTATGGGAGTTTCATTTACACACACACACGCGTAAGAAAGGAGACAATAGAAGTGTACATCAAAAAACTGAGTTCTAGAACTCAGAACAGATCAGGAGATGGGAAAATATATATGCAGAAGATAGCCAGAAAATGCAGAGCAATGTCTACAAGGTCCTATAGCAGGTATTTTAAAAGAGTTTCGTTTTGGTAAGAACACATGAGATCTACCTTCTTAATCAATTTGAAAGCGTACAGTACTGTTAACTATGAGCAGAACGTTGAACAACAGAACTCTAGAAGTGACTAGCTTCCGTAACTGAAACTTTATACAGGTTAAAGAGCAACTCCCTGTCTTCCCCACCCTCCAGCCCCTGAAAACCAATATTCCAGTTTCCTCTTCTAAGAGTTTGACTATTTAGATACTGCACATAAGTGTAATTATGCAGTATTTGTTCTTCTGTGACTTTTTTCATTTAGCATAATGTAATCAAGATTCATCTATGTTGTCACATATCTCAGGATCTTCCTCTTCTTTTTAGCAGCAAAATAGTCCATGGTATGTATATATCACACATTTTTAAAATTACGTCATTCTTCTATGGACATTTAGGTTGCCCCTACATCTTGTCTTTTGTGAATAATACTACAGTAAATACGGTAGTGCAAACACCTCTTTGAGATTATAATTTCAGTTCTTTTGGGTAAATACTGAGAAGTTTGATTGCTGGAGCCTATGGTAGTTCTATTTTTAATTTTTTGAGGAATCCCCATATTGCTTTTTACATTATGCATCTTTTTACATTTCCACCAACAGTGTATAAGAATTCTCTTTTCTCCACATCCTTGCCAACACTTACTATGGTTTCCTTTGTTTAATAATGGTCATACTAACAGATATGAGGTTATGTCTCATTGTGGTTTTAATTTGCACTACCCTCATGATTAGTGATGTTGAACATCTTTAATATACTTGTTAGACGTTCGTATTTATTCTTTGAAAAAATGTCTGTTCAAGTCCTTTGCCAATATTTTGAAATGGGGACATTTGTTTTGTTTTGCTTTGTTTTGCAATTGATTTGTAAGAGATTCTTTGGATATTAACTCCTTCTCAGAGATACGGTTTGCACACATTTTTCTCCCATTCTGTAGGTTGCCTTTTCACTCTGTTGACTGTTTTTTGTTTGTTTGTTTGTTTTTTGTGTTTTTTTTTGTTTTTTTTTTTTTTTGCAGTGCAAAAGCTTTTCAGTTTGACAGAGTACCACTTGCCTATTTCTGCTTCTGTTTCCTGTGGTTTCGGTATCATATCCAAGAAAGCATTGCCAAAACCAATGCCATGAAGCTTTTTGCTTATTTTAATGTAGCAGAAAATCTAGTTTTCTGTAGTACTAAAAAAAATGGAAACAGTATTTCGAGTGTTCACCTTTCACAAATGGGCCTATTGGAAACTAGGGATAGAGAAAATCTCTAGAAGATGAAATTAATAAAATATATTCTTCTGGGGTATTATGGAACTCAAGAACGTCTCTGAACAGTCAAGCTTAAAATAACTATTTTCTTAAAGACACACCAAGTAGACAGTTAAGATGTATTTCCCTTCTTCAATACTGATTTTGTGACTTTATAGCAAATCCAAATTTCATATTTGATGTATACACGAGGTGTTCCTTCCTGGAAGAGGGTCTACAGAATAGCTGTAAAACATCTATCTTTTTATTCTATCAATCACCAAGAGACAAATTATAAAGAAACAAAATAAGAGTTATGTCCTTGATCATATGGTTTAATATGCATGCAGGGCACTTTAAATTTCGTTCTGAAATTAAATTTGAACTTTTTTTTATTAGTGGATTCTCAACACTGCCTCAATTACACCCATGATCCAGCTTCATTGGGTTGTATTCCTTGGATTTTTCATATGCTTTGACAGCTCTGTATCATCTTCCTGGAATGCTTAATCTATCTCCCCTCCCTTCTTTTTTTATTCTTCACCTGGAAAACCTGTAGATTTCAATAACTACTTGGAATTACATTTCTTGACTTGCTTATTTAGGACACATTGTTCACTTGGATTCCACATAAACTTGTGAATATTTATTTGCAGCACTTAAAAATATGCTATAGTTATCTATTTCTTTAACTAGACTGCAAGCTATTTGAAGGTAGGGACCACGCATTATTTCTTAATTTTTGTATCACGAGTAACTTGCTCAATATTTGACACAAAGAAAATGAATATTAAGTACTTAAATATTTGTATTACTTGTTTGGCATGGAATTTATATTTTCCATATTGAGATAATATGTGTTACAAATAACAATTTTAAAATTAGTTTTGTCCCTTTTAGAAATGGTCCTTGTGATTAAAAAAAGATTAACATAATTAATTTTCCTCTCATTCCTTTATTTACAGGTTATCTGTCACCTTTCTTTTGTAGGGAGCTTGTTTTGCTAACTTTTTGCAGATAGCTGAAGAGTATCTTTTGAATACAATAATTCGTACCTGAGAAAAAATCAGGAATTTAAGTGCAAGATTAGAAGTATTGCAAAAGGTAATGTTGGCTGGATACAAAAAGAGGAGACACCTCTAAGCGATATTAGCAAAGAATTGACAGTTCAAGGAAAATTATGGAAAAAAGGGTCAAAAAGATAGCTGGATCAACAAGTAATTCTGTAAATTAAACTCTGTATATTTAGAAAATGAAGGTGTGATAATAATACACTGAAATCCCAAAATATTTTTTCTCTTCGATTTTGTTTAGATTAATATATATTAACTCTATTCAATCATCAATATGCACTAAGCACCTATTGCAGGCAAGGCACTTTTGTGGGCACTAGGGATCAGGCAGTGAACAAAAATTTTGGTTCTTAGTAAACTTACCCTGTGATACAACTTAATAGTACTTATAAGTAGATCTAAATTTTAGGCAATTTATATTCTTAACAAATTTTACTTATTCTTAACAAAGAATAATTTTATTGTGACTTATCTAACAGAATATATGAGTGTACAAATTCAACAAAAATAATATCAATGAACAGTCATATACACACACTTGGCTTAAAAGTAAACATTACCAATGAAATGGGAGAGTTCCCTGACCCCCTTGCAGGATTTATGACAGGGGTGTGGCTCGTTTGCTCTGTCGTTGCACACTCAGACCCCTTACAGGAAGGTGAGCATGCAGACCAGCAGGTGCAGGAGCTGGAGTGAGTGCTTTTGGGCTCTGGTCCCATGGTAGCATATAGGAGTCTGTTACAATTAATACTCTTATAGCAGTTGCTATCTGTGGATGACCAAGTGTTAGACCAGCTCAGGGGAAAGTCACAGTGACAGCCTTTTACACTCTGTCCTCTTGGTACCTGGGTCCTTGTCCAGCATCCAGGAAGAATAAGATAACATGAACTTGAAGGATTGTGAATGTGGGGATTTTACTGAGTGATGAAGGTGGTTCTCAGCTGTTTGGATGGAGAGCTAGAAAGAGGATGGAGTAGGAAGATTATCTTCCCCTGGAGTTCGGTTGCCCCATGGCTGATCTCGTCACTGACTCTCCCCAGCTGAAGTCCTCTCTATGTTCAGATGATCCTTCTTTTCTCTCTTTCTCTGCTGCGCGACTCTGCTGCTCTGCTGCTCCTCTGCTGGTGCAGTCTGGGGTTTGGAGTTTAGATGGGGTACAGGGTAGGTGGATGTGGCATGTCAAAAGGCAACATTTGGTCATGAAAACAGGAATGTCTGTTTCCATTTAGGACTGTGGGTTTTCAGGCTTGAGGGTGTTGCATTTGCCAGGGAACCACTTCTTCTACCCAGTATTTCTCTGCTTCCTGTCCATATCACCATCTTTGAAACTTTTGTATTCTCTTGCTTAAAGGGAATTGAGCAACACAGTTACAAACCTTCTTGCTCTCTCTCTCTTTTTGTTTCTTTGGAGATGGAGTCTTGCTCTGTCACCAGGTTGGAGTGCAGAGGTGCAATCTCGGCTCACTGCAACCTCTGCTTCTGGGGTTTGAGCAATTCTCTTGCCTCAGCCTCCTGAGTAGCTGGGACTACAGGCGCCCGCCATCACGCCCAGCTAATTTTTGTATTTTAGTAGAGACAGGGTTCCACCCTGTTGGCCAGGATGATCTTGATCTCTTGACCTCGTGATCCACCCACCTCGATCTCCCAAAGTGCTGGAACTACAGGCGTGAGCCACCATGCCCGGCCAAATCCTCTCATTTTTATTAAGAAGAAGAGGCTATGATCCCGGGCTTTGAGAAGAGTGACATAGAATTCACAGTTATGCCACATAATTCATTTGCTTGTGATTCTGCTTTCTTTCTTACTGTTATGGGGGCTACATTCAGCTCATAGAGGTTGCCAGCAGTTCCATGCCAGGTGGCTCTCTTCATAGGCATAGTCATGTCATGAGACCTCAGTACAGTAACTCTGCAAACTGATAAATTATGGTACACAATAGTCAAAGCCAATTGCAGAGAACATTGAGACTGTGTATTTATGGCCTGATCAAACTAGAAATGGTAATTTCATTCTAGTATCAATTGAAAATTCAACGTTTACAATTTTTGTCTATAAATAGGTAAGAATTTTTCTTTTGATTTTTTTCTGAGACAGTCTTACTCTGTCTGCAGTAGCTGCAGGATCATGGCTCACGGCAGGCTAAAGCCAGGCCAATCTATCCTCCCATGTCATCCTCCTGAGTAGGTGGGAATTTTGTATTTTTTCTAGAGACAGGTTTTCACCATGTTGCCTATGTTGGTCTCAAGCAATCTGCCTGCCTCGGCCTCCCAAAGTTCTGGGAGCCACCATGCCCAGCCTGAATTTTTCAAATTCAGTAAAGGAAAATGGCTTCCAAAGAAGAAATATATATTATATTTCTTAAAATTTGTCAAGTCCTCAGCATTAGGACAATGCTAAAGATAATGAACTTTTATAATGATGATAGTTTACCTTGCTACATTTTAATGGCATGGCCTTTCTTTAAATGAGTCTTAGCTAGAGGCAATTGCAGGATTTAAAATGAGTTTAGAAAAAGATAATCTATGTCTTTCATTTAAACAAAGCAATCGTAAATAAATAAATAAGTAAATACTAAAATTGTAACCTTTGGTTATGTTGAGTCTTCAGTAATGCCACATTTTCCTTGTGTTGAAAATTCTTCAGTGTGCTGATGATAAGTTTTATTTTGCGTAAGATTAAAGGTTTTTCACTGATACGTAAATTTATTTTCCATCTCCTGCATTTTTAGTCTATCTTTAATCACATATTTTGTAAGATATCAAGCATAAAATTTCAGAGCAAGTTATAAAAAATGTGTTTTTCACTGATATTCATGTCAGTTATCTTTCTACATAAAGACGGATTCCTATTCTGTCATTTGTAAATTAGAATAAAAATTTCTTACCTGTGTATATTGCAAGTCAGTAGCAAGTGGAATATCTGAACTTCTTTTTACCCTTCAGATGAAATTGATATTGCTGCACTGGTGCTGTATGATTTGTTGACTAATGCTATAGCATTCATATTTGATTTCCCAAAAGTTTAACATTTTTCTAGAATAAAGGGGAAGACCAGCATGTATTACTGTTATATGATGGTCTTTCTATAATACAAGATATAGGTTTTATACCTTAACTCTATAGAAATGCTAGTCTAAATCACCAATACAAAATATACTGTCTAAAATAACAAACAGGAACAACAGCAATAATGCGAGTATTTCACAAAAAGAAGTATCATGAAGCAAATAATTATGAATTTCTGGATTACTGGTTTACAGCAATATAGAATGAAGCACATGAAATATTACTTAATATTACTTGAAAGCTTGAAATGGGAAACAAAGAGTATAAGTTCAGCTAAAATAGCTCTCAAGAAGCAAAAATGCTCATTACTGTGAAAATACAAGAAAGAAGTCTTGGTAGAGCAAAGAGATATAGAAAAAATTATTTTAAAATATGGGAGCTTTAGGCAATCTTTGAAACTCATTACTACTGGGGAAAATAAGGGAGTAAGATTTTGGAGACTAAATAGTGAATAAAATAATAATAATGAGAGGAATATTGAAGAACCTTTAAGACAAAAGAGACTAAATATCAAAGGATGTAGGAAACACTTACCAAAAATTTAAAAAAAATGAACATGGAAAGAAAGAAAGGAATGAAAGAAAAGAAACCATAGATAAAACTGCAAAACTTCTTTGCCAGACTAACAAAAGAAGATGAATCCTGTTCATAAGTAGACAAACGATTTAATCATTTATGCAAAGCAACAAAAACAAAACAAAAAATGAAAATTAATATGCCAAATGATAACAGTTTTCTTAAAGAAACCCCACAAAACTGAAGCAGCTACAAAGGAGCACACTCTAAAAGGAAATACATGTTTGTGAGCACACTTCTGGGGATATTATTTAAAAACAAAATATGAAAGATACATTTTAAAACTGATAATGGATTTTTACAGAATAGAAGAAATGAAGCAAGAATTAATTGAAATAAGAAACATAAATGGAAGAGAAAAAAATGTTCTCAGAAAAGAAGACAAAATTATGATATACCAAAGAGAACATAAAGTATTATGAAAACTTACCTTCCTAAGAAGGAATAGTTTTTTTTCACTCTCAAAATATATTTTGGAAATGAACAAAGTGATGTCAAATGATCTAGAACTAGGTCCTTTTCTTATCACACTATCACTTTGTAATGATGGATAACTCATTCAAATGTTCCAAGTCTCATTTTCCTTTTCCAAAAATAGTAATTGTTTTCTTGTATTTATTAAAGGCTATTATATTTTCTAAGTTGTTTTGTAGCTCTTTTATCATCTAAGTTCAATCACTATATAAAAATTATTATTGTTGCTTGTCTGTTTTCCCCAGCCGTTAGTTTTAATTTATCCATATGCTTAATTCATTATGTCTCTTTCTACATTTTGTTTCTGTGTCTCCTTCAAGAATAAAATTCAAGTTGCCAACTACAGTATAAAACTGTGAGGCATTAAATCAATGGTACTTGAGAACCAGAATAGTTCTGATATAGGTGATGGTCATTAAACAAGGTCAGGCTAGTCACGTATCACCTGATTATTTTATTTATGGAGAAAATAAAGCTGAACAGAAGCATGTGTCCACTTGGCTATGGAAATCAAATTGTAATCCTAGAACTAATGTGGGGAGTCATCAAAGATATTAATCTGCGGAAGGAGGAAAAGGCACAGACAATTAGACTACATTTTACAGTAATTGAGTGAATGTCAATTGAGTGAATTGTCCCTGACATTCGCTCAATTACTATAGCTTTTGACAAGTAATTTCAGGATATTTCTCCCTGTGTACATGTCCCTTTATCAAGCAAGTGTTTTTATAGTTTCAATATTACGTAGAGAAAATTTTAGCGTGGCTATTTTATTTCTTGATTAGTCTTTTGAAGCTGCAAGTTTATTCAAAATTTCTGTATGGTTTAATGGATCTTATTGTTCTGTATGACTTTGATATTTGTTTTCAAGCTAATAATACACATAGCTCTTAAAATAAAAATGTAATACAAGATACGTTTTCCCATCATCATTTTTTGGTGTGTGCAAGTTTGTATAAATATGCACTCTGAGCAAAATTTAAAGTAAATTGCTTCAGAAATAATCAACTATAACCAAAATTATTTAATAACTATTCACAGTTATATGACACAAATCAAACTTTTTTTATAATCTTATTTGACTTGGTTATAAGTATTCACAAAAATTACTTATAAGCACATTGATGTTCAGTTCTGAACTGTGAATGTGGCTTACTGCAAATGTTCCTCCTACTTATTCATAGTTCAATGAAGATGTTACTCATAATTCCATACTATTTAATTTTGTGGCAAACATGCACAATTGGTTTTGTTTATTCCATCTCTTTCTTATTTATAAAATTAAATAATCAGCTACCATAAAAAGTGGTGGAGATATATAGTTCTGCGAAGACAAAAGAAAACAAAATTAAAAGAACACATTGAAGTATGGTAATATAATTACTTTCTCCAAGGAAGGTAAACTAAGTTAGAAAGAAGGTCAGTGAAGATGTGCTATGTGGGAAAGTGCTTTCTTGGTGTTTACCCTTAATGACCAACCATTACAGGCTTAAAGAAACAATTTTACACAAATACCTCTGGGTAAATTTTATCTTAAAAATCTAATTTTTGTAATTGTGTTAATGGCTTTAAATTTCCTTTGAAGCATAGTTTTAATACAATAGGCTTCTAGTTGATTAAAGTAGAATAATCTTCCCCCTCCTTATAAAATCAGTAATAGCCACAGTGTATCTATTGAAATTAATATTTAAATCCTTTTGGAATTATGATCACTGTCTTTGTGTATCTGTCTTTGTTTCTTTTTGGCTCTCTCTGCATCTCTTCCTAAATCTGTGTGTCCCTTTCTTTCTCTGTTTCTTTGTCTCTCCCGCTCTGTTTCCTCCCCCTTATTTGTCTTTCATCTTCTCTTTTTTTCTCTATCATTTTTTCAAGGTGGGAAGTTGCACTCAGAAAGATCAGACTAGTTTCCTATTTAGTATGGTCTTTGGTTTCGAGTCAAAATGTGATGAACCTGGTCATGTATCATTGAGCAACTGGGAAATACTAATGTGTGGAGTACTGTAAAAGGTCAGAAAATAGAGTAATTTAAAATCACTTTCCTCTTACTGTCATACATGAACAAAGTAAAATAAATCAATAGTTGAGCATATGTGTGAATAAATTTAAACTAGTTATTTTGAAAACCCATAAAATTCATAAAAGCTTAATGAAACGAAGAAAGTCTATTAACCCAAAATACCACCAGAATTCATTAGAGATGATTAAGCCTCTCAGATAACAGATAAATGAACCAATCTCAGTATGAAAAGCGAAATGTGTGGGAGAGAATCTTAGTTCTCTCTCCCAACACTGTTTTCACTCTCATTTCATGTTCTTGAATAGAGCAGTAGAGTGAATACAAAAGGAATGTTAATTGAAATATTATTTTCTTATTCTACATATTAGAGCTTTTGGAAAACAAATGAGAAATATCTAAGGCATATAATTTACTTCCTTTAAAAGATATGATAGTTTAGAGTTAAGTTAAATCCAATTAGTGAGTTGATAATCTCTGATATATTTATTAGGTAAATTTTATATTATTTAGATCTATATTACTTTTAAAATTACATTAGTATTTGATATCATTTGGCTCTGTGTCCCCACCCAAATCTCATCTTGTAATTCCCACGTGTTGTGAGAGGGATCCAGTGAAGCTCCCATAATTCCCACATGATGTGAGAGGGATCCAGTGTAGCTCCCATAATTCCCACGAGTTGTGGAAGGGACCCATAGGGGCCAGTCTTTCGTGTGCTGTTCTCGTGATAGTGAATGGGTCTCACAAGATAGGACGGTTTAAAAATGAGAGTTTCTCTGCACAATCTCTCTCTTTGCCTGCTGCCACCCATCTAAGATGTGACTTGCTCCTCCTTGCCTTGCACCATGATTGTGAGGCCTCCCCAGCCATGGGGAACCTGCAAGTCCAATAAGCCTCTTTCTTTTGTAAATTGCCCAGTCTCAGGTATGCCTTTATCAGCAGCATGAAGATGGACTAATACAGTATTGAATAATATCACATACATTCTCAAATAATAAATTTAACTTAAAATTTTTTAAAATATAAAAATGAAATGTATTGTTGTAGTTTCCAAATTTCTAACAAAAAAGGGCATGACTAAGAATTAAGCTATTTTTGAAATTAATTTTATCACTACGTTGAATGCTATCAGAATTAAAATGACAGAGAATGAGAGAGGAGAGAGATGAAATATTTATGAAGTCATTTCAATTAGTTGCACTTCATATAAATACTACTTAACAAGTGGTGTTACATATATTATTTAGAGCATATTAGTTTATTTAATGCAAAAAATACATTTTAATAGCAATAGTATAATTACATATAATTTTCAGCATCTACATTAAGACGTAATCCATGTACCATAAAATGCCATAAAATGCAAGAATTTAAAGTGTATAATTCAATGCTTTTAGTATATCCTAAAACACTTGTAAAACAATCACCACAGTATAAATTTAAAATATTTTCATCTTCTTTCCAGGAAAAAAAAAAAACTTCCCATTAGCAACCACTCTTCACTTCCCTCCCTTACTTATACAAATGCTAATCTTTATTTCATCCCTACACAATTGTGTTTGTTTAATTTTCATAATAATGACATCATATACCAGGTGATCTTTTGTGACTGGTTCTTTTTATCATAATGATTCCAAGTTTCATACAAGTTGTTGAATGTACCTGTATTTCATTATGTATTAATGTGGACTAATATTCCATTGTATGAATATGCTATGACTTATTATCCATTTTTTAGTTGATGGACATTTGTGTTATTTCCACTTTTTGACTATTATGAATAATGCTGTTATGAACATTATGAACAAGTTTTGTGTGGACATGTTTTTGTTTCTCTAGAATAGAAACATAGGAGCAGATGTCCTGGGTTATAAGGTAACTCAGCATTTAACCTTCTGAGGAACAGACAGTTTTCCAAAAGTCAGCACTGTTTTACATCCCCATCAGTGAATATAAGGGTTAAAATTGTTCTACATTCTTGGCAACAGTTGCTATCTATGTTTCTGAAGATAGTCATCCTAGTGAGTCCAAAGTGGTATCTTACCATCATGTTAATTTGCATTTTTCTAGTGACAAGCAATGTTGAAAATTATTTTATATACTTTTTACCCATTTGTGTATTATCTTTGAGAAAAACTCCATACAAATACTGTGCCATTATTTTATCATTTTTATTTTTAATACCTGTTGCTGACTTGAAATGAAACTCCAGTGTCATTATTAATTGGGTTACCTGTCTTTTTTATTATTGAGTTGTAAATATTCTCAGATATTTTTGATATTTATTTGTCAGCAAATATATGATGATTGGATTTGCAAATATATCTGTGATTGTCTTTCACTTTCTTAATGGTATTATTTGCAGTACAACATTTTTAATTTTGAGATACTCCAACATAATGATTTTCCTTTCAACATATGTACTTTTGGTGTCACATCTAAAATACAATTGCTCAAACCAAGATCACAAAAATTTATTGTATGTATCCTTTTGAAATTTCTATAGTTTTAGCTTTTACATTGACATCTATGGTCCAGAATTCATATCCCCCTATGGTGTAAATAAGGACCCAACTCATTCCTTTGCATATAAGTGTATATTTTTCCCACTACCATTTTTTGAAGAGTCTATTATTTCTCCATTCTTACTGGCAACCCTGCCAAAAATCAATTGATTTTAAGTGTTAGTTTTTTGTTGTCATATGTTTGTTTTCCTGGACTCACAATTCTATTCCATTTCTCTAAATGCCTATTCTTGTGCCAGTACCACACAGTCATGTTGCTCTCATTTTGCAGTACATTTTGAAATTGGGAAGTGTGTGTCACTCAACATCATTCTTTTTTTCCAATATTATTTTGGGTATTCTGCATCTCTCCCATTTCCATTTGAATCTTAGCATCAGCATGTCAATTTCTGCAAAAAGGGAATCTGTGATGTTGGCAGTGACTGCACTGAATGTGTAAATTTGAGGAATATAGCCATCTCAACAATGAAGAGTCAGTGTTCTGGCCCACTAACATGAAATGTTTTTCCAATTGCTTAAGTCTTCTTTAACTTCTTTGAAAAATGATTTGTAGTTTATAGTATGGATGTCTTATACTCCTTTGTTACATTTATTCTAGTGTTTTATTATTTGGTTGATCCTATAAGTAGAGTGTTTCCTTAATTTTGTTTTAGGATTGTTCATTGATAGTGTATGAAAATTAAAATGGTTTTGTATGTTGATTTTATATTGTGTAATCTTGTTAAACTTTTTTATTAGTCCTAATATCTTCCCTCTCTCTATGGAAATTTTAGAATACATAAATTTATGTTATCTGCAAACACAGAAGAGTTTATACCCTCTTTTTCAATCTGGATATCTTTGGTTCATTTTTCTTGCTTAATTTCCCCAGATAGAATTTTCAATACAATGTTGAGTGGAAGCAGTAAGAGTGAAAGAAAGGGCATTCTTACTGTCCTGATTTTAGTAAGAAAGCATTCGGTTTTCATCATTAAGCACGATGTTAGCTGTACCTTTTTCATGAATGTTCTTTATCAGTTTTAGGAATTCTCTTCTATTGCCAGTTAGTCCAGTGCTTTTATCAAAAAAGGGCGTTGGATTTTGTCAAATGTTATTTTATTTTAGTGATATAATTCTGTGGCTATTGCCCTTTGTTCTATGGAAATGGTACGTTACATTCATTGATTTTCATGCTAAACCAATCTTGTACTCTTTGGATGAAACTCACTGGATCATGGCATATGATTCCTTTTATGTGTTGCAGTATTTTTAAATTTAATAATCTATTGTTGAGGAGTTTTGAATCAATATTTAGAAGAAATATTGATCTATAGTTTCTTTTCTTGTGGTGTATTTTCCTAGTTTTAGCATTAGAACAACACTGATGCCAGAAAATATGAGAAGTATTCCATTTTCTATTTTTGGAAGAGTTTTTGAGGATTTATATTAATTCTTCTTTAAATGGTTTGATTCTCCAGTCAAGTCAGTCCAGTCCTATGCTTTGCTTTGTGGGAATTTTAAGATTAACTAGTTGAATAGTTTTACTTGCTAGAGTTCTATTCAAAATTTTATTTCTCCTTTAATTATTTTGATAGTTTACATTTTACTAGAAACTTTTTTCGTTTTTAAATATTATCCACTCTTGTAGCATACAGTTGTTCAAAATATTCCCTTTTAATTATTATCTTTATCTGTAAGTAATATCGCCTTGTTCACTTCTGATTTTAGTAACAATTCATTATTTTATTGACTTATATAGCTAAAGGTTTGTCAGTTTTGTGGCTGTTCAGAGTCAACTTTTGCTTTTGTTGGCTTTATATATTAAAAGTAATATATACTATAATAAACTTATTTCTACTTTATTATCATTTTTTCTTCTAAATATTTAGAAATTAATTTGCTGTACATTTTTAAACCTTTTAAGGCAGATGTTATGTTATTGATTTGAGATCTTGTTTGTTAATATAGGCAATAAAACTTTACATTTCACTCTCATAACTGTTGGCTACATACCATATGTTTTACAAGTAATTTTTTCTGATTTTTTAATTTTTTTGTGACTTCTGAAATGATCCATTGGTAATTCAGAAATATGTTAATTTTCATATATTTGTAAAATTTCTAAATTTCCTTCTAATTTTTAATTTCATTCCATTGAAGGAAATTGAATTAATTTTTAATTTCATTAAAAAATCATCAAACAACATACTTTTTATGATGTCAATCCCTTCATATTTACTAAGGTTTGCTTTATGGCCTTTGTCATCTTAAAATGTCTGTCTATCTCTGGTAATATGTTTTATTAGGGGCCTAAGTTGGCTTGTTTTATACAGCCACTCCAATTGTCTTAAATTTGATATTTGCATGGTAAATATATCTTCCATCATTTTACTTTCAAACTTTCACTTCTTTGAATCTAAATTGTGTCTCCTAGAGTCAACATTTAATTGTGTTTTTAGAAAATAATAAGACTAGTATCTACATTTTGTTTGGATTGTATAATACATTCACCTGTATTGTCGTTATTGAAGTGGTACAATTGATACCTAGATTCCTGCCATGTTGTATTTTGCTACGTGTCTCATGTCTGTTTTATTCCCTGATCCCCCTATTTATAAATATTTCTTTTTATTAAATGGGTATTTGCTAGTGTAACTTATTAATTCTTTTATTTCTTGTAATAATATTCTTAGAATTATTTTATCACAGGTTGCTTCAGAGCTTACTTTAATACCTTATCAAATACATTTAGATATAAGCAAACGATTCTAGAAATAAAGAAACCTAGTCTTTTAAAGTTTTTTATCCCTCCTCTTTGTGCTATTTTTCTTTATATATTTATAAACCCAATAATAGTATTAATTATTACTTACGTATTTTTACTTTCAGCACTTTGAATGTGTATTTCCAGTGCCTTCTAGCCCCTAATTTTCTTTATGAAAAGTCCACAGTAGTTAATTTTATTGCAGTTCCCTCATATGTAATGTTTTGTTGTTGTTGTTTTTGGCCGTCAACGTTTTGACTCTGATGTATCTGAGAGTGTTTATCCTATTTGGAAGTTTTGAGCTTCTTGGGTGGGTACTGTGAACTCAAATTATCTGAGACAAGTCTCAACCAATTCAGAAAGTTTATTTTACCAAGGTTAAGGACTTGCACATGCAGAACCTGAGGAGGTCCTGATATGCGCCCAAGGTGGTTGGGGTACAGCTTGCTTTTATACATTTTAGGGAGGCATGAGACAACAACCAGTATGTGTAAGATGTACATGGTTTGGTTCAGTTCAGGACGACAGGATAACTGGAAGCAGGGGGCAGGTGTCTTCTAGGTCATAGATAGATAAGGGACAATTGGTTGCATTCTTTTGAGTCTTTGACCAGCCTTTCACTGAATACACAATTTATGTGTGAGAGCAGGATACAGGAATAGTGATTTATGCCTTAGTCTGGCTTAGTGAATCTGCATTTTTACATAAACGATAGGGCAGAGGAAGCAAGGAGATAAGCATTTTTCTCAGGTGAGCAGAGGGGTGACTTCCTGTCCTGCACCTGTGAAGATAAGCTATCAATTTATATTGCCAGGGTGAAATTCAACAGAACTGTTTTAGGGTAAAGATCTTGATGCCCATAAGGAATTCCTTGTGGGCAAATTGTGAGGGGGCTATGCAGCTTTTTAAAAATCTTTGTAACTATCTTATTTGAAGTTATCCCATATTTCTCTGAGTCTCTTAATTTTTCTTTGTCCTCTTTTTTCTCTGTTTACTAATCTTGGCTTACATAATCATCTGTCATCAAGTTTGCTGACTTTTCTTATAGCTCAAGTCTACTTTGAAATTCTCATGTGAATTTTTCATTTCATTATTATCCTTTTCAACTCCAGAATTGTCATTGGTTTGCTTTATAATTTCTATCTCTTAACTGGTATACTCTATTTTATGAGACATTTTCATTGTATCTTCTTTACATCCTTTAGATGACATGTTCCCTAGTTTTTTTTGTTTATTGTTTGTTTGTTTTAATATATTTAAAAGAGCTACTTGGAACTCTTTGTTAGCCAAGTCTAACATCAGGTCTCCTTTAAGAACAGATTTATTATCTTACTTTTTTTTCCTATATATTTGGATATATTTTTTGTTGGAAACTGGACATTTTAGATATACATATATATATAGATAGATAGATAGATATTCTGGACTTTCAACGTCTTAACAACTCAATCTTGGAAATGATGTTTTGTTTTTGTTTTTTTATTTAGTCATTTATTTACTTGTTTAATGACTTGGCTGAACTGATAATATGCAGTTAATTTTCTTTTTCTTTTTTTTTTTTTTTTTCTTGTGACAGAGTCTTGCTCTGTTGCCAGGCTGGAGTGCAGTGGTACGATCTCGGCTCACTGCAATCTCTGCCTCTCGGGTTCAAGGGATTCCCCTGCCTCAGCCTCCCGAGTAGCTGGGACTACAGGTGCTCACCACCACACCTGGCTAATTTTTTGTATTTTAGTAGGGACGGGGTTTCACCATGTTAGCCAGGATGTTCTTGATCTCCTGACCTCGTGATCCTCCCACTTCAGCCTCTGAAAGTGCTGGGATTACAGGCGTGAGCTACCGCGCCTGGCCATGCAGTTCATTTTTATGCAGTATACATCCTCTGCTGTTTCTTCTCAGATTTTTTTTAATCAATATCTTTGCTATTTTAGATCAGCATAAGTTATATTTGTCAAACGTTATGTTGAAGCTTACTGGTAAGATTTTACTCTTTCCATTTTAGCTGTTGGAAGTTGCTATTAGAGTTTAAAGAGTTATTTTTTCTTACTGTCACCCAAGGACCAGTAGCTTAGATTGTTTTTCTTCTCTCTGATTCCTCCTGAGAGTATAAATCCTTAGAACTGGACATAGTCTTTCAGATTGCCAGGAATGTGTGAAATTATATTTTATGACTGTCTTCCTAGGACTTACCCCTGGGTCACAGTAGCTTATTGTTCAGTCTATAGCTGGCAGAGGTTTTGAGTAAGCCCCTAGTGCCATTAAAACTGCCACCCTTTGTTTTCTGAAATGCTTTTGAGTTGTTCCCACTACCTACTCCAATTGCTCTTGAATGAAGGTAGCTTAACACTTCCAACAACTTTCTCATCACTAATGCAGTCTTAAGCATTCTCTGAAGACTAAAAAAGTTAACAGACAAGATATTATTATTATTATATGGAATGCTATACAACATTAGCTACCCAGGTTTTATATATATATATATATATATATGTATATATATATATATATATATATATTTCATTTTAATAGATATTATATTTGAGAGTTTATGCCATATATATTTCCCAAATATATTTCTTATAATAATGTAAATATTGACTGAGAAAGTTAAAAGTTAATCTCCAATAGTGTCTCCTTTAGAGTAAACATTGTCAACATTGTAGTTACTTGTCATTTGCTAATATCAATATCATAATACAAACTCAGGCTTTGGATACAAATAGTCATAATTTAGAATTGTGCCCTAAAGCTGTCTTTTAATGCAAAAATTGTAAAATTTTAGAAACTCTCTTGTGTTTATTTTTTAAGTCATTGCTACAGATATTTTCTCATAGCAATGTCTTGAAGATTAATTATATAACTCCATAAATCAGGATTACTATTATCCTTGTCATTGTTATAAATGTGACTGATTTTTAAAATAAATCTTACATTATATTGCATATAAATATTTTTTCCTTTAGTCACCTACAAACATAAGTGACTATTTTATATGAATGAAGTCATAAGCACTTTAATAATTGCATTTTATGAGTGTGCTGTGGATTCATTGGTATTATGTTACATAGGTCTTAATTATGTCACCTAACTTTTTTTTAACCACATTTCTTCTTCTATATAATCTAGAATTTCCTTTTTTTTTCCTTTCAGTGATTTGAAGGCATGTCTTATTCTACTAGTAATTGTCTTTAATAATTATTTTTATATTATTTTCCTTGATATTGTCAAGGTAAAAGTAAAATATACTCAATGAGACTTTATGAGTTAAAAGTTTGGCACATTTTTACTTCTTCACCTTACTTGGCATTTTATTGATACAGTTAAGGGGTTGTTGGTGGTGATGGTGAGTCTGATGGTGATGATGATAATGATGACAGTTAACCATGTTTAAACTGGCTGCATTATACCTCACATTTCAAAATATTTCATGATAAAAATTGATGAAAGAAAAACTTCAGCCAAATTAAATTTAAAGGCACATAATTGAGCAATGAACAATTCGCGAGTCAGGCAGCATTCTCAGCCAGAGTAGGTTTGGAGATTCCAGCGCAGCCTCATGGTGGAAGATTTATAGACAGAAAAAGGAAAGTGAGGGGAAGAAAATGGAAACGAGGTACAGAAACAGCTGGATTGCCTATAGCTCCACCTTTGCCTTATTTGAACATGGTTGGAATAGTTGGCTACATTTGATTGGCCAAAACTCTGTGATTGGCGCAAGTGTAAGCTAATGTCTGGTCTGTTTACACCTTCACTTGATATAGTTCACAATGTGCGGAACAATCTTTAGGCTGAACTTCAAATACATAAGGAGGAAGCTTTAGGCTAAACTTGATTTAAGGAAATCTTCTATGATACTTTTTATGTGTTTTGTTTCTGTTTTTGTTTTGTTTGGCTTTATATCTAGGCCACAGGATTGAAATTTTTTTTTTTAACTTTCATTCAGAAAGAGTTTTTTGTTTGTTTGTTTTTGTTGTTGTTGTTGTTTGCTTTTTTTTTTTTTTTTTGGTTTCCAATACTCTAAAAATGACTTGGCAGTGGCTGTTAGATTTTTATAGCTACCTGAATAGTTACATTATTATAAGATCGTATTAGTCTTATTTTAATTGTAGCATACTATGTTGTAAAAATTGTACTGTCAGAGTGACATTTTATTCATTTTCTGTTGTGTATATTTTTCTTGCCTGGAGATTTGGGAAATTTTAATTTATAATTTTTTTTAAATAAAAACACTGTACTATATATAGGTATCAAAATATTTTTATCAATTATTTCCTGCCACTAAAAAGTTGATTTTTTTTTTTGGCAAGTGAAGTCTGTACTATTTTGTCTTGTCATTAATCATAGGATTGCTTTATTGAATCTAATTCTATACAAAATGAGATCTTCTGTATCGGTTTATAAAGTTTTTTTGTTGTTTTTATTTACTTTATCTTGTATCTTTCTCATATAAATTCTTGGAGTGTACCTGAACTTTTTCATTGTCTTTGTACTCTTTAGTCATTTTTCTGTACATTCAGTATCCTGTTCCATTGTAATTTGTTATAGACAATTGTCAGATTCATCTTAAATAAAGTCAAATAATTTCCCTTTAATTTTTCTTTCTCTAGTTTTATAAATACAATATCCCCTCAGCTATTGTTAAAAACCCGTTAGATATTGAACAAATTTTTTCACATTCTTGCAATATTTGTTTTTCAGAAGCATTTCTTGTCCTCCAGCATATTTTCATGGATTAGATGAATTTTTCTTTTTCCTCATCTTATTTTTGAGAATATTTTACAATTACTCTTGCCTTGCTTTGTCTATCTTTAGAAAATATGCCTAGCTAACCTGACATTTTCTTTGAAATGTTTGGTTATTTGAGAATGTCCTCTCACCCCTGTGATTTAGGAATAACAGGTGAGGGTACATGAGTTTTTTTCTTCACCTATTTTATAATACTTTCTAATGAAATACTCTATTATATAATGACACTCTCTAATAAGAAAAGTCATTGATGGGCCAGGCACGGTGGCTCACACCTATAATCCCAGCACTTTGGGAGGCCGAGGCATGCAGATCACAAGGTCAGATCGAGACCGTCCTGGCTAACATGGTGGAATCCTGTCTCTACTAAAAACACAAAAAAATTATCCAGGCGTGGTAGCGGGTGCCTGTGGTCCCAGCTACTCGGGAGGCTGAGGCAGAGAATTGCTTGAACCCAGGAGGCGGAGCTTGCAGTGAGCCGAGATCAAACCATTGCACTCCAGCCTGGGCCACAGAGTGAGACTCTGTCTCAAAAAAAAAAAAAAAAAAAAAAAAAGAAAGGAATGAAAAGTCATTGACATCATTGGCTTTATCACCCTGTTGTCCTAGTCAGCTCAAGATGCCATAACAAAATATTATACCACAAGCTGGATGGTTTAAACAACACACATTATTTCTCATAATTCTGTAGGCTATCAATACAGATCCATTTGCCAGTAGATTCAGTTCTTTTTTTTATTTTATTTTTATCTTTTTTATTTTTTGAGATGGAGTCTCGCTCTGTCACCCAGGCTGGAGTGCAGTGGCACAGTCTCGGCTCACTGCAAGCTCCGCCTCCCGGTTTCACGCCGTTCTCCTGCCTCAGCCTCCTGAGCAGCTGGACTACAGCCGCCCGCCACCGGTCGGCTAATTTTTTGTATTTTTAGTAGAGATGGGGTTTCACTGTGTTAGCCAGGATGGTCTCGATCTCCTGACCTCTTGATCCGCCCGCCTCGGCCTCCCAAAGTGCTGGGATTAGAGGAGTGAGCCACCACGCCCGGCCAGATTCAGTTCTTCAGGGCTCTATCTTGGCTTGCATATAGCTGCCTTCTCTCTTTCTTCTTTCTTCAATGCATGCATGAAGAGAAACAGAGGTCTCTTTTGTCTCTTCCCATTGTCACGAGGCCAGCAGTCCTATGAAACTAAGGTTTCACCCTTATGACCTCGCTTAATCTTTATTACCTCCTTATAGGCCTTATGTCCAAAGACAATCACATTGCAGCTTAAGGCTTCAATATATAAACTATGGGGAAACATAATTCAATCAATAACACTGATCTACACTAAATCTAGAGGAAATTTCTTCCTTTAAAATACTTAGCACCCTTCTTTTACCACCCAGATTAATGGAGGAAAAATTTACCTTTTTATTTTTCTCAATATCACAATTCTTGTATACATGTTTCCCCAATCCAGAAAATTTAATTTTATTGAAACTCATTAGTATACCTTCTAGAGATTTAATATCACTATCAATTTGTGTGTGTGGTGAGAAAATTTAAGATCTACCCTCTTAAGAATCTTTAATTATATACTATGTTATTATTATTAACAGTCTGTCCCTATGCTGTGCAGTAGATCTCCAGAAATTTTTCTCCTTTCTAATTGAAACTTTGTACCCTTTGGCCAACATCTTCTGATACCAGTGGGCTGGGGGAGGTCTCCAAATACCAGTGGGACCTCAACCCCAACTGGTGTCCAGACTCTTGACACCATCATGAGAAGGAAGTCAGGATGAGTCAGAAAATGTGAAATTATGGAGATTTATTGCAGTGAAAACCACACACTCAAGGAAGGGAGTACAAGCCTACTTAAAACAGTCATGGCCAAGGGATTTTGGGGCCTTTATGGGCTTCTTTAATCAAGGAGTGAAATATTCATGAAAATTTCTGGAAAAAGGTGGTTTCTCAGAACTATGGTGCCACCCATTTTTACACCAAATATTATTGTTCCTGAAACTGTCATGGCGCTGCTAGGTGTGTGATTTAATATGTTAATGAGCATATAATAAGGTCCTAGGCGAAACATATGTCAAATCTAGCACCAAAGTTGTCTAAGCAGGCTTTGAAACTGCCTTTGCAAAAACCGTAACTGAGAAAAGTATTACAGTGAAAGACATCTGACCTAACTGACTCCATCTTGCTAGTAACACCTGCATCCTGTCCTTGCCTATTCCTAGGTGTAAGTCAAACTAACTTCGGGAGGAACTTAGTTTATATTAATAGTTTATAGTTTGAAACAAAGACAATAACAGAGCTTTCCGAAAACAAGCCCCCTTCTTGCCTGAGGACTAGACTTCCTTTGTAGGACTAACAAATTAGCCAAAAGATGAGAAATTATGGTTTAGGAGTCATACAGCTCGAGGCCACAAGATTCTGATCCTCCCCAGATTGCTCCTGGGGATAACATCACTATTGTAAAACCTAAGATCACTGCTTGAGATATTTTGTAGACCCTGCACTTGATGAACCAGTTGGCAACACCCAGATCCATAAACTAGCTCATCAGATCTTGTGGCCCCCAACCCGAAACTGACTCAGTACAAGAGGACAGCTTCAACTCCCTATGATTTCATCTCCGAACCAACTCATCAGTATTCTCAACTCACTGCCCCCGCAATCCCACCAAATTATCCTTCAACACTCCGATCCCTGAATGAATGGGGAGACTGATTTAAATAATAATAAAAACTCCTGTCTCCTCCACGCACAGTCAGATCTGTGTGCATTACTCTTTCTCTATCGCGATTGCCCTGTCTTGAAGAATCGACACTGTCTAGGCAGTGGGCAGGGTGAACCCACTGGGGAGTTACAACTTGGTCCACATGTTGTTTCTCAGGGTCTTATCAGCGCATAGCCTCTGCAACTATTTCAATAGTTTCCTTTTGCTAGTCATGTGAAATTGCTGCCTGGAATGTTCTATTTTCCTGAAATCACCCTCTATCATTCAGGTCTCACTCACTCCCTTCCCCCAACTTCAGACCCTGAAAACCACCATTCTACTCTATGATTCTATTTGTTGCACTTTTAGATACTATGTATTAGTGAGGTAATGTGGTAATGCAATATTTGTCTTTCTCTGCATGGCTTATTTCACTTAATATAATGTCCTCTAGGTTCATTCATGTGGTAACAAATGACAGGATTTCTTTCTTTTTTTAAGTCTGAATAGTATTCTAGCGAATATGCACACTCATTATTTTACTTTGGATCTATACCTGGAAGTGAGATTGCTAGATTCTAAGGTAATTCTATTTTTAATTTTGGAGGAGCATCTAGTCAGCAAGATGATTGTCAGAAGTTGTCATTTTCTTCAGCTTCCATCTAACTTTCTTTTTTCAGTAGCTGAGACAGAATGGTTTTCCATAATGGCTGTACTTACTTACATTCCCACCGACAGTGCACAAGAGTTCCCTTTTCTCCATATCATTGCCAACACTTGTTAACTCTTGTCCTTTGGTAACAGTCATTCTAACAGTGGTGAGGTGATAGGTCATTGCTGTTTTAATTTTCATTTCCCTCAAATACCAGCTTATCCTCTTAAGAGCTGTGTTACCTTAGGCAGATAACTCAGTCTTTCCAAATGTCAATGTCTTCAACACAGAAATAGGGATAATAATGTCTAATTTTTATTTTTGCTGTAATTAATATTTCCTCATATATCTGTGTTTATGTGATTTCATGTATTTATGTGTGTGTATGTGTGTGCTTGTAATACGAATCCTAGCAGAATGCCTGACACATAGACCTATGCCAGGTACTCAGTAGTAGAAACCATTATTGTTGCTAAATATATAATGACTTGCAACTTGAAATAAAATAGAATATGTTTTTCTTAATTGACTCCAAATATGTTCAGCATTTATGTTGACAGCATTGATTCATATACTCTCAACAAAAACATTCAAGTATCCTTTTATTAAACAGATACAAATCTAAATTATCTGTGGTTTTGTGTTTAATGCTCAGCCTCAAAATTTAGCAGGTTCTCTGGCAACCTCTGGACATCTGGAGTAAGATAATGAATACACTACCAAACAATATATGTGAGAAATTTTGAAACAATTGTGAGTTTAACACAGAAGTTGAAAATTCTCAGGTTTCTACTGAAATACATTTATAACTCTTTTTTTATCCTCATCGAAACCTTCACTTTGGGGTGCTATATTTTTAAAAAATTGTATTGTTTTCCATCAATTGCACACTCCTTGAGAGTAGATTACTTTCATCTTGTATCTCTAATGCTTGCAGCTGTTGCTGGCTCAGTATCAGGCTTGGATTGTTTGAATTAATCCAAGTAAAAATGAATATATTAATCTTCAATTGGAAGTTCAAGTACAGCTGAAAAATAAATTTAGAATCATGTTCCATTGCTATAACTTTTTTGGAATAAATGATGATTTGTAAACATTCATAGTCTGTAGTAAATTGAATTTCTAGTGCATTTTTTTAATAAACAATATCCATTTTAATTTAGCAAAATACTTTTCTTAAGAAAAGTCAATGATGAACTTTGAATTATACTTTTAATAATAATTTTCTTGTGCTTATTTAGTACTTTGCCCTGTAACAATCAGGTATTCTAAATTTGTAAACACAGTTTAGTTGGAATATGCCACTTTATATAATAAAAAATAAATATAAGTAAATATTTTAGGGTGTCGGGTGCTACTAATCGAAATGGCTTGTTTCATTTTTAGTTGCAAAAGTTTTGCTTTTGTAATTCTACAGTAAATTTTTTGTAATGACGTAGAGTTGATCACTATCCTGTCATATTTTCTCTATATATTTGGCATGCTTTATTTCAGGAGCATTAAATTGATATAATTTATTTATTGATAGGTAGTGTTCTCAACATATATAAACCAAGTTTACTCCAATAAAAAACAAGAAATTCTAACAGTGCCATTCCTTCATTTGCACAAAGCTTGGCATGATGCAAATCATTTGGACTTGGAAACTGGACTGATATTAGTTTCAATCCCAATCTACACTAATAAGATAATAAGGGGTGAAATGGGTAGAACAAATACCTTGGAGAAACTTTAAGGGAATTAAATAAAATATATAAAAATGACTGTCAGAAGTTGGTGTTTTCTTTACCTCCCATCTAACTTTCTTTTACAGCTGGAGATGGGATGGCTGAAACCAATAAGCTAACAAGGTCATGATACTCATTGCCTTTATTAAAGGTGGAATTTTCTGTCCAATTTAAAAAATCATGAGGGCATTGTATGATAAAAAGCCATCAGTATGTGTTCTTGACAAATTACGTTTTAAAAGCTTTTAACACTTTTCTAATGACTAAATCCCTTAAGATGAACAGCTTGAAAGAGCCAAAGGTAACTCACAATCAGGAAGATTATATATTGAAAAATAGCCTTGAACATTGTCTTTTTAAGTGCTCTTACAAGTAAGCACTTGAAGAAAATCATAAATTTTACTTGAGAAGAAAAGCATACCAATTGTGAAGTGATGATGTCTGGCCTTTGAAAAGTGCAAGTAGTGCCTGATTATAAGGTTACTGATTTATTTAGGCAACATGCTGCTTGTAACTTGTACTTTCAACTGTCAATTTAAATTGTATTCAACTTTGGCTTAACTTATATTCAGCTCATTGAAAACCTTAGGGAACCAAACTTGATGCTGTTTCAGAGGGTAAGGAGACTCTATAATCTCTCCAGCTCAAATCTGGCTGACAGAAACAATTGCCTGCTTTCTCAGCCATTCAAACTAACTGAAATCAAAAGAAACAAATGGTGATTAACTGGCTTGCCATGTGATTTTTGTTTCTAGCTTTACTCTGTATCTACAATACATTCTCTCTTAAAATACACAGGAAAGGTAACATGATTTTTTTAATGAATAAAAACTATTATTAGGAAGTAAATGAGCAAAGAAAGAAATTCTATTTAAATATACATTTAACAAATATAATGTTTATAATACATACAAATACCGATATTCATTCTTCTTCACTTTCTACATTCCTTTTCCTCTCTGCTTTCTTCTCTCCTTCCAATCTACCTTCTTTTCCTTCTTCTTTCCTCTCTTGTTCCTTTTTTCTTTCTTCATTCATTTCTCCCTTTCCTAACAGACAAAAGTTTGTGTAATGTGTAACACATAAAATCAAACTGTTATATAGACATCATCACCAGAGGTCGGGAGTTCAAGACCAGCCTGACCAACATGGTGAAACCCCGTCTCTACTAAAAATACAAAAATTAGCAGGAAGTGCTGGCATGGTCCTGTAGTCCCAGCTGCTCGGGAGGCTGAGAATTGCTTGAACCTGGAAGGTAGAGGTTGCAGTGAGCCGAGATTGCACCACTGCACTCCAGCCTGGGTGACAGAGAGACTTCATCTCAAAAAAGAAAAAAAAAAAGTAAGTGAAGGTCCTCTGAGTGGATTTATAGAGTAACACCAATTCTTGGAGGGATTACAAACGCTTATCCTAAAAAAATTAAATGTACAAAACTTGCAACATGGACTAATTAGAAATAAGACGTATACAGTAACACTCATTTTAACTATTTAGCGGGTTTTTGTGAAGCCAGAAATTTGCAAAATGTTGGATGTGTGTATATGCAAAATTTATGTCCGTGTGTAGCCTGTATGTGCATCATATATCTTCCTTGTTATGTAATTCCAGATGTACCTATAGAAGCATTGAATGACCACATTGTTAGCTCATGTAACATCTTTTTAAAGATAGTTTGAGAAGATGGTACAAGTCATTAATATCAAATCAGCTGTGTCAATCTCGTATTTCTCTCATATGCCCCCAAATTTGGGATGCTTTCAAATTTTTTTTCATAACCATGTACAATGTTGTTTTAAATCTCTCTTTCTATTTATATCATTTTTGCCTGTTTATTCAGCTGTTAATTGTTAGTTTTTTCCATAAATATATGTCTTAATTGCCCAATGAGAGGTATCCATCTTGTGGGAGTTTTTTTTTTTTTTATTATTTCAAAGTACATAGACATATTCTGAACGTAGTTTATGATTTATGGACTAAAGTTTAAAACTCAACTGGCAAATGCACTACATAAATTTATTAATCACATATGAATACTTCAAAGCCTATTAATGAGAGGTACTACATGCAAATATGAATAGAAAACAAGTATGTGCCCATTCCAAATTGCTTTGGACACACCATGCCAAAATATGACTATAGCAGGCCAGAATGTGCCACCCCAAAGTATACTTATTTATTTATTTATTTATTTGAGACAGTCTCGCTCTGTCGCCCAGGCTGGAGTGCAGTAGCGCGATCTCGACTCACTGCAAGCTCCGCCTCCCGGGTTCATGCCATTCTCCTGCCTCAGCCTCCGGAGTAGCTGGGACTACAGGCGCCTGCCACCACGCCCGGCTAATTTTTTTGTATTTTTAATACAGACGGGGTTTCACTGTATTAGCCAGGATGGTCTCGATCTCCTGACCTCGTGATCCGCCTGCCTCAGCCTCCTAAAGTGCTGGGATTACAAGAGTGAGCCACCGCGCCCAGCCACCCCAAAGTATACTTCTTTGGCATATTTTGAGTTGGTTATTCTCAGAAACTGCAGAATACAATTTGAAAACATATGATCATTTATTTTCAGCATTTTCATAGAGTAAAATACAAATAAATTAGGAATCAAAGAAAGAATACAGTTTTTTTTTGTCTATACTATTTATCTTTGACATAATCATTTGCTCTTTACCAGAGATTTCCATATCACCTACTGTTCCATGAGGTCAGTCGTATATTCTGTGGTCATCCCCATGCTGTTGTTAGGGTTCAGGCCCCAGTTACCTATTCCTTTCTGTAGCCCAAGCTAATACATAAGCTTCTAGATCTCACTGGGTTATGGGGAGTATTCACTTTTTTTTTCCTGTGCTATCAAATACACATAATAAATGTGTATTCTTTTTCTCTCGTTAACCTGCCTACTGTCAGTTTATTTCATAGACTCAATTACTTTACCCTCAAAGGCCAGAGAGAGTCTTTTCTCTTTTGTATACTGTTTTCTGCTTCCAGTGAGGCAAGCTCTATCTCAGGGTAGCATAACTCAAGAAGCTCTCTATGAGTGTTTACCAGAATATCTTTGAACACTGAGACTTCTTTTTTATTGGGAACTACAAGATTGAAGAGTTGATCTCCAGCTAAACAATCTGGGCAAACAAATTAAAGGAAGGTGGCAATAAACCACGGGAGGGTAAAAGGAGTAAATGCAATCTGAACAAAGGCCCTCCTGCTACACAGATAAATTTATCTCAGGTAATGGAAATGATCACAAAGCAGCCCTCTTGCTTGTTACAGATATTCTACTAATGCAGATTGCCTTTAGAGATCTACGTTTTCTTTACAAAACGACACATTTACAGAGTTACTCCTGTTTCTGCAGTTTCTGAAGAAAAAAATATCTCAATATAGGTATGTATGTGCATAATTTTTTGTAAAGGTACAACATTTCAAAGTTTTTTATAAAGCATAAGTTAGCTTTGAGGGCATCACATAGGTTCAGAAAGATATAAAATAGGAGTTCGGATATTACAATTCATTTTTCAGAATGTTGTAAAAATCAATTTAATAAAGAACAACAGATAATCATTGATTCAACCTTTTACAAATACGTAATATTGATTTCATATATAGTCCCATTTGTATGCTCTTTTGTTTGTTTGTTTTGTTTTTTTGAGACGGAGTCTCACTCTGTCGCCCAGGCTCGGAGTGTAGTGGTGCGATCCCGGCTCACTGCAACCTCCACCTCCTGGGTTTAAGTGATTCTCTTGCCTCAGCCTCCCAAGTAGCTGGGATTACAGGCGTGTGAAACCACACCAGGCTAATTTTTGTATTTGTAGCAGAGATGGGGTTTCACCATGTTGACCAGGCTGGTCTCTCAAAATCCTGACCTCAAGTGATCCATCCGCCTCGGCCTCCCAAAGTGCTGGGATTACAGACACGAGCTACCACACCCAGCCTCTCATGTGTATGCTTTTATTGTTCCATTACTATAGATTTTACAAAGTGTGCCAGTTCTTTATTTTTGACCACAGCTAAACAGCTTCATCAGCTCCAAACTTTCTTTTTTAAAAAAACGTTTTTAAAAATAATTTTTGTGCTACTGCAAAAGAGGTTTGGTCAATGGGATCTACTCAGTGAGACATAGCCCAGGTGCATTTTTGCTCTAATGCAACACATCCAGCCCATCTGTTGTTGTCTCTTTAGGCGACGTGGATAACATCTGTTTTACTTGTTTGTTGACATACATCAGCATTTGGAATGTGGTTGCAAAAATAGAAATCTGCACATTCATCATTCAATTGATCCTTGAAGAATAGCTTGCTTTCTTCCTTAGCTTATTTGAGAGATTTTAAAGTCTTGTGTTACATCTCTCTCCCTGCATTTGAGGAGGAGTTGATGAGTAACTTGTTAACATTGTTCGCTATGCTTATTCAATTCAAATGAAGTTACATCCCCCCATATTTATTTCTTATTTATCAAAGGCCACTTTACCTTAAATCCTGTTGATTTTAATTTTTTTTAGTGTTAAGTGGCTTTACACTTTTAAGTGGTAGTATTCACTTCAAATAATTTTGCTTTTTGCCTGAGTCTGTTTGTATGTACATATGTATGCATGTGGGTGTATAAGTATATACATTACATATATGTAAAATGTTACATACTTAATAGATATGTGAAATGAAATTTAAGTTTTACATAAAACATGAACATTAAATTTATGTTTGAAGGCCTTTTAAGTTATAGCTTACTAATTTGAAGAACATCTATGAGACAGTAATATGTATCATATCTTATTAATTGGAATGGATGGCAGTACTTTCAAATAAAAAAATTGTTTCTGTATTTAAAGAACTAAGTATAGAAGAGAACAGTAATCATGTTATTGAGGAATAGTACGTTGTTGCTTCTTTTCTTAGCAAATGTGTACTTACAAATATTTATCTTTTGTTTCTTAAAATTTGAAAAAATACAATAATTGAAGTTTATTTTAATGGCTTCTTTTTCACTTTGACAAAATTTTATTTTAATTACACTTCTTTTAAAACCTTAACGAAAACTTGTGCTACTCATACATTTAGAAACTGTATTTAGATGTTCTAGAGGAAAAGATATCCAGAAATTAGAGTTCGAGAATTTTCAGCAAGCAAATTCAGAAGGGGAGTATGAGTTGTGTAGTGTGAATACTGAATAATCATGTCATTTCTATCCCCAATTCATTGACTTCCATCCCCCAAACATTGGTGGGTATTAGCAAGCAGCAGTGACCAAGAATGACCTGGGGAGGAATGTACTGGCCCATTTAACACCTCTGAGGGAAGGTTTAATTCTATGAAGAAGCTTCCTAGATCATTTCCCTTTTTTTCATGGCAGGTATATACATCGCTCCTCAATATAAGACATGTAGTAAGTGTTAAAATATACATTATCAATTACTTTTTATTCTCATAAAAATGTCCTGTGCAAATATTTTCACTTCTGCTCATTGTGAATTATAGATTCAAGTAAATTGCTTCATCTTCACCTTTTATATTTCTAGTCTTAATGTTTTTGAGCATACTGTTTCAATGTGGAAGTATATAATGTAAATAAGTTTTAATATATATCCATACTATACGATTCACCTAACAGATGACTGAAGAAATCTAGAGACTATAATGGTTAAGTGAATACCTTCAAAGAGAAGAGAAAAATTCAAAAACAGACCATACTCCAAAGATACCCAAGCATTCATCTTCTTTGTTTTTAAGCACTAAAATTCCATCCTCAGCATTTTGGCTCAATTACATTTTAGAATTATGAATGTGATTGATATTTCTCTTTTAGAGGGTGGAGAATGAATTGTAGTAAAGAAAATCAGGCTAAATTATCTCCTAAAGACTAGCAATATATTTGGAAACACACATAACATTATTTATAATTTTTTATTTTGAAGACATGTTACAAAAATTATGTGTCAAAATAAACACTAGAATACATTTTCACAATTAAAGCCTTTGCTAATTGCTCTAAAAATAGTAAAGACTTCTATTCTTCCTAAATCCATTCATTTATATAGGCAAGAATGCAGACAATATTTTGATCCATTCTTATAATTTGCTTCGGTTGTTTCATGTATATAAGTGGCATTGGACAAGGGAAATGTCATAGTAGCCTTTTTAATTTTAGCTTTTATATTTTGTTTATAATATATGTGGGGTTTTGGTTGTTGTTATTGGTGTTGGTGGTGGTGGTGGTGGTGTTGTTTTGAGATGGAGTCTCGCTCTGTTGCCTGGACTGGAGCTCAACTCTATTGAGCTATCTGGGCTCACTGCAAGCTCCGCCTCCCTGGTTCAAGCAATTCTCTGCCTCAGCCTCCCGAGTAGCTGGGACTAAGGCAACTGCCACCACACCTGGCTAATTTTTGTACTATTAGTAGAGACAGTGTTTTGCCATGTTGGG
The DNA here is from genome assembly GCF_000001405.40 of Homo sapiens. Lineage (NCBI taxonomy): Eukaryota > Metazoa > Chordata > Mammalia > Primates > Hominidae > Homo > Homo sapiens. The sequence goes on from NC_000003.12 coordinate 95,267,491, forward strand.
CAGGCTTGTCTCAAACCCCTTACCTCAAGTGATCTGCCCACCTCTCCTCTTGGGATTACAGGCATGAGCTACTGTGCCCTGCTGATACACCTTTTTATCTTAGTGACAAAACCAATCTTTCATAATATGACCAAGACTTACCTAGATTATGTGACATCTTCCCTACATGCTCAGAATAATATAATTTCATTCATTTTAAAAAATGATATTTAATTATCACATAAAAGTTGTGAGCTTTGATACATGGGATATATGTACATTGAATTACTTTCCACTTTTAAATCTCCTTTTCATGTAAATATATGACCAGGCATGTGTATAAATTCCTTTATATGATATATTGGATTAGTTTTTCAGATTAGCTCCCTTCCACTTCTCTTGGCATGTGAAGTCCTTCACTGTCCAACTGACTTTGGACTTCACCATGTAGCTTGTTTTGGTTAATCCATGTTAGTTGGCATAATGTGAAGAGAGGCTTTAAATGTGTTTGCACAGTTGAGTTTAGTGTCTTGCACTACTGCCATTCATTAGTGCAAAGAAATTGAAGAAAGACACAAGGAACAAACCTGAACCAAGCAGCTTGAAGTTAATAGAAGCCCATCCCATCGGAGTTCAGCAAAGGCCCGGCCAGCTCACAGATAAAAGATCTGAGCACCAACCACAATGTTTATTAAAAGATCACTCAAAGATCACACAGTCTGTTTTCAACATATGTATGTGTGATCAGAAACTGAATCTCACAGGATCTCAGCGGAACAGTTAATACCAAAATTTGCTTTAAAGACTGGTAGTATTTTTTAGATGTTTGCTTGTCCCGAAGTTGAAAAGAGACTGTGATCTTTGAGTGGTCTTTTATCTGAACATTATGTTGAGCTGACTTACATATGCACAATCTCAGATGAGAGGGAAAGAACAACAGTTTATTTTAATAGCCTCTAACTAAAATTTGTGTTTTATTTACCATGAATGTGTGCAACAAACCACAGTTGTACTAGCTGCAACTGTGACGTTGTCACAGATAAAAGAGATTGACAAAAAACAAAATACTGTTGTATGTCATTGAATTTGGAGCATATTTACACAGCATTATTTTAGTGATAGGTGACTAATAAACTGTGACTAACACATGTACATAGTCTTTGAGTCAATTACAGAAAACTTTAGAAAAAAGTTTGCATATTAGTTATTTTAAATGCATTTGCATAGTGGTTTTTTAAAACACAACAATAAAACAAAAAAATTCAATTCTACAAAATACATCAAAACAATATATTATGTAGATTTTTTTAAAAGAATATCTATACAATTTTCACATAAAAATTCTGGTGAGTAGTGATCAAACATTTCCACGAAGATCTTTTAAAAAAGAGTCTGGATGCACTGAATTATTCTGATTTCAAGTTAATTGATAATCATGAATATATTATGGTAAAGATCCCAAAATTTGGGGAAAATCTTGGCTATTTGGATGTAATGATTTCTTACAATCTGATATTTACTTTGGCATCCATTTTGAATCTAGCTTTGATTTTTTCATACCAGACGCAGGGCTTAGTCACCCTTTACACAGTTTCCAGTTCTCAGTGTCCTCCCAGTGCTTCAAGGTCATTGATCCAGATGCGGATACCTGCCTTTTACCTCTGCCTCCTGGTACCCATCTCCCTATGGGATGGCTAGATGCAATTTACATGACTTACCCCTGAGACTCCCACCCTCCCTATGGACTGAGCAAATATGCCACAGTGACACTGTAAGTCACATTGTGACTCCACGAATTTATATTTGTTTGCTTTAAACCCAGTTAGTTAGAACTCCCCTCAGAAAACCTGCTTGAGTAGCGCCCAGGATGCCAATAAAGGCATAGTCCCACAGGTCCTCTCTCTCTCTTGCTCCTCACCCATTGGTTGAATATGCGTGTCTGGGCAGCTCCCTGCTTCGTGTTGGCCCTGTGAGGCCTGCTGCCCTCTTCTATCTGGGATCTGTAAGTAATACAGGACTTCTGTTATTTTATGTCATACTGTCTCCTCTGTGTCTCATCTGACCGACACACCAGAACCTAACTCTCTTCCCAGTCACGGCTTTCCTGGAAAGTGTCGTATCTTTTTTTTTTTTTTTTTTTTTTTTTTTTTTTTTTTTTTTGAGACAGAGTCTCGCTCTGTCGCCCAGGCTGGAGTGCAGTGGCGTGATCTCGGCTCACTGCAACCTTCACCTCCTGGGTTCAAGCAATTATTCTCCTGCCTCAGCCTGCGGAGTAGCTGGGACTACAGGCGCGCGCTACCATGCCCAGCTAATTTTTTGTATTTTTAGTAGAGAAGGGGTTTCACCATGCTGGTCAGGCTGGTCTCAAACTCCTGACCTCGTAATCCACCCTCCTTGGCCTCCCAGAGTGCTGGGATTACAGGCGTGGGCTACCGTGCCTAGCTGAGAGTGTCTATCTTAGCAGGAATAAACTAGACACAGGTCAGACAGGAGCCACAAGGGTATCTGCTGGTATAAACAAGTTTCCTGTGAGAGGGACATCTGGGCATGGGTCCAGACACTTGAGTATTAGGCTGTCTGCAAGACAAAATGTATCTCATGAAAAGCATACTTTAAAAATTCACAACCTAATCCTCTAGAATCCCGTCAGGGCAGAAATATAAATTATACTCACACTTCAGAGAGAAACTTTCAGACCAAATTAGAGGAAAATCACAAGAGGGAACATTGGAAAAGAGTTTAGGAGTTGACCAGGGCCAGCATCATGGCCACGTTATCCAGGTCTTCAAGCAGGACCATGGACTCGAAGGACCCCACACTTGCTTTAGGGCTCTAACATCAACATATTTAAATTCCTAATAATTTTATCTTCAAATTTGTGTTCTGTAAGTGAAGACTGAGGAGCCAATGGAACATTCATGTGAAAAGAGGAGATACCTGAGATTTGCATATTTACCATTTTTTCATCTTATTTTTATATAAAGTTCACGATGCCCCATGATCACAGAATTCCATAGGACCCAGTATGCATGGGAGTTCAGTGAGACTCAAACCAATGACAAGGTAAGTGTGTCACATCTACAACCAAGTAAGCAAGGGTAATGATAGCTCTGAGAGCTACACCTGCCATTTGAACCAGAACTCACTTTGAATACTAAACAAAGTTCACAATGTTCTAAGAAACACACACAAAGGGCCTTAACATATATTTTCTTATTTATATTATTTCTTTATATTAGCCAACCACTTACACTGAAAAAGATTACATAGAAGAAAAGAAAAAGATAGGGCAACCCACAGCTTTCCTTTCAGTCCTTTACTTTCTGTGTTTCTGTACACTCTCAAAGGTAGAGAGTGTTACAGATGGTGCAAATATCAAGAAGTGAAATTAAAGCAGTTGAGTTAAATTTGTACAGTGTTATCCTTGTTTGTACTAAATTCATAAACATGTATGAGCTACAAAATACAAATTGTGTAATGTAACTTCAGTGATTTTAAAACTGCCATTGCACAAGATAAAGATGATGGTAAAACTCATGCTAATGATTTCAAATATAATTTTTCTTTGCCTATAGTGATATTAAATAGCAAATAAAAAACATAATGACAACTTGAGAGACGGATCATAGAAGAATGGAAAAATCTTTCTATTTATTACCATTAACAGCAGCTTTTTGCCCTGCTTTTCTAACAGAGAGACTCATATTTTCATTTTACAGTAAGCCCTGCAAATTAAGTAGCTAGCCTTGCATTTGACCAACCATTTTAAACTGTGTAGGACTATAATATGACTATGGATAATAATATGATTTTGTAGCTGTTAAGCAGCAGCCAGTTTTTCTAGATATGAACACTGAAGGGAGAAAAAAGATTGAGATGAAAATTAGGCTAAGGCTAGATTTCTTGGAGCTGGTCTAAAATATTCACTTCTATTAGATTATTCACAAATTTTTTGTCTTGCATAAACATGTAAAAATGATTGGTAGGTGACATGTTACAATATTGACATTACACTTTCTACATATATTTGACATAGAATATGTCTCCCACACTCCAAACAGCTTCATGCATTTTAATTTATCCCACACGCAGATACTGACAGGCTATCTTATCATCACCATTTCACATTGCAACAGAAATTATATGCCTGGCTGTGCTTGGAACAGTTGTACAACTGTGTTCAAATTAGCAACATTTACAAAGAGAGAAAATGTAAAACTAACAAGACATTAAGGAGCAGATAAGTGGGGGCAAAGGGAGTCAGTTTCACATAATGTCCTTAAGGTGTCCAATCCAACAATAAATATTTGCATTGCTTTTCTAAACATTGTACCAATGTGTGTATGCTAATTCTTTCTCACTTGTTTAATGGAAAGTTGTCCTCATGTGGCATCACATAGTTTAAAGTGTCAGCATGATCATCATCCAATTAAATTTTCTCAAATTCATATTCTTGTATACTGTATCTCTCCCTCCTTTCTTTTTCTATTTATCCATTATTAAATTTTTGGCAAAATTTTCATTTTAGCCCTTTATTATTTATAAAATACAATTCTTAACTTTGAGTTGAAATTCAGATGACTTGCTTTAAATCGGTATTTGGACTTTTGGCACTAGTTAAGATCTGAGCCACTTTGTTGAAGTGGGACATATTTTTTTTTCCTTTTATTTAATCTTATTTCTATCAGATTTGTTTGACAGATAGCATATTTCAATCAATCAAATACATATTAGATATGTATCAGAAGGCATACAGGAACTGTAGAGATGACAGCACTTTAACTTCAAAAGATACTAATTAACTGATTTGACTGGAAATGTTCCTAATATGTGACAAGATTCATGGTTTTAAATAAAACATTTATTTTAAACATTTCGTGGAAAATCCAATTTTGATGTTATGGCACTGACACCTAGATATGTGCAGCTATTCCATACCAAATGCTTTCTTCCCGAATGTCAACATGTCCTGTGTTTGTAAAAGTATTATTTAATATAACTAAAATAAAACCATCATTTCAAACAATGAACTCTGAGAATGCGTGAGTAAAAATTGGGCTGTGCAAATAAATACTTGAAAAAATAATGATGATTTAATTATATAATTTTGTGTTAAACATCTCAAAAAATTTAATAGTTTTAAGTTATCTTAGTGGCGTCATTAAAACCTAGCAAGTTCTCACCTAATATGTAAGAAATTTTAAATTATCAAAATAAATGGAGTTTGTAAGCCTCAAATTCTAGCATGTGATTTGTTGACTGTAGGACTTGAAACTGTGCTTTGTTAATTTATTTCTTATTACAATATAAAGATGCGTACTAAACAGCCTTACATAATTCTTCCCACCAATATGTCAGTAATTTTGACTTGACTTAATGGTAATCACTTCATAAAGTTTGTAAGTTTCTGTTTAAAAATTGTTAAGAAAAAGTGTGCACCACTACATGGGCAATGCACCATCATCCAGATGGTTGAAACATATGGTGTTGCTGAAGCTGTCACTCCTAGGATGCCACGTGCTGCAGCCACATGATAGAGGAAGCACACTACACATTTTCCCAACCTTGGCAGAATAAACAGAGTTTACCACTGGGATTAGACATTGATTTAATCTAAGTAGAATCTAAAAAATAATTTAATAGAAGTGTACTTTAAACATATCTGAATAAAAATATCTGAAAGGGGTTTAACAAATATCACATGGAAAATTCAGTTAATTAAACCATGACTTTTTGTTATTACCTATTCTATAGCATTAAGTGAATCAATAGGCAGTTTTAGGTTTTTACTTAAAAACTATGTTTAATTTCATGTAGCTACAGTGATTTGCAGCCCTTTTGCATGCTAAAGGGGAGGTGGAGAGAATTAAAGAGATTAATCCCACAGAAATGTCAACCAGAGGGTTTTCCTTGTTTCCTCAAGCCTTTTTGTGATATATATGACAATATAAAAACGTTTTCTTACCTTTCTGTGTGTGTGTTTTGTTTTAAATGCTTTGCCAGAAATAACTTTAACATAAATAGGTTCTTTAAATTATTTTGTGAAGTAAGAGAATAGATGACAATATGACTGTTTCATAGAAAATTGGAAAGTAAGAATCTTTCATGTTCATTCTCTGACATAACAACAAAAGAAAGTTTGGCTTTTTAAAATAATTTGTACCTGGTTTTGGGGGCAGAGGTTGCTAGATTGACTCTTAAAAAATAAATAGGAATAATTCATGAGATTATATATTAATAATTTATACATGTTAAGTTCTTATTTGTTATTAAAGGTGAATAATAGTTTATGTACATCATTTTACCTAATTTCTCAAACCCACTAGTTGTTGGAAATGATATTCTGTTGTTATTTTTTGAAATCCCTTCTGTGGTTAACAGAGTATATATGTGCGTGTCTATTTTTCCAGTAGTGAGAGAGTGAGGAAAATTTGCCTGTCTGAGCTCCAAAGATTATTACTAAACAATTTGACAATATGGACTGAAAACATTCTTCTTATTAACTGAATTCAGTATTTTACCTTAGAAGAAGTCAACTTAGGGAGACAGCTTGGGTAGCTAAATTTTGGCTATATTGTCTAAAAGATATTAAAAGGATATCTCTAATATGAAGTTAAATATGGCTTTCCAAGTACAGGAAACAAGTTTGTGTTAAAAATACCAGCTTGCTACTAGGAACTGCATTTGAGAAAAAAAAGTTTATTAAGTGAATAATTTTTGATTCCAGTATAATGAGAGTAACTTGAAAGGGAAAGATCTAATCTTTGTGGTGTGATAGAACACACAAGGAAGGCAGCAATACTTAGTTCTAATTTTATTCATTCTTCTACATCAAATGGAAAAAAAGGAATTGACAAAAATCATTTCAAATAAAGTAAACATACGTAAAACTGTTTCTTGGAAGTTCAGTTTCCACATAGCACCGGTATATCTCCATCGAAGATGGTGTACTTGTTTTATATTTATTTTGATATTCAGTCTTGTTAAACATTCAAATAATTTAACTTCTAATGAAAGAAATGAACACTGATTTATAATTCACAATTTGTAAAACTGACATTTAAACATAAAATTATAAGATTAGTCGTGTGGGATAATGACACAGAAAAAGTATAGTTTGGTAAACAAATCAATTGTCAAAGTTTAAGAGAGTAGCTACAACTCAGTCATTATTGAAAAATTATAGTTAGTTTATCTTGATCGAGGGATTGAATTAACTCTGTGGGTATTCTCTATTGAGGTATTTGATTAATGCCTTGAAATAGCACTTAAAGTGCTAGACAAACACTTTAAAAATATGCACAGGAATATCTAAAAAATTAGAAAAAACTTGGCAGGTATACTCTTTAGAGGATCAAATTATACAGCTTGAAATTGAGCATCAAGAAATTCAAATTAAGGATACAAATAATTCACAGTTGGTGAGACCTGGTTTAACAGCAGATAGAGAGTGAGAGGAGAAGGTGAGGAAAGAAAACTCTTGGAAGTTTTGTTGACGACAAACTCAGGTAGTATAGCTAATAAAACAGTTAAATTGAGTATCAGTATCCATGGGTTATACCAGCCAAAGAAAGTCATATTTTAAGGGGATATGAATAAGTTTGAATATTTATAAAAAAGTAGCTTAGGCTGGCCACGGTGGCTCACACCTGTAATCCTAGCACTTTGGGAGGCCGAGGCGGGTGGATCACGAGGTCAGGAGTTCAAGAGAAGCCTGGCCAAGATGGTGAAACCTAGTCTCTACTAAAAGTACAAAAATTAGCTGGGCATGGTGGTGGGTGCCTGTAATCCCAGCTACTCGGGAGGCTGAGGCAGGAAAATCGCTTGAACCTGGGAGGCAGAGGTAGCAGTGAGCCAAGATCATTCCACTGCACTCTAGCCTGGATGGCAAAGAAAGACTCCATCATCTCAAAATAAAAAAAAAAGAAGAAGAAGCAGCTTAGTGAGGAGTGGGAAAAGCAACATACAATAGTTGAATATTAGGCAACATGGATTTAGTGTGGAAAAATTGAAGTGTGTAGAGGGAAGTATAAAACTCCATGTCCTGTATTCTAACCACCTGGACTGCTTGATGGGTATTGCAGATGTTCTGCAATTTTTTGCCTCTGTAGTTTTGACAATCCCTCAAATTGCAATGCTATATCTTTTTTTTTTTAATGTGTTCTTCTCCAGTGATCAATTAAAATTCCAACAATGCTTTAAGGTTAACCTCCAAAACTATCTCATCCACTTGCCTCCTTACAGGAATATCTTCCTCTACCCTCATTTCCAAAAGAACTTGGCACATTAGGGTCACATTCTTCTTTATATGATAATGCCTTGGACATTTTATTCAGAATGTTCAGAACAGAAGGTATAAAAACATGTCTTTTTCAAACTCTTAACTCCCACAGTTTTGGTACAATCTAACATATTTAATAAAAGCATTCTCTTGATTAAAGATCATTAATATTTAATTCAAAAGAAGATTATATTTTTGTATATAGAGCTGAACACACACAATACAAAAAAGAGAGGGCATGCGTACTGGTACTGATAAAAAAATGCTGGAAGTGATTACATTGAACATGTTTTCGAAATTTAATAATAATTATTTAAAGGAAGCAGAATTCTATACATAAATACATAAGAAAAAATTAAAACTAACATTATTAAATGTACTTAGAAATAAACATTCAGAAAGATATAGTTTAAACAACTCTGCAAACTAGAGATTGTATCTCCTTTTAGAATAATAAACATTTGATAAATACATATCTGATTTAATGCTTTTAATTAATTGGACTTTTCATAAAATTAACAATAAATATAAAGTAGCATTTATTTTTCAATATAAAGTAGTATTTTTCAATAGCAGGACTGCTGGGGGGGCAGGCAAAATTATATGTATTGTATATATTTTTCAGGGTTTTTTTAAAACCTCCAAAATATATGTGTAAGAATGGATTTTTGTCATTATATATTCAATACTAAAGAAAATATTTATAGATACGTTAATTTTATAATTTTTGTTCTATTTTACTATTCATTTATCATATTTTATTTTGAATTAAAACTAACTTTGGTTGAAATCAACTTATACAACATAAATGTTGAATTTGAATTCCTTATAAGGATTAATAGTAAATGAATTGACATCTTACCTATACAATGTTTAGTTAGGTTGATTAATTTTGAAAACATTATTAGGGAATTACTGTTAGAAATTAGTAAAAATGCAGAAAAAGTTATTTTTGATAAATGAATAGAAAAGGGAAAATATTTCTCTGAAGTCTACAGAAACAGAAAATATTCTGACATAAAATGATTTAAAGATGTTCCTGTGTAAACACTCAGCTATTTTGTCACTGCAAGTTTTGTTTGATGCTGAAAAATGATTAAAGTGGTGAGTGATATACAATCTTTAATTAATATAAAAAATTTTCACCTAGGTTATCTTATAGAGTGGTCACATTGTGTGACTAGATTTGTATCTTGAATATTAACTGAAATTTAAACATCCTTTTAGAAAATCACTGTTATAGTGGCAAAATATAATTCCTTGAAGGCTCATTTATTTTTAAAAAGATCTGAAAGTCTTTTGGTGCCAACTATTAATGCATTCCATGATCATTAAAAATACGATTTGATGCCCCATATTGGACCTTACTCTACAGTGAAAGTATACATTTTCTTATATAATTCCTGTAAGCTGAAAGAACATAATCAAAAAGAGAATTCCTAAAGTATTTTTAGTAATAACAACATCTAGATTTATGCTATAATTTATTTTTTAATATCAGAAGTAAAGCACTGTTAGAGTAATGAACTATAAGGAAGAACCAAGGAAAGACAGCTGTTATTTGGGTTCTCTCTCTCTGAAGAAGCAAACAAACGCATTTTTGATTCATTTTTTTGCTCTTCCTTCACATCAGTAAGAAGTATTCCATGATGCTAACTCAAAGGGATTTTTGCAGCTTAATACTTAGTCACAGCAATCAAATCAAAGTTAAAAGTCTTCTGGTCTTTATCAATAAATGTACCATTACTATTCAACCTTTAGCACTATAGGAGGCATTTGGGATATTAAAATCATTTGTTTATAATGCACCCTTTTTTCTGACATGAATTTCAATGTTATTCTTTTAATACTAAGGGAAAAAACGTTTGGCACAAACAGCAAACTAATGTATTTCAAGAAGAGATTCTTGCATGACATGATTCCTAAGAGATTTGCTTCAGTTAAAAGCATTCTTCTGTCCTGTGGATATTTGTGTACATGTCTGATTGAGTGGAAAAAACTGCTGGAGAAAAATGGGATCACAAATGTATGTTTTGACTGCTATCAAGTCAATACAGTAATAGGCTGGTGAAAACATCAAAACACAATCAAAAGCTGCCTTCAGTGTCTGAAAGAAGAATTTACTTGGCAGTCAGCCAAGAAAGGTCATTTTTTTTCTAACCTCATCAGTAAATATGAAGGAAATAAATCTGGGGATCGTGGTTTTTATAAAACAGTGTATATGGTTGCCCTACGGAAGACAATCTCTGACTTTATTATTTAAGATATGTATTTATTGCACTAGGTTGATAAGCCAAAATGTAAGGGGAGGCATTCACAACCAGGCCAATATGTATTTGCAAATTATTAAGAGAAGAATAGCCTATTATTCAACACATACTTATGGAAATTGATGTGTATTTGAAATGTTAATGCTTAGAAAATCCTTTGATACCTATTTGAAACACTAAGGAAATGCAAATAAATCTGACTATTTAAAAAGCTTGTATTCAATACTTTCATGTTAATTATAATAAAAATACTCTGATGAAAGAATCTATGTGATACAATCAACATTACCTCACAAAATCAAAGCAATGATGCTTTAAAAATAATATTGATATATAAATCACAAGAAAAAAAGGCTAATATGTAGAACATGAGAGTTTGAAATTCTCGGCCTGTGTTGAAAATCTGCTATTTTAGTGGACATTTTTAATTACATACTTTAGAGGAGAAAAGCAGTTCCAATATATAAAACAACAAAAATTACAACTAATTTCTATATATTATGTACTGTGCTAACTGGTAACCATTTAAACCATAAAGAATATTTGTGAGCTGAGCAGTAATATAAAAACAGAAAAATCTGGTGTTTTTGACATCTGACTGTGCTTACTTTGAAAGTATATTTTACACTAGACACTGTGAATGGCCTGTATTCTAAAACAACTCCAATTTTTGTTAAGAGTGGGAGTGATAGAAACATAAAAGTTATGATGTAATGTAATAACTGCTTAAATAATCAAGAGCTATTGAAAAACAAAGTGAACAATAAACTCTATGCCACTTTGGAATTATATTTATAATATCTGATATAGTCGAAATGTGAAGTTATTATATATTTTTACTAAATTTTGTTTGATTTAATCAGGGTTCTTCATACTATCCTTATCAATCCTATACAGGATGGAATCAGACTATTTTATTTAAACACACTAGGGATAAACATATAGAATGTAAAATATCAGAATGAATCCTATATAGCCAAGATAGTATTATTTTGTAATATTTTATTTCAGTTTATATCTATCTGTCTACACGCATCCTAATAAGACTGATCATATAAATTATATTTTTTTACTGGAGATCATCATCATAAAACTTTGAAAAGCATAGTTTTAGCAAATTTAACAACTTGTAAGGTGAAAAAATAAATGATAGAAAATTGAGTGCCAATATCCTCCCCTCAACACAAAGAGAAATGCCATAGTGAGTATTATTTTATAAACTAGGATTATCCAATGCCAGCTGAATGTCAAACCCAAAATAGATTCAATAATAAAAATTGTGAAAACAATTGTTATGTTAACAATAAAAATATATTTACTCAAATCTATAAGAATATCATCAATAACTATCATTTTATTGATCTGCCTTGTGAGAGTACTTTACTAAGAGCTGAAAAATTAGTTCTTTGATTTTTATGACAACTCTATGAAATGTATATGAATATCCCCATTCTGTAGATAGAGAAAATGTGGTAAGGAAAATTAAATCATTTGAAGAAATGTAAACTGCTAAAACATGCCAGATCACATCCAAAGATTATTCTGCTAATTACTATGCCACCTGTGCTTTACATGAAAGTTCATGTTTCTGAAATTTTCCGCCTGGAACAAGGCATGATAGGCCATAATTAGAACAGACTAGTTCAGTGATTATCACACTTTAGCACGCCTCAGAATCATCTGGAGAGCTTTTAAAACACAGATTCCTGGGGCCTACTCTTGAGTCTGAGGTGAGGAATAAGTATTTACAGTTTGTTTGTTTGTTTGTTTGGTTTGGTTTTAAGATGGAGTTTTACTCTGTTGCCCAGGATGGAGTGCTGTGGCGTGATCTTGGCTCCCTGCAACCTCCACCTCCCAGATTCAAGCAATTCTTCTGCCTCAGCCTCCTGAGTAGCTGGGACTACAGGAGTGCACCACCACACCTGGCTAATTTTTGTATTTTTAGTGTAGACGGGGTTTCACCATGTTGGCTAGGGTGGTCTCGAACTCCTGACCTCAGGTGATCATCCTGCCTTGGCCTCCCAAAGTGCTGGGATTACAGGCATGAGCCACCGCACCCAGTCAGTATTTACATTTTAAACAAATTCTTAGCTCTTGCTAAAAGTGCTGGTCTAGGGACCATAGTTGGAGATTTACTTCTGCAGAAGTTTGTAATGTGCCATTAAAGTAGAAAACCGCAGACCTAGACAGAATGAATCAGAGTATCTCTGCAAGGTGCATAGCTATCTGTATGGGAGCAGGTTTTCCTGAGGAATCTAGTGCATAGTAATGATTGACGCAGGAGACAGCCAAATGCCTACGTAGATAGGGAAGGGTCTCTGGAGAACCTCAGACTCACCCAGGTCATTTTGCACTGGGGTGTTGCCTAAACATGCTCACAGTGAAAAATTCTCTCCCTTAACAGACGTGCAGTAAGGGAAATAAATCAATGTGGAGTGGATCAGACTAAGGGCCCACATGTGCACTGTAAGGAAGGGGTGAAGCCACAAGGAATTTGCGCCTTTTTCAAGGGAGGAGCCTGGTCTCTTCAGCTCGTGTGTGGTGGCCTGGTATTCAAGTGCGACGGAAAAAAACCTGCCTGCAGGACCCCTCTCCTTGCTGATAACTTTCCTTTCACTTAAAAATTCAGTCCTTCTTTCCCTTCAATGTGTTCATGTGCCTAATTTTTCCTGGTTGTGAGACAAGAACCCAGATTTACTTGAATTAAGGAGCAAAAATCTTGCATCAGTATTATATTAAATCTATTGGCCATGAGGTGTTTTTAAGGAATCCTGAGGTAGCTTTCTCAAAACACTTTTTAATTTTTAATTTTATTATGTGTTAAAAATAAAGGCTGCAGCAACATAGTTCAGAATTTAGTCATTCCAATAAGAATGAGGCTTCCTTATCCCCCTCCACATGCATCCTGTTTTTGGTGCTATGAATCAATATCTGCATTTCCAAGTTTTGGAACAAGTAAAGAAATCTAAGCAAACTCTCACCACAAAATAAAATTTCTAATTATAGAAAGAGTGATGCCTCTTTAATAAAATGTTATAAATAAAAAAGGTAAATTTGATACATGTAGTGAAATAGTTAAAGTTATTCTGAGTCTACAAGTGAGTCATACGCTAAGTAAACGTGCTTTTATAAAAAACACTAGCAAGGAACATTAACAAGATTTTATTAGGCATAGTAGGAGCAGGAAAGGGCTTGTTACTAAAATAAAACCATCAATAACCTTGGATTTGAGGCAAAAGGAAGGGAAAAATCCAGACAGAGGTTTGACAAAGTTTGTTTCAGAAGAGCTAATATAGCTGGCTTTGGAGCGTGAAAGTGCAGTCATTTATCTACTGAGGGTGAGAATTACTGGGCAGAAGAAAATGGTTCTTAAAGATTTTGAAATCAAAACTTTAGTAGCAAGCATATTTTGGTAAAGTCAGTTATGATGTGCTCATAATAATGACGATTTTTCAGGAGGGAAATACTTTTCAGACAATTACCTCAGGCTTGATGTCAATTTCCAATGAATCTTATAGGGGCCTTTTATTCTTTGTATGTTCACAGTGGAATGGGCTCTAATAGATGTCTTAACCTACCTATGATATTTAGTCCAGTTTTAAAGGGCTATAAATGCCACAAAATTTTTTATTATCTTTAAGTTACAACAAAAGTATTATTTGAGAAAGAAAATTTTCAGCAACTAACCATAGAGTGTCTATTATTATTATTTTGTTACTGTTTTAAACTGATGGGAAAGGCATAAATTAAGAATTGTGTTTGCCTACCTAGCAGGAGAGCTGAAATTAAAGTATAGCACAGTATTAATTAAGAGAACAGAAGAAGAAAAAATGACAAAACAGCCAGAATTAGAAGTTGAAAGAATTTTAATTATATTACACCTGATTGCTCCAAATTAGGTGTAAAGAGCAAGGAGTAATTTGAATTTTCAACTAAGTCAAAGATGTAATTATTTTGGTGTGCTAAGAAAAATTTTACCAAGGAAAGATAAGTAGCATTTTGGTTTGCATATTATAAAGTTGGACAGTGTACTGCCATAAAGATTATCTTAGTGTGCTTATTACTGGCACTGTGTTTCAAATGTTTTAAACTGTGAATTGTGAAATAGAGTATACATATAAAAAAGAGTTATATGAGAAATATGTATAATATAAAACAGAAGAATATTGAACTCTTGTTGTTCCTAATACTGAAGTCCAAATGTAAAACATCAATATCTCTGAACCCTTCTTTGGGCCCAGCTTTGTCCTCAGTCCCTTGATGTGGTCAACAAAACTCAAATTCCTGTGGTATGGCAAATGCAAAACTAGCCTAAATTCTCCGCTTGCTTTTCCTGGTTTCTACATTCATTTGCTTTTTGGACTAATTAGTCTTTACTTTCTTGTCACCTTATCTTTATATTTATGAGATTTTTTTAAAAATTAATCTCATATTATAATTATTTACAATAGGAAGGCTGGTCGATTTACCATAAACCTTCTTGAAATATCAATTAGTCAAATATGCTTTTATATTTGAAAAATAAGTTAATAAATATCTAGTTGGTTTTAATCCAACCAGAGTAATATTTTATGCATGCAAATGGATTTGTGGATCATCACAGTAGATGACAAGAACATGGCTGAATCATTTGTTGGTTTTATAAAGGAAAGGAAAAACATTTACTTCTCCAGAAGTGCTCTTTTAGAAATTAAGCTATAAGCTATAAGATATTAGATCAGAGCATTAGAACCTAGAGCATTTTGCATGCTCTGCAAATGTGACACCAGAAATATCTCAGAGCAGAAAATTGTGTATTTTTATTAAAATGATCAGAGTACCAATGCTGGTAACTCTCAGAGAGCTCCAAAGAAAAAATAATATTGTGATTTAAATAGACAAAAATTGTGATGCCTTCTTATCAAGAATGCTTTATTTTATTTTATTTTATTATTATTATACTTTAAGTTTTAGGGTACATGTGCACAATGTGCAGGTTAGTTACATATGTATACATGTGCCATGCTGGTGTGCTGCACCCATTAACTCATCATTTAGCATTAGATAAATCTCCTAATGCTATCTCTCCAACCTACCCCCACCCCACAACAGTCGCCAGAGTGTGATGTTCCCCTTCATGTGTCCATGTGTTCTCATTGTTCAATTCCCACCTATGAGTGAGAACATGCGGTGTTTGGTTTTTTGTCCTTGCGATAGTTTACTGAGAATGATGATTTCCAATTTCATCCATGTCCCTACAAAGGACATGAACTCATCACCTTTTATGGCTGCATTGTATTCCATGGTATATATGTGCCACATTTTCTTAATCCAGTCTATCATTGCTGGACATTTGGCTTGGTTCCAAGTCTTTGCTATTGTGAATAATGCAGCAATAAACATACGTGTGCATGTGTCTTTATAGCAGCATGATTTATAGTCCTTTGGGTATATACCCAGTAATGGGATGGCTGGGTCAAATGGTATTTCTAGTTCTAGATCCCTGAGGAATCGCCACACTGATTTCCACAATGGTTGAACTAGTTTACAGTCCCACCAACAGTGTAAAAGTGTTCCTATTTCTCCACATCCTCTCCAGCACTTGTTGTTTCCTGACTTTTTAATGATTGCCATTCTACCTGGTGTGAGATGGTATCTCATAGTGGTTTTGATTTGCATTTCTCTGATGGCCAGTGATGATGAGCATTTTTTCATGTGTCTGTTAGCTGCATAAATGTCTTCTTTTGAGAAGTGTCTGTTCATATCCTTCACCCACTTTTTGATGGGGTTGTTTGTTTTTTTCTTGTAAATTTGTTTGAGTCCATTGTAGACTCTGGATATTAGCCCTTTGTCAGATGAGTAGGTTGCAAAAATTTTCTCCCATTTTGTAGGTTGCCTGTTCACTCTGATGGTAGTTTCTTTTGCTGTGCAGAAGCTCTTTAGTTTAATTACATCCCATTTGTCAATTTGGCTTTTGTTGCCATTACTTTTGGAGTTTTAGACATGAAGTCCTTGCCCATGCCTATGTCCTGAATGGTAATGCCTAGGTTTTCTTCTAGGGTTTTTATGGGTTTTAGGTCTAATGTTTAAGTCTTTAATCCATCTTGAATTAATATTTGTATAAGGTGTAAGGAAGGGATCCATTTTCAGCTTTCTACATATGGCTAGCCAGTTTTCCCAGCACCATTTATTAAATAGGGAATCCTTTCCCCATTGCTTGTTTTACTCAGGTTTGTCAAAGATCAGATAGTTGTAGATATGCGGCATTACTTCTGAGGGCTCTGTTCTGTTCCATTGATCTATATTTCTGTTTTGGTACCAGTACCATGCTGTTTTGGTTACTGTAGCATTGTAGTATAGTTTGAAGTCAGGTAGTGTGATGCCTCCAGCTTTGTTCTTTTGGCTTAGGATTGACTTGGCGATGTGGGCTCGTTTTTGGTTCCATATGAATTTTAAAGTAGTTTTTTCCAATTCTGTGAAGAAAGTCATTGGTAGCTTGATGGGGATGGCATTGAATCTATAAATTACCTTGGGCAATATGGCCATTTTCACGATATTGATTCTTCCTACCCATGAGCATGGAATGTTCTTCCATTTGTTTGAATCCTCTTTTATTTCCTTGAGCAGTGGTTTGTAGTTCTCCTTGAAGAGGCCCTTCACGTCCCTTGTAAGTTGGATTCCCAGGTATTTTATTCTCTTTGAAGCAATTGTGAATGGGAGTTCACTCATGATTTGGCTCTCTGTTTTTCTGTTATTAGTGTATAAGAATGCTTGCGATTTTGGTACATTGATTTTGTATCCTGAGACTTTGCTGAAGTTGCTTATCAGCTTAAGGAGATTTTGGGCTGAGACAGTGGGGTTTTCTAGATATACAATCATGTCATCTGCAAACAGGGAAAATTTGACTTTCTCTTTTCCTAATTTAATACCCTTTATTTCCTTCTCCTGCCTAATTGCCCAGGCCAGAACTTCCAACACTATGTTGAATAGGAGTGGTTAGAGAGGGCATCCCTGTCTTGTGCCAGTTTTCAAAGGGAATGCTTCCAGTTTTTGCCCATTCAGTATGATATTGACTATGAGTTTGTCATAGATAGCTCATATTATTTTGAAATACTTCCCATCAATACCTAATTTATTGAGAGTTTTTAGCATGAAGGGTTGTTGAATTTTGTCAAAGGCCTTTTCTGCATCTACTGAGATAATCATGTGGTTTTTGTCATTGGTTCTCTTTATATGCTGGATTACGTTTATTGATTTGCATATAATGAACCAGCCTTGCATCCCAGGGATGAAGCCCACTTGATCATGGTGGATAAGCTTTTTGATGTGTTGCTGGATTCAGTTTGCCAGTATTTTATTGAGGATTTTTGCATCAATGTTCATCAGGGATATTGGTATAAAATTCTCTTTTTTGGTTGTGTCTCTGCCCGGCTTTGGTATCAAGATGATGCTGGCCTCATAAAATGAGTTAGGGAGGATTCCCTCTTTTTCTATTGATTGGAATAGTTTCAGAAGGAATGGTACCAGTTCCTCCTTGTACCTCTGGTAGAATTCGGCTGTGAATCCATCTGATCCTGGACTCTTTTTGGTTGGTAAGCTATTGATTATTGCCACAATTTCAGAGCCTGTTATTGGTCTATTCAGAGATTCAACTTCTTCCTGGTTTAGGCTTGGAAGGGTGTATGTGTTGAGGAATTTATCCATTTCTTCTAGATTTTCTAGTTTATTTGCGTAGAGGTGTTTGTAGTATTCTCTGATGGTAGTTTGTGTTTCTGTGGGATTGGTGGTGATATCGCCTTTATCATTTTTTATTGCGTCTATTTAATTCTTCTCTCTTTTTTTCTTTATTAGTCTTGCTAGCGGTCTATCAATTTTGTTGATCCTTTCAGAAAACCAGCTCCTGGATTCATTAATTGTTTGAAGGGTTTTTTGTGTCTCTATTTCCTTCAGTTCTGCTCTGATTTTAGTTATTTCTTGCCTTCTGCTAGCTTTTGAATGTGTTTGCTCTTGCTTTTCTAGTTCTTTTAATTGTGATGTTAGGGTGTCAATTTTGGATCTTTCCTGCTTTCTCTTGTGGGCATTTAGTGCTGTAAATTTCCCTCTACACACTGCTTTGAATGTGTCCCAGAGATTCTGGTATGTTGTGTCTTTGTTCTCGTTGGTTTCAAAGAACATCTTTATTTCTGCCTTCATTTCGGTATGTACCCAGTAGTCATTCAGGAGCAGGTTGTTCAGTTTCCATGTAGTTGAGCGGTTTTGAGTGAGTTTCTTAATCCTGGGTTCTAGTTTGATTGCACTGTGGTGTGAGAGATAGTTTGTTATAATTTCTGTTCTTTTACATTTGCTGAGGAGAGCTTTATTTCCAACTATGTGGTCAATTTTAGAATAGGTGTGGTGTGGTGCTGAAAAAAATGTATATTCTGTTGATTTGGGTTGGAGAGTTCTGTAGATGTCTCTTAGGTCTGCTTGGTGCAGAGCTGAGTTCAATTCCTGGGTATCCTTGTTAACTTTCTTTCTTGTTGATCTCTCTAATGTTGACAGTGGGGTGTTAAAGTCTCCAATTGTTATTGTGTGGGGGTCTAAGTCTCTTTGTAAGTCACTCAGGACTTGCTTTATGAATCTGGGTGCTCCTGTATTGGGTGCATATATATTTAGGATAGTTAGCTCTTCTTGTTGAATTGATCTCTTTACCATTATGTAATGGCCTTATACATTTGTCTAAATTTTTTTCAAGTTTTTAACTTCTTTGCCTTTGGTTTGAATTTCCTCCTGTAGCTCGGAGTAGTTTGATCATCTGAAGCCTTCTTCTCTCAACTCGTCAAAGTCATTCTCCATCCAGCTTTGTTCCATTGCTGGTGAGGAACTGTGTTCCTTTGGAGGAGGAGAGGCGCTCTGCTTTTTAGAGTTTCCAGTTTTTCTGCTCTCTTTTTTCCCCATCTTTGTGTTTTTATCTACTTTTGGTCTTTGATGATGGTGATGTACAGATGGGTTTTTGGTGTGGATGTCCTTTCTGTTAGTTTTCCTTCTAACAGACAGGACCCTCAGCTGCAGTTCTGTTGGAGTTTGCTAGAGGTCCACTCCAGACCCTGTTTGCCTGGGTATCAGCAGTGGTGGCTGCAGAATGCGGATTTTCTTGAACCGCGAATGCTGCTGTCTGATCGTTCCTCTGGAAGTTTTGTCTCAGAAGAGTACCTGGCCGTGTGAGGTGTCAGTCTGCCCATAGTTGGGGGTGCCTCCCGGTTAGGCTGGTCGGGAGTCAGGGGTCAGGGACCCACTTGAGGAGGCAGTCTGCCTGTTCTCAGATCTCCAGCTGCGTGCTGGGAGAACCACTGCTTTCTTCAAAGCTGTCAGACAGGGACATTTAAGTCTGCAGAGGTTACTGCTGTCTTTTTGTTTGTCTGTGCCCTGCCCCCAGAGGTGGAGCCTAAAGAGGCAGGCAGGCCTCCTTGTGCTGTGGTGGGCTCCACCCAGTTGGAGCTTCCCAGCTGCTTTGTTTACCCAAGCAAGCCTGGGCAATGGCGGGCACCCCTCCCCCAGCCTTGCTGCTGCCTTGCAGTTTGATCTCAGACTGCTGTGCTAGCAATCAGTGAGACTCCGTGGGCATAGGACCCTCCAAGCCATGTGCGGGATATAATCTCCTGGTGCACCGTTTTTTAAGCCTGTCAGAAAAGCGCAGTATTAAGGTAGGAGTGAACCGATTTTCCAGATGCCGTCTGTCACCCCTTTCTTTGACTAGGAAAGGGAACTCCCTGACCCCTTGCGCTTCCCGAGTGAGGCAATGCCTCGCCCTGCTTCGGCTCGTGCATGGTGCACTGCACCCACTGTCCTGCACCCACTGTCTGGCACTCCCTAGTGAGATGAACCCGGTACCTCAAATGGAAATGCAGAAATCACCCGTCTTCTGCATCGCTCACGCTGGGAGCTGTAGACTGGAGCTGTTCCTATTCAGCCATCTTGGCTGCCCTCCTCCAGCAATGACCAAGAATGGTTTTCCTTACCCAATCAACTTTTGAGAGGTTAACAAGAAGAAGAAAGAAATAGAGAAGCTGGAGTAAGAGAGAATGGCATCATGACAGATTTTTCAGGTACAGTTAAAATGGTTAATGTGACAATAGCTCAGCAATAGTGGGACAACAAATGGGACTTAAGCAACTACATTATAGGTAAAAGAGATGATTCTTTGTCCTAAACAATAATCATAGGCTAGCCGCAATTTATTTGGCAGATAATCAGTAGACTATGTTAAGATTCATGCACATCATTCTAAAAACCACCATCTGAAAGTGTATTTAAAGGAATCAAAAAACTACCAGAACTGAAACTTTTCTTTATTTTTTTAACTGAAAACACACCTATAATTACAAAGTTTGAATGACAAAAAGAATTCAGTATCTCTTTTTGTATCATCACTCTATTAAAATGTAAATCATTCAGAAAATATTTTAATGGTAATATTTTTCTTAGTTAATCTTTTTCTACACTTTTGAAAACTGAAGTCAAATTTTTTTTTCTTATAAAGCATATCTAGTTTAACCTACCCAATTAATCAATTGTTAACATTTTTATTTCTGTCTGTGCATAAGCTTGAAGTAATCCTTGAAATAACTAAGTGGGAGAGTTAATAGCTGGAGAAATCCACCAATATCACTACTTCCCCCAAAACTTCTTAATTTTTAGCTGTGAATTGGTAATCCTGTCTTCATTTTTTTTTTTTTTCAAGATGGAGTCTTGCTCTGTCACCCAGGCTGGAGTGCAGTGGCATGATCTCGGCTCACTGCAAGCTCCGCCTCCCGGGTTCAGGCCATTCTCCTGCCTCAGCCTCCTGAGTAGCTGGGACTACAGGCACCCGCCACCACGCCTGGCTAATTTTTGTATTTTTAGTAGAGACAGGGTTTCACCATGTTAGCCAGGATGGTCTCAATCTCCTGACCTCATGATCTGTCCACCTGGACCTCCCAAAGTGCTGGGATTACAGGTGTGAGCCACTGCACCCAGCCTTCATTTTCTTTTAGTCAGAGATTTTTGGCTTAGTTGTCTGACAAAAAGAGTTATGTGAACATAGGATTGACACCAGGATTGTGTTCTGTTCTAAGTTTAAATATGGTTTTGAGAAAGAAGTTGTTCAGTCATTCATACAGTTATTATAACAACTACACAAGTGTATGTATTTGAAAGTATTTTCAAAAGCAAACTATTTTATCCAGATTCAAGATATTTTGAAATTGCTTCCATCATAGTCACTATGTTTAAAAAAAATTCACAAAATTGTCTTATGTTGACAACTATAAGATGTATTTTCTAAGAGACTAATTAGCCTTATATTCTAGTTTAATTTCCATGTTTACTTTAAAAATCTACATTTGAAATGATGTTTTTATTTTTAGAAAGAGAAAAATACAATTTTTTCAAAGATAGGCATCTTTTTATCTCAATCTTTTCTTGTATTCACTCTAGAAATAGTGAACAAGAATGATTCACTGGTGACGAAACAGCAAGGCATGTGAAAAATTTTCTAAGTAACTCATTTTTAATAAATGTAGCTTTTTTTGCTGTTTGTTTTATTATTACATAGTTGACATTTTCAGCAGTGGGAATTCAGTGTTGATTTGTTAGAATTCATTTTTAACCTCACATAGGTTTTGTTTTTCGTGATGTGTTGTGGGTAGGAATGAACACACCTACAGATTTTCTAGTTGTTAAGACACAAGAATACAAATTAACAGTTTTAATTATGTTAAAGTTTAAAATAGTCTCCCAAATCCTTTGTTTTTAAAGAAACTATATTAAGGCACATAGAATTATCTATACTAAATTTTAGTCTTTCCAACTGTCATACCCCTATGCCTCTTGTTAGTGGAAACTCTCCATTCTAAAATATATAAGGAGATTTTAAATTCCTAAATAATGTTCAAATTTACATTAAACTATTCAGGCAATGAACAATTTGTTTTTATTATCAACAAAATGGCATATTTGTCTCAATTTCAAATAAAAAATCTAAAATAAAAATTAATAAAATAGCCAATGATAGAAAAAACTAAAAAAAATAAATAGAATTTAATTTTACTGTATAATCAGATCTATATGATATTAATTTTAATAAAAAGTAATTATTCAAACCATGTTCTCCTTTCTTTGTATTACTGCTAAGTTACTACTAGTTGCATCAGGTATGTAGGAGATACCATAGAGAAAAAAACATTTTTATATATCTTTGCAAAACCATGTTACAAATGTTGTTAAGAAAGGAATCTGGTGAAGATAAATAATTCCTCTGCTCTAGGGATATATTAGAGAATAGGTTGATAATGAAATGTTAGCAATATAACTCATATTTACTACAATGCCAGCAAGCATCACTGCAACCTACCCCACTAAATATTTTGGTTGAAGAGGTGGTAAAACTGAATAAAGTAAAGAATAAAAAAATATTATTAGCATGGGCTGATGATATGGTTTGGCTGTGACCCCACCACAATCTCATCTTGAATTGTAGTTCCCATAATCCCCACATGTCCTGGGAGGGACCCAGTGGGAGGTGATTGAATCAGAGGGGCAATTAATAAAGAATTTGTAATTTATAAAAGAGAAGAGGCTTAATGGACTCACAGTTCCACATGGCTGGGGAGGCCTCACAATCATGGTGGAAGGCGAAAGGCACATCTTATATGGTGGCAGGCAAGAGGGAATGAGAACCAAGTGAAAAGGGTTTCCCCTTATAAAGCCATCAGATCTTGTGAGACTTATTCTCTACCATGAGAACAGTATGGGGGAAATTGCCCACACTTATGATTCAATTATCTCCTGCTGGGTTCATCCCACAACACATGGAAATTATGGGATCTACAATTCAAGATGAGATTTGGGTGAGGACACAGCCAAACCATATTACCCCCTTTTGGTCAGCACTTCTTCTTTCTGCTGCCATGTGAAGGACATGTTTGTTTTTCCTTCTGCCATGATATTATGTTTCCAGAAGCGTTCCCTGCCACACTAAACTGTGAGTCCGTTAAACCTCTTTCCTTTATAAATTACCCAGTCTTGGGTATGTCTTTATTAGCAGCATGAGAATGAACTAATACAGTAAATTGGTACCAAGTAGTGGAGCACTGCCATAAAGATACCTGAAAATGTGGAAGCAACTTTGGAACTGGGTAACAGGCAGAGGTTGAAACCATCTGGAGGCTCAGAAGAAGACAAGAAAATGTGGTAATGTTTGGAACTTCCTATAGACTTGGAGGGTTCAGAAGACAGGAAGATGTGGAAAAGTTTGGAACTTCCTAGAGACTTGTTGAATGGCTTTTTGACTGAAATGCTGATAATGATATGGACATTAAAGTCCAGGCTGAGGTGGTCTCAGATGGACAGGAGTAACTTGTTGGGAACTGGAGTAAAAGTCATTCTTGCTATGCAAAGAGATTGGTGGCATTTTGCCTCTGCCATAGAGCTTGAGGAACTTAGAACTTGAGGAAGATGATTTAGTGTATCTGGTAGAAGAAATTTCTAAGCAGCAAAGCATTCAAGAGGAAGCAGAGCATTAAAGTTTGGAAAATTTGAAGCCTGATTATATAATAGAAAACAAAATCCCATTTTCTGGGGATAAATTCAAGCTGACTGCAGAAATTTGCATAAGTCACAAGGAGCCAAATGTTAATCAACAAGACAATAGGGAAAAAGCCTTCAAGGCATGTAAGACACCCTCACGACAGCCCCATCAATCACAGACTTGGAGGCCTAGTAGGAAAAAATGGTTTTGTGGGCCAGGCCCAGGGTCCCCCAGCTCTATGCAGCCTCATGACATGGTGCCTTGTGTCCTAGCTGCTTCAGCTGCAGCCATGGCTAAAAGGAGCCAATGTACAACTCAGGCTGTTGCTCCAATGGGTGCAAGCTCCAAGCCTTGGCAGCTTTCACATGGTATTGGGCCAGTGGATGTGCAGCAGTCAAGAACTGAGGTTTAGGAACCCCCACCAAGTTTTCAAAGGATATACAGAAATGCCTAGATGCCCAGGCAGAAGTCTGTTGCAGGGGCAGAGGGCTCATGGAGAACTTCTGCTAGGGCAGTGTGAAGGGGAAATGTGTGGTTGGAGTCCCCACACAGAGTCCCCACTGGGGAACTGTCTAGTGAAGTTGTGAGAAGAGAGCCACTATCCTCCAGATCCCAGAATAGTACATACACCAACAGCTTGTACCCTGCACCTGGAAAAGCCACAGGCACTCAATGACAGCCTGTGAAAACAGCCAGGAGGGGTGCTGTACCCTGGAAAGCCACAGGGGCAGAGCTGCCAGAGGCCATGGGAACCTACCTCTTGCATCAGCAAGGCCTGGATATGAGACATGCAGTCAAAGGAGATCATATTGGAACTTTAATAACTGCCCCATTAGATTTCAGATTTGCATTGGGCCTGTAGCCCCTTCATTGTGGCCAATTTCTCCAATTTGGAATGGGTGTATTTACTTAATGCTTATACTCCCATTGTATTTAGTAAGTAACTAATTTGCTTTTGATTTTGCAGGCTCATAGGCAGAAGGGACTTGCCTTGTCTCAGATGAGACCTTGGACTTGGACTTTTGGATTAATGCTGGAATGAGTTAGGATTCTGGGGGACTGTTGGGAAGGCATGATTGTGTTTTGAAATGTGAGGACATGAGATTTGGGATGGGGCCTGGGGCAGAATGATAAGGTTTGGTTGTGTCCCCATCTAAATATCATCTTGAATTGTAGTTCCCATAATTCCCACGTGTGGTAGGAGGGACCTGGTGAAGGTCATTGAATCATAGGAGCAGTTACTCCCATGCTGCTGTTCTTGTGATAGTGAGTGAGTTCTGACAAGATCTGATGGTTTTATAAGGGGCTTTCCCCCCTTTTCTAAGCACTTCTCCTTGCTGCCACCATGTGAAGAAGTATGTGTTTGCTTCCCCTTCCACCATGAGAGTACTTTTCCTGAGACCTCCCAGTCATGCTGAACTGTGAAGTAGTTAAACTTCTTTCCTTTATAAATTTTACCCAGTCTTGTATATATATTTATGAGCAGCATGAAGATGGACTAATACAGCTGATTACTGATGATGATAAGCATAAAGAGTATAACTTTAGAAAGAAATGTATTGAGTTGAAAGTTGATCAATAAAAATGAACTTATCCAAGATATTCCATAAGAGAAGATTATCTAATTAATTATATTTAATCATGGCTATTTAAAAATACATGGGTATAACCAACAGAGTTCTATGTCAATTAAAAAGGATAGATGTTACTCATTAAAAATTCAGATGTTGACAAAGAAATTTTACATGTTCTGTGGGTTCAAAAATGAGTCTGAAAAAATTAAATATAAAAACACCCTATAGTAGAGTTTTTTCATCACTTTCAATTCATCATAGTACTAGCAGTAGTAAATGGTTACCATACTTAAATGAACATCCCCTAGAGGTCCTGGGATTTGAACAGCTTCAGTTTGATGAATGGGACAAATGATAGCTTAAGTCAGTGAACCATTGGCTACAAGTGTTATCAGGGATGTATTGAGCAATGTGCGTAGGAATGGATATGAAGGAAAAACATTGTTTGTACTTAGTATAAGGGGAAGGATTGGATTGAATATCTAGGTAGTAATCAGAGGAAAATAAGGTGATGTTTGAGCAAAAAGGTGTCTGAAGAATTAAGCAGTGATAGATTCGAGTGTGAATGAAGGAAGGTACCTTACATGTGTAGTTAAGACTGAAGAGCTCCTCTTCATTCCCTTGAGATAGTTGGCCTTAGCCAACTTTCGAAAGAAAAAAAGAGAGTAATTGTAGCATTTATATAGTTTTGCTGATGTATTTGATACATTTTCCACCTATCTAATGCTCAAGAATTCTTCAGGAAAATGTCAGTGAGTGAGAACTTTTTTTCTTTTTTTTTTTTTTTTTTGTATTTCTTCTCAATTAGCCCAACACTTTGAACTCTACCATGAGAATGTGAGGTGGTTATTCTAGATAAATATGCACACCAGTGAGAAACTTGAGATCACTAATACCTTCACTAGGTAACCCTTTTAATAAAGACCTCTCTGTAAAAGTCTCTGTAAAGTCTTATCTTTTCTTTCCTACAAGATAGCTTCATCTAATTATTTTTTTCTTTTACTTTTGAGACAGTCTTACTCTGTCACCCATGCTGGAGTGCAGTGACAATCTCGGGTCACTGCAACCTCTGCCTCCCAGGTTCAAGAGCTTCTCATGCCTCAGCCTCCTGAATAGCTAGGATTACAGGCGTGCACCACCACACCCAGCTAATTTCTTGTGTTTTTAGTGGAGACGGGGTTTCACCATGTTGGCCAGGATGGTCTTGAGCTCCTGGCCTCAAGTGATTCACCTGTCTTGGCCTCCCAAAGTGCTGGGATTACAGGCATGAGCCTCCATGCCTGGTCCCAGTTTCATCTAATCCTTTAGAGAAGAAGGAATACATCTATTATTAACAGAGATGGATATTTTTCTGTAGTTATTAATGAATCTACAATGTAGAAGTTGGTAACACAGAAATGTCTGACTATAACCAAACAACTAAAACTGTAACTAAAACAGCTGCCTGACTATACCTAAAACTATTAGCAATTAAGAAACATTATTTTTGCTTATTTTTTATTGTTACTCCATGAATTGATTCAATTCAGATATTCCTATGGTGTTCTTGCAAAGTACTGGTGAAAGATTTATCCTAATCATAGGCATTCTAGCAATGTTAGAGAATAATTAAAGTCATAATTAGATTCTAGTGTCAGTGAGTTTTTGAAAGCAAGTAATGCACATATAACAATAAAAGTTAGGATATCATGAACCCAGTTATTGAATTAAGCATTTATTTATTTGAACTCAGAATACGGTGCTATAATAAATTGATTATTAGAGAATTTACAGTTGGAAAGAAATATTTTTAAAAGAGTAAAGACCAAAGCTGAGACCCTGGCCCACTGGGATCATTTTCAAGACCTTTATAGTTGAAGACCAAAGTATTTTTTTCAGAGTTCTAGGCATGTGTTGTCATATTCTAGATGTTCTCAAAAAGCTTGCTAGAGTCTACTCAAAATGACCTGTGTATGTTCTGATGGATTGTCATACTTCTCATCTCTTCACTTTATCTGGCAGGTAAAGAAAGATTTGCTTTGCTTACTTTAGTCCGTTCACTAACAAAATAATTTAGGAATTCAAATTACTTTTCAAATATATTTGATTTATTTTTATTAGATAATTATTTTAAAAGTATTCTAATAGGATCTGTTTGATTCTTTTAATAACAAAATATCATTTAGAAAAATACATGTATTGCGTTTTTTGTGGGGGTGACTAATGTCTTTGGAACATAGTGGTTTTCTGGAATAATGCAATTTCTAATTTAGAAAAATCAAAATGTATATTACAATGGGATGGTGTCATGCCCAGAATTGTATCATTCCAAAATATATATGTTGAGGCCCTTACCCTCAGCAACCCAAAATGTGACCCTACTTGGAGATAGGCAGTTTAATGGGGTAGTTAAAGTTAAATGAGGTCAGAAAGGTTGACCCTAATCTAGTATGGTTGATGTCTTTATTAGAAGAGGAAATTAAGACACACAAAAAATACATCAGGTATACATGCACTCGAAAAAAAAGCCACACGAGGACATAGCGACAAGGCAGCCGTCTGCAAGCCAAAGGCAGAGGCCTCAGGAGAAAACTAACCTGTCGAAACCTTGATCTTGAAATTCCAGTTTCCAGCACTGTGAGAAGATAATTTCTGTTGTTTAAACCATTCAATCTGTGGTATTTTGTCAAGGTCACCCTAGCAAACTAATACAGGTGAGTAGGATGGCACAACTGACAAATACCAGTAGTTGAAAGGACAGAAGGGATTACATGCATTTGAAGGCATGTACTCACAAACACAAAAGATGTGACAATATTATATGGCTGAAGAATTCTGAATCAGGTTTGGAAGACATAACAGGATTTGGATCTGGTGATTGAGAAGGTATCAAAATTATGAAGAGCTACCTATGTCATGGTACATGGCTGATCTTTAGCCTGTGGGTGGTAAAAAGTTATAACACATTTAAAGAAACAGCTATGTAATAGTGAGTTACAAATAAAAGGTTAAAATGATGAAAGGAAATATTTTATGTGCAGTGTTGTGAAAGACATTTTGAATGATTAAAAAATTTAAAATATTTAAAGACTTACATGTTATCCTTGTTATTGAGAAATCCAAGAAAAGTAACTATTTTGGGAGAAACATTCTGAATTCAGAAGCGACTTGAAACTATCCTAAAAAATAATTATACATACGTCCAAAAATATGAGTAAGTTAATAGATACATCTGACAAAAAAAGAAAACATTGTGTATGTTTAATCAGATAAGGTAATTAATACCTTCTTTGAGATATTCATTGGCCCAGTCAACCAACGATATCAGTTTTTTTTCTTGTTTGGATTTTTGTTTTAAGTAGTGCTTTCTGAATATATTTGACTGATTTTTAATGTTTTACAGGAAAGAAAGCCATAAATGGATTCAGGAAATCTATTTGTCACATCTCGTTTGAAGAATGGTGAAGTAAAGGCAGTCCACTAAGAGTTTCAGGTACTTTAGAGATCTTAATTTAAAAAATAAAATCTAGCAAGAAAATAAGTGCTGCTTATGAAAACTTGCCTGAAACACCAAGATATAAAAGTTAAGTTTAAGTTATTTGTGATATAAAAATACCTGTAACTCTGAGATTTAGGGAAAGAATAAAACAGAAAAATGACTTTGATAGATGCCCTATAAACCCAGGAGCTTAGATTATATTTCTTTCTTCATCTCCCTTTAGAAATGTCATGTAATTTGCTGTTACTAGCCAACGAAGCACTAATAAACTAATGTTTAAATATGCCACTGAGCTCTGAGTCTTGCTGGGTTAATTATGGAGAAAATATAGTACTTAAGAGAAAGGTAAAAACAAGTTACATACCAGAAATATCCTTTCAGTTTTATGACTCCCAGGATACAGAAATATTTGGTTCCTGGTTTCTAATGGCATCTATGATGTCAAGATTTAAGGTATAGTTACACTCGAAGTAACGTTTATATTAAAGAAAGCTGCCAAGAGGAAGGGTATCTAGAAAATTGTTTCACTATGAGAAATCCCTTATGAAAGAAATGGAAAAATATCTGCATTTATGGAGTGATTGTGATATACAGTGGGGCAGTAGAGTATGGTTGGAGCATCATTTAGTTGCATTTCTTATTTATATTAAATTTTGTGATTACAGCCTTTGCAAATATGGCTGTATTATTACCCACAAGGAGGTTTGTATTTGCAGATTGTTTTATGAAGAGACTAGATAAAATGATGGTCACACCAAATTCATTTCAGGGAAAAATGCTTTGAAACCTCATGGAAGCATCTCTTTTGTGATAAGAATTCTGAATAACTATTCTGGGTATTCAGGTTTTCATAAATCTCCATAAAGACAAAGAACTATAACAAGTATCAAAAGCACCATGTTTCGAAAGTTTCCAGGAAATAAAAAATGTGTGTTTTTGAATATTTTTAGAATGTAATTATTTAAAAACAAGAATGTGCTAAGAAAGAAAGTGAAGTGCTTTTTTAAAATAAAGAAGCAAGACTTAGATTGAAAAATAAGTTTTTTTTTTCTTTCTTTCAGCTTTCCCCTTTAACATTGTAGGAAGGATCATCTATGCAGCTTGAAAATTGTTTTGTCGAGGTGTATGACATTTTCATGTGAGTGTTTTCCAGTGTCCATTGAAGATTAACTTGTGGTAATATGAGTCAGAATTGTTCATGGATTAGTTATAAAAGATTACCACATTTCAATAGGACAATACAAATGGGAAATAGTACCTTATCTATTCTGAGTAGGTCCATACACTTGAGAAGATTTTACCTTGTCCTTAGTTTTGTATTTCTCATCTCACAACTATCACAGCTGTCACTCCAACTGTCTTTTATATGTGGAAGGTGTGAGGTTCTATTAGATATGATTAGTGTAAGTGCACTGCCTATTTCTATGTCCAAGCAATGTACTCATTTGAATAATTTAAGTAATATACCTCAGTTAACTTAATTTATACTTAATTATGAAACAATGTTTTTGACTAAAACAATATTACGTAACATAGCCTAAGAAATTCAATAGTTAATTGTTTCCTGGGATTGTGAGGGAAAGAGTGTAAATTACTATTTTTGTGTATTCCAAAGTTATTTTTAACAGCCACATGGATTATATTCTTATATTCTACTAGCCATATATTACTCATTCATGTATTCATTTGTTAATTACTATGCATCCATTCAATGAATATTAACCTACATTCTACGACTTCACATTAAAATTTAAAAAATATCATAAATCAATTTTTTCAAATCATAAGTTCATATACAAACAATGACAGAAATGTGTAACATTTGGATTTTAGAGTTATTTTTTATTTTGTTGTGAAAAAGGGTCAATATTTTAAACTGTCTAGATTAAAGCTTTGTGTGTGTATGTGGCTGCTGTTGTTTTTTCATTTGTAATTTTTATTTCTACTTCAAATGCAAGTATCAGAGACCTTTGTTTCTCTTGAATACCTAGTACTAGAATTGCCCCCTGTCATAAGCTACTAGAAAATTGGACAAAATATAAAACAAATTATTGTCAAACATTGAACCACAGACAACAGAGGACTACTATTCTAAGGGAAAGAAAACAAATTATGAGGGTTCTGCAACTCCCCAGCTCATGTCTTAGGTAGTTTCCCAGATGATAACGCAATTAGGAAACCCACTCAATACACAGTAATCTTGCTAAGTTGATGAGCCAGAGATGAGAATTTAGGAAGGCTAGTGGCTAGACATTGTGGACAGCAGTAGAAGAGTACAGAAGAGGGAACTACATAGAAAAAGAGCTCCAGAAATCTGCATAAGAGTATCTTCGAATCTGTTGATGAAATACAAAGGGATTCCATGCATAGAGTGAAATAACATGAGTGCAGAGAAATAGTGTCAGGGAAACTATAAGATGAACATTTCCCAGAGCTCACACAGAAGTGGAAAAGTCCTCACTGAACACCTGAGATTTCAGAAATCAGTAAGGGCATATTTCAAGAGTAGGGTTAACACAATCCTAGAATAAAAGCCTAAAATAATGTTAGACACATAGTACCAAAGCTTACGGATAAGCTTTAACAAGATGAAATTAATTTGTAAATAACTAAAATGCTTGATAAGACAAATATTAACAATCTGTAAACAAAGACACGGTAAAATAAAATCCACTTACACTTAATAATGTAATATTTACACTGTTTGTAGCTTTAAAAACCAATAAAGTTGTGCAGAAATTGGAATATGTGACTGACAATCGAGAAAAATCATTCATTAGGAACAGACTCAGAAATGTTAGAGATGATGGATTGCAGACAAAGTTTTAACATCTATTGATATGATTTAAATCTCTGTCTCTACACATATCTCATATCAAATTGTAATCCTAAGTGTTGAAGGTAAAGCCTGGTGGGAGGTGATTGAATTATGGGAATGGGTCCTTCATAAATGTTTAGCAACATCCCTTTGGTGCTGTTCTCCTGATAGAGTTCTCATAAGATCTGGTTATTTAAAGGTGTGTAGCAATTCACCCCTCTCCCTCTTCCTCCAGCTCCCATCATGTGAAATCGCCTGCTTCTGCTTTGCTCTTTGCCATGATTGTAAGTTCCCTGATTCCTCCCCAGAAGCTGATACTGCTATGCCTCTTGGACAGCCTGTGGAACCATGAGCCAATTAAACATCTTTTCCTTAAAAATTACTCAGTCTCAGGTATTTCTTTTCAGCAGTGTGAAATGGACTAATGCACCTATTATAAATATTGTCAACACATTCAAGTACTTAAACCACAGTCTGTGAAGATGAACAAAAAATATTTAATAGAATCAAGAAAAAACATTAAGCAGAATCTGAAGTTCAAAAGTTATTGAATAACTTTTACAACAGATTAAACCTAGTACAAAAACATAGATTATTGAACATGAAGACATGGAACAGGAACTAACTAAACAGACACACAAAGAGAAAAAACCTGCAGAGGAAAAATGGAGATTCAGTGACCTGTGGGGCAATAAAAATAGTCATCCTACACGAAATTCAAGTTCAAGAAAGTTTGAGTTTGAAACATATTTTAAAAATATGTACAATTTTTTTTTCAATTTTGATAAAAATGTAAGGAATCTTTAAAAAACCCAAGCAGGAAAAATGTATAAAATTGTATGACACCTGATAATTTAGTTGCTGGAAATTATTGTTAACTTGAATTAAATTTGACCTAAAGCTGCCTCCATACACCTCCATACATAGTGAACTGTAACCTAACTTAATGTGTAAACAACTTGTAATCTTACCTAAGAGTATACTCGTGAAACAAGTAGCCAAGGCCCAGCCAATTATAACAAGTGAACCTCAAGCCAATTACTGAAGTCTGTCAAAAGATGTCCAAATAAGACAAACACTAAACAGCAACCAATAAGATTATTTCTGAATATCATTACTATTTCTGTGGCTATAAACATAGCCTGCACACTTAGGGGAAGGAGCTCTCTGTATCATTTTTGATACTGAGTACTACTTGGTCTATGAACCTGTCTTTTTCCCCTACTCAATTAACCTCTGTTAAATTTAACTTGTTTAAGGCTTATTTTAAACTATTAATAAATAAATATCAAAGGTGACTTGCATACAGGAGAATGATAAAATGACTGATTTTCTTGTCAAAACCATGGGAATTAGAAGAAAAGAGAGCAAAGTTTTTAAGGTCTTAATGAAAAAATAATATCAATTTAAATTTTTTTATCTAGCCTAAATATTGTCAAGAGCTAAGTTAAACATCAGATTTGGGGAGGAATATGGAGTAATCAATACTGTTAAACATTGTTGGAGGAAGTGTAAGGTAGTATGGTCACTTGTCATAAACTGAATAGTCTGAGATTTTACCATAATGTGCAAGTTATATTTTATCCTCTTACTGTTTCCTGGATACTAGCAGAAAACATAAGACTCCTGGTTAAAATATAAATAAGATTATTACTCATGGCATAGCAGGGAACATAAGCTTTATGTTTGTATCAGTTTCCCCTGCCCCTAAGTCCTATGAAAGCAACACAGAGCAGTCCATATAGATGGGCCCAGTGAGTTGCATCTCAGTTAAGGGATCACAGGCTTAAGGAACTACATGCTTGTATAACAGGCCCTGGGCCTGTTTGACCTCTGGCCCTGAGGAAGACATGATTTTTACATTGGATAGTAAACAAATCTGAAGGGGAATCTATCTTCCAGAACTGTTCACCATACATATGTACAAATAAGAGAGTTTGAAACAATGGCTGTCAGTGTTTTTGCTGGTAAGAAATACATAAATATGAGAAACTCAAGGAGAATTCTGTTAGACACTACTATGGAATATCGTTCAGTTTCTTTTTAATATAAATTTAAACGTGAAACTACTCTATGATCCAGCAATTCCAACTATGTATTTATCTAAGAGAAATAAAAATATGTGTTCACAAAAAGACTTTCATCAGAATGTTCACTGCAAAATAATAAATATTTATAGCTCAATATAATAATATATTATTACAAATTGACTTGACTTTTATTTTGTGAAGTGATAGAAAAGAAACCAATGCAGTAATAAATTGTTGCGAAACAGTACATATTTGTAGCTCAATAATAAATTGAACAACCTAATTAAAAAGTGGACAAAAACGAAAGACAAATAGCCAATTAGTACATGAAAAGATGCTCTAAATTATTAGTTGTTAGGAAATTACAAGCTAAAACAACCATGAGTTACTACCAAATACCCAACAGAATAGCAAAAATTGAAAATGTTTAAAACAGTAAGAACATCGAGTGCTTTTAAGAATGGTGAGCACCGGAACCTTCACACATTGCTAGTGGGAATACAGATTCATACAATCTCTTTGGGAAAGAGTTTTGCAGTTTCTTATAACATCAAATACATACTCATCAGAGTTTTGTCCTTCTACCTGTTGCTGTATCATGTTCAGGTTGAAGCCAGGAAGAAGAAGAAGAAGAGGTATGGGATCAATTAGGATTTTCATTTTTTTTTTAACTAGGAAGAAATGTCATGTAAAAAGAAAGTTTCTGCTTATCATACCTGTTTATTCAGAATTGTGCAATGAGGTCTGCCCTTATCAAGTAGAGAAGCTTGGAAAGTCAATATTCTGCTACTATAGTGGAGGAGAAAATGGTTTGGGCATTGGTCATCAAAAGCCAAAGCAGTGAGATCATGGGAAAATAGTTTTTGCATTCAAAAGCATAAAGAAACTTACTTAAAACTTGTTTCCATAACATTAACTGGAAGTATCATGATTTCTAAGGGAAATCCATCTGGCTGGAAGAAATTTCTATTTATGTATATGTTACGAATTGTTTGCTGTGGGTGGTTTCTTTTTCATTATTTTGCAGAAAAAAAATCAAGCTAGTTTCTACTCATCGTTTTGTTAACAAGTTTTTAATAATCATTTTATTTTAAACTGGCCGTAAATATAATAGTTCTATGAATATATTTCAACTTCAATTATGTTAAAATGTACTGTTTTACATTCTTAGAGCTTACAGCAGTGTTGAACTACATAAGAGACGAAATGAATTGTATGTATATAACAAAAACACAGCTAATGTTCTTATCAGCTACCATTCTGACCTTTTCATGGAGTATGCAATTTTAAAATTATTGAAAAAATGCTGTAATAAGTCTATAAATGGATGAATTGATATAGTTTGCATATAAAGAAAAGCAGACTATTACCATGAAAGTAAAAATTAATTAATTTAATTATGCAGTTTCCAGTCATTCTTCTAATAGAGCAGTTGCTCTCATACTCATCAGCCCTATGATAAGGTCCACAATAAAAAATAATGGCATATTCTATTGCTTGCCTTCTCTGGTTAGATCGCTTGTCCTAATTACTCAACAAAAGAATCTTGTCCTTCTTTTCATTCATAATCTATTAATATGGAATTACCTGCTCTTCTCAATATATGTCACATCTTTTTCTTATGAACATTCTTACTTTAATGTCTCCATTTTCTTTCTTCTTCATTTAGATAATTCCTAGTTAGCTGTATAAGTTGACTTCAATAACTACTTCCTCTAGGAAGCTTTTACTAACCAATAACCTGTGTTTTATGTCTGTCTCATAGTCCCCTTTAGCCCCTGCATTGATCTTCTTCTATTGTTTTATTACATTTCTTATTTTTTGCCTTTCTCGATCATTAATCTGTAATTTCCTTGTAGGCATGCACTCTTTCCTTTATATCTGTTTCTCTAGGATTTAATGTAGCACCTAAAATATCTTACCAACACAATCAATATTTATTGAAGAGAAGGACTCTAACTTTATATCTTGATTTGTGAGTTGACTAAGTTCAATAACAATTTCTGATTTCTCCAGCTACCATCACGTGCATATTGTTGGTTAAGTAAAGTAAAACTTATGATTCTCATTAAAACTTGGTAAATCAAAATGAGCACATGAGAAAGGAATTTGATCGCAGTGCTAAGAAGGATCAATGTTATAGAAATCATCGGTACTCTCACCAACACAGAGACAAGAAAATGAACTGTCACTCAGCTAAATGTGTCAGACTTTGTCAAATTAGAATTATAAGAAACTAAAGATGCATACCAACTATTTCCACAAAGTTCAAACCTAAAGCTGAAAATGTTACTTTACTCAGAAATACATTCAATGGTTTTTCCTTGCTCTTAACATAGCAACACCATCATTTCTCCATTCTTTTTCTCTTTATCTAGGATTTTTGGTTTAACTTTCCTCTTTTATTAAGATCTTCATACATGCTTTCCCAACTTACTTAATTATTTGCAGTTTCAATATCAATTTGTCATGTTTTCTTCTAAAAAATCATAATTCTGCCAACATGGTGAAACCCTGACTCTACTAAAAATACAAAAATTAGCCAGGCATGGTGGCACACGCCTGTAATCCCAGCTACTCGGGAGGCTGAGGCAGGAGAATTGCTTGAGCTGGGGAGGCAGAGGTTGCAGTGAGCAGACACCGTGCCACTGCACTCCAGCCTGGGCAACAGAGCAAGACTCTGTCAAGAAAAAACAAAATCATAATTCTTACTACCGATGATAAAACCTTCTGATCCTTCTTGAGTCATGTAATAAATACAACAGTTGTGCTTTTAAGATTAATAGTATCTCTAGAGAGGAAATTAGAGATGTCTTTCCCTCCCCAGAAGAGAAGTGTGAAACAGGATGGTAGAAAACAGCAAAACAAAAATAATATATCACTAGACTGAAAGAAATACCTTGTACTCTTCCATTGGGTGTCGACTTTAGTCTTTATAAAATCATGAGAAAGATTACAAAATTAGTGGCAAACATGAAAAATAACCTGAAAATGTATCACAAAATGGAACAACTTTAATTTGCAATTCTTTTTGTCCTTTCATTTTTTCTCTTCCATTTCTCACTTTACTTTGGACTATTTTACTATGCTAACCTATGTTAAACTATGCTCAATACAGGAGAAAATAGAGGAGTATAATTTTTTTCAAACTCATGCTTTGATTCAACAAAAAAGATTACTGATAACTGGCATCAAGCTGAAATTAAAGAGAGAAAAATGTCTACATTTTTATACCCTCTATTTCTGTCTTCACACACACATATACACAAATAGTTATTCATACATATACATATATACACATAGCTGTTTATAAATATACATATATGGATATATGTATGCCTATATGATCATTCATCTACCATCCAAGTATTTATCATTCATGCAGCTAACATATTTTTATCAATTTATGTTTTGCAAATGGAAATTGGCAAAGAACAGAAATAAAGGAAATCACATAAGATTAAAATTCTTGCTGATTTTGGATAATAAGCACTAGTGAAAGAGAAGAGGAACTTGGAATTTTAAATAATGTTTGGCATAGACATGTCTTTTATTTATGGATGAGAAAAGTAGACATAGACAAATAAATCATATGTATATTTTAAGGCTCTATAAGGTTTAAGGACAAGAGTGATGGAGAAATTTGTCCATAACAATACACGTTTTGTTTATATAAGAGGTGAAATTTTTATTGTGATACTTTGTGTGCATAACACTCCAAAAAACAGATTTTTGAGATGTTTGTCTTCAAAATGAAAACAAATTGGTAGTGAAAATTTAACATGGGAAGAAATTAACTTTTATCTTTAATTGACTAATATAGGTCATAAATACAACTATAAGCTATTTTTAATGCTATCATGAAAATATTAAATTTTAAAAAGCATATTTATAACTTTATCAAAACTCAAATCAAAATTGAACTGTACTTTAACATGTAAAACAACTTCATAATGAAATCACTTGTTTTACTCTTTGCCATTTTATTTTCCAAAGTTTCTTGGCAATATATTTTGGTAGCTATATGGGTCATTTTTTAAATTCACATTCTTCCTTTGTAGCATAATAATATAACATTATTTTGCAATAAATTTAATAAATTTATGAATTTTTAAAGGACATTTCCTGTAGGATTATCGTTTCAAGTCTCTTATATTTATTTCCTCAAGCACTTGTCATGCTGAGGGATGTCTGTCTCAGCTGAAGGGCAGAGAGCAGGCCTCTTCCCAAGGAGAGATCAAAACCATTGAGGATAGGGAGTTTTGCTTTTTTGATTCCAGCTTTATTATTAGAAACTAGAACATTTGGGAAACAGTGAGCATTGGTTCACCATGTGTTAACTGAACAAATTAATTAATGAACGTGTAATTAGCTAATGAGTCCTTATCAATGTGTAATTTTAAATGAATTGTTATTTTTGATAAATCCTCACTTGGAAACAGCTTTGCAGAGGTTTTGATACCTCTGCCCAGCATAGTGTCCTAAAATTTCAAATATTTGCAATTTCACTTTGAAATTAATTTGCATTGTATTATCTTATATGAACAAATTCAAAACAAAGAAAATATTTAAGATATGGAGGGAAAACGAAACACTGAATGATGAAGAATGTTGGGGTGTAAAGTTAATTGGCAGAGATGCAACTTTGTTTGAAATGGGGAGAGATGTTTGAGAGAGAACTGTTGAGTGATCAGTCCTTTGGTGAGTATTTTTGTGCTTTGACAACTTTACTTTCACAAGCAGACCAGTAACTGGATATTTTTACTAATGAGTACTCTGTTAGTGTGTCCGTGCCTGTACACCAAGTTCCACATGTGTTTATATATGTATACATTTGTATGTATATGTATACATGTATATGAGCTACTACCCTGGGATGTAGAATATTTGTCTGTATCTCGTATATCCAGGCACAGATACCTTTTAAAAACACATGATACTGAAGTACTTGTGGCCTCATTTATAGTTGGATCATTGCACCAGTTCAATACTCTTTCTCACAGTGGGCCCAGAGATGAAAACGTGGAACAGCTGTGCTCTTCTACCAAGTAATTGCAACTTAATTGAAGTATCATATTAGAACTTGGGTGCTTGTAGTTTTTGTGTCCATATTTATTCAATTTTTAAGAAGACGTGCTTTTAAGAAAGACTGTTTATAGCAAAATTTAGATTTCTTTTACAAATGCCTACTTGTTTATTTTGGTCAATTGTTTGTTTGTATGTTTGCTTTACAGGATTGTTCACAGATTGCATTTCTCCTAAAATGACTATAATTTTAGATGTTCAACAAATTCCTAACACCATCACCATCCATATTTCTGCTGAGCATCTTATTCTTTGAGATTCTAGCATCTCAGCAGTCACTCAAATGTTGCAACATTCCATTAAAGATAAATTATGTCTAAAAGGAACAAGCATTCTCTCAGGATTTGACCTCTAAACAAGTGCCATTGAATAGAATTTTCTGCAACTGTGGGGATGTTCTATAATCTGAGCTGCCCAGTATATTAGCTTCTAACCACATGTCGCTGTTGTTCATTTGAAATGTGGCTAGTGAGACTGAAAAAATAATGTCTTTAATTTTAAATTTAATAAATACAACCAATTAAAAATTTTACAACTCTCTTATTTATTTTAATATTTGAGGTTTACAATGTTATGATAAGATACATATACATTGTGTAATGATTATCATAATCATTACACAATCATAATCAAATTAAAAAACACATCTATCATTAAATATGCTGTACATTAGATCCCAGAACTTGTTCAACTTAAAACTGAAAGTTTGAACCATTTGATTAACACCTCTTCAGTTCCCCCACCCCTATCCTCCAGCCCTTGGCAACCACCACTTTCTTCTGTCTTCTGAGTTCAACTTATTAAAATATCACATATGAGATCATGCAATATTTGTCTTTCTGTGTCTAGCTTATTTCACTTAGCATAATGTCCTACAGCTTCACCTGTGTTGTAAAAATGCAGGATCTCCTTCTTTTTAATGGTGGAATAATTTCCATTGTATAAACCACCATTTATTTACTCATTCATTTGTCCATAAACACTTAGGTTGTTTCCATATCTTGGCTACTGTGAATGGTGCTTCAATGAACACGAGGGTGCAGATAACTCTTAGACACACTGATTTCTCTACCTTTGTATACTCAGAAGTGAGATTGCTGGATCATGTGGTAGCTCTATTTCTTAATTTTTTGAGGAATCTCCATACTCTTTCCCATAATAGCTACATCAATTTAGATTTCCATCAGCAGTGTACAAGGGTTTCCTTTTCTCCACACTGTCACTAACACTTGCTATCGCTTGCCTTTTTGATAATAGTCATTCTAACAGGTCTGAGGTGATAACTCATTTGATTTGTATTTCTCTGATAATTAGTGATGATGAGGACCTTTTCATATACTGTTTGGCCACTTATATGTCTTCTTTGAAAATATTCAATTCAGGTCCTCTACCCATTTTTAATAAGGTTATACATGTGTATGTGTTTTTTTTTTGTTTTTGTTTGTTTTGCTATTGAGTAGTGCGAGTACCTATATATTTTGTGTATTAACCCAGATTAATTAGATATGTAGTTTGAAAATATTTTATTTCATTGCATTGATTACCTTTTCATTTTGCAGTTTCCTTTGGTGTGCAGAAGCTTTTTAATTTGATATAATTCCATTTGTTTATTTTTTATTTTGTTAACTGTGCTTTGATGTCACACCCAAACAAAGCATTGCCAAGACCAATGTCAAAGAGCCTTTTGCTTTCTTCTAAGAGTTTGACAGTTTGAGATCTTACATTTTAGTCTTTCATCTATTTTAAGTCAATTTTTATGTATGGGATAAGACAAGGGTCCAATTTTATTTATTTTCATGTGGATGTTCATTTTTTTCCAGTGCATTTATTGAAGAGATTTTCCTTTATTCATTGTTTATTTTTGGCACCATGGTCAAAGATTAATTGACCATATATGTGTAGGTTTATTTCTGGGCTTTCTGTTCTGTTCCATTGGTCTGTGTCTGTTTATATGACAACTGCAAACTGTTCTGATGTTACTACAGCTTTGTGATATAGTTTGATATCATGGAGGGTTATGCCTCCAGAATTTTTTTCTCTCAAGATTGCTTTGGCTCTTTGGGGGTTTTGCATTTTCATACAAATTTTAGGATTGTGTGTGTGTGTGTGTGAAAAATTCCTTTGGAATTTTGATAGGGATTACACTGATTTTGCAGATCACTTTAGATACTATGGGCCTTTAAAAAATACTCATTAATACACATTTAAGTCTGTGTAGTCACTTGTGTCTTATGGATCCATATAGGACTGCACAGTATACTCCAAATCTCTCTTATATAAATATACAGTAGGGCCAAGAACAAAAATGATGGCTAATTTATGTTTCATTCCTTCATTTTGATTGGGACAGGGGCATAGAAATTCTAGGCAGAAAAGGGCGGTCTCTGACAAAACTCTACCTTCAAGGCAAAAAGCCCGAAACCCACAACCCAAAGTGAGAACTTCTCTCCCTGTTTCCCAGCTAGAGTGTTACCTTTTCCTGAACTACCCGTGCCCCCTGTTTCTCTCCATCCTGTGTCTATAAAGATCCCAGACTCAGCCAGCAGAGAGAAGAAGTAGCTGGATGTCAGAGACAATGGCTGTATGTGGGAGACAAGCAGCTTGACCTCAGAGGGACAGCTTGATGGCATAACTTTGGAGAAGAATCCAGCTGGAGATGGCCAGACATCAGGAGAAGATTACCTATCCCCCGTTCCCTTTTCAGCTCCCCATCTTGTTGAGAGCCACTTTCATCAGCAATAAAATCCCCCTCATTCCCCACCTCTAATTCATTCATACAACCTCATTTTTTTCTGCGTGCTAGATAACATCTCAGGAGCCACAAGTAAAGATACAAAAGGCTATCACACTGGTCCTTTACCCTTGCTGGTAGAGGGCAGCTGCCGTAGCTGAAAAGGAATATGCCCACTGAGCTGTTAACATTTAAGCTGTCCACAGATGGCAGAGCTAAAAGAGCCCTGTAACACACCCGCTGGGGCTTTGTGGGTGGCAGCCACCCCCACCTAGCTGCTTCTGCAGGGCCTGCATGGAGGTTGCTCCTGCCAGCACCCAAAAGCACTTGCTTGGGCACCTGCACCCACTCACCTGCATGCTCCCTCCCACGAGGGGTGAAGTGCAGCAGGTCCGAGTGAGTGGAGTTTGATTCTTCCAGTGCCTATGTGGAGGCTGTTTCCAGCACTTGTGCTCTCCAGTTCCTGCCTCATTCACTCACATGATCCTTCCCACGAGGAGGTGAGAGTGGCAGGCTGAGTAAAGTAGGCACCTCTGTCACAAGACCCGCAAAAGTGTAAGGGAAATATTATGCTTCAATTTGACCCATCATTCAATATCAGTCCTTATTGTGTGCTCACTATTTTCCAGGCAATGCACTGTCTGAGGGTAATCAGTCATGAAGACATAGGTTATGCCAAGAAGTTTATGCCATATTCCTATAGTAAGGAGTAGTATCCGAAACTCTCAAACACATCCTCTGCATAAGTAAAAATGCTCATAGGAGAAATGCCATCAAAAACAAACGTGTGTGCATGTGTATATTGTATTGTGTGTTTAATAAGTGGGTATATCTGTATACATGTCTGTAAGTTTTTGAGTCATTGGCTAGGTTTCCTGGAAGACGACTTTAAGAGGGAGATTTGTGTATAGAAAATTTAATGGGAAGTTTCTTGAGATTGGACAGAGAAAAAACATTAAATTGAAATAGAGTCACAGAAAATACCTCAATTGATCTTACAAGTTTCTCTGGAGCACAGACTTATTGGACCTCAGATGATGTAGGGTATCATCAACCAGCTATTGAATTAGGACATTTCCTTAAGAGATTCAGCACACCACCCAGAGCTGCCAGCCCTTTGAGAAGCTAGTCATGCACATGCCTGTGAGACTGAGAGGTAGGTAAAGAAAGAGAAAGATCAGAGGAGGAAAGTTAAAACAGAAAAATGATCACTCTTTTTCTTGGCATTTTTTGTTACATTAATCATCTGGACTTGAGGAGTATATGAATAATTTAATATTCTTGGCTATATTGCATTAAAAGTTCTTTAATTGGATAAACATTTTAATGATTTTGAAAATCATAGTTCTCTTTTTAATGAATGTTATGAGATTTTTCACAGAAAATGACTATCTGTAAAAAGCTCTATAATTTTAAGAGTATCTGAAAACCATGAACTCCATGAAATCATGATATTTTAGTTTCGGTTACTTTCAGACTAGCCAATTTTCAGATTCAGCTCCCTGAGAGTAGAAACCTGTCTGGTTTCTTTCTATGTCCTCAGTGTCTAAACAGAGTAGATCCTAAACAAAAAATAGTTGAACAAATTAATTCACAAAGCTCTTCTTTGTGTCTGTGGAAAAGTTGTCATAATTTCTGCCACGTAAGGAAGTGTTTCTGGAGAAGTGGATTTCTCTTCCTTTGTTTCTGTCCCCTTCCACTCATCCTTGGTAAAGTACACGTCTGATCATGAAACTCTCTCTAATACCTTCCATCACTACGAAGATAAAGTTAAAATCCCTTTTTAATTCATGATATGCCCTTCATAGCCTTGCTGAGGATTCTCCAATACCTATCATGCAACTTGCACCCAACCATACTTCACTACTTACTATATCATGCTCGTTCATAACTCTGTATCTCAATATTCATTCTCTTCTGCTTTCAATCACTTTTCCAAAAGCTTCATCTGATAAATTATTATTTACCCCTTAAGAATTAGCACAAACTAATGTCACTCAGAGTTGATTTTCATAATACCTTACAACTGGAGTGAATTCATCCCTCTTATTACTCCTTGATTTTTTTTTCCATTTTTATGGACATCTCACACTTTCTGTGCTCTCCTTAAGTGATGGGATCTGCAACCCTGGTAAATACATTTGCCACACTAGTGTTTTACTAGTGTTTTGAATGTGGTTAAGTTCTTTCCAATGAGATGCACTCAGAAGAGACTTAGAAAGTGAAAGAAAAGCAGAGGCTTTCTTCT
Source organism: Homo sapiens (assembly GCF_000001405.40). Taxonomy (NCBI): domain Eukaryota; kingdom Metazoa; phylum Chordata; class Mammalia; order Primates; family Hominidae; genus Homo; species Homo sapiens. The sequence goes on from NC_000003.12 coordinate 95,311,510, forward strand.
TCTTGCAGCTGTGATGGATAATGAGTAAAGTTTAGCTAACTTGAGTTTGCAATAACCAGATTTCATCTTTTACCCCGTGGCTGCTCTGAGGCTGTGGGATGGCTTTGTCATCAGTAGTCCCTAACTACTTCTTGACCTCCGAGAGGAAAATGTAATAGCTTGACCTTAGCATCTACGAGCCATTCCCTGGGTTCTACTTTCTCAGCCCTTCTAATAATGCTATAAGACCTTGTTCCCTGAATTAGCCATTTTTCTGCACGAAATAACTTTAGTGAGCATATTCCCTCCACTATAACCTGAAAAATTGATTTAGTTTGCCTCCATGATGAACTTATGGATCAAGAACTTATAAAGACACTGAAAGGATGAGTATTTCCAGTATAGTATGTAGTTTTTTTTTTGTTTTACCTTCTTCAAAGTAAGAAGTAAAATGTAATAGCATTTCAGGGTGACAAATGAGAATGCTCCTAAGTACAACAGTATTTTATTACAAATCCAACTCTTCTGGGGCCTAAAAAAACTTTGAATCTTCCTTTAGATAAGACAAAATAATATAACCAAGAGAATGCATGTAAACTTTAAGATAGTTTGAAGCACTGTAAAAATTAATCCACAACAATACATATACCAACGTTAATACACATAAAGTTATTTGCTTAATCATGTTGATGAAAGTTGCATGTAAAAAGTATAGATTTATAATAGCCTTACTAACGTTAAATACCCAGATATAGATTATTATATTAAAAGGTGATTGCTTTCCTTAAAGTGGCAATTTACAAATCAAATAATTCATTGTTATGGTAGTTTATGTCCTATATTTTTCTAGTATATTTAAAATAAAATTTGAATAATCAAAACAAAAATTTGCACATAACTCCTGGAATACAATTAAAATATACAGTAAATAGCACCCATACTATACTCAGTCTTGAAATAAAATAAATATTATAATGAAATAAAATAAATATCAATAATAATGATAATAAGATAGTTTTGGCAATAACTAGGTTTGATGATTTATTCACTTGAACCTCTTAACTTATTCTTTAAAGACAATAGTTCTATCAGCACCTTAATAAATATATATCAAACTTCACTTACCTTACAGTTTGCTTTAATGAGGCTTATTACCTAGGCTTCAATAATCATTATAAGATATTGTTATCTCTCAATTTAACAAGTGGCAGAACGGAGTTACTCAGAAACAAACAGGAAGTCATTCCTCTCTGCCTAGATAGAGTACTTCTTATTTTTCAAAATCATATTTCAGCACACAGTAATGTAATCATCATGCTGAGACTGTTGGTAATAGCCCTCACTACTCAAGTGGCTTCTTCGAACAGCTGCTCTGACACAATTCGAAATCCCATTCCTCTGAAGGATAACAAATAATGACTATGACTATAGAAACATTTGAAATATTAATGTGATACCTTATGAAGACATTTACATGGCACCAGCAGTGTGTCAACACAGATTGCCCATTTCCTTACAACAGGCACTGTCTTTGAATCTGATGGAAGCATTAAAGACATCATGTATACTTTCTATATAAAACAAAAAAATCTGAAATTTTGAACATATAGAGTTAGAAAAATTCAGAACATTTCTCTATGCAATATATTTGATATTAACAAAATCCAACTTTGTGTCTAAAAATTAAATTCTACATGCCACAGTGTTTCTGACTTAAACCGTGTTACGAAATAATAAAAATTGTCAAAATCTAAATAATTACTTTAAGATTTATGGAAATTATTTTAAAACTAGTTAACATTTCTTACTATTATTCAAGGCCTAAATAATTAGAACTATTCATTTTTGCAAGAAAGAACACATAGTTTGTAGACTGAAGGGTCTGACCAAAATTTAAGAGGGAGGGAGAAAGAAAATATTGAAGTGTATGTGTTTATGTAGAAATATGTATTGATGTAGAAGGTACTTTATGTCAAAATATAAACATGGTAGAAAATGATTTTAGCTTTCCAATCAATCAATGAAAATAAGTTTTTTATGTTGGTTGGATTTAATCTGATCACACCGCATCTTTGTTTAATGATTATAAATTATTGTAAACATATACAATTAGGAGACAGTTCTTTCAATGTTAACCAAAATACTTGGTTTAGTAAGTTTTATGTTTTTCTATTATTTATGTATTATACTATGCTTGTCCAGATTTGTATCAACTTTATACTAAGAATTTTTGGGTTAATTTTCTTTTCCTCTTTTAGCAAACTTTGAGAATAAGAAAGTTATCATATTTTCTTGAAGTTTTATAAAGCCCTTGCATTTGAAGCCTTTTGCCAAAAGAGAGTATTATTAGATAAATTTTAATATTTAAGCCATATTTTAAACTTTATTGAGTCACTGTTATACCATTAAATATCTAGATATTTATTAATATAAAATAAATGTTTCAACTTTAATTTTTATATATCATTTCTTTCTAAAGTTCTATTTCAAACCTGAATAGTCCAGGCAATTATGAGCAAAAAAAAAAAAAAAAAAAAAAAGAAAACAATGCTCAAGGCCTAACACTGTCTGATTTTAAAGTATATTACAAAGCTATATTAATTTAAACAGCACAGTACTAGCATTAAAATAGATACTTTGAACAAGGACATAGAATAGAGGGCCCAGAAATGAACCCACACATGTAAATAAATTGGCTTTCAACAAAGTTACCAAGAATAAACAATGGGAAAACAATAATTTCTTTAATAAATAGCATTGGGAAAACTGGATATCCACATGCAAATGGATGAAACTTGAGCTAAAGCTCAAGTTTTACACGATTTACAATAATCCACTCATTATGACTTAAAGACTTAAACATAAGACCAGAAACTGTAACACTACTAAAAGAAAACATGGGGAAAACTACCTGACTTTGGTATGAACAATAATTTCTTAATTTGGCCACAAAAGCACAGGCAACAAAAGCAAAAATAGACAAATAGGATTACATCAAATCAAAAAGCTTCATCACAGCAAAGGAAATAATCAACAGTGTGAAGAGACAACCTATTGAGTGACAGAAATTGGAGGCATACCTCAAAGAGATTATAAATCAAGCTCCAAATAACCACAATACAGTAAATATTGCAATAAAGCAAGTCACATAAACTTTTGGGTTTCCTGGTATACCTAAAAGTTATGTTTAAACTATACTGTAGTCTATTAAGTGTGCAATAGCATTATGTCTAAAAACATAATATACACACCTTAACTAAAAATACTTTATTGTGGGCCAGGCACAATGGTTCATGCCTGTAAACCCAGCACTTTGGGAGGCTGAGGCAGGAGGATTGCTTGAGGTCAAGAGTTAGAGACCAGCCTGGCAAACATGGAGAAACCCAGTCTTTACTAAAAATACAGAAATTAGCTGGGTGTGCCATACCTGTCATTCCAGCTACTTGGGAGGCTGAGACACTAGAATTGCTTGAACCTGGGAAGGAGAGGTTGCAGTGAGCCGAGATTGGACCATTGCAATCCTGCCTGCATGACAAAAACAAAACTAAACAAAAAAAAGTTATTGCTAAAAATGATAGGATCATTTTAGCCTTCGGTGAGTTGTAATCTTTTTGCTGGTATTCACACCATGGTGTAGCCTACTAAGTGTGTAATACCAATGTATCTAAAAAAAATACACATCTTAATTTAAATACTTTATGCTAAAAAATGCTAACAATCATTCGCGCCTTTAGGGAGTCATAATTTCTTTGCTGGTGAAGGATCTTTCCTCAGTTTTGATGGCTGCTAACTGATCAGGGTGGGGAGTGGTGAAAGTATGAGTAGCTGGGACAATTTCTTAAAATAAAGAGAATGTTGAAGTTTGCAGCATTGATAGACAGAAGATCTATCATTTCACAGGAAGATTTCTCTATAGCATGCAATGCTGTTTAACAGCATTTTACCCACGGTAGAACTTCTTTCAATATGGCAGTCAATCCTTTCCAAACTGACTGCTGCTTTATCAACTAAGTCTGTGTAACATTCTAAATCTTTTGTTGTCATTTCAACAAGGTTCACAGAATTTTCACCAGGTAGAGAATCCATCTCAGGAAACCACTTTCTTTGCTCATCCATAAGAAGCAACTTCTCATGCATTCAAGCTTTAGTATAAGATTGCAGCAATTCAGACACATCTTCAGGCTCCTCTTCTAATTCTAGTCTTCTTGTGGTTTCTACTGCATCTGCAGTTACTTCACCCAGTAAAGTCTTGAACCCCTGAAAGTAATTCACAAGGTTTCAAATCAACTTCTTCCAAATTCCTGTTAAAGTTAATATTTTGACCTTTTCCCATGAATAATGAATGGTCTTAATGGCATCTAGAATGAATCCTTGGTTTTTAATGTACTTAGATCTGATCCATCAGAGGGATCACTGTTTGGCAGCTCTAGCCTTACAAAATGTATTTCTTAAATAACAAGACTTGAAATTCAAAATTACTTATTAATCTATGGCTGCAAAATAGATGTTTCGTTAGCAGGCATGAAAGCAACATTAATATTCTTATACACCTCTATCAGATCCTCTTGGGTGACCAGATGCATTGTCAACAGGCAGTGACATTTTGAAATTTTTTTTTTTTTCTCTGAGAAGTAGGTCTCAACAGTGGGCTTAAATTATTCAGTAAACCATTCTGTAAACAGATATGCTGTTGTCTACATTTTATTGTTCAATTTATAGAACACAAGCAGAATAGATTTAGCAAGATTTTTAAGGGCCCTAGAGTTTTTGAAATGGCAAATAAGCATTGGCTTCCACTCAAAGTCACCAGCTGTATTAGCCCCTAAGAGGAGAGTCAGTCTGTGTTTCGAAGCTTTGAAGACAGGCATTGATTTCTCCTAACTCTGGTAGTCCTAGATGGCATTTTTATCTACTATAAGGCTATTCATCTGCACTGAAAATATGTATTTTATTGTAGCCACTTTATCAATGTTCTTAGTTAGATTTTCTGGATAACTTGGTGTAGGGTCTACATCAGCGCATGTTGCTTCATCTTGCACTTTTAAGTTATTGAGATGGCTTCTTTGCTTAAACTTCATGAACCAACTTCTGCCAGTTTCCAGCTTTTCTTCTGCAGCTTCAACTCTTTCACTTTTCATAGCATTGAGCAAGAGTTAAGAACTTGTTCTGGATTAAGCTTTGGTTTATGGGAATATTGAAGCTGGTTTAATCTTCTATCCATACCACTAAAACTTACTCCATATCAGCAGTAATGCTGTTTTGGTTTCGTATTATTCATGTATTTACTAAAGTAGCAGTTTTAATTGCCTCTGAGAACTTTTCTTTGCATTCATAACTTGGCTAACTGTTTAACACAAGAGGCCTACCTTTTAGCTTATCTCAGATTTCAGCATGCCGTCCTCACTAAGCTTAATCATTTCTAGCTTTTGGATTAAGTGAGTGAAAGATGTGTAACTCTTCCTTTCACTTGAACAATTAGAGGCCATTGCAAGTTTATTAATTGGCATAATTTTAACATTCTTGTGTCTCAGGGAATAGGGAGGTCCAAGGCAGTGTGGAAGAGAGAGAGAGGGAGAGAGAGAGGTAGAGAGAGAGAGAGAGTGAGTGAGAGAGAGAGAGAGAGAGAGAGAGAGATGAAAGAACAGCTTATCAGTTGAGCAGTCAGAATACACACAACATTTATCAATGAAGTTTGCTGTCTTATATGGGTGTGGTTCACAGCTCCCCAAAACAATTGAAATAGTAACATAAGAGATAATTGATCACAAATTATGATAACATATATAATAATGATGGAAATGTTTCAAATATTGCAAGCAATGCCAAAATGTGGCATAGAGTCATGAAGTGAGTACACAATGTTGAGAAAATGGCACCACTTAGACCTGTTAGACTCAGAGTTACCATCGACTTTCAATTTGTAAAAAACATGCTATAAAGTACAATAAAGCAATGTGCAATGAAACAAGGTATGTTTATATTTGCAAACCATACATTTTATAAGAGGTTAATATAGCATTCAAAATATATAAGGAACTGAAACAATTAAATACAAAATAAATAAATAAATAAAGTAACCTGATTAAAAGAATGGGCAAAGGACATTGATGGACAAACAAAAGAAAACATACCAAAAAAGAAGACATAAAAATGTCTTATATATACATAGAAAATTGTTCAATATCATAAATCATGGCAGAAATGCAAATTAAGCCTCAATGAGATAACATCTCACACATGTCAGAATGGCTACTATCTGTAACCACTACAGAATACTGCATGGAATTCCTTGGAAAAAAAAAAAAAAACTCTAAAAACAGAATTACCATATGATCCAGAAATCCCACTCTGAGTATTTACCCAAAAGAGTTGAAATCAGCTTTGCAAAGAGATGTCTGCACCTCCATGTATATTGCAGCACTCTTCACAATACGCAGGTTATGGAATCAACCTCAGTATTCATCAACTGATGAATGGATAAAGCAAACATTATGTATATACACAACAGAATACTACTCAGCCTTTAAAAAGAAGGAAATTCTCTCATTTATGACAACATGAATGGAAATGGAGAACATTATGGTAAGTAAAATAAACCAGGCACAGCAAAACAAATGTTGCATATTCTTACTTATATATGAAATCTAAAACAACAGAACTTCTAGAATCAGAGAGTAGAATGGTGGATGCCAGAGGCTGGGGAATTTGAGTAATGGGGAAATAATGGTCAAAGGGTATAAAATCTCAGTTAGACAGAAGAAATAAGTTTAGTCTGTTTTTTTTTTTTTTTGGAGTTCAATTGCACAGTGTGGTGAATATAATTAATAATAATATTGTACAATTTTAAATTACTCAGTGAGTAAATTTCAAATGTTCTCCCTACAAAAAAATGATAAGTGTTTGAGGTGATGGATAAGTTAATTAACTTGTTTTAATTATCCCTCATTGTACTCATAAATCATAACATCACTTTGTACACTGTAAATATGTGTACTTATAAATTGTCAACTTTCAATAAAATGAAAAAGAGTTCTACTTTATAAGTACAAATCTATTTTCATTTTTAATGTATAATTAGATACTTTTTTTGTGATTTTTCCAAAAATAGTTCTATTTCACCACTTTTTTTATTAAATCAGCTTTTTGTACTCTTTTCCACAGTGTTTTGTTTTCTCAATGGCTATTTTTAAACTTATGTTATTTTTGAACTCACTCTATTTTTAGCTTTTTTTTAGTTTTTTTCATTTTTAATATTTTAGCCATTAATTTTCAATTTTTTCTTTTTTAGACTAGAAATAGTAAAGTTATGAATTGTCACATAAGTATATCCATAAGTTTAGTATAACATTTCTTTATTGTCTCTCATCCTATATAAGATCCATTGCAATTTCTTGCTATTCACATTTATCATTGAATTGTTTCTCTCTGACACAAGCAATAACCTTTGCCTTTAATTCAGTTTTGTTTGTTTTTGAAATCAATGTTCCTGTCTGTCTTTGACAGACACTTTCTAAGTATGCTCTTCTATCATTTTCTTCTGTATGGGATATGCTTTTTGTATTACCTGTTGTTTAGTGGGCAACCTGTTTTTTTAATACATAAGTTAGTGCATTAGATTTATTAAAATGATAAACATGTGTGGCCTTCACTTTATCACTATATTTACTATTTATACTTTTATCATGCCTTAAAAATATTTCACAGTACAGTTTGGTTTTTATTTTCTTTGTATTATATACATAAATTTCTATTTATTTGGAAAGTATGTTAGATTCCCTAATATAAGCAAGGATACAATTGCTATAGTCACACTTTATCCTAAATCTCTTGAACAATGTGACTTCATCTGATTACATTATATTTCTTAGTATATAGTTTTATAAATTCAACTATTCTTATACTTCTATTGCTCAATTTACCAGCACAATGTTCTCCTTGGTTATAAAATAGGAAAGCATTAGCATATTCATATTCTCACTCTTTCTCTTTAAAAACTATATTTGTATTTTCTTTATATTTTCAGTTTATTACCTACATAGTCTCTTTAATCATCTTAATTGCCAAGTTTTTGTCTTATATGCATGTAATATTCTTCTTAGCTGCATAACAAAGTATCACATGTTTAACAGTTTAATATAACAACAATTTCCTATCTCACAGTTTCTAAGAGTCAGGAGGCCCAGCTTGGCCTAGCTGAATCCTTTGCTCAGGGTCTTACATACGGTGAATGAAGGCAGAAGCAGGGATTAGAGTTTCCGCTGAGGCTTGGTGTCTTGTCTTGCTTCACACTGTAAAATTTATTTCTTGCTGCTGGATGAAGTGACTTGCTTCTTTAAAGCCAGCAAGAAAGAATCTGACTTCTTCTGTCTCTGACTCCTAAGACCTCTCTGAAAGGGCTCACCTGATTTGATCAGACTCATCAAAAATCATCTTCCTTTCACTAAGGTCAACTTATTACAGGGCTTAATGACATCTGCAAATTTCCTTCACCTTAGCCATACAACAGAACAGAAGCAGAGGAGTAATGTTCCTAAACTTTGCCACATTCTAATGGTTAGAAGCAAGCTTCAGGCCTGCATTACACCAAAAGCCACAGGATTTTTCAAGGGTGTGGTCATGGAGTCTCACGTTATTATTCTGCCTACCACAAAACATGAGGCAATTTAGTTAATACCACTGCAAAGTCTTCTGCTGTCATTTCACCATTTCTTATTTGAAGTTTATCTTCTAATAGTTTCTTCAAGAACGATTCTTGAGAAAAGCTTTCTCTGAGCTCTTAAATGCTTGACAGATTGATTTGTTACTTTTACATTTGAATGACAGTTTGCTGATTACTGATGCATACTTTCGTTTCTTGGGAGCTTTGCAGGCATTGCAAAAATCCTTTACAGAGTTCACTACTAATGATGGAAAAATGTTAGGCCAGCCTATTGTTTTATATTGAAAGGTAGAATGATATTTTGTTTAACTGACAATGCATTTATTGATAAGATTTTAAATCAATTGCTTCATTATGATATTTCTATATTGATCATTCTGTTGATTTTTTTCCAAGACCAAGTAAGTCCTTTCGATTGGTGATTTCAATACTTTTTAATGAAATTTTTCCTGAATTTCATGTTGTTTCATATTTTTAAATTTACTTTTTAAAACTTTTTAGTTATCTTGTATTCCATATTGCATCCTTTGTGCTGCCTCGAAGTAATTACTCTTTTTCCCTCGATATCATTTGATTTTTCTCTTATGATTCTTCTCAGGGGTCAGCCAGTGCATAGGTTATTTATTTCTCTAGTTCTGACATATTTTTCTGAGATTTTATTTGTCTGTTTTATGTTCTAATTTCTGTGATATTTACACATCACAGAAGTACAATGATACATAGTTTTATTTTATATTTAAATGTAACAGCAAAATTTTGGTCACAATGTTTACATTAATTGTTAGTAATTGTTTTGCTGACTTTTGTTTTCTTTTCTTTCTTTCTTTCTTTCTTTTTTTTTTTTTTTTTAACCATAGTCTCACTCTGTAGCTCAGGCTGGAATGCAATGGCGGGATCCCGGCTCACTGCAACCTCAACCTCTCGGGTTCAAGCAATTCTTGTGCCTCCGCCTCCCCAGTAGCTGGGACTACAGGCACTTGCCACCATGCCCGGCTGATTTTTGTATTTTTAGTAGAGATGGGGTTTTGCCATGTTGGCCAGGCTGGTCTCGAACTTCTGATCTCAGGTGATCCGCCCTCCTCTGCCTCCCAAAGTGCTGTAATTACAGGCATGAGCCACCATGCCCGGCCTAACTTTTGTATTCTAAAGAGTGTTAACATCATTTTTTTTTCCTTTTTGTTTTTTTTTCTTCTTTTATCTTGTAGACCACATGCTTGACATTTTACATTTTACTTGTACTTTAATGATGTAACTACTTCCTGATCCAATTTTTATCAGGTGGAGCAGGGTCATTAAATAGCATAGCAGGGAATTTCGTTATGAAACGAGAGTATCTCTGAGGCCAGCCTTTTCACCTATATTTCTTCCAGACAAAAATAATCAACTGCTTATAGGAAGGATACTAACAGTGCAACATGGTTGCCTTCCACCAGCCTACTACACTCTGATACCCCTTCAATTTCTTCTTCTGAAACTTCTTTTAAATATCTATTTAGTTATCTCTATACCTCATAACATTGATCTTAACATTGTGCCAATGTTAACATCTTAACATTTTGGTGCATTCATGGCAACTTCTTGAGTAGTGTCCTCCAGGATGCTAAGACTTTCTTCACTTGTTATCAAGTTTTTACTAACTATTGTGATTCTATTTCAAGAAAAAAATATATATATTTTGTGGCCAATATTTTAAATTCTTTTTTTCATTGTTATAAGTTCTTATTTCCTTCTCTTCTATTTTCTAATGCCTTTTTTCTTTAAATTTATTTTTTAGTTAACTATTTGAGCATCACAAGCATACTTAATTTAAACCTGACATTAGACCATTTTATGAAATCATGTCCATCTAGATTTAACTTACATACTACTTATGAAGTTGTTTTTTACTTTCTTAGCATTAGTTTTTTTTTTTTTTGTTTGTTTGTTTCTGGCATTTTGGAATTCAGTATATTGTATCACAGGAAAAGGAGTTTCTTCTTTAAATTTATTCGTATTTTTTCAACTACGTTTTGATTTACTTTCATTTCCTCCTAACCAATAGTTTTCTAGTATCTGTTCCCTGACCTATTAATTTTTTATACTAGAGGCCTTTGTTAACATTTTATAACCTTGTTAATTTAATAAAATATGAGGCTTTCAACTCTATGGTGGTAACTAGGGAGATCCACATTGAAACATAGTTATTATCCTCATCTTTCTTTAGTTCCGTGTCTTCAAGTGATGTATGTTACTTTAAATTGTTGCCTTAGGAGTACAGTTGCCAGATAAAATACAGAGTGCCAAGTTAAATTTGAATTTCTACTAAACAGTGGATTTTTAAAAATTATAAACATGTTCCATTAGGTTTGGTGGTCTTATTTGCTGAAAGTGGCAACCCCATAAAGAACATGGTTCTACAATAGTTTTGCTAGCCTCTTTTGCTGAGATAGGGAGCTTGACAGCCTATTAAGTTTGAGAGTAAAGCGGTGAGCCTCACTTTTGTTCCCAGTTCTCACAGTGCACATGTTGTCTATTATCATGCTGGAGCCAAATTCTCAGTCATCATTATATGCTTATGGGTCAAGGGCCCATGGTCTTTAACACTTTATACATTTAGTCTTGTTTTTTTCAACCTGGCTATGCCTTTTCAATTGGCTATATTTATAATATTTCTCTCACTTTTATGTATTAAGAGCTGAGAAAGAGCATTGCACATCAATATACTATATTCTTCTTGCCAGAAAGGAATTTATTCTGTTAAGAAATAAAATTCATAGAAAACAAGTAAAGCATCACAATATTTTTCTTTTTTCTTTTATTTATTTTTTAATTTCAATAGCTTTTGGTTATAAGGATAAATTATACAGTGGTGAAATCCAAGATTTTAGTGCACCCGTCACTGGATTAGTGTACATTGTACCCAATATGTAATAAATTATCCCTTGCACACTCTCCCACCCTCCCTCTTATGAGTTTTCATAGTACATTATATCACTCTGTTGCATGCCTTTGTGTACCCACAGCTTAGCTCCCACTTATTACTGAGAACTTACTGTATTTGATTGTCCATCCCTGAGTTACTTCACTTAGAATAATGGCCTGCAGCTCCACTCAAGTGGCTCCAAAAGACATTATTTCATTCTTTTTTATGGCTGAGTAGTGTTCAGTTGTGTATATATGCCACATTTTCTTTATCCACTCATTGGTTCATGAGCACTTAGGTTGGTTTCATATCTTTGCAACTGTGAATTGGGTGCTATAAACATACACATGCAGGTGTCTTTTTGATACAATGATTTCTTTTGCATTGGGTAGACTCCTAGTAGTGGGATTGCTGGATTGAATAATAGATTTATTTTTAGTTCTTTAATAATACTCCATACTGGGCCAAGTGTGGTGGCTCACGCCTGTGATCCCAGCACTTTGGGAGGTCGAGGCGAGCAGATCATGAGGTCAGGAGATTGAGACCATCCTGGCTAACACGGTGAAACCCTGTCTCTACTAAAAATACAAAAAATTAGCTGGGTGTGGTGGCATGTGCCTGTAGTCCCAGCTACTCGGGAGGCTGAGGCAGGAGAATCACTTGAACCTGGGAGGCGGAGCTTGCAGTGAGCTGAGATCGCGCCACTGCACTCCAGCCTAAGCGACAGAGCAAGACTCTGTCTCAAAAAAAGAAAAGAATACTCCATACAGTCTGATAGAAGTTGAACTGATTTACATTCCTACCAGCAGTGTGTAAGTATTCCGTTTTCACCATATCCATGCAAACATTTGTAGTTTTCCGACTTTTTAATAATGGCCATTCTTGCGGGAGTAAGGTGCTGTCTCGTTGTGATTTTAATTTGCATTTCCCTAATAATGTGATGTTGAACATTTTTTCATATGTTTTCAACCATTTGTATATATTCTTTTGAAAAATGTCTGTGTCATTTGCTCACTTTTGATTAATTAACATTTTCATTAGGACCTCTGTATTTATTTTTGTTTTTGTTAAATTTGCTTTTGGGTTCTAAGTCATGAATTAATTTTCCAGGCCAATGTCAAGAATAGATTTCCCTAGGTTATCTTTGTAAATAACCTAGAATTTTTATAGTTTCAAATCTTAGATTTAAGTATTTGATTTATCTTGAGTTGATATTTGTCTATGTTGAGAGATAGGGATCAAGTATTATTCTTTTACATGTGGCTAGACAGTTTTCTGAATATCATTTTAAAAATAGGGTGTCCTTCCCCTATCTTATGTTTTTGAATCCTTCGTCAAAAGTCAGTTGGTTGGTTGTAGGTATTTGGCTTTACCTCTGGGTTCTATTCTATTCCATTGGTTTATGTGTCTACTCTTACACCAGTACCATGTTGTTTTGGTAACTACAGCCTTCTAGGACAATTTGAAGTCTAGTAGTGTGATGCTTCTAAATTTGGTCTTTTTCCTTAGAATTGCTTTGACTATTTGGGAAATTTTTTTTGGTTCTATAGGAATTTTAGGATGGCTTTCTCTAATTCTTTGAAAAATGATGTTGGCATCCTGATAGGAATTTCACTGAACCTGTAGTTTGATTTGGCGATATGGCCATTTTCATTATATTATTTTCTAATCCATGAACACGGGATTTGGTGCCATTTGTTTGTGTCATCTATGATTTCTTTCAGCAATGCTTTAAATTCTCCTTGCATTCATCATTCATCTGGTTAAGTGTATTTCTAGGTATTTTTTGTTGTAGCGATTATAAAAGGAAGTGAGGTCTTAATTTGATTCTCTGCTTGGTTACTGTTTATGTATAGAAGTTCTACTTATTTGTGAACATTGATTTGATAGCCTGAGATTTTACTGAATTCATTTATCAAATCTAGGAGCCTTTTGGATTTTCTAGATATATGATCATATCATCAGTGAACAGTGAAAGTCTGACTTCCTCTTTTCCAATTTGGATGCCCTTTATTTTTTTTTATCTGTCTAATTGCTCCAGCGAGGCCTGGTGATAATTAGGAGTGATAAGAATGAACAGGAGTCATAAGAATGGGAATCCTTTTCTAGTTCCAATTATCAGGGGGAATACTTTAACTTTTTCCTATTCAGTCTGATGTTGGCAGTGGATCTGTCATATATGGCTTTTATTATTTTGAGGTAAGTCCCTCTATGTTTAGTTTGTTTAGTGTTTTTATCATAAAGGGATGTTAGATTTTATTAAATACTTTTCTGTATCTACTGAAATGAACATAAGGTTTTGTCTTTAATTCCATTTATATGATGTATCATGTTTATTGACTTGCCCATGTGAAACCATCCCTGCATTTCTGCAGTGAAACCCACTTGAACATGCTGTATTATCTTTTTGATGTGCTGTTTGATTTACTTAACTAGTATTTTGTTAAGGATTTTTGCATTTAAGTTCATTAGGGATACTGGCTTCAAGTAATGAATTAGGGAGGATTCTCTCTTTCTCTATATACTGAAATAGTTTCAGTAAGATGGTCACCAATTCTTCTTTGAATGTCTGATAGAATTCAGCTGTGAATCCATCCTGCCCTGGTCTTTTTTGTTGTTTTGGGCAATTTTTAAATTACTGATTTAATGTCACTGCTTGTTATTGATTTGTTCAGAGTTTCTATTTTATTTATTTGACCTAGGAGGATTATACAATTCCAGAAACTTTTCAATTTCCTCTAGATTTTCTAGTTCATAGCAGTCTTGAATGATCTTTTGTATCTCTGGAGTCAGTTGTAATGTCTCCAGTTTCATTTCTAATTTAGTTTATTTGGCTTTCTCTCCTCTTTTCTTGGTTAATCTAGCTAATGGTCTATCAATTTCATTTATCTTTTCAAAGAATCAGCTTCTTTTATTGATGTTTTGTATTTTTTTGTTGGTGTTTCAATTTCATTTAATTCTGCTGGATTCATTGTTATTTCCTTTCTTCTGCTAGCTTTGTGTTTAGTTTGACCTTGTTTCTCTAGTTCCTTGATTTGTGACATTAAGAGGTCAATTTGGGATATTTCAGACTTTTTGATGTAAACATTTAGTGCTATAAACTTTCCTTTTAGCACTGCTTTTGCTATAACCCAGAGGTTTTGACAATTTGTGTCTCTATTATTATTCATTTCAAGGATTTTTAAATTTCCAACCTGATTACATTGTTAACCCCAAAATGATTCAAAAGCAGGTTGTTTAATTTTCATATATTTGTATAGTTTTGAAGGTTCCTTTTGTAGTTGACTTCTAGCTTTATTTCACTGTAGTCTGAGAAGATACTTGATATGATTTCAGTATTTAAGTTTTATTGAGACTTGTTTTCTGACCTATCATATGGTCTCTTTTGGAGAATATCCCATCATCCCATGTACTTATGAGAAGAATGTATATTCTGCACTTTCTGGGTAGAATGTTCTATACATATCTGTTAGGTCCATTTGTTTTATTTATTATTATTATTATTGAAACAGAGTCTCACCTGTTACCTAGGCTGGAGTGAGGTAGCATGATCTCAACTCACTGCAACCTCCTCTTCCGGGTTCAAGTGATTCTCCTACCTCAGCTTCCTGAGTAGCCAGGATTACAGGTATGTGCCACCATGCCCAGGCAACTGTTGTATTTTTAGTAAAGACAGGATTTCACCATGTTGGGCAGGCTGGTCTTGAACTCTTGGCCTCAAGTGGTCTGCCTGCCTTGGCCTCCCAAAGCTCTGGAATTACAGGCATAAAAAACTGCACCAGACCTCCATTTGTTATAGAGTGTAGTTTAAGTCCATTGCTTCTTTGTTGACTTTCTGCATTCATGATCTCTCTAGTGGTGGCAGTGAAGTCTCGAAGTTTCCCACCACTATTAAGTTAATATCTGTTTTCTGAGGTCTGGTACTAAATCTTTTATGAATCTAGGAGCTCCAGTCTTAGGTGCATATAAATTTAGAATTGTAATATCTTCTTGTTGGATTGATTCATTTATCATTATATAATGATCTTCTTTGTCTTTTTTTTTTCCTGTTGTTGCTTTTAAGTCTGTTTCATCAGCAATAAGAATAGCTACCCTGCATGCTTTTGGTTTCCATTTGCATGAAATATCTTTTTCCACCCCTTCACCATGAGTTCACATAAATCCTTACATGCTATGCATGTCTCTTGAAGACAACAGATACTGGGTTTCTGATTTTTTTCATTTATTCTGCTATTAGGTGTCTTTTAAGTGGAGCATTTAGGCCATTTGCAGTCAAGGTTAATATTGAGATGTGAGGTACTTTTTTGGTGGTCATGCTAATTGTTACTTAGATACTTGTTTTCCTCATTGTATTATTATTTTATCAACCCTGTGAGTTTTATGCTTTCAAGAGGTTCTATTCTGGTGCATATAAACCTTTTGTTTCAGGATTCAGAACTCCTTTTCGAATTTTTTTGTAGGGCTGGTGTGATAGTGACAAATTCTTTCAGCATTTGTTTTTCTGAAAATGACTTGATTTCTCCTAAATTTATAGAAATTTGTTTTGCTGGATACAAAATTCTTGGCTGACAGTTATTCTGTTTATGGAGGCTAAAGACAGAACTCCAATTCTTTCTGGCTTATACAGTTTCTGGTGAGAAGTCGGCTGTTAGTCTCATAGGATTTCTTTTGTATGTTACCTTGTGCTTTTTTCTCCCTGCTCACAGAATTGCTTACTTCATGTTTAACTTTAAGTAGCCTGATGACTATACACCTTGGTAAAGTCTTGTTTGTGGTGAATCTCCCAGGAATTCTTTGAGCTTCCTGTATTTCAAATATCTAAATCTCTAGCAAGTCCAGATAATTTTTTTTAAATTTTTTCCTCAAATAAGTTTTCCAAATTTTTCTTTCTTTTCTCCATCAGAAACACCAATTATTTTTAGGTGTGGCCATTTTGCATAATCCCATATTTCTTGGAGACTTGTCCAATTTATTTTTATTTTTTATTTTTGTCTGAGTAGGTTAATTTAAAATATTGGTCTTCAAGCTCTGAAATTCTTTTTTCTACTTGTTCTAATCCATTGTTGAAAATTTTGACTACATGTTATAATTCCCTAAATTTGTCTCTCATTTTCAGACGTTCTGACTGTTCTTCCCTTAAAATAGCTATCTCTTTTGAAAATATTTTATTCATATCCTGAATTTTTTTTAATTTCTTTATATTGGTTTTCACATTTCTCTGGTATCTCCTTGACTAGCTTAACAATCAACCTTTTGAGTTCTTCATCTGTTATTTCAAAGATTTCATCTTGATTTGGACCCATTGCTGGAGAGTTAGTGTGATCTTTTGGGGAGTTATAGAACCCTGTTTTGTTGTATTACTAGAATTATTTTTCTGGTTCATTCGCATTTGGGTAGACTATTTTTTTCTAATTATTCTTAAATTTATTTCTTATTTGACTTTTTAAACAAATTTCTCTTTTTCTCTCTTAAGAATATGACTTTAATGTTTATAGTTTATTATGTCTTAATTTGGCTTTCAGGAGTAAAAACTCTGTATGATAGCTTTTTCAGATTCTGGTTGTAGTTGCTGTGCTTGGTGTGTGAGCAAGTTCACTGTTTCCTATTTAGTTGAAATGGCAGAGATATCTTGAAGCTTACTTTTTTCCCCAGTCATGTTCACTTTTTAAATTTATTTATTTTTTCCCAGTATTTTGTTTACTGTGTTGAATAGTTCAGGGAGGATGTCCCTGTGTAGAAACTAGTTGTGACTAAAGCAGGTGGGTAAATGCAATGGCCAATGCTGAGCCAAGGTCCCAGCCTTGACAGAGGTGGCTGAGGGAGCTCTCAGTGAAATGCACTGAGGTCTTATCATGGGGAAGGGTGGGAGCCACCTCAGATCCCCTGCCAGGTCAGCAAGAAAGTCATCCACCTCCTAGACACATTCTTGACCCAGTTCCAGCTATTTGGATCAGGTAGTATCCTCTTTTCATCTGCAGAAATGTTGATGTTCCAAATAGAGAGGACCTGTGACTCTACCTCTCATGCATGCCTGAACCTGGAAGGTGTTTCACTTGTGGGGTGGAGTGTCTTTCCAGAAAAAAAAAGTGGTCTAGAAAGGCTGTCTATATGTGCACCCATTCTGAGCTTCCATGGAAGAAGTCCCAGTTGTGTCTGCAGTGGTTGACATCAGGATAAAGAAGTTCCTTTCTTCAAGACTCTTCACAAGTGCAGAGCTACATGTCTGCTAAGGTAGAGCAGCAGACTTTCCCTGCTAAGCCCAGCACTGCAACTTTGCCTGTGCTGAAATAAACTTCCTGTCAGTGGAAAAATCTGAAACTCATGGCCTACCATCCAGATTATTTTGTTCCATAGAGTGTTCACTAGATGTGGCTCATCCCCCCTTCCCTTAGGAGAAAGATTCCCTGAGAACCAGACTATTATGGATGCTGCTGCTCCTTGAGGTCTAGCCTCTCAATGGGGCTGACACTGCAGGCTGGTATTGAGGAATGTCTGCCAGGTGTCCAGTAATATGATCGGTTCTGATGGGGGTGACAGGGGAGTGACATAGACTCTGTGAGATTCTTTGGTTGTAGATAGCCATACTGTGTAGGCTTTCTCAGATGTTAATTGTAGTAATAATGAACTTGTCACATGGACAGACTCAAGACCTTCTGGTTAGCTAGGGTGATGAAGGCAATGATAGCTGAGGTCATGCACAAGTTTTATCCTTCCTGAGTGCAGTTATCCTACCTGTAGATGCTGTATTAGACTATGTTGGTTGGCCTCTAGCCAAGAGTTGGTTCTTGCAAAAGAGCACCAGCTGCCATAGAAGCAGTGCGATTTGTGCTTGCCTTATATTACCCAGGGATATACTCTGATTTCTCTCAAAAGTTTCTGTCCTTTATATTAAGCTATGAGGGTGGGTGAAGGGACAAATCCAGGTAAAGCCTGGGTCAGGCAGGTCCATATTCTGGCTCTTCACATATAGATATGTGAGGCCCTTTTGGGAGATGGGGGTGCTTCTCTGGCCACTGGGATAATGTTGCAGGAAGGAGTGTACCTGCATCTGCTGCACAGGAGAGTTCACATAGGGAGTGGGGAGTATCTGGTGGCCGTAAGCTTCACCCAGCTTCCATGCACTTGGCAAGGCAGGACTCTCACCCACAGTGTTCACTAACGGCAGCTAGCTGAATTCCAAGCCAAGCCATCAACGCTCAGAACTCAAAAGTGTCCCAGGCAATAAGCCTTCCCTTTAGAGACAGAAAGTGTGGCTTTCAGGCCATACCCTTCCCCTTCCCCGCAAAGCCCAGGTACCCAGCACCTGTGCCATGACTGCAGCCCACTTCCCACTTGCCCCCCAGTTCTGGCCAAGGGAGTCTGTCCTTCCTGAAGTTTATATTTTACATTTTAGTTGGGAGTTTATTTCAATCTGCAACTGCTGCCTAAGTTAGTTTGCAGACTTCCACAAGGTCACCTGTGAGTAGAATCAGAAATGGCTTTCCTCAGTCCACACTGGAGACTGGGAATGTGTGCAGAGATCTTTGTGCTCCTTCTCCTACTTTTATATTTCTCACTGCACTCTATATCAGTTCCAGCATTGGGCAGGGTTGAGGCCTTCCACGGTGGGCTGGATTGCCAGGTTACCTGGTGGAGGGCTTATATCCTCCAACCAAGGGACTTACAGTTTCTACTCAGCTCATGATGTAGGCTGCAGCCTGCTGCTTCTTTCAAAGGGTCTGTGGATTTCTTTCAATTTTCCTGTTAAATTCCTGCATTACTTCTTGGAAAAAACTTTTACAACATGACTCTCTATACATGATTTTGTCTTTCCACATGGGAGAGAAATGCTAACACTGATTCCAATCAGTCATCTTGGAAAAAAAAAAGCATCATAATATTTTCAAAAGATATCCAGTTATCTATGGAAATACATAATATTTTCTATAAATATATGCAAAAAATAAATGTAATTCCATAATGAAATCTAAAATCAGTCTGATATATTATTAAAAATTCAAGTGTTAATATTTGCTATGGAATCATAAGCCCAGTAAATATTTGGGAGAGCTTATCATTTATATTCTCCTTTGTGTATAACACTGAACTTTTATGAAGTGTTTTATTATTAGGCATTAACTACAACATTACCTTTTAATGGAACCATAAATCTTTAATTATAGTTCAATATGTTGCTGACTTAAATTGCTTTTGGACTAAAACAATTCTATTACAATATACAGTATGAAGAAGCAATTTATTTTTCCCTAAAATAAATATTCTAATTTCAAAACATAAAATAGATACATGTTGCAGCACATATCATTTTGGGGAGAAAATTAGTAAGACATTATCTTTTCTGCCAAAAATATGCTTACCTCCACCTTGTATTGCTATTCACATGTTTTGTACTAACAAGAGAAAGCCAGAATAGGATAAAGTGGAAAAGGAGGTAGACTTTAAAGGTCAGTGATTTCAACCACAAATAAAATCAGAATTTACTTTCATTGCATACATAGTAATTTTAACACAAGGACAAGAATAACAGCAGCAGCAGCAACAACAACAAAAAAGCCTTTGAATGTGCTCTATTTTTTAAAAGTACCTAAAAATATAGGTAAAAATTATCTTTACATTTTATGTGTATGTGCATTTAACTCAGTTTATATGGAACCTCATACATGTGTTCATCTGTACATTTATGTGATTTATCATATGTAAAAGTTAAGAGCTATGATGGTTAAGTGTAGGTAGAATAGCAGACTTATTTAATCTTAATATTTTTAATTTGACCATAGAAAATATATTGTAGTAAGATGGAAACTGGGTTTGAATATATCTTCACATTCAATTTCTTAGTTTTTCAAATAACTAACTTTTCTAAGTCTTTGTATGATCTTATATAAAAATTGAAAAATCTTATACCTAACTAATAAGAATTAATTAAAACATGGATGTACCTTGCTTGGTAACATATGCCTGGGTCATAGTAAATATATAACTAATGGATTTTTTCTTGTCCTACTTGTATTCTAAATAACTTCTATGTACATTTATAATGAATACTTATTAAGAAGTATATTATGCTAAATGTTTCTCCAAGTATTCACTTGTGGTGATGTCAGGTACATATATTAAATATATTTTCTCTTTTGATCTAGATTCTTACACAGGAACAGTTTTCTGTAAAAGTTTGGTTTTCTTTCTCACTGTGACTTTTTATTTCATTGAGTACATCTTTTTTTTTTAAAGTTTCTGCTGTAATCTACACACAAACTATTATTTGTAAAAAAAAAAACCTCCTTTGATTCTGATGAATAAGCAGACTATTTTTAAACACAATGAAAGATAAATTCCATGAGAAAAATAATTTAGATGGTCAATTATTTTATGTAGTTAAATCACATCAATGAAGAAAATATTACATAGAAAAAAATTAAATACATTTATTTTAAAATTTGATAATGAATTTCAAATATTGGTCACAAAACAAATAAGATAAGGAGAGTTTCCATTATTTTACATTCAGTATAGGCAAGTACAGAAAAGCAGCTGCCATCTTTTTTTTTATTAGCATTATAGTGTGATTTTTTTAATTTTTCTTTTTTCAGTAATAATATAGCAAATAGCCAATGTTTAAAAACAGACACAGTAGGATTAGCAAAATAGTGTAAACAGAGATTAGCTATCTAATGAATACAGATGGTGTGGTACCAAAAACAGGTAAATGTGGATTACATTTGGGACAATAAAGGAAACAAATACAACATATTTAAATTCCCATCCATATACATAAATTCAATAACTAGACTGGAGTGATATTTTTTACTTAATAAAGCCTGTATCAACTACTGTAAGCCTTACTAGGGAATGCAAAGATGAACAAAAAATAAAGACGTTTCTCATGTGAAGAAATACATGTATATTATATTAGAGAATGTCACATACTTGAAATGTGTAGATCAGGCTTGTCCACCTCACAGCCTGTGGGTCTCTTGTGGCCCAGGATGTCTTTGAATGCAGCCCAACACAAATTCATAAACTTTCTTAAAACATTATGAGAATGATTTTTTTGTGATTTTTTTTTGTTTTAGCTCATCAGGTATTGTTAGTGTTAGAGTATTTTTTGTGTGGTCCAAGATAATTCCTCTACTTCCACCATGGCCCAGGGAAGCCAAAAGATTGGACTCCCCTTATGTAGATGATTAGGAAAGGAGAAAATTGCTTTCTAAATCAAAACATAGATATTACATAGAAAGTCTGCTTTACCCACATTTAAACTCTGCCTCTAATATATTTATACAATAATATGTAGGGAACTCAAAAATATTCAGGAATGTTCTACAGCTACCTAAAAATAACTTGCATTTCCCTTTAAGGGTGGCAAAAACCATGTTGCCAGTGAAATAACTACTTCAAAGTAATCTCAAAATTTCTAGTGAAAAAGGACATCCAGAAACAATATCTACTATATAATATTCAAAATTAACACACTCATGTGTGTGTGAGTGCACATGTGTATGTGTAAGTGCACAAAACATGCATACCAATGAAACCCTATTTGCTGGCTTATATTTTCTGCTGTTTGGTACTTAGTATGTGTGTGTTTGCGTGTGTGCGTGTGTGTGTGTGTGTGTATATATATATATATATATATATATATATATATATATGCACATCTACATATTTATAATGTCCTGAAAGTATATATAATATTATTTTAGAATTAGACATTATAAACAGTAAAAGTTTTTTTTTTTTCCAGAATTAATGAGGCATGTTAATCTTTAAGGTACGTTAAATTTTAAGGTATGCTAACTAAGCCCAAATTGAAGAAGAGTAGTAACCAGTCATTGAAACTGTGTCCCATAGTTTAGATAAGAATTGTTTGTCCCCAAGTCCCATGTTGCAATTTGATCCCCAATGTGAGAGGTGTGGCCTGGTGGGAGGTGTTTTGTTCCCTGGGGGGAATTACTCATGAATGGCTTGCTGCCATTCTCACTGGAGTAAGTGAGTTCTCATTTTTAGTTCCTGCACGTAGTGGTTGTTGAGCCTGGCACCTCCTCCCGTCTCTCTTTTGCTTCCTCTTTCTCTGTGTGATCTGCACATTTTGTCTCCTCTTCACCTTGCATTGTGAGTGGAAGCAGCCTGAGGCCCTCACCAGATGCAGATGCTAGCACCATGCTTCTTGTACAGTCTACAGAACTGTGACCCAAGTAAAACTCTTTCCCTTATAAATTATCCAGGTGCAGGTATTTCTTTATAGAATACAAATGGACTAGGACACTATATATTTATTTTAGTATAAAGATGCTCATCAAAGCCTAAGGATAAAGTTAAAGATAGAAAATAAAAAAAAGACTAAATATAAATGGAATAGAATTAAAGAAAACAAAACTATCTATTTTGTAGTATTCATACTTTTAAAAAGTACAGTAGAAAATCTTAATAATATCAGGTAAATATTTATCAAATATTTTAAATGTCTTACATAGAATTACAAAACACACTTTGTGCATCACTGCATTTTAAAACATGACAGGACAGAATCTTTGCCACCTTTATATTTTATGAAGAGTTCTATGAAAAATGAAATTTTAGTCCATCAGCCAGATGGTTTGTTGGAAAGATGCCAAATTGCTGCCTGCTTAATAATAGTTGCATTATTAACTGTATTTCCTTTTTTACTCACATTTGGCAAAATGCAGAAAGAAAAGTTATTCAATGTAACTCTTTTAACTTGAAGAATTTAATGGTATGCCATTTCTGACAACAGAGAAGATCCTTGTTTTTCATAAAAAAATTTATTTTTAAGGACAGAATACCAAAGCTCAAAATGTACTGTGTGGTATAAGTGTTCACACTATTGTAAGCCTTTCACTTTTTATTACTTCCAGAATATATTTTCAGATTCAATTTTTCACCTATCTGCTACTATGTTTCTATCAATGTACAAAAATCTGAAGAACATTTATATTGAATGTTTTAAGTACAGAAGTTTTACAATGTTCCTTCCAGAAATTTGATTGTCAAAGTAACTTAGACAAGCTGATATTTCATGTATTTGTACAAATCATATTACGGATTTGCACAAATATTAAGAAATTTAATGAGAATTTGCACTGAATATCAACACATTTTAATACCCTTGTAGCTATCATAAAAGCCCGGCTATTTAACATTAACTATGCTAATATATATCATAAGCACAACAAAGTAATTAAATTCTTACAAACTAAAAACATTTTTTATCTTTGAGCACGATTAGTGCAGAGACTTTTTATTGTTTTAATTTTTTTCATAATTTCAACTTTTAGATGTGGCGGGTACGTGTGCAGGTTTGCTACTGGAAAATGGGTGGATCTCATCACCCAGGTACTAAGCATATACTTAGTTGTTGGTTTTTCACTCCCGCTTCAGCCTCCCTCTGGGAGTCCCCAGTATCTATTGTTGTCATCTTCATGTCCATGAGTATCGCTGGTTTAGCACCCACTTACAAGTGAGAACATGTGGTATTTGAATTTATGCAAAAAATAGACAATATATAAACATGGAATTTAAAAAGTAGTCAAGTACAGTTAGGTTAAAAGATTCTTAAGATTTTTATTATGAATGTATTTGAATAAATATGAATTTTCTGTGCTTTTTTTCTCTTTTATGCACATAGTATTCAAATACTATGCACAGTAATTA
Organism: Homo sapiens; assembly: GCF_000001405.40. Classification (NCBI taxonomy): domain Eukaryota; kingdom Metazoa; phylum Chordata; class Mammalia; order Primates; family Hominidae; genus Homo; species Homo sapiens. The sequence goes on from NC_000003.12 coordinate 95,335,722, forward strand.
CTGAAGTGGTTTTTGCTGTTTGGCATCTATTATGTACATATTCATAAATGCTGTATGAGGTTTGCTACCTGTCAGCTTTTTCTTCCAAATAAAACATTTTAATTATTCAGAAAGTTTTGTTATTAAAACAAGGCACAGCCACAGCTTTCTCCCCTCCTCTCCCTTTTCTTCTCATGGGTAAAGCATATTGGCTTCAGTTTCAAAAGTGGGACTTCCTCAGGCCTGGAATACACAATTTAAATAATACAAAGAATTTCAAATATTAATAGTACTGGACTCATAGATAAAGTATATGAATGATAAACTGTTTTAAAAAGTGATGTTGCTATTTATGGATTTTTAGATACTCGCTTATAGTTCTTGAAAAATTACAAATCTAAAATATTGCCTTTATATCCTCAACCTGTTAAAACTTTCAGAAGTTATATTCTGAAATCCAGACTTTTCCCAGACTCTTTTAAACTATTTTATCAATCCATTCCTTAATTTTCTCCTCAAAACAAGTTTATTTCTACATTTTTTATAATTTTTCCCACTCTGTTCAGCTAGTAGCTCAGTAATGACTTTTGCTGAATTGTTACAGCTATATTTGCTAAATAATTCTACTCAATCAAAGTCTAACAACATTCTCTGCCTATGTGTTAAGCTTCCATTACCACATAGAATTTTAAATCAAGGGTATTTGATCAGTACGATATATGACTTTTTAAATAAAAATACTACTTAAAATACAAAGGAGAATATCATATTAGTCAGAGACATTATAAGTGTATGTTGATCATTAATATTATTATGTAAACATTTTTTTCTTCAAAATAATGTTTCAAACACACCTCAGATATTTTCTGTGTAGTGTATTAAGGTGCTAAGAATTATTTCTACCTCTAGAGAAAATGAAGACAGTAGTACCCCCCTATAAAGAGACTATGGAAGGGAGAATTTTGTGTGTAAATATTTCAATTCATATGCGTGTATGTTTATATATGTTTACTATGTATTTCCATACACAGCCATTGTATTCGTCACTTTTAAAAAAATTATATTTTAGAAGATATTCGGTGTCTAATCTCTACCTTCATGGTTTATTATTTCAATGGTTGCTTGTAGGATCTTTTGCCGCTTTTGGAGTCACTGTACTTTTAAAACAGTGGTAGATTAAGCACATCCTTTCTCCATACCAGCCGTAAATTTTTAAATAACTTTTGCTTCAATACCATTTTTGAGACTAGTTCCTAAGCTTTTTTCAGTAACTTTCTACCCTTGGATTTGGGTTTAAATGGCAGATTTTTTTCCCAAAAGCTATATACAAAACATATTTTTATCTTCTAGAAGATAAAAGCAATTAATAGTCTTCAAATCCATTGTAATGTTAAGAAGTAGATACTGAGTATATTTTATCTTAAAAAGAAAAATACAAGATGAGTTTCATAAAAGTTCCACTACCATCCTTAGGAAGAAGTAAATCTATATTAATATTTAAGATATATAAAATAAACATGGTTTACTTAAACAGTTAATTCAAGATAAATTTGTACATCGTGACAAAATCTGTTTAATGTTTTTATTTCTAGTAGCTTTACATTTTTGCAATGAGACAAAGTTTCATCCTTCAGATGAGCAGCATGGGAGAAAACAGGTCATTGACAATATAATCTGGATCTAAGAGAAAGAACTTGGAAGAAGTAAACTATTTCAGTGGCAGGACCCCAGAAAAAATGACATGTATCTTGCATTCTTCAGATATTTTTCTGGGACTCTACACAAACCTGTTAGCTTTCCCAGTAAGATGAAAAAATGATCCTAATTTCCCAGTAAGAACAAAAAATGATCCTAGGTGCAAGTGTTGGCTTTGTCTTTGGTCAAGTCCATACATTAATCAATATCTCAATGGTTCCCAGCCAAATTTATGCTGAAGAAGAATGCTTAGGTTCTCACTATTTTGTATCTGGCTTAAAAGATTAGACTATCAGCCAGTGATAGCGTTTCTTGTCTATTGTTCACATACTCAGTGTTTCTTGCCCTTGGTATGCAGTAGAGCTTACTTCACTGAGCTGCTAAGGAAAAACAGCAGTCTCTCTCAAGATAAATTCATTCTGTAGAAGCCACCCTAGAACGTGATGGAATATTTTGGATATTTCATGCGGGATTTTGTTTTCTTCTAATATATATCTGTATTTCATGCTAATTTAGTTTTACATCTATCTTGAAAATAGCCATTTACTGGCACTTTTATTACTTTTCAATTTGTATTACTTCCCTGGTGCCACTTATTTCATATTTGACTTAATTTACCACTACATTGACTGTAAGGCTACCCCAGGATAGGTCATTTACACTGTGACTGTTTTGTTGGCACATATTTTCAATACTCTAAGCAATTAACCTGCCAATTCTTGATATAAAACATAATAGAAATATTACACAAATATTGCTATAGGTGTACTCATACATTGTCTATATTGAGAGAATTACAGAGAAGAGTTACCAAATCCAGTTTTTTAATCGCTATCTATGAAGTAAATAAGTAATCCTTTTAGAATCTGGGGTACATGCACAGGTTTGTTATACAAGTAAATTATTTCATGTCATAGGGTTTTAGTGTGCAGATTATTTCATCACCCAGGTGATAAGCATCTTCTGATCACTAAATTTTTAAAAAAACCCTCATATCTACTCAATAAAAAGAAGAAAATTACCAAGTTAAATTAAGTGTAACATTCTAAACTCTTAATGACCAATAATGTAATTATTAAATTGTTCAACTAAATTTACATAAAATAATTGTTTCCTTTTTCTCTTGGTTTTTTTTCCCACCTATTCTCCTACATCTCCTTTTTCCATATTTCATACACTTTTTTCCTTTCCCATCTGTTCTCACTCTTTACTTCATTTTCTTCCCTTTCACTCTCCTACACTGCTATATTTTTCTTCTTTACTTTCCCTTTACTGCCTACTTACATAAGCATCATTATTTTCATATTCATATTTACTTCCAAGACATTGAATTATTGTATATCGTGTTATGCCATTCAAGGATCATTTCACAATGTTAATTATTTCTTATTTCTTATGGATATGGATTTTGTTGTCATAGCATAAAACCTTGAGGACATCTAGTGTATATTTCTTATTACAGTCCCAGTAGTAGGGAAGGTAAATCTGTAGTTAGTATTGATTTAAAAAGGTATTTCTGCTAGTTGTAATTTCCTCTTCCTAGAGATATTTTAAGATTCTCCACTACTTCCTTGTTAAATTGATTATCATATTATTAGAAAGTAATTATTTTAAACTTTGTGGAACATTTACTAGTGACAAGTATGAATGCGAGAAACACAAATTTTCAAAAGTTAATGTATTTTACAAAATGCGAATATTTCATGTTTTTGACCCAGAAAATCTCTACATGTATTTATATTGATTGTTCACCTTATAATAGGGTGAAGTTAAACAACAAACAAACAAAAACAAACAACAAAATCCCAGAACCAAGAAAACATGGTCACAAATAAAATCAAGCATCCCAGTACATCTCAACCTCATTGCTTTCTTGCTACTGCCTTCTCATTTTATTAATATCAGTGTTTACATCTGTCTAGAGAAAACTTATTGATTCTATAATCTAAAAAGAATATAAACTGTTAGTTTTTGTCAGCTAATATATGAATGTGTACTTGCTTTACATAGTTCTACCAGAGCTTTTAGCCATCTATTTTTCAACCACATTTTACTACTACTCAACATAAAAATAAATCAACAAGGCCGGGCGCGGTGGCTCACACCTGTAATCCCAGCACTTTGGGAGGCCGAGGCAGGTGGATCAAAAGGTCAGGAGACCGAGACCATCCTGGCTAACACGGTGAAACCTCGTCTTTACTAAAAACACAAAAAATTAAATTAGCCGGGTGTGGTGGCCTGTGCCTGAAGTCCCAGCTACTTGGGAGGCTGAGGCAGGAGAATGGTGTGAACCGGGGAGGCAGAGCTTGCAGTGAGCCAAGTTCACGCCACTGCACTCCAGCCTGGGCAAAAGAGCAAGACTCCATCAAAAAAAAATTAATCAACAAATATTTAATAAAGTTTGCCATATATGTGTGCTATATTTCTTGTTATTCAATAAAGCCAATATCTCATGTATATCTCAATATGTATTTCTCTACACAGAGTCATATTGGGAAGAGGAAAAAATATTTAAAACAAATGAACATGGAAAATATTTATTTTCCCCTTAATATATGGCAGCCTAATTAATAATTAAGCACTTTGCTGTCATATTAAATTCTGTAAACAGACAGACTTGGCCTCAGATTATCTCTGATAATGATACTCCCTCTCTCTATATATTGTATAGAATATACTCATGTAACAGGAGAAAATTTAAGTTGAAACAAAGAGAAATTAAAAAATAGAGAGAGCCTTTGCAGTCCAGAGGCATTTTTGCCAACATATTTCCTTTGTATTTAAAACCTAATTTGATTCACATTGGGATTTTTAAAATTTAATTGAGTTACTCATGAATACCATCAAAGAATATCATTTTTTGTCTTAGATGGAATATACCAATGGAGATTCATGAATGAACATTTATGTGGAAGTAATTTATTAAGAAGTCTTTAGCAAAAATTCAGGAGAGTAAGAATATGGGGGCAAGATGCTAAAACAAGCAAAGCCCTTTAAAGGACAACTTTAGTTCCATCTTGCAGGGGATTTCTGGGCTAACGGTAAATACCAACTCAGAGCTGTTTTAACAGGAAAAGAGGGGCGGGAGTATTTACATGCCACAAACACCTGTCAGTCACTGAGTTACAAAAGGGAAAGGAGATGCTGGCTCTCCATGGAAGAACAGGTAAATTGTGATCAGGCCGACTTAGAGCAAGACTTTGGTAAGGTGCAGTCACTGACTCTTACGAGTGGAAGCATACCAGTACCCAATGTGCATGGGAACGGTAAAGGGATCAGAAGGGATATGCGTGGACTACAGCGAGCTTCAATTTTTGCAAAGGAAGGAGTAGTCTCCAATTCTGTATTATACGAACCTTATTTTAGCTGAAGTACAGATGTCAGTGACACATTATTAAACCAGAATAAATTTCACCTTTTTATGTGTACATTCTGATGAATTTTGTCAATTAAATAGAAGCACTTTCACATTATTCATACTATAAAACATTTCCAGCCAATTAAAGTGTATCTTTGACTTTTTTTTGTAGTTCTTCCTTCCTCTTGCCTCCTCTGCCACCACTGGGGACCACTGACCTCCTTTCTGTCCCTATAGTTCTACATTTTCTGTACTTGCATATAAACCCTATCATAACACTTATTCTTTTGTGCTTCATTTTTTAAAAATATTGTATAATATGTTTGATATTCATTCATGTTTTTTAATGTATAAATATTTTGTTTCTTTTTATTGTTGGGTAACATCCTGTGGAATGAGATATCACAGATTTTTTATTCACTGGTTGGTGACTACAACATTGCACATTTCAATCAGATATCTCTGAGCATTCCATTTGTTCTACATTGAGGTACCGCTCCTCACAAGAGGGCATCAGCTGTGAGGGTCTGCCTGCAGACCCTGACCTAAATGATGGATGAATAAAACGTACACTGACACACAGATATTCTGTTATCCCAGTCCTGCGGAGTGTCTGACCGCCTACACACCAAGAGAGGCTGTCACTGAGGCCGGTCCTGAGCAGCTCGCACTCCAGGCATTTATTGAGTGTACAATTAACAACAGAAGCTTTGAGTAAACACACTTGTGGATGATTAACCTGGTTAAGAGAGTAGTTCTAGGAATGATTAAAGCTCAGGTATTGCAGTCTAAAGTAAATACCATTAGGGGGCAATTTCCCTGGTCGACCTCCCCGTCACCCTCCCCGCCACCCCCCAGAGGGCCATCTAGCTTAAAGGTTAGTTAATGGAGGTAGGGTTAACAGACTGAACTGAGGAAGCCTCTATTGTCCCTAGAATTTACCCTATGACCCAATGCTTTAAGGTAAGAACCGGCTGCCTTCAGCCTGTTCAATTTTTATAAGCTATGTAACCTTTCAGCCTTCCAAAAAGCTTTGTGACTATTCCCTATAACTTCCCCTAATATTTCCCTTTAATATTTCTGCCACCATCCTGAGTGAATCCCAACACTACATCCTTGCTAATATTGAGTATTGTCAAGTGTTTTGATTTTAGCAAATCTGGTAACTGTGTAGTATTATCCAATTATAGTTTTAATTTGCATTTTCTGGGTGACTAATGTTGCAGGATGTATTTTTATGTGCCTCTTGGCCATTCATAAATATTGTTTTGTGAGTAATCTATTCAAAATCATTTGCTAATTTTTTGGAAGAAAGTACTATTTTTCCACAGAACTATTAAGTTGTCTTAGCACCATTTATTGATACGACTATATTTGCTTTATTTATTAACTTACAATTGGGTTATAGAACTCAGCCTATAAGTCTGAGTTTATTACTGCACTTTCTAATCTCTTTCATTTATCTGACATTACCACTATGCGCACTGTCTTTGGTGTTACATTTTCAAATGCATTGTGTTGTTTTTGAGTATTCAAAGATGGCAATTAATATGTTTCAAAATTGTTTCAGATATTCTGTGTATTTACTTTTTGTCTTCTTTTGCTAACAATTACTTATAGATGGAGTCTCCTTTGTGACTATGAATGAATTCATTCCACTATTAGCCCTCAATCTTTCTTCAAGAAAGGAAAGATATTATCTTCATATTTCAGAAAAGGATAAAACTTTTATGTGGAAGTCTCTCCAGTAAAAACATCAGCTTTATCTATTTCAAATTTAGATTTTCAGTTTTTACTTATCTGTCTTGACGATTTATTACTAGGCTTTTTAAGATTGTCAATTCTTTTTCATGAGTTTACTCTTTCCTCATTGAGACTTTTTTTTTCTCTGAGTGTTATTTCTCCTTTGAACCCAAAGTCTCTTTTACCTGATAACAATATTGTCAATAATGTAATCCTGTTAACTTTGTATTTGTGTTTTCTGGCTTATGATTTTTTTATCGTTTTACTTTATCACTATCTTTTTTATATATTTAAATTGCAAATATTATAAACAGCATATAGATCCATCTTGCTTTTGGATCAAGACACCAAATGTCTGCACATTCTTGAAGTGTATAGTTCATTTAAGTGTAAACTAATTATTGAAATTATTACATTTAACTCTACCGACATTCTTTTATATTGGTCTCATTGATTGTTATTTTTTATTTTTTGTCTCTTTCCACTTGCTATTAGTTGAATTTACTCTAATTATTCAATTTAATCTCCCATTGGCTTTCCCACCTTACTTGTGTGTTTGTTTAGGAGCCTTTTTTATTGGTAGATTGGCAATCAAATTCAAGTAAATCAAATTGTAACCCGGGGTCCTTGGGTTTTTGGTATGCACTGTGAAAAAGTAACCACATGCAAATGTTGTAACTTGAGTTCTCATTGTTTTAAAAAGTTCTAAGAAGAAGCTCAGCCCCAGAAAAAACAAAAACCGATTGATCCAGAGACGCCTGAGTTGTAGATAAACTCTGGCAAACTTTCCTCTTTATCTTAGTAAAATCTCTGCCAAGGGAGAAGCTCATGGCCATTTTCTATACCTGGAACATATATAGAAGCATGACCCATGACTGCACCTGCACTGCCTTTACTCCACCTCTACATATAATGACTCAGCTTATCAGCCCAATAAAAGCCCTGTTTTCACCTTTGTTCAAGGTGGCATTGCTTTGAGATCCACCCCCAGTTTCCTCCTTACTTGCTGCAAGTAATAAAATCCGCTTGTTAAATCCTCACTGGTTGTGGTCATTGTAACTGCCAAGCAATCAGAATCAATTTATAAATATGTAGGAGGATAAAATACAGATATAAATCCACTGAAAGACGTTTCATTAATAGTAGCATACTCTGCACATACTCTGAATCATTTTTTGCTTACCTGCAGCTAAGACCAATCGTCTGCCTGGAGCCACATGCAATCCCAGCACAGGCATTTGGAGGCTTAGTAGTCCTCCTCTCCTTTTTCATTCATTTTGTTTTTTCTCTTATTCTTTTGTCTCTATACTCTTCAACTTTTATATTTTTTATTGACTACACTAAGCTTTTCTTGAGCTCCCTAGATTTGATAAAGTTGTCCTTCTGGCATGTTTTTGCCAGCTGTCATGGCTCATAGTGCAATTTAAGCCTCTGTTGCACACTATTGTAAATCCAGGTAATGAAAGGCACAAACTTCTCACAAGCATTATGAAGCTGACATCTGTCAAGATAAATATTGTGCACTCAGCAAGGAGGAGATGGTTTAGATGGCTAGCACAGTTAACCTTGATATTTTATTTGAGAATGCTTTAGATGCCTGATCAAAGTAGGGGAGTGTTGCTTAGCTGATATTATGTAAAATGCGTAGGTTAGTATTATGTCCTTAATAAGTAGTAGTTTAAGTTTTTAAGAACATGTTTGTATTGTGGAGGAAAATATATTTTATTATAATATTTATGCACATTATTTTAATAAAATACACATATATGAAAGTATAAATATAAGGAATATCACAATTATTTCTTCCATTAAAAGCCCAATGATGCTATTTATGGATACTTATATCTTTTTAAAATTTTTATATTGAACAACATATGCAAATTTGTCTTATTTTTCAGTAAAATTTATGTCATATACATTTCCACAGTAGTCATGTAAATTTAAAATCTAAATGCTAACATGAAGTTATCCCACTACTTTCTCTTTTTGCTGACAGAGTTCAAAGAGTGCTTTAATTGTGATGAATACAACAATGACAATAAGTACTAAAGCTGACAACTTTCTGTAGGTCAGACCATGTGCCAAATGATTAATATGTATTATCTCATTTAATCATAACACTCACCCTATCAGGTTTATCATTAGATAATATCATGCATATATAATATAAATATACATACAATGATATGGCCAATATTTTATTATTATACTTTCTAAATTTTGTAGACAATGAAGCCAAAGATTAGAGGAGTGAAATAAAATGGTCAAGACAATAAAGCCAGTAAAAGAAATAGCTGGCACTTGAATACAGTCTTATAAACAGCCACATAATTATTTATTGTAATATCCCACCATATCTAGCACTATGCAAGTGATAGTGTATTGGTTCATTCTTACATTGCTATAAAGAACTACTTGAGACTGGGTAGTTTATGAAGAAAAGAGGTTTCATTGACTCGCAGTTCCATATGGCTGGGGAGGCCTCAGGAAACTTACAGTCATGGCAGAAGGTGAAGGGGAAGCAAGGCACTAATTTCCATGGTGGAACAGGAGAGAGAGTGATGGGGGAAGTGCCACACTTTCAAACAACCAGCTCTCCTAGGAACTCACTCACTATCACTAACCCAAGAACAGAGAGGGGGAAGTCAGCCCCCATGATTCAGTCACCTCCCAACAGGCCCCTCCTTCAACACTGGGAATTATAATTCCACATGAGATTTGTGTGGGGACACAGAGCCAAACCATATCAGATAAGGAAATGAAGATACATTTTTAGTCACAACTCACAGGTAAGAGATTTTCCTGTTTTTCATCCCAATTCCTTGATATATACAGAGATCACTGTAGAAACAGATGAATGATAGTCACTATGAAAAGAAAATGGTTGATTATATAAGAATAAAAAGACAGTCTTCAGTCATTCCCTTTGAGCACACAGAAGAAATAAAAAAAAAACTGCTTGTACCAAGGTATAAACAAAAACTTGGAAATAACAATTCCAAAAGAATTATATTTGCTTTCTTCACCAGACAGCAAAACACTGAAGATCAAGAGCAGACAGAAGAAACACTATTGTTATAACCATGCTTTTATTATTATTTCTTAAGAAACAAAATACTGAAAACTGATTTTGGAAATCATCACATATGCTTTATAAAATTTTTCCATATACATATATACTAGTTGAGGCACATATTAAATGTGTGAGTCTTTTTTGCATACTTCCGCATATGCTTTTTAGATAGTTACTAAATTCATATGTCTTTAAAATTCTGCTTATTTTTGTATAGAGGTTAGGAATAAAAGAAAGACTATGCCATCAGAGTAGAAATTGAGGTGCTCTTATCTACACAGTAAAGCATCACTCTCTTATGAGAAAAAATAAGAAGTGGGGGGACAGCTAATACAGCATGCTATCTTTTCTGCAAAAAGCTTAAAGAAGATTATGCAGGTATATTTGTTTAATTTCAAGGAATTTAAGATTGAAATATTAACTACTGAATGTTTAAATAAAATAATACAGAAAAGAAAATACATTAATTTAGTTTTCACTTTGAGCCATATTTATGCTTTATATTTCTGAAAATGAAATTCAGTACAAGGATAGAAAAGTACCATGAAAAAATATAAAAAATAAATGTAAAATTAAGCACAAATGTTAAAAAACAAATCTAACTCTATTAAATTTGTAACATTGTGCTAAAGAATAAATATTTCAAGTAGTTTTAACACAGTTCCTGACTGTGTAGGGATATAACAGAATATATCTAAGAAAAAAATCAACTACAAAGGCACTTTAAACTTTATTCAGTAGGTTTTTTGTTAGCACTAATGTTGACACTGTAATTTTTAAACTACATTAAATATATTATTTTAACCTATATTCAATATTTATAAATTTATTTAAGATAGTTATCTGATAATGTATATTACGGGAAAAAGAAAATAAATAAACTTATTGAGGATATTGGGAAGTAGTTTTTATAGTACAAAAGTATTGAATAAAATAAATTAATAAAACTTTATTGCTAAATTTGAATAGAATACAATAGTAATTATAGTTTAAAATATTTATTTTATATATATTGAATATATATTTCAGCATATTTTTTAGTATATATTTCAGTATTTTCAGTATATTTTTTGTTCTGAAATAATCTAGACACAATGACCTCCCAGGAACTACATGTCCACATAGCACCCAGATCTTGGTTTTAAAAACCACTCTCCAATATAATAAAAAAGTTGATAATTGGAGAAATAGCTGTTTCTTTGGCTGATAACGGACAATACAAAAAGTGCAAACTGCACACAATATTCTGATCAAATAATAATGTGTTTGTATCAAAAATTGTAAGAATAAGGTTATTGACTTGTGTGGAAAAAGGGCTTTTATCAATATAAAATATAATTTTTGTCCTTTGAATACTATACACCTTGAAATCTTCATTTGTTTTACAATACAAATAATAAATCAACCTTAATTTTGGTGATATACATTTGGTATATCTTTCTACTACATTTATTTTTAAGTTTTTTTGTATCATTTAGTTTTAAAGCCCTCTCATGTCAAAGACATAGAGCCTTTGAGGAGAGGGAGAGGGAGTGAAATTCCAATAGGAAGACAGTGCCTTTACATTAGTAGCTTTAACCTATTCATGTGATTGTGATTTCTGAGGTGAATGAAAATATTTTATAATTTTGTTTCATGTTAATCTATCATTTTATTAGTTTGATTATACATGTCTTTTCCTATGTTTTGATGTTTTGAGTTTTCTTTGCTTCATTTTGTTGCAATTTGTAAAACTATATATTTCTACTTAGAAATTTTTAGCTGAATTTCCTCCACATATTTGATCACTTTAAACTTAAATTTTCTAATAAAGCTGAAGTTTAACTGATCAGTTTTACTCACTTCAAGTAGACAGAAGTACCTATTTTATCCTCTCTTTTTCTCAAATCTTTTTCCCATTAATAAATGAACATGTGTCCATACATCATCACACAAAAATGTATTTGTTTTTACGTAGGTAGTAGTTTTTAACCAAAACACTTTTTAAAACACTCACTAGTTATTTAGAATAACTGATATATACTGATACACACACACACACACACACACACAATTAGTATTATTGCAGACTTATTCGTAGTACCAAATTCTTTAATAACATTATACAAGTGTCAATAAGTTTAATAATTGACAAAAATATAACACATCAAAGATGGAATCTTTGCTGTCAATACTGATCTTCATATTTTCAAGGTTGATGAAAATACCAGCTAAGAATTAGATAAGGAGTTAGTTCATATTATGAAATGTCTTGCTAGTGTCAGTTATTATTTGATACATTATACTGTCTTTCTCTATTCTTTCCTTCCATTCTACATTTCTTCAGTGTTCTTCTGTTGTCTTAAATTTTACCCACTTAAACTAGAAGTAAACAAAATAGTCTGGGGGCAGTGGCTCATGCCTGTAATCCCAGCAATTTGGAAAGCTGAGGCAGATGGATCACTTTAAGGGAGGAGACCACCCCTCATATTGTCTTACGCCCAATTTCTGCCTCAAAGAAAAGGTAGGAGTTAAAGAAAAGACAGAAGTGAAATCAGTAGTCAGACAGCCCAGTGCTGCATTCCAGGCCTGGTAGTTAAAGATCCACCCCTGACCTAACCGGTTATGTTATCTGTAGATTCCAGACATTGTATGGAAAAGCACTGTGAAAATCCCTGTCCTGTTCTGTTCTGTTCTGATTACTGGTGCATGAAACCCCCAGTCACATACCCCCTGCTTGCTCAATCGATCACAACCCTCTCACGTGGACCCCCTTAGAATTGTAAGCTCTTAACAGGGACAGGAATTGCTCACTTGGGGAGCTCGGTTTTTGAGATGTGAGTCTTGCTGATGCACCTGGCCGAATAAAGCCCTTCCTTCTTTAACTCAGTGTCTGAGGGGTTTTGTCTGCGGCTCGTTCTGCTACAACTTGAGATCAGGAATTTCAGACCAGCCTGGCCAACATGGTAAAACCCTGTCTCTACTTGAAAAAATACAAAATTTAGCTGGGCGTGGTGGCAGGCACCTGTAATCCCAGCTACTTGGGAGGCTGAGGCAGGAGAATCGCTTGAACGTGAGAGACGGAGGTTGCAGTGAGCGGAGATTATGCCACTGCACTCCAGCCTGGGAGACAAGAGTTAGACACTGTCAAAAAAACAAAACAAAACAAAATTTCCTACCTACATGTAAACAAAAAACAAAAAGTCAGTGCCAGGGGACTTGGTGGGGGTGGTGGTGGTGGTGGTGATGTGTTTTTTCTCTAGTAATAGACACAGTGCTTGATTAACAGTAACTTCTTAATACTGTATTTGACTAGAAACCAATAGACCTGTGTAGGCCTTGTTTACAGTGAAATCGACTTTGCAAAAAATATATTAGTGAGAAAAATTATATTAGTAAGCTAAGCTAGCACAACCACCATTTTGCCTTTCCCTTAATTAATCCTAGGCTACTGGGCCAAGCTAACTTTGGAAGTCATTCAGGCTATAGTTTAAATGATAATAGGCCTTGCCCAAAACTCAATAGCTTTTGTAAAGCTAATAGGAGGGCATCAGGCTGGGGAGAGGAGAGGAAACGGAGTGCTGCTAAGGCGCAGACATAGACAATTGTCAGGCATTATTCTGGAAGGTTATAAGATATGCTGCTTCCCCAATTACTCCTGGGAAATCTTTTCAGGTTTTTGCATGTCTGCCATGGCTCCACCTTGAAGGCCCCACCTGGACCCTCCAACTTAGCTCCTATGTCCCCACCCAGAAGAGATTCAGCTCACAGGAAGACAGCTCCCGTCTCCTATGATTGTATCTCCAACCCAACCAATCAGCAACAAACAGCTAGCCACTGCCACCCCTTCCCCCAAACTGCCTTTAAAAATCCTCTAACCTATAAGCTTTGCATGAGATGATTTGAGTACCAACGCCAATCTCCCATATGGCGTGGCTGGCCTAGTGTCTATAAAACTCTTTCTTTACTAAGATACTGTGGTCTCTTTTTATGCAGTGGGCAGGAAGAACCCCTTAGGCAGTTACAATAGTTCAAATTTCTATGCATGGTGTTAAAAATCATCATTCAAACACACATATAATGAACACTTATTATGTGTCATAAATTATTCCAAGCCTTTGGTACTGATGGTAAGTAGTAGAGTCAAGATTCAAACAAGCAATTTGATTCAAAACCAGTTCTTAAACACCACACAGTGCTGCTCTCTAACCTTAATTAATGGAGTGAAAATAAATTTTATGGGACCACACTAATCTGTGGAAATAGCCTCCCTAATAGATAAGTTTTGATCTAAATTCTAAAGAAAACAAGAAGACAAAGATAGATATAGGCTTTACAAGTCAACTTTGGGTTTGTGAGGGTAAGTTTTACAAAGCATAGGGACAACAGACACATTTACTTAAAGACAAGGTGTGTTACAGTAGGTAGCTAGTAAGGCATGAGCAGGGCAGGAGAGGGCTTCCCGCACCACCTGGAATGTCAGACGACCATCAGTTGATGGTCAGGCAGTTGTTAACTGTTTCTCTAAAATAATCATTGGTCACAGTCAGTGCCAGAGAAAGGCAGTCTCCCTGTAGATAGAAAAAAAAAACAGAAAGTGTTGATCAGCAGCTTCCCAATAAGATCTCAGCAGTTGAGCAGTTGAGCAAGAGGCAGAACGGCAGAGTTTAACTGGTGTGTGACCTCCTGGGGACATCCAGCTGGTGAGGGAAGAACTCCTCAGGTAAGCAAGAGTACAACTCCAGCAGGCACACTGTGCATCCTCCCCTCTCAAGTGCTAGGCAGGCACTGCACATGCAGGAAGCGCTCCCCAAGCACTGCACAATCAGGGAAAAAGTAGTGCAAGACCCCGGAAGCATGCCAACATATAAAACCCCAAGTCAAAAAGTCAAACTGCGCACTTGATCTCTCAAGTTGGCCACTTGGCCCTCTTCCAGGTGTACTTTCCTTCCTTTCATTCCTGCTGTAAAGCTTTTTAATAAACTTTCACTCACTGCTGCTCTAAAACTTGCCTTGGTCTCTCCTTCTCCCTTATGTCCTTCAAATTCTTTCTTCTGAGGAGGCAAGAATGAGGTTGCTGCAGACCTGCTGGTAACATATTTTGGTGCCATGTAACTCGAATACCTTCCACTGCTACCAGATGGATATTCATGATGGAGGAAGACTGATGCAGAATCTAGAAAAATAAACCAAGAGAGGAGCTCAACTTTGATTTAAAATGTAGTATTGTCTTACAGAAAAGAAAAATTCTGTAAACTTTCTGTGAGGAGAAAGGTCTTTGGTTTAAGGATTGTCTGGAGTAAACCTTTGTGAAAGCAGGCACATTTCTTATAATATTGGGACCTCAATTCTCACATTTATAAAATAAAGATGATAATAACTCCTTCATTAATTATTTCTAAGGATTAATGAGTAACTGCATGTAAAATGTGTACCCACTTGGCAAAAACTAAATATGCACTAATAATGATAGTCTTCATTAAAGAAAAAAAAAAACTTACATTGCTGTACTGAGATAATGACATAATAAGTCATCCTGAAAAGAAATTCAAAATGTTGTTCCCAAAACAACCAAAGCTCATTTCTTTCTTATGTAACAATTCCAAAGAGAGCTCCCTTTAAGGAAGCTCTCTGCTCTGGGAGTTTAATAAGGGACCCAAGTTCTTTCTTTGATATGGCTCCACCATTCCATAGATTCTTTTCATCATCCAGGTTACAGCTGCCAGGAAAGAGAAACAGCGTATGAAAAAGACACACCCACTCTGTTGAGAGCCCTGGACTAAAAGTGGTTCAAACTATTTTTGCTTACTTTCAATTGAGCAGAATTAGCTGCATGTCCCTCGGTAAGAGGCTAAGTGTACAACCATGGTTCTCTTTCTTATTTTAGCTGCAATTACAATGCAAGGTTCCAGTCTGGCTCACAGTCACCTCATACCACATGCATACTGTCTTGATCCTATGCCATGTCTTTTTCTGATTTTTGCCTGTAATTTTCCCAGTAACACACAAACACAATTTGGAAGTGCAGGAACATTAAGAGGAGCAGGAAGGGTATAATATGTCCATCAGAGCTAATGGAAAAATTCTCCAGCTTTAGTTATTGAGAAAGACCGTACTGAGAGGATTTCTGTATTTGTCTTAGAACACCCCATGGCAGCAACTCCAGAGCATCCTTATGTTGAGACTCCTCCTAACTTGTCTCTCTCTCTCTCCCCCCTCCATTGCTATGCTTCTTGAAATCGGTTCTCAAGTAAACTATCTGCACACAATTATTTTTCTAAGGTTCTGCTTTTGGAAAAACTCAAGTCATAATTATTCACCATTTATTTATAAAGAGTCAACTGTATTTTCAAACCTTCTCCTCCTAGTAAAGTCATTCATCTTGAACAAGAGAAAACAAAAGATGCAGTAACTATATCTATCTTATTCTATTTAATTAATTTATATAATTTTATACCAACTTAGATTTATCATTGTCTTTTTAACTGTGACAATAGTGGATTCTTGAACACTTTATTTATGAGAATTTATAAATTTTCATTACTCTCCTATACCAATAAATGAGTATGAAAACCTATCCAGTGGATTATTTTGCTTTCAAGTTTTTTCTTATTAACAGAGAAAGATGTTAAGAAAATGATAAATGATATATGCTCATTTTAATCATATTACATTTCTAGAGTCATTTCTAGCTTCATGTCAGAGTCTATAACAATAACAAATATAATAATAAAAGAAAACCGTCATGCTGACGCATAGTGGGGTTAAAGTGAGAAACTAAAGCACAAAATCAATACATCAAGTGTTTGTTAAAAGTTGATAATCCTGGTAGACACTACACCTCTATAAGGATGAACAGTGTGTGGTGGCAAACCCAATTAACACATATTCAGACAAATTCTATTCATTTCAGTGCTATTGCAATATCCAAGGTGGAGATGTTGTCAAAAGGGAGCTATTTTCAAGTTTGCATTTATCTATTAGATTCCTGCAAAACAACATGAATTTTCACAAAGCAATAGATCAGCTCCCCTTTCAAATCATTGTTCCTGGAGTGTCTTAGCAGGAGTTATGCCAATTTTCATAGCACGACCAATTTCTGCTTTATGAATCACTTGTCTACATTGTAAGTCCTGCCAAACTATGAAAAAAATAATTACTTGTGGACAGGAAATATTCAGCTGTAAATTACTTTGATTTCCCTTTACCTAAATTCAGTGTTCTAATTCCTTAATTCTCATTCCACTGTATTATTACTGTTTCTATTTTAGCATCTCATACAAGCTATAACCTTATTGCAAAATATTAAATAAGCAAATGTGTAGACACACACACACACACACACACACACACACACAAACTACATACTCAAACATTTGTAAATCAGTAAATCATTGGCTTTGCTTACCTTACAAGCATTAATTTGCAAACACAAAGCAATGAAAAAACTTCTATACTCTTTTAAAATGTGTAAAATTAAGCGGCAACATTAAGTAGGACATCTACCAAATTCTTAAGTGCATATATTTTATACCACCATTTCATTTGGTTGTGTTTCTAGTCTAAATCTAAAATTATCTGACGTGACCAGGCGTGGCAGTTCAGTCCAGGAATGGTGGCTCACGCCTGTAACCCCAACACTTTGGGGGGCCGAGGTGGGTGGATCACTTGAGGTCAGGAGTTCGAGACCACCCTGGCCAAAATGGTGAAACCCCACCTCTACCAAAAATACAAAAATTAGCTGGGTGTGGTGGTGGGTGCCTGTGGTCCCAGCTACTCAGGAGGCTGAGGCTGGTGAATTGCTTGAACCCGAGAGGTGGAGGTTGCAGTGAGCCGAGATCATGTCATTGCATGCCAGCCTGAGCAACACAGCAAGACTGACTCAAAATAAAATGAAATAAAAAATGAAATTATTTGATATTAATATACTTTCCACAAAATCCTATAATCCATGAATACCCCTAAATCTGCACATTGTATTAGCAATACTGTTCGATATTTTAAAGGTTCATTTTGCTATCATGTTCTGAAACAGGTACATGAGTGAGAAGAATAACAGCTTTGCATTCCTCCCGAATATGAATAGGTTTGCTGAATTAACTTTCTGAAGCAGGTGTTTCTGAACAAGAAGTATCATTGGGAAACATTCAACTTCTGTCAGCATTGGGGATATATTACAATGTAGGCAATGACTGTTTTCGTTTTCACTCTCCCTAAATGCAGAAACAACCTCCCTGTTCTTGAGTTTCCATTGCTTTGAAACTCAAAAAAACCCAATTGCCTTCAAGCCCTTTTATTTCTATTTCAGCTCTTGCTGCACACTGCAAAAGATTTAGCTGGCTTATTTTCTCAGTTATCTTATGGATCCTCCAAGTCAAAAGATCCAGGAGTGAGAATTTTCTTCTTTATGGACATAAAAGTTTACTATATGTGGAACCACGAGGAGAGTATTTTACATTATCAGCCCGGGTATTTATAAATAAAATTTTAGCTATGGCGTCATGGACCTCAAACACAAATTTTTAAAATCCTTTTACTATTGTTTTTACTCCTTAAAGAGTATTAAAGTAAGAGCCAAATGATCTCACTTTTGTAAAAATCATAAAAAGTTTTCCAGAGCTCAACGTGTTCCTTGGCATCGAAGCTTTATAGGCATAATTTACAAATCCACATCTGGAACAGCTCTCTAGATTTATCCTTGCTTTACCTTCAAGTTAGAGAGAACTCTTAGGTCACAGGATGCTGATCTTATCATAAACTAGTACGAAATCTCTAGTTAAGGAGGGACTTTTCCTTAGAATTTCATGAAATATATGTTTTATCATGTTTATTTATCATTAAAGAAATTGCTATTCTCAACCACACAAACACACCCATAGAGGTAAGTGTTGCAATTGTACAACTATATGGGTCCATTTACTGTCTTTCATTTGCTTAACAATTGAGTGTTGAACACTTACTATATTCAAGGCACTTTCTAGGTGTTTTGCATACATCAGAGAACAAAATAGACAAGTTTCCTGCTCTCAAAGAAATTAAATTTTAGGGGAGAGGCAATAATCAATGAATAAAATGAAGAAAGCATATTATATACTCTGTAAGAAAAGGGTAGGTGATAAGTGAAACAATACTAGTAGATCAGGGCAAATGGGTGGCTGTGTCTGTAGCAATGTTATTTAAATGAGACTTCTCTAAGAAGCTGACATTTGGTAAGAGCTCAAAGGAGGCATATCCATCAGGAAATGGAAGATTATTCAGATTTCACGAAGGATTTAAGTAAGGAGCATGCGTATTGTGGTTGATACTCTCAAAGAAGATGGGTGTAGCTGCAGAGGAATGGGAGAAGTATGCAGGGGGTAGGGGGAATTAATAGCAAGAAATAAAGTAGCCAAGTCATAAGGATCCTTAGAGAATATTTTAAGGCCTTTGTCATTACTTGAAATAAGGCAAGCAGACATTACAAAGATTTAAGCAAAGGAGTGACAGTGTATAACTTATACATTCAAAGGCTCATACTGGCTGCCATATGAGAATATGAGGGCAAGGATAAAATTATTTTAAATTGTAATTTTCATAAAAGAAAAAGGAATTTTAAACATCATTCTAGAAAGCATTTTTTACTTCTTAGATAGATTTAAGTCTAGAATGTTGATCCCAGAATGAATAATATAATAGTAAATATTTAATTGTACCTATAATTACAATGAAAAATTATGTATCTATACTCATGAAGTTATAAGGTATTTTTTTAAAATAGACAGTTAGCTTATAGTATTGTCATTCATCTCGATGAATGCCAAGTAAAAGCAAAATATCATATTTGGCTTTCTGTATTATTATTTTACCTATGTATTTTTTATTCTGTACAATTCAATCTTGTTATACACTCTGTAAGTTTTGACAGCACAGTATTCAAAAACCACAGACCAAATTAAGACATAGAACACTTCCTTAACTGCCCTGTATAAAAGTTCCATGCTGTCTCTGTAGTCATTTACACTTATTCCAAATCACTCATTTATTATCCACTGTCATACTTTTGTCTTTTGATGAATGTCACAGAAATGGAAACATATAATACCTATGAGCTTGAGCCTGGCTTATTTCACACAGCATAGTGGATCTGAGATTTATTCATGCTGTGTGTGTCAGTTCATTTTGTTACATTGCTGACTGGTATTTCATTGTATGGATGTTACATAATTTGTTTTTTCATTTACCTGTTAAAGAACATTTGGCATGTTTTCACTTTTGAGTTATTACAAACAAAAATGTTATAAACATCTATGACCAGATTTTTTTGTGAACAAAATTTTTTGGCGAATATTTTTAAATACATAGGAGTGGAATTGCTGGTCATGTAAGTGTATGTGTAACAATTCAGAAACTGCCAACAGTTTTCCATCACCTTCTATCCCTACCAACAATGTAGGGAGTTTCATATTAATCTACATTCCAGCTGACACTCATTAATGTCAGTTTAATTTATTTTTTAATTTTTTTAGTGTGGCACTGTGATTTTAATTTGCATATTCCTAATGACTAATTATCTTAAGAATCATTATTTAAATGTAATAAATGTATGCAGTTTATTTTCCAACTGTATACATTTTTTGATAAAGTGTTTATTCAAATCGTTTGTTCATTTTTTTTAGTTGTTTTGTTTGCATTCTTGTTTAGTTTTGAAAGTTTTTATATATTCTGGACATAGATTATTTGTTACGTAAATGGTTTCAAATATATTCTTCTGATTTGCAGCTTGTCTGTTCATTCCCTTAGTAATATTATTATAGGGCAAAGTTTTAAATTTGTATGGTCTATTTCTTTATCTCATATGGTTTTTCCTTTTTCTGCTCTATCTAAGAATCTGTTGAGTAACCCATGTTTACAAATACATTATCTTAGGCATTCATATAGAAGTTTTGTAGTTTTACATTTCACATTTAAGTGTGCATGGATTTTTTTTTACATATGGTTATATATAAAAAATAATTATTCCAGTACAATTTTATTAAATGACCAGCTTTTCCCCAGTGAAGTATATTTGAAGCTTTCTAAAAATAAATTGCCACACAGATTAAAAAAGAAAAAATAAAAAAGATTGCTCTCACTTGCCAAATGACCATCCTAGGGGTATCCTGGAAAAACAGGAAACTTTTGAATAATAATGTTACTCTATAGCCAAACACTATAGAAAAATAGTAGTCTTTGTTCCATACACACAGGAAAAGGCTAAGTGAGAATACTAGAAGTCCACTCTCATAAGACAGTAATGAAGCTCCACAATACTGAGAGAAGAGAGAGACCCTCTCATATTGCTTTATACTCAGTACCTGTTTTAAGAAAAAAAAAACAAGGAAGTGAAATCAAAGACAGGCAGCCAGGCGCTAGGCCCAAAACCAGACCTGGGCCTGCCTGGCCTAAACCTAGTAGTTAAAAATCAACCCATGACTTAGAAAGCGATGTTATTCATAGATTCCAGACATTGTATAGAAGAACATTGTGAAACTCCCTGCCCTGTTCTGTTTCTCTCTGACCACCGGTGCATGCAGCACCTGTCACGTACTCCTTGCTTGATCAAATCAATCACTACCGTTTCATGTGAAATCTTTAGTGTTGTGAGCCCTTAAAAGGGACAGAAATTGTGCATTTGGGGAGCTCGTATTTTAAGGCAGTAGCTTGCCGATGCTCCCAGCTA
Organism: Homo sapiens; assembly: GCF_000001405.40. NCBI lineage: Eukaryota > Metazoa > Chordata > Mammalia > Primates > Hominidae > Homo > Homo sapiens. Next base: position 95,357,247 of record NC_000003.12, read on the forward strand.
AATAAAGCCCTTCCTTCCATAGCTCGGTGTCTGAGAGGTTTTGTCTGCGGCTCATCCTGCTACAATACCATGGCAGGGGTAATGCCAGAAAAGGCCAAATAGGGAGCCAGGACTTTCATCATCACCAGCTAATATAACAGGACCTCCCTCCCCCTATGCTGCCGTTCACTGGAGATCACATGGGTAGCTTAGACACCTACCCTCATCTAGCAGTAATAAGGCATCCTTGCCGCTCTGTGCTGGCTATCTCAGAGAAGTCCTAGTGGATAACTAGGACTTTCAAAATCATCTGGTAACAAGTTGTAACAAAGCCACTCCAACCACAGTGTTAGTGAAGACCATGTGAGGAGCTGACACTTCCATCCCAGGCTATCAGTAATAAAGAGCTCCCTCTCAAGTGTCAAAGGAGGCCACCTGGAAGGAACGAGCCATCCATTCTTCTCCTGCCACAGCACTGTCAGAGGAAGCCAATTAAAACAGAATATTTAAATAAGATTGAAAATATCATAACATAATATGAAAATATTCATGATTTAATAGCAAATCATTTACCATACCAAGAACCAGGAAGATTTCAAACTAAATTTAAAAAAAAGATAACAGATGCCAACACTGAGATGACACAAACACCAGAATTACCCAACTAGCATTTTAAATCAGTGATGGTAAAAATGCTTCAATGAACAATTTTGAACATACTTGAAACAAAATGAAAAAAGATAAAGGCTTAACAAAGAAATAGAATTTCTCAACAACAACAACAACAAAAAAGGAGAATAAAATGGAAAATTTATAACTGCAATAGTATACAATATCTAAAATAAAATCTCAGTGAAGGGGCACAATATTGCTAAGATGTATGGAAAAAGGAAAGAATTAATGAATTGAAAGAGGACAATTAAAAATACACATTATAAATAAAAGTTAGACTGAAAAAAATAAGCAGAGCATTACAGACCTGTTTATCACAAAAGATCTAATATTCATGTTATCAGAATTTCAAAAGTAAAGAAGAAAGAAATGGAAGCTGAAAAATTACTTGAAGATATAATGGCTGAGAACTCCAAAAAATCTGTTGAGACATAAACTTACAGCTTGAGGAAAATGAAAGAACTTCAAAAACGTTAAACACAAAGACATCTATGCCAAAATCATCTTAATCGCACTTCTTACAACTAAAGACAAAGAAAAAGAAAACAATCTTGAAAGCAGCCAGAAAAAAAGTAACATCATACTTTGGGGAAAAAATTATCTGAATGACAGGTTTTTCACAGAAGTCATGGAGGCCAGAAGAAAGCAGCACACTCGTTTTGATGATGAAAGAAAAGAATTATCAATCCACAATCCTACATCTAGGGAAAATATCCTTTGAGAATAAAGAGAAGTAAAAACATTCTCAGAAGAAGAAAAAGAAAGAATTTGTCATCAGCAGATTTACCCTAAAGAATGACTAACAGAAATTCTCTAAGTAGAAAAGAAACACTGAGAGAAGGAATGATATGACATCAGATTAGAACAAAATACATGGTAAGCAAAAATTAGGAAAAAATACAGTAAGTTTTCTTACACTTTTTAAGTTTTTTAAATTAGGGTTGATGGTTAAAGCAAAAATTATAATACTAACTGATACAGTTTAAATATATGTACAGAAAATATTTAAGTCTATTAAATTATAAGCAGAGAGAATAAAGGACTGTAAAGAGTAGTAAGGTTTATATGTTCTGCTTAAATTTCATTACCTAAATTTCATGGAGGTTAGAAGATATATATAAACTGTAATTTTGAATTACTACATAAAGGAAACCTGCAATTTGAACTAATTTGGAGATAATAAGTTAAAAGAACATAGACAAATATATGATTAGTTTTATATACTCTTTGGAATGGTTAATTTTATTGTCAACCTGGCTGAGCCACAGTGCCCAGATATTTAGTAAACATTATCCTGGATGGTTCTATGGTAGTGTTTTTGGATAAGATTAACATTTAAATTGGCAGAGTTTGAGTAAAACAGAGTGCCCTCCATAATGTGTGGGCTTCATTCAATCAGTTGAAGGCCTTATTAGAACAAAGACTGACCTCCCACAAGCAAGAAGGGATTCTTCCAGGAAACTGCTTTGACTTCCAGGGCAGCTCTTCCAGGAGTCTCCAGGCTGCAGGCCAATGCTATCAGATTTTCAGATTTTAGAATCTCCAAGCTTCTGCAATTGCACGAGCCAATTCCTGTCTTTCTATTTCTGTCTCTCTTTGTCTGTGTCTCTGCCTTTGTCTATCTCTTTGTCTCAGCATCTGTCTCCATATCTATCCGTGTGTGTGTGTGTGTGTGTGTGTGTGTGTGTGTGACTAATATACCCCTTGCTGATTTTATGTCTAGTTCTTCTATTAACTGTTGACAAAGGGGTGTTGAAATTTTCAACTACAATTTTAAATATGCTTCCACTTCAGTTTTATCAATTTTGATTTACATATGTTACCTCTCTGTTGTTTGGTGCATACACATTTAGAATCGATATATAATCTTGGTGTATTGACTCTTTAACCATTATAAAATGATATGTAAATACTTTCTGCTTCTCTCTACATGTTACCTTATTCTAGAGTGACTCAGGACATCTACAGGCTCCATTTCTGAGGTACCTACTATGATATGTCGTGTTTTAGACTGCAACAAAATAATTTCAACCGATTTAAATAATTACAATTATGAATCTCTTCTCAACATAAAATGTAACCAAACTAGAAATAAATAACAATTTTTTTCTTCATTCTGAAGAATCAGAAAAAAACGCATTTGTAGAAAATTTATGAGTCAAAGAGGAATCAAGAAACACATTTAAGTGAATAAAAATGAAAATGTAACATATTAATAGTTGCAGAACATAGCTAAAACACTAACGAGTGGTCAACTTGTAACACTAAATTTGTGTGTTAGAAAGAAGACACCTCAAATAACTACTCTCAATTACCACCTCAAGAATCTAGAAAAAGAAAATAAATCCAAAGCTAGCTGAATGAAAGAAATAATAAACATAAAAGCAAAAATCAATGAGATTGAAGACAGAAAAACAATAGAGAAACTCAGTAATACAAACAGCTGGTAATTTGAAAACAATAAAAAAACTGATAGAATTTTAGTAAGACTAATAAAGGAAGAGAAAACACAGATTGTTAATATTAGAAATGAAATAGGGCATGTCACTAGAAACCCTGCAGATATGACAAGGATAAAAAAAGAATATTATGAAAAACTCTACAAACATAAATTTGACATTTTAGATGAACTGGACCAGTTACCCATAAAACCAAACTACTGGAACTCACTAAATATGAAATACATAATTTAAATATTTTATAAACATAGTTCAAAAAGTAAACAAAACAAAAATCCCAGGCTAATATTCCTCATAAATATGGAAGAAAATTTTTGTAACATTAGCAAATAGAAATCAACATTATATAAATAGAATTATACACCATGAAGAAGTGAGTTATTTTAGAAATGTAAGACTTCCAATATTTGCAAAGCTATTAATTTAATCTACCAAATTAACAAGCTAAAGAAAATCAGATGATCATATCAATTAATGAAGAAAAAGCATTCAACAAAATTCAACACATATTCATGACAGAATCTCAAAAAATAGGAATAGAGGAGCACTTGCTCAAAGATGAGGAACAAAGAAAGCATGTCCATTCTCTTATTCAAAGCAAGCTGTCCACTCTTATTCAAAATAGTGCTGGAAGTTTTGCCAGTGCAATATAGCAAGAAGAGCAAATAAAAGACACACAGTGCAGTGAGCCGAGATTGTGCCACTGCACTCCAGCCTGGGCAACAGAGTGAGACTGTCTCAAAAAAAAAAAAAAAAAAAAAGACAGATCAGAAAGACAGAAACAAAAGTCTCTATCTGTAGATTACATGATAGTCTATGGAGACAATAATAAGACATCTCTAAAAAAAAAGAAAACCTAGAAATGTCAGGTAAGTTCAAAAATTGAAAGATAAAACATAAAAAATCAACTGTACGTCTATATACTGTCAATGATGAAACAGACAATAAAATTAATAATCCAGTATTATAATTTGCATTTACAATTATGATTACAATTACTTCAAAGACAATGAAATATATGTGTAAAACTAACAGAATATGTGTAGTGTCTGTATGCCAAAATATATGCAACAACAATGAAGGAAATCAGAGAAGATTTAGATAAAAGGGATACCTTGTTTATGAATTGGAAAACTCAAAAGCGTAAATATGTCAGTTGTCTCCAAATTAGTACCTGGGTTTAACATGATTTATATATAAATTTCTACAACGTTTTTATGTGCATAAAGATGAAATTATTCTAAAATATATATGAAAAGTTCAAGAAAGTAAAAGAATTTGAAAAAGACGTGAAGAATGAGTCTATCCAATTTCAAAACTTATTATGTAGCTACAGGAATCAAGACTGTGTAATACTGTGGGAAAGATAGGCACAATTTAATGGAACAGAATAGAAAACCCAGAAAGAAAAAACTCTTAACAAATGTTTTTAAAGCAATTGAACAATCATAGAAAAAGCAAACAAAAACAATCTCTCAACCTAAACATTACACCTAATAAAAAAATTAATTCAAAAACGGATTATAAACTTACATGTTAACTGTAAAGTTACAAAACATTTGGAAAAATAAATCTTGGGAAAATGTCTGACAGGCATTATGCTAAGCAAAAGTTCTTTAGATCTGACAACAACAGTGAAGGAAATATCCATAATTTGAGCTTCATCAAAATTAAAAACTTTGCTCTGTGAAAGACTTACCTTCTTAATTTTTACAAAAAAAATAATGAAACCATGGGCAAATCTTTGGACTCTAGGCATGATCAAAGAGTTATACTTGACATCAAAATCAGAACCCATAGATACAAAATTTATAAGTTGTACCTGATCAAAATTAATTTTTTTTGTCATGTGAAAGGCTCTATTAAGGTAATGATAAGACAAGCTGCAAACTGCGAAAAAATATTTGAAAATTACATATTCAACAAAAACTACACGTAGAATATATAAAGAACTCTCCAAAATAAACATTTTTTGAAAAGAACCAGCAATTGGACTAGAAATGGGAAGGAACAGACATTTCACCAAAAAGATTATACAGATGGCAAACGAGCATACGAAAAGATGTTTAACATCATTAGCCGTTAGGAAACTGTAAATTACAACCACAATGAGATATCATGATACATCTATCAGAATGGCTAAATTTAAAAATTAAAAATATATACCAACACCAATTGCTGGAGATGATTCAGAGAAACTGGATTACTAAATCATTGCTGTTAGGAATATAAAATTACATGGCCACTTTGGAAAAGTTTGGTACTTTTTACAAAATTAAACATGGCAACTATCGTACGACCAATGATTTTGCTCTTGAGAATTTATCCCAGAAAAACTACAAACAAACGAAAAAACCCAAAATTTATTTTCATACAAAAACCTTTACATGAATGTTTACAACATTTATCATGGCCAAAAATGGAAGCAATTACAATGTACCAAATGTGAATGGCTAACCTACCAGTGGTACATCCAGATACAAAATAGCACTTAGCAATAAAAAGGAAGAAACTACTAATAAAATTAGCAACCTAGATAAATTTCCAGAGAATTATGCTGAGTGAAAAGAAAGAATCCTAAATGTTTACATCCAATTATTCTATTTGTATAACTTTGTAAAATGACAAAATTTAACAGGTAGAGAAATGAATAGTAGTCACTAATGGTTAAGGTGACAGGGTGAGGATGCAAGGGAAGTAGGTGTTGCTACAAAAGGGCAACATGAGGAGTGCTTGGGTGGTAGAAACATTCCATATTTTGATTGTGTCAATGTTAATATTCTGGTTGTGATACTGTATCACAATTTTATATGATGTTACCATTAGAGATAACTGGATAAAAGATACACAAGGTCTCTCTGTACTACTTACTTGTTATAATCTATGTGATTTTTAAATCTAAAATCATTTCAAAGTTGAAAGTTAAAAATAAATTACCCAGCTGGGTGGTGGCTCACTCCTGTAATTCCAGCACTTTGGGAGGCCAAGGCGGGTGGATCACCTGAGGTCAGGAGTTCAAGACCAGTCTGGCCAACATGGTGAAACCCTATCTCTACCAAAAATACAAAAATTAGCTGGATGCCATGTCACACACCCAGCTACTCGGGAGGCTGAGGCAGGAGAATCACTTGAACAGGGGAGGCAGAGGTTGCAGTGGGCCCAGATCACTCCACTGCACTCCAGCCTGGGCGACAGAGCAAGACTCTGTCATAAAATAAAATAAAAAATAAATAAATAAATAAATTACCCGTATATATGTGGCTCTATTTTTGGATTCTATTTTCCACTCCATTGATCTGTATGTCTAAACTTTCACCATTATCATACTGTCTTTATAGCAAGTCCTTACTTTATCTGTATCTTTATAATAAATCTTAAAATCAGGTAACATGAGTCCTCCCGTTGTGTTCTTCCCTTTAATAGCAAAAGCAAAGGATTTGAGATTTTATTCTATTGGTAGGCTAGATATTTTAACCTGTTACATTTTCATATTTGCTGGCAAAAGACATGGATATGTGGGACAGGGAAAATGGACTGGATTGCACCGAACTCAACAGGCAGCATGAGTTTCAGATTTGCTTCTGTTTACCTTGTCCCTAAAGTTCCCTGGGGATAAGGCAGAGGCAGGCCCAGATAGATGCTCCAAAGGCAGTGGGATTGCTCCAGAGGCAGTCGGTTTGCTCCACAGATAAGGAAACTTGAGTTTATTAAACTGACAATCTTATAAGGGTTTTGCTAGTAAATCTGTCCCGTCTTAGCTCCGGAGGGGATAAAGATTGTGGACGCTATGTCTGTCTTCTCAGTCTGTGTGTTATACAAACAACCTTGAGAAGAGATTCTGGGACAAAAGGTGATACAAGTCATGCAGAAATGCAAGAAATAATGGTAAATTGTCTCCCAACAGTATTTACATTTTTTCTACATCTTAGCTTCTGGCAAATTTTCCTATAAATATGACCTTCTGACAGTTTTTTAAATTATTCTAACCAAATAGGGATGTGAACAAATTTATTCAATTCATCTTATACAGTATTAAATTGAAGCTACTATCAGTAGGACTGAAGGCAGAGGAATGAGGCCAACCTGCAGTATTGACTTTAGCCATTCTCCCAGTGTCCCAACTCTCATCCCCTAAACAGTAAGTAATTAGAATACTGGGGGCTTTCACTTTAACTTTTTGTATGAGCTTTTGCATTTTGTCCATGGCATTTATCCAGGTAGGACAGAATGTTCTAATGTTTACAGACTCCGCTTTGCCCCTTAAAAAGGGACTTAGAGCATTTCCGTTATTTTCAACAATGCTGGCCAGTAACTGAATCCAATTTGAATGATTTTAAGGGTTGAGTAGGTGTTTTCTTAAACATGTAAGGTTTCTTATGACCATCCCCGAGGTGCAATTCACCATATTTTCAAGAGAGGCAAGTTAATGCTGGGCTTTCACACAAGAAGTACAATACCCAGAACGCAAATGGTATTCCTGGAAAGAAAATGTTCACAATTGTTGTGTTCCCCAAGTAAATAAGTGAGTCCTCAGTCATAAATAGCTCTGAAAGGCAAAGATTATTATTTTTCTTTCTCTTCTCTGTACCTCCTGGAATCTAATGTGTTCCCATCCCAGGAACCAAGGTATTGTCCTCCTTTAAAGCCTCAGATTTTTGGTGTGCCATTCTAGTGGCTCACTCCTGTAATTCCAGCACTTTGGGAAGCAGAGGTGGGCTGATCACGAGGTCAGTCGAGACCATTCTGGCTAACATGGTGGAACCCCATCTCTACTTAAAAAAAAAAAAATAGCTGGGCATGGTGGCGGGTGCCTGTAGTTCTAGCTACTTGGGAGGCTGAGGCAGGAGAATGGCATGAACCCAGGAGTTGGAGCTTGCAGTGAGCCGAGATCGCACCACTGCACTCCAGCCTGGGCGACAGAGCGATACTCCGTTTCAAAAAAAAAAAAAAAAAAAAAAAATTAGCCGGGGGTGGTGGCGCCCGTAATCCCAGCTACTCAGGAAGCTGAGGCAGGAGAATCACTTGAAACCAGAAGGCAGAGGTTGCAGTGAGCTGAGATCATGAACTGCACTCCAGCCTAGGCAACAGAGTGAGACTTCGTCTCAAGAAACAAAATTTTGGCCGGGCGTGGTGGCCCACGCCTGTAAGCCCAGCACTTTGGGAGGCTGAGGAGGGTGGATCACCTGACGTTAGTTGTTCAAGTTCACCCTGGTCAACATGGTAAAACCCCGTCTCTGCTAAAAATACAAAAATTAGCTGGGCATGGTGGCATGTGCCTGTAGTCCCAGCTACTTGGGAGGCTGAGGCAGGAGAATCGCTTGAACCCAGGAGGTGGAGGTTGAAATGAGCCAAGATCACGCCACTGCACTCCAGCCTGGGCAACTGAGCAAGACTCCGTCTCAAGAAAACGAAAAAAAAAAAAAAACCCAAAAAAACAAAACAAAACAAATATATATATACACACACACACACACTCACACACACATATATATGCATATATATATATATATATATATATATATATATATATATATATAATCCTCTACACATGCCCAAACTTTATAAATATAATCATAATTGTTTGACTCCCCTCTACCCCTTTCTTACTGGGTTGCCATCTAGAGGTTTTATCAACAAGGGTAGCTTGAGGTTGCTGTCAGCAGAAAGAATAAAGCATTATACTAAGGAATGATCAGGAAGAAATTGTTAATCTTCAAATTAGCTCTACATATAATTCCTATACTCCCTAGGTCATAAACAACATAATCTTACCCAAAGAGAGTTCTGACCTTTGTTTTTGGCTTATTGGGGCTAGTCTCTGAACCCTTAGAATAGCATGCCCAATAAGAGTGTCTTTGTCTGAGAGCCTTGTGTCACACTGGATAGCCTAACAATGTGATTTAGGGTGGGGGCTTTTAATCATGCAGTATCAGCAGACCTCTAGAGGAGCTGGAAACTTGAGACTGCGTCCCCTATGTGGACAGTCAACGGTACCTGTGTGATTCAGCCGAAAGTAAAACACTGAACACCAAGGCTCAGCAGGTTGAAAGTACTCCATGTGTATTGCCACACACTGATGCTTGGAAAGTAATGCTGACTCTCTCTCTCTCAGTGGACTTCATTTTTAGAGTAATTTTAGGTTAACAGCAAAACTGAGAGGAAAGTACATAGAATAGACTTTCCGTATGTACCTAGCCTGCTTACATGCATAGCCTCCCCTATCGTCATCCCCCAACAGAGTGGTACATTTGTTACAATTGATGGACCTACATTGACACAATATTACCCAATATCGGTAGTCAACATTAGAGTTAACAAGTGGTATCTTACGTTCTGTGGGTTTGGGCAAATGTGTAATAACATGTATTCGCATTATAGTATCACACAGAGTAGTTACATTGCCATAAAAATCCTCTGTGCTCTGCCTATTCATCTATCCCTCACCCAACATTTGTTGCAACCACTGATATTTTTACTGTCTCCACAGTTTTGCCTTTTCCAGAGTGTCATATAATTAGAATCATACTATATGTAGCCTTTTCAGATTGGTTTCTTTCACTTAGTAATATGGATTTAACTTCCTCCCTCCGCCCCCTGTCCCCCGTGTCTTTTCATGACTTGATTGCTCTTTTCTTTTTAGCACTGAATAATATTGCATTGTCTGAATCTTCCATAGTTTACTTATCCCTTCACTTGCTGAAGGACATCTTGATTGCTTCCAAATTTTGGCAATTATGAATAAAGCTGCTATAATCGTTGGTGTACAAGTTTTTGTGTGGGTTTTAAGTTTTCAACTCCTTTGGGTAAATACCAAGAAGCATGATTGTTGGGTCATATGGTGAGAGTAGGTCTACTTTTGAAAGAAACCACTAAACCACCTTTTAAAGTGACTATGCCATTTTGCTTTCCTACTAGTAATAAGAGTTCCTGCATCTACACATCGTTTTCAGACATTAGATGCTAATGTCAGTTTTCTAGATTTTGGCTTCTTGACATTCTTCAACCCACTTCTGTCATGTATTACTTCCAGGAGTTATTTTTGTTGATTCTTTTGAATTTTTTACTTAGATGATTATATTATCTGTGAACAAAGACAGTTTTATTTCTTCCTTTCCAATCATTATACCTTTTATTTTCCTTTCTTATCTCATTGCATTAGCTAGGACTGCCAGTATGATGTTGTAAAGCAATACCGAGTGGAGATCTTTACCTTTTTCCTAATCTCAGTGAGAAATCAAGTTTCTCAGTGCAAGAATCTCTTTTCAGTGTTTTTCTTTCTTTTTCTTTTTCTTTTCTTTTTTTTTTTTTTTTTTTGAGACTGAGTCTTGCTCTGTCGCCCAGGCTGGAGTGCAGTGGCACAATCTGGGCTCACTGCAAGCTCCGCCTCCTGGGTTCATGCCATTCTCCTGCCTCAGCCTCCCGAGTAGCTGGGACTACAGGTGCCCACCACCACGCCTGGCTATTTTTTTTTCTTTTGTATTTTTAGTAGAGACGGAGTTTCACCGTGGTAGCCAGGATGGTCTCGATCTCCTGACCTCATGATCCGCCCGCCTCAGCCTCTCAAAGTGCTGGAATTACAGGCGTGAGCCACCGCGCCCGGGCTCTTTTCAATCTTTTTCATGTTGGTTCCTCCTTATGATCATTTTGATAACGCTCGTCAGCTCCCAGTGTCCCCTTTTCCTTGTTCTTAAATTTCCTTGCCCTGCATAACTCTATGTGGAGCAATGAGATAAAATAGAGAATAAATAATAACGTTCAAACCACAAAAGGAACCTTTTTTACTTCTTCTGGTCCAAGATAAATATTTTATTTCAAGTTACCTCCATGCTCTATGGCCATGATTGCCACCATCGTTATTTCTTCCACCTCTACCACCACTGTAGCTACTATGGGAGTATATAGTTTTATCAGTGGGGCTTGCCTGAAAATAGGACCAGAAAGACAGAGACAGAAGGTCGTGAGAGACAGAGAGAGAGAGAGATGGAGATGAGGGGGGTGTGTAGTTTCCACTTACTATATCCCTTTTGTTTTCTTTGTTTTGCTTCTGCTTTTTATTCTTCTTGGGAACACCTCTGTCTGTGTCAGCTATGCAGTTACACAGTTCCGGGATCAGGCTGCCTTGCAGGAGATATGGGTTGAAAAAAACAAGAAAAACAAAACAAAACAAAATAAAAAAAAAAAAAAGTAGAAAAAGAGTGAATGTACCACTGCATTAGTTCTTGGAATTTATTTCCTTTCCAAGTTTTCCCACAATTATTTACTTTTCATAAACTATAGGTATTTTATGTATTCTGCATTGGTGGTGGTGGTTGTTGTTGTTGTCATTGCTTACTCTAACTTAGGTGAATCTGGATGTCTGTCCTGTGATTTTTAAAACTTATAAATTCTATTATTTGAATAAAAACATATAGTTGCAGCTATAGCTGTTTTTCCTTATGACACATTTTTATGGAATAAAAGCCACAGTTAAAATGAAAAAATAAAGCAGAAGTAAAATAACACTAGAAAGAATTTCCATTCCATAATTATATTTTTAAAAATCTCTTCTACCTTTTACTACTATTCATAATTTCATCAACAAAAACATTGACATGCTAGATTCGTATTTCATTTACTTACACATGGTCGTTAACATAAAAACTGAACATATAAGTAACCTCTTCTTTTTTTATGTTCATTGATCCTTGGCAGCAGTCTTTTACTTTTATTTTCTATACTTTTCTAAGCACTGTACTGAAAATAATTAATTTTGGAGTAAGGCAACAATTTTCTTTGAGACTTTCAAACTTTGTTTACTTTGTTAAAATAGTAGAATAAAAATGCTGAGTGTTTCAGTCTATGAATAAGCAATCTGTCACAAAATATATTTCTAATTAAATTCAGTATTTCTACTCTAAATTATTGCATATAAAATTTAACCAGTTGAAGAATTGAACACCTAATTAATTCACATATAGATATATGCCCATTTTGCTGCTTGTTTTGGTAACCAAGGTAACCTATTTCTAAACACGTTTTAGTACTGTCAGAACTCTAAACTTTCAAAGCTACAGATATTAAAAGTAAATGGGTTTTGAGTATACTTGTTTGTTCTAAATCAGTTTTATGTCCTGTTGAGATTTAGAGACAGAATATTTAAAGTATCTAATTTTAACATTGGCCTTATTGATGAAAAGGAAAATAATGTATTACTAATCAAGCCATCAAACAATTTGAATCTATTTTGGAGACATGGTGATTGAAAAAGCAACAGAACAACTGAGTATTTTGTGGATTTCTTTAGTGAAAGGTTGTGCTGTTTTAGTTGAATAGTCAATCAATATTGTGATAGACAATTCACGTTAATTTCTTCTCTTTTCTCACCCTTATAATTTGCCTACCAAATAGGCATCACATTTCACTTAACTTACCTAGCACAACTGTGAATTTTTTCTCTACATTTTCCACATTTTAATTAACATATAATAATTATACATATTTATGAGGTATATATGATATCTTCTTACATGTATACAGTATTTAATCATTAAATCAGGGTAACTGGGATATCCATCACCGCAAATATTTATTATTTCTTGTGTTGAAAAGATTCACGTCTCTTCTAGCTATTTCGAATTATACAGTAAACAATCGATAACCATAGCCACCATATTGTGCTATCAAACACAAGAATCTGTTTCTTCTATCCAACCATTTATTTCTATACCATTAACCAAAAGCTGTTTATTCCTGTGACCCTCTACTCATCCCAGCTTCCAGCAACCACCATTCTACTCATCATCTTCTTGAAACCAACTCTTTAAAGATTCCACATATGAGAGAGTCCATGTGATATTTGGCTTCCTGTTCCTGGCTTACTTCACTTAACACAATGTTCTCCAGGCTCAATAAAATTGTTGCAATAATAAGATTTCATTTTTTGTGGCTGAATAATATTCCACTGTGTGCATATCTATATACATATGGCAAATATATATATATATATTTGCCATATCTTCTTTACCCGTTCATCCACTGGCATATATCTATGGCATATATATATATATATATATATATATACTATTATATAAACTATTATATAAACCAATAAACTATTGGTGAGAAAGTGGCCGGGCGCGGTGGCTCACACCTGTAATCCCAGCACTTTGGGAGGCCGAGGCAGGTGGATCACGAGGTCAGGAGATCGAGACCATCCTGACTAACATGGTTAAATTTCCTCTCTACTAAAAATACAAAAAATTAGCCGGGTGTGATGGCTGGTGCCTGTATATATATATATATATATATATATATATATATATATATATATATATATATATATGCCATATGTTCTTTACCCATTCATCCACTGATGGACACTTAGGTTGATTCCATATCTTGGCTATTGTTGACAGTGCTGCAATAAACATGGAAGTTCAGATATCTCTTAAATGTACTGATTTTATTTCTTCGTTATATATAACCAGCAATGGCATTGCTGGATCACATGGTAGTTCTATTTTGAATTCTTTGAGGCATCACTAAATCTTTTCCCATAATTGCAGTATTTATTCACATTCTCACCAGCAGTGTAGAATAATTCCCCTTTCTCTGCATCTTGACCATTATCTGTCATTTTTTGTATTTTTATTTCAGCCATTTTATCTAGGGTGAGATGATATTTCATTGTGCTTTTGATTTTCCTTTCCTTGATGATTAGTGATGTTGACTTTTTTTGTATACCTGGGGGCCACTTGTATGTTGTCTTTTAAAAAATATTTGCTCAGATGTTTCATCCATTTTTAAAATTGGATTTTTTTTTTTTTTTTTTTTTTTTTTTTTGCTGTGGAATTGTTTGAGTTCCTTGTATATTCTGGTTATTATTCCCTCATCATGGATAGTATGCAAATGTTTTCTCCCATTCTATAGGATGTCTCTTATTTTTTGGTGGTTTCCCTTGCTATCCAGAAGCATTTTAGCTTGATATAATCCATTTATCTGTTTTGCTTTTCTTGCATCTGATTTTAAGATCTTACCCCAAAAATCTTTGCCCAGACTAACGTCCTGAATCCTGAAACGTTTCCCAAAATTTTGTTCTAGTATTTTTATAGTTGTAGGTCTTACATCCAAATCTTTAATTCATTTTATTTGTGTGTGTGTGTGTGTGTGTGTGTGTGTGTGTGTGTGTGTGTATCATAAGAGACAGGGGTCTAGTTTCATTCTCGTGCATATAAATATCCAGTTTTCACAGCACCATTTATTGAAGGGACTATTCTTTCCCTAGTGTATATTATTGACACCTTTGTTAAAAGTGAGTTGGCTGTAAATGCATACATTTATTTCTGTGCTCTCTTGTATGTCATTGGCCTATATGTCTATATTTACGCTGTTACCATGCTGTTTGGTTATTATAGCTTTGTATATTATTTGAAGTTGAGTAGTGTAATTTCTTCAACTTTTTTCTTTTTGTTCATGTTTGCCTTGAATAGATGAGGTCTTTTTTGGTCCCATACCAATTTTAAGATGGTCTCTTCTATTTCTGTGAAGATTGTCATTGATATTATGATATGGATTGCATTGAGTCTGTAGATTGCTTTGAGTAGTATGGGCATTTTAACAGTATAAATTCTTTGAATCCAAGAACATAGGATTTTTTTTTTTCATTTTTAGTGTCTTCTTCAAATTCTTTCATTTGCATTTGATGTATTTTGTTGTAGAGGTCCTTCCTTTCTTTAGTTGAATTTATTCCAGGTTATTTTTTTTGGTAGCTAAAGTGGATTGCTTTTTTTTAAAAAAATATCTTTTTTAGATTGATTGCTGTTGGTACAAATAAATACTACTGATTTTTGTGTATTGATTTTGTATCCTGAAACTTCACAGAATTTATTAGTTTTAGCAGGTTTTTTTGGTGGAGTCTTAGGTTTTTCTAATTTAAAAATCATGTCATTTGCAAACAAGACTAATTTAAAGTTTTTGTTTCCAATTTTGATGTCCTTTAATTCTTTCTTTTACTTAATTACTCTGGCCAGTACTTCCAGTATTATCTTGAATAATGGCAGCAAGAGTGGGCGTGTTTGTTTTGTTCCAGTCTTTAGAGAAAATTTGTTAATATTTTTCCATTTGGTACTGTGTTAGCTATAGGTTTGTCATACATGGCTTTTGTTCACTCTGGCTGGGGGTTTATCAACTTTATTTATATTTCATAAAGACAGCAACTGGTTTTATTGCTTTTCTATATTGGTTTTATTGCTTTTTCTCTGTTGTTTTCTGTTTTTAATTAAATAGAGTCCTCCCCATATTGTTATCATTTTGTTTGTTCTGCTTGCATTGAGTTTAATTTTAGGATTTTTTTCTTTAATTTTAACCATGTTATTTTAAGATCTTTTCATTTTTGATTGTAAGTTTTGATGCTGTAAATTTTCCTCTACGTCCTGTTTTAGTTAATTTTTTTTGATTTTTTATTTTATTCATTTTAAAACATTTTAAATGCATCCTGAGACTGCCTCTTTGGCCCATTGGTTATTTTGAATTTTATTGCCTCTTTTCTGAAACCAAATTATTTTTAAATTATCTTTCTGTATTAATTTCTAATTTAATTCAATTATGGGCTGAGAAATACTGCATATTATTTATATGCTTTTAACTATATTAAATTTTTTAGACCATAAAAAACATTCTCAATGAATGTTAATATACACTTAAAAATAGCATGTCCTTTTCTGTTATTAGTGTTATTAAAAGCATGTTTAATGGAGATCAGTTGGATCAAATTTGTTGATAGTTTTACTTGAGTCTTCTACATTATTACCAGTTTTCTTCATTTAAATTCTATCAATTTGTAAGAAAGAACAGTGATAAAGACACTCCGTGCTGTTTCTATTAGCTCTGTACTTCTATTTATTGTTACTTCATATATTTTGAGTCTCTCTTGTTGGTTATATAGATATCCAAAATTGTTATGACTTTTTGGAGAATTGATTTTACAACAATAGGATTGTCCTTTTTATCCTTGTTAATATCTCCTGATCTGAAAGCTATTTGACTTTACTTTTGGTTATTGTTTATATGGTAAATCTTCTCCATTCCTGTGCAAACTTTTTTTGTATCTTTATATTTAAATTCTTTTTGACAACATACTCCTTGCTGTTGTCAACTATGCTTAATCTGAAAATCTCTGTCTTTTACCTAATAAACTTAGATATTTCACATTAACATGAATACTGATATACATGGATTAAAATTTACAATTAGTTTGTTTTCTATTTGTTCCTTGTCTTTTGTAACTTATAATTTCCTTGTATTCTACCATTTATCAATTTAATTTAGCATTCATTTTTCTTTTGATTTAATGTCCTCTATTGACAGGTTATTATTATATCTTTTAAAATTTATTTTTGTGGTTGCCCCAAAACATACTGAATACGTCATCCATTAATCAGAATTTATCTTTATATCATATTACATCACTTCATATATAGTGCAAGTACCTTACAATAGTACATCTCATATTTCCCTGCCTCTCGTGTTTGGGATATTATTGTTATATATTTTACCCCGTCCTGTGATTTAAATAGAGCATTTTGTTAACAATTTGTTTTAGACAGCAACTTATCGTTCAGAATGTTTTAAAATAAAAATCAATTTATTTTATCTTTAAATCATTGTGTAAACTCAGATTTTTCTCTGGTAATGTGTCTTTTTTTATCTTTATTTTTTTGCCTGAAAAACTTCCTTCAATAGTTCTTGTAGTATGAAGGTGGGCTGCCAAAAAACCTGTCAGATTTGTTTGTCTGAAGTATAATTATTTCTACTTTTCTGTTTGAAAGATATATTTTTGTCAGTTATATAATTCTCTGTGTGTGTGTGCGCGTGTGTGTGTTTGTGTGTGTGAAAATATATATGCTTTTAAAATACATCCATTCAATGTCTTTCTGTTTTATGGCTTTTGGAGAGAAGTAAGTCCATTCTTTCTTCCTTCTTACTTTCCTTCCTTTCCTGATTATTCAACAAACCTATTGTAAACGTATAGTGTCATTCTCTGTTCTACTTATGGATATGCAATCTCACAGAAACGCTCTCTGAACATATCTCCAAATATGTCCTTAGATAAGTTTCCATTCTTTTCATTTTTTTCCTCATTTATAGGTTTTTTGTCCCATATCCTCTGAGTATTTTATTTGCTTCTAGAAAAGAATAATTACATAGAAAATAATGGTTGAGTGCCCATTAACATTTTTCCTGCTTATATTAAGTTGATGCAAAAGTAATTTTAATTTTGCCTTGTTGAAATTTGCCATTTAATATTGAAATACCTTCTTAAATAAATTTGTTTATATTATTACATCATTATAATGCACATTTCTCACTTTTTGTTGCTAATGACTTATTATTTGCTGTTTATTTTGTATTTATTTTAGACTATGAAAATGGTGTCAGACCAAAAGCAAATTCAAGCGATTTTCTTATTTGAGTTCAAAATGGGTTGTAAAACAGCAGGGTCAACTCGCAACATCAACAGCATTATTTGCCAAGGAACTGCTAACGAATGTACGGTGCAGTGGTGGTTCAAGTAGTTTTGCAAAGGAGATGAGAGCCTTGAAGATAAGGAGTGTAGTGGCCAGCCATTGGAAGTTGACAACAGCCAATTGAGAGCAATCATAAAAGTTGATCATTTTACAACTATATAAGAAGTTGCCCAAGAACTCAACTTCGACCATTCTATGGTCATTCCACATTTGAAGCAAATTGGAAGGGTGAAAAAGCTCAATAAGTGGGTGCCTCATGAGCAGACTAAAAATGAAAAAAAAAATTATCATTTTGAAGTGTCATCTTCTATTACTCTATGCAACAATGAACCATTTCTTGATCTGATTGTGATGTGTGATGTGTGATGAAAAGTGGCTTTTATGTGACAACTGGTGAAAACCAACTCAGTGGTTGGACCCAGAAGAAGCTTTAAAGCACTTCCCAAAGTCAAACTTGCACCAAAAAAAGGTCATGGTCATTGTTGGGTGTTTTGCTGCCAGCCTGATCCACTACAGCTTTCCGCATTCCAGCTAAACCATGACACATGAGATGTATGCTCAGCAAATTGATGAGATGCACGCAAAACTGAAACTCATGCAGCCAACATTGATCAACAGAAAGGACCTAATTCTCCACAACAACACCCGATGGCATGTCATACAACCAACAATTCAAAAGTTGAATTAATTGGGCTAAGAAATTTTGCTTCATTTGCCATAGTCACTTGACTTCTCCCCAACCGACTACCACTTCTTCAAGCAACTAGACACCTTTTTGCAGAGAAAATGCTTCCACAATCATCAGGATGCAGAAAATACTTTCGAAGAGTTTCTGGAATCCCAAAGGACGGATTTTTATGCTACAGAAATAAACTTATTTCTTGTTGGCAAAACTGTGTTCCTATTTTGATAAATAAACATGTATTTGAGCCTAGTTATAGATTTAAAATTAATGGTCCTAAACTGCAATGACTTAACTTTAAATATGGTGAGAGGAACTAGAGGCAGAACAATATAGAAATATGCTGATGCACAGGTTACATTTTAAGTCCTCCCGTAAACTGAACTTTGCACATGATGACCTACTCCAACTACACAAATGTCTGGGCTAAACTGTATGTACAAATTCATTGTTACTTCTGGAATGGAAAATAAAATACAATAAATAACTTGTAAAATGTATCGTAAAGGCAATTTCTTTGCTCAATTTACAACTACAGATTTTTTACTTCAAATACAGTTATGCAGTTTTATAGGATATAAAATACAAATGACATATATAATATGTCAAAATATGCATGTTAAAGTAATTTTTGCCGTAAGTTTTTCAATACATGTATAAAGTTTATTTTGGCTTAATATTAAAATATTTCTCTCTAATCTGACATACCTGTGTATCACAACTGCCAGGTAATAAGGAAATTGAATGAATGCCCTGATAACTCTGTAAATTATTTTTGAGGTTCATGGAAGCATGAAATTTAGCCAAGGCATACTCATCTTTCTCCTCACATCACAAGAAAGTTCAACATGAATGTGTGGGTTTCTTTTACAAATTTAAAATATATTTAGGAGCGACTACTGATTAGTTCAGGTGGAAAGGATGATTATCTGCTATCTGTTTAAATGCATCTAATATTCCAGGAACACACATAAAGTCACACTGAACATATAGACCAAATAGTACTTTGGATATAACAACCTATATATCCATGTTGGATCAGTTGCTTTTTTTATACCTACTCTTTCTAAATGAACATTGTTTGGTACCCTGCTTTACATATTTACAGAGTGCTTTTGAAATGAGTTGTCACCTATTCTCTTACATTCAGATTTCTTCTTTCACAATATTGTAAATCACTTTTAATTATAAAATGTTTGTTGACGAATACATAGCGTGAATCAGTTTAAAAGAATGGTCTTTGTTATTAAGATTTCTCTAAATTGGTATTCAACCATCACAATTTTATGGAGATTTAGAAAGTTAACATTTTTTTATAATCTGTAAAATATGTAAATTACTCTATCTCTGTTTCAGAGTTGGCATAAGGATTAAATGAGTTTCTATTATTTCCATAACCTTTATGAGTTTGATCACAATCTTCTAGTAACAAAAACCTTACAATTGATCAAAATACCTGCAATGTGGGTGATTAATGAAAATCATTAATGTGTATTTGCTTTTGATATAAGTTTCTATTAATGAATTTTAAGATATGTTAGATGTTTAAACAACTCCATACTATTGGCTTGTTCAGCTTAAATTAAATATCAAATCTGAGTGAAATGCATGCTTCAAATGCTGCAGTCACATATATATTTTACTTCCCAACAAACAGGTTATTTGTTAGAATTGCAGTCATACAAATTGCTACGGGGAAAAATTTTGTGCTCTAAATTTAATCAGGTAAAGCTGTAAACATATCAAAGTGCACAAACTGCTGTCAGTTTAATGTGATTTGTTTACTACAATTTTTCATATACATATAAGTGAAGTTGGAATTATATCTATATTCCCTCTGAAAGTTAATCTGTTATCAAAATAAAAGTGTATAAAATTGTATGTGTATATATGTATGTATGTGTGTGTTTACATACAGTTTTTTACTTGATCAACAGTACTTAAAATCTTATACTATATATAGAGGTGGGGTTTATCTATAAAAAAAAAATCACTGACACCTTTCAAACATAATTGTGAATTTCTTAGCTTAAGACCAAAATAGAATGAAAATAAAATGACAGAAATTATAGCAAAGACAAAATATATAGAATTGCATTGTTAATCTTTTAAATTTTTTCATGCAATTAAAGAAAAAATATATAAAACAACAATGTAAAGTGACCAAGAAAAACTTTTATTCAGATTATTGTAGATGGAATTCTTCCAGGACAGCCTACATATTTTTCCTATTCACCACTGTATGCCTGGAGCCCAGCAGACTTTGGTGCTTAATATACTTGGGAAATATTTAAAGAGAAAATAAGTGAACTAAAAGATGAATGATGAATTAATAAATAAACGTAAAAGTCTACCTATTTTGTTAAAAATCATATTTTAATAAGTATTATTTATTAATAAGAAATTTTATTCTTAAATTAAATAAAGCAAATATTTGTTGTGCACTTGATCAATGTAACATGTCATGTCAAATGTTAAAGAAGTGAGTAGACATTGGAGCTGCCTTTATATACTTTATTACCTTAAAAAGAGCACATGGCTACTATTAAAAATAAATCGAAGTCAAATGTAAGTGCAATAAAGAAATGCTGGAGAAAGTGGGGTCAGCTTTGCTTTCCAATAAAAAATTTTAACATTGAAATATAATTTACATGTGCTAAAATCTGAAGATGTTAAATGCTTATTTATATGAATTCTGACAATTGTATAACCTGCATATTCACCATACAAAACAAGATATATATCTTTCACCTAAGATTGTTTTTTCTTGAACTTTACATGCCCCACTGACAACCACCCTTATTTCTACAATCATTGGTTACTTTTGCCAGTTCTTGGACTTCATAGAAATAAAACTATGTAGTAAGTACTCCTGGATTCTTTTGCACAACATAATGTTTTTGTGATAAAACAAATTTTAATATCATAAAAATATATATGCTTAAAAATCTGAAATATTGTAGAGATAAAACAAAATAAGATGTGTGTGCTTCCCTCCCCTAACATCTTAAGAGACCCTCCCATCTCTTTGCTTATTGGCCTATCTGATGCTTGTTCGAAGAATCTAGAGGCAGAAATTCTGGAGATCCTGAAATACTTGTGGTGAGAAACCTGCTTTTCATGATATTAGACTCCTATAAACAAAGTCTGTCTCTGTTTTTTGACACCATTGAGATTTTAGAGTTGTTTGTTACTGCTATTAGCATACCCTAACTAATAAATAAGTAGATGTTTTGCTTATTGTCATTTTAAGAACTAATACAAATTAAAAATTAAAAAAATAAGACACTTAATTATCTTTGTTGAAGATAAGGGAAGAGATCACTTCCTGCCCCACACTCTTGTCCTTGTCTTTTCTTAGAACATTTACTCCTAGAAAACTTGTAATGGTAAATTATCTGTCTCCTTAAAATATATGCTAATCCTCTTTAAAGCTAAATAAGCCTCTTGCCACATTTCTGACCCAGGAACATCTTTTTCAAGGACTTGGAAGCCATTTCTTTGAAATGTAATTATCAAGGAAGACAGAGTCCCTATCTGCTGGTTTCTGTGGAAGGCTAGGAGCTGAAAGGGATGGAGCTTAACTTTTGTGGGCACTTAACTCCAAGTTTCAAAACTACCTCTTCCCACAAAAATATGAGAAGTTTCTTGTTTCCTTGAGTAAAGCCAGTTAGCAAAGATGACCACCTCAGTTATGAGGTGAATTTTGAATGAACCATGTATGATTAATGGTGTTATCGATTTCACTCTCTTGTGGAGTGGTTACTGTTTATTTTGAGAACTTGTGTGCAGTGGGTTGTATCTGCTTTGTTATATCAAAGGGCGAGCTTTCATTCTGTTTTTGCAATTTCATTAGTGGATTGCCTGTGATGCATATAATATTCTGCTTTAGTGCTTATTCAACAACACAATTGTTTTTCTTTCTCTTCTACCCTTGGGCAGAGTCTTTATGGGTTGAGAGAAGATTTTGTTTTTAATTACATTTCACCAACAATTCTGTCATGATATCAGGTAGTCCCTGAATTGAGGAGACTAGCTGAAGGTCTGTCTCTAGCCACACAAGTCAGGTAAGAGACTCTGAATTACCAACAGTTTCTCACCTCTCTTCTCTGTTGGAATGCTGCCTGAATGACCTACTCTCTGCGAGTTCAATATTTTACTGAATAAGCATGGGCAATACGGGTTCTAAAATCCCAATAGGATCATTATATGGTCAGAAAATAAATAAAATATCTAGAAGTAAACCTAATCAAAAAAGTGAAATGTCTCTAAAATGAAAATTATAAAAAATTTATCAACAAATTGAAGAGGACACAAAAAATGGAAAGATATTCCAGGTTCATGAATTAGAGAAATCAATATGGTTAAAACATCCATACCACCCAAAACAATCTACGAATTAAATGCAATTCAAATAAAAATACCAATGACATTCTTCACAGTAATTTTAAAAAATGCTAAAATTTACATAGAACCACAAAAGACCCAGAATAGCCAAAGCCATCCTTAGCAAAAAGAACAATACTGGAGGAATCACACTACCTAACTTTAAATTATACCGCACCTAACTTTAAATTATAGTAACCAAAACAGCATGGTTCTGGCATAAAAACAGGCCCGTAGACCAATGGAACAGAATAAAGAACCCAAAAACAAATCCATACGTCTACAGCAAACTCATTTTCAACAAAGGTGCCAAGAACATATATTGGGGAAAGGACAGTCTCTTCAATAAATTGTGCTGAGAAAACTAGACATCCATATGCAGAAGAATGAAACCAGACCCTATCTCTCTCCATATACAAAAATCAAGTCAAAATGGATTAAAGACTTAAATCTAAGACTGAAACTATTAACTGCTAAAAAATAATAAAAAATGTAGAAGCTACAGCATGTTGAAAATCTAGCTAAGATCATTGATAAAGGTGGTTACACTAAACAGCAGATTTTCAATATAGACAAAACAGTCTTACATTGGAAGAAGTTGCCATGTAGGTTGCTCATAGCTAAAAATGCTTGCTTTCACAGTTGCAAAAGGTAGGCTTACTCTCCTGTTAGGAGTGAATGCAACTGGTGATTTTAAGTGGAAGCTAATGTTCATTTATCATTTTAACAAATGATTTATGGCCCTTTTAGAATTATGCTAAATCTACTTAATCTGTGCTCTATAAAGGTAACAACAAAACCTGGATGATAATAAATCTGTTCAAATATTTTAAGTATGTTGAGACCTACTGCTCAGGAATACAAAAAAATAATTCCTTTCAAAATATTACTGTTCATTGACAATGCACCTGGTCATCCAAGAACTGTAATGCAGATGTGTAAGGAGATTAATGTTGCTTTCATGCATGCTAACACAACATCTATTCTGCAGTTTTTGGATGAAAGAGTAATTTTGCCTTTCAAGTCTTATTATTTAAGAAATGAATTTTGTAAGGCTATATCTGCCATAGAGAGTGATGTTTCTGATGGATCTTGGCAAAGTAAAGGTGGCAATCTTTTGGAAAAGATTCACCTAGATGTCTAGATGTCATTAAGAACTTTCATGACACATGGGAGGAGGTCAATATATCAACATTAACAGGAGTTTGGAAGAAGTTGATTCTAATCTTCACAGATGATTTTGAGGGGTTCAAGGCTCCAGTCGAGTAAGTGATAGATGAGGTACTGGAAATAGCAAGAGAAGCAGAATTAGAAATGGAGCCTAAAGATGGAACTGAATTGTTTCAATCTTCTGATAACCTTTGAATGGATGAGAAGTTGCTTCTTACGAATGAGGAAGTAAAGTGGTTTCTTGAGAATGGAATCTACGCCTGGTGATAATGCTGTGAACCTTGCTGAAAGGAGAACAAAACATTTAGAGTATTACATCAACTTATTAGATAAAGCAGAAGCAAACTTTGGGAAGACTAAACCAAATTTTGAAAAAAAAAAGTCATGTCTATTGTAGGTAAAATGCTGTAAGACAGCATCGCATGCTATCTCATGAAAGGAAGAGTGAAGCTATGTGGCTAATTTCACTGTTGCTTCTTTTAAGAAATTGCTATAGCAACCCCAACCTTCAGCAAGTAACAACTCTATCAGTAGGCAGCCATTAACATTAGAACAAGACCCTCCACCAGCAAAAAAATTACAACTTACTAAAGGCTAAAATGATCATTAGTACTTTTTAGCAATAAAGTATCTTAAAATTAAAGCATGCACACTTTTTAGAAATAATGCTATTGCATACTTAATAGGACTACAGTATAGTGTAAATATAACTTTTATATGTACTGGGAAAACAAAAACAAATGTGAGAATTGCTTCATTGCAATATTCACTTCATTGTAGTTGTGTGGAACTGAATTCACATATCTCTGAAGCATGCCTGTATATTTAGATATTCAGGATTTTGTGGTAGTTATTAATAAGGTAGGTTAGATAAATTGGTCTTAGAATGTTGAACCATCTTTGGATACCTGAGAAAACCCTCCTTGATCTTTATTATCTGTTTATATGGTGTTGGGTTTTGTTCTAGTTTTCTATCGTCATGTAAAGAATCACAAACCTAGCAACTTAAAACAACATGGGTTCATTCTTTTACTGTTTCTTTGGGTCATGGTCTAGATGCAGTGTTAACTAGGTTTCTTGATAAAGTGTCTCACAAATTTGGAATCTAGGTGTCAGTCAGACTACATTCTGTTCTATAGCGTAGGCCTCTCTTTCATGCTCATTTTGCTATTGGCAGAATTCAATTCCTTATGGTTAGGCATATAAGGTTTTCGCATTCTTGCTATTTGTCAAAAAGGGGACCCTCAGTTCCTGGCCATCTCCATACTTCTTGCAACATGGGTCTTTCATAGGTCTTCTCAGAATACAGCAGTTTCAGCAGTTTACTTCTTTTAGTAAGCATTTTTACTTGTATACATCCAGTATAGTATTTTTTTTTTAACTCAAAGTCAACTGCTTTCAAACCATTACATCTGCAAAATCTCTATGTCATGCAAATTGTTATTCTGTAGTTTACTTCCATTATAATGTCTTTGGTTTTGGTAGCAGTGTAATATTGGCCGTACATAATGAATTATGATTCAATATCCACTGTTCAGTGTTTGGTATATTTTGTAGTGTTTATATTATTTTTTAAATTAAGCATTTGGTAGAAATCACCACTGAAGCCATCAAAGGCGGGACTTTTGGTGCAAGATTTAAGTACGGTTTCAATTAATGTAATTGCTGTAAAGCTGTTAAAGTCTATCAGTTTGCTTCTGAGTAATCTGTCATCATTTTGGCTTTTCAATGAAGTTTTTTCATTTTTCCTAAATTATTTATTAGCATAAAGTTATTAATATTTCTATAATTTTAATATGTATAGAGCCTAGGAATGGGATCTCTTTCATTTCTGATCTTGATAACTTGTTTTCTCTATATTTTTTCTTACTTTGTTTCATTTTAGGTACACTGATTTTACTATTTTGTTTTTTCAACAAACCGGCTTAAGTTTCATTGATTTTCTCTGTTGTGCTGTTTTTCTGTTTTCCATTTCATTCATTTCTACTTTGATTTTTTCCACTTTATTTCTTGTACCCCCATTTTGCAACTAATATGCTCTTCTTTCTTACATTACAACTTGAGATTCCCGATTTGAGAGTTTTTTTTCAAATTTCGGGGTTCAGTGTTACAAATTTCCCCACTAAATATTGCTTTAGTGGCATGCCACAGTTTGCTGTGCTGTTTTCATTTTAATTCAATTCAAATGACTTTCTATCGTCCCTTGTGATTTTCCTTTGACTCATAAATTCTTTAGAAATGTGGTAGTTAATTTTCAAATATTTGGAGATTTGATTTCCAAATATTATTTTCTGTTAATGATTTATGATCTAATTCCTTTGTACTCAGAGAACAGACCTTTCATGACTTGAACATTTAAAATATACTGAGGCTTGCTAATGGCTAGAGTATGGGATATATTACTAAGTATTCCATGCCTACTTTAATAAAATATATTTTCTCTTGTGGTTTGGTAGAATGTTCTATAAATAGCAATTAGGTCACGATGGTTGATAGACTTGTTTAAATCTTCTCTATTCTTCCTAATTTTCATTCTAATTGTTTTGTCAGTTGTTAAGGAAAGTATTATCTGACAATAGCTGTAGAATTTTTAGTGTCGCTTTCAGTTTTTCTTCATGTATTTTGAATATCTCTAATTGGGTATACAAACATTTAGGATTATGCTGTATTCTTAATGAACTAAACTCTGTCATTATGACATTAATTTCTTTATCTTGCTAATATTCTTTTTTTCTGAAATTGACTTTGTCCGATATTAATAGAGCCACACCATTTGATTCACTTGATTAGTGTTTAGTTTAAAAATTTATATATGCTTTTCCATTATTTTTATTTTTATTTCATTTATTTTTCATTGATTATATTTGTATCATTTTTCTTGCTGGCAACATCCAGTTAGTTGGTTGTTGTTTTATATCCAATCATATAACTTCTACTTTTTAATTGTGGTATTTATACCATTTTTCATATGATTACTGTTTGATTAGGTTTAAATTTTTCATCATACCGTTTGTTGTTATGTCTCATATGATCTTGCTTCTTCATATCCTCTTTATATTCCATCATTTGGGTAATTTGAGAATTTTTTATCCCTTGTTATTACAATATTTCCTTATGTATTAGCTATAACTCTTTGCTATTTTAGTAGTTATATTATTTATAGCATGCATCTTTAATTTATCACAGTCTATTATCGGGCGAAATTCACCCCCGATATTTCAGCCAGTCCCTCCGTTCAGGGTCCCTGACTTCCCTCAACGGTCTACCTTAAAGTGATATTGAATTTTGGATGTAGATTAAGTTTACATAAATTATTTTTGTGTCCTCTCTGTTTTTTGTGTCATTGTCATGTTTATACGTTTTTGCTAACTATACACTACGTTATTATTATTTTTCTTTAAACAATACATTATATTTTGACAAAATGAACAAATTGAATAAAATATCTATTTGCCTGCCTAGTTTCCATTTCACATTGTTCTGATTCTTTCACGAAAATCTATGTTTTCAACTGTTGTTTTTAATTTTCCCTGTGTCTGAAAGATATCTGAGTAACTTCTTTTATAGTGTGCTCTGCTAGTGATGAATCCTAAAAAATATATTTATTTTGCCTAATACTTGAAAGACTTCTTCTCTCCATAAAAAATAGATAGATGATAGTTGTATTATATTTTTTCAGTTCATTGAAGGTATTTCAACATGCTCTCTAATGTATTACTTCGAATAAGAAATTTACTGTATTATTTATATTTTTATGTCTCTATATGTAACATTTCTTTTTTCTCTGGCTGTATTAAGACATTCTATTTATCACTGATTTTAATGAACTTTATTATTATATACCTTGGTATGGTTTTCTTCACGTCTTGTGCCTGTGTGTATTTGATCTTCCTGGAGTGAGTTGTAATTTTTATTCTTTTTATAAAATGTGTCCATAGTTATTTCTTTTTTTTTTTTCTGTTTCCCCTTCTCTCTTCTCCTTTTTTACAACATTTACTACACATATATTAAGACACTTGATGTGGTCCTGCAACTCACTGATGCTGTGTTCAATTTTATTAATTCTTTTTTTCTTTTTCTGTTAATTATGAAGACTTTCTATTACACTGCATTATGTCTTAAAGTCCACTGATCTTGCTTTCTGCAAAGTCTAAAGTGTTCTTATTTTCATCGAGTGTTTTTTTTTTTACATGCACATCATAGTTTTATATCTCAACGGTCCATTTGGAAATTTTTGTATCGTTTATGTCTTTTTTTAACTGGACATTTGTTTTTCTTCTTGAGATACATACTTCACGTGCAATAAATACACACATCATAAGTGGACAGTTTAGTAGAGAATGAATAGGTAATATCATTTTTTGGAATGTCATTTTTTATCCCTTCGTTTTCAGTCTATATGTGTCTTAAATCTAAAGTGAGTCTCTTGTAGACAGTAGAGTTCAGAATCATATTTTTTTAAAAAATTCATTCTACCACTGTATAAGTTTTCATTGGGGAATTTAAGGTAATTAATGACAGGTGAGGACTTTCTATAGCAATTTTGTTGTTTTATGTGTGTTTTGCAGTGTTTTGCTTTTATTCTTTTCTTTTTAATCTTGTGAGTTTCAGTTATAGGATTTTATTTTTATCTTATTTTATTTCTTGAGCCAGGGTCTTGCTTTGTCACAGTGGCATGATCTTGATTCACTGCAACTTCTACCTCCCTGGCCCTAGCGATCCACCCAGACTCACAAGTACCTGGGGCTACAAGTGCGTGACCCAATACCTGGCTAATTTTTGTATTTTTTGTAGAGATGAGGTTTCACTATGTTGCCCAGGCTGGTCTTGAACTCCTGAGTTCAAGTGATCTGCCTGCCTTGGCCTCCCAAAGTGATGATATTACAGACATGAGCCACCATGCCCAGTCTGTTATAGGTTTTTAATGTGTGGTTAGCTTGAGGTTTGCATAAAATATATTGTTGTTATAACCATCTATTTTTAGTTCGTAATAACTTTCCTTCAATCAGATACGAACTCTGCATTTTTATTCCCCTCAATTTTGCATTCTTAAATTCAGAGAGTTTACTTCTTTTTATATCATATATGCAGAGTAAGCTTTTGTCTTTTAACTTTTATATTAGAGATAAAGTTATTTATGTACCAACATTGTAGTGCTGTATTATTCTGTATGGGTATATATTATTCCTTTTACCAGAGAGATTTATACTTTTATGTGGTTTTGTGGTACTGTTTAGCATGTTTTCTTTTCAAGTTGAAATACTTTCTTAAACATTTCTTTTAAGGCAGGTCTAGTGGTGATGAAATTTCTTAGTTTTTGTTTGCCTGGGAAATATTTTATTTTCTTCATGTTTAAATGATAGTTTTGACAAGCATATTATTTGTTGTTGGTAGGTCTTTATTTAACTACTTCAAATACATGATTCCTCTCTATTGTGGCCTGAAAGGTTTCTGCTGAGAAGTCCACTGATGGTCTTATGAGGGCTTCTTTGCATGTGATGAGTGACTTTTGTCTTGCTGTATACAAAACTCTTTGGCTTTGAGTTTTGGCAATTTGATTATAATGTGTCTCAGTGTAGACCTCTTTATCATCAAACTATGTGTAGGGCTTTGGGCTGCTTGAATCAGGATGTCTATTTTCTTTTAGAGATTTTTAAAGTTTTCATTTTTTTAAAATAACCTTTATCTCTCTTTCTTTCTCTCTTCTCCTTCTAGGATTTCCATAATAGGTATATTGCTTCACTTGATGGAATCTCATAGATCCCAAAGGCTTTCTTCACATTTTTCTTTTAACTTCTTCTCCTCTGTCTGGATAATTTCAAATAGTTTGTTTTTGAGTTTGCTGGTTGAAGCTCTGTATTTTATTTTTTTATTTTATTCATTATATTTTTCAGCTCCAGAATTTCTTATTAGTTCTTACGATTTTTATCTCTTTGTTAAACTTCTCATCTTCTTTATGTATTGTTTTCCCTAATTTCACTGAGGTGTTTGTACACTCTAATAATTTGCTAAGCTTCTTTAAAATAATTTTCTGAGTGTAATTCATAGATTTCTATTTCTCTGTGGTTGGCTACTGGAAATTTACTGTGCTCTTTTTGTGGTGTCTTGTTTCCCTGTTTTTCCTTATTGTAGTCATCCATTTGTTTCTGTGCATTTGAAGAAAAAAGTCCCTTCCTCTAGACTTTACAGGCTGGCTTTGGTGGGGAAAAACCTTCAAAAATAGTTGGACATGAGAGGACCAGGCTGGTAGGGCTTATGGCAGTGATGGGGTCCAATGGGTGCATGGTGGCTCGTGGTCTGAGTGATGTGTGGCTGCCCCAGGGCTGGGAAGTGCAGTGGCTTCAGTTCCAGGGGAGTGCAGTTAGATGGTCTCTGTGCAGATCTACTAGCTAGGGTTTGCAGTGGCCAAAATTATGGGATGCTCTGCCGCAGTGGCTGTGTGGGTCTACAGTGGTTGCAAGAGCTGCTGAGGGTTTTCTGCTCTCGTTTTCTCCCATGGAGGAAGTCATGGCTGAGGGGATTCTCTTTGGCATTGAGCTGTGTCAGTCTGGCAGACGGGGTAATGTGGGTAAAATCTCTTCTACACTTTTCTAAGTGGCTGTTCTCAGTTCCTTATTTTCCTGGGTTGCTGCAGCTTTTTAATTGCACTCTGGAGCACTCCCAGAGCTACTTTGGTGCACAAACAGTTGTTAACTCATTGTTTTTATTGGGGATGTGGGGGTGGTTGAGGCCTAGAACCTTGCAGTCTGCCACCTTGCTTATATCACGCTGCTGGTTTCTATTTACTGTGATGAAAGGGCGGGGACTGCAACTGCAGGCTGCCATGAGCACAGTGCTGGGAAGTTAATGGCTGGTGAAGGGCAGCATTGGGGCAGATAAAAGCTACATGATAAGGCACCCTCCTGTGCCCCAGGTCTAGACTCTTGCTTCGGCACTTTTGCTTAAAACGGAGGGAAACATTGACGCCATTGCCATCTCTGCACCTCTCTTTCTCTTCCATGTCATGTTTTAATTGAACATATGAAAATCAGTTTTAATAACTCTTTGTATCCTTGTCTGGTAAATCTAACATTTATGCCAAGTCTATGTCAGTTTCACTTGATTAGTTTATTGCCGTATTGTAAGTCACAGTTTTTTGCTTTTTAGAACTTTTGATGGGATGGTAGATATCATGAATTTTGCTTTGTTGCCTGGTAGACATTTTTTATTTCTCTATTCTTGAGCTTTCAACTGTGATGTAGTAAGGTTACCTGGAGCAAAATTGAAAGCCGAGTCTTGGTTTTTAAGGTTTTATGGATACTAATGGAATAGTCCTGAGTCTAGGGCTTATTGTTTCTCACTGCTGAGAAAACACCCTATGAATGTAGAGCTTTTCCAGTCTGACTTATAGAAAAAGGCACTATATCTAACTCTACATCAGCAATGAACACAGCTATTACTAATCCTTTTGGGTAGTTTAATACCAAATCAGGAGTGGTTTTCCCTCAGGTATGTGCAGATATGCACTCATTTAATGTTCCAAGGACAACTTCTGCACATCTCCAAACGTTTCTCATTGTGCTTCAATGACTTGATCACTCTGGACTTTCAATTTTATTTCCTCAAATCAGGGAAACTGTTAGTCTCCTCTTGGAATTTTCCTTCCTGTGCTGTTTCCTGAAAACAAACAAACAAACAAAAAAAAAAAACAAAAAAAAACAACATTTAAAGGCAGTAAGTCAAGGTAATTGCTGGACTGAATTCAATTGTTTCTCTTCTCTCAGGAATTGCTTTCTTTCACTGTCTGATGAAGTTATTTGTAAGTTATTGTTTCATACACTTTGTCCTTTTTGTTTGTTTTATCAAGTCATTTTAATAGTTTACTTGTCTCCACAAATAAACATGTACAGCACCATAATAGAATAAATTAACTAGTTTTTTTATAAGCTACAATTATAAGCTACAAATATAAATTCATTAGTTTATTTAAGAAATTAATCTTAAATATTTAATTTTTTGTTAAAATATTGTTTAAAAATGTCTCATTTTATATACCTATTTGTAATGCCACAGAAAACTTCTAATCACAAAAGAAATATCAAGTCATGATTACTTTCCCAGAAATATTAGAATATTATTGTTAATTAGCTGTTATGTCTATTTTCCAATTACAGTCGAAATGGAGTAAAAGAATCTCAATACTTAATTAAGCCTACTCAAGTTCAAAAATGTAAATTTCCATTTTTTTCCATAGTTTTGAGTAGGAATACTGAAAAACTATACAATGCAACTAGATGTTCTTTGTACTTTATATGTAATGAGGATTTTGTTTAGTATTTGCTAAACTTAATAATTTTAAGAAAATATTATTTCATCATTCTGATTGCTTTCAGAAATCATACTAATAATCTCAACATATCTTCTTTAGAAATAATTTTGAAATTATACATATGAATCCTAAATAATTAGGGATAGAAATCAATACTGAGGAAGTCCTACTTTTTTTATTTTGACATTAAAATAATATCTGGGCCACTGGGTATTTTAGTGTGTTCTCAGTAGCAAAATCATCCCATGTACTGTATAAATCACTTTCAAGGAAAGCAAATTCAAAAGTTTGATCACACATATCACATTTGACTGAGCAGTGAATATTCCTTTTGTCCACACTAAAAGGTTAATGCTTGCAGTAGTACTGTAGAGCTATATACTGTTTCTCCACTTCTCCATTCTTGACAAGCTATTGAGGATCATAATGATACACAAGCCAGCCAGCATCTCAGTACTCAGATGATTTCACCTTTCTTTCATTCCACACATTTCGTAATGTATTTATCACCTTGATTTATCACAAGCAATCTTACACTGAAACATTCTTTTGTTCTTTTCTGATGTTGCTTTCTCCTGAGCTACAGTGAGGATTTGGTGTCAGCCAAATATTTAAAGGGAGTATATAGATATATTTTAGGGCTTCTCTCACCATATGACTTTCTCCTTTCTGGGATCTCTCTCTTCAATTTCCAGCTACGCTGACAGCCTTAATTGACATCTTATGATATATCTAGTCAATAAAATAGTAGCTTTCTGCTTGAGTTTAATGGCCTCAGGGAAAAAAACATATAAATGTAAATCTCACTCAATGAGTCGAGGTTTCTTTTTTCAAAGGTTAAGTCATCTACAAGTTTTGGTCCTCTACCATGATACTAAATATTTGTTTGTATAAATATACAGTTTTTTTGAGCTTGTCATTGCTGCTGCAGTGTTATTCCATTATAACTCACTCCACTATCACCTAATCTGGAACACTTAGAATTATTTATATTTAATTCTTTTACATGGGATATTTTATTTCTTTAGGCCTGAAATAACATATTGTAAGGAATTTTTATGAGGTTATTTGTTTGCAGCCTAAAGATGTTTCAACAGTGTCTGAATTGTCTATACAATTTAGAGCTGTTATATAGGCTATTTTTTATGCAAAATTGGATAAGCATATAGAATTTTAATGAGCTTCAATCATTTTCAAAATTATCTATTTCTTAAGCAATGAAGTCGTTTAAAACGTTGTGATTAGAGAAGATGAATTCTAAGGGAAAATAATGTAAGGGATTATGATATGTGAAAGCTGCCTGAAAACAAGAATTAATTATCTGCTGAATAAAAAGACGTATGTCCTCCAAAACCCTTTATTTGATTTATGCAAATTAGTTTTATATCACATCTGAGTGAAGGTTTGTAATGATTTACCTTAACAATGAATGGTCTTAATGCTAAAGGTGGACAGCTAAACAGGAGAAACACCATTATTAATATGTACAATAAAGGCTACGTTGTCAATAGAAGTTGTGAACTAGAAATGAGCCCAGTACCAAACTCCTACCTGACTACAGAAAAACTCTTGTTGTGGAGCAGTGGGGAAAGAAATTATTTTCTGAAGGTTTGTGCTATAAGCTTCCCCTAAGAATATGCAGAAACATTTGCATCACTGATATGACCGAAAAATCCAAAATGATATCTTTAACTCCAAGTGTATCATATGTGCTCCCCCAAAAGTGAAACAGTTATAATTATCAAAATCAACTTCCAGAATGCAAATATGTCACAACCTGGCCCTGAGCCATATTCTATTTAAAAATGGCATTTATCTGTATCCTCAACTCTATAACCTGAACTCCCAGATGGGTTTGGCAAGCAGTGTCAAGAGTTACATACTAATTCAATACTAGCAAAGGGAATATAATGAGCTGTGATTAGGAATCATTGATACATTTCTATCATTCTCATTTTTTTTATTTAAAGCATGAATCAGTTTTAAAAAAGCAATTTCACACAAATGAAACTGAACTTCAGTAGAGGTTAATATTTTATTGCCAGTCCATCACTGACATAAGTTAGCAAAGGCAAAGTTTGCATGGTTTTTCTTTAGAGCTTGTGGATATAGTTCATACACAAATTCTATTCAATGGGTTACCATACCACAAGTAGTAATAACTAAAAGGGGTTCTATTCTCCCATAAATATTTTATAATTTATGAAGAATAACAAAATAGTCATTTGTTCAGCTTACCTTTTGTGTTTATTCTGTTTATCAATGCTATTTAGGTAATGCAATAACATAAGGCAAGAAAAATAAAGCAAAAGGCCTTAAGAAAAGCATTTCAATTTTTTTATAGATGATATGATCTTTTATATAAGAATTAGTATAGGATCTCCAAAATGCTGCTAGAACCAATAAGTGAATTTAACAATGTGCAGGATATAAGATCAATACACAGGATCAATTTTATATCCATATATTCACAAAAAACAATTGCAAAATGATTTTAGTAAGCTAATATAACATAATAGCATATACATATCTTAAAATGGATCTATAAAAATTGTGCAAATCTTTTACACAGTACACTACAATGTAGAGCTAAGGAAATATTAAAAAGATTTAAATAAAAGTAGATATGTAATACATTCAGAAATTATGACTGTATTTTATGATATTCATTCTGCATAAATTAATACATAGTTTCAACACAACTGCATTCAGAATGCACGCAAGTGTTTGAAAAACTGGAAAGGCAGCCCCTAAGCTTTCATGGGAATGCAAAAAATCTAGAAATACCAAGATTCTTAAGAAAAGATTAACAAAGTGAAATGACCTAAAATTACTGTTGCCTAGTTTTGCTTTAAGGGTTACACAGTCAAGATAGTGTTGCATTCACATAAAAATAACAAATAGATCAGTAGAACATAATCAATAATGCAGAATTAGACCTATACATATGTATTCAGTTGAGTTTTTACACACATGTATTTATTTTGATTGATACCTTTTACCCACTTTTCATGTCAAATAAATGGTAAAAAAAAAATATTTTGAACCATTGGCACTGATGACAGTCAAATATTTTCATAGAAAAGCGAGACATGCCACTCACCTCATTCTGTACATTAAAAAATAATTCGAGACAATTATAGAATACAGAAACACAAATATTTTAGCATAAAAAACATAAAAATATCTTAATGACTTTGGGTTAATTAAAGTTTTTTTAGATGGTATATAGTAAGCAGTAATCATTTTTTTAAAAAGACAAATTATCATAATATAAAATGTATTTACTATTAAAAATACATCATTAAGAAATTGATTATGTAAGTCACAGACTTTACGAAAATATTTGCCATAACATATATCTGTTAAAGAACTAACACTCGGATTTTAAGATATTCATACACATCTGCAACTGAAAGAAAAACTAACAAAAATTGGCAAAAATATGACACACAATTTGCAAAAAAATTAAGAATGTCGAATAAACACAGGAAAATATGTTAAATATTATTATTCATTTTGAAAATGCAAATGAAACCCACATTAAGAGGTTATTTCATACATTCTAAAATAGCTACAACCAAAAGTACTTATGTTACCACATGCTGGCAAATATTGACATAATTAGAACCCTTAAACATTGCTGGTGGGAGAATAGTTATATAACCACCTTTTAGAAAACTGTTTTAATTAATGCTAAATATACATCTAGCTTATAACATTGCAAATTAACATGTAGATACTTAACCATTAAATTACCAAAAGGTCACAAAAATATTTGTACATATATATTCATAAGAATCTATAGTTGAACAAAACCCAAATGTTCACAACAAAAAGCATAATCACGTTAAAATTTATTCATGGTATTGAGTAATATTTTGCTATGAAAAAACAAATTATTGATAAAACATCATAGATGAATCTAAAAGACAGTATTTTAAACAAAAGGAACCACAAACACTGATAGTTTATTCACATTAGCAGGCAAATCTAATCAATAATGATAACAACCAGAACGCAGCTGACTCAGAGAAAGACAAAAATGAATGGTAAGGAACTTGTGTGAATTTTCTGGAGTGATGGAAATGTTCTATGTGTAATTTTTGGCTGTATACACACGGGTGCATACAATTGTCTAACTTATCACACGAAACATTTCTGTATAGTTTGTTGTATACATTATTATAAATTCATTTAAAAATGATCAAATAATTGTTTTAGAAACCTAAGTTTACACCACAATTATTAGAGCATGCAAAAAATCTTACACCAGTGTGCTGAAGTTCTTATTCTTACATAAGTAGATGGTTTAAGTTTGTTGTTATTCATATTCAGTAGAATGTTTGGGGTAGTAAATGAGACTTGTTTGAGACTTATTTTTCTGAAGAAAAATAACAAGCATATGCTAGTACTTCAAAAGTCTGAATATCTGAAACTCTGTGCAGTGTTTTTGTTATCATTCAGGTTTAGATTTTTTTCTTCCCCCTAACAAAAGAAAGCTTGAGGTAAAAAAAAAAAAAAAGTTCCTGATACTCCGTGGAGAAGTGGTGTTTGTATTCTCTGTTCAGTTTGCAAAGTCATATATCCATACTTCTTGTTGAATTTCTTTTATTTTTCCATAACTGCTGACCTTTTCTAGAAAAAAAAACAGCTGATAGCTTTGAATGAAAGATATATAGACTGGCATTTACATCATGTCCATCATTCGTTAAATGAATTTTTATTCTGGACACTACATTAGGCTCTAAAATAAAAAAGCAATCAGGATAGTTTTTATTATATCACATAGGTAAAAACTAACTAGCCGTAATATTTTGCCCCAACTTTCTATTCTTTTAGCTAAGATGATCTTTTCTGGCTCATTTACTAACTATATTTTTATTATTTCAAGAGGTTCAAATACAGTCTCTTCTCATTTTAAAACCTGACTATACTGTCTCATCTCCACTTTAAATTCCCATCAAATAATTAAACATAATAGCCTGCGTACCTTCTTGATGGTTCACCTCATTTTTGTTCTCTGGGCATCTTTCCACTGTCTTTCTATTTCATTATCTGTACCTGGGGCATTTCGTTCTCTATCCATCTGTTTAGCTCTCTGAGTCTTCCCTCCAGGATTGATCCTACCACAAAATTAAACTGTACCACCATCTGTTTCTCACAGGTAAACAATAGAACATATAACATTGGATATACTACTAAATGTCTATTAGTTATTCTAATTTTATAAGACCACATAGAGAAAACCCCCACACAAAAGAAAACTATTAATTCTCATATCATTAATTGCACAAGACTAAATTATCTCTTATAGTTTTAAATATGCACAGTTTTCCCAATCATAGTTTTATTACCAATATGTTTTGTTCAGGTTATAGAAGGTCTGACTTCATGTTATAAAGGTGTAATTATTTTCTAAGAAATGTCATGATTATCAGTAAAACTGCTTTAAAATTAAATTTTGAGTCATTTAATAAAACACTATTTTGAGTTAGTGTTCTTATTTCCAAGAAGACTATACATGCACACAATTTGTCCTCCTAATTGCCAAAACTGCATCTCATCTAGTAAGGCATATATTTTATTAAAGTTCACAATATGAGATTAATAAAATTAAATCATTTTAGAATTAGTCATAGAAATATGTAGCTAAATAAGTGTGCAGGACATATATCATATATCCCCCAAATAAAAAATAAGCTAATATAAGAAAACTAGTCTCAAAATTAGAAGTAAAATTCATTTTGTTTGCTATTTTTCAAGGGGTTAATCATTTCCAAATTAAAAAAAAAAATGTATGACAGCTCTGAGCAATCTTTTAAATCCTCTTTATCAGATGGATAAAAATGTATGTACCACCACCAAGTATCTATGCATCTCCACAACAATCAATGTTACAGTTATATACAATCTAAATGTGGAAAGAAAATTACAAATTGTTATGATTCATACGAAATAAGCTGTTTCTTCTTCATGTGATTTTCCCTTCTTTCTGAAATAAGCGCAGTTTTTTAACCTTGTTTCCAATGGACAGATTTGTGTGATTTTGATGATGAAAGAAACTGATTTGCTCTTCCAATAATACATTCAATTGATCTCTATTGACATATTTTGGCCACATAATAAGACGTTTGGTATGCAATATTCGACATGTTCCCTGCCCCCTCTGGATCTTACAGTATAGCACTCATTCACCAGTGTGAGCACTTATATTAAGCAAGAAATGTTTTACGCACTAGGGGCATAGTCATAAACAATCAATTTTGTCTTTGTCTTTAGATATTAGGAAAAGTACAACGTGTACTATAAAAGTGAAAGTACTGAAGGTTAGATAAATATATAGCATATCATTGTAGGGATTCAGAAATGCCACATAAAAGAAAATTTAATATTGAGGGATGAATAATGACAATCTTAAAATATTTTAAAAATAGGTGAAGGAGCTAAGTAGAACAAAAAACATAGAGAAAGAGAAAAGAAAGAGCCTGGAATATCACAGAATTTAGACTTAATTTCATATGATATTGATAGTTATTAACTGCTGATTTTTGAACCGACTCCCCTCTGGTATTTTCTTCACAGGTTACATTCTGGTGCTGCAAGCATGGATTATGCAGACTCGAGAGAAAACCAGCATCTCATTTATCCTGGTCCTTTTCATTGTTTTCCAGTTACTACAATCATGCTCAGCTTGTCATTCGATAGTATAAGAATGATTATTATTAAGCAATATGTAAAAAGAAATATGTTACCTTATATATTGATATAATTCAATTAATATGATTTGCATTAAATTGTAAAAATTTAACAAAGAAACCCCAAATATTTTAGGAGATATAAACTTGCACTTTTAAAGTTTCAATATGCAAGCCAAAAAATCACAACAGTAAAGACAGGCAACATAAAATGAAAATTCTAAAGGATAACCTGAAATACACTCTGTAAGAAAAGTATTGACAAAGTGAAAATTAGACTATTTAGAAAGTATTCATACATAGTTTAATTTCTACCATTCCCCTTTCATAGTAGTTTTTTAATATTATTAAGTGTTGGTGAAAATAATATGTGCTTTTTAATGTGATTTTATTGACTGTTTCTATTACTGTAAAATAGGATGTGAGCTAAAGTTGCAAACAGCCTTTGCATGATTTACTGTAAAACAGTTTTTCCACTGCTGCAGGCACTGTAGTGCAAGTCTTTTTACTGGGGCATTGGCTAAGAAATCTGAAAACTCACATGAAATACATATTTCAGAATATTGATGGAGACCAAAACAAGTTGTTTTTAAAACTTTTCTTTTAAATTAATGAATGAATGAATTTGAAATGTGTGTTGATCTCCTTAAATGTGATTTTTCTTGACAGGTAATGTCATATCAGCAAGAACAGTTCAATGTTATTCAACAGCATGCACTTATGGAGTATTTACTCTGTCAGAATATGCAGATATAGCATAGGCTACAGGGAGAAACTGACTTCAAAACTGATAACTTACTGTATCTCATGTGAATATTCTGATCCAAGTTCTGTGAAGTGAGGAATGGCAGTGTTTAATTTAGATCTTTGTATCCAGAAAAAAATATCACGGAAGGACAGGCAGATGGGCATACTAAACATAAACATGTTTTCAAGATGCGAAAACACCTGCATAAAACGGAAAAAAAGTTTTGTTTACAAAGCAAATGAATACCTACATATAACTGAAGGTTTAATTTTTGAAAAGTATTTTATTAATATCTATCATTAGTTCTTAAAAATTATATTTTGAATCCTCTTTTTGAATCTGATCAAAGCTATAGACCTCTCTGAGCTAAACCTGAACTTTTTCATCCTTTCCACATAAAATAATACCTGTTTGGTTCAAACCGTGGTGAACGATGAAAATCAACAGTTCACAGCCTTTTCCTATTCTTGTTCAGATAAGAACCTCAAGAACCCCACCAACCTGACTTACTTTTTTTTTTTTTTTTTTTTTTTTTTTTTGAGACGGAGTCTCGCTCTGTCGCCCAGGCCGGACTGCGGACTGCAGTGGCGCAATCTCGGCTCACTGCAAGCTCCGCTTCCCGGGTTCACGCCATTCTCCTGCCTCAGCCTCCCGAGTAGCTGGGACTACAGGCGCCCGCCACCACGCCCGGCTAATTTTTTGTATTTTTAGTAGAGACGGGGTTTCACCTTGTTAGCCAGGATGGTCTCGATCTCCTGACCTCATGATCCACCCGCCTCGGCCTCCCAAAGTGCTGGGATTACAGGCGTGAGCCACCGCGCCCGGCCCAACCTGACTTACTTGTTCAGAGTATTTGTCAGTAGCTTTTGTCTGTAGTATTTGTATAAATATTAATTTTTCATCATAAATGATTTAGTTTGATAATTTATATATTTTTTCTTTAATATATTATGTAACTTTACTCTGTTTTCTTTATAAATTCATTTCTGTAGGCCATTGCTCAAGATATTGTAGTTTAATCCCTAAATTATTGTTTAGTTCCTTATGTATGTACCTACCTGTTGGGAACTCAGCTCAGCTGGAGAGAGAGCTGAGCTGCCAGGTGTCAGAGTAGTCACTTATAGCAACAACAAGCCAAAATGATGGTTAACTATTAAGACTTTGATCACTTACCTTGATAGTAAAAGCAAGAAGCTAAAATAAGAGAAAGGGCCTTTTCCATTTTGCCCCATGGAACAGGTGCACTGGTTCAGGGATCAGGAGGGTTGGCGCAGATGTGGTAGTCCTCATTGTTGAGGTAGCCCAGACAAGGGGAGGCTGTAGTTTTATGGACCCTGGGGCCCAGGGAAAGGCGAAAAGAGGGGCAGAAAAATAATGAGTACTGAGATAGTAGGGAAGAGTCTTCAAGGTTTCCTCTTCCTCCTTCCCATAAGGAACCTCAGAAAAGGAGAACTATGAACGAAGGTACCAGAGCTAAGAATGGAAATATGTGTAAGAGCTTGTTGGCCCGCGGGAACAGAATCCTTGACTGCAGCTTCCTTCAGAGGATGCACTGCACTGGCTGTGCACCACATCTGGTGTGGGGAGGGCAGTTTTCGCTTGTGAGGAACTTCCAGGTAAAGGCTTTATAATCCCCTAACGTTAGGTCTGAAAATTCAAACATAGATGTAACCAGGAGCCACACTTTTGTGACCAGGAGCCACACTTTTGTAACCAGGAGCCACACTTTTGTAACCAGGAGACACACTTTTCACCTCCATTCCTTGACTTTTTGGGACTTGAGCAAGAAAATAGGCCAGTTTACCATGAAACCAAATAGGTCATACTTTGGAGGCCTGTCAGTAATTTGTCTGATGCAACAGAAGATCATGGTTATGATTAAAATTATTCCTAGCAGAATGATCAGGCCCTTCTTGACTATAACCATGAGGCCCAACCATTGCCAAAACAGAAAAAAACAAAACGTTCCATAGCCCCTCTGGATCTACTTTAGAGAACCAGGAAGTTTAAAAAAAAAAAGAATCATAAATATTTTTTATCTTTTTTTTTTTAATCTGGCCTAAGGCATACATTTACTACATACAGCACAATTCTGGCCAGTAAGTTGAGGCTAACCTAAATATCTTTCAGAGCTAAGGCAATTTCCTGAGAAAGTATAATACACAAGAAGTACAATCCCATCAGAGATGTTTGGTGCCCTGGAAACAGAGTTTTCAATGTAAGGACACTGCAAACATGATATTCACTAATCAGGTAATTGGGGTAACTGAAGCCCTGATTGTGGACTTCCAGCATGTGGCCTCCTGCCCTGGGGTCCCCTATCCAGATTGAACAATTCAGTTCAGTCTTTGTTTTCTGAGGCAGTTCGATTTAAATAGTTTTGTGTCCATGACATCAGTTAATATGTCTCACTACTGTGGACAACATCTGGAGGTGTTTTGCCAGGAAAGTGCAGGAGCTGAAACCATTGTCTGCTATCTTAGTTAGCAGTCAGGTGTGACGATGAATTCAATATTTAGCCTGAGTTAAATGTACTCACAGCAGCTTGGAAAGGCAGCCTAGGGAGTTCTTTTTTAGAAGGAGTAGCGAGTTTTCAGGAGCAGGTCAGAAATAAAAAGATCATTAATATCCAGCCCTCTACCCCTGCTCAGGTGCTGGGATTTTAGTTTATTTGGTTGTTATTGCTGTCTCATTTAGTCATCACAACTTTACATTTAAAAAAATTGCTGCCTACTTTAATCCAGACCTTTTGTCTGAAAGGGTTGTATGCAAGAGTGATGTGTGTAGCATATGACTAAGTCCTAGCCAGCAAAATGTAGATTGAAATATTGCACATCACTGTCAGGGCTTGTTCATTAAAAGAAGGAAAGGTGAGAAGGGGAGAGCAGGGGAAAGGCGGAGAGAAAAAGGGAGGGAGAGCATATGTAATGTACTTTCCCCAACTGCGAGTTTAATGTTAAGGACTCTGACAAAGTCAAATCCTAGAAGAGACAAGCAGATAAGCACTAAGGTCCTTGAGTCATTGCTACTACGAGAACATTCCAGAAGAGTGAATGTGTACCAGAAGGTGTACCAAAGAACACCCATGTTGGACTTTTAATAATTACTAAAATTTAGGTGTGATGATGCAACTGTTTGCCTACCATGAATAATATATCCTTTAGCCCCAGTGATTTATAAATTAGGTAGGAATATGGACAAATTAATAACAACTTTCATAGCATGAAAATGTTTATGGTAAAAGTATATAGATATTTAAAAAAGTACAATGTGTACTATAAAAGTGAAAATATTAAAGGTTAGATAAATATATAGCATATCATTGTAGGGATTAGAAAAAGCCACATAAAAGAAAATTTATTACTGAGGGATGAATAATGACGATCTTAAAATATTTTAAAAATAGGCGAAGGAGTGCCCTATAGAAAAACAATGAAAATTTTGCTAAAATATTGAGAAATAACAAAATTCTAGGTGGGTCACAATTGATATAGGTGTAGAAAATCTGAAACAATAATTAATGTTCATCAGACACTTCCCAGGTGCCAGACACTCTAAAAACTTTGTCTTAGATTGGGCTGCTAAAATAAGGTATAATAGATGGGTGGCTTATAAACAAACAAAAATTTATTTCTCATAGTTCCAAAGGATGAAAGTCCAAGATAGGGTCCCAGCATGGTTGCTTCTATTGAGGGCCCTCTTCTGAGATGCAGGTTGTCTGCTTCTCATAGTATGCTCACATGGCAGAAGGAAAGCAGGCTGGCTCGGTGGCCTTTTCTTAGAAGGGTACTAATCCCATTCTGTGGGCTTCACCCTTATGACCTGATTACCTCTCAAAAGCCCACCTCAAGATACTATTACGTTGGGTTTAGGATTTTAATGTGAATTTTGGGAGGATGCAAGCATTCAGTTTATTATAGACTTCAACATTATTAACTCTTGTTGCACTATTTCACTGAGGGGAAAAGTTGAGTGTAGAGAGTCACAGCTAGTAAGTAGGTGGTCTAACTCCAAAGATTAGGTTCTTACTCACCAAATTTTAATCAGACTGATATAGACCCAAAGAAAGAGAAGAGCATGCTAGTTAGAGGAAATTATATATGTAAATTCTCATAGGTATGCAATAGTGGAGATATTCGAGTACAAGGAATTAGCAATAGTGCTGAAGAGAATAATGAAGGAAATAATGTAGCAGCATTATTACTGATGAGACTATAGGGACAGGCAGGTTATAAAGGCTCAGTTAACAACTTTGAACTTTATTAAGAAACCATACTTAGCAATCAAAATTTAACTAGTTTAATAGTTTAGGCAGTCTTCTCATAAGCAGTTTGGGAATTGGATTCTAAGTTGCAAGATCATATGAAGAGAGAGCAGTTAGTAAATTTTTGTAATAATCTAAATAAGAAATGATGAAATCTTGACCAAGCCATTATGACTATTAAGGAAAAAGTGAGAGCAGATTCAGGAAACATTAATTAACTAGAATTTATGGAGCTTGATTTCTAACTGGACATAAATATTCTATGGG
Source organism: Homo sapiens (assembly GCF_000001405.40). Classification (NCBI taxonomy): domain Eukaryota; kingdom Metazoa; phylum Chordata; class Mammalia; order Primates; family Hominidae; genus Homo; species Homo sapiens. The sequence continues at coordinate 95,401,384 of NC_000003.12, forward strand.
AGCAAAGAGTTTCAGGGATTCCCAGGTATTTAAGTAACTGGGTGGATGTTGATGCTAGTCTCATACTTGGAAACAAAAAATCACTTAAACTGGTTTATTTTTTACAGAGAAATTGAATGTTATTGTTAGAGATAGAGTGAAACACTGCAGGGCAAATTCTCCTAATTTTCTTCTTTTTAGTATGATAGTAGTAGCAGTATTACTACAGACGACCAGGAACTTATCTCTGATTCTTTCCCTTGGAACCATATTTGGTAATATTTTCAACAATAAACCTCAACAATCAATGAATCTTCTGCTTTAATATTACTTCAAAAATCATTGCTTAGTAACTGCTCCTATAAATGCAGTTTGACCCTGTGCAACTGCCAATAATTGATACATATTCATATCCTCACTTTGCCTACCGTTAATGTTCTTTTCAAGTTGTATTTTTCAAGCTTTTTTTGTTCTTGGATTGTTTGCCAGGTTGTCTCTTACATAATGTATTCTCTTTGCATAACCACATTAACATTAATTATAGTAACAAGCTCTGGCCTGTTTCATTCACTCGTTAAGTCATTAATTTAGTCCCTAGGTAATTAATGAACTCTACTATTGTTTGGTACCATGCTAAAGATTGGGCACACAAAAGTGAAAATGAGGTATGTGGCCACTGACATAAAACACATTCTTCTTAGAGGTAAGTGAAAACAAAACATTTAGTGATAATATGATAATAGACCCAAAAAATTGCCTGATTGTGATACTTATTATGGCAAAAATAAGCAAGGGGTTAAAACAGAAAAGAGTAGAATCTCGAAATCCTGAGATTGTGAAATTTTCTTCATCTAAATAGATTGTTTAGAAAATTCAGTATATTATGCATGCCAACTCAGAGAGATTCAGCCTTCCAAAACCTGCCAGTGATAGCAATACAATGAAAAGGAATGCATTCATTCTAAATTCTAATAGGCACATGAGTGTCCTGGTTTTTTTTTTTTTTTTTTTCTTTTCTTTTTGAGACAGAGTCTCACTCTGTCACTCAGGCTGGAGTGTAGTGGCGCAATCTCTGCTCACTGCAACCTCCGCCTCCTGGGTTCAAGCGATTCTCCTGCCTCAGCCTCCCAAGTAGCTGGAACTATAGGCGCGTGCCACCACACCCGGCTAACTTTTTATTTTTAGTAGAGACAGATGGGGTTTCACCATGTCGGCCAGGCTGGTCTTGAACTCCTGATCTCAGGTGATCCACTGGCCTCAGCCTCCCAAAGTGCTGGGATTACAGGCATGAGCCACGGCACCCGGCCAAGTGTCCTGATTCATACATTGAAGGCTTGTTATAGCACAGCTTCCATTACTTTCCAGTTGTTTCTTGGAACATGGAAGGATAATGAAGCAAATCCAAATAACTTTATTTTCCAAAATTTTACTAAAAGTTTAAATAAGTATTATAAAGGGCACCTGAAATTTAGAAGAGGAATTTACATTTTACAAAGCTTTAAGCTATTTTTAATCCAGTCATTTGGCAAAATGATATAGGCAGCAACATGCTAAGCACATTCACACGACCTTGAACATCATGGTATCTTTAATAAGAGCTTCTTTTCCCTCTTCTTTCTCAACTTAATTCAATGTCCTGAAAAAGAATTACTGAATTTGCATTAATATATGACCTTCCTGCTAATAAACATTTATATCTTTCAAGGCCTGCAACCAACCTGACAGTTGTCTGAGTGTTATATACTCTAAGACTTCATTATCTGATACTATAATTTTCCAATACTTAAATGCTATTATTGGCAATATTTCTGCCAAGGCATCATTCATTGGTAGTCTGAATTTGCAAGATTGCTTCCTTAGGGACAATTCCTCAATGTATTGTTGGCCATATTAATATACAAAATTAATCACCCAAGATAATTTTAAAATCACAATATGCGCATGTCAGCTTGTCTGAATACAAGAGAAAATTAAAGGGGCTTCTGTATCAAGTTGAGTGGATTTTGGTAAATTGCCATGACTTTGTTAATATCTCAACTTGAGAATTTATTTTATTTTTATTATTAATTTATTTTATTAAATTGTAAATATTTAATGTGTACAGCAATAGAGGCTAACATAAGAGAAATTTATATACCTGCAACTATGATTAAACTGAGAATAGCATTTTGCCATATTTTATATAGTTCTATTTAAAGTATAGACATATTTTAAACAACTAACATCTTGTCCAACAACCCAATACTCTTATCTCCTGAAATGTAAACACTATCCCAGATTTTGAAAATCCTATGTCTAGGCATGTTTTGATTAGAAAACAAATTACTAATAATGTCTAAGACCTCATTTTGATTACTGTTTTAATTTACTAGCTTTCTGCAATTGAATATGTGTATGTCTGTGTGAGAGAGAGATGTGTGTTCACACAGCTCTGTTTGAACTTTGACCCTCAACTGCATTGTATTATAACAGATTGGTCACACACTGTATTAGATAAGATACAAAGAAAGAGTATTATACAATACTTACAATACAATACAATAGATCTTCTCTTTAGGTTTTTTACCTGTGCCCAGAAATCAAAATCTCAAAACCCTTGCTTCACTAATATAGGCATGATTTCTAAATGAAAATATCTGTAACTCCAGCTTTGCTCTTCTCTCCTGTTAATACCATCCCCATCATTGTACTCACCTCCTCAACACACATACACACACACAAACACACACACACACACACTCACCACTGAAGGAATATATTTACAGAAACAATCCTCTTCACTATATTTAGAGCTTCACACAGCTGCAAATTGTGCTGGCTCCTTGTCCTTGCTAAGTTGTACAATCTGATAGGGATTCATAGAAGAGACATAACAAGTCATAATAAGTTTCTTTCTTGCCCACATTCCTGGAAGTTTGCTCTCAAATTCAAAGTATAAAAAATATCTTGAAGAAATACATAAAAATGCAAAATTTGGAGTCTCATCATCAGCTTTCCTGTCAGAGATGTGATTTAGTCTATTTGAAATACAGCTAAAAGAAATACATTGCTTTAAAGAACTTTCTCCACATAAATGTGAATGAGAAAAATATTGACCCTAAGTTGGGGAGATGTAGATGGCACAAGAAGAGTTGTAGATGACACTGTGTCTGCTTTATGAACTATATCCGTAGAAGGTGGCAGAAAATGAAGAGAGCACAATTTTTAAAAAGCAATTTTTAAAGATGAGAAATGAAGAATTTTCCTGAAACCAGTTTTATAAACTACCTTATAGGTAGTTTCTAACATCTTCTGCACACTAAAAATCCCATCACTGATAATATGATGTATCACAATTTTTAGAATTTATTTTCTTTTATTTCCTTAATGAACGTGGAGCAAGTTTTGAGGGTGGAAGGGGAGGGTTGGAGGAAGACAGGATAGATCTGAGCTTTATTTAAAGATAATTCATGTCGATATTAGCTAGTTCTGCAAAAATGAAATCCAAATGATTTCACATTGCAGAGATTTACATAGAAATATGTTTATATGGAAATATTGGAGTGTTACTCATCCCAACTTTTTTAATTCTGCAATAATATTTGATAATTTTATATGAATGCTTTCCCATGTAATATGACAAAATTATTCATTGTATTACTATGTTAGAGAGTTCTGTTGTTCATATAAATATATCAAAACTTCAAAAGGTAATATGTTTAAATGATACCAAATATTAAGCACTTAAAGAACATTTTCTAAATTCTTAGGTTATCAAACTGATGTATTTATGTATTGCAATTTATCTTTCTATTAATATGTTTTATTTATATAATAATATGTTTTTCATGAAAATTTATGTGCACTGTAAAATGTAACTCAAACTATGATATAAGTCAAATTTTGTTAATATTCAGTAGGAATTTAGGTAAATTATTTTTGTTAAAGAGATATTTTAATCTTCACCTCTAATTATGCCCATACATGAATTTGAGTATATTCTCTTTTTTGCTTTATAAAATACATCCTAACAGAGTATTTCTTCTAAGATCATTCTTCTTGGAGACCTTGAAAATCTTAAATAATAATAATTTAAAAAATACATTTGCCATGTGTTCTTGAGATGAAAGCTATACGTGTACAGACTCACACCAACACACACATAAATTGAAGGTAATAGCACAATGCATTTGCTTTTTAGAAATCCTGAGAAATATTTATAAACAAACTGGGAGACCTCATGTGGATCACATATAAACAAAACAAGCCTTGCTAACATTAAGAAACATAGTATCAATGGCAGTTTATTATTTATTGACCATTAAACTACTTATCTGTTTTTGGTTTAGGTATATTCCATTTTATATTTAAATTCTTGTAACAATATTATGATAACATTATTATTCTCATTTTACAATAAATAAATGAGACTCAAAAAGGATATGTATACAACCTTTATGAGATAATATGCATAGATGGGATATATCTGAAAAAACTAAATTTTACTGCTGTATCTTGTTTGTTTTCCCCTAGGAATGAGTTCCTGTAGTAAATTAATTTTCCCATAGTCATTTACATATTCTCTAAAATATGATAAATTATTTAAATTACATATTTTTGTTGCATTCTTTCCAATAATTCTCCAGAAATAATTTCCCCCAAATAAACATTAACATTTATTTCAAAAAAGGAAAGTGGTAATTTATGAAATACATCCTTTCTTCATTCAGACAAGCTTATAGAGATGAAAGATGACATCTGTCTCAGGCAAAAATAAATGTTTTACTTCTTCATTATGTAAGTACTTAATTTACTAAAAAATAACTTTAAATAAAATATTCCAATCACTTGGGTATAGATATTCTTGTGCTTTTATTTCTTTGGAAGATTATACATATTTTAAACTGATTAAAATGTACTTCGTAGCATATGTACATGAAAAATAAACAATAGCCTGCACTTTATAATTTCCCTAGATTACAAAAATAAGCCAAGGGACTCAATATAATTTTCCAGTTAAAGAAATACACAAAAATTAATTATAATTCTTTGTCTCTTATATTCTGTTCTTTGGTTGCTTTGGTTTTGTTCCCAACTTTTATTTAGAATTTCTTAAGAAATACAGAGAAAGTGAAAACATAAAATAAGCTGCTACAAGTACAGCCTCATCCTTGATACATCAGTTTTCAACATTGACCACAATAATATAGCTCTCTGTCTTTCTAATATAGTTCTGGATATAGTATAAATGCAGATTTGTTTTGGATGAATCATTTGAAAATTTCAGAAATCATTTGAAATTAAATGGCGAACATCCTGACATGTCACTCGTACTTGCTGTAACATGTATCTCTAAAGAAAATGGGTATTCTTCTACTTAAGTAAAATACCATTATCACACTCAAGAATTTTAATTCAAATAATAAAACTTACTAATAAGCAACTATATATATTTTTTCCAATTGGCCCAATAATGTCCTTTATGCCTCGTTAATATTTGTTTATTTTTAAACCCAGGATCCAGCCAAGAACTGTGCATTGTGTTTAGTAGGCATTTTTAAAATTTTCCTGTAAAATAGAAGAGTGCCTTTGCCTTTGTATGTCTTTTCTGTCATGGATATTTTTAAAAATTCAGGTTTTTGTGAGTACAGGTTGTAGATCTCCCAAATTAAATTTGTCTGATTATTTTCCGCCTATTCAGAATAAACAACTTTGTCAAGAATACTATGCAACTAATATTGTGTCATTTATTGTTCGAGTGAGGCTGTAAAGTCAGTTTGTAATATTATTGTTGATGTTGTTTGATCATATGAATCATGCAGTGTCCTCCAGATTTCTTCATGTAAAAATTGTAGATGTTTTTTGTAGTTAATTAGTAATCAATGAATATAATGTTTTGATACATCATGGGGTGTTTTTTGTTCTATAGAAGAAATTTTTCTCCTCAGAGCTTGTGTATTGTGTGTATCAAATGGACTTATTACTTATTTTTTATCCATTACATTTACTACCATAATTGTTATTTTTCCCTCCTAATTGTCCCTAATTTGGATAGTGGAATTCCTTCAAGATGGCTTCTATTCCATTTAGGGTGATCTTCTAAGTTTTCAACAATACTAATAACTAAAACCTCACCATTTAGAATGTTACAGTGTTTAGGAATAAAATTCTGGGCAACCAGATCTATTCAATATATTGTGGTATCATTGTTTTTAGGCTTTTTCAGTGGACAGGATGAATGGAGATTTAAAGTGAAGGAATGAAAAATATATTCCATGCAAGTAGTAACCAAAAGAGAGCAAGGGTGGCTGTACTTACATCAAACTAACACTAATATTAGACAAAATATTCAAATTAAACTTTAAAACAGGTTAAAAGATACAAAACTGTGATAGATGTAGGAGACAGATAAGGGGGAGGGTCCCCAGAGAATCTCCAACATACCTGTGCACTGGAAGAATGGGGTGAAGCCATGGGAAGTTCGTGCCTTGTACAGGGAGTGAGAAGCCTGGCCTCATCAGCTCCTGTGTGGTGGCCTGTAAATCATTCTATGAGATGGAAGCCTGCTGTCAGCATCCCCTCTCACTTTGCTGAGGGTTTTTTTTTTTTTTTTTTTTACTTTTTTCCTTTTCACCCAATATATTCCACTCTAGTCACCCTTCAGTGTGTCCGTGTGCCTTATCTTTCCTGGTCATGTGATAAGAACCTGATTTTAGCTGAATGAAGGAGCAAAGTTCTGCATCATTTTGGTGCCCAAACATGGGGCATGAGAAAAGGTGAGTGATATGCGGACCAAAAGATCTTTTACCCTTTTGCTTCTAAGCCTTTTTTTCCTTGGACTTCTTATGAGGGTAGAGGAAACCAGGCACCACCACACCCCAACAGCTGCAGGTGACCACAGGATGAATGGGTGAATGGTGGCTATGGCCTAAAGGCCCCAGGTGGCAGGCTGGCCTGCATTCCCCACCTTAAGTCTCTTCCTCTTGGAGGAATCCATTTGCATAAGAATGAGAGGTTCTTCCCCAGGTACCTTTTTCTTCTCTCCAACCTGTCAGCAGTTAACACAGCTCTGCGTTTAAGCTGTTTTTTTTTTTGTTGTTTTTTTTTTTCTCCACCAGGTCAGGAGTTAACTTTTTTAAAAGAAGCATTTTTTTTTTCTTTTTAAAAGATGTATACTATGCCAGGAGTGATAAGGATCACTGTTTATATTATCTGTAAAGTTTGAATTATGAAAAAGGATTTGTGAGGTTGGCCTTAAGCTGTAGCCAATCTCGTGTGCTTTGCATGTGTTTCTGTTTGGTCAGTAGCAAACTTTGCTGCAGGCCTCCATCTTGTGTTACGTCCTTGAAAGTGTGACCTGTAACTACGTGGAAATGCTTTGTTGTAACCTCTGCCATTTCACAATGGCAGCCCTGGTTAAATCCTAACTTAGGGAATGAGTCCTTTCTGGTTTGATATCTGCATGACCTTTTGACATTTGTTGATTCTTTTCCTCTCCACAAACCACCTTGAATTTTCCCTTCTCTGAGCCTTTAGTGAAGGTTGAAAGCCAGAAATATTGGTCACTTTACTTGACTAAAGCCAGATAACAAGGGATTTAAAAGGATATTCTGAAAGAGTGCTCTGCTTAATTAAAAGTGGATATCCAAGTTATAGGTATATTTAAAAGGCCTTTATGTTTTTCTCTTCCTAGATTGTATTTTGCTAAGAAAGTTTTTTTTTTTCTCAGTAAACTACATTCTTTTTCTGCATTTTGTATTGCCACTCTTAATGCATGCATCAGAGGCCCTAAGATAACTCCTGGGGACATGGGACTCCTTGGGAAAAACAGAGAAGGCACCATTGACCCTGTTTTGTGGAGAAACCTGTTTTACTCATGGAACCCCAGGAATGAAAAGCAGATAGATCCCTCTCAAAATCTGTTCTTGCCTCCCAGCTATGCCTGTTTTTAGGCCTTAGGAAGTGCATGTTTTCCTAGTCCTGTCTCTTAAAGAGCTCCATCCCAGAGGCCTTAAAGATTATAGGTAAAATGCAGATGTCAAACTGCAAATTTTTTACTAGGTTTAAAGAATTGTTTTGAATTACATAAAATAAAGCTAAAAGTTCAAACAAGTTGTGAAAGGGTTGTAAAATTTAATCTTGCAAAGGAAGTTCTGTGTGAACATATTGACTAACTTCAAAAAGCTATTATATGGTTTTTCTGTAAATTGAGCATTGAAATACAACCACAACAAGGTACTCTTAAGGCACTAATCTGTTCTTTAGCAAAATTTGTAAAGGGTTCTAAAAGGTTTTTGCTTTTTTTAAATTTCTGAGTCCTCATTTCAGCAAAATAAATGACTTATGGTAGTCTGAAATTCTATTTCATAATATTACATGTTTTAAATCTCTAACATTTAATAGGCTTCCCAAAATCAAACTTTGGTTTCAAAATTGTCTTTCCTGACACCTGGCTTTTGGATGTTACAGAGGCCCCCTGGGGTATCCAGAAGAGAGGTAAACAAGATTACCTGACAGGTTTTAGGTACATGGGATTGCCAAAATTCTATTCAATCTTGTTTAGGTTATATTTTAGCGAATAATATTAATACATATTCCAAAATTATATGGGATTTCTAAAATTCTAATGTCTAAGTATATGCTATTAATCACAGTCAAGGTTGTTATGTTAAATTGTTGTAAATCATGGGTATAACCAAATTTCTTTGACAATAATTTTTCTCACTGTACTATCCTAGACATTTTGTTACTCACTGACAACTGTTGTCTTGTTTTTATCCTCTTCAAATGATGGTTTATAATCACCGATAGAACTTTGACAGGTGCTTTAAAACACAGGTTTCTGATAACTTTGGAGATTGTGACATTGGATTAAAGGAAAAATGTACAGGACTCATAAAGAGCTCAAATGTTCATGAGTATCAAGCAAAACAAGAATAAACTGAATGGACTGAACTAATTAGACAACTGAAGTAAACTTTTGAAGCATTGTTGATTCTTGTTTTGTTTATCAGAGTCAAGGAAACTTATTTTCAGCTATTTACAGCCTCTAATAATTGAGTAAGGTATACTCTTGTGAACAAAACTTGGAGCATATTTATCTCTCTCTTTCTGCCTAGCTTCTCCAGAATTTGGAAACTAGTTATGAGTATTTTTGACTTATGGCAATATAGTTGTTTGCATCAGTGCAATAAGAATCCATTTTCTTTTGCAACAGGATGCAATGGAGAAAATGTTTGTTTTACAAAGGCTTTGACTGGAAGGCTGTGCTACCCTTTAAGGAGTCAAGCTTGACTTGCAGAGCTGATAAAAGTCCTTTGGGAAAACTGTCCTCATACCTTGTCTACAGAATCCCTGTACAGGGTTCCTGACCTGTGGTAAGTAAAGAATGTCACTTTCTGACAGGCCCAAGGGTTCCAAGTTTATCTTGTGACCTTAAGAGGAAAGGATGACCCAACTCACAGGTATTTGAGGAGACAAACCCATGGCTAAGCTCAGCCTTAGAAAGTCCTATCTGAGATTCCTTGTGGAACAGAGTTCCATGAAAGCCCATCTAAAAGGCCTATGTAAAGATAATTATTCTTGCTGCACTTTATGCAAATAATCGGGCCAAGTATAAGATGAAAGTCTATTTTGCAAACAACTCAGTCCTATTATTATTAGTTTTTAACAAAAATGAGGATGGGAGAGAGAAAAATTATGTTTGAAAACTTATCATACATTCATCATTAAATTCTAGACTCAGTTGTTTTAGGTTCTTGCCTACATTTTAGACTAACCCTGCTTGTGCCTGTGAACCATCCAGTAATTTTTAAGGGCATTCAGAAGGAACAGAGGGGATGGGTAATGTAAAAGTCTAGATCAATATTCTAGTTTTGAGCCATTATCCTGCAAAAGCTGTCAGGCAATGAGAATAAATAGGGTGCCCATCACCTGGAGGTTTCCTTTTTGGGAAAGTAAAACCAAGGGAGCTAACCAAAGCCAAGCTCCATGCATCCAAATATTAGCAGACATAACTATAGCCACCAGTTATCTGGGCATGTCACAGGACATCCTTTTCTCTCACTCGTTGGAGGAGAACTCAATTTAACAGGTTCAACTTAGCATTTGGCTTACAGTAATGAGTCCATGCAACCTTCCCGAGACACATTTTTGTCCCAATCTCAATTCCAAGTTTCAGGTTGAAGCCCTAGGACAGAAAACTGGATCTGAGGGATCCAGAGGCTGATGATAAAGGAAGTTAAAAGGCACAGTGCAGGTGAGCATGATTAAGCTCCTACCAATTAAGCCAAGCTTCCCATTTCATGAATAAAGGTCATGCTAGTATCCATGGCATAAATGAGGTCTAGGGAATTCAAAGGCCACTGACAGCAGGGGAAATAGCCATACATGGGTAAGAGCAGATATCCCACCTTCTAAGCCCCCCTGTTAACATAGGTGAAAACTGCTTTGACACCCATGGGTAGCACCCTGTTGTAGTCTCTGGGACTCATAGAAACAAGGATGGAAGAAAGAAAGAGTAACACCTCACTTTCTCTCCGTCACGTATGTTGGGTATTTGCTAAGAAGAGAAGGGAATTGGGACACCTTACTCTCCTCTTTCTAGATGAGTAGCCATGCATTTTCAGTCTTGAACCCCTGGGACTCCTTTGAAAAAATGCCTTCCTTTTCCTTCTTCCTCCTCTGTCCTCTCTTCACTGATAGGTAATTGTGTCTCATACTATGGGACACTCCCCTCAGATGCATCCTCCAAATTGGGAAAAGTTAATTCCCCAAACCTTAAACTGGTTGGTTTAGGATTGGGCTCAAGGCAAAGAAACCCAGAAGCCTGACATGCTGGCAAAAGGGTAGACTTTTGTGTGTGTGTGTGTGTGTGTGTGTGTGTGTGTGTGTGTGTTTCTTTTCTTTTTTTTTTTTCTTACCAGTTGGGCTTTTAACCTCCTTCTCACTGTGAAAACTGGTAAAAGGCCTCAACTTTTTGAACTCTCCTTTCCCCCACTTGTTTTGTTTTGATATATGTTTTCTAATAACCTGGTTTGCCTCTTCTCACCTTCAGGCCATCAAACTCTAAATGGTCATTCAACTGGAGCCTCAGATGATGGCCCTTTTTGCCAGGGATGTTTAAATAGGCCTCTGAGGGACATCAGACTGCTATTTTCCCTAAACAGCATCCCTTGCCATCAGGAAGCAGTTAAGATCAGTCCTCATACCTCTTCTTACTCTTATTCTAACGGCAGTTAGATGTACTTCTTAGAGTGGGGCGATGATAGATGCAGGAGGTAGATAAGGAGGAGGTTTCCCAGATAATCTCCAACCCACCTGCACACTGGGAGAAGGGGGTGGAGTCATGGGAAGTTTGCGCCTTGTGCAGTGGGGAGAAGCCTGACTCTTCAGCTCATGTGTGGTGGTATGGAATTCATTCTGTGAGATGGAAGCATACTGTCAGGATCCTCTCTTGCTTTTCTGAAAGTTTTTCTTTTTTTTTTGCCTTTTTGCCCAATAAATTATCCTCTACTTACCCTTCAATATGTCCACATGCCTAATGTTTCCTGGTCATGTGACAAGAACCGAGTTTTAGCTAAACTAAGGAGCAAAGTTCTGCATCAACTGGATATTACTACTAATAAAAGTTTCAGCGTAACTGGAAAATATAATAATTGTAAACATTCAGACAGCTAAGAATAGATCATTAATGTATATGAAGAAAAAGGTAACCAAATTAGAGAGAAATAGACAGTTCTACATTAAGAGTTGAAGACTTCAATACCTCACTCTTAATAACACATAGAATAAAATAGACAAAAATAAGTGAGGAAACAGAGAGCTTTAACAGCATCATGAACCACCTAGATATAACAGACATATACAGAACACTGTATCCAATAACAACAACATACACATTTTTCTCAAACGCACAAAGAATGTTTTCCAAGACAGACTATATGTTTAGGTCACAAATTAGTCCCAATGTATTTAAAATATAGATTTTATACACAGTATTTTTTTATCACAATGGGATAAAGTTATAAATCAGTAACAAAAATAAAACTGGAAAATTCACATTTTTTTAGAAATTAAATAATGTATTCAAACAGTAGATCAAAAAATTACAAACTATATTAGAAAATACTTAGAGAACAATGAATAAAAACAGAACATGGCAAAACATGGGATACAGCAAAAGCAGTGTTAAGGAAGAATTAGTAGCTGTAAATATTTACGTGACAAACAAAGAACAATTTCAAATAAACAACCTAGATTTACAACTAAAACTTATTTTAAAAAAGAACAAACTGAACACAAAGCTAGCAGAAAATAGGAAGTAATAAAAATTAGAGCAGAGATAAATGACATAGAGAATAGCCAAACAATAGAGAAAAATTAATTCAAGCAAAAGTTGCTTCTCTAAACAATCAACAAATTTAACAGAAATTTAGCTAGCTGGATTAAGAAAATAAAGGTAGAAGACTAAATTACTAAAACCAGAATTGAAAATGGGTACATTACTACTGATTCTACAGAAAATTAAAACTATTGTAACAGAGGTCTATGAATAAATATACACCAACAGATTAGATAACCTAGAAGAAATGGACAGATTTCTAGAAAAAAAAAAAACCTACCAAAAGAGACTCACTAAGAAATAAAAAAAATCTGAATAGAACTGTAGCAAAGTGATTGAATCAGTAAATTAATATCTTCTGGCAAAGAAAAGACCAGGAGCTGGTGACTTCACTGGTAATTTTTTCCAAACATTAAAAGAGAAATAAAATTAATTTCTCTCAAACTTCTACCAAAAATTTTCAGGTGATGGAAAATTTTGTAATATATTCTGTGAGGCCAACATTAACCTGATACCAAAGACAGACAAGAACACTTCAGAAAAGAAAGAGAAAGAGAAAGAAAAGGAAAGAAAGAAAGAAAGAGAGAGAAAGAAAAGAGAGAGAAAGATGGAGAGAGAAGAAAGAAGAAAGAAAAAGAAAGAGACAGAAGGAAGGAAGGACGAAAGGAAGGAAGGAAGGAAAGAAAGAAAGAAAAAAGAAAGAGAGAAAGGGAGAGGCCGGGTGTCGTGGCTCATGCCTGTAATCCTAGGACTTCAGGAGGCCAAGGCAGGCAGATCACTTGAGGTCAGGAGTTTGAGACCAGCCTGGCCAAAATGGTGAAACCCCATCTCTAAAAGAAAACAAACAAACAAACAAACAAACAAAAACATAGCCAGGCATCATGGCACATGCCTGTAATCTCAGCTACTTGGGAGGCTGAGGCAAGAGAATTGCTAGAACCCAGGAAGTGGAGGTTGCAGTGAGCCAAGATCATGACACTGCACTCCAGCCTGAGTGAGACTCCTGAGTGAGACAGAGTGAGACTCCATCTCGAAAGAAAGAAGAGAGAAAGAAAGAAGAAATAGAGAAAGAGAGAGAAAGAAGAAATGAGGAAGGAAGGAAGCAAGGAAGAAAGGAAGGAAGGAAGGTAGGAAGGAAGGTAGGAAGAAAGGAAGGAAGGAAGGAAAGAAGGAGAAAGAAAGAAAGCAAGAAAGCAAGACGGAAGGAAAAGGGAAGGTGATTGCATGGAAAGGAAGGGAGGAAGTTATGGAGGGAGGGGAAAAAAGGAAGAAAGAAAAGAAGGAAGAAAAAAAGAAAAAAGGAAAGAAAACAGAAGGAAGGAGGGAGGGAGGAAAGGAAGGAAGGAGAGAGAAAGAAGAAAGAAAGAAAAGAAAGGAAGGAAGGGAGGAAGGAAGGACATGCCAATATCTTTTATGAAATATAAACAAAAATATCAACAATATGCTAGCAAACATAATTTAGCATCATATTAAAATAATTTCACACAATGACCAAGTGGTTTTTATTCTTATAATGCAAATATAATTCAACATATAAAAATGTAAGGCACCACATTAATCAAATAAAGGAAAAACGGCCGGGCGCAGTGGCTCACTCCTGTAATCCCAGCCCTTTGGGAGGCCGAGGCAGGTGGATCACGAGGTCAGGAGATTGAGACCATCCTGGCTAACACGGTGAAACCCTGTCTCTACTAAAAATACAAAAAAAAAAAAATTAGTTGGGTGTGGTGGTGGGCACCTGTAGTCCCAGCTACTCAGGAGGCTGAGGCAGGAGAATGGCGTGAACCTGGGAGGCGGAGTTGCAGTGAGCTGAGATCATGCCACTGCACTCCAGCCTGGGTGACAGAGCAAGACTCTCTCTCAAAAATAAATAAATAAATAAATAAAGGAAAACCAACAAAATGATCTCAATAGATGCTGATAAAGAGTTTGACAAAATCAACACACTTTTATGATAAAAATATTCAACAAATTAGCATTATAAGGAAACTACTACAACATAGTAAAAGCTATATATTAAAAAAACTCACAGCAAACATCATACACAATGATGAAAGACTGAAGGCTTTTTCTCTGAAATGACAAAGCCAAGGATGCCTGCTTTTGTCACATCTGTAAAATTAATACATGAAATGCTAGCTAGAGCAATTAGACAAGAGAAAGAAATAAAAGGCATTCAAACTGGAAAGAAGAAAGTAATCTGTGTTTGCAAATGATGTGATCTTGTATATTAAAAACCTTGGGGATTTCACAAAAAAAAATCACACAGTAAAAACTGTTAGAACTAACAACATGAGTTTAGCAAAGCAGCAGGGTAGGAACTCAAAACAGAAAACTCAGTTGCATCTCTATACACTAATCATGAACAATCTCAAAAGGAAATTATGCAAACAATTTTATGTAAAATAGTTTCAAAAACTAGAAAATACTTAGAAATTAATCAAAGAGGTAAAAACTTGTACAATGAAAACCACAAAATATTGTTGAAAGAAATTAAAAGCAATGTAAATAACTAGACACATACTTCATGTTGGTGGATTGGTATAATTAATATTGTTAAGTTGTACAAACTTCCTAAAGTGACCTACAGATTCAGTGTAATACCTATTAAAATCCCAAAAATATTTTTTGCAGAAATCAAAAACCTGTCTTAAAATTCTTATAGGACATCAGGAATACCAGTAGTCAAAAGCTTCTTAAGAAAGGAAAACAAAGCTAGAGGACTTTTCAAAAGTCACTACAAAGCTACAGTAATCAAAATAGTGTGGTACTAACATAAAGACAGGCATATAGACCAGTGGAATAAAATAGTGAAGACATGAACTCTGCCATATAAGGTGAAATGTATTTTAATAAGGATGCCAAGAGGGAAAAAGATGGTCTCTTAAACAAAGAGTTGTGAAAACAGAATATCCACCTGCAAAAAAAAAAAAAAAAATTGGATCCTTACATAATACCATACACAAAAGCCAATTCAAAATGGATCAGCTACCTAAATGTAAGACCCTAACATTATAAAACTCTTAGAAAGAAACTAGGAACATAAAAAAAATGCTGTACAACATTGTATTTAGCAAAGATTTCTAGAATATGACACCAAAGGCACAGGCAACGAATGAAAAAAATACACAAATTGAACATCAAAAAATTTTAAAATTTGTGCCATGAAAAATACTATCAACAGGGTAAAAAGCAACCCACAGAATGGTAGACAATATTTGAAAATTATATATTTAATAAATAATTAATATGCAGAATATATAAATAAAACTCTTAAAACTCAACAACAGCATCACCACAGACAATCCAATTAAAAAATACACAAAGGACTTGAATAGACATTCCTCCAAAGAAGATTTAAAAATGGCCAGTAGGCAGACAAAAAGATTCTCAATGGTCACTAAGTGCTATGGTTTGAATGTGTCTTCAAAGTCCATTTATTCCAAACTTAATCCTCAATGCCACAGTGTTGAGAAATGGGATTTTTAATAGGCAGAGACTTCATGAATGTATTAATGCTGTTAATACCATGACAGTTGGTAGGTTATCACGGGAATGAGTTCCTGATGAAAGGATAAATGTTGCCTCCTTACTTACTCACAGACTTCTGCTTCTGCCATGGGATGTTGCAGCAGGAGGTAGCTAAGCAGTTGCAACCCCTCAATTCTAGATGGCTCAGCCTCCAAAACTGTGAAACAAATAAACTTCTATTATTTACATATTACCTGGTCTCAGATATTCTGTGCTAGCAGCAGAAAATGGACTGGTACATTAATCATTGTGGAAGTGCAAATCAAAACTAAAATGAAATAATGCCTCACACCCATTTGGATGGCTACTATCAAGAAACAGAAAATAATAAGTGTTGACAAAGATGTGAAGAAATTAGAACCCTTGTGCTCTGTTAGTGGAAATATAAAATGGTATAGCTGCTGTGGAAAAGAGTAGAGGATTTTCTCAAAAAAAAAAAAAAATAGAATTGCCATAGGATCCAGCAATTCTACATCTGATTACATAACAAAAATATTTATAATCACGGTGTTGAAGAGATATTTGTACACCATGTTCATATCAGCTCTATTCACAATAGCTGAAATATGGAAGCAACTCAAGTGACCATCTAAGCACAAATAACAAAATGAATGAGTAGAGAAGCAGAATGTGGTATACACATACAACAAAATATTATTCAGCCTTAAAAAAGAAGAATACTCTGCAATATGTGACATTGTGGATGAACCTGAAAGAAATCATGCTAAGTGGAATAAGCCAGTCACAAAAAGACAAACTACATGATTCCACTTACATGGGGCGCTTACACTGGTGGTGGTCAGGGAATGGGGAGATTGGGAATAGAGTCAATGTTTCATAAGTACAGAATTTCAGTGTTACAAGGTGAAAATATTTATGGATATGAGCCCTTCAGGGTTTAAGATAGTAGTTTGGTTTAGTCGATTGGCTTTATTTCTATATGCATTCGGGGGAAAGGCTCAGGTCAGCACTCCTGGGCTGTGTACTCTACCCCTGGATGGCTGGGATCAGGCTCATGGCTTTGTTCTTTGGCTCTCCATGGTTAAGCACCTGCTGTCCTGGAGGGACTGAGGTGTTCCCAGCCCACTATCAACAACACTCCAATGGGGGCAGCCAGCAAAGGCACTCCAGTGGAGCTGCAGTGGGGCCCCACACACATGCACCAGGGGGTAGCAGCAGGTCTCCACGCATGTGTGCACTGGTGGGTCAGCAGCGGGGAGATCTGGATGGGTCTCCACTGGCAGAAGACCATCTACAAAAGTGCTTCAATAGGAAGGTGCAGTCGGCCAGCGGAAGGGCTATTGTGGTTGGCACTGGCAAGTTGAAGCTGGTCTGCAAGTGGGTGTGGGTAGGGAGGGAACCCGGGAGAGGGTGGCAGTCACCAGGGCACTTAGATCCGACTGGCCCCATCCCACAGGCAAGACAGCCCTGTTCTGTGTAGTTTAGCAGGAAACAAAGGCTAAAGCTGCCTAGGGGAGTATGGCCAGCCTTGGGGAATAGATGTTCATGGTTCATGGTTACGCTCTACTGCAGCTGTTCCCAGGCCAAACTTTCTGGACTCTGTACAGGCTGGAGTTCTGTCTCATCCACTGTCCATGCAATTTTCCTGCCATCTCAGATGCCTGTGGGGTTGTAGAGTCCCCTGAAACTAGGATCCTGAGGGTCTGTGGTGATAGCAGGCCACTATATGCCCATTTCACTTGCTCTTCCAGGAGCCAGTCAGGGCCAGGAATGAGTTGTGGTGCTGGGTGCTCAGCAACCTTGTGTAGGGTTCCCAGCTTCCTCTTCTTTCAGCCCAGGGTCCCTGTCCTCTCTCTGTTAACTCCCATTTCCTTCTTTCTGAAAGTCTGTTCAGAGTGTGCTGGTCTACTTGTTGGTCTAGTCTCTCTCAGTGTAAGAAGCTCTTCCTGGCTGCTTCTAGTCGGCCACCTTGGCTCTTTCCTCTCATAGAATTTCACAAATGACAAGTTTATAGAACTTTGCTATTTGATAAGTCAGTATCCCCAAACTCAATAATATTTGTATGGACATTTTTATACGTATACATTTTCAGATGATCTTCAGAATTAAATTTTCAAATCCCTAAAAGAAAGTACCTTATATTTAATTGAATTATATATATAATATTGTGAAGAGCATTTTAAATTATATTTTGCCATTATAAAAATTCATGTTAAAGTTAACTATTCTTTTTTATGTTACCCATATATTTGGAACATAAGTCTCTAAATATACCTAAAATATTTTATTGTATTCACTGCTGTGTTTTTCTGCCTCTCCTGTTGAACTGTATGTGAACTTATCATGAAGGCTTTATTATGTTTATTTATGTTAGTAATTTCAGAATTAGCTTAGTGCTTGGAATGTCAGTAGGTATATGAAAACTGTTTGTTACATAAATGAATGAGAGACTGAGTAAAATATTTTTTATGTACTACAGTTTCTCAGAGTATAATAAGATCATACCAAACACAATAATATAAATTTATAAATAATTTATTTTTTTGAGACGGAGTTTCGCTCACCACAATCTCCACCTCCTGGGTTAAAGTGATTCTCCTGCCTCAGCCTCCTGAATAGCTGGGATTACAGGCATGCGCCACCATGCCCAGCTAATTTTGTTATTTTAGTAGAGATGGGGTTTCTCCATGGTGGTCAGGCTAATCTCCTGACCTCAGGTAATCTGCTCGCCTTGGCCTCCAAAAGAGTTGGGATTACAGGCGTGAGCCAATACACCTGGCCTATTTATGAATAATTTAATATAGCATGTAGTGAATAGTTTTCTTATCATTTAGCTACATATTTGAAGTTACATGGTTTAATATCAGTAGCATTAAGAAATTTAATTTGGGAGCACATTTCAAGCAGACACATGCTGTCATTAGTTTTAGATATTGTTTGCCATTTTGCAATTATAACTCACTTTTCACAAGAAGAGATATTTTTCATATCACTTGAAATAAAAATTGAGTTATTTTTTGATGTATATATCATAGGAGATTTCTTGATTCTCTGAAGAAAAAGTATTCTTCAATGAGACAAATAATGAAGTCTTAAATTTTATTATGAATATCAATAAAATAAAAATGAATCAACAGTAATTGAAAATAACAGATGCAATTAATATTTCATAGAAAAAATGTCATCAGAAATGATAACAAAGTTCTTACACACATATCAAAATGAATTAAATTATATGGGTTTAGCTTGAACAATTTCCACATAAAAATAAAAGCTATAATTTTTCTAATGTTTTAAAGCTTAATATTAGTTTGGCATATCAAAGGGATCTTTATATATTGTGATTATATCCTTCTGTCATTGAAAAACATGAATTCTTGTCAAATTATACAATTTTAGAATTATAAAGATGGTTTGGATACTGTACATCTGTCTTCTTTCATTTTAAAGATAAACTGAGAAGTAAATAACCTGTGAAGGTTACACAGCACAGTGTGGCGGGGCTCTGACTGGAGTACAGATTTTGTCACAAATCCTTTTCAATTAGCCCACCTGCCACTCTCAATTCAAACATGGGAAGTGTTTGAATTATTCTTATATTCTATATGACTTGAGGCTGTTGAATTGTCTGGTATTTTGGGTCAGATATAAAATATTTTTAAAGATTTTGTATTATTGCCATGTAAATAGCAACATGTTTCTCCTTCACTTTGAATACTTAAAATTAGTCTAAAAAAGAAAAACATAAATTTATATTTCCCTTTTTGTTTATTTTTCTCCATGTTTTCCTTTGTACTTATGCTTGTAAATATTTAAAGACTTTGGTAACTTATGCAGTGTATTTACAAGTTAAAAAATGTGGAGTGAGACTGATTTTATCTCTCTGATTATGAGTATATACAAATAATTGTTGCATATAGTTATCAATATTTTAAATGAAACTAGATTTTGAAGTCCTTGAGGATTATGATGTCTTTCAGTTCAGTGAATTACATTATTTTTACATTTAATTTCAATTTAAATTTAACTGTATACTTTTTATCATCATCCAAGATGATGAGAAGCTTGTTTGCAAATATGTGCATAAAAGTGATTCATATACTAAATATGAAAAAATTGGAATTTACTTATAAAATCATCATATATGGCAATTAAATTTCTTTTCAACTGTAGTTGCTTTCAAAGGATCTTTTCTTCCTAGGAATGAAAAAGGTATCATAAACTTCCACTGATAAACATATTGAAAGATAGGTTTCTCCCCAGATTATCTCTCCCTTTGTTCTTAGATATTACTGAATATGTATTATCTGAGTAAAAATAAGTTGGACAGAAGGATGATTTTTAAAAAGTCCTTGTAACTCTGCATCATGCTCTAGGCTAATACAATTCTTGAAAATTTTCAAGAGAATCTAAGTTTCTTGAAACATCTTCACAGCAAAAACATTATGCACACATTTATGCACAAGACGAAAGAAAATATTTTTAAATAAACTCATTTTACTTCAAGATTATAACAATAATTAAGAAAATGTCTTTATTCTAACTTTTAACCTGTAAATTTCCAGAGAATACATTAGTACACTTCACACTGAATCTTAAAATTTAAATGTTTTTACAGTTTTAATTTAATATTTAATCTGTGGAATAAATAATGAATGTACCCTAACAAAATAACTTGAAAAGTAATATTCTGGAATTAACTACACAAATATATCTAGGCTTATTCTTATGCTTATACTCATTTTTGCCAATTATGCTCTCAAACAAAATTCTTACTTGTTAAATTTTATATGAAAAATTATAACTACATAGCTATTATTGACTAAATGTAAAAAATGAAAAGCTGTCCAATTTATCTCACAAAATGATATTTTCACATTTTATAATATATGTAAATATGTTTTTAATTCACTGAAACTTTAGTTTAAATAATATTTAAAATTTTTATTTTTGGAAAAATTTGGCTTTTGCCAAAAATGTTTATGTTGGAACATGAATTATAGAATATGATTGTTAATTTAATTTGATTCACACAGACAATGCAACATTAGTATTAGTATTAGGAGGACTTATAATTTATAAACTAATTTTATGTGTATTATAACAGCCCCTTTATTTTTACTAAATACTGTTAACACTTAATTCTGAATACTGAATATATCTTCAGACACTATCATGTTTGTAATATCCTACATTATACTGGTGTATTATTTATTTATTTTGAACTGTTTTCTAATATTATTTAAATTATACTGTATTATTTAACTCTGACATGAATATTACCATTATTTAAGAATATAATGATAAGTAAATATACTAACATTAGTGTTCTTTACCCAGACTTTTAAAAAAATAGATATTACTACTGATTACTGCATCCCAGCAAATTAAAATGTTACTATATGACAGTATAAAATATTAGATATTCTTAGACCTAGGCAAAAACAGAATTGAACTTTAAGGTGTTTGAAGAATTTGGAACCTGATTACTTTTATTTTTCAAGAATTTTCTCTACAATTACACTTACTATTTTCAAAGTCAGCAAAAACTTACAATCCAAGAAAATTGTTTCAGTTTTGCATGTGAGAAACTAGAATTTCCTACAAATGATTACTAGTAGCTTACATGAAAACATCTCTTGCAAACATACAGCCAAAAAATATGGCAGCAAATGAACTATATTATATATACTAATTTGTGCTTGATAAATATTTTGTTAATATCATTAAGTCTTCATTCTCATATAATGTAATTGTATCTGTTTATTAATCATTAAAAATACAATTACTTTGCCCTTAGTTTATTTAGAATGAAGAAAACATAGTTTAGCTGGAAGATTATCAAACAGAATCACTGAAGTGGTATGCTGAGTATTTTCCATGTATCCTTTGGTACTAGTTTATTCTCACACTGCTATAAATACCTGAGACTGGGTAATTTAAAAAGAAAAGAGGTTTAATTGGCTCACAGTTTCACAGGCTGTACAGAAAGCATAGCTGTAGAGGCCTCTGGGAGTTTTTACTCATAATGGAAGGCAAAGCCAGAACAGGCATCTTACATGGCAGGAGCAAGACCAAGAAGAGAGAGAAAGGGGAGGTGCCACATACTTTTAAACAACCAGATCTCGTGAGAACTCACTCACTATGCAGTACTAAGGACGGAATGGTGCCAAATCATTCATGAAGCATCCACTCCCATGATCCAATCACCTCCCAATAGGCCCCACCTCCAACATTGGGGATTGCAATTGAACATGAGATTTGGGTAGAGATACATATCCAAACTGTATTGCCTTTCAAATCCATGTACTGTTGTTTTCTACAATGTTCTCTACCCTGAGATGCAGACTTTTAGGGACTGATTTCTTCACCCTGGATTCAGATTAGGTTCAGACAATAAGGAACAGAGCAGATTTGAGGGTGAGAGGACAGTGAGGTTGAGGTTTCATTTGCCAACTCTCTTGTTGGCAGTAGCTATTTTTTTTCTATTGCAGTTCGAGTATCCATCACATGGCCCTCTCCTACGCATGCAGCTCTCATTTGGAGATTCCAGTTATTTCTATCACCCCTTGCCTCTTTATGCATAGGCATGGGCATGGTAATGACTTTCCTTCATTGTGAGTTATTTAGCTTTTCTCATACTATTATAAATCTTTTTTTTTTTTTTTGAGACAGAGTTTTGCTTTTGTTGACCAGGCTGGAGTGCAGTGGCATGATCTTGGCTCACTGCAACCTCCGCCTTATGGTTTCAAGTACTTCTCTTTCCTCAGCTTCCCGAGTAGCTGGGATTATAGGCACTCAACACCATGTCCTGCCAATTTTTGTATTTTTAGTAGAGACAGGGTTTCAGGGGAGGCTGGTCTCGAACTCCTGACCTGGTGATCCACCTGCCTCATCCTCCCAAAGTGCTGGGATTACAGGTGTGAGCCACTGCATCCGGCCTATAAATCATTTTTTTACTAATATCGTCTCATAATCTCCAGGGTTCTGTTTCTGTATCACTTAAAATTTATTACTCTTCTTTGCAAATTGCCAGAATCAGATTAGGATTTTGTTCCAGGACCAATTTAGGAATATTAAACAAATCTCTTTGTTATGTTATTTTTGCCAGAGTTCAGTGCATTAGTCCATTTTCACACTGCTATAAAGAACTGCCGGAGACTAGGTAATTTATTAAAAAAAAATTTAAATGACTTACAGTTCTCTATGGCTGGAGAGGCCTCAGGAAATGTACAATCATGGTGGAAGGGGAAGGAGGCATGTCTTACATTGCGGCAGGCAAGAAAGAAATCGTGTAAGAATGAGGAAGTGCCACACTTTAAAACCATCAGCTCTTGTGACAACTCATTCATTATCACAATAACAGCGTGGGGGAAACCACTCACCTGTTCCAATCACCTGCCACTAGGTCCTTCCCTTGACAGATGGGGATTGATTACAATTCAAGATGAGATGTAGGTGTGAACAAAGAAACAAACCATATTATTCCGCCCCTGGGCCCTCCCAAATCTCATGTCTTTCTCACATTTCAAAACACAATCATGCCTTCCTGACAGTCCCTCAAAGCCTTAACTCATTCCAGCATTAACTCAAAAGTCCAAATCCAAAGTTTCATCTGAGACAAGGCATGTCCTTTCCATGTATGAGCCTGTACAATCAAAAGCAATTAATTACTTCCAAGATACAATAGGGGTACAGGCATTGGATAAATGCTCCCATACTAAATAGTAGAAATTGGCCAAAACAAAGGGGCTACAGGCCCCATGCAAATCCAAAACCCAGTGGGGCCGTCATCGCAGTCCTTAAATCTCCAAAATAATCTCTTTGACTCCATATCTCACATCCAGGTCATGCTGTTGCAAAAAGTGGGTTCCCAAGGCCTTGGGCAGCCCCATATACCTGTGGCTTTGCAGGATACAGCTCCTCATCACCCCCTTCCCTGGCTGCTTTCATGGCTGGCATTGAGTGTCTGCAGCTTTCTCAGGCACACGGTACAAGCTGTTGGTGGATATTCCATTCTGGGGTCTGGAGGACATCAGCCCTCTTATCACAGCTCCACTAGGCAGTGTCCCAGTGGGGACTCTGTGTGGGGGCTCCAACCCTACGTTTCCCTTCTGTCCTGCCCTAACATAGTTATCCATGAGGGTTCCACCCCTGCAGCTGACTTCTGCCTGTACATCCAGGTGTTTCCATACATCCTCTGAAATCTTGGCACAGGTTCCCAAACCTCAGTTCTTGACTTCTGTGCACCCACAGGCCCAAAACCACATGGAAGCTACCAAAGCTTGATGCTTGCACCCTCTGAAGCAATGACCTAAGCTGTACCTTTGACCCTTTAGGCTGTGGCTAAGACTGGAGTGGCTGGGAGGCAGGGCATTGAATCCTGGTCCCTGAAACCATTTTTCTCTCCTAGGCCTCCAGGCATATCATGGAAGGAGCCACCACGAAGGTCTCTGACATGCCCTAGAGATATTTTCCCCATTGTCTCCTCTTTAACATTTGGTTCCTCATTACTTATGCATATTTCTGCAGCTGGCTGAATTTCTTCCAAGAAAAAGATTTTCTTTTCTACCACATGTTTAGGCTGGAAATTTTCCAAACTTTTATATTCTGCTTCACTTTTAAACAAAAGTTTCTCTTCTACATCTGAGGCCACCTCAGTCTGGACTTCATTGTCCATATCACTACCGGCATTTTGGTCAAAACCATTCAACAAGTTTCCAGAAAGCCCCAAACTTTTCCACATTTTCCTGTCTTCTCTGAGCCCTCCAATCCGTTCCAATCTCTGTCCATTACTCAGTTACAAAGTTGTTTCCACTATGTGTATATATATATATATATATATAGTGGAATATATACAGTGGAATAAATATATATTTATATATAACATATATAAATATATGTTATATATATAAAATATATAAATATACATATAAAAATATATATTACATATATAATATATGTAATATATATATTATTATAATATTATATTATTGTATATATATAATATATATATAAAGTATCTTTGTAACAGTGTCCCAAACTCCTGGTACCAATTTTCTGTATTAGTCCATTTTCACACTGCTGTAAAACATGCCCAAGACTGAGTAATTTATAAAGAAAGGAGGTTTAATTGACTCACAGTTATGCATGGCTGGGGAGGCCTCAGGAAACTTATCATCATGGTGGAAGGAGAAGCAGGCATGTCTTACAAGGTAACAGGAAGGAGAGAGCTAAGGAGAAGAACCCCTTATAAAGCCATCAGATCTCGTGAGAATTCACTTGCTATCCTGAGAACAGCATGGGGGAAGCCTGCCCATGATCCAGTCACCTTCCACCAAGTTCCTCCTTTGACACATGGTGATTACAATTTGAGATGAGATTTTGGTGTGGACACAGAGCAAAATCATATCATTCCGGAAAGAAGAAGATTGTTCCCACTTAATTACATGCAAGTCTCAATCAGCTGGGTACATTTTAGGTCACTGTGCAATGATTACCTGGCAGTGTTTGCATTGAAAATAGTTAAAACTTCCTAAGCCATAGAACTGTCTAAACAGCGTAGAAGACTATAAAGAACCAATATTCCTCTACTTGTGCATAAGAATTGAGTGTTAGCAATGCTCTATGGCACACTACTTATTATGTGAATTGTTTTAGAGCTGGGAATTCAGCAGTGCATACCCAATAAGAAAATTAAGGGCGTTAAAATACGAAACAGGAAATGGAAAACCAAATTTGTAAGAAAGTCAATTTTACGTGTTTTTTGAAATTATATTTCTAAGAAAATTTTGAGGTAGCAAATATTTAGATTTGTTCTGTGCAATAAATCCTGTGTTATTTATGGTAGTGAAACTCTTGATGTAAGCTTTCTCCCACAGAGGTTTTTATTAAATAATAATTGATTCTTTTAATATTACATATTTACTTTAATATTATCCAGATAATGCCTAGACCTATGGGAAAGTGTTCATTGTAGTAATTCTCTATTTTTTAAAATTGGATTCACATCACTATGTGATGAATTAGATATCAACATATCGGCTATGATATCCTATCTGTTCTTGGGAAGGTCCTCTCACTGTATAAAAGCAATATTTTCTAGCAGTAAACATCGACTGTGAACCATATCTAGGTTGTAGTCCTTACGGGGAAAGAAGCCTGAGAGTTGAGCTCCATATTTCCAATAGCATCATTCCCCATGGTCCTCTTCCTGTGTGTACTTTCTAAGCTGGGCCACAGAAAAGTTAACCACCATCAGCAAGTAGCTTTTTCACTGACTGGAGGAACCAAAGATTAGGATTCCAATTTGCAAGTCGAATGAGATTGTGAGGTGGATTACATGCAGGAGAGAACCACAGAGGAAGCACCCCCAAATATGTACAAACTTCTCCTTGGCCTTAGATGACTCTAAAGTGTAGACAAAGGGTGAGAATCCAGAAAGTCTAGCTTAGAACATCGATTTTGGACACGTATTTAAAAAAAGATATACCACACCTTGACACAGAATTTCACTCCTGAGACTGTGTGTATCCTCAGAGTGCAATCGATTACCAAGAGGTATTTAGAAGAGTGCTCATAAGTGTTTTATTCATAATAGTGGTAATTGGAAATAAGCCACATGTCTACCTTAGTAGAATGATAAATAAATACTATTATACTAATATAATTGAACATTACAGACTAATACAGCATTAATCTTACAAATGTAGTAATCGGAGAATAAAATGAATAAAAAGTATCAACTGTATTATATCATTTAACTGATGTGCAAGAATAGCTAAAGCTATTGGTGATAGATATCAGAATACTGTTTACTCTTGGTAAATACTGCCCAGAAAAGAAAAAGAAAAACCTCCAGGGATCAAAAAATATTCATTCTCTTAATTTAGGTGCTGGTTACAGGAATGTATATAATTAAATGTTGTGTGTTTGATTTTATGTGAGTTAAATCTCAACAATATTTAGCAACAAAATATACATTTGTTATTTTAGTTATATTTATATACATACAAACACATATATACACATATATATTATTAGGGATATATACATGCAGATGTACACACATGTATGTAAATCCAATATATAGTATCAGATTACTATAAAACTTAGATAATTTATATTTCATTATATATTATACCTTACATGTAAGCTATCATATAAAATCTTATAAATAATTACTCACATACTGAAAAACTATCATGAGAATGATTAAGTTCTTATATCTAAATAGTGAAATTCAAATTCTATTTCCATTTCCTAATTTCCTGTATCTATTTTCTCATAATACATTTTAATTCTTGTGTTATCTAAGAAGAAATACACTAGATTTTTCTTAATGTCATTTCACTGTGAATTACACATGATGAAATATGCTTAGATCTCCCTTTCTCTCTGACTCCCGCTTCTACTCCCCTGGTCTCTTTCATGGGGCTATTTTGAACCTTGTTGTGAGTTATCTCCCTGTCCCCATTCTTTTCCCTTCCTAACCTTTTCTACATACAACCATAAGGTTATATATTAATATTCTATTGGTAAGAACAATTCAATAACTCTTATCTCTTTTGACCGTGTTCAAATACTGCTGAGTGAATTTTAAACTTCAAATAAACTTGCAATGTGTTACCTTTCTAACTATATGTCCTGTTACTTTATAACAGAAACATGTTCCAGCCAGAGGCTATGACTTTCTTCATGTCAAGTCATCCAGTTTTTAAGTAATCCAGCCAAATCTAACCAACTAAAATTGATATTTTTTCTTCTAATATCCTTCAACCTTTCTTCTCTGTGAAACCTAAATCTGAAACTATCATGTTATTACTTAACTGGTTGTATATTTATCTCATCTTCTTAGTAAACTTGTAAAATCTTATGCTCAAAGGAAATGTAACATATTTACTTCCTGCTATTGTAGAAAGTTTGGCATTTAGCTATCTCTTTAATACTTAGAGATACTAGAATTTAGTATTCCATAATACTATTTTTCAAAATGTAGATTGAGAAAAGATTCCAAGCTTATACATGTGTCCCTTCACTTTGTATCTCAAATGCAAAATAGAACCAAATGGTTGGATAGTTGATCGGGGATCATGACAATTTATTCACCAGAGCTAGGCTGATTTTCTCTTCTTTGAAGATGCAGTGGCAAAGGTTTTTGTAAGACAGAATGAACAGTACGAGAAAGATATTTGCTTAAATAGAATATGTTTTATGAC
Organism: Homo sapiens; assembly: GCF_000001405.40. Taxonomy (NCBI): domain Eukaryota; kingdom Metazoa; phylum Chordata; class Mammalia; order Primates; family Hominidae; genus Homo; species Homo sapiens. The sequence goes on from NC_000003.12 coordinate 95,429,395, forward strand.
ATTCTAAGACTCTGAAACATTCATTGCTTGAAATATATTTTTAGAGGACATGGTCTTGGAGAATATTATCTATATCCCTCAGGTAGTTTCATACTTGCAAGACATGTCTTCACTTCTATTAAAAATACACTTAAATACTCTTTAGATAAGTTAGTATGCTTCTTCATTTTTTAAAATTTTTCTTCTTGTTGCAATTTCAATTCTTTCTCCAAAACAATGATTTTATTTTAAATTTTTCTTCTCTTTTATGATATAGTCTTGATAGAGGCATTCCTCACTTAAAGAGATGGGAGAAAACTGAAATCTTCCTGGGATTCTATGTCAAAGATTGCACAATTTAGTAATGTCTGGTATATAACTTAAGTAGTCCATCATTACAACTATAAATTATTTTTGTGACAATTAGAGAAAATGTGTTGCAATGTGTTTTCTGTTTTTAAAATATGGAGAAAAATGTGCTAAAATTTGGCTTCTGCTCTCATAGAAAAACAAGCATTCATAGGCAGCTCTTTCCTTTCTTTACGATTGCTTTTCATATTAGCCACACTCTTGAACATGCACATCAACATCCATATGCCAGTTTTTTAATAATTGACTTAATTTTTATCATCAGTTAATAAATTATTATAAGAGATTACACATTGGTAATGCCTACTAGTTGTTTCCTTTTCTCATTAATTCTATTTCGTAGTCAAAATTTTAAGCCTTGACAACTTTGCATAAGAGCAAAAGGATTGTCCTATAGAATGTTTTAAGTTTCAAAATGCTTACAAGACCATAAAATTATTTGTCTTTAAAATAATGAATATGTTATTTCATCCTTTAGAAAAATAATAATAATTTTATATAAAAGTGCTCTAAGAACTAACATGTGAAGGGTAACAAATCATCTATCTATCTATTTATCTGTCAATCATCTATCTATCTATCTATCATCGATCTATATAATTTAGCAGGTGATATGGTTTGGCTTTGTGTCCCCACCCAAATCTCACCATGAACTGTAATAATCTCCACATGTCAAGGGCAGGACCAGGTGAAAATAATTGAATCATGGAGGCAGTTTCCCCCATACTGTTCTTATGATAGCTAGTGAGTTCTCATGAGATCTAATGATTTTCTAAGGGGCTACCCCCTTTGCTTGGTTCTCATTCTCCTTCCTGATGCCCTGTGAAGAAAAGATGTGTTTGCGGCCGGGCATAGTGTCTCACACCTGTAATCCCAGCACTCTGGGAGGCCAAGGGGGGCAGATCACGAGGTCAGGAGATCGAGACTGTCCTGGCTAACAGGGCCAACACGGTGAAACCCCGTCTCTACTAAAAACACAAAAATAAAATTAGCCGGGCGTCGTGGCGGGCGCCTGTAGTCCCAGCTACTCGGGAGGCCGAGGCAGGAGAAGGGGGAGAACCCGGGAGGCAGAGCTTGTAGTGTGCCGAGATGGCACCACTGCACTCCAGCCTGGGCAAAAGAGCGAGCGAGACTCCATCTCAAAAAAATAAAAATAAAAACAAGACGTGTTTACTTCTGCTTCTGCCATTATTGTAAGTTTCCTGAGGCCTCCCCAGCCATGATAAACTGTGAGTCAATTAAGCCTCTTTCCTTTATAAATTACCCTTTCTCCAGTATGTCCTTATAGTAGCATGACAGGAGAATTGGATAGAATTCCAAAGACAAGTATAAACAGTTCCTACTTATACAATCCCTGACAATTTCTGGCACACTGATCTCAGTCATACATATCACTACGATAGCTTTTCTAAAGTATTTATTGTTGTTATTATTACTACCTATCAATATTAATATAGATGCAATTTAATATAGTTTAAAAAATAATTATTTAGGATTTAGAACAATCCTGGCAATACTTTAACATTGTTTTAACTTGTTTAAATTAGCAGACTAATCTATAGTGACAAAAAGTGGTTGCGTGGAGATTGGGCAAAGGGCAGAGAGGAACAAGAGGAAAAGTTTACAAAGGGGCAAGGGAAAACTTTTTGGAGTGATGGATATGTTCGTTACCTTGATTTTGGTGACCATTTCTACAGGTTTATACACATGTCAAACTTATACTATGGCATACTTTAAATATGGAGCAACTTTAATAACACTTGAACATTTTAATTAGTCTTTCAATTATTCAAAAGATTCTGGCAATTATATGGCCATAATGGTTAGGAAAGTATGGGGATTGCCACGCAATTCAGTATATCAGAAACATTATGTAATCTTTAAACAAATTTTTGGGTTAAAGTAATAGTATAATAGTTTTATTTGAATAACATTGTGAGATTATTAAATAATCAGCTAAGACATACTTTCTAAATTACTTCCAATACAAAAGTTAAACCCTATCACATCAACTATCTAAATATTTTTTTCGATTATTAAGGTAGTATAATTGCTTTTAAATTGACAAATCCATAGCAAAAATAATCCAATGGTTTACTGGTTTATCTTTTAAATCTTTTTTTAATATTAATATGTCTGTTTTATGGTAGATGAGTCAATTAAAAAGGTTGTTGACACTAGGTCACGATATAGATATAGTATTTTACATTTTAACATACTTAGATCAAAGTCTGTTTGATTTAGGGGTAGATAACTTCTTTCAATTTCATTTGAAAACAATCTAACTTATTTGTGACCCAAAGCATTTTGGGGAGTAGAAACATGACAGACCTAACCGTACAGAGCTGCATTGTACTCAGTTAAGCTAAGTCCCTCCAAAGATCTTGCTACTGTGGGCAGTTTTGCACTTCCTGGTAGTTAATATTTCATACCTATTACAACACAGCCTGGAAACCTCAGGATGATCTGGGCAATTATGTTAAAAGGACAAATAGCTTACCACACTCATTAAATTTCTGTGTCTTTAATACATTGAATTCTCCCAAAGAGCTGGCTGTGACAAGAATTCAATCCTAAGCTGCTATGTTAAGAAGTCTGTTTCAATACTATTATAACCACCCTTCTGGCTAAAATTAACATGGCTTTCTAACACAAATTTCTTAGAAATATGAAAAAAACAGTAATCAATGATCAGTGATCTATTTATTCTGTTTTACTAAATTTATTTACTTTGCCCTACCAAGGGCATACATTTTAGATATAGTCAGAAACATCAGGAATAGCAATTCAAATATGTATAACTACTCCACATTTAAACTATATCATTTGTATAATTAGCCTAAAATTTAGGGATGATTATTTTCAGGTGTATTGTAAAATGTTCAGGTCTAGTAATTCATAAATAAGAATGAAAGTGTCTAAGGAAGAAAATATAGTTTTTTATTCCCCCATCCCAAAAAAGTGAAACTTTGAAGCACTGCAGAGCTATGAGGTTCTTATCCTCACTGTATGGCCACAGGATGATGGGTTGGAACCTTTAATGGCTGCCAACTAACAATATCTAGTGCAGATTTCAACATTTTCATTTCCTTACAAGTTATATGGGTTTTTGTGCCCAGACTTCTTCATAGTGGAGTCCCCATGCTCAGCTAATGGTAATTCCCGGAACTCCACCTAATGTTATTTCATCAAGAAACAGACCTATTATGAATTTTTTTTTTTTTTGAGATGGAGTCTTGCTCTGTCACCTAGGCTGAAGTACAGTGGCACAATCTCGGCTCACTCTAACCTCTGCTTCCCGGGCTCAAGCAATACTCCTGCCTCAGCCTCCAGAGTAGCTGGGACTACAGGCGCCCGCCACTACACCTGGCTAATTTTTGTGTTTTTAGTAGAGATGAAGTTTCACCATGTTGGCCAGGCTGGTCTTGAACTCCTGACCTCAGGTGATCTGCCCACCTTGGCCTCACCAAGTGCTGGGGGGATTACAGGTGTAAGCCACCACGCCCGGCCAATTTTTGTTCTTTTTTTTTGAGATGGCACCTTGCTCTATTGCCCAGGCTGGAGTGTAGTGGCATGATCTTGGCTCACTGCAACCTCCGCCTCCTTGGTTCAAGAGATTTTCCTGCCTCAGCCTCCCGAGTAGCTGGGATTACATGCACCCACCACTACACCCAGCTAATTTTTGTATTTTTAGTAGAGAAAGGGTTTCACCATGTTGGCCAGCTGGTCTCAAACTCCTGACCTCTGGTGATTGGCCCATCTCAGCCTCCCAATGTTCTGGGATTATAGGCATGAGCCACTGCGCCTGGCGATGAAATTAAAAAAAAGAAAAGTTTTTATATGCCCATTGATATGACTAAAGATTTATGTTTTTCAACTCAATTTGAGTAGGTTCCATAACTCTACACCCTTTAGAGTTGTTTATTGCCCTACTGAAGACCACCATCTTCATATCCAGGCAGATGGATGAGCCTCCTAAGCTATAGATGAAAAAGAGAACACCATGCACATGTTGTCATTATCACATTCCATCAGTTCTAATTCTAAAGTTATCCGTAATAATACTATGTATAATTGTCAGCTCAGTTACATTGCAGCAAACAATGAGGCATTTCATTTTTTATTCCAGCTAGTCCCATTACCTGTATACTGGATTCTTTCCCTTTTGCCTTTCTTAAGTCTGTTTTTGAAATTGTTTTCAATTTTACATCTTTTTCCTTTGACTTAAGTTTGAAACATTTTACAGCCTCTTCTAACTAGTAAATAAATAAGTAAACAAATAAATAAATAGAATCCCACTGCTTCGCCAATCACTCAAGTAATGTTGCTGTATCTTCCTTTTTTCCCTTCCACTGCTACATTTTCTGAAATAATAATGTTCTTTAATCTCCATTCTTCAGTGTGATTCAATCTTATTTCTTCTTTCAAAACACCGTGTTAGGTATTCGATGTTGGATTCATTAGACCAAATTATTACAATTTTCTACCGTAATAAGTAAATACTGTTTACTACTTCAATTTTGTCTTCTATTAATTTTTCAGAATCTTGTCTTTTCTATTCTCCATCTTCTGCCATGTCTCTGATTGTTGCATGTCACCCTGTACCAGCCTTTAATGTTAACATGTACTCTTTTAATACAAGGCCTTCTTCTAGTAATCCCTGTATAGATGTACTCAAGACATTTCATTGTAAAGTTTAAGATAGAAAACATTGTCAGTTTTCCTGGTTGTAAGTGAATGAGCATGACTGTGTCCCAATAAAACTTTATTCACAATTTGGCAGTAGGCCCAATTTGTACCAGGTGTCAGTTTGCTGACTCCTGCTCTATCACATCACCAGATGGTTTCTTTATCCATGCCTGTGGTAGCCACTGCCTATTATAAAATGATGACATCCATATATTTCTTCTATCTAACGTTTTCTGTCAGCTTCACACATATTTTTAGCAACAGATTGAACAATTCCAGATGTTACATTTCATAAACACAAATTTTTTTAACATGGCACAAAATCAAAAATTCTTTATATGCAACTCATGTTGTCCTTGCTGTCCAGTAAACTCATAATTACTATTCAGAAGCAACCTAAATTATATCTACTATATACAGCTATTCCTTACCTCTGTTGTTAAAAGTAATTATTTTTGTGTGTTTTCCTTTAATATTATGTTAATGCTAGTATTATAAAACTTTAAAAAATGCATTACAACTTAGAGGGCTCTATTTCCCATTGAGGTTCTTTCTCATTAAAGACAAAAAGAAAGCTTTATTTTCTTTTATTTATTAGCAGCTAATATAGTTTCATTATTCCATAGTTAACTCAAAAATATTATGAAATCTATTAATATAAATGTGAAATACAAGTATATTTTTCTGAGAGTACGAATCTGTTTCAACACTAGTATAATCTGAGAATGTCAAGAATGTTGGTGTGGTTCACTCAGAGTGGATTAACTGCTGTAATAATTTAAAAATTCCACTTCTTTACCACCGGAAAGCTTATATTTTTCCAATACAACCATCTAATATGCATAGGACAGCTCTACTCCTTCCAGTTATTCAAGAACTCAGGCTCCTGTATCTCATTACTCTGCTCTTGTCTTGATCCTAGAGAGCTCTGCATTCAGCCAGCAGATGGAGAAGCAATATGAGGATCACACTTAGGAGATATATATACGTCAGGCTGAAAGAGGGTACCTGTCATTTCTGCACAGTTTCCAATGGACAGTCCTCACTGACATACCCACAATTAAACACAAGGGATTACACAGCAAACAAACAAAAGCCAGCTGTTAACCAGGAGAACAAGTATAACACAAATATTAAAGAGAAATAGTAATTTCTGTCATGGCTGTATTTTTTTTCAGGTTTTCTTTCTTTTTTATTTTCTTCTACTTTGCTTGTTTTCTTCATTTTTTTTTTCTGTTTTTTTCTCTTCAATAAAAAACATTTTATGTGAGTTGCGAGGCTACAAGTTTTCTCCAGGACAGGGAGGAAACGATTTTTTTAAGTGCCTCTAACTTCCACGATGACTTTTATTAACTACCATCATCTCTTATACCGTCCTCCGTGATGTAAAAAAGATGCTAAGAAATTGACAAAATGTACACACCAAGAATTTTAAAATGTAGTTTGCTGGATTCTAGGAATTTTTTTTACCATTGTATATATCTTGCTTCTTGTAGTAAGACTATCAGTATTTTCCATATTGAACACTTTTGTGTAGATGATCAGTTCTGTGGATTGTGCATAGCAATGTTTAAAAATTGTATTTGGGGTCCTCAGAGATTACACAGAATGTAACATTTTCACCACGTACTTTCTGTCTTAATCTGTCTGTGCCGCTATAACAAAATACCAGAGACTGTGATTTATAAGCAAGAAAAATATTGTTTCCTGCAGTTCTGGAGGCTGGGACTCCTAGGAAAGTGTCAACAGGTTCAGTATGGTTCTGCTTCCAAGATCATGCCTCATTGCTGCGTTCTCCAGAGAAAATGAGTGCTGTGACTTCACATGACGGAAAGGCAAAAGAGTGTTCCCTTCAACCTCTAGCTTTTGTATTTGGGTGCTAATCCCATTCAAGAGGGCTCTACTCTTACGACTTAATCACCTTCCAAAGGCCACACCTCTTAATACTTTTGCATAGAGAACTAAGTTTCAACATGAATGTGGGAGCGGACACCATCATTCAAACCGTAGCACTCCCTGAATTCACTGCTGGATTCTCAAAGAGTGCAATGTTATTTTAGTAATAGCTGAATATTCATGTTTCTGAAGATAAATATGCGAGAACGTATTTTTCTTAGAAAATATAAGAACCAAATTTCTAAATACAAATCAAAATTATATCACTCCATGGTTCCCATTATAATAGATGGCTGTGAATTGGCACTAGCAGACTTTTAAATTTCATAATTTCAGATACTACATTTGTTTTACTCTTCATTTATTACTAGGGCCTAATCTAGTGCCTGTCATTGAATAAAAATGTTTGATCTAGTGAAAGTTAAAGTGAAAGATATGAAATAGAATCAGGTAAGTTTAGTAAAAGGACATTATTAAAAATATATATACTGAGGTATAAGGATGGCTTTAACATTTCCTTTTAGTTTTTGTATGATTAAAAGTATAAGTAATTTGAGTGGGTAATACATGAATATCTATATCTATATAAACAGATATAAATATGCATATAACTAATACGAATGTTTACATGTAGCATGGAACAAGGCTGTTAAAACATAGATAAGCCTACGAATTCATTGTTTATTTTTAATTTGGATCATTTGCACACATAATGAGCAAAACATTTGATAATATTAAAATTTGGACAATAATTTGCTGTTAGAAAGTTGTTAGAAGAATTCCTTTTGAAATACATAGAAACCTAGACTAAGAAGTAAATGATTTAATTTTATTTGTGGACATAACGAGAGTAATCATGAAATGCTGACTGATTTTGGTTAAAAAGAAAATTTAAGCCATTTTAAGCTTATGTGACATAAAGTGAATTTAGTAAATGCAATAAAGTTTATGTCACTTTTTCCATGTATTCTCACTCTAAATGTAAATATCTGCTAGCCTATGTGTTTACAGGAGGGTAGAGCAAACAAGGAACCATATTCAGACCTATCTTTTTAAAAGGACATGCCACATTAAAAATATTGTGGACTTAATTTTGCCTGAATTATATAAAGCATACAAGGGGAAAGCTTTTAGAATATTAACATTCAAGAAGCATGTAAATATGATGAAAAAATTTAGTAAATCAGTTGGTTGATAATTAACTGTTTAGATACATAATTATTGTTTACTGTCTCTAACAAAAATAAGATATAATAATCACAGTAAAATGTGCTGTGGTAGGCAATTTTATTTCTTAACTTGACCTGTAAATAAGTAGCTTTCAACTTTGGCTTTATGTTGAAATCACCCAAAGAGTTTTTTAAAGTACTCATCTTGGTTCCTATTGGATATAATTTGGTCCAAGATATAAGAATTAGATTATAGAACTTTTGATATAATTGGTCTATAATTGATATAATAAGAACTAGGATATATAAGATATATAGAACTTTTGATATAATTGGTTGAGGGTATGGTGTGGCCATTGGATTTTCAGTTAGCTCTATTATTCCAAACTTCATCTAGGGTTAAGGACATTACTTTAAACAAACATGAAATTTATCTTAATCAATCACTGTTTATAATGAAGACATGTATTTATTTGGCCAAAACATCAGGTTGCTTAGTCAGATTTTTTTCTTATAGCTTCCTTAAAATTAGAGTTATTCTGAAAATTCTGATTGATACATTACTTGTGTCTTTTTCTCTTTCACATAACTAAAACAGAATGTAAGAAAGTATGTTATCATAATAATGTCTCCGAGTTTATTCGATTTTCTGTTTTCATTGACATTTTAAGATATTCTCTTTTTTTGAAATGAGGAATTTACTCATTTATTTTTTATTTTTGCACACTTTCAAGTTTTATTTTATTTTTATTTGATAAATAATGATTGTATATATTTATGAGATACAATGTGATACTTTTATTTTTCTTAATCTTAATTATTTTAATTTTTATTTTTTATTTTATGTTCAGGGGGTACACATGCAGGTTTGTTACTTGGGTAATTTGCATGTTAATGAGGCTTGGTGTATGGGAAATCCCATCACCAAGGTAATAAGCATAGTACACAGTAGGTAGCCTTCCAACCCACACTCTCCTCCCCACATTCCCACCTCAAGCTGTCCCCAGAGCCTATTGTTCTCTTCTTTGCATCCATTTGTATTCAGTGTTTAACTCTCACTTATAAATGAGAACACATACTAGTTAGTTTTTTGTTCCTATGTCAGTTCAACTTCAATAAGGTTCTTTGCCAAGGCTGATGTCCAGAGTGGTATTCCCTAGAGTTTATTCTAGGGTCTTATAGTTTGAGGTCTTGCATTGAAACGTTTTATCCATCTTGGGTTAATTATCATATATGGTAAAAGGAAGGGGCTCAGTGTCACTCTTCTGCATATGGCTATCCAGTTATCCCAGTACGATTTATTGAATAAAAAGTCCTTTTCCCATTGTTTGTTACTGTTGACTTTGTCAAAGATCAGGTGGTTGTCAGTGTGTCGCTTTATTTCTGAGTTTTCTAACCTGTTTCATTGGAATATGTTTCTGCTTTTTTACCAGTACCATGCTGTTTTGGTTACTGTAGCTCTGTAGTATATAATTTGAAGTCAATTAGTGTGATGCCTCCAGTCTTACTCTTTTTGCTTAGGATTGCTTTGGTGATTTTGTCTCTTTTTTGCTTTCATATGAATTTTAAAATAGCTTTTTATAATTCTGTGAAAAATGACATGTGAGGTTTGACAGGAATAGCACTGAATCTGTACATTGCTTTGAGAAGTATGACCATTTTAACAACAGTGAGTCTTTGTATCCATGAGCATGGAATATTTTTTTCATGTGTGTATGTCATCTCTGATGTCTTTCAGCAGTGTTTTGTAATTATATTGTAGATGTCATTCATATTCCTAGGTATTTTATTCTTTTTGTGGCTATTGTGAATAAAATTGCATTACTGGTTCATATCTCAGCTTGGATGTTATCAATGTATAAAAATGCTACTGATTTTTGTACATTGATATTGTATCCTGAAACTTTACTAAAGTTGCTTATCAGTTCTAGATACTTTCTGGTGGAGTCTATAGAGTTTTCTAGCTACAGAATCATATCATCTGTGAAGAGAGGTAGGTTGAATCCTTCTCTTCCTATTTGGATGCATTTTATTTCTTTCTCCTACCTGATTACTCCAGCTATAGCTTCCAGTACTTTGTTGAATAGGACTGGTTACAGTGGGCATCCTTGTCTTGTTTCACTTCTCAAGGGCAATGCTTCCAGCTTTTGCCTGTTCAGTATGATGTTGGCTGTTGGTTTGCCATGGATAGCTCTTATTATTGTAAGGTATGCTCCTTTGATGCCTTATTTGTGGAAGGTTTTTAACACGAAGAAATGTTGAATTTTATCAGAGGTCTTTTCTGCATCTGAGATGATTATATATTTTTGTGTTTAATTCTGTTTATGTGCTGAATCATATTCACTGATTTGTGTATGTTAAATCAACCTTGAATTCACAATTAGAAAAGTTGTTTTCCATATTGCAAGTTGGAAAATCAGCTTCTTCACCCAAAATATAGGCTGTAATTTTGAAAAATTCATAATAGTGTAAAAATTTTGTATCTGTACTCTATATTTCATATATGTTTGTTAATATATTATAGATATAATATAATAAAGTTCTGTATTTGCCTTGATGAAAGGCATACAAACTCCCTTAGACCAATATTTAAGATCACTTAAGAGCTGAACACTTTTAAGTGATTTATCTAATTATTTAACTTCACAAGCTATAATCCAATTTCTAAGTGTTATTATCATAATTTTTCACAATGCCTTACACTTTCGCTGCCTCTGTATAATAATCCAGAGTATTTCATCTGCCTGATTTGAGTGCCTTGTCCCATCCATTTATAGCTCATCCATATTATAAAGACAAACTCAAAAGCCTCCCTTCCAAGAATGTTCCCTGAATTGCCTTTATAGAAATCTTCATTTTGCTTTGGAAACCACAGCATTTAAAATTTTTTCTAAGAGCGCTTATCATTTTCAATCTAATATTATAATTTCTATGGCCACATACTATATGTGTTACCTCAAGCTTTTTAAATAAACCGTAATTACTTTAACTATTTTTTAAAAAATTTTAAAGCATTTTTCACTTTCTCGCAGTAGGTCATTCGTTTACAATTTTTGAATCATGAATAATATTAGTTAGGTGTAGAAAAATGACTTCTCAGGCATGTCACAAAAACAAATACCTCTCTCAAAGTATATTAAATATGTACTTAAGGCCCCAAATAGAATGATATCAATGTACCTTATTAAGTCAATAATAAGAGATTCTATTGCCACAGAATAACTCAAAATTTATTATTTCTATTATAAAACATAAATTTTAAATACGGTAACAAGGATAACGCATAAAGTTCTTTTAATAAGCACATAATTCCAGAAGGCTTAAAATGTGTACAAAGGTACATTAAATCACAGATGTATAATTATAGAAACATTTACTTGATCTATTTAAAAATCTCTAGAATATATTTGTATAGGGTCATTCAGGCTCCTTCAATATTTTTCAGTGCTTACTTTGAGCTCATGACTTTTTTAGATTTTTTTCATTGCCTTGGATCATTCTTCATTACCATTTCCTTTCCCTCTCTCTTTTTTTTTCTTGCAGCATCAAAGTTCAAATGGGATTTTTAATAATCCAGTTAAAGTTACCCAAATTATTCTTTCTGAGAAAATATTTCAACTTTCCTTGTTTATAGTCCCACTGTATCTGTCTCCACAGTAACTATAATAGTTTCAGTTTGTCTCTTGTATCCTTTTTCCTCTTCTTTTCACTATTTTCTCTGCTTCTGTAAAAAAAGTCTTTAAATAATTTTATAATCTTCTACTTTCCTGTTTCATCCAGTTCCTAGAGTCTTTTTAATGTTATCACTTTATATCTAAGTTGGATTTCTTAAGACCTCTACACAAATATACTAAAAATGTTCTAAAAATACACTAAAAATGTTTCTTGCCATAGCAATTTAATCACATTTGTTAAGTATTTATAGGCTTGTGATATTTTACATGAAATAATTTCTTAATAAAATCAAATTGTTGTATAGCTATAAAAAGTTATTTTCTTCTCTAAAAGTGCCATAGAGCCCAAACTTCTATACAATGGGGAAATACTTCTCCTCTTGTTAATCCTAAAGTTATCACTTTTATTAAAAGTATACTGTAAGAGAAGACAATTGATAGCATATGAAAAGCTATCATTGTGATTTGGAAAGGAATAATACCACAAATATTTTAACATTTCATTCTTAATGTAATAATTGTAGAAGCAGAAAGCAATAAGCATATATGAAAGCAACACAATGCAAGGCCTAGATATTTTTAAATGGAAGAGATTTTGACCAATAATATGAGGGTGTAATTAAAATAATAATACTAATTCTACTACGTGAAAACAATCTTCTTAGTATAAACATGTGGCAGTATTAGGCAGGATCTTGTCAGGGCAAGGAGAAAAATTAATGTGAGATATGAAGAATGCAAACCATAACTTGATTTTAACAGAGGTTTTAAAAAGCTTGGTAAAAATTATAAGTGACAAAAAATTATAAGCACTATTCTGTGAGAAACTAAACCAGGTAGTACTTTCCTTTGCAGGAAGTATTCCTAATCAGGTTTATTGTACCTTTGTAAGATATGAATTGATGTTTCCTTCAATTGCAATATGAGAGCTTCATTTTGACCTAGTTAATAAAAAAGTTGAATTAATTCTCTCAAATAACTGAAACATCTAAGGCAAAATTAAGTTCAGAAACAGAAGGACACCAAGTGAAACAATATCATCAGGTCTCCCTTTCTCCATCTCTCAGATAAACCCATTCCATGTAGCAAACATGGGCCATTGGCAGCCTACTTTCATTTTTTTTTTCTTAAATGGCAACTCCATAACTTTTCTGCCCTTAAATCTGTCAATTTCATAGAGACAACTCTGATTTGATTAGTTTAGACCACACTGAACCAATCACTGTAGTCTGAATGAAAGGATATTTTAATTATGTCATCCATGTGTTGGGAGAGATTCTTTACTAGAGAAAGGGTAAAATGCTCCAGGGAAGCATCAAAATGAAACAAACAGATGTCCATTGCAGACCTGACATTCACACTTTTCTGAACGTTTGTTACCATGTTTGATAGGTTTTTACTGACACTAACTAAAATTTGCTTTTCCTTAATACAAATACCATATAAATGATTGCATTTTATCTTATATTGCATCAATTTCTAGTCATATATCAAGTCAATGCCAATTGTAGCAAACCATAACACAGTAATCCAGATGTATTTTCAAAGCACATTTTAATTTTTTTTATTTCTATTTTACCACATCCTTCTGTACCTAATGAAAAATGTTTTATTTTTACTTGGGGCTAATTTTTATATCATCGTAGAATTTTTCTAGCATTTTCTCTTCTTGTTTCATCTAAAACATATAGAATATTTCCATTTATTAGTTAATATTGAAATCTTTCCTGTCTAGGGTATGAATTATTATAAACATCTCCCTTGGACTCATGTCCAGTGAGTTAATGATTAAGCTTCAACCGTGTAATTTCTAGGCAGGCATTTGCTAATATCACTTGCTAACAATTTTTTTCCTTCAATGTTCTGCATTGTCCCACTTTCAATATATTATCTTCTGAGTTTTACTTCTCTAGAGATATAGTTAGAAAAATTTTCAAAAATTACACTATGAGTTTGGAAAGCTATTTTGTTTTTACCATTATCCCAACTTCTATATTTGGTGGAGCAGTTGCAAAAAGAATGTAAAACGTAATTGTTTAGAATTGTTTTGATGGACAACTACTTCACCCAATAATCAAATTATTTTTCAAATATACTTCAAAATTATAATTGTCTTGCTTATTTTCAGTTCATATTTTATTTATTCTCTTGGTACATCCTATTATAGTTCATAAATTGCAACATAAATGAAGTTAAATTATCTTTCCTAATGATTTACAGAAGTCCTTGAACCATAGATTTTATTTATAAACAAATAAGAATATTTTGTCATTGTTTATAATGCTATTTTGATGGTTTTCATACAGTAGTACTATAAAATATGACTAATTTGTTTCAGGCAAGGTTCTGATTTATTAATACATTGTGCGTTTAATTGCACATATTAGCACATTGCATGCTTATGTAAATATATCAGTAAACTCAGTTCCTTTCAAAATATGTTTGTACATTATATACAGATATATATATATGTATATACACAGAGAGGTATAAGTGTGTATACAAAAATGTATGTCTACATACAAAAATGCTGTTAGTGCTAAGAAAAATTTTCACATACACTATATTTTAATGAAGACTTTCAAGAAAATCAAGCAAATAGAAATTATTTTTTAACCTCTGATTTAAAGTATATATAAGCAATTTTCAAAACCTTTCATAATATTGTAAATATAAAATGCTTTTAGAGAAAAAAATAATTTATTTTAAAAAGATACACCTGTTTCTAAAAGGAATGCTCTAAATTCTGATTAGGCTTTTTCCTTCAAGAGTTACAAAAAAAGTTGACTGTATTTCAGAGTTCTATAAAGTAGTTTTTTGTCAGTGAAACTAATCATTACACAAGAATATAATTGACATTTCAAATATTATGATTGCCTTCCTTTTCCACAGTGCAGTCTTTCTCTTAGAGTATAATCATTATCAAAAGAATATGTTTCAAAGCATACAGTAACAGTAACATTTTCTGCTGCAGATATATATATTTATTTTTACTTATACACTATGCTATGAATTAGCCGTTGTGTTGAGAGAAATTGGTACCATGTAAAATAAATATTTAAAAAATGTTCATTACTTCTTTATGTGCTTATTTCCTTTATCATTCAGGAACTACAACAATGATGCCTAGAGAACAAAGATTGAACTGGGAAGCAGTAGAGGCCAACTTCTGATTTTGTCTTTTAATATTTCTCCCCACAGAAACACCATAGTAGTAAACTCAAATAAGCAAAATATCTTCATTAAGTAAATAATTCCTGATGCAAAGTAGTACACAATAGTGGCCACTATGTTCTGAATATTTTAGAAAATGTATAAGCAGTATCACAACATTACATGATATTTGGCTTAAAGTAATTAAGCATCAATGCCGTCACTACTGCTGTGAAAAAGTTATCAAATATTGTTATATAGGAGGTTGCATGGTGTGGAGTAAATGAGAAAAAAGTTTTTAGCTCCACTCAAAGCAGATATCGACTGTTCTGTCTTCAAGGATTTTAAAATGAGTAGCCTGTCCCACAGCTCCCTGATTCATTCTGATCTTGCAATGACAACATAACATAAACAAGCAAGAAGATCAATCTATATGAAAGGAGTTTGGGGTAGTTATACAAAGTTCAACAGCAGACTGAAATCATTGAACATATTGAAAGAAAGAAGTAACTTTCCCAGAAATTGAGCTTCGAACATCAGTTACTTGAAGATTTTAAACAGATATATAAGCAAATAAGAGATGTTTGGACACAGGCTAAACCAACTAGGATAAGAACTTATTCAACACAATATTACCCAGACTGGTCAAGAAAAGTTCCCAGTGACATAGGTGATATTTACCACCAGTTTTTCAGTAAGAAGAGACCAGAAATTGTCAGAACTTATTTTACAGTATTATTTATGTACAGAATTATTGTTAAGTACCTAGTGTTTTCATTATAGATCGCGGACTTGTTAATTTATTGTACTGTTCTTACTTTACTAGAGTGTATTTTGATTGGTTGGGATGTGAATCACATACTGTAATATAAAGTCTAGGTAGACTGTTTAGATTTCGATGTTTGATTGTGTTGATAGGGTTCTATCCTACCCACAATCTTTCCTTGAATTTGTAGGATTTAAATGCCCACTCAATTAAATCATTATTGAGATATGATATTCTTCTAAGAAGTAGGAGTAGATAGAGGTTAAATGAGCTATATGGAATACACCTTTGTATATTCTAAAGTGATCAGCAACACAAAATTTTGTGGATGACAGTGTTGTCTATAACAATTGCTGTATTTCATATATACAACATGTTCTTGTTTCTCATATTAAAAAAAGTGTTCAAAATGATTATTTTTAAAGAGAAAAATTATATCTTATTGGTGAGGTAATATAAGTGAGGAGAGATTTAAAAAGTTGTTATAAAATCAACCTTATCTAATACCAGAAATGCACTGTTATCATTTTTAAGTGAATACATCAATATGACTTTACATATGGGTAAATATAAATGTTTTCCATTAATTCTAATAAAAATTAGAAAGTTAAGTATTTTTTTGAAATGAGAATTATGAAATATCTAGCAGCTTAATGAGTAGGAATGGCTACATGGCAAAATATACATATTTCCAGATAATAACTCACTTTGATTTTAATATATATTACACATTATATTGGGAAGCATTTTAATAGTAATTTTAATAGATCATTAATTTCAATAGTATTTTACCATCATAATCATCAATTAGCCATGATATATAGTAACAATTTCTGGTGAAACTGCCTAACCAGTTTTTTATATTTTATAATAAAAGAAAAAGTTAATAATTGTTATATAATTTTCTATTAAAAAATTAAATTCTGATTTAAGCCAAAGGTGCCAATATATTACCATATTCTTCACCCTCTTCAAGTAATGAATAAAAACTAAAAACATAAATCATTTGTATTTAGTCAAGATTTTATATCTTCACATAAATAAAAATCATACCCCATTTCTTCTTAACTATATCCTTCTACAATCAATATTTTAAGTTGAACCAATGTGATAAAAGGCATCAATTCTCATTCTTGATAAATCTTTCTGTGACCAACTCCAAAAACATATTAATCACTCAAAATATTTAAACTAGTTTCCCAAATTTAATTCACTGTAAAATTTTCCTAGGCAATTTAAGCGGGAAGGAGGCCAGCAACACACTTTAGCAACATAGATTATGATGCTGTACTCCAGAAGTAGTGGGATATATTTTTAAGAAGAAATTAAGTGGGAAGTGAATAAATGGGGTAGGAGGGATTTGTATGTGTAAATATGTACATATTGAAGAAAGTAAACCAAAATAAATATGCTTTATATATTTTATAAAAATAAAAAAAACTATATACACGTAACTCATTTACTGAATTATCTGCCAGGCACATAACTTATATATTTCAATTCTTACTACATTTCTAGTAAATACCCTTGTTTACAATTTAATAATGTCAAATTATGGCATAAAGAAATGTAAAAGCTTGTCCAAGATTAAATTATTAAATGACTGGGCATCATCTTGTACCTTATATTGAGTGATATCTAACCGTTATTCTTGACTATCATAACATCTGGCCACATATCAGAAATTTGTAATATAGGGATACATTTATTTAGGAATAAGAGTTTTAGATTCATTAGCTATTGATGAAAAGAATAATGTGGGAGATATAAAGAACTGAAAATTCCATGTGAGAGGAACAGCCCAAGCAAAGGACTGAGGAAGAAAAATAGCATTTTCTGGATTTGAAGACACACTACAGGAAGGAACTTAGCTTTATTTGTAATAATTTGCTACCACCACTAAATGCTTTCAATGAGGGAAATACATTAACGTGAAGCTGAATCTAAAAATCACAACAGAATTCTGAGTTGGAGATAAATATCTGGAAAGGAGATAAATATCTGGAAAGGAGACCTGTGCAGCAAAACATAACTGCCAAGAAAGGGCCAAGAGGCCAATGAATTCTTACTTATCTACTTTTATTTATTTATTACTTGTTTTTATTATCACCTTCTGATAAAGGACCCTCACAATTTAATTCTAGGCCTGCTCCCCTGCTCCTGCTGACACATGTTTGCTAATTGTTGAAGTTCTGTAGAATGCAGTATCTTTACTGTTTATAGGCCCAACATATCCCTGTCTACATCATGCTGATATTTTAGTTTAATTACCAACCTGGCAGCCAGGATGCAAAATGGATAAATTACCTTAAAGGTAACCTGTTGACTTGTCAAAGAAACACCTCTGCAGTCTGTTCCCATAGAGAGAAAGTCTTAGCTCATACTCCAGAGCATTGAGCCAGCTTGGCAAGCCTTGAAGACTCACAGGAATCTGCAGAGCCAAAGTTCTTAGGGCATTCATTCAGATGTTCTCAATTATGTTTTAATATCTTAGGTTTCCCCAACCAGGGTCCTGATCTTGTCATAACAGAACTGGCATGGGTGAGAATTTAAATCTTTCAAGCTTCATAACCCTTACTATCAGATATCGATTTTGCTCCTCAGCTATGTTTACTATCACAGTGCAGGATCAAATAGCCTTGTTGTGAGCTACTAAACTGACTAAGCGGCAGGATGTAGGCATAGGCAGTGATAGCCTTCAGATAAAGATGGAAGTTCTAATCTGTGAGGAAAAAGGGGATGATGAGGTAGGCAGAAAGAGCCTCAAATGCAGCTTAGCCCTGATAAAGTCTTGGCAGGCTACTGGCGAGTTTTCAAGCAAATGTTTCCCATTAAAGGGATCCTACATCAAGCAAGATTAGTGTTCTAGTACACTCACTGTGCTCAGTCATTAGTTGGAAATAAGTCTCTCTAAAGAATTGATGTATGAGCAGAGTCCAGAATGATGAAAAGAAATTGGTAATTGACTGGTATAAGCTGACTATTTTCTGTCTTCAATGTATCAAAGTGGTTATAATTATTATTTATCCTATATATCTCAAATGACAAGATACTGAATCACACAGTACATCCCTTTCAGGTGTATTCCCTTACAATTCACCACTTTTGTGTTATGTCATCACCATACTGACGCCCTACTAGTGCTATTGACTATGCTGTTCCAGGAATGCAGCATCTTTAAAATGTGGCATATGATAGAGCTATCAGATCCCATGGTGCTCACCACTTCACCTCTTTTGCCGTAAAGTGGGTTCAGTGGATTAAGGTGGTGTTACAAAAGATACATTTATTGTTCCATAAAGGGAATGATGTTCACCTTACCTCCGTGATTGAAATGCTTCTACCTGGCTGCTTCTTTCAGAAATTATATTACTGTCAATTTGAGAGCCCAGTTCTGCAACAGCATCTCCTACTGTTAGTATTAGTCTACAGAGAACATCTGCCACTGAGCTTCTTTATGATATCAGTACCCACCTCAAATAGGCTGTTATTGCTGCTATTGTAAATGGAGTGTCATACGTGTCTTGTCGAGGAACAAAGATTTCTGGTGTCTTGTGTCTTACATTTGGTATTTCTTATTTCTCTGGGACTTTTCTCCTTTCATTTATTCTCAGCCTTTGCTCTTCTGCAAGCATCATTTTGTTTAATGTGGGTTGTTGCTATTTTCTTAGTTTCCACGTGCCAACTCAACTCCACATGCATCAGAATTGGCCTGAGCAACATTCCAGAGCATTAAGTTCCAACTCACAGGAGAGTGCTCAGATACTGACAAAATCCATTATCCACTTTTAAAATATGTGTGCATACTCATATCTTACTTAGTTCTCTTAAAATATTCACTCCTATGCATAGTTTCATGGTCCTGTGAGTGTATATTTTCCAGGTTCTGCAGCTCCTCCAGTTTAAAATTCCTTTTTTCTTTTAGTAGACAAAACACTTTTCTGGTTTTTTTTCATATTAAGACTAGGCCTCATTTATTGGTCTGCTGTCAAAGAAATAAGTTATGTCAGATTCTGAGAAGAGAATTGTCCTGCCAATAGCCTCTTCACACTCGTCAAGCAAAGGGCTGCCACTATCCTCTACAAAGGGATGCAAGCATTCAGGATCTTGGTGCATCTACCCTTATATCCCCATGCCTAATCTCATTTCTCCCTTCTTTCCTCTACTTGTATTGACTATGGCATAGAGAATGCTCTTAGGCTAAGAATTCAGTCTTCTCTGAATTTCTATTACTTTCTACAATTATGTTCTATGCCTGATATCCAACTGTCTTCACTGCTTAGCTGCAGAAAATGATGGTTTCTTTAACAACTGCCAAAGAGGCATTTTGACTTTCATAAATTGCTTTAAATTGTTGATTAATAGATATGAGCCTATCACTTTTTCAGATAAATTAATCATTGGAGCTTAGCAACACCAATCCAATTTTACTGTTCTACTGTTCTTGCCAGCTCTCTCATTAATCTCAAACACCTGAGACATTGCATTGCCAGTGCATCCTCTTCTTGCTATATCCCATTCCAGACCATCATAGATGAAGCCTTAGCAATTCCACTGCTACAGCATTTTGAGGACTGTCCAGACTCAATTTGGAATCAGCATTGAGATCCTTATCGCCAACCAGAATTACATCCTCCAGGACTCCTTCCTAGGATGACTCCTGGCATACACTGTCTTAAGTTTCCTAGAAGTGGAATCTAAGAGGAGACTTTTTTTCCACGTAACTTATTACAGAAAGCTCTGAGAAGGGAAAACAGTGAAACAATGAAGGTTAGGAGAAAAACTTTAAGCAATAATGTCATATCTGCTGGAAATTTGTTTCAGTCTGATACCATGTGGAAGCTGTAGAATGCAAATTACAACAATACATTGATGACTTGCAACTAATTACCTTGGACCCTATATCAGTCAGTCAGGAGCAAAAGTCTGCCCTACACACAGGGAGTGGCATATAACTTCTGTGGTGGTGGATCCTGCTTGGCTGAGAGCAGTTCTCTGGAGAAGAGGTCAGATAAGAGTTATTTGCTAAGCACAGGCCTCACAAATAGCTGGGAGATAGATGCACCAACTGGTTCAGGCGATCAGAAAGGGAAATATTCAGCATCTACTACCACATGAAAGTGAATATGTTACCAATTATAAGATCATCTCCTGAGAAAAAATACTCATCCAAGTCCATATTCAACCCCATAACATGATTAAAAATAGTATGCCTAGCTGGGTGCGGTGGCTCATGCCTGTAATCCCAGCACTTTGGGAGGCCAAGGTGGGCAGATCATGAGGTCAGGAGTTTGAGACCAGCCTGACCAACATGGTAAAACCCCATCTCTACTAGAAATACAAAAATTAGCCAGGAATGGTGGCACACACCTGTGATCCCAGCTACTCAGGAGGCTGAGGCAGGAGAATCGCTTGAACCCAGCAGGTAGAGGTTGCAGTGAGCCCAGATTGGGCCATTGCCCTCCAGCCTGGGTGATAGAGTGAGACTCCATCTCAAAAAAAAAAAAAAAAAAAAGTATGCCATATATATGGCAGTTCTATTATATCTAATAACAAAATAGAAGAAAAAAAATAACGATTAGATTTCCTAAACCATGAAAGCATGCAATAAAGCCTAGTTTAATTTATAGAAGGAAGAGTAGGATGACTTTTAAGGATTATGTGTCACAATAGCAGGCCCACTGTTATTCTCAATACCTAACTGGCAAATTACAAATTTCCCCGTAGAAAGGAAAAGTAACTTATGGCACATAAGAGGTGCAAACACTCAAGCTGAACTCGTGTATTTTATTTTAGATGTAATTGAAATGACTCTTTTATGGAAATCAACAAAAATGATTAACATTCAGTTGCTTTCGGGGAATTTACATGATGAAATGGAGGAGCAACAAGAACTATTCTCAATACAGTCTTGGATCAATTACTTCTGTCTAAAATCCAAAGAGTTAGAATTTCATCTACATTTCAGCACTATCTACATGGCCTGCAGCTACACAATACAAATTAACTAATTTCTAAATTGTTGTTGTGGGTAACTTCAAGCACCAATTACATTGCCTCAGTGCTGCTGTATAAATTTATTGTAGATTTAAAAAAATGACTTTTTTGAACACACCTCATTTTAATTAAATTAGTGATCTGTGGAATTATTTAGTGAGATGCTCTACTACCATCTATAAAATTACTCAATGAGATATAATATTTTCATCCTATTCATCATATTTTCAGACTATAGCTCATCATATTTTCAGACTATATTCAGGAGAAATTCCAGTTCTTGAGATGTTAGATTATTTGTGATCTATTTGAGATTTCATAAGTTTTATGAATCCTATTTAATCAATTTGATTTATTTTTTTTCTCAACAGTTGGTCTACTGAGTAAGGAAACTAAACTTTGTGTTAGTGATTAATATTTATGAAGGGAAGTCATATCCACATGGAAGAGAAATTGAAAGAAAGTGAAATTTCAGTGGTAGCCATATGGGAGTTTTCTTTTTCTTCTTCGTTTTTTAAAAGCTTTCCAATGTAACTCTATTATACAGATGATGGAAGACAAAACAGAAGCACTTCATGAGGCCATGTACAATAAATAATAAATTTTAAAACCTGAAGAAAAAAAACAACAACTAATAAACATCAACCTTAAATCTATATCTGGAATAATAAAGAATAAAAATGTTGGCCGGGCACAGTGGCTGATGCCTGTAATCCGAGCACTTTGGGAGGCTGAGGTGGGTGGATCACGAGGTTAGGAGTTCGAGACCAGACTGGCCAAGATGGTGAAACCCCGTCTTTACTAAAAATACAAAAATTAGCCGGGTGCAGTGGCCGATGTCTGTAATCCCAGCTACTTTGGAGGCTGAGGCAGGAGAATTGCTTGAACCCAGGAGGCAGAAGTTGCAGTGAGCCAAGATCGCACCACCACACTCTAGCCTGGGTGACAGAGCAAGACTCCTTCTAAAAAAAAAAAAAAAAAAGAAAGAAACATCAAAAGAAAAAAGAGTAAAAATACTTATATAAAAAAAGAGTAAAAATAGTTAAACAGTATGAAAATCCTGAGCTCCCAAAAAGCAACAAATACAATGGTTTTTGTAATATATTACATACCCTGAAAAGAATGGCATTGTGACAAGAATGATAGTAAAAGTAAAATCATATTTGAGCTAGGCTATTTAAAATAATCAAGTTATCATCTATCATCTCCTGGCATGCTGCACTGAGAACAGCACAACAGCACTTTTGTGATATCTGTACCAAAACTGCATAACCTGAATTTAATCATGAGGGTATATCAGACAAAGCCAAATTGAGGGGCATTTTACAAGATAACTGGCCTATAATTTTCAAAAATATCAAGGCTCTGAGAAACTAAGACTATCTGAGGAACTATTCCAGATTAGAGAAAACCAAAGAGACATGACAACTAAATGTATTGTGTTATACTGGATTGCATCCTGGAGCAGAAACTAAAACAAGCAAACATTTTACAAGAAATACCACTATAGGAACACTTGGTGACATCTAAATAATGTCTATTGAACAGATAACCGTTCAATGTTAATTTCCTAATTTTGATAACTACAGCATTAATATACAAGACAATGTTCTTGATTTTAGTAAATGCAAAATGAATTATTTAGGGCATGACTAGTGTCAATTTACTCCCCACAGGTGAGAAGATAATAATATATATGTATAGATGTAGAGAAAATTATAAAGCAGATATGGTGAAATGTTAACACTTGGGGAATCTTCATGAAAGTTATATTAGAGTTATTTGTATCTGTCTTGCAATACTTCCCTAAGTCTGAAGTCATCTCAAAATGAAAGTTTAAACACAGCAATTCATATCAAAAAAAAGAAAAAAATCATAAATAGGGCAAATAGACTTATTTTAAATATAAAATATTCTTATTTATTTTTGGCTAAAATACTGCAATTGTATAATAATGTTAACCTTAATAGCTTTGAGAATTTGTCATTGAATAAAGCACTTTTTTTACAGTGCACGTAACAGCATAGAAATTTTTTAAAAAGTGGAGAAATACAAAAGGAAAAACTACTTCAAAACACTAATACAGTCACAAGCCAAATAATGACTTTATTTTATAATTTATTCCCTAGTGCATGGCATTATTTAAGCTGATGTTTAAAATGCATGTGTTTATATAAACAGAGCTGCAGATGCAGTCATATTTGTTGGAGTTAAGTTTTTCCCGTACTTTCCCTTAATCAACTAGTAGTAATTTAATACGACTGGCAAACTTAAGCCTCAGTTTTAACTAATGCAAATTAAGATAATTATATTGTACAAATAAATTCATTTTTTGGTTATATGATGAATCATCAATTTCCTCTTCATTTCTATTCTTGAAATGTTTGAATCATGTCACTTTGTTCCATATGATGTTTCTTCTTAGTTTCAGTTCAGTGGTGAATGAAGTGACTTAAGCAGTCCATCAGACATTGTGTTCTTGTCATACAGATAAATTGCTATACAGAAAATTTATGAATTGCAGTTCTAAATCTCTAAATCTTTAATATTTACAAACCATCAAAACTTCTAAGTCAGTCGGGAAAATCACGTGTTTTAAAAATATTCCTTTACCTGAGGTTTGGTGAAGCGGAGAAATATAACCTGAACTATTTTATCTATCCCACTGAATTGTGATTATCATATAAGCTATCAATTTGTGTTTTTATTATTTTACCCTGATATGGTTCGGCTCTTTGTCCCCACCCAAATCTCATCTTGAATTGTAATAATCCACACATGTCAAGGGCAGGACCAGGTGGAGATAATTGAATAATGGGGGCAATTTCTGCCATGCCATTCTCATGATAGCGAGTGAGTTCTCACCAGATCTGGTGGTTTTATAAGAATCTGGCATCTCCCCTACTGGCACTCATTCTCTCTCCTGGCGCCCTGTGAAGGGGTGCCTTCCACCATGATTGTAAGTTTCCTGGGGCCTCCCCAAACATGCTGAACTGTGAGTCAATTAAACCTCTTTTCTTTATAAATTATCCAGTCTTGGGTATTTCCTCATAGCAACGTGAGAACAGACTAATACATCCCTAAGCTTAAAAGCTTAAAAGAATTCTGTTATCAAAGCTTATTGTAACCTTGAACTCCTGCTCTCAAGCGATTCTCCTTCCTCATCCTTCCCAATAGCTAGTACTACAGACAGACAACATTATACACAGATAATTATTTTTTTTAATGTAGAGACAGGTTCACACTATGTTGCCCAGGCTAGTCTTAAACTCCTGGCCTCAAGTAATCCTCTCACCTTGGCCTCTCAAAATGCTGGGTTTATAGACATGAGCCACTGTGTCTGGCTGTCATGTGATAATTAAAAACAAGGTAAGATGATCCCTTCCTTTAATAGTATCCAGTAAGATAAATATATGCACAAAGTATACAGTTAGGTGTAATTCAACAACCATCTTACAAATAAAATTTAAAATAATTGCAATTTTAAGAATCATATATCAGCCAGGCATGGTGGATAATGCTGTACTCCCAGCTCTGAGAGGCTGAGGTGGAAGCATCACTTGAGGCTAGGAATTTGAGACCAGCCTAGGCAACATAAGGTGACCCCATCTTTACAAATAATAATAATAATAATAATTTAAAATTTTTAAAAGGAAATAAAACAAAAAAATTATATACCAAAGTTATTTTCCATATACAGAAATTTCTGATGGACTATATCTATAAAATCAGAAACTGCTTGAAGAGCTACTTCTGGAAATTGTTTTAAATGCTAAAGGATAAAGCTCACATACTTCATAATAAAATTATGCTGCTGAAAAACCTTTTAAAATGTAGTTTCTATTAAAAAAAATCCCACCTATGCTTCATATTGTTTTCATCTCTTAGATGCTTTATTTTCCATGTTCTGTGTTCACTATGTGGTTATTTTAAGATATTATACATACTAATCTAATTAAAGGTGAGAATATTTCAATAACAATTAAGAAAACATCAAATTAAAAAACCTTGAATTTCAAAATCTCAGGTTCTCACTATTCTCAGCTTGTTCTATTGAAAAATATCACAAGGCTAAGATACTAGATCTGCTATGAACTAGCTGTAGAAGCAATGAGCAAGAACTTTCCACCTTCCGATTTCCATATGCTGATCTTTAAAGCAGTTGGACTAAGTAAAACACAAATTCCCTTTCATACAAAAATATCCTTGATTTTTTCCTTTGTGCAAATGAAGAAACTGCATTTGTTTCTCCTTGCTAAATAGTGAATATCTATTATGTTGTTATGTTGTTAATAGTTATTTTGCTTAAAAATATATTTCTGGATTTGTATATGTTTATGTAATTTTTAGCCTATCATAAGAACCCAAATTATCAATATCCTTAAAAAGTATATTTCCCAGACAGTTGTATCCAAAGCATGTATATCTGAAAATGTTTATTATAAATAATGTCCAAAGGCTTTGCTGTCACTGTGTGTTTGCTATCGCTTGCTATCATCTGCTTTACAATAATAGATGTTGGCACTTTCTTTAGATGTATTTGATTTTTTTTCACTTACACCTTCTTCTGATGTCCTATTCTATATTATAAATTATTTAAGAAAGAAAATTATATTTCTTGTGATCATGACAAACCTTTGAATAAAATAAAGTTTTGCGTAATAATTCCCTTTTATTGATTTGTAAAAAATTAGAGAATTTCCATTTTTCTTGTAAAGTTTCATCTGACTTAATTTGACTGAGTGTTTCAACAAATCAAGCTATATTTTCAGGGAGAGACGAACGTGAACTATTCTTGGCCATCATTTATTGTACTCATCATAATTTTTTTTTTCTGATTTTTTGTTTTCATTCCACATAGGTCACTACAGCAAAGTTTTTTTGTTCTGTTCCAGCAGGTCTCTTTAGGTCTAGTGGCTCTCTGTATTATGTGTGGTTTTACTCTTGTATGCACAGGACATATTTTGTAGTTCCTACTCCATGCTGTGATTCATGGAATTCTACAATATTAAGAAGAGCACTTCTTATTTGTCATGCAAGGTTACAGAAACATCATCTTTAAAAGAAGATGAACCCAAGAAAATCTGTAAGGCCAGTTCCAGCATCACATAGCCATTTCTTTGTGTAATCACGTGCTATACCTTTCTAAAGAAACAGCAGAAAATGAGGCAGAAGTTTCTTTGCTTTTAAATCATTCGAATCTCTCTGGAGATTAGGTCACTGCTTCCTTTTAGGGTTTAACACCTTGGAATATCAGGCACAAGCCCCCTTCTCATGATCTAATTGCCTTTGAACTCTTTTTCTCCTCCCAACACAGGTAGGATCAGTATAGTCTCTGGAGTTCCTACACGTGTAAGGGCCTTACAATGTCACGAGTTTTAAGTCAGTTTCTCTAGAAGCAAAGTCTGTAATAGTGATTTTTTTTCACTGACTCAAGCGATGTTTCAAGGCGAAAGCAAGGATAAGGCAGTGTTGGTGGAACACTAAGCAAGCCTGTGTCTCAGTTGAAGACTAGCTTCAGTCTGATACCACAAAGAGGTTCTAGGCAAAAATTGTACCACAGAGTTTGTCTTACCTTAGGCAGGATCACTCACTGCCTTAGGTCTAAGTTGAAGGATAGGCAACTCTGACCTGTTGGAAGAAGAGAGTGGCAGTGCTCCAGAGAAATTACAGCTGTGAATTATCAGCAACCAACATACATATCAGTTGGGGGATGGATACACTGTTTAAGGGGGCCTGAGCATCCCCTATACAAGGCTAATGATGATAATTCAACTCTTTATCTGTGTTCCCTCAAAGAAATACTTGAGATATAGAGTTAGGTACTTATAGAGGTGACCCCATGAAGCACTCATGAGGAAATAAAAAGTATGAGACAAGAGAAAAGACAATCATCAGTTCATTAGTGTGCAGACTCACATTGTAGACAAATAGGTTGGGGCTCTCTATCTTCCCTGGGGAGTCACCTTTCCTTCTCTGGGTCAGTAGGCAATTGATGCTGAATGATTGCAGTGCAAGAAAGCTCTCAGGAACAAGAAATAAAAACAGTCTTTTAAGACAGGAAGGTGTAATTTATGTGCTGGGAAAAGATCTAATATAGTTGCCTATAAACTGAAGTGGACTGTACTGCATGAATTGTGTATGTTATATCTCTTATACTATCCTATTTTAGTCATGGTCACATTGAGTCCCCAGTGTGGAGATGCAATATTCAGACTTCGAGGTGATAGCTAGTATCAACTTCTAAAAGAATATTTGAAATGGGAAGGATGGTGAAAAATTACACTCCTATGGCTATCGCTAGTCCCAAGACAATTTTGTGTATTCATAACTTTCCTCGTCTACTTTCTATTTCTCAGTCCCATCTCTCTTGGTCAGCATTCCACTGGCCTAGGTACTGGTCCTGGTGAGTTGACTTAGGTCATAATTCCTCAAGGTTCTGATTTCCTAATTACCTGGTTTTTTATTACCCTACAGTGGCTTTAATTACCAATCCACTGTTATCACAGGAAATGGAAGCACAAGTAAGAACTTTCAATAAGTCCTTGAATTCCACACAACGTTTTCATTGCCCTTTATATAGCTGCAACTTTAGCACATCTAGTAAATGAGCTTCAATTAGTCTTTTTAGGAGAGGAGACCCTGTCTTTGGATTCTGACCTATTATCCTGTCCCACAATGAAGCAGAAGAAGTTATGGTGTCTCATGTACTGAAGCATTTGTTGCATCCTCTGGTCAAAGTATTTCATCTCTGGGTACCAGTCTCTAATCCCACAAACTCCAATATTGGATAGATGAGAACCTAAAATTCCCCAAGTGAGACAACAGAAATGATGAAGAAAGAAGGCATTCCTATTTCTACCCTTTGATTCCCAGACTAGTTATTGAGAAAAAACAGCAGTAGCATAAATAGTTGTTGTTTTCACATATATACCAGGGTTCCCAACTCCACATCACATACAACATGATGCATTTTCCTGAGCCTTTGAAAGGCTATTTAAAATTCTATCATAACGGCATTGCACAGGTGATGTGGGCAGAAATTTTTGCTTCTATAACATGTGCCCTTCATTGTTTTTCCTTCACTATAAAATTACCGCGTTCTTGGACTGAGGTCATGCTATGTGTCATGCTAAACCTCAGTGAGTGGTGTTGGCAGAAGCAATGTGATTAGACAAGACAAATTCATTTCTAGAATTTGTGACAATCCCAGTAAGTATAAATTTTTGCTACTCCTGGCCCTTTCAGGAAAGAGGGAGTCCTGGGAGGCAGAGGTTGCAGTGAGCCAAGATCACGCCATTGCACTCCAGCCTTGGCAACAAGAGTGAAACTCCATCTAAAAAAAAAAAAAGAAAGAAAGAAAGAAAAAAGAAAAAGAATGAGAGGGTCCAAAACTAGTTTATCTCCTTGAATGATGGTGAGGGTTCAAGGCTCATAAAAATAATTTCAAGATGGGTCTAAGGATCACTGCATTCAATGTAAATGTGGGCCAGGGCCGGGCACGGTAGCTCACACCTGTACTCCCAGCACTTTGGGAGGCCGAGGTGGGCGGATCACGAGCTCAGGAGATAGAGAACATCCTGGCTAACATGGGGAAACCCTGTCTCTACTAAAAATACAAAAAAAAATTAGCTGGGTGTGGTGGCGGGCGCCTGTAGTCCCCGTCACTTGGGAGGCTGAGGCAGGAGAATGGCCTGAACCCAGGAGGTGGAGCTTACAGTGAGCCGAGATTGCACCACTGCACTCCAGCCTAGGCGACAGAGCAAGACTCTGTCTCAAAAAAAAAAAAAAAGAATGTGGGCCAGAATGATCTATATATCACCTGGTCTTGATCTTGATATATCTATACTCAAAGACTATAAGCATGTTAGCATTTTGGGTCTTAGGTACAAAATCCAAAAATTCTCAAATATCTGGACATTTCCCTTCCTTTGTGATGAATGTATGATCCTTTCAGGAAAGATTGGAGAAAATACACACATACACACACACACTGGTCACATTGCAGGTTCTTTCTTAAGAGGACCAGGTGTCTTCTTCAGTTAATGGGCTCTGAGTTTGAGAACAATCTCAATATTTGAACAGGACGAGGAATTGTGATTTTCCCATGTTCTTATTTCTTATAAACTTTTCACTTATTTATTTTATACTGTTTATGGAGTTAGTTCATCCACAAAATATATTTCTTGTTTGTAATTTCATGATAGCTTATATTTAGGTTTGCTAGAAAATACAGAGAAACATTTCTTTCTTCAAAGTTTTAATCTCATAGTTTGTTATTAGTAGAATATTGACACATTGCTATGCTATAGATGCTATTGAGTTGTGACCGTATTAAGACAATCAAAAAGGAATGTTGAGTAGTATGCATTCCTTCTTCCTAATTTATCAAGATAATCACACGCTTTTTAGATTTGAATTGAACTCTTCACTTGCACAGTATTTGCTTTCAGGTGTTTTCATTCTAGTAGTGGGAGATTGTTTTGTTTTAGGTCATAAAAGCATTGCCCAACAGAATAAGCACAAAATTAATTACACGTTTTTAAAGAATGGAAAATCCACACAAAATTTGTTAGACTTCCCAGAAGCATTAAAGAAATTAGCCACACTCTGCCCAAAAAGAAATATAATGACAAAAACATTTGTTAAGAAAAAAACAAAATAGCTGAAAATGTGATGTCAAATTGTTCGAAAGAGTCATATTTGTGAACAACCAGCTGGAAAATTTCTTCTTGTGAACAATTCATTTGTTTACCTCTGGAGCAGGTAGTAAGCTCTCATCTAGCAGGAAGCTACTGGCTGCTGAATACATGAGCACACAGCCAAGTGGGTCCAGTTTCCTCTCCCTTTTCCCTTCATTGGCATTTACAACGTATTTAGGGAAACAGCTGGATATGGGGCAGGCCAACCACAGGGAAATATTGATGCTGACTGGAGAAATGGACAAAAGTTTTCCTTGTAACTTGAACTTTCTTTTCTTCACTTTCGGAGACTGCTTTTTTTTTTTACATTTTTCCCAAGAAAGATCCAAAGTTTTTTAGACAGAATTTGATTCTAACTGAGCCAGTT
The DNA here is from genome assembly GCF_000001405.40 of Homo sapiens. Taxonomy (NCBI): domain Eukaryota; kingdom Metazoa; phylum Chordata; class Mammalia; order Primates; family Hominidae; genus Homo; species Homo sapiens. Next base: position 95,460,156 of record NC_000003.12, read on the forward strand.
GACAAAAAAAATCTTTTCCTATCATCACGAGGCATGTCAAATTTGAAAGCAAATTCTTCCATTTTGAATATTCTTGTTTCAAAGTAACAAAATTATAAAAGCATGACCAGCATATCTAGTGTTATTTGTGTTATTTCTCACTCTGCTGTTTGTAGAGACATTAAAAGAAGATAAGAAGATGACATATGACAGGAAGCAGGGCAACATAGCAGTCCAGGTGGAATCTGTTCAGTCTCTGGCTCACAGAAGGCTGGAGACTGGCAACTCTAAAGAGAAACAAGTATGTGTTTCACAAAATATTGGCAAGGGCAAGCAACTGGGACTGATCCTGGCAATCTTTCCCGTATTTGCAAATGGCATATGTTAATGTCCTTTGGCCAGCTGAACACATGACAGATATCTTTTAACCAGGTCAGAAAAACACAACATGAAAGCACAATTTGTGCTTCTAGTAGACTCTGGCCTGCACTCTCAAGCAGAAATAGAAACAAAGATAGAAACGGGAGATGGCCATGTTCCTACTCTTACTCTAATAATTACCCCTTTTCTTCACTTGTGCATGGTGTTGATAGTTATTGTTCTAAGAACCTTTATGTGATGAAACACTTTCATTTAACTTTTCAAATCACTTATATAAAGTTACAAATTGGTTCTGGGTTTTTTTTTCATTTTTTTTAGAGACAGGGTCTCACTCAGACAGTGGCATGATTACACTTCAATGCAGTCTCCTGGGCTCAGGTGATCTTCCTACCTCAGCATCCCAAGATGCTGGGACTGCAGGTGAGAACAACCATGACTGGCTAATATTTTTGTCTTTATTTTTTGCAGAGATAGGGTTCATTAGTTTATTCTTGCATTGCTATAAAGAAATGCATGAACCTGGGTAATTTATAAGGAAAAGAGGTTTAATTGGCTCACAGTTCTGCAGGCTGTACAAGAAGCATGATGCTGATATCGGCTTAGCTTCCAAGGAAGCCTCAGGAAACTTACAGCAGAAGGCAAAGGGAGAGCTAGCACTTCACATGGCTGGAGCAGGAGGGATAGAGAGGGGTGTTGGCTACACACTAAACAACGAGATCTCATGATAACTCACTCACTATCACAAGAACAGCGCTAAGGAGGTGGTTCTAATCCTTTTATAAGAACTCTGCCCCAGTGATCCAGTCACCTCCCACCAGGCCCCACCTGCAACAATGGGGACACAATTGAACATGAGATTTGGGTGGGAACACAGATCTAAACCATATCATGGGGTCTCACTTTGTTGCCAAGGCTGGTCTTGAACTCCTGCCCTCAAGTGGTTTTCTCACCTAATCATTTTAAAGTTTGCAATTATATTTAATTGTCTCCTTCCTTGCATCCTTCCCTTCTTTTATTTTTTCTTTCTATACGTAGTATTTTCTTGAGTGTCTGTTACGTGGCAAGCATAATGTTAGTTTGGGGATCACACAGGGAATAATAAAATACCTTCGCAAAGCTTAAAGCCTAGTATATCAGAAAGGAAGGTAACCAGATAAATACAGTCCAATGCATTCTATAAATAAAATTCAAAGATACAATGAGAGTACATAAGAGAAGCACCCACTGTACGAAAAAAGAAATTTTCTTGGAGAAAGTGTCATCTTCAATACCTGAATCTTAAATAAAAGTTAGATGGCTATGGGAAGAAAGAGAGAGACCTTAAGAAAGAAAGAATTACAAGCACAAAAGCCTGGGGTCAGGGGAGGGCACCTCTCAATATAGACTTTCAGAAATAAGAAGAAATATAAAAGATTGAGGTCAGAGTGTAACCAGAGGTGAGATTTACAACTCCTTGTAAGTAATGCCAAAACATTAAACCTTGTAACCTAAGGAATGGCATGATTAGAATATTAGTTTAAGCAGCAGTGTACAGACAGTAAATGGTGGTTCCTTAGCAGTGTGCTGTTAGAGTTCATAGTCTAATCACTTCACTATGCTGCCCCTTGAACTCAGTTCATTCAGCTAAAATATTAATGGGAACATTTAGGTATGTATTTATGGTATATATTTAACAGGATTATTTTAGGGATTATACTATCTAATACATGCTGAGAACTTACAATAATGTTTAGTAAAGAGTAAACACTAAATAAATGATTGCCATTGTGGTGACTCAGAAACCAGGGTTTGGTATGAAGATTGTCTTAAGCGGAAGACATATGAGATTCAACAGATCAGAGAAAAGCCTTCTAGGATCTTCCTTTATCTGACGAAAAGCATCAACTGCTGGGAAATGAGGCTGCCATAAATTCTCTCCTTGGGATGGGTCTATCCCACAACAGAGACTAAAAGTAAAACTTGTAAAACTCTTGTCTTCGAGAAAGCGTCATGGCCAAAAAGAAGACAGAAGACCACTTGCTCCGTCATAAACAAATATTATCACAAACTCTATCTTCCTCTCATTTTAAAAACTTAGCTGTTTTTCCTAAAAAAATTGATTTGTTCTTCACATAAAGCCTTTACTCCCCTCCTCTATTTCCCCTAATAAGTTAGGTACTTAAGCCTCTAAATTTAACTATTTAACCAGCTAGCTACTTCTTTTGTTCGCTCCCTTGTGCATGTGAGTACATGATTTTTATCCTATTACTCATCTTGTGATGGTTTGATTAATTGGTCACCAGTTCAGAACCTAAGACGGTGGAGGAAAAGTTTTTTCTTCTAGACATCATCATTATTATTATTATTATTATTAATTATAGGACCATTACTCTGGTTACATTATGAAAAATACATCAGGGATGTATAAACAGCACAGAAAAAAATGTTAGATGTTATTACAGTGGTCCAGCAATAGATGATGCTCAACTAAATTAACATATGGGCTGGGGAGAAGGATGGAAACAGTTTTGACAGGAGTCAACTGACGAGTGGATGGGAATCAATAATTTGGAAAGCAGAGCTTTATTTCACATAAATAAGTGCAGCCTGCTGGGTGGCCATTCTGTCAGGGAAGAAAGCATAACCTCCAGTCAGAAGCTAGAAACAGACACTTCAAGAGAGACGCAAAGGGAAAAGGAATGTATGCTGAGCAGGGTGTACGAATATATATATTTAAAAAGCTATAAGTGGAGTTATGAATATTTATTAAAGGAGAAATATGCACATGTGCAATTGAGCTTCATGCCCCTTCATGGGTACTATGTACAAAAAATGGCCAAGTTAGCAGAATCTGAGGGTGGAGATTTAGGCCCTGTGATGTCAAAAGGTGAAGCAGAAGATGTGAAAAACCTTACTGCTCATCCGCCATAGATACCAGAACTGCTCCATGGTCCATGGTATCTTATCAGGAAGAAATGCCAGTTGCTTGTTTTGTCGAAACCGCAAAAGGGAGGGGCAGCAGAAAGGTCAGTAGATTCTACTCTCCACAGTAGAGTCTTTTAAAGAAACTGGTTCTGTGTAGCCATCAGGGAAGAAAGCCTAAGTACACTTAGCGAGGGATGGGGTAGAACAAGGCATGTCTGATCTCCCATCATGACCAAGAACTCAGTTTTCAAGGTTACTCTGGGGTCCCCTTAGCCAAGAGGAGTCCATTTAGTTAGTCATGGGGCTTAGGATTTCATTTTTATATCTCAGAGGCAAAGTGCAATAGAATGAACAATGCTTAGTGGATGATTGAATGAGTGTGATGTAAAGGATACAGGTATGGATGAAATTTAACAAATGACAATGGAAGAATATAAATTTAGTGTCCAAAAGTGACAATATTGAACATAATATAAAAGAACTTCTGCTAACTAGCTTAGAAAATATAAGGATACTAGTAGCAAAACTAACATCGATAAAACAAACAATTTAAAAGTGTAACACTTCACTTTGTACTGTTAAATTACCAAACTTCAAATAGTTAGAAAATTCCAACTGAAATGTGAGGAAGAAGAAACTTTATGCGCCGCATGTAGGTTTTGAAATGAGATTACGTGATCAAAATCAGACTATTAATTTCTATACTGGATATAGAGCCCAGTAAAACTTTGAAGCATTCCTAAGAAGGGCATATATTGGATATTCATTACACCATTCTGTTGGGACATCAGAAATAAGTGGCATAAAACAACAGCTAGGTGTTTACACTGGTAGGTTATATTGTATTCTGAAACTGTCCTAAAGTGTTTGCTGCATCCCCCTGCCTGAGTTCCTTGTAAGAGGAAATTTATACACACACACACACAGATACACACACACACACACACACACACACACAGAGGAACACATTTTCCTGGTTGTTGCTGTATGACTTTTACTTCTCTCTTGATGGAGGAGTATACTGCTTTCCTACATTTACATGAATTTGGTCTGTGACTTGTTTTGGCCAAGAAAATGAGAGCAGGAATGACTGTCTGCCAATTCTGAGCAAAAACTTTAAACAGCAATTTTGCAGTTTCATCAGGTCTCGGGTGGATCTATTTTACTTTATTCCAGAAGGTGGAAGCTACATAGAGCAGACTGTGAAAAGCCCTGCAGATTGTGAATAACTACAGCAGCAATGTAAGCAGGAAATACATATTTGTTCTTGCAAGCCCTGGGTATCATTGTGCTTATCCTTTGGTTACTAATAGTCTTTATCACTTGTAAATTCCTGAAGGTCAGAGGGCATTTTGCTCATCTTTGTGTTTCTAGAAAATACTATTTCCTGGTACCTAGTAGTGATGCAGGATTTTCCTTGGTTACTTTGCTAGTGGGGGACTTCCAGCTGGTGACGCCCCTGTCAGGGCCTCACTTGGCCACGCTACTTGCTGCAGGAGGTGGCCCTCCCATGCCCAGCCCACCTGTGTTATAGCACGTACCCATGTTTTGTGGTTCTCAAGTTCTTGTCCTGCATCCAAGAAGAATCAGAGTATGCTGACAATTGAACGGTAAGGAGGATGAAGAAGAATTGTATTGTGCAACAGAACAGCTCTCAGTGGAGAGGGCACATGGGGGTGCCCTCCCCTTAGTGTGGCTGGGTCTGTGGCTTTTATAGGCTCAGAATGGAAAGTGCATGCTGGTTGGTTTGTGAATATGCACAAAAGGCTAAAACAAAGACACCACTCAAAGGTGGGCATGACACTGTAGAAAACCAGTTAGGAAAGGGTAGGTATATGTAAAATAGGTGAAGGTTGGGAATCAATCAGAAAAAAGCATGCAAAATGGGAAGAGACATTCTCAGTCTGGTCTGAGGATTTACCTGGGGCTGTCTCTGGCTTGAAGGTCAGGTTTCACTGGGGATCAACCCCTGTCTGCCTAGAGATTTGTCTGTCTCCTGCTACTATCAGCAGATATTAAATATATTTTTTAAAAATTTATATTATCCCAGCATCAGTTTAGCTTTTCAGTCATCATCACCCTATGAAGCAGCAAACAGATCTTCACTAGTGTCACTCTTCAGCAACTTCTGCATTGTAAATTTGGTGATTTAATCATCTTTCCTCTTTCTTCTCTGGAATTTTCTGCTAGACTTTTAAAAATAGACTTTTCTTATTTAATTGTTTCAGCAGTTTTAGGCTTACAGTAAATTCAGAGGAAGGCACAGAGATTTTTCAAATATCTCTGGCCTCCACACATGCATCACCTTCCACATTATTAATATTCCCTATCAAAGTGATATTTGTGACAATAGATGGACCTACACTGACACGTCCTTAAACATATGACACTACAATTATCAAGATCATAGTTTACATTAGTGTCAGTTCTTACTGTTGTACATTGTATGGGTTTGGACAAAGGTATAAATTATGTGAATCCACCATTGCATTTTCATATAGAAAAGTTTTACTTCCCCAAATATCTTCTGTACTCTGCCTATTTATCTCAACCTTCACTTTGGTGCTTGGTAGCCAATAATTGTTTTACTGTCTCCATATTTTTGCCTTTTCTAGAATGTCATGTAATTAGAATCATATAGTATGTAGCCTCTTCAGATGGTCTTCTTTCATTTAGTAATATGCATTTAAGTTCCCTTTCATATATTTCATTGCTTGATACCTCTTTTTTTATAGTATTGAATAATATTCTATTGCTTGGATGTACTGCAGTTTGTTGATTTATTCCCCCGCTAAAGGACATCTTGGTTGCTTCCAAGTTTTGACCATTATGAATAAAGTTGCTGTAAACATCCATGTGCAAGTATTTGTGTGGACAAAACTTTTTAACTACTTTGGGTAAATACCAAGGACATGATTGAAGGATCCTATGGTAATTGCTGGATTGTATGTTGAGTATAATCAGTTTTTTTTTAATCTGCCAAACTGTATTCCAAAATGGCTGTATCTTTTAATTGGTACATTTAGACTATTCAAATTAAAAGTGAATATTGGTATGGCTGGAATCATATCTGCCATATGTTTTTCTGTTTTCTATTTATTATCCTTTTTCTCTTTTATTTCTTTTCTGCCTTTTGTGGCTTTACTTGAGTGAACACTTTATGATTCCATTATCTCACTTCTCTTAACATATTACTTTTGCTTTTTTTCACTCTTTAAAGTTTTTGTACTAGAGTTTGCAATATATGTTTTCAACTAATCCAAGTCCACTTTTAAATAAGACAGCACTGCTTTGGGGTAGTGCAAGTACCTAATGAAAACAAAACAATCCTAATTTCTCCCTACCATCCCTTGAATCATTGCTGTTATCCATTTTGCTTATACATAGGTATACATTAAAACACACACACACACAAGCATACGTATTCAAATACATTGTTTCTATTATTTTGAAGACTGTTATCTCTCAGATCAGTTAAAAATGATATAAATAAATTTTTAAATTTCACCTTTACGTATTTCTTTTCTGATACTCTCTTTTTTTAATGTAGTTTTGAAGTTCTTACTGATATTATTTTCTTCTCTTTAAGAACTTGTGATATCGTGTAAGATGGGTCTCTTGACAACAAAGTCATTCAATTTCTCTTTGAGAAAGGCTTCATTTTTTCTTTGCTTTTGAAGGACAGTTATTTAGAGTATCAAATTCTAGTTTGGTGTGCATTTTTTTCCCTCACAGCATTTAAAAGAATATATTCAATTATCTTCTTTCTTGCATGAATTCTGAGGAAAACTTGGATGCAATTCTTATCTATCCACATCTACAGGCAATCTTTGTTTTCCTTTGGCTTCTTTCAGGATCTTTTTCTTTATCTTTGACTTTATGTAGTTCAAAAGTGATATACCTTATTGTAGGTTTTCATTTTTATTTTTTGGCATTTATTCTGATTGAACTTCTTGGATCTATGGCTTGATATTGACATTAATTTGTAGAAATTCTCCATCATTTTTTGTTTGCATATTGATTCTGTTCTTCTCTTCCTTCACATTTTGATATTCCCATAATGTACATTTATACCTTTAAAATTATCCCACAGGATAACATAGATATTCTGTTCTTTTTTCTCCAGTCTTTTTTCTCTTTGCTTTTTCAATTTTCGAGGTTTCTATCTAGATAGTCTCAAGTTCAGAAATTCTTTCCTCAACTGTGTACAGCCTGCTAATGAGACACACAAAGGCATTCTTCATTTCTGTTACAATGTTTTTTATCTCTAGCATATTAGCTCTTTCTTAGAATGTTTATCTCTGTTAACATTGTCCTGTTTTGCATTTTGCCTATTTTATCCAGAAGAGCTTTTAACATATTAATCATAATTGTTTGAATTCCAAGTCTGATCATTTCCTCATCCCTGCCACATCCGAGTCTTCTTATGCTTTATTTGTCTTTTTTGTGGGTTTTTTTTCTTTGCCTTTTAGTAGGCCTTGTAATTTTTCTTGATATCCAGACTCCATGATCAAAGGAATGCTGTAAATAGGCTGTTAGTAATGTTGTGGTAAGGTGTGAAGGAGGAGAAGTGTTCTGCGGTCCTATGATTAAATTTCAATCTTTTAGTGAGCCTATGCCTCTAGAATGAGAACTTTCTAAGTGCTTTTCTGTTTTGACTCCCATCTCCATGAGATTGGACAGCATGACTAAAGTGGGCTGAAGGCTGGAGTTGAGTATTTCTTTTCTCCTACTTGGAAGGCTTCAGGAGGCTGGAGTTGGGTATCTTACTTCCTCCAGGTCAGTTAGGCTCTGATCCAACCCTAGAATGTTAGACTTTAGCTCATTAGTTTCTTCTCACAGCTGACCTTGTTAATAAGAACAGAATACTCTGATATATTTTAAAATGATTCCTCTCCTCTTTCCCCTCCAGAGGGTATTTTTCTCTGATGTTCACTGTGAAAAAGAGGTGAAGCTCCACCAGATAAAATTTACAAAAATTAACCCCTCCCCACTGCCATGACAGGTTCCTCTGTAGTTTTGACCCAAAGTTGCCCATACTGAGCCTCCAGCAATTAGTCAATTGCAGTTTAGATTTTCCTACCCTGGCATTTTCCTGCCCTGGCCACAGATGTTTCAACTTTTGGGTTTCTGTGCTGAGCTGATAAGAATTCATTTCTCCTACGGATCTAAACTAACCGGTTACTGATTTTTCAATTTGTTTAGCATTTTACTTACTGTTGGAATGAAGTGGCTACATTTCCAACCTTCTCACATGACAGACTGCAAACTGTAAGTTCTCTGTTGTACTTTTGTTTGGAGGAATAGAGTCTTTGTGAGAATACACACATAACAAAGTGTGCTAATCACAGTACAAAGTGCACCAATCTCTTCCAATCCTGGAGGATGGAACGCTTTTAATTCAGCATGTTTAAATAACAAACAGGGAGAGGCTATGTAAAAGAAACATATTTATTTAGGTATAGAACATCACAATGGAAATTCAGGTACCGTAGCATACTATGTGCATATTTAGAGAGGTGAAAACATTTAAGGAAAAAACAGGGAGGATACCTAATTGTTTTAAAATAATCATCTTTGGTTACGAAGATCAATAACAAGGGTGTCACCAGTTTGAGACTGCACACGCAGTTGCTGGAAAGATATCCTTGCAGAAGTATTTGTGTGTGTGTGAGGTTGTGTGTGTGTGCTAAGTTGTAGTTTTTGCAGTCTTTTTTGCTATCAGACATACAAGTATGATAATTATCTCTTTTTGAACTTCCTTGGCTCCATTATTTATTTTTTTCTTTTTTTTAACATTAGTAACCCCACTTTGGTTCTGATAACCTTCACATTTATCCCTTTTGATCAAAGTCCTTCTCCAAAAGTATCACTAATAAGTCATCCCTTTGTTAGGATTTGATGTCCCTCAGTGTGTGGATGGGCCTATTCTAGTTGACTTATCTCACATGGGGAGGAGTGACTGGAAACTAGGAGACAGTGGCCACATTTGAACGACAGTGGCGATTAGAAAGACTTGTTCTCAGGCTAAGTCTGCCTGGAGCCTATCGTTAAGCTCAGTTTTGTTTGTTCTATAGTCTGTTGTTCTCGCCTCAAAATGCTTGACCAGCATTATTTTGTTAGGATTTGTCCCTCTGCAAAAATCTAATAAATAATAGATGCAAAGTTAAAAAAGGAAAATACAAAGTAAAATTAATAGTAATAAGACAATTCCAGTTTGTATAATGATTTTGAGCCACAAATCTAGGCTTAAAGACAACTAATTTAATAAATTTAATAAATATAAGGAATTAAGTGAGACCTACTGTAACCATGTGGTCTGTTTTCTATTTTCCCAGATGTATTTACCGAAGCACAGCTTTTAGTATTAGCAATAGCATAGACATTTTCTTATTTAACCAATAGTTAAAAGGACTTTTTAGGTTAGTTTCTGTTAAATTCCAGCAGAAGCTATTGATTGTAACTTTCCATTACACCATTATCCTATCAAGCAAAAAAGTAGCATTAAAAGAGTAAAAGTTTCATTATGATACGAAGCCTTGTCCCAACGTCTGGAAAAGCTGTCTACGGTATGAAAACATCAACTTTTTCTCCTAGTTTGTAGTCTGAATGACTCTGGTCATGGCACTGGCAGTTTGGTGAACTTTTTGTGTTGTCTATACATCGGACATGAGAATGATCCTTAAAATTTACCTAGTTTCAGCCTGCAAGGTGTTGGGAAGAGAATAGCTTTTGGTTTTAGTTGTAAAGTTGTACTCAAATATTGGAGGGAATTGGGAGAATTCAGGACCTAGTCCAGTCTAGAGGTAGATAACAAGAACTTGAAAACAATGCATAGAACCACAATCTAATAACAGCTATATAATAGATATTTTTATGATAACTTTTTCTATACATATTGATCCTATAGCAATCTGTTATTTAAAAACATCTTGAGTCTAGGCAGAATTTAGAATTTACTTACAGTCTTAAGGTTCTTGAGTCTGCCAGGTAGCTACTATTTTTACTCACTCATTGTAAGGCTGGGAACTCTTGAAACCGGGCATTTTATACACATTATTAAATATGACATTTTAGTTAAAGTCTTGGAAATAGAACTAATGTTTGTAATTGTACCCTGCTTATTTATAAAGAGAGAGAAAATTTTTATTGAACTTATATAAGTAAAAATACAAATACACATGAATAATTTCTGAAATTGGGAGGAATCAAGTGGGAGAAAAAGCAAATGCTTGCATCTTTTTCACAAATGTATACTTTTCCAAATTGTTAAAAACTACAGATAGCTTATGAGAGAAAATTTTCTTAAATCTGGAAAACAAAACATTTAAGTAAAGAATCAAAAACATTTTAAATAAAAGTCATAAAAATTTTATCTTCATCAGTTTCTTAATTTTATGCAATTATTAAATTTGATTTTAATTAGCAGTTTTTATGAACCCATGAGTTTCTTCACTAGAATTCTAGAAATATTTATTTAGTCCATTGATCTTAAAATTTTCAGATATCTGTGTTCAAGACTACTTGTTAGAGCCTTTTCCATGAAAAGCATTTTTGGACTATCGCTGATTGCAAATATTTTTACAGAAGAATTCAAAACAATAACTGTGGATGACAAACAGAATAACCATTTTAAAATATGATGAAAGCTCTCAATTGGCAAGGAAATTTAATTACTTGCATTACATGTGGCATTTTAAGATGAGATCCAGAATCAGACAGCATCACATCAGAACCATCAGACTTTTATAAATTTCTTATAATTTTTAGAATCCTCCATTAATAACATATTTATATGAACATAACTTTAGAAAAGATTTAATATAACAATCAAAAGTATGACAAAACATTCAATTTTTATAAGTTTATGTAATTTCTGGGACATTTATATCAGTAACTTATTCAGAAATGTAATATAAGGAAAATCTAATATGACTCATCATTTATCTATGGCTCTCATACAGTTTACCAAATGAGTCCTACAATTTAACATATCTGCATGATGAGAGGTACATACTTCAAAGCTATCCAGGGACCCAACTAAAATACCCTACCATGAAGTTTATGCCAAAAAGACTTAATATAGGATTTTGATTCTGAAGGTACCTATCGAAAATGTCAAAAGGCCCAAAACACTTGATCAAAAAAGAATCACAGGTCATGTTAAAAAAATAGCTATTCATTTAATCAGAATAATAATCAAAACACTTCTAAAGCAATACAGAAAGTTATATGGATGTAAAAACATTATCCCTATTATAATTTGGATTTCTTAATTAAAACTTAATAAAGACAATACAGGAATTATCTTGATAAAACATAAAATTGTTGTTTTTAGTTTGTTTGTTTATTTTTCTTTTTAGGCCAGCCTCCATAAAAATAAAGAAAAACATACTACAATGTGATTGTTTTTCTTTAAGGGAAGTCCATTTTGATAACCTGGGAGTCAAACCTGATAAAAAGGGTACTTGAATTTAATCAGACACAGGAAGAGTGTATCCAGCATTATGAGTTAAACTATATTATAAAGGAATGTTAAAACAAACAAATTAGTACCTTGAGTAGGAAAATACATGGATTTCAGTAACAGCATGGGAATTTTCCAGGTTACATTAAATAATTCAGGCATATTTTAAAAATCCAAGTGTATGGAAACAAGTTAAACTGGAGAAAAACACTGGTTTTCTAGACCTTCAAGATAAACATTTCAGCATCAGGCCATAAAAGCAGAGTTAGAGCCAGAGAAAAAAAGGTTACAGGAGTTGATGAAAAGATTGAAGGAGAGAGGAATTACCCTAGCCAACCAAAGAGACATACCTTTTTAAAGGGAGAAAAATAAAACAGAAGGCAATGACTTATGACCTGCAAATCACATGCAGTGAGATACAACAAAATTTGAACTTCTGAAATATAAAGCTCAAAAGTTTCAAAAAGATAAATTTTACCTCAAGAAATACAATTATCCATCTGAATGAAAAAGACAGTATTTCCAGTGTGAAACCAGAGAAATGGTTTAAATCTCAGAAAAAAATAGAAACTGTATGTAATTTAGAAGATGATTGTTATAAAGAAACAGATTTCAGAATCAAAAATCAATACCTTTTATAACTTTACTAACAGCAAATTAATATCTTAAGAAAACCTTGTTGTTCTAACATAAGGACCTTCTTTAAAAGTTTTTGTGTTAGTTCATTTTTAATGTCAAAGCTCAAATTTTACAGACTTAAATAATTTTTTTTATTACAGCCAACTTAATGACACACAAAATTCCTTTAATAAATTCTATTTTCATGAACCTTATCATAACTTACTCAGAATGTTGGCAACACACTTAAAATTTCTGCTTTATCCTATACTTCCTCTTTCCAAAAAAATAAAATAGTCATTTTGCTTTAGAACAAAATTTACCATACCAGTTTCTTTCTCATACAAAATTATTCTCTCTTCTAATCAACTTTCCTTGCCAAGAATGCATCTTAATCTTCATAACTTTCTTCACATCTCTTTCTCCTACTTCCTGGTTTATTTTTATCTTGTTTCTATTTTCTTCATAAACCCATAGTCTGAAGCAACATTAAATTTCCTTTAAATTAGATAAAAATGCGTTTCTATCAAAAAAGAAAGCATTTTTATGTCTTTCCTAATTTTTTTATTAAAAACAACTTAGGTGTATGTGCACTTATATATAGAACTGTTTATATATGTTAGGATTTTAAACTCTTAATAACCTTAAACTTTAATGAAAACCTAGGAATCAAGCAATCTTGAATTATCTGCCCATACATGAGTATTTTATAGATGAGGACGATTTTATATTTTTTAGAAACATGTTTCTTCATAACATAATTTTATGTATATTAATTGACTCAAATATATTTAGTCTTTCTACAAACATTAAGAAGGCAAAAACAAAGTTGTATTTACGGTCAGTATTTTTTTTAATCTTATTTAGATATGACCCAGACATTTAATTAGTATCTATTATTAAACATAACTTAAATATTTCAAATTATATGAAAAGTTCATTTATAGATATTTGCCACATTTACATTCATCTAATTTATTTATTTTTAACAGTTACCTCTATTACTTATAAAAACCAAGACATTAGACAATGATAGTCCTCACTTCTAGTTATTTCCTTGTTAACCATTTTTATAGCCCATGACTATCTGGTGTTTACCTAAATAAAAAAATCTTAAGTTAAATATGTGGTTATTTTGCTGACAAATCTGAACATACAGCTGGCTTCATCAAACCAACAACATTAAATTAATTTTATCGAAAAAATTCACAAATATTCTGTTTTATACAGGTTTTATAGTTTTTATAACCTTTGTATAAAACCCTGACATTTGAAAATACCTAGCAGAAACAAATATAAAACTACCAGTAAATCCAGGCAAAACTGTATGCTGGCAAATTTGAAGATGTATCTATTTTTATGTTATGAATAATTTAAAAACCAACTAATTTATTAAATATTTGCTTAATTAACATGACAAAAAGACATTTGGGTTAATTATATATTTTATATGAGCACTCATTTGTCTTTAGCATAGTCAGAATACATAACATGATACATGTACATATGCATAAACAAGTCTAAACACACACACACACAAAGATCTTATAGCTTCATTTTAAAATTTTAGACATGAGCTAGTAATACAACAAATACATTAGTTTATAAGAGACAGTTGAATCCAAATTGTATTTCAGACAAAATTGGAACAAGTTCACATAACTAAACATTTTTAGCCCCAATATGTAATCTAACAAAGGTTGTGGACCGAAACTTTGGGTAAAGCATTTCCCATGGCAGTTTGATTTTACAAACAAACAAACAAGCAAAAAACCTCTTCTCTTATTTTCTTGCACCATTTTTAGTTTCAAATGTGTTTAAGGTCTTGGTGCCGTGGCTCATGCCTGTAATCCTAATAATTTAGGAGGCTGAGACCACTGGATTGCTTGAGCCCAAGAGTTAAGAGACCAGTCTGGGCAACATGGCAAAACCCCATCTACTCAAAAAAATACAAAATAGCTGGGTGTGTTGGCACACGCTGTGGTCCCAGTTACTCAGGAGGCTGAGGTGGGAAGATCCCTTGAGTCCCAGGGGTGGAGTTTGCAGTGAGCTGAGATTGCACCACTGCACTCCAGGCTGGGTGAGTTAGCCAGACTCTGTCTCAAAAAAAAAAAAAAAAAAGTGTTTAGGGTTAAAATTTTAGTGTTCACATTTTAGCTAGGACTAGCTGAATTTTATAAGATAAACAAAATATCCAAGTAGTCTTGAATTAGAGACAAATGTGTCTGTTATTTGCTTTCTGATTTGCTTGATTAGCAAATTCAAGTAGAAAAGAATTTTAGCGGTTTCTTTTTCTTTTCTTTCTTTCTTTTTTTTTTTTTTTTTGGACTTTTCACTTTTGGCCTCTCTGTGGCAGAAAAAAGAAAAATATTTTTATGCATGACTGAGACAACTTATGTGATTGATTTCAACTGAAGATTTTGATCTGTTTAATTGGAGATCCAACTTTTTAAAACATTTTTCCTAGTTCTTTTTTTTGATCATTAATTATTCAATTATGTTCTATCATCATATGCAATTGTTAGTCAAGCAAATCTAAAATTACATTTCTAACGGGTGTTCAATTTGTTGGCTATCATGGAGCTGTCAGAATTTGTAAAAAACCATTAATTTTAAAGCCCTTTAAGATTCCCTTTGAAGTATATATAAATATATATTAAATTATATTTATTTATCAATTTATATATTTATAAATATATTTACATATTTATAAATAAATTTTAAAATAAAATATTTTATTATACATATATATATCTCCAACCCCGGGACTCAAGGGCCCACCTCAGCCTCCTGAGTAGCTGGGATCACAGCATATGCCAACACACTCAACTAATTTTTGTATTTTTTTGTGTAGATGGGGTTTTGTCATGTTGCCATATATATATATATGTATATATGTGTATATATATGTATATATGTCTACATATATACCCACATATTATATATACATACACACGTGCACATATATATATATATATATATATATAGAGAGAGAGAGAGAGAGAGAGAGAGAGAGAGAGGCTGCAATGCCATAAACAGTGAATTTTATTTCAATGCCATTAGAAAAGTCAGCAGATTTAAAGTAGACAGAAAAAATACAGAGACCTAGATAGAGAACTTAGAAGACTCTGCATGTTAACTCTATAGCTGCTAATTTTTCTAGTAATTACTATTTGAGCTCTGAATTTTCCTTGATGTAATTTGCCCACCAGTTTAAAAGTATTCCCACAAACAAACCATAAAATGTAGTCAGCTGGAGCCTCAGAAAACCTGGCATTTCTTAATGTTTGAGAATCCCATTCCATTTCTTATTAATCTCACAAATACCAAAAATAAAAATTATATAAATTTTGTCAGGGAATGTCAGGAGTTTAGACTGGTGTTTTAGATTGTGACAATTGTCCTAGTAGCTTTAAATTAGCTACCCTGCATTTACTATTTTGAATGTTTATTTTTGCTCTCATAAGACTTTCAGAAACAAGCAAGGGAAAAGAGTCAAACAGAACTCAGTGAAACCAAAATAAGGATAAGCACAAAAATTTTAACCTAGGTGTGCAGATCAACAAAATATTAAACCAGATGCACAGTCTAGACTGAAATTACTCACCAGAAGACATACCTTAAAGACAGAATGTAAGACCTATAGAAATAAGACTACTCAATTAGAAAGATCCTTATCTTTATACCAGAAAGGAATAAGCAGAAAAGACAAAACATCTTTTATCATCCCTGGAGGAATATACCATTCCTTATTAAGGTAGCCTTATCCAAATAAGATTCCCCAACTTATATCAAAAAGCCTCTACCAAAAGGGTGAAGGCTGAACCTAGAAGATTTGCAAGGCCAGACACGGTGAAGCATGGAAGCAGAGGCTCAAGTTACTCCTTCACACTAATTGCAAGAATTGCCAATTTCTTCTTATAGTGATCTTATTCAGGTCCCATTTCAGATACCATATATATGACAAAACAAATAACGAACAAAAAGATGGTCTCTGAAAGGAAACACATTTATCTGGCAATAGAGCATTGCAATAAGAATATGCATGCCATAGTAAACTATGTATCGAAAGGTAAAAAAGACCAAGGTTTTTAAAGGACAAAATAAGAAAGATTACATAATTATTTTTGAAATAATTATCTTTGCCTACAGAGATAAATAACAAGGATGACAGCAGTCTGAGGTTGAGCAGGCAATTTCTGGGCAGATGTCATTGTAGAAGTTTCGCTTTTTGTGGTCTTTTTCACTATCAAGCATACAAGTGTGAGGACTCTCTTCATGATCTTCCTTGGCTCTATTTCTGAGGTTTTTCTCAACATTAGTGACTCCATTTTTATTTTCACTGCTTTTATGGCATAACTGAGAGAAAACACCAATAGATTAGAGTTGTATTTGATTTAAAATCTATTTGTTATCTCTCTTCTAGGGAGGAAAATAATTGGTTTGGATTTGAAATTCAAAGGAAGGCTCTTACCTGCCTCACTTAAACTTGAATTTTGCAAAATTAGTTTGAAAAATACTTGAATTTCAATTCATTGTAACATAGTTTAAAATGCACTTTCAAATTAGCTTTATTAGTAAGTTTTAAATAATATTCTTAGTCCAACTTTCACTATAATTTTGAAGCCTCATTTCTTTTAATGCTTATACACGTATGCTGTAATGTAACACTATCCATAATGGTTTGAAAGCAAATTTGAATTACACTAGACAAATAAATTTCTTTAAATAGTTTGTTTTTGTTATGTTTATTCTAATGACATATTTTAGCTTTTTGTCTTAATTGATTTAAAATAAGAATTTTGAAAATAGAAAAGAAAGCACACATACACAGAGATTTTGAATCTCATAGTTAAACATTGTGATTTTGATTAGAACTTGGCATCTTCTACTATATTGGAAAGCAGAAGGATGCTACAGTATTTTATTTTCAAGATAATAATTGGAAATGTATTTGAGCACTCAGCTAGAACTTTAATATTGTTTCAATTTTGGTCAATGAGGAAGTTCATTCTCCTTTGCTGACTTAATGAATGGAAACCAAGGGGCATCAGAAGGATAATACAAAGTGAATCTTGCACTCAAAATATCATGCTGTACATGGCAAACACATGTAATTTTATCTGTCTATTTAAAAATACTTCAAAAACTTTATTCTAAGAAAACATATTTTGATGATTAAAAGAAAACTGTAAGGAAGCCATAAATTTTCAACTATATATTTGTATATTCTGTGGCTTCCTTAGATATGTATTTATAAATATATATAATACATATAATATCTACTACGTAAACATATATTTATTATATATGTATAATGTATATGTATATAACATAGACTAGGTAAACATAATATGCATAATATGTAAGCATATTATATGAATCACTGTTTTTTTGTATTTTATAATGTTTTGACATCTTGCTAATCCTAAAAACACTGCCACTCCCATAACTAGCTAATTCCTAGAAAGAGCAAATGACTTTAATGGGAGCATAAACTTCATATGCAAATCAACCAATTCAGATCTCATATTGGCCAACTACCCTCTTTCTTCAGCTCTCAGAGGTTGAGCCACTATCTTCCTTGCCTAATATCACTTCAGGGCCAGGTAACAGACAATTCAAGACAACTCCTACCACCTACAGCCCACTAATGCTATTTGAAACTGGCTAATTCTAAATCTTGTTACCATGCCTTGCCATCCCCACAGAAAGCACAAGAAAGTCTCCTGTCCACACTTTTCCCTCATTCCTTCTTCCTCCTGACTGACCCTGGCGTGTCTCTGTGTGGCCTTGTGTGGCATAGTGTGCCCCCTGCTCCTGGGAACTGTGAAACTATCTTTTCAGCAACAATCATCTCCTCATCTGTTGGCCTCAGCAAACTTGAGTAATAAGTTCTACATGTTAAAACACATATATGTATATGTATTTGTGTGTGTCTGTATTGTGTACATATATCTACTGTTAGAGTTTTTATGTTATAATTTAACCATTGTATCACTATTTTTTCCATTAATCAATAAGATTTTATCTATATTTAAGAAACAACCTAGTCTTACAAAATGGATTAATTGTTTCATGAGTTTTGGCCTTGTAAAATATCAGTAAATGCCAATGAAAATGATTTCAAGTATTTATAGGCTTCAATAGTATATATATATATATATATATTATATATAGTGTATATATAGTATATACAGTGTGTATATATATACCATATATAGCGTGTATATATAGTATATATAGTGTATATATAGTATATATAGTGTGTATATATATAGCATATGTATACTATAAGGCTTCTATATATATATTTGCTATAAAATATATATAGAAGTTACAAATAGAAATAAAATAATTTTAAACTCATTTTTTTGAAAGATTGCACTGTTCCACTAAGGATTAAGATGAGAATTTAGGTCAATAATCAAGTTTCCATTATATAATCCAAGCATTTCCTAAGAGATAAATAACTTTAGAAGCTTTTGTAATTCTTTCAAGCTCTATTTATATGAATTGATTTCTCCACTTGAATCTCAAGGAGGCATATGGATCATAACATGTCTTGCTTTCACGCTCACTCTCCATCAGCTGGCACCACCATTCTTTCATATCCTAGGGCAAAAAAAAAATGGAGCAATATTGCTTACTTTCTTTCCACGACAATACACCTACAATTATAAAATACATCTTTTTTACCAAAATAAACGTTAGAAAGATTGCCACAATTTCTTAGGACCTATATTATTTTCACATTTGTCCAAACCACTAGTTTTTAAAATATTTTCTCCAAACTAAATTATTGCAATAACTTTTGTCCAGCCCCTACAACATTCTTCTAACAAAGGCAGCAAGAATAAATTGGAACATTTTACTCACCTGCTAAAATTTCTATAAAATTTAAACTCCTTGTCAAGAAATGCAAGGCATTGTACATCCTCAGCTCGCGATTCAGCTACACCCTCCTTTACTTCATCTGCCTTGGCAGGTCTGGAGTAGTCTTGGTAGTCAAGTGAGAAAAACTTCTAATAAAATTAGCAACCATAATATGGATTCAGCAATGATGCTAGAATATGAGATTGGAATTTAAATTTTACTGTCAACTTCTTGCGAAGGTTCAAGCATTTTCTTAGAAATGTTGTATCTAGTTATACCGGAACAGAAATAATATTTTGGCATGTTAAAAAAAATTTTTTATCCTTCTAAATTTATCATCACTAGGTTTCCCTTGGCTTTCATATCAAGATCAAGCTTGATCAACTCAGACTCTAGCATTACTTCAGTAGTGTAGAATTATATATTATGTCATATATATAAGAAGATATAACATGTATTATAAATAATTGACATTTGGTAAAGATTCAATCATTTAGCTATATTTAAATTGTGGATAGAATTTAAAACATTGCACATTTAAAATGACTAGTGAGTTATATAATTATTTATAATATATATGATTTATAGATTATATATAATTAATTATATATTACCTATTTTTCCAGTGGCCATAAAAGATGAGAAAAGAGAAAGGCTGAAGATGTGTGGGGAAAGTACAGAATTCCATAGGTAATAATAAAATGTGTATTAATTTTTCTGCTTGCTTAGCCAAACTCCCAAAGGGACAAGGAGAAAAGATAGATAGAACAAGGATAAAATCTCAAGTTGAGAGATTTTATTTCCTACCTCCTTTCTGGGGACATCTGGCACTGTGAATTTCCAAGATGCAGACTTGAGCACCATGTTCCAGAAACATGGTTGGTGATAGGTAAACAAGGAATTTTCAGACTCAAGGTCCCAGAAGACAATACATTCTTCTGATGCAACCAACATAATAGCTAAATAATTGAGAGAATCTACACCATATGCCAAATTGGTATAGGCTTGTACTTGTCAAGGGGTAGTGAGATCCATCTACTCTAATTTTTAATCAACTAATGATACTTTACAGTTGTTTAATAGTAGAAACAACATAAAGAATGGGGGACATAAAAATATGATATGAAATCATAGAAAAAAACAATGGTAATATTGAAAACAATTGGATGCTTTGAGATTTAATAGAGGTCAAATTGGAAATGATCTTCTTTGGAAACACAATGTAATGCAATCATATGCAAGAAATAAGTTGGTAAAATTTATGTAGAGTTACATAAATCTAATTTTCTTTGATTTTTCCAGTGAAAATTAAAAACTAGACCTTTAGCCTCTTAGCCCATTTTCCTATTTTGTTCTTTTCTAGTTTTGTTCTGTGCTATTTTTAAACTTTTTGCTTCAATTGATTTTATATATTCTAGGAAATGATTTCCAATGTTTGTAAAATTTGAAATGTTAATAGAAATTTTATGAAACTAAAAATGTGAATATATTTATCAGTTAGCCACAAATCTAATATTTGACTATTTTAAATTTGATTTTAATTGGCTTGCATTTTCTTAATATCCCAGAGTTTAGGTCAGTCATCATTTTCATGTTAAAAATAAAATGTTAAAATAAAAAGATTAATGAAATATTACTTTAATTCAAACAACATACCATTTCACCAAAATAATTGTCTCAACAATGCCTGGTTAATTTAAACTAGTTTTGCTCATTCACTAAGAAACATAGTAGAAATGCATGTGAAATATCAGATATAAAGTATTATCATTTGAGATTACAGTCATCCCTCAATATCCGAAGAGCATTGGTTCCCAAACTCTCCCAGTACCACAATCCACAGATGCTCTGGTTCCTTCTATAAAATGGCAAAGTATTTGTATATAATCTGTGCACATCCTCTTATATACTTTAGATAATCTCTAGATTACTTATAAGACCTCATGCAATGCCTACACATCACCTCATTTATGTGAATTTAATGCAGTAGTGGGTGGGAAATTTTAGTTCTGCTCTTTGAAACTTTGTGGGATATATTTTTCAAATATTTTCAATCCAGGTTTGATTGAATCCATGAACGTAAAACCCATAGATGTAAAAGACAGACTGTATATCCTTATTTTATTAAAAGTTTAAGAGGTTGTCCATATTTTTCATAACATTTTGTAGAAATATAAAAGCCCATAATGGCATAATAAAAGAGGAACTATTCATTCTTTAGATTTAGTAAATAACAAAGCTTAGAAGTGATTTGGTGCTTCACTATTAAAAGTATAAGAAACATCTGCACCAATCCTGGGACTTGTCTGAAATCCAGAAAATCAGGCCCCACCATGAATCTTCTAAAAATAATCTGCATTTTAACAAGATCTTGAGGTAATTTTCATGCGGTTACATGTGGAAAAGTATTATAAGGAAAGAAGTGATGGGAAGATGAAAAGAGGAGGAGTAGGTATAAATTGGATGTTCTGAGAGGGCCTGCATGGAACTCTTAGTTCACTGTTTTCTGAGTAGTGCAGGCTAACCAAGAGAGGAGCAGGTACCCACTCTGTGTGTTAGTATCAGAACTTTATGTCTCTGGCTAACAGTGGAAATTAATTCCCCATGGCTAAGGAGGTGCAAAAAGTTAAAACAGAACCAGGGAGCCATGATTTGGTGAGCAAACAGTCACATACTCTGGGATCTCAGAAAGATGTTATAAATGTATCACAGGGCCTTCCTCTCTAAAATGGCGCTAAACCAGTTCCTGATGGCTGTGCCAACATAAACTCTGGCCAGAAATTCCCTGCCTATCCACCATCTGAAATAAACATCTGATAAAGGTATTTGAGTTTGGGCTTGGAAACCAACCCATCAGAGCTCACCTACCTGGGCCAATCGAAGCTCAGATGTATCAACCAATCAGGGTTCAGCTACATTGACCAGTAACAATTTAGCTGTACCAACCAATCAGAACTTAGATAGTTTCAATCCTTCATTTGCATCAACAGACCTGTTTGGGAACCTGAGAAGGAACTTTTGCTATAAAACCCATATGCTCTCTTTGTTCTCTGGAATATAGCTTTGTTTTGCACTGAAGGCTGTCTACCCAGTTGGCAAACTGTTCACTAGAATTAATTTTCTTTCCTCCAATTTTTTTTCAGACAGATTTTGGTCTCAGAACCTACAGAATGGCCTTACATTTCCGGGTTATCCTTTAGTTTTACCCAGTTATGAGAATGCCTAGTTTAGAGGTAATTTAACATTTGAAAGGTCTTCTAATTCAAAGGTCAAGAGCAACAACTGATAGTATTAAACATGCCATAGGAGGATATAACATTTGTTTACTCTGAAGGACAGTATAAATCTACATACTACAGAATATGGCAAGTCAATAAATTAGAGTGTTATCTTTTTATTAACTTTAACAAATTAACATTCACGTTTATCCAAAATTTGTTCCTGAAATTAATAGTAAAGATACAAATTAAAAGATACAGACCCTAATAAAACAGTTAGTATATGCAGCATTTGCTTCATGAGAAGTGAGATGAGAGACACTTTTTACTTAATGAAAGTGAAGAATTTAAATACAAAAGTAATGATCTAATCTATGTGATACAATGATATATGAATATATTTTTCTTATATATTTAGAATTTATTTTTATTATTTTCCAAAATGTGTGAATAGAAATATGTTGATCTAATTATCAAACAGTGTAAGTCTTCCATCAGTTATTTTTTTAAAAAAGGCAGCACATCAAACCTAATGGATACTAAGAGAATAATAATTTTGAGCTTGGGAATCAAGATTTAAAAACAAGCAATGAAGTTTCATAAAATTGCTTTAGCACATGATGGTATCCCACTCATCTACTGATTTTATGAGGGCCTCTTTTCTTTAGTAATTTGTTACATTACTGTGGTGGCAAATTTATTTTTTTAAATCTCATTAAAAGTTTAAAACATTATTTTTGATTTTTTAAAAAGTACCACATATGGAATTTACTTCTAGGCTTCTGCAGAAAATAATAGTCACTGATGATCAAAGCTGGGAATTCTCACCAGTGCACTGAGGTACATGAACACTTGAACCCCAGATTAGAGGTGTGCTCCAAGATGGGTGTAAAACATGTATAGTAAGATGGTATTTAAAATGTATTATTGACTTTTAAACAGTTGAAAGTCTACTAAAAGAGTCCTTAGATGACTCCTCTCTATGATTGTTATGAATTGAGTAATTAATTTTGTTATCTGCAGGACTTGTGTCCAGGCCTATAAGAAGAGTTTCTCTGACTCTCTGCTGAGTAGAACCACTTAATCTGATTTCATTATTGTCAAGATTTTTATATCACCAGAGAAATTCTTTATCATTAGAATGCATGTAAGTATTTAGAATTGTTATTAAAACTTTTTAAAAAGATTTTTCTAAGCTAGTATCATCTATGATTGCTATTTTTATTACCTGGAATTAGATATTTCTATGTAAAGAACAAAATTGGTTTTATCGAATAGTTAATTTCAAGCATTTATTAATCATTGGCTATTGATGTCAACATTTATAAAATTTTTAATACATTAATATTTGTTTTCAAAAGTAAATAATATTTCTTAAATCGAAAACATAATTTATTGCAGTGCACTATGCACTAGTGATTTATTAAGGTACTATGGGTACCAAGAGTTTCAAAAATATGTTTTGCATTATGTTTTCATCCTATAAGGTAATACTATTGAAATCTGTATTTTTTGCCAAATTTTAATATTAAAATAAGTGAGAAGTAATATTTAGCTCTTCTCATTTTGCTTATCACATAGTATTTTCAAAATGTGTGATTAAATAAAATTGGTTATTTTATATAAATAAAAACTATTATAAATACAAATTATTATATATTTGTAAAAATAAGAATGTTCTGGTCATGAAGGTTGGCAGTTATTACATATTTTAAGTGTATTTAAATACAATATTTTGATATTCCCTTCCACATCATAGTCAACAGTTTTAAAATAAAATCAACAATTATCAATTCAGAGAAAGAACATGTCAAAATACATAATTTAAATCAATAAATAAGCAGCATGAAGATCATCACAATTATGCATTACTATATTCTGAAAATTCATCTCTTCTTCTGCCTAAATGTCTTCTTTCTATAGAAAGAAATAATAAAAATAAATCACATAGCTAGCTACAAATATTCTATGCAGATGCAACTAAAGTATCAGATTCAGCTCCGGTAAACAGCCAAAGTTGAACAATTAATAGCCCCAACAAAATAGTTTAATTTTTGTTTCCTTATATTGGAAATGGTCACTGTCATGTTTGAGAGCAACAAATCAAAGGAAATAGAAAAGGTGCCATTTTCACATGACAGTATTAGTGAACATTACTGGTTATGCGTTCATGAGGGTGTCAACATTATCTTGAAGTTTATTAAATTTATATTATTTTCCTTGCAGATTGATAAATCTACAGTTATTTATATATTGTCCTCAATAAGTATTAATAGATTTATTGAAGAAAGGGGCTGAGGAGAATATTGTGCATTCTCTATATAATTTCTTAAAGAGGTTACTGTGAATAAATTATGTATAATGATATATCAACAATTTGAATGTGAATGAAATATTAAAAAATTACATAAACATATATGTATGTGTGTTGTAAAAGTAAGCTTCAATGACAGGATAACATAAAAAGGGAAAGGAGTTCTCTTATATACAAGCTGGCTTCTAGGTTTGATTTCTATATTAAATGCTTCCAAAGTGACATAATCAACCATGTATGTGTCAACATCATCAAAACAAGAGTGCTCCTTAACAAATTGCTTTTATAAAACACGATAATGGGTTGATGACCAAAAGTAGAATTTTATCAAAAAGTTATGAGTCAAAAAACTGAAAAAAATTGAATTTTTTTCTATTTGCAATTTGTTTGAATGATACTAATCACTAAAATATACCGTTTTGACTGAAATTTAATTGTATTGATGGAAATTTAATTGTAATGAAAAGTTCAATAACTGCTTAAAATATATGTTAATATTTACTGACAAAAATCAAACCTTATTTCAGAAATAAGGTTAACAATAATTTTTGTTGTTGTTTTATCAGTTATACTTTGATTTTTCTTCCATTTGCTGCTTAAAATTTACATTTGAAAAATTTATTATTGAACTACATAATCAAGATTTTGAAGACAGCATTTCGAGCATAAAATATGAAATAAAACATTTTTGATCTGTGAAGGTATACAAATATACTTCTTTATAAAATAAAATATTATTTTGAAAATTGTATACTGACTTAGTATTTAACATCTTCTCTAAAAACGTGTGCTTCACTTTTCTTTACCTCTTTATATAATTCCAAGAAAAAAATGTTTCTTTCATTAAAGAAACATATTTGTACATATAGATGCTTCAAAATCTTCACTAGTTTACCCCATGTGCGTACACATACTGACATTTTCTACTTTTGCTATTCCATGTATAAGTTTGGAAAGCATTGTTCTAGATGAAAAAAAATAAATCAATAGATGAATGGACGTCTGGATGGGATTAAAAATATTACTTGGAGGAAAAAAGGTTAAACATTTCTATGTTTAATTCAATAATTTCAGTTTACTATTGTAACTTTTTTTCTTGAAGTAAAATTAGTAGTTACAATGGTAAATATAGGTAAGTTCCTTCAATCTTTATTGGTTAAACGAATTATTATGCCTAAGTATATCTTTCACATGTGTGACTAAGAAACAGGAGTACTGATTACCGATGATCCTGTTGAATTTTTACTTGGCAAGTAAGTTTAATTTTTAAAATAAATTTATTTGAATGTTTATATATTATATCTCTCAAGTTTTCCTCCAAGATTCAACTAATCTAATAAAATTGCTGTTGGTTTTGGTTTGTTTGCTTTCTTTTATTCAATATTTTAGTTAGATAGTAGGGAGGAATTGAAGGGAGAAATTTTTAATCTAAACTTAGTCCCTTCTAATTAGCTACATCATCGATAGATTGGAAGGAGAGTGTGGTTTAAAGAATAGGGCATTATTTCTGAAGATAGACTCCTTGGCTTCTTTAAATCCTTGGCTCTACTATTTACTTGGCTACCTGAGTTAATTCACTTATCTGAAATTATAGTTATTTCAATTCTCACTTAAAAAAATCAATTAAATGATGAATTGACATCTGAAAGTTCTTAGACCATAAGTGGGCACTTGTAAAGCACTGTGAAACTGCTAGATATTTTTATTATGTACACACTGGATAAAATTGTTTTTGCTCAACACACAGGTTTGGCCTAGACTAGACCCTCGATATTTCATTGAATTTCTCCATCATCAGTGTTATACAGTGTTATATTCTTTTTCTCTTGTTGTGTTCAAGACTTCTACTGTACCTGGACTGAACTCTATATCAAAAAAATGATAAAGAATGTACATATAATAATTGATCCAGGACTGTGGCATTAGAAAAGTGTGTACAGAAAGAAGAAAAAATGTGTCCTCCCTTGACAATAATTATTTTATGACAGCATAAAATCATACAGCATTACATATAATGTTTGCACCTTGAAAAGTTTATCATCTGCACAACCCCATTTCTAGTAATCTCAGGTATCATTTACATCAGAAATTATGCTCCCATTTGCCAGTTTTAATTTTTCTTTGAGTTGAATTTTTGAACTTGATAGAATAACTGAGCTAGCTAGTCGTCTTTTTTTAATTAATTAATTAATTTATTTTATTTTATTATTATTATACTTTAAGTTTTAGGGTACATGTGCACAATGTGCAGGTTAGTTACGTATGTATACATGTGCCATGCTGGTGTGCTGCACCCATTAACTCCTCATTTAGCATTAGGTATATCTCCTAATGCTAACTCTCCAACCTACCCCTACCCCACAACAGTACCCAGAGTGTGATATTCCCCTTCCTGTGTCCATGTGTTCTCATTGTTAAATTCCCACCTATGAGTGAGAATATGTGGTGTTTGGTTTTTTTGTCCTTGCGATAGTTTACTGAGAATGATGATTTCCAATTTCATCCATGTCCCTACAAAGGACATGAACTCATCGTTTTTTATGGCTGCATAGTATTCCATGGTGTATATGTGCCACATTTTCTTAATCTAGTCTATCATTGTTGGACATTTGGGTTGGTTCCAAGTCTTTGCTATTGTGAATAGTGCCACCATAAACATAGGTGTGCATGTGTCTTTATAGCAGCATGATTTATAGTCCTTTGGGTATATACCCAGTAATGGGATGGCTGGGTCAAATGGTATTTCTAGTTCTAGATCCCTGAGGAATCGCCACACTGACTTCCACAATAGTTGAGCTAGTTTACAGTCCCACCAACAGTGTAAAAGTGTTCCTATTTCTCCACATCCTCTCCAGCACCTGTTGTTTCCTGACTTTTTAATGATTGCCATTCTAACTGGTGTGAGATGGTATCCCACTGTGGTTTTGATTTGCATTTCTCTAGTCTTTTATCATGCGTTTGCTTTGGAAATGATTAGCAGAAAAAATTGAGATGGTTAATTTTACTGATGGCTGGCAGTGAACTCTAAAACTTATATGTCATGAAACCTAAGGAAATCTTTCATTCTGACCATGAAATGCCAATTAATTGCTTAATTAAATTTAGTAACTTTAAAACTTAAATGTTATTCATAGATCTGTGGAAGGGAGCTTTCACATAATATTAATATGTTGTCCCTGAATAGTTTGTATTTTAAGGGTTTTATCTCCAAATATTCAAAGCATTAACAATCAGCATTAAAAATTTTTGTTTTCATAAGAGATTGATATTAAATTAATAGAAAACAAGACACATTTCCTTGGTAAGAGGTTAGCTGGCAAATGAGAAATTCAAAATTTCATTAGGAATAGAAACACAGATTTCAGATGAACTTAATTAAAATTTGAGTGATAGAGAAAAATCATATACAGTCATTGAGAAAATAGAAACTCTGCTCTTCAACAATGAAAAATAATTCATTTTATTAGATAATAATTTAAACCTTAAAATTTGTGGTTGCTTCCATTTTCCTTTAACAAGACTTGGATAAAGAATTCAAATACATTCCAGAGAAGAAGTGTAAGATGACTAAGTTTTAGGAATACTTATGTCCAAAGATGAAACATGTCTAAGCTATTCCAAGTGGGAAGATAACTCCTCAGAGTGATTTAATTATGCTTTTCAAGTTTGATCGAAGTTTTTTTCTGTCTTCTTAAGGAAGGCCAAAGTCGAGTTTGGCCTACAGTGAAGTTCCCGTGATTAACTTTGGAAAGATACTGTGTTTATAAAATCAATTGTCACTGAGCTACTGATATTATGCTCTCCTTTGCTGATACTATTAAAAGTTGTATAATATTTCATGACTATGTTGTGGTTCATTGAATTATACAGTAATGTTTTAGCATACATATTATAAGACACCAGGCACTGAAACTATGAAGATAAAGAAGGTATAGCTTGTGTTTAAGGAGCTAACAGCCTAGAAGAGAGACATTTATGTGAAAAATTGTAACATAATGTGATAAAAAGAATTGAAATAGATATGTGCCTAAAATGTTAAGAATGCACAGACAAGCCATCTAATTAGGTTGAGGGGAAAGTCAAAGAATTCACTGTATAGTGTTAGATTGACTTTAAAGTTGTATCATAAAGCTTGAGAAAACTCAAGCCAGGCAAAGAGTAAGTGAAAAATACTGCAGTGAAAGCTAAAAAGAGGCATATTGATTTCCAGTATTATAACCTCTATCTTCCACTGTGACTAACATAGGGTGGAGGGATGAGACTGATTAGAGTTTAAGCTAAAGTAACAAATAATAATAATAAAGGCCTTCTAGTGACGTGTTAATAAATGTGGTTATTGCCCTGGGGGTTATAAGCAGGCAATAAGGGATTCTAAACTGTAAAGAGAGAATTTCAACTTTGTGTTTTAGGAAAGAAAAATCAAATTATTTTGAGAATGGATCAATACTCCAAAATTGGTACATATATCTATTCTCCCTCCAATCTCTAATTCTTTGGGAAAAAAAGTATTTCAAAATAAATACATTTATTGCATTGCTAGAAAATAACAAAATGTCACCAAAAATATAGTTTTGAGCAGTTACTGAAAGACAGAAGGCTGATTGGAATGAACAGCTTTATGTGCAAATAAAACTATAAGAAACTACAGAGAAGGGTGACTGTAGGTAACCATGATGATGTTCCAAGCTGAGAATCAACTTATGGGAAGAGCTGAAGAGAGTCTTGGATCACATTTAATAATTATTAATTGAGAAGACCATCAAGATTAGATGATGCTCTTTCTTTTCTCCCTGTTCATTAAATATAGCAGGCAATATTAGTATTTTAATCCAATTGTTGTGAGCTGTGAGAGGAATACAAATTATGGAGAGGCAGGTTGTTTCTGCCATCCAAAAACTTAATCTCAGGAAACTAATAGCATTTCCCAACATTCAATACACTCTTTTTTTTTTTTTTCTGCATGGTGAGGAAAGGCTATTTAAAGTAATTACAACAAAGAAAAATTAAAAGAAAATCTCAAATACAAATGAACACAGGCTAATTAATCCTCTAATATTTAGATGGAAAGCAAAACAGCAAAAGAGAGGCACAAAACAGTCTGCAAGGATAAAAGACAGTTTGAAACACTGCCCAATGTGTCTTCTATTCATACTCTTTGTTGTTGTTAATTATTACTGTTTTGCCCTGTACTTCTCAACCTATTAAGCCATTAAAGATAAGGCATATATTACTTAAACTGAGAAAATAAAACAAGACAAAAACCCAGGATGATTTCAAAAATTAAGTCTTGAGTTTCAGTGGGGAAGAAAAAAACCAATGTATTCCAATGCAAGAATTATCATGCAAGTAATAAGCATAGTACCCAAGAGGTAGTTTTTTAATCTTCCTCCTCCTTCCACCTCCACCATCAAGTAGGCCCCAGTGGCTATTGTTTTCTTATTTGTATCCATGTAATAAAAGTTGAAAAAAAAAGCATGAATGCACAAATTAGAGAATTCAGAAAGCATGTTTACTCATGGAGTAGTCACGTTGGATATATCATGGAGGAAATTCCTGTCATTTATGAAGGAAAAAATGTTGTTATTTTGCTTGGATGGGAATGAGAGAACCTGGAAAAATATAGAAGTTTTGAAGATGCAATGCACTAATATATATACATAGAGAGATGCCAGATAGATAGATTAGATAGATAGATAGCGATAGATAGATAGATAGATGATAGAGACAGGTAGGTAGGTAGGTAGATAGACAAATAGATGATAGAGATCGATTGATAGTAGATAGATAGATAGATGGATAGATAGATGATAGATAGATGATAGAGATAGGTAGATAGGTAGATAGATAGACGATAGAGATGAATAGGTAGGTAGGTAGATGATAGATAGATAGATGATAGAGAGAGAGAGAGAGAGAGAGAGATAGATAGATAGACAGATAGATAGATAGATAGATAGATAGATAGATGATAGATAGATAATTCAGAAAGAGGATGTAGGCATCTGACCCTCTAGGATCTTGTTCACAGGAAAAGGAAATTTAAGTTATAAGGATATAGAAACCTGAGCTATTTTGATGAAGAACTTAAAACTTGAAGGAGACTCTGCTTAGTGGCCCACTTTGACTGTGGGAACCAAATGCTTACCAGGTACTCCTACAGAAACAGGAGGCAGACCAAGAAGAGCAGACATAGTGGTATGCTTGGTTCAGAAGAGAGAGGCCAAGATAGCACTTCCTGTCCTCCAAGGCATGCATGAAATCTGGGAAGCTGCATTTCTACATGCCTAAATCACAGTATATAAATATTATATCTGCTCCTCAGACTTAAATTTATTATATCCAATAAGTTCTTTGACAAATAAGTGTGATAGTATATTTTAAGAGTAGTTCTATGGTTTCAAACTGTCAAAATGCCTGAGGAATTTCACCCCAACGCTTAACAATTTATTAAGAAAATAATTGGCTAAACTCTCTTATTGTCAGTATTTCCTTAACAATAATTATAGTACTTGCCTAATTAGGTTATTAAATATGAATAGAAATTTATACATATATGTGTGTGTGTGTGTGTGTATGTGCCTGTGTGTGCGTGTGTGTGTGTGTGTGTGTGTGTGTGTGTGTACGGTGCTTTAAGTGGTCCTTGGAACACTGTAAATGCACTCAACAAAAATAGCTATCATTGCTTAGAATGTGCCAGAAACTATGTGTAGGGCAAAGATGAAATTGGCGTATAAAACCACAGTCTCTGCATTTCATTTCTACTGCAAACTTCTTTTTCCAAGACATCAACTTCTTCCCCTTTTTTTTTTTTTTACTAAAACAGCTTGCTAAATGGTCTCCTTGATTCTAGCAAGCTACACTTACTGCTTTAAAATCCATTCTTTATGCAAAAAGGTGACGTATTTAAAATGTATGTTAGATCATGTTACCCACATGTGCCAAGCACTCCAATGACCTCGCATTGCATTTATAAGATGTATCCAAACTGCTTGCCTTCTGCATAGGGCAGTACTTGAGCTGGTACTCCCCACTCATCTGACCTCGTTTCCTGCTCTACCACTCTTACCTACTATATGCTAGCTTTACTTGTTTCCTTGCTATTCCTCACACACTCCAGGCCTACTCATGATTCAGTACCTCTGAACTCACATCACTGATTAGCTGTTTCTTTCCATTACAGAGTTCTCAGCTCACATCCCTACTCACATAATCTAAAAATACTCCCTTGTTTTACTAATCTTTTTGTCTTTGACACACTTTTTAATGAAGGTATTTGTTTTCTGGTTTCATCATGTGTACTATATCTCAAATTTAAGTCCATGAGAGCAAGGAAATTTTCTCTCTTGTCCACTGCTCCACTTTTAGCGTAGAGCATGACACATAGTAGTTGCTAACTACACAATGGCAGAATGAATGGACTTGAAATTAGCACAGCATGAATTGTTCTTCAGGAGTTAAGGCAAATGGAGACTACTGTCTGAAGAAAACACAGAAAGAAGACATTACATAGAGAAAGAAGGAGGATTCAGATAGTAAAAATATATTTTTAACTAGAAAAACAAAATGATTTGTAAGACTTCTACAAGATCTCTTTATCATCTGTAAGTGAAATATGCACTGTTTTATTTGTTAATAAAATGAATCTGGCAAACATTTCTTGAGTATCTACTACTTGCCAAGGATGTTCAAGTGATAATGTTTGTCAAATGGTAATTTGGAATATACTATGAAAAATTATAATATAATAATTATTCATATACAGATTGGAACACAGTAAAGCAAATCTTATATTAGTCTGAGAAAGTACATGTCAGTGATGGAGAATATTATATCTGAGAAAAGATGTGTGGATGATGGAGAAGATAGGATGGTCTAGCCCAGCACTGCCAATAGAATTCAGAAGAGTCACATATGGAATTTTAAATTTTCTAGTAAACATATTAAAAAGAGTAAAAAGTAAACGATGAGAACAATTTTTTTTATTTTGTACTAAGTCTTAGAAGTCCAGTGTGTATTTTACAATCATAGTACATCTCAATTTTGGCTAGACATGTTTTGAGTGCTCATTAGATACATGAGCCTAGCGGTTATCATATTGCATAAGTATGAACAGAAGTGATAGTATGTATTCCTTCTATCACATGACTGGCTTACTTTCCCAAGCATGGAACTCCATTCAGTTTCTATTGAATAGCAGTTCCTCAAAGCTATGTTTTGTATGTATAGATGAATAAGAAAACAAATGAAGTGAACAAAGTGAATCAACAATGAAATATAAGATCATAGGATGTCAAGAAATAGCAAATCAATTGGTGTGTTTCCATTAACTATGAATGGTGAGACAAGAGGCATGAAGGATAGATATATTAGGAAAAAATAGAGAAAATGTATTACAAACAAAATATATAAATATATGTATACACATATATATCCACAGATATGAAAGAGAGAGAGAGGTTTAGGGAACTGTATCACACAAGTGAAAACTGGCAAGTCAAACATCTTCAGGGTAGACTAGCAGGCTGGAGAGTGATATTACTTGTGACATGGAGAATATTTGGTAGAATGAGAATTGAGTCCTCCTCAGTAACTCGTTTACCAAAACCAAGCATAAAAATTGAAGGTATTATATAAGTTTACATTGCAGGTTATTGATATTATATAGTCTGTGTAGTTTGGTGTTTTTAAATTACAAATGGAGCAATTGTGATGCATGGAAAACTCTATAATCAAAATAATTGAGGCAGCATCTGTATACTATCAAGTACACAAAAGGATTATTAAATATTAGGATTGTATTAATTTGGATTCTGTAATATATTCACCCCTTTCAATGTTAAGGATATGTTTTAAAATTATATTATACATGATTTTCTTTATTTTATTCTGACAAGGCCTTGTCTTTTTGCCTAATACAAATCAAACCACTTGGAACATCCATATTTCCACCAATCCATTTGCAGTTTCCAGAGAGAAGTTGTGGCAGAATTCACATTCCATTAGCCAATTTTAAAAATAGGTTTATTGGCCAGGGGCAGTGACTCACGTCTGTAATCCCAACACTTTGGGAGACTAAGGCGGGTGGAAACCTTGAGTCCAGTTGTTCAAGACCAGCCTGGCAACATGGCAAAACCCTGTCTCTACAAAAAAAAAAAAAAAAAGCTATACATGGTGGAACACGCCTGTGGTCCCAGCTACTCATAAGTCTGAAGTGTAAGGATAGCTGGAGCGTGGGAGTAAGAGGCTGCTGTGAGCTGAGATCGCTCTATTGCACTCCAACATGGACTACAGAAAAAATGGTTAAAAAAATTTTTATTAATTGAACTGTAGGGATTCCGTCTAGCTTGTAAGATAATTTAAGGAGCACGAGGTTGGTAATGTAATGATTTATTTCTTCCTCACAAATTAAATAGTATTAACAAATTTTTAGTTTGAAAAATGTGCCAACAAATAAAGTTCTAATAAAACATTAACAATTAGTGTTTAAAAATTAAATTCACACAGGTAAAACAAATATTTTTTCCACTTGAGTTAATAACAAAAATTAAATCCCTCCAGAATTTATAGAAACATTGAAATAATGGCTCACAGTATATTAACTATACCCTGGGATTAATTTAGGCACTTTTAGAAAATATATTAATTTTTTAAGCCTCTAGCGTACCATTTGGTAAATTACTGCTTTAGTGTATTAAATGGTACCTAAATCATTATAGCACTAACTTGCTTCTTATGTTAACCCTGAACTTTTCAACTATTAAAGATAAATGTAGCCTAGGGTATTTTATGTTGGCATATCAAAGGAGAGGCTAATGATGGGCAGAGGTTGATGGATCCCTGAGAGTCAGGCAGGCCTTCTTTTTCATGATAACTCAGTCAGGGTATACTGCCAAGCCTCTACAGATGAGATTAGAGACATTTGCTTCACTGTCACATAAAAAAGATTTTCCTCCTACCCTATTATGTGCCCGAAGCATTCTATAAATGTGCAATCTACTACCAGCACATTTTCTACAAAGTAATAATTTCTATAAGTTTTCATCATTTTTATTCAAAATATTTTGTTTATTTTCTGTAATTATATTAATTATAGCATTTATATATAAATACGTTCTGTACAATAAATATTTTTTAAGTTATAGACCAAATAAGAACAACATTGAACAACTCTGCATACCAGTTCCCACCACCCTTTCTAAACATAATCACGGTTGTCCATTTAGTTCATATTCATCCAAAGCATGCCCTGTACCATCAAATGCGTATGCCTGCGTGCATAGCAAATGCATATCATACGCATATATATCTTAGAAGACATTGTATTATCGATACATGTGATGTGAGTTTATAAAAATCTCTGTATTTCCCCTTCACACAACAAAATGACCTATTTAGATATTCTATTCAATCTTTTTTACCTAAGTGAAAGGTTGCATAATGATAAACTATAATTTGTTTTTTCCTTACCTTATAGATGAACATTTGGATCAATTGAAATCTATGATGAAGCTTAAAAAAAAAAAGGTATTATCTCACATGGCAAGATATGTGACGGGTATGTGTTTTCCAGCATAAGTAAACCAGGAGCACTGTTATATCATCAAATTCCCAAGTTACCATTTATATCTGTGTTTAGCCAACTTAGCCAACTTCTTTTTTTTTTTTTTTTTTTTTTTTTTTTTTTTTTTTTTTAAACAGAGTCTCGCTCTGTCACCCGGGCTAGAGTGCAGTGATGTGATCTTGGCTCACTGCAACCTCCACCTCCTGGGTTCAACTGATTCTCCTGCCTCAGCCTCCTGAGTAGCTGGAATTACAGGTGCACACTACCACACCCAGCTAATTTTTCTTTTTTCAGTAGAGACAGGGTTTTTTTACCATGTTGGTCAGGCTGGTCTCGAACTCCTAACCTCAAGTGATCCACCCACCTTGACCTGCCTCCCAAAGTGCTGGGATTACAGGCATGAGCCACTGTGCCCAGCCCCACCTTCACTGTTCTTAAGGTGTATTTCATCATTGTAAGTTAATGCAATTATGCCTGTCATTACCTCGTCACCTATCCATATTCACAGGTAGAAAATGACCAGTCACTTCTGTATGATCAGCATTCACATGAAGTGCTATTTTCCTGGAATACCTTCAGTAAACTTACCTCAGGTCTCACTAGCTATACTGGCATTACTTTCTTATACTGACAGTAATCGCCATCAAGGTGAATGAAATTAATATCATTAACAGACTAATCAACATTTATGCCACCCACCCTCCTCTCCTGCTGTGGCTCAGAAGGTGTAGCTCAGAAGGTGCTCATGAACACATGTTCAATACCTAGGGGAAAAAACAGTTTTGTTTTGTTTTTTTTTATATAGCAAGGGAAATGAGGAAATGGTTATTTGGTAAAAAACTGAAAGTATCTGCCACAGTTTTCATTTTCTCTGACTTTGTTTTTCAAATG
Source organism: Homo sapiens (assembly GCF_000001405.40). NCBI lineage: Eukaryota > Metazoa > Chordata > Mammalia > Primates > Hominidae > Homo > Homo sapiens. Next base: position 95,496,365 of record NC_000003.12, read on the forward strand.
TTATAAATGATGCTTACAAAAATATCATTTTAGAGGTCTTCTAGGCACATATGCAAAAATTTCTATGGAATAAGTGCAAAGAAGTAAAAAGTCGACACATTGATTTTAATAAATACATCCAAATTTCCTATGAGTTTACCTACCTTTTTGCATATGGCAACCATATAATTTATTATTTAAACTAGAATGTTGTTGACAGTGAAAGAAAGGATTATTTGTAATTATGATTGGGTAGAATTTTGTTATATGAATATATCTGTTTAAGAAATCAATATGACCAAATTCATCATTTTTTCTTTTTATGTCTTTTTTTTGTATATTTGTTCAAGAAGTCCTTAAATATTCCAGTATATTAAACATATTTTTATGTGTTTATTTCTAACATTGTTATAAATTTTTCTTTATTTTTCGGGGCCATTTGAGATTAACAATAAATGATTTAATTACAGAAGGCAAGGAGATAACTACTTTTATCAAATGGATAGCCAATTGCCACAACATCACTTATTGAATCACTATTTCTATTTTAAAGGAAGTTTAAGCATGATTTTTTTTGTTTTATAATTTCAACTTTTATTTTAGATTCACCAGGTACATATGCAGCTTTGTTTCATAGGTATATTTTGTGATGCTGAGGTTTGGGGTATAAATGATCCCATCATACCGATAGTGAGCATAGCGTTCAATAGATAGTTTTTCAGCCCTTACCTCTCTCCCTTTTTCCCTGCTCTAGTAGTTCCCAGTGTCTACTGTTCCCATGTTTGTGTCCATGTATACCCAATTAACATTATTTTTATTTAAAATTATCAACCTTTGAAATTTGAGAAGGGATTCTACACTCATGAATGATTGTTACAGAAATTGACATGCCTTTACAAACAACTAGAAAACTGTACAAAATAAATCAAACAAAAGTTTCAAGGTGGTGAACAGCATGCAGAGCAGGAATATGGTGTCTAAGAGAAGGGGAAAGAAAGACAGGTGATCAGTTAGGTTACTCCGATTTTCTGCCTTGAGGCAGATTACAAGATTGTAATAGTGCAGTAAAGAGGAACTAAAACAGGTTAAGGAAATAAAATGGGGCAAGAAAATCTCTATAAAACATGCATCTGTTAAAGGACGTATGTCCAGAATAATAAAGATACTTTACAATTAAGTGGCAAAGAGACAAACAACTCATTAAAAAAAAAAAAAGATAAAGGACTGAAAAATACATTAAGAAAAGCGAAACAGGAATGGCAATTAGAACAAAAGAAAAAGCTCAATAATATTATTTAATAAAATAAATTTAAAATTAAACCAAAATGAAATAATACTATTGTATACATTGCAATTGCCAAAATGGAAAAGACTGGCAATTTCAAGTATTTATGAAGAGCCTGAATTCTCAAATTTTGCTGGTGGAGTTGAGGAATAGTACAACCTCTTTGGTAGTTATGTTAGCAACTTCTTACAAAAAGTAAATATACACTTGGCAAATGATTCAGCAATTCCATTTCTAGGTCCTTATTCAAGATAAATGAAAACATATGCGGACACAAATAAATGCACTCAAATATTAAGTAGCGTTATTCATAATAGCTAATTCAAAACAAACAAAAAAGTAGATCAAACTTAAACATCCATCAATAGGCTATGAACAGATATATTCATATAACAAAATTCTATTCAGCTTTGCAAAAGAGTTTTTACTATATAAAAGAAGTCAGACAAAAGACTGACTTATTTTGTTCTCGGATTCAATATACCATATATGAAATTAGAGAAAAAGCAAAACTATAGTGATAGAGAGTAAATTACTAACTGAGTATGCAGATGAAAATAATTAAGAAGAAACATGTTGAAAGGAGAAAAATGTTTTTACCTTAATTACAGTGCTACGTTACATGATTGTATCAAAACCTAGGCCTGGTGTGGTGGCTCACGCCTGTAATCCCAGCACTTTGGGAGGCTGAGGCGGGCAGATCACAAGGTCAGGAGATCGAGACCAAGCTGGCTAACATGGTGAAAACCTGTCTACACTAAAAAATACAAAAAAATTAGCTGCACGTGGTGGCGGGTGCCTGTAGGCCCAGCTACTTTGGAGGCTAAGGCAGAAGAATGGCCTGAACCCAGAAGGCAGAGCTTGCAGTGAGCCGAGATTGTGCCACTGCACTCCAGCCTGGGCAACAGAGCAAGACTCCATCTCAAAAATAAATAAATTAATTAATTAATTAAATTTAAAAAATAATAATAACAAAACCTATTGTGTCAAAACCTATTTAACTATAAATTTAAACCAGTGAAAAACTACATTTTGATAAAGCCACAATTTTAAACAGTCAAACATAGACAAAGATAATATCTACAATGTTGCTTTTTCTTAAATAAAAATAAAAGGTACCAAAGCTAGATAAAGACATTACACAAAAGGAAAAAGGGAAATTGCCTGCCAATATACAACATAAACATGCGTGAAAATAATCTATACAATATTAGCAAATTTAATCTAACAATACATAAAATAGTTATACACCATTACCAATTGAATTGTAATCAAATGCAAGACTGGCTCAACATTTTATAATTAATTTATATAATCCATAACATCAATAGCCTCAAAAAGAAAAATCATATGATCATAATAGGTGCAGAAAAGTATTTGACAAAACCCAACACCCAGCTAGGCACAGTGGCACACTCTTTTAATCCCAGCACTCTGGGAGATCAAGGCAGGTGGATCACTTAAGGTCAGGAGTTCGAGACCAGCCTGGCCAACGTGTTGAAACCCCATCTCTACAAAAACAGAAAAATTAGCTGGGTTTGGTGGTGTGCACCTGTAATCCCAGTTACTCCGGACGCTGAGGTGGGATAATCGCTTGAACACATGAAGCAGAGTTTGCAGTGAGCTGAGATCACACCACTACACTCCAGCCTGGGCAATAGAGCCGGACTCCATCTCAAAACAAAACAACAACAGCAACAACAACAACAAAATCCCCAACACCCATTGGTAATAAAAACTCTCAGATAACTAGGTATAGAGGGAAACTTCTATGAACTTTAACTTCATAAACAATATCTATAAAACACCTATAGTTAACATCATACTTAATAGACAGAAACTAGGTACTTTCCCATTAAGATCAGGAACAAGGCAAAAATGTCCTCCAAAGTCACCGCTCTTATTCAACATTGTAATGGAAGTCCTAGATGAAGCAAAAAGTGCAGCATTTGAAGCAAAAGTGTAATTATTGAGAAGTGAACCAAAAGTGTAATTATTGAGAAGTGAACCAAAAGTGTAATTATGTCATTCGAAGATGAGATGATCATCTGTAGAAAACCCAAAATAATTAACAAAGACAAATCCTGGAAGTCATAAGCTGTTATACAAGTTTGGAGAATAAAAGAAATTTGACAAAATTCAATTGCATTTTTTTTTTTTTTGAGACAGAGTCTCGCTCTGTTGCCCAGGCTGGAGTGCAGTGGGGTGATCTTCGCTCACTGCAAGCTTCACCTCCCGGGTTCACGCCATTCTCCTGCCTCAGCGTCCGGAGTAACTGGGACTACAGGGGCCCACCAACATGCCCGGCTGATTTTTTTATTATTATTATTTTTAGTGGAGACGGGGTTTCACCGTGTTAGCCAGGATGGTCTCGATCTCCTGACCTCGTGATCCGCCCGCCTCAACCTCCCAAAGTGCTGGGATTACAAGCGTGAACCACCGCGCCCGGCCTCAATTGCATTTTTATATGCCAGCAATAAAAGAGTGAAATTTGAAGGAAAACATGCAATACCACTTACATCAGCACAAAAAAAGTAGTCAAGTATGAATCTTAAAAAAAAAAAAAAAAACTTCAAAATCCATATGAGGGAAACTTCAAAACTCTGATGAAAGAAAAGTAGGAACCAAATAATTGGAGATATTTTTCATACACGTGGATAGAATAACTCAATATCATGAAGATGTCAGGTCTTCCAAACTTCATAGATTCAATGGAGTTCCCTCCAAATCTCAGTACGTTTCTTTGGAGATACTGACAAACTGATTCAAAGTGTATAAAGAAAGGTAACAGATGCAGAATAACCAACTCAATATTGGAGGGGAACAAACTTGAATGACTGACTTTGACTTATTATAAAACTACAATAATCAACACAGTGTGGTATTTGCAAAAGCATGGGCAAATAGATCCATGGAAGAGAATATATAGCTCAAAATAGACACAAAAAGAATCAAACTTTATACATTTTACATAGACTTAAATGTGAAACACAAAACTATAAAACTTTCAGAATATAGCATAAGAGAAAATCTTGATCACATTGAGTTCAGTGATGGCATTTTAGATACAACGCCAAAGCCATAATTTACATAATAAAAATTTTATAAAGTGAACTTGATGATAATTTAAAAACTTTTTTCTGCCAAAGACACTGCTCAGACTGAAAGTACAAGGCAAAGACAAAAAGAAAATAGTTGTAAAACACATATCTGATAATAGACTGTTATCTAAAATATACAAAAAAATCTTAAGACTCAACAATAAGAAATTAAACACTATGAAATATTGGCAAATGATCTGAACAGATATCTCACCAGTGAAGATTGTCAAATGACAAATCAACATATGAAAAGGTAGAAAACACCATGTGCCAGCAGAGAATTGAAAATTAAAACCACTACTACGTTCCCATTAAAATGACTGAAATCCAGAAAACTGAAAATTCCAAATCTTAGTCAGGATGTGGGGCAATGGGAACTTTGATGCGTTTCTGATTGAAATAAAAAATGAGCCGGGCATGGTGGCTCACGCCTGCAATCTCAGCACCTTGGGAGGCTGAGGTGGGCGGATCACTTGAGATCAGGAGTTCCAGACAAGCCTGGTCGACATGGCTAAACCCCATCTCTTCTAAAAATACAAAAATTAGCCGGGCCCAGTGGCGGGTGCCTGTAATCCGAGGTACTTGGGAGGCTGAGGGAGGAGAATTGCTGGAACCCAGCAGGCAGAGGTTGCGGTGAGCCGAGATGGCACCACTGCACTCCAGCCTGGGCAATAGATTGAGACTCCGTCTCAAAATAAATAAAATAAAATAAAATAGAAATAAAAAATGGATAGATACACACGTGGATATAAATTCCAATAAGATACATACATCAATATATACATATAGACATAAAAATTACAGATAGAGGGCCGGGCGTGGTGGCTCATGCCTGTAATCCCAACACTTTGAGAAGCGAGGCGGGCAGATCACCTGAAGTCAGGAGTTAAAGACCAGCCTGACCAACATGAAGAAACCTGGTCTCTACTAAAAATACAAAATTAGCCGGGCGTGGTGGGCATGCCTGTAATCCCAACACTTTGAGAAGCGAGGCGGGCAGATCACCTGAAGTCAGGAGTTAAAGACCAGCCTGACCAACATGAAGAAACCTGGTCTCTACTAAAAATACAAAATTAGCCGGGCGTGGTGGGCATGCCTGTAATCCCAGCTACTCGGGAGGCTAAGGCAGGAGAATCGCTTGAACACAGGAGGCAGAGGTTGCGGTGAGCCGAGATCGTGCCATTGCACTTCAGCCTGGGTGACAAGAGCAAGACTCCGTGTCAAAAAACAAAAGAAAACAAAACAAACAAAAAAATACAGATAGATTACCATAACATGGAGCATTGCAAGTAAATTAGAATAAGACTTGAATAAAATTGCAGTTATCTAGGCAAATATAAAAAACTGGAATTTTTTATTTCTCTGAAGAGAAATTGTACTAATCTCACTTAATATCTTCATGTGATAAATAAAGAGATCAGATAGACAAAGGGAAAGAATAGTGACAATTTGTACAGATATTTTTAAGAATTTTTTTTCCCATGCCATATGAAATTATTTTTCACAAGTAGCTAAGTACAATTATCGACCATTTCTAATGACTGAATGAATGATTAACTTTTGCCTCAACCTTAATGGTTATCAGTGATTCTGCCTCAGTTTTAAGGATCTAGTTTTTGAGGAAAAATTCAGAATAGGATTATCTTATAAAAGAGACAAAAAGAGATTTTAAGTGAGCTTAAACATTTAGGGGAGATTATGAACCTTTTAATAATTGGATAAATGTCTACAGGATGAAGTGAATAATTATGATAATTATCTATATTGGAGAAAAATATGTGACTACAGGTGAGCTGCTTTTGGAAAAATAAAATATACATCAACATTCTAAATGGTTTGATTTATTTAGAAAAATAGATGCAATAAAAATATAATATTACTCTAAGCTTTAATACATGTTGATAAAACAGTTAGTTCACATACTGAACTGACTTGACTCAAATGATTCCTAATCAGAAATTATAAAATCCATTTAAAATTTTCTGAACAATATAAATTAGAATAGCATCTGTTCAAGATTTTATTCAAATTAATAATTTAGCCCACCTATATTCACAAAAATATATTTCTAATGGTATAATCCTATATTGACACAGAGTAATAAAATAATTTAAAAATATATAATAACAAAGGGGCCATCTATAATTTCTTCAGCTATGATTTACTTTTCTGCTTCGTACTTAGGTTCAGTGATTTAGGTTGGGATACAATGTACATGCGTGTCTCGGTTTTTCTTGCTTACTTCTGGACAAGCCAATTGCACATATTTAATCACAGTGGATAGTGGATCCTCTGTAATAAATCTTCATTGGACAAGTAGATCACCCAAAATAAATCATCTGTGGGTGAATGAAACAACTTTGCTCAAACATCCATGGAAAAGGAGCTCATCCATCATAAATCAAAGATAGATAAGTGGATCAGCCTTGATTTACTGCCTCTAACCGTGACTATGGTTTTGCCTTAACTATGATGTACCATAATTTTACAAACAGTATATAGCTTAGAAAAATGTGGAAGAGTTGCCTCCCTAATACTGCTTTTGAAAGCCTATTTTTATATGAAGCAGTAGCATAATGAATAAAATAAAAAGAAAAGTTGCAAAATACTATTCAGTTAGATTAATTTATCCTATTCAGCCATCTTGGAACCCCCCAGTTAGATTAATTTATTAATGTGATATAAAATAAAGAGAACTAGGAAATTATCAAAAAATTAAGTCCAAATCCCAGGAATTCCAGTTATTTATGTGACCTTGAATAAATATTTTCTCCATCTATAAAATGACAGTGATAATCGACAGCCTCATAGACATTGCAAGGAGTAAAGGTGCTGCTTAATAAACATATATTTTTATTGTTCACATATTTTGGAATACATATATCTTCTGTTCCTTTCCCTGAGATACAAAGTGAGATATACATAACACTGTTCCTGTCTTGTTGAAGGGTGGGATCAAAGTAAATTAATCACAAAATTATATAATAACACCTAGACAGAGATATGAATAGGGAATTATTTAAAAAAATAGGGCAGTTAAACTGTAATCAATGGCAAAAATTTTAAAAAATGACTTTGAAGAAGAGTCTTAAAGCTTAAAAGAGACATTCAATGAAGAATGCAGGGATGGGAAGGATATGTATAAGGATTAGCAATTGTGAGAATATGCTCTTGGGACTGTAAATACAAGGATCTGCATATTTACGGACATGCATGTTTCCATAAATACAGTAATAAATTATCTCATCAGATTTTGGCAGGGGTCACATATAAAATGTCTTCTATGACTGGTTAAATAGATAAAATTTATTCTAAGCCAATAGAGCATCTCTTGATGGCATATATATATGTGTGTATATATATATATAATATATATGTTTGTGTGTGTGTGTGTAGTCTATATGACTTCTATAGTAGCAACTTCTACTCATTATTTCATCTGAAATAAAGCCACTTTTTTCATTTGTATTTCACATAAATTACTGTCCTGCAAACTACAACATCAAATACATCTTGCCAAAGCATTTTCTGCTAGAGTTAACACACCACATAAATTGAACAGTTCATTATATAAATGAAAAAAAAATGCTAAGATAATCATTTACATCTATGGTAATACTTTTGTTTTGTTTTGAATAGATAAAATATCAAAATATCTTTTTAAAGGTCAAATATGTTTGCATACTATATCCCATTCACAGGAAGATAGATAGATAGATAGATAGATAATGTAATTTTACTATTGAATTTATAATCCATTACTATTATAAAATCAACTTTTCAAAGTTTTTGACAATATTAACTCATTTATCACATTTCACGTTTCCTTTTTTCACACTTTCAAAAATATATTTTATACTCACTTTAGAAGTTCTATATTTGCTGATTATATTGTTTATATATTATTATATTTCTAAAATAATGTTGAATTGATAGACTGATTTTATTTTACTCACTTTTTTCCAGAGAAACACAAAGTATCTGATTTTACCGTCAAGGCTTGGGATTATATGCTTTGTGTAATAAAAGAAAAAGTATTTTATTTTCTCCTGATGGGCTTAAATAAAATAGAAAGCACACTTCAAGGTTTTACTTTTGGTTGTGTGTTTTGGGTATGTTCATGTGGTTTTTAAAGGATTATTGTTCTGTAATCAAAAATGAACATGAACTTAATCCCTCTTCAAATATAGTCAAGAAAAGTAATTCTTACTTTTTTGTAAAACGTAACCAAAAATATTTTAGAATACAAGGTTTACTGAAAAGCATTAGTTAATTATATAATAAATGTAAATATCACTCAGTGTGTGTTTTATAGATATTTTTCACAATATCCTCAAAATAGGTATGGTGAAGTACTACAAAAATTATAAAAAATAAATAAAACATTCCTTCTTTAACAATTATATTCCTAGTCTAATGAAGTGAGTTAAATGAAGTGCTAAGTGCCTGAATTTTAAAATCTAAATTTTCATGTAAGTACATAATGAGTATCCTTGCTTATTTTTCTTCCAAACATAAAAAATTATTTATTTAACGATTTACATAATTTATTCAGTTTTTTTACTTTAGGGAATGAGTTTAAGATACATTTGAAATACCTGGGGGCAGATTGAGATAATCAAAACATAACAGTAATTGTTGAATGGCCTTAAGAACAAATCCCTACCTTTTGTGTCTAACCATCCATATTGTTTTATATTTTGATTTGATTATAAGTAAGCTCTATACCAGAATTATTTTCTGTTCCTATGAAGACCAGGATACTGCAATTGTGATCATTGGAAGATTAAGTAAAATCTTCATTATGGTTCTCAATTGGCTTTTTCAAAAGAGTGCAATTGTTTTAAACTGGTGTCCAACAAGTAAATTTTTCAGAATTATTCTTTCTCATAATCCTTAGTAATTATGTATTAAATAGAATGATCTTTTGGTGATACATATAATATATGCTTATAATGCAACAACTTCAATTCTTTTATTATGTAAAATGGATTCTTATCATGGTCAGTTGCATACACTCACCAATTTCAAACATCTTCACGGACAGTAAGGCAGAGTAGACATCAGGTTTGAAAATTTCTCTACATTACTAATCTTTTAAAATGAAGTCAACCATTAATTTCATATATGTCATATAGATTTTGTAAAGCAGTCTGGTTACTGCTCACAGGTACAATGATACGAACTGTGACATATATTATATTGTATTGTATTATATTATATTATATTATATTATATTATATTATATTATATTATATATATTATTGTGTATCACACACACAACAAATTGCATAATGACCAAAAGCACACAAAAAGATAATCAAAGTCTACATCTGTGAAATTCTATTTCTTCTACAAGGACTGCAGCTGAGCAGTTCACATGTCTAGTAGTCCAGTTTTGATAGTGTTATAATCTGAATTGTATTGGAAAATGAAAAATATTTTCAAATATTTATGGATGGGTTAAAGCAGGAAGTAGGTAGAAATGCATTCACGTTCTAGAATTTAGCTCTGGGAACTCTGTCATTTCCCTACTCACTGTTCTTTAAAATATAGCCTTCTTACTTGTATAGGATTAATTGCTTGCCCCCTAAATGCCAAGGCATTTCCCTGTCAAAGTAATTTATTGCAAACAAGTCATGTCTCTATAACTCATCTGACTGGGTAGCAAGCCCTCAGCATAGTTTTCACCTGTACAAAATGACTATTCTGTGTAATGTGCATTTTGTTAGTTGCTGAAGCAAAACATCATTATATCATTTATTATATTTTTGACATTCAGGCCACATTTTCAATGGCCTAATTTGCTATGATATTTCTTATAGTGATATAACTTTTACAACATTCCACACCCAACATTAGAGCGAATTATTTTCCAGGTCTCTCTACTTCCTTCCTAAATGAATAAGAATTTGATGATGCATGAGCTGTGTTCCCCCTTAATTCTTGTATATAAGAAGCTTTCTCAGCAATTCTTTTCCTCTTTCTGGATCTTCTGTTGTTAATTTTTTTACTTGCAGTATGTTTATTCCAACATTTCTTGCTCATACTTGTGAACTTTGATAATGGTGTATTTTCTTTTATCCATTTTCCTTGAGAAGTTTTAGGGCACACTCTGACCAACACTTTTCTATTTCTTCTTCTTTTCTTTTCCTATTGTCAACACCCCAATCCATCTGCAAACTACAATCAGATTAGTTTTCATTGTGCCTTGTTCTTTTTCATAGTTTATACAAAGTCAGCTCACTAGCCCTTCACATAAACTGCTTCTCAAGCCTCCTCTTTTGCATGTTCTAATGTTGACCTTTGCCTAATAATTGAATGTCGTGACTGATTAACATAGTCTCATTTTACAGAGAATATGGTCTTCCTAGGTTTATGCTTACTACTTATTGCATTATAAAAGATTCAGGAGGAAAAACAAACCAAAAATAAGAGGAGCCTACTTTTATATCAGAGATTCTCAAGTCTTCGTCTGCATAAAAATCATATACAAATCTCAGCTCATTAAAAAGTGCATATTCAATTTTTTACTTATAGGAGTCAATCATCAGGAGGGGTTGGAGACCAGAAACATACATTTTAATGAAAACCCCAGTGTATTTTGCTGAAGATGGCCTGATACAATTTAGCAATTGTTCAATGGCTATAGCTTCTAACACCTGTCCTAATGTGGATATTTCATTTTCTCTCCAGAAATTGTACTCAGTAAAATATTTTTATTTAAATTATTGCTATGAAATTTAATTTACTAGAAGCCAGGGAAAGATATTTTCTTTCAGTGTTCAGAGAATAAACATATTGATATCTATATATAGGTAAACTTAATTATTACTCATTCATAACCTAATTCCTTCAAAGACATTTTTACTCTGTTAATTATTATAAAAAGTATAAGTACTTGACTTGCTGTTTGAAAACTAAACCCTGGGTATTCTCTATAACATTATCATCTTCCCTTTTTTAGCTAGCAATGAACAGGACTACTTGTGCCAGTATGTTTTATGTTGCTTTGAGGGCCAGGCAGAAAAATATCACTTAGTGACTGATGAAAAACAACAAATAAAATGGCCTTAAAATACCTTCAGCAAGATAAAGCTAGAAATTGTTCTGTAAGTACTATTAATAAATTCTAGTTTATTTCCTCGAATTAAGAAGTTGTTGAATAATTATCAAATGTAATATGTATTCCTAAACCATTGTTATTTAAAGTTGGGCAAATCTCTTTGTTTCCTTTGCAGAACTGTCTATATTTGACATTAGAAGGCTAACTAGGCCGGGAGCAGTGGCTCACACCTGTAATCCCAGCACTTTGGGAGGCCAAGGTGGGCAGATCATGAGGTCAAGAGTTCGAAACCAGCCTGACCAACATGGTAAAACCCTGTCTCTACTAAGAATACAAAAATTAGCTGGGTGTGGTGGTGCACACCTATAATCCCAGCTACTCAGGAGGCTGAGGCAGGGCAGGAGAATTGCTGGAACCCGGGAAGTGGAGGTTGCAGTGAGCTGAGATTGCACCAGTGCGCTCCAGGCTGGCTGACAGAGTGAGACTCCATCTCAAAAAATAAAAAGAGAAGGCTAACTAATGTCTGTCCAAAAATATGACAATTTGTGAAACTATGACAAATTATGAAATTTGTGAAATGACATATGGAAACACAATGTCATTATTTTCTGTTACCATTTGTATTATGAAAATCCCTAGTTAATACTATAGTAACAACATTGTCACTTTTATTTTATGGATAGTATTTCAGGAAAAGTTCCAGATTTCTGGGCACAGTGGCTCATGCATATAATCCTAGAAATTTGGGAGTCCAAGGTGGGTGGATCACTTGATGTCAGGAGTTTGAGACCAGCCTGAACAACATGGTGAAACCCTGTCTCTATTAAAAATACAAAAAATCACTGGGAATTGCTTGAAACTGGGAGGCAGAGGTTGCAGTGAGCCAAGATCACACTACTGCACTTCAGCCTGCGTGACAGAGCCAGACTCCATCTCAAAATAAATAAATAAATAAATAAAATAAAAGTTCCAGACGAACTCTTAACTTATGATAAAGAAAAATTCTCTAGCTTGATAGCTGATATGGCTTGTCTCTCTGTCCCCATTCAAATCTTGTGTTGAATTGTAATACCCAGTGTTGGAGGAGTGGCCTGGTGGGAGGTGATTGAATTATGGGGCAGACTTTCCCTTGCCATTCTAGTGATAGAGTTCCCATGAGATATTTGTGTGACAGTGTGTAGCACCTCACCCTTTGCTCTCTTTCTCTGTTGCTCTGACTGTGTGAAGGCTATGCTTGCTTCTTCCTTGCCTTCTGTCACGATTGTTAAGTTTCCTGAGTTCTCTTCAGAAGCAGAAGCCTGTACATCCTGCAAAACTGTGAGCCAGCTAAACCTCTTTTCTTTATAAATTACCCAGTCTCAGGTAAGCCTTTATAGCAGTGTGAAAACAGACTAATACAAAAAAGTGGTACCTGAGAAGTGAGGCATTGCTATAAAGATATCTGAAAATGTAAAAGCAGCTTTGAAACTGGGTAATGGGCAGTGGTTGGAACAGTTTGGGAGGGCTCAGAAGAAGACAGGAATATAAGGGAAAGTTTGGAACTTAACTAGAGACTTGTTGAATGGTTGCGACCAAAATTCTGATGGTGATATGGACAGTGACGTCCAGGCTGAGGGGATCTCAGATAGAGATGAGGAACTTATTGGGAACTGGAATAAAGGTCATTCTTGCTATGCTTTAGCAAAGAGATTGGTGGGATTGTGTCCCTGCTCTAGGGATCTATTAAATTTGAACCTGAAAGAGATGATTTAAGGTATCTAGCAGAATAAATTTCTAAGCACAAAGCATTCAAGATGTAGCCTTGCTGCTTCTAAATGTCTGTACTCATTTGCATAAACAAATAAATGACCTGAAGCTGGAAATTATATTTAAAAGGAAAGCATAAACATTTGAGAAATTTGCTGTCTGGCCATGGGTAGAAAATAAAAACCCATTTTCTGGGAAAGAATTCAAGCAGCTGTATAAATTTGCATAAGTAAAGAGGAGCCAAATGTTAATAGCCAAGAAAATGGGGAAAATCTCTCCAGGGCATGTCAGAGACCTTCATGACAGCCCCTCCCATCACAGACCTGGAGGCCTAGGAGGGAAAAATGGTATCTTGGTCCAGGCCCAGGGCCCCACTCCTCTGTACAGCCTCGAGACATGGTGCCCTGCATCATAGCTGGTCCTGGTCCAGCTCCAGCTGTGGCTAATAGGAACCACAATAAAGCCTGGGCCACTGCTCCAGAGGGTTCAAGCTGGAAGCTGCCAAGGCTTCCACATGGTGTTAAGCCTGCAGTTGTGCAGAGGGCAAGGGTTGAGGCTTAGGAGCCTCCACCTAAATTTCAGAGGATGTATGGAAATACCTGAATGTCCAGGCAGGAGTCTGCTGCAGGGGCAGACCCCTCATGGAGAACCTCTACTAGGGTAGTGTGAAGGGAAAATTTGGGGTTGGAGCCCCCCACACAGAGTTTCCACTGGGGCACTGACTAGTGGAGCTGTGAGAAGAGGATCACTGTCCTCCAGACCCCAGGATTGCAGATCCACCAACAGCTTGCACCATCACCTAGAAAAGCCACAAGCACTCAAGACCAGCTTTTGAAAGCAGCACAGAAGTTTTACCCTGCAGAGCCACAGGGGCGGAGCTTCTCAAGGCCTTGCAAGCCACCTCTTGTGTCAGTGTGGTCTGAATGTGAGATGTGGAGTCAAAGAAGGTTATCTTGAAGCTTTAAGATTTAATAACTTCCCTGTTGAGTTTCAGGCTTGCATAAGGCCGGTAGCCCCCTTTCTGTTGGCTTATTTCTGCCTTTTGGAAAGGGAATATTTACTGAAAGCCTATACCCCCATTGTATCTTGGAAGTAAATAACTTGCTTTTGATTTTATAGGCTCATAGGCAGAGGTACTTGCCTTGTCTCAGATTAGACTTTGGACTTGGACTTTTGAGTTAATGCTGGAATACATTAAGATTTTGGGGACTGTTGGTGATATGGTTTGGCTGTGTCGCAACCCAAATCTCATCTTGAATTCCCGTGTGTTGTGGGAGGGACAGGTGGGAGGTAATTGAATCATGGAGGCAGGTCTTTCCCATGTTGGTCTCGTGATAGTGAATAAGTCTTATGAAATCTGATAGTTATAAAAATCTGATAGTTATTTCATAAGTCTTATGAAATCTGATAGTTATAAAAAAGGGAGCTTCCCTGAGCAAGCATTCTCTCTTTGTCTGCTCCCACCCATGTAACATGTGACTTACTCCTCATTGCTTTCTGCTATGATTGTGAGGCCTTTCCTGCAGTGTGGAACTGTAAGTTCATTAAACCTCTTTTTTTCTTCCAAGTCTCTGGTATGTCTTTATCAGCAGCATGAAAACATACTAATACAGTTGGGAAGGCATAATTGTGTTTAAAATGTGAAAAGGACTTGAGATTTGTGAGGGACCAGGTGCAGAATGATGTGATTGAGCTCTGTGTCCCCACCTGAATCTCAGGTCAAATTGTAATTCCCAGTGCTGGAAGAGGGGCCTAGTGGCAGGTGTTTGAACATGGGGAAGACTTCCCCCTTGCTGTTCTTGTGATAGCATTCTCAAGAGATCTGGTTGTTTGAACATGTATAGCACCTCACCCTTTGCTCTCTCTCTGTCTCCTGCTCTGGCCAAGTGAAGACCATGCCTGCTTCCCCTTCACCTTGTGCAGTGATTGTAAGTTTCCCAAGGCCTCCACAGAAGCAGAAGCTTATATAGCCTGCAGAACTGTGAGCCAATTAATGTTTTTTTATAAATTACCAGTCTCAGGTATGTCTTTATAGCAATGTGAGAATGGACTAATACAGTAGCTAGTGTTAACATTATATGATATGGGAGTAACCTGAAATTAAAGTAAAGGAAATAAAACGCTCTACCATGCACCGTAATACTGCAAAGAACAATGATATAACTGCCACCTCTCACAGCAGGAAATTCAGTTTTTCTTTTAGGGTACCTCCTCTGTTCTACCAGGCATTTACCGGAACTGATGTGCTGCTCTATCACTGTACTTAGATAATTCTCTCTGGAGGTTTAGAAACAACACAAGCTGGTGATTTATTGGTTATTGAAAATGAACTGTCCTCCTAACACAGCTGTAATATGGGCAATGCAGAGGGGAAATATTTCTGCATTTCTAGCATGCACAGATACTATGGCCAAAGAAATGTCTGTGCTTGCAGCAAGTGATTTTGGTGGTGTGCTCAGCAGAGTGCGCTGTATCCATGAAGGGCTGGACTTTCAGACAGTATTGGAGCTCCTGTGACATTTACATGAGGTAAGGCCTTTTTATTCCAGTGAGATTATTATGTTTACCAACAGTAGACTCAGAAATACTAACTGATCACCCTTTTCAGCTTAGGACTGACCTTTGGTCTCATTTGTTTTCACCAGATAATGATTTTTATTAAAGCTTCTATTTCCTGTCCCTCCCTGTGTATCTGCCTGACTCTGGTCACTTGAATCTCAGAAAGGAGCATCCAGCAAGTCTCTGAAGGCTTTATCAACATCCTTTCCACGCTTCATTATCCATCTTTCAACTCAGCATTCATATCTTTTGCAGAAATAAAGGGAAATTTTAAACCACAATTCACTAGATAGATTGTTGGAGGTGTATTGTCAGTATATATTTTTCTCAGCTTACATGGTATTTTCTATACCATGATGGCTTTCAAAGTCATATCTTAAAACCTACCTTCTACCCTGAGCAACATATATTCATGTCCGATTGTCCCCTATACTTCTTTACTTACATTTGTATTGATTCCTCAAACCAATCTCTAAAAGTTTCTCATAACTCACCTTCCAAATATGTTTATCTACTTTCATTTCCCATTTGAGGCCCAACATGATCTCTATCCACAAAGAGACACTTGAGTTTCTTCACCTCACTCTTCCCTCTCAATTCAAAGACATTATGGTTATCCCAATCTTGTTTCTTACCTATATAAAGCATTTTTTTAAAATTTCATCTTCACTTCTTGTCCCAACCCTTATATTAACTATCTGATTATTTTAGTCATGGACATTCAAATACTTACTCAAGCTTGCTTCTTAAATCCTATTATGTGCTTTCTTATTCTACATCTAGAAATAAATTAATTTGCCCTTCAGGGTCAAAGTCAAATATCACATTCCATGAAAAATTTTCCTGCTTTATACACCAGAGCAGAATCAAATATGCTCCCCTATATTTTTGTCCCTATGGAACAAGATTTCATTATTTATATGAGTGTCTCCTATGTAAGACTATGAACTTCTTGATGGCAGGTAAACTGTCCTCCATCTTTGTAACTATCCCCCTTAACACCATAATTATGAGGATGTAAATAATTCAAAGAGTCCCGGGTTTCTTTTTGTGCTATTATAATGGCATGAAGGCCAGGGGTCTAAGGATAGCTAAATTTAGCCTACCATTTATATCACTTTTCTACAGGGCTTTCAAGGGAAATCTACACATAAGGGAGAATCTCTGAATGAAAATCAAAGTACCATAATAGCTATAAGATGACCTTAACTTTGACAAATCAGACTACAAACTCCAACTCCCAAAGGTAAGAGGAGCTAAGAAGGAGTTGTTGTATGTAGGCCTGGGCAGCAGTGGACAGTCAAAAAGTCCTTCTTCTTCTGGTGGTAATAAATGTTTTTATGCTACTGAATTATTCATTTCGTGTATATTTCGTGAAGACTAAATATAGGTACATAATAAATTGACAATATCAGTTTTGTAAACTCTATCAAGTATTATAAATTAAGTAACTTAAAATTATTCACATTTAAATTTTTTCAAGTTTATTCCTCCATAATTCTTAAATTATTTCCATTAATGCACTAAGTTTTTGAGCTCTCTATTTCTTTGAAAGACAGTTAAGATAACTTAATTATATGTTATCTAATTGAAATATTAAAGCATGGGACAGAGCTATCAAAGTGACATTAATAAGTTTCTTAGTGAAGGCTACTTCTAAACTGAAATAAAATTCTTCGAAAATAACATACATCAAACTGAGGATCGAGGAAAAAAAGTTGTTGTTTTTATACCATACTATGTATTATATATTATATATTTTATAACTCAATACTCTCTGAGATCATGTTAATATTTGAACAGGCTCTCATAATTTAAATAGGACTTATGGATCTTTACAGATCCAAAATTCACAGAGATAATAGGACAAAGAAGTAGGGTATTATGAGGAAAAGCTACTACACTATGACTTAAAGCTTTAAATATGACAATTGAATCTATTTTTAATGGCTTGTTAAATTTCATTAATTTATATTTAATGAGATGAATAACACTCAAAAAATAATTAGGATATCTCAAATAAATAAAAATTATGGAAGCAATAATTAACATGGGAACAAAATAGAAAAGATAAGAATTAAAGTTGTGTCAGGCATGGTCCAGTCACCAGAATTCCTTGACTCTCACTTTCTACACTTTAATTTTGAATAATAAGAAATACCTGACTATCTCATAGAATAATTATGTTAATACAAGAAAATAAATAGTGAGAAAAGTTACTGAAAATCTCAACATGTGGACAAATGCAAGTCACTGATATTCATTATCTTGATACGGTGTATAATTTGTCCATAGCAATTGGAAAAGTCCTAATTTTTAATCTTGAATGTAAAATGCAACTTTTGCCTGCTCATCAAAATCTGAAGACTTCCATAGCAGTGCTTCAAAGTCAAAATGTTACTGAGATGAAGGGCTTCTATGTTAACTTGCTGACTCTCTCAATGCCAAGTACAGACATCCTCATACTTTTCTGAAGTCTCTGCCTAAAACTGTTCCTCTAGAGGCAAATGTTCGGTTCTAATACACTATGGCCTGTAACACTAAAATTCTGATGTAGTGTCATACACAACTGGGCTTTACATAATGTACCCTATCTCTCTGACCTCATCTTTTACATCTCACCTTGCTCATTTCCCAGTTGTCACATTGGGCTTATATCTGCTCCTCAGGCACACCAAGCATGTTCTTACCTCAGGGCAGTTTTGAGCATACTGCTCGCAATACTTTGTAAGGTTTTTCCTTGATATAATATATGTTTCAGTTCAAATGCCCCTTTTTTAAAAAGAGATTTACTGACACAACTGTCTGAATTATCCTGACCATCAAATTCCCCAAGTCACTCTCCAACATATCTTTGTATTATTTTTTTTCCCTGCTTAGTGTTTTGGAAATCATTGGGCTTATTAATTCATTTACTAATTCAATGTTTGTATCTCCCCCTAAATTACACATACCACAAAAACAGACATTTTATATTCTTGTCTGTTTTCTTCCCATTATCTGAAACAAATCCTGGCATATCGAGACAGACAGGCACACACACACACACACACACACACACACACACACACAAAATGTGCTGGAGCTGGATTTTAATAGTTTACACAACTCAATTTTGCACATCTTTTTTGAACTCCTAGTTCAGGAACATCACGTTGGTAGTTTGAAATTGGCCAGATGGGAGCATTTTTGCCACAGAAATCAGCAAACACTACAAATCAGGGCCTTTTTTCCTTGGAATGTCAGATGAACATTTACTAATCTCTGTCTTTATACAGGAAAGAGACAATAAAACAGTAACAAAATTGATTTCCTATAACTAAGATCTGAAGTGAGGAAAGTATATATGAGAAGAAGCTTTTGTCTTTGTTACACAGTGTAAGTGACATAAAAACAGAAACACACAAAACAATTGCTCTTATAGGTTGTTGATCTAAAAGGACAACGGAGGAAGCCATTAGGAAATAATTCATCTCACACTTGATTTTCACATCTTGGAAATAAAAAGAAACGTGACTGTTTTACTATCTTAAAAATTGCATTATAAAATTTAGGATGATATTTAATATAATCTATTAAAACAAAGAGATTTTTAGACAAATGGCCTTTTTGACAAATAGACAAAGCAAGATTTGATGCCAAATAATCCTGAATAATAACTGGTACTCCTGGCTGTGATTAATTTATCTTTGCATCCTAATAGTATTTCTTTTTTATTTTTATTTTTATTTTTATTTTAGAATGAGTCGCACTCTATTGCCCAGGCTGGAGTGCAGTGGCGTGATCTCAGCTCACTACAACCTCCGCCTCCCGGGTTCAAGCGATTCCTGTGACTCAGCCTCCTGAGTAGCTGGGATTACAGTTGCCCGCCAACACGCCCAGCTAATTTTTGTATTTTTAGTAGAGGTGGAGTTTCACTTTGTTGGCCAGGCTGGTCTCGAACTACTGACCTCAGGTGATCCACCTGCCTTGGCATCCCAAAGTGCTGGGATTACAAGTGTGAGCCACCACACGCAACCAGTATTTCATTTTTAAAATAACGACCACATAAATAGTTTGTCAATTATGTACTTACAACTTTTTCTAGTCACAAATAATAATCTAATATGCCCATTGCAGTAACCTTCCATTACTATCACTTCATTCTGATGTAAGAATGTGACAGAAACTTTTTTACTTCTCTGGTTTCAGAATGTAGACACAAACATTATGCATCCCTATTATCTGGTAATGATATGGCTTTGTTATGGTAAAATAATACTTTAGATCAAGTATTCCAAAACCTCAGTCCTACCTAAGAATGTACCTATCATTGCAAATATAGATTCTCAATAGAAATGAGTCTCTTGATTATTTTGTTGAAGAGGCAGTCTACTAGTAGACAATAATATTGAGTACCTACCATTTCTTATATGTATATTATGCTCAACAATACATTAAGTTCCTTGTATTCAGAAAATCAATGCAATGACGCTATGAATAAGTTATTTGTATTTCAGCTTTAAATATGAGAAAATTGATAATTTGAGAAAATTTCCTCTGGTTATGCTGATAGTAAATAGATGAGATAGAATTCAAATCTAGGTGGTCTAACTTTAGGTTTCATAGGATTGCATATAGGTTTTCAAACATAATATACTGTCATCCCACAAAAACTCAATTCACTAATGACAACTGAAAGGGCTTGGGCTATTCAAAAGGCAAAAGAATCAATACATTCACACAGAGAAATTTCCTTTTAACCTCAGAAGTATGGCATATGTAAAAAAAATATACATTTGCATGTATGTATGTCTGTGTCTTTTTCTTCTTTTTTAGTCCTCCTTATGCTGCAAAATTACTTGCAGATCCATGTAGAATGCATCTTGCTTTGGGTTACCTAGAAATGATGGCTCTATTGTACTATTTTCTTATTTTAACATAAAGTTTTTATTTTCCCACTTTGAAATGTGTTGAATCAATTTCAACTATGTACCACTGTTATACAGACTCATAAAACTTCAGTAGAGTGGCATAAATATGATCCTCTTAGATGTTCAGGCATAACAGGCAAGGAAACAAATGTCCCCAAACTGACTCTGATGCACCACCTACTGCTATACTTTTTTTTTTTAAGGATTCCTCATTCCTCAAGTGGAGAATGGGATCTGGTAGAAAAGACATAGCTTACAGAAAAAAGTGGGAAAAGCCCTACTTATAAATTGTCTCATATGAGCAAAGTCTTGAAAGAGTAGTTCTAGATGACAGGATAAACATACACATAATAAAACAATTTACTTCCATTTACCATTTGTGCCAGGTATCATTGAAGGTCAGTTCCAAAAGATAAATTAAAAGAGAATTATGTTTAAGGATTCTGCATGCGGGTTTCTATGTGTGTGTGTGTGAGAGTGTGCATTTGTATGCGTGTGTGTGTGTGTGTTTAGGCACTTGTCTTTAGTATTAATCATTCTGAAGAATAATTTGCTTGATTGATCTATTCATTCATTTTGCTTGAGCAAAATAGGAGTGAAGCATAAAACTTGAGTCACACATAGAAAAATACTTGGATTAGGTAATACAATTACATATAAATATTTTTAAAGGGTTGGTATAGATTTTTATATTTATCTAAGGAGTAAATAAATTATATACCTTAATTACATTTTTCTAAAACAAGATATAATGGAAATTTTGCATAAAAGCTATATATTAGCAGATTTTATGACAAAATATTTCAGCTAGCAGAAAAAAGGATGTGCAACCATGGCATTAATATCTATATCATATATAGATATTATAGACATGAAACATGATTAAATAATTAACTTAGACTTATCACATCCCATGTTGCCAAAAAATTTTCCCCATGTTAATTGAAAAGTAAGAAATAATTATCTGTTATTTCACCACTCTTCATTATACCATATCTTTGGTACTGTTGCTAAAGAAATGGTTCCCAGAAAATTCTCTAATGTTAAGGATTGTTAATCACTATGGGATTAGAACTCAAAGAAGCAGTAAGATATAGAAAAAAGCCACTGAAAATATATTTAAAAAATCTTCAGGTTTTCGTTAAACAATTTGCACATTAATTTTATTGCCCTCAACATGGGGTTCATTTAGGAAGTATCATAGCTTATTCCTTTCGGAGTTACATATTTTTGTTTTTTAAATAAACTTTTCATTTTAGAACAGTTTTAGATTTACAGAAAATCATAACAGAAAGTGCCCATATATTGTACACCCAGTATCTTCTATTATTAAATCTTTCAATATATGATATATGTACCTTTTATGAATGATTGAAGATATATTATTATTAATTAAAATCCATGTTTTATTCACATTTTCTTGTTTTTACACAGTGTCTTTTTTGTTGTTCCTACATCCCATGTATCATATAAAATAAAATTAAAACTGGTCTTAATGACTTCCAAGGCTCTTTTTGATTGTGACAGTTTTTCAAACTTACCTTGTTTTGATGACCTTGAAGGTTTTGATAAATGCTAAGACATTTTATACAATGTTCCTGAATAGAGAAATTTCATTATTATACTAGGGTATAATAATGGACTTTTGGAATAAGACCACACAGAGATAAAGTGCCATTCTAATTGCATCATATCAGGAAACACACTATCATCATTACTTAATCATTCTTCAGGTTTACTCGATCCCATTCCTGGGATACAGTTTGTTAATTTTCTCCATTGTACATAACTTATTTCACCCCATTTCCATTTTGTATAGTAAAAAGGAAGTCAGTATATGTAGCACATACTCAAGAGTGGGGAGTTGTAAATGTCGTATAAATGAAATTATATGCACCATTTTCAGACTGGCAACTTTTACATAATATTATGCATTTAAGATTTATTTGTGTTTCAGCCAGTCTCGGTGGCTCACATCTGTAATCCCAGCACTTTGGGAGGCCGAGGCGGGCAGATCACCTGAGGTCGGGAGTTTGAGACCAGCCTGGCCAACATGGAGAAACCCTGTCTGTACTAAAAATACAAAATTAGCCAGCCATGGTGGTGCATGCCTGTAATCCCAGATACTCGGGAGGCTGAGGCAGGAGAATAGCTTGAACCCAGGAGGTGGAGGTTGTGGTGAGCTAAGATTGCACCATTGCACTCCAGCCTGGGCAACAAGAGGAAAACTCTATCTCAAAAAAAAAAAAATTTATTTGTGTTTCTATGTGTCTTGATGGAACAGTCTTTTATTTATCACTGAACAGCATTTCACTGTATGCTTATTCATTCACCTATTGAATGACATTTTCATTTAAGTATTTTTATTTCTTTAGAGATGGAGTCTCATCGTGTTGCCCAGGCTGGCTTGCAATGGTGCAATTATAGCCTACTGCAGCCTTCAATTCCTGAGCTCCAGCAGTTCTCCCACCTCAACCTCCCAAATAGCTGGAACTACAAGCTACAGGTGCACAACACGACGCCTGAATTGAATGACATGTTGATGGCTGCTAGTTTGGGGCAATTATGTATAAATGTGCTATAAACATTTTCTCACAGTTATTTGTGCAGGCATAACTTTTCAAGTAAATTAGTTAAATACGTTAGAGCAGGATTACTTGATTATATGCTAAGACTATGTTTAGCTTTATGAGAAACTGCCAAGCTGTCTTCCAAAGAACTTGTGTCATTTGCATTCCCACCAGCAAGGAATGGGAGGTTTCTGTTCTTTGCACCTTCACCAGCAATCGATATTTATGTTGTTGGGATTTTAGGTATTATAATGTGTGTATAATGATATCACTTTGATGTTTTAATTTGCAATTTCCTAATGAGAAATGACATTGGGTATTTTTTCATATGCTAACATACCATCTGAATATCTTCTGAGAGATGTCTGTTGAGATTTTGGCCCACTTTTCAATTAGTTTTCTTACTGTTGATTTTCTTTTAAGTTCCAGTTATATTTTGGATTTCTTTCCTAATGTTTAGAAGCTGTGACTATTTTGGATATAAGTCCTTTATCAAATGTGCTTTGCAATATTAACTTCCAATTTTAACTTGTCTTTCATATCGTATTTTCTCAGAGCAGAAGATTTCAATTTTTAAAAAGTCCATCTTAGTTTTTCACACATTGTGCTTTTGTTATTTTACTGTACTCAGGAGCAAATCCAAGGTCAACGCGGTTTTCTCTTCTGTTGTTTTCTAGAAGCTTATAATTTTGCATCGTACAATTTCTTCTATGATGCATTTTGAGTTAAGTTTTGTCAAAGTAAGGTCTATGTCAGGGCAGTCTGTCTCTGTTTTGCTTATTTTTCCAGGAACGTTTGTTAAAAACTACCCTTTGCTCCACTGAATTGCCTTTGTGCCTTTGTCAGAAATTAACTGTTTGTCTTAGTCTATTTCTGTGCTCTCTGATCTGTTGCATTAATTTATATGCCTAATCTGTCACCAATACTATGCTGCCTACATTACTGTACTTCAGAACAATAAGTCTTGAAATCTGAAAATGTGACATCTTCAGTTTTGTTTTTCTTTAATATTCCCTTGGCTATTCTAGCTCCTTTGATTTATATATATATTTATATGCATTTTTAGAAGAGTTTAACAATATCTATATAATAATTTGCTGGAATTTTGATTTCACTGGATTCAAATTGGGAAGAATTACAAAAATATTAAATATTTTAAGCCATGAACACAGAATAACTTATTTATTTAAATCTTTGATTAATTTTATCAGAGTTATGAAGTTTTTCATTATAAACTCTGTACACATTTTGATAGATTTTTACTTTTTTTTGGTGCTATTGCAAATAGTATTGCCTTTTTAATTTTAAATTTAAATTTTTCATTGCTGGCATGTAGACAAAAAATTGACTTTTGCATATTGACCTTGTATCTCATATTACCTTGCTCTAGTTACCTATTCATTGCAGGAGTTTTCTAAATTTGTTTGTCTATAAATTATTCGGTCTTTTCTACACAATGAATCAAAAGTAGTTTTATTATGTTCCTTCCAATTTGCATATATTTTATTTATTTTTCTTATCTTATTGCACTAGCTAGGGGTTTCAATATGATGTCGGCTTGGAGTGATGAGAGGGGACATCTTTGACTCTCAATAATAAGGTAAAAATTATCATCTCTTACCATTAAACAAAATATTAGCTGCCAGTTTTTTTCTAAATATTCCCCATAAACTTCAGAAAACATCCTCCTATTCATATTTAATGAGAGTTTATAACTTGAATGGATGTTAGATTTTGTCATATGATTGCTTTACTTCAATTGATACAATATAGTGAATTGCATTGATTGATTTTTAAACAATGATCTACTTTATTTGGAATAAATTATCAAATAAGTAAAGTTTATTTTTAAATAGAAAATAAAACTAGTACTTTTCCACTAGTTCACCTGAATGCTTAAAAACTCTCTTGCTTTTTGTTTTAACAGAGTTTAATTCTCTCTTTTATTGTGATAATCTTAAATAAAGCCTGTCTTTCCTGTTTAATTTTATCCGGTGCAATTTTTCTTTGACAACACCAGGTGCTGCTCTATGATTTTTATTTTTGTCTCCTATATTTATTTTTTTATTATGTACTTCGCAGACAGTCTTCAGCTATAATCCACTCTGATTATATATGTCTGTATATCTATTATATTAATTAATATGACATATTATGTTAATATATTATAGTACATATTAGAATATGTAATATACAATAGTATAGTGTGTATACTATGGTGTATATTATATAACATACTAATATTGATATGTTGCATATTATAGTATATGCCATGCTATTATATATTACTTGTAATATATAATACTTTTTAATTTTGTAGGCCTGTTAGTGTTACATTGTTCTTTGAAGGGGAGGGGAAGCATTCTCTAAAATTCCGATTAACTCAGTCCTTTAGTGCGCCTGTGTCTGAGAGCGCTGTTCTTTACAAGTGTTTCTCCATAGCTTTTTCTCACTGCCCCCTACTTTTTTCCCTGGCTGCTACATTCCCAATCTATTTCTCTGAAGCCATGTGAAGCCGTGCCTATGCTCCAAACAATTTGATCTTTATTTCTACATCTCTCTGGATGAATCTGTTGTAGGATTTTAGAGTAGCAGGATTTCCAGTGACCTCAGTTCTCTGATGGCCCCAAGAAAAGATGTTGCTTATCAGTTCAACCAGTGTTTTCTTTTCTTTTTTTTTTTTTTTGAGATGGAGACTCGCTCCTGTCACGCTGGCTGGAGTGCAGTGGCGCGATCTTGGCTCACTGCAACCTCCACCTCTCGGGTTCAAGCGATTCTCCTTCCTCAGCCTCCCGAGTAGCTGGGATTATAGGTGTGCACTACCACACCTGGCTAATTTTTGTATTTTTAGTAGAGATGGGGTTTCGCCATTTTGGCCAGGCTGGTCTTGAACTTCTGACCTCAGGTGATTCACCTGCTTTGGCCTCCCAGAGTGCTAGGGTTACAGGCATGAGCCACTGCTCCTGGCCTCAACCAGTGTTTTCTTACTGTTAAGATGAAGTAAAGATTTCTAATCTAATTAGATTAGATATTCTAATTATTTAAGTATTATTAAATAATTAAATATATTTTTCCTTTTATTAAATACAAATCGATATTCTAATTATTTAAGTATTATAACCATTTCTTACTTTTCTCTTCCCACCATCTGACTCTCATATATCTGACCCTCATGTCAGGTCATTTAGGACCAGACCTTCATGTCAAAGAGCTTGGTAGTCTGAATTATACAAATGAAATTCCTCTTGAAACACCAGAGATTAAAAACATATTTGATGTTTGTGTCATTGTACATTTTTTTCACCAACATGGGAGTAATATCTCAGTACAAATCAGCATGAGAAACTAAGTTTGGGTGAAGAAAATATGATTTATACAATTGGACAATATTAGGAGGGGTTCAAATTAAACGAGCATAAAAAATGTTCTCTTACCCACTCTCATTACAGGATTCCACAAGTTATTTTGAGAGATAATAAAAAGAACATATAATTTATTGCTACATATATGTGTGTGTGTGTGTGTATGCATATATATGTGTGTATATGTAGAGAGTGTGTGTGTATACATATATATGTGTGCATATGTATACGTGAGTGTATATGTGTATGTATATGTGTGTATATGTATATGTGTGTGTATACGTGTATGTATGTATATGTATGCATATACATACACGTATACATACACACACAAATATATATATTTGTATTTAATTACTTTCAACAGTTTTTTAACTATATCCTTACCTAACACAATTCTTCCTGATTGTGGTACTTAAAACATTTATGGAAGGTACCAATATTTTGGTAACTGCCTTGGGAAAATATGTTTATCAGTACCATTTACAGTGTTATTTTTAAATATTTAATTTTTTGATGTCTGTTAAGCATTTGAAAAACATTGATTGTGATATAAATGGTAATTAATATTTTAAAGTAAACATAAACAAGTTTATGTCCTGAGGTGGGGGTATAATTTAGTGGATTCTGTTTGGACTATCTTAATAATCACAATCACTGTAAAGGTAGTCACTATGAGATCAGGCACAGTGGCTCACACTTTCAGAGGCTAAGCGCTTTCAGAGGCTGAGGTGGGAGAATCGCTTGAGCCTAGGAGTTTGAGACCAGTCTAGGCAACATAGAGAGACCCCTGTCTCTACAAAAAAAAAAAAAAAAAAATTAGCCAGGCATCGTGGCATGAGCCTGTGGTCCCGGTTACTCAAGGCAGGAAAATCACTTGAGCCTGAGAGGTCAAGGCCACAATGAGATGTGATTTTGCCACTGCACTCCAGCCTGGACAACAGAATGAGATGGTATCTCAAAATAAATAAATTAAATTTAATTTAAAAAAGATAATCACTATGTGTATATGGTTAAACCAGGCTATACTTTCAGATAAAAAGGCAAAGCACTCTTTCCTAATTTTTTTCATGGACATTTATTCTTTACTTTTTCATTAAATTTGTAGATGTTGAAATAATGGTCGAAGTGAATAAACGCTATTTAAAACCTTTGTTATGGTTTCCAGATAGCTTTACAGAAGAATGTAGCAATTTATACTCACACAATGACTGAAAATGCCTTTATGTCTACATTTTAATTTTATTGAGATATAATGGATGTATATAAACTGCATGTATTTCAAAATGTGTAAACACTTGTGAATCCCTCAAAACATAAGCTATTAAACATATATATGTCCTTCTGAGAAGTTTTCTCATGTTTCTTTGAAATTCTCCCTTACTCTCCTCATTCTCAATCAACCATTAGTCTGTTTAGATTAGGTTGCATTTTCCAGAATTTTATATAAAAACAATAAAAAACATGTAGTAGTTTTAGACTCACTTTTTCACACATGATAATTATTTAGAGATTCACTGATATTTCATGTAACAATATGTGATTCAATGTTTTATTGCTTAGTAGTATTTCTTTTTTGTCAATATACTATACAACATGAGGATTCTTTCCAGTTTGGGGCTATTAAAATTAAAACTACTGTAAACATTTGTCCCAAAGTCTTTGTGTTGACATGTGTATTCATTTTCCATTGGTAAATTTGTAGAAATGGAATAAATGGCTATATGGTGAACATATCTTTAACTTTTTATGAAAGTGAAAAAAAGTGCTTTCCAAAGCACACAATCTTACTTTTCAACCAGCAATGTAAAAGAGGTCCAGTTTCTCTACATCTTAACCTATAATTTATATTTTTATATGTATTTGTATATATATATATATATATATAATGTGTGTGTGTGCATATATATATGTGTTTGTGTGTATATATAAATTTTAGCCATTCTTGAGAGTATGTAGCAGTCTATTATAATTTTAATTTGTATTCTCCTAGTGATTAAAGATGTTCAACATTCTTTTCACATGCTTATTTGCCATCTGTATATATCCTTTGGTAAAATGTCTGCTAAAATAGTTTTTCTATTTTAAAATTTGCATGGTTTGACTTCTGTTGACATCAATTGTAAGAAATTTTATGTATTATAAATATCAGTCCACTGTCAAATATATGCTTTGAAAATATTTTTAATTTAAAGAATCTAATTTAGTGCTTTTTTCTACTATACTTGATACATTTTGTGCTGTATTTAAGAAATTTTGCAAAAACCATTATTAATAACATTTTTCACTATTATTTTTAATACTTGCTAGAGATTTAGTACTTGTATTTAGATTTGTGATACATTTTGAGCTAATTTTTGCATGTGATATTATTTAAGGGCCAAGGTGCTTACTCAGTGTTTATTCTTTTCAGCATTCTTTAGTGAAAAGATTCTTTTGTAAATGAATTGTTTTGTCATATTTGTGGAAAATTGATCATATAGGTTATGGGTCAGTTTAAGGACTCTGTATTTTGTTTACAGAATAAAATACCAAGTATTTAATATGTTTACTATTATGCTAATAGCTTGCTGTCTTCATTACTATAAGCTTTAAAATAAGACTTAACATTAGGTAGTGTAAGTCCTCTTATTTTTCTCTATTTCAATGTTATTTTGACTATATTAGACTCTTTGCATTTTTGTATAATTTTAGAATCCCCTTGTTAATCTCTACTAAGAGCCTGCTGGAATATTGGTTGAAGTTTTCTTGAATAAATAGACAACTTATTGAAATTATAGACATCTTAATAATAAAGAGGTTTCCCATCTATCAATATGGGTCTTTTAAATTTTTTATCAGCAGTAATTCTATTTTCCAAGATGTATGTCTTCCATATGCTTATCCAAATTTATCCCTATATATGTCACATTTTGTATATTGTAGAATATTCCTAAGCATAGAAGAAATACCAGTCTTTCACCATTTATGGTGATGTAAATGCCAAGACTTTTTTGTGTGATTTTCATAAGGATGAGTGTGTTGTTTATTCATTGTTCATTTGAGGGTTTTTGCCATGTATGACTGTTGAATATTATCAAGTGTACTTTCAGCCTTTATTGAGATAATTTTTAAAACTTTTTTTACTCTGTTTATTTGATAAATTATATGGATTGATTAACAAATGTTAAACCAGTCTTACTGAAATGAAACATGATTTATCATGATGTATTGTTACACTTTGTATGTATTGCTGAATTCAGTTTGATATCTGGTTGAAGATATTTGCTTTTTTCATCATGAGGGTTGTTGGTATGTAGAGTTTGGTTTGATGTTTTCTTTTCCTTTTAATATCTTTTCTGGCAATGCTGACTTCATAAAATAGATTAGGAAGTGATTTATGCTCTTAATTTTCTTGGAGAAAGTTTGTTTCATTTTGTATTATTTCTTCCTTAAATATTTCATAGAATTCACAACTGAAACAATATACGTAAGAATTTTCTTTGTGGGAAAGCTTTTAACCAGAAGTTCAATGTGTTTGATAGACACAAGGCTATGCAAGTTGTTACAAAGTCTGCCTTAACACAGCTATTCCGGTTCTCAAGTTTTCTGAGTGAGCTTTGTTAATCTGTTCACATTGTTTGCAAGAAATTTATTTATATTATCTGAGTTGTCAAATTAATTGATACAGTTTATTCATAATAATCCCTTATGATTCTTCTTATGTCTATATTACTTATAAGATACGTAATACTGTCTTTCTTCCATTATAAATGTCTTCTTTATTTTATGAAATTAATCCACCTAAACTTTAATCAATTTCATTGCTACTATTCAAAGAAGTTTTTTATTTCATTGATTTTTTTTCTCATTTTGATGTGCTACTTTCTAATATTTTTTTTCACTAGCTCTCTCCTTCTGCTTATTTGGATTTAAGTTGCTTTTCTTTTTCTAGTTTCTTCAGGTGAAAGCTTAGGTCATTGATTTAAGACCTTCCTTTCTTTCTAATAGAGGCATATTTTGCTATGAAATTTCTTATAAGCAATGTTTCAGATGTCTTACAGGGTTTGACAGGTCACCTTTTCATTTTCATTCAGTTCAGTTATTTCTAATTACTATTTATATAGCTTTACTAACCAATTATTATGTTAATATGTGTAATTTTTTTCAAATACTTGATGATTTTTTAGATTGCTATATTTACTCATTTTTACTTTCTTTGAATTGTGTCAGAGAATATCTTACATGTATTCAAATCCTTGAAATGTATTGATAGGTGTTTTACAGCCCAGAATATGGTCTATCTTGGTATATGCAATAAGTAAACTTAACAATGTGTATTCTGTTAATTTTGGTTGAAATGTTCTATAATTATCAATCATGTTAAATTAATTGGCAGTATTATACAAGCCCCCTACATTCTGAATGATTTCTGTAATTAATTTTATTAATTATTGAGAGAGGTATGAGATTATATAAACATAATTTGATTTTGTCTGTTTCTGCTTGCATTTCTATAACATTTGTTTCTTGATTTTGAAACTCTGTTATAAGATACATAAATATTTAGTATTTTTATATCATCTTGATGAATTGGCCCTTCTATTATTATGGACCAACTTTCTTTATCCCTGATAAAGTTATTTCCTCTAAAGTCTAATTTGTTCTATATTAATATGCCACTTCCACTATCGCTTTCTATGGATTACTGTTAGCTTTGTGTATTTTCGTATTATTTTTATGTAGATGCATTTCTATTTTCAATTTAATTTATTTAATAGTTTATGCAGCATGTGGTGAAATTTTGTTTTTTTTCAGTCTAATCTGTCTGCCTTTAGATTATTTACATTTAATATAATTATTGATATAGGTGTGTTTACATCTCATACCTAGCCATTTGTTTTCTATATGTCCCAACTATTTACTCCCTTTTCCTGCATTTGGCATTATTTTTATTAGCTGAGTATCTTTTTTACCATCTTTTATATCCTTTATCTGTCCATTAGCTACATCTGTTTTTAAAGGCTTTAATTTTAAAAAATAATTTTAGATTTACTAAATAATTTCAAAGCTAATAGAATGTTCCTATATGCTTTATACCAACTTTGCTCTCTTATTAATTTATCTTGTAATAGATCCTTTGACTCATGACCTATTTAGAAGTATAGTGTTTAATTTCCAAATACTTTGTAATTTTCTAGCTATCTTCCTATTATTAATATCTTTTTAAATTTAATTGTGGTATGAGAACATACTCTAAGATTTCTGTTCTTTTAAATTGCTTAGGTGTATTTTATGGCCCAGAATTTGGTCTATCATGGTAAATGTTCCACGTGAGCTTGAGAAGAATGTGTGTTCCACCACTACTGGATAAGCTAGTCTATAAATGTCAATTAGATACAGTTGATTAATGGTACTGTTGAGTTCAACTATATACTTATTGATTTTCTGCCTGCTGGATCTATCAATTATAGTATGAGAGATGTTGAAGTCTCCAACTGTAATAGTGGATTTGTTTATTTCTCCTGGCAGATCTATCAGTTTTGTCTCACATATTTGGGCATGCTGTTGTTAGGTGCATACATCGTAATCATTGTTATGTCTTGTTGGACAATTGACTCCTTTATCATTATATAATGCCCTTTT
The DNA here is from genome assembly GCF_000001405.40 of Homo sapiens. Lineage (NCBI taxonomy): Eukaryota > Metazoa > Chordata > Mammalia > Primates > Hominidae > Homo > Homo sapiens. Next base: position 95,528,571 of record NC_000003.12, read on the forward strand.
TAATCTCTGAAAATTCCCCGTGTTCGGAATCTGCTTTACCCAAAATGAATATAGCTACTCAATATTTCTATTAATTAGTGTTTGTATCACGTATCTTTCTCTATCCCTTTACTTATAATCTATGTGTGCCTTTATATATACAGTGGGTTTCCTCTAGACAATATATTTTTTTCTTTCACTCTGACCATGTCTATCTTTAATTGGTGTATTTCAAGCATTCATAGATACATTGATTGTTAATATAGTTGGAATAGTATCTACCACGCCTGTAATTATTTTCTGTTTGTTGCACTTTTTCTTTGTTTCCTTTTTATCATCTCTATCTGATTTACCTGGTCTTAAATGATAATTTTCTATCATTACTTTTTCTCTCTTTTTTTAGCACACCAATTATAGTTCTATATAAAAGATGTGTTTTAGTAGTTTCCCTAGAGTATGCGATATCCATTCACAGCTAATCGATTTTTAAAAATCGTATTATACTGCTCACAGATAGTGCAGGTATTCATATTACTTATCTATATGATATAATCACAAAATTTAATGTTACTATTATAGTTTTAAATACTTATCTATAGGTTAGTTAGGAATAGGAAAAATAAAAGAGTTTATATACCTTCATATACTCCTACGCCAGCAATCTCCTTTTCTTCTGTAGATCAGAGTTTGTGACCTGTACCTTTTTCTTTGTGAGCGGTGGATCACGAGGTCAGGAGTTCAAGACCAGCTTGGCCAAGATGGTGAAACCCTGTCTCTACTAAAAATACAAAAAGTAGCCAGGTGTGGTGGTGGGCGCCTGTAATCCTGGCTACTTGGGAGGCTGAGGCAAGAGACTCACTTGAACCCGGGAGGTGTAGGTTGCAGTGAGCCGAGATCACACTACTGCACTCCAGCCTGGATGACAGAGTGAGACTCTGTCTCAAGAAAAAACAAACAAAAAACAAAATGAACCTTGTTTTAGCTTTACTGAAAAGACTTCTACGGATGAAGTCTCTATTTTTCTTTTACCTATAAAGGACAATTTTGCTGGATATAGAATTCTAGGTTGATGTTTTCTTACTTTTTATATTTTATTCTACTGTCTTGCCTGGTTTCTGACACGTTTGCTGTAATTTGTATCTTTGTTGCTCTACAGATAAGGTTTATTTTCTGCTTAGGCTTCTTTTAAAATTTTCTCTTTGAATTTGGCTTCACGCAGTTTAAATATGGCATGCCTAGGTGTAGATTTTCTGGTATTTATCCTGCTTGGTAATCTCAGAACTTCCTATATCTGTGGTGTGTTTTCCTACATTGTTACTGAATTCTTTCAGCCATTATTACTTCAAGTATTTCTTCGTCTCCTTTCTATCTTTATACTCTTCTGGTAATCCATTACATTTATGCTACTCCTTTTTAAATTATTGCATAGTTCTAGGAGATTCTGGTCCTTTTCTTTTTCATTCTTTTTTCTCCTTCTATTTCAGCTTTGGGCATTTCCTTTGGCTTCTCTTCAAGTCAATGATTCTTTTCTTATATATGTTCAGGATACTGATGAGCCTATCAAAGGCACACATTTACTATGTTTTTATTTTCTAGCATTTTCTTTTGATTATTTCTTAGAGGAAATTTTTTTTGCTGAAAACACCTGTCTTTCATGCCGTCTAATTTTTCAATTGAACACCTTATTATTTATTTTAAACTTCCTATCCGATCACTTCACAAGCTTCGTTGTAACTTAATTTTGATGTTTGCTTTGTCTTTTCAGATTGTGTTTTTTCTTCCTTTTAATATGCCTTGTAATTTTGGTTGGGTGTTGAAAATGCTGAACTTGTAGTAAGAACTGAGCTAAACAGGTCTTTATTGTGAGGTTCTACATTTATCTGGCTAGCAGTTGGGATACTGGTTACGAGAACTAATGTATTTATCCTCAGTACGCATATGAATGCCTGAGGTTTTATTTTACTGTACTGTCCTCATTTGATCTCCTTGTTGTTTTTCAGTCTCTCAGAATAACTTTTAAAATAACATTTGCATCTGTATCTTGCTTTTTTTTTTTTTAAGTTAAGGCTATTGTAAAGTTTTCTCTCCTCTTAGATTAGGCTTCTTATGGAGATAATGCTTTGGGTGTATTTGAAATGGCTAATTTTTTCTTCCCTTACCCCCAAAATTAGAAAACTGTTTTGAGATTTCAATGTGAGAACCTAGTGGGGTTTCTGGATATAATTGTGGCAGCTCCTCCAAGACTTTAGACCCTGGAAGTATTCATTTTAGTCCACACTGACTCCAGCAGTTGGTCAAAATTGTCATTTAAGTCTTCCTTCCTTCTTGTCTCTCCAAACCTTTATTCTATTTTTGTTTTACATTTACTTTACATACGTCATAAATTCTAGAATACCGTTTTCATTTTTGTTTTTGATTATCTTTGAGGAGATTTAAAATAAAAAAATAGTACTTTTCATTTACTCACATATATGCCACTTCTGTTGCTATTGATTACTTTATATAGTTGTAGATTTCCATCTGGTATATTTTGTATGCCTAAGAACCTTCTTTTGCTAGTTTTTTTTGGTAAAGATCCTTTGGAAATTAATTCTTTCAGCTTTTTTATATCTAAAAGAGCCTTCATTTCACCTACATTTTAAAAAGATACATACATCTTATATACACTGTAAGGTTATAGGTTGACAGTTTTTCTTCTGTTTTCTTTACTCAGCACTTAAAGATGTTGCTGTACTGTCTTTTGTTTGTATTGTTTCTCACAAGAAATTTGCTACCATTGTTTTCATTATTCCTCTGTGGGTAATGTATCCTTTTTGTCTGGTTGCTTTTTAGATTTCTTTATTACTTGTTTTGAACAGTCTGATTATGACATACCCTCATTTTGTTTTCTTTATGTTTATTGACTTTTATGTTTCTTCGTATTCCTGAATATGTAGGTTGAGAGTTTTGATCAAATTTGAAAAAAATTGGTCTTTATTATTATTTTTAATATTTTTATCACCCTCCATTCTCTCCTCTCTTTCAGTAACTCTGTCTACATCTGTAATAGTAGAAGTTTCCCCACATACACTGATGCTCTCTTTGCTTATTGGCAGTCTGCAGTTGTAGACTTGAGGAGAAACCCATGCAGATATATGCGGCTCTGATTTTGGCCACCCTCTCTTCTCTTACAGATTCCTCAGCTTTGATAGAACAGTCTGCCAATTCAAGCTACTTTTGACTTCCTGAATACTCAACTCTGTCTTCTCAACTCAGAGTGAAGACATGTTCTGTTGAGTTTCTATATACTTGTATTGAGGCCTGTGCTCTCTCAAGTAGTTCGTTTACAGCTGATTCTTTTTTCTTGTATCAGGAATCACTGTTACGTGATAGTTATTTTCTCATGCCTAAGAACTATTATTTAATATAATTTGTCCATTTTTTAGTTGTCTGATGAGGGAGGTAAATCTGTTACTCTGTCCTGGCTAGAAACAGAAGAACTTAAGTCCTTATACCTCTAAGCCCACTATCTTTCTTTCTCTTTGTGTATGTATAAAACAATTATCAGTGTTAGAATATCCTTACTCCAGTATATTGTTGTCTTATAGTTTTTATTTTGCCAAATAAATCAGATTTAATTCTGTAGATTTAACTTTTCTATAGTAAGTTCTAAAAAACTATATCTTAACAGATACATAATAGATAACTTATCTGCATTTTTCTTAATAATTATCTCTCATATTATTTATACTAGTTGATGTTTATGTATGGTTTGAAATCCATAATATTTGCTGTAAAATTAATACTCTTCTTTCTGTTTTTACTTTGATCATTGTTTTATTTGTTTACAAAGCCTGAGTCCCTTTCTTTCTAACCTGAATGAGTACTGAAAATGTCCACTTTCTCTTTTCTGGGTTAATTTGTTTTTGACAAATTTAGTTAAATAGCTTTTTAAATTCAATTGGGAAGAAAAGTCACTGCTTCATAAGAGTTGGTGCTGAAATCAACTCATTTTTAATGCATTCTCTGTAAAGCCATTAAAACTCCCTTGGCAATACTAGCTAATTAAGCATTTGAGGATTAAACATTTTTATTCATATCATTACACATACTCTTTGATTTAAAAAAAACTCTCTGAAGAATTCTCACATCATATATTAAGTGAATTAAAGTATTTGTGAATACAGAAGGATATCCAGCTCTTAAAGAATAGAATTAAAAATTGCATTTGTTATTTCACTACAAATTCCCTATTCTTTCCTATCCTTTTCTATCTATCTATCATCTATCTATCTATCTATTCTCTCTCTGTCTCTCTAATAGAGATGATTTATTTCTCTATCTACTTGCCACCTTTTATTATCTTTTAAATATTCTTAATTAACTAAACATTTTGTAGTACTAGTAGAGTATTAACTAATATGTGCTCTGATTAATGTTACCATAAAGAATAGTTATCAAAGACATTTCTTTTTATAGCACTTTCTTAAGTATCTTGATAGTGAATGACCAAAGAAGAAACAGATTGTAACATCTGTCTCTGTTATAACAATGTTCTTGCTCATGTATTTCTCCACTTCCTAACAGCCTGTCATTGCATGAATTTAAAATACTATTTATGTTACATTTTTGTAATGAGTGCCAACAGTCTTCTGTATTTTGCATTTTAAGATCTCTCAAAATGCTTTATTATCCATCTATATACCCCCCAAAAAAGTTTCAAGTGAGAATCATGAATAAATGTGTCTTGGCAGTTTGTGGAGTGGGTCTTTGGGTATGAAAGGAATTATGTAATGCCATATGGTTCTTTTTCTATAGTGCTATTGCCCTCTCATTTTCACCTGCCAACTTGTTCTTCACTTTGCTATCAAATTAATCTCTAGTTGTTCATTGTTTAGTGCCAGCTATAAAGTTTGCATTTGCCTTGCAAATATATAGTCACAGGTAGTGTGGCAATAGCAAAAATAAATATGCATTCATTATGGAGGTTAGCAATATTAATACTGCTGCTAATGATAATGTAGGTAAAAACAAACATTCACCTGGAAAGTAAACATAGAGTGTATTCTCAATATATTTGATATCCTTTAGATAAATTTAATTCATTTAATGTAGCTTCCCAAATAAAGTGTCATTAATTACATAAATTATTTTAAATAAAATATTGTACATTTATGTGAATAACTTGCTATATGCTATGAAGTAGAAAATAAAAACAGCTAACCCAATATATTGGACAAAAAAGGTGCTTTAATATGTGTCCTGATAAAAATTCACACTAGTCTAATTTCTTTTTCTAATTCAAAGTTTAAAATTTTGTATCATTATTTTTGTAGATGATATTATCTGCTTAAAAAAGACATTATCAGAATAAAGCTTTCCAAAGATGTGTCTCTTTCTGCTGTTTTTGTTGTTGTTGTTGTTGTTTGTTTGTTTGACTGATTAGCAATGGGGTAATCAGCAAAAGTAGTATCAACAGACTAAGACTTCAGAATTGAGATTATTGCCAGCAACCAACATATATCAATAAGTCAAAGTTTTTAATGCTTTACTTACCTTATAAGGAGAAAGAGAGGTTATATTAAAAATATTCTCCTCTAAAGAACAAAGTATTCAGACTAACTTTATCAGTTTACTAGAGTTGCTGTAATTAAACACCCCAAGGTGGGTAGCTTAAAAATCGGAAATTCATTGTCTCATAATTCTGGAGGCTAGAGGTTCAAGATCGAGGTGTCAGTATGATTGGTTCAGTCTGAGGACTGTGGAAGAGAATCTGTTCCATTCCTCTTGTCTACTTTCTGCATTAATGAAACAATATTCTGATGTTTATTCACCTCACAAAGAGGGTCTTCCTTGAAAATACTGAATTGACAATACAAAATAAGCACTCTATTCTCTTTTCCCCTTAATTCTTAAGTTTGTTTTCTTTCTTAATGGGCATTCCTTTAAAAATTCAGTCTTATGTGTGTGTTTTGTATAATAATTAATGAAAGCCCTATTATCTTGCACATTTGTAAAATCCACTTATAAAATTTAAAAAGTAACTTCATATCCATGGTGATTCCAAAGAGTTCCCACTTGAAAGTTATAGCAGAAAACTGCTCAATTTATCATCTTTCTGCAGATATATTGTCTTAAATATTAAAAATAATTTAATGCCAATTTTTATACCTATTTTTAAAAGACAAATACCAATAAAATAATTATTAATATATTTTTGAATATTTGATAACTATGAAATAGTTTTGTGAAGTCATAATATATCATCACTTTCCAGAGATTAAACTAATAGTGTGTAGTAAAAATACTTACTATTAACTAATAAACAGAATAGAGAAACAGACACATCACTTAACAGCAAGTGAATTTTCTAATTTACTGTGCATTAAAATAAACTTGAAAAGCATTCTACTGAGATAAATAATGAATTTTAATGTTTATTTATACCACTGAATTTTATGGTTTTATAATCACATACAAGTTCCTTAAAATACTGTAAGCAATTTAGCAAATGGTAACTTTAGTATTATGACTTTTACTTTTGTCAAGTAGAAATTTCAGCTTTTTTCTATTCTAAAAAATATAATTTCTTTTTGTAGAAATATGTTACATTTTCATCTTTGTCTTTAAATGTGCCTTACATTTTTGTTCTAATCAACATTTTTATATTTAACAAAAGAAGTGCACAAGTAAAAACTCATACAAAATATATGTAGTGTAACTAACAAATGCTTGTCAAGAAAACATATTTTGTTTTATGTTCTATTCAGTTAGTTCTCCCCTTGTTGTGTTTAAAAACATCCAGGATAAATCCAGTATAGAGCTAGTTTAGCATAAAATTATTCTCACCCTTTTGTTTTCCTACTTAATGTTTCATTGCAAATTCCATATCAAGTAATTGTATTGGAGGATTCACCATTCCCTGACCACACCTTGCCTTTGTAAGTGTTCGAGCCTTTTCAAAAACTTCCTCTTAACAGGCATACCCTTTTTATATTCCAAAATTATTTTTTACATCTATATCAAAAGTGACCTGTTTCTTACCACATTCACTAGAAATAGAATTGAACCAGGATTGAGTATCTCTAATTTACTCTGGAATATTTCCAGTTAGAAAAATGTGAATGCAGCTTTCACATTTACAAAAAAAAAAAAGAATTTAATATTTGCACATCTATGATTAAAGTATTTGAGGGCTTCTTTTTGGATAATTTGTTGACTTATCCCCTCAACCTATACGTCAAAACACAGAGAAATGCAAGGCTTGTTCCTCTACACTCTTTTCCAATGATAAGTAATTTGTTTATTTGTAATGTTACTAAAATGAATGTATATGAAAGTAAGTAAGTAATCTCAGTTTGAAAATACATTTAGCTTTAGTTCCTAAATATGCCTGATTTATTGAACTAAGCAATTAATATAGTATCAAGTCTTTAGCATAGGACGTGTTATAATAACATTTCCATTATTTATTGTTTGCCTTAAGCTTTGATTTTTTTATCTGTGTTTTCATTGTTGTTGTTCAGTTTATGCATTTGAAAGTTATCTGAGCATCTTGCTATCTCCCAGTTACTTTTTTCAAAGCTTCTGATACACTTATTTCAAAATTATTCTATAATCATAAATCTACATTTTAGTGGGGTGAACAGATAATCGTTAAATCGTTAAACACAATGAATAAATGGTACAATATGTAAGGGGAAGACAAGCGCTATGAAAAAGATAGCATGGCAAAGTGACTTGAATATGTGGGCATAAAATAGGTCATAATTTAAAATATAAAGCTTTAAGAAAGTTTACATTGAGAAGTGACTAAGCAGAAGTGGCTACGCCGTGGCTGTCTCAGGAAATAGTCTTCTAGACAGAGAGTAGAACTAGTAAAATGTTCTGAGGCAAAGTAAATGTCTCTCACATTCTAGAAAGAGAAAGGAGGCAGTAATGCTGGCAGTCAAGAATTGAGTAAGAGAGAGATTAGGCAGAGTAGTGGTAAATGCAGTTAAAGAAAATGAGGAAAGCCAGATAACATTGTGCCTTAAATAATGGCTTTCAATTTACATTACATTACATTGTCACATTACATCAAATAAAGTATATTTGTAGCTATAATGAAACAAATTAAATAGTAATTTTTATTGACACATAATAATTGCATATATTTATGGGACACAATGGGATGGTTTGATACTTACACTCATAATGTTCAAATAATCATAATTAGGATATCCATCAGCATAACCATTTGTCATTTCTTTGTTGTTAGAATATTCAAAATCCTCTCTTCTAGCTATTTGAAATATACAATACATGATTGTTAGCATGAGTGTCCACCCTACTGTTCAATAGAGTACCAGAACTTCCTCCTAACTGTGACATTGTACCAGTTGACCAGCATTTTCCCATCTCCCCTTCCCTTCTATTCTCCCTGGTTTCTGGTAATTGCTGTTCTACTCTCAACTCCTATAAGGTAATTTTTTTTAGATATCACATATGAATGAAATCATGCAGCATTTGTTATTCTGTGCCTGGTTTGTTTCTTAACATTATGCCCTCCAAGCTTGTTCATCTTATTGAAAATGACAGAATTTCATTCTTTTTCTATGGCTGAATAGTATCCCATTGAGTATATATACCACATTTTCTTTATACATCCATCTATTGATGGGCACTTAAGTTTATTCCATTCCTTGGCTATTGTAAATAGTGCTGCAATAAATATGATAAATGAATAAAACCAGATCCTATTTCTCACCATATACAAAAGGCAACTCAAAATGGACTGAGACTTAAATGTACAACCCCAAACTATCAAACTACTAGAAGAAACAAGGGGGAAATGCTACAGACATTGAACTGGTTAAAGATGTTTTCGTTAAGACCTCAAAAGCAAAATAAACAAATGGGATTGCACCAACTAAAAAGTTTGTGCACAACAAAAGAAGCAATCAACAGAATGAAGAGACAACCTACAGAATGGGAGAAAATATATGTAAATTATGTATCTGACAAGGGGTTAATATCCAGAATTTACAAGGAACTTACACAATAGCAAGAAAACCCCAAATAGTCTGATTAAAATGTGTGCAAAAATCCTGAATGGACATTTCTCCAAAGAGAAGAAACAAATGGCCAATAGGCATAAGAAAAAACAGATTGGGATTTTTAGTTTTTCCTTCAACAGAGTTATGTGAATTTTCTGAATATCTATATTTTATTCCTTTTAGAAATATTTGAACTTATAAGCAGCAAGTTGTTTTAAGTTTTAAATATATAAATGTATGTGTATGTGCTTGCAAACTTGCACAGTTGAGCATGTTTTACACTGCTCTTAAAAATATAAAATCTAGGACAGCTTAAAGGATATCTTTTAGCATGGACAATTTCTATAATGACACTCTTAACTTTTTTAATATACACACATTATCTATCCACTCTTTCAATTAGAATTACTCACTAGAATCAAATACTAATCAGCAGCTTTACACATTTGTAAAATAACTGTCATTATTTGTAAGCCCTACCAAAAATTTTAGTGCTTTAATATATTCCCAAAGCTATTAGCACAATTACTAATTAGACTATTGGAGTGCTGGTTTGTGCACAGAAAGATAAAAGAGGATTTTATGAAGATACATTCCTTTTTGCTATTTTATAGTTCACATACTTTCAATTAAAAAAAGATTAGAGTAAAATGGGTTTCCCAATTATGAAAATTTTATACTGTAATAAAGAAGTGTATTTAGAAAAGAAATTGTATTATCAAAGTCCTGCTTCAATATAAATAGAAAAGTGGATAATGGGACATTTTGGTGTGTTGCATAAAATTATATTGTGTGATTGCAGTCAAAGAGAAGAGGTATACTGGCCTCTTCTAAATATAGTTTATGATATAGACATATGTGTCTCTTTGTAAGATAAAGTCAGAAACATTTGACTCCACTATAGAGTCACCCTGCATTTCTGTAAAAAATGATACTTTCGGAATTATTTATCTTCTTTTCACTAAAAGAATTTTTCCCATGACTCAATTCAGTTTCATAATATACAATGATTCTGACATTCTGTTGGGTTTGAAATGGCATTACTGTATATTACCAGCTTAAAATTAGCTTACTGTCAGTCTGTTAGCGGGATGCTGTGAGGATATCACTGAAACCAGAGATGCACTAGGGAAGTACTAAATGTTTTGATTTTTTTTTTTCTTATTGCTGCTGTGTTATTACCTCCAACACAGATATTAGTCAAAGATTAAGAAATGTCAACCTTTTATCATCAATCCATATGTTATCAAATTTAAGTTCTAAAAGTAGTATGATGATAAATCATTAAAGTCATAATACATACAGATGAGGTACACCCGCGAGCATTTGGTTATTATAAAAATAGGGGAAGAAATATTTCATTTGTTATAGTTTTATTACAGTTTTATTTAATAACTGTTTAAAGAAAAAGCAAAGGGCTAACTGAGCACTCAAGTTACTATGAATTGTATTAATTCTGGATTTATGACTTTGAGACTCAATTTTGTCTGATAGCTGTTAACACTACCTAAGCCACAAATACCAGTCTCTTCATTCATTTATGCCATTATTTATTTCAAAAATAAGTTTTCTTTTATTTTTAACAATCTACTGAATTTCAACTAAAGGAATCATGCTTCCAAGTGTCTAATAGTTACATACAAAGAAATAATTTTGTATGTTAATAATTTAAAATTATTGTGAATATTATTCAAGATGTTATATATTATAGATATTTAAAAGAGCAATTTGGAAGAACAGAAGAGAGCTTTAACTCTACATTCACTATTTAAGAACGTTAAATCACAAAACAATATAGAGATAATATTAATATTTGTGGCATTGGTTGATTAGCCAATGTCTACATGTTATTAATCATATTTTTTCTAGCACTACCATCATTTAATGTTGTCAACAAATGCACTATATGTTAGGGTGCTCTAGTTATGTATCAAAAGAGCAACGGTTTTGCAGAATATTGATTGGTGCCAGACACTAAACCTTTACAGATGAATTAGAGTACCTTCTTATTGACTAATAACTACAAAATGGCCACAGTCTCAGTTTCGGGCCCCAGAAACTGACTCTAATGCAGGAGTCATATGAAAATGATTTATTGGGCTGGGCGTGGTGGCTCACGCCTGTAATCTCAGCACTTTGGGAGGCCAAGGCGGATGGATTGCCTGAGGTTACGAGTTCAAGACGAGACTGGCTAACCTGGTGAAACCCCGTCTCTACTAAAAATACAAAAAAATTAGCTGGGCGTGGTGGTGGGAACCTGTAATAGGGGTCTGAAGCAGGAGAATCACTTGAACCCGGGAGGTGAAGGTTGCAGTGAGCTGAGATCACGCCATTGCACTCCAGCCTGGGCAACAGAGTGAGACTTTGTCTCAAAAAAAAGAAAAAGAAAAAAAAAAAGATTTACTAAGGAGTTTCTTTAGTTGAAAGATGCTAGAAAACTGGAGCCTTAGGAAGTAAAGGAAGCTAAAGTAGCATAGAGGTCAACTTAGACTCAATACAGTAAGGGGGAAATCTAAAACCAGCCCTGTAGACCATGAAATTCAGTTCACACCTCTGAGTTGTTCCCATTAGGGGGATGTGGGAGATAGTACATTAATTATCACTCAACCTCCAGTCATTTTTCAAGAGCTGTGGTAACCTGGTGGAAAGGTGTTATTTCCTAAGGCCTCTTTGTGCCCACAAGTAAAAAGTAAAATAGGTCCCAGTGTCCCAGGGAAAGTCCATCAACACAAAGACTCAAGTGTTGGTGACTGAAGAGGACTATGATATGGGAGAGTGTTAGTAGTATATGCTAGAGTCACTTTGCAACTCTCCTAATTTTGAAGTTTTTTTTCACTTTTCTTTAGAGACAATTTGTGCTGATTTTTTGTACAATTACTAATGTTAATAATTTTTAATTAGGGACTATAATTTCATTGAGCATGTTTTTATAATGGTTATTAAGTAAAACTATAAATCAACATTTGAAAATCTCAAAATTCAGAGAAAAACAACAACTTTCCATACATAGGAAATTTATATATTGATCAAGTAAATGCTATTTTTTCTTACTCTATTTTGCAGCAAATAATAAATTATTCACATACTTAGAATCCTGAAATTATTCTAAGTACTGTATAAGAGTAATTTAACTTAACTTTTGTTAATTTCCATGAAGAAATACTTATTGAACATAATAAGGTGACATCATATTTAATGTTGAAATAAAATATTTTGCTCAAGTTTGGGAACTAGGAAAAGATGTCCAGTCTCATATCTTTTATACTATCACTTATGCTGGAGTTCCTGGAAAGTGAAATGAGGCAAGAAAAAGACTCATAGATTAAGGTTTTAAAACATATTTTAAAATATAAAATTATTTATTTGGGGATGGCTTAATTTTATACACCAACAATATAAATAATATGCAAAAATGTTATCAAAATTGTGAAGTTAATTTAGCAAGGTCAGAGGCCACAAGATCAATACAGTATTAAAAATCAGTTGCACTTATATACCTCAGCATCAATCGACTGAATATAAAAACCATATATTTACAAAAGCATAGAAACAGAAAAAATTGATAAAGTGCAAGAACTTTACACCAAAAATTTTAAAATCTCTCAGAGATTTTATTAAAATAATTTTAAGTGAAGAGACGTATCATGTGCTTTTGATGAAAGGTTCAAATTCATCAAAAATATTTAATATATAGAAAGAAACCTCAATCAACCCACCTGGTATACTCAGAAAACATTAAAAATTTCTCAAGTGTTCACTTAACCAAAAAATCTGACAATATTGAATAATAAGATGGTTCTCTAGTATATGAGTTTGATAACTCAGTCTGTGTTACTGGATTTCAAGGAATTTTAAAACATTTATTTATTTATTTTTCCCTTCAACTTTTTTTTTTAAATATACTTTAAGTTCTAGGGTACATATGCACAAGGTGCAGGTTTGTTACATATGTATACATGTGCTGTGTTGGTGTGCTGTACCCATTAACTGGTCATTTACATTAGGTATATCTCCTAATGCTATGCCTCCCCGCTCCCCCCACTGCACGACAGGCCCTGGTATATGATGTTCCCTACCCTGTGTCCATGTCTTCTTATTGTTCAATTCCCACCTATGAGTGAGAACATGCGGTGTTTGGTTTTCTGTCCTTGTGATAATTTGCTCAGAGTGATGGTGTCCAACTTCATCCATATCCCTGCAAAGGACATGAACTCATCCTTTTTTATGGCTGCATAGTATTCCATGGTGTATATGTGCCACATTTTCTTAATCTAGTCTATCATTGATGGGCATTTGGGTTGGTTCTAAGTCTTTGCTATTGTGAATAATGACACAATAAACATACGTCTGCATGTGTCTTTATAGCAGCATGATTTATAATCCTTTGTGTATATACCCAGTAATGGGATGGCTGGGTCAAATGGTATTTCTAGTTCTGGATCCTTGAGAAATTGCTGCACTGTCTTCCACAATGGCTGAACTAGTTTACAGTCTCACCAATAGTGTAAAAGTGTTCCTATTTCTCCACATCCTCTCCAACACCTGTTGTTTCCTAACTTTTTAATGATCGCCATTTTAACTGGTGTGAGATGGTATTTCATTGTGGTTTTGATTTGCATTTCTCTGATGGCCAGTGGTGATGAGCATTTTTTCATGTGTCTGTTGATTTTTTAGACTCCCATGAATACTGGATAAGAATTTCAATTGTTCCAAATCCTTCCCAAACCCAGGCATAAAGATCTCTCTATTTTAGGATTCTATAATAGGCCAGTAGTGGTATCTGATTGTGTATTAACTTGCAATTGCCTAACAATTAATGGTCTGAATATCCGTAGTAAATTGTATGAATTATTTTCAACATTTCTCACCTGTATATCTTCTTTTTTATGTTTTTGTTTTTATATTGTTTGTGTTCTTGTTTTGAGTTATGAGAATTCTTTTCATATTCTGGATATGTCTGTTATTTGATATGTTAATTTACAGTTTCTGGCTTATCTTTTATCTTCCTTAAGAATGTTTTTTGAAAGCATAATTTATAATTTTGGTGAGGTCTACTTTATCAAGTTTATTTTTTCTTTTACATTCTTTTGGTAATATATCAAAGAAATTTTGCTTTACTCATGTTCCAAAATACTTTCTTCTGTTTTTTTTTTCTGGAAATTTTATAATGTTTTTAAACTTAGTCTGTGATTAACATTGAGTTAAATTTTTATCAAGGTATGGATGGAGTTTATATTTTCTGATGTAAAAAATTATTACACCATAATTTGTAGAAAATTTTTTCTTTCTTCACTAAATTGTTTTTGTACTTTTATCTAAAATCAGTTGGCCACATATAGGTAAGTTTCTTTTAGAACTCTATTCTGTTCCATTGATCTATTTGTGTAATTTTATGCTGACTTCTCCCTGTTTTAATTATTGTAGTTTTATAATTGATGTAGAGTCAGTCTTCCAACTGGATACATACATTCAAAGTTGTTTTTGCTTTTTAGGTCTTCTGTTTTTACATATGAATTTTGAAATGATATTGTCAAATGAAAAAATTAAGAATAATTGGGATTTGAGTTAGAATTGTGTTGAATCTACAGATCAATTTTTGGATGACCAATATTTTAAAAATATTGAGTCTTCCAATCCCTTAATAATGTATGAATCTAATTTACATAGTTCCTCCATAATTTTATCCAGCAACATTTTATAATCTTCAGTGTACAAGTTATGCATATCTTTTGTCAAATTTATCCCTAAGCACTTGAAGTATTTCTAAAAGTTCAATTGTAAATAGGTAATTTTATTTTTTTACTATGTACACTGTAGAAATGCAATTAGTGTATATATTAGTTTTTGTTTTGTTTTGTTTTGTTTTGTTTTGTTTTGTTTTCTGGAGACAGAATATCACTCTGTCACTCAGGCTGGAGGGCAATGGCACTATCTCAGCTCACTGCAACCTACGCCTCCTGTGTTCAAGCAATTCTCCTGCCTCAGCCTCCCAAGTAGCTGGGACTACAAGCACCCACCACCACACCTGGCTAATTTTTGTACTTTTAGTAGAGACAGGGTTTCACCATGTTGGCCAGGCAGGTCTTGAACTCCTGACCTCAGGTGATCCACACACCTCGGCCTCCCAAAGTGCTGGTATTACAGGTGTGAGCCACTGTGCCCGCTTGTATATTAGTTTTATATCTTTAAAATTTGCTAAACTTACTTAATCCTAGCAGCTTCTTTATGCATTCTTTAACATTTTCTATGTAAAAATGTGTGTTTTCTATGATTTAGTACAATTTTAATACTTATTTTTCAACCTGGATGCACATAATTTATTTTCTTGCTTAATCACACCTAGCTAGACTCTCCACTAAAATGTTGACTGAAAGTGGTAACTTGAACTAATCTAGTCCTTGATCCTAGGGGAAAAAGTCTTTAAGCTTTCACCATTAATTGTGTTAGCTATATGCTTTCCTTAGATGTCATTTATCAGCCCACTAGATGTGAGGTTTTTTGTTTGTTTTAAACAGAAACTGATATTGGATTTTAAGCACTTTTTTCTGTGCACTGTGATTATCATATGGATTTATTTTTTTCTCTGGTAATATTGTGAATCCTATTAATTGATGTCATATTCCTGGGATATCCCATTCCTGGGATAAACTTCTCAGAGTCATAATATAGTATTCATTTTACATAATATAAATTATTCATTTCTAACATTTTAATTAAAATTTTGGATCTGTATTTATAGAGGATATTAATTCATAGGTTTTTTTTTTCTTGTAGTGTCATTGGTTGTGATTATCAATATAATGGTAGGCTGATAGCACAGTTGAAAAACATTTCCTTCTACTCTGTTTCTGGGGCAGTTTGTGTATTTTTTATTTCCAGTTTTAGCTTTGACAAGTAGAGAGCTTAGAAGTTATCATATCTATCTTCACAATAAGAAAAAAAAAATGAACAAACTGAAAATCAACTTCTTTTCTTAGATCTTTCAGAGAATTGAGGTCACAGACAAACTATCACTCAAAAAACTGGAAAGAAAGGTAAATATAGGAAATTACACAGCACAGATCGGATTACCTGGAGGAAAAGCCATTGGAGCCAGTAACTAGTAGGAGCATTTAAATAGCAATCAATAAATGCAAGAGGATAATTATGTGGCACCTTAAAGTTAAAAACTGCTTGAGGCTCCTGCCTTAAGGAGAGTCCACACTTTTGTACATTTTACTTTCAGGAGCCTCAGTAAGTTCTCACGTGAAAATCAGAGAAAAACTCTCATGTGCATCAAGCAAGAATATGGTATGTGTAACTATGTTGAAATAAGCACAGAACATTCTCCATAACAAAGGCTGGTACACAAGAGAAACTATGAGAGCTTTGCCTTACCTGAGAAAAGGACAATCAGAAAACTCGTTCATTCTAGCTCCCCTGTCTCACCCAAATGGAGAAAAAAGAGTCAAAGAAAGGCTTTTCTGAAAGTCACAGCCCAGGAACTTGGACTCACTGAAATTTTGAGTTTTATAATAAGTGTATAGAAAACTTTCCCCAACACCTTACTACCGCATCAATAGGGCTCTAGTATATAGCAGTAGATTACAACTAAGAAGCTGTAAGACACAGACATCATTTAAGAAGTCATTAGGAACATCTAAAGACAATAGGGAGAAACAAAGAAGAAATTACAAAAAAATTGGAACCACTGGCACCTACAACTATAGCAACCATTAAACTACTGCCAGCTACATTCTGTCCAGTTTTCAACAAAAAATTATAAGGCACATTAAAAACCAAGAAAAATCAAAGCCTGAAGGGATACAACAATCATCAGAATGAAACTCAAATATGAAACAGATTTTAAAATAATCACATAGGAAATTTTAATTACTATAATTAATATGTTGAGGGCTCTAATGGAAAACAGCAGAAAACATCTGAGAATAAATGAGTAATACGAGCTATGAAATTCATAGAACGATTCAAAAATAAATTCTAAAACTTAAAGACACTGTAACTGCAATAAAGAATACCTTAGTGGGCTCATCAGTAGCCTGGACATGGATAACGTAAGAAATAGTTGAAGAGGGGTCAATAAAATCTTTCAAAACTAAAATGCAAAGAGAAAAGGAATGGGGAAAAAAAAACCTCAGAATATCCAAGAACTGTGGAACAATTTTAAAATGTGTAACATAAATATATTTGAAAATGACATACCACAAGAAGAGAAAGAGTAGATATAATAGAATAAATAAATAAAGCAAAAATAATTGAGCATTGTTCAGAATTAATAACAGATACAAAACCACATATCTAGGAAGCTTAGAGAACACCACAGATAAATACCAAAGAACTACAACTAAGCATATCATATTCCAACTGCAGAAAACACAAATAAAATAATTTTTGAAAGAAGCCTGAGCAAAAAAAAAAAAAAAAAAAAAAAATTACCTCTACAGGAACAAGGAAAATGTTCCATTACAGTTTTTATATAATTCTACGAAAGCAACAAGAGAGTAAAGTAAAATATTTAAAGCACTGAAAGAAAAAACAAAATACTGACCTAGAATTCTGTAGACAGCAAAGTTACCTTTCAAATATGAAGGAGATATAAAGATTTTTCTCTGAGAAAATCTGAGAAAATTTTGTACCAGTAAACCTGCCTTGCAAGAAATGTTAAAAGAAACTGTTCAGAGAGGAAAAAAATATGTCAGAAACTTGGATCTATATAAAAATGGGGAAAAAGTTGGAGAAAGAATAAAGTTAAAATTAAAAAAGCATTAATTTTTTAAATTCATAATTGATCTCATAGAAAACTGTTTGAAGTAATAATAACAACAAGGTATTTTGGATTATGTCCTATGGCTGGATTAGTATAATTAATGATAGCAATATTAAGATGGATAGAAGGGAGGAATTTGTAAAACTCTATTGCAAGGTGCCTGCAGTTACTCTGAAGAGGTACAGTATTATTTGACCCTTTAAATATGGATATTAAAATAATTTATCATCACTCTACAGTAATTTATGGATTCAACAGGCAGAAAATGAGTAAAGATATAGTTGAACAAACAGCACCATTAATCAACTGGATGTAATTGACATTTATAGAATACTTCTTACATTTGATTTATTTAATATATATGTATATGCTTATCTTGGGAGTTGACTTTAATAGTTTACATATTTCAAGTAATTTGTTCATTTCACTAAGTTTTCTATGTATTGGCATAACATTTATAATCTTTTATTCTTTTAATATCTTAGAGATGTCTTCTCATTCATAAAATTGAGCATTTGTGTCTCCTTTCCTTTTTCTAATTTCTTGAGTATCTGAGACCTTTGCTTGAGATCTTTCATTTTTTAATATAGATACAATTGCTGTAGATTTTTCTCTAAGTACCTCCTTTTTTGTAGCTGCATCTTACAAATTTTGATATGGTGTGTTGTAATTTTCATTTGGTTCCAAATTATTTGAAATTATACTTCTATTTCTTAATTGACCTATTGATCATGTAGAAGCAGCTTAAGTCTATTATTTTTGAAAATTTTCCAGTTATTTTTTCATTATTGATGACATTGTGGTCAGATACTTTGATTGCTTGAATCTTTTAAAATCCATTGAAATATTTATGGCACAGAATATGGTCTATTTATGTGCACTTAAAAAGATTTTCTATTCTGCTGTTGTTGGGTGAAGTATGCTGCAAATGTCCATTAGGTAAAGTTGATTAATAGTGTTGTTTAGATCTCCTGTATCTTCACTAATTTTATCTCTGCTAGTTTTATAAAATACTGAGAAAATGGTTTTGAAATCTGAAACTCCAATTTTGAATTTGCCTTTTTCTCCTTACAGCTTATCAGTTTTTGTATCAAGTATTTTGAAGCTCTGATATTGGCTGCATATGTGTTTAGAATTATATCTTACTGATGTATAAACCTCTTTTTCATTATGAAATGACACAATTTAAAAATCATAGTAACACTCTTTTATCTGAAACCTGCTTTATCTGATATTAATGTGAGTACTCCAGTTTTCTTTTAATTAGTACATGCATGATATATTATATTCTGTCCTTTTACATAGAACCTATTTTTATTTTTCTATTTAAAGTGAGTTGTTTTTTGGTAGGTGATATACAGTTGAATCACTATTTAAATATTTAAATATACCATCTTTTTATTGGTTTTCTATTTTCCTATCTATCCTTTGTTTCATTTTCATCCATTTTTTAAGGATAATTGGGTACTTTTTATGATTCTATTTTATCACATTTATTGGCTTATAAGACATAATTCTTTATTTTTTCATACTTATTTTCAAGTATATATATTTAACTTATCACATCTTCCTATGAAATATATACATAAAATATTAATATTGAAACAATATTATATTTATTCCGTGAACCAAAATATTTATACTTCTCCCTCCCACCCTTTATACTAGTGTTGTGTTTCAAAGTTTTTTACTATATGAAGTTATTAACACCACAAAATATGGTTGGTATATGCTTTTTAACATTTACTGTCTTATAATAAATTTTAACTGCTTAAAAAAGAGTCTTTACATTGATTTCTATAGTTTCCGTACCCTCACATTTTTTTCATTTCAGATATCATAGTTTTTCACTGCTGGAAATTTGATTTTTTTTGTATGCTAGTGGTTTTACTTAACATACTCAATTTTTTCTTCATCTTCTTGGATATATTGGATAGCTGGAAACCATCATTCTCAGCAAACTATCGCAAGGACAAAAAAGCAAACACCGCATGTTCTCCCTCATAGGTGGGAATTAAACAATGAGAACACATGGACACAGAGAGGGGAACATCACACACCGGGGCCTGTTGTGGGGTGGGGGTTGGGGGGGATAGTATTTGGAGATATACCTAATGTTAAATGACCAGTTAATGGGTGCAGCACAACACCATGGCACATGTATACATATGTAACTAACCTGCACGTTGTGCACATGTACCCTAAAACTTAAAGTATAACAATAAAAAAAAAGAAAAAAAAAGAATGATGGTTTCCAGCTTCATCCATGTCCCTACAAAGTACATGAACTCATACTTTTTTATGGCTGCATAGTATTCCATGGTGTATATGTGCCACATTTTCTTAATCCATTCTATCATCGGTGGGCATTTGGGTTGGTTCTAAGTCTTTGCTATTGTGAATAGTGCTGCAATAAACATACGTGTGCATGTGTCTTTATAGCAGCATGATCTCAGTAACGGGATCGCTGGGTCAAATGGTATTTCTAGTTCTAGATCCATGAGGAATTGCCACACTGTCTTCCACAATGGTTGAACTAGTTTACAGTCCCACCAACAGTGTAAAAGTGTTCCTATTTCTCCACATCCTCTCCAGCACCTGTTGTTTCCTGACTTTTTAATGATCGTCATTCTAACTGGTGTGAGATGGTATCTCATTGTGGTTTTGATTTGCATTTCTCTAATGGCCATTGATGATGATCATTTTTTCGTGTGTCTGTTGGCTGCATAAACGTCTTCTTCTGAGAAGTGTCTGTTCATATCCTTCGCCCACTTTTTGATGGGGTTGTTTGTTTTTTTCTTGGAAGTTTGTTTGAGTTCTTTGTAGATTCTTGATATTAGCCCTTTGTCAGATGAGTAGGTTGCAAAAATTTTCTCCCATTCTGTAGGTTGCCTGTTCACTCTGATGGTAGTTTCTTTTGCTGTGGAGAAGCTCTTTAGTTTAATTAGATCCCATTTGTCAATTTTGGCTTTTGTTGCCATTGCTTTTGGTGTTTTAGACATGAAGTCCTTGCCCATGCCTATGTCCTGAATGGTATTGCCTAGGTTTTCTTCTCGGGTTTTTATGGTTTTAGGTCTAACATTTAAGTCTTTAATGCATCTTGAATTAATTTTTGTATAAGGTGTAAGGAAGGGATCCAGTTTCAGCTTTCTACATATGGCTAGCCAGTTTTCCCTGCAGTATATATCAAATAGGGAATCCTTTCCTGATTTCTTGTTTTTCTCAGGTTTGTCAAAGATCAGATGGCTGTAGATGTGTGGCATTATTTCTGAGGGCTCTGTTCTGTTCCATTGATCTATATCTCTGTTTTGGTACCAGTACTGTGCTGTTTTGGTTACTGCAGCCTTGCAGTATAGTTTGAAGTCAGGTAGTGTGATGCCTCCAGCTTTGTTCTTTTGGCTTAGGATTGACTTGGCAATGCAGGCTCTTTTTTGGTTCCATGTGGACTTTCAAGTAGTTTTTTCCAATTCTGTGAAGAAAGTCATTGGTAGCTTGATGGGGATGGCATTGAATCTATAAATTACCTTGGGCAGTGTGACCATTTTCATGATATTGATTCTTCCTATCCATGAGCATGGAATGTTCTTCCATTTGTTTGTATCCTCTTTTATTTCACTGAGCAGTGGTTTGTAGTTCTGCTTGAAGAGGTCCTTCACATCCCTTGTAAGTTAGATTCCTAGGTATTTTATTCTCTTTGAAGCAATTGTGAATGGGAGTTCACTCATGATTTGGCTCTCTGTTTGTCTGTTGTTGGTGTATAAGAATGCTTGTGATTTTCGCACATTGATTTTGTGTCCTGAGACTTTGCTGAAGTTGCTTATCAGCTTAAGGAGATTTTGGGCTGAGACAATGGGGTTTTCGAGATATACAATTATGTCATCTGCAGACAGGTACAATTTGACTATCTCTTTTCCTAATTGAATACCATTTATTTCCTTCTTCTGCCTGATTGCCCTGGCCAGAACTTCCAACACTATGTTGAATAGGAGTGGTGAGAGAGGGCATCCCTGTCTTGTGTCAGTTTTCAAAGGGAATGCTTCCAGTTTTTGCTCATTCAGTATGATATTGGCTGTGGGGGGTTTGTCATAAATAGTTCTTATTATTTTGAGATATGTCCCATCAATACCTAATTTATTGAGAGTTTTTAGCATAAAGGGCTGTTGAATTTTGTCAAAGGCCTTTTCTGCATCTATTGAGATAATCATGTGGTTTTTGTCTTTGGTTCTGTTTATATGCTGGATTATGTTTATTGATTTGAGTATGTTGAACCAGCCTTGCATCCCAGGGATGAAGCCCACTTGATCATGGTGGATAAGGTTTGCTGGATTCAGTTTGCCAGTATTTTATTGAGGATTTTTGCATCAATGTTCATCAGGGATACTGGTCTACAATTCTCTTTTTTTGTTGTGTCTCTGTCAGGCTTTGGTATCAGGATGATGCTGGCCTCATAAAATGAGTTAGGGAGGATTCCCTCTTTTTCTATTGATTGGAATAGTTTCAGAAGGAATGGTACCAGCTCCTCTTTGTACCTCTGGTAGAATTCAGCTGTGAATCCGTCTGGTCCTGGACATTTTTTGGTTGGTAAGGTATTAATTATTGCCTCAATTTCAGAGCCTGTTATTGGTCTATTCAGAGATTCAACTTCATCCTGGTTTAGTCTTGGGAGGGTGTATGTGTCCAGGAATTTATCCATGTCTTCTAGATTTTCTAGTTCATTTGCATAGAGGTGTTTATAGTATTCTCTGATGGTAGTTTGTATTTCTGTGGGATCGGTGGTGATATCCCCTTTATCATTTTTTATTGCATCTATTTGATTCTTCTCTCTTTTCTTATTTATTAGTCTTGCTAGTGGTCTATCAATTTTGTTGATCTTTTAAAAAAACCAGCTACTGGACTCTTTGATTTTTTGAAGGTTTTTTTTTTTGTCTCTATCTCCTTCAGTTCTCCTCTCATCTTAGTTATTTCTTGCCTTCTGCAAGCTTTTGAATGTGTTTGCTCTTGCTTCTCTCATTCTTTTAATTGTGATGTTAGAGTGTCAATTTTAGATTTTTCCTGCTTTCTTTTGTGGGCATTTAGTGCTATAAATTTCCATCTACACACTGGTTTAAATGTGTCCCAGAGATTCTGGTATGTTGTGTCTTTGTTCTCATTGGTTTCAAAGAACATCTTTATTTCTGACTTTATTTCTTTATGTACCCGGTAGTCATTCAGGAGCAGGTTGTTCAGTTTCCATGTAGTTGAGCAGTTTTGAGTGAGTTTCTTAATCTTGAGTTCTAGTTTGAGTGCACTGTGGTCTGACATTCTATTGGGGTTCTTTAAAGTGTTAGGTTAAAACTGTTCTCTATTACGCTCTGTTTATCCCAAATGAAAATACTATCTTGTAAATTTTATTTGTTTATTTGTCGAGTTTTCTAGTTTAAAAACAAAGAAAAGTCTCCAAAATAAGATTTTAATCTCCAGTATGCTACTCCAATGTATTTAAACCTTTCTATTTGTGAACTGAATTCTTCTTTGGGTTTCATGGCAAACAGTACAAATTGTTGAATAACCTTAGACTTCTTTTCTTCTTTTCACATGATCTCTCTCACTCATTTCATATTGGCCAGAAATCAATGTATGTTAGGTGTTGATTTTATGGAAGTTTAAATGTTTTCCTAGTATTTCCCGTACCTGCACTTTCATGGATGTGATCTGCTCCTGGTCAATATGACTTGAAGAGAAGATTATATGAGAGCTTATGGGAAAAATGGTGTTCCCCAGTAAAATTAGATGCATAGTTTATAAGTCGATACTCTCCAACTTCTTTCTTTCAGCAATACTTATGTGTGAGCATGATGCTGGCAGAAGCTGTGGATATCTTGAAATACTAATAAGACAAACATGAGATAAACAGAAAAACATGAAGATAACAGAGTTGAGAATTGCAAAAAACTGGTGTTCTTGCCGAATTTGTTACGTTATTAAATTAATCATCTTTTGATTAGCAATGCTTGTACTTGCTGTCATATCAAAACCCAATTACAAAAACCCATTTATTTAAACTTGATCACCAAGAGGGTAACTGTGAATGATTCCAGAGTTGATAAGACATTAGTATTCTCAGTCCTTCATGTGTCAGGCTTGGTACTGGAATGGTAGAGTATTCCAACCACAAGTAGTCTTGTCGTAATTAAGAGTAAAAAGTGCAACAGCTAATCCATACACATAGTTACTCATGGTTTAAACCATATTATCTTGGTATTTTGTTATATGCAACTAGAAACATCAGACTAGACATGTCCTTGTATATTGTAATATCATGATTAGATCACAATATAATTGTCTCTCGATTATAAACTCATGGAAGACAGAAATCTTGTCTTAATTCTCAATATTTTTATATGCTTATCACATTCTATGTACCATGATTTTGATATGCATGATAAATTCAATGGTGAACAACCCATAGGCCCTGTCATTAGGGAGTTACATTTAATTGCTATAAATCTTATGTGTCTTCCAATGAGCTTAGGGAACATTGATGTTTCATCATGATAATATATTGAGTATTGCAACATTAGTTGTTTAACATGAATTATAACAAAATAAAAGGGTTGCCTATAGCAAGAACATATATTACCCTAAAATAAAAATCAAGCACCTATGTCATCTCTGATATTGTAGGTATCAATATTTAATTCATATTCTCATAAAATCATATTTAATTAAATATGCAATTATTTTTAAAAGTTCTGAAGAGAAAATAACTGAATAATATTTTACCAAATTTTTTTCTTATTGCATGTGACTAAAAAGTTTTATTTAAACAACAGATTTGACGACAAATAGTTTCAAAATCACTGATTAAGCCAGGTGAAAACAAGCATAATATATGAACCTAATACTGTTAAATTGTCTGAAATTAGAGTATTTGGTTGGACAAATATAAACAAGGTTATATAAAGTGACATAATGTTAAGAAGAATTAATTTCTAAAAGGCTTCTCTTAGGAAAAAATACCTCTTCTAATCTTAAAGACCAACAACATATTCTCATTAGCTAAATACATCTTATTAAGATAAAAAGCATGTTTTTGCTTTTATTATAATGAGTCTTTTCTATGTGGGATTCATTTTACTATGATATGGGATAGAGAGAATTTTCATATGGAGTATAATTTAGAACTCGTACATGATGCTAATTTTCTTATCTTAATGGAAACGATAATAATTTTTAGAAGTGTATGTTGAGCATCACTAATCCAAAAATTCAAAATTTAAAATGCTTCAAAATCAGAAACTTTTTAAGTGCTGATATGATGCCACAAGTGAAAAATTCTACACGTGACCACATATAATGGGTTGTACTCAAAAGGCAAAATACATCTTATTCAGTGTTCCCAAGGGAAAAAAGACCTTCCCAACCCCCTTCAGTTCTGATATATCTGTTCTGTGTATGCCTATATTCCTCCACTCAAGCACACTCACAGAGGATAATAAAATGGCATATGTGCAGGCTGAACACACCAAGTTCCCCACAAAGCCTCACATGGGGCCAAGACCAATGTATACTATTCATTGTGTTTTTCTGCTTATTCTATGTGTGGTGATATAAAGACACTATCAAAAGTGTCACAAAAGCCTGCAGATATCTCTATGGGTAATAATGATAAGAAAAGTAGAAAGAAAAGTATTTATGTTTATTTTTAGCACAGATAATTTTCCCACAATTAAGCTTCTGGGAAAACTGGACTGCAGTGAAAATGTGTGTAAGATATATATGAAACATAAATTAATTTCATGTTTAGACTTGGGTCCCGTATCTAAGATAGCATGTTATGTACATGCAAATACTGCAAAATCAAAAAAAAAAAACTCCAAGTATTTCAGATAAGGAATATTAAACCTGTATCAGTGTCATAATGCAATAGTCAGGGTCCCAGCAGGAAACAGATGACACATTCAAATGAGATTATTTTAAGGTAATTTAATAAAGAGATTCTTTATGGGCCAGTGTGGTGGCTCCAGACTATAATCACAGCACTTTGGGGTTACAAAGGTCATGAGTTCAAGACCAGCCTGGCCAACATGGCAAAACCCCATCTCTACTAAAAATCCAAAAATAAGCCAGACATGGTGGCACACATCTGTAATCCCAGCTACTCGGGAGGCTGAGGCAGGAGAATCGCTTGAACCCGGGAGGTGGAGGTTGCAGTGAGTCAAGATCACACCATTGCTCTCCAGCCTGGGCAAAAAGAACAAAACTCCATCTCAAAAAAAAAAAAAAAAAAAAAGAGATTCTTTATGAAAGTGAATCCAGAATTTAGGAAAAGCAACAAAGGTTGTTGGAGTATCCGAGAAGGATAGTGAAATCCTAGAGTCATTACTAGCCCTAAAACTAAAAGACAATAATAAAGAATTACCTAAACCTGAAGAAATAATTATATAAACAGATCCCAAAAATTGGTGTCATTTGATTTCTCTTCAGTGTATGATATATTTATTCAAGTATTCATTTGTCCTTTATTATTTCACTAAGAATATTGTAGAGATTAGAGTTGAATGTGTAGGAATCAATTTATCAACTTGAACCAGAAGGTCAGAAAAATAAATTTTGAAGGAAAAAGTTATTTTATTAAGAAATAATAATAAGATAAATGATATCATAATTATTCATTATGATACTATATTTATAATAAATAACATAATTAGACCTTCTTATAAAAATATTTTTTAAGTATGAAGATATTAGAAACTAGTGACAGTATCTGCATTCTATACTTAAAAACAAAACAAATGAGAGAGATACTGATAGACTTTTTACTGCAATTGTGGGGGAAAAGATAGATACGTTATTATTGACTATAATGACAAAAATATGTATTTTTTATGGACTGTCATTTAACATTCTTTATGTGGTCTATGGATATAGAAATAACTCCCCTCATCACCAGTGCTATCATACGTGTTCTTACAAATTGAATAAATTTTGTTTCTTCAATGTCATCACATGACAGATTATTACTAGGTATATGAAAATATTAGGTTGGTGCAAAAATAATTGTCGTTTTTGCCATTACTTTCAGTGGCATATAACTAATACGTTATACACCATTTTTAAGGGTGCTAACTTGAAAGTGGTGACATTTGAAGAGAAATATGAGTGGTGAGAAGGAAGTAAACAAAAATAAGAAGCTTATTCTTACCTTGGGTCATTTGTATTATGCTTACTGAACTCTTCTCCCAAGACTTTGCCTCTTTATTTATTTTTCAGAAACAAGATAAAACCTGTAGATAAGATTTTGCAACTTAAAACAGTAGTGGGATATTTGTATGGAGAAGTAACCAGGGAAGAGATTTTACCAATCCTTATAAACCATGGTAAGAACATTTATGACATTCTTATTGTAATAGGACTTTAATCAGAAAAATAATTTTTTTAAAAAGGATAACTTTTCCTGATGTATGAAAAGCACACCATAATAGAACAAAATGGAACCAGAAGAAGACATTCAAATCTTTCAGAACATGAATATTTTATATTGGATTTACTAGCTTCAGAACCTAAAATGGGAGTTGTTTGTAAAGATTTCTTGAAAGAGCACTACCAGGAGAAACAGGGAGGAGGGAAGCAGAATTGAAGGTGGGGATGAAGCTCCTTAAAACTGTGGTTTGAGGTGAGGTCTGGCTTTATTCTGATCTTACATGGAGCTCCAGTGTCTTTCCCACCTTCAGATAGGGGAAGGGCAATTTGTAGCCCCTTGCAGGGAGTCAGTCACTGCACCAGGAAATAATTGAACACAAACCATCATGCATAGGGGAGGGGCATAACTGCCAGGCACCTCCAGGAAAGGTGGTCCCAATTTCCCAGTGATTATTGTCTAGTAAAGCTGAGAGGTCATTAGTCGAAGCACCTACAGCAGCAAGAATGTTGGGTTAGTGAAAGAACTGGTCAATAATCCAACAGGATAACAAAGTAAGCTCAATAAAAGGACCACCTTTGATTTTTATCCTATAACTGTTATTAGGCAATAATGAAGTATGCATTTATAAATCAGTAACAATTTTCTATTAGAACAAATATCTTTATGTCAGGAAATTAATAGAAATGCCACTATTTAATCTTAAGACTTGTTTGCATGGCTCTCTAGAAACATATGATCAAAATTGCCAGTTGGTCATGCTAACCATCAATTTTTTTGTTGTATTAAATAAAATTTGTGATTCTACTAAACTAGATTACAAACAAAAGTACATATTAATATGTAATTATAGAAAAATGTTTTCATAAAGCTGTAATGTACTATGTTCTCAGATGTTAACAGAAGCTATATAAGAATTCAATAAATGAAATATTGATGAAGATGTCTTAAACTCTGACTAAAATTACAAATAAAATTAATACAGAATACTAACCTTTGAGTTTAGTGAAAAGGTAACAGTGTTTGTCTATTCTGAAAAATAAATATGCTGATTAAAACTGATAATAGCATCTACATAATCTACTAATTTTCCTTTTGCTATGGCTGTTAGAAAACCTGGAAGAAATGAGTAAAGCAAAGTATGCTTGAGTTTGGTTTCTAACACTAATTATCCCCCCTTCATCTTTTCTCATATAATTCTTAAGTCTTATTATTGTAATAACAAGCAGGTTTTTAAATGCATTTTATTCTGAATTTATGACAACCTTATTAGCTAAAAAACATAAGAGACACTATAAATAATGCTCAGTATGTTACATTAGAAAATTTTATTGTGAAATTCTGGAAATTGCAGGGACACACAGACAGTAAAAATTAAATTTCTATACATAACCTGGTTTTAAATAGAGTCAAAGTGAGTAATTAAAAAGGTACAATGATTAGTTTCCAGTTCTCAAGTTCAATGTGCTGTACGTGATACAACTATAGTACAATTCAGAATTATAATAGCTCTGCTTTCCATAAGTCATTCTGTTGCAGAGAGATATATTTATAAAAAAATACATTTATTTAAGTATGTCATTTTCAGTAAGTAATACAATTTGGTAAGCATAAATTAGCTCATTTTTGCCTTGTATGTTTAAAATATGATTGGACTAGATATTTATGAGTTCAAGTTATTAAAATATTGAGATCAAGATAAAAAATGAAATGTAAACTAGAGGATCAGAATCATAACATTTGTTCTAGGTTTCAGCTCTTCACTTAGTAGACTAATGATTTTGAAATTTTTGCTCAGTTTCTCAGATGCCAATATCCTCATATGTAATAATTCGAGAAACATGTAATGAAACTTGCACTAGACGTTTATGGTACATTGCACTTATCTTTTATTTTACACACTGTTTATTATCTGTCTTTCTCACATAATAACTGTTTTGTTTTCAAAGGATGAGAATATAATCATTTTTCTGATATCCAATCCAGTACTTATGATAGTACATAGGCTATCATAGAACAAATACAATTTGAGTTCTACTTGCAGTTTTTGTACTGAACAAACCACCTAACAGTTTTATAGTATTTAATGTATTCATTCTTTAATGGATTAGAGTTCTAATTCAATCATGGGCTGCAAGCAGAGTCATGTATTGTGTAATGAAGGGGACACATTCTGAGATATGCCTCTTAGATTATTTTATTGTTGCATGAACATAACACAGTGTACTTACATAGACCTAGGTGGTATAGCCTATGACACACCCAGGGTAAATGGTATAGCCCATTGTTTCTAGGTTACAAACCTGTACAGCATGTTACTGTACTAAATACTGTAGGCAATTGTATAACAGTGGTAAGTATTTGTGTATCTAAGCATATCTAAACATAAAAGAGGTACAGCAAAAATACAGTATAAAAAATAACAAATAGTTCATCTGTATCAGGTATTGACCTTGAATGAAACTTGCAGGTCTGGAAGTTGTTCTGGGTGAGTCAGTGAGTGGTGAGTGAATATGAAGGCCTAGGATATTATTCTTCACCACTCTTGACTTTATAAACATTGTACACTTAGGCTACACTGTATTTATTAAAAACATACACTAATTGCAGTAGGATGTTACAATGACTTTGACGTCACTAGGCGAAAGGGATGTTTCAGCTCCTTTATAATCTTACAGGACTACCATCATATATGTGATCTGTTGCAAAGCAAAGTGTCATCATATGGAGAATGACTGTACTCAACTTTGTAGTCTATTTACACAAGGATGTTTGGCGAACAAGAAGGAGGTCAAACCAGGAATGTGGATTGATGGACTGGATTTGTTCCCCACCGAGGTGACCCAAGGACCAAATTATGCCAAAGTACTTAATATGATAAAATTAATCTCAATTTCTCTGTTACTGATTTCTAAGAAATTCAATATTATGGACAGTTGCATGGTAACAAAAGACCCAAACAAGCAATGGCAATGTGCATTCTGAGGCAAGTAACCACGTGGAATTTCCAGTAATCTGTCTGAGTTAAAGCTGTGCCTCAGTCGGTGGCTAAAAGCACAGGGGAAGGGATTTAATCTTTGAGAATCCCTTTGGATCCTGAGCACTGAGGTGGGGGCAGCTCTGCATCCCAGAGAATGGGATGTCAGGTTCCAGCACTAGTGCCCTGAATACCCGAACTAAGGCTTGTCCAAAGGAAGGGTTCCCCATGCAAGTAAAAAGCTGTCCTCCAGTGAAAAACTTTATTCTTTTTTTTTTTTTTGAGGCAGAGTTTCCCTCTGTCAACCAGGCTGGAGTGCTGTGGTGCGATCTCGGCTCACTGCAAGCTCCGCCTCCCAGGTTCACACCATTCTCCTGCCTCGGCTTCCCAAGTAGCTGGGACTACAGGCTCCCGCCACCACTCCCGGCTAATTTTTTGTATTTTTAGTAGAGACAGAGTTTCACTGTGTTAGCCAGGATGATGTCAATCTCCTGACCTCCTGATCCGCCCGCCTTGGCCTCCCCAAAAACTTCATTCTTTAGCATGTCCTTCAGAATCTTCTGATTCTACCAAAGCTCTGAAGTACTTATCCATTTTGAGTTTTTTCAACCTCTGTACTTTGTAGATAATAACTGAAAACACTGCAAAAGTTATTCTTGCTTATAAATACGAAGAGACAATCCACCCATGTTAAGAGTTTTGTATACATTCCTAATCTATAAAAAGGTCTATTTTTTGCTTTTTCTTTTTAGCTAAGTGGTAACAACTTTCCAATTTCCCAAATTAATTATTGAGCTAAATAAAATTATTCATATGTACTATTTTTAAATGTATGAGTTGTGATTTTATTTTTTAAGGAAATGTACCTTTTACTAGTTTGGAGGTCGTACCAAGGTGCGTGGTAGATTTACCTGACAAGCCTAGATACACTTTATCTCCAGAGTGCTGTATCTCACCAGCTGCTTAAGTCAACTGACATCATTTATAGTTTCTCATCCAAAGTGAAAACGGAATATTGATGGTTCTTTGTTTTCATAATTTTAATTCTTTTCTCTATTATGTTTGTGTTTTGATTCACTTACAACTGATATATTACTTTCCACTGGTGGCAGCAAAGATTGAAGATTTGGTTTTATGGTCTAAACATCTGGTAAGCTCTGTTATGGACATCTATTTTATTTTGGGTGAAAGACTGCAGAAAACCTGGCTTATTAGTCCTTGTTTGTTTCTATATTTTTCTACTTTGAGTTCAAATCACTCAAGGTTTTCACTTCTACCAGAAATGAGAATAGCTACTTAATTGAACATGAAATTAAAAAAAAGTTTCCATATTTACTATTGACCCATGACACATGGTAGCATTGAACCTATGAACTCTCTCTGTGCCTATACACAGAGAGAGAGAGAGTTTCTCTACGCATCTGGAAATCAGAAAGATTTTTACATTTAGTTGTGTGAGTTTGCCATGTTTCTACTTCTGCAGAGTATTAATAACATATTTTAAAGTCAATTAAATTATGAATTCTATTCTTATTCATTCATGAAGACATATAAGTATATATACTTATATAAGCATATGTAGATATACAAAAATAAGCACATATGCATTATGTGACATATACCAAATATTGTTTCTTACATGGTGTGTTATATTGTCACTAATTCCCTTTTTTGTTATTCTGACCTTTAAAGAACAAATTAAGATAAATGGCTGATTTTATCATCTGGAAAATCTTCAAGTTTTAGTTGAAAATAAGAAAAAGTAGAAATACTTTACAACACTCTAATTTTCTCATCTGTTAAAATGCCATCAGCAATTGTGCATGCCATCTATTCATTTTGAGATATTGACAGGTGGTATGGAACAATAGATAGTCTTGACAAATTATAGACCCTTTGGGGAGAACACTAATAAGCAACTTGTAGGAGTTCATCCATTATCATATAGTATATTTCTTTTGTCATGGATTAACCATTCCCTGAATTCACACAGATTTCTAGTTCTCTAGATAGGCCATATTTTCTATTTTTTGTGTAAACTAGTTAAATATTCATGAACTTAACTTGTTTTCACTCCACGTTATATGCCCTGAGGCTACTACAAAAGATTAGTTAATGCAAGTTGTCTTATATTGAGATAACCTATAAGCGGGGGTAGTAGAGAGATAACTGATAGTTTTCAACTTCATTTAGTGCATATTTTCAAAGCTCTTTAAATGACTGCTAAAAGAACATGCTGTATCTAATGAAGAATAAATCTACTTGTGTAATTTGACAGGGCTTTATTATCGTGTAACAAACCAATAATCTTAATAAGAACCCTATTATTCACAGGAAACTGATAAACTAGTATTAAGTTTTAGTATAATCACTGAATGTTTGCAATCAATTTGGAAAAAATTTACATTGGAAAAAAATTACATACTGACTTCTCTCTCTCTGTCTGTCTTTTTATTTGGTACAATCAATGATTTCTTAAAGCACTTCATATTTCACTTTTCATACAATAGGAAGCTGAAGAAAAAACAATATTTGCATTAATATATGCAGTATATTAGGTAGAGTGACATTATTTCCTACTTAAATTTTCAATTAATTACATTAGGCTCCACATTATTTGCATAAATATGTTTAATACTGTTAAGAGTGGAAACATTTGTTCATCACTCTGGCAGATTATCAGTGATATGTGAACCTTTTTCAAAGCTGATACCAACTTTCTCTGAGGATACTGATAACGATGCATTATTTTATTCTTATTGTTTCCTTAGGTTAAATGTAAAATTTACCATGAGAGGAAAGTCATTTTTATAAGAAAAACCTACATAGATCTACATAATCTAATTATATATGCTCCTTGATTACATCCCCCACAGCAGTTCACAAATGAAGATGGTTGCATTTGACAATTACTAGGTGATTTGGTACAACTGAAATGAGCTTCTTATTATTTCAGTATACGAAAAATCTGAAGAAAATAGTCTTACAAGATATAATTAAACAATACACTTGGGATTGCAGATATAATTTGCTTTAAGAAAATTGAGATTTTATATCACAATAATAATGACATTTATTTGCAATTCTTTTCTTAAACTCAACAGGGAGAGTGTCAAATGACCTTTACATAAACACACATATATATATAGTATGTGTGTGTGTGTATGCATGTATAATATTGAGTTCTGTAGAACACATGACAAGAGAAAAAGCATACCAAGAGTAAATTTTTTTAAGTAAACAAAATTACTTGCTTTCATTAAGCATAGTGGATTTCAAAATTTGAAGATAGGGAATGCTTTCTTCAAATGAAATTTAACTCTGATGTTCAGTAATTAAAACTTATTAAGCAGGTTGGATGAAAAGCTTAAGACAGTATTTTTGGACTTCAGCGGCTTCTCAGATGCCACTTAGGGTCTTCTGTGGCACACAGTTTGAAGATGTCTAATGTTAAGTATGCTAACTCCGTGCCATACATATTTGCTTTCTTTACAAATGAGCACAAGTCATGTTTGGCTTTTAGGTTTTTGGGGTTTTTCCCCAATCACTACAGAGAAACCGATAGAGAATATAAATAACAAATATGAGAATGTTATAAACTCAAATAATGTTTTCTAATATCTTAGTATTGCTTCATTCCCTCAAATTCCTGACTTAATTATGAGATTTTTACGAAGTATTCCTGGACTTTCTCTTTCTGATATTTCCCCCTCATATAAAACTCAATAAATCATCCTCTTTCTTCAGATTCATCTTTTCCTGAAAACTCTGAAGACATCTACCACTATAGTAGCCTCGCTTACTACGATGTGCTTCAGTTTAGTCCTACTGGTAATTTTTTGCCAGACACAGCTGGTTTCTTGAGAAACAAAGATTATTCATTGATGGACTCAGAAGGTCCTCAAAGAGGTTACAGTCAAATAGAGAAGCAGGCATATGAAATACAAGAGTATGGTAACTCGTATGTACACATGATAAAAGTCCCTTGAAGAGAGCAGTGCATTTTAAAGTAAGTCATTTGTATAACTGAAGCTCTCCAGGAGGGCCTTTTTAATACACTCTGCGTTATGCTCTATGTGGATGGTTTAAATGCTAAATCAAAAATATCTATCTGTATTGATTGGTGCTGTTGTAGCATCAACTCAAATTGCCAGAATTTGAATCAGAACCAGCCAGAAGAGATCCTTAGGTTCGAAATTTATTTTAAAATATTTTATTTTTATAATTTAATTGGTTTCCTGTAATCCAGATAAATTTGTCACACTGTATTTTAGTCAAAACCCACTACTGAACATCTTGTATGCATAGTTCACACTGGATATTGTTCTTCATGTAAAATTGTAATGTGATGTAAAATCTTGATGTAAAATCTTAATGTAAAATTATATAAGTAGAAATGATTCATTATTTTCGTCAGAAGAATTTCATTTTATGTTTTAATTATATTAACAATAAGAGAAGTAAATTAAATCCACCTAAATTCAAACACATTATGTTCTTATGAATAACTTAGATTCACTCATGTTTGAAAGATACTTGCATTCCCTTTAATTGCAAACATATCTTTCCCTAGACTGCATAATATTTATAGATAAAACCACCTATAAATTATTTACTTCCTTTTTTGATAGATGTTCTAAACAATTTTAAATTAACATTTCTATAATTCTTTTTAAAGATTTCAAATAAGCTAAATTGCAAGTTAAAGTTGTTACATAAAATGAATTATGTATACATATGAACACAAAACAAAAACATTTCATTTAAATTTCACTAATTCTGTTGTGTGAGCTCACAATTTTTTTTACAAAAGACAAGACCATAGAAGGAGACCCACAGTTAGAAAAGTAAGAACCAGAGTTTGAAGGCCCAACTTTTAAGAGTAATTTAAAATCATCTGCATTTGTTGCAAAACATTTACTTGTGATTAGAAAATGCTTTTGAATATAGGCAAGAAAAAAAATCATTGAAAATAATAATGACTTGGATGCTAAGCACTTATCATCATACTCTAGTTCTAAGTATCAAATTGCTGCATGAACATAAATGTTTTTATAGCTAGTAATAGTTATATTTGAAACATCAAAATAGGTCTTATTTAGCTAAATATTCAAATAAAATATTGAGGTTGGATCAGTCTGGTCTTCAACTTTCTTTTTTCCTTCATTACAGTCTAGCTGGGAAATAATATTTGTTCCTCATAAAAAACCTTCACAATAAAAGTTAAATCATAAAGTATAATTGAACACTTTCAGCCTATTTATGCAAGTAGATTTAATTTTTAAGTGAAAAAAATTATATTCAGGTATTGTCAGCCTTAAAGATTGTGTTTGAAAAGAGTAAACCTGCAAAAAGTTGTTGGAGTGTCTGTGTTCTGAGGTGATGTTCAGTAATTTCCTCTCAAACTCCCCACCCATGCAGATGGACAGTTAGTTTTTACTATCATTCCACAGAGTGCCCCAAGCTCTCGTTACCTTGTATTAAGCTAACAAGTATCTTCGGAAATAATGAATAAAAGGCATACTCGGGGGGATTTTTTTTTTTTTGATAGTGTCTCATTTTGTCATTCAGGCTGGAGTTCAGTGGCATGATCACAGCTCATTGCAGCCTTGACCTCATGGGCTCAAGAGATCCTCCTGCCTAAGCCTCCTGTGTAGCTGAAACAACAGGCATGTGCCACCACATGCAGCTAAGTTTTTGATTGTTATTATATTTTTGTAGAAATGAGGTCTCACTTTGTTGTCCAGACTGGTCTTGAACTCCTGAGCTCAAGCAATCCTCCTGCCTCAGCTTCCCAAAGTGCTGAGATTACAAGTGTGAGCCACTGGGATGTTGTTTTCAATGGCTCCAAATAATACCCATCTATACCACCAGTAATAATAATGCTATCATTTTGACTCTATAATTCAAGTTAAAATATGTCATAGCAAATGAATTTGTAAGTCACTAAATTTATCTTTTGCTTCTCTCTGACCCCTCTTCTTAAGTTTCTCCCCATATGTTTGGTGAATGAATAAATGAAATAACAAACAAAGTGCCCTGGGAGCTACTATGGAGTTTGTTGCTCGAGAAGAAATGGAGCAATGATTGATGTCCAAATCCTGAAATAATAGGAGTTTTATTTAATTCACATTAATATTTTAATCATTGTCAAAACACGGGTATCCTTAGAATACGAAATACCTGAAAATTATATCAGATACACTATCTGCATAAAGAGGCTTTGAAGACAGTAACAGTACATTAAAATATAAACACCAAATACAATGTGAAATATAAAATATAAACACCAAATACAATGTGAAAAGTGAGTAGGTACCGCGGCTTATGCTTGTAATCCCAGCACTCTGGGAGGCCGAGGTGGATGAGTCACCTGAGGTCAGGAGTTTGAGACCAGCCTGGTCAACATGATGAAACCCCGCCTCTACTAAAAATACGAAAATTAGCTGGTGTGGTGGTGCATGCCTATAATCCCAGCTACTCAGGAGGCTGAGGCAGGAGAGCTGCTTGAACCTGGGAGGTGCAGGTTGCAGTGAGGGAGAACGTGCCACTGCACACCAGCCTGGGTGACAGAGCAAGACTGGCTCCACCCCATCCATGCCCAAAAAAAGTGAAAAGTAACAGATTTGTGAAATAATAGTTACATTTAATGAAGTTATTCATAGATGGGTATATTGATAGTTACATATGTACATTTACAGATAAAAATATCTCAGAAATAAGGGTTATTTTCTAAAATAAATAATTAAGTTATAAAAATTAATTAAAATCCAAACAGGAAAAAAGGACAACCCATAACAACAAGCAACTTATAGGGGGAGTTGCAATAGACAATACATGTTTGAAGCTACATAAAAGCTAAGTAGTCTAATAGATGATACACATTAAAGTGATAAAAGGATATCATTTTATATTACTCACTTCAAACCAAAAATAAAAGTTTACTAATGTAAATAAAATTTCAGATTTGATGTAGAGGAATATTGCTGACAGAGTGAAAATAAATACAGGGAAACAACCATTTGGGGGAACAATTCAGTAATAAGTATTAATATGAATCTTGAATCTATCCTATAACCCAGAAAGTATACTATTAGATATATACCGTAGAGAAATTCTACCATAAAAATGTTTGTATTGAAGTATATTCCTATATGTAATCTAGAAGATAATTAAACTAACATTATTGGTAAAATGAAAAAGATCTTAAAACACAATGACATTACATGAAAATGTCGGAGGTAAAAAGGCATATACATCAGATTTCCCTTTACGTGGAGTTTGTAAGCATGCACAATAATACCATATATATTTGTATAATACCATATATTCTTTATATTTATACATATATTTTAAATTAACACATAGTAGGAATTATAGACACTAAATTTGGAATAGTAGTTATCTCTGGAATCATTGTGGGGACTGAGATCAATTAAGTAAAAAAGAAGCTTCAGTTATATCTACAATGTTTTGGTTATTAAACTCTATGGTTGATACAAGTGTTTGTTATATTGGTGTTTATCTTTGTTTTTGCATAAAATATTTACTTTTTAAAATGATAAGGGAATATTGAGTCAGTAGCTCATATTTGCAAAGTGAGCTGCTTAAGAAGATCTGAAAAGAGAATTAAAACCCTGAAAAACCTACTTTAAGGAAATGCTGGAATAGTTCGAGGTGAATACAACAAAATCCTTATCGGTTAGTATAATGTTAATAATTTATAATGTATGTTTCTTTCTGATTTTTGCTTTCTTAGTTGGTGGTAATCATAAAATCAAGAACAGTGAACTGCAGGCGGAGTAATTCTAACTTTCATTTAGCTTGTCCCTCCTGCTCTTCTTCCTCCAGCATATATGTCTCTCCAGAGAGGACAGTTGGAAAGTCCTTGATCCTTGATATAAATAGGCAGAAGACAACTGAGGATCTTTTCACTAAAAAGGTAAAATTTGATTAAAAAAGAAATCACATAAGGCAGTTGCAATATTAATAAACTGTGCTTTGGCATTTTTAATATAAAATTACTCTGGATGACTATTTTAATTTTTCATTATATTAAAAATAGTCTCAACTATAAAACATATCTACTGCTTAAAATTGTTAATTTCCAATAAGGCAAACCAGAGCCTTTTTAGTATCCCTCACCCACTTGGAAGAATCAAAGTGGTGTGTAGAGATTCACAATGTGAACTTTTATCCAATAAAGAGCAGAGGAATTCAACGGAAGCAAAGGACATTTCAGATTATGGAGAAAAGAAGATGCACAGGCAGGCTGCATGGAAGGGCCTGGCTGAGAACTGTCAGTAAAGCCCCAGTACAGGAGTGAGTGAGTGAGTGTCCCTCTGTGATCGAACTTTCCACTGAGCAGCATGAATTCCAGGCCATAGGGAAGCTCATTGATACTCCTAAGCCCTGGATGTAACTTGAGGAGTAGCAGAGAAACTGAGAAGGAAGAGTGTTGGGATGAGTCCTACGTATACTTCCAGACATAGGCACTGAGAGAAGGAAACCATTTCTCATCCTAGTACATATCAGGCTGCCCGGGAGCCTGTCAGCTCTCCAGGGTGGCAGCCACTGGTTTGAGAGTCTCAGGAAAGGGACTGGCAATCTGGACTCGATCAAGCAGCTGAGGGGCCTCCATGGCCAGAACTGGGAAGCAAGTGTAGAATGGGCACAGACCAGCTGTGCTGGAGTTGGGCACCTTCCTTCCTGGGATTAGAGTGGGAGGAGATTTGCCTGGGAGGCGTGGTTTCAACCTGGGGCAGTTTCACGGATGGAAGGCAAACTGCATGTGACTTGGCTGACTGTCACCTGCTGCCTGAGTTGGGCCACTGGGGGCAATCCCCTGGGTCTGGAGCATGAGAGCAAAGTGGATCTCACTTCCTCTTGCTTGGCTGTGAAGCTAGGACTGCCCTTCTTTACCCAGGCTGGAACTTTGGCACAACAGTGATTGTTGTTTTCCTCCTCACTGGGGCATTTCTCCAGCGGCCTGAGATCTACTCCCTGACCCCTGTCAGGGCCAACACTTGCACCTATCATTGGGGTCCAAGGGAAGTCTTGCTCAACCCAGCCATTACCATCTTTGCTCCACCCCCTACCTTAGATACAGAGCATATGTTCCAGACAACTGAGAGTTTCACAGCCCAATTAATCACCTGAGGCATGTGTACTTCTATTCGTTAACAAAGATTAAGTATAAACCATACTGCTACCACTGCATCTGGCTGTCATATCCAAGCTCTACCTACTGGCTTGGAGGTCCACTGACAAAATTCATTACTACATCTGTTGACACTAGTGCACAGTGCTCAAGAAATAGACAAGCTTCCTGATACCTCTGCTACCATTATTACCCATAGTAACTTGGCTACCAAGGAGGGAGAGAACCCATTCAGCTAAATGGCATGCCAAGTCACCACACAAAGGCTATTTATAAGTAACAAAATTATACAGTCTTCTCCATTAAACGTATTAAGAAGCAAAGCCAAACAGCCTTACTCAACACACATCACAGTCACAGCCTCAAGGCTGTGACTCAAGGAGAAAATAGAAAGCAGAAGACCTGCCCCAACAAAAACAAATGCAAAAATTAAAAGAAGAGACTTTCTCCAGATGCAAATAATTCAGCAGAATAATACTGGACATATAAAAAAGCAATGGGTTATGACACTCCAAAAGGAACACAATAGTACACTAGCAGTAGATCCTAACCAAAAAAGAAATCTTAGAAATGCCAGATGAAGAGTTCAAAATATTGATTTTAAAGAAATTCAATGAGATGCAAGAGAAATCTGAAAGCCAATACAAAGAAATGAGAACACCAATTCAGAATATGAATGGGAAGTTTACTAAGAAAATAGATGTTGAAAGGAAAGCATACAGAACTTTTGGAAATAAAAAATGTATTGAAGGACTTACAAATTACAGTTGAAAGCTTCCATAATAGACTAGATCAAGTAGAAGAGAGAATCTCAGAACTTGAAGACAAATCTTTTGAATTAATTCAATCAAACTAAAATAAAAAATTAAAAAAAACCAATGCCCTCAGAAACTATGGAACAATATAAAGTGACTGTAATTGCAAATTATTGACATTCCTGAGGAAGAAGAAAAATCAAAAGGCTTACAAAATCTATTTAAGAACATAGTTGATGATAACTTCCTGAGTCTAGCAAGATATTTGGCACCCAGATACAAGGGCCCCCAAAAAACACACCCCAGATAAATACATTGCAAGAAAGGCTTCACCATAATATATAGTCACCAGACTGTATAAAACAAGATGAAGAAAAAAAAATCTAAATATCAGCAAGAGAAAAGCATCTAGTCAAGCAAGAGAAAAGCATCTAGTCACCTATTAGAAAAAAACAAGCCCCCATCAGATTAACAATGGACTTCTAAGCAGAAACCTTACAAGCCAGAAGAGTTCAGAATATTATCTTCAAAGCACTTAAAGTAAAAATCCCTGCCAACCATGAATTTATTCTTATTGTAATACCTGGTAACTATAACTTATCTCATCATAAGTTCATGGTTGGCATGGTTATTCTTCTCTTATAGCAATAAGCTTGTTCTTATCATAATAAGCTTCAGAAATGAAGGAGACAGAAAGTCCCAAAGAGAACACTTAGGAAATTTATCACCACTAGACTGGTCTTACAAGATGATCAAAGGAGTTCTAACATGGAAACAAAATGACAATATTTGCCATTATAAAAACACACAAAGTACAAAACAAATAGGTCTTATAAAACAATTACACAAATGAGGATAAAAAACAAATAAAATGATATCATGACAGAACTCTACCAAAACTCAAAGACAAACATACAAAAAAATGAAACAAAGAGTCTACAAGACAACTAGATAAAAATTAACATTATGACATAAACAAAACCTCACATGTCAAGATTAACCTTGAGCATAGACAGCTTAAATGATCAACTAAAAATATATTAAGAGATGGAATGGATTAAAAACCTGAACTAACTATATGCTGCTTTAAAAAGGCAGACCTTCCTAGTAAAGAAACTTACAGACTGAAGGTAAGAGATGAAAAAAGATATTCCATACAAACGCAAATCAAAAGCAAGCAGGAGTGGCTATAGTTGTATTAGATAAAACAGACTTCAAATTAACAGCAAGTAAAAAAAAGTCATTCTACAGTGATAAAGGGATCAATTCAATAAGAGATTATAACAATCTTAAGTATATATACACCTAATATCAGATCACCCAGTTTCATAAAACAAATATTACACCTAAAGAGATAGCAATACAATAATAGTAAATAAATACATGTGAAGCATTTAGAACAATCCCAGGTGTGAAGTAAGCAATCAACAATAGTTATTCATAATAATTATTATTACGTGTTTTTTGAAATGCTTATTATTTATTTTGTGAATATGTTGCCATGAATAGAAACAATGTACAAAACATACATTGCACCTTTACTTCATGTTCCCACATAGTGAATTACTAATCATTTAACATTAAATATATTGGATTTATTTTATGAGTGCAATTTTAGAATGCAAACAATAGGTATAAAAGACTACAAATAAATATTCGTTATTTCTCTCTTAGATTCCTTTGCTAATATCCTTTGTTAAAGGTCTTCTGTGTTTTACTAATTAATTGCTAAGATTGAGTTCAGGTGTGAAAATTATATGCAGTTAATTTTAGATTCCCTTGAGTCTTCTATCTGAAGTTCATTGCTATCCTATCTGGTCAGGAATCTATCTTGCTCCAGGGAGAAAAGTCTCATGTTAGTTACCTGTTGCTAAAAATACTTGGCGTCTTGAGTTATCATCCTTCCTGTGGAAAGTATTGTCCTTTGTTTTGTAAAAGGC
This sequence comes from Homo sapiens, assembly GCF_000001405.40. Lineage (NCBI taxonomy): Eukaryota > Metazoa > Chordata > Mammalia > Primates > Hominidae > Homo > Homo sapiens. The sequence continues at coordinate 95,570,566 of NC_000003.12, forward strand.
AATCTACTGTAAAAACTTCTTTTAATTTTCACTGACTCTTTTGTCAGATTATAAATTACAAGTGGAGAGTGAGATTTGTTAATCAAGCTGCCTTCCTCCAACGATGCTAGCAACATGCAATGAGTAATGTCAAATTCCTTTCTAATGCAAAATTTTAGAAAAAAAACACTTTAAGTGGAAAAAGCTGTACTTCTTTTCACATTCATTATCAATTTTTATGTCAATATTTCTTAATTGATTGTAAATCATAAGAAAACAAAGAAGGACCTAGCAAATTAAAAACTAGGTTGAATATAAAATTGACAGTACCTAAAACCAATAATCTTACTTCTAACTCTTATGAGATAAAAAATGATACATTTATTAACACACACATTTATCTATATTTGCCTTATATGTAATCAATGCTGTTGTAAAGTAACATCAGCAACCTATGCACTAAAAGAATCTTGATCTTAGAATAAAAATAGCAATTTAGGAGAAAGTTGCTAGTCACTTACAGCTTAGTTGTGGTTAAGTGAAAACAGGTCATGCACTAGGGTTCGAAATTCCAAAGCAAATTATCAAATAAACAAGTAAATCAAGATAAACAGCTGGAATCAAGTTATCAAACTGGAAGTGAAACAGCAGAGCTACAGAGAAGGCTGAAATTAGTTTTGTGAAGCCATTTTCATAAACACCAGAAGTCAAAATTAGGGATTAAGAAGAGATTTTAAATTTACAGCCCCTAAAAGTTTTATTCTCCACTCTTAACAGAGTATTTAACAGAACCTAACTGCCTAAGTGGTTGATTTTTAAGTAAACTAGAGAGAGAGAGTTTCAGCTAAAAGGATAGGGCATTGGGCTGTTATATGCCATATTAATTTCTCTGATGGAAAGAATTCAGTATCCAATTTCTTAGTTGCAAGTTCATTTTTGCAGAGATATCCTGTTTGTTTTCCTAGAGTACCAACCATGGAGAATCACAATGTTTGTTAGACAGCAGGGTATGGCTGGTACACCTATTTTCTGTTTTCTAGTCAAAACACCTTTCCCACCAACCAAAGACAGATTGACAAAATTGAATTGGATCAGGAATTAGCACATATTATCGGGCAGTTTGAAGTCCTAAAGAGCAAGGATACCAAAACTCAACTTGGAATGCACTTATCTTTTTTTTTCTGATAAAAAATACTTGATTGCTCTACATAAAGGATTATAACCAGATTTACTTGCTTTGGGGAAAAAAATCTATGCAGTCCCTATTTAAATGGAGTAAATAATACAAATTTAAAACTTCAGTACTGTTTTCTTAGTTTTGTCAATATCTTTCTATTATTGTACCCAATTCTTTCATTTTGAAAGCTGAATTGGGGAAACAGTGTGCTCTAAACGTTATGAGCAATTGTTTCCAGTACAAGAAGAGCTAAAACAAAGGGAGCTACAGAGAATTCAAAGGGCACATTCTTTATTTCATGATTGAAAACATTAAAAAAAAAGAACTAAATACAATTATTGGTATTAATTCAGGACCCCCAAAGTACAGATGTTGAACTGTTTCTGAAATAATTAGTTCCCTGGGGACCAAAGAATGAAACGAAATCCTAATTTCCTCCAATGTATGATGGTATGTGTGGTGGGGAGGGGACGATTTCCTGAAACAGTCAATGTTTTTAAAGTCATTCTTTCTGAGAAAAGGGCATGTTAAGACAGAAATCTAGGAAGAAATAATCTTCACAGTAAAGTGGGATTTTTCAGACTGTACTATTCACATTTTCAGAAGCTATTCTATGCATAGCAGGATGTTTAGCAGTATCTATGGTCTCCACTCACCAGATGCTAGCAGCACTTTGTCCCAAATTATTACAGTCAAAAATTTTCTCGGGTCTTGTTAAATGTCCTCTGGGGAACAAAACTGCAACCTATTGAGAAGCAATGGGCAAGAAACATCAAGCAGTAGTTTTCTCTTTGGGGGCTTTCCAGCCTTAGGACTTAGGCTCACAGGATTTCTTTTTTTTTTTTTTTTAGAGGGAGTCTCGCTCTGTGTCCCAGGTTAGAGTGCAGTGGCGCGATCTCAGCTCACTGCAAGCTCCTCCTCCCTGGGTTCACGCCATTCTCCTGCCTCATCCTCCCGAGTAGCTGGGACTACAGGCGCCCGCCACCACGCCCGGCTAATTTTGTATTTTTAGTAGAGACGGGGTTTCATCGTGTTAGCCAGGATGGTCTGGATCTCCTGACCTCGTGATCTGCCCTCCTCGGCCTCCCAAAGTGCTGGGATTACAGGCGTGAGCCACCGCACCCGGCACAGGATTTCTTTTGTGAGAAAATTGAAATGTGGGAATAACAAACTGAACAACAAGAATGGGTTTGGACATGCGGACTTGCAAAATATACACACAGGATGGCAGTTATAATTGTTACTCTAGACTGTACTACTTTGGGTTTTCTCTGATCCATGTTGGTGGGAGTGTAACACGGTATAATCTTTTATGACTACACTATGACCAATTGTAACAGAGCAGCTTAGCTTCCAGCCGTGTTTTAATACTTGATCTTTCCTCCTTTCTCCCTAGCCTCAAGATGTAGCTTTGAGACAAACTACACGTGTATTTTCTTCTGTCTGGAAATATAGCCTTCCCAGGTGTTTTAAAACTTCGCTGCATTCCTTTTCCCACCTTATGCTTCCATGCTTTATACACATTTATTTACCTGGATGCTTGTTAGGCTCAAACTATGCTCACTTATCTGGTCATATATTTCCTTAGAAGCTTCAGGGGCCAAATCCTGACATGAACCAGACACCCGGAGAATTCTCTCCCTAGTAGAAGATTACTTCAAAGCCAAAGTTCACCTCTGGCTAGGGATCGACTGCAAAATTGACTGCAGTTGATTTGTAACCTGGTTGGGTCCAAGATGATGCAGTCCCTTCACCAGATAAAACAATAATTCAAGATAAGCCATAAGAACAAGTCACATAGCCAGCACCTCGTAGCCCCCTGGCCTCTCCTGTATTCCAAGCCCCTCTCCTTAAACTCCTGCCCACTCTCCAGAAATTGGAAAGTGGAAATTTTTGGAAAGGATTCCAGTCATATTACCCTTTGCTGGCAACAGATTTAAAAATTCACTCTTTTTATCATACCTTGCTCTTGCTACTTTGGCTTTCTTGTACAGGTAGTGAGCAGTCAGACTATCTATCTTCAAAAAGTTTGCAAAATTGTTCCTAGCAGCTCTAATTATAATAAAAACTGGAAACATTCCAGGTGTTCATCTACAGAAGAACAAATAAATGGTGATGTGTATATATATATGGATACACACACACACACACACACACATATATATATATATACACACCCTAAAAATAATAAATATTCAACAAGAAGGAAGATCTATGGAAACACACACAACATACATGAATCTTGAAAAGTCTTAACACTGATTGAAAAAGCTCTATGGAACGGACTAAATAGTGTATGCTTTCATTCATGTGAAATTCTAGATCAGGCAAAGCTAATACATGGTAGAGAAAAATCAGATGGTGATTGCCTCTAGGAGTAGGGACCGACTGCAAAGGAAAATGAGGTAGCTTTCTGGGGTGATGGCGATGTTTCATATTTGACTGGAGGTTAGGATCTTGTTCATCACATTATCTAGTTATTTCATCATATGTTCAAAAGAAAAAGGCATGTGCAAATAGTGATTTCTAATAGAATTATGCACAATGAAGTATTTTGCATAACATGTACTGATATACATGCAAAAAAACCCACAAAATAAATGAACGGATAAATAGATGTATAAATATATGGTAAATCAAGTATATTAGAATATAACAAAATCTAGGTGTGGCAGTTCTAGTTCAGAGACCCTTAGTATGATGTCCTCAGATTACTTAATCACCTTGATTCTCAGTTGTCTAAACTAATAGTTTAAAAAATATTTTTGAAATGAGTCACTATGAGTATTTGAAGCATATGTACTTAGCACATCATTAAGTGGTCAATATGCTTTATTGAACCTAAATTGCATTTTTAGGAAGGTATATGTTCTTGCTTCCTGGATTTGAGCTGGAATGATTAAGTATTCTAATTATATAATTATTTTGTATATAGAATTGCGGAAAAAACTGTACTTTTTTATTCTAAATTTTTTTTCTGTGCACATTAAAAAAATAAAGACAAAATTTCACTGGATAGTTATCCTTTTCCTTCTTTTTGTGTGTTTTTCCGTCTAACCTTGTTTGTCTCTCTGCTCTAGGAAATTTCTTTTTAACTCATTGTTACTAGAGTTATGCTTACTAGGGAAGAAGTCTATTTACTAGGGCTCCATTAACAACCATAACTTTAAAAAACGACTTAATCGTTACTTCCTAAAAACCATAAATATGGAAAGAATTATATTTGCTTTTCTTAGCATGGAAATGATAGTGTTGTGTGGTACACTAAAGAGAGCAGAAGCATTGGTTATCAGAGGACTATCTTCTAAAATCTCACCTGTTGCCTAGAACAGTGTCTTGTACACAAAATTTGATGCACTATTCTTTGAATAATAAAAATGGGTATTAAAGTAGCAAAAATAATCAGAAATAAACTTTGTAAGAAATGTGGATGGTGTATATAAGGATTTGTTTGAAATGCTGCTGGGGCACATAGAAGAACATCTGAATACAAAGTGTTAACATCATAATGATTTCTCTTCTGCTATCTTGTTCTATGAATGATCATTGCCTTATTTAAAAAATTGAGGCTGGGCGTGGTGGCTCACGGGCTCATGCTTGTAATCCTAGCACTTATGGAGGCCGAGGCTGGCGGATCACCTGAGGTTGAGAGTTCGAGACCAGCCTGACCAACATGGAGAAACCCTGTCTCTACTAAAAATACAAAATTAGCTGGGCGTGGTGGCCCATGCCTGTAATCCCAGCTACTTGGGAGGCTGAGGCAGGAGAATCGCTTGAACCCAGGAGGCGTATGTTGCAGTGAGCTGAGATTGTGCCATTGCACTCCAGCCTGGGCAACAAGAGTGAAACTCCACCTCAATAAAAATACCAAACAACAACAACAGCAAAACAACTGAGTTGGGGGAAGTAGGGAAGGAAGTTAGTTACAAAATTCATTTGAAAAAATTTTAAAAAAGGAGAAAAAAGACCTTTCTGAAAAGAAAGTGGTAGTAAGAACGGTTGTCACCATATACTAAACTGCAAATTCATGATAATATTTTTATACGGCACAAGAATACTGAAAAATGTCAATAAAAAAGCCTGAAAATAGTTTCAAATGTACTAAAAGTAATGTATAATTAAAAGCATCTCATTAATGTCAGGAAAAGATATATAATTCAATAAATTTCAGGGACAAGTAGAGATACAAAAAAATAGTAAAACTGGATACTTACAACAGATCTTACTAAAAAAGTCAGAATGAAGAAAATAAACTCAAAAATGTCATAAAAATGTTTGAAACCAGTTGAGATATTTTCTTTATATTCTCAACTTAGAGAATACCTCTCTGCATTTGACTCAAATCCAAAACCCATCAAAAGCTATAAAATAAGACTTCAAAAGATTAAAACATTTCAGAAAACAACCCCACAATGTCAAAATTAAAATAATACAAAGAAAAATAAAATGCTTGAAACTCCTAGATAAAAGGCTGTTATCCTTATCTAAGGAATTAGATAAATTTGTTTGCAAAGTAATTCAGTGAGTAAAAGGTAAAACATCTCAACAGAAAAATGTCCAAAGAAATCAACAGATGTTTTACAGAAAAGGACATAGTCTTAAACATTTGATTTTTCTAGGAGAAAAAATACAAATTGAAATTTTGTTTCTTATTTAGATTGGATGGAGTAATTGTTTTTTCAATTTGTAGTTCCATGGACTAAAAATTGTATACTCGATTTATAACTATATATCATGTCACCATGATTTTAAATTAATATGAATTAAATATTAGACTTCCACATAAACATATTCTCCCATTTCATATTATGGTTGTAAAACTTGTATTTTAATGTCAACCTCAAAATAAGCGGGTAGTTTTGGTCATTCTTTTCTTCACTCTTCCCATTGGGAGTGGGATGGTCTCTCCCATCCATTTAACTTTCTTTAACTCATAGAATGTTAGAAATGAGGATGCAAGCAGGAACTTGAAAATGTCATGGTCTATTGTGACTCTTGCTTCTTCAAAAATGAAAACATGCCCAGGATAGCTAGGTAAAAGATGAGAGACAAGGCCATTCTAGACCAGCCAAATAGAGTAAGTTCTCTTACATAAAATGCCATATTTACAATAACCATTTTATAGAATATTCTCTTTTTTTATATAACACCTTCTGAAGATATATTTGATGTACAATTAATTGCATATATTTAAAATGTATAATTTACTTTTTTTGGTAAAATTTTATAAATTGTGAAGTTATAATTTAAAATGTAATTCTTTATATACATATACATCTATCTTTATTTTCTTGCCTTGAGGGATTGCTGAATTTCCTGGATGTGTTGGTTTATAATTTTTACTTAAAACTTTATTGAAATACACTTTCTTGCCTATCAGAATGAGGATCAAAAATTAAAATGTTCTACTGTTGGTCAGTAGGACTATAACTGGGTAAGCTCTATTAAAACAATTTGATAATAACTTTCAATATCAAAAATACATATACTCTTTGAGACAGAAATTCAAATTACTAGAATTTGTCCTGTAGATATACCAGCATATGTGAAATAAATATGTGTAAGAAATTTATAGCAGCATTGCTTTAAATATAAAACACTAACTCTTTCTTAAAAGTTGGTTAAAGCAGAATAGTGGTTATCAGAAGCTGGAGGGAATGAAGATTGGGAGATGGTCAAAAGATACACAATTTCAGTCAGACAGGAGGAATAAGTTCAAGAGATCTGTTGTATATTATAGTGACTACAGTTTGAAACAATATATTGAAAATTGTTAAGAGAGTAGATTTTATGTGTTTTGACCACAAAAAAAGAAAAGTATGTGAGGTAATGCATACGTTAATTAACCTCATTTAGACATTCCACAATGTATACATATCTCAAAACATTATGCATACCATAAGTATAGACAATTTTTGTCAATTTAAATCAATTAATAAAGTAAATGGTTAAATAAGTTATAGTATATCTATAAACTGGAGCACCACAAAGCTACTAAAAATGAGGTAACTTTATATCTATTACTATGAAATACTGTAAGGGGAGGGAAAAAAGAATGCAGAACAGGGTGAAGTTTATACTACAATGTGTGTAAATACGTGTCTGTTGATAAAAGAGCTCCTCGATTGCACCACTTTAGAAGCATCGTTTACATCCTAATACATATAAATGATGTCCCTGGATTGTACAGTGCTGAGTTTGTACTGCCATGCATCCCTGTTCTAACATATGAGATAGAATCTCTCTGAAAGGATACACAAAAAGTGGTATTAAAAGTGGCCTCTGGGTAGGGAATTACATGGCTTGGGGAAGAAATGGTAAGGAAATTTATTTTCTATAATACCTTTTTGTAGACTTTTAATTTTGTGCTATGAATATTAATACCTATTTTTAAAATGAGCAAACATAAATTTTAAAAATTAATACTAAAGTTTCAGTATGCAGAGAAACCTATTAGCTAAGAAAACCTGGCTCTCTGCTTTAAGGAAACAGTTTTAACTCACCGCTACATTCATTTTAGTTGGTTCTATTTGACACTAAAGTACCTTATTTTTTCCCCTTGAACACAAGCATGCTGTTTGTGTCCTATTTCTGAGAATAAAGTGCCACTTTGATCTAGAAAGTCACTTCAGGGGTCACCATGTTAGGTAAGCAATGTTTCCTTCAAGTTTCATGACCGATTATTTATAGTATTTGTAGTTTAATTTTAGGAGAAACATATAGGAGAATTGCTAGTGACCTCCGTTTGGGTCTTGCTTCAGAGGTAATTTTCTTTGCTTTACTGCTGACCTGAGAATCCAGATTCTTTTTTAAAGACATGATATATTTTCTTCAAAAAATGCTATGAAGTTTATCTGCAGTCTTGTTTTTGAAGGTTGGTAGAAAAACGAACTTAATAATTTTAAAACAAACTGACTTTCTTTAGCACCACAAAAGATATAGCCCAAGGTTAACAGCCTGCTCTATTACCTGTAGAAGTCTTAGCTCTTTTGTTTATATAAACACAATCCCTTAAAAATTGGCATTTTCATGATGAAGATAAAGCTATTTTTCTTTCCCTTTTACTGTATGATACTTGCTTGTTTAGCTTTGTTAACAGCAAACTACATTGCTGGGAGGGGAGGGAAGGACCAATAACTTACAATCAACTCTGTCACTTACAGACTTATTCCAAGTGCCATTATATACCACAGAATGTTCTGTGTCATCTGTTCAAGAGCATCAAGTAGTAATGAATTCAAAGAACCAAGGTCAAGAGGCCGGAGTAAAACACAAAGGGATATTCTGTTTTAAAAGAGTCATTTACAGGATTAGGATATACAATGCAATATCAAGTAATAAAATTAAAATATGATGAATACAGTGAATCAAATTTATCTGAAAAGTAATTTGGAGGAAAGAGGCTTTATTCCAGTGAACAGTTAGCAAACAGATGCAGCCTTCAGAGTAAAGTGAAGGTGTATTTTAGAGAACAAAGAGAGGGTTTAGGTTTTAAAGCAATAGTTCTTACCCAGGTTCCCAATCAAGTGTGTTTATGCAAATGAAAGAATCCAACTTACTTAGTTCTAACTGGTCACCACAGCTGTGTCCTGTTTGGTCAGTACAGTGAGCTCTGATTGGTTGGTTCAGGTAAGCTCTGATTGGTTGATTTACAAGTCCTAAACCAGAAGTCTCTGTCGATGTTTCTTTAAAATGATGAGAGAGGCTTTGCTGTAATTTTTCTTAGTACCTACAGCAGAAACTGGTTGGCTTGATTATATAGAAAGGGCAGTCCTCTTACACTTTTACAACACCTTTCTGAGAACACAGAGTATGTAACCACTTGCTCACTCAACTCTGGCACACTAGTTCTATTTTAACTCATCACGGTTAGACATGGGGAGTCCATTTTGTACATCAAACATGCACATTTTAACAGTGCCAAGGCAAAGATAACAAATAAAAAATTATAGCATATAAACCAAATAGTTTTAAATTGCAAAATCATATACAACAAAAGATATGCACAACATTATGCATATGTAGAAAGAGTCATCATGCACAGCATCATGTATCATGAAGAAGGAGGTAAATAAATGAACAGAAGTTTTCATTTTATGAAAACAAAAATTTTAAAGCTATTTTGCTCTCTTTAATAAAACATTAAAATTTGTATATTTTGAGATGGAGTTTCGCTCTTGTTGCCCAAAGGGGAGTGCAATGGCGCAATCTCGGCTCACTGCAACCTCCGCCTCTCAGATTCTAGCAATTCTCCTGCCTCAGCCTCCTGAGTAGCTGGGATTACAGGCATGGGCCACCACGCCCAGCTAATTTTGTATTTTTAGTAGAGACGGGGTTTCTCCATGTTGGTCAGGCTAGTCTTGAACTCCCGACCTCAGGTGGTCCACCTGTCTCAGCCTCCTTAAGTGTAAAATTTATGTTCTTAAGTGGATATCATGTGGAACTGAATGATATTCTAGCCCAAGATTTTATTTGTTAATTTTTTTATGACATAGATCCAATTTTAATATATATTTATGTTGAGTTAAATAAGAGACTAGATTTACATATAACTGTGTATATGTAAGAGACTACATAATGCCATATTTCATGTGTACATTAATTTTTCCATGTATTCACTCAGTTATTACTGAGTGGTGTGTGTGTGTGTTTGTGTGTGTGGTGTGTAGTGTGTGTTATATTTGACACATTTCTAATGGAATGCCAATGCATTTGGTAAAAAATACAGGCCAAAACTAAAGCAAAACAGCTGCCTACTCATGAATTCTGTACTCATTTATGTTTTTTCTATGGGGTGCTTAAATTTCTTATGTGTTATACCTTTGCTTTCTTCATGGATTGTGGATGTTACAAATATCTTTTTCCAGTCCATTATCCAGCCAATAACACATTATTATCATAGTGTTCTTTATTGAACACAAATCTTTAATTTTTGATGTTGTAAATCCATCATTTTCAGTTATAATTTGTCCAGTATAGGACTTACAGAAAAAAATTTGAGATATAAAATTTTAGATGTGATGGTATAAAAAAAACACAAATTAGTTTTTATCTCTAGATAAGTGAAGTATAAAGTGGTATTTGCTTACAATGGAATACCATGTAATACAATGAAGTAATTAATTGGATTTATTTAATGTAATACAGATAGACCTCACAGCATTGCTCTGAGTATTACAAATAGAAAATGTAAAGATATTTAATATAATAGAATTTATGTAAATTAAACAAACATATAAAATGATGTTATTTTTGTTAAAGGATATATATGTGTTATATGTTTCATACATATAAATATATACATGAATATAAATACATAAATACATCTTGTATATATTTCTATTTATAAATATAAAAATATATATTTACATTTTATAAATATGTAAATATATTTATGTATTTATAAATATTTAAATATATAAATAAAAACATTTAAAATATATAATAAATATATATTTATAAATACATAAATAAATATTTTAAATTTAAAGGGAGTGCATTTTCTTCACTTTCTTAGGAGCTCTTTTTAGTATATTAAATGAATGCCCTCCCAGCTGTATTGGGAGGGCATTCATTTGATATACTAAAAAGAGCTCCTAAGAGGGTGAAGAAAATGAGTGTGAATTAAGTGTAATTGAAAAATACTGAAATAAAGCAGCAGAATGTTCTTGCCTTATACCAGCTGCTAATGATTTTGGGACATGACTCAAGTGGTAAAACAATTGATCACTAAAAAATTGGCAACTAAAAATGAAACAGATATGGAATATGGCTCCAGGTTGGAGTTATACTTTAATATCATTGGTAGGAGATACATGCGAATAACTATACATTTCAGGTAGCTCTTGTGACTAGTTACAGTGAATAAGCACATAATGAAGTACTGTTGTCCATAGAGAACACCACGTTACATAATGAATAAAAACAGTGCAAAAGAAGAGTGATTGGGTGGTTTTTTAAATTGGGCAGAGGGAAAGTTCTAAGGAGGTGACTTTCACAAGAGAGAGCCAGCCATGGATATCAAAAGAAGATCATTCAGGGCAAAATGAGTAGAAAGGATCTTGGCACATTTGAGAACCTGAAAAAGTTCTAAAGCCTAGTGAACCAGGACAATGAAAGACTAATAAGGGTTCAGAGAGACAGAGAGGGGGAAAGCACATGGGTTTTATTTGCCAAGATAGAGAATTTGGATCTTAACCTAAGTGTGACTGAAAACTACTGAAAGTGTTTAAGCAGAGAAGTGAGATGATCATTTGGTTTACATTTGTAACAGTTAATATAGCTGCTGTGTTGAGAACGGATTGTACAAAGACACACATGATATTACGAAGATAAATAGAAAGTGCAAGTAGAAGAGAGGACAGAAGAAGAGAGGACCCAGCTTTCCTTACCCTCTTTAGCCAGACTTCCCCGAAGTCCTAACAGGTACTATTAGCATTTTGTTTGCCTACAACTAAGTCGCAGGGCCAAATGTATTTTTAAGAGATACTAGAATGTTATTTTTTTCCTTGAACAATTAACATTCTGAAAAGAAAAAAAAAATCAGGTATACTGTAACCAAGGAAGATTAAAAAATACATAATAGGAAACAATTCAGTGTCTGTCACAGAAGATATTTCAGTTTGGGAAATATGGTTTGGGGGATATAGTGATAAGTTCTAGAGCATGATACCTGGGAAACAGAATGCAACTGTATTGCCCAAATAGAAAAGAGACAATTGTGTTGACATTTAAATACACTGATGGTTCTATATTTTAACTTATTACTAACGCTGGTCTGTGCAGCAAATTGGGGTTTTCTAGAAAATGTATTACCAACTCTGCCATATACTATATATTTCATTTCTACTTTGTTTCTTTCTTGCAATGTCCCCACACAGTCAAAATCTGGAAACCTGAAATAGGGGCCAGTGTGTGCTGAGAAGTGACATACTGTCTACAAGAATAAAGCATTGGTTGCTGACGTTATGCAATAAAGAAGTAAGGATAATATATTTGGACACTAGGCAATTGAATTCCAATCAAGGTTGTCACTAATAGCTGTGTGACTATTAACATGTGCTTTATCTCTCTGAGCTTCAGCTAAATCAAATCTACCACAGAGTGCTTGTTCTTGGAATTGGTGCATTTCAGACCACACTAGGATGGGGATAAGAAGGTGGATAAAAAGGAGAACAATAAGAAAGGTGAATTCTAATCCTCCTGTTCAGTGGCAACTAGGCAATTACATTTTCATTGCTCTTATGTGATGGAAACAATGATGTTTTCATTCAAGTAAAAAATTTAACAGCATCAATTTACAAGTCCCTTTGAGCACAACATTCTATGATCCTATGGCTTTTCAATAGGTACTTACATTGTCAAGTGTGTGTCTAATTGTGAGACAAGAATATGGCCCAGCAAGTTCCATCACTGGGGGGCAGATATGTAGTAACTATACAGAAATAGCAAAAACTAAAAGATGATGTAAATAAAACACCCACACTTATAAGATTTTTATAACTGAAGAACATTATGATAATGAAATTTTTTTTTTTACCAACCGAAAGCATTTTTTGATCCAAATCTCATTTTATGTTTAATTATTTCAAAAACAATTTGCATTTAAAATATATTATTTTATTAGATATCAAAGCATATGTGAACTTCACAAGTACTAGATATTTTTATTTCAAAAATTAACTGATTAACTTTATTGTTAAGAATGCATCCTATTTAATATAAATTGTATTTCCTTAAACACTGAAACATATATGATTCTCATGCAAACGCCGAGAAAATTGTAGGGACTATTAAGTCTTTTTACTTTACATTTTAAGATCTTTCTGTTTTGCATAAACTGAATTTATAAGTGGTGATAATCTGGTAAACAACAGAATACAGACTCAGTAAAAAGTCTAAGCAGGTTTTGGGTCCAGCTGGTTTTCTTAAATTTTTTGTGATACAACATAACATAGAGCCATCTAAATTCACACTTCAGGTAAAAAAATATAAGTTTGAGGATGTTCGAGAGAATTAATTTTCCTACCAAATCACAAAATGCAATACCCTCACCAAATAATACTGGCGCTAGAGAACAAGGGTGATTACAAGTGTCAAAGTATTACATATGCCAGCTAACTCCTAGTATTGCTTTTTGTTTGGTAGTAAAGAAAACAAAAAATACTGAAGGCATTTTTAAATTCCCTTCTACACTTCACCACACTTGCATAATTCTTATTCAGGGTCTTAAATGAAGAGCAAACAATAATTAAGGAAGAAGTACTTTATATAGTAAAGAGATAAAATGTTGAATTATAGTCTGATAGTACTGGCAGAAGCACTAAAAACTGCTTTTCTGTTGGGACTGATATTTAGTGTGATTTCAACATTTTATTGAGTATCTAATATGTGTAAGGTATTAGCTGATGTGATTTATATATGTTGTTATTAAAGGAAATAACAATTATTTGGTTATTAAAGGAAATAACCAAAACAACCAGATGATTCAGGAATTTCATATAACTAAATATACCATGTGCCTTTATGTTCCAAACATCAAACCAGATATTTCCAGTAAGAAAATTTTCATACACTATCTTCTTTTTTTCAGTGACCAAGAATATACAAATGTCTTAAATAGATCTACGGAAAGATGAATAAATTTTAACATTTATAAAACTTCTAATGGTAAACACAGTTCCAGATTTTATCTTATAAAGTATTTTCATATCCTTGATTTCACACAATAATTACAAGATTGTGGTAAAAAAATGCAGTACCATTATATGCATTTTAATATGAATAGTCTGAGACTGGATAATTCATGAGATGCCCAAATTTACACTCAAGATGACAGGTATTTCTGGAGCAGGTCCTCTAACTCCAGTTGCAGTACTTATTCCACCACACGGCATCTACAAATTGTAGTAGAAATGTCTGCATTTCAGGTGATGCTCAATGAGATACTCTTGGAAAATAATTCACATTGTTATATAACTACTTCCTCTTAAAAATGTATTTTTTCCCTTGCTTTGTCTCTCTCTCTCTCTCTCTCTCTCCCTTCCTCTCTGTCTTCTTTTGCATTATGCTGTTGGCTGAGATGAGACGTCTCCATATCCACGGAAACATGGAAGCCATCCTGAAAAAAACAACCACCATATACTACTCTGTTAAAGGCTACCACATCTTTTAGAAAAACAAAATAAAATAGACATTGTAACTAAAACTTACCAAACAAAACAAGGATGTGAGTACATAGACTAGTAAATGAATCCAACTATTTCATTCACTTAATAATCACAATTAGTAATTTCTCCTAAGTCAAATCCTTCAGTTATCATTATAAACTGTTATTATAATTATACTACATGTTATAACATATATTAAAAATATTTAAATATATATTAAACATGCTAATCTCAAAAATTAATTTTGCTGAAAATTTAGAAATTTTTGAATTACTATTTATATTTCATTTTTCAAAAGGATTAATAAATATTAAATGCATAGGCATTTGGGGTATATTTTATTGATAACTTTGAATAAAAGCACTTTTACTTATCTAAATGTTAAAAACAACTTTAGAAGGTTATTAATAATATAATACATGTAGAGTTAAATAAATATAAATGAATATTATGAATATTATATATTTTATTAATCAAGTTTTTACTGAGTATATGTTTTTAAAGAGTTGCATTGCATTTATTAATTTTAATAATTCCAGTCACTGATTCATAAATAGTCAATGATCCATTGAAATATATTCTAGAGAGATTTTATTGGCATATTAGGACAATGTATGCATTTCACAAAGTGTTTCTATATATACTAACATATATATCTTAAGTAGCATAATAAATAATCTAAAACATTATCACTTGTAAAAATATATATGTGGGAGCTAGACTATCAGAGTCTTATACCTTACTCTACCACAAATACCAATGTGGATTTAAGTATGCTCTTAGTGTGTCAGCATTTAGTTATTTTTTTCCAAAATGGAAAATTATAGCAGATTATTTAAAATGTTCTACACTATTCTGTGATTCTAAGAAGCAATTCCTTATGGAGGTCCACATGGAAGCTGAATTTACATTAAAAACTCACTACAGAATGATAGGCCTTCATGACGCATGGCAAAACTTTGAGTATTTTACCATCTACATACTAATCTAATTGCTCAATTGCTCTGTTCTTTATGGTACATTACTAGAATCCATCATCCTTACTAAAAATTAATTTAGGAATTATATTGATATGCCATTTAAAAAATTATCAAAACCTCTACTTGAGAGCAAGATAGATACATAAACATTTAATATTCATTTTTTTCTGGCACTTATAGTAAAAATGTTTCTGTATTAGGAAAAAATAGTTTTTATAAGACTATATGGAAATAAATAATAAAAAATATTGTTATAACACTTCAATAAGTATAAAATATCTCTATATGCATCTGCAAAATCTAACCCAGATAAATGGTACTTATTTACAATTTTATGAAATCCTCCTCTGTGCTTTACAGTGAAAACTTACCTTTGAATCATATATTACCAAAGTGTGCAATTATTTTAAAGTACATCTGCGCTTCAAATATTTTCATATTTTTCAATTTATCTAAATAATATATACAGAAAAATGAGGGATTTAAAAATAATTTTTATAATTTCAAATAAAATGTTAGATGTTTCATCAACTGAAATAAATACTAATGAAAATACTTTCTATTTTATCTCACTTCTGACATTTAGACAATAAAAAGGTATTAAGAAAACTGGATAATGGTATAGAAATTCATTTCTATACCTATTTTAAATTTAGCTTGTTAGAAATAACAACATATGGCCAGCAGCTCAAAAACGTTATTTTCCAATTTTCCTTTAAATGCATATGTGAACGTTTGAAAGGCAAATACTCATAGTTCTAAAAACCAAAGCCTTGTTTCTATCACTTAAACACTCTGTAGGATTTTGATACAATTGTATGAAATGTAAAATTGTTTAAATTCACATACTAGGTTGGTTTCATAGAGCAGGACTGACAACCTCAAAGATGGTAGGAAGACCCTTTATCCTTCCCATGTCATGTTTGGTTTGGTTATTATGATAGTTAATATTAGGTATCAACTTGTCTGGATTGAGGGATGTCTAAATGCCTGGTAAAGTATTGTTTCTGGGTGTGTCTGTGAGGGTGTTGCTAAAGGAGACTGACTGAGTCAGCAAACTGGGAGAGGAAGACCTACACTCAATGTGTGTGGACACATTCCAACTGACTACCAGCACAGCTGGAAAATATCAGGCGAAAGAAGAGGGATAAGCTTACTTGCTGGGTTTTCTGGCTCTCTCTTTCTTCCCTTGTTGGATGCTTGCTTCCTCTTCTCCTGCCCTTGAACATCGGACTTCAGGTCATTTGGCCTTTGAACCCTGTGACTTGCATCAGTGCCTTCCTGGAGCTCTCGGGCCTCTGGCCACAGACTGAAGGCTGCACTGTCAGCTTCCCTGGTTTTGAGGCTTTCTGACTTGGTCTGAGCCAGTACCAGCTTCTCTCTTTCCCCAGCCTATTTTGGGTCTTTGTCATGTAATTATGTGAGCCAATCCTCCCTAATAAACTGTTTTTGTCTCTGTGAAGAACCCTAACACAGTTTGCTAGTAGTGATAAATGTGGGTAACAGTTGTTCAGAAGTGCAAGATCTTTATCAATCAGAAAACAACTACATTTCCCTTTTCTTCCCAATATTTTCCAAAAAAAATCTGGGTATTCTGCTATATGCAGGTTTCAACATGAGTCATGAATATAGGAGAAGGCAAAAAGTTGTCTAAGAATAGTGTGTCCAGAATTGGTGGTTTCTAGGTTTCACTGACTTCAAGAATGAAGCCGCGGACACTTGCAGTGAGTGTTACAGTTCTTAAAGACGGTGTGTCTGGAGTTTGTTCCTTCTGATGTTCGGATGTGTTCAGAGTTTCTTCCTTCTGGTGGGTTCGTGATCTTGCTGGCTTCAGGAGTGAAGCTGCAGACCTTTGTGGTGAGTGTTACAGCTCTCAAGGCGGCAGGCCTGCAGGTGTTCATTCCTCCTGTCTGGAGTTGTTTATTACTCCTGGTGGGTTTGTGGTCTCGCTGGCCTCAGGAGTGAAGCTGCGGACCTTTGTGGTGAATGTTACAGCTCATGAAGGCAGTGCGGACCCAAAGAGTGAGCAGCAGGAAGATTTATTGCAAAGAGCGAAAGAACAAAGCTTCCATAGGGTGGAAGGGGACCCGGGTTGCTGCTGGTGGCTCAGGCAGCCTGCTTTTATTCCCTTATCTGACCTCACCCACATCCTGCTCATTGGCCCATTTTACAGAGAGCTGATTGGTCCATTTTGACAGGGTGCTGATTGGTGCGTTTACAATCCCTGAGCTAAACACAGAGTGCTGATTGGTGCATTTACAATCCTCTAGCTAGACATAAAAGTGCTCCAAGTCCCCACTAGATTAGCTAGACACAGAGCACTTATTGGTGCATTTACAAACCTTTAGCTAGATACAGAGTGCTGATTGGTTCATTTACAATCCCTGAGCTACACACAGAGTGCTGATTGGTGCATTTACAATCATTTAGCTAGACACAAAAGTTCTCCAAGTCCCCACTAGATTAGCTAGACACAGAGCACTGATTGGTGCATTTACAAACCTTGAGCTAGACACAGGGTGCTGATGGGTGCATTTACAATCCTTTAGCTAGACATAAAAGTTCTCCAGGTCCCCATCTGACTCAGGAGCCCAGCTGGCTTTGCCTAGTGGATCCTGCTCCAGGGCCGTGGGCAGAATTGCCTGCCATTCCCAGACAGCACGCCCACACTCCTCAGCCCTTGGGCAGTCGATGGGACTGGGCGCCAGGGAGCAGGGGACAGTGCCCGTCGGGGAGGCTTGGGCCACATGGGAGCCCACAGGGGAAGCTGGGGGGCTAGGGCATGGCAGGCCGTAGGTGCCGAGCCCTGCCCAAAGGGGAGGTGGCTGAGGCCTGGTGAGAATTTGAGCATGGTGTGGGCAGGCTGGCAGTACTGGGAAACTGGGCGCACCCTCCGCAGCTGCTGGCCCCGGTGCTAAGCCCCTCACTGCCCGGGGCTGGCAGAGATGGCTGGCCGATCTGGCAGTGGGGCCTGCCAAGCCTGCACCCAACTGGAACTTGTGCTGGCCTGCAAGCACCACATGCAGCCTGTTCCCACCCATGCCTCTCCCTTCACACCTCCCAGCAAGCAGAGGGAGGAAGCTCCGGCCTCAGCTAGCCCAGAGAGGGGCTCTCACAGTACAGCGGTGGGCTGAAGGGCTCCTCAAGCATGGCCAGAGTGGACACTGAGGCTGAGGAGGCACTGAGAGCGAGCAAGGGCTGCTAGCATGTTGTGACCTCTAAATCCCCCCTCTAAACAGGACACCCCAACTGCTGTTGGGAATTTGGCTGAAGACTGCTCTAGCTAATTCCTGCTGGATAGGGGTGATGAAGGGGCCCTGCAGTTGTAGAGTCCTCCAGAGGGGAGCTCTCTAGGCCAGTGAAAGTTCCAGGGGACGGTCCAGGGGTCCTCAGTAGAAGTTGTTAGTTGAACTCATTTGGGGTTCCATTTTTAAGACCATCTGTAGCTTGATGGCCTCAATTCTAGAGGAAACAAATTTGACAAGAAGGTTAAAAATACAGGGCCCAAAGGTGAGTAACAGCAAGATGGCTGCCACGGGACCTAGAAAGGGGAGAAGCCATGTTGCCCAACTCCAGAGGTTGGTATAAGAGTTTGAAAGGCATTGTCTGATTTCAGAAGCCTTTCCTGTAAATGCCAGGTGGCATCTCATACTATCCCTGACTGGTTAGTGTAAAAATAACACTCTTCCCCTAAGAAGGTGCAGAGTCCTCCTTTCTCAGCAGTGAGGAGGTCTAGGCCTTGGTGGTTTTGGAGAGTCACTGCTGCCAAAGACTCTATTTGGGATTGTAGAATAGATTTTATTTCTTGCAAAGTGTCTGAAAAATCCTTTGAGAATGTGTGGTAGTAGGATAATGAAGTAGATAAGCTGGCTATTCCAGTTCCTATAGCAGTAGCCATTCCTAACCCTATAAGTGGGGGTATTAGTTGTATGGATCTGTGCTGATGGACTTGAGCTTTGAGGGGCACTGATAGGGTCTGATTTCCAGGGGCAATGTTAAAGACTAAGGTGCAGGTGCCGGTCCAGTTAGTGGGGAGGCAGATATAGGTTGACATTCCACATAAGAAGAATATACCTTGGCTTGGTAGACAGAAATTTACCCTGGCTTTTAAAGGAATAGGGTACAGTTTTTTCTTTACTACTTGCATCTCTCTTTCTCTTTGACTTTCTGTCTCTTTCCTTTCAGCTGCCTCTGTGAGCTGCTCATACTGCTGTTCTCCCCTCTCCTCCCATTTTGATGGCTTTGGCAGTGTAAGAGTTCCACCTCCTTGGGTTTTTGCATTGTGTGCAATAACTCTATAATTTCCTTGTGGTATTTAATGGGGGTTCCCCCAGAGGTTAGGAGCTCCCTTTCTTTCCATATTGCAGCATGGGCAAGTAGGATTAGATAAGCATACTTGTTATCTGTACACAGATTTATTCTTTTTCCCTTTCTGAGTCCTAAGCCTCGGGTAAGTGCCACTAGTTCTGCTAACTGGGCACTGGTCCCTGGGGGAAAAGGCTTACTTTCAAGTATGATTACATCACTAACTATGGCATAACCTGCCCTTCATATCCCGTCCTCCACAAATGAACTTCCATCAGTATATAGGTTAAGGTCAGGATTAGCTAAGGGGACTTCTAAGAGATCATCTCGGGCAGCATAAGTCTGGACTATAATTTGTTGGCAGTCATGCTTGATTGGTTCCCCATCCTCTGGGAGAAAAGTGGCAAGGTTGAGGGCCACACACATACATATTTGAAGCACCAGTCCCTCAAGGAGTATCTAAGTAGGAGTATCTAAGCACCTGGTATCTAAGTAGGTGGTTGTCTGATAGCCATAAACTTCCTTTGGCACCTAGTATGCCATTTACATCATGAGTAGTCCAGAGAGTGAGATCCTTTCCTTGTATTATCTTGATAGCCTCTGACACTAAGACAGCCACCACTGCAACTACCCTTAAACAGTGAGGCCAGCCTTTTGCTACTACATCAATTTCCTTACTCAGGTATGCCACTGGTCGTGAGGGTGTCCCACAAATCTGAGTAAGGACTCCAAGAGCTATCCCTGCTCTCTCTATGACATATAAAGAGAAGTTTTGTCCTGTCAGAAGGCTTAAAGCTGGAGCTTGTACTAGGGCCTGCTTTAAGGTTTTGAAGGCTGTTAATGCCTCTGGTTCCCATTCTACTAAATGAGTATTTGCCCTCTGGGTTTCCTTGATTAGAGTACAGAGGGGCCTGGCTATCTCGCTGTATCTGGGGATCCATAGTCGGCAAAAGCTGGTAATTCCAAGGAACCCCTGCAACTGTTTTAATGTCTCAGGGAGAGGATAACCCAGTATAGGCTGTATTCCTTCCTTGCTGAGGGCTCTGGTCCCTCTGGCTAAGATTAGGCCTAGATATTTGACCTGCCTTAGGCAAATCTGGGCCTTCAACATAAACACCTTGTATCCTTGATTAGCTGGACAGTTCAAGAGATCTAGAGCAGCCTGCTGGCATGAGGCTTCCAAACTCATAGCCAAAAGTAAATCATCCACATACTGAAGGACCAGAGTTCCTGGACTTGAGAAGTGGCCTAGATTTTGGGCCAGTGCCTGATCAAACAGATGAGGGCTATTCCTAAATCCTTGGGGCAAGACCGTCCACTTAAGTTGGGACATGTGGTCTGTGGGATCCTCAAAGGCAAAGAGAAACTGGGAGTCAGAGTGCAGGGGAATACAGAAGAAGGCACCCTTGAGGTCTAGAACTGTGAACCATTTTGCTTCCTCTGGTATTTGAGAGAGCAGGGTATAGGGGTTGGGTACAACTGGATATAGAGGAATTACTGCCTCATTGATGAGTCTAAGATCTTGCACTAGTCTCCACTGACTGTTCAGTTTTTGTACTCCTAGAATTGGGGTTTTGCAAGGACTGCTGCATTTCCTTACTAACCCTTGAGCTTTTAAACGTTTAACGATATCCTGTAATCTTTTATGAGCTTCAGGCTTTAAGGGATATTGTGTTTGATAAGGAAAAGTGCTGGAATCTTTTAAACTGATTTGAACTAGACGGGCATTTTTTGCCCTTCCAAATTGTCCTTCCAATGCCCAGACTTCCGGGTTGATTCCCTCCTCAAGTAGGGGACAACAAATGGGTAACTTGTTTCCCATATTCATGTAGATCATAGCTCCAGTCCTGGCTAATATATCCCTCCCTAATAAGGGTGTGGGTCATTCAGGCATAACAAGAAAGGCATGTGAAAAGAGCAAAGTCTCCCAATTACAACTGAGGAGGTGGGAGAAATACCTGGTTATAGGCTGTCCCAGGATTTCCTGGATGGTAACAGACCTTGAGGACAGTCATCCAGGACAGGAGATTAACAGAGAAGGCCGCAACAGTGTCCAGGAGGAAGCCAATTTCCTGGACCTTAATGGTTAAACATACCCAGGGCTCAGTGAGGGTGATGACATGTACTGGTGCTTGCCCCTGGCACCCTCAGTCTTGTTATTGGATCATCTGGTTGGGGGCTTCTGACCAGAGAACCTTCATCCTCTGGGGCAGTGTACCTTCCAGTGATTGTCTTGGCATAGTGGACATGGATGAGGGGGCAGCTTGTTTCTCATTGGACAATCTTTTTTAAAGTGTCCTAGTAAATCACACTGATAACAAGCCCTACAGGGTGATTGGCCTACTCCATTTTCTGTCCTCTCTGAACCACCAAGGTTTGTTTGTCTGAGGGCCATGACTAAGGCTGCTGACTTTCTCTGATCTCACTTTTCCTTTTGGGCCTGTTTCTCTTGGTCCATATTATAGAATACCAAGGTTGCCAGGTTTAATAATGCCTCCAGATTTTGTTCAGGGCCAAGAGCTTGCTTTTGGAGCTTTCTCCTGATTATCTGTGGCTGATTGGGTAATAAGCTTATCTTTTAGAATCAATTGACCTTCGAGTGATTTGGGTGACAGGGGAGTATATTTTCTTAAGGCCTCCCGTAGCTGCTCAAGGAAGGCAGAAGGATTTTCTTCCTTTCCCTGAGTTATGGTGGACATCATTGAATAATTCATGGGCTTTTTTCTAATCCTCTTTAGTCCTTCTAGAACTCAGGTCAACAGATGTTTATGACTCTAGTCCCCATGATCTGAGTCGAGGTCCCAGTGGAGATCCATACTGGGGATGGCTTGCTGACCAGTAGGGAATTTGTCCCTTTCTTCAGCTGTCATTCTATCATTTACTTGACTAAGACACCAGGTATCTCCAAACTCTCAGGCTGCAGCTAAAGCCACATTCTTTTCATTAAAGGCCAGGGTTTGATCTAACAGTAGCATGACATCTCTCCAAGCGAGATTGAAGGTTTGCCCTAGATGCTGTAGGACATCTATGTACCTATCATGATCATCTGAAAACTTTCACAGGCCTTCCTTGATCTGCTTTAAATCAGAGAAGGAGAAGGGGACATGTACCCAGGTTGGGCCAAATTTCCCTCCCCCTACAGCTTGAAGGGGACATAACCGATAGCCAGGGGGAGGGGATTGTGGTCCTTTGGAGATTTCTTTGTTTATTTCCTTCTGGGCAGGGGAGATTAGAGGAGGATTATCATTAATAGGAAGGGGAACCATAGGGAGGCTAGGATATGGGGGTAAGCTGAGAGGTCCTCCTGTGGGATGTAAATTTCAAGCTTTGCATAGTTGTGTGGTCTCCCTCAATGAAAAGAAAGCTTGGACATAAGGTATTTCACTCCATTTGCCTTCCCTCTTACAGAAAAGATCAAGCTGCAGGATAGTATTGTAACTTGTACTTCCCTCAGGTGGCCATTTTTCCCCATCAGAGAGAGAATATTGGGGCCAAGCCATACTGCAGAAAAAAAAAAATGAGCTGCCTCTTTTTCAGAGTTTGTTGGTCAAATTGGTCCCAATGGCTTAAGATGCATTTCAAGGGTGAGCCTGTTGATGCCTGAGTGTTTCCCATCTGAAAGGCAAAACTGCCTGCAGTTTTGGTTTGTTTTGTTTCTCACCCTGCCCAAGAACCCACAACGGTCCCTGAACCCTGCTGATCGGAATAGTTGCGCTCACTGACACAGCAGCAGAAACAACCCCTGCCTAAGAACCTGTAACAGTCCCTGGACCCAGCTGATAGGAATAGTTGCACTCACCAATGCAGCAGTAGAAACACTAGTTTTCCTCCCAGACCACAAGGAGGACCAAAGAAGGTCAGATTTAGTGGCCCTTACTGATGCATTCTTGAAAACCTGCACCCTTGCCTGTCCTCCTAGACCACAAGGAGGACCAAGAAAAATGGGATTTAGTGGCCCTTACTGACTCACTCTTGAAAACCTGTTAGAGTCCTAAGCATTCTCCTGTTAGTACTGGGATTTTACCCCTGTCCTATAAAGATGTTATGCCCCAAAAATGAAGTGGAGGGCCATACCCTGAGGGAGGGAAGGGATCTCCAGGGTTGGAATAGTGACACCTTTTTTCCTCACTTATATGAATAGGAAGGATACAATTTCTGAGGCTCCCCATATCCTAGCGTCAGGAATAGCTTTTGTTAGGCCTGTTAGTTTGAGTAGGGATCCTAAAATTCCAGGTAGTCCCCCTTACGATGGGGCTTTGGGCAAAAATTATGTCTTTGTAATTGGTGAGCCAGGGTGCTTAAAGAAGGTAACAGAGTCTTGGAGTTTATACTAGAAGTCATTCTTATAGGAGAAACTAGAAAAGCACCAGAGACAGGGACTGAGTTTTAGAAGCGGGACTAGCCTCAGAGAAGAGAGGCGAGATGACGTTTGTCTGGCAGGCATTAGGACCCAGGGGTCAAGGGTCAGGATAGATAGGATAGATGGGCGAGTCTCGCTTGGGCGACATGTCTTTGAGAGTTCCACTCATGGCTGCAGGGTCAACCAACTTGTTGTCGGGACCCCGGAGTTGAATGGCTTTCCTCTCTGTCAACCCTCGGCTCAGCCCAGAAGTACAGGAAAAGCGGAAGCTGGTTCCAGGCAAACCAACGCTCCCAACTCCGAAGAGTCGAGGGTTGTTAGAGAGCTCTTTCCCAGAAAGCCTGACACCCATGTCTTTAGTCCGGCAGCCGCGCTAGTTGCTTTTAATTGGCTGACGGGTGCCCGGTATTTAGCCCCTGAATTCTAAGGAAAAATAGGATAGAATACCAAGTGAAAGGGGTCCAATGGTACTCACTGCTTGGTGATAGGTGACAGTGTTACCGCTCAGTGATAGGCGATGGTCCCTTTGTGGTAACCAAAATGAGTCCGGAATTGGTGGGTTCTTGGTCTTACTGACTTCAAGAATGAAGCCATGGGCCCTCGTGGTGAGAATTACAGTTCTTAAAGATGGTGTGTCCAGAGTTTGTTCCTTCTGATGTTCAGACGTGTTTGGAGTTTCTTCCTTCTGGTGGGTTCGTGGTCTCACTGGCTTCAGGAGTGAAGCTGCAGACCTTCGCAGTGAGTGTTACAGCTCTTAAGGTGGCACATCTGGAGTTGTTCATTCCTCCCATCTGGAGTTGTTTATTCCTCCCAGTGGGTTTGTGGTCTCACTGGCCTCAGGGGTGAAGCTGCAGACCTTCGCGGTGAGTGTTACAGCTCATAAAGGCAGTGTGGACCCAAAGAGTGAGCAGCAGCAAGATTTATTGTGAAGAGCACTGGGGCCATGGGCAGAGCTGCCTGCCAGTCCCACGCAGCATGCCCGCACTCCGCAGCCCTTGGGCGGTCGATGGGAAGGGGTGCCATGGAGCAGAGCCCACGGTGGGGAGGTGGGGCTTGGGCATGGCAGGCTGCAGGTCCTGAGCCCTGCCCCACGTAGAGGCGGCTGAGGCCCGGCAAGAACTCAAGCATGGCGCAGGTGGGCCAGCTGTGCTGGGGGACCCGGGACACCCTCCGCAGCTGCTGGCCCAGGTGGTAAGCCCCTCACTCCCTGGGGCTGGCTGCACTGGCTGGCCACTCTGGCGGCAGGGCCCACCGAGCCCACACCCACCTGGAACTCGTGCTGGCCCATAAGCGCTGTGCGCTGCCCCAGTTCCCACCCACGCCTCTCCCTCCACACCTCCCCGCAAGCAGAGGGAGCTGGCTTGGGCCTCGGCAAACCCAGAGAGGGACTCCCACAGTGCAGCGATGGGCTGAAGGGCTCCTCATGTGCAGCCAGAGTGGTTGCCGAGGCCGAGGAGGCACCGAGAGCGAGCGAGGGCTGCTAGCATGTTGTCACCTCTCAATAGGAGCCACTTGGTAGTAGTGACTATGAGGGATACTTCACAATTGTTGGAGGGGGAAGATATATGTTTGTTTAGCCCATCTGAGATCCAGGCTGGAGGGGAGCTGATGATTCCTTCACATTCTAGAACCTCCATGTTTTAGCAATCTTCCTAAACAATGGGGCATATGCCAAGAGCTAAGAAAATTAACCACGTATCTTTTAAAAACTTCTTTTTAGAGTCAGAATTTAAAAAGATAAAAATGCACGTAACTTTATCTCTGACAACAACAACAAAAGAGCTGGACCATCAACTAGCACATCAAAAAGTTGAAATTCCACCATTAAGTGCCTTTATTCCTGTGATACAAGGCTGGTTCAACATAAACAAATCAATTCAACATTATGTGATTCACCAGATAAACAGAATTAAAGACAAAAACCATATGATCATCTCAATAGATGCAGAAAAAAGCTTTCAATAAAATTCAACATTTCTTCATTATAATAACATTCAACAAACTGGATATCAAAGGAACATACCTCAAAAAAATAAAAGCCATTTGTGACAAACCCACCACCAACATCATACTGAGTGGGTAAAAGCTGGAATCATTCCCCTTGAGAACTGGAACAAGACAAGGATACTCACTGTCACCACTTCTGTTTAACATAGTACTGTAAGTCATATCCAGAGCAATCAGGTCTGACAAATGACTAAAAGAAGTCAAACTATCTATCTTCATTGATGATATGATTCTATACTAGAAAACCCTAAAGACTCTGCCAAAAGACTATTAGAACTGATAAACAATTTTAGTAAGGTCTCAGGATGCAAAATCAATGAACAAAAATCAGTAGCATTTTAAGACATCAATGTCTGGGCTGAGAATTAAATTGAGAGCACACTCTCTTTTACGATAGTCACAAAGAAAAGGAAATTCCTAGGAATACAGCTAACCAAGGATGTGAAAGGTCTCTATAAGGAGAGCTACAAAACACTGCTGAAAGAAATCAGAGATGACACAAATAAGTGAAAAACATCCCATGCTCATGGAATGAAAGAATCAATATTATTAAAATAGCCACACTGCCCAAAGCAATAGACAGATTCACTGCTATTTAAGCTACAACGTTATTCTTCAAAGAATTAGAAAAAAACTATTCTAAAGTTCATATGGAACAAAGAAAATAGTCCAAATAGCCAAAGCAATCCTAAGCAAAAAAAAAATAAAGCTACAGGCACCATCCTACCCGACATCAAACTGTACTATAAGGCTAAAGTAACCAAAATAGCATGGTACCAGTACATAAACAGACACATAGACCAATGGAACAGAATAGAAAACTAAGAAATAAAGCTGCACAATGGCAACCATCTGATCTTCGACAAGGCTGACAAAAACAAGCAATAGGAAAGTACTCCCTATTTAATAAGTGGGATAACTGGCTAGTCATATGCAGAAGAACAAAGCTAGAGCATTACCTTTCACAATATGCAGAAGTTAACTGAAAGTGGATCCAAATTTAAATGTAAGACCTCAAACTATGAAAATCCTAGAAGAAAACCACCAAAATTCCCTTCTCAGAATTGGCCTTCCCCAAGAATTTCTGGCTAAGTTCCCCAAATCAACTGCAACAAAAACAAAATTGACAAGTGGAACCTAGTTAAACTAAAGAGCTTCTGCACAGCAAAAGAAACTATCAACAGAGTAAACAGACAACCTACAGAGAGAAGATGTTCACAAACTACGCATCCAACAAAGGTCCAATATTCAGAAACTATAAGCAATATGAGCAAATCAAAAAGCAAAAAGTAAATGCATTAAAATAGGCAAAGGACATACACAGACACTTCTTAAACAAAGACATACAAGCAGCCAACAAACATGAAAAAAATGCTCAGCATCACTAATCAGAAAAATGCAAGTCAGACAATAGTGAGATACCATCTGACAGCAGTCAGAATGGCTATTACATAAAGTCAAAAAACAATAGATGTTGGCGAGGCTGTTCAGAAATGTGAATGCCTATACACTGTTGGTGGGAGCGTAAATTGGTTCGGCTACTGTGAAAAGCAGCTTGGAGATTTATCAAAAACTTTAAATAGAGCAGTAACATAGAATTACTCTTTGACCCAGCAACCCCATTACTGAACATATTCTCAAAGGACAATAGAACATTATACCAAAAAGATATATGCACTTGTATGTCCATTGCCACAGTATTCACAATAGCAAAGACATGTAAACAATTTAGGTGCCCATTGATAGTGGATTAGATAAAGAAAATGTGATACATGCACATGATGAAATACATGTTCCCCCTGTATCTAAAATAAAAGTTGAAAAAAATATAAAAATAAAATTAAATTAAAATTAAAAACTAGACAAACTGAAAATTCACAGCTTTTCTTTTACCCATCAAAAATCAAGGTCTCAAGGAAAATCACTGTCTTAAATCCAAGGTGAGACCATAACTTGCTAGAAGAAAGAACTAATTGGTGAAGACTAAATGTAGGGTAAGAAGAGAATACAGAAGTCCTAGACAGCAGAAATATAAGGGAAATGTGTCCCCATTTGCAGGCTCTTACTCATAAATTTCATTAAGCACTCATAAAAATAGTCAGGAGTCCTAAGAAAGCACTCCTCGTGGTACTGGCCTCCAGGAGGAGAAGAGTAACAATTGTTGAAAAGTATTAAATTTGCCGAGATCCTTGTCTTTTATGAAGTGAAAGCCTGAAACTGATAACAAAATCAGACAGAAACATTAATAGAAAAAAATGTTACAGACAAATATTCTTCATTAAGATACACAGAAATAGCATCAACAGAATATTAGCACATAGAATTCAGAAATATATAAAAACAATATCACCACAGTGGGTAAATCAAGGCACTTTCAACATTCACAAATAGATTACTTACTATGATAAGAAACTAAATAAAAAATGATAAGTTCCTTCTTGATGGAGAATAAAATTTATCATCTACTTACAATAAGATGAAAGGAAACAATAAAAAAATATGGTTACATGTTGAAGTCTTTTCCTCTCTCATCTGGTAAAAGCTAAAAATGTTTTTCTCTTAAAACTCCTGTGAAACATTATACTGAAATCCTAGCCAGAGCAGTAAGTCAAACAAAACAAATACAAAGAGAGAAAGAGAGGGAGGAAAGAAAAGAAGAAAGGAAGGAAAAAGAAAGGAAGGAAGGAAGGAAGGAAGGAAAATGCATAGGTACAAACTTATCAAATTGTTATACATTAAATATGCAGTTTTTAATATCAATTATTCCTCAATTAAGCTTTTTAAAAATAAAGAAAATGACTGGAAAATAAATCAGTAAGTTAAATACAAGAAAGTGAGATTAATTATGTAAAATTATCTCATGCCTCTATGTTGGGGCTCAGAAAACAATACCCCGAAATGAAGGCCTCAGAAGCAGACTCAGAAGCAAAAGTTTTTATTTGACCTTCTCCTGCCTTTCCATTTTTAGTCCCATTGTTTATTGAAGCTAGCCATAGAAACTAGAATCTCTCTTCCCTAAGGCAAGTCATAGAAACCAGAACCCCCTTTTCCTCAAAGACAGCCATAAGACCTAAAAATATTACAATAACTTTCCCTCCACCCTCTCCGTGTAAAAATTAATCATAAGGAAATTATTTGACCTACTTTGTTTGACTGTAGGTCATAAGACTCCCATTCCAGAAAGAGTCTTGCTCTATACCCAAAAGGAAGAAGTGCATGCTTACATAGGCCAAGAAGAACCAGGCCTTGCTTGGTTTCCCCACTCAGTCTATTAGCATTAGATCATAACTTGTTTGTCCAATCATATTCCTACATGGCTGTCCATATTTTATGGAGTCTAAGCATAAGAATAGACAATTACCCTCTATCTTTGGGTCTTCATTCTGAAGGCTCCTGCATATGTGTATGTATATATACATTTTTTGGAGACAGAGTCTTGCTCAGCCGCCCAGGCTGGAAGGCAGTGGTGTGATCTCGGCTCACTGCAAGCTCCTCCTCCTGGGTTCACACCATTCTCCTGCCTCAGCCTCCCGTGTAGCTGGGACTACAGGCTCCCGCCACTGCACCTGGCTAATTTTTTGTATATTTAATAGTGACATGGTTTCACCGTGTTAGCCAGAATGGTCTCGATCTCCTGACCTCATGATCCACCCGTCTTGGCCTCCCTAAGTGCTGGGATTACAGGCGTGAGCCACTGCGCCTGGCCTGTATGTATATATTAAATAAATTTAAATGCCTTTCCCCCAATTATCTACCTTCTGCAAGTTGGCTTTTCAGCGAATCTTCAAAGGGGACAAAAGGAAAGCTCTTCCTGGGCCTCCACAATGTAATAATTTTTTAATGTAAAAAATATATAAACATTGGAAAAGAAATGTCTCATTGTTTCTACTTGCAGATGACATAATCATCTACATAGAAAATATCAAAATAGAAAATATCAACAGAAGTATTAAAAATATCTTAAATCTAACAAGCAACTTTAAGGGGGTTGCAGAAAACAATAATAATATGCAGAAGTCAATTTTATTTTTATATACTAGAAATAAGCACAAAATTTGAAATTAAGAATACCAATTATAACACAATAATGTGATAAAACTTTTAGGTATTAGGAAAATAATTGCAAGATCCTTATGTTGGAAATCATATAACATCAGGCATAATCATACATACATGTATATGTATATTACATACATAAAGGAGAATACAAGGGCTGAAGATTGGAGACTATGATAGTGAGTACCATATCTGTCTCAAAAGGTGACACTGAGTTAGGCTCTATAGCCAAAAACCAGACAGAGCAAAATCATATCTCTCTATAAGATACTAGCTTTGAAACAAAGATGGTTGTAGACCCTTTACTTCTTTAGATACTCTAATTATGTGATCCTCTGAAAACTAGATGCAGCACCGGGACAGTAGAACAGAGAAAGGAAAAGTCTCAATTGACCGTGTATTACAGAAATACTCACGAAAGCACCAAAGTGACTGAATTTGCCTGGAGTTGATTAATTTTTTTCCTCAGGTGAGATAGGCAGTCAATACATTAAGTTAAATTATCAAAAGTAGTATTACATTTTCTATACCTGGATGTAGAAAAATTAGGCTTAGGAATAATCATTCATATTCTCCTAGTCATATCTGTGTCCAAAAACTCAATAAATTTGAAACTTAAAATGTTTTAACATTTTAAAACTGATAAAATATTTCAGTGTAGAGAGTAATGTTAGAAAAAAATAGACTATAGCAATTTTTATAGAAATATATCTATTGGAATTTAAGAGAGTTATCTAGAAAATGAAGGTGGCATCAGTCATTCAATTTTATTTTAGCATGAATAAAGAAATTAAATAAAGGCTTTAAATCCTGAGGAAGTTGTATTAGTCTGTTCTCACACTGCCATAAATAAATACCTGAAACTGAGAAAACAGGTTTAATTGGCTCATGATTCCACATGCTGTACAGAAAGTGTAGCCACTTCTGCTTCTGGAGAGGTCTCAGGAAACATTTCTTAGAATCATGATGAAAGGTGAAGGGAAGCAAGCACAATTTACATGACTGGAACAGGAGGAAGGAAGAGAGAGGGGAGATGCACACAATTTTAAACAACCAGATCTCGTGAGAACTCAGTATCGTGAAAACACCACCAAGGGGGATGGTGTTAAATCATGAGAAACTGGCCCCATGATTCAAGCACCTCCCACCAGGCCCCTCCTCCAACACTGGGAATTACATTTCAACATGAGATTTGGGTGGGAACACAGTTCAACCCATATCATAACTCAACAATTCAGATAACTCAATGTGAAAGAGCTTTCTAAAAATCAATAAGATGCATTTTCATTTTACCTCAGTAGAATAAGAAATCTGGTCTTTTCTTAGTGGTAGAAACAAATGTTAATGAAGGACTAACAATGTGTGTACAAGAAGATTTACCGTGCTGATAAATGTGTGTCATATAGACATCTCACAAGGAAAAAGGTCCCACGGCCATAAGAAGATGACTCTTGGTCAGCTGCTTTGCCTGAATAACTGTTCTATACCCATCTAGAGGATGGGAGAGAGGTCTTCTGGAAGAGTTTCTGCATTCAGCCATCCTTTGTCATGCCTTGCACCTGCTGCATGACACCATCTGTGCCATTGGCTCTGCATGGAGACATGCTCAAGGGATGCTCTGTTGGGGAATGAGAGGAAATCAGAGATGTTCTTTCTTCAGAGAGGTTCCAGAGAGTGAAGAACATCTCTACTTTAGGAGAAAAATCCTTCCACTCTACTTTTCTATCTCATTATAACAAGAGTAACCACAGCACGTTTACGCTCTAGAGGGACATTGTGAGATTTTATTATTGTTATTGTGATTGTTGTTGTTATATTCTCTACACAGAGTAGGAATGAACTATGTGATACGATTTTTGACGTCCATGAGAAAACCAATTTGTCCAGTTCTGCCAGTGATAAGCATAGTAAGTTTTCCTAATTCAGAGACCAAGTATGCACATGCCCATTTGGACAAAATTAAGGCCACATTTCCCAATCACCGTTAAAGCAATAAAGGCATCTGTTCATCTCCTATATCATCCTTCTTAATTTGTTCCAACTCTGATGAAGAAAGAAGTGTTTCATTTATTGTCTTTTAAAAATCCAACACACAACTTGACTATTGTACATTTTTACAATGAACTACATTTTTTGTACCTGTATAGTTTCAAGCCATGTCTAGCTGTTTGATGGTTAAAATGGACTTTTATAACTTAATCTGATGCAGGTATCTTACATGAACTTTGGAATTTGGCAAATACAGCTAATTTCAGCTCAGGGCTCACCAATAGAAGAAAATCAAATTTTATCAGTTACAGGGCACTCAAAACAAATAATTGATAGCAACTTGGCTTGAACTCAGAAAATATTAGGGGCTCCGTAGGGAAGCAAACAGATTGCATTGAGAAAAAGTTAACCTGCAACTGAAGACCAGGTGGGAAAAAGACAGCAGTAGACACAGCTGTGCATTTGAGACCCTCTCTGCTAAGTTACTTTGGCTTTACTCTCTTTTACTTCATTAGCCTAAACAGCATCTCTTTTCCAACCACTGCATCTGCACATGAGGAATTCTCTACTCTGGTTGCCTGTGTTGCCATGCCTACTTTATTTAGGTTTGTTATCTCTGATTACAGAAATGTAGATTTTCCTATTTCTGACTCCATGCCAGAAACCTGATGACAGCATGAGTTAAGTTCTCCTTCTTCTTTTAGGTAACAATCTAGTCATCTTCCTTTGACAACAAATGTGTTCAAAAATTAGACAGAAAAAATTTCAAACTGGCCAGATAAAAAAGTCATTGCCAGGACAATGCTGATGGCTTTTCTTCTTATGATGTCTCTTCCACTCACTACCTGTTTTACTGTTTCTGTTCATGATATGCAACAGTCTTTTTCCTTTTGCAGGAATTCTTGCATTTGTCTCACTACATTCATAAGCAATCTTATTGCATTTGGCATGATACCCATCACTTTCTGTCCCTCCTGTCCTGTCTGTTGTTTCACTACTGTCTCCTGTTTCTTAGTGGACACCTCAAACCTCTCCTGTGGGCCAAAATTTCTTATTGCACAGATCACTCTAAACAATAGATGCTTCCTATAGAAAAGAATGTAACAGCAACAAAACAAATAGAATACAATTTTAAAATATTCCTTTAGGAACTGAGGATGCTATTAATATTATCAGATGTTATTAGCTCTGCCTACTTAAATGACTGCAATCCTTTACCCCTTAAAGCTCATTAAAACCTATTTCCCTGGATTTCTAGTCTATGACATAAGACTTTAAGTTCACCCTTTTTCTTTCCCCACTTCCTGCAATTGTTACCCTCAATTCAGAAAGCATATATTAATTGCCAATGGTGCTGCATTTGAATAAGCTACAAAGAAATTCAGTATTACACTCCTAAACAATGCCCACCAGAAAATAACTATTTTATCTTTATTTTGAGTCTTCATAAGACTCAGATAATTTTTTATGATTTGAGAAATAGATACTGTGCTATACTCAGAATGGTAGCATAGCTTTTATATTAAGGTATTGACTTTGGATAATGCTGGTATATGCATTAATTTTCCATTCAATAAAAATATGCCATTACATAGAATATTATTCATCTCTCATGCAAAAAGAGTCCTGTTGAGCCAACTGCCCTTCGTTATTTTTAAGTGTGTCTGAATCCATGTTAATGCCAATTTGGTTTTCATCTATAAGAACTACAACAGGTTTCTCTTTCTTTTCTTTTATAGGATACATATGTATCTTTTCTCAATTAGTGTCATTTTCTTTACTACCTTCTTTACTTCCTTCAATTTGCTTCTTAAATTCTTTTCCCCAGAATTTTCTTCCTTCTTTTTTTCTTCTACCTTCTTATTACCTGTAGAACAACAATCATTGTGAAAAAAATGTGATTCTTATACTCACAAAAGTTATCAAAAATAAATTTTGTCATGATTTAGTTTGCTATCCCTGGCTGAAGAGTGAGAAAGAGAAAGACTGAATGAGTGAGTGATAGAAAGAGCAAGTATAAGCATGTATATTACTAAAATAGCCACCTTTTGACAAGCAGACTGCTTGACCTTATATTGAATTTCAAGTATAGTTAGAGGAGCAAAATGAATAATTTGTCTTCCAACAGTCCATGGGGCAAAGGACAGAGAGGGAGAGGGAAGCAAGAATACTCTATCTAAAGCATTATTTCCCCCACTAGTGAAAGTTGACCCAAACCATTAATTCCCACACATTGTACCTCCAAGGTCTTTTACACATATGTGGGAAGTGAGTCACAGATTGTTTTGGACACTAATGGCAATAAAGAAGTCTTAGAGTAAAAACATAGAGGCTCCCACAGCAGGTGAGAGATGAAACACTTGTCTCCACAAGCAACAGAAAAATCATCATTTTAGGTGAAGTTCCCTAGAACATGGTCTGAGATAAGTATTCTGATATAGGAGATCATCTGAAGGAGTGTTCTTCAGTATAGATCTCTAAATTATTGAATAGAACAAGATATGAAAGGAAAAATACATGGGAAGTGATAGAGTTAGACTTAGTCTGATAACGAGGAGAGGGCTTCAACCTATAAGCACTACACAGTTGCCCTCCTACCCTTGAGGCAATCAAATTAGATTATATGTTCACAGGTGCAATGGTCTATGTCAACGGAGAAAAACAATCAGGAGAAGACTTAGGAGCCAATACCTCATAGTGGTGGGGACAGATATATCGATCCAGTCAAATGCATCTAAGAGCAGGTGTTCCAAGGGGTCCTTCTGCTGCCTTTCCCCTCATAGCACATACTGTGTCTAGAGATCCTTTGTTTCTTTAATGAGAGTTGCTGTAGCTCAATAAGAAGGGTAAGTGTATGAACATTAGGTGAGGCTTAAACTGAATCAAGTTCAGCTCATTATTCTGCAATATTAAATAGCTGTTTATATCATTAAAAGGCATCTGTAACCTTGAGCTGAGAGAAATATTAACCAAGATGTTAACCAATGTTAAAAATATATTTAACAATGGCTATCACATTATGCAAGAAAACCAATTTGTAATTATGAAAAAAAAAGAAATCCAGCAAGTAATTTGCACAGTGGTATTAGTATTTCCCAAATAATAGACTACTTAAAAGTAGAAACAGGGTGAATATGTTGACTGGCCTAATGACTACATTGAAAATTATTTTTATTTTTGTTTTTGATAGAAAAAGTACAACACCATCATATAGAACACACTTTTCTCAATAATTCTCTACTATTTCCTTTTACCTTCTCCTTTTTAATATCTTTAATTCATTCTCTCAACTATTCCAAATGCTACTGGCATGCCCAAAATAACTTCTATGTTACTCCTTTTCAGTCTTTTGTCTATAAATTATGCACCTCATATTCTAATCATTTCAGCTTCTCTTTCTTTCCTTCAAAATAATCTCCTTGTAAGTCTTTTTACCAGACCTAAA
Source organism: Homo sapiens (assembly GCF_000001405.40). NCBI lineage: Eukaryota > Metazoa > Chordata > Mammalia > Primates > Hominidae > Homo > Homo sapiens. Next base: position 95,606,033 of record NC_000003.12, read on the forward strand.
TTTCACTATAGCCTACTTATGAATGGCTGAAACTAGTTTAAATTTTACTCAGCCAGTGTCTCAATAGATCCCTTCAAATACTTATAATATATAATAATAAATATATGTGTGATAGCATATGTGTGTGTGTGTGTGTATATGCACATATACACACACAAATACACTTACATATTTGTATTAGTTCGTTTTCACACTGCTGATAAAGAAATACCTGAGACTGGAAAATTTACAAAAGAGGTTTAATTGGACTTACAGTTTCACATGACTTAGGAAGCCTCACAATCATGGTTGGAGGCAAGGCAGAGCAAGTCACATCTTACATGGATGGCAGCAGGAAGAGAGAGAGCTTGTGCAGGGGAACTGCTCTTTTTAAAACCATCAGATCTTTTGAGACTTATTCACTATCATGAGGACAGCATCGGAAAGACTTGCCCCCTTGATTCAATTACCTCCCACTGTGCCTCTCTGGCAACACATGGGAATTCGAGATAACACTTGGTGGGAACACAGCCAAAACATATCATTTGGTCCCTGGTCCCTGTCAAATCTTATGTCCTAACAATTCAAAATCAATTATGTCTTCTCAACAGTCTCCCAAAGTCTTAACTCATTTCAGCATTAACTCAAAAGTCCACAGTCCAAAGTATCATCCAAAACAATGCAAGCCTCTTCCACCTCAGAGCCTGTAAAATCAAAAGCAAATTAGTTAATTCCTAGATACAATGGAGATGCAGGCATTGGGTAAATACTGCCATTCCAAATGGGAGAAATTGGTCAGAACAAAGTGGATAAAGGTCCCATGCAAGTCTAAAATCCAGCAGGGCAGTCAAATCTTAAAGTTTCAAAATGATCTCCTTTGACTCCATGTCTCACATCCAGGTCATGCTGATGCAAGAGGTAGGTTCCCATGGTCTTGGACAGCTCTGCCCCTGTGGCTTTGCAGGGTACAGTCTCCCTCCTGGCTGCCATCATGGACTGGTGTTGAGTGTTTGCAGCTTTTCCAGGCACACAGTGCAAGCTGTTGGTGGATCTACCACTCTGGGGTTTGAAGGATGGTGGCCCCCTTCTCACAGCTCCAATAGGTGGTTCCCCAGTAGGGAGTCTGTGTGGGGGCTCCAACCCCACATTTCCCTTCCACACTGTCCTAGTTGAAGCTCTCCATGAGAGCCCTGCTTCTGAAGCAAATTTCAACCTGGACATTCAGGCATTTTCATATCTCTTCTAAACTCTATGTGGAGGTCCTCAAACCCCAGTTCTTGACTTCTGTGTACTGGTAGGCTCAACACCAAGTGGAAGATGCCAAGGCTTGAGGCTTCCACCTTTGAAGCCACTGACCAAGGTCTATATTTGCCCCTTTCAGCCACAGCTGGAGTGGCTGGGACACAGGGCACCAAGTCCCTGGGGTGCACACAGCATGGGGACCCTGGGCCTAGCCCACAAAACCACTTTTTCCTCTTAGGCCTCTGGGTCTGTGCTGGGAGGGGTTGCTATAAAGACCTCTGACATGCCCTGGAGACATTTTCTCTGTTGTCTTGGGGATTAACATTTGGCTCCTCCTTACTCATGCAAATGTCTGCAGCCAACTTGAAATTCTCCTCAGAAAATGGGATTTTCTTTTCTATCACATTGTCAGGCTGCAAAGTTTCCAAACTTTTATTCTCTGCCTCTCTTATAAAACTGAATGCCTTTAACAGCACCCAAGTCACATCTTGAATGCTTAGCTGCTTAGAAATTTCTTCTGCCAGATATCCTAAATCATCTCTCTCAAGTTCAAAGTTCCACATCTCTAGGATGGAAGCAAAATGCCTCCATTCTCTTTAATAAAACATAAGAAGAGACACCTTTGCTCCAGTTCCCACCAAGTCCTCATCTCCATCTGAGACCCCCTCAGCCTGGACCTTATTGTTTATGTCACTATTAGCATTTTTGTCAAAGACATTCTGCAAGTCTCCAGGAAGTTCCAAACTTTGCAACATTTTTCTGTCTTCTTCTGAGCCCTCCAAATTGTTTCAACCTCTGCCTCTTACCCAATTCTAAAGTCACTTCCATATTTTTGGATACCTTTTCAGTAGCACCCCACTCCTGGTACCAACTTACTATATTTGTCACTTTTCACACGCTGATAATGACATACCTGAGATTGGGCAATTTACAGAAGAATGAGGTTTAATTGAACTTACAGTTCCATGGGTTTAGGGAAGCCTCACAATCATGGCAGCAGGCAAGGAAGAGTAAGTCACATCTTACATGGATGGCAGCTGGCAAAGAGAGAGAGCTTGTGCAGGGAAACTCCTCTTTTTAAAACCATCAGATGTCATGAGACTTATTCACTATCATGAGAACAGCATGGGAAAGACTTGCCCCCATGATTCAATTACCTCCCACTGGGTCCCTCCCAAAACACATGGGAGTTCAAGATGATATTTGGGTGGGGACACAGGGAAATCATATTAATATTTATTATAATAAATATTTATTATGTATTATAAGCATATGAAGGCATATCTATTTGTACACATTATACACATTATACATAGTGTGTGTACCTATAGTACCTATATGTGTGTGTATATATACATATATATGTATATATACACATAGAGAGGGAGACTTAAAGTTCTGTGAAAGAGAGTTTGTATCAGAGAGCAATACAAGAGCTCTAACACTATACTGCTTATCTGTTTTGCCTGCACTTGAATATATATATTTTTAATACCAAGGCTCTTATTAGAAAGATTTGACTTTCTATGAAAAATACATTCATGCCCTGATTCCATGTCTCTGACATTAAGAAACACACAGTGCACTTTAAGAATTATTACTATTAATGTACATTTAGCACAGGTTTCTAAACACCAATAAATGAATTTCTGTATGCAAATCAGGTAGCATCTTTTAAAGTAAATGCTCTCTTCAAGATAGGAGGTAGTTTCATAACTTAGAGCAAAGTTAGGTTCCTACCCTCCCACAGAAATTGGGAGAAACTTTCACTGTCTTCCTTGATAATTATTTTTCAAAGGGATGATGCCCAGATCCTTGACAAAGACACTCAGTTCCACATTGCAAAACTGGTTGGCAAGAAGCTTTTAAACGGATTTGTATCTCAAAGCAGTAGAGAAAGAATTTACAATTTTCTAACGCAAATGATCTATGAAAAGGAAGGTCAGGGGCTTAGGGGCAGAAAGAAGCCTTTCTAATGTTTAGTCAGGCTGAAGGAAATTTTAAAGCCATTTTCATCAGAATTTTCCCTTTTTTCATATTTCTACTCAAATGTCACATCACTTATGAGGTTTTTCTTATCACTTTGTGTTAAATGCAAATTTCCCCTGCCCTTGCCATTCTCTGTCCCCATTGCCTTGCTTTATTTTTCTCTCTGGCAATGATCACCATCTGAAACTTGGCAAAATTACTTCCTGTGAGTTATGTATTGTCACACAATGCAGCATAAACAAAATAAAATCTCAGTAGCATAAAATAATTGGCAGATATTGGTCCTGAATCTGGGTCAGCCTGGGTTTGGTTAGACAGTTCTACAGATGGTCACTGGACTGGTGATGGTGGCAAGTGACTCTCAGCTGACCAAGGCTGTGGTCCACTTGGCTCTCTTCTTCCATCAGGCTGGTCTGGGCATGTTCTTATGGTGATGAGCATGGCAGAAGCATAAGGACAGACAAGGGGAAACATGCCAGGTCTCTGAAGGCTTAGACTTGAAACTGCCTTTTTAAAAATTATATCAGCAAGAAAATTATAGCAGTGAAGGAGATCTGATCTGGCCAACTCCCATCTTGCCTTTAGCCTTCAGGCTGTGCTTAAGTATTCCTACGCTTTAGCTAAGCTAACTTCGGGAGACATTTAATTTATAGTTCAAATGATAATAGCCCTTCTCCAAAACTTAGCCCCTTTAATAAAGCTAATGAGACACCACCAGGCTAGGAGGATACAGGAGCCTGAATTCTGCTAAAGTGTAGATGTAAATGATTACCTACTATTATTCCAGAGGTCACAAGATATGGAACTTCTCCAATTAATCCTGCAGATTAATCACAATTGTAGAACCTGAGATTTGTCTTTTGAAATATTTTTTTTCAGGCTTTTTGCATGTCTGACAACTGATGGCTCTGCCTGGACCCACCAACCCCTCCTGTGGCCCCACACAGAAACCACTTAGCACAAGCATCTACTCAGCTTTGACTCCCTGTGATTTTATATCCAACCCAACCAATCAGCACTCCCCATACCCTAGTCTCTTACCCACTGAACCATCTTGAAAAACTCGAACCTCTGAGAGCTTGATGAGATTGATTTGAGTAATAAGTGTCTCCTGCATGGCATGGCCAGCCTTGTGTCAAAGCCACGGTTGTGGCGAATTGCTTTTGTTTGTGCAGCAGGGAGGAAGAACCCATCGGGCTGTTACAGACTGAGAAATAGCACACTCTTAACTTCCCAAGCAGAGCATGTTTCATAGGAATATATATACTGCCTTTATTAGGGGAAAACTCCAGAATCATCAGGGCACTTGGAAAAGGATTGTTCTCGGTCATTAACACACATCTCTCAATATTCATCTGTGTCTCTTGCCTTGTCTTCCCACTCCTGGAGTGCAAGCTCCATGAGGACAGAATTGACTTTATTTATTTTATTTCTGTCTCTCCGGTGTCAGAAATATTGTTTGACTCACAGTGGTAAATTTAATAAACATTTAGCAAATGAATGAATCGATATAATTGTTTAGCAATTTTTCTGGTGCTGTTATAATAATTTAGTAACTGTTAAAATTTCTGTCCCTAATAATTCATTATGTCAGTTACTCAGGAAATATGGACTGGCTATCAGCTCTGGAAACTAATCTGTAATCAATGTTGTAACTAGCATGGTGAACAATATAAACATAGTCCTTGTATCATAGAGCTTAAAATTTAGTACCGGTTACTGCTTTTTGTGATGATTGAACATAGCAGGGTTTTTCTATTGTATATTGTGAAGATTGTGGTTGTATATTCTCATTTGCTGGTAAAGGATTAGCTGAGTTAAATTTTTGCAAAGCTAATCAGTGGTCCTGAAATCCTCTTATAATGCTGACTTATAACTTTAACTCACGTACACATATAAGCACACACACAAACACAGACACACACAAGCATATTTAATTTTGCTTAAGAATGTTTAATTCATTCAATGAATATTTGGTGAAGAGCATTATGTGTAAGCATCCTCATTAATTGCTGTTGATAAAGTAATAAATAATGTAGATATTGTCTGTGCCTTCAAAGAACTTCCCTGTTTACCAGTGTAGAATGTTTCATACAATCCCTGTATATGTTAAAAATATTCTTTAGTTGTTTTCATATATAACAGAAAACTTGATTGATAGTACAATTGGTACTTAACAATATTTCCTCTTCCTTTGTCTTTTGAAATGACTGTTTAGATCTTGATACTTGCAGATAATTAGACTGGATATTTATTTATAAGCCTGTTTTCTCCCCTCCCAAGTCTCTCCTTTAACTCAGGCAAATTTTCCTACAGTCTTTGATTTTTCTTTTGTTCCAGTTGATGTGTTTTTGTTTTGTTGTCTTTGTAAATATTTATTTAAAAAATACTCCATCTTCCTTGTTTTCCTACACATTTATCATATCTTCTCTCTGTTTTCATTTTTAGTCTCCTTTCTTCTAGTTACTGTCATGGATTTAATTTTCCATAGTAGTTATTCTCCTTATTATTGTGTCCAAATTATTTTTGACCTGTTATTCCATGACTGAAGTTATTTTTTTCCTTTGCACTACATTTTAAAATTGTAGAATGTTTTCTCTCTATTATAAACAGTTCTTCTTTCTCTAAAAGCATAAGATAATAACTTTTTAATTACCCTTGCACTTGCTGTGTTTTTTTACTCTTATTTTTTCTTTTACTGTTTTAATATATTAAGCTCTATTTAAAAAGTAAGCAGACATTTGTAGCTGCCATGAGGTAGTATCACTATATTTTTTCATTAATTCATTTGGTTTTGAAAGAGGAAACTTATGATTCAGTTTTACTGTATTATTTTCAGTAAAAAAGTTAAGCCATAGTTTTTTCTTTGAACATTAAAAACTTATATGATTACTTTTTAAATTTTGTCACTGTCAAACTATCAGTGAATTCCCTTATTCCCCTCTATATAAATCTACAGTTCATTCACACCCTGATTTACAAACTAGCTGCCTTCTAGGACTTTGCATGTAACTATAATTGCATTGCTCTAACTATAAGCCATTAAATGTTTCCTAAGATCATCACACAAGTTTATTTTCCTGCCAGCTTACACATATATTAACTGAATCTGGAATGTACCCTCTCTCTACCTTTAATCTAGGACTTTCAAAATTCTCAAATGTTCATCTCAAATAAACATTCTTCAAGATGCTTTTTCTGTTTCTTCCGTCGAAGTATCTGTGTTTCTGTTCTGGGATTTCTTGTCATCTGTCTTATATTATTAACACTTATGAAATATATTAGCTTTCCTAACACAGTAAGACTTTCTTATGGGAAATAACATATTTTGTCTACATTTGTGACCCTGCCTATATTCAGAAAAAAAAATATAAGATCTACAATGTGATGCCTTTTCAATAAATATTTTATAATATACAAGAACATTACATTTTCTTTGAATATTTCAGTGACTTCTCAACACCTAACAAATAAAGATAAATTCTTAACTTAGAAGGATTTCTCCCCTCCCCTTGCCTGTAGTCAAGTTTCAACCATTATTTACCATTTTTTTCTCATTAGTAATACCTTAGCCAAATCATGAAATTTGATCTTTCTAGAAAACATCATAAAGTTAATCATCTCTATGTATTCACTCATGTGTTCTTGTCTTAGAACATCTTTGTGATCAAAAATCTATCTGGAGACAAAATTAAATTCTTTTTTGTTCATTTATAGCCTTATTATTTGCCTTATTCTTGCATAATTCTTTCACATATTTATGGTTTTCATTATGATATAATCATCATACTATTTAAAATATACATTATATCCTGACTTATGTTGCTATGAAGACAGAAGCTACTGCTTAATTTCAACTCTATTGTAGGGAATGCAAGTGAATGGACTAAGTTTATTCATTTATATAGCCATCCCAGAAAAAAATTTATTGTTTTGCATATGTGAAAGACACCTAGAAAGTATTTTTTAAAAATGATTTTGTTGTGGAAAAACAGATGAATAAAGGGCAAAGCAATATTATCTTAACAAAAAAATTCCGAGCATTGAAATGAATTGAAATATATTACTTCAATGCCTAGAATTATAAATAGGGTGATGCCTGTCATGTAAATTGCACAAATAATTTTATTTTTATAGGCACACAAACTGTATGTTTGCCTTTTTGGACAGAGAAGCTCTTAAATAATTGGTTGCATGCATCCCTTAGTAAACATAGCTTTAACACTGCAAATCTCTACAGCAGTGTTATATGGAAAGCATTAGTTCTCGCACTAGCTATACCTGAAATAAAGTCTGTTTTCAGTGTAAGTTTCTAATGCTGTTGATTTCCCATGGCATTGATGTGGGATAATACCTAGGGATATATCTTTTATTAGTCATTCCACAAGATGAATCTTGTTAGTTTAAAACAAAAGTTGTTTAAAAAAACAATTGTTTATATTACATTATATTACATTAATGTAAACAACTAGTTTACATTACAACTTACATTGAAGTTAATGTCATTTTTAAGCTTTTTAACTTAGGATTCAAGCAACTGAAAAACAAAAGCCTTCCCTTTGTCATAAATAATGACTGTCTTAATTATAATCAGGTAAGTGTTGTCTTCAAAAAGTCAATGCCTACTTATGCCAGTCATCATAAATGATCACAAAACTCTGCAGGGGTGGTGGGTTAGATATAATATAGATTTAGATATAGATATACAGAGCATATGATGATATATATGGCCATGGATGAGAAATAATAGAAAAATGATTATTTAATTTTTATATTTTGATATTGCTAATTATACACAATGCTATTCAAAATACACTGGAGTTTTGCATTTTATATTTTGGTCATTTCTATGGCCCCCTAAAGTAAACCCTTCCTATGTAATTGTCCTATTCATCTTTGCATGTTCAGTGTATGAGTAATACGGAGTTTATAGAGTTCAAGACAGTTTTATGGAGAGTTTTATAATATATGTGAAAGTCTTCACATAAGCTGTAGGTCATCCAGTGGAATTCTATCAACAAACCTACATCATAAAGACACCAACAAATGATAAGTCAAAGGAAGAAAGAATTGGGAGCAGACCTACTTTATTTCTGCAGCAAATCTTCCTACTTTTGAGTACATTTATTTTCATATATAGAGAAACCTCAAGAATATTAAATAAGGGATGAACAACTTCAAAAAACTGTAGTCTCCCTCAGTAAATTATTCCCCAAGTGTGTATATTTAGAGATGCCTTTTTGGAGTTTATAAAGAATGTTTTATAAAAAAAAAAAAAAAAAAAAAACTCAGGGTTAGTAAATTTGACAAGTCAACAAGTCTCCCTTACAATATATTTAATACCACACAGAAAGTAAAAAGCCTAGAAAGTTAAGTGCTATGAGAACTTTTGTTATGAATAAAATAAAGTGTGAATAATTAGCCAGAAGAAAAAATAAGTTGGAAAAAAGTCATAGTCACTGCAAAAAGTGTTATTTACCCATGAGTCACACAGGGCACTGGGACTCTGAGCTATTTTATGCTCTTCTAAGAAAACAAACAAAACCCTACTTAGAACTTAAATTTGCTCTATAACAGAAAACTAAAAGTTTAAAAATTAGAATATTTAAGGTTATAAAAGATCTACAGAAAGTGACCTGATGTAAACATTATCAATTGTTTGATTCTTCAAGAATATCAGTATATTTGAAAACCAATCTTAGTATAATGGCTCCTATTTTGAAAACATTTCTAAATATGCAAAATGGTGACCAAAATGGTAACCCACTGTGAATACAATCTTTCTGCCAAATAATTTCAGAAGCAAAATTATAAAAATTATTTTTAAATTTTCTAGCAGAACTCTTTTGTGATATGGGTATATTTAATATGCTTTGCTTAGTGTGTGAAAATGCTTTCAAATGGTGATGAGTTTATTGTAATGTGTCCTTTTTACATTGGAAGGGGGAGTGGTTCAGACTGAAATTAACACATATTCTAGGTATGAATTTGACTTTTCTTCTCACAATTTTGACAGTACCACAATCTGAGAGCTTAGAGAGTATTTGTTTTGCTGAGAAGGGATCCTTCATGATATCACTATAGACCAACAAACTGTTTTTTTAAAGGGAGGTATGGTACTGCATGAATAATTATGAGATCTACTTCTTCTACCACATATCATATTCTTGAGAAGTTGCCATTCTGATATAATACAGAAGAGAGTTTTGAAGGCATTACTGCTATACCAGCTTGGAGTTAAATTTTTGAGAGCTGCATGAAAATTTGAGATGACGGTTGCATGATGCTGTGTCTCCAAGTAGAACACAAAGATCTGGTAATAAGGGATTGAAGTAGGAGAGGTAATGCTTACAATTTCTCTTTGTGATACACTGGGGGATTTGTCCTTCTTGTCTTTACATTCTAGGTTCAGAAGACTTAAAGTTCTTTGTTCCCAGAGGAAGAGCTCTTCCATGAGTGAATAAAGCCGAAATTAAACTTTAAGCTATGGCATCCAAACAAATATCTGGGATTTGTGCCAAGGGATCAGCAGGCAAGGATATAAGACATCATCCTGGCAGGTTATTGACTCAGCATCAAGAGGAAGTACAGCTGCTGTTAACACAGTGGGACAAAGGAGAATATGGTTGGCATCAAGGCAGTGGTGTGTTGGTATCAGCTCTTAAACCTGCTCACCAGAGCCAGTTATGTACATCTCTTCTCAACTCCTCATTCAATTAGGGTAATATCGGTAGCTCTAATCAGCTATGGTTGAAATATTTCACTACAGAAATCAGCAAACCTTCAAAAAAAACATTTTCTTTTTTTTTTCTTTACAGAAATCTGCTTGTTAAACATTTACCATTATATGACTTATCCAGGAGAGTTTATGGAGCATCTCTTAGTACTCCTTTGGCCATTTTCAATTTTACATAATTTAATGTAGCAGTCACAACATGAGGAAGGATTGGAGATCAGCGGCTCAGCCACCGCAGAGATGAGAGTCTGGGTCACTCCTTCAAGTAAGCCACTTAGATCAGCAGAGGTGATAGGCTAGAGTTGGGTGATTTTAGAATTAATGTTAGAGAAGATAGATAATGAGTATCAGTTGTGGCATTGAGACCAGCTACAGCAGTGAGGGCTGTATTTTTTTTTCTAACTTTATTTTTTTATGAGCTATAGTGAATATCATTATGCTCCACCTAGATTTCCTTTCAGAAATGAGGTATTCATGCCTCACCTACTAGATTTGTTAGCTACTGAGGGCACACAACTGAGTTCCTCTACAGCAATTACCCTTGGTTTAAGGTATACCCTTTCTTCAGTTTAAGTTACACCTTATTTCTACTCATTCAGAGACTGCTATGGAAAGCAATACAAAGGCCCAGAGGCTAGCCTTAATTCAAAGCAGTTTTCAATTGTCTTCATGAAATCAGCTGAGATGGTGGTCATGCCTATCATCGTTGAACTCCTGCCCCAACTGGGTTACTTTTCTTCCTAACAGATGTTATTCCTGAAACTATTCCCAATAAACTTCTGGCACATCAATCTCAGTCACAGATTCTGAAATGCCAACTCTACAGGTAGATTTTACAAAAGCTTGAATAAACTTATTTCTACAAATTAACAGAAAGTTTCCTAAAACTAAAGTATATTTACCACTGTTACATAAATATGATATAACCCCATTAGCCCTATAGCCTGTAGTCTTCAAAATGTCATCCTGAGTCTAGGATTTCCTTGCTCCTATATTTAGCAATTTATAGATAATATTGTGATCTGATTTTAATGAAATTTTGGTGAATCCTGTCACAAAAAATATTTTCCTTTACAGGCAAAGTATGTCCTTTACAGGCAAAGTATGTGTATGTGTGTATGTGTGTGTGTGCATTGTATATCTTGACTGCTTTAAAGTAAATGATTAAATTTGTTGAAAAAAAATCAATCTTAGATTTGCTTTCTTCTAATATGGTACCTGGTAGTGATATTCGAAGAGAAGGTAACTATCTCTTCCTCACTTTTAATTATTGAAACTTACTGTTGGCTACAAAACTAATTAGTGTGAAGATTCTTTTAGCTTGATTGTTTTGCCACACTCTATTTCTTCCTGGAAAATACTAACCGAAATCTGAAGCCTAGCAGCAAACAAGTAATAAACTGAGATAAATCATATACAGAGTGCGAATGCCTATGCCAGGTAGGAATCCTCCTTTGAGATCAAGAAAAGGAGATTAGCTGGATGAATTATTTCCTTCTTTGTAATTATTTTGAAGGTCTTGTAATTGAGAACTTAATTTAATTGGCTGTATGTGGGAAGTTAAGGAATTCAGATGCAAAAAAAAAAAAAAAAACATACAAAAATCAACAAGGCCAAAAGTTGTTTTTTGAAAGAATAAATAAGATTAATAGACAGTTAGCTTGACTAATAAAGAAAAAAATAGAGAATAACCAAATAAACATAATCAGAAATGGCAAAGGGACATCACTGCCAATACAGAAATACAAAAAAAACTCCAGAAACTATTACAAAAACCTCTATGCACCTATGCACACAAGCTAGAAATCCTACAAAAAATAGATAAATTCCTGGGAAACATACAACCTTCCAAGATTGAATCAGGAAGAAATTGAAACCATGAACAAACCAATAACGAGTTCTGAAATTGAATCAGCATTAAAAAGCCCCCAACCAGAGAGAGTCCAGGACCAGGTGGATTCACAGCCAAATTCTATCAGGCATATGAAGAAGAGCTGGTATCATTCCTACTGAAACTGTTTCAAAAAAATAAAGAGAGGGAACTCCTCCTTAACTCATTCTATGAGGCCAGCATCTTTCTAATAGCAAAAACCTGACAGAGACACAACAACAAATAAAGAAAACTTCAGGCCAATATCCTTGATGAACACAGATGCAAATCCCCTCAACAAAATACTAGCAAACTGAATTCAGCAGCACATCAAAAAATAATGCTAGGATAACTGGCTAGCCATATGCAGAAGACTGAAACTAGACCTTCCTTACACCATATAAAAAATCAACTCAATGTGGATTTAATACTTAAATGTAATACCTAAAAACTACAAAAATCCTTGAAGAAAACCTAGGAAATACCATATTGAACCTAGGCCCTGAAAAATATTTCATGACAAAGACATCAAAATCAATTGCAACATAAACAAAAGTTGATAAATGGGACCTAATTAAACTAAAGACATTCTGCACAGCAAAATAAACCATCAACAGAGTAAACACAGAACCCACAGAATAAGAGAAAATATTTGCAAATTATACATCTGACAAAGGTCTAATATCTGTAATCTATAAGTAACTTAAATTAATAAACAAAAAACAAGCTCATTAAAAAGTGGGCAAAGGACATGAACTGTCACTTCTCAAAAACAGACATTCACATGGCCAACTAGCATATGAAGTAATGCTCAACATCACTTATCATTAGAGAAACGCAAATTAAAACCATGATGAGATAGCATCTCACATCAGTCAGAATGGCTATTACTAAAAGTCAAAAAATAACATGATAGTGAGGTTGTGGAGAAAAGGTAATGCTTATACACTGCTAGTAGGAATAACAATTAGTTTAGCCACTGTGGAAAGCAATCTGGAGGTTTCTCAAAGAACTTAAAACCGAACTACCATTTGACCCAGCAATTCCATTATTGGGTATATACCCAAGGAATATAAATTGTTCTACCATAAAGACACATTCACGCATATGTTCATGGCAGCTCTGTTTGCAACAGTAAAGACATGGAATCAACCTAAATGTCCATCAACAGTAGACTGAATAAAGAAAATGTGGGGCCAGATGCGGTGGCTCATGCCTGTAATCCCAGCAGTTTGGGAGGCAGAGATAGGTGGATCATTTGAGGTCAGGAGTTCGAGACCAGCCTAGCCAACATGATGAAACCCTGTCTCTACTAAAAATACAAAAGTTTGCTGGGAGGCTGAGGCAGGATAATCGCTTGAACCTGGGAGGGATAGGTTGCAATGAGCCAAGATCGTGCCACTGCACTCCAGCCTGGGTGACAGAGCAAGACTCTGTCTCAAAAAAAAAAAAAAAAAAGTGTGGTACGTATACATCATGGAATACTATTCAGCCGTTAAAAATATGAGATTATGTCCTTTGCAGCAACATGGATGGAGCTGGAGGTCATTTTCCTAAGCAAATTAAGGCAGAAACAGAAAACCAAATACCGCATGTTCTCACTTATAAGTGGGAGCTAAACATTGAGTACACGTCGGCACAAAGAAGGGAACAGCAGACACTAGGTCCCACTTGAGGATGGAGGGAGGGAGGAGGATGAGGATCAAACAACTCCCTATCAAATATTCTTATGCTTATTACCTGCGTGACAAAATAATCTGTACCCCATACCCTCGCAACATGCAATTTATCTATATAACAAACCTGCACACAATAAAAAAAGAGAGAAATGGGATAAATTGTCTATCTTACCTTTATCACCTAGATAACTCAGAAATCATATATATATATATATACTCTCTGCTGGATTCTCCATCTTGGCTCCACGTCTCTCCACAAAGTTGCTCAAAGAGAAATGACCACTTATTTACAATAATAATAATATAAAGGCACAACACAACTTACTCCCATACAAAATAAAAATGTTTTATGAAATGAAGTTTATTTTATAGGAAATTCTACATTTATATTGCCTAACAGTCTTCTTATATCTTTCTCCTAAAACTTTTTGTGTGTGTGTTTCACAGTTACATGGTATAATCAAAATGCATATTAATATTTGCAAAATGGTGATTCTGAAATTGGATGGTGCCTTAACCAAACAGAAAACAAATGTGCACCAAAAATAAAGAACAAAAAAAGTCCAGGGCCCCTTAAAACTGCTCTTCATTTGTTATCTAGGGGAATGATCCTAGCTGCTTATATTAGTTTTGATTTTAGCTCTCCAAACGGATTAAATTGACATACTACCTGGGAACACTGTGTTGGTTACAGGGAATCCAGGAGTGAAGAGACATTATTTGATTATTTTAAGAGTTTATATTTTTTGAGTAATAAATGTGTATGTAATGCACAGAGTAGAACAGTGTCAGTGGTTATCATTTACTGAGCATTCACTTTGTCCCACATTCCTTATAGATATTTCATGTGATATTAATTTAATCAGCAGAAATAGCAATACTTTATGTTTGGGGTAATTAGGGTAAAAGAGGGTAAATAAATGTACTAAATAGGTAACATTACATTTTGAAAATAATTTTACTGATATAGGACCAACTTAATTTTTTAACCAGCTTGCTTATGATTGAATAAACTATATATATGTGTGTGTGTGTGTGTGTATATATATATAATATATACATCTTCTTGATCTAGTATACTAATAAAAAATAAGAGGAGTGAGTTGAGCATTTGTATTCAATTTTGTAGCATTATCTACATACGTAAATCTAACACAAAAGTATCAAAATCAAATTTTATTATATATAGGGAGCACTGCTTAAATTATCAGATATTTATCGAGATGTTACCCACCCCAAGGCATTTGGATATTTTTTTCAATAGATTAATTATTACTGATAGGGTAGTAGAAAAGTTCAAATGATTTCAAATCTAGACATATTGTGAGAAATATTCAGATATCTGTAAAATAGTAAAAATGAGCAACTTTTGCATCTTAATTATTCCAGTAAAATAAAACATAATAAATTCAATAATGAAGCAAATCATGAAGTGAGGGTGTCACAGAGAGACTGATGTCCAGATATTCCCCAAGGCAACTGGGGAAGAGTTCACCGGAGACATTGCTCATCTAATTCTAATGAATAACAAGAACCTTGCCAGGTAAATAAGAATAGAGAAAAAATATCCAACAGAAAATTTACAGAAAGATGATTTTAAAAGAAGAAAATTGCCTAGTAGTGAGAGCATAGCAAGTGAAAGGCAGAGTGGTACAAAATGAAGACGAACAGTTTCCCTAAGGTAACCTGTGATTTCTACTAAGAAATGCATGACACATTGGCTCTATCTTGTAGCCCAAATAAATGGTAATTTGATGAAATTTTGAATTAATAATTCTCATATATTGGAGATAAGGAGTCTTCCCACATCTCCCCTATAATTTCTGCATTCAGGTTTTGTTTCCAATGGGTTAGAGCTAGTAACAGATAGACACTGGGATCCTGGATTATAGGTGTTAGCCTATTCTCACATTGTTATAAGGATACTACCTGAGACTGGATAGTTTATAAAGGAAAGAGGTTTAATTAACTTACAGTTCTCTTTGGCTGGGGAGGCCTCAGGCAACTTACAATCGTGGTAGAAGGCAAAAAGGAAGCAGGCTTGGACCTTCTAACATGGTGGCAGGAGAGAGAAGTTCTAGCAAGAACAGGGAAAACGGCCTTATAAAACCTTCAGATCTTGTGAGAACTCACTCACTATCACGAGAACTGCATGGGGGAACCATCCCCATGATCCAATCACCTCTCACCAGGTCTCTACCTTAACATCTGGGAATTACAATTCAAGATGATATTTGGGTGGGGACACAATGCCTAACCATATCCACAGGCTAACTCCTACCCTGACATATGACATATGACATGAGGATGAATGGAGCCAGGGACTGACCTCACTTCAGATTAGAAAGGATTGGGTCATGGTGTCATTAATTTAGGAAGGAGCACAAGCCTGCTGACTCTTGCCCTGCTGACCTTTGTGGCTGCTCTTTTAGGATGTCTGAATGGCTTCTGTACTGTTGATATGCTCTTTCTCCCTGTGCAGTACTTCTTCCCGTAGACCTCAATGGCTGCCCTACCACCTCCCATTGGATTTGTCAGCTTTACCCTGCCCCATTTTTTTTTTGTTCTGATAATCCTTCATATAATTCAAGTGAATAAACCAGAGGTCATTTAACTCAATTTTCCTTCCCACCTCTGATTTGGATTACTCTATTTAGCAGCTTATTTACCTAGATCAGTCAAAATTTTTCTCATTTCAAGCTTATTGTATTCCTACTATTCATATTTCAAACATATTCATGGTCCCTGAACCCTCACTTTTTCTATGAGGTACTCCCTTTCCCTCTGAAAGAGTAAAATAACATGTTTTCAGAAATAAGAAATGCCTGCCAATCTTCACTGATATTTGGAGATGTTGTCACATCAACAGCCTAACTCATCTGCTGAGCCTGCAGTGATGGGAATAGGGTCTTTCTTGGATAACCCAACACATTTCTTCCTTGCAGGGCCTTAGATATACAGAAATCAAGAGAGGAAGTCTATGTTACACTACTCTTCTGCTATAGTATCATCTTTTACCAGCTGCATGTGCTTAGACATTTTGCCTTTCTGTTTATTCATTGATAAAATGGTCACCATAATACTTTTTTTTTCTTCTGAGGTAAATAGATTCCTGTGTTAGAAATTTCTTTCAAAATGTCTACTGTAAATCATTGCAGTTACTATAAATCCCACTACAATAAATGCAGCACGGTTAATTTGGGTTAGGCAAATAACCTCCAGGCTATAACTAGGAAGTGGAGATAGCATAGAACTTCGAGGAGGATGTTATACTGGGGAAAAGAACAACAGAAAAGAGTTGGTGAGAAAAAAATATTATAGATATTTCATGGATAAGGAACCATTAAAAAAGAAAGTACAGAGCACACAACTTAAGGCATGAGATTCATGACTGCAAAAGATATTTAAGAGAGGCTCTGCTATCCTGACAAGAAGTGGAAGATGCCTCCACAGGCCTCCACAGGACCCTTCCAGCATCTCCGGTGTTCAACATTTCTAAGATTAGTATCTGTTGCTCCCTCTGTCTTGCTAATCTGACTTGACTTCATTCTTTCCAAAACATTGTGGGTAAAATCTCCTACTGGAAGGCTGCCTTGGAATACTCAAGTTGTGCTACTCCTCTTGGCTCTTATATCTTCCTGAGCATTATTTAATAATATTTATCACTATATTATATTGAAACCATCAATAAATCAGTCAGCTATTTTCACAGAAAAGACAATGTGTGTTCTTCTTTGGCCTCTGAAAACACAGGGCAATGCCTGCCTGAATGGCTCATATTAGGTTCTTTACAATCTAAACAGAACTGCAATTAATTCCTGTAATCTTTAGCCTATATTAAAAGCACAGTCTTTGGTCTTCAACCATTTTAATACTAAGATTTTATCATTCTAATTCTATGTCTAACTCAATTAACACAAGCTGAATTTTTCACCTCCTTTTCTGGAACTTCTCAGAGATTATTTCTTTAATTGCAATATTTTCATCCAAAGACACCTGTCAAATTCCTTGCCTCTTTGCAGACTTAACTCAAATCTCATTTATAAAGGAGCTGTTTATAAAAAACTCTTTTTGACTTCTCCATTAAGAAAAAATTTATACTATTTTCTCATTGCTTCTGCCCTCCTCATTTCAATGTATCATGTCAGTTCTTGTCTTACAGCCCCAAAAGGAGTCTACATTTGTTTTAAAACTGTAAGGCCACTGAAAGGACAAAAGCTACAAGTCAAAAGAATTTGGATTGAGTCCTAGCTCTGCTATTAACTAGTTTGCGGACTTAACCAAGCCATAATTTTTGAAAAATTGATTCCTCTTATATTGAAACTATACACATACTCAAATATATTATCTGTGTTAGTATAACATTTGATGTTATGCTATGTTTTGCATATGCTACCAGAAAATAAGGCTTTAAAATGCTGATTTATTTGTTACTCCTTTAACAAGTATGGGAATTGGAAGTAATATTTAACAGAGTAAAAAGTAATATAAAAATCAAAATACGTGTTCTGCTACTATGGAAAAATATATAACACCATCTAGTTACTCCTTGTCCTAAAAGAATGTGTGATGTATTTGTTAGAATACATAGTACAATTCAATATGTATAGTCTATAAATTTCAAACTATAAGCATGAAAAAAATACTGAAACAAAGGATTTATTAGTAAAATGCTTATTTTTTATCATTTTTTGAGGGAGATACTATGCTTGCTATAATTTCAGACTCTGATTATGATTGATGGAGCCTTTGCTGTGCTAAGTAATAACTTAATAGGAAGGGACCTATCTATTATCCAGTATAATCCAAAATGCTTTATTTACTTTCTATACCATCCTCCACTTTCCATAATTCAATTCAAGGTATTTCTATGATCATATATAATTTTCCTCATTTATTTTAATATATATTAATAACAAAATCATTAACACTCAATTTAATTGGAAATCTTTCAAAATTATATATCATAGTTTATTATTAATGTATTTTTATTATTCCTGGTTTCTGTTATATATGACATGTTGTGGCTGCTGTGTTATTACTGCTTTTTAATGAATACTTGCAGATTTTAGCTAATCTGCAACTTCACATGGTAAAATGTAGAGAACAGTAATATTCTGTAGTTTTGAAAATAAAATATCTTTGACAATATTATTCTGTTTGTTTAAAATGTGGTTCATGTCATAAGTATCATGTCCTATAACATAATAATATAAAACACCAAGATCAATAAATCAGATCAAATATAGAAACATTTTTTAAAAATTATGTATGTAGATAATATTTTTATTTTGACAGTATAATAAAGAGCTAATTAAAAATTGGAGAAAATTTCTTTCCAAATTGGTATAAATCCTGAATTATAGTTTTTTTAAATATGTAGTTTTAGTCTAATGCCACCAAATTTATATTGTATATCTTGGGAAGAATCCTTACTTAGTAGAATCCCTTGGGGGAACTGTTTTACTGCTTAGCTAAGAACTATTTAAGATTAACGTTTCAATTATTTGACAGCAAACGTGATCTTAAAAAGTGTTTTAAGAGCTCTAAAACACTTATTATCTTAAGTAGTTGGAAATGGTCTTTCACTTTATGTACACTCTTAATTTGATTAACATTTGTTATAGAGCTTATAGAGATAAATGTCAGCCTAAAACCGGGCTGAAGTGCTAAAAATTTTGAATTAAAAAAATGCAACTTAATGAGACCTTACTGCAGATCTTCACAAAACCCACATAGAAATGCTCAATGTCTTGCACATTGAGTTACTATTAGAATGACATGGAGTCCATACAAGATTATTCTTAAATTATATATCTTCAGTTTATTGTTTTAATATTCTGAAGTGTTTGCATAATAAAATAAATGACTTACATATGTTGTAGAGTGGTATTCCTATACTTCTAAAGTTAGGAAAAAAAGGAAAAACCTTCATTTCCGATAAAATTGACACAGTAGAAAACTCACCCTCTCTTTGGAATATAATCGAAAGAAAAGATCCACGTATTTCAAATCAAGCTATATAATTTTAAGTACTTATTAGAGTTTGAAATTGCAATTATTATTTTAAATAAAACATAGTAGAATAGTGATATTATGAGAAAGGATTAATATTCACCTAGAAACAAGACATATTTATTGACTCTTATGTGTTGTCCGGCATACCCAATTCCCCATGACAATAAAGGTGAAGATGTAAATTTCTACTTGGATTGTTCTGATCTCAGGTGAATTCATGCAGCATGTCAGGAGAGACTTTCCTATCCCAGAGTTTTCTCAAACAGCCCTACCAACTAATTTGAACAATGGACATGGCAATGAGAATAGATCTAAAAGATTTATTAACTACCCAGAAATAACAGAGTCAGTGGGAGAAGCATAACACATTAGCGGAAATAACAGGTTTTCAGATCTCTAGAAATTCTTTAATTAGTATGCGTAGCTATCCCCAATTTTATATAATCAAACACATTTTCCTTTGTTTCCTCTTTTAACTCCAGTTCCAAAGTCTGGGAGAACTACATACCACCCAGCGTTGTCCCATAGTGCTGCTTGCTTCAGCACCCAACTAACACGTCAACACCCACTTCCTTTTATTATCAAGATCCTTCTTTGATAAGAAAACCTAACAACATATTTATTAAAGAGCATTTGAACCTTCACATGATAATATATTTTATGGTTAATTGTATTTCTTGTTAGTTTAACACATCGCTGGTGTGCATATGATTATTGAGTTGTGGGAGGTATCATTGGACTTGCATTTTATCTGAATCAGCACATTAATGTTCTCGGTTATAACTAGATGACACTGTAATTTTTCTCACTCAGAAGAGGATGCTGTTATGATTAACCTAGACACCAGACAATGTTCCGTAGGGTATGGTGTTCTTCATATGAAATTGCTGAAGTCTTTAAACTGTGTGTGGAAAAAATTGAGTGGATTACTTCTGAACTTATAATTAAGGATATGACAGTTGATTTGTGCTGCTTCTTAGAAGAAGGACTCACAGGTGATACTCTATGACTTACTCATTTAAGTAGGTATGTTATGGATTAAATGTGATCACACAATTTTTAAAACCATAAATTCCTTTATTAAGTGAAAAGAGCTTTTTTAAAAGATGCTCTTATGATGCGCATAGTAAGATGCTAGTGGTGGTAGAACTAATTAGTTTGATAATTACGTAGGAACTTGTAATATGACCCTTTCCAAATCACTACAATTTGTATTTAAAACAATGTTAGACCAAGGAGATGAGAATATTTATACATATTGTGGAAGTTTTTCATGATATCTAAAATGTAATTGCAGAGGTATCATAAAGTTGTATTATATTTGACATATTTGAAACAATGCCATGATATTATAAATGTCAGTGGTATATCCGTGGTATATCTATTTGACCAATAGATACCAATTTGCATAAAATATACCCTTATGCTTGCAGCATTCTAATTAGAAGGAAAGTGTTAGTACTGTTCTAAATAACTTGAAACGTTTAAAATAAATAGATTTTAAGACAAAAAAAAAATCTCAGCCTTGTTAAATCAGTTTGTTAGCATTTTCTTAAATGGAAACTTTCAATGATAATGGTTCAAATGAGAGAAACAAACTAAAACAACAACAACAAAAATTACTTTCAGGCAATATTATTTTCTATCTCCAACAAATGAAGTAATACTTAACATTTTAGTTAATAAAATGTTAAATGGGGCTTATGGCTTAAAATTTTTTAGTTTAATGTCAGATTCAATATCTTTTTTTCTTTCAAATTTAGTGTAGTTATATAAAGAAGCATTCAAAATTTGGATAAAGTGAGCATGGTGATAAGAAAATCTAGAGTTTAACAATTTACTGCAACAATCTCAAGACATCCATTCTTAGTAGAGCTTAGTAAAAGAAACTAGAGTCGTGCTAGTGTTAGAAACAGCATTCTGAGTGCCTAAAGTGAGCCCCATCCTGTCTCAGGAAGCAATAAGCTAACTCAGCCAGCTCTTTTTATCTCTAAACCAGGCATCTTTGAAACTCCAGCTATAGAGGAGGAAACCTAACGTGAGAGCTAGAAGCTTTTGCGTGAAGTCATATAATCAGTAGGAAAACCAATGCTCATGTGACTTATATTAGCCATTTTCCTTCCTAACTCTAATGAGATTAACTACGATCTTGTCTTGACAAACCAAAATTGATTTGAAGAAATATATATCCCAATATGATACAGGAAATTCAATCAACTGTTATATTTGATGCAGAGAACATAGTGCCCCATGGTATTAGAGATGATCTTAAGAAATATGTCTTTGTCTGAACATGAGCAGAGAGGTTGAACTAGAAAAAAGAACAGAAAGAAGTAGCTTTATGTAAGGGGATTTTCCAGTTAAGAAGTTAGTTAATAATTACAGGTGGCCTGGATTCTTAGTCTTTTAAACCTCTTGCCCAATCCACAAAAACTATTATTACTTTGTTCATAAATCATATCTAGTTTAAGTAGGGGTCAGAGACACTTCCGGAGGAAATGTGTACCGTTTCCAAATAATATTCTGAACCAGAAACCTTTCTCCAATGAAACTGTAAGCACATGTTTCAGCCCTCTTGTCTGTGATTTAGAACCCTGCAACAGCTGCTTTTGTTCTCCGTCACCATCTCAACATTGCCATGGTTATCTTTGCCTAGACTTGCATACCTATAATTTAGTTTTAGGGGAAACTTAATGGAAACTTATGTTACTCCACACTGGCATATGTGATACCTGTGCTATGTTTGGGTAGATCATATTTTTGTTATTATTAACAAAATTTTGTTAATTTATTTTGTTAATAATTAATTAATTTTGTAACTATTTGTAACTATTAATTTTAATTTTGTTTTTACTAACATTTTGTCAAAATTTACATGCAGAGAAATACAGACATTTTAAGTGTAACATTTGATGATTTTTTGCCAAGCCGACATGAACAAAATCCAAACCCTAATTAGGATGGGCAACTATAGCTAACAAAAATTTATAGAATATTTCAAAACACCTAGAAGATTTAGAATGTTTCTAACACAAAGACATGAAAAATGTTTGAGGCAATGGATATCCCAATTACCCTAATTTGATGATGACACATTGTATGTATCAAAATATCACACATAACTTAGAAATATGTACAATTACTGTGAATCAATGAAAAATAAATTATCAGTTAAAAATATTTTCCTTATCTCAGGAAGTTTTTTTGTGCCTCCTTTTTAGATACACCCTACCACTTCTGAAGTAAATACTGTCTTGATTTCTGTCATCATAAATTTGTTTATTCATTATTCATGTAGTATCAGCAGCATTTGGTAAAATAAGTATTCTTAAATTTAGCAATTTTAGTGGTTATAAAATATTATTTTATTGTGGGCTAAATATTCACTTTCCTAATAACTAATAATAATGAGCATCTTTTTCTCTGATTATTTTCCATATGTATATGTCCTTTGTAGCCATTTTTTCTAAATGTTTGCCATTTTAAAATATATTATATATATTCTTATTAATGAACTTTTAGTGTTTTTATATATTCAAGTTCTTTCTCAGACATATGTTTTGTGAATATTTTCTCTCATATTGATGTTTACACATTCATTTTCTTATTAGTATGTTTGTATATGGTTTAAAACATTCTATGAGATCTAATTTATCAAATTGTTTCATTTCTATTACAGTCAGTGCTTGCTGTGTCCTCTTTGATAATATTTTATTAACTTAAGGTGGGCAAAATATTATCTTAGTTTTTTCCCAGATAATTTATACTTTCAATTATTATGTTTAGAATTATTATCATGGCTCAACGTAATTTTGTGTAGGATAAGCCATGGATAAAAGCTTATTATTTCTATGTGGTTTTCCAATGTCTCAACATCTTAATAAAAAGTTTTATTTTTCAAAAATTTTCTCAGGGAATTTGTAGAAATTCAGATAACCATGGACATATGGATACATTTCTAGTTTCTATTCTTGTTCATTAATCTATAAGCCTTAACCAATACAAAAAGGCAAGAAAAGAAAATGAGAGGCACACACATTGGAAAGAAAGAAGTAAAATTATCCTTATTTGAAAAGACTATGATCACATACCTAAGGATCAACAAAAACTCCAAGAACTAATAAATAAGTTATCAAGTTTGCAGAATGAAAGATCAGTACAAAAAAGTCAATCATATTTCTGTATACTGGCAACAAACATAGGGCAATTAAAATCTAGAATTCCATACAATTTGCAGTTGATCTTTACAAAGCAAAATAATTATAAGAAAAAAGGACATGTACATGTGAATGGGGTATTTCCAGGGACCTGTGAAGCAGGCCAAATAAAGACGATACTCTAGAGATAGCAATATATGAGGAGCTCCAAATAGAATGTTTCCTCCTGTGGCTACAAGGCTACTGGATTTTACAGCTACAGTGTGGTGGCAAAGCTGCTCCTTTTCAAGGCTACCACAAAGCTGTATGCAGAGGGGAGGTGTAAGTTGAATTAACATACCATAAGTCCTGCTGTTCTTACTGAGGCTCAGTCATTTTCTTCTTGAATAAGTAGTTCTCAGATTATTGCAAGCTTTGATTAGTTTCCAGAGTTCTGTAAAAGTTGATTTTTTTTAACTTTTGCCAGGTTTTTTTTTAATTGCTATTATAGACAAATGGATTTACAGACATTCTTACTCCCATCCTGGAAGCTCTGCATCTTTATACTATTTTCACAGCTTCCTATATGTCTATAATTAACGAAAAATAAAAAGTTACAAGAAAATACGAAATGATCCAAATCACAAAATCACTCTGGGAGCATGGAAGAGCTACTGAGATAAAGCAAGTTAGATAAAGGGAAGTAAGGTAGAAAATCAGAGATAAGTGGAACATGGCTTTTGCCTGAGAATATTTCTCAAACTATTAGGAATGATCTGTAGTTTTACTAGTTTAACAAAAAGTGAATATAAGCCCAGGGTATGACCAAAGGGAGAATCTAATAAGTGATCCCAAGGGGCTATACTCTCAGTGTAAATGTAAATAAGAATTAAACCCAGCACAACTACTCACCACTTTTAAACCACTGCAAGAAAACCTGCCTTGGTATAGCACACAGCAAGAAAAACAAGTGTGCCTGAGAAGTTAAATGACTAGCCAGCTCTCAACTGAATTCACAGCCTGGAGTAGTTTTAAATATGTCACCAAACTATTTGATATGTTTCCCTTTAAGGAGTGGAGACTAATTTCCTTTTTCTTGACTGTGGACTGAAATTAGTGCCTTGTAATCAATAGAAAACACGAGTGGAAATGATGGTTTGTGACTTTAAATTCTGTGTAATCAAAGATTCTTCCTCTGTCTCTTTGTTAGATTGCTCGCTCTGGGGGACATTGGATCCTATCTTGAGATCAGGTCTATGCAGAGGTATATTTATCAAAGAAATGAAGTTTCCAGACAACAGTCAAGTGAGGGAGATATCTTGTAAGGCAATTCCCTAGCCCCAGTCAAGACTTCAGATCATCGCTGCCCAGACAACATCTTGACTGCAACATCATGAGAGACTGTAAACTGGTACCACTCAGATAAACTGTCCCTAGATTCTTGACTTTCAAAAACGCTGTGACGTGCTACACTTTATCGTTATATGTCACACAACAAAAATGTCTATTTCACAGCCCAAATTCCTGTTACATAAGTGTTGAGAAAACTCATAAATCTAGTATGTCTCTTTCCAATAGACACCTAATTTCCTAGTGGAAATAAGAGAAAGAAATTCTCTCTGGAAAAATATATCTCATTTTCACAGTATTCTCAAACAATTTTCATAAGTATTATTTTCAAAAGAAAATAATTAATGTAATACAAAATATTTCTAAGTCACAAGGAAATAATACACTGAATTAAAATGCATATAAAAATTATACTAATAGAGCTATAATAATCTTACATACTGGAATTAACAGAAACAGAATATAGAGGTAGGGAAAGAGGCTATTCTTGCTATTCAAAAAAAAAAAAAACTTAAAAGGAGGGCAAGAAAAGTTTTATTAGTAAATAGCATGAAACCAAAGTTGGATGTGCATAACAGGCAATCTTTCAGACATTACGAAGTCAGAAAGAGGTTTTACTCTTTTATAAAGCCAACCAGGTATAACCCATCTCATACAGGCTCTGAAGATAAACAACAAAGAGTCTTTAATTAAGAGGACTTGACAGCACCATTTGTCATACATAGATCACCTTAAACTTTCATAGTAATTGTCGTAGCCACCTGTATTTGTTAATTGTCTTAATTCAAATAAAAAATGAACTACTCACGTCTTTGCAACTTGGAGCTAGGTGCCAGCTGAAGTTAGACACATAGTCCCATGGAAACTGGGAGATACAGATGCTACCTTTCTTGATGATTACATCTCAAAAGGAAGGTTCCCAGTTTCCTTAAGCTGACTTCTAAATAGAACATTAAAAGCCACAAGCCAATGGTCACCATTAATATAAAGAAAAGTAAATGTTCACTTAGAATTTTATACCAGTTTTTAAGCAAGGGGGTGAGGGTTGAATTGTATCCCCCAAAAAATATTTGTTGGAGTCCCAACCCCCAGTAAATCAGAATGTGTTCTTATTTGGAGATAGAGTCTTTACAGAGAGAGATAAACAAATTAAAATGAGGTCATTAGGATGGGCCCTAATCCAATTTAAAAAAGGGGAAATTTGAAAACAGAATCAGACACACGTAGAAGGAATATAATGTGAAGAGACTGAAAAAGAAGACAGTCGTCAACAAACTAAGGAGAGAGGCCTGGAACAGATCCTTCCTTCAGAGCCCTCAGAAGGCAACAACATTACAGACACTTTGATTTCAGACTTCTAGCTCCCAGATCTGTGAGACAATGCATTTCTCTTGCTTAAGCTGCCCAGCTTGTGCTACTTTGTTACAGAAGATCTAAAAACCTAATAAAGAGTAAAATAAATATATTAACAGACAAATTTATGGGAGTTTCCTACCATTTTCATTAAAGAAAATATGAATGATGTGGAAGGTAATCCAAGAAAGAAGACATGAGACGGAAAAAGGAAAAAGGTCAAATAAGCAACCAGCAGAAAGCAACATTAGCTTTCTAACCAATAATATAGACTTACAAAGAAATAATTAAATTAAATATCATATAATACAATACAAAATCGGCTAAATATAGTTAATGTGTTTAAAATTTTTTATTAGGGAGAAGAAAAAATACAATAATTGACTTTATACTTTAAAAAATTAAGAATGCAAATTTTAATTTCTAAATTAACCATGAAAAGAATAATAAAAAGTTTTGGATATACCAAAAAAAGAGGGTTGACTACAACAAATTGATGAAAAGATGGAATGATAAACTTAATTAACAAACACAAAAGAAAACAAGAAAAGAAACAGAAATATTAGAAGTAAATCAAATGAACAGAAATGGATGATAGTTACACATTCAATACAGATTGAGCTTCCAAAGTTCAAAAATTCAAAATCCAACATGCACTAAAATCTGAAACTTTTAAGAGTGTCAACATGACACAGTTCAGATTTTGTATTTTCTTTCTTTTCTTTTCTTTTTTTTTTTTTTTTTTTTTGAGACAGAGTCTTGCTCTGTCACCCAGGCTGGAGTGCAGTGGTGCAATCTTAGCTTACTGCAACCTCCGTCTCCTGGGTTCAAGCAATTCTCCTGCCTCAGCCTCCGAAGTAGCTGAAATTACAGGCATGCACCACCACACCTGGCTCATTTTTTTTTTTGTATTTTTAGTAGAGACAGGGTTTCAGAATTAGGATGCTCAACTGGTAAGTATAATGTAAATATTCTAAATTCTAAAGAATCCCGAACCTAAAATACTTCTGGTCCCAAGTATTTCAGATAAGGGGTACCTAACCAGTATATCACTAATTACAGTAAATATAAATAGATAAAATGATCCAGTCAAAAGACAATTGTTTTTACGATTAGATTTTTTTAAATCCAACAATGTGTTTTGTTCATGAACTATATCTAAAACATGTAGTTACAGAAATGTTGAAAAGAAATTGGAAAAGATGCAGTTTTTAGAAAAGATGATTGTCAAAAAGAAACATACATATATTAATATAAGGCTAGTTGTTCTTTTAGACCAGACATTTTCAGATAAAAAGAAGGCAATTGAACAGTGATTTCAGTTTTCTAGAATGAAGTATTTATTTTATGTGTGTAGGCAGTTAATATAATAAACTCTCAAATTATATAAAAACAAGTTTACACAAAACAATTGAAAATATTGATGACAATGACTTTAATTGATGCAAATTATTTTTCCTGTGAATATCATGTAATTGGAACATCCTCCATAATTACATTTTATAATTATTGCATACGAACCCTTTTAGTGCATGGGAACTAAATCTTTTACTGATAGTTAAACATATCAGTCTTTAATATATTTGGCTCAAGCACATCATTTTACAAATGAAGTAATTCAGGTTAACAGATATTAAAGGAGAACTGCTTGGATAACATTAGTGAAAGAGCTAGAGATTAGTCTTGACTTCTGATTCAAAGCTCTTGGCATTATTTTACAATATCTGCAGTTATAGTCATTTTTGCACTGAAAAGAAAAGAGGAACCATAAACATTCTATTCTCTCAGTTATAATTTTATAGCAACTATTTAATTTAGACCCCAACTTTTGTTCACTGAAGACTTGGTCTCATGAGACAGTTCACATTGCATTCTCCATGCACCCCTGCCTTTGTAATTGTATGCTTGTGTGTGACCCAGTAAACATGATGAGAAAGGCTCGTGATGTGCTAATTGTAACAAAGATAATCTGTGACAAAAGAATAGTACTTTGGGCAACAGAAAATAATTACCACTAGAACCACGTTTGCAATGAAGAACTTACTAATGAATCCTAGATTTAATTAAGGGTGATGATACAAAAAAAAGTTTATTTTTATTCTCAGAATAGAAGATAATGCTTCAATTCTAAAAATACAATTAAAAGCTAAAAATTTAATTCCAGGAATTTTTTAATGTGCTTCTTCTGTTTTTGACACATACACATCAAATGTTTGAAGATTCGAATTCAGGTTTGACAATACATCTTATTTCCAGGAAATAAGAAATGTTTAAAATCCTTCTACCTTCTTTTTCCACTACATATCGACTAAGTTCCATGGCTTAGCAATATCTTATATCTGCCAATTTATCTCACATTTTATATTTACATATTGTCATCAACTTTTGCCTAGACTATCACAACAGTATTCTGCTTGCATTCCCTGTACCTGTTTTTGCTCCTTCTTAATACTGTCCTTAAAATCAGTTTGAGACTTTCTTTTCCAAATATGTTCATTACTCTTCTTCTCTGCTGTCTGCAATCACTTTCTCTTACTTTTAGAGAAATTTCAAATTGTTCAACCCTACATGATAAACACTCGATTACTTCTATAGCAACATATACCAGGAGTCCCCATTACCCTTCCTCATTCCTTCCACAGACCAGTCAGCCTGGATTACCTCAGTACTTTAGAGAAAATTTACCACTAGAACCATTTTTGCAATGAAGTCCTTACTAACAGATCCTAGATTTAATTAAGGTTGATAATATTTAAAAAATAAGTTTATTTTTCTTCTCAGGGTTGATGTCAGGATAGATATCAATCCTTTCCAGTGTCAGGGTTTTGCCCATGCTATTTCTTCTGCCTGAAAGGTTCTATTACCCAGTCATTAGCTGGTTAACTCCTATTCATCCTTCAGTTATCAACGTGAGTTATTTCTTGAGAAATGTTTTTCCTAATAAGATGCAATTTAAATTAGTACTTTTTATCAATTAGGCATCAGTTACAAAGGGTAGGCACTCAGGTAGACAACCTGTAATGGCTCCAAGAACAGGCACAAGTGGCTGCCAACCGAGAGAGTGTCTGCCTTTGTCATAATCAGGAAGAGGGAGAATCAGGAGGCCATTACTGGAATGGCTAACATCAAGAACTTACAATTATGGCAACACTGGCCTGCACTTCCTAACTGCCACAGACCCTGAACTTCCACAAAGCAAGTGACTAGGCTGAAATTATAATTAAGAAAAAAAAATCAACCCTACAACCATGTTTAAAAGCAGCCATAAGCTCAAAAAGTCTCACTTCTGCCTTCAATATCTCATTTTGGATCTTCTAACTTAATTCAATTTGCATCTAAGTCCCTGACTGCAAGTTTTATAGCCTCTGTAGAACAAAAAGTACACCAGAGGAAGGCTGAAATAGATGCCAAATGCCAAATACAATATCCACAATAGCCTCCTTTTACATTATAAGACCATACTTCTCTTACCATGATTTTACTTCCTTGCCTCTATATACAATAGACCTCTTGCTGGTTTATTTTCTTTTGTATTATCTGTCTGCTCCATTAGATTATAAACTTCTGACAATATGAGCCAGTTTATTTACTATTACTTCAGTGCCTGACCTGCAGAGATCCACAGTATGTTTTCATTGAGAAAATTAATCAGATGTATCAGACCTCATTTCTAAATAGGTTCAAATCTCAGCTCATTTACTAAGTTGTAAAACACATGTAAAAACTTCTCAATCTATGTTGCTTCATTGACTTATCTGAAAATCAGGCTAATAACTAGATGTGAATAGCACCCAGCCCTCTGTTTTTCTCCCACATCAGGCAGCTTGTGTTATGTAGAAGTCCTAAAATTCTTGGCACGGGGCAAGCAGGAGCTTCCTGAGTGTATAATGCCCACAACTAGCCTATGATGCCAAGGGCCTCTGTCCAAGATGAGGTTTGGCAAAACATATGTCAATTATGTCTTCTTTGTCACACTCAGGTTGTCACTGCTCAGGTACTCCTGATCCTGAGACACCAGAGAGGGCTTATGGCTCCAGCCTCATTTGAAGCATAACTTTTCCTGGGACACAACTTCCATAGCCTTAAGGATAGATGTGAGTGGAGGAAATTCTGAATCATTGATTTCCCCTGCCATTCCTAAGCCAATGACAAGTCAAATTCAGTATTAGAAGACAATTGCACCATAACCCGCTATCTAAGCCCTTCTGCTTAAGAAACTCCCTCCTCCCTCAAGCCCTGGTCTGTCCCTCAAGCCCTCAAAAGAATTGTCCACAGTGGAGTGTTTGTGCGGAGTGTTTGTGTGGGTAGTGGGCAGCAGGGGAATAGTTAGCAATTGGTAGCAACAGCTAGATGCATCTCCTTCCTTCTGTAGAAATGGGAACCCAATACAACATTAGTTACTTTCTGGGCTAAATGTTCTCAGGCTCAGCTCATACGGCTGTCTTAAGACTCCATTAAGGCAAGATTCCCAACTTCCAGGCTTCTGTCTTCTGCCTAGCATAGATGTCTAGCTTCTTACGTGTCTGTAAATGTCTCTGTAAGAAACAGGAAAAACTTAGTCACCATCAAAATGAAGGATGTTGAAGGGAAGGGAGGCCTTAGAGCAGTTTCTATGCTCCAAACAAACTGGGGTTTATGAAGACGGAAAGCAGGTCTTTCCTCCTTTGTGAAGAAAATACTGAAAGAGCTACTTTCTGCTTATAGGGGAGATAGGACCAAGATTAGCTTAATTCCTCCTCCTCCTAGTAGGAAGCCTGAAACTGTTGCCTGTAAAAGTCTCTATTTATTTTTTTATTGTTCTCTTCTCCTAATTCAATCCCTGCTCCCTTTCATACCCCAGATGTACTACTACAGTTTCCTCTATTAACTCTATGATACTGGCATGAATGACCACTCTTGGCAACTTTCCTTTAAGATTTATCCAGCCAGGACCAGGAACCGTGGCTCACGCCTGTAATCCCAGCACTTTGGGAGGCCGAGGAGGGTGGATCACGAGGTCAGGAGATCGAGACCATCCTGGCTAACACGGTGAAAACCCGTCTCTACTAAAAATACAAAAAAAAATTAGTCGGGCGTGGCGGCGGGCGCCTGTAGTCCCAGTTACTCGGGAGATTGAGAAGGGAGAATGGCGTGAACCCGGGAGGCAGAGCTTGCAGTGAGCCCAGATCACACCACTGCACTCCAGCCTGGGCGATAGAGAGAGACTCCATCTCAAAAAAAAAAAAAAAAAAAGTTGTATCCAGCCAGGGTTTGAGAACTTTGAGAAGGAATAGCCTACTCCCTTGTCCAGAAAAGCACTCTTCAGGCCCATTCGTTCAGGCCCCATATCTTATGTGGGCAGAGGGAGGATGGGGGCAAGATAACTCTTGAGCCTGTGAAATAAATGTCTGCCCAAGAAAGATGCCTCTACTGGAAGGCTAACTAGATGCAGCAGGGAGAGAACTATTTTCCCATTAGGGAGTATACTCTGTCCCCTCTCACATGGGAGCAACTGTCTCTTCAGAATATCTGGGCTGCCATCTTAGAGCAAATTGTCTTGCACCTTGAAACTTTAGAGAAAAAAGGAAACAAACCAGAGAGTCGTGTATGTGCCATTCTTGGGGGTTATTTGCATTTATATTAAACCTAAAGTTGGTTTAGAAATCTTGACGTTATCATTTATTATAATTTATTTATTTTCCAATTTGTCTAACATTATATTTACACACATTGTTTAAACAGTATCTACATTTTTTTCTCAATTATACTCTGGACTATAGAACCCCATAGGTAGACTTGATCTATATTAAATTTACAGTCTAGCTTTATTCTGTCCTTTATCATTTTCTTAGTGGACTCCCCAGATAACCCTCGTAAACCTACTTCTATTTCACTGGATTCCAATTACTATACCTTTCCACCCCGCAACAGCCCACAGACTGCAGAGGAGAACGTCTCTCATTTCTGAGAAGTCCTCTGTCATATAAGACACATTTTCCCCCTTTCTAGCTCCATACAGTTTTTATTTATACCAACGGTCTCATCTTCTTTATAGTCTTATATGAAAACCTTTATTAATGTCTATCTTCTAGAGTTAACTGCTCACTAAAATGAATCCCTATGCTTATAGACTTCATCCCTCCCTAAAAGACCTTGCTCTTGTATTTATGCCTTCCTTTCCAGCATCATTAATCTTAATATTCCTCTAGTCCAGCTCCTCTACTGTCTAATATATTACTGCCCATGTTATGCTTTAAACATCATTTTTATCATGTCACTCCCTTTTCCAAATCCTTCAAAGATGATTTCTTTCAATAGCTTCCACTTTTTAAAGGCTTCCACTATTTTAATTCCCCCCTTTTAATTCAATAGTCTATTCAATATTTTCCCCAAACATAATCTTCACTGTATTCAAGACAGTGTCTACAGTGATTCAAGTCCATCATATTCTTGCTACTTGGCCTATGGTGGGCATTCAGGACATAGTGGAAAATTAGATGTATGCAAGTTCATTCTTAATGTCATAAATTCAGGTTGTCTCTCACATCTGAATTCTCATTTTCTTATCTTTTGGGCTATCAGAATCTTAGATGGTTTTAAATCTAACTTTAGCTCCATTTCCTTTATGAAACCTTTCAATATTCAAGTCTTAATTCATACTCCGTTTGTTTGAATATTTAGGAAACATAGCTTATATCAAACAAGTATACATTAGTCATGGTTCATTACAGGTTTTAAAAAACACATCATTTCAAGTAGAAAGAGAAAAAAGGATTTAGTAAAGGAAAAGTGCTTACTACATTGAAAGAAGAGAAGAAGAACAGACTTTCCATTGATTGGGCTTCTGGAAATGATATAAAAAAATACCACTAAATTGTAAGGCTGGAGAAGCTGCTGACTTTGCTACAGTCAAGGGGAATCCGGAAGCCATAGCATTGTTGCTAACCACAGGAATACTTTAATAGTAAACTGGGCATGATAAAGAACCTACCACATCTATTGACTGCAAACTGTACTGTACCCGTTAGATTTACACAAAATTGAAGCCTTCATCCCAGTACCCAGGGATAGATTCAAGGACATTGGCAATGGGATAGAAGAAAAATCAAATGCTTCCATAATACTGCTTGCAAAAGTTCAGTGTTTTCTTTACTTTCAACTTCCAAAACACAGGAGTTCATTTAGTGGGCTGAGCTTTTACAACATATGAAACAAGAGATGCTAAAGACTCTGAGGAATTGAATTTTTAGTCTTTAGTTTATGTAGTATAGCTAAAGGAGGGATGAATATCAGGTACGGACTCAATGTATTCTCCACAAGTGGATTATTATATTTTATTACTTTGTTTTTGTTTGATGCATAATGATTATGTCTTCCCAAATATATAATTACTTGATAAATAGCTAACTGAGATGCTGTCATATTGTAGAAGGAAAACAAAATACTAAATTACACAAGATTTAATACGTTTATACCCTAGTCCTCCAACAGGCTTTTGTTTGTTTGTTTGTTTAATCATGGAAACAGTCACTTAGTTTCTTTAGGTCACATTTAATTTGAGAAGATTTTACTAGGTAATGTCTTGGTCCCTCCTGATAGTCTATTATTTCATGATTGATTGAACTATATCTTGTTTAAGTAGACAACCCATCTGCTTGCTGGGAGAAAATTGTGTTTTACTATTAAATGCTCACTTGCGTGTTTCACCTCAAAAGATACTAGAGGAGAGATTTGGGAGTCACACAACATTGACATTTTACTTTTTCTCTGAGGGTGGTTAAATGCACATACTTTTATTCTTTTTAATGATAGGTACTGACTTGAAGTGCCTTGTCTAACAGCTGTTTGAATGACTTTAACACGTTACATGGAGCACTCACTGTAAGAACTGTATCTCTAAATCCAATTCTACATGACTTAGAGAGAGTCAATATCATTCTGACTTTTCCCCAATACAAAATCACACTCTCCTGACTTTCATTCTCACAGTATGCTCTCAGCCATTGATCCGCCATTTAGAATGATGGATCTTTCCTATCTTTTGCTATCACTGGCAGCCAGTCCTTAAACAGATGGGACGACAATCACTCCCTGTGGATGGTCTCCCTAAATAACTACCTGTCGGCTGAGTTGTAACTAGATTTGGAGACTGATGCCTATATTACTGCACAATAAGATAGTTTGGCTTGAGCTCCACAGTGATTCCAAGAATAAACTTGGCCTTGCTAAGAATCCACATTTAAAGTGGCAGTCTAGTATACATCATTTCTAATTTCATTTGGAATGGTGTAACTGGGAACATTTTTGCCTTGTATCAGACCTTGATCAATTTCACTGCCAGATCCTCTAAGGAAGGAAGAGAAAATTCTCTACTAAAGATGATAATTTCTTCCTTAAACCCATAGAAAATAGCAAAACTTGTCAGCAAATGATGCTTAAAATAAAATTTTCAAATGAAAACTTACAAAACTACCCCAACATTTGTAGATTCTTGTCAACATTCTCATTATGTATATGCGCCAACTTCCTTTTGTGAAACCCTTAATAGGTAAAGATATTTAACAAGTCTCATATAGAGTCCAAATTAGTTCAGGTATGTTAGTTCATCAAACAATATTATAAGAGAAAAGATACATTTATAAATTAGGTAACTAAATACAGAAAACTTTGAAGATCTTTGGGACAGGATTTCACCAAAAGTAGTTAATATTCCAATTTCCAAAGGAGAATAGTGAATCTATGATTCGTTGGAACCCCTTTGCAAGGTTTTAAGACAAAGGATTAAAAACATATAAATTTATCATGAAAATCAGGGGTGAGCAACAACTTAGTAAAATAAAGCAATGGCAGACTAACATTAATTTATTTTTGGATACTATGTCAGACTGGTATTTGAGATAAATGAATTCAAAAGACATATTTATTCCAGTAACGTATTTGGCAGATTTTTTTTTTTTTTTTTTTTTTGAGACGCAGTCTTGCTCTGTGGCCCAGGCTGGAGTGCAGATCGCAATGTCGGCTCACTGTGAGCTCCGCCTCCTGGGTTCACGCCATTCTCCTGCCTCAGCCTCCCGAGTAGCTGGGAGTACAGGCGCCCACCACCACGCCCGGCTAATTTTTTCTATTTTTAGTAGAGACGGGGGTTTCACCGTGTTAGCCAGGATGGTCTCGATTTCCTGGCCTCGTGATGTGCCCGCCTCGACCTCCCAAAGTGCTGGGATTACAAGCGTGAGACGCTGCGCCCGGACAGTATTTGGCAGTTTGTTAGTTGGATTTATTTTAGTGTCCATGTGCAATATATTGAAGTCAAAATGTAGTAAGAGCACACAATTATCCTTCATAAAAAGAAACTCATCAGTACAGTTGGTTCATATTTGTGTTTCTTCATCCTCAGTTTTCATAATTCTAGATGCTCATATAGATAGGACCATATTCTGCTAAAGAAGATTGGCGTTTCTCTTGTCAATCTCTTTCTTTTTAAGAAAGATGCAGTCTTTCCAGGGTTTGTTATTCTAATTTCATATCTTAAGGCTCATTGATCAGAAATGTGCTAAAATCAAGGTATCTACCAGGCTACATTCGTTTCTGGAGGCACTAGGGATAAATACACTTTCTTGACTTTCGAGTTCCTATGGGATGCCCACATAGCTTGGATTGTGACGCCTTCGCATCTGCAAAGTCATCAATAGCTGATAAATATTTTTCATATCATGTCACTGTGACTGACTCTTTTTCCTCTCTCTTTCATTACAATGACCCTTCTAATTACATTTGGGATCCCTAGATAATAAAAAAATCTTCTATCTCAAGGTA
The DNA here is from genome assembly GCF_000001405.40 of Homo sapiens. Classification (NCBI taxonomy): domain Eukaryota; kingdom Metazoa; phylum Chordata; class Mammalia; order Primates; family Hominidae; genus Homo; species Homo sapiens. Next base: position 95,642,177 of record NC_000003.12, read on the forward strand.
GTTAATTCCATCTGCAACTTCAATCCTCCTTTGCCTAGCATAACATACACACAGGTTCTGGTAATTAGGATGAGAATGTGTTTGGCAGGCCATTATTCCACCTAACACAGTAAGTCACCAATATTTTATATTGGAGTTTCATAGTATTATGAGAGGCACAACGGTGGTAAATTTGGGGAATACATTTATTGAGCCTCCACTATGTGCCACTTCATGACTTCTGGTTATCTCACTGATTTTTTTTTTTCAAATTTACTCATTAACTTATATATGGATATGTATTAGTCCATTTTTATGATGCTGATAAAGACAAACCCAAGACTGGGCAATTTACATAAGAAAGAGGTTTAATGGACTTACAGCTCCACATGGCTGGAGAGGCTTCATGATCATGGTGGAAGGCAGGGAAGACCAAGTCACATCTTACATGGATGACAGAAGGCAAAAAGAGAGAGAGCTTTGAAGGGAAATTCCCATTTTAAAAACCATCAGATCTCGTGAGACTTATTCACTATCATGAGAACAGCATGGGAAAGACCCTCCTGCATGATTCAGTTATCCCCTACTGGGTCCCTCCTACAACACATAGGAAATATGGGAGCTACAAGATGAAAATTGGGTGTGGACACAGAGACAAACCATATCATTCCACCTCTGGCCCCTCCCAAATCCCATGGGATTCACATTTTGAAACCAATCATGCCTTCCCAACGGTCCCCCAAAGTCTTAACTCATTTCAGCATTAACTCAAAAGTCTACAGTCCAAACTCCCATCTAAGACAAGGCAAGTTTCTTCCACTTATGAGCCTGTAAAATCAAAAGCAATTTAGTTACTTCCTAGATACAATGGTGGGTACAGACATTGGGTAAATTCAACCATTCCAAATGGGAGAAAATGGCCAAAACAAAGGGGCTGCAGGCCCCATGCAAGTCTGAAATCCAGTGAGGCCGTCAAATCTTAAAGCTCCAAAAGGATCTCCTTTGAATCCATGTCTCATATCCAGGTCATGCTGATGCAAGAGGTGGGTTCCCATGGTCTTGGGCAGCTCTGCCCCTGTGGCTTTGCAGGGTACAGCCTCCCTCCTGGCGGCCTTCATGGGCTGGCATTCAGTGTCTGTGGCTTCTCCAGATGCACAGGGCAAGCTGTCAGTGGCTCTACCATTCTGAGGTCTGGAGGATGGTGGCTGTCTTCTCACAGCTCCCCAAGGAAGTGTCCCAGTTGGAACTCTGTGTGGGACCTCCGATCCCACGTTTCCCTTCCACACTGTCCTGGCAGAGGTTCTCCATGAGGGCCCTGCCCCTATAGCAAACTTCCGCCTGGGTATCCAGGCATTTCCATACACCTTCTGAAATCAAGGCAGAGGTTCCCAAACCTCAATTCTTGACTACTGTGTACCTAAGGGCTCAACACCATGTGGAAGATGCCAAGGCTTTGGGCTTCCACCCTCTGAAGAAACAGACCAAGCAATACATTGCCCCCTTTTAGTCATGGCTGGAATGGCTGGGACACAGGGCACCAAGTCTCCAGACTGCACACAGCAGAGGCACTCGGGGCTCGGCCCATGAAACCATTTTTCCCTAGGCCTCTGGGCCTGTTATGGGAGGGGCTGTCATGAAGACCTCTGACGTGCCCTGGAGATATTTTCCCCACTGTCTTGGGCATTAACTTTCAGTTCTTTGTTATTTGTGCAAATTTCTGCAGCCAGCTTGAATTTCTCTTCAGAAAATGGGATTCTTTTCTATCACATTGTCAGGCTGCAAATTTTCCAAACTTTTATGCTCTGCTTCCCTTATGAAATAGAATGCCTTTAACAGCACCCAAGTCATTTTTTGAATGCTTTGCTGCTTAGAGATTTATTCTGTCAGGTACCCTAAATCATCTCTCTCAAGTTCAAAGTTCCACAAATTTCCTGGGCAGGGGTAAAATGCCACCAGTCTCTTTGCTAATACATAGCAAGAGTAACCTTTGCTCCGGTTCCCAAGAAGTTCTTCATCTGCATCTGAGACCATCTCAGCCTAGATTTCATTCTCCATATCATTATCAGCATTTTAATCAAAGCCATTCAACAAATCTCCAGGGAATTCTAAACTTTCCCACATTTTTCTTTCTTCTGAGCGCTCCAAACTCTTCCTGTTATCTAGTTCCAATGTCACTTCCACATTTTTGGGTATCTTCAGCAGCACCCAAGTCTCCTGGTACCAATTTACTGTATTAGTCCATTTTCACACACAGATAAAGGCAAACGTGAGACTGGGCAATTGAGACTTGAAATGTGGCCAAAAAAAAAAAAAAAAAAAGGCTTAATGTACTTATGGTTCCACATGGCTGCGGAGACCTCAAAATCATGGTGGAAACTAAGGAGGAGCAAGTCACATCTTACATGGATGACAGCAGGCAAAGAGAAAGCGCTTGTGCAGGGAAACTCCCATTTTAAAACCATCAGATCTTGTGAGACTTATTCACTAGAATGAGAACAGCATGGGAAAGACCCACCCCCATGAATCAATTATCTCCCACCAGATTCCTTCCCCAACATATCGGGAGTATAGGAGCTACAAGATGAGATTTGGGTGGGGACACAGTGCCAAACCATATCATTATATATTTACATAAGTTTGTATATACGCATGCTTGTTTGTTTGTATGCCTGCATACATTTAATTTGCACTCCAGTTACATTTTGGGGAGTTGCTTATGTAATCTTTGATTGGATTTGATTACAATCCTACTTCATTAATAAAATCTGCAGAATTAGGCTGTGTCCCTAAAACCCCATTAATTCCCTACCTCATATTCTAGTCCTTCTCAAACATGGATGTCTACCCAATAATTCACTTGTTGTCCTCAATTTTAGAATTTATTGATCTTGTCTTCCCTTCCAAGATGGCTAAATAGGAACAGCTCTGGTCTGCAGCTCCCAGCATGATCAACGCAGAAGATGGGTGATTTCTGCATTTTGAACTGAGGTACCTGGTTCATCTCACTGGGACTGGTTGGACAGTGGGTGCAGCCCACAGAGGGCAAGCCAAAGCAGGGCAGGGCATTTCCTCACTCAGGAAGCACAAGGGGTTGGGGGATTTCCTGTTCCTAGCCAAGGGAAGTTGTGACAGACTCTACTGGGAAAATCGGGACACTCCCACCTTAATACTCTGCTTTTACAATGGTCTTAGCAAACAGCACACCAGGAGATTGTATCCTGTGCCTAGCTCAGTGGGCCTCACACCCACAGAGTCTTGCTCACTGCAAGCGCAGCAGTCTGAGATAAAACTGCAAAGCAGCAGCGTGGCTGGGGGAGGGACGTCTGCCATTGCTGAGGCTTGAGTAGGCAAATAAAGAGGCCAGGAAGCTCGAACTCAGTGGAGCCCACTGGAGCTCAATGAGGCCTGCTTGCCTCTGTAGACTCCACCTCTGGGGGCAGGGCATAGCTGGACAAAAGGCAGCAGAAACTGCAGACTTAAACGTCCCTGTCTGACAGCTCTGAAGAGAGCAGTGGTTCTCCCAGCATGGTGTTTGAGCTCTGAGAATGGACAGACTGCCTCCTCAAGTGGGTCACTGATGCATGTGTAACCTAACTGGGAGACTCCTTCCAGTAGGGGCTGACTGACCCCTCATACAGCTGGTGCCCCTCTGAGATGAAGCTTCCAGAGGAAGGATCAGGCAGTAACCTTTGCTGTTCTGCAATATTTGCTGTTCTGCAGCCTCTACTGGTGATAACCAGGCAAACAGGCTCTGGAGTAGACCTCCAGCAAACTCCAACAGACCTTCAACTGAGGGTCCGGACTGTTACAAGGAAAACTAACAAACAGAAAGGAATAGCATCAACATCAACAAAAAGGACATCCACAAGAAAACCCCATCTGTAGGTCACCATTATCAAAGACCAAAGATAGAGAAAACCACAAAAATTGGGAGAAAACAGAGCAGAAAAACTGAAAATTCTAAAAACCAGGGTGCCTCTTCTCCTCCAAAGTATTGCAGCTCCTTGCCAGTAACAGAGCAAAGCTAGATGGAGAATGACTTTGATGAGTTGACAGAAGTAGGCTTCAGAGGTCAGTAATAACAAATTTCTCTGAGCTAAAGGAGGATGATCTAACCCATCTCAAAGAAACTAAAAACCTTGAAAAAAGATTAGATGAATGGCTAACTAGAATAAACAGTATAGAGAAGACCTTAAATGACCTGACGGAGCTGAAAAGCATGGCACAAGAACTACACGACACATGCACAAACTTCAGTAGCCGATTTGATAGGGTGGAAGAAAGAGTATCAGTGATTGAAGATCAAATGAATGAAATGAAGTGAGATGAGAAGTTTAGAGAAAAAAGAGTAAAATTAAATAAACAAAGCCTCCAAGAAATATGGGACTATGTGAAAAGACCAAATCTACGTTTGATTGGTGTACCTGAAAGTGAGAGGGAGAATGGGACGAAGCTGGAAAACACTCCTCAGGATATTATCCAGGAGAACTTCCCCAACCTAGCAAGGCAGGCCAACATTCAAATTCAGGAAATACAGAGAATGTCACAAAGATACTCCCTGAGAAGAGCAACCCCAGACACATAATTGTCAGATTCACCAAGGTTGAAATGAAGGAAAAAATGTTAAGGGCAACCAGAGAGAAAGGTCGGGTTACCCACAAAGGGAAGCCCATCAGACTAACAGTGGATCTCTTGGCAGAAACTCTACAAGCCAGAAGAGAGTGGGGGCCAATATTCAACATTCTTAACGAAAAGAATTTTCAACCCAGAATTTCATATCCAGCCAAACTAAGCTTCATAAGTGAAGGAGAAATAAAATCCTTTACAGACAAGCAAATGCTGAGGGATTTTGTCACTACTAGGCCTGCTTTACAAGAGCTCCTGAAGGAAGCACTAAACATGGAAAGGGACAACTGGTACCAGCCACTGCAAAAACTTGCCAAACTGTAAAGACCGTCGATGCTAGGAAGAAACTGCATCAACTAACCAGCGAAATAACCAGCTAACATCATAATGACAGGATCAAATTCACACTTAACAATATTAACCTTAAATGTAAATGGGCTAAATGTCCCAATTAAAAGACACAGACTGGCAAATTGGATAACAAGTCAAGACCCATCAGTGTGCTGTATTCAGGAGACCCATCTCAGAGACAGAGACACATATAGGCTCAAAATAAAGGGATGGAGGAAGATCTACCAAGCAAATGAAAAGAAAAAAAAAACAGCAAGGGTTACAATCCTAGTCTCTGATGAAACAGACTTTAAACCAACGAAGATCAAAAGAGACAAAGAAGGCCATTTCATAATGGTAAAGGGATCAATTCAACAAGAAGAGCTAACTATCCTAAATATATATGCACCCAATACAGGAGCACCCAGATTTAAAGCAAGTCCTTAGAGACCTACAAAGAGACTTAGACTCCCACACAATAATAATGGGAGACTTTAACACCCCACTGTCAACATTAGAGAGATCAATGAGACAGAAGGTTAACAAGGATATCCTGAACTTGAACTCAGCTCTGCACCAAGCAGACCTAATAGACATCTACAGAACTCTCCACCCCAAATCAACGGAATATACATTCTTTTCAGCCCCACATCACAATCATTCCAAAATTGACCACATAATTGAAAGTAAAGCACTCCTCAGCAAATGTAAAAGAACAGAAATCACAACAAACTGTCTTTCAGACCACAGTGCAATCAAATTAGAACTCAGGATTAAGAAACTCACTCAAAACTGCACAACTACAGGGAAACTGAACAACCTGCTCCTGAATGACTACTGGGTACATAAAGAAATAAAGGCAGAAATAAAGATGTTCTTTGAAACCAACGAGAACAAAGACACAACATACCAGAATCTCTGGGACACATTTAAACCAGTGTGTAGATGGAAATTTATAGCACTAAATGCCCACAAGAGAAAGCAGGAAAGATCTAAAATGGACACCCTAAAATCAAAATTAAAAGAACTAGAGAAGCAAGAGCAAATAAATTCAAAAGCTAGCAGAAGGCAAGAAATAACCAAGATTAGATCAGAACTGAAGGAGATAGAGACGCAAAACAATCCTTCAAAAAAATCAATGAATCCAGGAGCTGATTTTTTTGAAAAGATCAACAAAATAGATAGACCACTAGCAAGACTAACAAAGAAGAAAAGAGAGAAGAATCAAATAGACACAATAAAAAATGATAAAGGGGATATCACCACCAATCCCACAGAAATACAAACTACCATCAGAGAATACTGTAAACACCTCTAAGTAATAAACTAGAAAATCTAGAAGAAATAGATAAATTCCTGGACGCATATACCCTCCCAAGACTAAACCAGGAAGATGCTGAATCCCTGAACAGACCAATAAAAGGCTCTGAAATTGAGACAATAATTAATAGCCTACCAACCAAAAAAAAGTCCAGGACCAGATGGATTAACAGCTGAATTAACAGCTGAATTCTACCAGAGGTACAAAGAGGAGGTGGTCTCACTCCTTCTGAAACTATTCCAATCAATAGAACAAGAGAGAATCATCTCTAACTTATTTTATGAGGCCAGAATCATCCTGATATCAAAGCCTGGCAGAGACACAACAAAAAAAGAGAATTTTAGACCAGTATCCTTGATGAATATCAATGCAAAAATCCTCAATAAAATACTGGCAAACAGAATCCAGCAGCACATCAAAAAGCTTATCCACCAAGATCAAGTTGACTTCATCACTCGGATGCAAACCTGGTTCAACCTACACAAATCAATAAACGTAATCCGTCATATAAACAGAACCAAACACAAAAAGAAGATGATTATCTCAATAGATGCAGAAAAGGCCTTCAACAACATTCAACAGCCCTTCATGCTAATAATTCTCAATAAACTAGGTATTGATGGAACATATCTCAGAATAATAATAACAGCTCTTTATGACAAACCCACAGCCAATATCATACTGAATGGGCAAAAACTGGAAGCATTCCCTTTGAAAACTGGCACAAGACAGGGATGCCCTCTCTCACCACTCCTATTCAGCATAGCATTGGAAGGTCTGGCCAGGGCAATCGGGAAAGAGAAATAAATAAAAGGTATTCAATTAGGAAAAGAGGAAGTCAAATTGTACCTGTTTGCAGATGACATGATTGTATACTTAGAAAACCCCATTGTCTCAGCCCAAAATCTCATTAAGCTGATAAGCAACTTCAGCAAAGTCCCAAGATACAAAATCAATGTGCAAAGATCACAAGCATTCTTATACACCAATAACAGACAGAGAGCCAAATCATGGGTAAACTCCCATTCACAATTGCTACAAAGAGAATAAAATGCCTAGGAATCCAACTTACAAGGGATGTGAAGGACCTCTTCAAGGAGAACTACAAACCACTGCTCAAGGAAATAAAAGAGGATACAAACAAATGGAAGAAAATTCCATGCTCATGGATAGGGAGAATCAATATTGTGAAAATGGCCATACTGCCCAAGATAATTTATAGATTCAATGCCATTCCCATCAAGCTACCAATGACTTTCATCACAGAACTGGAAAAAACTACTTTAAAGTTCATATGGAACCAAAAAAGAGCCCTCATTGCCAAGACAATCCTAAGCAAAAAGAACAAAGCTGGAGGCATCACGCTACCTGACTTCAAACTATACTGTAAGTCTACGGTAACGAAAACAGCGTGGTACTGATACCAAAACAGAGATATAGACCAATGGAACAGAACAGAGGCCTCAGAAATAACACCACACATCTACAACTATCTGATCTTTGACAAACCTGATGAAAACAAGAAATGGGGAAAGGACTCCCTATTTAATAAATGGTGCTGGGAAAACTGGCTAGCCGTATGTAGAAAGCTGAAACTGGATCCCTTCCTTACACCTTATACAAAAATTAATTCAAGATGGGTTAAAGACTTAAATGTTAGACCTAAAACCATAAAAACCCTAGAAGAAAACCTAGGCTATACCATGCAGGACATAGGCATGGGCAAGGACTTCATGACTAAAACACCAAAAGCAATGGCAATGAAAGCCAAAATAGACAAATGGGATCTAATTAAACTAAAGAGCTTCTGAACAGCAAAAGAAATTACCTAATCAGAGTGAACAGGCAACCTACAGAATGGGAGAAAATTTTTGCAGTCTACTTATCTGACAAAGGGCTAACATACAGAATCTACAAGGAACATAAACAAATTCACAACAAAACATCAAACAACCCCATCAAAAAGTAGGCAAAGGATATGAGCAGACACTTTTCAAAAGAAGACATGTATGCAGCCAACAGTCACATGAAAAAATGCTCGTCATCACTGGTCATGAGAGAAATGCAAATCAAAACCACAATGAGATACCATCTCACACCAGTTAGAATAGCGATCATTAAAAAGTCAGGAAACAACAGGTGCTGGAGAGGATGTGGAGAAATAGGAACACTTTTACACTGTTGGTGGGACTGTAAACTAGTTCAACCATTGTGGAAAACAGTGTGGTGATTCCTCAGGGATCTAGAACTAGAAATACCATTTGACCCAGCCATCCCATTACTGGGTATATACTCAAAGGAATATAAATCATGCTGCTGTAAAGACACATGCACACGTATGTTTACTGAGGCACTACTCACAATAGCAAAGACTTGGAACCAACCCAAATGTCCAACAATGATAGACTGGAGCAAGAAAACGTGGCACATATACACCATGGAATACTATGCAGCCATAAAAAATGATGAGTTCATGTCCTTTGTAGGGACATGGATGAAGCTGGAAACCATCATCCTCAGCATACTATCACAAGGACAAAAAAACGAAACACCACATGTTCTCACTCATAGATGGGAACTGAACAATGAGAACACTTGGACACAGGAAGCGGAACATCACACACCAGGGCCTGTCGTGGAGTTGGGGGATGGGGGAGGGATAACATTATGAGAACTACCTAATGCAAATGACAAATTAATGGGTGCAGCAAACCAACATTGGACAGGTATACACATGTAACAAACCTGCACGTTTTGCACATGTACCCTAGAACTTAAAGTATAATAATAAAAAAAATAAGAATTTATTGATCTTTCTACAAATACTGAATTCTGTGTCTTATACTATTCATCTAAGTTTTTGGAGCATAATTTTGGCTCTTAGTTTAGCTTCAGGCAAGGGATATGTGTGATTCTAAGTCACTTGTGTTCCTAGTTCTATGTTGCTGAGATTCTGTATTTGTCAAATTATTATTTTCTGCCTACCAGTTTTCATATTACGAAGTGATATGGGGACATACATGTTCATATATACATATGTGCTCACAGGCCTTGTGGGTAAAGGAGTGAGCATGTATCTCTCCTTGTACCTCAATTGATAAACCTATTTTCAAAAGCTCTGCTTATCGTTAATAAAGTAAATATTGACATTAATGTGTAACTAAAATTGATCATGGTCTATTTCCTTCCTATTACAAAAAATGTTAAATTATTATTATGAACAGAATGAAATGAATTACATCTAGTGCAAAAATAAGTTAACTCCATATTATTACTACTGAAACTACCCTGAAGAAGATATAATAAATAACTAAATTTAGAGTTTTTAATAGTCTATTTCTTTTAGACTCCTTGAAATAGCCTTTCACATTCAGTAATGCCGCCAAGGAGTTATATGGCTTTTGAAGTCAAAATATTCATTTTCAGTCATTTAAAAATATCACCACAGATGAAAATAAGTACAGTTTAATGCTTTTGATAAGCAAAGTTTTAAAAGGTTATAAAAATTTATATTCTTCCCTTTACAAAAATTTTAACAAAGTATGTAAGAAAACTTAAGTTGATTCTAACTTTGAAGGTGTTAATCTAAACTGAAATCTTAAGACCCTTTTCAGCAATGCTTTGGGCTTTGTTAATTTTTATGTCAAATTAATCTTCTGTCCTTTAAAAAATTATCCAAGTGCAATTTGTTGTATCCCAGGTTTAGACTTTTACATTTTAATTATATTTTGCTTTGATATAAAAAGAAACTATTGTCTTAAAACTTATTTTATATGTTACTTTTTAAAAATATAATTATTTGACGTAAGACTCATAGATTAAAATTTTAGAGAGATATTCAGACTGTTTTTAATGAGCATCTATATTCCCTAAAAGGTATTTATGTGTTATGCTGACCATGGTGGGAGTATAGTGACTCCTAGAAATACTAGAAGTTAGAAGGAACAATTCTATCAAGCTTTGGTGAATTTCATTCAGGCAATAACATTTTCTATTAAGATTTCATGTAGAAATAGCAAATAAGTGAGTTACCTGATTTATTATTCTTACATAGGTTAAAGTTTATTGCTTTTTTTTCTGCAGCCCTAATTCCCTATTTCTTCTCACATGTAGTAAACGACGAGGTTTTTTTTCTTTTTCTTTTTTTGCATGTTTCCATCTAGTAAACATTAAAAATAATAGAATAAAAATTAAAACATATAAATTGTTATGAAGAAATTTTATTTAGAAAACATATAATTTCAAAAGAACTAACAAAATGTTCTTCAAATAAAACAAAAAAGGGAAAAATGTACGTACATATTTCCTATTTGAATGGAATCATAACTGAAATTTACCAAGAAATGCTTTCAGTAATTAGCCTATGATCTATGGTCATTGTTAAGTTCTTCAAAAAGAAAAAAGACAAAGATTACTGTGCCAAACATTACTTCTTCTATTCTTGGCTTAGAAATATGGTTATGGTAACATACTGATAACCAATCTTCTTCATTAAAATAGTGAGGACAATGAGTAAATGAGCATAACTCATCATTTGCCTTTCTTTTGACTAAGCTAAACAATTTCATCTTTTATATTCATATAGATTTTTAGAGGCTTTTGGTTTAAATTCTATATAGTCTTCACATACACATGATTATGAAGCCAACCAATTATAAAATAAAAACCAAACCCTGTGTCACAGCATATTTCTGGATTCCTAGAGCCCTGGGAATCATGTTCAAGTCAAAAAGTCTAAGAAAATCATTGGAATACTTTATGTAGGCATTGATCTCACCCTGATAATCATGCTTGATCAGAGCATTTTCCAATAGAAGTGTAACCTGAGCCATATATGTAATTTTTAAAATCAACTTTAATACTATTTTGTGTTTAGCCTAATATGTTATATTTTTAAATCAAGACATAAAACAAGATGATTTCTAAAATACTAATTCTTTGAAATCTACTTTATATTTTATATGTACAGCTTATTTTAATTCAGATACTAAATTTTCATCGGAAGCATTTTATGTGTATTTAGATTTTATGAATTTACGTTTGAAAAAGTAATTTCACATACACGAGTTGTTGCAAATATACTCAAAAGTTTTCCAATAAATGAATCAATATGAAGAAAAAAATTTTGCTTTAGTATTTGTATCCACATGAACAAAATGAGTTTCAGTTTTAAAATGAAATTTAAGTTTGTTTTTTTTTCTTTGTTTGATTAAAAAAGAAATAGATAACATTCAGAGAGTGTGATTAAATTTAATATTAACTCAGACTGTTAAAAATCTTCCGGGCTGGGTGCAGTGGCTCACGCCTGTAAGCCTGTAATCCCAGCACTTTGGGAGGCCAAGGCAGGCAGATCATGAGGTCAAGAGATCGAGACTATCCTGGCCAGCATGGTGAAAACCCATCTCTACTAAGAATACAAAAATTAGCTGGGCATGGTGGTGTACTCCTGTAGTCCCAGCTACTCGGGAGGCTGAGGCAGGAGATTTGCTTGAACCAAGGAGGCGGAGGTTGCAGTGGGCCAAGATCACGCCACTGCACTCCAACCTGGCAACAGAGCAAGACTCCTTCTCAAAAAAGAAAAAAAAATTCTGAAAAAATCAACAGGATACATCTCAGAAAAGCTGGCAATTCTTTGGTGGAAAGTAAGTTGCATACTTATCCAAGCTGCCCAAATGATTATCAAGGCAAGTTTGTTTTTCAAAAATAGGTTTTAACATAAATTAAATAAACTATACAGATATTCCCTAACAGTACAAAATTTTAACAATGAAATTAAAGTATATAGCAAAGCCAAATATGACAATACACATGACTAATTTATAAAGTAAGCCTTTCAATCCTAGAAATCTAAAATGGGGAGAACGTACTGAAGGGTAGCATACATAAAATGAGGACAAATATCAAGGAACAATCTTAAACATTTTCCCAATGACTGACTAAGCCTCAAAAAGACAGCTTAGGAAAAGGATTAATACGTATTTTTTCTTTTTATCCTAGCCAATTCAGTCCTACTTAGATAAATCTGGTTACTAATCAATGCATATATAAATTAGAGGAATTTTTTTCTACTCGATTACTACCATATTTTCCTCTTTCACCTTTTCCCTAATTTTGTCTAGCAACACTTTTCCTTTGGTTTGATCAGTTGAATCCAAAAGTTTTGGTGCCTAAAATGAGTATCAACTCTTATTGAAATAGCATTTGGGAAACGCAGTCCTAATGAAGGCAAATATTCAACCGAGGTGGTTTGACAGAGTTAAATATCCATCTCAATATGACAAATGTCTCCCAGGTTCATCACTGGGTTAATGGCTGCTGTTAGCTAGATACACGCCCCTGCATAGTGGAATGCTCCCTGGTGAGGTACTGCAGAGCTATTGTGCACAAACACCCTCCAATTTAAGCTTTCAATAAATACAAAGCATCATTTTAAACCACTTCAGTAGAATAAATAAAAAATATTGTCTTTCTATTGGCCTGCTTTGCTTCTTGAGCTGGCTTGGAGTGCTGTTTGTGACATAGAAGACACAATAGTTCATTAGTGGCTACTCCAAGCTCTTTAGACGTCAGCACTTACTGTTCTTCAAGCCTCAGAACTTTTTTGCAACAGTAATGGTATTCTTCATTAGCATCGCCACCGTCATGAGGCCAACACCTCCAGGAAGTGGCATGATGTAACCGGCTTTTTATCTGACTCCTTCAAAACCCACGTCTCCAACCAATTTGGGTTGAGCAGTTACGGGATCTTGAACTCTAGTTATTCCCACATCAACAACTGCTGTTCTTTCCTTGATTATATCTATTGTGAACAGGTTTAGAATTCGTGCAGCGGATGTTACAATATCTGCAAATATTTTGTTTCTTCAACTGCTCTTTGGGAGTATATCCATGAGATATTCTAACGGTGGCATCATCTCTGGGACGTTCATGCACCCCACGTATGTGCAGTGACATTACAATGGGCATTCCAACAATTTTTGACCTTCCAGTCACAACCACATTCTTCCCTAGGGTTGGAATGTCAGTTCGCTTAATTATTTCCCACACACCCCATGGGGTAGCCGGTAACATGGAATATTGGTCCAAACACTTTCGTCCTACATTCATTACAGGAAAGCCATCAACATCCTTGTCTGGAGAAAAAGCATTGCAGATCTTTCTCTCATCAGTGTGCTCTGGAAGAGGCAGCTGAACAAGGTGGCCATCTAATTATCTAATTATCAACATTACTCAGTTTATTTATTAACTTCAACAATTCTTCCTCAGAAATTGAAGCTGGTTTCACAATTGTCTCACTGGTGATTCCAAAATGCCGTGCTGTGGAAGGTGCGAGAGCGCGGGCGGCAGCTCTGCGGGGGACAGAGCAGTTGGGCAGCCAACGCAGACATGAGGGAAGCCACAGCCATAGCCTATGCCTGGAAGGAGGAAATTTAACTTAGAGGCAAATGTGTAACAGTTCCAAAAATACCGCTTCCTAAGTTAAATCAATCTACTGACTGTGTCAACTCAGTAGCATTAACATTAAATTTAAATAGGCATTTGATAAATTAAAATCAACTGTTTATTAATATCAGCAAAGCATTCCTCAAAGTTTTCTTAGAAAAAAAGTAGTTTTGCAGCCAATTTACATGACACTGTCAATTACAATAAACACCTTCTACATATTTATCCTGTTAGAGGAATATGTTATTATCATAGATTTGTATTGTGAAAAATTTCAATTTCTACTAAATTTAGCTTCATATTAGTTAACATATATTGTGATATTGGTGAGAAAGCATAAATCACTTGAATTTCGGGGGGTCTTAACTATCGAATATTGGCATGCATTTCTCTTGTTTCAAGGAAATATTTAATTGGAAATTACAGTACAGAAAATCTGTGTGAAACTTTTTGCCATTCAAACAACAATCATTGGTAGAGAACACAGTATCATTAAGTTAATTGGCTGGGCACGATGGCTCAGGCCTGTAATCCCAGCACTCTGAGAGGCTGAGAAGGGTGGATCACTTGAGGCCAGGAGTTCGAGGCCAGCCTGGCCAATATGGTGAAACCCCATCTCTACCAAAAATACAAAAATTAGCCGGGCATGGTGGCACATGCCTGTAATCCTAACTACTAGGGTGGCTGAGGCAAGATAATCGCTTAAACTGGGAGGCAGAGATTGCAGAAAACTGAGATTGCCCCACTGCACTCCAGCCTGGGTGACAGAGTGAGACTCTGTCTCAAAAAGAACCCCAAAAATGTTAATTGACTGCCTTCTTTTTCTTTCAAAATTTGCATAACCTGTTGATGATTTATACACTTGCATACACATATTAAATGGTTTTAACAACTGAACATCCATGAAACTTTTCATTAAGTTTGATCAGAAAATGTATGGATATTTTCAGTGTGTTTCTAATAGCAGAACAAAATGTGAAGAGGAATGCAGTCTGTTTTAGAATTCTAATTAATAGAAAATTTTGTCTAGTTGGAGCTGAGGACCAACCGTTGTGATAGAAAATAACATCTTTATATCTAGCAGATTATCTTCTTTGACATATGTGAATGACATAATATATGACAAAAGTTGAATAAGCCACAAATTGACAGCATTTCTTTGCAAAAATTGAAATAAAACATAACCGATGTATTAATTGAAGAGTGCTTTTTATTTCATGTTTCATTTTAGGCTAAAGAAAAATACTTATATTATTTCAATATTCGAATCAATTGATTTTTGATATTAGTAGAAAGATCTTGTATACTATAGACAATTGTTTGATAGCTTTTTGAGACCTTTTGTTTTGTAAAATATTATTTTCTGGTCTTTTCCTGATAAGTTTTTGAAAAGTTTGAAAAGTTTTCCACACCTGAAATAATAACAATTTTTTTATTATTATTATTACACTTTAAGTGTTAGGGTACATGTGCACATTGTGCAGGTTAGTTACATATGTATACCTGTGCCATGCTGGTGCGCTGCACCCACTAACTCGTCATCTACCATTAGGTATATCTCCCAATGCTATCCCTTCCCCCTCCCCCCACCCCACAACAGTCCCCAGAGTGTGATGTTCCCCTTCCCGTGTCCATGTGTTCTCATTGTTCAATTCCCACCTATGAGTGAGAATATTCTGTGTTTGGTTTTTTGTTCTTGCGATAGTTTACTGAGAATGATGATTTCCAATTTCATACATGTCCCTACAAAGGACATGAACTCATCATTTTCTGTGGCTGCTTAGTATTCCATGGTGTATATGTGCCACATTTTCTTAATCCAGTCTATCATTGTTGGACATTTGGGTTGGTTCCAAGTCTTTGCTATTGTGAATAATGCCACAATAAACATACATGTGCATGTGTCTTTATAGCAGCATGATTTACAGTCCTTTGGGTATATACCCAGTAATGGGATGGCTGGGTCAATTTGTATTTCTAGTTCTAGATCCCTGAGGAATCGCCACACTGACTTCCACAATGGTTGAACTAGTTTACAGTCCCACCAACAGTGTAAAACTGTTCCTATTTCTCCACATCCTCTCCAGCACCTGTTGTTTCCTGACTTTTTAATGATTGCCATTCTAATTGGTGTGAGATGGTATCTCGTTGTGGTTTTGATTTGCATTTCTCTGATGGCCAGTGATGATGAGCATTTTTCATGTGTTTTTTGGCTGCATAAATGTCTTCTTTTGAGAAGTGTCTGTTCATGTCCTTCGCCCACTTTTTGATGGGGTTGTTTGTTTTTTTCTTGTATATTTGTTTGAGTTCATTGTAGATTATGGATATTAGCCCTTTGTCAGATGAGCAGGTTGTGAAAATTTTCTCCCATTTTGTAGGTTGCCTGTTCACTCTGCTGGTAGTTTCTTTTGCTGTGCAGAAGCTCTTTAGTTTAATTAGATCCCATTTGTCAATTTTGGCTTTCGTTGCCATTGCTTTTGGTGTTTTAGACATGAAGTCCTTGCCCATGCTTATGTCCTGAAGGGTATTGCCTAGGTTTTCTTCTAGGGTTTTTATGGGTTTAGGTCTAATGTTTAAGTCTTTAATCCATCTTGAATTGATTTTTGTATAAGGTGTAAGGAAGGGATCCAGTTTCAGCTTTCTACATATGGCTAGCCTGTTTTCCCAACACCATTTATTAAATAGGGAATCCTTTCCCCATTGCTTGTTTTTCTCAGGTTTTTCAAAGATCAGATAGTTGTAGATATGCGGCATTATTTCTGAGGGCTCTGTTCTGTTCCATTGATCTATATTTCTGTTTTGGTACCAGTACCATGCTGTTTTTGTTACTGTAGCCTTGTAGTATAGTTTGAAGTCAGGTAGTGTGATGCCTCCAGCTTTGTTCTTTCGGCTTAGTATTGACTTAGCGATGCTGGCTCTTTTTTGGTTCCATATGAACTTTAAAGTAGTTTTTCCAATTCTGTGAAGAAAGTCATTGGTAGCTTGATGGGGATGGCATTGAATCTGTAAATTACCTTGGGCAGTATGGCCATTTTCATAATATTGATTCTTCCTACCCATGAGCATGGAATGTTCTTCCATTTGTTTGTATCCTCTTTTATTTCCTTGAGCAGTGGTTTGCAGTTCTCCTTGAAGAGGTCCTTCACATCCCTTGTAAGTTGGATTCCTAGGTATTTTATTCTCTTTGAAGCAATTGTGAATGGGAGTTTACCCATGATTTGGCTCTCTGTTTGTCTGTTGTTAGTGTATAAGAATGCTTGTGATTTTTGTACATTGATTTTGTATCCTGAGACTTTGCTGAAGTTGCTTATCAGCTTAAGGAGATTTTGGTCTGAGACAATGGGGTTTTCTAGATATACAATCATGTCGTCTGCAAACAGGGACAATTTGACTTCCTCTTTTCCTAGTTGAATACCCTTTATTTCCTTCTCCTGCCTAATTGCCATGGCCAGAACTTCCAACACTATGTTGAATAGGAGTGGTGAGAGAGGGCATCCCTGTCTTGTGCCAGTTTTCAAAGGCAATGATTCCAGTTTTTGACCATTCAGTATGATATTGGCTGTGGGTTTGTCATAAATAGCTCTTATTATTTTGAAATACATCCCATCAATACCTAATTTATTGAGAGTTTTTAGCATGAAGGGTTGTTGAATTTTGTCAAAGGCCTTTTCTGCATCTATTGAGATAATCATGTGGTTTTTGTCTTTGGTTCTGTTTATATGCTGGATTACATTTATTGACTTGCATATATTGAACCAGCCTTGCATCCCAGGGATGAAGCCCACTTGATCATGGTGGATAAGCTTTTTGATGTGCTGCTGGATTTGGTTTGCCAGTATTTTATTGAGGATTTTTGCATCAATGTTCATCAAGGATATTGGTCTAAAATTCTCTTTTTTGGTTGTGTCTCTGCCCGGCTTTGGTATCAGAATGATGCTGGCCTCATAAAATGAGTTAGGGAGGATTCCCTCTTTTTCTATTGCTTGGAATAGTTTCAGAAGGAATGGTACCAGTTCCTCCTTGTACCTCTGGTAGAATTCGGCTGTGAATCCATCTGGTCCTGGACTCTTTTTGGTTGGTAAGCTATTGACTATTGCCACAATTTCAGATCCTGTTTTTGGTCTATTCAGAGATTCAACTTCTTCCTGGTTTAGTCTTGGGAAAGTGTATTTGTCAAGGAATTTATCCATTTCTTCTAGATTTTCTAGTTTATTTGCATAGAAGTTTTTGTAGTATTCTCTGATGGTAGTTTGTATTTCTGTGGGATCGGTAGTGATATCCCCTTTATCATTTTTTCTTGCATCTATTTGATTCTTCTCTCTTTTTTTCTTCATTAGTCTTGCTAGCAGTCTATCAATTTTGTTGATCCTTTCAAAAAACCAGTTCCTGGCTTCATTAATTTTTTGAAGGGTTTTTTGTGTCTCTATTTCCTTCAGTTCTGCTCTGATTTTAGTTACTTCTTGCCTTCTGCTAGCTTTTGAATGTGTTTGCTCTTGGTTTTCTAGTTCTTTTAATTGTGATGCTAGGGTGTCAATTTTGGATCTTTCCTGCTTTCTCTTGTGGGCATTTAGTGCTATAAATTTCCCTCTACACACTGCTTTGAAGGCATCCCAGAGATTCTGGTATGTTGTGTCTTTGTTCTCATTGGTTTCAAAGAACATCTTTATTTCTGCCTTCATTTCGTTATGTACCCAGTAGTCATTCAGGAGCAGGTTGTTCAGTTTCCATGTAGTTGAGCGGTTTTGAGTGAGATTCTTAATCATGAGTTCTAGTTTGATTGCACTGTGGTCTGAGAGATAGTTTGTTATAATTTCTGTCCTTTTACATTTACTGAGGAGAGCTTTACTTCCAAGTATGTGGTCAATTTTGGAATTGGTGTGGTGTGGTGTGGTGCTGAAAAAAATGTATATTCTGTTGATTTGGGGTGGAGAGTTCTGTAGATGTCTATTAGGTCCGCTTGGTGCAGAGCTGAGTTCAATTCCTAGGTATCCTTATTGACTTTCAGTCTCGTTGATCTGTCTAATGTTGACAGTGGGGTGTTAAAGTCTCCCATTATTAATGTGTGGGAGTCTGAGTCTCTTTGTAGGTCACTCAGGACTTGCTTTATGAATCTGGGTGCTCCTGTATTGGGTGCATATATATTTAGGATAGTTAGCTCTTCTTGTTGAATTGATCCCTTTACCATTATGTAATGGCCTTCTTTGTCTCTTTTGATCTTTGTTGGTTTAAAGTCTGTTTTATTGGGGACTAGGATTGCAACCCCTGCCTTTTTTTGTTTTCCATTGGCTAGGTAGATCTTCCTCCATCCTTTTATTTTGAGCCTATGTGTGTCTCTGCACGTGAGATGGGTTTCCTGAATATAGCACACTGATGGGTCTTGACTCTTTATCCAATTTGCCAGTCTGTGTCTTTTAATTGGAGCATTTAGTCCATTTACATTTAAAGTTAATATTATTATGTGTGAATTTGATCCTGTCATTATGATGTTAGCTGGTTATTTTGCTCATTAGTTGATGCAGTTTCTTCCTAGTCTTGATGGTCTTTACATTTTGCTATGATTTTGCAGCGGCTGGTACCGGTTGTTCCTTTCCATGTTTAGCGCTTCCTTCAGGAGCTCTTTTACGGCAGGCCTGGTGGTGACAAAATCTCTCAGCATTTGCTTGTCTCTAAAGTATTTTATTTCTCCTTCACTTATGAAGCTTAGTTTGGCTGGATATGAAATTCTGGGTTGAAAATTCTTTCCTTTAAGAATGTTGAATATTGGCTCCCAGTCTCTTCTGGCTTGTAGGGTTTCTGCCGAGAGATCCGCTGTTAGTCTGATGGGCTTCCCTTTGAGGGTAACCCGACCTTTCTCTCTGGCTGCCCTTAACATTTTTTCCTTCATTTCAACTTTGGTGAATCTGACAATTATGTGTCTTGGAGTTGCTCTTCTCGAGGAGTATCTTTGTGGCGTTCTCTGTATTTCCTGAATCTGAATGTTGGCCTGCCTTGCTAGATTGGGGAAGTTCTCCTGGATAATATCCTGCAGAGTGTTTTCCAACTTGGTTCCATTCTCCCCGTCACTTTCAGGTACACCAATCAGACGTAGATTTGGTCTTTTCACATAGTCCCATATTTCTTGGAGGCTTTGCTCGTTTCTTTTTATTCTTTTTTCTCTAAACTTCCCTTCTCACTTCATTTCATTCATTTCATCTTCCATCGCTGATACCCTTTCTTCTAGTTGATTGCATTGGCTCCTGAGGCTTCTGCATTCTTCACGTAGTTCTCCAGCCTTGGTTTTCAGCTCCAACAGCTCCTTTAAGCACTTCTCTGTATTGGTTATTCTAGTTACACATTCTTCTAAATATTTTTCAAAGTTTTCAATTTCTTTGCCTTTGGTTTGAATGTCCTCCCATAGCTCGGAGTAATTTGATCGTCTGAAGCCTTCTTCTCTCAGCTCGTCAAAGTCATTCTCCGTCCACCTTTGTTCCGTTGCTGGTGAGGAACTGCGTTCCTTTGGAGGAGGAGAGGCGCTCTGCTTTTTAGAGTTTTCAGTTTTTCTGCTCTGTTTTTTCCCCATCTTTGTGGTTTTATCTACTTTTGGTCTTTGATGATGGTGATGTAGAGATGGGTTTTTGGTGTGGATGTCCTTTCTGTTTGTTAGTTTTCCTTCTAACAGACAGGACCCTCAGTTGCAGGTCTGTTGGAGTACCCGGCTGTGTGAGGTGTCAGTCTGCCCCTGCTGGGGGGTGCCTCCCAGTTAGGCTGCTCATGTGTCAGGGGTCAGGGACCCACTTGAGGAGTCAGTCTTCCCATTCTCAGATCTCCAGCTGCATGCTGGGAGAACCACTGCTCTCTTCAAAGCTGTCAGACAGGGACATTTAAGTCTGCAGAGGATACTGCTGTCTTTTTGTTTGTGTGTGCCCTGCCCCCAGAGGTGGAGCCTACAGAGGCAGGCAGGCCTCCTTGAGCTGTGGTGGGCTCCACCCAGTTCGAGCTTCCCAGCTGCTTTGTTTATCTAAGCAAGCCTGGGCAATGGCAGGCACCCCTCCCGCAGCCTCGCTGCCACCTTGCAGTTTGATCTCAGACTGCTGTGCTAGCAATCAGTGAGACTCCATGGGCGTAGCATCCTACGAGCCAGGTGTGGGATATAATCTCCTGATGCGCCGTTTTTTAAGCCCATCAGAAAAGCACAGTATTCGGGTGGAAGTGACCCAATTTTCCAGGTGCCGTCTGTCGCCCCTTTCTTTGACTAGGAAAGGGAACTCCCTGACCCCTTGCACTTCCCAAGTGAGGCAATGCCTCGCCCTGCTTTGGCTCACGCACGATGCACGCACCCACTGACCCACGCCCAATGTCTGGCACTCCCTAGTGAGATGAACCCGGTACCTCAGATGGAAATGCAGAAATCACCTGTCTTCTGCGTCCCTCATGCTGAGAGCTGTAGACCGGAGCTGTTCCTATTTGGCCATCTTGGTTCCGATCCCTACCTGAAATAATAACTTATTTCAGGTATAATAATTTATTTAACCACCACTTCACCTAAAACCTTACACACAGAGCCTGAATAGAATTTTATTTAAACACTATTTAAAAATAAGTTAAAAATAATTTTGTGCATGAAACAAAGTTGCATACATTAAAACATGAGAAAGCAAAAGTGTCTATCTCAGCTACCGATCTGGATCACTTCTGGTTATTTGACATCCCCATCATTCCTGACTGAATTTTTATGCTATAGATAAGCAATTATTTTCTTATACATATTCAGACATAAGTACTTAACAGTAAGAAATATGACATGCCATTAAGACAGTGGAAAAATAACGTGTCAGGTGTGGAATTTTCCACTCGTGGTGTTATGTTGGCATTCAAAAACTTCAGATTTTGGAGAATTTTAGATTTCACATTTTTAGATTAGGGATGCTCAATCTGTACTAGCTTCTGTATCCCCACTCAATTCTGTAGCAGAAATAAGGTTTGTTTTAAATTTATAAATGTGACCATACTTTTTTACTTCAATGAGAAAAATAATTTAATTTGAAAGAAAATAAGTATAAGAAACACTTTAAAGTACTTAGTACTTACAATTGCATTATCAAAATCTGAGAATTTACATAGATATCACTCTAATCTGCTATGTGAAATGTTCAAATACACACATTACAACATTAAATCATTGTGTTGAAAAGATTCATTTAAACTGAAACAATACAATGACATTTTCTAGAAGAGTGATGTATTTATGTGTAATACCAGAAACTGCTTATGCATCTGCCACATGAACTACAACTATAAAATCTGG
Organism: Homo sapiens; assembly: GCF_000001405.40. NCBI lineage: Eukaryota > Metazoa > Chordata > Mammalia > Primates > Hominidae > Homo > Homo sapiens. The sequence goes on from NC_000003.12 coordinate 95,664,160, forward strand.
CAGAATGCAATGATCAAAGTGAAATGTAGCTATACCAAACCAATAAACTTGTGTTTAATCAAAAACTTATTTTACACAATTTGTTTTCAAATTTAAATAGTCAATTCAATAATATAAATTGAAAATTCCATTTTTCCATTGAACTGGCTACATTTCATGTGCTCAATATCAACTTACACCTAGTGACTAATATATTGAACAACACAGCTTTAGAGTAATGATACACATAAGTAGACATGCAAGATATCATTTTATAAATTAAATAGAGATGATTGCCAAGTTATGTTGCCCTACTCACTAGAGTCACTTTTTAAATTCTTTTTCATTTGTTTTATAATCAAATACAGTTATTTTCACATGTTTGATATCAGACTCAGTCTTTGCTTTGCTTAGTCACTTTCGGAGATGATAAAGTATATATATTGGCATATGTTCTAAAAATCCATTGACACAAAGCACATCAAAATGCATAGAAAAATTCTTTGGAGACAGATACACCATAAGATGGGTTTATTATTTTGGAAAATCCAGTCAAAGCTTGGATTTGGAATTGATTTGGAAAGTAAATCCAAGGCTAGGTATGTGAGTCATGTAAGATGACACTATAGTCATTATACTGACTGAAGGGATCACATTCATTTCTTTCCAAAATGTAATATTTTGTATACAAAACCAACTGCAAATATTGAGACTTAGTATCTAGAAAATACAAATGTAGCTGCTAAAGTGAGGTGGCTCGTTCTAGGAAATCAACTTAATAAGATGACAATTATATTATTACAACCTTAAGAGCTTTCCAAGAGAATAAGTCACTAACAAAGACTGAAAATGTAAAAACAGTTCCCTGATCATTTTTTTAGAAGTGAAATATTGAGAAACTTCATATTTCAATACAAATAATATGTGAACATCTTATTTTATATAGTCTACGTGTTCTCAATACTAAATACTAGTTCAAATTTTAAGACACAAACAGAGGATTTTAATACAACAGTTAGGTGCCTTCCCATTGAATTGATTCTCTGTATTTGCAGATTTTAAATAGCAGACTGATGGCAGAGAGGTTGAGAAAAGTGTTCTGCTTGCCTAAATTTATGATAAAACCAGTTCATAAAATTTACTTGTTTAAACTAATAAAAGTCAAGTAGTTTGGATAGTTGCAATAAGCAAAGTCCTCTCTTAGTAAATACTTGAATGGTAGCCTTCGACTTCATCTAGTTTGTATATTTTCACTTCTATTCACACAATGATTACCTGATAAGGCTATATTTAGGAAATATATTGCACTCTTTAAGGGAAAATTAACATTTATGAAAAGTATCCATTTGACTAAAGATCTTATGTGCTATGTATCAGGGAGTAATTTTGCATTTACAACACAGAATTTCCGCTCTAACGATGTTCCAAAACTATTCCACCATGGCCACCCTGCAACCATTCTCTCAGTCTACACTCCTTTCCATTCCTGGAGTTTCAGTCTTTTCTTTATAAAACAAATTGTTTAAAAATTGCCTGGAAAATTTGATATAAATGACTTTGTGATAGTATTAAGTTATATATATAAGAGCTCATGAGAGGACTTGGATATAAAAATATCCAAATGAGTATGAAAGTACAGCAAGACTGCAGCGTCTCATACTTTTGTATAAAACAAACTTTTTAAAGGAGAGCTTAACTTTTATATGTCTCACAAACTGTGGATAGGTGTTAACAAGAATACATTATTTTCAAAATCTGCAATAGTATAAAAGAGATGAATTTAAAAAGTCAAGGATGGCACTAGGTAGATAAGCAACCCAGATACAATAGGAAGGAATGAGACAAAATGTAAAAAACAACACTTACTAAGCTATTCAGTTATGTAAATGAAAAAAAGAACGTGTAAGGCTTCAATTCAAGTTTCTAGAAATGAATTGCCTAAAAGAGACAATGCATTTAAAGACCATTAAAAGAATATATAGCAAACAATATATGGCAACTAAACTTATTTTAATTATGAGGTATTATTTTTAAGAAGATTAAAAAGTCCATAGCTGGACTAGAAGATGTAAAGATAAAACTGGAAGAAAAATATTAGTGTTGGCAGATGTCAAATAACTGCATTTATTCAACCAGAACTGATCATCATTTAGAGTGAAATGATCAATTATTGGAGTAAAATGCATTTTGTTTGCAAGAGAAATAGAGATCATTCCACAAATTTGTCAAAATGTCAAAGTGTTTTTGAGAAAGTAACTGTAGCATTAAACAACTTCATGGAATTTAGAAATTAATGTATTTGACATAATTTTTCTGCTTTCTATCCACTGACTGCTGCTTGGCATGAGTGATGGCTAATGGATTAATTATAACCGTGAATTTAGGACAAAATCAAGTTTAATTGGCAAGATGACTTTCCTGGGTGTTTAAATCCCAAAACTGCATGCTTTGAAAAAAACAAAGTGGAACTTATTAACGAAACAATTGTGTTGCACAATTTGAAGAGGTTGTATATTTGGTATCATTTTTCTATAGATTACAATAAGCAATATACCATTCCATAGGTAGACTAAAATAAGAAATATATATAGGATATATATACACAAATGCACATACATACATACATACATATGGGGGAGCTTATAAAAAAAGATACGCTTTTATGCTTTCTCTATATTTCACAGCACATATTCCACTCTTACTATTTCTAATCCTTTTTCCACACTGTTAACTGAGAGGTGTGACTCATACAAGCCTGACCATATCTGTTCTACCAATGATATCACACTGCTTTTATGATAGAATCAAAATGCCTCTGTACCATTTGCTCAGTTTATCATTTTAGGCTACATGGATTATTTTTCACTTTACACGTATTACTTCAGTTTGCTGTTTATATTTGTCATACTGTTTCAGTTTATCTGATATTTCCTCTTTATCATCAGCATTTACTAATTCTTTCTTCTTGAAAGAGAGAGAAGGTAAAGCCATTTTCTCTCCCATCCTTCAACATTCCTGATCAATACCTAAACTTGTTCTACTTCTTATTTCCCTGTAGGGAGGTTCCTGATCACCGCCCCAGATGTGGTTTCTCTTCCATATGGGATGGTAACAATGTTTACTTCTTCCATTAAATACATTTTTCTGCTTAATCCTCTAGATTTTATGCTATATGGTTTTCTATGATTTGATCACCATTATATTTCCAAAAGAAGCACACTGCTTATTTTCAATAAATGCTTATATAACAAATAATGAATTTAAAAAATCACAATCCTAGAAGTCTCAGAAATATCTATTCAATTCTGGGGTTTTACTATCAAACTATGGGTAAGTAAAATAAAGCACAGCTAGATATTTTGAGGGTTAAGGAAATGAGTTTAGATAGATAAAACCACATTGTTTTAGTGACAACAGTAACATCTTTGTAGTCTATGAATCTTATGTTTTTCCAGTGATGATACCACTCAATTTTAAACACATGAACTTTACTATGTGTTTTTATTCTTCTGACATCTTTTATTTCTTTTTATGTGCAATTGTAGCAGAAGGTATCTAAAGAAATACCAAAAATGGAGAAGATACGTAAACTAGTAAATGCAGTATATCTGAAACAAAGCTAATAATATGAAAAGAGACCATTTGAGACAGAGCAGGCTAATATTTATTAATTCAAATTCAATGTTATCACCATTATTGAGTGTCTTTAAAAGTGAAAGTATGGATAGATAGCTAGATCAATTAATAGGTTTACATTTATGTGGATTGTAGGTCCATTGGCCCTTAAAAATTTCAATGTGTAAAAATAAAATTTTAGATGGTAATTTAACTATAGTTCAATTGGAAACTATTAATTCCAAAAATGTAAATTTAGAATAAAATTAAAAGAATAGTACAAGATCATGCTACATCTTTTTCTCAACTTTTATTTATTATTGTATTAAATTATACAATTAAAATATAAAGTATTTCCACATGACTCTTAACTTTATGTACAATCTGTTCAAGTAGTTTTTCAGCCAATAAAATGAAGCTGACAAATCTATTTGCTTCAGAAAATCCAGAAAATCAGAACCAAAGATATAACACACACAAAAAAGTCATTTTATTGTGAGGAGCAAATAAGACTTGCATAAAAATTTAAGTATATTAATAACTCATATTTAACAATGACTGGTTAAATTAGTTGAAGTTATGTTGCTAGCTAGAGATGTTGAATCCAGTGAAGAAAACTAATTGAAATTGTTAATTTTATTCTAGTAAGAACTTACGTTTTTCATCAGAGGCTGGAGTTACATTTCTTTCTTTTTTTGTTTTTTTTTTTTTTTTTTTTTTGAGACGGAGTCCCGCTCGGTCGCCAGGCTGGAGTGCAATGGTGCGATCTCAGCTCACTGCAACCTCTGCCTCCCGGGTTCAAGCGATTCTCCAGCCTCAGCCTCTCGAGTAGCTGGGACTACAGGCTCACACCACCAAGCCCAGCTAATTTTTGTATTTTTAGCAGGAACGTGGTTTCACCATGTTGGCCAGGATTGTTTCGATCTCTTGACATCATGATCCACCTGCCTTGGCCTCCCAAAGTGCTGTGATTACAGGTGTGAGCCACTGTGCCAGGCCTGGGGTTGAATTTCTAAGGTAAATAATTTAAGGAGAACTTAAATAAGTATGGATTTTTTATAAGGGTTTAGTGGTTTAAGTTAGTTAGCTAATAGAAATGTTCACCACTGAAAAATTCTTAAGTTTAGGAAAAAATGTCAATACATCCATTGTAGAATATTCCTTATGTTCCAGGAGGTATAAAAATGTAATGTAATTATTACTAGAATGCCAACATAGGATTGTTTGGGAGGTGAAACATGAAGTAGGATGAAATTGTCTTAAATTTCATATGAATAAATGAATACTAGATACATAAGGAATCTTCTGCAAAGATAAATAATAATGGGTGACGAGATTTCCTAGTATCAGAAAAATCTATAATGCCATACTAATTTAATCATATTGGTACAGATATAGAAAAACAATCCATGGAACCAAATAAAGAGTTTGTACTTAGATCCCATTTTATATTTATATTTATCAGACTACAGCTATGACTAAAGTAGTTACCTTCTAAGAGAAAAATCAAGATTAGTTATTAAAGAGTATTTTATATAAGAGGCTATTTATCTGTAAGAAAATAAAGAAGTTTATATTATTTTATGTCTTATAAAACAGACAAAAGACTTAATATTAAAATAGTAAAATATCCTGAAGAAAAATATGAACTCTATATGTAACATTTTCACTCAGTGTGCTTCAGAATTTATAATATTAACAAAACATTTACTTAGCAAAGAATAGCAAAGAAAATATACGGTATGATAAACAAAGTAAATATATGATAGATCTGAAATATATTTATAAAGCAGAAGAAAGATTAAAGAGTCCATTTCTATAGTAATACAGAGATCTCTTACAAATTAAGAAAAAATAAAACAACAGATAGGATTTTAATTGATAACTCACAAAAGAGCAACCCAAATTATCAAAGAAATGAGATGATAAAATACATTATGAAAATCTAAATTAAATACAATAAGGTAGATTCTCTTCCTTTCAGATTCATTAAAAAATTATAATATTTAATTACAGAATATTTAGTTACAGAATCTACTGGTGATTGGGATGTAGAGAAAATGACACATTGGTCTAAAAAATATGAACTATTATATCCTTTTGTTCATTTATTCGAGAAATACAAATTGAGCTTAATAAATTGTAGTCACATATCTAAGCATTTTGGATACATTGTTGAACAATAAAATATTCTAAGCACTCTTCTAGATCCTTGGGACATATTATTGGATGGCAACAAAGCTCTTTGCAGAGCTCGTATTCTAGTACAGTCTCTAAACTCAAATAAGCATGTGCATTTCAACACAGAAATTCCAAACCTGATATTATAACCCATAAAAATAAAGGCATAACTTATTGACATTTAAACATTTTAGTATATAATTTTGTAATAGGGAAATCACCTTAAAACCAAGCGAATGCTCAGTCTTCAATAAAGGACTAATTATGTATATTCTAGAAAATATTATGCAGTCATTCAAAAAGGTGTAAGAGCTACCTCAGAGGACTTGGAATAATTTATAGAAATTATCTTTGAAAAAATAGCATATTGCAAACAACAGTTTGTTTTTGTAAAACTTAAAAAAGTAATGTATATATGGGTGTACAGGAATATAAAACTCTACAGATATATGTCAATAAGAGATTATGGTGGATTCTACTGTTATTCTATACTGCCTGGGGAAACAGGGAAGCAGAGTGGCCAGAAGGAAATGCACACAATAAAGCAAAAATAATAACCTAAACAAGTAAGTTTGTGCTTATGTAATATATACCTGTTTTTTCCACATAAAATAAAAGAAGCCCTTTGTGACAGACACTCTTTATAAATTTTTATCATTTCCTGGTATCATGCTACCAAATTCCAGTCAATCTTCACCCATGTTCTACCAGAGTCATACCATTATTATCCTCATTTGGCAAATGAGGACACGAAGGTTAGAACACTCCCTTCCTTTGTCCATGTTCACACAGCTAGTAAGTGGTGGGACTGAAAATTGTACAAAAGCAGTCTACTGTAGTCTACTGCCTTCCCGATGTATTAATATTTCAAAATATAGCATAACCTGGTAAATGCTAAGGGTAAAATGACTTTACAACAATACTGACTAGGAGTTTTATTTTTTTCTTAAAGAAAATGCAATTGTGTCTTTGAAATAAGTTAAATGTCTGCTTTGCAATTTTATCTCAATTTCATTAAAAGGTCATAGCTGAGTGATGCAATCTGTAGTAAGAGTATGCCGAAAAACTGCTTGCGATTATTTATGCAGAATCAGTGGACTTTGTATAATTGGTGAAAAGTCCAATTTTATTTCTTTTACTGTTGTCTCTGTATTATTAATTTTATTCCTATTGATGCCATTTTAGTGGAGCCATATGTGCTCACAGTTATTATTGATTATGACAGCAAGTCTTTTACCTTTGAGAAACCTAAAGGTGTTGATGTTTACAACACTGTTACTGCCTTTTAACTACGATTTTTTTTTCTAGTCCTACTTGCTACCATGACACGCTAGTGTATTTAACATTTCGTTGGGCATTGCATTACCCGAGGGAGAACTAGTCACGCAATGACTTTGGATTGAATGTGTGCTTTTCTTAGAAGGTAAGTCTCCTTGAATTGTGATGACAGAAGATTTAAAGCTGCTTAATTTATCAAGAAATAATTTTTGTGATGTTTAACCTGTGACTGAGATATCGCATTAGATGTAATAAGTCCCGTCTTTATGTAATTTAACATAAAATTATTCAGAAATATGTATCTATTATTTAGAAGAGTAATATATGATTCTGATATCATGATGACTTTTAAGAATAGAAGAGTTTTCTATTTGCTTTTTATAGGAGGCAGGTACCTAACAATGTGATTTCAAAAAGCCAATATCAACTATTTGCTAACATTTTACTAGAAAGCAAGAGCTATCAGAATAAGTAAAATAAATTAATTAATTAGACTGTTTCCATGCGACACCAGAACATAAAAAAGCATCATAGCCATAATGTTCAAGCACAACTAACAATAATTGTTGTACGTGTCAGTAAGTTAATTACAAATTTAAAGTTATCAGTTATATTTGAAGAAAACTTGCACTAATAGTTTTCAATATATTTTTAATATCTTTGCATTTCATTTTGTTACCCTCATAGAATTTTGAGAACATATGTAATTCATTGAAGTTTTATCTCTAAAGTATGTTGGGCAACTTATAAAAATTATTGTAATTTGTATGTGCTTTCCCCATGGAGCATCTGGTTAATTATCTGTCACTAATTGACATTTAAGTGATATTTACTCTTACTTTAGTTGCTGCTCTTCTAAAAGTCATCTGTCAAAAATAACCTTAAAAATTACTAAACATCTGAAAACCAACTTCAAGTTTTTCCATTTGTAAAGAATAATAATTGTATTCATTTCTCCATGTTACAAATATCCAGAGAAGACTAAATATAAAACACTTTCTGACCTATAGATAATAGATAACAAAACGTTTAGCAAAGTATTATTATGGGTCCATTTTTATATAAATTTATACATTTTAAGGCCATGCTATTAGGAGTCCAGAAAATACCTGGGTTAATGAGTTTGTTTTGTGAACACTTTTTGTGGTGTTTCTGAACAGAATACCACAGACTGAGTAATTTATTTAGAAAGGAAACTTATTGCTTATGGTTCTAAAAGAAAGGCAGCCCAGTATCCAGGTGCCAGGATCTGGCAAGAATCTTTATGCTGCATCATCCCATGTTAAGATGTTAAGAGGGTAAAAGAATGAGAGAAACAGACAAAAGGGGAACTAAACTCATTTTTAAAAATCAGGAACACATTGCCACAACAATGGCATTATTACATTCATGAAGGCTCTGCCTTCTTAATTACTTCTTAAAATTACTTCTTAAAAGGTCTCACCTGTTAACACTCCTGCACTGTAGATTAAGTTTCCACCACATGAACTTTGGGGGACATATTCAAACCACAGCATTCCACCCTTGGCCCTGAAAATTTATGTCCTTCTCACATGCAAAATACATTCATTCCAGTCCAATACCCCCAAATTCTTAATTTATTAAAGCATTAACTCAAAAAAGTCGAAGTCCAGAGTCTCATCTAAATCAGATATGAGTGAATCTCAAAGCACAATTCATCCTGAGGCAAATTTTCCTCCAGAGGTAAGCCTGTGAAATCAAAGCAAATTATCTATTCCCAAAATACAACGGTGTAACAAGCATAGGATAGACATTTGTATTCAAAAAAGGAGAAATAATTCAGAAGAAAGGAGTAACAGGTCCCAAGTACAAAACACAACAACAATACGCACAACATTAAATTGTAAAGTTCCAGAATAATATTTCTTGACTCTATGTTCCTCCTCCTGGACATATAGCTGGACATGCTGGACTGGGGGTGGGCCTTCAAAGTCTCAGGCAGCCACACTTGTATGTCTTTGTTGGACATAGGCTACACCACAACTCTCACAGGTTGGAATCTCAGGCTTGCAACTCTCCCAGGCTGAAGTTTTATGCTGATAGCTCTACAGTTCTAGAGTTTATGTAATATCCCTGACCCCACAGTTCTGCTGGGCATTGCCCCAGTGAGGGCTCTCTGTGGTGGCTCTGTTCCTGCATCAAGTTTCTGCCCTGCCTGGGCCCCAAGGCTGTCCAATACATTCTTTGAAATCCAGGTGGAGGCCACCACAGCCCTACAGCTTGTGCACTCCGTGTGTCCGCAGAGTCAGCACCATATGGATGCTGCCAAGGCTTACTGTTTGTGCCCTCCAGTGTGGTGAGCCAAGCTGCAACTAGGCCCACTGAGCTATGGGTAGTGGTGGGGGCTGAGAAGTGCTCCACCACGATGCAGTGAGCCAATGTTTGAAGCAGCACAGGATGGTGAATCCTGAGGTCCCACAGGCTCCTCTCTGAAAACTGCCTTCAAGGTTCTGCTCTGGACCAGCCTCGGAAGGGGCAGCCTAATATCTCTGAAATGCCTTGAGAGTTTTACCTCATTGTCCTGATGAATACTACCTGGCTCCCTTCTACCCAATCGTAATCTCTTTAGCAAAGGGTCACTTGGCCACACCCTTGGTTTCCTCTCCTAAACATGCCTTTTCATTCTTTACATGACTAGCCTAAATATTTTCAAAATCTTTACTTTCTGCTTCCTTTTTAATTATAAATTCCATCTTTAGATCATTCCTCTGTTCTCTCCTTTTACGGTGAATGGCCTAAAGAAGCCATGTAGCACTTTCTACCCTTTGCTGCTTAGATATTTCTTCTTCTACAAGATAATTTAGCTCATCACTCTTAAGTTCTGCCTTGCATAAGGCCCTAAGTCAGAAACACAATTCCGACAAGTTCTTTGCAACTGTGTAACAAGGGTGGCCTCTACTCTAACTTCCAGTATCTTGTTTCTCAATTTCATTTGAGACCTCATCAGACTGGCCTTTAGTGTCCATATTTCTACCAACATTCTCATTTCAACAATTTAAGTAACCTCTAGGAAATTTCAGTTTCCCTGCAGCTCTTCTTTCCTTCTGGGCCCTCACCAGAAATGCCTTTAACACTCAATTCACAGCAATTTAAGTTTTTTAAGTCTGCTTATCCAAATTCTTCCAGTCTGTACCCAATACCCAGTTCCAAAGGTGCTTCCACATTTTTTGGGTATTTGTTATAGCAATAAACCCACTTCTGGTACTAATTTTCTGCTTTAGTACATTTTGTGTTGCTAAAACAGAATACCATAGACTGGGTAATTTATAGAAAAAAACTATTTCTCACAATTCTGGAGGCTCGGCAGTCTAATATCACACTACTAGCATCTGCTGAGGCCTTCTTGATGCTTTATCCTATGGTGGAAGGTGAGAGTGTGAGAGAGGGCAAGAAAGAGAGAGACAAAAGGGACTGAACTTACGCTTTTTATCAGGAATCCATTCTCACAATAGCTAAATTGCACTTGCAATAATGGTATTAATCCATTCATGAGGGCAGAACTCTCATGACCTAATTATACCTTAAACATGCATTGGGCATACATTTCTAACACCTGAGCTTTGAGGGACACATTTAAACCATAAAAATGTGTTGAGTCAAAAACATGCTATTTTGTTTCTAAAAGGATCCATTTAGCTATGACTTAGCAACTAGCAGAAATACTGTGTAAGGGAATTCATTTCATTATGTGAACTCATGACCTCAATTTTCACAGGTAAATAGTAGAACAGTTTGACTAATCTTCTAAAGCCAATCCACTTATATTTGACATGGCAATGTTTGTTAGGAAATATTTCATAGGCAAAACAGGATAGCAGAACTATTTGTGTTTTCCCCTCCAGTGAAATGTGAAACGAGTGACAATAAATAGTTCAAGACTGATTTTAGATAGAGGAAAAAAATGTATGAATTTAATAACAGTATTATGAAAAATTAGTTTCATAATTGTTAGAGAACAGGATATATTATTATGTGTACCTAGAAGATCATCAAGAACTACAGAAATAAATGGCATTTCTGTTTAAATACTCTCCTATTTGTAGCATTATAAGCAAATATTAAACCTGTATGAAATTATTATATGCAACTATAGTTAAAATTTTTTCAAGAATTATTACTTCAAAACACTTTCTAAGGTGGAATAATTTTAACTGAAAAACAAAATAATTTTGTACTTTGCCTTTTGTTTATTGTGTATCATAGCATACTTGGCAAAATCTCTGCTAATTCTCTCATGTATACATTGACATTATGTGAAGGAAATGGTTTGGATTAAAGAGAAAATTCTTCTTTCATGCTGTGCTTAAAATAACTCAACTGGCTTGAAAACCATGTGGATCAAAACCAGCATGACTGAATGATTCAACATGATACATCATCGTACTAAAAGCAGATTGAAACAAAAATGTGTAGCTTATAAAATGCAAACATTATTTTAAAGTATGCAAAAATGCCAGTTCTTGTAAACATCAGTTGGATACCAAAGATGTTTAAAAATTTACCTTTAATATTGGTATCTAGTCTGTGCTTTTGATGCCTGTGCTTTTATAGTGGTTAATAGATACTTTTAAAAAATGGGTGATTCAATTCAGTTTTCCATTAAAAGAAATAAAAAATGTATATCAAATATATACCAAAATATTTTCGAATTTAATAACATTTTATTAGAGTTCTGTAGTTCAAGCTACTTTTATAATGATTTATGTATAGAAGATTTTTTCAAAAAAAGCTTGTCAATGAAAAATCTTTTCACTTACTAAATCAAGAGTTACTCTATACCTTGCTAAATATAGAAGTGCAACTTGACATGTAGCCTAATCAAAAATTTAAAGAGGAAAGTATAGTACTTTATTTTCAGATTTCGTAGCATTTTCAATAACATTATTTGACAAACCTGCTACTCTTATAATATCTTTGTTTTTTTATAGCACGTTTGTTAAGATTGGCATACTGAAATGTCTCCAGTTGGATCTATAAACAAAAAGGAGTTTCATGATCAGTTTCTTTGAGAACATCAGTGTTTCTTGGTCTAAGCTGAACGCTAAATTAAAACAACATAAAGGGAATATTCACTCTTTTTATTATTATTTCTATGACTGTTGTTACTTTTACCTAGAACAGTTGTGAAATTGAGAGACAGAACACAAATGTTGTTAGAAAGAAATGGCTATGATTATTTCATGTAAAATGAGGAATGGAAGAAATCGTTAGCTAGAAATATCAGGTATAGAGTGGGGGCAGAGAAGTGCTGTGCCACAATGCAGTGAGCAGATGTTGGAAGCAGCACAGGAAGGTGAATATTCACCATGGTTTTAAGGCAGAAGCAAGATCTGAGAAATAAATCAAAAAGGAGATAATCAAATGTTTAGTGAGATTGTCCCAAAGACAGACATAAGTTATAGCTAAATATAAACCCAATTTCTCGTCATTAAAATAAATTATCGGGGAAAATGTTATTCCTAGTAATAGATTGCCTTGACAATTGAAGTTTACTTTTTCAGAAACTTTTGCCATTATTATTTAAAACAAACAAATTTAAAACAACCCTTGTTTCTAAAACATTGCATACATCTAACAGAACTGACCATTTCTTACCTTATTAGCTTGGAGTGCTCTATTTTTTTTTTTTTCAATTCCAAAGTACCTTCTCCCCAAATGCTGTATGTCTAAGGGTCCTTTGCTTTTGTCATTGTTTTGAGACTGAACACACGGACTTCAGATACTTCTGCGTAACTAGATGTTGGGGGTGGACAATGGCAGCTTCCATCCAAATAGTAACTTAGGTGAAATTATGAAGTCCTTGGTGAAATTTCCACTCACATGAAGTGGAGATATTTAGCAGACAAGGACTCTCAGCAACATAAACACTCATGGTTTACTGTCTCAGTTTGATCCTTCTCACCAGCCCTTAATATCTGAATATTGGAATAAATAACTCCACCTAATATAGCGAAGAAAAAGACAAAATCTAACCTGACTTTTAAGATACGAAGTATGTTGAGGGGTCATATTCTATTAGACATATTTTCTTTTCTTTGTTTTTAAATATACAATTAGTATATTTCAAAATGTTAAATATAATTTAACTTTTCCTTAATTCTAGGTCATATTATTGATGAGGTTTTATTTCCTTTTCCTTGCTTTATTTTGTCAAATTCCTTTTATTTTCTTTTTGTTAAACCAATATCTAGCATCATCCTTAACAAAAAAGCATTATGAGTAACATATTAGGTAATTAAAAAATTAAAAATATGAAGGGTGTATATTACTACCCTTAGCAGTTTCCTGGAAGTAGTAATTTACTTAATAAAGCTGTAAATAGTTATAAATATTTGGTAGTTTTTAAAAAGTGGTGAACATTAAAAAGATAGAAGAAATCACATTAAAATGTGTTAAAGTATAAAAATATTTTACAAAAAGAATTTAGCTAATATTAATATGTTTTTATATATTTAATTTAGAATATAAATTAAAAGATTTCCAGTCAATTTTTTTCTTATCCTAGAATCTCATATCTGACTTGAATAAGATATGCAATTACATGTATTGGTTATTGCCAATCTTTAAAAAATTATTGAAAAATTACTCTATGCATGGCAATGCTAGGTACTATAAATAGAGGGTTTATTTATTAGTTGTTTATTTATAATATTTATTAAACTATTCACAAATTTATTTAACATCATCATTGAAAGGATAATTGTGTCCTTACAAGTAATAGACCTGTATTCATTCTTGGAAAATGTCTCCAATATTATTTCAGATACCTAACTTTAAAATTAGAGTCTGTCAATTTAAAGTATTTATTTCCCTCATCCAACAACATCTTATGAGAAAACTACATATAATGCAAACCTACTCTGGATAACCTTGGCAGATGTAGAATAAAACAGAATGTCACCATGTGGCTAACATGATTGCCAGGAAGGTGAGAGGATCAAGTTAGAATAAAAGCAGGGTAGGTACTGAGGAAACCTACAAAGTCATGTCATTCCTAGCATGGCCATTCAGATGGCCACAGGATTTTACTGGGAGTAGGGTTAGCACTGCTTTGGTGTAATCTTTGCTGCTGCACAGCTGGACTCTCAATTTGATGTTATCATCATGGATAATTTTTAACTGTTTCACGTCAGGATGACTTCCTTTCCTCTGGGCTCCACATCTCCATTCCTGGCATAAATGAGGACTGAAGATATATATTCTATTGCCTCCCAATGTTGAATCAGTGATGTAAGCTCTTTCCATCAAAACATGAAATCAATTTCTCTATCCTTGATTTTGGTCTGCTTTAGGAATACATCATGAGAAGGAGATGAGTCATCATAAATATCCCTAAGAAAAAGTTATAGGCTGATGTTCATTTTTGTACATACCTTTCATGGATTGAAAATATGGAAAAAAAATGAAAGGGTACAATGGATAAGGGGAAAATAGATAAAGTAGAAGGAAGGCAGGAAGGAAATATCAATAATATGGCCGGGAGTGGTGGCTCATGCCTGTAATCCCAGCACTTTGGGAGGTCAAGGTGGGCAGATCACCTGAGGTCAGGAGTTCTAGACCAGCCTGGCCAACATGGAGAAACCCCATCTCTACTAAAATTCCCAAACTAGCCCGGCATGGTGGTGCATGCCTGTAATCCCAGCTACTCAGGAGGCTGAGGCAGGAGAATCGCTTGAACCTGGGAGGCAGAGGTTGCAGTGAGCCAAGATCACACCATTGCACTCCAGCCTGGGCAACAAGAGTGAAACTCCATCAAAACAAGAAAGAAAGAAAGAAAGAAAGAGAGAGAGAAAGAGAGAAAGAGAGAGAGGAAGAGAGGAAGGGAGGAAGGGAGAAAGGGAGAAAGAGAGAAAGAGAGAGGGAGGGAGGGAGGAAGGAAGGAAGAAAGGAAGGAAGAAAGGAAGGAAGGAAGAGCAAACCCTAATTTTTGCAGCTTGGTATAATTAAAATAGCAAAATAGTTTAGAAAATGGATCTTTTAGATTTGAAATTGGCTTTTTAACACTTTTTCAATTTTTTAAAATTTAAAAACTCCATTTTTCTTCTTAAAACCTGAGGGAAATTCAACCATAAATGTCATACACCTTTTGGATAAAAATGTACTAGAGTATTGATTGAGAATAGTAAGATTATGTGACAAGAATCAAAGTGTCATAGGCAGAAGTTACTCATCAGCTTCATCAGAGAAAGGATATTGTGTCAACCTGTTTCTTAATCTGATTAATAGCTTTTCTATAGATTGTAATTTATTATCCTCACACCTAATAATTATGCTCCAGTTGAAGCCAGCTGGGAAACACTAAGAGAATTTTAATATTTGTTTTCTAATTAGGATGATCATTTTCAATTAGCCTCCACTTAAAGCTCTTAAATAAAATATAGTTGCTGAAACCCTCAGACCTGTCATTAAACAGAAACCTGTGGGCCTTTTATTGCATCCCCTATATTTAGCTTTCCAAATTACTCATAATGCTTTTTATCTTCTGCTGGCCATTTTATAAATTCTATCCACATACCCAAAGCTGTAAGCTGGGAATAAAAAGAGGACTTTATCACTTGCTAGGGAGATTCCTTTCCAGTTAAACTTCCTTGTAGCCAATCAATTTGTCAGATCAGAGGACTATCTTTTGTGAGAGTTCCTCTGAACTAAAGCTGACAGGGCTAGGCTAGGGTCAGCTGTCTGATAAATCAAAGTGAAAGATAACTTAAAGCACTACAGTAGAGAGGGTTAGGGATTAGCACAGATGGCATTATCTGGGAGTTCACATTGATAAAAATCATATTTGTAAGAGTTAGCCTGCAAGACTTTTTTTTCCCAACTCTTCTATTCCCTGCCCTCTCAAATGACATTCAGATTAATTAGAAAAGTTCGAAAAGAACGGGACTCATAAGCCATTTATCTAACAAGTGGTAAGATTTTTAAAAATTAAATCTTGATGGTCTTCAATAAAACAGCTTAATAAAGATTAAGGGTTATCAATCTTTGCTCTAAGCTATCAAAACTAAGTGACCTTAAATTATATTGAAGTGATATGCAGTAACAAAGTGACAGATACTTTACTGAAGGTTACAATTCTGAGAACATTCAGATATTTATTTACTAAAAGTTTATAAATTTTATGAAGAAAAAATAACTTTTTCAAAATATCTATATTTATCAGAAATAATCTTTTGCCTCTAAGGTAGAGTTCATAATTATATTCTTAACTTACAATTTAATTTCAGTAGAAAATATTGCTATGTTTGAGTCTAAGAATTCCAAACATTGAAGCCAATAAATTAAAACAACTTATGTTTCTAAGTTTTAAAATCAATCATAAAAATCTTCCTAATTTATAGGTAATTTATATGCATGAGATAATACACAATGCATCTAATTGTTGTGCCAAGTTGTCTTAAAATAAAAGTGTGATGAGTGGGTAATACTAAGTCTTTTTTCTCCAGTACAATATCACAGTCATTCTGTGCGGCTCAAATGGAGAGGTAAAGGCATGCAGATCATCAATCGTCTAAAATGTCACCACACACTTTGCAAAAAAGAAGACTTATTAGTAGCTGAGGATCTGAAAAATGTTAAAGTGAAGTGTTTTCCAAAAATATACCAAAAGACATTCTGTCTCTAACTCTTCTGCCTTCATAAGAAGTCACCAAACCAAACAGGGTTTTTGTTTTTGTTTTTGTTTTTGTTTGCTGCTGTTGTTGTTTTTTTCTCATACTGCAAAAAAGTTTCCAAGGAAGGGAACTAATTTAGCGAATTACAAAAATTTACCTCTGTCAGGCCAGGAGCGGTGGCTCACGCCTGTAATCCCAGCACTTTGGGAGGCCGAGGCAGGTGGATCATGAGGTCAGGAAATCAAGACCATCCTGGCTAACACAGTGAAACCCCGTCTCCACTAAAAATACAAAAAAAAAAAAAAAAAATTAGCCCGGCATGGTGGCAGGCACCTGTAGTCCCAGCTACTTGGGAGGCTGAGGCAGGAGAATGGCCGGAACCCAGGAGGCAGAGCTTGCAGTGAGTTGAGATTACGCCACTGCACTCCAGCCTGGGGGACAGAGCAAGGCTCTGTCTCAAAAAAAAAAAAAAAAAAAAAAAAAAGAAAAAAAATTTACCTCTATAAATAAAAATATTTATTCCCATAGGCTCTTGGACTTTTAATTTAGTGACCCTTGATTTTTATGTAAAATTGCAATAAAATATTTCAATAGAATATAAACTTATACTTACTCTATAAGAAGAAAAGACAATTTACTGAAACAGGACAAAAAGAGAAAAAATAAATTAAAAAAAGTTGAGAGTGTATAAGATATTTTACAGTATTCTGTGAATCACAAGAAGTTTTACCTATTAAATTATCTCCAGAATTAAACATAAGAATCTTATAAGTGCTATAGATTTATAAGATTATAAGTGCTATAGGGTTTATGAGATTCAATTTGTTACAAATGATTTTCTGATGAAATATTTGAAGAAATATTATTTCAGATAAATTTAAGAAAATGTGGTAATTAAACATTCATTGCATAAACTTTCTTATAATAGTCAGTTTTACGAAGTTACATTTTGAACAAAATTCCACATCTAAAGCAATAATTAAATAAAACATATTAAATACTTAATGATTTAAAATAAAAATTAACCATGAATATTCATTCTTAAATAATTTATATTCTAAGATATTTGCTGTGTTCATATTATTTCATATGTCCAGGGAATCTAGATGCAAAGTAATTTCTTGCTTTCACAGGGATTGAAAAAATAAATCTGATAACATAGAGGAGCTTCTTTAAGGTAATTATGAGAAATCAAAATTGAAATGTAAAGTAAGAAAGACTGATATTAACATTCGGATACTTTTTGTAAATAATCCTGTTACTCAATCTTTAGTTCCTCTTTCTTCTCCTCCTTTTTCTTCTTTACTTGGCATAACTTTTTAATTTATGAATTAGAAAAAAAAATTACACTTTTTATGACAATGTAAACAATTTAATCTCCATAATTGGTAAATTAACTGAAATAAAACCAAAAGATATTTTTAGATGCTACAGGAAATACAGACATCTATCTACTGTTTAAAAGGTATTCTGCATTGTAACCAAAAAATTTATTTTTGTTTTCCGAACTTTACAGTTTGTTTGGCTCAAAAATGCACAATTTTGGGGGGAAAAGGAAAAGTAAGTTGAAAACAAATGACAGTGTCACTAATCAAAGTAAAATATATTTAAAATCTGGAAGTACATACAATTTTTTATAAAAATGAAATTCCTTAAAAGGCTTGATATTTATTCAGGCTTTATGCATCAGCAGGTACCTGTAAGAAAAACTCTATTAGGGTAGTGATGACAAACAGGTATATACTTATGTACTTACATAATATCCAGGAAATTGGAGTTGTTCCACCACAATGAAGAAATGAATTTTCAGAAGGTTTCTTGAATGAGAAGGAAGAGAGCAAGCAATTCCATCCAAGTGAGCTTGCTTCATCCACGATTGGGTGAGGGGAGAGGGAAAAGCCTATTTGTAGTTTGAGAATAGATTAGAATAAATACTTTTCTTGAATGTCACAAAAAGCTAACTGAGATGGTTTTCCAGTTTCCAAGACTATAAAATGTATAGACCAATCCATGGTAAAACATGGCTACTGAACTCAGAGGAAATGAAAAACATGACACATCTGACCATAATTATTGAAAGGTGAGATACTCTAATAGTAACATCAGACGAGGTAAATAAAAGAGGACAGCAAGACTGCTGTTCCTCAATGAAATATTTCCAAATGTTTCTTAAGACCCAGTGAATATTTCAGAGATAGCATTTCTGGACACATGAGTCTCATTAAAAGCAGAAGACATAAACATGATAGCTGTAACTTTCATCGCTGGATTAGTCTATGGGTTGAGCCAAAAGCATCATCATGAAAACTGTCATTAAAGATGTACTATCATGACTTACATCAAAGACATATGTTCTTTCCAAACAAATGAAGTATCCCCACATGAATGGGAGGAGAGTTTTTACAAAATAACTCTGTCATTCCTTGGCATTTTTCTTAAATTATGAGTAAAATTGCACCTTACAGTCGATTGCATTAATGCTATGAAACTGAATGTTTTAGGATATATAACAAAAAAATTACTGGTAATTGCTCATCGCTGAGGCTTCCCCAAATGTAGAAAAGTTGTGGAGCTCTTTTTCAAGATATTTTAAATCCCCTCCCACACTTAGAATAAAGAGAGGCACTTATCCAACATCCAGATCTCTTCTTGGCACACATATTGGAATAAAACATCAGGGTTGAATTGGGCTTTGATGAATAATGGCATGGTTCTTCAAAGGGAGTGAAACAAAAAAGGCATTTGACATCATTCATCAAAGAAGGCTCAAAATGGCACAGATCAAAAGCAACTGTGGTTCCAAACATCTCTAGATAGTTCTTCAGAAATGGGAGAAGCCTCCTGGATTTCCTTGATTAGTTTTTCATCTAGCATTCCAATTAAAATTAAAAGTGTCAAGTCACAATTATGTTCACTTCCGTATGTGTTCCCATTCAAGATTTAAATGACGAAAAAAAAAGTTGGAATCAAAGTTTTTGCAGGCACTTCAGACCACATTGAGTTAGGTGAAGGTCCTTTTTCTAAAAGAAGATCATGGAGATTTTTTCAACAGCAGGAGTGACAGAGACACTACTCTTAAGAATCTTCACCCTATTCTTCAAGAGAAATGGAAGATTTTTTGAGATTTCAGTGTCAGCTTTTTCATTATTCATAAATTATTCACTAAACACTTGCTTTTGAATGTTTCTTTCAGACAGAAATCTCTTATATGATCTGGATGCTTTTTCATCTCCAGCAAGATTTTTTCTGATTTAATTGGAACCTTACTCTTTTAAAATAAATTATCACAATTGACTAGATGTCATTACTTATGACATAATGATATTCCATACACTGCGCATGTCAACAATGTTTTTAATCAAATATACATATTTCATTATTACATTAATTGAATTTTTTCATTCTGTTCTTATAACTGAGAATAGAACATTATACTTTTGAATGTGTAGAACCATCGATTACTACATCCTTTGGTACTTCAAATTATCCACTTCAGTAAGGCATGGTGGCACACACCTGTAGTTCCAGCTACTCCAGAGGCTGAGGTGGGAGGATTACTTGAACCCAGCAGTTTGAGACCAATCTGGGAAATATAACAAGACCTAGTCTCTAAAGTAATAATGAAAAAAGAATAAGAAAATGCCCAGATCACAGACCTTTGGTCTTCACACAATGTATAAACAGATAGACTAGCATATTGCTTCATAGATTTTGGCTAAAAGAAAATACCACTTGCTATGCCATTTGGTAAGACTTACTGGCTTTTATCAGCATTTTACAATATACCTTCTGAGTTTCCGGGCTCCTTTCTTCAAATGCATTCAAATGACCAGTCTCTGCCAACCATGAGGAATATTGAGCACACTAGTGTTTTGAACTTTTCCATTCTCCAGCAGACTTACTTCTTCCTCTGATGTAAAATGGTCTATATTCTCTTCAACTATTGCTATATTAAATTTCTGGCACCTTTTGTGTTTTGTTTGTTTTATGTCAGTAAATACCACAGAGGTTCCATAACGGTAATTGTCATTGAAAATAATTTTTTAACTGCATCCATGTTGGTAGCCTCTTGTCTACTTTATTTAGCCTCATAGGAATATAGCGTATTTTGCCCATAACAATTATTATTGTGATTTGAAGAGAACAACAATAAGACCCACATTTTTCTCACGTTATTGATCATTGCTGGCCTTTCACCCTAATCTAAGCTTTGAAGACTGGCATGCATCGTGGCAGCATCATGCTAAGAATGCTATGTCTCCATAGACTCAACTGCTCTGCATTCCGCTCCTCATCAAAGAAGCTCTTCATGACAATCACCACCGGCACAGGTCCAGGTCCATGTGTGTGTGTGTATGTGTGTGTGTGTGTGTGTGTGTGTGTGTGTGTGTGTATCTTGGTTCATAAAGATACTTCTAATATTTATTTATATTTAATTTATATAAATATATATTCATATTTTTATTTTTATGTGTTATATTTATAGAGAATAACCACTATTATGAAACAGTAAAACCATGGCTGGGGGCGGTGGCTCACGCCTGTAATCCCAGCACTTTGGGAGGCCGAGGTGGGCGAATCTCGAGGTCAGGAGTTTTAGACCAGACTGGCCAACACAGTGAAACCCTGTCTTTACTAAAAATACGAAAAATTAGCTGGGACTGGTGGCGGGCACCTGTAATCCCAGCTATTTGGGAGACTGAGGCAGGAGAATCGCTTGAACCCGGGAGGCGGAGGTTGCAGTGAGCCGAGATCGCGCCACTACACTCCAGCCCGGTTGACAGTGCGAGGCTCCATCTCAAAAAACAAACTAACAACAACAACAACAACAACAACAACAAAACCAGTAAAACCACATTGTCAGAGCATACAGCACTTACGTATTCTCTCTTTATATATCTATATATCTATCTCCTACTTTGCTTCAGTCTGCAAATGACTGTATCTTTAAGAGTTATCAGTGTTCCTTAGGTCTCTAGTCACTTCGGTTTTGTTAAGCACATCTTCTAGTAGATTTCTAAAGACCTAAGGAAAGCAATATTCTCTGTTGATTCTGCATTGATAATAACAGACTGTCTATGCACTTTATCATTTTGGGAACAGACACTGTGAATTACTGGAGAGAGGAGGAGGTGTTTGGTTAAAAAAAAAAAAAAAAAAACTACCTATCAGGTATTTTGCTTACTGCCTGGGTAACAAGATCTGGATTGACAAACAGTGGTCTCAACTGGAATCCATCTCACTGTCTGTTTAGGCAGACTGCCTAAAATACTAAAATATTCACTATCTGGCCATCCATGAAGAAAGTTTGGCAACTCCTGGTCTAGATTCCCAAGAAACTTTATTTTCTTTGTGATTAAATATCAATAATTTTATGATAATATATGTTATTAGCCATTCTTTTCAGGAATATTATAAGCTACTTTAATAAGTAATTTCATATCTTTTTAATCCTGGAAAGTTTGCTTAAAATATAGTTTTTAGTATTTATTCTGTTCCCTATTATTTTCATCTTCAGTGTTTCTTTACGTTGAAATGTTGCATATTCTTTATTAATCTTCGTTGTTCATTTTACTTAAATCCCTTTATGTTTTCTCTTATATTTTGAAAATTTAAAAAATGTTCCTTCTTTTTCTTCCATTTCTGAAACAAAATTATCTGTTGCATATAAACAGTCTTGTGTTAGTTGCAGTTTAATCTTCAAATCTCACTTTATTTTGTTCTTTTATTTTCCAAAGATCTGCAATCCAATTTGAGTTTTCTAATTACGTTATATTTTTCATACAATTTGTTTTTTCAGCTCATTTGAATAGTAGATTATAGTTTCATAATCCGATCGCTTTTGTATGCTTATCTCACTGGTAAGTTTGTTTTTATTGTCTGTGGAAATGCCATTCTGCTATTCCTTATCTTGCAACTCTGTTATTCTGTTTCCTAATAAAAATGCTGTAAGGGCTGGGCGCGGTGGCTCACGCCTGTAATCCCAGCACTTTGGGAGCCTGAGGCGGGCAGGTCACGAGGTCAGGAGATCGAGACCATCCTGGCTAACATGATGAAACCCCGTCTCTACTAACAATACAAAAAACTAGCTGGGCGTGGTGGCGGGTGCCCATAGGCCCAGCTATTCGGGAGGCTGAGGCAGGAGAATGGCGTGAACCCGGGAGGCGGAGCTTGCAGTGAGCCGAGATCACGCCACTGCACTCCAGCCTGGGCGACAAAAAAAAAAAAAAAAAAAAAAAAAAAAAAAAAAAAAAAAAAAAAAAAAAAAAAGTGTTGTATGAAACTTGACCTTGATTATTTTTGGTAGCTCGCTTTTATATAAAATCTGGTTCCCTAAAAATTTAGAAATTTCATTTCAAGATAATTTTGTGATTTCACAGATCTTCCATTGTTATCTATAGTCTGAAAAATTATGGAGATTTTCTATGAGATTTCCTGGCTCTTTTCCTGTCTCTTATATTTAGCTGGATCGTCTTTTTCTTTGCTGTCCTTTCAGTACAATTTTTATTTAATTTCCAGACATTTCTCTTAAATGTGTAGCCCTTACTTCATATTGCTCTTTGATTCGTCACTTTTGAGTGTAAATTTGAACTAAACTATTCAAATTCCTTCTGACCTTATAGCCACCCTTACTCTCATGCAATGTTTGGATGAAACCCGTCCAAAATTCAGATGCTATTCTCAAATTAGACTTCAATGTTTTCTAGAAATATCTGTTGCTTATGTATGTATTTTTCCTGTTCTCAGGTCCATCAGACACCTCATTGCTTTCAACCTGTTTCTCTCCAAGAGAAGGTGATCTTATAAATATCATGTGCTTGCTTGTTAGTGATTTTTGCCACTCATTTGTTTTTTAGCGTTGTTGAAAATACCTTCTTGGCTAGGATTTTTGCAGATGTTGCCCATGTTATTTTTGGTTTTGATATCCAGATATTCCTGTCTTATCTTCACAAGAAGTTTTGGATTCAAAAACTGTATTACCACCACGATGGCCTCAGAATTTTTTTGTTGTTTTGAAACATGGTCTTGTTTGTCACACAGGCTGGAGTTCAATGGTGTGATCAGGACTTACTTCAGCTTTATCTCCTGAGCTCATTTGATCCTTCAGGCTCAAGTGTGCCTCCCACCTCAGCTTCCTGAGTAGCTGGGACTACAGGTGCATGTCATCATGTCTAGCTAGTTTTAAAGTATTTCTGTATAAACAGGGTCTTACTATGTTGCCCAGGCTTGTCTTGACCTCCTGAGCTTAAGTAGTGCTCTGACCTCAGAGGATTACAGGCACGAGACACCGTGCCTGGCCCTAGTATTCTTATAAATACCTTTTTTTCTTTTTTTTTTTTTTAAATCAGTATTTGTTCCCTGCCTTATTTTTCTGTGGCTACAGAATCCTAAACTAAAGGCAATCTTTTAATGTCTATCTAACCTACACATTCACTAGACAAAATTAAAATCCTTTACTGTGTCTTTTATAGATATCATCACAAACATCAATTGATCATTTTCAAAAACATTTAGGGAACTAAGAGCATCATCTATTTTAATATAAATAAATAAATATACAAATCTAAATGAATACAGAATAATTATTTTTTAACAAATCTGAGGTACCTGGATACTGGTTTTTAACACAAAGAGGAAAACAAAAATATCATAACATTTCTGTTACATATTTCGTTTATCTTCTTTGGGCTTATTAGAAGACCTTGCACTGGGTAGTTATGTAATTACTAGTATTCTATTTTGATTTTGGAAGAGTTTTGGATCTTGTGATCATTTATTTATATTATATAAAGCTTATTTTTCAATCAATAGATACACGTATGTATTTTTTTTTGCAGTTTGTATGAAATATCTGCTTCAAAACAGGACAAATGCTTGTGACTTTTATTGTAATTTCTGATGTGTTATGATGTCATTTTGCCATAAAAGATGAAGTTTGTTTGTAAACAATTTAGTTCATTCAAAACAAGTTTTAAGTTTCCTCAAAAATAATCAAATTAATGAATATTCAAATATATACATCTATTATGCTCATCATAGACATATTTGCTTCCTAATTTTATGAGAATTTACAGAGGTGGACTGTTTTTTTAAATAATGCTTCTTTTATCCTTTATCTCCAAAATGATACCTATTTCTTACCCATATAAACATTGTACAAATAACCAATTTACAATTTTATGGATTATATTATAAAGACAGAGACATAATTTTCACTTATTCATGAAGTATTCATAATCTCATTTTTGTAACATTTTCTAGTTGGATCTGAGCACCATTCTTATAAATAAGGAGGATTAATAAGAATGTATAAACATGATGTCCCTGCTTAAATTTACAAATATTGTCAGTGATGGAATTGATAAAATACCTACAACTTGCATAAATGTGCTCATACTTCATATTTGATCTTTTTTGGACAGCAAATCAGTCTTCCAAAGACTTATTAATCGCATGACAAATGTTTCTTATTTTAAATTATTTTTGACAAATGATAAAGCAACAACTGTTAATATTGAGCAATTGTCCCTTTTAATAATGTTTTTGTTTGTCTCCTTTCTTTATGCTATTCTTTAATTTACGGGTCAGCAAACTATGACCTATGGGCCAAAACCTGTCAACTACATGCTGTTGTACAGCTCACAGGCTAAAAATAGTTTTTACATTGTTATTAATAATTTAAAAATCAAAAGAAAGATAATACTTTACTACATATGAAGATAAAATTCAAATTTCAGTGTGCATAAAATATTTTATGGAATAAAGTTTTATTGGAAGAGAGCCACAGTTAATTATTTACACATTGGCAGTGTTTTCTGTTCCATAACACTAGAGTGTAGTAGGTGTGAAAGAAACGGTGTGGTCCTCCAAGCCAGAAAATATTTACTTTCTGATCCTTTACAGAAAGAGTTTCCTGAGTCCTGTTTTAAATTATTCTGCCTTGTTCAGATAAAGATTTTATAGAGCTGACTAGTCTCATAAATAGCAATGACAAAAAGACTCATGGCTTTTAAATTGGAGCAATAAAAAGCCAATCAAATGAAACGTTTCCAATAGATTAATTGGTTAATGTTATTGAACACAAATTGTTCTGCTATGTTGAATTACTGTGAGGTGATTGCGGCTTTGCTCATGGTTAATAGAGTAACCCAGACCATTGAGTTGGAACTGGACAAAACGAATATCAACTTCTTTCTAACTTGTAGATTTTTGTCACTTCTTAGTTGGAAAAGAAGTCAGAAAAATTAGCATTTTATATATAATGCTCAACGTAGCATTATAATAAACCATGATGTCAGAAAATAAACTGTATTTCTCAATCAGAGCCACGTCTATTGTCCTGGCTCTTCTTGAGATCAAACTCTATGTACTCCCTTTGGCTCATGGCCATAAGATTTGACAACATGCTGAAGAATATCAAGGAGAATTCTGAAAAGGAAAATGGAGCAGAATCATATGTACCGTAGCTAGAGGTTATAGGTTTGTGATAGGGTAGAATTACTCTCATAATATGGATTTGGTATTGCGACTTGGTAGCACCTCCTTCATGCTCGCTGTTCTGCTGGATGGTTGCCCATCTCGCCTGTGCTGTCATTCCACTCCTCAAAGCATGGAGGCAAAAGATAGTGCATGGAATACCTACACCTAGTGTAGAATCTCCTCATATTGCCAGGGTGATATAAGATAAAGCATGTGGGACTCTTTTCTTTTCTATTGTAATTCTGGGCAATTTACTTTTTGAGTTTTGTGCTCCATATCTTTAAAAGGTGGAAAATACTCATCATGATTGAGAAAAGAGAATTATATCTAATATGCTTAGCACATAATATTGAGGCTACTTCCATTACATAACTGATGTGCTGGAAATGTAACATAGTAAAAACCTATACTTTATACAAAAATGTTTTATCACATTGCAGTAAAAAATATTTAGTTGGTTTTGCCATAAATATGTATCTATGCAACATATAGGTGAGCACCAACCTTAGGTCATATTTCTTGTGCTGACATCCACCTGTAATATCTCCTAGCTGTTGGAATTTGGAGAGGTACCTTCACAGAGCTGAGCTTCTTTTTTTTTTTTTTAATATAAAGCTGGGAAAATATTACCAACACTTGCATTTGTTAGGAGAATTAAATAAAATACTATATGAAAAGTATATTAAGTGCTCTATACATGTGAAATACATTAATACAAATGCAATGAATCTTTTAACAACTTTTTTTAAGTATGATGTAAATATTTGCTAAGTGTGTTGGCTACTTGCTGTGCTAACATAACAAATTATTCTGAAAATCTCTGCTATACTGAAAGCATACAGGCATTCATCAAGTACCTGATCATTCAATCTAACATTAATACTGTGGGTGTCTGCAAGCCTCAACGGAGAACACCATGATACTTTTCAGAATCTGAAAGGTAACTTCCAAGAAGCATTGCCTTTGCAGTTCTGAGATTCACTATTTAAAATGGGACAGGCCCATCGTGGTAGTTCATGCCTGTATTCTTGGCATTTTGGGGGCAAAGGTGGGCTGATTGCTTGAGCCCAGGAGTTCAAGATCACTCTGGAAAACATAGCAAAACCTCATTTATACAAAATAATTAAAGAAAAAAACCAGCTGGATGTAGTGCATGCACCTGTGGTCCCAGCTACTTGGGAGGTTGAGATGGGAGGATCACTTGAGCCCAGGAGGTCAAAGCTCCATTGAGCTGTGATCACACCATTGCATTCCAGCCTGGGTGAAAGAGTGAGATGCTGCCTCAAAAAACAAAACCAAAACAAAACCCAAAACACCAAATGTGACACTTCCTCTCTTTCCACATTTGTATCCCCCAGTGTCTATTGTTCACATTATATACATTTGTAACAAACCTTCACATGTACACCCTGATTCTAAAATAAAAGTTGAAAAAAATTAAAAAACTTTTTAAAAAGGAAAAATGGTGATTTCAAAAATTGACACATCCAAATACTTTGTCCACAGAACTGCTCTATTAATCCAGCTGTAACATCCAGTTTGTGATTTATCTCCATAGTCTAGCATTCCATTAGATTTGTACGTGTATTTGGCAATGTTTTTGTAAGTAAATTTCTTGTTATAAAATCAATAAAGTTTCAACAAAAAAAGGCCAGATATCATACCACATACATACAGACATACAAATAAATTAAAATAAGAAATCATTTTAAAAATGAGCAATTAAAATTATCCTTATTAGGAAGACACCTTTATATATATATATATTTATATAATATATATATGTAATAGTTGGAACAGAGAAAGTATAATGATTTCAAAATATAATTACACCTATGATTTAAAAGTAACAAATTTGAGAAAAATGCAGCTAAAACAATAATTCAGGTAATATTGACTAGATTTTATACACTAAAAGTAAATATAATTTGTTCCATTGGTTCTCTGAATTATGTCTTCCATAGAGTTTATTGATATTCCCACAGTGAAGACCTGGTGATGGATTTAATTGAATTGGGGTAGGTGGTGATGGTAGATTTGGGGTAGGAGCAGACCTGAGCAGTACTGCAAAGAAGTGGGCTCTAATGGACACCTCTGCATGACTTCACGTCATCTTGGCCTCATCTGACTGAGACCTTATCTGATTTCAGCCTCAGGTTTTAACAATAGCTCTGCCTAGGCTTTGTGCCATTTGGGGTTTACACTGACTTACTTTAAACATCTGACATGCACCTCTTCCTTCTATCCTTAGAGATTTTATGATCCCAAACGTGTGGATGTCTGCTGGAGCCCACTCAGTGGCACCACACCTAACACAGAACTAAGGTGGATTAATATCTTTTCACCCCTGCCACCCCAAGACCATCCTTAAACAATAGAAGTTAAGACAAATACACTAAAGCTTCTTCCTTGCATTACTCAGATAAACAATTGTAAAATATATTTTATAAGTCTACTTATACATTATCAGTAGGCTTGATCACCTGTTACCCACAGTGATAGCCAAGTTTATTTTAATCCTTTATTGGCTTTTCCTAATTCCCTTTTCCTCCTTTCCCATTTCACACACTTCCTAGTTATTCATGTGTGCTAATAAGTGAACCATCATTTATTTCCAAATAAATTCCCTTTAGGTGAACCCTTTCCTCATGCTCTGATTTTGTGGAATCCAGACATGGCACATGGTACATGACTATTTGATCCAGTGCTGTGCTAGCACTGGGGATGAAATTTCACATAGAAACACTTCTGTCTTTATCTTTCTAATATGTATTATCCAGTTTTCATAGCTTTTTGACTTTATTCAAGTTGTATAAAGTACAAAAAAAGCCACAATAATTATTTTAGTTAACACATGATCCAGCTGTGTTTCATATATAATCTATTTATTTCTTCTAAGTAAAAGTAATTCTCCTTTTTAAGAAATGCTTTATATCCTGCTTCATAGTTACACATTGTTTGGTTTTTAATTTTTGTCTTCTTTATATAGTACCTCCTGTACTTCAAACCAGAGGGAAAAATAATAATTAATATTAATCTGTTCTTCAGGTTTTTTTGGTTGTTGTTCCCCACACACAAAATTCTCCTAATCTCCTTACTTTTTCTTCTTTTTTGAGTCTTTAAAATTTTCCTTGATGTGTTTTCTCATAAGCAAGACTCCACACTAATAAGATTGGCCATATACATGGGAAATAAAATATTAGGAAAGTTGAACTGTATTTTCTTTTGGGAAATGTCAAGCTAAACTTTACATTTACAAATATTTTTTACTTATAGATATAAAACAAATTAAAATTTATTTTCTCTTTCAGGCGATAGTTGGAAATGTTTTGCAGTTACAGTTCCAATGCAGAATACTTCTTCATACATATTTTGCCTAGACTTATAGACATAACAGCAAGGATATATTTAAAAACTCAGTCTTTCAAATATTCAGAAAAGTAAAATGGCACTTTTTAAAATCCAGATGTTAATATTATATCCACATAGCCTCCTAAGAATGTGACAATGTCAGTAAAGCAAACCAGAGACATATATTTCAACGTAAATGTTTACTTGTTTAACAATGCAAGTAAGCTACATCAACATATAGTTGTCATTCACATATGGAACTCCATACACAGTCTTAGTGTATCAGAATTTACTATTGTTGGACAGACATTGAAGATCTTTTCTGTGTAGAATGATATCACTCTACTCACTCACTTGACAAATACCTATGCATCACTCTGTCTTAAACACGGACTGAAAAATATTATTTAACATTCTAAGAAGTCTTGGCATATTGTTCTGCTTTTCTTTTTCATATATTTCCATTGATATTTGTAAATTGTTGCATTATAGCAATTCTTATAGATTGTGTATCATTAAATATTCGTGTCTTCTCATTGCCCTATGTGCTATCCAGCCTTGGTTCACATGCTCAGCATCTCTTGCTTGAAATATCTCAAGTTCTTTTCTTTTTCCATATGGCCAGATCAATTTATATAACACAAATATATTTATATCAGTACGTGAACCATATGCTAGTTTACAGTTCTTAATTTGGAGGTACGGAGACCTCTAAAACAATCAGAATTAGATTAAATTATTTTGTCTGCATTTAGTAGTTTCAAAGCTTTTTTTCCCCTAAATATTCTTTTTTGAACAAATCTCCAAATGGAGATATTTAACTTGCATGATCTTTGTAAAGATTAAATGTTGAGCTTTTATTTCATATGCTTGGTGGATGCATATATATCTTCTTTTGAAAAGTGCCTGTTGAAGTCGTTTTCCACTTTTTAATGGGGCTGTTTGTTTTTTTCTTTTAAATTTGTTTTTCAGTTTCTTATAACTGCTGGATATTAGACCTTTGTCAGATAAATAGTTTCCAAAAATTTTCTACCATTCTTTAAGTTGTCTGTTTATTCATAGTATCTTTGGCTGTGCAGAAGATTTTTAGTTTAATTAGATATCATTTGTCAATTTTTTTCTTTTGTTGCAATTGCTTTTGGCATCTTTGTCATGGAATCTTTGCCCATTCCTATGTCCAGAATGGTATTGCCTAGGTTGTCTTCCAGGGTTTTCATAGTTTTTGGTTTTACATTTAAATATTTAATTCATCTTGAGTTGACCTTTGTAAACTGTTCAATCATAAAGGCACATGCATGCACATGTATGTTCATTACAGCGCTATTCACAGTAACGAAGATATGGAATCAACAAATGCTAATTAATGGTAGAATGGAAAAAAAATGTGGTATATATATACCGTGGAATAATATGTAGGAACAAAAAAAATAATGAGATCAAGTCATTTTCAGGGACGTGGATGGAGCTGGAAGCCATTATCCTTAGCAAACTAATGTAGGAAGAGAAAACCCAATACTGCATATTTTCACTTATAAGTGGGAGCGAAATGATGAGAACACATGGAAACAAAGGGGAAAAACAGATATTGGGGCCTGGCTGAAGGTGGAAGGGGGAAAGAGGGAGAGAATCAGGAAAAATAACTAATGGATACTAGGCTTAAGACCTGAGTGATGAAATAATCTGTAAAACAAACCCTCGTGACACAAGTTTACCAATATAACAAACCTGTACATGTGCCCATGAACTTAAAATAAAAGTTAAAAAAAATATTAAATGTAATGAAAGTATTAAGTGGGTGGCATACTGTTTCACACATTTTAGGCAACAAAACATATGTTTTGTTATTTAGTATCCTCTTCCGTTTATGAAGTCCAAACTCCTTATCATGCATAGTAGACCCAGGCAGCTTTGTCATTACCTCCCTGCTCAGGTTCATTTCTACCACTAATCTTTTACTTCCTATAGACCAGCAATTGTGAGGTCTATATAGCTTCCTAACAAGTCATGCTGTTAGATGTTACCTTTTTCTTTTTTGTCTAAATATATTCACATGCATTAAAGGGCATGGACTTACTGAGCTCGATTTAAATATGAATTCTTTACTTTAGCCTTCCTTTGAACATTTCCAGTATTCTCACATTAGGTTATATATCACTTTTTTTCTTTTGCTATCACTACATTCTCTGAAACCTTTTACACATACATTTATAACAGTTTATTGAAATTATTTTGCATAAATATTTTTTCTCCTACTATGAGAACTCCTTTATGGTTTAGGCAGTTCTTCAAGCTTCTTTTAATCCATAAGGCCTAGCACAATGCTTAGGATATTAGGGATACCTCTTAAACTGGATCTTGGTAAGTATATTTACATGCATGAGATTGAGAATATGTTTCCCACCAGGCAGCTCTCAGGTTTCCCTAACATGTTAATTCTCAAAATTGGTAGGACCAGCTGTGAATGTCAGAGATGGCATCAAAGTCAATGTTACAAAAAAGGGGTTCCTTGTTTGATGGAGATACAAACTAAAACAAGTCACCTACAAAAAATGGTAGCATGTGTTCATTTGATAGGGGGCAGGTTGGGTGATAAGATGAAGAGTCATGGAGTTGTATGCCATAATGATAGGAACGCAAAAGTCAACTTTGTGTCTATTCTTAATGAGCCTATGGGTCATAGGAAGAAAATATTTGTGGCATGAGGGATAGCTGAGGTTGGAGATACCTACTGATACAATATGCTTATTTGATAAGGAAACATCTATTGATGGACTCTTTGGAACTGCAGGTTAGAAAAACAGACCACTTGAAAAAAAATGTTCAGCACACTCATTACTAATAATAGAGAACAGAGAAGATTTTTGTAAACCTTACTTTCAGGAAAAGAAAAATAAAGGAACAGTTATGGTAACATTTAAGTATCAAAATGGAAAAAATCTGGAACTTTTTATCACTTACATCAGAAAGATGAAATTTCCCATGAAACTCTCATTGCTTCATACTTTCATTACCCTTTTCAGTATTTTTAGGTAGTTTTATGTTTGTTTTATTTAAGTTGACTTCTCAATTATATAACCTCTAGGCCCCACAAATATAGAATCTACCCCTGTACCTATATAAAATGTACTGAGAAGCTAGAGATTAGTGTTATTTAAGGATTCAAAGAAGGTCATCTAAACAAGTGTTTATCTGAGATACATTTTTACACATGGAACTATGGGGAAGGCCCATTGTAGGTATATGGATTTCATCCATATAATGAATATGCAGAGCTCTTACTATGTAATAGGTGCAAAGCTTGACCTTGGAGACAAACACGAATAAGACAAAATCCCATATCCCACAAAATTTTACAGTAGGAATAAAGAATGACATAGTTCTATGTTACAATTCTGATGAAGATATACATGCGAGTTATGAGAGCTAGGCATCTAAAATCACACTTTGATTTAAGCAAAAGCATCAAAGTGGCAGAGCAACTTTGTCCAAGCCCTGAAGGACAAACAGAATTAACCAGACAAAATGCTGGAAGGATGACTTCTTAGCAGGGTAAACAGAATAAAAACTCTAGATAAAATAAAAAATTCTACATAGAAGGGTTTAATATGTGGCCTACCAAATTAGTTGATTATGTGAATTACTTAACATTTCTTTAACATCAATCATGAGGCATTAATTTTGCTACAGGTTTGAAGCAAAATGATTAGAAACATAGTCATTTTCTAAGAGTTTGGATACTTTATGGGGAGGGAATTATATCAAGTTAAGTTACATAATAAGTAATAAAAAGCATATTCAAAGCTCTTGAGTGGTACTAAAGAAAAAATAGCATACTGCTTTAAAGGAAACAATACAGTTTCACAGAGTAATAAAATTTAACAGAAATTTAAACAAAAAGAGCTGTATGTCTCTCTCTGAAATAAGAAAACATTAGAAATAGAAAGTATAATAACATGAAGGTCTGAAACAAGGTAAAATGCTTCAGGAAACAAACTAAGATGAAAGCAATGTGAGATGAGTACTGGAGAAGTACGAAGACTGAGCTGGATGTTTATACAGGATCCAGACTGTTGACTATAAGGCAGTAATAATGGATTCTGCATACAGAATCACATTGCCAAATATACCTTTTAGAAAAATAACTAAGGGAATCCAGTACGAATTGAAATTAATCATTTTACAAAATTATTCAACACACTATTATTAGATTAGAAAAACTTCAGAGGAAAAGTAATGTTTGGCACTTAGCTACTTATGAGGCTTTTTACTGTGTTTTAGGGAGATGATTAAAAGTGATAAGAAGCCAGGGCGCTGTGGCTCACGCCTGTAATCCCAAAACTTTGGGAGGCCAAGGCAGGTGAATCACTTGAAGTCAGGAGTTGGAGACCAGCCTGGCCAACACGGCAAACCCTGTCTCCACTAAAAATACAAAAAATTAGCTAGGTATGGTGGCAGGCACCCATAAACCCAGCTACTCAGGAGGCTGAGGCAGGAGAATAGCTTGAACTTGAGAGGAGGAGGCTGCAGTGAGCCGAGATCAAGCCCTTGCACTCCAGCCTGGGCTACAAGAGTGATACGCCATCTCAAAAAAGAAAAAAAAGTGACAGGGAGAATGATATTTTGAGACAGAGAGAAACAAAAAGAAAGGAAATAAAGTAGATAATAATAGTAATGGTTCAGATGACACTATTATTTGATTTAAGGGAGTGGTGAAAATATTAATATGTAAAACAGTCAAGCTTTTGTAAATTATTACATGTTTATGTTAAGGTTATACTGGAGTTGAAGACTATTTCATAATTTTAACTTGTATAATTATAGTTCACTATACTGTTACTCAGTTTAGAAGGCAAATTTGTGGAGTGTCACATGAGTAAGACATTGTGTTGAAGAAAAAGTTCAATGACTTCGCTGCTCTCAAAACAAAAGTAGCTCCTCTCGCCAGTCAAAAACAAGATATATATATGTATTTTTACTCTCAGAGTCAATTGCTTCCAAATTTTGGCTGTAATTTACTTTCTATTAATCATTCTTCCCACTAAGGACATGGCCCTATCCATACAGGTGACCTGAACTATATTTGCCAATATCCTTGCTTTTCATTCTGTTTGTGTTATTTTCCTAGCTGATTTGCTCTCATTCTGCTATCGCTGAATCCAGAAATTACACTTCAAAACCATCTCAATTGTCTCATCCTCTTGGGTTTCCTTTTTTGTTATTCTAATTCTATTTCCAAGAATAAATACCAAATATGATCTTCTCTCTCCTTTAGGTCCCATCTTGACTATAAATAATTATTGGTGACTTTTCTTATCTGTGTATGCAAATTTTTACTGCCCTCCCACAATCTCCATAAATTTAAATGTGAACTTTGTAAAGCCAAATATAATTTTATGCACCATTTTATTGTATTGATTTCTTAATGCCTTCCAAACAGTATTACTTAGTATTAATATAAGAATAAGAATTGCTACTTTATTAAAGTTATTTAATGATAACATACTGGATCCTCAAGGTCAAATTTTTGAAGAAATGTCTAAAAACTTTTTTTGTCACATATCAGCTATTTTTTATTTTTCAATAGCTTTA
This sequence comes from Homo sapiens, assembly GCF_000001405.40. Taxonomy (NCBI): domain Eukaryota; kingdom Metazoa; phylum Chordata; class Mammalia; order Primates; family Hominidae; genus Homo; species Homo sapiens. The sequence continues at coordinate 95,699,265 of NC_000003.12, forward strand.
GGGTTTCAAGTAGTTTTTGGTTACATGGATGAATTGTATAGTGGGATACAATATATCCCACTGGGAAGTCTATTAGTATAACCATTACCACAGTAGTGTACACATTGTTCCCCAGTAGGTAGTTTCTTATCCCTCACTCCCATCCCAACCTCCCACTCCAGTGTCCGTTATATCACTCTGTATGCCTTTGTGTACCCATAGCTTAGCTCCTACTTACAACTGAGAGCATGCAGCATTTGGTTTTCCATTCCTGAATTATTCACTTAGATAATGGCCTCCAGTTCTATAAAAATTGCTGCAAATGACATTATTTTATTCTTTTTTATGGCTATTATTCCATGGTGTATATACACCACATTTTCTTTATCCACACATCAGTTGATGGGCACTTAGATATATCCCATATCTTGGCAATTGTGAATTGCTCTGTGACGAACATCTGTATGCAGATGTCTTTTTAATATAATGATTTCTTTTGAGTACATAGCAAGTAATGGAATTGCTATAACAAATAGTAGATCTACTTTTAGCTCTTCAAGAAATCTCCATACTATTTTCCATATGGAAAATATTAGGTTGTACTGATTTACATGCCCACCAGCAGTCACATTACCTGACTTCAAATTATACTACAGAGCTATGGTAACCAAAACAGCATGGTAGTGGCCATAAAAACAGACACAAAGACCAATGGAACAGAATAGAGAACACAGAAACAAATACACACACCTAGCATGAACTCATTTTTGCCAAAGGAGCCAAGAACATACACTGGGTAAAGGAAAGTCTCTTCAATAAGTGGTGCTGGGAAAACTGTATATCCAAATGCAGAAGAATAAAACTAGACCCCTATCTCTTACCATATACCAAAATCAAATCAAAATGGATTAAAGACTTAAATTTAATACCTCACACCATGAAACTACTACCAGAAAACTTTGGGGATAGTCTGCTCATTGATCTGGGAAAATTTTTTTGAGTAATACCCAACAAGCACAGGCAGTCCAAAAAAAAAAAAAAATGGAGAAATAGGATCACATCAAGTTAAAAAGTTTCTTCACATGGCTGGGCACAGTGCTCACACTTGTAATCCCAACACTTTGGGAGGCCCAGATGGGTGGATCAAATGAGGTCAAAAGTTCGAGATCAGCCCAGCCAACATGGCAAAACCCTGTCTCTACTAAAAATACAAAAATTAACCAGGCACACACCTGTAACTCCAGCTACTTCAGAGGCTGAGGCACAAGAATAGCTTGAACCTGAGAGGCAGAGGTTGCAGTGAGCCTAGATTGCATCACTGAATTCCAGCCTGGGTGATGGAGTGAAAACTCCATTTCAGAAAAAAAAAAAAAAAAAAAAAGCTCGTTCACAGCAAAGGAAACAATGGAAACAATCAATAAAGTAAAGAGAGAGACAACCCACAGAATGGGAGAAAATATTTGCAAACTACTCATCTGACAAGGGATTAATGCAAGAATATATAAGGGGCTCAAATAACTCTATAGAAAAATATTTAATAACTTGATTAAAAATGGGCAAAATATTTGAATAGACACTTCTCAAAAAGGAGACACACAGGTGACAAACAGCATGTGAAATAGTGCTTGACACCATTGATCATCAGAGAAATGCAAATCAAAACTACAATGTGATAACTCACTCCAGTTAAAATGGCTTATATCCAAAAGACAGGCAATAACAAATACTAGAGACAACGTGTAGAAAGGGAATATTCATACACTGTTAGTGAGAATGTACATTAGTAAAACCACTATAGAGAATGGTTTGCAAGTTGCCCCGAAAACTAAAAAGTGAACTACCATATGATCCAGCCATCCCACTGCTGGATATATACTCCAAAGAAAGGAAATTATACTAAAGAGATATCTGCACTTCCATGTTTGTTGTAGCACAGTTCATAATAGCGAAGATTTGGAAGCATCTTAAGTGTCCCTCAGCAGATAAATAGATTTTAAAAAGCGATACTTACACCCAATGGAGTACTATTTAGTTGTCGAAAAAAAGCAGATATCTTGTCATTTGCAACAACATGGATGGAACTGGAGGTCATTACATTAAGTAAAATAAGCCAGGCACAGAAAGACAGACATCGCATGTTCTCACTTATTTGAGGGAGCTAAAAATCAAAACAATTAAACTCATGGACACAGAGAGCAGAGGGATGGTTACCAGAGGCTGGGGGTGGGGGGTTGGGGATGGTTAATGCATTAAAAAAATTAGAAAAGATTAATAAGACCTCGTATTTACTAGCATAACAGAGTGACTACAGTCAAAATAACCAAATTGCACATTTAAAATAACTAAAAGTGTAATTGGATTGTTTGTGAGACAATGGATAAATGCTTAAGAGGATGAATACCTCATTTTCCATGATGTAATTATTATGCATTGCATGCCTGTATCAAGATATCTCATATACTCTATAAATATATACACCCATCCTGCACCCACAAAAACTAAAAATAAAAAAAAATAGTTGATGCCTCACTCTTCTCACTGACAATAGCCAATCAGCCATAACTAAGCAAGCCCCAGTGAAGGACTCCTCTAAACAGGCAACATTTTCTCTAGAGCTCTGCATTAGTTATTAGAGACTTTTGTCATATCTACAATGAAGCAAGACTGCTCCTCTACACAATCTTGATTTGCTTCATATTCTTCCCCAATAATGATTTTGAACTCCTAATTACATCTCAGCATTGAATATTAGACGACTTAAGCTGTCATATGTTTGAGTTGTCCAATAACGGTCTAATAGTTGTCTAGGAATGGTCTGAAAAGCAGGTGGTAAATCAATTTTGGGGGTATGGGTCACTAACTGCCTTATCAGTACGAAAGACCCATTCCTAAAGTAGAGGAAAAAGCACTGGCACCTTTGATAATTTAGGGATTTGGAATATACAGAGGAAATGATAAATAAGGACAGTGAAAATCACTGTTTGTACTAAGTTGTACTGGTGGCTTACAGGAAGATAATGAAGACCCTGATTCTAATTCTTTGGGATAAATACTTAGAATTTAGATTGCTGGATCATATGATAGTCTCATTTTTACCTTTTGAGAAGGTTCCATATTGTTTTCCATAGTGTCTGCACTATTTCTCATTTTCACCAGCAGTATAAAAGTCTTCCAATTTTTCTACATATTTGCCAACACTTCTCTGTTCCCTTCTCTCTCTCCTTCTTGCACTCTCCTTCTCTCTGTCTCCCACTTGTGATCCCCCCCCCCTCTCTTTTATAATAGCCTTCCTAACAGGTATGAGGTTATATCTCATTGTGGTTTTGACTTGCATTTCCCGGTACAGCATCTTTGAATTGCTCTATTTTGGTAAGTTACCAAATCCAGTCAACAATTACATTTGGTAATATCTCTTTATTAATTTGATTCTAGACCACCATAATTTGCCAGTATCCATCTGTCTTTATTTGAAGCCAGAATGATGAATTAAATGACAGTAAGATTGAGACAAGCAATTCTACATGACTTAAGTCTCATGGATAGCATCACTTATCTCCACCCTTCCACCTGAGATACCATATTGCTTCTGATTTGCAATTTGCATGGGGTAGAGAATACACTTGACTTTCCAACTATGATGACTTTTCTTCCACAGGTTAGCAAAGCAATGTGATGTTTATATTAGCAGCTAAATTATCCTTACACAATAGCTGCTCAGAGACTAGAGAAATAAATACTGTATAATTCTGTGGGAAACCTTTGTATCTGCTGTTATACCGACTTCAGCTAGGATTCCTTTTACTACCTGGTTTTGGCATACTCTCATTTTGACTAAGAAACATGGTGGCACAGGGTGACCTTAATCTCATGTTGAAGGTAACTCCCAATGTTAGAGGTGGGGCCTGGTGGGAAGTGACGAAATCATGGGGGCAGAATTTTCATGAATGGTTTAGCACCATCCTCTTGGTGCTATCCCGTGATAGTGAGTAAATTCTCAAGAGATCTAGTCATTAAAAAGTGTGTGGCACCTCCCCTCTGACTCTCTCTATCTTTCACATCTGCTTTTGCTATGTGATATGCCAGCTCCTGCTTTGCCTTCCACCATGATTGTAAGCTTCCTGAGGCTACCCCAGAAGCTGATGCTGAAGCTATGCTTCCTGTAAATCCTGCAGAGCCTTGAGCCAATTAAACCTCCTTTCTTTATAAATTGCCCTGTCCCAGATATTTCTTTATAGCAGAAATGTAAGAAAAGCCTAATACAGAAAATTGGTACTGGGAGTTGGGTACTGTTATAAAGATAACTGAAAATGTGGAGGCAACTTTGGAACTGAATAACAGGCTGTATTAGTTTATTTTCACACTGCTATAAAAAACTAACTGAGACTGGGTAATTTATAAAGAAAAGAGGTTTAATGACCCACAGTTCCACATGGCTGGGGAGGTCTCAGGAGACTTATAATCATGGCAGAAAGCAAAGGAGAAGCAAGGTACATCTTACATGGCAGAGAAAGAGAGAGTGAGGGTAAGTGAGGGTGGAAGTGCCATATTTTTAACCCATCAGATCTCAAGAGAACTCACTCACTATCATGAGAAAAACATGGGGGAAAATCTGCCTCCATGATCCAATTGCCTCCTACCTGGTCCCTCCCCTGACACTGGGGATTATGATTTGACATAAGATGAGTGGGGACACAGAGCCAAACCATATTACAGACAGAGGTTGGAAAAGTTTAGAGGACTTGGAAGAAGACAGGAAGCAGAGGGAAGTTAGGAACTATTTAGAGACTGGTTACGTTGTTGTGACCAAAATGCTGATAGTAATATGGACAGTGAAGTCCAGGCTGAGGAGGTCTCAGATGAAGATGAAGAGCTTATTGGGAACTAGAATACAGCTCATGTATGCCTTAGAAAAGAACTTGGTTACATTCTGTTCATGCTCTAGGGATATGTGGAAGTTTGAACTTGACAGTGATTACCTACGGTATCTGGCAGAATAAACTTCTAAGCAGCAAAGTGTTCAAGATTTAGCAAAACTGCTTCTCACAGCCTATGCTTACATGTGTGAGCAAAGAAATGACCTAAAGTTGGAACTTATATTTAAAGGGGAAGTGGGATATAAAAGGTTGGAAAATTTGCAGCCTGGTCATGTGATAGAAAAGAAAAGCCCATTTTCAGGAGAAGAATTCAAGCAATTTGCTGAGCAACCACTTGCTAGAAAATTTGCATAACTAAAAAAGGAGACAAGTGCAGAGACCTAAGACAATGGGAAAAAGGACTTGAAGAAATTTCAGAGAACTTTTCATAGCCTCTTCTATCACATACCCAAAGCCTAATAAAGAAGAATGATTTGGGGCCTCACTGCCCTGCACAGCCTTGGAACACTGCTCCCTATATCCTGGCTGCTCTGGTTTCAGCCTTGACTCAAAAGCAGCTAGGTACAGGTTGGGCCACAGCTCTAGATGGTGCAAGCCATAGGTATTGGTGGCTTCCATGTGATGTTAAGTCTACAGGTGCACACAGTGCAAGAGTTGAGACTTGGGAGCCTCCTAGACTGCAGAGGATCTACTGAAAAGCCTGAGTGCCTGGAAAGAGCCTGTTACAGCAGTGCAGCCCCCAAAGAGAACCTCTACTAGGGCAGTGTAAAGGCAAAGTGGGTAGGAGCCTCCACAGAGAGTCCCCACTGGGGCACTGCCTAGTAGAGCTGTGAGAAGGGGACCACTGTCCTCTAGACCCCAGAATGGCAGAGCCACCAGTAACTTAAAAGCTTACAACCTCAGCTTGAAATGCCACAGCGGCAAAGCTGCCCAAGGCTTTGGGATCCCCCTTCTTGCACCAGTTTGACCTGGATTCAGGATATGGAGTCAAATGAGACTATGTTGGAGCCTTAAGATTTAATGACTGCCTTGTTTGGTTTCAAACTTGCATGGGGCATGTAGCCCCTTTCTTTTGGTGAATTTCTCCCTTCTAGAATGGAAATGTTTACCCAATGGAAGTATCCCCATTGTATCTTGGGTGTAATTAACTTGTGTTTGATTGTACAGGCTCAAAAGTGGAAAGGACGTGCCTTGTCTTAGAAGAAACTTTGAACTTTGGACTTTTGAGTTAATGCTTGAATGAGTTAAGACTTTGGAGGACTATTGGGAGGGTATGATTGTTTTTTGCAATGTAAAAAGAACATGAGGTTGGGGATCCAGGGGAAAAATGACATAGTTTGGATATTTGTCCCCATCCAAATCTAATGGTGAAATGTATTCCTCATTGTTGGAGGTGGGTCCTGGAGGGAGGTGATCAGATCATAGGGACAGATTTATTTTGAAGTGTTTAGACCATCCCCTTGGTGCTGTCCTTGCAATAGTGAGTGAATTCTCACAAGATCTAGTCATTTAAAAGAGAATGACACCTCCGAGTCTCTCTCTTTCTTTCTCCTGCTTTTGCCTTGTGAAGTGCCTGCTTCCACTTTGCCTTCTGCCATTATTGTAAGCTTCCTAATGTCTGCCCAGAAGCTGATGCCAGAGCAGGTATTTTTTCTATAGCAATGTCAAAACAGTCTAATACAGAGCTCAAACAGAATTAGCTATTTGGTACTTTACATTTTATTTTCCCTTTAAACGTAACAAGAAACTTAGGAGAAAGATACCTCTATGATCTTTATTTAGAAGAGGAGAAAATTAAAATAGGCTAAATTGAAGGACTAAGTGGCTAAGTTGGCTGGACTTCCCTAAGGGGACTTTCCCCTAAGCCAAAATGAGTCATAGCTGCAAGCTAAGGGATTGAAACTTCAACCAATCATATAGGGAGTTTAAGCTCTAGCTGCAGTCTGATGTTTTTAATCAATCAGGCCCCCCAACCCACAAGCAGATAGAAAATAAGCTAATCCTATAGGGCAGAAAAAGGAAAAGGGGAGGAGCCATAAGGGGATATAAGCATAAGACACCCAAGCCAGAAACAGCAACTCTTCTGGGTCCCCTTCCACCGCGTGGAAGCTTTACTTTTGCTTTTGCTTTACTTTCACTTTCACTTAAGTAAATTTTGCTGCCTACACTCTTTGGGTCTGCATGTTTCTCTAATCGAGTTGTGACACTCACCGCCGCGGTCCACGGCTTCATTCCTTGAAGCCTATGAGACCACAAACCCTTCGATTGAGAAAAACCTTTGATTGGAAGAAGACTTCTCATCTCAAAATAACTCTTTCAAAATTAATTAATAAATTTTGAGAGGTGGGATTAATACTGAGAAACTTCAGGACATATTACTGCATTTAAACTCTATAGTTCATGTGATTTCTATAGATTCTCATGATGGAAAATTTTATGTCCCCATTTTTTTTTTTTTAAAGAGTGCCAAGAGTAACTGTTGAAGTGTACTCTTACTAATGTGATCAGAGTTAGCTTTTGAATAATGTATTAATTTAATACTTAAGACCAATATTAATGATTTCGTTTGCTTCCTTTAGTGTTATTTGAAAATTCTTCAAAAAATAATAGGCAACCAAGATATACAATGCATGCATTGCTATGAAATAGAGACAATTCTCTTTACTTTTAGATAAATCTCTATGGCAATATTGGAGTATTTAAAATATTTTACCCACAGAAATTGCTTTATTTTCACAATAATCTTTATGGAAAGATAGTTTTGAAGGAAACATTTCATATCTCATTAAAACTACATTTGAAAGAAAATCAGTAATTCTGCCACAACTTAGGCATTCTCAGTCATGAATTAGCAATATTTTTAGGCATCTTAAATGGATGAATTGAATAAGAATTATTTTTCTCTGATTCTGGGATGATCTTGATCTTAAGAACTGTCTATGTTATATCTTTATTTAGAACTTCACTTACTATTGGTCATTAATTCAGTGTTAATTTATTCACTAAAAAAGTTTTAAAAATGACAAATGCATAATATAAACATTTTTAACAATAATTTTGCTTCATAACAAAAAATAATTTTAACCTAAGATATTTTTAAGCATTCATCGTCAGTAGCCTTACTTCTTCATGTCATAGTGCCTTTGTTCAAATAATAGTTTTAATTTAATTAACTGTTCCCGTTTTCTAAATATCTTGCTCTCCTCAGCATCCAGAATCAGATTTCTGCATCAGCATTTCCCCATAGCATGCCTCCAGTCTATACTCTAATTAACAAGAGAAATAAACTTTTCACATTCAACCTCTAAACCCATATAGACCAACACTTGCACATTTTTTTATTCTTTTCACCGAAATGCTTATTAGACAAAAATGGCTGTTAAAAATCATGCTAAGGTGTCACTTTGATTCAAATGAAAGAAATTGCCCTTTATTTTCCATTTCTCAGCTATCTTTCTTTTAACTGATACCCAGTATATAATTTTACACCTTATTTATATATACTCTTTTGTATTGCTTCTAAGAGCAATGAGGATCAGTTGATTGGCCTGAAATAGTTAAATACTGTAGTTAGATGGTTTTTTTCTTTATTAATCTATATAAAATAGGTTCGTTTTAAAATGCAGAATTTATTATTATTCAGGTATGGCGATGTAAACAGAGCAGGAGATAATTGCCACTGACAAGTTTATTATTCATAGTTTCCAAAAAGAAGGCATCATGCCACATCACACCATCCAGGGCCACACAATGGAACACTGAGATTAGTCCCAGGCAGAGAAAGAGTGGGGAGATCTGAAAGTGCCTTCATTATATTTTCCTGTGGGAAGAAATAGCTGAGGCACAGTAAGCCGTCTAAGCAGGCTTACAGTTGGTTAGTTCAAATAAATTCAGCAGGTTTTGAAGTAGAGGGACTGTCCCTAGTCATCTGACATGGAATCCAGTAGGGGAGAAATTAGGGCAAGGGAAAATGATTGAGAGTGTAAGATCTCAATACACGAGGAAGTTATGAACTCTTGATTCATTCATTTGCATATGAAGTCACGCTCACAGGAGTGTCATATGCTATAGCTAACCAGGATCCCTCCCAGATCATAAAAGCTCCACTAAAATATACAAAAAATATTAGTTGGGCGTGGTGGCGGGCACCTGTAGTCCCAGCTACTCTGGAGACTGAGGCAGGAGAATGGCATGAACCCGGGAGGCGGAGCTGGCAGTGAGCTGAGATCGCACCACTGCACTCCAGCCTGGGCAACAGAGCGAGACTGTCTCAAATCAATCAATCAATCAATCAATCAATCAATCAATAAGGTACTGGCAGTGAGCTGAAATTTTTGTTTCAAAACAAGAAAAGGGTTAATCCCTTTTCCCAGTTTCTTTGATACGTTAGTGGAGACAGGATTTCACCATGTTAGCCAGGATAGTCTCGATTTCCTGACCTTGTGATCTGCCCGTCTCGGCCTCCCAAAGTGTTGGGATTACGGTCGTGAGCCCCCGCGCCCAGCCAGCACTTTTAAAATTTTACATAAACACACTCTTTGAGGCTGAAAAATATCTAACTGATTTTCAGTTTGAAAATAAAATATTAAAATTATTCTTGAAGTTATTTCTTACAGAAATGTTTTGTCTTTTTAATAATAGCCATTCTAACTGGGGAAGATGATGTCTCATTGTGGTTTTGATTTTAATTTTTCTGATGATTAGTGATGTTGACCGTTTTTCATTTATCTGTTGGCTACTTGTATATCCTCTTTTGGGAAATGTCTATTCGTGTTCTTTGCTCACTTATAAAACTTTTAAATGGGATTATTAGGGGTTTTTGTTTATGTTTTTGTCTTCTGTTGAGTTTCTTGTATATTCTGGATATTTGTCCCTTGTCAGAGGAATACTTTGCAGATATTTTCCACCATTCAATTGGTTGTCTCTTCACTCTGTTGATAATTTCCTTTACTACATAGAAGGTTTTCATTTCATATAGTTCCATTTTTCTATTTTTGTTTTTGTTGTCTGTGCCTTTGAGATCTTAGTCATAAAATCTTTGTCCGGACCAATATCCTATATTATTTCTCCTATGGTTTCTTCTACTAGTTTTATAGTTTTGGGTCTTATCTTTAGGTCTTTAATCTATTTCGAGCTGATTTTTTGTACATGGTGAGAGATAAGGGGTCTAGATTCATTCTTCTCCATATCAGTATCCAGTTTTTTTCACCACTATTGGAGAAGGTGTCCTTTTCCCAATATATATTTTCAGAGCCTTTGTTGAAAATCATTTGCTTGTAAATATATGGATTTATTTCTCAGTTTTCTATTTTGTTTCATGGGTCTATGTTCTGTTTTTATACCAATAGCATGCTATTTTGGTTATGCTAGCTTTGTAATATATTTTGAAGTGAGGCAATATGATGTCTGTCTCTAGCTCTGTTCTTTTTGCTCTTGATGGCTTTGGTTATTTAGGCTCATGTGAAGCAACATGGATGGAACTAGAGACTATTACATTAAGTGAAATATACTAGACACAGAAAGACAAATATGGCATGCTCTTACTCATATGCAGGAGCTAATAAATATTGATCTCATGAAAGTGCAGTATAGAATGATAGTCACTAGAAACTGAGATGGGAGTGTGGAGATGAAGAGGGAAATGGGGAAAAAGGGAAGTTGGTTAGTGGACACAAACCTACAGTTAAATAGAAAAGGTAAGTTCTAATGTTCAATAGCAGAGTAGAGTGAATTTAACAATGAACTGTATATTTCAAAATAATTAGAAGAGAGGAGTTGAAATGTTCCCAAAACATGGAAATGATAAGTACTTCATGTGATAAATACCCTGAATACCCTGATGTGATCATTATACATTCTTTGCATGTAACAAAATATCACATGCACACCATGAAAATGTACAAATGGTATGTATAATTTATAAAAAGACACCAAAGAATAACCAGATATTCTTTAATAATGGATGGATGACTACACTGTAGTTATATCTAGACGATGGTATATTAGTCAGCGCTAAAAGAAAATGAGCTCTTGAAATGGCTCCATTGTCTGGGGTATGTACCCTGGCTCTTGGTCTTGATTGAGAAGAAATTCAGGACACAGACACACATGAGGAGTAGGTTCTGGAGTGGGAAGTTTAACAGAAAAAGAAGAAAAGAGAAGGAAAAAGCTTTCTCATGTTGAGAAAGCCCAAAAGAGGGTCTCCGAGTGGAATAAAGGACCAGCTGGCGCGAATGTGCCAAGTTTTATAGTCCAGTTTGAAGAGGTGGTGTCTGATTTACATAGGGCTCATGATTAGTTATGGCATCTACATAGTGCCTGGGGAAGGCTGGTCACCCCACCCTAATGTTATTATGCTAATGGACATTAGAGTTGATTGGCACCATCTTGTTTGCTTCTTACTGTAAACATGGCTGACAAAGAGAAGGGAAGATGGAGCCACCATCTTGAACATGATTGGCACAACTGCTGGTATCTATGTCTGCAGCTCGATTTTACAGGCTGCTCTTTGTTAGAAAGAAAAATAATTTTATTAAAAAGAACAGACTTACCGAAGTCTCCCATGCCCTTACTATCTGCCTAAGTAATTTCTTCTTAACTACCATATCAGTATGAAACCATGTAAAGCCATGAAGAAAATGTATGTGCACATTACTGAGTAAATGAAGCTAATTTGAAAAGGATACATACTGTTTGATTTAAACTGTGTAACATTCTGGAAAGGGCAAAACTATGGCAACAATAAAGACTTCAGTGGTTGCTAGGGACTGTGGGAAGAGACGGATGAATAGACAAAGCACAGAGAATTTATAGTGTTGAAACTACTCTGTATAAAACTGTAATGGTGAATACATGTCATCATACATTTATCCAAGCCTATAAAATGCACAGGAGAAAACCCTACTGTAAACTATGGACTCTGGGTGATAATAATATATCATTGTAGGTTCATCAATTGTAACAAATCTAGCAGTCTACTGAGAAATGTTGATAAGTGGGGAAGCTGTGCATATGGGGGCTAGGGGTTATACGGGAAATCTCTGCACCTTTTGTTCCATATTACTATGAAATTAAAATTGCTCTAAAAACTAAAGCCTATTAAAAAGTCAAAAGGAAGTCTTCTCATGTTAACTTAATTTTACAAGTTTTTTTTGAGAAAATCTGTGTTGTGTATGTGTGTGTGAATGTGTGTGTGTGTGAGAGAGAGAGAGAAAGAGAGAATACTTCTGACTCATTGGACAATGCAGTTTGTTTTGGTCCTTAACACAAATATGTACCTCACATGATGACTTATATGATATTATGCTCATTCAATAAATGTTTTCATATTAAAAATTATTTTCAGCACAAGTAAATGCTTTTAAAGTCACTTATATCTCAAACATCTCCATGTGCTCAAATCTTCCATGGCTATCTTTACCTCTAATATCTTAATAAATGATTTGAGAACCTCTTCTCATTTCTTCACTTCATAATGTTCCTGAGACTTTGAAGGTGGGTGGAAGGGAGTTACATTGCTCTAGTCACTTTGCTCACCACAATCCCACCTCTACTAGTTTGTTTTTATGTATATGTGTTAAACAGTTACATATATATTGTTACATATACTTGAGTTTTAAAGCTCTTTTACCCTCTACAACTGAAGAGCGTGAATAATACTTTGTATTTCCTACTGTCTTTTTTACTTCATGTAAAGTTCCCCAACATAAACTGATTTCCCAATGTTCAAATCATCCATACAAATCTCTAAGTTATTGGTTACATGAACTTCTCATTTTATCTAAAATCCTCTGTGTAATTAGTTGGTAGATTAAGCAGACAATGGAGCCACCCACAGGTCCTTTCACTCTCTTGTTACTTAGAAGAATATAACTCTCATCCTTACACTTGTGATCTCATGGCTTTGGGGAAATAATTCAAAGAAATTTCCCCAGAACGGTCAAGATTCACTGACAGAGATGAACCATACTGAATAACTGTGACCAAAGTTTCAGTAAGGGTATTCCCCAAACAATTGTGTTGTCACGAATATTGCCATATTGTAAAATTGATTTCAGACTTATGGAGCCTTGGATATCATCTGGGAAATGCTAAAGTGAGGGATTTATTTACCCAGCTTCAAAGGAGGAGCTGGTCTTTCCCATTGTACTTTTTTCTTGAATAATTTATATTTATCATATTTAAATTATCTTTCTGTGACTAATAATGTGGTGTTACCAATAATGGTGAATTTGAAGACTTTGTTTATATTATTACTAAATCAGTGTATTATATATAAAGATACAATATGATTTTAATTTTTTTCATTAAACAGCATTCTAATTTCAACCCATTAATAATTGTTGGATAGTAGAAACACGCATCTCTTGGAAAACTCCCTGCAATCTGTTAAATGCAAGTAAAGACCCTGAATAAACAGTATCAATTTATTAATTTTTAAATGAATTATATTTATATTTAAATTAATTTATTAATATGAAATTTATTTAGATTTGTTGGTATGGTCATGCTATTATATTTGCATTATAGATGGCACAGTGCCATTTGATTTCTCAGAAGTAATAGCCTATGTAGTTTTGGAAGAAAATATAAGCACGAGACACTGTTATTATTTAAAGTGAATTTACAAAATCAGTAAAACTAATAATAAAACATGTGCTTTTCATGAAAATTGGCTAGTCAGATATACTAAAGTTTCCTGGGCAGCCACCTGGCTTGAATCATTTATATCACTTGGCAAAGTACATTTTTCATGAATAATTAACTTGAATGGCCACATGATACCAAAAACTCTATTGTTGCTCATTTTTAATATCAATGACTTCATTAAAAATTGTTATTTTTTTAAACTATCATATATTCAGATTTGAGAGGCCAGATTATTTGACAGTGTCATAGTGAAGCTTACCATTTCAGAAATAGATTACCAGAATACCTGGTTGCTAAGAATATATCATATTGATTACAATGTATATTATTATCCCTTGCTTTTCTTTCAGTCTCTGAAATCATTTTTCAACTATTCTGTTTTTCACTATAAAAACAATCAAATACATTCGAGTCAAAGTGTTTGAGAACTATAGAAAAATTTGGTCAATCCCATCAATTCAATATTTAGGTATGACCTTAGTATTATGACATTTACATGACAAAAATCTGGCATCTACATATTCTGGCATAACAGAGGCATTAACCATATTCTTTGGTTAGGTCATTCCTCCTGTTCCAGATATGGGCTCATACAAGGTGAGGACAAAATTTTGTCACATAAATTGTAAATATGTGTTTTCCATATGTTATAGATAAATAATGCCATGATAACAGACAGAAACCTTTTGTCAAAACTCCAAAAGAACTTCGTAACCAGGAGACAGTCATATTCTTATAACCCTATAATACCATCTCTATAAGAATCCCTCTTCCTGGAGGGAAAATGGTAAATCTGTTATGTGTACATACACCATCTTGCTCATTTTCTCCTCATCTTATTTGAAATACTTTCATTTCTTGTGTTTCAATCAATTTCATCTGAATCAGTCCTGAAAATTGAATATACATTCTGTCACCTAAGAAAATCCTAAGCAAGTTTTACAATTATAAACATTAAAAATAACATGATCACAAGGCCATAAACTCTGTATTAGTAACAAAAGAAAAACAATTCTTTCTCTTTGAAATTTGTGATATCTTTACTAAGTTACTCCTAGAAGTAATGTAAATATAAACTGAAATTGCAGAATTTCTGACAAAAGATAAAAATCAAAAACTACATATCAGAATTTATTAGAAGCATTTAAGGGAGTGGTGTGAGGAAAACTTATACTGTTAATATTTTTAACGATGAAAATTTACAAATGGAATAAAAAGTTTAGTTTAAGCAGCTCTATGCAAATAAATGTGAAAACTTAGATAAAATGACTCAATAATATCACCATCTATAAATCACATATTAATTATAAGAGTAAAATGATATCTTCAAATTGACAGATCAGTGGATATCACCTTAAAAAAGTGATCAAAATTAGCATGCCAATACTAGGAACTTTCTGATATTCATGTCCCCTCTGATGTGATGCAAAGAAAAATCCACACTTTGTATAGGATATTCTTTTAAAAAACGTGTGTGTGTGTGTGTGTGTGTGTGTGTGTGTGTCTGTGTGTCTCTGTGTCTCTGTGTCTCTGTGTATCCTGACTGTAATGCCTAAACAATAAAAGAAGATTACATATATCACCAATAAGGTCATTGTCCCGGACTCTAAAATATTGTCATAGTCATAAATAACATTAAAAAAGAAAAATATCCATGGCGCATGTTTACCTATGTAACAAACCTACACATGCTGCACATGTACCATGGAACTTAAAAATTAAAATAAATATATGTGCTATGTATAGATACATACATTTTTTACTATATAGTGAACAATTATATATATTTATAGTGGTACATTTCTTGGGAATGATCATAGTAGTAGGGTAATGGAGGAATGTATTCTAAAGAATTAAACAGTGAAGTATAATAAAGTATGAAACTTACTCTCAAATTTTTCAGCAAGAAGAATAAATAATATGTGGATAGAGACAAAATGTAGAAAAATCTGGTAAATTGTTAACAATTTATGAATCTGTGAGAAGGATATACAAGTGTTTAATATTTTTGTAGGTGTAAAAATTCTCAAAATAAAAAAACTCTAAAATAAAAACCAACTATTGATATCATGTTTTCATACTATATTAAAATATGTTTCTCAAACACGCAATAATTCTTAGAACCAAAGTTGTGGTATAAATTATAGATTTAATTGGCCATATTTCCTCTCTCTCTCTCTCTCTCCCTCTATACACACACACACATACACCCCATAATACAACTTGAAACATGCAGTACTGTAATATCATTTTACTCTCTCAGTTTCAAGGAATATTGACTGATCCTGAGTAGAGAAGTAAAACCTGAATGAATTTTTCACCTTAATAAAGAATGCCTATCTAGTAAAAAAAAAAAAAGCTTTTTTAAGTATACTGCTAGGAAGCCAAGCAGCCCATCTAAACGCAATCAACAGTATTTGAACTAACAAGCCTTGAAAATAACTAATGGTATAATCAACAACTTGTCTGAAAATGTGGTTCACTATGGTGTGTTTGGATTGAGGTCAATGACTACAGGGCAGCATTTGTGTTACCGTGACAATGTGCAATCCTGTCACTCAATCATGCCATTAAAGACAAAAGGTATGCAGGGTTCCCTCCTCTTACTTTTTTTCAGCTATATTCATTATCAGTCAATACTGAGGCTAAGTGTTTACTCTCTTGAATTGTTCATTTAAATTCCCAAATGCCCACACGAACTTGCATTTAGCAGCCTGACTTGACATTTAAATGCAAGAGCCTCAGAAGTCTTCTGAGAGTTGACTTCTCTATTAAAATCGGTTTAAAGCAAATAATTTTTGATGAATTTTAATACATAGCACTCACTGTTGCACCTCGAATCCACTTTGCCCTTTTTGGAGTTTATGTGATGGTATCATTATGGAAAAACACACCATTTTAGATATCTCATTGTGTTAACATATGTCACAATACCTAAAATCTAAAAACATACGACGTTTAAAAATATTGCAAAGCACATGTACCCTAAACTTAAAGTATAATAATAATAATAATAAGTAAAATAAAATAAAATAAAATAAAATAAAATAATTTTATCATCCTCTTCAAAAGTAATAGTAAAAACTAATATTGGTGAGAAATACAGCTTAAAATAGAATTTTACCAAGTTAGGGTTTTATTTTCCTCTTAATTTAGGATTTTAATAATTTTAAATAGTACCTTATATAGGATAACACTTCTCAAACCTTGTCCTCAAAATTCTAACACCTCCCAACTATGGTTTAGTAATTACCAAGAAATAAACTGATTCAAATATAAAAAAAAAAATTGCAAAGCAACCAAAGGACGTTATAAATATTTTAGGTGCTTTCATATTCCCTACTGCATGTAATTTCTCTTTATTATGAGATACACATTCTGACTAGATGATATCTATCAATAAATAAACAGGAACTACCAAAGAAAATAACAAAATTAGAGAGGAGGTCAGTGTAAAAGATGGAAAACTTTAAAAAAGTGTAATATCTTAAATTATACCAAGAAATGTTCTACTGAAATATCATAAAGTATACAGTTTCTAATTATGTCATGCAGTACTTTGAAGGTATTAAATCCTAGCAAATATGCATTGTTATAATAATCATCATTATTATTACTATTTTTGGCTGAGAACTTTATGTAATTTTAAAGCATATCTAATATCCAAGAGAACAACTTTGAATGATCCTATTATTAGCATTTTAAAAATAAATAAGCCGAAGTTTAAAACAAAAGAATAGCTGGAATTACTACCTTTGATGATATCTGATCAGAGGTGTAAAATAAGAACTGCCCAAATCATGAAGAGAAATTAAATGTCACTAAAAGATTTAATAGTTCTGATTTAATGTGTTCCATTTTGATAGGTCTGAGAACTTTGGGGATCCAGAAATACTATTGCCAGTCTTCATGGAATACATCTAAGATTAATCAATTATTTGAAACCTGAAAGTTCAGGTTTCAAATAATTTGACCTGGTTCATACAACTTGTTCTAAAAGGGATTGTATTCATGTTTAATTAAATCACTGAAAATTATAGGATTCACTCACCACACTAGTGTTTTCCTAACTACTGATCCCAGCTTTGCTTTATATTCAGCTATCTCTTTTTCTTTCAAATTTTAACTTTGTTAGAGGGGATGTAAATTAGCCAATCCTGCTGTGAAATTCACTAGAGAGGGCTCTTTTTCTTACCTTTAGTTTTTGCAGGTTTATGTGATTTAGTGATGGTAAAATATCTAAGATCCATATTACTCTTTATTTTGAAAAAAAACACAGCAGCAAATTTATTTTCTCTGCAGTCCCATGACTCTTTGAAAATGCTAGCAGGTCTTTTGACTTATAAGTTAAAAAGTCATCTTAGTGCTTTGGCTGTAGTTCAAAAATGAGATGCTGAATTTCTTATCTTGATAAATTATAAAGTTACTCATTGTCCCTTTCTTATTCCTGTGTCTCTGCTCTGCCCTGTCCCTTTCTCTTTAACTTGTCAAATGAGTGATTTCTGTTAAATGAATCATAAAAATATATTTAAATATATGCATGTGCATCCTGAAACAAAGTTGCCAGTTTGTGACACACATAAAAGAGGAAAATGACTTCATTATATATCATCTTTTTATTCACACCTCCTTTGTGCCTGACTCATATGAAATATTAAACAAATGTTGAATAAAGTAATGAATTAATATTTCCCTGATTTTCTGGATGCTCCATTCAGAAGTTTCCTCTTCTTTTATGAATGCTTAAATTATTGTTTACCACTTACAACACTTTAATGTGTTGCTTTGTGCTCATGTTAGCTGAATATTTTACTATTATTATTATAATATCCCCATCTCAGAATGCAAGATTTATAAGTAATCATCACTCAGAATCACTTTATAAATCATAATTTATAAGCTATGATTCTCATGTAGAAAAATAGAATGTAGGTTTAATGAAATGCTCATATTTTCTTACAGAATAATAAAGTGTTATATCTTTACTTATATCAAATTCCTGAATCAAAGAATTTATTTGAATGGAGACTTCAGGAAGCACTAAACGGACTTCGGGAAGGCGCCAGGGAAGGGAACAAAGCCAATGAAGGATATGTTATTAACAGATCACCGCTGTATGAAACTGAAGCTTTACCTTAATGTGAACATTTGGCAGACATGTATAAGATGCTTCAACATTATTCTGCCTAAAAAAGGAAAAAGCTGGGATATATATCCCCCAAATACAGGCAGGCACTGGAATAGTGAATTCTAAAGAGATACGAATTGGGCACCAAGAATGTCTGCAATTATGGCATCAAAAGTATAGGGGGACACGACTTATTTTCTTGGAGTCAACAGAAGCTATACTAATAAAAAAAAATAAGGAAAGAAAAGCTGTGGTTCCGATGATCTTTCAACAATAGGGATCTTAAGAGTCCATAGCAGAGGAGCCAATCTGGCTGATTTGTAAAAATAAACATTCAATTTAAGGGGTTAATAGTAAAATAGAAGCTTAAATGTATAAAATGCACTTCTGTCCTGTGCAGTTTCATATTTGCCTATTCCTGTTAGAAG
Source organism: Homo sapiens (assembly GCF_000001405.40). Classification (NCBI taxonomy): domain Eukaryota; kingdom Metazoa; phylum Chordata; class Mammalia; order Primates; family Hominidae; genus Homo; species Homo sapiens. Next base: position 95,718,323 of record NC_000003.12, read on the forward strand.
TCAAATTTTAATAGAATTTAATTAATTTAATATTAATTATTAATATCATTAATTTAATTTAATGTTTAAATTAAAGTCATTAACTTATCCTCATAAGTTTCTCCTGACAATGGATGAAGATAGACAAGGAAGCTAACCACATCATTGATTTTAGTTGTTTTAAAACCCTTACTTTGCATAGTAATAAAATTGAAATATGTCCATATTGGTCAATTTGAGTTGTTTATGGTTAATATTATTTGCTTAAGTGATTTATTAAAAGGAATTTATTTTTCACAGAATCTTGCTGATTTTCAAAATGGTTTTATTTCAGAATTTATCTCCAAATCATTTTGTATATTTTTTGTCTGACCTCTGAATGAGCTTCTTACAACTAATAACACTATATGCATTTGAACAAATAAAAATTAATGAACGAATGAGCTAGTTTTTACCAAATTCTTATCATTTTTAGGAATATTTCCACTATTATCATATAATATCACATAATACAATTCTCTCTATTCATCACTTTTACTTGATAATGGGAGCCTTAAGGCCAAAAATATTTATCATTATTCTTTGTAACCTCAGAATCTGATGTCTAGATTCCAAAGAGATAATGGATAATTTTTAAATGTTAGAAGAAAAAATGAATAACCAATAGCCACTTTATTTATTTGTTTTTAGAAACAGGGTCTTGCTCTGTCACTGAGGCTGGCATGCACTGGCATCACCATAGCTCACTGCAGCTTCAAATTCCTGAGCTAGGGCAATCTTCCCACCTCCGCCTCCTGAGTAGCTAGGAGTGGGCCTGTAGGCCCACACCACCATGCTCGGCTACTTTTCAAGTTATTTTTAGAGAAAGGGTCTCATTATTCTCGTTTCCCAGGCTGGTCTCAAACTCCTGGCCTCAAGCAATCATCTCTATCAGCTACTTTAAATCATCTGCCAGATAAGCATCTTAATTTTCTTTGAAGTGGAGTAGAATAATAGTGGGGTTGGTTTAAGAATTTTTGCCTGTCTCTGACCAAAACTCAGCCGAGTATGTAAAAGAGAGTCCTTGTCCTGGTACCAAGTTTAAAACACAATTTAAATATATTGAACGTGCAGGGGAGCCAACTCAAAGACAACATGGAAGGTTGACGTTTTATGCTGATGCATCCGGTGGTGGAACATGAAATGATTTGGTCCCCTGTAGACAAAATTATTTAGGGGTTGCAAAACAGCAGCTGATATGCCTAAACCTATCTTTTCTTTTACTTGTCAAATGTTTACAACTCTTCGAATTTAAATGACTGCAGCTGTAATAAAGTGTTTATATTCACCTTTAACACAACCGACCACAGCTAATTTCTCTTTTTGGAAATTCTAAAGTTGCTTCATAGATTTCCTTTTCCTATTTGGTCATCGACGCCATTGGAGGTTATAAGTTTGTGACCTCTGAATGTTATGTAATGCTAAACATCTATTTGTTATGTTTTTTCACTGTTTTCTTTTAACTAACTTAACCTGTGGTTTTCACATTACATAAACAAAGTCTTACTCTACAGTATTTCCAATATCAATCTTTGCAAGTTTTATTTAAAGTTTACTTCATGTCATTTCTTGAAAAGCATTTTCATAAATAAAAATGAAATATATGCACTGCAACTCCTATACAGAAAGTATGTAAAACACAAGTAAATAATGAAAACATGATGGTGAATTTCCACACTTTAAATTTGTCTCACTTAAATGCTTTAGAATAGTGGTTCTCAACCTGACTGACTAATTTTGCCCCCAGAGGATATTTGGCAGTGTCTGGAGACATTGTGATTGTTAAACTGGGAGGGGAATGCTACTGGCACATGGTGAGTAAATACCAAGAACGCTCCTAAGAAGATTCTACAATGCACAGGACAGCTCCTCTACCCCATCTTAATAAAGACTTCTCCACCAACAAATGTTAATAATGTTGAGATGAAGAAACCCTGCACAGAGTAACTAATATGAAGCTATTTACTACATTTGCCAAACGTCTAATCCTGTACATTGCTCTTTAGAAAAACCGAAGGAAACTACAATTCTTTTCTCAAATGACCATTTATGCAAGAAGAATAAACAAATATTCAGGAAAAAATAAGACAATAATTCTTTATAAACCAAATAGTTATGTTGAATTAATAAAGCAGATTTAGCCTTCAAGTGAGGAGCATCAAGTATTGAGAAACTTAAATTGCACATTGTTTCCCTTGTTAAGAAGAAATCAGTGTTGATATTGGGTTAGCTGCTCAGCAGTGCCAGCATTAGGGCAGCCCCTGTGTCTCTGCCTCAGGGACTCAAGACCTTTGCTGCACCTTCATGCAAGAAGATTGGCGGGCCGCAATGGCTCACGCTTGTAATCCCAGCACTTTGGGAAGCAGAAGCGGGCGGATCACGAGGTCAGGAGATCGAGACCACGGTGAAACCCCGTCTCTATTAAAAATACAAAAAATTAGCCGGGCGTGGTGGCGGGCGCCTGTAGTCCCAGCTACTTGGAGAGGCTGAGGCAGGAGAATGGCGTGAACCCGGGAAGGGGAGCTTGCAGTGAGCAGAGATCGCGCCACTGCAGTCCAGCCTGGGCGACAAAGACAGACTCTGCCTAAAAAAAAAAAAAAAAAAGATAGCAGAGGGTAAAAAGGCAGTGTGGTGGTGTTTGTGTAAAAAGGCAGTGTGGTGGTGTTTGTGTAAAAAGGCAGTGTGGTGGTGTTTGTGCCAGTAGTAACCATTCTCTTTTATCAAGAAAAACATAAATTGTTAGCAGAAGCATACACTCTACCTCTGGTTACATTTTAGTGGTCAGAAGTGCAATGCATAGGGAGCATGGGGAAGCAATTAGTTAGATTTTCAACCACAATAGTGCAGTAACGGTGAGGAAAATAGTTGAAACTCTATTGAATTGGTCACCAAGAAGTTTCTACTACGAATAGCTATATGTATTCCATAGTTTACAAAGGAAACTGAGAATGCTGCTTTCAATTGAGAAAGAATGTTTATCTGAATTATATTTAAATGTTTATCTAAAAGGGGTGGCATAATTGATAAAAGTTAACTAATTTCCCACATAAGAATTGCAGACCCAAAGCTTGGCAAATTTGCAATCATGGAGAATATTTATGGCTTTGTTCTTAATCTAAAACCAAAAGGAAAGTGTGAAAATATAATATATGTTGAAATGCCACATATTTACTGTAAAATGAGTTTGGGAATTAACTTAGTCAACTCATCTCTCAAGTAATGTTTGTATTTTTCCCTTATAAGCTATTCAAAATCAATTATTTTAAAATTAAACTTAATAAAATAATTGTTATTAATAATTAATTGGTAGTTACCAATATGAATGTATTACCAAGTTTATTTTCTTGGTTTAAAACCAACAAACAGAAAATTCAGAAAGTCCCTGGGAAGCAAGTATGTATATAGTCCCAAATCAAGCCCTTTGCTTCTAAGAACTAACAAAGCCTTATTTCTGCATTTTGCTGAACTTTATTTTCCTGTTTTCTATATCTCAGGGCAAACATCTCATCTCAAGATCCCACCGACATAGGTTTCCTCTCCGTGGAAAAGCAGCTGTAATGACTCAAAGAAAAATCAAGAAAGAAGATGATAAAGGTCATAGCCACTGTTAGGAGTCTTATTCCCACAGGCAATACAGATTCTGTAATATCAATCAAAGTTCCCTGAGAAGGCTCACCTTACTGATGTCTTCTTTGGTGTTGCTATGGCCTTTGTTGCTAGGGAACTACCCAGTCCAAATGATTTTCTGAAGAAATGACCTGCTATTGGTACTGAATCATGACCTGAGACTGGTAGTAATATTACGTAATACTTCCCAGAGGCTACCAACCCACGCTCTTCTTTCAGTTTCAGTTAGATGAAAAAAAAAAAAAAAAGGTCAGAACAGGGAAAGTGCATTTGAGATGGCCTCAAGTAAGGGACTTTTGTACCATGATGTTAAAATATTTTACACTGTTAATCCTTGTAAATCTTAAGAAACTATGCTATAGTCAAAGATTCTTTGAAATAGTACTTATGTCAAGAAGGTAAGATATCTCTTCTCATAACATTACATAAAGGATGCTTTAATTAAAACAAAGAAGTGAAAAATAAAGGTACATCTGTAATTATTTACTTTATAAATAACTTAAGTAACACTTCTTGATTATAGATCCACTTTATAAGAATGATTTCATTTATACTCCATAATGTAAATTATTTACTTTATAAATAACTTAAGTAACACTTGTTGATTATAGATCCACTTTATATTACAAGAATGATTTCATTTATACTCCATAATGTAAACCTTTAAAATAGAATATTTTTTTTTTAATTTTGCCTTCTAATTTTACTGATTTTTCAAAAGAAATATGCTTTTATCTCATGATGAATATTTCACTATGAAATTATCCATTGTGTGTTTTTTCTTCAGCATGAAAATGATTATAACCATCATAGGTCATTAGCACCTGATCACCTGATAAGCAATATTTAAAATAATATAACAAATCTGGCAGTACTGAAATTCATGAACTTTTTTATATACGCCGTGAATCTCAATTAAGAATTCTTCAAAATTTGACTACACTTAATGGTTTTGAAATTCCGTTTTACATAATACTCACTAAAGAAATTGATAGACCAAGATATTCTGACTTAAAAGCATCTCCCTTGAGAGCCCCTTAGTTTTATTTGGGTTTCTACGAAGAGTACACTTTTAATAAACAAGACCATAAATGTACAGTAGGAAAAAGCAGGTTTTGCTATTGTACAGTTTTCACTGTTTCAAAAATAAGCAACCTAATGCTGGAAATCATGGGTATTTAATAAATTTTGAATAATGTAGTTGAAAAGTTAAGGAAAGATCAGGGAGAAATATCAGAGTAGCTCTTATAACTGCTAAAATTTTAGCACAGGAATAAAATTTTACAATAATAAATATGCTAAGTATTGTAAAATTGTTGAAATTCTGTGCTCCAAAAACAGATTAAAGTTGTTCCATAGGATGAAATAGTTCCTTTGTTTTGTTTACACAGTTTTTAATGTTTTTATTTTATTTTGTTCTTTCAGATACAATTTTCTTTCCAAATATTCTAAAATGATTAAAAAGGTTTTCCCAAAAAAATGTGAATTGGATAATGAAAATAAATATATAAATTCAATAATTTAAAAGAAATTTATATTTATGAAAACCAATGACACTAAAACCTGGGGAAGTAAAAATACTTCCAATTAAAGTTAAATATGAATGTGTTGCTGACATAAATACTTTATTTTGTTAATATTCATGCATGAATAATATAAATATTATGGTGTAAATAAGTCAGAGGAAGCCTAAATAAAATGTTTTGACTAATAATAGTTCTTGAATCACAAGAATTTTTTAAAAATCCATACTGTTTTTACAGACATGTATTTATTATTTTTAGCCTCACTGACTTTTGTATTAATAACAATGTTACCACCATATATACTGTACAAATTATTATATATCAGAGTTTTAAAATACTATTATTAAACATGAATTAGCTAATAATTCTTCTGACATATTAGCTTAGAAAAGTGGACACTAAATGTATTATTTAAGGTAACCTTGAAATTGATCCCAGAAATTTAAGTTCAATTGTGAAGTGGTTCTTATTTTTTTAATTTTCTCCTACTCTTCCCTTGCCTTGTAAATGTTCATCCAAATTTAATTTCTCTAGTGATGCTAATCAAATTCTCAAGTTAGATAACATTAATAAAAATGTGCTAATATAGCAGGCAGATTTTCCCAATTTGTCACTGCAGTGCTCTTAATGTAACAAACCTCATTCTTTTTTATACAAATAACTTGGGTGGAAAAATATCACCAAAAATGCTTTATATGGCAGAAATGCTAAATATGCATATTCTTGTGAAATAAATTATTTTAACAGCTGTCGTTTTTTATTTTAATTTTTATCACTATGGGTTTTTTTTGTATTCTAAAACCCTAATTCATAAAATGGATAAAAATAATGTTTTTGGTCAATTTTGCACAACTTTTTTGTGTAAAGTGTCACCTCAAAATAATTTTATATTAATATTATGACACAAATATCCCTTCTGCCATTTACCATAGAAGTATCATTTTAAGAGATATTAAATGCCAACAAGTAGTTCTTTTGAACATTTCTGGTTATTTGGGTGATGTCAGAAGAGAATAATCAGGCAAAAAAAGGAATTTTTTTCTTTTTCAAATCATTCACTATAGAAAAATAACAGCATTCATCTACAGATTAACTAAAGTATATTGATCCTTAAAAGAAATTCTATTGATATTCCATCTGCTAATGGAGCCCACATCTCTCCCATTTTCTTTGGGGATCATGAAAGAAGGATCACATTTTTCCCATTTATGTTACTAGTACGGGATGAATTTCAGTTTAAATCTTTACTTGGCACTTAGCATAGGTTATCTTGATTTCTTCATTCTCATCTTTGTGAACCCAGAGTGTCATTTCAATCCCTTTCTCTATGTTTCTCCCTGTCTCTCTCTCTCTCTGTCACACACACACACACACACATACACACACACACACACACACACAAACACACACCCCCATCCCTGGAACTAAAACTAAAATGTATATAAGGAATTTGCATGTTCAGGCCCAGTTAGAGGTTATGAAGCTGGAAGAAATTTAAATTATAGCAAACTGTCCTTATTGGTTTGTTTAAGCAATTTGAGATTCAATTATTAGAAAAACTATACATCATATATAGATAGATAGGCACCTATAGATATACGTAAATATATTAGAAATATTAGAAAAGATACTTGTATTAAAATTTTTGTGACAGAAAAATTTTAAAAAAGAATCGTGAAGTGACTATACAAATAACAATTTTTTAAATTTGTAAAATTGTCTTTTTCTTATTCCCAGGCATTTTTTTTAATGCTTGCTTCATGGTACATGTGCATGCACTGCGTCATAGAGATATATTTCATGTGGTTATTTTCCTAAAAATGTAAATTGTGTCAGCAGGGATGAATATGATGATTTGCTAATTTTTTATACTAAAAATCATCTTATGATACATGTTTTATAGAACGTTAAAATGTGTATTGACCATATATTTTCATGTCCTTGTTTTTCAATTACTTTAGTGTCATGTATATTAACTACATTAATTTATGATCAACTTAATATTTTGCATATATTTTTGGTATTTATATAATATGTATGCATACACCCACATTTTATATGTAAGTATATATATATATAGGTGGGTTTAATATATAAATGCCTCATGTGTGCTAATAACTTTATGTGCATATTGGATTTTAAAAATTCAATGAAGTGTTATTATTCCTAGCTTACAAAGAAGGACACCAGCCAACCTTTCTTACAGAAGAAATATTTCACTTAACTTATTAGGTGTGACTGCAAAGCACATCCCCTTCCTATGCTGCCTCATTCACCTCCATAGAAAATAATAGTTGCTAGAAAAGACACATAATAGGAATTCTTTCTATATATAAATTCCTATTCTGCGTATTATTTTATTTTCTATCTTGCCTATATTTACTACCTTAAATTTATAATATTTAATATACTTTGAGGAGAGTTTCTTCCCCATAAAAAATGTCAAATTCACTGTAAAATTGCTGCATAAGCATTCCATTGTATGACTACAGTATAGCCCATTTAAGTATCTAAAACTGATGCATATTTGCAGTGTTTCCAATCTAGCTATCATAAGCAGGGCCTTAATAAATACTCTTATACAGTTATTTTGACATATGGGCAAGTGCACTTGTAGGATGAAGTCCTGAATGGGTAATTTCTTGTATAAGTTATTTATGCATATATATGTTGATATATAGGACCAAACTATCATCCATAAATGCTATAACAATTAAATTTTCCAAAAAGCTATTTGAGCATGATAGCTTATTTACATTCTGGCAACAGTGTACTTGCAAACTTTTTGAAAATCTTAGTCAACCTGAAATTTTAAAAAGAAGGAAATATCTTCCCATTTTAGATTTAATAATAGCTATCATATGTAACAAATAAAGAAGAATCTAAGTGAAACTTCTTTATGAATTTCAAATGATGTAGCTATTGCCATGAAACCTCCAAGGTACATGGCATGGATGAAATCATGAAGTTATCTTAACAGCATTCAAAAATATGATGTAATACATAAAGATTTGGTACTTAAGCTTTATAGAGGTAATTTTTATGATTTTAAAATTTTACATAGCATAAATTAATGTTAAAAATGTATTTTCAAAAATGCCATTAGTAAGTAACAGAATAGTCTTCTGATTGAATTAGAAAACATTAACAGCTGATATATTTAGGATATCTCTTTGTTCTTTTCTACCAAAGCTTACAGTAACTTAGTGAATTTGTTATACTAAAAAAAAAATCAGCAAACACTTTCCTGCTATTCCCTTGGCAATAAAACTGTTCATAATCATTGAAATAATGGATTATAGTTCCCCAAGATGTTTGATCCTACTTACTTATTACGAAGCTTTGACAGGAATTGTGACTCTAGTTTTAGAATGAGCTTCCCAGGAGATAAGGTCTCAGTGCAGTGAAGGGAAAAGAAGTAACTTCAGGTTTATATCAAAGAGGAATTTCTTCAGTGAGATATTTACTCTTATTTTCAAATCCTTAGATATAACATTGAATATAGAGTTTAAAAAAAACTATTTACTATGTCAGTTTATACTTTAAAATGTGTTGTAGCCAACTTTGATTTATGGTAATTTGCACACAGTACTCATGGCTTTTAACTTGCAGGCATGTTAGAAAGTGAAATTAACTCCATATCTCTACTTTGAAGATAGTATTTTAGGAAGTTTTAGGGAATTATTTTACAGAGTTTCAAGTAGTGTCTTTTAGTTCAATGATCAAATGACACTCTTAAATGTATGTATATATTAATAATCAAATGCTGACAAACCCTCTCCCCAAACAAAAACAAAAATGCTATTTATTTACTATTAAAAAATTAGTGTCAGAAATTGTGGTAGATACTACCTCTTGTTCTCTTATCCTATATTTAGTATGTAAAAATAATATTTTTAACTAAATATTATAAAGTAATGCAAGATGTTAAAACAGAGTCTACTGATTTCATTATTTTCACCTATTTCATTTTATTATGAACAATTTTAGTAAAAATTATATTTTATTTGTTTTGTTAGAGCCAAAAAAATTTTCCAAATTTATTAAGCAACCATTGAGCAACTTAAAACAACTACAAATAGACTATTTGGAGACTTTGGTTATCTAAAAATGTGTACTCATGAAAACAGAGTTAACAAACACATGTAGAAAATATGATTGAGAAATACTGGCCTATATCACATCTACAAAATATATGTTACACAAATGTGTCTAAAACCTATAGATTTACATTACATATCCAAACAGACAGAACTGAAAATATGCTATTGAATACATAGTTGCACAAAAACTATATTTGCAACTTACATTTCTAACAAATGCTGAATTTTTTTCTCTGTTGAAATAAAAAAATATGAAGCTACTTTCTAATGCTACTGTACAGTTTCAAGGGTTTTCAAATGAAAAGAAGTTTCTGTAATTAGGTAAGTATTAAATTATGTTTTATGAAGAATTATAAGTAAAAACAAAAGATCCTGTCAAATTGTGAAACAAAATTTGGGATTTAAACAGAATATGTGGAAATATGGTAGACTTTAATATTATTGCATGTATATATTAAACAATTTCAACTTTTATCCTAAATTCAGGGGTATAAGTGCAGGTTTATTACATAGGTATATTGTGTGATGCTGAGTATTGGGGTACAGATAATCCCATCACCCAGGTAGTGAGCAGAGTAGCTGATACAGTTTGGCTTGTCCCCACCCAAATCTCATCTTGAATTGTAACTCCCACAATTCCTACATGTCATGGGAGGAACCCAATGGGAGGTGATTGAATTATGAGGGAGGGTCTTTCTCATGATGTTCTCATGATAGTGAATGATTCTCACAAGATCTGATGGTTTTAAAAATTGGAGTTTCCCTGCACAAGCTCGCTCTTTGCCTGGTGCCATCCATGTCAGAGGTGACTTGCTTCTCCTTGCCTTCTGCCATGATTGTGAGGGCTCCCCAGCCATGTGGAACTGTAAGTCCGTTAAACCTCTTTCTTTTGTAAATTGCCCAGTCTTGAGTATGTCTTTATCAGCAGCATAAAAACGGACTAATACAGTACTCAATAGGTAGTTTTTCAGCCAACGTCTCCCTCTCTCCCTCCTTCATTTAATAGTCCCCAGTGACTACTGTTCCTATCTTTATATCACTGTGTCCTCAATGTTACTCATTGTGTACTCAATATATCTCCCACTTTTAAGTGAAAACTTGCAGTATTCAGTTTTCAGTTTCTGTATTAATCCACTTAGGATGATAACCTCCGCCTTCATCCATGTTGCTGCAAAGGACATGATTTTATTCTTTTTTAAGGTTGCATATTCTGTAATGTATATGTATCACTGTTTTTAATCCAATCCAATGTAGATGGGCACATAAATTGATTTCAGGTGTTTAATATTGTGAATAGTGCAGTGACTAACATCTTTTTTGTAGAACAATTTATTTTCCATAATAAATACAATGGAATTGCTGGGTTAAATGGTAGTTTTGTTTTAGTTCTCTGTGAAATCTCCAAACAGCTTTCCATAGTGGCTGAATTAATTTACATTTTCACTAAAAGTATATACACATTCCCTTCTCTCTGCATCCTTGCCAGCATCTGTTATTTTTTTTTTTTTGAGTTTTTAATAATAGCCATTCTGACTGTTTGAACTTATTCCTTTAATCTAACTAAAATTTTGTATTCATTGACCATCATTTCCTCAAACCTCCTACCCCTTAGCCTCTGATAACCATGATTCTACTCTGGTTCTGTGAGTTCTACTTTTTGATGCCACATATAAGTAAATTTATGTTTTACTTTTCTTTCTGTGCCTGGCTGTTTTACTTAACATCTTTCTGGTTCATCCATACTGATGCAAATGACAGAATCTCTTTCTTTGGTAAGGCTGAATAGAATTCCATTGTGCATATATATATATGCACAATGTGTATTTATCACATTGTGTATATATCACATTGTGCATATATATATATATATGTATATATCACTTTTTCTTTATAAATCCATCTGCTGCTAGACATAGCTTGATTACCTGTCTTTATTATCATGAATAATGCTGAAATGAAAATGAAGGTGCAGATATCTCTTTGACATACTGACTTCATTCCCTTTGTATATATACCCAGAAGTGGGATTACTGGATCATATAATAATTCTATTTTTAATTTTGAGGAGCCTCCATAATGTTTTCTGTAATGGTTGTAGTAATTTACATCCAACCAACAGTGTATCAGGATTCCCTTTTTTCCATGTGCTCATCAAAACTTCTTATTTGTTGTCTTTTTATAACAGCCATTTTAACAGATGTGAGGTGATACTTTATTATAGTTTTAATCTGCATTTCCCTGATGATTGGTGATGTTGAGCATTTAAAAAATATATGTCCGTTGGGAGGCCCAAGTGGGCAGATCACAAGGTCAGGAGATCGAGACCATCCTGGCTAACATGGTGAAACCCCGTCTCTACCAAAAATACAAAAAAAATTAGCCGGGCATGGTGGCGGGCGCCTGTAGTCCCAGCTACTCAGGAGGCTGAGGCAGGAGAATGGTGTGAACCCGGGAGGTGGAGCTTGCAGTGAACCCAGATCGTGCCACTGCACTCCAGCCTGGGTGACAGAGCAAGACTCTGTCTCAAAAAAAAAAATATATATATATATATACATATATATATATATATTTGTATATATACATATATATATATATATGTATATATATATATATACAAAGAAGGCCATTTGTATGCCTTCTTTGGAAAAATGTTTACTCAGGTCCTTTGCCCATTTTTCAATTGGGTTTTTATTTTTTTAATTTAGAGTTATTTGAGTTTCTTATACATTTTGGATATTAACCCTTCATCATATATATGGTTTGCAAATAGTTTCTCCCATTTTTTACGTTGTTTCTTCATGCTGTTGATTGTTTCCCTGGTAGTGCAGAATCTTTGTGGTTTGATGTAATCCTGCTTGTTTATTTTTGCTGTTGTTGTCATTGCTTGCAGCGTCATATTAAAAAAAATCATTACCCAGATCAATGTTATGGAGATTTTCTACTTTGTTTTCCTCTCGTAGTTTTACTTTTTCAGGTTTTATGTATAAGTCTTTAACCGATTTTGAGTTTTTTTTGTGTGTATAGTATGAGGCATGGGTCTAATTTCATTCTCTTACTTGTGGCTATGCAGTTTTCCCAACACCTTTTATTAAAGAGATTGTCATTTTCCCATTGTGTGTTTTGGAACCTTTGTCCCTAATCAATTGACCTTTAGTATGTGGGTGTATTTTTGGACTCTCTATTCTGTCCCATTTTTCTGTGCCTGTTTTAATGCCAGTGCCATGCTGTTTTGATTATGATAGTCAGTGTAATACCTCCAGCTTTATTCTTTTTGCTCCAGATTGCTTTGGTTATTTCAGGATCTTTTGTTGTCTCATAAATTTGAGAATTGTTTTTAACCACTTCTGTGAAAAATGTCATTGAAATTTTGATAGGGATTGCCCTGAATCTTAGATCACTTTGGGCAGTATTGATACTTTAGTAATATTTATTCTGCCAGTTCATGAACATGAGATGTTTGCATTTATTTGTGTCTTCTTAAATTTTTTTCATAAATGTCTTATAGTTTTCAGCATACAGATCTGTCACCTCCATCGTTAAATTTATTCATATTTATTCTTTTTTGTAGCTATGATAAACATGATTAGTTTCTTGATTTCTTTTTTTTTTTTTGCATAGGTCCTTGTTAGTGAATAAAATAATACAGAGTTCTGTATGCTACAAGATTTTGTATCCTGTAACTTTACTGAATTCACTTATAACTGCATTTATTTACTGAATTCATGTTCCTTATTCTACCACCACATTTTCTTGATATTTTGGTTTATATTTTTATTTTCTCTGGGCGTTTTATTTTGTTCCAGTTAAATTTTGTTTGGGTTTCTTATTTTGTGCTTAATTTCTAGGAAGAGAAAAAGACATGTTAAATTTAGAACCCCCATATTCAAAGCAGACATAAAACTAACTTTACATGTTTGAACCAGGAGAAGATAAAACATGTAATTTTAAAATTTTGTTGAGATGATCACATTTTAAAATTAATATTGTAATGAGTACTTTACCTTCATATCAAATGCCATCATCTAAATATCTAAAATATTTTTTATATCTGAGTTTCTTATTCTAAGAGAAGCCATAAAATATGGGTAAGCATTTTGACATCTAGCACTGCAAAAGTAAAATCTTTGCTTTACAACATATCCTTGTTAGATTATATATAGGGTAATCACATCATAGATTTTGAAATTAATCTCATCATGTTCAGAGTAGATCTTGTATAACCCTCCTGAATTTCAACAGTGTGCCTCACATAGCTTATCAGACAGAATTATTCTTGTATAAGTTTTCATGAGACACCACAAATTCAGGATATTTCTACATTTCTCTAGAATGAAATCATCTGAAACCCATTCTTCTACTGAAAATAGAATTTCAATCTGACTCACCCAGTTTTCTAATGATTCACAGTTTCATAAATTTGTTGATTGAATTCAATAGGTTTATAAACAGTGTAAAAGTAATTGGCCCCAAAAGAGACTCAAAGTTTGACCATGGTCTCTATAACAAAGCCGCTAGCATTTTCCAGAGTTGGGATAGTGATAAAACAAAATAAACACAAAAATAATGGCATATGTCTTATATGTGTAAACAAACTAAATGATATTTAAAGTAGTTTAAACAAAATATAATAGTCTCTTAATCACATGTGGCAGATACCATCACTCAAAAATTCTAAGAGTACATTAACAGCCTGATTAAATAATTTAGTGGTCACTTATTGGACTGAAAGGCCCTAAGATTTATTTCTTTCCATCTCTATGTGCCATATTACTAGGGAAGACAACCCAGGCTCAGTGGAATCATGAAGCAAGGAATCAATTTCCTTTCCCTAAGAAAAGAAGCCCACAAAATATTTGTACTCACTTACAAACTTAGCCAAAAGGAAAACAGTATAAATTACTAAGGCTAAACAAAACAATGGATCCTTTCTTCAGTAGCACAATGGAGAAGAAGAAAATTCCATTCTATAGAACTAATCAGGTCTAGAAAAAATATAATAAATCAAAGAAATAAGAAAAAGTAAAAATAAAGAAATTTTAACACATAATTTTTATGTAAGTGTTTCATTATCAAAAATCCCTTGTTTCTAATAACTACATAATGTTGGGAATGAAAGACAAGGAATGTTAGAATTGCAGAAGTAAACCTTTGATATTAAGCTATACCTGATACCTATTACATCTTAACAAATCCAGAGTAATTCTGAAAATAGTTTCTATATTAAATATAATTACTTGTTTTATATAAGACACTATATTTTTAAAAAACAAATTTGAATTGAGTTTAATTTTAATTTTTAATTACATTTATGAAATTGAATTTTCATTTTCACTAAGCCTTGTCCTTGAAAAGAAATTCATTATATGCTTATTGCATAAAAGATACAATTAGAGCTAAATGCTTAATGTTTAGCTATTTAAGAAAATAACACTTCACTAATTACTTTTAATCTGTTAGTAAAAGACAATAGATAATAGGTGTGATTGGAACCACCATATTTATAGAATTCTCTAAAATATTATTTGCTTACACTGAGCTTACTTTAAGCACGAGATTTTCAAACATAGAAAGTTATTTTGAAATATACACAAAAAGATAAATGTCAAGGTAAAGGAGTGAACTTATGAGCTGACAATGTAGTATGTTAAACACACTTCTGAATGTTTTAATTACATTTTCTGATTCAATAAATCAAGTGGGAAATAAATATTTTAAATCAAGATTAATAATAAAACCCTCCAGTAGTGAGTGTTAAGCACAATTTAGAAAATATATGTATATTTATATATGATTATTTATAATACTCTCCATTTAATCTCCTTCAGATTTCTAAGGACATAAAAATGACGCTTCAAAGAACACTGGACTCTGGATATTAACTAGTTTGCATTTTTAATTTTGCCAGTAAACAGAATGAAACATAAAGCTTATAAATCATTAGTGAAATCTGTCCACATTATAAGTGACCAATTAAATACAATTCCTTTTTGCTTCTGTGGTTTACTGTGTTATTACAGTTACCTTCCTGACATTAACTATTTTTATTTTCACCTTATAAATAAATGTGCTCATTTCTAGTTTCAGCTTTAACATGTAAAGAGCTTACAATTTCCTGTTCTTAGAAGAAAAAGCTCACTGTTTCTGGATACATTCAAGAACTGAGGTCATAGAGCAAATCACCATTCCCAAAATCTGAAAAGATAGGAGCATCCTGGCATATACAACTATATATATATAATATATATAATATATTATAGAAATATATAAAAAAGTAAATTGATAATCTTTATGAAGTTTGGTAGTATCTATTAAATTTTAGAACACTTTGACCTAGAAATTTTAATTCTATGAATTTATCAAGGAAATGTAGTACTAATAATAAGTTGCAGTTTCTAGTAGGTTTACTGGAGTAAGTTTTATATCAAAGAGAAAAATATAATTAAAAGATGCTTAATATTCCAAAATGATTTTGTTCTATGGTGATTAATCTGGAAAATAGTTATATTTTAAACTAAAAAATCCAATTGCAAAAATAAAATGTATAGTGGATCCCGTTCTTATAGAAATACAGCATGAAAATGAATGAACAGAGCACAAACATTTATTTTATTAATTGACATAATTATACATATTTATGGGTTACAATTTGATATATGGATACATATACATATCTTCTAATAATCAAATGTTAAAACTCACACATCTATCACTTAAAACATTCATCATTTCTTTTTTGTAGAAACATACAAAATCTACTCTTTTACCTGTTTGAGACATAAAATACCTTATTTTTACTATAATCACCCTGCTATGCATGACTAATGAACACTTATCCTTTCCTTTTAATTGTAACTTTGTACCCGTTAACCATCCTCTTGCATCTCCCCTACCTGCCCCTCCCTAGTCTCTGGTAGTTACTGTTCTATTTATTACTTCTATGAGAGTAATTTTTTTAGATTTCACATATGAATGAGAACATGTGGCATTGGTCATTCCATGTCTGGCTTATTCCACGTAACTCTATGTCCTCCAGTTTCATCTATGTTGTTGCAAAGGACAAAATTCCATTTTTTAATGGCTGAATAGTACTTTAATGTTTATATATCACATTTTCTTTATTCGTTCATTGGATGAACACAAGTTAATTTCATGTGTTGACTACTGTGAATAGTGTAACAATAAATATGGGACTTCAGGTATTTCTTCAACATACTGATTTCATTTCCTTTCAATATATACCCAGTGACGAGATTTCTGAATCATATATAGTTCTGTTTTTTTTTTTTTTGGAACTTCTCTACTGTTTTTTATAATGGCTACAATAATTTACATTTTCACCAACACCGTGTTGTGGCTCCCTTTTCTTCACATCCTCACCAACACTTGCTATGTTTTCTCTTTTGAGTAATAGCCACAAATTACTAATATTTTAACTCAAATTCTAAACTGTGATTATTGTGAATTTATATAATTAATTTGAGGCAGAGGGACACTTTCAAATATAAATGTAAAGAATTACACATGGAAAGATATGCTCAAATGTGAACATTATTTTTGTGTATACACTAATGATTAACATGTCAAATGACTGTATTCTTGGGCAAGGATTTGCCTTGTCAGTCAGCCAAAATGATCTGAGAATGGATTGTAGGCCAGATACTAAGTAACATAATATTATCTTTAGAATATACTTTTTCTTCTTTAGAATTAAATAGTTTAGTAAATTATGTTACCTTGCAGCTTCCTTTTTGCTAATTAGTAGTGCAAAGAAAGAAAGCAACATTTCAACTAATGTGAATGGAATCTATGTGCAAATTTTTATGCTAAGCAGTAGTTGATTCAAAAATAAAACAGACTCAACTTCTAACATTGGAGAAATAAATAGACCACTAAGAGCAGTTAAATAAGCATGTTCCAACGTATGTCATGAATAAAACTTGCCATTAGCAAAGCAGTCTGAAAAGAAATGAGAGGAAACAATTTCATTCAGCAAGTACTAATTAGGAGATTCGCCTCCATGATAAAATTGTAAGGCTGTGACTGGTCACAGACCCTCAAAAGACCTTTCCATTCTTTTAATTAGCTGTCCAGCTCTTCTCAGTGTGAAAGGATGCACGTCTCATATTGGCTGCTTGCTCATTTTCTTGCCTATATAAAATACTGGCAAATGACATTTATTAAATTAAGTTATTCTAACCAAACATGCTGCCTGTTGCATTATATGAAAGGATGTTTTTTAATTTAACTGTTTTTCTGTGGGATGGGGCTATATTTTTTACATGTAAGAATTGACTCAAAGATATAATAAACTAAAAATACAAGAGGTTTGGTTTATATAAGCTATTTTTAACTTACTTTTTAGATTTTCAGAGTTTCCCATCTCCATTAAAAAAATACATCTATTAATTTAAAAAACCATCCAGCTTTGAGATTCTGCCTCCTTTGAAGTTTGCACTCACAGTTCCAATTCTAGGTTTTCACAATTATATTGATTTAAGTGGCAGGTGTTTAATCTGCTGCAATGCCACATTTCAGAGCACATGATTTTATTTCACTTGTACACCAAAGCTTCAAAAACAATCACTGAATATTAACTCATTCATAAGCACGACAATTCTTATAACTGGGATTCTAACATGAGCCTATTTTGTTGATCTACTTCTCATGTTCTTTTTCTTCTTTTTTCTTATTTTCCGTTGAACCAGTTTGGCAGTTAAGATTCTGGTGTCTATCTATGGATAGCATTTTGACTACAATGTCAAATGGCTGGTTGCTTTTTCTTCCAAATATCAGTAGTCCAGATCCTCTGTCTTTGCAATAATCAGCATAGTAACATTTGGGTGAAAGAACATCTGAATTAGTGTGAGTCAGATCTAAGTCTAATTCTCCACTCTGGTCTCTAGTTGTGAGAACAAGCTCTAGGATGATGGGTGTATCACTTAGCATTCAGTAAAGGAAAAAAGAAACCATACCAATTCTTCTAAAAGACAGAAATCAATATTTTAAAATGTGTCAATTAGATAAAATTATTAACTAGATGACTTCAAAGATAAGAAGATAACCTTAAGGTATTACAGAGGTGGCAAATGCAGGGAGTAGGTACCCTCCTAGATCTGAAAAAGTTGGTAAGAGGGTGGAAAATTTAGGAATGAAGAGCGGTACTTTATGGAGCTCAAACTGTCCTTCGAGGAGAAGGTATTACTTTTTCCATGAGGTATCTCAAC
Organism: Homo sapiens; assembly: GCF_000001405.40. Lineage (NCBI taxonomy): Eukaryota > Metazoa > Chordata > Mammalia > Primates > Hominidae > Homo > Homo sapiens. Next base: position 95,736,821 of record NC_000003.12, read on the forward strand.
TCCGAGGAGCCTCGTTGGCTTGGGACATAGACCTTAGAAGAAGAGGCACAAGCTGGCTAGTGCTAACATCTTGAATATAAGTGTCTGTGAGAGTTGTAAAACATGCAATTGGATTCATCTCCCGCCACAGAAAAGAACTGATATGAAGGATGAGTAAGCATTGGTGGAGTGATACTCCGAAGAATGAAGTCAGAAAGCCCACAGAAAATGCATACAAAGCTGAAAGGGAATGGAAAGAAACTTTTTTCCTCTGTAGCTTTCCAGTCTTCCTTGAGGATCCCCTATTTTCAGATACTAACAAGGAGCCATCTGGAAAAACAAAACTATGGTTTGCAGCAAACAAGTATGAAACTCTCTAAAACTGATGTTATTTTCATCATGCATTACTACACTGATTATTACAAAGACAGGGAACATAGATTAATATTAGGAAGAAAGATATCCAGCCATTTGACATTGTAGTAGTTTATCCAGAATTTAGCTGCAAAATTCTATGCAGCATCACAGAGCAGAGTATAGAAAGGTGAAGGTTGGAAGCTGAGAGATTAATAACTTAAAACTTGTCACAATAGGGATAATATGATGTGTTTAGAAATAAAGAATAGATAACTTATGACATGTAATATATAATATACATAATGGCAGACACTCAGTGTGTGAAAATCGTGCTACTGATAATAATGATGATGATGTTGGTGGTAATAAACTGAACATCCTGATTCTTTGCCTGGAGATTATTATAACCTTTAAAAATATTCAACCCTGACATTAGATGGTTCCCTCCTTCAGCACCAGCATTAATTTTCTTGAACTTTTTATACGTTATCTTGCTGTAAGTAACCATCTGTGTTCTAACATATTTAAATAAGAAAACTAGGGAGAATTAAGAATATATAAAACATATAAATAATAAAATACTACCTAATAAAGTCAGAGAGAGTTTGTGTCTTGCAGTTCTTTCGGCTGAAATCCATTTGTTATTATCCATAATATAACTAGTCACATTGTGTGGTGATAAGTTGTAGTATAGGAGCATTCTATAATCTGCCAGTGAAGTCTATTAAATCTCAGTCTTATAGTGGATATGTGTGCCAGGGCTGTGACATTCACAAATGTATCTTTATTCATGTAGATTTCTTCCCTCTGCCTGCTTCTTCTTCTGACTAAAGCATTCTCAATCTATATCCTTGCAGTCCCACACTTGTTGATCATTGCCAACCCCACCAGATGAGACAGAAAATTTGAAGGTGACTGGAACGGAGAAGAATGTCCTTCCTCAGTTATGAGTAAGTTTCACAATTGTCCTCTGTCAAGGTGCTTTAACCTGGAGAGTAGGCTTTTTTATGTAGAAGACTCTATGTGTATTTTACATCAGTTACTTTCCCCCTGTGCCAGCCATAGCCTATAGGGGATCTTTCTTTGATCAACATTGTAACCTGATATGGTTTCAGGAGAGAAAGCCCATGAAAGTATGGGGGCTCCCCTAAGACTGTGATCTCAGGAATTCCTTACTCTGAAGCTGTTCCATCCTTATCGTCCAGCAATTTATAGTTATCATTTAAGTGTTTCTACCAGTTGTAGCTTCAGTGGCTTCTGCTCCAGGTAAGCAGGTCTTAGTATGTATATGAAAATGTTTTAATCTTTTTTTCCACAATTATTATTATAGGATTATGAATTATGTAGCTTGTAAAATAGCTTAGAAACCATAGAGCCCAACACCTCACTTAATCAGAAATTTTGTTTAACTTCTACAAGTCAACTATTACTTAATGCAGTTGTTCTATTTATACTGTTGTTAGCAAAAGATAACTGAGCAAATTGATTTTTATCTGATCATTTAAAATCACTAACTCTGTCTACACATGTGTGTGTTTATGTGTGTGTGCATATTTTAAGTAGCTTGTCTCCACAGTACCTGAATATATAAATCGTATTTTAAATAATAACTAATCTTGAAGTCATCTATGATATGCAAATAAATGTAGCTTAATGGAGGAATGCAAAACCATAGTAAAAATTTTCAAATATTTGCCCTATGGAAGTTAGTTTTTAAATATAAATGAGTAGAGAAATATTGTACATATATACTATTTGAAGGTTTCCTTTGTTTTTTTCTTGATACGATGTTATAAAAGGATTATTGAGAATTATTAATTTGTCATGTACATATAATAGTAATAGAGTTAACTAGCATTGTATTTGTTCAACAAATATATATACTTATTGAACACTATGAATCATATTAATTCAGACATTTGATAAAAATTAGACACCTAGTATATATAAAATCTTTGGTTTTGAAAGTAAGTATAGAATTATATGCCAGTACAAAGGCATGAATATTGCCCTTATACTTTTATGTACATTATTTAAATCACAAAAAAAAGAATTTAAAATTTCAGTTAGAATGTGAATTATAAAGCATTGTTTTTTTGCTTGTATTTTCCTGTTGAGTACATCTTTATATATATACCAGTTGTCTGTGTGGAAACTATCTTTTGAGATGTGCCTATTTATGTCTTTGGCCCAGTGGTCTTTGGTATTTTTGGTCATTTTTTAATTGATTTATAAGACTTTCATATACATATACTGAAAAGAAACTTTTGTTGGTTATATATGTTTGTTTCACTATTCATGTTTTCCATAAAATAAGTGTTTAATACATAATAATTAAATAAATTTTAAAAATATTTAATTTTTCCAGCAACATTAATTTAGTAGACTATTATTTTCTTAATATGCTGTAATAACATCTCTGAAATATAACATAGCACTTTAAAATTCTCAGTTTTTCACAAATGATGTACCTTGTACCAATACAAAATTTTAAAATTATTATGTCTTTACTTGCTATACTTATATCCTCTGCCATATCTCCTTCTTCTTAATTTCTATTTCCCTTCTTTTTCTTATTTTTATTCTTCTTTTTCTTATCATCTACTTTCTAATTTTCTTTCTTCCCTTCTATTCCCTATATTCCCCTGGCTATCCTTAACCCTTACACTTCTTTCTGAATTTTAAAGTCAGCATATATTTTATTTAAAAAACCCTGTAGAAATTATATAGAAATTTTATTAAAAATCACCCTTAATTTGTAGATTAATTTAGGGACAATTTCCATCTACATTACATTTAGTCATGTATCCATGTCCATGATATATCTCTATTTATTTAAGTCTTGTTATTTCCTCCAATATTTTTTTCTAATTTTTTTTCTGTAATGTTTTGACAAATCAGTCCCAGCTTATTTGTTTTCAATTTTAATTTACGGAAGATAAACAATTTAAAATCAAAAGTGTGTTTTAGTATGATACTCTCAAAACTAAATATAAAATTTTAATTTAAAACATTTTTGAGAACTTCTAATCTGGACAATGGCATAGACCTGTTTCTTTTTCTCACCCAATAAGTGTAAATCCTAGAAATAATGCAAAAGAAAACCAAAGGAGAACTCTAGGTGGTAGAAAGAGGGATGCAAACTGAAGTGAGACCCCAGAACTTCAGGAATAACATAAAAGCAAGGGTTTTTTTGTTTGTTTGGTTTGGTTTGATTTTGTTTTTGTCCCTGTACCCAATGGAAGAAGGCAATCCAGGCCTGACATTTTCTGATCCAAAATTTAACAATGGAAGGCATCTTAAGTAGGTTCATTCCTTTCTAGGATGGAACTGGAGTCCCACAGAAACACCAGAGAAGCCTTACCTCACCACCAACCATGTAAGACCTTAGCAAATAAATAGAAGTTGTGATCAAAAAGAAACAAAAGTAAATTATAGAACTTCAAAAATATAATAACAGACATTTAAAAAGAAACATGCTGCATGGACTCAATAGTAGACACAGAATGACAGACAATGAAATTAGCAAAGATGAGGAAAAATCAATAGAGTTTACCCAATCTAATAACAGAGAAAACAGATTTACAAAAAGTGAAGAGACTCAAGCACCTGTGAAGACCTAACAAATGATCCTATATTTTATCACAAAAATCTCAGAAAGAGAAATGAAAAAGAATTGGGCTGAAAGAGTGTTTGAAGAAAATGACCAATAATTTCCAAATTTGGTAAAATACAGAAGAGATTTTTAAGAAGCTAAGCAAATGTCAAACAGGAACAATTCAAAGAATTCTATGCCAAGACATATCACAATTCAAACTTCGAAAAAAAGAAGACATAAAAAATGCTGAAAGCAGGAGAGAAATCAATCATTAACTACGGGGGACACCAATTTTATAACAAAGGATTTTTAATTTGAATCCAACGAAGCCAGAAGAAAAGAAAAAACTTTCAAGCCAGAATTCTTATCTAGTAAAGTAATATTTTCAGGATGAAGTTGAAATAAAGACACTCTTAGATAAAGAAAATATAAAAGAATTTGTTGTTAACAGACTTACCCTGAAAAACTGGCCAATGGAAAGAAATATGAATTCATGCAATTATATATCTTATGATATTCAGCACAATATGTGGGATGCAGCAAAAACAGTGTTGAAAACGTATAGCAATAAATGCTTATATTAGAAACATGAAAGGGCCTCAAATCAGTAGGTTAAGTTGCAATCTCAATAAACTAGAAAAAAAAAAGCAAAAAAGTAAAAGGGAATAGCAAACATAAAAGTAGATATCAATATAATTAAAATAGGAAAATGAAGAAAATCACTAAAAATAAAGCTAGTTATTAAAAATAAATAAATGAAATTGATAAACTTCTAGAAACACTGTCGAAAAGAAAAAGAGAGAAGATACAAATCACCCATATGTAGATTAAAATAGGAAATACTGTGACAAATTCTGAAGTCAATAAAAATAATGGAATACTATAAAAAATGGTTTATGATTCAAAATCTTAGGAGAAATGAATCAATTTCTTGAAAGCCGCTGTGTTAATCCATTCTCACATTGTTATAATGAACTACCTGAGATTGGATAATTAATAAAGAAAAGAGGTTTAATTGACTCACAGCTCCTCAGGCTGTACAGAAGCATGGCTGGGAGACCTCAGGAAACATACAATCACAGCAGAAGGTGAAGTGGAAGAAAGCATGTCCTACATGACTTGAACAGGCAGAAGAGAGCAAACGGGGAGGTGCTACACAAATTTAAACAACCAAATCTCATGATTACTCACTCACGATCATAAGAACAGCAAGGGGGAAATTCACCCCCATGATCCAATCACCTCCCACCTGGCCCCTCTTCCAACACTGGGGATTACAATTTGACAGGAGATTTAAGCAGGGACACAAATACAAATCATACCGTTCTGCCCAGGCCCCTCCCAAATCTCATCTCCTTTTCACAGGGCAAAATACAACCATCCTTTCTCAACAGTACCCCAAGTCTTAACTCATTTCAACATTAACTTGAAAGTCCACAGTCCAGAGTTTCATCTAATACAAGTCAAGTCCCTTCTGTCTATGAGCCTGTAAAGCCAAAAATAAGTTAGTTACTTCCAGGATACAATACAGGTACAGGCATTGGGTAAATACACCTGTTACAAAAGGGAGAAGTAAACCAAAACAAAGTGGTTATAGGCCCCATGCGAGTCCAAAACCCAGCAGGGCAGTCATTCAATCTCCAAGTTCCAAAATCATCTCCTTTGACTTCGTGTCTTACATCCAGGCTGCACTGATGCAAAGGGTGTGCTCCCAAGGCCTTTGGCATATCCTTCTCTGTGGCTCTGCAGGGTACGGGCTCCATAGCTGCTTTTGTGGACTGGATTTTAGCGCAGAGGTTTTTCTAGGCACATGGTGCAAGCTGTTAGTGGTTCTACTATTCTGGGGTCTGGAGGATAGTGGCCCTTTTCCCACAGCTCCTTTAGGCAGTGCTCCAGTGAAGACTCTGTGTGTGGGTTCCAGCCCACATTTCCCCTCTGCTCTACCCTAGTAGAGGTACACAGCGAAGACCCGGCCCCTGTAGCAGACTTCTGCCTGGACATCCAGGCTTTTCCATACAACCTCTGAAATCGAGTCAGTGGTTCCCAAGCCTCAACTCTTGTCCTCTTGTCTTCTGTGCACCCACATGAAAGCTCCCAAGGCTTACAGCTTGACCCATTGGAGCATCGGAATGAGACATATCTAGGACGCTTTTCGCCATGACTGAAGCTGGAGTGGCTGGGATGCAGGGAGTAGTGTCCTCAGGTTGAGCAGAGCAGCAGGGTCCTGGGCTGGCCTGGCCTACAAAACCATTCTTCCCTTCTAGGCCTCAAGGCCTGTGATGGGAGCGGCTGCTGTGAAGGTCTCTGAAATGTCTTCAAGGCATTTTCTCCATTGTCTTAGCTATTAATATTCAGGCCCTCTTTACTTATGCAAATACCTGCAGCGGGCTTGAATTCCTCCCCAGAAAATGGGTTTTCTTTCTTTTTCTTTTTTTTTTTTTGAGATGGAGTTTTGCTCTTGTTGTCCAAGCTGGAGTGCAATGGCACGATCTTGGCTCACCACAACCTCCACCTACTGGGTTCAAGTGATTCTCCTGCCTCAGCCTCCCGAGTAGCTGGGACCATGGCCAGACTGCAATTTTCCAACACTTTATGCTCTGTTTCCCTTTAAACATTAGTTCAAATTTCAAACCATCTCTTTGTGAATACTTATAACCAAATACTTTCAGAATAAGCCTCTTGAATGCTTTCCTGCTTAGAAATCTCTTCCACCAGATGATACCTTAAGTCATTTCTCTCAAGTTCAAAGTTCCACAGATCTCTAGGGTAAGGGCACAATGCCACCAGTCTCTTTGCTAAAACACAACAAGAGACACCTTTACTCCAGTTCCCAATAAGTTCCTCATCTCCATCTGAGACCACCTCAGCCTGAACTTTATTGTCCATATCACTATCAGCATTTTGGTCATAACAATTTTACAAGACTCTAGGAAGTTGCAAAATTTCTCTCATCTTCCTGTTTTTTTTCTGAGCCTTTCAAACTGTTCTAACCTCTGCCCATTACCCACTTCCAAAGCTGCTTCCAAATTTCAGGTATCTTTATAGAAATGCTCTATTCCTAGGTACCAATTTTCTGTATTAGGCTGTTCTCACATGGCTATAAAGAACTACCTGAGACTAGGCCATAAAGAAAATATGTTTAGTTAACTCTCAGTTCCTCAGTCTGTACAGGAAACATGGCTGGGGAGACCTCAGGAAATTTACAATCATGGTAGGAGGCAAAGAGGAAAGAGGCACAGCCTACATGGCTGGAGCAGGAAGAAGAGAGCAAATGGGGTGATGCTACACACTTTTTTTTTTTTCTTAGCTAATATGTACTTATTTATTTGAATTAGTTGAATTGCTTGCAGTAAAAATGTTATGGACTGAATGTGTCCTTTTTTTTTTTTTTTTTCAAATTTTCTTTTTCTTTTTTTTTTTTTTTTTTATTGATCATTCTTGGGTGTTTCTCACAGAGGGGGATTTGGCAGGGTCATAGGACAATAGTGAAGGGAAGGTCAGCAGATAAACAAGTGAACAAAGGTCTCTGGTTTTCCTAGGCAGAGGACCCGGCGGCCTTCCGCAGTGTTTGTGTCCCTGGGTACTTGAGATTAGGGAGTGGTGATGACTCTTAACGAGCCTGCTGCCTTCAAGCATCTGTTTAACAAAGCACATCTTGCACCGCCCTTAATCCATTTAACCCTGAGTGGACACAGCACATGTTTCAGAGAGCACAGGGTTGGGGGTAAGGTCATAGATCAACAGGATCCCAAGGCTGAAGAATTTTTCTTAGTACAGAACAAAATGAAAAGTCTCCCATGTCTACCTCTTTCTACACAGACACAGCAACCATCTGATTTCTCAATCTTTTCCCCACCTTTCCCCCTTTTCTATTCCACAAAACCGCCATTGTCATCATGGCCTGTTCTCAATGAGCTGTTCGGTACACCTCCTAGACGGGGTGGTGGCCAGGCAGAGGGGCTCCTCACTTCCCAGTAGGGGCGGCCGGGCAGAGGCGCCCCTCACCTCCCAGATGGGGCGGCTGGCTGGGCGGGGGGCTGACCCCCCCCACCTCCTTCCCAGATAGGGCGGCTGGCTGGGCAGGGGTCTGACCCCCCCACCTCCCCCAGCCGCCTGCCTTGGCCTCCCAAAGTGCCGAGATTGCAGCCTCTGCCCGGCCGCCACCCCATCTGGGAAGTGAGGAGCACCTCTGCCTGGCTGCCCAGTCTGGAAAGTGAGGAGCGTCTCTGCCCAGCCGCCATCCTGTTTAGGAAGTGAGGAGCGTCTCTGCCCGGCTGCCCATCGTATGAGATGAAGTGAGGAGCGTCTCTGCCCGGCCGCCCATCGTCTGAGATATGGGGAGCGCCTCTGCCCTGCCGCCCCGTCTGGGATGTGAGGAGCGCCTCTGCCCGGCCGTGACCCCGTCTGGGAAGTGAGGAGCGTCTCTGCCCGGCCACCCCATCTGAGAAGTGAGGAGACCCTCCGCCCGGCAGCCGCCCCATCTGGGAAGTGAGGAGCGTCTCCGCCCAGCAGCCGCCCCATCCGGGAGGGAGGTGGGGGTTCAACCCCCCACCCGGCCAGCCGCCCCGTCCGGGAGGGAGGTGGGGGGGGGTCAGCCCCCGCCCGGCCAGCCGCCCCACCCCGGAGGGAGGTGGGGTGGTCAGCCCCCCGCCCGGCCAGCCGCCCCATCCGGGAGGGAGGTGAGGGGTTCAGCCCGCCACCCGGCCAGCTGCTACACACTTTTAAACAGCCAGATAAACAGCCAGATATCATGAGAACTCACTCAGTATCATGAGAACAGCAAGGGGGAAATCTTTCCTTATGATCTAATCACCTCCCACTAGGCCCCATCTCCAGCACTGCAGTTTACAATTTTAAATGAGATTTGGGTGGGGACAAATTTTAAACCGTATCAGCCAGAAATAACTGAGACTCAACATATTTTATAGATAATGTGAATAGTCCAATAACCATTAAAAGGTATTAAATTTATATTAGAAAGCTTCCAAGAAAAATAATCAGATTCAGATGGTGTCACTCAAGAATTCTACTAAACATATAAAGAAGAATTACACAAATTGTCTACAATTATTTCCAGGAAACCAGAGATGAGGAAGAACTTCCCACCTCATTTTATAAAACCAGTATATTCCAGATGTCAAAATCATAAAAAGAGTGTACAAAAAAGGAAATAGACAAACTAAAATTATTATGAACTTAGATGCAAAGTTCTAAATAAAATATTAACTGTTTCTAATAAATATGCAACAATATAAAAATAACTATATACCGTGACCAAATGTTATTTATTCCAGGTGTGCCAGGTTAGCTGAACATTCAAAATTCAATTGCTTTATTTATCATATAAATAAATCATATATTTATGTATTTATCATATAAACAAGCTAAAGAAGAAAAATTATTATATATAAATTAACACAAAAGTACATTTAACAAAATTTGACAATCATTCATTATTAAGGAAAAAAACTATCAGAAGCCTAGGGAAAAAATTTAAACTTCTTCAACTTAATAATAAACAGCTATGAAAAGTCTATATTTAACATTGTCTTAATGGTGAAAGACAGAATATTTTCTCCCTAAGATTAAGGACAAGATATTCATGGCATGTCTATTTCACAATTCTGATTCTACATTGTACTGGAAATCTAGGTAGTGCAATAGGAAAATAAAGGAAATAAAAGGTGTACATATCAGAAAGGAAGAAAGAAAATTATAGTATTTTTAGATGACATGATTGTTTATGTAGAAAAAGCCAGGAATTTTAAAAGAAAAAGTTTTCCTGGAACTAACAAGTTTATCATAGTCACAGACTGCAAATTCAACAAAAACATAAATTCTATTTCCACATACAATGATTATGTGGACATTGAAAAAAATACAATAATATTCACAAACAGGCTGGGCGCGGTGGCTGACACCTGTAATCCCAGCACTTTTGGAGGCCAAGGTGGGCGGATCACAAGGTCAGGAGATCGAGACCATCCTGGCTAACACGGTGAAACCCCGTCTCTACTAAAAATACAAAACATTAACCGGGAGTGGTGGTGGGCACCTATAGTCCCAGCTACTCGGGAGGCTGAGGCAGGGGAACGGCATGAACCCGGGAGGCGCAGCTTGCAGTGAGCCGAGATTGCACCACTGCACTCCAGCCTGGGCGACAGAGCAAGACTCCATCTCAAAACATAAAATAAAATGAAATAATATTCACAAACAAATATTTAAAAATGAATTACTTGAGTATACATTTAACAAAATAAAACAACTACAGGATCTGCATCTTGAAAATTTTAGAAGGTGTGAAAGAAATCAAAGACCTTGAGTAGGCACAGTGGCTCATGCCTGTAATCCCAGCATTTTGGGAAATATATATATATGTTTAGTTTTACAGAATATCTCAAAATCATTCCCCAGAGTGGCTCTATATATTCTTTCATTGCCATCATCAATATATAATCAATTTTTATGTATAACATATACATATGGACACACACACACACACACACACATATATATATAAAGAGAGAGAGGTATATGTATATCTATATAGATCATAGATTTAAATAAAAAGATATAATTTTTTTAAATCTAGGAGGATGTTGTCTGTTTAGGCCAAGACAGTAGTTTTTTTTTGAGACAGGGTCTCACTCTGTCACCAAGACTGGAGTGCAGTGGCGCGATCTCGGCTCACCGCAACATCCGCCTCCCAGGCTCAAGCAATTCTTCTGCCTCAGTCTCCCAAATAGCTGGGATTACAGGCATGCACCACTACACCCGGCTAATTTTTGTATTTTTATTAGAGATGGGGTTTCACCATTTTGGCCAGGCTAGTCTCGAACTCCTGACCTCAAATGATCTACCTGCCTCGGCTTCCCAAAGTGCTGGGATTACAGGTAGGAGCCACGTGCCCAGCGAAGTTCTTGGACTGCAAAACAAAATCACAATCCATAAGAGCCTAGATAGAGAAATAGACACAATTTAAAACATATCTCCATAAAAGCCCATGTAATGTCAATGAAAAAGGCAAAGACTGGAAAAAAATATTTTCAAACCATGTATTTAAAAAGGACTAGTAACTAAAACATAAAGAACTCTTGAAACTGAAAAGTTAAAAAACAGAGCAAAAGATATGAAGAAACATTTCAATAAAGAAGACGGATGGCAAATAAGAAAATAAAAAGATTTTCAACATCATTAGCCTTCAGCAAAATGCAAATTAAAACTACAATGAAATATTACTAAACGTGTATCAGAAAGGCTAAAACAAAATAGCTACAAAACGATGGTAAGGATGTAGAGAAATTAATTATGTATTGATGGTGGCAATGAAAAATTATATAATCACTCTTGGGAATAATTTTGTGATATTTTGCAAAACTAAACATGTAGTTATCATGTAACCCAGCAGTTACACTTTTGGGCATTTATCACAGAGAAGTGAAACCTGTACATGAATATTCACAATAGGTTTATTCAGGACAGTCAAACACTGGAAACAAGCTAAGTGTCCTTCAACAGATGAATGACTCCACTACGGTATGTAGCACACAGATAAACTATGGTCCAACATTTTATAGAATACTACTTATCAATAAAAAGGTCCAAACTATTGATACATGCAATCATCTAAATCAATCTCCAAATAATTATTCTCAGTGAAAAATGCTAATCCCAAGTGTATGTACTCTATGATTACATTGTATAATATTTTGTATTATGTTTTTATAAATGAAGAGCATATCAGTAGTTGCAAAAGGAGGAGAAAGTGATAGTAAAAGGGCAAGAAAAAAGGATTCTTGTAGTAATCAAACTGTTTGGTATATTATGTCATTGGATACACAAATAAATTACATGGAATTATATATATAAAACACACACACATACATACACATTTCATAAGTATAAATGTGAAATTAGAATAAAATTGGTAGATTATCTCAACGTCCAAAAATATTGAGCCATTAATAGTAAAGAAAAAATAGAAAAAATACATACTTTTTGTTTTTGCACACTGCATATAATTTCATCTCAGTTCAGAATCTTATAAATGCTAGAAATTAAACATTGGCTCAATGTATTAGTCAGAAAATTAGAACTAATAGGATGTGGACACACAGACAGGGAAACAGAGAGACAGAAACAGAGAGACAGAGACAAAGAGACAGAGAAAAAGATTGATTTTAAACAATTGACTTAATTGATTGGCAAGTCTTGAATTTGAAGAGCATGCCGGCAGACTGGAGACCCAGGGAAGTGTGATCTTGAAGTTTGAAACCAAAATCAATCAGAAGGCAGAATTCCCTCTTCATCTAGAAAACTGGCTTTTTTTCTCTTAAAATCTTCAATTAATTAGACAATGCTTCACACATTATAGAATGAAACCTGCTTAACTAAAAATCTATTGCTTAACTAAAAATCTGTTGATTTAAATGGTCTTCTCTAAAAGATATTACAATGACATCTAGAATAGCATTCGATCAATTATTTGAGTGACCACAGCCTAGCCAAGATGATGTGTAACATTAACCGCCATGTTCAGTATTACTGTATTTTAACTGGGATTATTGTTTATACCTAGAATATGGATTGAAAACCAAATTCCCACACCTATAACTTGTTTTTAATTATGATAAAGAGGAAGGTATCACTAGATTAAGAGTAATTTCAGAGACATCTGTGAAAATTTCCTACCAATTAAATACGCCAATGGACAGTCAAGAGACCCATAGCCATCTGTTATTTTGCCTGAACAGTGTGTAAGACAATATGAAGACTTTTAGATAAAACATGCATTCCTTAATTTGGCCAAGACCTCCATCTCCTGTCTCTTATGTTTACACCAATCTCAATTCACCCAATCCCAGGAAGAAATCTTATTTAAAGTGAGGCTTGCTGGAGTGTTAGAATTTGCAGGAGTAGTTCAGAAAGAAATGTGATTTCAAAGGAACTGATTTAGAAATAGCATATGGGTTTTTAGGGCAATAATTTATTTATTATCCTTCTTGTGAAGAAATGATCAAATATCTGTAATATTTTTCTTGTGTTCTAAGAACTGTAATATTTTAGAAAAGATAAAAATGTACTGCATCGCATGCAAAATGTAATAAAATTAATGGTTTATTGTATATCAAGTTAAAAGGAAAAGCATTTATAGGAAAGTTAATATTTTACTTTATTACTTCTTTTGGGGCCATAACAAAAATGTACCATTGTGTTTTTACATAATATAGAAGTGCAGACATAAATATTTTTGTAAAGTACTCTAAGAAAAAACTTTTATTTTGTCCTGATTTTATAAATAGCTGCAAAACAGAAGGAAAAAAATTCCTTTCTTACCAGAGCTTTTTGCCCATTCACAACAGATGTTGTTTCCACAAATTAGTTTATAATTTCTTTCATAACTCAGAGAGAACAACCCTTCAATTTATAGTCAGGAATAGATAGAGTGCTGCATATAATTCTGGTAATTATGTAACAAAACTGCACTTTGCTATTTGAAAACCTTGGCCATCAATCATTCAGTTTAGTGTTGGGTTAACTTAATCTTCTGTTGCACCAGCTGTGCAAGGCTCAGCCACAAACACAGCGGATTTGCCAGACTTCTACTGAGTAAAGTGTAAATTATCAACGTGTAAGATAATAGGTAACTAGACACCTAGCCATCTAGTTAAATAGAATTGAACTGCAGTATATGCAACGACTGCAAAACTTTTTGGGGATTTGGGGGGTGGGAAGGCATATATAATTTTTTACCACATATCACATCAATATAGTTGTTGCTTAATTTTTTAAAACTGTGTTTTTTTTTTCTAAACATGACTCATGGCTCAAAATATTTTCATTTACGCCATAACTTAGAGTCTTGGGTTGAGATAACTTTATTTTAGATACCATTGTTCAGAACAAAAGAGTTGTAATTTATAAACAGTATGTAACTTATAAACAGTGTGTGGGAGAGGTTAGAAATTAGGATACTTTGTCCAGAAAAGCCGCAACTCCTAAATTAAGAGCCGATGCTCACTAGGTTTTTTTAATTTATGTAGTATTGTGCTCATTTTATATCCTATAGACATGAAATAAAATTTCATTAAAAGTAATTAAGCTGAATGTACTAGAGAACCATTACTCATCTTAAAATTAATGTTGGTTAATAATTTACATTTTTCATAGTATTTTCTATTCATTAATTTATTTGAAACTTGAAATATTTTGAAAAATAATTTATGCAAGATTACTTATCCATATTACAGAAGATATTAAATTTCAGAGTAGTAAAATGACAGTTCAAATCTCACAGTATGCAGGAGGGAAAGGCCAAAATACAAGTCAATTCTACAATCTTGGCAATTTCCATTCGATGACCACATAAGAATATATATCTTTGTTATTTATAATACACATAAATTTATTACATTTAAAACATAAAAAGTATTATATTTTTATAAAGTATAAAAATATACTTTTTAAAAAGCACAAAAATATACTTTTTATATTTTATGTATATTTTTAAGTGAACTTGCCATATTGGAGGTTATATGTTCCATGCCCTAATTTAATTAATCTAATTTGTGTGAAGTCAGGATTCAAAAATACATCTGGATATTGAGAAGGAAACAGGACTTTTTGAGATATATAAAATATTGATTTAAACTTGGCATGCTGAATGCTAACATTTTAAAATTAAATTGTAAAATTATTAAAATCATTAACACATTAGACATTAGCTGGAGAAAGCAAAGAAATGCCAGAACTTGCAGGCAGGCATGATGTCTCCACTTAGAAAGTGAAGACAGAAGCTCAAGTGTTACAAAGTCTAGGTTTCAGATTTTGGTGGTACTAATAGTTGGTATTGAAAAAGAGGTATAAAAAGGAGGCTCTACATTCAGTCATGATAATAGGATACATCTGTTCACATTTCCCTGTACTTTTACATAATTCTCATATGGATCAGTGCCACCAACAGGGAAATGACTCGCATAGCAGGACAGAGACTTTGCTACAGTAGATACTATCCCACGTTTAGGGCAGAAAAAAGGCACAGACACAAGATAATTAAGATATGACTTACGATTTTGAGGGGACTCTCCTGTGATTATCTTCCCACAGAAATATCAATTTGAACAACTATCCACAGCCTAAATTACCTTCACAAGCATTCAGAAAACCAAGTGAGAGATCACAAAACCTAGCTGCAGCACAGTAAAAAAAAAAAAAAAATACATTGAAAGGAGTAGGAAAGACAGACTTATATTACCTGCATTACCTCTTCCTCAGGCACATTCAGTACAAAGTGGTGAGTAATAGCTTCCACTTGAGGGAAAGAGGGAAATGAACACAGTACTTTGCCTTAGAACCCAACACTGGATCAACACAGTAAAATCCAGTATTGCAAAGATCCCTATGCCCACATATTTCAGGACAGTATCTATGGACAAAACCTCTAGACCTGCCCTGGTACCAGACAGAACCACACAGCCCAAGGCTTCAGTCTTGTATGATAGTCTCAATATCCAGGCTGCATTTCAGGTGGGCTGATTTCAGTGGTCCTGGGCTCCAGAGAACCCTCAGTGGTAGGCAGCTCTCAGTAGCCCTAGGCTTCTGGCACAAGTGCTCTATTAGCTGCATCTGCCCCAGGTTTCTGGCACACCCTAGTGGCATGGCTGCTGTAATGGGTACCAGGCTTGTTGCAGCATCAGGCCATACACAGCTGCCCCACACTTCTGACACTTCTTAGTGCCATACCTGCTCCAGGGCTTTCCCAGACAAAGCCCGTCTGTGAAGACTGGAATAGCACCTACTTCATTACGTGTGTAGACATCTGCATATAATCACAAGGACCAAGAATAATCAGAAAAACATGACATCACCAAATGGACAAAATAAGGTAACAGTGTCTATCTCCAAAAAAATGGAGATCTATGAATTGACTGACAAATAATTCAAAACAACTGTTTTAAGGAAGCTCGGTGAACTTCAATAAAATATAGAGAAATAATTCAATAAAATGAGAAAAACAGTACGTTAACAGAACAAAAAATTTAATAGAGAGATTGAAATAATAATTCTAAAAAATGAAACAGAAATCAGAGCTGAGAAATACAATGAACAAAATGAGAAATGCAACAGAATGCATCAACAACAGCACGTGGACTGAGCAGAAAAATCTGTCAACTCAAAAAGGGGATTTTAAAATATACCTTCAGAGGGAAAAAAAGGAAGGGAATAAATAGGAATGAAGAAAGATTATGGAATTAATGGTATAGCATAGCATCAAAAGAGCAAATATTTGAGTAATAGTTAAAGAAGTGGAAGACAAAGATAAAGATATAAAAGCTTATTAAAGTAAATAGCAGCAGAAAACTTTTCAGACTTAGGGAAAGATATACATATCCATGTACAGGAAGGTTAGATGTTTTTAATCAGATTCAATTCAAATAATACTATCCCAAGACGTTTTATGATAAAACTGTTAAAAATCAGGGACAAAGAGAGGATCCTGAAAGCAGCAAGAAAATAAGATGCAAATAACATATAAGGGAATTCAAATATGACTAGCAGCAGACTTCTCAGCAGAAATCTTAGAGGACAGGGGAAAGTGATATTTGATGAAGAAAAATAAAAAGCATATGACAACCAATAATATTATACTCTGCAAATCTGTCCTTCAGAAATAAAAGACAAAAAAAAAAAGATTTTCCCAGGAGAATAAGTTCAGGGGGACCATTACCTGTTTTACAAGAAATGCTGAAAGGAGTTCTTCAAGCTGAAAGAAAAACATGCTAATGCATAACAAAAAAATCTGAAAGTATAAAACTCACTGGTAAAAGTACACAGTTAAATTCAGAATACTTTAACACTACAATGCTGTTATATAAATCACTTATAACTTTAACCTGAGGGTTAAATACAAAACTATCAAAAAATTCCTACAATAATTTGTTAAGAGATATGCAATGTAAAAAGATACAAATTGTGACATCAAAAATTCAACATGATGGTGACAGGGAAGTAAAAGTGTCAATTTTTATGTGATCAAAATTAAGTTGTTATCAGTTTAACAACTTGTTATAACAAGGAAATTTTTTGTAAGCCTCATTTTATCCACAAGGCAAAAACCTATGATAGATACACAACAAAGTAAAAAAAGAAAGAATCGAAACATAACACTAAAGAAAAATCACCTAGCCACAAGGAAGACAGTAAGAAAAAAAAGCAAATAAATAATGTATAAAACAACTAGAAAACAGTTAACAAAATAACAGTTGTAAGTCTTTATCTATCAATAATTACTTTGAATGTAAATGGGATAAATTATCCAATCAAAAAACAGTGGCTGAATGGATAAAAAATTAGCTGCAAACTATGTGCTGCTTACAAGAGATTCACTTAACCTGTAAGGATACATATAGACTAAAAGTGAAGGGATGGAACAAAAGACTTCGTGCTAATGGAAAACAAAAGTGAGCAGTAATAGCTATACTTAAATAAAATAAACTTTAAGTCAAAAGCTGTGAAAAGAGATAAAGTTATTTTATAATAACAATGGAGTCAATTTAGAAAAAGGATGTAATTGTAAATATACACACCCAACATAAGTGTATCTAAATATGTAAAGCATGTATTAATAGATCTGAAGGGAGAGGTCAATTGAAATACAATAATAGTGAGGAACTTCAATATTCTACTTTTCAGCAGTGGACAAAACATCCAGACAGAAAATCAATATGGAAACATGGAATTTAATCTACATTCTAGAGCAAAAGGAACTAACAGACCTGTACAGAACATCGCATATACCACATGCAGAATACACACTCTACTCAAAAATCAATAGAGGTAAGTGACACTGGTAAACTAAGAACAATATAGGACCCTGAGGAGAGGAAGTCAGGCATTTCAAGTAAACAATGCTCCTTTGAGTTTTGGAGAGGTGACATGTGTCCACTCTCAACTAATGTCAACCAAACTAAACTGGCAGCTTAGTGCAAGTTTAGGTATCTAATTTCAAACTTAAAACACTAAAGACTTGAGAATTCATGGAACAATATCTTTTGAAATTTGACATTTGGTCAGTTGACTATACGCACAAAGTAAAAATCAATGAAATTAATTATGTTCACAGTGGTCTTCCATTAAAATGGTGCCACCGGAAAGATTACCTGAAATTTAGAGAATTTTTAACAATTTGTTTTAAGTATGAAGTAAAGTTTGTATTTTCTAAATGTATAAGTTTGATATATCTGGTAAGGTTTTTTTTTCCCCTGATTTATAATGTAATGTTTAGGAGACTCCATGAAACACAATTCAGGGTCATATACATAGTAAAAAATATAGAGCTATATTTTTTTCACCTAATGATTGTAAAATAACATTTTTAAATAATCACATTGTTTTATAATATCTTTCATGACACATTAAAGAGAAATGAGAATTGACTAAGCCTATGCATTTCCCCAAGTAAACATAATTATGGAGATTCATTTTATTGGTAAATAGTTGAAAAATATAATGGAAGAATACAAAAATAATAAATATTAGGGCTTCTGAAAATCTGAAAAAATACATGGTTAATTTCAGAAGCTCCCAGGATTTAAGTAAATTAAGATTGTGAAATAATTGATGCCCTCTTCCTCCCTTAGAATGCACATAAACTACTTCAGTCCTACCAAAAATTTTTGCATATGATAAATGTAGTTAAATATCGGTGAAGACAGTTTGTTTTTCAAACTAAACTAAGCTGCTTATACTCCTGGAACAAAAGAATTACAGGTTCTTGAGCTCTTCTTTGTATTCACTAAAAATCAGGCCAGTCTAAGTACATCTTACTTGAGAGTTTCAAAATTATATAATTTATGTCTCACTGAGAGAAAAAAGAAACATAAGAGATATGCTTGATTTGGGAACTTAATTTTAAACCAAGTAAAACAAAAAAAAGGTTTTGTGATGTGATATTACTTTCTGATTGGAAATTATATAAATATCATTCTTTTTAGTTTTTTTTAATTTTTTTATTTTTTTTATTATACTTTAAGTTCTAGGGTACATGTGCACAACGTGCAGGTTTGTTACCCATGTATACATATGCCATGGTGGTGTGCTGCACCCATTATCTCGTCATTTACATTAGGTATATCTTCTAATGCTATCCCTCCCCACTCCCCCCACCCCACAACAGGCCCCAGTGTGTGATGTTCCCCTTCCTGTGTCCAAGTGTTCTCATTGTTCAATTCCCACCTATGAGGGAGAACATGTGGTGTTTGGTTTTTTGTTCTTGTGATAGTTTGCTGAGAATGATAGATTCCAGTTTCATCCATGTCCCTACAAAGGACATGAACTCATCCTTTCTTATGGCTGTATAGTACTCCATGGTATATATGTGCCAAATTTTCTTAATCCAGTCTATCACTGATGGACATTTGGGTTGGTTCCAAGTCTTTGCTATTGTGAATAGTGCCGCAATAAACACACGTGTGTATGTGTCTTTATAGCAACATGATTTATAATCCTTTGAATATATACCCAGTAATGGGATGGCTGGGTCAAATGGTATTTCTAGTTCTAGATCCTTGAGGAATCGCCACACTGTCTTCCACAATGGTTGAACTAGTTTACAGTCCCACCAACAGTGTAAAAATGATCCTATTTCTTCACATCCTCTCCAGCACCTGTTGTTTCCTGACTCTTTAATGATTGCCATTCTAACTGGTGTGAGATGGTATCTCATTGTGGTTTTGATTTGCATTTCTCTGATGGCCAGTGATGATGAGCATTTCTTCATGTGTCTTTTGGCTGCATAAATGTCTTCTTTTGAGAAGTGTCTGTTCATATCCTTTGCCCACTTTTTGATGGGGTTGTTTGTTTATTTCTTGTAAATTTGTTTGAGTTCTTTGTAGATTCTGGATATTAGCCCTTTGTCAGATGAGTAGATTGCAAAAATTTTCTCCCATTCTGTAGGTTGCCTGCTCACTTTGATGGTAGTTTCTTCTGCTGTGCAGAAGCTCTTTAGTTTAATTAGATCCCATTTGTCAATTTTGGCTTTTGTTGCCATTGCTTTTGGTGTTTTAGACATGAAGTCCTTGCCCATGCCTATGTCCTGAATGGTATTGCCTAGGTTTTCTTCTAGGGTTTTTTATGGTTTTAGGTCTAACATTTAAGTCTTTAATGCATCTTGAATTAATTTTTGTATAAGGTGTAAGGAAGGGATCCAGTTTCAGCTTTCTACATATGGCTAGCCAGTTTTCCCTGCAGTATATATCAAATAGGGAATCCTTTCCCCATTTCTTGTTTTTGTCAGGTTTGTCAAAGATCAGATGGTTGAAATGGCAAACCAAATCCAGCAGCACATCAAAAAGCTTATCCACCATGATGAAGTGGGCTTCATCCCTGGGATGCAAGGCTGGTTCAATGTACACAGATCAATAAACATAATCCAGCATATAAACAGAACCAAAGACAAAAACCACATGATTTTCTCAACAGATGCAGAAAAGTTCTTTGACAAAATTCAACAGCCCTTCATGCTAAAAACTCTCAATAAATTAGGTATTGATGGGACGTATCTCAAAATAATAAGAGCTATTTATGACAGACCCACAGCCAATATCATACTGAATGGGCAAAAACTGGAAGCATTCCCTTTGAAAACTGGCACAAGAAAGGGATGCCCTCTCTCACCACTCCTATTCAACATAGTGTTGGAAGTTCTGGCCAGGGCAATCAGGCAGGAGAAACAAATAAAGTGTTTTCAGTTAGGAAAAGTGGGAGTCAAATTGTCTCTGTTTGCCGATGACATGATTGTATATCTAGAAAACTCCACTGTCTCAGCCCAAAATCTCCTTAAGCTGATAAGCAACTTCAGCAAAGTCTCAGGATACAAAATCAATGTGCAAAAATCACAAGCATTCTTATACAGCAATAACAGACAGAGAGCCAAATCATGAGTGAACTCCCATTCACAATTGCTTCAAAGACAATAAAATACCTAGGAATCCAACTTACAAGGGACCTGAAGGACCTCTTCAAGGAGAGCTACAAACCACTGCTCAATGAAATGAAAGAGGACACAAACAAATGGAAGAACATTCCATGCTCATGGATAGGAAGAATCAATATCATGAAAATGGCCATACTGCCCAAGGTAATTTATAGATTTAATGCCATCCCCATCAAGCTACCAATGACTCTCTTCACAGAATTGGAAAAAACTACTTTAAAGTTCATATGGAACCAAAAAAGAGCCTGCATTGCCAAGTCAATCCTAAGCCAAAAGAACAAAGCTGGAGGCATCACGCTACCTGACTTCAAACTATACTACAAGGCTACAGTAACCAAACAGCATGATACTGGTACCAAAACAGAGATATAGACCAATGGAACAGAACGGAGCCCTCGGAAATAATACCACACATCTACAATATCATACTTTTTTAAATTTCAACTTTTATATTAGATAAAAGGGGTGTATGTGCAGATTTGTTACATGGGAATATTGCATGATGCTGAGGTTTCAGGTACAGACCTCATCACATAGGTAGTGAGCATAGGACACTATAGGTAGTTTTTCATTGCAAGCCCTGCTCCCATCCTTCTCCCTCTAGTAGTCTGAAATGTCCATTGTTTCCATTGTTTATATCCATGTGTGCTCAATGTTTACCTCCCAGTTATAAGTGAGAATATGCAGTATCTGGTTTTTTGTTCATTTCTTAGTTTGCCTAGGATTATAGCCTCTAACTGTATCTATGTTGCTGCAAAGGAGATGATTTCATTCGTTTTTATGGCTGTATAGTATTGTGTGGTATATGAATACTACATTTTCTTTATCCAGTTCATCACTGATAGGCACCTGGGTTGATTTTATGTCTTTGCTACTATAAATAGTGTAGTGATGAACATACAAGTACATGTGACTTTTTGTAGGATAATTTCTTTTCCCTTGGGTATACAACCAGTAGTGAAATTGCTGGGTCAAATGATAACTCTCTTTTAAGTTCTTTACTCAGGCCTGCTGGGCTCATGCCTCCCACCCACCCTGCAGGCTTCGCTTGGCTCGTGCTACTCCTTCAGATCCTATGCCTGCCAAGGGTGAGCCACACAAAGAGTGGCAAGGGGTGTGTGAATGAGTGAGTGCGGGATCTGGCCACTGTGCACAGCCAGGCATGCCAGCTGCTGTAGAGAAGCAGGCAAATCCAGGTGCTGGCACAGGTGCTGGCTCTGTGGAAGCCTGTGGCTGGATCAGATGCACTGCAAGCAGCTTTCACTGTGGGTACCTGCATCTGGATGAGCAGAAAGCATTGGTTCCTGGAAGCTTGAAGACACCAGAAACTCTAGAGCCCCAAAACGGGTGTCACAACCTTGCCTCTGGAAGTCCCCAGGTCTGGGATCCTGGAAGGGTTGCAGCTCTTCTCACTTGTTGCCTGCAACATGGTGACTGTGTGTATGTGTGTGTGGGGGGGGTGTTTCAGGCCTTTTTGTGTTACAGCTCTTTCAGTCCCACCAATTGGTGGGGCCTGAGTTCTCGTACCACATCCAGGAAGAATGAGGTATGCGGACAACTAGAGGGTGGACAAAGCAAAGAGGTGACTTACTGAGCCACAGTACAGCTCTCAGGAAACCCAAAGTGGGTAGCTCCTTTCAACAGGCAGGTCATCCCGATGAGAATGCACCCCTCAGCAGAGAGGAGGCCTGGCAGGCAAGTTGTCCTCATGTCTCTGTGAGTCTGTCTGAGACTGGGGTTTTTATGGGCCTCAGAAGGGAGAAAATGCATGCTAATTGGTCCATGGGTGACCATAGATGGGCCCAGAAAAAGCACCTTTAAGTACTCCCTCTGGGCAGTGGATTCCTCCCAGAACTGAGAGTCTAGGCTTCAGGACTCCCCTGGCTTGAAAGTGGGGCTTCACTGGGAGCTTGCCCCTTTTCACCCACAACCCTGTCTGCCTCCTGCCACCATCTATATGTCATTCATGGTACCCACACTACTTGTGCAAAAAGGTACCTGCAGGCCTGCACTGAGCCACCCTTAGCCCCTCATTTGGCCTCCCTCCCATGCTCGTCAGTGCCCAAAGCCTGGAGGGAGCTGAGGCGGCTGGGTGCTGGCATGTCAGCACCACCCCACCCTGAGCACATGCACATCTGGCTGGGTTGCCACAGCACCCAGGCTCAGCCACAACTTTGCTCTGCCCCAGAGCAGAAGCCAGTAGTTGGGAGAGGCCAGGCAGTGGGGATAGGCACTTCCAAGCTTGTGGGTGTAGGGGGGCTTCCCAGGTTCCTGAGAGCACAAGGATGCCCGGGTCTGCAGCTGCCTAGGTGGCTTCAGCTGTGCCCAGGAGGGCAGGGCTCCCAACCTGCCAAGTCAGAAGTGCGGGGTGGTGGGGGGAGCTCGCCCGTCCCCAGCTCCCACTGGCTTCCAGGAGCACACAGCCCTGGCTGTGCCTTTCCTGCTGCAGCCTGCTTTTCTTTGTGGTGGCTGCCACTGCCATTAGTATAATGTTGGCTGTGAGTTTGTCATAGATGGCTGTTATTATTTTGAGGTGTATTCCTTCTATGCCAGGAAGAGCTCCTTCCTAACTCATTCTGTAAAGTCAGCATAAGCCTGATAGCAAAACCTGGCAAAAAAACACACACAAAAAATAAAATTACAGGCCAATATCCCTGATGAACATAGACACAAGAATCCTCAATAAAATATTAGCATACTAAATCCAGCAGCATATCAAAACGTTAACACACCACAATTAAGTAGGCATTATCCTTGGGATGCAAAGCTGTTTCAACATATTCAAATCAATAAATGTGGCTTGACATATAAACAGAATTAAAAGCAAAAATCCTATGATCATCTCAATAGACAAAGAAAAAGTTTCCAATAACATCCAACATCTCTTCATGACTTTTTTTGAATTTCAATTTTGTATAATAAAGATTGTCTCAAATGAAAGTTTTATCTTTTATCTTAAGCTAGTCTCAGATTATACAGGATACATGACTAGTTCTAAATGTCTCTGTGGTGACTTTGTCTTGTAATAATGTGCTTGGCATTTTATTGTACTTTTACTATACAACAATTTTCCAAATACATGTTTTTATTCAGGGACTATGATTGTGACATACTATGTTTGTATTTTTGTATTTTTGCCATATTTCTAAAAGTATTAATGAAATTAATCAAGATTCTGACATTGTAAGTAAATAAGAACATAAACAATGCAAAGAAGTATATATTTTAATATCGTATGTATTATACTTAAAGAGTATTAGTGTTTTTTTTTTGGAAAGAGTCTCACTCTGTTGCCCAGACTGGAGTGCAGTGGTACAATCTTGGATCACTGCAACCTCCACCTCCTAGGTTCAAGCAGTTCTCCTGCCTCAGCTCCCTAGTAGCTGGGACTACAGGCATGCACCACCACTGCACCTGGCTAATTTTTGTATTTTTAGGAGAGACAGGTTTCACCATATTGTCCAGGCTGGTCTGGAACTCCTGACCTCATGATCCACCTGCTTCACCTTCTCAAAAAGCTGGGATTACAGGCATGAGCCACTGTGCCCGGACAAGAGTATTAGTGTTTCTTAGGATGCATTTAAATGAAGTATTTAATTGAAACTATTGACATTGGAAATTGAAGTTAAAATGAAGCTACTTTTATCACTGGCTTTAATAGTTGTTCCCTGGCTCTACAGTTAGCCAGTACTAACTTGAACCTCAGTTCCTAAGCAAATTACTTAAATCTTCTAAACAACAATTTTCTTATTGATATGGTTTGGCTGTGTCCCCACTCAAATCTCATCTTGAATTGTAGTTCCCATAATCCCCATGTGTTGTGGAAGGGATCAAGTGGAGATAATTGAATCATGGGAAGGGTATCCCCCATCCTGTTCTTATGATAGTGAGTTAGTTCTCACAAGATCTGATAGTTTTATAAGGCGCTTTCCCCTTTGCTGGGTACTCCATTCTTCTTCCTGCTGACATGTGAAGAAGGACATGTTTGCTTCCCATTCTGCCATGATTGTAAGTTTCCTGAGGCCTCTCCAACCCTGCAGAATTGTGAGTCAATTAAACCTCTCTCCTTTATAAATTACCTAGTCTTGGACAGTTCTTTATAGCAGCATGAGAACGGATTAATACACTTATTGAATGAAAACAATGATAGTTCCCCCCTCATTAGCATTGTGCATAGATAGATATATAAATACTCTTATTGACCTCTAGCAATTTCTCAGAGATACTTCTATTATCAACATCATTCTAGTTGTTAGCAGTTATTTTTCAGATTTTGCTCTCAGTCTAATTTGGTCAGTAGATTTAATTTAAATTTCTCCAACTTTAAATTCAAACTGAATTCAAGATATATATTTGCAGTTTATGCATTATGTTACTTTATTTTTTGGTTTGTCTGGATTTAGATTCTACATTTGCTCAAAAATTACAATAATACCTTACCAACCTTCTCTACTGAGGTGTTGTGAAAAGCAACCAAAAGGTGAGAGACAAAAATGTTCCTAAGCGGTAAACCTCTAAATTTTATTAAGGTGATAATTTTACAGAGAATTCAGAAGTACTACAAATATAAAATATACAAAAAAACAAAAAATGTACTAGTCTATCTTAATGCATTCTTTACTTTTAATATTCATACTTATAATTTTGAGCAGCAACTAATTTTAAAGCTATGAACATATAATGTCTTTAATGTTCAATAATACTCAAAATTATATACTACTTTGTTGAATAATAGTTCATAGAACTTTATCTGATGAGAGAACAATTTTTTTTCTAGTATGCTACTAGCTTTATAAGTCACATTATACTTACAAACATAATAAGAAATGAGCTATTCTCTATGTTTCACTGAAAATATGCACAATGAAATATCCTTGAATGTGTTTTTTTTATCATTGTCCCTTTGTAAGACAGTGTACTTTTTCTAAGTCTCTCATCTTTCAAAAACAGGATAGAGAACTTAACTTTATCTTACAAAAGAAAAAATCGTATAAAGCAGCCTCTTTTTCATAAGCTATCTTAATAGCTTATGCAGGGATGTTATAAAGTAGTCTATAGGAAAATGTAAAATAATGCTTGATTTTACTTCTGTTTTACAAGTATATCGTCCACTAATATTTCAGCTCTACAAAAACAAGTATCACTACCATTTTCCATTTAAGAAACTGACATAAGTAAGGTCACAGAGGTAAAGCCAGTAGTAAAATTCTAGGCTTATGACTTCAAAAGCTCTGTCCAATCAATATAACTATCATTAACATGCACAGTAACTGTTTTGGTTATACTAAGAATAGTATCAGAACTGTAACAGTACACAGTGCAACTCAATGTAAATGTACCTAATCAGTTTAAAACTCTGCAATATTTCATATCTCCTAACCAAATTAATGACTAAAAGAGATGTCACTTTTGATCTAGCCCATAATTTAGGACTAAAGTTTCCCAACCATTAACACTACATTTCATTTATAAAAATATGTGGTTAAAATTTTGATTTGGAGAACAGAGGAACATGCATAGATCAGAGTAAAAAAGAAACATATATTTTGCAACAGTGGGTTGAAAAGCTACATTTAGATGAAAAGTTACCATGATTTTAGCAAAGTTTATAAATCTCCACCTGAGTAATAGTTGTAGCTTCCAAGTGGCAGCAGAGGCCACTAATAAGAACCACTGGGACAAGTTGAAAAGGGAAGGTGCAGGTTCCTCTGTGTCCTATAATGAAGGCAAGATTTTAATCCAGATTTTAAAGTATTAAATCCACAGTTCAGAAACTGTGTAGTGTCTTCCTTTTTCACTGATTCATCCATAGTGATTTCTACTGATGATTTTCTGTAGGAAGGCAACCATGTATGCTGTCTAGATACCCTGCAGTATGCATGTATTAGAAATTCTGATAAAGATAATCTAAGACTTCATGAAATAAGATGCTAATGCTAAGTAACTGTACTATAGTATTATAATTAAATATGATGAGTCTTGATAAATGTCACTTATTAGTCCATCATGACATTTAATTGATCTAATACTGGCCAGAATTTTAAAAGATTAAAAATTGAAGTCAGTGAAGGGCAAACAGGTTGAATCGTGCCTTATGTTTAAAAGCATACTTATTAGAAAAACCATTAACATTCTCATCAAAGTTAAAGAGACAGGCATATTTGAAGTCAAACACACAGAACGGTTGTTTAGGGGAGTAGATACGGCACTATTCTGTTGAGAAATAGGACACTTCTGCTACTGAACATACTTGGCAGCCATGTCTAAAGTGCTGGTTTTATTTTTGTAGGTGCCATAATTTTATAGAGAATTGACTTATTTCCAAAAATAGGCAATAAAGGAAATAACATGTCGTAACAGAATGAAATCATAGCCTATAACACAATTTGAAAAGATAGAGATGATTTAAAATATGGAAGATACATCTTGGAGGATGCATATCATTTATCTTCAAATCATTGATTTGTTGGCATGTAGAACAAAGTGCAAACATTTTGTATTGTTCTGGATGTCCCACGTTCAAATATCAGTACTCCCAGTCCACACAGAATTGAGCATAAATTGTCCTGTGTTCATGCTGAAATCATACCTGTTGTGTGTTTTTTAAAAAAATTTCTCCTTCATAGCCAATTCCCATTACAATAACTTATTTAATTCTCATTTTTTCTTGATGTATTATGGAAATGAAAGGTTGTTTTCTGACACCTAGAATCCTCTAATAACCCTAAGATTGATAACTGGGTTTGATATTAACCATGAACAGACACTGAAAACAGTACCTTTATGACTGTCCAAATATTATCTGTCTGGATTATCCATTTCTGTGGGACACTCCCTTTTTGAGATCTACTTTTCAATTTTATGTCTCTATTATATAATGTGTTAGAGATTCCTGTACACGAGAATACTGTGGGCATACTGAAAATATCCCCAGCAATAGTGTTAAACTTTTACATTTATGTTGCCTGCTTGTGGACTTCTGGATCCCAGTCCTAATGTAGTCTAGGCCTTAGTCTGTTGCTACATGGTTAAGTTGGGCTGATGAATCTCCAGATATTATAAACATTCTAATTTCTCACTTTGAGTCAAATATATTCTTCCTCCACTGGCTTTCTTATATATATATATATTTTTTTCTATCGTTCTAATTTTCAGTATCTCTAGGACCATGCAGTGGTGAAATTTGGGCTCACTGCAATCTCTGCCTCCCGGGTTCAAGTAATTCTCCTGCCTCAGCCTCCCAAGTAGCTGGGACTATAGGCGTGCACCACCATGCCCAGCTAATTATTTGTATTTTTAGTGTAGATGGGGTTTTACCATGTTGGCCAGGATGGTCTGGATCTCTTGACCTCATGATCCTCCACCTCGGCCTCCCAAACTGCTGGGATTACAGGCGTGACCACCACGCCTGGCCCACAGTTATTACTCTTGTTCCAGTGTCACCTCATGCTTCTTTGCAAATTGGAAAATTCTCAGTATATTTTTCATTAGAAAATAGAAATTGATCACTTTAATCAAGGTTGATGCTATGAGTTTTTAAAGTACAAATTCCAGTGCTTATTATTATCTTAAGTCCCTACTTGTCAAGAAAATGAGCTTAGAAAAAAAAATCTAAAACCAGTGATGCTGAAAATAAAGCACAGATATTGTGACACATGTTTTCTAGTTCATTTCTGAATTTTCAAAATGACCTTTTAAAAATATTCAGTAATATTTTCACAGGTAATTTTATGTTTCGGAAAATAAAAAATAGGTTTTTGGTGCCTTAAAATGGAAAAATAGGCCAGGTTTCGTGCTCCACGCCTTAATCCCAGCACTTCGGGAGGCCGAAGTGAGTGGACTTAATGAGTCCAGGAGTTCCAGCCCAGCCTGAGAAACATGGCAAAACCCCATCTCTACAAAAAATTTAAAAATTAGTGAGTCATGGTGGTACACACTTGTAGTCCCAGCTACTTGGAAGGCTGAGGTGGGAGAATCACCTGAGCCTGGGAAATCAAGGCTGTAGTAAGCTGTGATCTCACCACTGTACTCTAGCCTGGGCGACAGAGTGAGACCCTATCTCTAAAATAAAATGGAAGAATATTTGGAAAGCAAATATACTATTAATGTTTTATATATTTTTAGGTTCAAGATTTTTCCTAATGAGCGAAACACTGAATAAGAATGGTAAAACAGACTAACACAAATAAGTATCAAGTATTTATAATAAATTCAAGAATATAAAAAATGAAGAAACACAAAGTGAATAGACGCCAGGCATCATGACCACAGCTGCTAGCATCTTCTTTCCCACATCAGATTCACATTTTAGACAAGAATAATAGGCTTCTAAAACAAGTGGGCAGATTACAACACACAAGAGTTTTAGGGTATGAAATATCTGCAGGTTCCAGTAGTTTCATATGTTGCCTAATATTTCTTAGCGTTCCATATATTCTTGGTTTGTTTATAAAAAGTAATTATATACCAAGACTATCATATCAAAAACATTTCTTATTTAAGGAATCTTCTTTTAACAAATATATTCTATACACTAGCCCATTATCATTATGCTTACAAGGAGCTTTGATCTGATCATCTATCTTCTTTCATTCCTAGGATGTCCCTGATAATGAAGAGAAATGAAACTCTGGCCAGTTCATTTAATTTTTCTGTCTCACCCTACAAAATTTAACTTGATCCTAAAAATCATAAGTAAAGTACAGATAACATTACCAACTAAATAACCCAGATCACTCACCTCACATTGATGTAGCTAGAACAATAACATGGTTGCTACCAATAAGGTTCTTTTTTTAAATTGTCTGTCTCAGTACACTTTTTGAAAATTGTCTCCAACAAAATGAGTTTTAAGGACAAATGACAGTTCTTCTAAAATGATTTTATGAGATTCTGTGATTGTCTATAGCTTCTTACAAAAATATAATTTATAAATTTAAAATGGCTGGGCGCGGTGGCTCACGCCTGCAATCCCAGCACTTTGGGAGGCCGAGGCGGGCGGATCATGAGGTCAGGAGATCGAGATCATCCTAGCTAACACGTGAAACCCCGTCTCTACTAAAAATACAAAAAATTAGCTGAGCGTGGTGGCGGGTGCCTGTAGTCCCAGCTACTTGGGAGGCTGAGGCAGGAGAATGGCTTAAGTAAACCCGGGAGGCAGAGCTTGCAGTGAGCGGAGATGGCGCCGCTGCACTCCAGCCTGGGCGACAGAGCAAGAGTCCATCTCAAAAAAAAAAAAAAAAAAAAATTAAAAAAATCTCTTAATTTTAGACTCCTATAGCAAAGGTAGATTTCTCAATTACTAAACCTGAAAAAGTATCGGTAAAGTCTCAAGTTTATGAAACTTACAATACTAAAAGTTGAAAATAAATTCAAAGAATCAACCTTTAAAACAGAAGTGTACTTATCTCACTTGTTGCTTTAAAATATAGATAGCTCCCATAAAGACCTGTTTCTTTCTCTTTTTTTTCCTTCTACTTCCATGCTTTCATTTTTTAAAAATCATCACACATCTCCATAGGGTTTAAGGACCTGTTTCTTTCATCTAATTAGTACACAATAAGACATTCAATGAGGACCTACTGTTTAATTAACTAATGGCATAAAAGTAAAAATAGAAAAACGAAAGTGTGATGAAAATTTTTCAATTAATCTGCAAATAAACTTATTTTCAATTTAATAATATATAATTTATCAAATGCCATGGAAATGTGTATTAGATAATACTTATAAACCATGAAATTCATCTGGTCTCAGAGTGGTAAAATGGATTGAACACAGTTTTCAAGAGGTAATAAAATTATTCAAATCTTATATTTCTCTGAGAACATTAAAAATACATGATTTATACAGTGCAGTAATATTTAAAATTAACTTCCTTTAAAGTACCAGTTTCTTTGCAGCTCTTCTTTATCAAAATCCCAAATTCTAACCCTAACCTTAGCCGTGAATAATTTCCTCTTCTTCTGAATTCTTTTTCTTGCAAGGAAGGTAGACTTGGCCTCTTAATTCTAGGAAGCGAGAATCTTTATCTTGAAAAGTTGAGATGTGGAGAAATCCCCTGAATAAACACAGAACACTACTTAGCTGATAAAGGGATAGGAAGAGACAATGTATTATGAATTTCTGAAGTCTTGTTTCTATCTCACTTTAATATGTCATACTCAAAAACTAATATAAAAATGAGAAAATTCTAGGTTGTCAGATATTTGAATTACTTCCTGTAAAATTTTGACTCTTTTAAAGGAGATTTTGCAAAGAAACATTAAAAGTATTGAACTCAACTTGAAAGTTTTATCTAAGAGTTATTTCAATTTTTTAATTAAAACCAAAGTGATCTTCAGTTGATACTTATTTTGTATAAACAGGTTAATCTTGTGTTATTAGAATGCTTATATGAAAGTGATTTTAACAACCTTCACTATAATCTGAAGCAAAAAGCTCAAAAAAGTTCATATTTTAAATGAAATATTTTTCTGTCCTACAAAGAAAAATGGAATCTTAGGTTTTAAGAAAATTATATTGTTCTATATTATATTTAGCTATTAATAAAATTTTAAATCAGTAAAAGTAACATGTAGCAGCTGAGTGTTGTGGCTCACACTTGTAATCCCAGCACTTTGGGAGGCCGAGGCAGGCAGATTGCTTGAGGTCAGGTGTTCAAGACCAGCCTGGCCAACATGGTGAAACCCTATCTCTACTAAAAATTAGTGGGGCATGGTGTCGCATCCCTGTAGTACTGTAGCTGGTAAGCTACAGGGTGGCTGAGTCGCAAGAATCACTTGAACCAGAGAGGTGAAGGTTGCAGTGAGCTGAGATAGTACCATAGCACTCCAACCTGGGTGACAGAGCAAGAATGTCTAAAAAAAAAATAATTAATTAATTAATTTTTAAAAATTAGCTTCATTTATAGGTGTGGAACAAATTATATAGTCATAAAAAAATTTGGAAATTTTAAAAACTTTCATAACATGACAGTGAAGATTATGATTAAAAGTATAGTAAATACTTTTAACTTATTTTTTTCTGTAAAACATTTAGTAAAAAATAACTCTAAAACTTTTAAGTAATTCTATGTTCTTTGACATACAAAGAGGGGCATAAGCTACAGAACATTCATAATAGCATTTGTGTACTTTCCTATCTAATAATAGTGGGATAATAATGAATTATTTCTAACCTGGCTGTATGTATGGCTTCCAATAAGGTATTTATATATGCATAAGAGTACATATCACAATGTTTTAATTAATTTCTAAAAACGCTTTATGAAAATCTTCTTATTTAGCTTACGGAAATGCTTCTTGGTTAATTAGATTTTATGGAGTAAGTCCAAGACAGGAAATAGCAAAATATTATTATTGGCCATGTATTTTACACTAAACATATATTTGATATAACATCATTGAATTTCTCTTCCTCTCAGTTACCTATATTATTAAAAAATTTTAGAGATAAATTTATATTTAATAGGCCTTTGTAGATCATGTTGTAACTTTACTTTAGTTTGTTTTATTTAAAAGTTACCTTACTTCAAAACATACTACAAGGCTACAGTAACCAAACAGCATGGTACTGGTACCAAAACAGATATGTAGACCAATGGAACAGAACAGCGGCCTCAGAAATAAGACAACACACCTACAACCATCTGATCTTTCACAAACCTGGCAAAAACAAGAAATAAGGAAAGGATTCTCCATTGAATTTAAAGAGATTTATTAAAGGATTTAGTAAATGGGTGGGAAAACAGACTAGCCATATGTAGAAAACTGAAACTGGACCCCTTCCTTACACCTTACACGAAAATTAACTCAAGATAGATGAAAAATTTAAATGTAAGACCTAAACCCATAAAAACCATAGAGGAAAACCTAGGCAATACCATTCAGTACATGGGCATGGGCAAAGACTTCATGACTAAAACACCAAATGCAATGACAACAAAAGCCAAAATTGACAAATAGCATCTAATTAAACTAAAGAGCTTCTACACAGCAAAAGAAACTATCATCAGAGTGAACAGGCAACCACAGAATGGGAGAAAATTTTTGCAATCTATCCATTTGACAAAGGGCTAATATCCAGAATCTACAAAGATATTAAACAAATTTACAAGAAGAAAACAAACAACCCCATCAAAAAGTGGGTGAAGGATATGAACAGAAACTTTTCAAAAGAAGACATTTTTGCAGCCAACAAACATATGAAAAAAAGCTCATCATCACTGGTCATTAGAGAAATGTAAATCAAAACCACAGTGAGATACCATCTCATGCCAGTTAGAATGGCAATCATTAAAAAGTCAGGAAACAACAGATGCTTGAGAGGATGTGGAGAAATAGGAATGCTTGTACACTGTTGGTGGGAATGTAAATTAGTTCAACCATTGTGGAAGACAGTGTGGAGATTCCTTAAGGATCTAGAACCAGAAATACCATTTGACCAAGAAATCCCATAACTAGGTCTATACCCAAAGGATTATAAATCATTCTACTATAAAGACACATGCACACATATGTTTATTGCAGCACTATTCACAATAGCAAAGACTTGGAACCAACCCAAATGCCCATCAATAATAGACTGGATAAAGAAAATGTGGCATATATACACGATGGAATACCATGCTGCCATAAAAAGGGATGAGTTGATGTTGGAGGGACGTGGATGAAGCTGGAAACCATCATTCTCAGCAGACTAACACAGGAACAGAAAACCAAACACCACATGTTCTCACTCATAAGTGGGAGTTGAGCAATGAGAACAGATGCACACAGGGAGGGGAACATCACACACAGGGGCCTGTCGGGGGTTGGGGGAGGTGAAGGGGATAGCATTAGGAGAAATACCTAATGTAGATGACAGGTTGATGGGTGCAGCAAATCACGATGGCACATGTATACCTATGTAACAAACCTGCACGTTCTGCACATGTTTCCCAGAACTTAAAGTGTAATACAAAATACCTTAAGAAAAGTTTTAGATTCTAACTTGTATTTGATGAGTCATTATTTATTTATAAACAATAAGTATCTGAAAATGTTTGGCAGTTTAAACTCAGTTTTCTTGATGGAACTCAAATATTGACTAGGTAGAGCCTTCTGGTCATTAATATTGAAGACAACTAAATACTGTTTTGTTTTGCCAGTTTTGAGGGAGACCTCAATGTATGCTTTTCCCTATTGTCTATATATTTTCTTAAATGCCACTCTAGTGTTTCTGCTTCTGAGCATATTCTAGTCTAAGTTCATACTTTTTGTACAGGTACACCTCTTGCATAAGTGTGAAAACAATGGCTTAGAATCAATGTAGTCTCATCTGTGTATTAGAAATATTTCCTTTTATCAACAGTTGAGCTCTAAAAATTGCAAATTCAATAGAAAATTTAGAATGTTTTGAGGAATTATAATTTCTCTAGAAAGAGAGCACACTTTGAAAACACACATAGACAAAACAGATCTTAAATATATTTGTAAGGTGATCTTACCTCTATGGTGTTGAATGCATGGAAACACTAAATAAAAGTCATGTATGGTTTTTAAAAATCTGTATGAAGTATGCCTATGTTTACTAATTTTCTGTCTAGAGCTAGTCTGAGAAATAGTGTGTGACTCTATAAGGGTCATCGATAAGTATCTACCAAATAATATATACATTTGTCATTCCCTTGTTACTAGATTATATTCTGAATTCCTTTTGTGTTTTTTACTTATTAAGAAGAAAGTCAATCCAAAAGAATGTGGTGAGAAAATGTGTAAACAATGTTGCAGTCTTTTGTCCATCTTTTTTTAATTTTTTTTTAAATTTTACTTTAAGTTCTGGGATACATGTGCAGACTATGTAGGTTTGTTATTTAGGTATACATGTGCCATGATGGTTTGCTGCACTTATCAATATTGCATTTTTAAAAAGCAAGAAAATAGTTCTTTTATAAAAATGCCTTTGAGAAAAAAATTGAAAAATACTTTTTTCAAAGAAAAAGGATTGAATCTCCAAACAGAATTTACAATATGGCCTTGTTGTAAGAGCAGTATGAAAGTTTGAGCCCCTCTCCTTCTGTAATTTCCTAAATGGGTCCTACGCGTGCCCTGTTAAATACTAAGTGTTCCAAATTAGTTATGGTCAATCCCTGTGAGTATAATACTTATTTCCTGCCCCATTTAATACAAGGGTTCTATTACATATAAGAGGGCATCTTCTTAGTTCTAACTTTGTGTGTGTGTGCGTGTCTGTGTGCACATGGGTGCACATATGTGTGAGTATGTATGTACCTGTGTGTCTGGATTTTAGAGAAGCCTGAAAAAGTTGTACATCAATTGTATATAGATTTCAATTTATTGTTGTTTTGTAAAAAAATCTGATGTTTCTTAAGACGCCTTAGTTTAAGAAAGTATGCTGTAAAATTTTTCTGTGCATTGTTTTATTCTCAGAGAACAGTAAAGGAAACCTAATTATCTCAAATTGTTTACAAGGTTTTATAGAAATAAAACACACCATAGAGTTTTGGTTTGTCATGTTGACAGTTGAGAAACAGTGGATCTGATTATTCTTGGAATAAACCTGTAAGGTAATTTTCAAAAGAAAAAACTTAAAAACAATAAATCTAATTATTAGCAAAGAATTTAATTATTCTGATTTTAAATCCCCAGTTCTGACTAAAATAAAAATCTTATTGAAAACATAAAAGAAGGAAACACATTTTTCTACATAATGAATAGAAACGTAAGTGACAGTCTTGTTCAGAGTGCCAGTTCTGTACTAAAAATATGTTCCAATTCATAGAATTTTACTTTCTCTGGTTTTATTCACTGTTTACTCAGATAGTGAGCAGCAATGCATTTTTGTTCTGACAATAATTCCCTTGACTGTTGCATGTTATTTGTGTTTAAAAAAAAAGTAAAAGCCAAAATCAAAAAAGCCAAGCATTAAGAAGTTGCAGGTGCACTACTTATCAAGAGAGGAGACACGCTAGGAGTCCTTATTAGCAGTCTGGGCTTACCGTTCTTCAGAATTTTTTTTTTACTTCTTTTAAAAAAATGTTTTATTTTAGATTCATGTGGTACCTGTGCAGGGTTGTAACATGGGTATGTGTGTGATACTGAAGTTTGGGCTTCTAATGATTCCATAGTCCAAGAAGTGAACATAATGCCTAATAGATAGGTTTTCAATCCTTGCCCCTGTGCCTCCCCTCTTTTGGGATTCCAAGAGTTTATTGTTCCTATGTTTGTGTCTGTGTGTACCCAATGTTTAGCTCCACTTATAAAGGAGAACATGCAGTATTTGGTTTTCTGTTTCTGCATTAATTCACTTCAGATAATGGCTTCCAGCTGCATTCATGTTGCTGAAAAGGAAATGATTACATCCTTTTTATGGGTGCATAGTATTCTGCAGTGTATACATACCACATTTTCTTTATCCAATCCAACATTGATTGGCATCTGTGTTAATTCCATGTCTTTACTATTGTGAATAGTGCTGTGATAAACATGTAAGTGCCGTTGTCTTTTTGGTAGAATGATTTGCCTTCCTTTTAATATGTACCCAATACTGGGATTGCTGGGTCAAATGGTAACTGTATTTTTAGTAATTTGATAAATTTCCAGATTGCTTTGCACAGGTGCTGAACTAATTTGCATTCCCACCGACAGTGTATAAGTGTTCCATTTTCTCTGCAACCTTGCTAACATCTGTTATGTTTTGACTTTTTACTAATAGCCATTCTGACTGGTGTGACATAGTACCTTATTGTGGTTTTGACTTGCATTTATCTGGTTATTTTTTCATAAGTTTGTTGGCTGCTTGCATCTCTTCTTTTGAGAAGTGTCTATTCATGTCCTTTGCCCATTTTAAATGGGGTTATTTATTATTTGATTTAAGTTGCCTATAGATTATGGATATTAGCCTTTGTTGGATGCATAGTTTGCAAAAATGTTCTCCCATTCTGTAGGTTGTTTACTTTCTTGATAGTTTCTTTTGATATGCAGAAGATCTTTAGTTTAATTAGGTCTCCATTGTCAATTTTTTTTTTGTATTTGCTTTTGAGGACTTAGTCATAAGTTACTTAACTAGGCCAGT
This sequence comes from Homo sapiens, assembly GCF_000001405.40. Lineage (NCBI taxonomy): Eukaryota > Metazoa > Chordata > Mammalia > Primates > Hominidae > Homo > Homo sapiens. Next base: position 95,773,825 of record NC_000003.12, read on the forward strand.
GTTGAGAGGGGTATTTCCTAGGTTGTCTTCCAGGATTTTTACAGTTTGAGGTCTATACAGTTAAGTCTTTAATCCATCTTGAGTTAATTTTTGTGTATGGTGTGATGTAGAAGTCCAGTTTCATTCATCTGCATGGGGCAACCCAGCTTCTCCAGCACCACTTATTGAAAAGGGTATCCTTTCCCTATTGTTTATTTTTGTCACCTTTGTCAAAGATCAATTGTTTGCAGGTGTGTGGTTTTATTTTGGGGCTCTCTATTCTGTTCTGTTGTCCTATGTGTCTGTTTTTGCACCAGTATCATACTGTTTTGGTTACACTAGCCTTATTGTATAGCTTGAAGTCAGGTAATGTGATACTTCTGACTTTAATTTTGCTTAGGATTGCCTTAGCTATTGGGGGTCTTTTTGGCTCTACATGAATTCTGTAGGAATTTCAGAATAGTTTTTTCATCACAACCACAAAAAGTTGCTATTCTGATGAAATCCTTAGACTACAAATGAAAGTGATTTTTTGGAAAAGTTACACTGATAAAATTGTTACTTTATGACTGCATATTTTGTATACTTTGGACAGAGGACTCAACTTGTTAAGCAATTTTTTTTAAGTTCCTCTAGTATTCAACCTTCTTTAAATGACTTTATGGAAATAAGCAAAACCAAAATGTATTTCTCAATACTGTTTAATATTGTTTGTGGGCTGGTTGAGGCTCTGTTTCCCATTATATGTAATTTTAGGGCCTAAGGTGAAGAAGCAGATAATATTGAGGATATTCTACACTCACAGCACACACAAAAAATAAAACATTATTGGACTGAAGAAATAGTTTAAAAGTTAACTTCAAATGTGTCATAATTCATTTCTACTTCCATTTCATTGGTCAAATCAATTTTCATAAAATACCACGTTACATGCAGCAATAAAGTATATTTATGCTTGAACAGAGATTGTCTATAAATAATTTAAAACAATAATAGAATCTATCAAATGTCCCCCAATATGCAAATATTCACATTTACTTGCCAAATACACTTACTCCCTAGCACGTATACCACTGTAAGAATCAAAGACTGCAAATAATTCTTTTTGAAAATAAGTAAAGTAAGAATGCACAATATTGACTCATCCATAGTAATTTTAAAATTCTTCTAAGGCCCTTGTTGACATTGAAAAGTTTCCTGCTTCGAAGATTAAGATGGCCTTGAGGAGGCCATCTTCTGCTCCCTGAGAGCAGCTCCCCAATCTTCTTTCTTCCATGGCTCTCATGCTGCCATCTTGGTGGTGCATCTTTTATCATTAATTTCGGTGGCCTTATCTGAAAATGTCATTGGAAGAGAGAAAGATTTCTCATTTTGCTTCATGCTCATGGTAGATGGGTGTCCATATTTCATTTTAAGCCTTAAAGAATCACAGTATTTTTATTAAATTTAGTAAGACTTCTGGTGGTGCAGTGCTGAAATATATCTGATTTTAAATATTTCAGTCAAGCAATCTTTATGTGCTAATAGTTATACCAACAATTATTTTTGAGTTGTGCCTTCTCTCCCCATATATATATAAAAAAACTTGTTTTTTAAGAATAGTATAGAGATTTTAAATTCAACAACTACCATGTATTCTACACCCAGAACAAAAATAGAACACTAACAGACCTCCAGATTCTCCCATTATACTCCATTCTAGTTGTAAATTTCAAAGTATAGCCAATATTCAATTTCAATATTCATCACTATGTTTATGTGAGACATCCATATTGTGTGTAATTGTAGTTTATTAATATTCACTGCTATTGTTGCAGGAATCGGGAGACTGGAGAGACTAATAGGTGGAACCAAAGGATTTCATTGAATGCACTCAGGCCCAGCAGATTAACATCCAAAGGCTGGGCCCTGAACAAAGACAGGGCTCGACTTTTATACACACTTCTGAAAGACAGTTGGCTAGTTTGAAACAAGCTTACAGTGGCATGAAGCATAGTTGTGTGAAAGCAAGTGTACAGAAGCAGAACTAAGGCGGTTAATCAAATTGTGACAGGTTTATAACTCAGGCTTTCATATGACTCTTGCTATGCGTCCCAGATGGCTGTTATCTTAGCTTCATTAGGAGCCTTTCACAAGCTTATCTTATATCCTTCGCTATGGTGCCCAGATGGCTGCAATCTAGGCCTGCTCAGGCATGTCTCATGACCTTCACTGTGCTACTCACATAAAAAACAGAAACTTACAATCACTAGTTATAGAAAATAGGAATCTATACACTCACAAAACTTGCAGAGGAGGGTGCAACCACACAAAGTGGGGAGGGATTCCAGAGGGAAGTTTACTCATACCAAAGGAGAAAGGAAAATGTGATTTCCTTTTTCACATTTCCTGCTTCACTATACAGTATGCATTTGTAAATATGCAAAAATTTATTTATTCATTACACCATAGATAGGTATTTAAGTAGTTTCCAGTTTTGGTCTAATATATAAAACATGCTATCAGCATGACTGTGAATGTACCTTGGTGAGCATGTGTGATGTACATGCATTTCTATAGAAGTGAATGACTGGGTCATATATTATACACATGTTTAGCTTTAATAGATACTAACTGAGATGGTTTGGCTTTGTGACCCACCCAAATCTCACCTTGAATTGTAATAATCCCCAAATGTCTTGGGAGGGACCCAGTGGGAGGCAATTGATTGATGGGGGTGGGTTTTTCCTGTGCTGTTCTCAAGACAGTGAATAAGTCTCATGAAATCTGATGGTTTCATAAAGGGGAATTCTCCTGCACATGCTCTCTTGCCTATCGCCATGTAAGATGTCCCTCTGCATTTCCTTCATCTTCAGCCATGATTGTGAGGCCTCCCCAGTCAGGTGGAACTGTGAATTCATTAAAACTTTTTCCTTTATACGTTACCTAGTCTCAGGTATGCCTTTATTAGCAGCATGAGAAGAGACTAATATAGTAAGGTGGTACCAGGAGTGGGGCACTGCTGCAAAAATACCTGCAAATGACTGGCAAACTGGATAAAGAGTCAAGACCCATCAGTGTGCTGTATTCAGGAAACCCATCTCATGTGCGGAGACACATATAGGCTCAAAATAAAGGGATGGAGGAAGATCAACCAAGCAAATGGGAAAGAAAAAAAGGCAGGGGTTGCAATCCTAGTCTCTGATAAAACAGACTTTAAACCAACAAAGATCAAAAGAGACAAAGAAGACCATTACATAATGGTAAAGGGATGAATTCAACAAGAAAAGCTAACTATCCTAAATATATATGCACCCAATACAAGAGCATCCAGATTCATAAAGCAAGTCCTTAGAGACCTACAAAGAGACTTAGACTCCCACACAATAATAAGGGAGACTTTAACACCCCACTGTCAACATGAGACAGATCAATGACACAGAAGGTTAACAAGGATACCTAGGAATTGTACTCAGCTCTGTACCAAGCAGACCTAATAGACATCTACAGAACTCTCCATCCCAAATCAACAGAATATATATTTTTCTCAGCACCACATCGCACTTATTCCAAAATTGACCACATAGTTGGAAGTAAAGCACTCCTCAGCAAATGTAAAAGAACAGAAATTATAACAAACTGTCTCTCAGACCACAGTGCAATCAAACAAGAACTTATGATTAAGAAACTCACTCAAAACCACTCAACTCTATGGAAACTGAACAACATGCTCCTGAATCACTACTGGGTACATAACGAAATGAAGGCAGAAATAAAGATGTTCTTTGAAACCAACAAGAACAAAGACACAACATACCAGAATCCCTGGGACACATTTAAAGCAGTGTGTAGAGGGAAATTTATAGCACTAAATGCCCACAAGAGAAAGCAGGAAAGATCTAAAACTGAAACCCTAACATTACAATTAAAAGAACTAGAAAACCAAGAGCAAACACATTCAAAAGCCAGCAGAAGGCAAGAAATAACTAAGATCAGAGCAGAACTGAAGGAGATAGAGACAAAAAAAAACCCTTCAAAAAATCAATGAATCCAGGAGTTGGGTTTTTGAAAAGATCAACAAAATTGATAGACCACTAGCAAGACTAATAAAGAAGAAAAGAGAGAAGAATCAAATAGTCACAATAAAAAAAGATAAAAGGGATATCACCTCCAATCCCACAGAAATACAAACTACCATCAGAGAATACTATAAACACCTCTATGCAAATAAACTAGAAAATCTAGAAGAAATGGATAAATTCCTGGACACAAACACCCTCCCAAGACTAAACCAGGAAGAAGTTGAATCTCTGAATAGACCAATAACAGGCTCTGAAATTGAAGCAATAATTAATAGCTTACCAACCAAAAAAAGTCCAGGACCAGATGGATTCACGGCCAAATTCTACCAGAGGTACAAGGAAGAGCTGGTACCATTCCTTGTGAAACTATTCCAATCAATAGAAAAAGAGGGAATCCTCCTTAACTCATTTTATGAGGCCAGCATCATCCTGATACCAAAGCCTGGCAGAGACACAACAAAAAAAGAGAATTTTAAACCAATATCCTTGATGAACATCGATGCAAAAATCCTCAATAAGATACTGGCAAACCAAATCTAGCAGCATATCAAAAAGCTTATCCACCATGATCAAGTGGGTTTCATCCCTGGGATGCAAGGCTGGTTTAACATACACAAATCAATAAATGTAATCCAGCATATAAACAGAACCAAAGACAAAAACCACATGATTATCTCAATAGATGCAGAAAAGGCCTTCAAAAAAATTCAACAGTGCTTCATGCTAAAAGCTCTTAATAAATTAGGTATTGATGGAATGTATCTCCAAATAATAAGAGCTATTTATGACAAACCCACAGCCAATATCATACTGAATGGGAAAAAACTGGAGGCATTCCCTTTGAAAACTGGCACAAGAAAGGGATGCCCTCTCTCACCACTCCTATTCAACATAGTGTTGGAAGTTCTGGCCAGGGCAATCAGGCAGGAGAAGGAAATAAATGGTATTCAATTAGGAAAAAAGGAAATCAAATTTTCCCTCTTTGCAGATGACATGATTGTATATTTAGAAATCCCCATTGTCACAGCCCCAAATCTCCTTAAGCTGATAAGCAACTTCAGCAAAGTCTCAGGATACAAAATCAATGTGCAAAAATCACAAGCATTCTTATACAGCAATAACAGACAGAGAGCCAAATCATGAGTGAACTCCCATTCACAATTGCTTCAAAGACAATAAAATACCTAGGAATCCAACTTACAAGGGATGTGAAGGACCTCCTCAAGGAGAACTATAAACCACTGCTCAGTGAAATAAGAGAGGATACAAAAAAATGGAAGAGCATTCCATGCTTATGGATAGGAAGAATCAATATCGTGAAAATGGCCATACTGCCCAAGGTAATTTATAGATTCAATGCCATCCCCATCAAGCTACCAATGACTTTCTTCACAGAATTGGAAAAAACTACTTTAAAGTTCATATGGAACCAAAAAAGAGCCCGCATTGCCAAGTCAATCCTAAGCCAAAAGAACAAAGCTGGAGGCATCACGCTACCTGACTTCAAACTATACTAGAAGGCTACAGTAACCAAAACAGCATGGTACTAGTACCCAAACAGAGAGATAGACCAGTGGAACAGAACAGAGCCCTCAGAAATAACACCACACATCTACAACCATCTGACCTTTGACAAACCTGACAAAAACAAGCAATGGGGAAAGGATTCCCTATTTAACAAATGGTGCTGGGAAAACTGGCTAGCCGTATGTAGAAAGCTGAAACTGGATCCCTTCCTTACACCTTATACAAAAATTAATTCAAGATGGATTAAAGACTTAAATATTAGACTTAAAACCATAAGAACCCTAGAAGAAAACCTAGGCACTACCATTCAGGACATAGGAACGGGCAAGGACTTCATGTCTAAAACACCAAAAGCAATGGCAACAAAAGCCAAATTGACAAATGGGATCTAATTAAACTCAAGTGCTTCTGTATAGCAAAAGAAACTACTATCAGAGTGAACAGGCAACCTACAGAATGGGACAAAATTTTTGCAATCTACTCATCTGACAAAGGGCTAATATCCAGAATCTACAAAGAACTCAAACAAATTTACAAGAAAAAAACAAACAACCCCATCAAAAAGTGGGCGAAGGATATGAACAGACACTTCTCAAAAGAAGACATTTTTGCAGCCAACAGTCACATGAAAAAATGCTCATCATCACTGGCCATCAGAGAAATGCAAATCAGAACCACAATGAGATACTATCTCACACCAGTTAGAATGGCAATCATTAAAAAGTCAGGAAACAACAGGTGCTGGAGAAATAGGAACACTTTTACACTGATGGTGGGACCGTAAACTAGTTCAACCATTGTGGAAGACAGTGTGGTGATTCCTCAGGGATCTAGAACTAGAAATACCATTTGACCCAGCCATCCCATTACTGGGTATATACCCAAAGGATTGTTAAGTCATGCTGCTATAAAGACACATGCACATGTATGTTTATTGCGGCACTATTCATAATAGCAAAGACTTGGAACCAACCCAAATGTCCATCAACGACAGACTGGATTAAGAAAATGTGGCACATATACACTATGGAATACTATACAGCCATAAGAAAGGATGAGTTCATGTGCTTTGTAGGGACGTGGATGAAACTGGAAACCATCATTCTCAGCAAACTATCACAAGGAGAAAAAACCAAATACCACATGTTCTCACTCATAGGTGGGAATTGAACAATGAGAACACTTGGACACAGGAAGGGGAACATCACACACTGGGGCCTGTTGTGGGGTGCGGGGAGGGGGGAGGGATAGCATTTGGAGATAAACCTAATGTAAATGATGAGTTAATGAGTGCAGCACACCAACATGGCACATGTGTACATACGTAACAAACCTTCACGTTGTGCACATGTACCCTAGAACTTAAGGTGTAATAAAAAATTAATAAATAAATAAATAAATAAATAATATACCCACAAACGTGGAAGCAACTTTGGAACTGGGTAACAGTCAGAGGTTGGAACAGTTTGGAGGGCTCAGAAGACCTCCAAACTGGATAGGAAGATGTGGGAAAGTTTGAAACTTCTTAGACACTTCTTGAATGGCTTTGACCAAATGCTGCTCATCTCAGATGGAGATAAGAAACTCATTGAGAAGTGAAATAAAGGTTTCCACTTCTATTAGCTATGTTTTAGCAAAAAGATTGGCAGCATTTTGTGCCTGTCCTAAAGATTTGTGGAACTTTGAACTTGAGAAGATGATTTAGGGCATCTGGTGGAAGTAATGCCTAAGCAGGAAAGCATTCAACATGTAACTTGGGTACTGTTAAAAGCATTCAATTTTATGTTTTTACAAAGATATGGTTTGGAATTGGAACTTATATTTAAAAGGGAAGCAAAGAATGAAAATTCAGAAAATTTGCAGCCTGATCCAATAGAAAAGAAAAACCCATTTTCTGAGAGAAATTCAAGCCAGCTGTAGAAATTTGGATAAATAACAAGGAACCAAATGTTAGTCACCTAGACAATGGGGAAAATGTCTCCAGGGCATGTCAGAGACCTTTCTGGCAGTCCCTCCCATAATAGAAATGGAGGTCTTGGAGACAAAAATGGTTTTGTGGGCCAGGCCCAAGGCTGCCCTACTGTGTGCAGGTTAGAGACTTGGTGCCCTGCATCCCAGTCACTCCAGCCTTGACTAAAAGAGGCCAAGGTACAGCTCAGGTCATGGCTTCAGAGGGTGCAAGCCCCAAGTCTTGGAAGCTTCTGCATGGTGTTGAACCTGTGGATGCACAAAAGTTAAGAATTGAGGTTTGGGAACCTCCACTTAGATTCCAGATGATGTATGGAAATTCCTGGGTGTCCAGGCAGAAATTTGCTGCAGGGGAAGGGCCCTCATGGAGAACCTCTGCTAGTGTAGTGCAGAAAGGAAATGTGGGTTTGGAGTCTCCACACAGAGTCCCCATTGGGCACTACCTAATGGAGCTGTGAGAAGAGGTTCTCCAGACCCTAGAATGATAGACCCACTGACAGCTTGCACCATCCACCTAGAAAAGCCACAGACATTCAACACCAGCCCATGAAGGCAACTGGGGTGGGAGAGGCTGTTCCCTGCAATGCCACAGGGGTGGAGCTGCCCAAGTCCATGGGAACCCACCTCTTGCATCAGTGTGATCTGGATCTGAGACATGGAGTCAAAGGAGATCATTTTGGAGCTTTAAGATTTGGCTGCCCCACTAGATTTCAGACTTGCATGGGGCCTGTAGCCCCTTCATTTTGGCTAATGTCTTCCATTTGGAATGCATGTATTCACTGAATGCCTGTATCCCCATTGTATCTAGGAAGTAAATCACTTGCTTTTGATTTTACAGGCTCATAGACCGAGGACTGCCTTGTCTCAGATGGGACTTTGGACCTGGACTTTTGGGTTAATGCTGCAATGAGGTAAGACTTTGGGGGACTCTTGGAAGGCATGATTGGCTTTGAAATGTGAGGGCATGAGATTTGGGAGGGGCCAGAGGTAGAGTGAAATGGTTTGGCTCTGTGTCCCCACCGAAATTTCACCTTGAATTGTAATAATCCCCACGTGTTGTGGGAGGGACTCAGTGGGATGTAATTGAATCATGGGGGTGGGTTTCTTTGTGCTGTTCTCATGATAGTGAATAAGTCTAAAAAGGAGAGTTCCCCTGCATATGCTTTCTTGCCTGCTGTCATGTAAGTCATCACTTTGGTCTTCCTTGATCTTCAGCCATGATTGTGAGGCCTCCCCAGTCGTGTAGAACTGTGAGTCCATTAAACCTGTTTCCTTTATAAATTACCAGTCTCACATATGTCTTTATTAGCAGTATGAGAAAGGACTGATACACTAACAAATTGTTTGTTAAAGTTATAAAAATGACACTTTCACCAATGAATATGAAACTTCCATTTGTTACAAATCAATTCCACAATTTGTTTTTATATCTGTGTGTGCGTGTGTGTGTGTGCACGTGTCCACAGTGTGTTTTTAATGCCACACATTAGGTTCCCTGGAAAATGGACTCTAGGATGTAGATTTGTAGTCAGGCACTCATAAAATCTTACCTCCTTTATCTCTAAAGTAGGTTAGATAGGAGAGGTTTGGGAATAAAGGGAAGTTGAACAGATTTTCAAGTACCATAAAGGCCTCAGCCAATATTACAAGGTTACTCTGCAGCTGGGAAGGCACTTCATAATACTATCTGTCTGGGATGAGGGTGCTGGACCTTTGTAACCTGGAGACTTTGGACAAACTGTATCTCTTCAGCAAAAAGGAAGCCCCAGATATGGATTCATCTATGAGATCTTCATCAAGCACAGTGTAGGAGAAGCATCACGATGGCACATCATAACAATCATATTCCACATCTTTATTCCTAAAATTGTTTCTCAATTCAAGTGATTTCATAGAAAAAGTTCTAGGATTATCCTCCAAGATTCTATTTGCCACTTTTCTTAGAAAAACCTTGCAAAAGAAATGTAAAATGAACTAAAGTTTATGCCATTCCAACTGCGTTCAAGGCTATAAATGATACTCCTAGTCTACCTCCTCTCTCACTCATTCTAGATTACATTGACTTCTGGTGGCAGTCCCGAGTATCTATGTTGTTATCTGTAGGTTGATGAAGATTCTCATTTCTTAGGTATCTAATCCCAAATCATCATGCTTTTCTTGGATCATAGCTACTGCACTTTTTCATTTACCTTGACAATTTGTCAAAGGTTTATTGAAAGATTTCTAAGTTATTATCTTGGTACCATACTCTACCCCTTCCCATTGAGTAACATCAGCCTGACTTCACTCTAATGACTGGAGTCAATTTTCCAAGCTAGGATTGAGACTCTACTCTTTCCCTGTCCTGGTCCCTTGGCATCTAGTTGCTGATTTGACTGGGTGGCATTATAACTTGAAATTTAAACAGAACTTTGTTATGCATTATAATTGAAACATTATCCCTCTAAGAGTCTAGACTTCCAAACTCCAGAGTCTAAAGTTGTAGATCCAGTATTCAGTCTCATGAATATGGCCATAGCTCCTACATATATTTCTAAGGTAGGTCCTGTAGAAGTATTATCTTCTTTTTCACATTTACTATAAATATACGTATATTTATAACATATAAATATACGTATATTTATAACAACATATAAATATACGTATATTTATAACATCATATAAATATACGTATATTTATAACATCATATAAATATACGTATATTTAAATATACGTATATTTATAACATATAAATATACGTATATTTATAACATATAAATATACGTATATTTATAACATATAAATATACGTATATTTATAACATATAAATATACGTATATTTATAACATATAAATATACGTATATTTATAACATATAAATATACGTATATTTATAACATATAAATATACGTATATTTATAACATATAAATATATATATTTATAACATATAAATATACGTATATTTACAACATATAAATATATATATATTTACAACATATAAATATATATATATTTATAACGTATAAATATATATTTATAACGTATAAATATATATTTATAACGTATAAATATATATTTATAACGTATAAATATATATTTATAACGTATAAATATATATATATTTATAACGTATAAATATATAACTATACCATATTTATACTATATTATTATATATTATTATTTATAGTATATTATTTATAGTATATTTATTATTTATAGTATAAATATATATTTTATACTATATGTTTATATTAAGTATAAATATAATATACAAAATATATATTAAATATAATATATATTTTATAAAATACATTTATTTTTATACTGTTATATATTTATATATAAATACATATATTTATGGGCTATGATTTTGTCAGATACATGTATTCTTGAAATATTTTATTCTATGTGATGAAGCACTCTCTCATTCTGTCATTAATGCTGCCTTGTGATGAACAGAAGTTTCTCACAGGGTTGTCCAGCATATAAATTTTTAAATTTTTAGTGAGATATATTTGCATTTTGTTTAAAAATGCATTTGCCTACTCTATGGTGAGTAAGATGTTCCATATATTTTCCTCTGTAGAATGCTCTATTTTAACACATATTTATGTCTGCAATCTACTTGGAATTGATTTTTCTGTACAGCATGAAGTATGAGAAAATATTTTTTCCATAAGGATATCTTATTAACTCAGTGCCACTCACTGAAAAGATGAATGGGCATTTTAAAAGGATATGTTTGTTTCTCTCAGTATTCTAGAATAGAAGGAAATGGATAATGAATGAACTTCTTCTCAATGTAAAATGTAAATGACTATAGTAAAATTAAATAAGACTGAATACCAAATCTAATAGCTAAGATACAGAACACAGAATGGAGCCTTTATAGTTGTATTAGCCAATCTCCCCCGACAAAATAAGGAAATATACATATATTTAAGAGCAACTTTAATAAATTAGCTTCTTTGCCCGGTGAGCTTTAGTATTAAAAGTGTTCTTGTTTCAAAATTCATTTTCAGTATTATGTATTCATGTCTAGCTAGGACAATATTTAAGCATTTAAGGAAAATCGCAAAGTTTATTGTGTGATACATAAAATCATTCTCAGGATATCAGCTTAGATAAAATTTCTTCAGTTCTTCAGGTGACTCTGAACTCCCTACTTCTTTAAATATATCATGATGTGCTTAAATCAACTGAAATGTTGTGTGCAATGATAAACCATGAACATAATGGATATATAGGATATAATTTCTTGCCCAGATCTTCTTTCTATACAAAAAATGAGGACTATATATGTACATTATTACATAACAGAACAAGAATATGTATGAGGAGTTGCTGAGCTTCTACTTTAACTTAAAGGATTACTGGATCAGATTCTTGTTTTAAATGTTACCTTATCACTGAGATTTACACTGCCCAGTCACTGAAAACAGAAACAACATTTTTAAGCTGCTTGTATTTCCATAGAACTTCTCAACTTAGATTTCCCTATTTATTATATTTAATATCTGTTTACCTCACCAGAATATGATCTCCTTGAACCAGAGATTGTTACTTGTTTGGCTCACAGCTATTCCTAAATCACAGAATAGGTCTCCATGTTTTTGAATGTATAAATTGTAGAGGAGAATAGAGATTGCAGAAGAGAAAAAAATGATAAATATACCCTATCCATGTTCTTTGGGGACTTTGATTTATTTTATTATTAGGACTGCAGTTACAAAATAATTTCTCTATTGTTTATTTGTGATTATTCCAGCCTCAAATACATTAGAAAATAATAGGAAATTTTCTTAATCCAGTCTATCATTGTTGGACATTCAGGTTGGTTCCAAGTCTTTGCTATTGTGAATAGTGCCGCAATAAACATACGTGTGCATGTGTCTTTATAGCAGCATGATTTATAATCCTTTGGGTATATACCCAGTAATGGGATGGCTGGGTCAAATGCATACACCATGGAATACTATGCAGCCATAAAAAATGATGAGTTCATGTCCTTTGTAGGGACATGGATGAAGTGGGAAACCATCATTCTCAGCAAACTATTGCAAGGACAAAAAACCAAACACCGCATGTTCTCACTCATAGGTGGGAATTGAACAATAAGAACACATGGACACAGGAAGGAGAACATCACACACCAGGGACTGTTGTGGGGTGGGGGAAGGAGGTAGGGATAGCATTAGGAGATATACCTAATGCTAAATGACCAGTTAATGGGTGCAGCACACCAACATGGCACATGTATACGTATGTAACAAACCTGCATGTTGTGCACATGTACCCTAAAACTTAAAGTACAAAAATAATAAAATTTAAAAAAAAGAATAAAAAAAAAGAAAATAACAGGAAATATAAGAAGTTGTTTAAGACGTCATTAATTGTTGCCTATCTCTGATTATCTGCTGCATTGACTTATTAAGATTATATTTAGAAATGTCACTCAATGTCAAAGCCAGGGATCAGAGATATCTCAATGTGAAAGGTTTTATTAGAAAATAATTTATAGTGAAGTTTTAGTTGAGGGGCTTCTAATTATTATGAAAGTTGATCTATGTCTTTGGATTATTCTGCTTTGTAAAATTGTTGGGGCTCAGAAAACATGCTCCAAAAGGTGGTATTTTGACATGTTGAACTGAAGAAATGATCTCAAGGTCTCTCTCTGACTTTCCCTTGCCTCCCTCTCTCTCTGATCCTCTTTCTTTTCCAAAGCACCAAGATGAGCTCTCTCTGGAAGTTTCATTACCTGACTGAGAAAATGCGATTTTCTTAAATCCCGATCCCTAGGAATCTCATTCAACAACCAGGAAACATTATCATCTGAGAAAAGAAGAGACAAGGAGTCTTCACCATGCCTTTACAGACTTTTCATCTGTCCTTATAAAGACAGCTCTGAGAAGTCATTGGGGGATCCGGATCTGCATAAGACAAACTTTATTCACAATACAGTTCCACATTTCCCCCACCTTTTCATAATTTGTCCACAAACTATTGTTAGTCCTTCACTCCTATTCAGTGTCCAAGAGAATCATTTACAAACCATCTTCTGGACTCTGGGCCCAATCATTACTCACCACTTCCTTCTTCCAAGTGGAGACGGTATTTAAGTATCAAACATCTGGCCCTCTTTTTGGAGTTTTTAATATTTTGTATTACTCTCATGCATATGTGTGCATGCAATAAATATGTTATAGTTTTCTCTTGCTAACTTTTTGTTGTTGTTATAGTGGTGTAAGCCATAACCCTTTATAATGGGGAGGAAAGGGATCACTTCTTTTCCACCTCTACAAATTCTTGTTCAAAACACATGTTCCCGTGAATTTAATATGAAGATGTAAGTCATGCTTAATCCATAATCTTACACTTATCTGAAGAATTCTCTTTAGAAAAAAAATATAGTCTATATTCAGAAAAAAATAAGTGCAATAACTGATCATGTAGCTATATTTAAATCATCTCTGCCACAAATTATTAGAGACACTATTTTGCATACATAAACTATGCTATTCAGACATCTCCAGAGACTCCAGACTGTGAAAATAACTCCTTCTCTTAAGACTTAATACAAATTATTTGATTATTCATCCCTCAAAAGAATGGAAACCCAGCTTTGCCCCTAAACTCTAGGTATATTACAGAGTTAATTATAGTTCTTGTTATCTCTTGTTTTGATGTTATCTTCTTTCTAAATTCTTCACATCACCTGCCTTGTCTACCGGGGTTGGTACAGATAATTTTACATTTACATGTTATTCAACAAATATGGAACAGAATAGTGAAACACTTCTACAGAGTTTTACAAAACACTGTCAGTGTCAGGAAGGTATTTTTTTGCAGCAGGATATTAATGGAAGATTTTTGTTAATAGAGAAATTATATGGAACAACAGAGCAGTAAGTACACCATGCATCTGTTTTCTTAAAGTGTTTTGCTACTCCTGAGTTTCCACATCCAAAGTTTTTTATGAATTAACTTGATCTTCAGACAAATTGTCTGCCTCATTGTTATTTAGGACTTCTCAGATCTCTTTCCTTTTTCCTCTTTTTTTTTTTTTTTTTTTCTTCCAGGAGGATACAGAACTTCACCCTTTCTCTCTCTGGCTTCATTCCCAAAATTCAGAATTGTATTCATTTTATGGGAACCACTGGCTCACTAACCTGCACCAACCTCAAGATCTCTATTTCTTTATCCAAAAATAAATTAAGGTATTGTGATAACAAAAAGGCCAACTAGGTCAGGCCTCAAAGCATTTAGTTGTTCAAAAGAACTAGCAGAGCTTTTAACATTTCGTTCTTTCCTTGACAAGAGCCAATGTTAAATATGGGTTTTCTTTCCCTTTATCTCTATAAAATGTATTCTTTATTTTAGAAGAACTTCCATTCAGTCACCCACCTATTCAAAATAATCAGCTATAATTATTTTTGTCTTAAATAGCATTCTACTTATTTTCAGCTACACTTACACAACGCATAGTGTCATCACTGCACGGCATCAACTTCAAGAAATGCTTGAATAAAATCTCAGGAGGAAACAAACAGTTTCTGGAGAATGTCTACATCAATAATAGAAAAAAATCTGAAACAAAATTAAGTACAATTAAATAATTTAAAAGTCATTTTTGATCAATACTGAAAAGAAATGAAACATAGAAATACAAGAAAAACAACCATGTGTGAATCCCAGAATATTATTTAGACTAAAGTATGGTTCACATATATTTATATATATAATGGTCTACTATGA
This sequence comes from Homo sapiens, assembly GCF_000001405.40. Lineage (NCBI taxonomy): Eukaryota > Metazoa > Chordata > Mammalia > Primates > Hominidae > Homo > Homo sapiens. Next base: position 95,789,095 of record NC_000003.12, read on the forward strand.
GATCAATGAGGTGCTCACAATTTCTCAGAAATGTTTTCAGTTGTCCATTCCATGTTTCTTCAAACACAGTGTCAGAATTGTTAAATGTATACCTTTCATACTTGGTCTCATTTTAAATCAGTAAAAGTATTGTCTAGATCTTCAAGGTTTGATTCCATATGTATTTTGCTGTGAAAATTGCTCCATTCATTTAGATAATGTGACATCAAATTATAAGCTCTAAGCAGCTGTCACTCTTTGCCAGACACTCGGAAATCCTGATGAGAACTGGCATGCCATTTATCTCACAATTCAGTGTCAACAGTAATAAAATCTATGGGCTTAATACATTAACAGTTTCAAGGAGTATCTGAGTTAAAATGAAAACTTAAAAGTATTTTAGTGCATCAAAATAACTGTGTACAGCTGATACTGGTATTGGTGATATATTAGTTTGCAACTGAGAAAATGTAAAGCACTTTGTGAAAATAAATATTGTATTAAAAAAGGGATATTTTTTCAAATGACTCAAATGTATAATAAATAAAAATTACACATTATATTTATGAAAACAACTAAGCCTTTAAGCTAACTTCTTTTATTTGCTTAATGCCTTAAAATACACAGATTATTCATGTATACGTTTCACTTGATGATCCACAGGTCTCTTGGAAATCACAGGCATATCCTCACTTTACCAATTGAGATATTGGGTCTTGGGGCATGAAATAACTTCTTCAGATTCTCCTAGTTGGCATGTGTCAATCCTTAAAATAAAATATAGAAAATATTTCTTTTTTGTCCAATTTTCTAGATTTGTATTTTACTATGTCTCTTGCTTCTTCCTTTTAATTCGTACTATTTTAGAAGTCTTTCATACAGATTCAGAATTGCAACTTAATTTTCATTTTAACACATAATAAAGAACTATAAAGTAAACAAAAATCATAAATTTCCATGTCATGGTTTCTTTTTTTAAATTGTAAACTTTTTCCAATTTAAAACAAATTGTAGTTTATTTAACATTATGTCAAATAAAATATGAAACAGATGGCAAAAGATTAACAGATTTATTTTATAACAAAATTAAATGTACCATTCTCATTATCATATTGTGTTTTCAAATTTCCATTTTTATTTTAGATTCAGGGGGTACACGTGCAGGTTTCTTACATGGATATATTGCTTGATGCTGAAGTTTGGGGTGTGGATGATTCTGTCACCCAGATAGTAAACATAATACTCAATAGGAAGATTTTCAGCCCTTGTTCCCCTCTCTTCTTCCCTCCTTTTGGAGTCACCAGTGTCTATGGTTCTCATCTTTATGAGCATGTGTACCAAATATTTAGTTGCTATTTATAAATAAAAATATGTGATATTTGGTTTTCTATTTTTGCATTAATTTGCTTAGGATGATGGCCTCCAGTTGCATCCATGTTGCTGCAAAAGACATTATTTTATTCTTTTTTTGGTTGTGTAGTAATCCATGGTGTATATGTACCACATTTTCTTTATTGAATCCACCACTGATGCACACCTAGGTTGATTCTATATCTTGCCATTGTGAATGGTGCTGCAATGAACATGGGAGTGAGCATGTGTCTTTTTGGTAGAATGTTAATATAATCACTTCTAATAGTGACCTGGAATTTTCTTTTATTGCACTTATTACAACTTGTATTTATTAATTACTATTTCTTAGAGACAAACTTCATAGTTTAAAGAAACAGTTTTCACCACTGAATCAACAACCTGTAGCAAAAAGTCTAGACCACGGCAATAATGTCCTAAAGAATACATTTCCCAATTAAATGAATACCCTCAAGTCAAAAAAAAAATCAGAGACCAATCAAAAATTAATGGAAATTTTTATTTTTATTTTTTTGTTAACCAATCCTTAGGGTTCTTCAGACAAACGAAACCAATAGGAAATATATGGATATATAAGAAGAGGTTTATTATGGAAATTGCCTCATGCATTTATGGAGACTTAGAATTCCCACAGTAGGCCATCTGCATGCTGGACAACCAGGAAAACCAGTGGTGTAATTTTAGTGTGAGTCTGAAGTCCTGAGAACTAGGAGCTCTGATGTCTGAATGAAGGAGGACATGAATGTTCTAGCTCAAGAAGAGAAACAATTTGTCATTCCTCCACCTTTTTATTCTATCTGAGCCCTCAAAGGGTCAGATGATACCAGCCTACATTGGGTAGGGTGGGTCTCAGTCTACTGATTCAAATACTAATTTCTTCCAGAATCACCCTCATAGGCACACCCAGAAATAATATTTTGCCAGCTAACTGGGTATCCCTTTGCCCAGTCAAGTTAACACATACAATTAACTGAAGTCCTTTATACACCTAGATGAATACAAGAAAAAGAGACATAATATTAAAAAGTAGAAATATTACACAGAAATCAAATTCATAGATGAAATAAATTTTCTACGTAATATTCTATTTCTAGAATGACATGCTTTGACATTTCATTAAGAATTTTTAGATGTTTCAAATGGAACAGACTACATATTTCAGATCAATTGACCTTGAGGATACAATTCAGAAACAAGTTTTACTCAACAGTTTCCATGAGGAGATGTGACTGCCAGATTGGATTAAAGGCCAAGGTTTTGTTGGGATGTGTGTGTGTGTGTGTGTGTGTGTGTGTGTGTGTGTGTACACATGTGTGACATTTTATCAATAATGATTATTGGCAATTTATATTTTATCCCAAGATTACTATGTTTGCAGTGGCAATAAAAATTCATAATTTCATGAGTTACTGTTTTAAAGAGCAAACAGAGAATTTATCTAACTTTAATTATTCAAAATATCTGGAATTGTGTGGTTATTTGCAACAGGTATGCATCAATTTTATATACAGAAGAGTTTGAGTACTTATTTATAGTATAAGTATGTTTATTATTATATTACTATTACAAAATGTTTTAGGAAATTAGTGAAATTAAATTGTAGAACAATACCTTCAATCTTTATAAATAAAAATATAAACTGCACCATTTTATCATTATGTTTAAAAAAGCTTTCCATTTCAGAATTTATATAAATACAAAAAGAACCTATCTACATTTATTTATTTTTTTCCTCATCTTACATACCAAAAATGAACATACTTTTCTCTTTTAGTAAGGTTTTCCCTGGTTTTTCTATCTTAAATTATTTTTTTCAAAGTTGATGCCATTCTCCAAAAAAAAAAAAAACTACAAAATAAACCACCATAGTTATAGAAACATAATGTCCTGCTGGAAATTAATGGAGAGATTTGAGGAGAAATAAGCTATGAATGTCATGATGTTCTTGAAAGCTTTCTGGCTTCCTGTTACTTAAAAGCTACAGAAGTAAAATAAATGTATTCTGAGCATCACTGGGAAAAAACACTATCAAAGGTAAATGTTTAATATTGTTTTATTGACATTTGGGAGTTGGTAACATAGATAATGAAAAAATAGGCGTGAACTAATACATGAGATAAAAAACTAAGTTCAAAAATATATCGGTAAAATAATGCACATGTATGAAACTGTCACTAATGTTTTCATTAAATGTAATCCCCTTAAGCCGAGTAGTAAATTAAAGTGATATATTCAGAGTTATAAGAACCTTGCTATAACTGATCAACAACCGTAGTTTTCAAGGACAAAAAAGCCAGCTGAATAGACAGTCACAGAAAATAAGAATACTACATTCTAAATATCACAATTTCTTGATGGGTAACATTATGTTTATCAGTAATAAGAGAAAAATTAATGAATAGAAATACAACTAGGATTTGCCCCGTCCTTGATGAAAAAACTGAAAAATGACAATGTAAGTAGTTCTTATTTGGGAGCAAGGATATTTATATTTATGTACATAGAGTTAATAGGTTCATTCGGATAACTGTTCTCCAATTGCCTATTATATATTTGTATAGTTAAATAGTCAGTAAATATTTGTTTATATGCACAAAATTTAATAGACACAATGGTGGTTACCTTTGATTAGGGTTCAGGAATATGTAAGGACTTCAAAGTAGCATAAACGTGGCCTCTAGGGTACCGGTAACTTCTATAACTTGATTAGTGATTATATAATTGTATGCATTTTGTAAAAATCAAAACTAAGTGTGCTCTTATTTGGGTACTATATGATATATAAGCTATACTACAACAATAACATTTGTCTAAAAATATTTAATGTTATTTTAAAGGGACAATATAGTATGTTAATTGACTAAACTTGTAAAGGGGCCTGGATTTGTTTGGGGAAGAAAAAATTCAGAAAACAGGCCTATAGGACATCGTTGATGATGGTGATGTGAGTGGAAGTCATGGATTATGAGGATGAGCCAAGAGAGGAGGCTGGAACCTGATGAATGAGGATCCTGAAGAATATGATAAGCATCTTGACTTGATCCAACAGAAGAAGAGATTCTTTGAAAATTTGAGACTATTTTATCTCCGCTAATAAAGAAGTTTTAATTTTAAAAAAATTGTCTACACTCTTGAGGGACAAAGTTGTTGCATGAATATATGATTCCCTTCTAAATATTTATTAATCATTTTAGTTTTTCTACAAAATTAAATTTCAAAATGCCAATAATATAGGTAAAAGTATTGAATAATATTGATCACAAAGTTTTTAAATGATAAAGCCATTACTAGCTGATAACAGTAAATTATTACTTTTTTATAATTTAAAAAACTTGGAAGTATTTTATCCTCATTATGTATGTTAATTGCAACAATATGGAGAGAAATTTATTCAGAAATGTTTCTATACAAAGAAATGAGAACAATTCATTGGCATTTAATGTCTTAGAAGTGGGAAATAAAATCTGATACAAGTTTATTGGTTACATTGAATGTTTCCATCACAACTGTTGACTATCTGGCCCAACTCACTTGTATTACCACAATAACCTCCCAGCTAATGTCCTTGATTATATACCTCTACCTTTACATGATTCCATCATAGTTTGAGTGACCTTGTTGAAACTGACCACAGATACAAATACCAAAACTTTATTCAAAATCCTCAAATGGTTTCTCAACTTATTCAGAATAAATTTCAAAGTCATTATTATTTCATGCTTCTATCCCGAATTGATTTGGTCACTGCTTAGCTCTCTGATGTCATCTCTTACTGCTTTTTCCATCACTCGCTCTGCCTCGATTACACTGACATCCCCCTTTTCCTCAAACATGCTAAGCACACTTTCATATCAGATCCTATAATTTTACTGTTTTTGCTATCTGAAATTTTCACTGCTTCACACCAGACAAAATCCACCAGAAATGTACGTAATGTTCAAAGTTAAGTTTATTAGCTTGCTGAAGCAAGGGAGAACACACAACATGGAATCCCTATGGCCTCTCGGTAAAACAGAGATGAAAGGGTTTCACTTTAGTATCTGAACTATTATATAGTACACAAATAAGAGCACACTTAATTTTAATTTTACAAAATGAACACAAGTACACAATCACTACTCTAATCAAGTTATAGAAGTTACCGGAACACTAGAGGCCACATTTATGCTACTTTTAAGTCTTTGTATATTTCCAAACCCTCATCAAAGGTAACCGCCATTTTGTCTATTACATTTTGTGCATATAAACAACTATTTACTATTTAACTGTACAAATATATAATAGGCAATTGGAGAACACGTTAATTTGACAGAAGGTTTAAAAAATAGGTGTGTTCTGAAGTGGATGCTTTAAGGAAGTTCAGATATTTCATAATTTGATATTTTAACACATTTTACATAAAAGAAGAAAAGCATAAAATGGAAGTGTCATTAGTTTAAAAAAAAAAGGAGTCATCCATATTAGATGAGAGAGAAAAATGGTATTTATTTTAGCAATCACAGAATGTCCTTTGTTCTATCAGGAAGCAGTCTTGTCTGATTATTACTGTTATCAGTGGCCTTGTCTGAATACTGTTGATATTCTGTGAAGCTTGTTTATGTTTATTTGGGAATACTATAACTTAGCTCCTGACAACCAGTTGCCAGCTGTCGGCTTTCAGATAGTTTTCCTTCCTCTCTTCTTTTTGTCCTGGCTTCCTTCCTTCCTTCCTTCTTTCCTTTCTTCTTTCCTTCCTTCCTTTCTCCCTTCCTTCCCTCCTTCTTTCTTTGCTAACAAATGATAACTTATTCATAGCACCAACCTGAATAATGGAATTTACTCTCCATAGAAAAATACTGAACATATAATATAATTTTGTTTCTTAAAAACAAAACTCAAAATAAAGGGAGAAGTAACCTGCCATAGTAGATTATAGTTATGCAGGAATTAGCATGATGCCCATCCATCCTTACTAACCTAATCAACCTGGAACAAATAGAGCTGTATTCTAAATACAGCTGTAAATACACTGTAGCCTTTCTCAAAGCAAATATTCTATCAACTTAATAATCACAGTCATGAGAGTTTATGTTCAACTTGAGACATTTTGTGTTTTTTACACGCTCATGAATTCACAAATGAATACAAATAAAGTTATTACAGGAGACCTTAAAAAGTACTTGATATAAGAAGATAAATCTTCCCTGGATTGCTCAGTATTCCTACAAAGTCCTAGCTTCCTAAGACATAAAAATTAATATGTTACAAAAATAGAGGGTGCTTGATTTTAATTTCTCCAGAAATATTTGCTTTTTACATGCCATGAGTATGAGATCTGCAGCCATTTGTCTTACTATTTCACTCAAAGAATAAGACTTCTCTCATCCCTCCAAGAACTAAATGGTTGCATTGCCGGGTAGTGACCTGGATTAACACAAAGGGTGGTCACTGGAGGGATTTACAGAGTTAGGGTCCTGTGTGTTTACATTTCAAAAGGGATAAAACCCTGTGTTATAAAATTGGAGATAGTTATATATCTTTCCTTTGCAGAGATTTATTTAAATTTCAAAGGACACAGGATCTTACCCATCTTTTCCAAAGAAGAGAAATCATTTACATTGAAGATGCTAAAATTATCTCCCTCTCTCAGGAGGAAAAGGGGGTACAATGGTCCCTTTTCAATATAATGTAAGTAGAGATATTTATATTTCTGCATCCGTCTCCTACACACACACACACACACAAAAAAAAAAAACCTGTTCATTCACGTGTCTCTCATCGTATTGCCTGAAGGGTGCCAGGCATAGCAAGATCAATGCTGCCATGATTCTCTGTCCTCCTTTATTTCTATGAGTAAATAAAGTTTTAACTCTGACCCAAAGATTTGGCATTTCTGCTAGTATCTATCTACATCTACATTGTATACATCTACCTCCTTATCTGAATCTATATCTGTAATTGTCTGTATCATATATATGAATATGTAACTGTGCATGTAAGCTAACAGCTCAGATGCCTTGTAGTTTCTGACTTAACATTTAAATGAGATATAAGTCAGCCTAAACTTTCAATACTTTTGGTTTTCCTATTCAAAACACTAAAATGCTTTACTAGTCCACTTAAGTATAAAGCAGATTCTGTAGTATTTCTGAAGTGTTAACATACAATAGAATCTTATTAAAATGTTCATAAATTGGTGCAATAATTATATAAAAGCAATAGTTGAAGGTGCGTATTTAGAAATTATGCCAATCTCAAAGCTTGATGGCTCTCAGTTTGGAATCATAACCATAGGTTGCATGTTCAAGAAGGCTGACTAGAAGCAGCTAGTGCACACCACTCTCACAGAGAGTAAACAAATTGGTGAGTAAATACTAGCTCTTCAATTGGATCATCTAAGAAATCATGCTGGTATTCACCAAGGAAGCAACATGGCCCAGGAAGAGCAGAGAAGAATAAAGCTTTGCAGCCACCCACCTGAGCACCACCATTAGAGCCCTTCTGAAAAACACACACGTATAGACCCGTGATCTTCTCCTGGGCTCCCATCCCCTAACCATGCTGCCTGCCACCTACTGAGGGTTCAGCCAGTGACCTGGGAAGCAGCCTGCCCCTCCCAATCACAACCAGCACCTAAACCCTGGGTTATCCCAACCTGGTCATGCCCTATCAGGACACATACATGCTCTCCAGAGTGCCATCTAGTAGCCTGTGAACTGGAAAACTACCCCATTTTAACTGTGATGGTACCTGACCACTTCCCACAGGGCCTGAGGTCAGGCCAACTCAACCATCCAGCACAACCACAACCAACACCCAACCACATAGGCTTAAAATGGAGCCCCCTGTTTTACACGAAACAGCAGTGCTACCACATCAGAGAACAGGAAAGCCAGAAAGCTATCTGTATCAGGCAGAGTGATGTAAGTTCTGCTCCCAAATCACTCCCATGGAGATTCGTAAAACAAGCATTTCCTGAGACTCTCAACCATATTGTGGTCTGGAGATAGACCACAGTGTGTGTCTGAAATAGGAGTCGCAAGCCCCAGAACAGGGATGCGGTAAGGTAACAGTCCAGGTTGCTGCCTATCTAGGACAAGGAGCTGATACAGCACCCCCAGACTCCTACAGAGATGTCAGTGCATTTCACCAGGAGCTCCTCCCATCCACCCTCATTAAGGCTTGTGCCTGTGCTCACCATAGGGGTCCTTGTGGGCAAGGCAGGGGCTCCAGCTCTGCCTAGCTGTGTCTACCCAATCTCTGTAGAGCAGGAAGCTCAGGACACTGGGAACTCTACTGTCCACCATCTGCTTGCACCACAGTTGGCTCTCACTTGTGAGCACAATCTACTGACCTGCAGGTTGAAACACATAGTCCAGTATAAAACCTACTGACAGAAGTGAAGAGGGCTATAGAAGCAAACCCAAGAGACACTACCTAACATACTCTATAGTTACACCCCTTGCTGGCAGGGCGAAGAAAGGAAAAAAGATTTTTCTTGGCAAAGAAAAAAAATCTATCTGCACAAAAATGATTATAAAAATTAGAAGTGCCAACCTCTCCAGATGGAAAGAAACCAGCACAAGAATTCTGACACCATGAAAAATCTGAATGTTGTGACATTACAAATGGATCACACTAGCCTTCCAGCAATGATCCCTAACCAAAATGGAAACCCAGAAAGGACAAATAAACAATCCAAAGCATGGATTGCAAGAAAGTTTAGTAAGATCCATGACCAGGTTGAAAGTTGACACAAATAAATTTCTAAACCAATCCAGGAAATAAAGAACAGGTTAACATCTTAAAAAAGCAATCAGTCAGAGCTGCTGAAATAAAAAACGTACTTAAGAAATTTCAAAATACAACTAAAAGTTTTATCAATAGACTAGACCAAGCAGAAGAATTTCATAACTTGAAGATCAGTCTTTTCAACTTGCACAGTCAGACAGACCCCAAGAAAAGAAATTATTTTTTAAAAAAGACAAAGCCTTTCAGGAATACAGAATTGTGTAAAGCCACCACACCTACAAATTATTGGCATTTCTGAGAGAGAAGGAGAAAAATTAAACAATATGGAAATATATTTGAGAGAATAATTCAAGAAAATTCTCTAATCTTCCTAGGGAGGCAGAAAACCAGATAGAAGAAATAAAGAGAACACCTGTGAGATACTATACAAAACACATATCACCAGGAACATAGTCCTAAGATTGTCTAAGGTCAATGCTAAAGAAAATTATCTTAACGGCAGCTACAGAAGAAAAAGTTCAGATCACATACAAAGGGAACCCATCAAGCTAAAAGCAGATTTCTTAGCAGAAACTTTTCAATCCAGAAGAGATAGGGGTTTATTTACAATATTAAAAAAGAAGAAGAAAAAACCACTAACCACATCCTGCCAAAGTATTATGAGCAAACAAGAAAGAAAATCTTTTTCAGATGAGCAATCACTAACAGAATTTCTTACCTTTAGATAAGCCTTACAAGAGATTCTAAAGGGAGTTCTAAATGTGGAAACAAACAAACAAACAAACAAAAACTGTACTAGCCATCACAAAAACACAATTAAGTACACAGCCCACAGAGCCTATAAAACAACTAGACAATGGAGACTACAAAGCAACAAGCTTTGACAGGATCATAACTCCACATATCAATATTAACCTTTAATGTAAATGGGCTAAATGCTTCTCTTAAAAGGCAAAGAGTTGCAAGTCGAATAAAAAACAAGACTATTCTGTTCTTTAAGAGACCTGTTTGCCTACAAGAGACCCATTTCACATCTAGCAACATCCATAGGATAAAAGTAAAAGGTTGGAGAAAGACCTATCACACAAATGGAAAACAAAAAGAGAAAAGATCTTTGTTCTTATGTCAGATAAAACAAACATTAAACAAAACACACTAATAAAAAAAGAAAAAGAAAAGAATACATACTAATCAATGATTTGATGCAAAAAGAAGACAAACTATCCTAAAGATATGCAAAACCAACATTAGAGCACCCAAATTCACTAAATAAGTACTTCTAGACCTAGGAAAAGACTTGAACAGCCAGACAATAATAGTAGGGGACTTCAACACCCTACTGACAACATTAGACAGATCATTGAGGCAGAAAGCTAACAAAGAACTTCTTAACTTAAATCCAACATTTGACCAATTGGACCATATAGACATCTGCAGAATACCACAACTATTGACTACAGAATATACATTTATCTCATTTAAGTATGTGGTTTAGGTCTAATAATCCACATGCTCAGACATAAAGTAAGGCTCAATAAATTCAACAAAAGTAATCATGCCAACCATACTCTTGTACCATAGTGTAATAAAAATAGAAATTGATATCATGAAGATCTCTCAAAAGCACACCATTACTTGGAAATTAAGCAAATTTCTCCTGAGAGAATTTTTTGTAAATGACAAAATTAAGTCAGAGATTAAAAAAAATATTTAAAATAAGTGAAAACAAGCTAGGCACAGTGGCTCGTGCCTGTAATCCCAGCATTTTGGGAGGCTGAAGCGGGCGGATCACCTGAGGTCGGGAGTTGGAGACCAGCCTGACCAACATGGAGAAACCCCATCTCTACTAAAAATACAAAATTAGCTGAGCGTGGTGGCACATGCCTGTAATCCCAGCTACTAGGGAGGCTGAGGCTGGAGAGTCGCTTGAACCTGGGAGGCGGAGGTTGTGGTGAGCCAAGATTGTGCCATTGCACTCCAGCCTGGGCAACAAGAGTGAAACTCCATCTCAAAAATAAAATAAAATAAAATAAAATTAAATTAAATTAAATTAAATAAGTGAAAACAGAGACATGGCATATGAAAATCCCTGGGATGCAGCAAAAGCAGTGTTGAGAGGAAAGTTTATAGTGCCAAACACCTATGTCAAGATATTAGTAAGATCTCAAATTAGCAGTTTAACGTCACACTTAAAGGAACTAGAAAAACAAGAAAAAACTAACCCTAGAGCTAGCAGAAGAAAAGAAACAACTAAGAGCAGAATTGAGCAACATTGAGACACCACAATCAATACAAAAAATAAATGAAACCAGAAGTTGGTAATTTGAAAGGATAAAGAAGATTGATAGACTGCTAGCTATATTAACAAAGAAAAAAAGAGAAGATCCAAATAAGAACAATCAGAAATGAAAAAGATGACATTATGAACAATTTTACAAAAATAAACAGTTCCATAGAGACTATTATGAAAGCCTCCATGCACACAAACTAGAAAATCTAGAGAAAATGAATTAATTACTGGACAACTACAACCCTGGCCAGATTGAAGCAGGAAGAATTTAAAACCCTGTAAAGACCAATATCAAGTTCCAAGATTGAATCAATAATTTAAAAAAAGCCTGCTAACAAAGAAAAGCCTCTAATCAGATGAATTCCATGCTGACTTTTACCACACCGTTGCATTTCCAAGGAAAAGAAAATAAATTACTTATTTTCTATAAAATATAGTACATATTTTCTAATAATTATATTTGTAAAACATAATGATACAGAAAATATTATAAATGTAGATATTAAATATATGTATTAAAAGTCTATTACCTGTTGCAACAATGAAGATATCTCAAATTCATGAATTCTAAATTGTAATGTTAATTTTTCTATAGAAAAAAATTAATTCCAGACTTTTAATTACTTATTAGTTATCCATATTACTATTGTAAAATGTATTGAATAATCACATCAAGTAATTATGTTTTACAAGATACTTATAATTATATTTATTATTAAATTATAACTTTATCAGAATGAAAAACAACTTTCCAATGTTATTTAGAAATTATTCACCTTTAGATAATCCTTTGCAAAGTATCAACACACATTATTTTATTCTAAGATTCAGTGGATTTTTTAAATCCAAATAATTAGACATATATAAATCTTTTTGTTTAATTGTTTGTGTCTTTTTGATTTGTACATTGTTCTCATCCTTTTAATTCTTTTACATAAGCAGAAAAAGATCATACTACTGGCCGGGCGCGGTGGCTCACGCCTGTAATCCCAGCACTTTGGAAGGCCGAGGCGGGTGGATCATGAGGTCAGGAGATCGAGACCATCCTGGCTAACAAGGTGAAACCCCGTCTCTACTAAAAATACAAAAAAATTAGCCGGGAGCGGTGGCGGGCGCCTGTAGTCCCAGCTACTCGGGAGGCTGAGGCAGGAGAATGGCGTGAACCCGGGAAGCGGAGCTTGCAGTGAGCCGAGATTGCGCCACTGCAGTCCGCAGTCCGGCCTGGGCGACAGAGCGAGACTCCGTCTCAAAAAAAAAAAAAAAAAGAAAAAGATCATACTACTAAGGATTAACTTTTTACAAAGAAAATAGCTAATATAGATACCAGCATCAGCAGGCTGACTATAGAAATTACTAAAATTAGCACCTACAACCATGGTTTCTTTCTGCTAAGGCAAACAAACACTGTGCCAAGAGACAAAATTTAGTTTGATTTTATCTTTTGGAGCTGCATGGATGTAGCAATTATTATTGACATTGCTTTTGGCGCTGCATGGATGTGGTTATTATTATTGTCATTGCTTTTCAACATTCTTATAATATGAAAGACCTGAAGATTACCTTTAAAGAAACAGCAGTAGATTTTGTAATACCATAGGATACCATATGAAATAGATTGGACAATGACTGCAATTGTACATATTGATAAATTCCTCAGTTTGGCATTTTAAGGAGGAATGTCCATTGATTAGGTTATTCTAAAAATCATTTTAGATAGGTATAAAGAAATATGATTTTCTTTTAACTTCTTCAAATAATTGAATTATTGATAATAAGACGGGTAATTGTAAATTCTTCCCAAACACAACACATCCAAAATTTCAGATGCGATTTATAACATTTAGTGATTGGATTTTCTTTTTAGGAATCAATTCATATTATGCTGTATGAATTCAAATAACTTCAGTCTAATATTGGTAGAATTCTAACATTCAGATAAATCTAAGATTAGAAGCCAAATAAAAGGGAGAAACAATTGTGACACAAGAGACAAGGCAAGGAAGAAACTGGTGGTATTTCACTGGAATGAGAAATATTAGTATTCAGCTTTTTTTTTATTATTATACTTTAAGTTTTAGGTTACATGTGCACATTGTGCAGGTTAGTTACATATGTATACCTGTGCCATGCTGGTGCGCTGCACCCACTAACTCGTCATCTAGCCTTAGGTATATCTCCCAATGCTATCCCTCCCCCCTCCCCCCACCCCACCACAGTCCCCAGAGTGTGATATTCCCCTTCATGTGTCCATGTGATCTCATTGTTCAATTCCCACCTATGAGTGAGAATATGCGGTGTTTGGTTTTTGGTTCTTGCGATAGTTTACTGAGAATGATGATTTCCAATTTCATCCATGTCCCTACAAAGGACATGAACTCATCATTTTTTATGGCTGCATAGTATTCCATGGTGTATATGTGCCACATTTTCTTAATCCAGTTTATCATTGTTGGACATTTGGGTTGGTTCCAAGTCTTTGCTATTGTGAATAATGCCACAATAAACATACGTGTGCATGTGTCTTTATAGCAGCATGATTTATAGTCATTTGGGTATATACCCAGTAATGGGATGGCTGGGTCAAATGGTATTTCTAGTTCTAGATCCCTGAGGAATCACCACACTGACTTCCACAATGGTGGAACTAGTTTACAGTCCCACCAACAGTGTAAAAGTGTTCCTATTTCTCCACATCCTCTCCAGCACCTGTTGTTTCCTGACTTTTTAATGATTGCCATTCTAACTGGTGTGAGATGATATCTCATAGTGGTTTTGATTTGCATTTCTCTGATGGCCAGTGATGATGAGCATTTTTTCATGTGTTTTTTGGCTGCATAAATGTCTTCTTTTGAGAAGTGTCTGTTCATGTCCTTTGCCCACTTTTTGATGGGGTTGTTTGTTTTTTTCTTGTAAATTTGTTTGAGTTAATTGTAGATTCTGGATATTAGCCCTTTGTCAGATGAGTAGGTTGTGAAAATTTTCTCCCATGTTGTAGGTTGCCTGTTCACTCTGATGGTAGTTTCTTTTGCTGTGCAGAAGCTCTTGAGTTTAATTAGATCTCATTTGTCAATTTTGGCTTTTGTTGCCATTGCTTTTGGTGTTTTGGACATGAAGTCCTTGCCCATGCCTATGTCCTGAATGGTAATGCCTAGGTTTTCTTCTAGGGTTTTTATGGTTTTAGGTCTAACGTTTAAATCTTTAATCCATCTTGAATTGATTTTTGTATAAGGTGTAAGGAAGGGATCCAGTTTCAGCTTTCTACATATGGCTAGCCAGTTTTCCCAGCACCATTTATTAAATAGGGAATCCTTTCCCCATTGCTTGTTTTTCTCAGGTTTGTCAAAGATCAGATAGTTGTAGGTATGCGGCATTATTTCTGAGGGCTCTGTTCTGTTCCATTGATCTATATCTCTGTTTTGGTACCAGTACCATGCTGTTTTGGTTACTGTAGCCTTGTAGAATAGTTTGAAGTCAGGTAGTGTGATGCCTCCAGCTTTGTTCTTTTGGCTTAGGACTGACTTGGTGATGCAGGCTCTTTTTTGGTTCCATATGAACTTTAAAGTAGTTTTTTCCAATTCTGTGAAGAAAGTCATTGGTAGCTTGATGGGGATGGCATTGAATCTGTAAATTACCTTGGGCAGTATGGCCATTTTCACGATATTGATTCTTCCTACCCATGAGCATGGAATGGTCTTCCATTTGTTTGTATCCTCTTTTTCAGCACCACACCACACCTATTCCAAAATTGACCACATAGTTGGAAGTAAAGCTCTCCTCAGCAAATGTAAAAGAACAGAAATTATAACAAACTATCTCTCAGACCACAGTGCAATCAAACTAGAATTCAGGATTAAGAATCTCACTCAAAGCCGCTCAACTACGTGGAAACTGAACAACCTGCTCCTGAATGACTACTGGGTACATAACGAAATGAAGGCAGAAAAAAAGATGTTCTTTGAAACCAACGAGAACAAAGACACAACATACCAGAATCTCTGGGATGCATTCAAAGCAGTGTGTAGAGGGAAATTTATAGCACTAAATGCCCACAAGAGAAAGTAGGAAAGATCCAAAATTGACACCCTAACATCACAATTAAAAGAACTAGAAAACCAAGAGCAAACACATTCAAAAGCTAGCAGAAGGCAAGAAATAACTAAAATCAGAGCAGAACTGAAGGAAATAGAGACACAAAAAAACCCTTCAAAAAATCAATGAATCCAGGAGCTGGTTTTTTGAAAGGATCAACAAAATTGATAGACTGCTAGCAAGACTAATAAAGAAAAAAAGAGAGAAGAATCAAATAGACACAATAAAAAATGATAAAGGGGATATCACCACTGATCCCACAGAAATACAAACTACCATCAGAGAATACTACAAACACCTCTACGCAAATAAACTAGAAAATCTAGAAGAAATGGATACATTCCTCGACACATACACTCTCCCAAGACTAAACCAGGAAGAAGTTGAATCTCTGAATAGACCAGTAACAGGAGCTGAAATTGTGGCAATAATCAATAGTTTACCAACCAAAAAGAGTCCAGGACCAGATGGACTCACAGCCGAATTCTACCAGAGGTACAAGGAGGAACTGGTACCATTCCTTCTGAAACTATTCCAATCAATAGAAAAAGAGGGAATCCTCCCTAACTCATTTTATGAGGCCAGCATCATTCTGATACCAAAGCCGGGCAGAGACACAACCAAAAAAGAGAATTTTAGACCAATATCCTTGATGAACATTGATGCAAAAATCCTCAATAAAATACTGGCAAACCAAATCCAGCAGCACATCAAAAAGCTTATCCACCATGATCAAGTGGGCTTCATCCCTGGGATGCAAGGCTGGTTCAATATACGCAAATCAATAAATGTAATCCAGCATATAAACAGAGCCAAAGACAAAAACCACATGATTATCTCAATAGATGCAGAAAAAGCCTTTGACATAATTCAACAACCCTTCATGCTAAAAACTCTCAATAAATTAGGTATTGATGGGACGTATTTCAAAATAATAAGAGCTATCTATGACAAACCCACAGCCAATATCATACTGAATGGGCAAAAACTGGAAGCATTCCCTTTAAAAACTGGCACAAGACAGGGATACACTCTCTCACCGCTCCTATTCAACATAGTGTTGGAAGTTCTGGCCAGGGCAATCAGGCAGGAGAAGGAAATAAAGGGTATTCAATTAGGAAAAGAGGAAGTCAAATTGTCCCTGTTTGCAGGCAACATGATTGTTTATCTAGAAAACCCCATTGTCTCAGCCCAAAATCTCCTTAAGCTGATAAGCAACTTCAGCAAAGTCTCAGGATACAAAATCAATGTACAAAAATCACAAGCATTCTTATACACCAACAACAGACAAACAGAGAGCCAAATCATGAGTGAACTCCCATTCACAATTGCTTCAAAGAGAATAAAATACCTAGGAATCCAACTTACAAGGGATGTGAAGGACCTCTTCAAGGAGAACTACAAACCACTGCTCAAGGAAATAAAAGAGGATAGTATTCAGCTTTCTAAAGAATGCATGATTCCCCTGCATTAAAGTTTTTCAACGACTGAACCTCCAGCATTCTTTACAAATTGGTGTCAATTCTCTCCAGGGATGACCTCTGCTATCTCTCATTGACTCCAGGCATATAATGAAAATCAGTGCCCAACAATTCCCACACAATGAAGCACAAAGGCAATTCCCAGAAGAGAGAGCCTATGCACTGAAAGTGTTACAAGATCTATTGACAGAAAGTGTAACAATCTCTATGGGCAGAAGTCTGGGAAGCATGTATAGGTAAGCGTGGATTTTAAATTTGAAGACAGAATAGAATTCTTGATTATGTTGAATGTATTGACATGGTGCACCTGACTGAGAATAAGAATTTAATATGTTGGCTCAATCATCTGGGACTGGTTTGCAGGGTCTCTTAGATGGGTTAATTGACACCTGGACTCAGTGACTGCCTCCATGCATTGATATTGCTATGTAAGTATCTCTGTGCTTTTCTACGGGGAATACAGTCTAAAGACTGAATGCTTAAAAGACTGGGAATAAATGGATTCAGCCACTCCATTTCTGACCACAGCATGATTGTTCATGATAAAGCAATCAGGCACACACAAACTATGGAAAGTTTTACAATGTTCCACATTCCAATATGGTGCAAATGGCCTCTACTCTAAAGATCACAATGTTAAGAAAAAAAAAAAGGCTGAACAATTCTTTAAAGAAAATTAAAGTCATGTGACAAATGAATGTGATATGTGTTGCTGGATTAGATCCAGTATTTTTTTAAAGCTCTATGTGATTCTATTGGAACATCAGTAAAATTTTACTAGGAATTGCCCATTAATTCATAGCATTGCATTAACAGTAAATATTTTGAATTTGAAAAATTTACATTGGTTGCCTAAGAGTATGTTCTTGCACTCACAAAATATAAACTCTTTGTGGCTTAAGAATTCATGATATTGGCAATTTACCCTCAAGTCGTTTCATGAAGTTCACAGTGCCAGAGCCTCCTTTCTGGTTCATTTTGTTGAAGTGCCCTGCAATGGGCTGAAGGAGTAAGTGACTCTTTTCTAGCCTCCAAGAAATCCCTATGTCATAATGTACTAAGGGCAAGGATAGTATACAAATGTAATGCTGATTGTTAAATATTGTCTTTAAAAAGACCTTAATTCCTGGAGACCTAAAACAACATTGTGGTACTTTGGGTAAAGTCTTGGGAGGTCAGAAATTAAATTTTTCCCTAGTTGTCTCACAGTGAGTTGACTGGGGCTGTGGAAACTTGATACTCTCCCAGTTCCACTTGGGAATTAATATAATTAATCACTGAGAAAAGAACTGTGTTGATTCCCTGACCCATGAATTGAGAGATAATATTGTAAGAAGACCCAAGTTTAAATCCCCTGCAACTGTCCTCTCGCCTTACAAAGATAGGAAGCAAAATCAGTAGGTAATACATTCCTTAGACTATTAGAGATGAGTGCTGACCAAGCACTTGAAATTTGTAAAGGTTGTGATTCCCACAACATATATTTACCTCTGATTGGCTAGTACAAAAGCCAGATTGTCTATAATGAAATATTATATATAATTACAAACTCAGTCAGGTGTTGAAGCTGATCATCAGCCAATCATAACTGCATTTCTGGATTTATTACCAATCCTGGGGAAAGTCATCACAGCTCTTTGCATTTGCCATGCAGTTACTGACCTAGCAAGTGCTTTCTTTTCCATATTTATGAGTAAAAATAATAAGTCAGATGTGTTTTTTTCCCCAGTTTAAATATTTGAAAGGATTTACCACACTGCACAGTGTATACTAATGAAAGGTTTTCATATGAAGGGAATCAATACGGAGCAGTGAAATCAAGTGAATGCAGGCAAGCATAGAAAGCCTAAGAGACATTTAAATGACCCAAACTCTTCATAGCTCCATCTTTGCACACAGATGGGCTTAGTCTGTGTCTCAAATCCCCAAGAATCTTAACAGGAATATTGGCTTAAAGAATTCCAAGGATCTTTCAGTGTGAGAACCTCAGTCAATAATTAAGTCATGCTTGTCAACCAGGTAGGACAGTTGGATGCCATCAGCTTGTACAGAATATCCATTCATTTATTCATTCATTCACTCCACCTAAGCCCTACTCCAGGAAGATGACAAACCTCATTGATCAGTTCTGGTGTCTTTTTCATGCCTTTTCTATACACTTTCCTAAAGCTATCTCTTTCTTAAGATAGGACTGTATTTGGTTTGCTAATATTTTATTTGGTAATATTTATTCATTGTCAATATCTTTACATGTAGTTAAATTATTTAATAGTATTTCAATTATTATCCCAAGTTGACATTTATGTAAAATCCAAGTTTTTTTCTGACTTTCAGGCTCTTATGTATTACTATTTACTGCCTAACTCCAATAAATCTTCAGTAGCCATTTAAAACAGCATTTTCATAACAGTATTAATCATCTCTATCTAAAATATCCTTCTTTCTATTTTCCTATTTTGGGGAATAGCACACTTAAAAGCCCACTACATAAAATCACCTGTAATGCTCAATTCTTTCTTTCTTCTACACCCCTTCCAATCTACTCTCTTTAACACTCTAATTCCCCTTTGGTAGTTGAGGTCCCTGGATGAAAAGTATTCCGTCGATAACTTAATGGGACAAATTCCAACATGGCTTCTAGTAACAAGGGAGATCTTCTCCCCCTCAAAATGGGAAAAGTAAATAAAGGTACATTGTAAAAAACTCAAACTACTTTGAATTAACACTTTTTCGAAGTCATATATGGTTATTTTATCCAAATTTAGATTTTTTTTCCCCTCAGGATTTCTAGACTATTACGATATTCCACTTGACAAGACATCTTGGCATTACAAGTAAACCTTAAGTCTTTTCTTATATCTATTGTTTACATATAGGATACAATCCAAAATGTGAAATACAGAAATAAAGAGATAATGAAAATAAAAAATAAAATGATTTTAAGATAATAAAGCATTTGTTTATCTATATAATTGAATATATAATAAAAAGAGACAGTAATAAAAAGGGACACATGTGCATATGTAGCCACATGGATGGCTCTCAAAAGCAGTATGCTAAGTTAAAATTAAAAAGACAACACCCACGTTCTGTATAATTCCATTTATATGACAGTGTGGAGAAGGTTAAACTAAAGGAAGTGAAATCAGATCAGTTGCTACAATTGGGCAAAGGTGGGGTGAGATGCTAACTACAAAGGGAAGTGGAGGAACTTTTGCAGGTGATGAAATTGTTCCATAATTTATCCTTGTAGTTGTCAAAACTTATTGGATTATATAGCTTAAAAGAGTAAATATTGCTGTTGGTAAATAATACTTCAATAAACCTAAAATAAATGAACAAACAAAGGACTAGTAAGGTATTGCATGTTTTTATTGGTGGCCTGTTATTTCAGCTAAGGAAGAAAGGTTTGTGAAACACGATTTATACATTTATGTATACTATATATGTAATATAAAATATGTATTTCATATATATGCAAATATATTCATATTTTCCGACATATTTGACACTATATAAGTCCATCATATTTCCCAAATTTTCTTGATTATTATCTTTTAAGCCTCTATAACAGAGTTAGCAAGACTTCTTGATTTAAACTCCTGACTTAAACTGATTTAAACTACATGTCTCTCATGTATGACCATTTATTTCTGTCCCCAAGTGTGTCTACCTATTTCTCCACACTGCTGTCTCTCTACCAGCTTACTTCAAATGTCTATTGACAGCTCTGTCTGTCTTCAGTATTTTCATCTTCTCTCTGTGGACTCAGAATTTGATTTTCTGAAACACAAATTTCAACACGATGTTCCCTGATATGGAAAATATGTGAATAATTTCCCATTGGCTTTTAGATGAAGTGTGGGTTCCTTAACAAGATCCCTATGATTTAAATTATGTTTCCTATTCCTCTATCCCTGAACTCAACATTTTAGCCAGATTCAACTGTTTGTAGTTCCTAAAATATGATATACTCTTTATGACATAGACTCAAAAAAGCTGATTTCTTTTTACAGTGACTTTTCTCCACCCCACTTCTTTCCTTCTTTGCCTAATTCTTACTCAGATTTCATATTTCATATTTTACTCACAATGCCATGTCTTTCAGAAAAAGCTTTTCTGATGTCTCCCAACTAGTGTTAGGAATACCTCCATATACATACATACCATCATTCTCTTTATTTCCACTGAAGCACGTATCACACCATATTATGATGATATCTATACCTTTACTGGTATCAACCCCATGAGGTTAGAGTCCATGAGTATACTGTTAATATATGGTCCATATTAAGTTCTCAATAATTGTTAAAATAATTAATGTAACATTAAATATTTGAAATTGCCTTTAGAGTTTGTTAGAAAAAAATCTTAGAAAAATTAAATTTAACGAAGTTTAATTGAACAAAGAATGATTCTCTAATTGCGCAGCCTCCCCAACCATAATAGGTTCAAAGAGATTCTGTCTTGTCACATGGATTGACAAGATTCATGAACAGAAAATGGAAAGTGACATACAGAAAACAGAAGGGAGTTATAGAAACAGCCTGATTTCTTACCACTCAGTGTTTGCCTTCTTTGAATACTGTTTGAACAGTTGGACACCTGTGAGTGGTTAAAGTATGGCTCATCTGACTGGCTGAGACTTGGCTACTTGTTGCAAGAGTAGGTTACAGTCTGTTTGCTTGTCCAGTTAGGTCACAGTTCACTATGTGTAGAGAAACCTTTAGGTGAACCTTAGAAGGCAGATTTAGTCAAAACTTCATTTAATAGTATATCTGAATCTCAATAACTAAGATGATATTGTTTCTATAGATACTGCTTATGTAAAGAATTGCAATGGTTTGGCACAGTGCCTCAGGCCTATAATCCCAGCACTTTGGGAGGCCAAGGTGAGCGAACTGCTTGACCCCAGGAGTTTGAGACCAGCCTGGATAACATGGAGACACCCCAGATATACAAAAAATACAAAAATTAACTGGGCTTGATGGCATGTGCCTGTTGTCCTGGCTACTCAGGAGGCTGAGGTGGGAGGATAGTTTGAGCCCAGGAGGTGGAAGCTGCAGTGAGCCGTAATCAAACCCCTGCACTCCAGTCTGGGTGAAAGAGAGAGACCCTGTGTCCAAAAAATAAAAATAAGTAAATAAATAAAAGAAATCACAAGATACACAATTTATCAGGAGTTGCTAAGAGAGTAGATCTTGTGTTCTCACCACACACATACACACACACGGAGAGTGGATATATTAATTAGTTTGATTTTAGTAATCATTTCACAATGTATATGGAGATAAGCAATTAGTTTAACGTAATCTAAATTTAAAATTTTTACATTTTCAAAATATAAATGATTTTAAAAATTAAATATTTCTTGTTCACCTGAATTTTGAGTACATTCAGAAACACGATGGTCTGTATTTTGCAACATTTTTCCTGGCTAGGATGCTGTTGCTCCATCCACTTTAAACACCACAGCAGTCCCTAAAACAGAAAAGATTCCCAGAGGGGGATATACTGCTGTCAGTGGTGTTTAGCTCTTGTCCTAATCCTTGCTAAACCAGTTATTCTAATTAACATTTCAAACAAAGATCCCAAAGGATAGGTTCAAAGTACAGTCTACTTTTCTTCAAACTGGAAACACACTATTATCCCGCAAGAATAAACCCTTTATTTTCCTAGACAATCTTTAAAATGCTGCATTGACTTTTCTTTTCTTTCTGTCTCTCTCTCCCTTTTGTCTTTTTTTAATATAGCCACAGACCTGAATCTGCAGCCTCATATATGAGTTATACAGTGA
The DNA here is from genome assembly GCF_000001405.40 of Homo sapiens. Taxonomy (NCBI): domain Eukaryota; kingdom Metazoa; phylum Chordata; class Mammalia; order Primates; family Hominidae; genus Homo; species Homo sapiens. The sequence goes on from NC_000003.12 coordinate 95,811,833, forward strand.
GTTGTGTTTCAGAACCATTGTTTATAGACGAATTAACAGATCAAATTTAATTTCACCACAAAAATATATTCAAAGAAATAACTTTGCTGACTGTTAAAATGTAACTGGTCTTTGTTATTAGAGAAAAACCTATTTGATGTTTATTATTATGAAAATGTTATATTTTCAAATAATAGATTCTTAATTTTTTTCAAAACTTCTAATATCATACAAATACCAAATTAAGAATTGTGAAAACAAGTGCTGTCAAGGTTATAAAATCAGACTGTCAAACTATGTCTTTTAAAATTTGCATATCAAAAACTTAATGAATTAGTAAAACACATTTGATGAATGTTGAACTTCCATAAACAATGCAGACGTTTTATCTATGATAAGAATAGGTTTTATTAATATTATGAGAAATGGGGAACACTTTAAAATAGTTTTAAACATTTTGGCCATAAACAGTTGATGCAACACATATGCAAAGATTAAAATTATGATATACAAAAATACATCAAACTTTTAAATGATTAAATTATAAATGTGATTATATAGAGTGACTGCATATGAAATGTTAATTTATCTAGTTACTTATGGGTCAAAAAGGGGGTAAATTGCATGGTTTACCCTGTGAGGATGAAACTCAACAGAAGTGTCTACACAAGAAGAGCTAAAAGTCTATAATCTCTTGGGAATGGAGTACTGACAACTCCTTTTGAAGTTGCTTTTGTCTTTTTATATTTATTTGTATTAGTCACAAAGGGCTGACCTACGTTTATGCCACTGACAGCATTCTCACAGATACCAGTTTGAATTAAAAGTTCATTTTTCCAGAAGCCACACTCGTGATGTATTTTTGGTCAAGCCTGCCGGTTGTAGTTACTCAAAATTTGTTTTTAAAGTTCTTCTATGTTCTATATTGTAAGACTCTGAGATAGTGACAGAGTGGCTTTGTATGCTTTGGCCTAGTCAAAGTTCTTTTGATTAAACATTATGAATATCTTGTCTATTAATATATTTTAATGCAATAAAGTGCATTAACTATAGATCTCCAGATTATTTCTTAACAGCCCAAAACTGTAAAATGTGAGAAAGGGAGAAAAATAGAGACAGAAACAGAGAGACAAAAAAATAAAGTTGTAATAACGAGGTCCCTGATAACATGCTCATATTAGCCATTGGACATAGGGAAGACAGCTCTAAATCAACACATAATGGACATAACCAGAGATATTCTATCACCTAAAACTGTACAAAAGACATCATAGTAACTCATCTTCAGTGCAAGTAGAGTGAACCTATTAACACAGCTAATTAATAACAAAACCTAAAGGCTGCTCTTGCCAGTACTTAAACAGCTAAAGTGCTAATCAAAGACATATGAGGCCAGGGATATGTAATAATTTATCCCTTCGTTATTTATTCCACATTCAAGAAGATGAATTCTTAGACCTATACTGATCCGGAGGTCTGAACCATCTAAAACTGTGGTTCTAAAACTTAAGCATGTATGAGAATAATTTAGAGTGCTTGTTACAGCACAGGTTCTGGCAACGTAACCACTGAATTACCATTTAGTTCTGATTCAGTTGCTGATTCATTCTGATCCATCTAGATTAGCAGAGCCTGAGAACTGGATTTCCTCTCAACCCTTCAGGTACTGGTTTGAGAACCACTGATCTAAACCATGTAAATCAGCCTATAGTTTATAATTTATCAACAAGAAAGCTTCAAATTCCATTGAGTTCACTCACAGTGAGAAAGATCATGTTTGCCAGTTGATAGAAAAATCAAGCTGCTTTGGCTTTTGTAGTTCTTACTGGGGGAAAAAACAAAACATCAATTAGTATTCTGATTTTATACATAAACTTTTGAGAATTTTGTTAGCTTGAGTCATCTGCAAGATTATTCAAATTTGGGATCTAAACAGATCAATTTTGTAGGCTGCACAGCCTACTCAAAAAGATATGTGGCCTTTATACTGGCCCTTCCAAGTGGCAGCCCACACATTTAATTTCCAACATAGTAGCCTCAGTATTCTCTAAGTAGCATTTTTCTTCAAAAAATTGGCAGAAATAAAATAATTTTTATAAACCAGAGATATTATTAAAACTAATTTCATTTTACATTTGAAGTCCTTGGTTATTTAAACAGTAGAACAACTCTGAGATATTTGTCAGTATCTTTTCCTTCACCCAGGTTAAAAAGTCAATAAATCCACTTAAAGATACAGAAGATGCCCAGTCTAAATAGCTTATTTTTCTGATACATTTTAAGGCTAAAAAATAGTCACTAGGTTGTTTGGAATTGTTTTATGAGTTTTCATATGGAACTTGTTATTTAATTTTGCATACTATCAAGACTTTACCTAGATTTTGTAAGTCTGGTGCCAGATATCATGCACATGAAGGCAAAAAGAAATGTTAAATTGGACTTGAAGTTAAACAAACATTTGAATATTTATACCTAAAATTATTTTCTTCAAAATACTTGAGATTCAAATCCACAATATGTGATAACTTCTTGCCATTTAGAAAAAAATATTGTTTTAGAATACATCTAAGCTTGAGAAAATAAATAGTACTTGTCAGTCATATTTACTGTTTCTGCACACACAGTCACATACACATATACATACAAGAAGCTCCTATTTTGAACCCAAAGCAATATTATGTTATATGGAACATTCTTCTTCTTAATCCTTTAAAGATAAGAAACAGTTCTTATGGGAAAAACATATATATATATATATGTATATATATAATTATAATTATCAGTTCATATATATGAAACTAGAATAATTACAAATAATTTTTGTCTATGTAACAAAATGTCTAATTTCTTAAGTGAATAACTTAAAATATATATTTATTAATAAACTGGGCATAAATTGTTTTAGTTAGCTAGAATCAATTGCATTTCAATTCTGATACAATTTTTTTTTCTATGATATGAACATATAAATTAGAAGACTATTGTTTGCCCCTATCTCTAGTTCTCTCCCCAAATCAAAGGTAGTATTGGCATTCCCATCATCACTCAATATTCCTACTCTCCCTGGCTTGTTCATTTATTGGTTGACCCACTGTAATATTAATTTGCAAGTATATATTTTTTCATAAAGTTATGTAGACTTGGCTTTAGTAAAGTCCTTCCAGAAATGCGAAGAACTAAATCTATCTGCAGAGCATTTAAAAAAAAAAAAGGCTATATAACAATTCTAAAGATCAAAAGAAAGCTTTCTCTTTGCCCTGTAAAGGTTTCCTGAAAATAAACTGACAATAGGCAGATCAATAGGAGGAAAAGGCATACAAATGTATTTAATGTACATAAGCATGGAGGAATCACAGGAGGATAATTACCCAATAAGCTAATGAGGTCGAGATGTATGTATACTCCTCTTAATAGGGGAAGAGGAGATGTCCATTTTGAAATGTAAATAATTTTTAGGGGGAATAAATGAGTCTAATCCTCAGAGGGTAGTTGATAAATAATTTTCTTGGGGAATTCAATGGGACCAGAGAACAGAGTTCATTTGAGTTTTGGGTGTTGTGTTTAATTTTCAGTTTCTTCCTCTGTGATCTGAGTTTTAATCTTCTCTTGTTAATGACATTTCAGGGAGGGGATTGAAGGCAATTGTATTCTTCTTTGGTGTGTCTGGTTTCGACGTAAATAAGTAAACTTCAGAGAACAGCCTAATTTCTTTCCTGGGGAGAGACAGGGGACTGAGAGGCAGGAGAGGGAGGGAAGAGAGACCTCCAGCCTGCTTCTTTAGTTCAGCAAGTCAAAGTGCCATATTTTAAGGTATTGTTTTCTGAGCCCCAACACAATAAAAAATGCTCTAAACATTTTCACATAAAAGCTTTTCTCTGATCTACTTAATAAAACCTGACTAACTTATTTAATTGGGTTACACAAATGTTTGCAAACTTTTTTATGTATTGTCAGTCATCCAATGGGTTCTTCTTACCCACTGCCCAGACAGAGCCCATCATGACCTGGAGAACTGCAATAAAGAAAGAGTAATTCATGCAGAGCCAGTTGTATGGGGATCAGAGTTTTATTATTACTCAAATCAGTCTCACAGAAGATTCATGAATTGGGGTTTTCAAGGATAATTTGGTGGGTAGGGCACCAGTGAGTCAGGAATGCTAATTGGTTGGGTGGGAGATAACATCATAGGGAGTCGAAACTGTCCTCTGGCACTGAGTCAGTTCCTGGGTCAGGGCCACAAGACCAGATGAGCTAGTTTATTGGCCTGGGTGGTTCCAGCTGATCCATTAAGTTCAGGGTCTGGAAAGTATCTAAAGCACTGACCTTAGGTCTTACAATAGTGATGTTATTATCAGGAACAATTTGGAGAAGGTCAGAATTTTGTTGCCTCCAGTTGCATAACTCCAAAATTGCTAATCCTGTGGCTAATTTGATAGTCCTACAAAAGGCAGTCTAGTACCCAGGCAGGAAGGGGGCTTCTTTTGAGAAAGGACTGTTATCACCTTTGTTTCAAAGTTAAACTATAAACTAAGTTCCTCCCAAAGTTAGTTGGGCATATGCCCAGGAATAAGCAAGGACAGCTTGGAGGTTAGAAGTTAGATGGAGTTGGTTAGGTCAGATCTCTTTCACTGTAATAATTTTCTCAGTTATAATTTTTGCAAAGACAGTGTCAGCATGTTCTTATACTTGTTATCTGACTTAAATTGTCATTTTGAAAAAAAGTTTAATGTATTTTTACCATTTCAAATATCCTCTTTAAACATTTTGGAGTACAAAACCGATAAAAAATGAAGATTATTAATTGCCTGGAAAAATTACAGAAAATAAGACTGAGGACTAAACTCTGAAATTTTTATCTTGCCAAAATTCCTATCTTAGTGGTCTGAGGAGTCACGCCCCACAAATCATAAATTCTCATCAGATGGATTTTATTTAACCCTATGAATCATGACTTATTTTCCAACCTGACTCTGGCATAACATTACGAGACAAGGAATAAAGTCAAAATATTTTACCCCAAAGCATGTTTCTTTGCCATATTTCAAAATAGCCGTGCAAGGCTGTTTTTGTGTGTGTTTGTTTTGTTTTGTTTTGTGGGGGAAATTTGCATCTGTAGAGAATATTAGCATGGCTAGATCTTTTCCTTCCAGACCCTCACAATCCTAAAGAGATTAACTAAGATCTGAATAGGAAACATTTGTCATCTATTGTCTCTAAGGGCAACCACTATAAGACTTCAAAAGAACGTTGGTCTCCACAATTTTTGTCTTAACCTGAATATTCCCTTTCTATCCCAGGTCTTAGACAAACTCAACAAATTGTCAATCAGAAAATGTTCAAACTTACCTATAGCCTGAAAGCCCCTACTTTGAGTTGTCCCCCTTTCTGGACCAAACCAATGTATTTCTTAAATGTATTTGATTGATGTGTCATGCCTCTCTAAAATGTAAAAAGCCAAGCTGCGCCCCAACCATCTTGAGCACATGTTCTCAGGACCTCCTGAGGGCTGTGTCATGGACCATTGGTCACTCATATTTGGCTTAGAATAAATCTCTTCAAATATTTCACAGGGCTTGACTCTTTTTGTCAATAAGACAATATTTTCTTAAAACAAACAAACAATGATATAATATATTCCTGAAAATTGTTCATATCTCCATTGGGTAATATGAATTTGGCTCAATCTTCTTCATGTAGGTAGTTTTTAATGTTTTATTCTATTTAAAACTATTTCTGAAAAAGATAAGATACGTAAAGGAGAAGATATATACAAGAGCTACATGCAAAGCAAAAATGTAAGCTACGTACAATAAGCTAATAGGAGTCTGTTTCCCTTAAACATTTCATATTCAGTATATGCTAAAATTCTTGGGAGAGATCATTGAGAAATGAAATGAACCAAGAAGAAAGATTGAATCCTACTACTAAGATAAGCAAATATATCAGAATGAGCATAACTCAATCTTACATGTAATTTTCTCTATAGGAAACCCTAAAGGGTATTTGTTTCTATCTGAAGATTTTTAGAAAAAATAAATGAAACTGAAAGAAAAAGGAGAGAAGAAATTATTTGATTAAATCTGCTAATATTTTCAAGTGGTTGGTCAGAACTCTTATGCATACATTACATTTATTTTTATCTTATCTCAGGATTAAGTTATACTCTGTGAAATTGAGGATACATGTGTGCACTTTTTTGTTGTTTTTGTTTTATTGGACTAATCTGGATAAAAACAGAAGATATCCAGCATTTCTGGCAACTCATCCAGAAATTCTCAGCTTGTTCCATAAGAATAACCTGGATTCCACAAAGAAGCCTATCCTTCATGGTATTAAGTGAGAGTGAATATGTATTTTCATTCTTATGACCTCATCAAGCAAATTGTAGATAATTGCACTTCAAAACTGAGATTGAATATGTACATATAAACTTAATACAATTTCATATTTCATTCCTGTTTAGTGAAATAGACTTAAACCTTCTAAAAGAATTTGCAAAAGGTAAATGTGAACATTTTCTATGAATAGGAATGTAATAATATCCATAGATCATTAAATTCACACACACACACACACTCACATACATACACAAACATTTTTGTGATTTCTTAGCTATTTCTGTAAAACTTTTACTCATCTTTCTGGATCCAACTTTACAAATAATTTCTACACTAAATAGAAATTAGCACCCCCAAATTCACATTAGCCTAGGCTTAAAAATTGTCCTACTACAGTCACAGAATAGTATCTCTGGTGTTACCTGCAATCCCATTCCCCATTCATGTAAACCAGCTTTATTTTAAATTGATTTGGGGGGGGGTCCTCACTTACATTTTGATCTGTTAGATAAACTATGCTTTCTTTGTGGATCTAGCTCTTCTTACTCAGTCTTTTTAAAAGATAGCTCCTATTGTTTCTCCTGTTAAAAAAGAAAAAACAACAATTCTGTGAGGCTGAGGAGAGAGAATTGCTTGAGGCCAGCTGGGAGGCCAGCCTGAGCAACATAGTAAGAGTTCATCTCTATTGAAAAAAAAAATTAGCTGGGTATGATGGTGAGCACCTAAACTCTCAGCTATTCAGGAGGCTGACGTGGAAAGATAGCTTGACCCCAGGAGTTTCATGTTGCAACGAGCTATGATTGCCCCACTGCGCTCCAGCCTGAGTGTTAGAGCAAGAGCTCATACCAAACAAACAGTAATAATAACATATATCATAAGACTTTGTCAATCAAATAAATTACATTTTCTATTTATGCCCTCCAAAATTGATGATATTTTTGAAACTCAGATGGGTTGCTAATGCTTCACAGTGGGTGAGTAATCTGTGTGTCCATCTGTGTGAAGGTCACATATATTGGCCATAATTATCCACTAATCCTGCCAAGACTTTTGGAACCAATGTTAATAAATAGGTATTCAATTTACCTAAAATATTTCTAAAAATACTTTCAATCGTTTTCTCTTAAGTCTCAGGTATAAATTTAAAGTAAATTGGCCGAAGGATGATGTGACTGACAGATATTTCTGGACTCAGTGTGACTCATCCCAATCTCAAACATCTCTACCCCTTTGTTTCAATTCTATTAATCCTGAGGATTTTAGTTTTTATTGTTTTTGTTTTGTTGGCTTTTTCTTTTTTTTACATAACACTCACCCTAGTAGTATCTTCACCATGCCTTGATTTGTCTAAAGTTTAAAGTTAAGACTTCTGATACATGCAGGTATAATTATATGCCAAGGAATCATCTCTCACAGACATTTAATAGTGCATCTGTCCAATGTAACTAAAACCATTTTCAAGCTATCATATATTCAAATAAGGTTTTGGGTCTGTATTTCACAGATAAACACAATTAACTTCTGACAGTAAATGTTTAACTAATTACAATATATCCATCCATGCAAGATAATTGCAATACAAATGTTTAGTAACCAATCTGGTAGCTTTGTTCATAATTAATATTATAAAATTGACATTAAATGCTTCTATATTACAGACATCAGTATAGAAAAACTTGATGAACACTCAATTATTTAAAGAGTACATTACAATTCTTACTATGTAAAAGCACTTAAATAGAAATAATGGGCATGTAAACAAAAGCAAGATGTGAATTTTATATTAAAAACATATTTACTTTCTCTTAATGGCCACACCATTATCAGCATCCATGATTGAGAGATATGGCACGTAAATTATTATTTATTTAGGACACTCTTTGTCTGCATAGGATTCAACTGAATGAATTCCAGACAAATGGTTTTAAATAAACCATATGGAGTTTATAGTTATTTTCCTATGGCTCAAATAATTGCTTATCTCATCTAGTCTCTAACAGTAAGCAATCCAAAATATAATGGCTATATATAATATGTGGCTTCTTTATACTAGCTGCACATCATAGATCAATCATTTTGGTGGCTGGCTAAGAGTGGTATTTTTTTGTTTCTTTGCGTTAAACATTACCCAATTTCTCCATGTGCATTTTACAAAGGTAATCATAGATTTTAGAAAGGCAAGATAATGAGCCATTGGTGGAAAGAAAGCATAGGACAAGTTTTATATTTATAATAAATAATATGATGCTGTATTCAAATGAGTAAATATAAAAATCAGAAATCTAGAACCTGAGAGGATTTTCAACATCATATTCGGTATCATCATTGTATAGATAAACTAAAATAATTTAGTGCTAGATTCAAACTAAGAATTAGTCTTCATAATGGACATTCACAGAGTCACTCTACTTAAGATTCATTGCTGCCTTTCACAATATAATTAAAGTCTATTATTATAAGCAATAATTAAGAGTATTTATGCTTCTACTTATGTACTAAGATTATTATTGTCCTTGAATTCATAGAAATAAGCTCTAAGATAATGCTTTTTTACTTCTTTTTTTTCCATTTGATTGGGTTTAAGGCATATAAAATCACATTTATTCCCATTTTTACAAATATGTGAATTAAATTTTAATTGCAAGAGAAATTTAAAAATAGATTTATATAAGAAAAAGTCACATTTATATTATTGGTTATGTGCTTATTCTTTAGATTTAAAAATGTGATTTCATATTTAACCTATTTCATTGCCTCACTGTAATGCAAAGATAATGATGTTCATATGTTCACAATATATTTTTAACTAAGTAATGTTTGTTCTTGAAAATTTTGAAAATAATTAGCAATATAGTTTTCATTCTAATATCAAGGTGATTAGCTTGATAAGGAAATTTATATGATATTGAAATCTATACTAGTCGATTCTCACTCTGAGATAAAGAACTGCCTGAGACTGGGTAATATATAAAGGAAAGGGGTTTAATTGACTTTCAGTTCCGCAGGGCTGGGGAGGCCTCAGGAAACTTACAATCATGGTGTAAGGGGAAGCAAACATGTCCTTCTTCACATGGCAGCAGGATGGAGAGATGCAGAGTGAACAGGGGAAGCCCCTTATGAAACCATCAAGTCTCATGAGAACTCACCCACTGTCGTGAGAACAGCCTGGAGGAACTCCCTCCATAATCTAATCACCTCCCATGAGGTCCCTCCCCCAACACATGGGGATTACAATTTGGATTAAAATTCAAAATTAGATTTGAGTTTGGACAAAGAGCCAGACCTTATCAATATCACTAAATAATAATAATGTAATTATTATTATTATTTTGAGACTAAGTCTCCGTCTGTTGCCCAGGTGGAGTGCAATGGTGCGATCTCGGCTCACTGCAACCTCAGCATCCTTGGTTCAAGTGATTCTCTCAACTTAGTCTCCCGAATAGCTGGGATTACAGGCACACACCACCATGTCTGGCTAATTTTTGTATTTTTGGTAGAAACGGGGTTTTACCATGTTGGCCAGGCTGGTCTGGAAATCCTGACCTTGGGTGATATGCCTGCCTAGGCCTCCCAAAGTGCTGGGATTAGAGGCGTGAGCCACTGCCCCAGGCAATATTACTAAATTATATACTGAATTAAAATATGTAATAATTTTTCTACAGCAAGAGCAAACTAAGACATTGGCTTAAAAAATAAAATCAGACTAGGCCGGGCACAGTGGCTCACGCCTGTAATCCCAAGACTTCGGGAGGCTGAGGCAGGCGGATCATGATGTCAGGAGACCCAGCCTGGCCAACATGGAGAAACCCTATCTCTACTAAAAATACAAAAATTAGCTGGGTGTGGTGGTGCGTGCCTGTAATCCCAGCTACTCAGGAGGCTGAGGCAGGAGAATCATTTGAACCCGGGAGGCAGAGGTTGCAGTGAGCCGAGATCGGGCCACTGCACTGCAGCCTGGGCGACAGAGCTAGACACCATCTCAAAAAAAAAAAAAAAAAAAAAATCAGACTACAGGAGCTCCAATAACATTTTTATTCATTTGATATTTACCTACTCTGAAATCATTTTGGACCATGCTATATTTAAGTTTACATGATTTTCTTAAATATGTGGCCTCTAATTTTACATATCTGAAAATTAAAGGTAGAAAAAATTCATTTCTTCTTGCTTATATGCTCTTTACATTAGTAAATAAATGTACTCCAAAATATACCTTTGTTAACATATTTTTAATCTTTCTGAGAAGGCCAAAAATATATCCAGGAAGATGCATTGAGCTGTAGTTGGTGCCAGGTGCCTTCTTTTGGGGAAAGTAGTCAAAAAACGTAATTAAATAATAATAACCTGGAAAAGAAAGTGTTTCTATTGCTCACGGAATAAGCAATATTATTCTGCAGTGGGTTACACTTTATTGCCTGAATGAGAGACACTCTTTTCTGTTAGTTATAGAGCACATTCTCTGTTGGTTACACTGACCACAGAAGTAGACCAGGAAAATTAATCAATGTTATAATTATGTGTCAAACAACTACTACAAATTCTGCAATATACCCACAATTACCTTAATTGATCTCCAGAAATTAAAGTTTAAGTAAGCCTTCGTTGTGGTAAAACTATTCACTGTATCGCTTTGACAGTTAGAAACTATATTTTTTGCATTACCCTTAGAAACAACAAACATAAAATGCAATGATATAAATCACTTGAAATATAGTTTCATGGATTATATTTATCAACAAAATTGTAAACATGAGTTTTCAAAGTTAAGAACTCTATTTTCAGGTTAGCTTAAGGGTAGATATTGTTATCTGAGAGATTTATATTAAAACAGTATTAGACATCGTATATATGTGATAAATACACCATAAAACAAAGCAGTTCTCTTTAATATTAAGAAATATTTACACCTTAATGATATTCAGAATCTATTATTGCAAAATAATTTAGACAATATGCTTTCAACTACAGAGTTAATTAACTCTTAATTATATTTATTTCTGTATAATATGTGATACCTTTTATTATAAAAGCAAGTTAATGTAATTTTTATGTATATGAACAGTTAGATCCCAAGTATATATTCCAGTTTAATTTTTAATAATTGTGAACTTTAAATCTACTTTATCTTACTTTATTAACATAGTTATTTGTTATTATCTGCTTATAAATAAGTCTCTGTGCTTTGCATTCTTTATCTCTAATTTTCACATTTCCTTTCTTTTTTTACTCTTATTTTATATTTACTTATTTATTTATGTATTTTTCACATATTTGTATAAAATATATTCTGACCCCTTCTAAAACTCACCATGGAATATGTCATATAATACAAAAGAGGTATAATTTGAAGTTGAAGATGATAAGCACAATTAGGGTGATTTGTTAAAAGCACTATATGAATACAGATAGGAAGATAGATCATTCATTCTCACTTTGCAGAGATAAGGGAAATCTTCAGTCACAGAGTGAGTGGCATTTGAATAAGATTTTAAAGGTTCTGGAGCTATGACCACATTATATAAGTATTTAATTTTCACAACATTTTCTAAGTGATTTCATTTGTGGAAGATGAGGCTTAGATTAAGTAACACGAAGCTGATACTTGAAAGACTGCTGTGTTGAAAGCAGGTCTGTTTGAATATACCATGCTCTTTAAACTTCATTATAGAAACATTTTCTCAGACTAGTACATTGGTGTTTTATGATTTCCAATAGCATAACAAATATTTTAGTTATATATGCCATAACTAATGTGGTAGTTCAAGATATTACTGCTAAAGGTCATCAGAAATATTTCTAAACACAATTTATCGCATTTCATAAAGACCATGGGAACCTTAAACTGGACGGCGTATGCCTTAAAGTATAATATCTGCAAACTGTAAATCCCTTTTTTTAAACAAATAGGAGTTGTGTCCTAAAAGGGATGGTAAATCATAAACAAAACAATAAATTAACTATATAAGAAAGCAGAGACCATACTCTTGACATTGGAAGTGATTACCATATTACAAAAACACTGACATGATGTGTGGTTTCCTTAATTTAGCTGTTCCATGCATCTCTCTCTTATGTAATGAATTATTAATATATTTAATTATATATTTTGATAATATAGTATTACAGTAAAATAAATGAAGATCAAAACCATAATTACTTGTATAGTAAATTATATTACAATTTATTTCTGGCATTATTTACATCTCATATTAGTTTTCTTTTTTACTGTTTGCCTATAAAATAATTGTATAATTAATAATTATAGGAGTTGACAATTTAATTTTACTCTGAGGCAATTTACATATGAATCAATTCAATAGAGGCAACATTTATAATATACATGTAACATTACATATAAACATTTGGCAATATCTCTTAATGACCAGTAAATTTAAATGAATGATCATATTTAATTAAATTTTTCTCATTTTCTAAAGAGTTTAGTAGAGTGGAAAATGCTTACATTTCCCATAGTGTAAATATAAGCCATAAAAAAATTAACTTGAACTAAAAGCTAAACAAAACAAAATCTTCAAATATTTTGCTGAACATCGAAAAAATTGCTTTCTGAAGCTGCAGTTGCTCATATTTTTCAGTGGATACCCTTTTTCAAGTTATAAATACAAAAACAGTATCTAAGGGTTAAATTCTAGATATTTACTCTTATTTGATCTCATATTTTTCACTTTGAAAGTATAATACTGTTTTTTTCATGATAAAACTATCAACAAATTAGATATAGAAGGAATGTATTTCAATGTAATAAAGGCCGTATGTCACAAGCCTATAGCTAACATCATACTCAATAGTGGAAAGTTGAAAGTTTTTTCTCTAAGATCAGGAGTAAGACAAGGATGTTCACTCTTGCCACTTGTATTCAACACCATACTTGAAGTCCTAGCTAAAGTAAAAGCAAGCTAAATAAAAGACATCCAAATTGGAAAGGAAGAAGTTAAATTGTTCCTGTTGGAAGACAACATTGTTTTGTGTATAGAAAACCCTAAGACACCATCAAAAAACTATTAGAACTAATAAATGAATTCAGTAAAGTTGCAGGATAGAAAATCAATATACAAAAATCAGTAGCATTCCTATACACTAATAATGAACTATCTGCAAAAGTTAAGAAAACAATCCCATTCATAATATATTCCAAAATAAATAAATAAAACACTTAAAAATAAACTTAGTTGAGAAAGACCTGTACAATGAAAAGTATATAGCATTGATAAAAAAAATTGAATAAGACACAAATAAGTGTAAAGATAGCTCATGCTTATGAACTGGAACACATAATATTGTTAAAATGTCCATACTATCCAAAACAATATGCAGATTCAATGCAGTCCATATAAAAATACCAATGGCATTCTTTATGGAAATAGAAAACACAATTCTAAAATTGTGCCTAGAAAGTGAGGTAAGAGGATAAAGTTTAATGAGGAATGGCTAAGATTGTTTGCTTCCTTCTTTTTTATCATGTCTGAAGACAGAAGTCAGTAAATGAGAATTATAACATGAATGACATGAGAGACATAGAGATGAATCCTATCTAATTTGAGGTAGAAACAGATATTAAAAATATCTTATGAACTAAGGTATGGAAATGAATATCTAATTAAGTATTATGATTGATCATTAGAGAAAACAGTAGAAATATGGCTTTACATTTCTCTGTTACTAGGAGTAATTACAAGTGTAAAGCTTTTAACAAAGGTGTTGTTTGTAAACACTTATTAAAATATCAGAATGAAATAAGTTTATGCCTTTGAATTCAGAAATTTCAATAATTTATGGTAACTGGAGAGAGAGTTTCAAGGAAGTTCCAATGTAAGGAATGCCCCTCAGAATAGAAACAAGCCTTGGGAATCTCCCGGAAGTGAGTTTGACAGCAATTGAACAAGTTATAGTATTTAAGAAATCCATTGAAAACATACGTGATTAAAAGCTTTGCTAAATATTGTTAATAATCAAATACAGGATGACTTTTTACCTTAAAATGTCATTTTTTTTCAAACAACATATGTCTATGCTCTAATTTTTATTTAAGGCTTATTTAATTAAATTATGCTATCTTTGGTCTAAAATGAGTCACTTATATGTATAATTGGAAAGTAAGCTAGATAAAATGATTATATTACTTCAGGACAGACAACCACCTGATGGCATGTACATGAAATGTTTTAATAAATACCTAAAGGAAAGGTCTAAAATCCAAAAGCCTATAGGCATTAATGCCCTTATGCTAGTGTCATGTGTTTCCATATATTAAATCTACTCACATTATATATATTTCCCACATTTGATGAATCATGATGCCCCCCCTTTTGTTTTTTACTACTAGGTTGCCAGTTTATTATAAATAAATACAAATTAGGAACCACCAGATGGGAGAGATGCATAGGGAAATGTATGTGGGAAGGAGCTAAGAACATCTATGCTCTCAGGCACCCCCACTTCACAGCACTTCAATGCATTCACCAGCCTGGAATCACGATGAACTTTTGAACTTTATTACCATGCATACTCTCAGGTCATTTTCATAAAAAATACATTACAAAATACTTGGTTACAGAAATATTTACGAAAGTATAACTGTACAAATGTAATCTGAAGCTACACCTTCTTTTATTTAATGGTGTTTCCATAAAATTTTGTTAGTATGAAATGACAGAAGTTAAAATCATGCATAATTAAAACTTTGAACCAAAAGATTATATAGACTTGACTGATCAAATACAAAATAAATTGGCATAGGTAGAACTAAATAACAGCCTAATAAGCAAAAAACACATTTCTAACTGAATATGTGGTAGTTTGATATCATTGTGGTCACAAAATGAACATTTTTTTATATCTGATTACCTACATTATAAGTATTGTTTTCATTATTCTTATAATCCTCTATGGCTCATAATAGATCATGTTTTCTATTAGAAATATAATATTTTATATTAATAACTTTTGAAAAACAGGTAATAACATTAAAATATTTGAAAATAAGTGCATATTTGTTTGAGGAAACCGAGCTATTTCCTACTAGCTATATTCCCAAAATCAAAGACATCATATTGAAATTCCCTTTGTATGTTATAAATTTAGCACATACTGTTCATGTAGCTGTGAATATTTTTACAGCCTTATATTATCAGAAGTAAAATAACTTGAATTAATATTATTGTCCAAATGATGATACAAATGTCATATATATGTGTATATATAATATATAATATTTATGTATCTATTAAAGAAATTAAATGGAGACTCTTAAAGCCTGAAAAACAGTAAGAACAATATTTGACCTAATATCTGATAATCCTGAGGAAATTAAGAAATACAAAGAAAAATTAAAATTGAAGAAACCACTTACCAATGAGATCAAATACTTAGATATCATGTATTGAAGGTATATAAGTGTAAACTTTTATATTTTCAGCCAATAATCCAGATGAAGATTGTGATATAGGTAGATAAAACAATAGCATTTCATAATACTCCATATATGAAATGCAGAAGAATGTTAAAGCAATGTTGTGTTTATAAGCAGAAAGAATATTAAGACAATAGTGAGCTTACAAGCCCAAAACTTGAGGGAGCTTAGAACCATCTGCTAAGGAAACACATACAATAAGATAAAAAAAAATTTGCAGAGATTAATTTTTATTATAGATAATGCATCAATGAATGTTGTCTATACCATCTTGGCATTCTAATCAGAACATTTTGCAAAGATCTAATTAGAAAATAATTTTAAACATCTCATCTAAGTTATCAACACAATCTACATTGGATGGATATTTTGAACACTATGACATCTCAAACTCCCCTCTCCCTCACAACAAAATAATTCTATTGAGATTCTCAAACCACTTTTGAACTTGATGTTTCTATAGTCATAGAGCAGTTCTAAGTACTTGATAGGATTTTGATGATATAGAAGCCACAGAAAGTAAGAAATAAAGATCCCAATTATTGAATTCATAGAACTTATAAAATTGATGCTGGTTGATTTAACTTAATAAAAATTGTAAAATAGATAAAAAATTATAAACTATGCATTGTTCTTATTTACTCGTCTCCATCTCTTCCTGCTCTGCCTTTCCCTTTTCGCTGTCACATCCCATTCCTTAGGCCAGTCTACTTGTAATTTTCAGATCTATATCATTTACCCCATGCTATGGTCAAAATGTTGTGTCCTCCTGAAACATATATGTTAAAATTCTAATCGCAAATTGATGGAAATAGGAGGTAGAGTCTTTGGGAAATAATCAGGTCAAAAAGTGTTGTCCTCGTAAATGGGATTAGTGCCCTTATAAAAGAGACCCCAGAGATCTCTCACCTTTTCCACCATGTCAGGACACAGCTAAAAAAATGGCCATCTATGAACCAGGAAGTGGGCCCTCACCAGACACTAAATTTGTAAGTGCCTGGATCTTGGACTTCTCAGCCTCCAGAACTTTGAGAAATAATCTATTTTTCACAAGCCACTTAGTTTATGATAGTTTCGTTAAAACAACTTTAACATGTTAAGAACCCCATTTCTAACTCTAACCTGACCCCTAACTTTCACTGTCCCACTAGTAATTAACATACCTCCACAAAATAACTAAATTTTTGGAGAAAATTTTATAAGTAGAAAAAACACTTGTCTGAAATTTTACCTTAAATATTGGGAATTTCAAGTGAAAAAACACAGACTTTTTTCAGGGATTGTCAAGAAGGCAAAACACCCTCAAAGACCTCAAAACTTGAAGTTTTTTTCTAATAATTTCCTTTTACATTTTTATTTATTTTTAGGGGTTACAAGGAAATGAGATTTTAATTGGCATTAGGATAGAATTTTAGACAGGGGAAAAGAATACATCATTTCTGCATTGCAGCAATCATACCTCCTGAATTATAACCTTACAAAATAATGCTCAGGGTGGGAGCTAGATGAGGAAGGCTGACAAAAAATTCATAAAATAGTGAGACTGGGACAGTAGCAAAAATTTGAAATCTGCTCAGAAATAAACAAATTGTGATATATCATATATGCTTTGTGAAAGAACCAAAGAGACCAATTAAAAAATAATAATAAGGGAGAATTTAAAAAGGACCTGGAGATCCACTGACAAGTGAGCAGCTGCAGATGCCTTCAGGACTTACTAAGTCTTCTTCATCTCCATTTTTGCTTTTTGCCAATTATGTATTTGTTTTCTATCCTGCACAACAAACTACTACAAAACCAGTGGCTTAAAACAACTTCAATTTATTATTTCAGTTTGTATAAATTAGAGGTTTGGGTGCAGCTTGCCTGGGTCTCTGCTCAGGGTTTCACAAGGCAAGATCGAGGTGTC
Source organism: Homo sapiens (assembly GCF_000001405.40). NCBI lineage: Eukaryota > Metazoa > Chordata > Mammalia > Primates > Hominidae > Homo > Homo sapiens. The sequence continues at coordinate 95,829,489 of NC_000003.12, forward strand.
CTCTGGGTAGTGCTTTCCTATTAAGGCTTGACTTGGGAAGGATCTCCTTCCAAGCTCTCTCAGGTCATTAGCATAGTTTCTTTCCATGTGGCTATAGTATTCATAGGAGTTTTCTTCTTCAAGTGTATCAGGAGAATCTCTCACTCCAATCTGTTAAAATTATTATGGAAATGACACTACTATAACATATGCCATAATCTATAACCTAATAAAGATGACTTCTCCATCACCTTTGTCATATTCCACTGTCTAGAAGCAAGTTCACAAACTCCACGACACTTTGAAGAGGAGTTTATACAAGGGTATTGGTCATTAGTGGTCATCTTAGAATTCTGACTGCCAGAAAAGTAGTTACTGTAAAAAGGAAAAGTCTTTATGACCATCCTTAAGAGGCAAGAGAATTAATTTCATATGACAAGGTTATGAGTTTGCGTCCCCACCAAAATTTATATGTTGAAGTCCTAATCCCTTATGCCTTAGAATGTTATTATATCTAGAGATATTTAATGAGGTCATTAAGTTGGCATAATATCATTAATCCAATGATTAATTAGATTAATTTGACTTGTCATGAATCCAATAGGACCTTATAAGAAGAGGAAATGTGGACATAATACACAAAAGAAAGATTATGTAAAGACAGTGAGAAGACTGCTGTCTACAAGCCAAGGAAACATGCTTCAGAAGAATCCACTGCTTCCAAGAGTTTAATCTCAGGCTAATGGACTCCAGAATTATGATAAAATAAAATTCTGTAGTCTACACCAACCAGTCTGTGGTACTTTGTTGTGACAGCCTTAGAAAACTAATACAGCCAGTTTCCAATGCACTGATCTTTACAATTTTTTTTAGGAAGCCAGTTTTCCATGGTAATAAAGTCATGGTTCATGTGGGCCAAAAAGGAAGCATAAACAACCTCTTTAATGGATGTGATTCGTTGTTCTCTTTCTCCCTCTTTTTCAATTTTCTCTTAGATGGAAAGATTAAAATATTTAATAATATAAAATTTTAGTGAGAGTTTGGAGAAAACTATACTTTTAGACTCTTTTTTTTTTTAGAGTCTTGCTCTGTCTCCAAGGCTGGAGTGCAATGGTGCGATCTTGGCTCACCACAACCTCCACCTCCCATGTTCAAATGATTTTCCTGTCTCAGCCTCCTGAGTAGCTGGGATTACAGGCACCCCACCATGACACCCAGCTAATTTTTGTATTTTGTAGAGATGGGGTTTCACCTTGTTGGCCAGGCTGGTCTCGAACTCCTGACCTCAAGCAATCCGCCTTCCTTGGCCTCTCACTGTGCTGGGATTACAGGCATCAGCCACCACACCCGGCCACTTTAGGACTGTATTAGTTCATTCTCAGACTGCTATAAAGAACTGCCCCAAACTGGGTAATTTTAAAGAAAATAGGTTTAATTGACTCATAGTTCTACATGGCTGGGGAGGCCTCAGGAAACTTACAATCATGGCAGAAGGGGATGCAGGTTTGTCTTACATGGCAGCTGGAGAGAGAGAGAGGGGAGAGTGAAGGGGGACGAGCCCCTTCTAGAACATCAGATCTCTTGAGAACTTAACTCGTTATTATGAGAACAGCATGAGGGAAACCATCTCCATGATCCAATCACCTCCTTCCCTTGACACATGGAGATTACAATTTAAGCTGAGATTTGGGTGGGGACACAGAGCCAAACCATATCAAGGACAAATGTGCAAAATTATCATTGAAAATGGCATGACTTGACCCATTAATGATTCACTTTATACTTATTGAGTGCTTAAATTATTAAGCTGTTTTTGGTGCTTGGGATCCATCAGTAAAAAATACAGACAAAAATTCTGCCATAATAGATCTTATAATCTAGTGGTAGAAGACAGAGAAAAATGTTTTAAAAATGAGTAAATTATAAATTATGTGTTTATAATGAGTTCTGTGTAAAAACTTGTTTAAATAAAAAAGAATAGGGAATGAATCAGGAGTGCGAACTACAGTGTTGGAAATTTTTAATGAAGTTAGTAAGGGTAACACTAAAAATTTAGTGCTTTGGAATAGACTCACAGAGGAAAGAAAGTAGGGAGAGAAAGTAACCTTCCACAATTTGCAGGGAAACAGATTCTTGGCATAAAAAAAGAGATAATATATAGGTCTTGTGGCCTGGCATCCTTAAGAAAAAGCAAGAAAGCACCTATGAAGAAAGCAGAGAGAATGAAGAGGAGATTAATAGAAAATGAATTTATACAGGTAAAAGCAGGACAGATTACATAGGGCTTTTGGAAAAGCTATGGCTTTTATTCAGAGTAAGATATCTTAATTTGGAAGATGTTGAGCAAAATGAGTCAATTTTGAGTCAATGGTCTTCTTGACACTGACCTGAGCAGTGATTATTTTTTTGGTTATGAATTTGAAAGCACAGACGACAATAGACAGCAATAGACATGTGGTATTACATCAAATTTAAAAGCTTCTGGACAGCTAAGTTAACATTGAACAGAGTGGGGAGACAATGTACAGAATGGGAGAAAATATTTACAAAACATATATCTTATAAGGGGTTGACGTTAATAATATATAAAACATTCAAACAACTCAGTAGCAAGAAAACAAATAACGTGATTTTAAAAAATGGGCAAAATTCCTTAATAGACATTTCTCAAAAGAAGACATAGAAATGGCCAACAGAGGTATAAAAATAATGTCCATTATCACTAGCAATCTAAGAAATGCTGATTAAAGGCATAATGGGATATCACCTCACAGCTGTTAAAATGGCTACAATTAAAAAGATACATGAGATGTTTTGGTGAGTATGTGGAGAAAAGGAAACTCTTGCACACTGTAGGTGGGAATGTAAATTAGTACAGTCATTATGTAAAACAGTGTTGAGTTTCCTCAAAAATTAAAAGTAGAACTGCTGCCATATGATACAGCAATCCCACTACTGAGTATATATACTAAGAAAATGAAATCAGTATCTTGAAGACATATTGGCACTCCAGTGTTAATTGTAGCATTATTCATAATCACCAAGATATGTAATTGACTTAAATATTCATCAATGCAAGCATGAATAAAGAAAATGTGGTATATATATATATATATATATACTCTTGGAACATGATTGGAAGGAAATCCTATCATATGCAACAACATCAATGATTCTGGAACACATTATATTATGTTAAACCAAGGACATAAAGACAAAGACTACATGCTCTCACTTACATGTGGAATCTGCAAAAGTTGGACTCATTTAAATAGAGAACAGAATGGGGATTACCAGTCACTGGGCTTGGGGATTTGGAAAGATTCAACAAAGATACAACATTTCATTTAGACAATGGGGTTAAGTTTAAGAGATCTACTGTGCAACATGGTGACCATAGTTAGTAACAATGTATTGTATTTAAAAAATCACTAAGAGTAGATTTTAGGTGTTCCTATCATAAAAAAAAATGATGATATGAAGTAATGCATCTTAATTATCTCTATTTGACCATTCCACAATGTCTACATATTTCAAAACATCATGTTGAACATTATCAATATATAACATTTTTCTTTGTCAATTGAAAAAATAGAAAAAAAGAAAAACTGTACAATGGAGGAAAGTTTTTTTATATCTTTTATTTTTTTTTTACTTTTATATATTATCATGTATACATTTACTATTAATATTTTTCATATGTACATTTTCTAAAAGTACAAATAAATTACATATATTTATCCCCTAGTATGAAGATCCTTGAACTTAATTCACACACACACACAGACTCATGATGGCAACCAGGTGAATAAGATTATACTAACAATGAGTATTGATTTCAGTGAATAAAGGTAGCACATTTTATTTCAGCTTATGAAAAATAGCATCACAATAAATAAAGATGTTGCTTTGTTAATGCTGGAAAATGCAATATGAAAAGAACAATCTGAAGCAAAAGTGAAACAAAATCTATCAGTGTTTTGTTTTGCTTTTTTATAATGTAAGGAAACCGTTGTGTTACTACATGCAATAAATAAAGTACATCTTTTGATTTCAGTTGTGCAATGGATATCCATCAGCTATCTAAAGTAAAATTCTGAGAAAAATAAAGCTTGTAATAGAAATTTTCTTTTATGAGGTGCTGCTGCTTTTGCAACAATTTTTTTTTTCTAGGCTAACTCTTTCTTATCTATCAGTTCCAGACTTATGACTTCTTATTTCAATCTGGCAGCCAGCACTTGTCTTCCCTTCTGTTTCCAACCTACTGTCTCTTTTCCCCCAAATAGGTTTCCCGTAAAGTTCTTGATGTAATATTTTGCCCTAGGCTTACGATGTTCTCATTTCTGAGGGATTTCATAGAAAATCATAGTTGCTGTTCCTCTGTTTTTGTTTTACTTTTCTTTCTTTTTTTTATTATACTTTAAGTTCTAGGGTACATGTGCACAACATGCAGGTTTGTTACATATGTATACATGTGCCATGTTGGTGTAGGAAGAATCAATATCATGAAAATGATATTGTAGGTAATTTATAGATTCAATGCCATCCCCATCTAGCTACCGATGACTTTCTTCACAGAATTGGAAAAAACTACTTTGAAGTTCATATGGAACCAAAAAAGAGCCTGCATTGCCAAGACAATAAGCCAAAAGAACAAAGCTGGAGGCATCATGCTACGTGACTTTAAACTATACTACAAGGCGACAGTAACCAAAACAGCATGGTACTGGTACCAAAACAGAGATACAGACCAATGGAACAGAACAGAGCCCTTAGAAATAATACCACACGTCTACAACCATCTGACCTTTGACAAACCTGACAAAAACAAGAAATGGGGAAAGGATTCCCTATTTAATAAATGGTGCTGGGAAAACTGGCTAGCCATATGTAGAAAGCTGAAACTGGATCCCTTCCTTACATCTTATACAAAAATTAATTCAAGATGGATTAAAGACTTAAATGTTGGACCTAAAACCATAAAAACCCTAGAAGAAAACCTAGGCAATACCATTCAGGACATAGGCATGGGCAAGGACTTCATGTCTAAAACACCAAAAGCAATGGCAACAAAAGCCAAATTGACAAATGGGATCTAATTAAACTCAACGGTTTCTGCACAGCAAAAGAAACTACCATCAGAGTGAACAGGCAACCTACAAAATGGGAGAAAGTTTTCGCAACCTACTCATCTGACAAAGGGCTAATATCCAGAATCTACAAAGAACTCAAACAAATTTAAAGAAAAAAACAAACAACCCCATCAAAAAGTGGGCAAAGGATATGAACAGACACTTCTCAAAAGAAGACATTTATGCAGCCAACAGACACAGACAACAGATGAAAAAATGCTCATCATCACTGGTCATCAGAGAAATGCAAATCAAAACCACAGTGAGATATCATCTCACACCAGTTAGAATAGCGATCATTAAAAAGTCAGGAAACAACAGGTGCTGGAGAGGATGTGGAGAAATAGGAACACTTTTACACTGTTGGTGGGACTGTAAACTAGTTCAACCATTGTGGAAGACAGTGTGGCAATTCCTCAGGGATCTAGAACTAGAAATACCATTTGACCCAGCCATCCCATTACTGGGTATATATCCAAAGGATTATAAATCATGCTGCTATAAAGGCACATGCACACGTATGTTTATTGTGGCACTATTCACAATAGCAAAGACTTGGAACCAACCCAAATGTCCAACAATGATAGACTGGATTAAGAAAATGTGGCACATATACACCATGGAATACTATGCAGCCATAAAAAATGATGAGTTCATGTCATTTGTAGGGATATGGATGAAGCTGGAAACCATCATTCTCAGCAAACTATTGCAAGAACAAAAAACCAAACACCACATGTTGTCACTCATAGGTGAGAATTGAACAATGAGAACACATGGACACAGGAAGGGGAACATCACATACCGGGGCCTGTTGCGGGGTGCAGGAAGGTGGGAGGGAAAGCATTAGGAGATATACCTAATGTTTTACTTTTCTTTACATTTCTATTATTGATTTAGAACTGTTTAAATTTTTGTGAGATCTTATGGTTTGCTTAGCATATTTGTAAATCAAAGAAAATGACCTTGGCAAGTCTTAAATCATTTTAGGAGGTTTTCTTACTAAAGTTAAGGATGTGTGCCCAGGAGATAGGTCTCTGCCTTTCTCCAAAGATGATTTTTAGGACTTCCATATTTAAAGAGGAAAGGGTGGATATTGGGAGAAAATAAGTATTTTTTAAAAATGTTTCAGTAGGTAAAAAGACAAAACTTTGCATGCTTTGTAGTCTTTGATCAGCTTTTCACTGAATATACAATTTTCATGTGGGAGGTGGGTAGAGGAAGTGTCACTCATGCCTTTGTCTGGCTCAGTGAATCTGAAGTTTTCATAGGGTAGTGCAGACAATGGGGCAGAGAAAGCCATCAGGTATGCATTTGTCTCAGGTGAGCAGACGGATGACTGAGTTTTGTCCTGTGCCCCACACCTGTGAAGATAAGCTATCTATTTATGTTTCCAGGGTGAAATTCAAAGGAACTGTTTTAGGGTAATAGATCTAAATGTTAGGAAGGCATGTAGCTTTTTATCTTTATATCTATCTTATTTAGGAACTAAGTGGGAGTCAGGTTTGCATGACCCAGTTCCCAGCTTGACTTTTCTCTTTGGCTTACTGAGTTTGGGGTTCTGAGATTTATTTTCCTTTCACATTTCAATCAAACTGATTGTGGTCATTCTTTCAACAACAATTTTTTAAGACTATGAAGGGGAAAAAAACCCAGCACTGATATTTTAATATGATCAACTGGACCTGTGTATTAGTATGCTGAGGATGCTGTAACAAAGTACTACAGATCGGGTGGCTTAAACAATAGAAATTTATTTTCTCACTGTTCTGGATGCTAGAAGTTGGATCCCTCTGAGGGCCATGAGGCATGTGTCTATTTCAGGTCTCTACCCCTGATTTATGGATAGCTGTCTTCTCTCTCTCTGTGTCCTCACAATGTCTTGGCCCTGTATGTATCTGCGTCAAAATTTTCTCTTCTTAAGAGGACGTATTAGTTTGTTCTTGCATTGCTATAAAGAACTGCTTGAGACTGGGTAATTCATGAAGAAAAGACGTTTAATTGGCTCACGGTTCCAGAGGCTGCATGGGGAGCACAGCTGGGGAGGTGTCAGGAAACTTACAATCATGGTGGAAGGCGAAGGGTAAGAAGGTACCTCCTACATGTCTGGAGCAGGAGGAAGAAAGAAAAGGTGGAGGTGCTACATGCTTTTAAACAACCAGGTCTCATGAGAACTCACTCACTATCATGAGAAAAGCAAGGGGGAAGTCCAGTCCCATCATCCAATCACTGCCCACCAGGCCCCTCCTCCAACACTGGGGATTATACTTTTTTATTGTTATAATTTTTTAATTTTATTTTGAGAAAGAATCTTACTCTGTCACCCAGGCTAAAGTGCAATGTCATGATATTGGCTCACTGCAGCCTCCAACTCCCAGGTTCAAGAGGTAATTCTGCCTCAGCCTCCAGAGTAGCTGGGATTACAGGTACTCACCACCATGCCAGGCTAATTTTTGTATTTTTAGTAGAGCCAGTGTTTCACAATGCTGGCCAGGCTGCTCTCAAACTACTGGCCTCAAGCAATCCACCTGCCTCAGCCTCCCAAAGTGCTGGGATTACAGGTGTGAGCCATTGCACCCAGCCTATAATTTGATATAAGATTTGGGTGAGGACACAAATCCAAACCATATCAGAGGATAACAACCATATTGGATTAGAGTGCACTCTGATGACATCAGTTTAAATTAATGACCTCTTTAAAGACCCTGTCTCCAAATGCAATCACATTCTGAGTTATGGGGATTAAGGCTTCAACATGTGATCATTTGGGTGGACACGATTGAACTCATAACACCTAGGTTATCCTTCAGTGTCAAATTTACTACCACAAAATAGAGATGACATTTAAAAGGGAAGGTTTGGAGTGACCTAAGAAAAATTTAATCAAAGCCTGCAATGAAAAAAATACTTTAATCTGAGGATCAAGAATTGTGGTGCTCAGACACATTTTTGCAATGAAGCCATATTGTTAAGGCCTTGATTAATTAATTTAACAGTTTATATGTGCCATACACATGCTTACCTAACTTCAAAAATGATATCATCTCCTAGGATATTTGGTAGTTTTTGAAAGTCTTGTTCTTTAGGGTTCAGGTAAATAAATAATATACTATGTATGGTAGCAGCAGAGAATGCTGTTATCAAAGTGTGTTTTTTCTTCTCCTTTAACCCACTCAAATTTTCATTTTATTTATTTTTTGATTCCCTCAGTTCAGATTCAATTTGTGCCAGCTTTCCTTTCCATAAAGGAGCCATCAATTTTGTCCAAGTATATATGCAATGCCCATCAATTCATTGATAATCTAACAAATTATCATTTTAAGGAGAGTTCACATTCTCCTGCAATCATAGATCTTTCTTCCATTATGCAGATAGTAGACACAGTGTAGATGAGTTGTATTAGCTTCCTATCGCTGCTATAACAAATTTTCACAAGCTTCATGAATCAAAATCACAAAAATTTGTTTTCTTACCGTTCTGGAAGTCAGCAGTCCAAAATGTACCTCACTGGGCTAAATTATTTGCTCAAAATCAGGGTGGGCTAAAATCAGGGTGTCAGCAGGACTGTTTTTCCAGTAATACGTAGCAGATAATCCACGTCTTTGACTTTCCAGCTCCTAGAGACTTCCTGGTTCTCATTTTCTCTTCAAATCCAGCAATGGTTGGGTCTTTTTCATGCTGCATCACTCTCACTTTGTTTCTTCCCTGCCTCTTGGGATACAATGAGCCAACACAGATAATCCAGGATCATCTCTCAATCTCAAGGTCACCTTAGAAATCTTAATTCCATTTGCACTCTTAATTTTTTCTTACCATGTAACATAACATATTCAACAGTTCTTAGGATTAGAATATGGGCATATTTGCCAGTAAAAGGAGGGGTTATTCTGCCTACCACAGGCTGCAATCCAAGGACTGTCTGAACACAGATTCTAAATGGGGACATGCTAAATCCAGTAAGTAAAGACTAAGTACTTAATAATTGAATGTGATTATATCATTACCATTCTTGTTGTCTTTATCATTATTATATGGAGGTGAACAGTACTAGTTAGCAGAGATTTGACAAAGTGGTCATAATTTGATGAAGCGGTCAGAATGAAGTCATCATCATCATGACTAGTCTGGCCACATGGCTGTGTAAAGTAGGGGAAACAGCATTTGGATAGCTTGTAAGAAATCAAAGACTGTGCATTTTTGAGCAAATATTTTCCAGCAGACAAATATGTAGAACAGTAAATACAAGCAGTATCTGCAAAGAGCAACTACTAAATATAGGAAAGTTTTTCCATGAAGAAGTATAAAAGGTCCCTTCACAGATGCCACAGCAAAGCTGATAATAAAGGCAGAAAGTGCATCAGCAGACTCAATTTCATTACTCAGAATGGTATTTTCTACCAATCCAGACACAGACTTCAGAGTTTAATATTCAGCAATACTGGGTGACTGGTGGCTGCCAATCAGGTCTTGGCCCTAATGCCCACAGGGTGACTAAGGAGAACCTGAGGCACAACTTTCTCTCAATTCGGTGTTCACCTACAAACCCAAACTGCTGCATTTATCCATGTGACATAGTTCTGGGCTTGTGCCAGCTTTATCACCATCATGAACACCTGCCTATTAATGGAGTCTTGCCACAAATGAATTGATTCTTCAGAGAATAACTGCCAAGAAGGCATCTATAAGCATAGAATTCAATCGATGACATATTTTAGATTGGTTTACCAAAAAAAAAATCCTATAGTTTGCTTTATTCATTCTTCTTTCAAGATATGGGCACCAGATTGGAAGTCTTATTAATTTTTATTTTTTAAAGAACCACTGTAATCTCTAATGTAATATATTTTTAAATTTACCAAATTATTTTTATAGTAGACTATGGAAAGTTTAAAATATCTATACAAATAAAAGTGTAAAACCAATAAATTGCAAGGACTGTTAAAAGTTATAAAAAACAAGTAAAGTGAAACTTTCTCACAGCACTTCTAAAACACTCTTTTTATCCTAACAGTTGGTGAATTGTTGCTTATGCAAACAATCTACAGAAAAAAAATTCTATTTTTTGCTTGAAAAGTGTTAGAAATTCTAGTCTGAAAAGGTGCTTGTCATGAAGTTATATACAAATGAAAATATGAGCTAAGAATAGCAGTACCATCTGAACCATAATTATAGTTCAGTGTTATAATCAAAATCTACAGGAAATTTCTAGAAATAATTATTTTTTAAGAAGTGAAAACTAATTTAATACTTCAAAACTAGCCTAACTCTTACGGAATATTAATGCCAACACTTTTAACTTTTTGTAATATTGTTTTATTTTAGGTTTACGAGCAAGAGTTGAGCCAAACTGAACAACAGTTTATAGGAATATCTGAATTCCAAATACAAAGTTACATTTGAAGTCATATGAAATGTTTAAAATTTTAAACTTGTAACTTGTGTAGCTGACGAAACTTCTATTTTATAGATGGAAAACTTATTGTGATATATTAAGGTTTGAATTCTTTATCACTAACTAAATATCTACCTGGTGAATAATTACCATCAACAATAACAACATTAATAATGGCTGTCATTTATTAAAAATATATTAAATATATACATTTCAGAACCTTTACTTGGTACTTAAAATATAATGCCTAATTAAAACCTCAAAATAATTGCATGAAGTAGTTTGTTCTGAAAATTAAGAAACAAGTTTACAAAGATTAAAAATTGATTAACTTTATTTAATCTTGATCTTCTGAAAATATTATCTGGGAACTTTATGTTTATTTATATACAGTTTTCGAAAAGTTTTTCTTATGTCTGAGAGTCATGGCATGAAGCAAACATCAAAAAGTTGGCCTTAGGTGGCTATGTCTTTAAAGAAGAAAATTAAAAGCCTCAACTAAACATAACTTTTGCAATATCTTGAGTTTGCCATTTTTTCCTGAAAGGGTGACACGTGGGTAGTCTTTAGCAACTTAAAGCCTCAACTCATGCAGAATTACATACTTTTTCTCCTAGGCAAAAAAAAAAAACATTCAAATTAGTAACATCGCACCTTTCAATTTTCAATTTAAATCAATATTCCATTAATTTTTAAAACATTTAACTAATCATATAAAATGTATTAAAATATTGGCATTAGTTCTTTTTTAAATGATTCATGAAATTCAGTAGTGAATTCATCAGATTTTGGGATTTTCTTTGATGGGAAACACTTTATTACTGCTTTAATCTTATTAATTATTATTGTTTTTTTCAGGTTCCCTATTTCTTTATGGTGCAATCTTGGCAGGTTGAATGTGTCCAGAAAATTTATCCTTTTTTTTAAAGTTTTCCTATTTGTTGGTGTAACAGTCTTTAATGATCCTTTGTATTTCTGCACTTCTAATATTTCCCTTTTCATATCTGATTTCATCTATATGGGTCATCCCTCTTTTTTCTTAGTTAATCTAGCTAAAGGTTTGTCAATTTTGGTTATCTTTTCAAAAAACTAATTTTTATTTTGTTGAACTTTTGTATTTTTCTTAGCGTCGATTTCATTTATTTATGCTCTTATCTTTGTTATTTCTTTTCTTCTACTAATTTTGAATTTGATTTGTTCTTGGTTTTCTAGCTATTTGAGGTGCAATGTTAGGCTATTTGTAGTCTTTCCATTTTTATGGTGTAGACATTTATTACTATAAACTTCCCTCTAAATACCGTCTTTATTATATACCATAAATTCTGCTCCACATTTATGTTTTTACTTGATTTCAAGAATTTTTAAAATTTTCATTGACCCATTGGTCATTCAGAAGCATATTGTTTAATTTCCATGTATTTGTACAATTTCCAAAATGTCTCTTGTTATTGATTTCTTATTATATTTTGTCGTGGTCAGAAAATATACTCGATATAATTTTGACTATTTTTAATTTCTTGAGACTTGTTTTATAGCCTACAATATAGTTAATACTAGAGAATGTTTCATGTGCTGATAAGAAAAAAATGTGTATTCTGGAGCAGTTGGATATAATGTTCTGTAATACCTGTCAGGTCTATTTTGTCTAGAGTGCGATTTAATTTCAATGTTTCTTTCTTGATCTTCTCTCTGGACAATCTGTCAATTGTCAAAAGTGGTGCGTTGAATTATCCTATGACTATTAAAGTCTATTTCTCCCTTTAAAGCTATTAATGTATAAAATATTTGGGGGCTCTGGTGTTGGGTCCATATCTATTTACAATTGTTGCATCCTCTTGCTGAATTGACCATTTCGTCATTATATAATAACCTTCTTTGTCTCTTTTTACAGTTTTTGACTTAAAGTATATTTTATTTGATGTATGTATAGCTACTCCTGATCATTTTGCATGGGCTATCATTTTTGCTTCAGTTTATGTGTATCTTTATAGGTAAAGGGAGTTTCTTATAGATAGCACATATATATGTTGTCTGCTTATATACTCACTCAGATAAATATATATATGGATCTTATATGTTTAATACAAGCAGCATATATATATATAATATTAGCAGCATATATATGGTGCTATATGTGACTATGTATATATGTATATATATATATATATATATATGTCTTGTATGTTTAATCTATTCAGTCTCTCTATGAATTTTACTTGGAGAACTTAATCCATTCACATTCAATATATTATTGATAGGTAAGGCTTTACTACTGCCATTTTGTTACTTGTTTCCAAGCTGTTGTGTAACTTTTTTTTGCTGTCTTCTGTTGTACTTAAGTAGTTTTTTTGGTAAATATGTTTTAGTTTATTGTTTTAATTTTTAGTGTATCCCAGGATGCAAGGATGGCTGATCACATGCAAATATGAAAATGTGATAAGTCACATGAACTCTGAAAAAGCATTTGATAAAATTCAATGTTCCGTCATGACAAAAACCCTCCACAACGGATATAGAAAAGAAATACCTCAACACAATGAAGGTCATATATGACAACATCAGCTAACATCATGTTGAACAGGAAGAATATTGAAAGCCTTTCTACCAAGATCTGGAACAAAACAAGGATGTTCACTTTCACTAGTTTTATTTAATATCGCATCAGAAGTCCCAGCCAGGGCAATTAGGCCACAGAAAGAAATAAAGAATATCCAAATAGGAAAAGTAGTAGTCAAATTATCCTTGATTGCAGATGACGTGATCTTATATTTAGAAAAACCTAGACTCTACCAAAAAACACTTAAATGAATAAATAAATGTAATGAAGTTGCAGGATACAAAATAAACATACAAAAATCAGGAGCATTTCTATATGCTAATAGTGATCAATCTGAAAAATAAAAATAAGAAAGCAATACCACTTACAATAGCCAAAACTCCCCAAATACTTAGTAACACAGTTCACCAAAGAAGTGATAAATCTCTACAAGGAAATATATAAAACACTGGTGAAAGAAATTGAAGAGAACACACATTCAAAAAGAGAAAGATATTCCACGCCCTTGAATTGGAAGAACTATTATTGTTAAAGTATCTATATTACCCAAAGCAATTTACAGAGCTGATGCAATCTCTAACAAAATACTAATGACATTCTTCACAGAAATAGAAAAACATTTTTAAAATTTATATGGAACCACAAAAGACTTAAAATACTTAAAACATTTCTCAGCAAGAGTAACACCTGACTTCAAAATGAGTAACCAAACTATAGTAACCAATCTGAGTAACCAAAGCTATAGTAACCAAATCTGCATGATACTGGCATAAAAACAGACACATAGACCCATAGAATAAAATAGAGAGCCTAGAAGTAAATCCAAGCATTGATAGGTAGCTTCTTTTTGACACAGTATAGAGACAATCTACAGAATGAGAGAAAATATTTGCAAACTATCCATCTGACAAGGAATCAATAACTAGAATATATAAGAAATTTAATAGAAAATAATAATAATACTCTGATTAAAAAATTGATAAAACCCTGAATAGATATTTCTCAAAGAAAAACCTTACAAATGGCCAACATGTTTATGAAATAAACTAATCATCAGGGAAGTGCAAATCAAAACCACAATGAGATATCATCTCAACTGAGATAGAAAGGCAATTCTCAAAAAAATAAAAAATAACTAATGCTGGTGATGATGTGGAGAAAGGGGAATGCTCATACACTGTTGGTAGAAATTTAAAGTAGTACATCCAATATGGAAAACACTATGGAAGTTACTCAAAAAATTAATACAGAACTGCCATATGATCAAGCAAGCCCACTGCTGGGTATATATTCAAAAAAAAAGGGAATCAGAATCTCAAAGTGACTTTTGCACTCCCATGTTTATTGCAGCGCTATCCATGATAGCCATGACATGGAATCAGCCTAAGTGTTCATTAATGGATTAATGGGTTGAAAACATGTGATATACACATACAATGGTGTATTATTCAGACATAAAATGAAGTTAAATTGTGTCATTTGTAGCAACATAGATGGAGCTGGAGGTCATTATGTTAAATGAAATAAGCTAGAAACATAAAGACAAATATCACATGTTCTCACTCATATGCGGGAGCTAAAAAAGTAGATCTCATGCAGGTAGAGAGTAGAAGGGTGGTAATCAGAGGCTCAGAAAGGAAGAGGGGAGAGAAAAATAAAGAGAAAACATTTAATGGATATAAAATTTAATTAGGTAGAAGGAATAAGTTCTTGTTCTCAATAGTACAGCATGGAAATTATAGGTAAGTATAATTTATGACATGTTGCAAAACACCTAGAAGAATTCTGATATTCCCACCACAAAGAATAGATAAATGTTTGCAGTAACAGATATTCCAATTACTCTAATTTCATCATTACACATTATATACATGTTTCAAAATACACATGTAACCGCATAATATGTACGACTGTGATATATAAATTTAAAAATCCAAAAAGTAAAGTTTTGGATGTGAACTTCATTATATAACAGGGATTCTCCAATCTCTAACTGCACATTAGAAGTATCTAGGAGCTGTTTTAAAAGATTGATTGCCCTGGTCTCACCTTAAAACAATTGATTCAGATGCTCTGGTGGTGGAACCCAAAATGGGTATCTCTATAACATTCACAGTTGATTCTGAGAAAACTGAAATTTGAGAACTGGAAACCTCATGAATCAGATTTACTTGGAGTAGGGTTTAGAGTTTTCTTTTAAATTAATTCTGTCATGTTGTCATTTTGTATGTTGCAGTCTGTAAAGCAAATCTCAGAATAGTGTCTCATTTGCTTTTTTTGCCCTACGCATTTGATGAATCTTCAAAATCTGTGGAGGACACATAAAATCATGTCTCCATTCTAACAAAAAGTATATTTTTAATACCATAATATAGATTTATACTTTCACAGTTTTATTGAATATAAATACTTAGAAAGTGACTGCAGCAAAGTTAATTTCTGACAAATACCTATTTTTGATAATAACCACAATTTTTGAAAGTAAAAAGCAAAAGCAAATTAATAGTATGCTCTTTCTATATTTTAATAAAGTCTATCTGGTGGCTTATGTCCTCATCAAAATAGAAACACCATTAATTTATATTCAAAAACACATTTTTAACTATTTAAAATGCTACCAATTCCATTATAGATATATTTGAAATTTATATAATGCTAATATAACCTAATATAGCTAACATTCTTTGTTAACATAATAGTGTAAAAAAAAAAGATATTTGTTTTAAGCAGCAGTATAATATAGTGGTTTGGTTCAAGATCTCTGGACCTAACCTGTTGAAGTGTCATATTCAGTAACTTATTAGCTGTGATAATTTAGGCAACTCACTTATCCAACAAATGGAGGTATGGATACTCAAAGATAGCTTTAAATATTCAATAAGATTTTATAGTTAAAGCTTTTAAAACATTACCTTGCCCATTATAAATATTAAAACCAATTTTTTTTTGCTCTTCCTATTTTAAAACTGAGACATATTATTATGAGAAACATCAACAGAGTTTCTATGATCACCATTTCCCTCTCATTACACAGTATATAAGTCTGAAAACCAAAGGAATGGAGTAGGAATGGCCCTACTTATCATTATTCCTAATGAACAACTTGGAGAATATATTCTTGTTTCCACAACTTTAGGCTGTTTGGCTCTAGAAGTCCTATTGAATGGGGGGTAATTCATTCACCAGGGAAAATAGAAAAAGTTCCATTAAACTTTCAGCCATGGCTATGGGCCCTTCGCCTTGGGCTCTTTGTGCCAAGAGACCAGCAAATGAAATAAATTCTATCCTGACTGGGTGAAGAACTCTATTCTTCAGAAAGAGGTGAAGTTTTTCCTATCTAATGTGGAAGGAAATAATACATTCGGCTTGAAGATCATCTAGTAAAACTATTCTTGCTGTCCCCCTCCTTAAATGTAACAAGTACAGCAGCCTGAAACTATAAAGAACTTTGGTTACCAAGGGCCACCAGAGAAGTAGATCACTCAGAGAATCTAGGTATCCCATCAGTTAAGTCGCCTAGATCAGGAGAGATGCTATTCAAAGGCGATGTGAACCTAGAATGAGTGGTATAGAAGGTAGGCCAGCTGCTGTGACAGGGACTATGTATATATATGTATATTTTTAACTTTTCTCTTAAAAGTTTCTGCAGGAAATGAAAACTACCAAACTCCTGGAGGACTAGGGTGAATTCACTTTACACAAGGGGTAAACTTACTTTATAAAGCAAGTGGGAGGAAGCAATAGAAATAGTGGGCTGCCTTGTAGCCATCCTTAGAAAAACAAAGTGTGCTTGGTCCTACCAGAGATAAGGAAATACAACTCTGTACTGGGGAGGAAAAAAATCATCCCCCAAATAAACCAGAATGATGTTTTTAACTAGTTGCTAGACAAGCAAAAACAGTATGTCCATTGTATTGAAGGACAGGAATATTGCTGACAAAACTAAGATAAATGCCTGATAGGGAAAAATCGTCATGATTTATTGAATGTCCTGGATTAAAGTTGGAAGACAGTAGATAAATCTTGTTCCAGACTGGAATATTTATTATAAATAAAGAGCTATGACTACACTAATAACTAAACTATTAATAGGAATTCTGTTAAGAGACACCTAAAAAATTCATGATGCTGTAACTAATTCATTCTAAATATGACTGTGGTATTTGCCATTTACTTGGGGAAGCAGTTTAGCACATAAATGTATCCACAAAAATATTATATTTTTCAGCGGAAAACTTAGAGTAGCAATGATTATCAGCAAGTTTTTAACTAGAAAATTTTATGTCGTGTGTTAAAATATGGCTTTATACATTTATGTGAAAGTATATGTAGCATTACTGCTATTCTATCTGTAGGTCTTAAACCTCTGGCAATACATACATCATTCCTAACTTAAAAAAAAAACTTACTCATGAAGTCTTCCTTGTCCAGCAAAGTGTTCTAAGCCTTATTTATTCAGACATTTAAAAATACATTACATAGAATGGATTAAATGTTCATTGGCAATCATAGCATTTTGGTGATTATTTATATTCCATAAATATTTTTATGAAATTCCCATCATAAAGAAATGTATTTAAATGAATATAATTAGTATAATGTTTCAGATTCATTAAGCTTAATTTATTCAGTTACTCCCATTTTAAAAAATTAGCACAAGCACTTTAACTTGCAAAATAAATTTCCCAATTGATTGTACTTAACTTTGGGAAACACTGATGCATATTACTTAAATTAATTTTACTTGATTTGATTTATTTGTTCTTGTATAGATGAAACTACCATATGTGTTTTGAAAGCAAAGTTCTATGAAATACAATTTGCTACACTAGTTGTTCTTCTGAAACTGGAAACAGATATCAGCATAAAACAAGTGTTTTGAATGGTTAAACCTATACTCGATAATTTACTTCCAAGATCATATATATTTCTTTTCCCAAAGACTGATTAGTTCCCTATGGGTAATTCATTAGAGCAATGCTATCATGTGTGGATAAAAATGACAACAGCTTTCAACAGCTAAGAAGAGATTTATATCCCAAGGCCAATAGAATCCTCAAAGACCTAATTAAAATCAAGGACCTCATAGTCTCAGAGTTTTGTGAAGTGTTCTTGGCAGTAACACCATATCCACAATAGGTTTACCTGTTGCTCCTTCCCTGAAAACACATTAAGTAATTCAGAATTACCAACTAATATTAGTGTGAAAAACAGAACAAATGGCCAGTGTTTGATTTTTTTACACATTTTTTTTTGCCTTTGGTCACAGGCAAAGACTATACACAGGGTGTATAGTCAAAATATGTTCATGAAGTGGTTGGTTTAGTTTTTTCCTCCCCCGCTTTGGTATAGTTATTTTAGTCATTTGAAATTAGGTAGTCTGATTTCTTTTTTTTAAATTTTATTATTATTATACTTTAAGTTTTAGGGTACATGTGCACAATGTACAGGTTTGTTACATATGTATACATGTGCCATGTTGGTGTGCTGCACCCATTAACTCGTCATTTAGCATTAGGTATATCTTCTAATGCTATCCCTCCCCACTCCCCCTACCCCACTACAGTCCCCGGAGTGTGATGTTCCCCTTCCTGTGTCCATGTGTTCTCATTTATTTCATTTTCTTTTATTCTTGATTTTATTTTTTGAGCACACAAAAACTATGTTCTAAAAGTCAAAACTAAACAAAAAGTTATTCTCAGAAATGTCATTTTCCCATGCACTGTAGATTGTCTCAACTACCCAGTTTTTCCATCTATTCCAATCTATCCATGTTAATAACTAATCTTGTTTTTGTCTCATGTAGTCATCCTGTCTTTGTTTTTACACAAATAATCAAACATATGTATATTTTCTTGTTTTTTCATAAAAAGCTAATGTACTATAAGCACATTTTTGTGCTTTGTTTCTATTTACATAGCAATAGATTCTAGGAATCATCCCCTACCAATTCAAACAGTACTTTTTATGGCTGAATAGGTCTACAATATGTGGATATACTAGTTTATTAAACCACTGTCCTATTTATGGCTACTTAGGTTATTTGCAATATAGTACTTTGTGATTACCAATAATGCTGTGATGAATAATCTTAGAAATATCTATTTTCATGCTGTTGGAGGTAGAGTAAATTCAGGGTAAATTTTTTAAATAGAATGCTACTCAAAGTGTAACTATAGCTATAGTTTTGTTATAGAGTCACAAATTTCTCTCCAAGACTGTTGTGCAAATTTGCATCCCCACCAATAATATATGAGTATACCTGTTTCCTCAAGACTTACCAAGAGAATATGTTGTCAATATAAATTTTAGCCAAGCTAATAGTTAAGAAATGTAATTTTTGTATAGTGCTTATTTTTATTTCTCTAATTATGAAGTAGTTTGTGCAGCTTGTCACGTGTTAAAGAACCATTTTTTCATCTTTATTTCGATTGTCTGATCTTGCCTCTTCCCCGTATTTCCAATGAGGTTGTTAGTCTTTTTTCCTGAAAAATTTTGGAGTTCTTTATATATAAAAGTTATTTGTCCTTCATTTGTGATTGCAAATATTTTTTATTATCTTTTTTATTTTGTTGTTTTGCCATGTGATAGTTTTATAATTATGTTTATGTACTCATATTTATCAGTCTTTTCTTTAATCATCTCTTAATTTTTAAGTACTTTTTCTTTTCTTTTTTTTTGAGACGGAGTCTTGCTCTGTCACCAGGTTGGAGTGCAGTGGCACGATCTCGGCTCACTGCAACCTCCATCCCATACGTTGGAGTTATTCTCCTGCCTCAGCCTCCCAAGTAGCTGGGACTAGAGGCGCGCACTACCACCCCCAGCTAATTTATTTCGCATTTTCAGTAGAGACGGGGTTTCACCATGTTAGCCAGGGTGGTCTCGATTTCCTGACCTCCCCATCTGTCCACATCGGCCTCCCAAAGTGCTGGGATTACAGGGGTGAGCCACTGCACCCGATCAATTTTTAAGTGCTTTTCCTATATTCAGATTATAAATGAATCCATTCCATTTCTGGGTTTTTTTTTTTTTTTTTTTTTTTTTTTTTTTTTTTTTTTAAGAAACTGTATGGCTTACTTATTCATTGATTCATTCACTCATTTAATATCACTGATTGTTTTTAATATTCTTGAGTATTTGGTGTTTATTCTTGTGCATAATAGGAGGCATAGATGTAATTTTCTATTTTCCAAATGGCTAACCAATGTGTCACATGATTTGAGAAGACACCTTCATTATATCATACATTTTTATATTTAAAAATATAAATATATTGTTTCTAGAGCTCTCTAATTTATTTCATCAGTGTCTAATACATTCTGCCTCATGAAATATAATGGCTTTATCATTAGACTAAGATCTTTAGTATAAACTTGTCTTTTTTTGTTGGTAGTTTTATCATTATTTTGCTAAATTTATACATTAAAATATGGGGAACTGGCATTTTTATGATCTTGATTTTTCTTAAACAAATGCTATGTTTTCATTTGCTCAGATCTCCTTGTGGATTTCTCTATAGTGTTTAAGTGTTTCCACATATAGGTTTTTTTTTTCAGTTAATTTTTTTAAAGAAATTTATTTTTTTATTTTTGCTGTTGTAAATAGGGTTTTCTTTATCAAATCTCCTAGTTATCGATTATATATATAAATGACATTAATTTGGGTGTATTAATTTTATAATTTTCTACTTTTTAAATTATTTTATCATTTTAGTATTAGGTTTGGATATTGTTTTTATGATGTAACAGGTATATGATCATATCTCATGCGGAGGCAGTTTATTATTTTCCAATTTCAATTATTCTAATTGATTTTTTTTCTAATTGTATTTGCTAATACCTATAGAAAGTATTAATTCTTTTAAGCAATAGTGGACATCTTTGTGTTGTTCTTAAACTTAATGAAAGTGCATTGAATATTTGGTTGCTAAATAAGATGATGGTTTTAAATTTAGAATATATAGCCTATATCAGTATACACACACACACGCACACACACGATCTTATTTTCTTGAAGTATTTTCCTCAAAAATAGAGTGTAAATTCTGTCAAGTGTATTTATATCTGTGAAACCAGTAAATAATGTTAGCAATATCCTAATATTAACACATTTTCCATTTCTGCAATAAATTCCACTTGGTCATGGTATGTCATTTTTATAATATGGTATTAGATATATTAGTTTACATTTAATTTACTAATTTGCATTGATATTTTAAGTGACATTCTTTTCTTTCTCTGATACTGTCTTTAATAGGTATACGTAGAAATGTTATACTTCATAAAAATCATGGGAAGTTTTCCTTTATTTTTAATACTGCGAAACATTTTTTGATCTGTTTTTGTTTTGTAGATGTTTTTTGGAAGAAGTAGTTCCTTTAGTCTCTTTTTTCCTTTAACTGTTGTTGTTTCCTTTAGAAATGGGTCACTTTAGGTTTATTCTCTCCAGTGAGTTTTCAGTAATACTGCTATTCCATTGTTTTGGTTGCCTTCTTCAGAGACTCATGTCCCATGTCCTAGATCTTTTTCACTTGTATTTCTTTTCAAGTAAGATCTCTGACCATTTTTTATTTCATTGCCTACATCATTCTCTGGGTTGTTTTACTGCTTTCCTTTAATTGCTTTTATTATGTTTAAATTCAGATCTACTTATACTTTAAAAATGTATAATTCATTTATTATTTTGATAGTATTATTTTTTGTCTATTTCCTTTTTGAGTTCAGCCAGAACTATTTTTTCTTGTTTTTCCACTATTTATATTCCTAATATTTTTATTGATTGTTCAAATTCATTTTTAAGTAACCCCAAAAGGCTCGATGGAGTATATACAAATCACTAAGTAGTTTTAATCCGTGAACTGAATTGTTTCCTTTCCCATTGTCTGCTTAATTCTTATTGCAGTTTGTATAGATGAAAAGTATTTGTTCTTTTGCATTTCTGTGGCAATGGTTTATAGTCTGGGGCAGTTTACAAGACACCATTTTTACAAGTGCATTCCAGTATAACAAAATATGATTTCTCTTTGAGTGACTTTTTGAGGCAAGAGAAGTGGGGTGGGGTTCTGTGCCTTTTATGTTTTTCATTTTACTAAATTTTCTTTTATTCCCTCAAATAAATCATCTCCATTGCTTTCTCTCCTCTTCTGCCTGAAACTTGCTTTAAAAAAAAACTGCTCTCTCAAAATTCACACACACTGTAAAATTTTTTCCCTGCTTTTTCCCCCTTCTGATCTAAAAAGAATCTTTTTCACCATTTTCCATGTAGATGAGTCTTTCTCTTTCTGTTAGTGAACACAGGTCAATCTTAATACTGCATCTTACTCTCCTATTAGCCCCTATATGTAGGTTTTCCTTGACTCCTCTTGCTCTGTGAGATTCAAAGGTTTCCACAGAAGAATTTGAGCAATAAATTGAGTTGGTGTTTATTATTCCATGTATGGGTAATTCAAAGTTAGCCATCCTCTTTCTTTCAGTTATGCCAAACAATGAATTTTATTTAGTCTCATATGTTACTTTTGTTGCTATAATTTTTATAATTCCGTAAGAGATTTAGATTTATTCTGTTAGCATTAACTTAGCTACCCACAATTTCTAAGACAGTAAGAATATTTTAGAAGGTGGTACTGCAGTTCTCTGATACTCAGTTCCATATTCCCGTTTTCTATAAAATAGATATGTTGAATTTATTTTACTATATTTCTTTGGCCCAAAGGCTATGTTCTCCATTGTGGCTCTTTTGTTGCCTCCTGTTATATAAATAATTAGTGTACAAGCCAGTAGACTAGCTACATTTTTTACTCCTAAAAAAAGTAAGAGAGGAGTTAAGAAGGCATATGTTCTCTTTTTACCATGGCTCTTTAGCTATGTCTTAAGCAGTAGATTTCCATCAGCATTAAAAAAGAGCAACACACACACACACAAAAACAAAACCAGAAAACAACAACAAAAAGCTCTCATTAGTTTCTGCCTGTGTATACTAATATCTTCTTTTCAACATTCAGATTTCTAAATTACCAAAGCAGTAAAATTCAGCATCTGTGTACACAGATTACACATAGAGCTCAGGCATGGATGATAAAGATAAAAGGGTAATAGGAAGTAGAATCAGAGTTTATTAAAATATAATTTTATGCTTGATTTGGTTAGAATTGGCCTGATTTCATTTGCACTTCACATCACCAGCTGCCAATTTAGTATAATTTGGAACCACAAATTATCGATGACAAAATATAATTAAATTTTTTATCAAGTTTAAGGGGCTTCGAAGTTCTGTTGCTCTTATAGAGAGGAAGAAAAATGATATGCAGTAAGGTTATTATACATAATATACATATATATCAGAAAAGCTTTATATAGTGCACTATGATGACTTTAAGAATAATTGCATTCAAAACAAAATTTTTTTTTTATTATACTTTAAGTTTTAGGGTACATGTGCACATTGTGCAGATTAGTTACATATGTAGACATGTGCCATGCTGGTGCACTGCACCCACTAACTCGTCATCTAACATTAGGTATATCTCCCAATGCTATCCCTCCCCCCTCCCCCCACCCCACAACAGTCCCCAGAGTGTGATATTCCCCTTCCTGTGTCCATGTGATCTCATTGTTCAATTCCCACCTATGAGTGAGAATATGCAGTGTTTGGTTTTTGGTTCTTGCGATAGTTTACTGAGAATGATGATTTCCAATTTCATCCATGTCCCTACAAAGGACATGAACTCATCATTTTTTATGGCTGCATAGTATTCCATGGTGTATATGTGCCACATTTTCTTAATCCAGTCTATCATTGTTGGACATTTGGGTTGGTTCCAAGTCTTTGCTATTGTGAATAATGCCGCAATAAACATACGTGTGCATGTGTCTTTATAGCAGCATGATTTATAGTCCTTTGTGTATATACCCAGTAATGGGATGGCTGGGTCAAATGGTATTTCTAGTTCTAGATCCCTGAGGAATCGCCACACTGACTTCCACAATGGTTGAACTAGTTTACAGTCTCACCAACAGTGTAAAAGTGTTCCTATTTCTCCACATCCTCTCCAGCACCTGTTGTTTCCTGACTTTTTAATGATTGCCATTCTAACTGGTGTGAGATGGTATCTCATTGTGGTTTTGATTTGCATTTCTCTGATGGCCAGTGATGATGAGCATTTTTTCATGTGTCAAAACAAAAATTTTAAGAAGGTAAAATTACATTTTGTCTCTTCTAGTCAATAATTTGTTAATATCCACTAGTGTTTTCTTTTTTTCTTTCTCCCTCTCCTTCTTATTCTTTCCCTTCAGCTTCTTATTTAGTAGGGTCCTACTACTCTGCCATAAACTAATGCTATGTTCTGTCTAACAAGGTCACAGACAAATATTAGCAGCCTCAGAAGAATGTGAAGTGAAGGAACCTTTATACCTGGAAGATTTAGATGAATTCCAAATGAATAATTTTTCTTCTTTTTGAACTGTGAAAATGTTATATTTAACTAGGATGACATAAACAGAAATATAGTCTATGGCAGATCTCCAGCAAAACGATAAAGGAAATGATATAATAAATTAATATGTGGAATACCTTAAAATAAAAATAAATTGGCAAAAATGCATAAAATGAATGAAAAAGAATAATCTAATTTTGGATAGTTAAATATATTATAATCTTCTTAAAGTTAAATAGTTTTATTCAATTATGTCTTACATCAAAGAATGCTAGCAATGAGCTTTGTCCACTCAATGAATTATAGATTTCATTTAGTTAACACAGAGTGGGTACAATTACCAATAAAGACAATGAAATGTAGAAGAATGAAAATTTTGTGATTAAATATCACCCTCTTAATTTTATAAGATAAATGCCCAAGATGAACTGTTCTTTAAAGGGAATAATAAAACCATAATTGCCTTAGGAGAAAAAAGCTTAGAGACACTGATTCAAATATAGATTTACAAGACCATAAAATGCCAGAGCAGAAGGAAGCTTGAAAATCATTTAATTTAACTTCTAATTTTACATTTGAATAAACAAATAAATCCAAGGAAAGTCTGCATAGGTGAGAGGCATGAAGTCTAATTTTCTAAAACAAAGCCTACTTGGTCAGCTGAAAGAAGCAGAAAGGAGTTGTTTATGTTCAAAGCAAATGTTAACAACACATGAGAACCCCAGATATCTTTCAGTTGCTTAGGAACATTCAGGATTCTGGGCAAGTTCAGCATACAAAAGAGAAATTAGTAAAAGTGAATTTTACTACTTACAGTACTATAAATGCCAAGAACCAGATATAGAAGCAAGTCCTTGATGAGAAGAGAAAAACAAACAATAATGCAAGAATTGGGTGGCTGATATTGTCTTGAGTTTGAAGCAAATGACTTGTGTTATCAGACACAGCAAGATAAGGTCAATTTCTCTGGGAGGTGGCACTCAAAAAATAGAGCTAAACTAGCAGTCAATTTTCTATTAATTGATATTTTTTAAGTTACAATAAAACAATATGGTTTTAAAGAGCCCTTGTCCTGTCTGAGTGAGGCATATTTATAATAAGGTATGCAAGCTCTAAGTTTGGAGTCCTTTGGGACTTGCCAAAGGTCCAACAAATTAGTAACTAGCAGATTTAGAAATAGAAACCATCCTGGCTAACATGGTGAAACCCTGTTTCTACTAAAAATACAAAAAAATTAACCAGGCATGGTGGCGGGTGCCTGTAGTCCCAGCTACTCCGGAGGCTGAGGCAGGAGAATGGGGTGAACCCGGGAGGCGGAGCTTGCAGTGAGCCGAGATCGCGCCACTGCACTCCAGCCTGGGCAACAGAGCGAGACTCAGTCTCAAAAAAAAAAAAAAAAAAAAAAAAAAGAAATAGAAACCAGATTTCCTAATTAATTCCTGGGCTACTGCATTTCACCAGTAGTTTTTCAAATGTTGAATGCTCTAGGAATGTATGAATCAAGGAATATTTTTTACATTTCTTTCAGATTTTTATCTTTGGTGGGAAATTAACAAATATTTACATCTGATCAAATAAAAATATTGAAAACAAACCAACAAAAGGTACCAGAACGAAGGTACAAATACTAAAAGTCCACACCTCAAATAATAAAACCAACATAGCCTTTTCCTTCATCTTCATTAACTTTACATGTTAGATGGATTAACATTTTAAATGTTATAAAATGAGATCATACAATAAATAGAAGAAATATGGGATGCATTTTTTTATCTTAGACTAGGGGAATGTTTTCTAAGCCTGATCGCAAAACAGAAACACAACAAAAGTGATTGTGTAATTTACCTGCATAAAATTTCTGTAAGAATGAAATACCATAAACAAAGTCAAAAGACAGAAAAGAAACAATATATATAACATTTAATAGAGAATAACTAGAATATTTTGTTTGTTGTTTTCACTATAGAAATCATTTTTATGAATCAAAATAAAAGAAAAATGACCAAGTAATAAGAACAAGCAGTTCATTTTTTTAAAAGAGAGTAAAAATAGCTAATAAATATAGGAAAAGAAAGCCAAGCCCAACAACAACAAAGCAAAAAACACTCTCACATGGGCAGGTATTGGCCAATTGGATATTAATCTCAATTTGAAGAAATACTTTGAGAGTGACACCTCCTTTACAATATTGCATCAGAGGGGCTACCTTAAGCAAGCTGCAGAGGATAACTTGATTACATAGCTAAACAGTTTTGCCAATTATATACCATCTTAAGGAATTTAAACACTTGTGTTTGTGTACGTGTTAGAAATCTCACAATGTTTAACATACTTCAAAGGATAATAACAAGTATTCACCACTTCCTTCCAATGCTATAATATTTGTCCTCACTAACCTAATTTTACCTAAACTGTACCCTCAGTCACAGCAAACCAATCTCCTCCTGGAACTTGAGGTCTCTGATATCAGTAATATTTTAAATTTCCCTGTTAACAAAACATTTACTGCTGATTTTTTCAGATAGTGTCATGTAGCCATTAAGACTCAAGGAGAGTTTTAAACATGCTAGTTAATACAAATTGTAATCATTACCTTACAGCAAAATGTACTGGCAATTATTTCAGGGGGTTTAGTTACTGAAAAGAACAGTTCCTGCATCCTCTCCAGCACCTGTTGTTTCCTGACTTTTTAATGATCGCCATTCTAAATGGCGTGAGATGGTATCTCATTGTGGTTTTGATTTGCATTTGTCTAATGACCAGTGATGATCAGCTTTTTTTTCACATGTTTGTTGGGCGCATAAATGTCTTCTTTAGAGAAGTGTCTGTTCATATCCTTAGCCCACTTTTTGATAGGGTTGTTCGTTTGTTTTCTTGTAAATTGGTTTAATTTCCTTGTAGATTCTGGATATTTGTCCTTTGTCAGATGGATAGGATATGAAATAGGAAAACTTTTACCCTGTTGGTGGGACTGTAAACTAGTTCAACCATTGTGGAAGACAGTGTGGCAATTCCTCAAGGATCTAGAACAAGAAATACCATTTGACCCGGCAATCCCATTACTGGTTATATACCCAAAGGATTATAAATGATCCTAATATAAAGACACCTGCACATGTATGTTTATTGTGGCACTATTCACAATAGCAAAGACTTGGAACCAAACCAAATGCCCATCAATGACAGACTGGATAAAGAAAATGTGGCACATTACTATGAAGCCATAAAAAACGATGAGTTCATGTCCTTTGCAGGGACATGGATGAAGCTGGAAACCATCATTTTCAGCAAACTAACAAAGAAACAGAAAATCAAACACCGCATGTTCTCACTCATAAGTGGGAGTTGAACAATGGGAACATCACACATGGGGTCTCTTAGGGAGTTGGGGGGCTAGGGAAGGGACAGCATTAGGAGAAATACCTAATGTAGATGACGGGTTGATGGGTGCAGCAAACCACCATGACAAGTGTATACCTAGGTAACAAACCTGCCTGTTCTGCACATGTATCCAATAACTTAAAGTGTAATAAAAAAATAAAAATAATAGAGAACATAATTTTGAACAAGAAAAAACCAGTTCTCCAATTTTAACTGAATAGGACTAATATAATCATTTCCAACTTTTCTTGAATGTCTATACTTATACAGATTTTTTTAAAAAACAACACTTGTACCCATAGTGACAACTGGCGAAGAACACTATATTACACACTAGGTGGAAAACACATTACTCTAAGGCAGATAGAGCTGGATTGAAAAAAAATCTCCCAAGGGTTATATTTATCAATAATCCTCATGCATATAAGGAAAAACTCACTTTACTATGTAGAAGAAGAAATGATATACTTAATGTGGAGACATGTGAACTATATGATGAAGAAAACTGGGGTACTGTAGTTCCACACAACAACTTACAAAATACATTGTGAAATATTATTGGATTTTCCCACCTTCCTACTCCTATCTAATAATCCCAAGGAAAAGAGTACAATCCATAGAAAGGGAGGCAAAACAAAACAAAACAAAAACTGAGATGGATAAAGAAATGTCTGATAAAATTGCAGGATTCTGCAATTCTTATTTCCCAAATAAATAGGGCATAGGCAGTAGAACTTTTGAATAGCTTTACATATTGGCACTTGGCATTTTTCATATTTCAGTTACTCAAAATGCTAGGAGTCAGTCTATTGGTTATGAGAGAATGCCATCTAGGAGCATAGATAGGCACTAGGATTAAAATTGTTAATAATTGAAGATTTTGAATGTTTTGAGAGCTGCTCAGAGGATCCTGAGATCCAGTAATAACTTTGAGAAGGAAACTTATCAATTCATGGGAAATTTGTGGTTAAGGAGATTACATTGACCAAAGCTCTCATCACCCGATAGTCTGGATGTATCTTATTTTAGTCAAAGGTAAGTTAGGAGAAAACAAAACAAATTGAAGGTTGGAAAAATCTTGAGTAACTGAAGAGTAGGAACAGCACCTGAATGATCAGAAAAGCATGTTTTGAAATGTAATCTACTGATATATTGTTAAATGTATATGTTCAAAAAATTCTGATTGCTTACTAGACCCAAGTCACTTCATTGTTTTATATGTCAAGTAGACATGGTTTTGTGAAACAGAGTAGGAAGTCTTAACAATAGCGCAGCTGGGATCATAATATAATACTAAAGAAAAATAAAAACAAACAAGGGGTGGAGCTAGAACTCACACAGGACTGAAAGCCATATTGAGATGCTGAAGATCAGAATGCTTCT
The DNA here is from genome assembly GCF_000001405.40 of Homo sapiens. Lineage (NCBI taxonomy): Eukaryota > Metazoa > Chordata > Mammalia > Primates > Hominidae > Homo > Homo sapiens. Next base: position 95,858,744 of record NC_000003.12, read on the forward strand.
CTAAAACTAACATCAGTGAGGAGAGAGGCAAAGGAGAGGTGCTCCCGGGATGTAAAAAAAAGGGCAAGAAGTTAAACTATGAAAAAGGAAGATAAGAATAGAGTGAGGAGATAACAGATACATGAAATGTATTCCAGATTGAGGGATCACCAGAGATGAAATAAGTACTATATATATATTTTAAAAACCTTAATAAAATAAAAAATTAGATTCATAAGGATATTAAAAGAATAGTAAAACATTACTAAGTAATTCTTATTTCTGGAAAATAATGATTCATTACTTGAAATGTACTGAGAATATCAATAAAACAAAGTGGGGGGAAGAAAATTATTTCAAAAATACTAGAAATGCATTTTGTAAAATTCATCAATTGGGGAATTAAATTTAAAACTCTAGTAAAATTCATCACTAAACCTTAATTAGAAAAGAAAAAAAGGTTTTTGTATTCCTAACATGGTAATGATTAAATGTCTTAAGCTAACACTCAACGTCAATATGTAATAAGTAAATGGTAAAGGCATTTCCATTAAAGTGAAGAACAAAACAAAAATGCCCATTGACAGCATATTATCATTTGGAAGCTATTGATAATGTAATAAATTCAATTAGGTGGTCCCCTATACAATTAAATTGCAAAATTAGTAAGGTTTCTGTATACTAGCTGTAATATATTTAATTGGAAAATGTTCCTTTTCAAAAGGACATGTAAAAATAAACAAAAGAAATTCAGCTGTAAATCTTGATTGAATATTATGAAAAACAAAACACAAACACTTTATCACAGACACTTCATTACCTAATTATCTTTATAAGTCTCTGACATCAACTTAAGCCTGCCTGTCTTTCCCCACTAAACTTCAGATTCACTGGCTGTCTTTCCATTCCTTCAACAAGCTGTTTCTCAACTTCATGACATTTTCATAGTCTCTTCTCTTTGTTTAGAATTCTGTTACATAAACTGTTTCTTTGTATTGCTAGCTTTGCTGCAAGTTTTTCCTTAAATCTTACATCCCTAGGGCGTCTTCTTTCCCAGGACGCTACAATGTATCTTACCCTCACACACACACATTTTAGGATCCCAGCCACTTCATTTTTCCTTTCGTAGGTAGTATCTCCATTCATAATTTCATATGTATTTGTTTGTTTTATTTTTTGAGACAGAGTCTTGTTCTGTTGCCCAGGCTGGAGTGCAGTGGCGCGATCACTGCTCACTGCAAGTTCCACCTCCTGGGTTCACTCCATTCTACTGCCACAGCCTCCTGAGTAGGTGGGACTACAGGCGCCCATCACCATTTCTGGCTAATTTTTTGTATTTTCAGTAGAGACAGGGTTTCACCGTGTTAGCCAGGATGGTCTAGATCTCCTGACCTCGTGATCTACCCACTTCAGCCTCCCAAAGTGCTGGGATTACAGGCGTGAGCCACCGCACCCAGCCTCATATGTATTTTTTTTATTATTTCCTACATGGTAAGTGCCAGAGCAACAGAAATAATATCCAAAGTATGCAAACATTCCATAAATACTGAAAAGAAAGACTGAGAACAATATGTGGGTGAGAGTGCTCAATATCTTTGATGGTTTGATGGTACTTTATGGGCCCAGATTGTCACATAAATTTTAGGTATTTTAAATCTAACTCCTGAGGGTGGAGACAAGATGGCTGAATAGGAACAGCTCCAGTCTATAGCTCCCAGTGTGAGTGACGCAGAAGACGGGTGATTTCTGCATTTCCAATTGAGGTACCGGGTTCATCTCACCGGGGAGTGTCGGACAGTGGGTGCAGGACAATGGGTGCAGTGCACCGAGCATGAGCCGAAGCAGGGCGAGGCATCACCTCACCCAGGAAGCACAAGGGGTCAGTGAATTCCCTTTCCTAGTCAAAGAAAGGGATGACAGATGGCACCTGGAAAATAAGGTCACTCCCACCGTAATACTGCGCTTTTCCAATGGTCTTAGCAAACAGCACACCAGGAGATTATATCCCGCACCCGGCTCGGAGGGTCCTACACCCAAAGAGCCTCACTCATTGCTAGCACAGCAGTCTGAGATCAAACTGCAAGGTGGCAGCGAGGCTGGGGCAGGGGCGCCCGCCATTGCCAAGGCTTGAGTAGGTAAACAAAGTGGCTGGAAAGCTCAAACTGGGTGGAGCCCATCGCAGCTCAAAGAGGCCTGCCTGCCTCTGTAGATTCCACCTCTGGGGGCAGGGCATAGCCAAACAAAAGGCAGCACAAACCTCTGCAAACATAAATGTCCCTGTCTGACAGCTTTGAAGAGACTACTGGTTCTCCCAGCACGCAGCTGGAGATCTGAGAATGGACAGACTGCCTCCTCAAGTGGGTCCCTGAACCCCAAGTAGCCTAACTGGGAGGCACCCCCCAGTAGGGGCAGACTGACATCTCACACAGCCAGGTACTCCTCTGAGACAAAACTTCCAGAGGAACGATCAGGCAGCAACATTTGCTGTTCACCAATACCCGCTGTTCTGCAGCCTCTGCTGCTGATACTCACGCAAACAGGGTCTGGAATGGACCTCCAGCAAACTCCTACAGATCTGCAGCTGAGGGTCCTGAGTGTTAGAAGAAAAACTAAAAAACAGAAAGGACAACCACACCAAAACCCCATCTGTACATCACCATCATCAAAGACCAAAGGTAGATAAAACCACAAAGATGGAGAAAAAACAGAGCAGAAAAACTGGAAACTCTAAAAATCAGAGTGCCTCTCCTCCTCCAAAGGAATGCAGCTCCTTACAAGCAACGGAACACAGCTGGATGGAGAATGACTTTGATGAGTTGAGAGAACAGGGCTTCAGAAGATCAAACTACTCCGAGCTAAAGGAGGAAGTTCGAACCCATGGCAAAGAAGTTAAAAACCTTGAAAAAAGATTAGACGAATGGCTAACTAGAATAACCAATGCAGAGAAGTCCTTAAAGGACCTGATGGAGCTGAAAACCATGGCACGAGAACTACTTGATGAATGCATAAATCTCAGTAGCCAATTCGATCAACTGGAAGAAAGAGTATCAGTGATGGAAAATCAAATGAATGAAATGAAGTGAGAAGAGAAGTTTAGAGAAAAAAGAATAAAAAGAAATGAACAAAGCCTCCAAGAAATATGGGACTATGTGAAAAGACCAAATCTACGACTGATTGGTGTACCTGAAAGCGATGGAGAGAATGGAACCAAGTTGGAAAACACTCTGCAGGATATTATCCAGGAGAACTTCCCCAACCTAGCAAGGCAGGCCAACATTCAGATTCAGGAAATACAGAGAATGTCACAAAGATACTCCTCGAGAAGAGCAATTCCAAGACACATAATTGTCAGATTCACCAAAGTTGAAATGAAGGAAAAAATGTTAAGGGCAGCCAGAGAGAAAGGTCGGGTTACCCTCAAAGGGAAACCCATCAGACTAAAAGCTGATCTCTCAGTAGAAACTCTACAAGCCAGAAGAGAGTGGGGGCCAATATTCAACATTCTTAAAGAAAAGAATTTTCAACCCAGAACTTCATATCCAGGCAAACTAAGCTTCATAAGTGAAGGAGAAATGAAATCCTTTACAGACAAGCAAAAGCTGAGATATTTTGTCACCACCAGGCCTGCCCTAAAAGAGCTCCTGAAGGAAGCCCTAAACATGGAAAGGAACAACCGCTACCAGCCACTGGAAAAACGTACCAAACTGTAAAGACCATCAAGACTAGGAAGAAACTACATCAACTAATGAGCAAAATAACCAGCTAACATTATAATGACAGGATCAGATTCACACATAACAATATTAACTTTAAATGTAAATGGGCTAAATGCTCCAATTAAAAGACACAGACTGGCAAATTGGATAAAGAGTCCAGACCCATCAGTGTGCTGTACTCAGGAAACCCATCTCACGTGCAGAGACAAACACAGGCTCAAAACAAAGGGATGGAGGAAGATCTACCAAGCAAATGGAAAACAGAAAAAGGCAGGGGTTGCAATCCTAGTCTCTGATAAAACAGACTTTAAACCAACAAAGATCAAAAGAGACAAAGAAGGCCATTACATAATGATAAAGGGATCAATTCAACAAGGAGAGCTAACTATCCTAAATATATATGCACCCAATACAGGAGCACCCAGATTCATAAAGCAAGTCCTTAGAGACCTACAAAGATCCTTAGACTTCCACACAATAATAATGGGAGACTTTAACACCCCACTGTCAACATTAGAAAGATCAACGAGACAGAAAGTTAACAAGGATAACCAGGAATTGAACTCAGCTCTACACCAAGCGGACCTAATAGACATCTACAGAACTCTCCACCCCAAATCAACAGAATATACATTCTCCTCAGCACCACACCACACCTATTCCAAAATTGACACATAGTTGGAAGTAAAGCTCTCCTCAGCAAATGTAAAAGAACAGAAATTATAAAAAACTGTCTCTCAGAACACAGTGCAATCAAACGAGAACTCAGGATTAAGAAACTCACTCAAAACCAATCGACTCCATGGAAACTGAACAACCTGCTCCTGAATGACTACTGGGTACATAACGAAATGAAGGCAGAAATAAAGATGTACTTTGAAACCAACGAGAACAAAGACACAACATACCAGAATCTCTGGGACACATTCAAAGCAGTGTGTAGAGGGAAATTTATAGCACTACATGCACACAAGAGAAAGCAGGAAAGATCTAAAATGGACACCCTAACATCACAATTAAAAGAACTAGAAAAGCAAGAGCAAACACATTCAAAAGCTAGCAGAAGGCAAGAAATAACTAAGATCAGAGCAGAATTGAAGGAAATAGAGACACACAAAAACCCTTCAAAAAATCAATGAATCCAGGAGCTCGTTTTTTGAAAACATCAACAAAATTGATAGACCACTAGCAAGACTAATAAAGAAGAAAAGAGAGAAGAATCAAATAGACACAATAAAAAATGATAAAGGGGATATCACCACCGATCCCACAGAAATACAAACTACCATCAGAGAATACTATAAACACCTCTACGCAAATGAACTAGAAAATCTAGAAGAAATGGATAAATTCTTCGACACATACACCCTCCCAAGACTAAACCAGGAAGAAGTTGAATCTCTGAATAGACCAATAACAGGCTTTGAAATTGAGGCAATAATTAATAGCTTACCAACAAAAAAAGTCCAGAACCAGGTGGATTCACAGCTGAATTCTACCAGAGGTACAAGGAGGAGCTGGCACTGTTCCTTCTGAAATTATTCCAAGCAATAGAAAAAGAGGGAATCCTCCCTAACTCATTTTATGAGGCCAGCATCATCCTGATGCTAAAGCCTGGCAGAGACACAACAAAAAAAGAGAATTTTAGACCAATATCCCTGATGAACATCGATGCAAAAATCCTCAATAAAATACTGGCAAACCGAATCCAGCAGCACATCAAAAAGCTTATCCACCAAGATCAAGTGGGCTTCATCCCTGGGATGCAAGGCTGGTTCAATATACGCAAATCAATCAACATAATCCAGCATATAAACAGAACCAATGACAAAAACCACAAGATTATCTCAATAGATGCAGAAAAGGCCTTTTACAAAATTCAACAACCCTTCATGCTAAAAACTCTCAATAAATTAGGTATTGATGGGTCATATCTCAAAATAATAAGAGCTATCTATGACAAACCCACAGCCAATATCATACTGAATGGGCAAAAACTGGAAGCATTCCCTTTGAAAACTGGCACAAGACAGGGATGCCCTCTCTCACCACTCCTATTCAACTTAGTGTTGGAAGTTCTGGCCAGGGCAATTAGGCAGGAGAAGGAAATAAAGGGTATTCAATTAGGAAAAGAGGAAGTCAAATTGTCCCTGTTTGCAGATGACATGATTGTATATTTAGAAAACCCCATCGCCTCAGCCCAAAATCTCCTTAAGTTGAAAGGCAACTTCAGCAAAGTCTCAGGATACAAAATCAATGTGCAAAAATCACAAGCATTCTTATACACCAAGAACAGACAAACAGAGAGCCAAATCATGAGTGAACTCCCATTCACAATTGCTTCAAAGAGAATAAAATACCTAGGAATCCAACTTACAAGGGACATGAAGGACCTCTTCAAGGAGAACTACAAACCACTGCTCAATGAAATAAAAGAGGATACAAACAAATGGAAGAACATTCCATGCTCATGTGAAGGAAGAATCAGTATCCTGCAAATGGCCATACTGCCCGAGGTAATTTACAGATTCAATGCCATCCCCATCAAGCTACCAATGACTTTCTTCACAGAATTGGAAAAAACTACTTTAAAGTTCATATGGAACCAAAAAAGAGCCCGCATCACCAAGTCAATCCTAAGCCAAAAGAACAAAGCTGGAGGCATCACGCTACCTGACTTCAAACAATACTACAAGGCTACAGTAACCAAAACAGCATGGTACTGGTACCAAAACAGACATATAGACCAAGGGAACGGAACAGAGCCTTCAGAAATAGTGCCGCATATCTACAACCATCTGATCTTTGACAAACCTGAGAAAAACAAGAAATGGGGAAAGGATTCCCTATTTAATAAATGGTGCTGGGAAAACTGGCTAGCCATATGTAGAAAGCTGAAACTGGATCCCCTCCTTAAACCTTATACAAAAATTAATTCAAGATGGATTAAAGACTTAAATGTTAGACCTAAAACCATAAAAACCCTAGAAGAAAACCTAGGCAATACCATTCAGGACATAGGCATAGGCAAGGACTTTATGTCTAAAACACCAAAAGCAATGGCCACAAAAGCCAAAATTGACAAATGGATCTAATTAAGCTAAAGAGCTTCTGCACAGCAAAAGAAACTGCCATCAGAGTGAACAGGCAACCTACAGAATGGGAGAAAATTTTTGCAATCTACTCATCTGACAAAGGGCTAATATCCAGAATCCACAATGAACTCAAACAAATTTACAAGAAAAAACAAACAACCCCATCAAAAAGTGGGCAAAGGGTATGAATAGAGATTTCTCAAAAGAAGACATTTATGCAGCCAAAAGACACATGGAAAAATGCTCATCATCATTGGCCATCAGAGAAATGTAAATCAAAACCACAATGAGATACCATCTCACACCAGTTAGAATGGTGATCATTAAAAAGTCAGGAAACAACAGGTGCGGGAGAGGATGTGGAGAAATAGGAACACTTTTACACTGTTGGTGGGACTGTAAACTAGTTCAACCATTCTGGAGTCAGTGTGGTGATTCCTCAGGGATCTAGAACTTGAAATACCATTTGACCCAGCCATCCCATTACTGGGTATATACCCAAAGGATTATAAAACATGCTGCTATAAAGACACATGCACACATGTGCTTATTGCGGCACTATTCACTATAGCAAAGACTTGGAACCAACCCAAACGTCCAACAATGATAGACTGGATTAAGAAAATTGGCACACATACACCATGGAATACCATGCAGCCATAAAAAATGATGAGTTCATGTCCTTTGTAGGGATATGGATGAAGCTGGAAACCATCATTCTCAGCAAACTATCCCAAGGACAAAAAAGCAAACACCGCATGTTGTCACTCATAGGTGGGAATTGAACAGTGAGAACACATGGACACAGGTAGGGGAAGATCACACACCAGGGCCTGTTGTGGGGTGGGGGTAGGGGGTAGGTATAGCATTAAGAGATATACCTAATGTTAAATGATGAGTTAACGAGTGCAGCACACCAACATGGCACATGTATACGTATGTAACAAACCTGCACATTGTGCATATGTACCCTAAAACTTAAAGTGTAGTAAAAAAATAAAAAATAATAATAAATATATCCAACTCCTGATTAACAGAGTGATTCTGAAGTTCAGAACAATAAACGATCAATAATGGCTAACTTCAGAAACATTTCTAAGAGCATAATAATTGACAACAGGATTAATCATTTGACAAAGTCATAATTCAATGAAATGATTTGGCAAAAAGCCTAACCATTTGGGAAACATATAGTTGATGCTTACCTTATACATCAAAATAAATTCCATGGGAGTTAAAATTCTAAATATTAAAAAACATTAAACCCAACATCTTATAGAAGAAAATCTAGTTAAATATTAACATATTTTTCTTGTGCAGAAGTCAGTTCTAAGAATCATATTAATTTTCTTATGCAAAATTTATTTTTTCAATAATTTTACTTTGAAAATTATCAAAATAAAAATGCAATTGACATAGCACAGTTAGGAAAATAGCAACAAAAATTAACAGCTTTTATTTGTAAAGCAATACGTAAATCTATAAGAAAAATAAAAACTTTTAAACACAATATGAATAGGTATATGCATTTTTAATGTTTAAACACTCCATATTCTTCCATTCACCACTCGGCTTCTAAATTCTATTCTTAAGAAATAATCATGGCTGTCTGTGTCCAAACATTTCCCTATGTTCATCACATTGTTTTAAGCAATCATGAAAAATGAGAACCTAAACGTCCACAAGATGATATTTTTAAATAAAGTATATTATAGCATATAATACAATGCAATTGTCAACCAAATATTTTAGAAGCATTTTCAACATAAAATGTACACATTACCTATGTATTATTAATCAAATAAAAGCAAAACTGTTAAGACCAAAATACATTTATTATATTCACACATACGTATACAAAGAAAAAGGATAATTGATAAAAAAAACAAGTTTATTCTAAAAAATTTCTACAATTTCCTTACATAATAGTTTTATAACAAGAGAAATGCTAAAACTTTCTGCTCTACATACACTGACTTGGTTACTCTTATCAAAAAAAAGCATACAAAAGTAATTGTCTTAGAAGAGTTACTAGTGAAAGCTGAATTATAATGGATAATATACCTGTGATTATTATGTGAAAAGATTAGGTCTTTCTGTTTATTTTAATGGTCTAAATTCTACTCTAAATTGGTATGTATTCTGAAAACTGATTGGAAAGTAAGATAATCCCCCACTTTTTGAGTATAACTAATTAGACTGGTATTTTCTTTAAGTGTTGATAGCAGGCACTAAAATAAAATGGAAAACTATTTCCTTTCTAATGTTTGACATACTAGCATTTTTAAAAGAGAAATTAATCTTTTCCAGAATTTTATGTGCATCAAAATGCATTTTTAAACCTGCTGAATTCTGATTGATTCATAGTATTATTTTTTAAAGTATAGATGCATACACAGAAAAACAAAATTTCTTTCTGTTTCAAGTAACTCTAAAATTTGTGTAATATACTATTATACATTATATTAGTTAGTATAATGTATAGTCTACATTATTTGGGTTTACATATTCAGAAACACTGGCCATCATTGCATTTCTCCTTGATTCTACTTTGAGTAAATTACATATAAATTAGTAAATTGTAACTGTATCTTACACGCAGTTAAATACAAAGCGTTTACAAAAAAAGCTTAAAAATTTTAATTAAAGAAGTGATTTGCAGAATTTGTATGTAGCAGAATGCTGTTTTAAATGTAAATTTAAAGTCTCAAATATCGTATTTATTTTTTTCTGTTAATATTAATAACCCAAATAAAGATGTACATTTTGGTTTATTTAATATTTATAATTGATATTACTTAAATTTATAAATACAAACTTTAATTTTTTATTTTGAAAGCAAGTCAGCAATACAAATAAGGCAATTAGGTTGAATATAGATATTTACATTTGCAGTTAGGAATAAATGTTGAAATATCAGCAACAAATTTATTTCTGTATTTTATATTGATGACATACTAGTGTAAAAAGTTTTTAGTAGTACAGACAAACATTTCAAATAGTAATTTTTAAAAACTCCTCAGGAATACAATTGTCTTTTACTGTAACAATATAAGCACTACCTGAGATTGAGTGAAGAATGTGATTTTCTTAGAGTTTAAACACAAATGTAACTATTGCTTTCATTTTTATTACTATTAAAACATTTTATAAGAAGCAGTCTCTTAAAATCAACCCTCAAACTGCCTAAAGTGTCTGAAGTTCAGTTGCTATTTTCTAACATTTACTTTTGGAGAGCATACATATTTAGCTTGCATGTAACTCAGTCTGTCACATACATAGAAGTTAGTCATTTGTATGATTTGGTGCAATTAGCTAAGTCTAAATTAAAATAAGCAAATAAATAAATTCCAGTGTAGAGCAATAATCTTTCAAATCAATGATGTATTCATAGAAGGTACAGAGTGCATACAAATAAAGTTTATCGTGAACTCTGCACCAAAATGAGTGTGTTACAACATTTAGCAAAGTGTTAGCCTTTCTTTCATGGCATATGTATGTCTGAGTAGCTATTTATTTATCTTTTAGTTACAGCTTTAACAAAAAGTAAAATGTTAAAACGTAATTTATGAACTAATTTTTTTTTTTTGAGGAGTCTTGCTCTGCCCCAGGCTGGCATGCAATGGCATGATCTCGGCTCACTGCAACCTCTGCCTACTGGGTTCAAGGTGTTCTGCCTCAGCCTCCCGAGTAGCTGGGATTACAGGCACATGCCACCGCGCCCAGCTAATTTTTGTATTTTTAGTAGAGACAGAGTTTCATTATGTTGACCAGGCTGGTCTCAAACTCCTGACCTCAGGTGATTCTCCCACCTCGGCCTCCCAGAGTGCTAGGATTACAAGAGTGAGCCACCCACCGTGCCCAGCCTGTAAACTAAAATTCTAATCAATGATTTCAAAAATCCTCAGAATATTGCTCAATTTGAATAACACTATCGGTCTAATTCTGGTGTGAATATTTCTATGTATTTGTAGCTTTAATAGTAAAGAAAAGATAAAGAAGGAGCAACTAACTCTAAAATAATTGCTTGATTACATTTGATTCTATACTTCAAAGACATGAATAAAACTTCCTTAATTGATCTTGACGTTAAGGAATATATTGAAGAACACATCAAAGTAAATGTAGCCTGTTTTTCAGTTCTTTAAGCAACAGTAACGGATTCATTAGAATAAATGAGAAGTTTAATGACCTATGGACACAGTTCCTTGGAATGGCTTGGATATAATTTATAATAGTATCCTTTTCTTAATGTTGTTTTCAACTTGTCAGCTCCCATTCAACTCTCTAATGCAGGGAAGGGTACTCAATGAAAATAAATGAATGAGGTATTGGACTTCTTTTGGAAAGCAAATCTGTTGTCTATAATATTGTTCATATTATGCTCCAGATGTTTCTTATGCAAGATTAGTAAATCACTCTTTTATCAGTGAAAACTATTGCAACTGCTAGCTCTGATTTAATGACTAGGGAAATTAAATGCAATCCCTACCAAACAGGGATTAATTTTTGTACATTTCATTGAACCTTAAAGTTTTAAAAACAAACAAGAAAATCTGATTATGTGTATCACTGAAGCGCTTATATTCTCTCATGTTTTAAAGTGACAGATCCATATCCATAAATATCAAAGTATCCCTGGTTTCAAATGCACTGCACAGTGCACTATTGAAAGAGATACCAAAAACTACCTTCCAATCTCTTTTAACATAATGACATAAATCTTTTAAAAATTTAACTAACATAAACCATAAAATTGTTTTAGGTAGAAAAGATTTAAAAGAAGGATAAATTATGTGTCTGCTCTAAAAATAATATATTCTCAGGTTAAGAAAATTTAGCAAGTAGAATTCTTTGCTCATTAGGCCAATAGTCTATCCTGGAGGGTCTGCAGAAGCCTACATGCACTGAGTTTTCACCAAGTGATGAAGAATTTGTCTCAAACTTTCCAATTAGTGACCTCTAAGAAGCATTTTTTTTTTTAGCTTTATAACGACCTACTACTATTCACTTAATTTGGGCATAACTGTCACTAAAAGTCTTTCTACATGCAGGTGGAGTAAGTAAAGAAATTTAAAATTTCTTAGGCTGAATCATAAAAGGAAGAAGAAAGCATGTTTCCTAAAGAGAAACAAACTCATTGGTGAGGAAGTGGCTTCCTTTTTTTCACCCAGGAGAGACAAAAATCTAGAGTTTTTCATTAAGACATCTTCATTAATCAGGTTTTGATATGTAAGGTTTCTTCACTAACAAGAGAGAAAGAGAATATTTAAAAAGGAAAACATTTTGGATATCCAGACATCTCTCCTAGCTTATCAAAGAAAGATGCAGTAAACCTGTTGTCTTTTGCTTTGCTGAACTAGAAAGTAAACATAATACGGAGCTTCTGATGTGACTTCCTTACGTTGACATATTGGCAAATTTCAAAATACACATTTGATGTAACAATATCTTTCTTGTTGATGTGTTTTATTTTGTTTTGTTTTGTTTTGTAGCCGAGAACCAATCTTCTCGGCTACATTTTATCTCTAAAGACAGAAAGGGGCTTGACTTCCAAGTATCTAGGTCTTAATAAGCAACTCTGTATCTCACCTTCCAGTGTGATTGAAACCTGGTTGTTTTTCATTAAGTTAAAACTTGGGAAAATCAATTTCTCAATTCTTTGCAGTTTGCTGTCTTATTAGACAGATGATCTTGTAGAGCAGAATGTGTCACAGTCACACACTAGACTGTAAGTATTTAATCTCAGGAAATTTCCCATCAGCAAAATGCAGAAAGAACCCTGGTTCCTAAAGATAGAATATACCATCAAATAAGAATTTACCTTTGTTAATCTATGATTCTTGTCTGCTTTGCAATATGCATAAATCTGCCAATATGTGAATGCTTTTGTACAGTAGTCAGTAAAGAAAAAATAATTTTTAAATCACATCCTTGCCAAAAATAATCTCAGTGTGTATGTATGCTCTGAAACAAATTTCTTATGTTTCCCATTTTTAGGGAATAATAAAAGTAAGATGTAAATGGGTACATACACATGGATCCAGTCTTCCTTTATTTCCTAAATAAACAAGTGTTTCCATGGAAAGGGTCTTAACATTAAAATTACCCATGTTCAAAAAGGAGAGAATGAATACATTTCTTTTTCAAAAGATAAACTATTCTCATGACATATTAATTTTCAGAGTATAAAATTCAAAATTATTTTTAATAAGTTTTGTGAAAGCTGCAGCAAATCTAAATGCCAAGTGTTTTGAGATGCATGTCTAATCAGTAGCTGTATTAATTTTGTATCTTCTAGCCATTATTGTTAATGGTTGAAGAAATAATGAAGTGTGTACTGAAAGCATACTCACTGCAATATCAACAAATTATTCAAAACCTGTTTAGTGCTTTTTCTTCTTTCTGAAAATTAATATACAGAAAGAAATACTATACACTAATAAACAGGCTTATTAAATGCCTTAAGTTTCTGTTTAAATGTTTTATAATATTTTAAGATATCGAACTTACAGATGTTATACACTTTACATTCCTTAGAAAATAGTAAAATAATGGATAAAATTACTTTATATAGTTTTATAATAAGGGATGCTATGTAATAGTGTAATTGATTGTCATTTCTCTTTTTCTTTAAATTAGATTTTCTTTAATTTTATTAATTTATGTCATAAAAATGCCTCATTTCCTACTTTAATTTTTTTGACAGAGCTGCAGCTGAGTTTTAGATTGGTCTGGAATTTTAAATCTAACTTAATGCATGTTGATAGTAAATGAATCCTCTGAACAGTAAAATAGAATAAGTTGATAGTCTGGTAATTATGTTTTAGATCTGTAATAATAAAACGAAGTTTAACTGAATCTCTCATATTTTTAATTTTTAATTTTAAATTTTAATTGTCAAATAAATTTAATAAACTTCATTCTTAAAAATGGTATTATAATACATTACTGTACTTATTTGGGTATATTCATATAGTTTATTATATTATACACATTATATAATATTTACCTTTATTCAATTTTATAATAAAAACTGTTGAAATTATAACATTAAATATTAATAAACTTACACATTTAACTCATTTTCTAAAAAATATGGGTATAAATAAATACATGAATTACATAGACAGCCTTTTCTGAACATGTGTTTAATGAATAAGTTGTTAATCTAAATGCCTTATCTGAAATTCTGTTTCTCACATTGAAGAACTACATACAAATCAGCATAAACATTATAAGACAATATAGGTATCTTTAAATTAATCAGATATTCTCAATAGAAATTTTAGACTTGTAAGTTTAAATAATCGCTTGGCATTTTTAATATAAGCTTATGTGGTTGTACAGATAAGTGCATAAAGGAAAGATGAATTAAATGTTCTGGCTGACAGAAAAGGGAAAAAGAAGATAGGGGAGAGAAAAGAGAGAAGTTACATAAATTCCCCCAAAACCTATTTATAATTCAGCTCCATTGACATGTACCACAGTATTTTTTTCAGGCTTGTTCAAAATGTGAACAAATAAGGGACTTACAAACTCTTTCCTTTATTCATAATCACATGCTACAGTTTAATAAATATATCAATTGAGTTCAGGATTACTTATGAAGTGTTTAAGAACTCACAACAGGTGTTATTTATATTTTTTAGTTATAGCTTTATTTCCTTATTTGGAACCTGGCTATAAATACTGACGTTTTGAATACAGTGATGGAAAGTTCTCTGCTAGGTATCAGGAAACTTCACTTACTGGCTTGGATTTCCTACTTAACAGAGATAAGGAAGCTATGGCAAGTTATGTATTTCTGATCTCAACTATAAAATCTGGAGATTGCTCTAAATTGAAGTTGTGTCTCATTACCAGGTCATAGGATACATTTGGTAACTCTCAATCAAATATGTTTTAATCAAATAAAAAGAACACAAAATATCAGCGTGTACCTATATGGAAAGTCTATTTTGTTCATATAACTTTTTTATTTTTTTACACGTACACATCTTCTACTAGTGGTTTATTGTCAAATTTGAAAAACGTGCATAAGTAATTTGTCAAACAATAAACAGGGTTTCATTAGTAGAATATCACAGAAACTTTCATGCAATCTTACCAGAGAGAGATCAGGAGGAAATTAATCTCAGTCTCTATTTATTCAATGATCCATCCAATCATCTACTCTGCAATTGTTATGATGAGTGCGCTTCTGTCATGTTTTCTTTTAGCATGTGAACACACAGTAGTGAATAAAATAATGTCTTTGTTCTTATGCAATGCATGTTGTAAAATACACTGTCAGGCAGGGTGCAGTGGCTCACTCCTGTAATCCCAGCACTTTGCGAGGCCGAGGCAGATCACCTGAGGTTGGGAGTTCAAGGCCAGGCTGACCAACATGGAGAAACCCCGTCTCTACTAAAAATACAAAATTAGCCAGGCGTAGCGGCACGCACCTGTAATCCCAGCTACTTGGGAGGCTGAGGCAGGAGAATCAGTTGAACCCAGGAGGTGGAGGTTGCGGTGAGCCGAGATCTCACCATTGCACTCCAGCCTAAGCAACAAGAGTGAAACTCCATCTCAAAGAAAAAAAAAAAATACACTGTCTATTTATCTATTTGGTACTTAATGTATTCATATGCTTACATAATTCATTAATTGTTTTAAATAATGCTAGCATATTTTTGACAATCTATTATTTTCATTTTCATGTTATTTTTTGTAAACTTAATGTTTCTGATTTTAAATGTTTGTACAATTAGTATTCATTTCTTCTAAAGTTTCTTCTTTTGCTCTAATCCTGTTTACAATAGCATTTCTATTTAATTATATTTTATATTTTATATTCTACAATCTTTGGAACCAAATAGACCTCAAATAGTTAAGACATAACTCACACAAAACTGTACAACAACATGGAAACTAAACAACCTGCTCCTGAATGACTACTGGGTAAATAGCAAAATTAAGGCAGAAATAAATAAGTTTTTTTAAATCAACGAGAACAAACACACAATGTACCAGAATCTCTGGGACACAGCTAAACAGTGTTTAGAGGGAAATTTATAGCACTAAATGCCCACAAGAGAAAGTGGGAAAGATCTAAAATCGACACCCAAATATCAAAATTAAAAGTACTAGAGAAGCAAGAGCAAACAAATTCAAACGCTAGCAGAAGACAAGAAATAACTAAGGTCAGAGCAGAACTGAAGGGGATAAAGACACACACACACAAAAACTCTTCAAAAAAATCAGTGAATCCAAGAGCTGGTTTTTTGAAAAGATTAACAAAATAGATAGACCGCTAGTCAGACTAATAAAGAAGAAAAGAGAGAAGAATCAAATAGACACAATAAAAAATGATAAAGGGGAGATCACAACTGATCCCACAGAAATACAAACTACCATCAGAGAATACTAAAAACACCTCTACGCAAATAAACTAGAAAATCTAGAAGAAATGGATGAGTTCCTGGACACATACACCCTCCCAAGACTAAACAAGGAAGAAGTCGAATACCTGAATAGGCCAATAACAAGTTCTGAAATTGAGGCAGTAATTAATAGCCTACCAACCAAGAAAGCCAAGGACCAGACGGATTCACAGCCAAATTCTACCAGAGGTATAAAGAGGAGCTGGTACCATTCCTTCTGAAAGTATTCCAAAAAATAGAAAAAGAGAGAACCCTCCCTAACTCATTTTATGAGACCAGCATCATCCTGATACGAAAACCTGGCAGAAACACAACAAAAAAAGAAAATTTCAGGCCAATATCTTTGATGAGAATCAAAGTGAAAATCCTCAATAAAATACTGGCAAATGAATCCAGCAGCACATTAAAAAGCTTATCTACTGCTATCAATTTGGCTTCATCCTCGGGATGAAAGGCTGGTTCAACATACGCAAAACAATAAACATAATCCATCACATAAACAACCAATGACAAAAAACACATGATTATAAGAATAGACGCAGAAAAGGCCTTCGATAAAATTCAACACTGCTTTATGCTAAAAACTCTAATAAACTAGGTATTGATGGAACGTGTCTCAAAATAATAAGAGCTATTTATGACAAACCCACAGCCAATATCATACTGAATGGGAAAAAGCTGGAGCATTCCCTTTGAAAACCGGCACAAGTCAAGGATTCCCTCTCTCACTGCTCCTATTCAACATAGTATTGAAAGTTCTGGCCAGGGCAATCAGGCAAGAGAAAGAAATAAAGCATATTCAAATAGGAGGAAAGGGAGTCAAATTGTCTCTGTTTGCAGATGACATGATTGTATATTTAGAAAATCCCATCGTCTCAGTCCAAAACATCCTTAAGCTGATAAGCAATTTCAGCAAAGTCTCAGGATACAAAATCAATGTGCAACAATCACAAGCATGCCTATACACCAATGATAGACAGAGAGCCAAATCATGAGTGAACTCCCATTCACAATTGCTACAAAGAGAATAAAATACTTAGGAATACAACTTAAAGGGATGTGAAGGACCTCTTCAAGGAGAACTACAAAGCACTGCTCAGGGAAATAAGAGAGGGCACAAACAAATTGAAAAACATTCCACGCTCATGGAAAGGAATAATCAATATTGTGAAATATTGGGCCATAACGCCCAAAGTGAAATGCCATCCCTATCAAACTGCCATTGACTTTCTTCACAGAATTAGAAAAACTACTTTAAATTTCATATGGAACTGAAAAAGAGCTTGTATAGCCAAGACAATCTTAAGCAAAAAGATCAAAGCTGGATGCATCACGTTAGCTGACTTCAAACTATACTACAAGTCTACAGTAACCAAAACAACATGGCACTAATACCAAAATAGATATATAGACCAATGGAACAGAACAGAGGCCTCAGAAATAACACCACACATCTACAACCATCTGATCTTTTACAAACCTTTAAAAAACAAGCAATGGGGAAAGGATTCCCTATTTAATATATGGTACTGGGAAAACTGGCTAGCCATATGCAGAAAACTGAAACTGGACCCCTTCCTTACACCTTATACAAAAATTAACTCTAGATGGATTAAATACTTAAATGTAAGACCTACAACCATAAAAACCCTAGAAGAAAACCTAGGTAATACCATTCAGGACATAGGTATGGGCAAAGACTTCATGACTAAAACACCAAAAGCAATGGCAACAAAAGCTGAAATTGACAAATGGGATCTAATTAAATAAAGAGCTTCTGCACAGCAAAAGAAACCATCACCAGAGTGAACAGGCAGCCTACAGAATGGGAGAAAATTTTTGCAATCTAACCATCTGACAAAGGGCTAATATCCAGAATCTATAAGGAACTTCAACAAATTTACAAGAAAAAACAAACAACCCCATCAAAAAGTGGGCAAAGGATATGAACAGCCACTTCTCAAAAGAAGACATTTATGTGGCCAACAAACATGAAAAAAAGCTCATCATCACTGGTCATTAGAGAAATGCAAATCGAAACCACAATGCGATACCATCTCACGCTGGTTAGAATGGCAATTACTAAAAAGTCAGGAAACAACGGATGCTGGACAGGATGTGGATAAATAAGAACACTTTTACACTGTTGGTGGGAGTATAAATTATTTCAACCATTGTGGAAGACAGTGTGGCGATTCCTCAAGGATCTAGAACCAGAAATACCATTTGACCCAACAATCCCATTACTGGGTATATATCCAAAGGATTATAAATCATTCTACTATAAAGATATATGTGGCCGGGCACAGTGGCTCATGCCTGTAATCCCAGTACTTTGCGAGGCCAAGGTGTGTGGATCACCTGAAGTCGGGAGTTTGAGACCAGCCTGACCAACATGGAGGAACTGTGTCTCTATTAAAAATACAAAAAAAAAAAAAAAAAAAAATAGCTGAGTGTGGTGTTGCATGCCTGTAATACCAGCTACTCCAGAGGCTGAGGCAGGAGAATCGCTTGAACTCAGGAGGTGGAGGTTGTGGTGAGCTGAGATCATGCCATTGCACTCCAGCCTGGGCAACAATTACAAAACTCCATCTCAAAAAAAAAAAAAATACATATGCACATGTGCACATGTATGTTTTTTGAAGCACTATTCACAATAGCAAAGACTTGGAACCAACTCAAATGCCCATCAATTGATAAACTGGAAAAAGAAAATGTGGCACATATACACCATGGAGAACTGTGCAGCCATAAAAAAGCATGAGTTCAGGTTATTTGCAGGGACAGGTATGAAGCTGGAAACCATCATTGTCAGCAAACTAACATGGGAACAGAAAACCAAACACTGCATATTCTCATTCATAAATGGGAGTTGAATAATGAGAACACATGGACACATGGAGGGGAACACCACACACCGGGGCTTGTAAGTGGGTGGGGGTAGGGGAGGGATACTATTAGGAGAAATACCTAATGTAGGTGATGGGTTGATGGGTGCAGCAAACCACCATGGCACGTGTATACCTGTGTAACAAACCTGCATGTTCTGCACATGTATCCCAGAACTTAAAGTATAATAAAAATAAAACCATGAATTCAGTTATTTTTTCTCTTTATTTCTTCAAAATATTATAGAGTTTTGATAAATTTCATTTTGCCTACATTGCATACATTTGGGTTTGTACTCATTTTATCATTTTAATTTTCCATAAGAAAATCTGATTGTTCTAAGATAGCTTAGAACTTGAATAGCTATCATGTGGGGGAAAAGACGTAAAATATACATTTTCTTCTGTTTCTTTCATGCTTTCAATTTTGCTGTTCGTTTACTTTTCACATTTTTACAAAAATATGAATTATTGTGCCATTATATGAGCTATCTTACAGAAAAGATGGCTAAATATAGTAACTGATGAACAAAAGGAACCAAATGAATGCTTTCTAATTGAATAAATAGAATAAAATTACATATTATCCATATATGGCTGTGATTGAACACTTGATTTAATTTGAATAATCTTATAGACTAAGAATATCTCAATAATCTTTGTTTTATTGTTTAACTTTTCTCTTTAATTATAAAAGTTTAGTTTCAAAAATATTTCAGATATTCATCTATAAATTGGATATAGGACCAAAAGAATGAAGTTACCCAGATATACTTAGTAGGTCAAACTAAGAAGTTTTTGTGACAACAACATTTATCTACAAATCTGAAAGAGCTGCCTCTGAAAGTAGCCTATTCTCTAATAATCTATGTCTTTTAACAGAGTGAATGTCAGTTGATCAAGAATATGTAGTTGTAAAAGTTCCATCATTGAGTACAAGATTGAACTAGATGCACATAAAAGAACTTCCCAACATGGCTTATGGATTAAATATTTCACCAAATTAACTGAAATTATCTTATGTATGGACATAATGGATCTCTACAGAATAGTCTCTTATAAGACAACCCTTCTGTTTAAGCCACATTACATGATGTTGAAGAGAAAGCGTGAATTGGAGTGAACAATAGAAAGCAAAGGAGGAAACATGAAGTAGGTATTTTTACTAGCATTCGGTGGCTGAGCAATCCCCAAGAAAGCCTAGGTACGAATTGTGGATCTGTGTTTTTCTCAGATGACTGTACAAAAGTCATATAACTATAATAAAGTTAGTGCTAACAATTCATACAATTTGGGGAAATATTAAAACTAAACACAAGCTACCCATTTTATCTGAGGCATCAAAATAATTAGTTACAATTCTGGAGCTCACCACGGCCCTGATAAGTTCACTTACAATCAGTAAGTTACCTTCAGCATGTAGCATGAATACGGATATCAAACCATAGCATTAAGTTCTTTAGTAAATGCTAAGGTGCCAAGCTCAAATATGGTAAAACTTTATAAAAGGCTGAAGTACCTTAAAGAAATGACTGGAACTCATGAACCTGAAACATTTACCTATTGATGGAAAGATATTTCAAGAAAATGCTTTTATTACCCACAAGCTGTCAAATCATTCAGGGAAGGAAAGTCACAATTTGGCTCAAGGAATTTCTAAATAATTTTGATAAAATATTCAAAGTACTGGTTTATATGTCCACAACAAAACTATGTTGATTAAATGCATGGGTTTCTAACTATAAATTTTCCTATTGTAATTTTACATATTGCCTTTATTATCCTTTCCTCAGTAGATAAATAGGTTTTGAAAATTAAATAATGGCTGTATATCATGCAATTTTTCTGTGCAAACATACTTCTTGGTACATACAAAGATTTTCTCAAAAGTACCAAGGCATGGAGAATTTAAAGGGAATCCTTTTCCAGATAGTCAACTTTCATGTGTGCTTTATCCTTAACAATATCTGCCTGGGAAGGACCTGGATGAACAGCAGTTTCTCACCACTGCCTATAAAAATCACAACCCAATCACACATTACCTTTCACCCAAACCAAATTTGACTGTCACTTTGTGCTAGAAAGGCCTGCTAAGGGACACATGATTTTATTCTTTATAAAGATAAGTGTTTCTAAATAAGTGTTCTAAAATTATGTCACGGTGATGGTTGCTCAACTCTGTAAATACACTAACAACCAGTGAATTGTACAATTTAAATGGATGAAGTTTGTGATATATAAGCTATATCTCAATAAAACTGTTAACAATGCACAAATAACAGCATTAACAAATACAAACATATGAACAAACAAAAAGCCCAGGACACCTAACAGAGGGAAAATCGAGAAGTTCTGAGAAAATGAATGACTCCAATGATTAGGTGAAAACTACATTAGCAGATCAGGTAATTTTATTTTTATTATTATTGGAAGTCATTGAATTGCTAGATGAAATTGTTATAAATAATTTTAATGATAGATCACTATGTATTTTTTAGCATATTACTCAGAAGAAATTCAAAGTATTGAATGGAATTATTGTTTAAAAAACTAAAAATACAGAAACTTCCTTTAACAATCGTCTTTTTTATTTGAATGTAGTTTTATTCACAACTTAAAGCCAATCTATCTCATGAAGAAATATCTCTTCACTTAGAATTTACTTTTTGTACTTCATAATTACTCATCAACATGTATAATATATTTAGATTACTTTGATAAATTGTATGCAAAATAATTCCAAAATTAACTCAATAATGAAGAAAACATATGTAATTTTTCAATCCTTAGAATGTAGTTTCAGGGAAATAAGGAGGTATACACAATTTAGGGAGGAGATATATACAAAATTTTAAGAATCCTTGTTTTTTACCATTGAGACATTTTCACTATGTCCTCAGAATCCTGTTGTCTGTTAATGACTTTAAGTTTTAATGCTCATAAGAACTTACCTCACTAAATAATATATCCAGAAAAAGAAGGCATATTGTAATGATTCTTTGTGTATTATTAGAACTAGTATAGCCATTAGCCTTGAAGGAGTATTTTTTCAATAATGTCCAGAGAAGTAATTTATAATTTATGTTGGTTTTTCAATCCTTTATTGTACATGTTCTTTTGGTTCTTTCATTCATTATTTAAAATGCTATATATACCCAACCTAGTTTTCCCTTTTTAAAGTCACCAGAACAATTTAAAACAATGTGTCAGAAAATAGTAATTTTTCTTGTAATCTGATTTTCTCATTCTGATTTTCAGGTTTAAAAGGAAGAGATTTCTAAGAAAATCATAGTTGACATGCCATTTTCCAAATGTCATCAACTTTTTCTTTTTACATACATCTTTAATAGGCTCTTTCCCTTTTTCATACATATTTTACTGCAAAAATGTTTGCCATCAATATTAAAATATGAATTATTTCCAGATTGGTGTACATAGCTTTCTAAGTGTTATTAAATCCAATTCATTATATAGTAGTTTAATGGCATAGTTCATTCATTTCTATTTTAATATAAATTTCCTTCCTTTATCACTGGCCATTGATTACCCTTGTTTACCTACATGCATATTGAAAAATGCAGACAAGTCTTTAGGGTATTTTTGTGCTATAATTTTTTAGAAGTTTTAGGAACATACAACAATGAATGAGCAAACTCTTTACTTAATTAAATTTTGAATCAGTATTGAGGATTTAATGGTTACTGAATTTATTGTATTTTTATGAAAGGTATGGGTCAAAATTTGAACATTTTTATGTCACTGCTTTTAGTGCCTTAAAAATAAATAAAAGTTATCATTTGCATTTTACTTTTGGCTTAATATCAAAAGTATAAATTATTTAAATTCAGAATAAAATTAATGTTGTATTATCAAGATGAATTCTTATTTAATATTTTCAAGTAATAGGTTTCCAAAATCCCAAAGATATTTTTAATCAATAAGAAATATTAGAAAAAGATATGAGTGTATGGCAGCCTAATTATATTCAGAATTCTGAAAAAAATACTTCCCAAAGTTAATAATTAAAATAATATGTTGAGATCAATCTTAATTTATCTGAGCTTATCTCTTGAAGTTAAGGGAGGTAGAGAGAGACTGGCCATCTTCAGAGATTGCATGCCTAGTTTGGTGCTTTTCATTAATAAACTATTAGTCTTGAATGTGTCACATGTAACTGACACCACATAAGACAAGGAGCAAAGGAGACTTGAAAGACAAACAGCTCTGGAATGGAACCACTACTTATACTCTTTTACACTGCCTATTCCCTTCAATGTTATTTCTCCTGGATTATACATTTATTATTCATTTTTTCTCTTTACAACTTGATTTTATACCACCAATCCAACTTAGAACACCATTTTTCTCCCTTCATGCTTTAGTTTCCTAATTGATTATGGTCTACTTTCTCCCACTATGCTGCTTTACTAAGTTGAGGTGAGCGTTCTGCCTGCAGCAGTCTCAGGAGCTCCGCGTTCAGGGTAAATCTCTCCCCAGCTCCAGCCAACCCCACTAGCATTATGTAGACTTAACCTTTCATATTTGGGTAAATGTGCCTGTGGGTAAGGTACCATTAATTTAACCACTGAGGGAGCCAACTTCGTGCTAAGAAATGTTCTGTACACTGTACACTGATGAAGAAATTTTAGTTTCAGAACACAACTTCAAAGGCAAGGATGAAGATAGTTTTTCCTTCATCTTTACTGTTCCCAGGGACTAGCACGAAGAATAGAATCAAAGATTGATGGCAGACTAAAACATTTTTCTGTTTTACTTAGCGGAGTTGAAAAATGCGATATCATTATTGTGTTAGTGAAATACTTCTTTACAACTTAACCTATTTATACAATTGAGACAATATAGCTGACGTCCATAATATTACACTTAAATTTTTAGTTTTGAAAAATCATCAAAAATGACAATTTTGTTATTATAGAAAGTAAAATCCTGGGTTCCATTCAATGCCTTTTCAGAACTGAAGCTGAATTCCACATTAATTGGCATTATGTAAAAAACTTTAAAGAATGATCACAATTTTATAATAAAGAAAACTTCAAGGTACTGCATTTTAGAAAAAAAAAAATCCACCCTTAATATCATGACTGAAGTTCAGGATTGTGGCCCCAGGGTATAAAAAGCTGGAAAGTGTTGCTCCCAGCTTCCAATAAAAGAGATGCTGTTTCCCTGTTCTCTGGGTAGTCAGGTTCTGCTGCTGGATAGAATATTACATGACTACAAGCAGGTGCAAAGGCAGATAAGCACCACCCAGGGAAGATACCAACCCACAATTAGAGAACAGACAGAACACCCAAGAGTTACATTTCCTACTTACAGCAAGAGGGGAGAAAGACTTTGCATGAAATTCAGCCTCTTGCATTAGGTCGGACCCCCACAGTCATGCAGTAGGATTCTTCCCCAGCAGTCAAAAGTTGTGTGACTGCATTATCTCACTTTTTGCAGCAACGGGAGGACCTCAACTCCTCCCCTGTAAGGCATGAAATATGGAAAGCTGAGTGTGGGCCTGAGGGCCACTGAACTCACACCTAAGCAAAACAAACTACACCACACTGAGCCCGAAACAGGTAAAGTTATTCCCATAGAAGGCAAAAAGCCCAGCATGGACTGCGAAGGCTCTATATCTCCCAGTTGGGAAATGTTTCACACCTGAGGCTCATCCTCATAAGCGGGAGAGGAGGAGTGGACGGGTGGTCCATACCTGCCTTTATCAACAGAAGTGGTCCAACTTTAAATTCATAACGTTTTTCAAATCTGTTGAAGACCTAGGATTGAATAACCCCTAAATGGCCACATGGCGCAAAATCTAAAGCAAAAAAATTGATCTGCAGGAAGAAAGGGAATATGAGCAAGCATTCATTTGGGGTATATACAACCTAACTGAAGTAGCTAACAAGAGTTTACTGGAAGAGCAGACATTTGGTGAAATGCAAGTATGCTACAGACTGGCACTTTGTCTAGGAACTCCACTGCAGGCCCAAAGAAAATAATGGGAAAAGCCCTAAGAAGTGCCCATGATGTTGGCATGGGGTCTCTAACAGCTGTGCCTGTGGCAGAAAACAAAAGGCTTCACCTGAATCTATTTCCCTCGTCTCCATTGTGGAACAAAAGACTTGCAAAAGAAGGGAGGCAGTAAGTATTCCTGCCTTTAGGATATTGATGGGAACTCATTATAGCTGGGGAGATGGGAACACTACAGGGACAATAAAAGTTTACTCTTAGGGCAGGGTCAGGGTTATGTCCTGAGCTCCACAACCAGTGGGGGTGAATAGAGAAGGACATATCTCTTGAGAAACAGGACAGATTGCCTGCCTAAGGCTAAGGTTTAATCAAAACAACGGAAGCTGTGCACCCATCACCAGCACCGTTCCCATAGCAAGCCAACAAACTTAAATATTCTAACAAAAATATTGAGATGCATTTCCAGAAGTATGATTCATAAAAAACTATATGTTAAATTTATTTAAATTTAAAAATAATAATTTGTATGAAAGACAATATTGGGAGAATAAAAAGGAAAGTCAAAGACAGAGAGAAAATATTTGTCTAATCCATTTGTGATAAAGAACTTGCACTCTGGAAACATAAATAATTACCAAGCTCAACAAGATACATACAAAAAATAAAACCTAGCCACCAGATCTAGACAGAAACATCACTAAAAATATATAAACAGATGGCAAATAAATATATGAAAGTATATTCAATATAATTATTACAAAATTACAATTTTAAGTTACAATAAGATACCATGGTACACCTGTTACAATGTCTAAAATTAAAGAAAATTGACAATAGCAAATACTGGAGAGAATGCACAGCAAATGGAACTCTCATATATTGCTGCTGTCCACGGAAGATGATGCTACAGACACATTGGAAAACATTTTTTTTTTTTTTTTTTTTTTTTGAGGGGGAGTATCGCCCTGTCACCTAGGCTGGAATGCAGTGGCGTGATCTCGGCTCACTGCAACCTCCGCCTTCCAGGTCCAAGCGATTCTCCCACCTCAGCCTCCCAAGTAGCTGGGATTACAAGCGTGCCATCACGTCTGGATAATTTTTGTATTTTTAGTAGAGAGGGGGTTTCGCCGTGTTGGCCAGGCCGGTCTCAAACTCCCGACCTCAGGTGATCCGCCTGCCTCGGCCTCCCAAAGTGTAAGCCAGTGCGCCTGGCTTTTTTTTTTTTTTTTTTTTTTGAGACAGAGTCTCGCTCTGTTGCCCAGGCTGGAGTGCAGTGGCGCGATCTTGGCTCACCGCAAGCTCTGCCTCCCCGGTTCAGGCAATTCCCCTGCCTCAGCCTCCCAAGTAGCTGGGACTACAGGCACCCGCCACCACACTCAGCTAATTTTTGTATTTTTAGTAGAGACGGGGTTTCACCGTGTTAGCCAGGAAACTCTCGATCTCCTGACCTCGTGATCTGCCCGCCTCGACCTCCCAAAGTGCTGGGATTACAGGCATGAGCCACCGCGCCCGGCCTGGTGGACTCCTGTAAAGTTAAATATACACGAGTACCTACCTGCGACTCAGTGACTCTGCTTATAGGTATCCTCGCTAGAGAAAAGAACACATATATTCACACAAAAACTGTATGCGAATGTTTTTAGCAGTTAACCCATAAACACCCAAATTGGGAGCAGCCCACTTACATCCTTTAATAAATGAATAAACTATTGACGCAGACGAAAACATAGACAAAATTTATATGTTTTGCTAAATGAAAGAAGTCAAATCCCAGGGCTACCTATGGCATGATTCTATTTATATGACCCTTTGGAAGAGACAAATTGTGGGCAGGAAAATAGATCGATTTCTTAGGGTTGGGGAGAGGGTTTATCTATTAAAGGGTTACAGGAGTAAGAATTTCTTCTTTTTTGTGCATAGAAATTGTTCTGTGTGGAACTGTGGTGTTGGACACATGACTCTGCATTTGTCAAAAGATATAGAACTGTACAAAACAAAAAGTGAAATTTGCTATATGTAATTTTTTTCAAACATCAAGCAGACAAGGGGGCATAGGGAAGGCAAATTGCATGTTAATGTAAGGGGAAGCTGAGTAAAGGGTATTTGGTACTCTGTAATGGAAGGTATCGGGCAGTGGTCTGATTCTTATATACTGTGAAGGTTAATGAGAAAGATTTGTGTGTATATTTGTATATGTGTTTATTACTTCTGAAGTCATGAAGATAGAGTTAATTTTCTTGAGAAATATAGTTTATATTTTTCTTAACAAAATTCTGAAAGCAGAAAGAATAACAGAAAATATTGCCTAAACTTCTTTTTATGCATTTTTAATGATAGTTATGAGAGTCGAGTTAAATGAAGATATAGTTGCTGAAGACATTTCTAGATCCTAGAAAAGAATGAATAAAAAAAAATTTTCTACAAATTATACACATAGCAATAGTACATATGTACAAATCGTATGTGTAGTACTAATGTACAGTAGGACAGAGAGCTATTAATAACTAAATCCCTGAGGATAATTAGTATACAATGGAATAATATTAACTCCAGATGGGTATTGGTATGAGAATTTTTAAGGAAGCTTATAGAAAAAGTAAACAAACCATGCAATCTGAAGCCATAAAAACAGCTGTATTGTGAACTCTCTATTTGTTAGATTTCACTATTTGACACATTATTTTACTACCTATGTTAACAAATCACACATAAGAGCCAAATGAGTTATAAATTCCAACAAAGACAAATGAATAATAATCTCAAATATGTGTGTTTTCAACAGGCATTCAGAACTTGTATTTTAATTAACACCATTCAAGTCACAAAATCCTTAGCTATGGGTTTTGCTGACATTAATTCAGCTTATTATTTTAAAGCATTTCTACATATGTTAATTTGACTTTATGAGTCACATTTCATAATGCATTTAGACATGCCAGCCCAGGCATACTTTTCCTAATTCACACTTCACTCATTTGATAGCATTTGTCTTTTAGCCTTCTGACTGTAATAACTTACCATGTGTAAACAAATGCCACATGATTCACACTCTGCTCTGTCTCATTGATTAATTATCTAAATACAATGAAAAAGGACAAAGTGTTGAAAGCAACAATATATTAATTTACCACAAAATGTTCCGATGATTCATTCTCCATGAACTGATATTCTCAAATTCTCTGATAGGCCACTAATAAAATACTTCAATATTACATTTCAAATAATGAAATTGAATGTGAAATGTTTCATGTAAGAAAACTGAATACAATATAAAATTTAATTTATTCAGTGGATGGCACCATCCATAGTTGAAATCTAGAAATACTGAGAGCAGGATTCAGAGGGTTATCTTTATGGATAAATCCAGCAAATCTTCAAGGTATTAGATAACAATGGTAACATTTAAAGAGCACTTAAGGTCTCATAGACATGCAATATTTTCCTTCCTCAGAGCTACATTAGGCATAAATCTTTTTGTCGTCTCTTACATTAGATACAATAAAGACTGAGACACATATCCAGGGTCTCAAGCTGGGTAAATGGCACAAACAGGACATGAGCAAAGAGTCTGAATATACATCTCACTCTTATCTACCATGCTACCTTGTATCTACCCAAGGAAAACGAGCAATTAAGCAATGGGCTGTGATGTGGACATTACTGCAAAACTATGAATTATGTTGCTTTTATAATCATGCTGAGAAAGTTCCTTCTAAAACCAAAGTTATAGGTACTTTATTTTCTTCTACAAATTTAATTGTTTTGTTTATCAATTAAAATTTTTATTTTCAATTCATTTTGGTAGAAGATCTAAGGAAGAATATGCATTTTTAGTGGAATACTAAAATCATGTATGGATTATTGACTTCTTAGGGAAGATCTTGAAAAAACCAAGGTAAATACTGAAGAGTGCATGAATTCAGATAGTAATAAGTTATTTGGTTCAAATTTTATGAAATATTCCAAAGGGCTTTATTTCATAAACTCTAAAAGATGTTATTCATTAAAGAACCTGCTTAACTGCCTCAATAGTTTTAGAAGTAGTCAGCAAGTAATTATTCCATTTGTTTCTAATTTATTAGTAACATTCTTTTAATTAATAATAAACCTTTTATTATTGGTCTAAAACAATTGATCTGGTTGTCACAGATGTGTGAAGCTTTCCTGTTCACCTAGCAATTTAGAACTTGAATAATATATTGTGTTTTTGGCATTAAATCCTTTTATAAATATATTAACACTTTTATATCAAATGACATCACACAGAAGGTATGGAAAAAGTGTTCATTATGGAAATAAAATGTAAATAAACTACATTTATTCATTTAAATTTCATGCTATTGTAGAAAACATGTTTTTTGGGGAAAGACACTCTCAAAACCACTAAGATCATTAAGGTGAATAAAGTTAATGTGATCTAGTTCAACTTCCCTTGAGATATTAATTCAAGTTAACTGGGTGGAAGCCTGATCATAACTGTAGTCATGCATTGCTTAACAATGAGAATACACTCTGATAAATGCATCATTAGGTAATTTTGTCTTTGTCCATGAGTTTACTTTCAAAAATCTAGACAATATTACCCATTACAAAACAAAGTGATACGGTATAGCCTTTTGCTCCTAGGCTACAAATCTGTACAGCGTGTTACCGTATTGAATACTATAGAAACACAGAAACATAGAAAAAGTACAATAAAAATATGGTATTAGCCTTATGGGACAACCATCGTATATATGGTTTGTTCTTGACCTAAACATCATTATGTGGCACATGACTATACATTTTAAAGGATCCTAGGTAATTCTAATATGCTTAAAACAGAAGAACCTCTTTTTTTGTTTGTTTTTTCTTTTCTTTTTTTTTTTTTTTTTTTTGAGACAGAGTCTTGCTCTGTCTCCCAGGCTGGAGTGCAGTGGCACAATCTCGGCTCACTGCAAGCTCCGCCTCCCGGGCTCAAGCCATTCTGCTGCCTCAGCCTCCCGAGTAGCTGGGACCATAGGCGCCCGCCACCACGCCCGGCTAATGTTTTTGTATTTTTAGTAGAGATGGGGGTTTCAGGATGGTCTTGATCTCCTAACCTCGTGATCCCCCCGTCTCGGCCTCCTAAAGTGCTGGGATTACAGGCGTGAGCCACCGCGCCCGGCCAGGACCTTTTTTTAAAGAATGAAAAACTATGTTGTTGCCCATTTTAATGTGCAGCTAATGTGAATCGATAATAATTAATAAAATATATGTATAATATTAAAATGCAGAATTCCAAATTACGTCATCATACTTTAAAATTATCAGTAATTGTGTACTGCATCACATTTTAATATCAATAGATAAATATATAATTCAAATAGAGAGTAATTTCAGATGTTTCACAGGCATTTTTTCATAAAGGTACTCTTTAAATATTTTCATAAAATATTGTTCTTCTCATTATACAAACGTTTTTTACAAATGGAGTTGACATTCACTGGAGAGAGTTACTACACACGAATCATTAAAAATACTTTAGTTGAAGTCATCATACATTTAACTGAGGCAGAATTTGTCTTAATATTGGGCTTGTTATTTAGATAAATGGGGGAACATCGGCTTTTAAATTGAAACGATAATGACAAAGTGGTCTGTTATTTAGTCATTATGTGTAGTTACTAAGCTGTCCTCAGAATAAATTCTAAAATATAATAATTTTTTAGAAGAACTAGATTCTGCAATGTCTCTAAAGAGAAAGTGAATCTAGGAAATAAACTACTGTGTATCAGAAGTTATTTTCAGCTCTATAGCATTAGCAAATAGTGTTTTCTTTCAGTCATTTGTAATTGTGGCTTGTTAAACTAGTATACTTCTGTTCAGTGTTCTAGTCACCATAGTTTATGAAATCATGAAGATAAGAAACCAATAAAACCATGATAACTCTGAGATTATTTTATGAAGATTCTTAACAAACTAAGAAGCAGAGTTTGTTGTTGTTGTTGTTGTTGAGACAGAGTCACGCTCTGTCACCCAGGCTGGAGTGCAGTGGTGTGATCTTGGCTTACTGCAACCTCTGCCTCCCAGGTTCAAGCAATTCTCCTGTCTCAGGCTCCCAAGTAGCTGGGATTGCAGGTACACACCACCATGCCCAGCTAATTTTTATATTTTTATTAGAGATGGAGTTACACCATACTGGTCAGGCTGGACTCAAACTCCTGACCTCAGGTGATCCACCTGCCTCGGCCTCCCAAAGTGCTGGGATAACAGGCATGAGCCACTGTGCCCAGCCTATGAAGCAGATTTTTATACATTAAAGATTATTAGGAAGGCAACTAATATTATTGTAGAATTCTGAGTGTTATTTGAATTTTTAGGTTGTGATTAAGATAAAAGGCCAAAAACTTAACGCTGATGAAAGCTGTTTAGGGATTTAATGTGAATATATACTAACACACAAATTATTTTCTTCATGCTTATGGAATCATTCTGTATATTTGAAGACTGTATAGTTTCAAGAAAGCAGTATCATACGATCACATGTTGGTAGGTCAGTAGCTCTCACTTTTATCTCGATCGTGTTTTAATCATTTTCTCCACTGTTGCAAACAAGTTAATTTGCAAATCAATCTCATGTAACACAAAAGTAGCTTTAGTTGTAATAGTAAGTAGGTTGTCAGCATTTAAGGTACTGGGGGGAAAATCATGCTTTAAGTCTATTGGAATTATTCAAAATTTATGAGTCTTATAATGCAAAATAGAGAAATATGAGTAAAATTTTATCATAACAATTGTTATCGTAAAATTTAATTTAAAAATAATTGTAAATGCAGGCGGAATATAACTCGTATCCTTGAGAAAAAAACTGGATATTGTTCCTTCTAGTGAAGTCACTTGATAACAGCTAATGTTTCAATCATCAACTTCATCATCCATTAAATGATCGTAATAAGCATACCTATTTCACAGAGTTATGAGATTTTACATACATATATGTAATTATTCAACATAATAGTAAAAAAGTCAATATCTTCACTTGTCCTAGTCTATCAGATCGAATACAAATTAGATGTCTACTATGTTATCCAGCATTATCTAATTTTAAGTACATGTAACTCACTAAGATAAATAAATCCATCAGATAAATAACATCTATTAGGCAATATAGCTTTATGAAAGGTATTTCTTTAATAAAAGTAATGCTTGAAGCTCAAAATTACTCCTTGATCCATGGGCTACTCAATGGGTGTTGTCTTAGTTGCCATGAAAAGCACATTTATCTCCTGTACCTCTTCATCAGAGGTCTTGGATGACATTGTACATTGTCAATAAGCAGTAATATTTTGAAAGAAATATATTTTTCTGAGCAGTAGATCCCAACAGTCGGCTTAAATTGTTCAGTAAAACATGCTGCAAACAGATACACTATCATTCAGGCTTTGTTTTTCCATTTATAAGGCATAGGCAGAGTAGATTCACAGTAACTTTTTCTCTGCAAATGATGTATGCATTATTTAGACAGAGGTATCTCAGCTTCTTTCCGTTATTGTATTGCTGCCTATTTCATCCTTCAGATGTCAATCTTTGCTTTACATCCTGAAGTGCTTTGGTTTTTGGTGCATTTATATTTATAATTCTTGTTTCTTCTTGCTGAATTGACACTTTTACTGTGTTATACTGACCATCTTTGTCTCATGACAATCTTTAACTTACAATCTATTTTGCCTGATATAAATGTATTTTATTAGGTATCAATTCTGCTCCTGCACCTTTTTGATTACTATTTCTGTGAACTATATATTTCAATCTCTTCACTTTCAACCTATTTTCATCCTCAAATATAAGATCAGTCTCTTAGATGCAGCATATTATTGGGTCTTTTTAAAAATTCATTTAAGTACAAGCACTGTATATCTTTGACTACTGAGATTAAATTACTTATATTTAAAGTAATTATTGATAGGAAAGAACTTACTATCGCTATTAGTCATTGGTTTCTGTCTGATTTATAATTTTCCTCTTCTCTCTTCTCTTGCTGTCTTTGTGGTTTAATGATTTTTTATAGTGATATGTTTTTATTCCTCTCTCTCTTTATTTTTAATTTTTATTTTTATTTTGAAGAGACAGGGGTTTGTTAAGTTGCCTAGGCTGGTCTTGAACTCCTGGCCTCAAGAAATCCTTCTGCTTCAGTGTCCCAAAGCACTAGGATTACAGGTACGAACAATCATGCTGGCCCAATTCTTCTCTCTTCAGCTTTTGTGCATGTATTAACAGAATTTTGTGTGTGTACGTGGTTGCTATGAGGCTTGTATCAGACTTGCCATCACTATAATAGTCTATTTTAAGCTGAAACAACTTTGATTACATACAAAAGCTCTATACTTTTCATCCCTCCCCACACTTGGTGTCACGGTTTATTTCTTTTTTTTAATTTGCATCCATTAAGATTTGTGGTTATGGTTATTTTTAATACTTTTGTCTTTTAATTTTTATACTAGAGTTAAAATTAATTTACACACCACCATTAAAGTGTTACAATATTCTATGCCTGTTTATCCAGTAATATTTATATTTTCATATGCTATGGTGCTACTCTTTAAAATTTATTCATTTAAAATTGAAGAATTTTTGTACATTGATTTTGTATCCTGAGACTTTGCTGAAGTTGCTTATCAGCTTAAGGAGATTTTGGGCTGAGACGATGGGGTTTTCTAGATAAACAATCATGTCGCCTGCAAACAGGGACAATTTGACTTCCTCTTTTCCTAATTGAATACCCTTTATTTCCTTCTCCTGCCTGATTGCCCTGGCCAGAACTTCCAACACTATGTTGAATAGGAGCGGTGAGAGAGGGCATCCCTGTCGTGTGCCAGTTTTCAAAGGGAATGCTTCCAGTTTTTGCCCATTCAGTATGATATTGGCTGTGGGTTTGTCATAGATAGCTCTTATTATTTTGAAATATGTAACTAACCTGCACAATGTGCACATGTACCCTAAAACTTAGAGTATAATAAAAAAAATTAAATAAATAAATAAAAAAAAATAAAAATAAATAAATAAATAAATAAATAAATAACTAAAATTGAAGAATTCCCTAGTATTTCTTGTAAAGCAGGTATAGTAGTGAAAAACTCTCTCATTTTTGTTTATCTAGGAAAGTCTTCATTTGTCCTTCATTTTTGAAGGACAAGTTTTTCAGGTATTCTTGGTTGACAGCTTTTTTTCTTCCAATACTTCTAATATATAATCCCACTCCCTCTTGTCCTTCAAGATTTACACTGAAAAATCTGCTGATAGTTATACAAAAATTCCCTAGTATGTGGTGAGTTGCTCTTCTCTGGCTGCTTTCAAAATCCTTTATTTGTCTTTGATGTTTGACTGTTTGATTATAATGAATCTCAGTGTAGGCTTCTTTAGGTTGACCCCATTTGGTGACTGTGGCTTCTTGTATTTGTATGCTTATTTTCCTACACATATTTGGGAAGTTTTCAACCACTACTTCCTTTTCTTGAGACAGGGTCTTTCCCTGTTGCCCAGGCTGGAGTGCAATGGTGCAATCTTGGCTCACTGCAACCTCCATCTCCTGGGTTCAAGTGATTCTCCTTCCTCAACCTCCCAAGTAGCTGGGATTGCAAGCATGTGACACCAAGCCAGGCTAAGTTTTGTCTAAGTTTTTTATTTTTTGTAGAGACGGGGTTTCACCATGTTAGCCAGGCTGGTCTCGAACTCCTGACCTCAAGTGATCTGCCCTGCTTGGCCTCCCAAAGTGCTGGGATTACAGGTGTGAGCAACTGCACCCAGCCTCAGCCATTATTTCTTTAAATAGACTTTATGCATTTTGTTAGTCTCTTGTCTTTATGAAACATTTATTGTATATACATATTATCTCTCCTTTTAGGGTCCCATAAGTCCCATAGGCTTTCTTCATTCTTCTTTTCCCATTTGACTGGATCATTTTATATTACTTTTGTTTGAGTTTACTAATTCTGCTTTATTGAGTCTGCCATTGAAGCTGTCTATCAAATTTTCAGTTCAGCCATTGTATCCTTCAGCTCTATAATTAAGTTCTCTCTTTTTAAAAATTGTTTCTATTTCTTTGTGGAAATTTTAATTTTGCATTGTTTTCCTCATTTCATTTAGTTGCTTCTCTATATCCTCTTGTAGTTATCTAAGCTTCTATAAGAATTATTTTGAATTCTTTTTTAGACAATTCAAATATCTTTATTTCTTTTGAGTCACTTACTGGTGTTGTATTAATTTCCTTCAGTGGTGTCATAATTATTGATTCTTCAAGGTCCTTGTATTCTTACATTGATGTTCGTGTATTTGAGGAAGGGGTCATTTCTTCAGTCTTTCTTTACAGTTTAGTGTTAGCAGACAAAAATCTCCACTAGTCAGCCCAGGCTGGGATTTTGGGTAAGCCATCTGGTAGCACCAAGGGTAGGAAGGGTTGCTGGTGAGACTACTGGCTAGTGTCTATGATCCGTGAAGGCTACCAGCTAGACTCTGAAATTGGGTGGAACTGCTTGCAAGATTTCACAGTTGCAGAGAGCGGAGCTAGTGGCTGGGCTCCATGATCAGAGAGAACCTCTGACTGGGCTCTAGCTGAGTGAATTCATTAGCTGTGCTTTGGCTTGGGCAGGGCTCATGACTTGGGTTCAAAGTGGAGTAGTACTGTTGACTGGGCTCTGCCAGTAATAAAGGATGCTGACTGAGCTCATTGTCCTGTTGAAGCTGCAGGCTGGACTACTAAGTTGGGCTGGGCAAGGCTGCTAGCTATTTTCTGCCATTGGAAGAGGCTACTGCTCTGGCTGTCTGGTCACATAGAGCTGATGGCTGGGTTTCTTGTTGAGACAGGGCCACAAGTTGCACTCCCTAGTTGGGCAGATGTGTTTTGGGGGTCATCTCATTCTGTCAAGGCCACCATCAAAGTCCCTGGTAAAGTGAGGCCACAATGTGGGGCAATCATCAAGATAATACACACGGGCCATTGTGAGCCCCTGCGCCTTTTTCTATTCCCTTTTTCCCCACATGGTCTACTTGTGCCAATTCCCATATGAGGCATGAGAGAAGTGGGCCTCTCAGGCAGTGCCCACAAATGCTATGAAAGTTGGATGTGTGACTCACTGTCTCTTTTCCACCAGGTAAATTGTGGGCCAAGAGGATTTTTCTTGATGTTATGTTGTGCTGGGAGGAGTACTGCAGACAAAGTGACAAAGTGAAACTGTTTATCTTATCGTTATTAAGGTGGTTTCTTTTGTTTTTTATGCTCTACTGGAATGCTGAAATCTCTCCTCTAGGTTCTGGGATTCTCACGAAAGCATTCTCATGGGTGAACTGGGGACTTCCTATTCTGCCATCTGGCTGACATCACTTTTCTACTTCTGGAGCTTCTGTTAATTTATTGACAACACCCATCAGCAATTCTGCAAATAAAGGGAGATAATCAGAAAAAAAGACAGGACAAATTCCGTAGAATCACATTTGTTGTTTATGAGATATGGTGTTTAGGCATTGATTATAAGGGTCTGAGGATCTATGGCCAACTCTCTGCAAATAACTACAAGATTAGCATGTGAAAGAGAGAAAACAAAAATTATGCATGATTACTATTGTTTGAAATAATCTCAGATGTAAATTTACAGTCAAAATAAAGTAGCATTTGGAACACAGCAAAAGAATGAATGTATAAACTGCCTTGGAAAATTATGTGGTTTCTCTCAATAGCAATCTTTGAGAAGAGTCTGAATAAACACTCAGAGGAGGATTTGGAGATTAATAAAATAAAATAAGAAATGAGTTATTTAGTGTCTTTCAAACTCTCAGATTTTATTATCCAATTAGTTCACTTTAGTCATCAACATATAATTTCTTCTATAACCCAATATTCTACAAAATGTTTATAGTATATTAACATATAATAGTAATATTTTACAAAACATTAAAATATCTAGGAGCATAAAATATTTAAATTTTGAAATTGCATATCATATAAGAAAGTCTAGTGTTACTGACTTGTTACATGATCAATAAGTAATATAAACACACTTACAGACACATACACATATCTCATAGACACACAGTATAGACTCACAAACATACACACATAGCACACAGACACATTGCACACACACTGCATAAACATACACATTTCTGGGGCAAAATGCTGAACTCAAATGATATAAATGTTTCCAAATATGAAATACAAATAGGGGCAGAATTTTTAAAATTCTGGTTAATGTTTTCTATAATGGCTGCATGACAGTCAAACACGTTTTTTTTTTTTTTTTCTAGGATCAAATTTTTAATGCAGGACACACAAACGTGAAATATCAATTAAAATATAGAAAAACATGAGATTTCATCTGTACTGCAAGGCTTCTTTTACAGTATAATATAGGCCACAAGGAATACTATATTAAAAAGAAATAATATTAATTTTACTATTAAAAATGAACATGAAAGTATATTTCTTATAATATAGAGCTATATAGTATTGGATCCTGTTAAATACCAAATGACAATTTAATTATTTATTCTAACAAAAGTATTACAATATGTCTCATAATTATGTAACTCTAAAAATGACTATAATTCATAATAGATATGATTGTAATGAAAAATATCTACTCAGATAATTATAAGCTGTCTCTCAATGGATGTATACTATTTACATACATCTATTTTTATCAATCTATCTAGAGAGAGATACACTACACACAACAAATACAATATTTAGAAATATATGCATACATTTTTATACAAATATACAAATGACTAACTGTGATAAATCATAGTTTTTTCTAGTTATAGACACATGAGTACATGTGCACGTGTGCATAAATATAAATAGATATGTGAAATATACAATACATAAATATGCATAATTTATGCATACATACATGAATACAAATAGATATATGAACAAATACATTAAACATATATAACATTAAGTATTTATTCATATGTATTCATTTGTTTCCATTATTTAAATACTTATCCACCTAAATGTATTTGTAAGTGTATAACTCAAATATTCTGGATAACCCAGATTGATACTTTGCATTAAATTGATACAAGATAGAATCTAGTAAATGTTTATTTATTCAGATATAGTCTGATAAATATATATTTAACACTTTTAATGTTACATATAATATATATTTCATACTTCTGAATTAAGATTAAATAAATTGCATAAAAGGCAGATTACTTTTCTTGGGCAAATATACACTTACTATGTTCAAAGGAAATAAAAAATCCAAAACCTAACTCATTTGGAATTTATTACATATAAAATAAATTTTAAAAATAAAAATGAAAAAATCAAGGAATTGAGATAAATTAGAATGTCACACATAAACTGATTTTATTAAATTATATTTCTTACAATTAAGAGTAACCATTTCTCAGCAAATTAATAACTCCTATTGAGTTTTCACTGTTGTTAAATTTGCAGATGATTATTAGGTAGGGAGGTAGGTATATAAACAGCTAATTTATGAAACTCTTCACATAAACCTTACAAATACTGTTGTTAAAGATGACTTTGAAATAAAAACCACTGTACATATCTATGTATAGAAAATGTTAACTCTCCCTTAATTTGTTACTTTTGCATTCTATTTTTGCAAAGAAGTCTCTTTCTTTGGAAAACTTTTAGTTGTAAAAATTTTCCTGAATAGTGATGTTTTCAGTAAATCAAAACTCTTTGGCACTGAAACACATAAAAATACATCTTTTCACAGATTTCACTCTTCTGTTAAATAGATGGAAACTCAAATTTTAACCCATACATATGATCTTTTCCAGTTAAATTTTTCTTTCTTCAGTGAGATTAATAAAAAGCAATTTAAACATATTGAAACATCTGGGGCTTTATTAATTTTCTACATTGAATTACATTAAAATGAACATTTTTTCTTGCCTAAATGATTTCAGTCTCTGTTGATATTAGTGCTATAAGACATTGAGTTTTCAATATAATTTTCTGATATTTAATAATTGTTGATTTATAGAAAATCTATCTTATAAATCTTTGCCAGTTGGTAGTTTGTCCGGTGGAGAATTTACAACCACAGGTTTGTCTCTAAAGACTGGCAAGCTGTAATTTGTATGGTTATAACTTGATTAATAATATTCAAACAATGGTAGATCTGGTCTAATGACCACCAGCCTAGGGTTTTGTGACCACCTTTCCCCTCATTGTCACAGTAATGTTCTCCACCTCTGCCTCTTTTTTCATTCTTAAACGCAGTGGCTTCAAATATGCCTGTCTCTTTCAGGTATTAAGTCATGTGCTAATATTATTTACATATCTACTATGTGAGTCTCTAAGTCTCTCTCTATTTTGCCACATTCTTAACAAAATCTATGCTTACAACACCTCTTATCCCACACCTGGTTCTCAGTTTTTGCTTTGATTTTCCTTTTTGCATTGCCTGTCACTTTGAACTTGATTCTTAGTACTAGATTACTGTCTTTGTTCTGCACTTTTCTGACCCCCCATTCCCTTGAATAGATATCTCTCAATCTATCCAAGTCCTTCGGAATGGCAGTCATAGAAAATGACCACAGATGATGCTCTTGGCCAACATACACCAATATCTCAAATAAGATGCTAACCTTATTTTCGCTGCTCACCTGCTACTTCTTGTTCAATTTAGTTCTAATTTCTTCTTTTATCCAGCTGGTAGCCCCTACTGTATTTTCACTTCTCAAAACAGCATACACTAAATTATATCTGACATTTTGCTCATTCTCTTCTCCCCCAACCTTTCAAGATTATTCTAGTCTTGAAGGTGCAGCTCAAATTATAACTCTTCCATAAATCTTCCCAATGACTAGCTTAGAATTAATGTTTCCATTTCTTTACTTACATAAGTCTGTTCCTTGTACATCTATCACAATTTACTCTCTAATATACTCCTGTATATGTGTCTCTTTCACTGGATTATAAGCCAAAAAATATTTAATTGCTGGTGTCATCAATAAATTATATATATTAGTGCTTTGCATACAGAAGGGCTCAGTGAATTTAAGGTATATATTTACAGTCATGCACCACACAGCAATGTTTCAGACAATGACAGACCACATATGGGACCATGGTCCTATAAGATTATAATACCATATTTTTATTGTATCATTTCTATGTTTAGATATACAAATACAGTTGTGTTATATTGTCTGCAATATTTAGTACTAACATACTGAACATACTGAACAGATTTGTAGCCTAGGAGCAATATGCTATACCATATAGCCTAGGTCTTTAGTAGGCCACACTTTCTAAGTTTATACACTCTATGATGTTCACAAAACACAATCACCTAATTATTCATTTCTCAGAGTATAACCCCATAATTAAGCAATACATGACTATACTGTATTTGAAGAAAGACCTCAGATGCAGAGGGTTAAGTTAATCATAATCTTCAGTTGCTCATTGTATATTATGTTCATTGATGCATTCGGGGGCCTCCTTCAGTTAAACATATTGATTCATTCATTTTCTCTTATGACCACCATCTATCTACACTTATCTAACATGTAGGAAACCATTTTAATGTGTTTAATCCATATCTTTTCATGTAAATATATTCTTACACATTGTGTTGTCTAAGTAAGTGTATATAGTATGTATGTACATATGTGTATGAATATGTGTATGTGTGTATATGCATTACAATATACATGCATATATCTGTCTATATATATTAGAGAGAGAGAGAAAGTATAGTGTTTTCATTATCCATATCAACCACATTAGAGTGCATTGTTTCTTTCCACCGTCCCAGTAATGGGTATTCATGTTGCCTCCAACTTTGCACTTTCTGCACCACTCTAAACAAAGCTATCACAAACATCTTTAAACATGTCCATTTCGGGAAATATGTAAACATTCCCTAGGACATTCAGCCAGAACTAGAATATCTGAGTCATCTGTATATGGGATATTGCTTTCCAAATAACTAGTATAGTCATTTGGAATCTCATTCCAATCAGATAGACAGAAGGATTACTATGCCCTTACATTACTGTTAACACTTAGAATTTTCTAGAGTTTCATTTTTTTTCAGTTTAATATGTGTAATTATTCCTTCTTATTTTAAATTTTGTTTCTTTTTTTTTCTGTCCACCAATTGTTTTAGTTTCCTAGGGCTATTAAAACAAACAATTGCAAACTGGGTAGCTTAAAACAGTATAAATTTATTTCTTCATTGTTCTTTAGTCCAAAAGTACAAAACTGAGATGTCAATAGGGCCACACTTTCTCTGAACTCATGACTAAAGCAACCTTCCTTGGTTCTTCCAGCTTCTGGTGGCTCAAGCATTCCTTGGTTTGTGGCTACATAACTCTAATCTCTGCCTCCCTCATATGGCTTTTTCCTCTTTGTTCATGTATCTTCGCCTCTTTTATAAAAATGCTTGTCATTGGATTTAGAGGTCACCCAGCTATCCAAGATAATCTTATCTCAAGATCCTGAATTTATTTATATCTGCAAAACCGTTATAATAAGGTCACATTAATAGATTCCAGGGGTTAGGATATAGATATAGCTTTTGAAGGCCCACCAGTCATTCCACTACAGCAGTGACTTTCAGTCATCGTGTCATATTCTTGTCAGTGTTTTTAGTTTTTAGATTTAAAAATTCCCTGTTTGTATCTTTTGTTATTTTTTCTTTTGAGTGGCTGTTTTTTTCTTCTGAGTTTTTAATAGTTTCTTAACATTCTAGAAACTAATTTATTTTTGTTTCAGCTTGTGAAAATATCTCCTCACATTCATTCAATTGTTTATCAATGTAGTCAATAACATTCTTCAGCTAAAAATGCTTAATTTTAATGTAACAGACTTTTTAAGGATAAAAAAGTCCTTGATTAATACCCAGCTTTCCAGTGCTCTGGATCCTGCTAAAATATTATATTGAATGGCAAAACAAAAATCTACTCATAGTGAATTTTATATTCTGTTTCCAATGAAGCAGCAAGACAGTTTTGGAGGATCTTCCAAAATCTCCCTTAGTATCACACCACGATGGCAACAGTTTATGAGATAATTCCACTTCTAATACATGCACCCACACTATAAATACAGTGAGAAGAAACTTTGTTGTTTTAGTGATAAGTTATCACCAATTACCTCTTTAATACAGATTATGATGCTGGATGATAAATATTAGATAATGGCATTTTCCATTTCTGCTTAGAGATATAAATAGAAAAGTGTAGATATTTACTTGTTATTCCAGTGATTCACACACAACATTATTTAATGCTACATTATTCTTATAAACAATATTTGTATAAAACTAAAATATGATGTTGGATAATTTGAAGGTTTAACATTAATTATTTGATTTAGGGACAATGTGAACCAATTCTTAGAAAATGTGAATTACTTTTCTCAATCAAAGAGAAAATAGAATATTTTGAAATCTGAAAAACATGTAAAATAAGTTTTTATTAAGAACACTTTTTATTCTTAAAGTTTTACTAATTTAATTTAAATATTGTCTAAACTACCACTTCGAAATTGTACTACTTTAAAACCATTAGATTTACGTTATCTGTTAGTAAAATATTCACAGTGAGTCATCAAATAGATTCCACTATAAATTTTAAAAGGCTATTTCCTAGATGTTAATATTGCACTCAGCAGAGCATAAGTCTCAGCGATAATGAACTTACAATGTAATGCGTGAAGTGGACACTAAAAAGTAATTTAAGTGGTTAGGAGTGATTTAAAAGTCATTTTCGTATATTAGTTTGTAAGATAGAAATACTTTATATTTGGGGGATTTTTATAATTTTATGTCATGAATGTTCATTCTCTTAATGTGGAATGCTGACAATGGTCATGTTTGATCAATGGCCTTTAACATATTTTTATTGAAAATAAAATAGTCATTACTAATAATAGCTTTATTGCCATTAACACATATCATGTTATAATACAATTGACGTACTTACATTAGAATGATATACTATTTTTTCCTTTTAAGGAATTTAGAGTGCCTTGTCTTTTAGAAAG
This sequence comes from Homo sapiens, assembly GCF_000001405.40. Taxonomy (NCBI): domain Eukaryota; kingdom Metazoa; phylum Chordata; class Mammalia; order Primates; family Hominidae; genus Homo; species Homo sapiens. The sequence goes on from NC_000003.12 coordinate 95,901,821, forward strand.
GTCATTTTCTTTTGAAACATATTGCACTGTATAAGAAGATTCTGAATTAAAGGTCTGTTTAAGTTTAATATAGTAGAAAAAAATAAAAACAAAGAAAAGAAGTTTGCTTGAAATATATAATTATAAAACTTTCTGTTTATATTGATTTGTTACTCTAAATCAGATAGGCCTAGCACTTGTACCACCACTTATAAAGATGTTTATCTTTTGATCTGGAATCCAGTTGGGAATATTTTTATGTAATTAAATTTTGGTTCTACTTGGAGTTGTAATTATTCATTTTGGAACTGAAATACTTAAAGGCATTTTCAGTTCTCTTTTCTGATCTGCTGACCAAAAGCCCAGGAGTCAAATGTTCACACATTTGTTCTGTTTGTTCTGTTGTTCAATTGGAAAACAATATTTAACTATTTCTATCCATATTGTGGCCTCCATTGTCTATTTCCAGATATATATAACTCCATTTACTATTTAAGTTAACATTGAGGCAACCAAACTCAAAAATATACACATCACATGCTGAGACATTATGTCCTCTAAATTGTACAAATATGTGTCAAGGAGAAATCCTGGAAAAGTTTTGAGGAGCCTTCTCTGAGAACTGAGTTTTACCATAGCCTTCAAATTGTACCTTTGTTAGAATATACATTTATAATCTCTTTTGAGGGCACTATGCTAAATTATGGTTTTGTCTACATCAAAGTGAAGTAAGGTCCTCAACCTCTTCCCCATTCAAAGGTAAGCCCTCAGGTACTCTATAATAAATTTCTCCCTGCCATGAATTACCCCAACTCCATTACAACATACTCTTTTACCATTATCTTTAGCAAACTAATGCAGGAGCAGGAAACCAAATACTGTATGTTGTCACCTATAAGTGGGAGTTAAATGATAAGAATACAGAGATATAAAGAAGGAACAACAGATACTGGGGCCTACCTGAGGGTGGAGGATGCGAGGTGGGAGAGGAGCAAGAAAAATAAGTGTTGGGTACTACGCTTAGTACCTGGGTAATGAAACAACCTGAACAACAAACCCCCATGACATGAGTTTACCTATATAACAAATCTGCACGTGTACCCCAAACCAGAAATAAAAGTTTAAAATAAAACAAAAACACATTTCTTTAGACACTAGCAACTCAAGAATTTTTTCCCCAAACACTGTCTTCTACTCTTTAATGCAAGCTTGGATGGGTTTTCTTTGTTTTTTATTCAAAAGTTTCATTGAAGTTTTGTACTTATTTAGCCAATCATTTAATTTGATAAAGTCAAATATAAGAAAATCTGTTATTCATAGTGTTGACGATCACCATAATGGAATAAACAATAATTCAATTCTAGGTATTCTGTGTAAATTTGAACGTTCTGAAAAAAAAAAACATTAAATCCATAAGAAGATAGATAATGCTATAACTTGAAGTATAAATAATATTTTTATTAAAACATATGTAAAAACTTAATATTGGAGGGTGATTTAAGAAAGCAGGCAGACTTTGTAAATCATCATATCCTAGGACTTTTCTAAGACCCATGAATTGGAGCTATTCCCAAAATATTAACTACATGTTCCAAGCAGGATAGGTATAGAAATGAAAAGTTTCATAGCATTTTCACATATTAATTTTATGTCTATTGAATCTAAGAATTTTTTTAAAGATTGGGTTCATAAAGGTTTTTTTACAGTGTTAGCTAAAAAATTATTTTGTAATGTCTCAGGAAACAATGTAAATAATTAGATCTATCAAATAAAGATATTCCTCCTCAATTTGTTTGTAGAAGTATTTCATTAACTTGTAAAAGGGTAATACAATAGTGTTGATCTACAAAAACTAAAATAATAGCAAACAATTAAATGAAGTATACCTTAGAAAGTATGAGAAGTCAAGTGAAATTAGTTATCTGTAAAATTTTGCATTTTTGACTTATGTTCAGAGCTATTAAATCCAAATCCTTTATGTGAATATGCCATTTCGATAAAGAACACTTACTTTTCCTTGTGTTGCCAATACTAATTACTAGTATATATTTTGGAAAACTAACCTCAGATCTGAAGTATGCAAGAACTACATGGTGAACATTTTACTTAGAACATCTAAAGAAGAAAATACTTTGAATATATTATTCTTTTTATCAAGACAGTAGCATAAGTTAAATGTAAATTCAGTTGAGGCTGCATCAACAATAAATAACATTACAAAGTAGCTAATGAAAAATTTCACAGTCATGTCTGTTTTTCCAAAATCTATGTTATAACATTAATAAAACCTCACAACATAATGATTTTATTCAAGCATATTTATCCAGCAGCACTTTCTGAGGTAAATAATAAGTGGAATATTTTTTGAAACATTAATATTACTTAGAGAAATGCTTTTGTTTCTAACCTCAATGTCAGAAAAGTCATCACTTCAGAAAAATAAAATATCCAGCCTACTACAATATTACACTTAACATTTATATGTGTGGGTTACACATTGATGGATTTAACCAACTGCAGTTCAAAAATACTTAAATAAGATATAACAACACAAAAATTAGAAATACAAATAAAAACTAATATAGTATAACAACTATTTATGTAGGATTTACATTATGTTAGGTATTATAAGTAATCTAGTGATTTAAAATGTACAGGAGGATGTACATAGGTGATATTATGCATGTACACACATATATAATATTTCGTCATATTTAAGTAGGCAATATTTATCAATTTTAAAAATTAATAAAATTATGAAAATATATGGTCAAATGCCTAAAACTGAATCATTACATTACCAACTAGTGATAGTTGCATCTATGCCAAAATATTTATGTACTCAGAGTCCTAAATTTTAACTTATTTTCAAAGTCCTGAATTCTTTCTAAGTTTACAAAGTTCCTGGAAAAAAAATCATATTGATAAGAGAAATAGAGACACATACACACAAAGAGGAGGAGAGAGAGTAGAAAGAGAAAGAAAAAGAACGAATACTTCATAGTTACTTTTGACTTCTTACTTCTCTACTATATCATTTTAAATAGTTAACTCTACTACACTGTATAATTTGGTGACTGTAAAATATGGTGATTTGCAAGAAAAGAGCCACAGACAAAGCAGTCATCAAAGGTATGCACTTTAAGTACAAGAGAGGCACTTTAAACATAAAAATATAGATTGAAAATACAACTGTGGAAAAAGATATAGTAGACAAACAATAATCCACAGAGGCTGGAGTGGTTATATTAACATCAGAAAAATAAACTTCAGGACAGAGATTATCAGAGACAAGTAGAATATTTTATAATTATAAAAGTACCAATTTTTTAGGAAAGCTAACAATTATATATATGTATGTACCTAATTATAAATAATGCTTGGATAAAATCATTATAGATATATGAAATACAATTTAACAAAATAAAAGAAGAAAAGGCAAATTCACAATCATACAAACAATATTATTAACCACCTTGATCTAATTGACATTTATAGAACAGAACATCCAACAGTTATAGAATCCACACTTTTCAAGTGCACACATTGTTCATTCGCCAAGTTTGTCTTTACATGTTGCCATAAAGGAAATGTCAAAAGTCTGACACATCCTCTTACCAACAAAGAATTAAATTAGAAAACAAAAACTGCAGGATGTTTACAAAAATCTCATATATTTGGAAATTAAACAATCTACTCATAAGTAAGCCAAGAAAAAATTAGAAGAAAGGAAGAAAAAGAGAAAGAAAAAAAGAAAGGCAGGAGGGCAGGCAGTAAGGAAGGAAACTAGACCATATTTAGAAAAAATAATTAAAATATATCATGTGCATAAAGGAATGCAAATCTCATACTTCTGGGAAGACAGGATTTATCATGCATATCCCATACTACTATCACCTTATTTTAACTTTAGGGGACTCAAATGACCATTCTTTTTTTTTTTTAATGGATGAAAATAGAAAAATTATGTGAAAAAAATAACTTGATGTCCTTGTCCTTTCTAGTAAAGGTTGGGAACATGTTAATACAATTTAAATAAGACCCACTTGTCATGATGTACAGAATCCAGCTTCAGTCAGAGTTATCTTTATCAGTAATGAACAATCAAAGTCTCAATGGCTTGCAACAACAATTTCACTCTTGTGTTGCATGCTGCAGGTTGGCTACTCCACAGGTTTTCTCATTGTGGGGTCCACGATCAAGGAGATGCTTCTTTTGGGAATGCTACTCTTGTGGCAGAAGGAAAATAGCAGAATCTGCCAAAAATTATGCAATGCCATTTAAAACATCTGTCTGGAGTTGGCTCACAGTCACTTTTGCTCACACCCCCTAGCCCAAACCCTTCCTTCCAACACAGAGGGGAATCTCCAGTTTCATCCCAGAAGAAAAAGCATTTTAAAATATTGAAGTTAGGAAGATAATTTGAATGTTCATTGTATCTGACAAATATATTCTTTTAATATGGGGTCATTCATTAAAGTCCTTCACATTTCAAAGCTCTGTGTGACAGGTTCAATAAATTCATAGTAGGCCAGCCGCGGTGGCTCATGCCTGTAATCCTAGCACTTTGGGAGGCAGAGGCAGGTGGATCATGAGGTCAGGAGATTGAGATCATCCTGGCTAACACGGTGAAACACCGTCTCTACTAAAAATACAAAAAACTAGCCGGGCGTGGTGGCGGGCGCCTGTAGTCCCAGCTACTTGGGAGGCTGAGGCAGGAGAATGGCGTGAACCCAGGAGGCGGAGCTTGCAGTGAGCCGAGATCACGCCACTGCACTCCAGCCTGGGCGACATAGCGAGACTCCGTCTCAAAAAATAAATAAATAAAAAATAAATTCATAGTAAGATTATAGTAGTTAAAATAGATAATATTACATTTTGTGCATTCCATAGAAGAACATAAATACTCATGAACATTTTGCCAACTCTGTTTCCATTTCTGGGAAAGTGGTGTTGGATGTTGCTATGATAATGAATGAGCTAGAAATAAATACTACAATTATCAAAACTCAAAAGCAAGCTTTATAATATGTTGGTGCCACAACAATTCACTTTTGATATATTATTTTGGTTTAGGAAAAAACAACTTTGTAAACAAATGTCTGTGTATTATGGAATTGACATTCAAACTAAACCATTGCCAGATACTCAGGGCCCTTTTCCTGTCTTCCAGATTGTAATCAATCTTAAATCCCAACTTCCCTGTGGATACAGTATTCTTCTCTTTAGCTTAAATTCTATTTATCTTGATCTTTTTCTTTCTTCTTCTGAAACTAAAGATAAAATAAATGCTGGATTTTTTTTAACAAATCAAATCAAGCACACCAGCAAATAGAAACAGAACTTCCACGTGATACCTAATATAGGAGTTACCATGATTCTAGTCTAATTTTGGACAACTTCAAGAACTTTCCATTTCTTTACCTGAAAGTAATTCTAGCTGTTGCCTAAAACTCATTACAAGTTCTACAAATTTTAGTTGTTTGTTTTGATTAATCAGTTTCTCTGTGCCAATTACTGTGCTAGACACAAGAAATTAAAAACTGATTAACTCTGTTCCCTCAAGGGATTACTCTCTATCAGAAATGAATGAACACACAAAAATAATTCTAATACAATACATGTGATATAAAATCACATAAGAGTAAAGGGTCAGAATACAGAAAGTATATTAAATTTATGGATCATTTCATGGTTGTGTGCCATTATTATCCAAAAAAGCAAACTTACTGTGAGACAAGATGCAAGCTCTTTATTGTTGTCTAGTTACAGTTAATTAAAAACATAAAACCATCAAGTTTCAATGTTATGAGAGATCTTAAGACATTTTCCACTTTAACTTGTTTTTAAGAAACATGAGGTCAAGATTTTACTGTGCTTCCATATTTTTATGTTTTTTCTTTAATCAATGTTTTAAAGTTGTTTTTTTGTTTTTTCCATTTTCTTTACTTCCTATTGTGATATAGGAACTATAGTGTAGATCATATTTGTGCTAAATTTACACTTTTGCATTTTCTTATTCTTTTCTCTGTTTACTCAAATGTGCTAAAGTAGAATAACATCTTTAGGAACATTAACCTTTTAGTGTGCAAAGAAGCCATAATCAGAAAGGTGGGCTTTTTTTAAATCTTTAAAAACAACCTAAAAGCATTAATCTTATATTTTACCTTCTTAAGGACTTATTGTTTATTTAACAACTGAGCTGCCAATAGTCTTCCTTAAAAGTAAGTTTGGTACTTCATTAATTTTTAATGGCCCAAAATGTTTCTTTAATTGGTGATGGTTTCCTCTGGTAAGCACCAAATCTAACTTATGCAACGGCATTCTATCAGTGCTATTTAAACATGTTGGAGTAAATGAGGAAGAGTGAATTGAATAATTAACTGACTGTTTAGCTCCTGGAAGCTAACACAAATAGCATAAAGAGCTACATTATCTTTTCTTGAAGAAAATAAATAAAAAGAGGAAAAATAAAATAAAAATTTTGGCAGTAATAGAAAATGACAGCATAATATTTTGTGACAAGAAAAGTAAGTGGCAGATTAAAAAGATTAACGCCTCCCAAAATGATTATGATACATATTTTTCAATGTCTCATAAACTTGGAAACATTTCATTTGTATACATGGTATGCACTATACTTATGCTTAATAATGTTTTTAATAATATTAGGTTGGTGCAAACATAATTGCGGTTTTTGTATTGTTTAAATTTGCTGCTTGATATTGGAATATATTCTTAAATAAATGTAGGTATGTTATACATCATTTTAATGCATATTTCTCACTTTTTTTCGCTAATGATTTATTACCTGCTGTTTATTTTATAGTTATTTTAGACTATGGAAATGATGTTAGACAAAAAGCAAATCTGAGCAATTTTCTTTTCAATGTGGGCTGTAAAGCAACGGAGACAACTCACAACATCAGCAATGCATTTGGCCTATGAACTACTAACGAATGTACAGTGCAGTGGTATTCAAGAAGTTTTGCTAAGAACACGAGAGTCTTGAAGATGAGGAGTATAGTGGCCAGCCATTGGAAGTTGACAGAGACCAATTGAGAGCAATCAACAAACCTGATCCTTTTGTAACTAAGTGAGAGGATGCAAAAGAACTCAACATTGATCATTCTATGGTCATTCAATATTTGAGCAAATTAGAAATGTCAAAAAGCTCAATAAGTGGTTGCATCATGAGCTAAGTAAAATTTTTTTAAAAATTGTTGTTTTGAAGTGTTGTCTTCTCTTATTGTACATAACAATGAACTATTTCTTGTTTGGATTGTGATGTGTGACAAAGAGTATATTTTATATGACAACCAGCAATGACCAGCTCAGTGAGTGGACCAAGAAGAAACTCCAAAGCACTTCCCAAAGCCAAGCTTGCATCAAGAAAGGTCATGGTCACTGTTTGGTGGTCTGCTGCTGGTCTGATCCACTACAGCTTCCTGAAGCCCGGCAAAATCATTACAGCTGAGAAGTATGCTCAGCAAAATGTTGAGATACACCAAAAACTGCAATGTCTGTAGCCAGCATTGGTCAACATAAAGGGTGTAATTCTTCTCCACAATAACGCCTGACTGCATGTCACACAACCAATGCTTCAAAAGTTGAATGAATTGGCCTATGACGTTTTGCCTCATCTGCCATATTCACCTGACCCCTTGCCAACGGACTAACACTTCTTCAAGCATCTTGGCAACTTTTTGCAGGGAAAATGGTTCCACAACCAACAGGATACAGAAAATGCTTTCCAAGAGTTTGTCAAATTCCAAAGCACAGATTTTTATGTTACAGGAATAAACAAATTTATTTCTCATTGGCAAAAATGTCTTTATTGTAGTGGTTCCTATTTTGATTAATAAAGATGTGTTCGAGCCTAGTTATAGTGACTTAAATTTATGGTCTTAAACCACAATTACTTTTCCACCAACCTAATATTTTTATTACTTTGTACATCTAGTTAAAAAATAATTATAGTGGAACTATGATCAGCAATGTACAAGGTTTCTGTTAAAGTTTGTTCACTGTCTCTCATGTTTGACACACTAAAGAATAAAAACGATATTCTCTTTTTGTCAATAGCTTTTCTAAATTTATGCTTCTATGAGCTTTTCTACTCTACTAGATAAATTAAGTGAATTTCTACCTCTTTTAGTCTTCAAAATTATAATGTATGCAGTGATCTGTATAGTTTTCTACATTGTACCAAAATTACTATGATATATACAGAAATACTCTGAAATAGTCATTGTGTTTTTCTTTCCTATAAGCAACCCCTTTCCTTTTAACATTTTATAATAAGGGTATTATTGTTATTCTGGTTTGGATAATTTTTCTTGTCTGCTGTCCACATTGTAAGGGTTTTAGAACTCTGTATCTTTGCTCACTAAATGCTAATGGAAGATCTAGTCATTTTAGTAATCAAAATCATTCCACACACATTCAAAATGCCCTCTGTTAGAAGAAAAGCTTTAGACAAGTTAATTTTATCAGAGTTTAATTGAGCAAAGATTAATTTGTGTATCCGGGCAGCCCCCAAAACCAGAACAGGTTTAGAGAGACTCCAAGGCTACAACATGGTCAGATTAGTATTTATGGACTTAAAAGACAAGTGATGTATACGTCAACTGAAAAATGATGAGGTTTATAAATTTGGAAAGGAGAGCTTCATTTCTTATAAAGGGTTACAGCTTGCAGGGTTGCCATTCTGATAGGCTGGAAAGCATAGCCTCCTTCCAGAAGCCAGAAAGACACTTTGAGGGATAGGCAAAGGGAACAGAAATGTATGCAGAATGGTGTGGCCAAATATACATATTCAATAAGCTATAGGAGGAACCATGAATATTTATAAAAGGGGAAACATATGCATGTTCAATTGAGCTTCATGCTCCTCCATGGGATCCATGTTCAAAAAATTTTGGTGTTAGAGTTTCAGGATCTTTGGGGTGTCACTATTCTGGCTGGAAACATGTGGCTGGTGGCGTCTTTGTCCAAATTTTCTTGGGCCCATTGGGCTCATTCTACCCACTCAGCCTGGCAGGTTGTGCACAACTTACACTACTGGCCTGTATCCCATTCCTCTAAGGGAGACTGCAAATCAGGCATGGAGCAACGAGAAGTGTGGAAACGAGCATGGGGTCTGGCCACTGTGCAGTCAGACATGCTGGCTGCTGCCGTGGGGTGGGCAGCTATAGGTGCTGGCATGAGTGTCTGCGAGGAGCTGAATCAAGTGCACCACAAGCAGCTTCCCCATCTGTCACAGGGGAATGTGGTGGTGCCTGGAAGCTTGGGGATGCCAGGAACTGCAGGGCCCTAAGAAGCATGTTTCAACCATTCGTGTTATAGCTCTTTTAGCCCTTCCATTTGACAGGTCCCAAGTTCTTGTCCTCTGACCAGGAAGAATGCGACCCACAGACAATCGGAAGGTGAGCAAGACAAAGAGGAGCTTTACTGAGCAATAGAACAGCTCAGAGGAGACCCACAGTGGGTAGCTCCAATAGCTTCTTTCTGCAGCCAGGGTGTCCCATTGAGTGTTCAGCTCCTAGCAGAGAGGAGGCCCTGGAGTGTGTTGCTCCTCTTTGCAGGCAGGTCATCCCATCATCTTACCAGCTCTCAGCAGAAAGGAGGCCCTGGAGTGGGTAGCTCCTCTCTACAGGCAGGTCATCCTGATGTCTCTGCAGCTCTCAGAAGAGAGGAGGCCCTTGAATGGGTTGCCCTTCTCTGCAGGCAGGTTGTCCCATCGTCTTCCCAGCTGTCAGCAGAGAGGAGGCTCTGGAGTGGGTACCTGTTCTCTGCAGCTAGTCATCCCAATGTCTGCTCTGCTCTGGCTGAGCCCAGGGCTTTTATGGGCCTTGGAAGGAGGAAGTGTGTGCTGATTGGTCCATGTGCAGCCATGGGCAGGCTGGAAAAGACACCACAAATTCCGACATTGGTCTGTGGGACTGGCAGCCTGATCCCCAGCTTTCAGGCCCTTCCTGGCCTGAAGGTGGGGCCTTAGCTGGAATCTGCTGCCTTCCACCCAGGAGCTGATCTGCCTCTTGCCACTATCCATGGTGCCCAGGCTGATCACACCAAGGGGTACCTGGAGGCCAGCACTGAGCTGCCCTCAGTCCCCTTTTGGCTTCCCTTGCACCGGGCTGTGGGCACCCAAAGTCTGGAGGGGACCAAGGTGGCAGGGGACTGGTGTTTCTGCACTGCCCCAAGCATATGCCCCCCCCAGCTGGACTGCAACAATGCTCAGCTTTGGCCCCACATTGATCTCAGGTCAGAGTGGGTGCTAACAGCAGGGAGAAGTCAGGTAGTGGTATCAGGCACTTCCAAGCCTGCAAGGGTAGAGGGGAGACTTCCTGAGACCCCCAAGAGCACATGGAGGCCCAGGTCCACAACCTTGACTTGGGCAGTTGCAGCTGTGCCCAGCTCCCTCTAGTTCCATGGAGCATGCAGCCCTGACTGCACCCCCTTGCTGCCTGGGACAGGGGCTCCAGGTACTTGCTAGGCCTAAGATGGCATGTGGAGCAGGGTTGACATCGCTATGATCTCCCCCATTTGCCCCAGTGCTCAGAGGCAGCCCGGAGTAGAGTGGATTGCCCCTAAAGACAGTAGATTAGGACCTGGAGAAACAGCTAACCCAGAGTGGCCCTTGGAATGAAAAGAGCCAGTATTGACAAGGACACTGGGCCCCAGGATTCTGGAACAGCATTGTAACTGCCCAATGGGTTCACCTTGCTCTCTGCTTAGGTAGAGCCGATTTATCAAGACAGGGAAATTGAAATCGAGAAAGAGTAATTTGCACAGAGCTGGCTGTGTGGGAAACCAGAGTTTTATTAGTACTCAAATCAGTCACCCTGAGCATTTGGGGATCAGAGTTTTTAAGGTCAACTTGGTGGGCCAGTGAGCCGGGAGTGCTGATTGGTCAGGTCAGAGGTGAAATCATAGGGAATTGAAGCTGTCTTCTTGTGTTGAGTCAGTTCCTGGGCGGGGCCCAGAAGATCAGATGAGCCAGTTTCTTGATCTGGGTGGTGCCAGCTGATCCATCAAGTACAGGGTCCACAAAAAGTCTCAAGCACTGATCTTAGGACCAATTTAGGGAGGGTCAGAATCTTGTAGGCTCCAGCTGTGTGACTCCTAAACCATAATTTCTAATCTTGTGGCTAATTTGTTAGTCCTACAAAGGCAGTCTAGTTCCCAGGCAAGAAGGAGTTTGTTTTGGGAAAGGGCTGTTAAACTATAAACTATAAATCAAGTTCCTCCCAAAGTTAGTTCAGCCTACACCTAGGAATGAATAAGAACAGCTTGGAGGCTAGAAGCAAGATGGAGTTGGTTAGGTCATATCTCAGTTACAATTTTGCAGTGGCAGTTTTAGCATTCCTGAGCACATATCAGCAGATTATCTTTTCCTGTTAGAGCGAACATACCCATAGCCTCTGCTGAGAAGACACATGTGGTGTTCTTTCTTCTGACTGAGGTAGGACATCTATCAATGCCTCCCTTTACAGCTCACGGAGCTCTTTCAACCAGTGCTCTGTCTACCTATGTCCCTAGAACAGCTAAACTCTGTGACCTATGTGGCAACCACGCTCCCTGTCAACTACCCCAAACACACATAAGTATGTCTGAAACAGTGACTGGGGTTCTTATCATCAGGAAGGATGAGGGTAGTGTAATAAACAATACTTGTCCCAGGAAAGTAATGGACACAGGTAAAAGCCTTTCAATTATGTAGGCATAATATGTCTTTCACAGGCCCCCGTTTTGAGTTTTTGTGTAACTCAGAGCAATGTCTACAGTAGAAGACTTAAATGACTGTTAAATGAATATATAACATAATTAATGCATGGACTAATAAGAGCCAATAACATAAAAAAGAAGAGTCATCCATTTGACAATGGACATACGTCTATATCTATCAAGAAAAAAAAGATACAGCTCCATATTTTGTTAATCTTGCCATTTTGATTGTTTTTCTTATAAGAAACCCTTAGATAAAATAGAAAGGGGAAAATGCCTTGATTTTTAAATTATAGATTTCACAAACAAGAGAGATCATTAAAATCAATCTCTTCTTTGCTCTTTCATTCAATAGTTCTTTTTTTTTCTTACTTCTGGTACCCAAGCATATAAACACTTGCTTGTACCATTCAATATATTTCTTTCTTTCTTTCTTTCTTTTTTTTTGAGATGGAGTCTCACTCTGTCATGCAGGCTGGAGTTCAGTGGTGCTATCTCAGCTCACTGCAACCTTCACCTCCCGGGGTTCAAGCAAGTCTTCTGCCTCAGCCTCACTAGTAGCTGGGACTACAGGCCATGCCACCACACCCGGCTAATTTTGTATTTTTTAGTAGAGATGGGGTCTCACCATATTGGCCAGGCTGGTCTTGAACTCCTGACCTTGTGATCTGCCCTCCTCGGCCCCCCAAAGTGCTAGGATTACAGGCGTGAGCCACCGTGCCCGGCACTATTCAATATATTTCTATTTTGTAACAGTAGTTCAGCCAAGGCCTTAGTTAACTTTAATGGAATTTGGAAAGTTAGTTTTCTAAATTTATCAGTTCAACAATACAAAAAAAGCGAAATTTTTTACAATATATTGTAGCTTCACATTTCTTGCATTCTCCAAATCCATCTATCCATCATGGTTTGTGACTAGTAACTTTAGATCTGTTTTTTGTCTAAAGGTATGCAGACTGATCCTGACGTGGCAGTAAGCCTGAACAATGCATACATTATTCAAGTTTTTATTAATTATATGGCAAATTTTGCTTCCAGTTTCTCTCCATGTAATTTACAATATATTCTTAATTGATACTAAACATATATTTAAATTGCCTTTGCACTTTATGTATAAAATTATAGATAATTTTACTTGATCCTGAAATCTTATCACTTGGTTCTAATGCTGACCCTCTCAGGGGCCCAGTAGAGTTAGTGGCCAAGAGCTGCAGTACAATACAGTTACTGAAAACGTGACCCTGAACACCCTTTTACCAATACAATACTTGTCCAATGATTTCTGTACTAGAAGATCTGTGACTTCAGTTGGTGTGAACATTATTTTACTCTAACGACATGGGTCAATCTTTATAGAGTATCAACTATCATTTTAGATTATTTCCACTAAGGTAATATTTAATGTTAAACGTAAATTATTAACACTAATTAAGCAGTAAATGTATAGCACATTTTCATGTGTGGAATGATGAAAGTTTATATCCACTTTGCCAGTAAAACAATGTTGGCCTGTGTTTGTGAAATCTTTTCCTTTAGTGTTCAGACACCATACTCTGCTAAAACAGCTTCTACATTTATGGAAGATACTTTTCAGTCAATTTTGTTTCCTATTTATTTTTCTCTTGCTCTTTAAGTCCTCAGAATGCAAGTATTTTGTTTCCTCTTTATCACCTATCTCGTCTTGGTAAATAAAAAATAAAAATTGTGGAATCAAATAACACTCTTGTAGCTATCCAAACCTACAACTCCCTACTCCTTCCTAAGCTATAGAAAAGTATTTTGAAATGATCATCGGCTAGCTCTATATCCTGAGTCCATCAACAACCTAAATTCACTTTATGCATACCTGAACCTCTCTCTTCATAGCAAACTTATATAGTCAGTTCATATGATTAATAAAATTTTTTTATGCAAACTGGAAGCATATGTTTCAGCAATACAACTGAATTATATTAAGCCTGTGAGGTATGAAATGTTTAGGTTCTGTGAGCATTCTATGTCCTTTCGCATGCATGTTTTTCTACAATGCTGCTTGCTCTGCATGATCCTACATGCCTTGTTCTACTTACTCTATGTTTTACTATATTTGGCTTAAAATAAATGTCTATAACATTTGTGTCACACTGTGATGAAAGTCATTTTTTGATGTCTTCACATTTTGGTTCATCATAGATCCATTCTCTGATATCCCATATGAATTCCTTTATCATTGTTGGAGAATATAAAAGTCAATTTGCCTTAAAAAAATCTAAAGAAATTGGAAAATGGGCATAGTGTAAAGAATCACTACCTAATAAAGATAAATATCCTTTGTAAAAACTGCATAGAAGCTTATCATTTTTATCTACTAAGGCAGCTCAAAGATTATTCTCTCTTTTCAGATCTTATGAAACTGTATAATGCGAATTTAAAAGTATTTGTTACTGCAAGGTGTTAGTTGGTCTTAAGTACCACTAATAATATATATTATAGCAAGTTATTCTACCAAGAAATGGTAATTTCATATATATCTTGACTATTTACATTGAAACATATTATTTGCTGATTATAAAGGAAACCTATTTCCCACGCAGAAAATTGGAAGATATAGAGAGGCGCAAATTAGACCATAATCACATTTTATTACACTATCCTGAAATAAACATTTCTTAACACTGGGTCTATATCTTTCTAATAATATAATAATTTTATTATAAAATTTTAATAACATACCTACAATAAAGTAATATCTACATGTTTAAAATGAGACAAGGTGATATGAGTATGAAAAATAATATTTATTTTGCCCACAATCATATTACATATCATAAAAAAGTACAAAAAAAAGTAAAGAAATCAGTGTAAATACAGGCACCAAAACCATTTTTTAAAATCCATTTTCATATACTTTGCATTGCTTAACCAACTTTAATTTGGAGATATCTTTTTCATCATCCTCAGAGCAAGCAAATGATCCCAGAAAGAGAGAAACACATTCAACAAACAAAACCAAAGCCCAGTGGAATTAGGTTGTTTCTAAAGAAATAATATCCAAGACAAAAAAAAATTAATGTCAACAAATAATTTGTTTGTATACCATCATTTTAAACACGGTTATGTTTGAGAAGGCTGCCTACATCTTGCAGATTGGAAAGAACAAGTCACAGTGCCCTCCAGTAAGGCAAGGGCTTATTTGCAAAGATTTTGTCTGAGAACTGGAAGAATCTGCACAGAAGGATCCTACGTATGGCTGCTCATCCCAGGATCCAAAGAGCATTAATAGCTGGGTAAGACTTAGACTTACAGACACAATATTGCAGTTAAGAGCATAGAGGCAGAGAACCCTTAGGATCAGTAATAATCTGAAGTTAGTTAGAAGAAATGGTGATGGAGGAGTAGGGTAGAGTAACCACGTATTTCTTTGTTGCTTGTTGATAGAGAGAGCTAGAAAGGAGATCAGGTGCCAGACATGACAGATTTCTGGGTAGGGCTTTCGTTTTCCAGAAAGAGCAGGGAATTTTAATGGTCAGCAATGACAAAGAAACCAAGAAGAGAAAACATAAACTGTAAATCAGGCCAGAATAATGGTCAGAGAAGGTAGTATTTATTTATAGAAGATATTATTCTGGAAGTCAGTATGGTTTGAGGAATGACCATTGAGTTTGGAGTTAGATACATCTGAGTTTTAATCCTGACAGTTGGTGAATTTCTGTAATCCTCAAGCTCCTCATGTACAACACAGGATAATTTATGTAGAGTGATTATTGTAGTTTTCTGAATAATATAATAATACAAAGAAGATTTGCTTCTTTCAATCTTCATTTTCTCTGTCTAAGGGTCTATGAACCAAATATAAGTGCATTATCTCAGGTTTTTGATTGGGAAAGATTAGGGAAGAGGATAGTTCAATTAAAAAAACCCCAAAACCAGTAGCTGAACCACTGTATTCACATTCTGAAACTGTCATTACCCTAAGTAATTTTAATGAGGCAACCAGGGCTACTAATTTTGTCATGATTCTTTAAAAAAATCAGAGCAGAGGCTGGGCGCGGTGGCTCACGCCTGTAATCCCAGCATCTTGGGAGGCGGAGGCTGGCGGATCATGAGGTCAGGAGATCGAGACCATCCTGGCTAACACAGTGAAACCCCGTCTCTACTAAAAATACAAAAAAAATTAGCCGGCTGTGGTGGCAGGCACCTGTAGTCCCAGCTACTCAGGAGGCTGAGGTGGGAGAATGGCGTGAACCCGGGAGGCGGAGCTTGCAGTGAGCTGAGATGGCGCCACTGTACTCCAGCCTGGGTGACAGAGCAAGACTTCGCCTCAAAACAACAACAACAACAACAAAAATCAGAGCAGAATAGAATCCATAAAAATTATCTGTTGAAAATGTGCATTTGTGAGGAACAGAGTAAGGGCAAAAAACAGCAAAAAAAAGCAAGATCTAAAGGAAATTCATAGGTTTATTTTAGAATATGAGGGAATAAAGAGATAATGCACTTTGTATGTCCAGCTTCTTTGTTTAACTGAAAAGGCTGAGAAATGAGATTATTTTTCTAAGGTATAAAATGCAACAATAAATATGGAGTTAAAAATTGTATTTGTTGGTTCCTAGTTCAAATATTCAGTGCAATATACAAAGACAACTCCTTAGTTTTCCAAGAAGAAAAAGAAATTCTGAATTAGTATAAAAATTGTAATTATAGACAATATTATTCTGTGTCGAGATGTGGAGTTTTCATGGAAGTTTTCTAATATTTTTAAGACAAGTTTTAAGGGAGGATAAACTTCAAATAATATTAATGGATTTAAATATCATTATATAGAAGGAATTAACAATATTTCCTACCACTGTTTATTTTTAAAATAGCATATTACAATTTTTATTCAGTGTGCTAAATGATTTTTTTTTATTATTTTGAGACTGAGTAACCACATTAAGAAGAATTTATGAAAAAGGAAAAGCAATGATACAACTAAGTAGAGTATCTTATTATTAGTTATTATTTACACTGTTATGGGCTGAATGTTTGTATTCCCCCAAAATGCATTTGCTGAAGCAATAACCATCAGTGTGGTTATATTTGGAGATCAGACCTTTAAAGAGGTAATTAAGTTTAAATTAGGTCATAAATGTGGGGCCCTGATTTTATGGAAATAGCATCCTTATAAGAGATACCTGAGAGCTTGCCTACTCTCTCCCTCCATGCTCAGAGGAAAGGCCATGTGAGGACAAACTGGTTGTCTGCAAGCCAAGAAGAAAGCCTCCACCAGAAACCAAACCTTGTCAGACCTTGATCTTGGACTTCCCCGCATCTAGAACTGTAAGAAATAAATTTCAGTTAAGTCTATGGTATTTTGTTACGACAGCCCACATTGACTAATACACCAAACCAAGACAAAGCAAAAGAGTTGTTTGCTATATACAACTAGAATTACTTCTCATATCCAAAATCAGTTTCTGCCCTTTCTTAATACTCCAAATTATATCTTGTTGTCCTTCAATTTAATTTGATTAACCCAACTCATTTTTAACTGTATTTTTTCATTTACTGATCCATCCATCCATTCATCATTTTACTCCACCTACGATCTCTCCTTTTAGATACAGTAAATTTTAAAAAATACAAATTTTACATCATCAGTTGTTTTAGTAAATTCATTTATGTATTAACATCTGTCTACCTGATCAAATCAAAGAAGTTAATTTCCACCTACTTTTCCTTTAGCCCACACTTACTTAAAATCACTTATTTTTAATTTTATGCAAATAATATGGCAGAAAATTGAGCATGAGAAAGTAAAATTCCAGATATATTTGTTTTCTCTACCATCAGCTGAAACATTTTATTCACGTTGTCTTTAAGTAAATGCTACAGTAATATTTTTACAAAAAAGTAAAATTATTTTAATATCTCTACATACTACTAGGATATGTTTTCTTAAATAATAATTACATCATTTTAAATTAGTACAGGTTTTTAAAAGAACAAAAGCTATCCAAATCACTATATAAAATTATCCCTAAAATATATAAAGAAAATAATATTTATGGCTAACTAGATATTTAATTAGGTATGTAAATGAGTGTTAAGCCTAACCTACTAAATTGAGGAAGAATTTAATTTGATTAAATGTATTTTAAGTGTTTTATTTATACTTTTATTGACTCATATAGAAAAGTTGTGTGATATTGGCTACTAATATTATGTATATGTGCACTTATTTAAATATTTATGAAACACTTGGTGCATTTACTATGTGCCAGATATTATGTGAAATACATGAATGACAAAGTTGAAAATAGTGGATTATAGCCTTGCTCTGATTTTTTACATGTGTCTGTTCTTAACTGGACACTGTGATATTCAAGAACAGAAAATGAATGCTAACCATTTTTTCATGCAGTCCCTTCAGAATAGTTCCTAATACCTGGCAAATAATTAATAAATAGACAATAACCAAATAGATAAATGTATTAATAAATAAAATAATGAATTAATGTCAATTAATGACACTCAACCTATGATAAATGCTATAAATTTGTAGTAAGTTACAATTAACATTGTACATAAAGATAATTGAGGAAAGCATGAATAAAGCGGATAAGGAGTGTCATTTTAGAGTTTGAAAGAAACTGTGCTTCAGTCTTATCTGCTTCCCTCGAGTGCACATGTTCTCAGTAAGATTGAACACACCAACTTAGAAGGAGTCAATATTCATTGACCCTTTTCTTCTATTTCCTGGAATTCTCCTTTGTGACTTCTGCTTGCCCTCCAATCAATTTGTTGGATGCCTGAGAACAATTTTATCTGGGAACTTTAAGAAGGGACTTTAACCTGGTAGCATCCTAGTTCTGACAATGTCCAAAATACTTTTTGCTTTTATCTATTTGATGTTCCTTTTCCCTTCTGATAATAAAGTTTCTCCAATTCTTAATGTATATGGTTTAGGTTAGGTTAGGTACATGCCCAGACCTGGCCCATCAGAGTCACAGGCCCCCGATATAATGATTAAATCTCTATTAAATCTCTATGTGATCTCTTGAATAATACAATTGTATGTGAGTTTTATTTTGAGCTTGTAGAAAAAAAGACACAAACTCTCGAAAGAATTGTTTAACTGTTAGAATATAAGTTTGGTGCTGCCTGTTACCATTTCTACCACTGCCTAGAAACAGCCTTCTTGAGAATTAGATCAAAGGGTTTGAAAGCAGGGTAGGAGAAGCAGAGCTCAGAGATGTAAAGGAATATTGCCCCAATAATACATGTTATGTTTTAGATCCAGCTGTGTTTGAAGCCAGCTTTACTACGGACTTCCTTGTTACATAGGGTAAATAATTTTTTCCTTCTTATTAAAATTGCAGTGCAAGTTAGAAGCCTGTCCTTCACCATTCCTGGGTAAAAACTAATTGATGTGAACCATATGACTCCAAATTTCTGTCAGTGAAAAGAGTCAAATTCAGCAAAAAATTTGAAGAGATTTATTCTGAGCCAAACACAGACAGAGCCCTCAGGAGATCCTGAAAACAAGTGCCCAAGGTGGTTGGACTAAAACTTGGTTTTATACATTTTAGGGAGACATAAGACATCAATCAATACATTGGTTCTGTCTAGAAAGACAAGACAACTAGAAGTGGGGGCTTCCAGGTCATAGGTGGATTCAAAGATTTTTCTGATTGGCAATTTTTTGAAAGAGTTATATCTAAAGACCTGAAATCAATGGAAAGCAATGTCTGGGTTAGGATAAGGGGCTGCGGAGACCAAGGTTTTATCATGCAGATGAAGTCTCCAGGCAGCAGGCTTCAGAGAGTATAGACTGTAAGTGTTTCTTATAAGACTTAAAGAGTCTCTTCTACCAGTCTTAAGGTATCCGTGTTGATGTTAATGATGGTCAGCTGTGAGGCATGACCTCTACTTCTCATCACGGCCTGAACTAGTTTTTCAAATTAATGAAAATACCCTTGGCTGACAGGAGGGACCCATTCAGATGACTGGGGGACTTAGAATTTCATTTTTGGTTTACATTTCCTAATAGAGAATGCATGTGTAAGTTCAAATAGTTGTTTTTATAGACTGTGCCAATGCAAACATTAATAATGTTATTTCAATGTGAGTTTGGTAAAAAATAATTTATAAAAACTTTAAAATTAGAAATTGAGGAGACAAATTTTCCATGCTTATGTCTCCATATACAAGCAAGGAAGGAAGTTCACTTATATTTCATTCTATCAAAATATCTACTGTTTATATATATAAACTGTATATATACATATAATCTGTGTGTGTATATATATATGTAGTTATGGCACATTGTATGGTGTGAACACAGATTTAAGTCCGGTTATTTATATAAATATTACACATATACACACATATATATGACTCATAACTCTGTTTAAAATGACTTAATTCTTTTACCTTTTCATAATAATAATTAAATTTTACTCATGCCATATACTAGATATCATAATTTATGCCAACCTTTTCATAACTCTCAATTTCCAAATGTAATGTTTCTACTTTTAGGGTATTTTGTAGTAATAATAAAGCTAACAACTCACCTCTCTACCCCTCAGTCACTGAAAACACACACACACACACACACACACAACACACACATGCATGCATAAACACAGCCCCAAAACACTCACATCAATAACTGAGAAAAAAATGTTAAATCAGCTTGGGTTTTACATGTGTTTATCTCAAATACTTTCTGTTCTTCATGATACAATTTTTTAAATATTGGCTTACACATACACAGACACACACACACACACACACACACACACACATACATATACACACAAAATCCAAAAAATCAATTGCTGAATTCATTTATTCATTTTACAGTTTTCTTAGGTCAAGTTCCCATGAAGGAACTTCAACGGGCATCAGCAAGATGCTGGAATGTAATTTTTGCCCCAGAGTCTGTTGCCGACAGAGTCTGTCTGGCAAAGGAGTCAGGCTCCAGGGGAACTTAAGTCCGAAGCATGGCTAGCTATCTGCTCTTCTACTAGAACAGGACAGTCCTCCTAAGAGGAGTAGTAAATGAGGCCCTTGGAAGTGAAAGCACATGGAAGAGGACTTAGAAATAGTATGAGGAAACATGATGGATATGGGCAGAGTGCTGAAAATGCCCCACTACAACAGTAAAATTAAAAATCTCGAACATCTTTCTTTATTGAATGAGCTACATTGAAATGTAGAAGCACAAGCAAAGTATACTAATAAAAAAGTAATAAATTCCATAAGACATTAAAAAATATTTAGATAAAACAAATTGTAATCAACTGAGAAAGCATACTGATATAACATAAACAGTTTTCTTGAATTTGAATGTAAAGAATTATTTGCATGTACATTTAATTACTTAAATGGTACCAGATTGTTAACGAACATATTTACACCCTATTGTTTTTTTTCTTTTTTGAGATGGAGTATCGCTCTTATTGCCCAGGCTGGAATGCAGTGGCGCAATCTCAGCTCACTGCAACCTCCATCTTCCCAGGTTCAAGCAATTCTCCTGCCTCAGCCTCCTGAGTAGCTGGGATTACAGGAGCCCGCCACTATGCCCAGCTAATTTTTTTTGTACTTTTAGTAGAGACGGGGTTTTACCATGTTGGCCAGGTTGGTCTCAAACTCCTGGCCTCACTATCCGCCCGCCTCAGCCTCCCAAAGTGCTGGAATTAAAGGCATGAGCCACCGCGCCCCGCCTACACTGTTTTTTAATGGCTAATAATTGCTATTAAGCAAGCCATTTGCTGCTGTTACTTTATCATTTTAATTTATCTTTACTCCTTCTCCATCTTTTTCTTTCTCATTCCCCTCGTCTGTTCCATTATTTTCCCCTTCTCCCTTTTCTTCTTAATTCTTCTCCTACTTTTACTTCTTTCTTTTCTTTCTACATTAAATTATTAACTACTACTATCAGAGCTACTGTTACCAGAAAGGGGTCCTGATTCAGACCCCAGAGAGGGTTCTTAGATCTCACGCAAGAAAGAATTTGGGCGAGTCCATAGAGTAAAGTGAAAGCAAGTTTATTAAGAAAGTAAAGGAATAAAAGAATGGGTACTCTGTAGACAGAACAGCAGCATGGGCTGCTTGACTGAGTATACTTAAAGCTATTTCTGGATCATATGCTAACAAGGGGTGGATTACTCATGAGTCTTCTGGGAAGGGGGTGGGGATTTCCTGGAACTGAGGATTAGATCATCTAGGGTAACTTCCAGATGTTGCCATGGCATTTGTAAACTGTCATAGTACTGGTGGGAATGTCTTTTAGCATGCTAGTGAATTATAATAAGCATGTAATGAGCAGTGAGGATGACCAGAGGTCACTTTCATCACCATCTTGGTTTTGCTGGGTTTTGGCCAGCTTCTTTACTACATACTATTTTATCAGCAGGCTCTTTGTGACCTGTATCTTCTGCTGACCTCCTATCTCATCCTGTGACTAAGAATGCCTAACCTTTTGGGAACGTAGCCCAACATGTCTCAGCCTCATTTTACCCAACCCCTATGCAAGATGGAGTCACTCTAGTTCTAATGCCTCTGACATCACAAACACAGCCACCAACATCACTACAATCACCATTTAATAAAAAAAATCAGGTATTAATTAAAAATATTTCCCCTATAATTTACACATTGTTTTTGTTTGTAGAATATAGTTCATAAACAGTGATTGCTATATATACATTTTTTCTTACATATATATGTATATATATATATGTAAGAAAAATACTAAGAGTTATGATGTAATTATTGCTGGAATGGATGCATACACATTCACCTATGAACTCAAACTTGAGGACCGATAGAAATAGAAAGATGTATGAGGTGAATGTGAGGAAAGTTTGGTGTGTTTTGTTTAGTTTTGTTTTGTTTTTAGAAAGTGTCTCATTCTGTTGCCCAGGCTGGAGTGCAGTGGCACAGTCATGGTTTGCTGTAGCCTCAAAGGCCTGGGCTCAAGTGATCCTCCCACCTCAGCATCCCAAGTAGCTGGGACTATAAGCATACACCACCATGCCTAGCTAATTTTTAAATTTCTTATAGAGACAAGGTCTCCCTATGTTGCCCGGTGATATGGTTTGGCTATGTCTCCACTCAAATCTCATTCTGAATTGTAACTCCCACAGGTTCCACATGTCGTGGGAGGTGATTGAATTATGGGGGCAGGTCTTTACTTCACTGTTCTCATGATAGTTGATAAGTCTCACAAGATCTGATGGTTTTAAAAATGGGAGTTTCTCTGCACAAGCTCTCTCTTTGCCTGCCACCATCCATGTAAGACGTGACTTGCTCCTCCTTGCCTTCCACCATGATTGTGAAGCCTTCCCAGTCATGTGGAACAATAAATCCATTAAACCTCTTTTTCTTCCTAGTCTTGGGTATGTCTTTATCAGCAGGGTGAAAACAGTCTAATACTCCCAGTCTGATCTTGAACTCTTCCCAAAGGGCTAGGATTGCAGATGTGAGCCCCTGTGCCCAGCTGGAAGTCACTTTTAATGTTATATTTATTAATATGGATCAATAAGGTCTAAGAGTACTGCGATATTCGGAGGTAGAGAGATTTGCTTCAGGTTTGACACAAACTAATTTTAATATGACGATATATGACAATTATGCTTACATGTTGACATTGAGGCAGTGGCTCAAATGCTTTGAAAATATAAATTACTAAATAAATAACAGTGAAAATTAACAAGAAATCAATCAATAAAAGGTCAAGTATATTGTTTTTTTTAAAAAAATATGAGTAAACACACTGATAACCTTAAGGTTTATGTGTGAGCTTTCTTGTTAGTTGTAAATTAAGGAAACACAAACTCAGATATCAAACTAAACTGCTGTGGGCTTAATTAGTTATTTAAGATCAGATCAGGCCCTGCATTGACAAGTCCTTCACCTGCCTTTTATAATGAGTTCATCTGGTAGATTTCACATGCATTCTTATTAGTTCCAACAAGACAAGAGAGAATAGGAAGGTCCTAAATGCTTCATTTTCTAAATGTGACTAAACTTTTTAATGTTCTAAAAGTGGATGCTGTGATTAGTATAAAATTTATTTTATCACTCTTAAATATTTTGGTACCGTTATATTGTTCTGTAGCTACAGATTTATTCGGCTGTTGTACTGTAATGTGTTAAAGGAACTTCTGAATCAAAATAATAATGATGCATAAAGACAAATAATTTTCAGTTATGCAAAATTATGCAATTATTTTATGTCTAAAAAATAAGTTGCTTGTCTTTAGTTGCAATATGTTCCTTTATAGTTAACTGATTGAAACTGAAATAAGCAAATAGACTGAAGCATAATTTGAAAAGCAATACAATTTGTCTGCATTTGCTTTTAATTTTAGCCATGGATAACTAGATTCCAAAGAAAATGTATGTTTTATAGATACCTGTCTTTCAGTGTATAATACAGATTTTCTATCAAATTTCCAGGTGGATGATTTATTTTTCATGTATGAGTGAGAGTCACAACAAACAAATACATCAGATAATTGACCTATGGCTGTTTTTAAAATCCAGCACTTGACCTGCATTTATTTTATGCTGTATGCTGGACAAAGATGCATCACCTGGATGATCTGTAGAGAAAGAGAAGGCAGAAAGCTTTTTGGCAATAGTGACTGGTGAATGCACTAAGCTTTCAACTATTATCCTATTGAAGATGAACTGGTTCTTTATATTTTTTTATTTCGCTTAAAACTTCAAAGCAATTTGAACTACAGTGAGAAAGTCATGTCAATTTGTAAACTAAAAGCCCTTACCCAGCTGCCTTCTGAGTGATATTTTAACATCTCCAGCAATAGAGAGTACTTGATAACATAAACTTGTGGCTCTCTGCAGACATAAAGTCAGAGAGCTGTTTAATGATCACATTTGCCCAACAAATGTGAGAGAATTCATTGGTTTAATGACAATCATTTGATGTTATTTTTAAAAATAGTGAGGAAATTATATACAATAAAAGAAAAATAAATATTATGTGTCCGTTTATGCATTTCTGACTACATGGATGCCATGTTTGTCCAGAATCAAGTTTGGGGAAGGTCATTAATAAAGAGGAATTACCCAATTCTCTGCAATTTCACAAGAGAGAAGGTAGGCCCACAAAACTGAATCTCTCACTATGCTATTCTGGTGAAGAGAACAATATGTTAAACATAAAAGAGACTCAGTAAACATCTCTTGACTGAATGTATGATTGCACAGAGCCTTAGATGTATATAGACGACAGAGAGGAGGGAATCCCATACTTCTTGGTTAGAATAGTGGTCTTGAAACTTCTCAGGTCCATTTGACTTGAACAAATTAAATAATCTGAGCCTCAATTCCTAATTTTTTAATATGGGCTGAGGAGGCCTATAAGGGGGGATGTTGCTGGGAATGATACAGCTCCGATGAGTGGAGAACACCAGGTTCTTTCTCTGGAGTCGAATTAGAAAAAACGACACCAACACAGGTGGAGTAGTTTTAAGGAGCAGGGAGTTTAGTAGGCAAGAAAGAAAGGGGAAGAAAGCAAGAAGTTCCCCTCTACAGAAACAGAGGGAGGGGGGCTCCAAAGCTGAGAGACGGACCCCAAGTGCAGTGGACGCCAACCAGGTATATATACAGAGGCTGGAGGAGGCGGTGTCTGATTTGCATAGGGCTCAGGGGACTGGTTTGACCAGGCATGTCATTCACATAGCCTGTGAAAAAGCTGGTCCTCTTTCCTAGCCTTTTAATATGCAAAGGCAGGGCACCACGGTGTTCCACATACCTGGGGATATGTGAGGGTAGTCATGTTGCCAGGATCCTGTGGCGAAAGGACAAGAAGGCTGTGGAAATCGCCATGTTTGGGTGAACTCAGCTTTTAACTGCTGGCATTTGCATATCAAAGGTTGCCAGCCTGGCTCTAAGAGCTGGGGCTTTACAAGAAACTTTTCTGGAGATGCTTTAAAAAATGAAAATTTCCAAAGGACCCCTTTTCCTTTCTATCTGCCTAAAATAATTTTTTAATAACTCCTAACACAGGAAGATTAATTGACACGAGACACAGAGCACTTAGATTAATTGCTTAGAAATAGCTTCCTTCCTTATTAAGGTTTCAGCTTTTTTAAATTGAATTTTTCATCTTTGTTAGTATGCATTTTATAAGCACTTTTGAATCTGCTTACTGTATGATAAAAATATAGAGTGCTCTAAAGTGGCCTAAAATGCTCTAAAATATATTATAAAATATTGTAAAAGCATATATTTGCTTTATTTTGAGGATTTTTATTTTCTTTGCTTTCTATGATTTGTTGAAAAAAAAAACTTTTGAAAGAAAATTATTATTTTCTGACATTTACAGAGGGAAGGTGTATTATTCCATCACAAAGACAGTCATATTTCTGCTTATTTATTTTTTAGAAGAAATGTAATTCTCCTAAGAAGTTCTCCTTATTATTTTTATCCTAAAATCTACTTGCATCCAAATTTCTAATAGAGAAATAAAATAAATGTTCATTTTTCCTGGATCCAGTGGTGATTCAATTTTTAAAAATTGCTGTTTAATATGAATTATTATTTAATTGATTTTATGGGAAAAAGAAACATCTGTACAATTATAAATGGAACCATAAGAGTGAAGATATATTATTTAACACATTTCTGGCATAATAAATGTGTAGACTGATCAACAGCACCAGTGACTTTTTTCCAAAACACACTGTAAGAGAGCTTTCAAATACAAACATCTGTATGTGGTAGAGATCTTTCAAACTTTTACCAAGCATCATTTCTGTAAGAATAACATTCTCTAGGATGGTCGGAACTCTCTTGTAAAATCTAGAGCAGAAGAATACAAATACCTGTGAGAAAATTACCCAGGCAGGGAAAAAATATATATCCATTACAAAGAAATGGAAAACAAAAGAAAAGGGAACAGATTTCGACATATATCTCGATGGAAATGAAATTTAAATTTTAAATGCAACTACCTCAAGTAGTCCTTTTTAGGTTTAAAATCATTGCCATTATAAAGAAAAGACTAGGAACCAAAACACCACTTCATGTGCAAGTTAGTAGTGTAATGGCCATTATCGACTGTAACTTTAGATCTTCAAATTCAAAACCCTAATTTTTCAGTTAGAGAAAGGTTTTTCTCAGGGAAATGTAGACAGAAGGCAGAAAAAATATGTAAATCATTTTCACATAACCATTTTTTGTTACATACCTCAAAAAAGAAAACCATACACATTTTCTCATAGAAAGGAGAGGTGGAAACTTCTTTGATTTATAACCTATAGTAATTCATTGCTTGAATCATTAATTCATTTGAAATCTATTTTTCAAGCACTGTGATTGATAGGCAGAAGAAGTTTAATACTTAGCAAAAGAAATACAATTTCTCCCTCCATGGAAGGATGGAGACAAATAAGCACATTAAAACAAAAGTTATTATGAGTGTGTTGTGTGTGTGTATTATGAGTGATGTGCGTTTATAAAAGTAGAATATGCTATAGAATATATATTTGCATAGAGGAATGCAATTTCAAGTGAAATATAAAGAAAAAGCCTTATCAAAAGGAAACATTTAAGTTAATCCTTAAGACTAAGTTGAATTTCTTTCAGGGAAGAGCATGGGTATGAGGAAAAGTCCTAAGCAAAAAAATAATGAGTAGAACTTTTGTTATTTGCCTTTCCCCTTCCCCCACTTTCTGTTTTGGAGGCTGAGATAATCACAGCCTCCTGTTCATGGCATTGTCATTACTATTCCTCACAAAGTTGCTCTCTTGTCTTATTTATTTATTCCTTTATTTGGATTTCTGACTCCAAAACTCTTCATTATATACAGACATTGTAATGGGATTAATGTACCCTCTTTTGTTTATATGTTTTATTTTAAGGTATGCATTGATGTTTTTTAAGCATATCTTCTCAACTTGTATAAATTATATTTATCTTATATTACACAAACTCAGGTGTCTGTTCAGAGTTCAACTGAGCTGGAGACAGCTGAGCTGCCAAACATTGGAGTACCTGATTAAGAGAACAAGCCAAAACAAAAACAATTGTCAAGTCTTTAATCACTTACTGCAAGAGACTAAACTGGAGACAGTACCATCTCCCTTCCCCACCTCCCACACCCTGCAGTCATCCCATTTTTCCCTGTGGCATGTTTCTAATCAAGGATCAGGCAGATCAGCACAAAGACATAAGGAGCCTCTCACCGCAGAAGGAGCCCTGAAAAAAAGGTTTGTATGATATTTCAGACCTATGGGCCGGGGAAGAGGAGGGAAAGGCAGACAGACTAGGGGTAGAAAAGTACTAAGTCCTGAGGCAGAGGAGCCCGATAAGGCCTCTGCCAAAAGCCTCCTTTCCCCAGTAGAGAGGGCTCCAAATGAAGGCTCCTGGGTTACAAATGCAGATATGGACAAGAGTATGAATAGCCAGAGGAATCTGAGTCCTTGACTGAAGCTGAGATTGTAATGCACTAGTATGGAGAGGGCAGGGCAGCTTCCTCCATGAGGTCTGCCAGAGAAAGCCTTCATAATCACTTATGATTCGGCCTGAAAAATCACACATAGGTTTTTATCCAGAAGCCAGACACCCCAATGCTTTGGTACTATGTTGTCCAAACTCCTACAAGTCCTAAATCTTAATAATTCCCTGAATTTGCCAATCCACTACTCCTGACACATTTTAGACTCACACATATTGACTGAAGTTTGGTACATGGTATACGGTGTTGTTAAATTTCAGTGTCTAATACCTCCTTTTTATTGAACTCATTTTTTTCTATCTATACCCAAGCAACTTGAATTTATTTTAAACATGTAAATTGATAAATTATGTTAGTATTATTTTGACACATAGAAACAGAAGAACAATATTTCACAAATAACTTTAAAATACAAACAAGTCTTATTTTAGGCAATTTGATATAATTAACTGGTTTAAATATGTTTTAATCTGTATTATTAATAGTATCTTGTTAGCAATAAAATATATTTGTACATATATAAATGATGTTCAGTTTATACATGTTTTCATATAATTCCCTGAAATCATGAAGCACTAAAAATACACAATTTTCTATTAAAAAAGTTTAATCAGAAATTTCTCTTAACAGATTTTATAAAACAAGTCCTCAGTTTAGTGTACTATTTATTATCATTCAATAAATAACCCACTGGGAAAACTTATTAATAAAAAATTACTTATAGAAATTATATTTCTACTTGGTCATACTCTTATTTCAAACTCTACTTAAAGGGTTAAAAGCTAGTTAGACGATTTTTTTTTATGACAACTTCTTCTAGTAGTCATTCCAAATTTGCTTTTTAGATGTATAAATATTTTATAAATGGCAGCACCAGTGAGTCTGATTATAATGGGCACCTAAAGATAAGATGCAAGTCATAGACTCTTGAATAAAATATATCCCATTTTTAATATCACAAGTGACATCGTTTCAATTCAGAAAATTGTGATCTTGTTGGGGTAATACTTAGTACAGTCTAGACAAAAGATGGAAAAGTTTTGAAAATATTTAAAGTAAAATCATATAAAAGACTAGGTTAAGTTTTTGGAATGCTTTTGATTAGTTTCAATCTTTTGGAAAAATTGCTTAAGATTTCAAAAGTTTCTTATCAATGAAATAAGATTTTTATTTAGAAATGAGAAATTAAATACATATTTAATATAGTTACAGACTATGAAATGAGAAGTGATATTTTATTTTCTTAAAATAAAGTTATGTGTATTAGGCTCCTTTCAAATGTCTAGATTCAGAGAATGAATTCTATGAAAAGCTATTACTCAACATCTAGCCATCATTTTGCTCTTCACTATTGGAATTTCAAGGCTTCCATGATTTTCTTACATAAATCTTGATTTTTTGTTTTTTCATCAATCATAATAAATGATTGAGTTGATTGAAAATTGAGTTGTATGAAAATATAATTGTAATTTCATAGCCATATGTCCTAAGCACACTCTACTATCCTTGAAAACTTAGGAAATTAGACTCACACGTGAAGAAGAGTCAGGGTGATGTGGAAAACCTTCGATGAAGCATTAGGTACTATAATTATTTTGAGTCTTGGATACAAAAATGAAGAATTCTAGATTTAAGTTAAAGGTATATGTGGCAGGGTGCAGTGACTAATGCCTGTAATCCCAGCACTTTGGGAGGCCGAGTTTGGCAGATCACTTGAGGCTGGAAGTTCAAGGCCGAAAGTTCGAGACCAGCCTGGGCAGCATGGTGAAAAACCTATCTCTACTAAAATACAAAAATTAGCCTGGCATGGTGGCATGCATCTGTAGTCCCAGCTACTCTGGAGTCTGAAACACGAGAATCACTTGAACCCAAGAGGCAGAGCTTGCAGTGAGTGGAGAGGCGCCACTGCACTCCAGCCCAACAGAGTGAGACCCTCTCACACGCACACACAAAAAAACAACCACCACTAACAACAAAATAAGTAAATAAGTAATAGGTGTATGTTTTTCATAGTCTATGTTAATAGAAATATAATTACAATACAATGATACATTTAGATGTCACCACACAAAACGCAACTTTTCTCACTAACAAGCATAATTTGTTGCCTAAATTGCAGTTCTTCAGACATATGAATAGCATGAATTAACTTTGACTTCACAGTCATAAACAGAAACCTTTTTATGTGGCCACACCAATTTGTCTATTTGGGTATGACTGTAAGGACCTAATCAGGCTGATGGAGGATGCACAGCTATCTGGGCTCAGCTTTTGTCTGGGAACTCATACGTGGTTACAATCTACCTCCATGAGAGGTAGAAGGAGAATGTTTTTCCTTTAGAAAATTGGTCTTATAAAATTTTAAGTCATACCTACATCCCTGAAAATTCTGAACTAGAAAGTTCCACAAAGATCCTCTAATATCTTGTCATTGTTTTCAAGAATGTAAAATTAATATTCGGAGAGTTTCAGAACTTGTCAAAATGTATGCCTGATGATTCATCAAGCAGGTGTGATGGGATTTGTATAGCTAATGAAGCTACAAAGCACTCTCAGAACCTGGATTTCTCCATTCCTTATATATGAATCCTGCTACGACACAATATTGATCAAAATTTTAATATTGCATGGGTTTTACAGCATCTCCTGAGATTGTTATTAATAAAGATGTAAATGATACTTTTTATTCTTTTGCTATTTTTTCAACATTATCAGATATTTGCAATAAAGCTGGAAGAAACACTAATATGAAGGCAGTAGGTTTATGTACCTCTCTTCCACACTTAATATACTTTTTGTGCATTGCAGAGCACGTTTTTCAGTGAATTATTTTGCTTTTGGTTGTAAAGGACAGAATATGTAAAGGAAGGTGATTGTAAGGATTCATTTGGATATTGGTTTAGCCTATATAACTTCTAAGCTATTTCTCAGAACATAGTCTTATCATTTCACCAGTATGCTCATTTATACTGATTTATAAGACCTTTTTTTTAACGCATGCTATATAACCAGCACACTTTCCATTTTACTGCATTACTGCAAAATAATTACTGTTGTTCCTGACGTTCTTTACCTGACATAGTTCACAAGACAGTGAATATTATGGCAAATAATTAAATACAGGCTTCCTTACCTTTATATTCCAGTCTGTCTATTAATATATATTAAAATATATAAATATATTAAAAATAACTAAATAGCTATATGCATATATAATTATAAGTAAATGTGTCTGTGTAAAGATATATGCATAACACATATTTAATACTTAAGGACAAGATTGACAATTATTTGATTTTTAAATATTCCTCTCTCTAACTTGAGTAGCAGTTTTCCACATTAATGAAAATAATTAGTTTCCCCAATTAGGATGAGTCTTAACTACAAATAACTAAGTAAGATCCTTCAATCAAGCTTAAATCTGCATAACATAAAATTATATATATATGTGTGTGCATGTGTGTGTGCATGTGTGTGTGCGTGTGTGTATGTGGGTGTGTGTGTGCATGCGCGTGTGTGTGCGTGTGTGTATGTGTGTGTGTGTGTGCGTGCGCGCGTGTGTGTGTGTGTGTGTACAGTCATTCCCTGGTAGACTGTGGCGAGGCTAGTTCCAGAACTCCACCAAAGTCTCCAAAAATCCACATATTCAAGTTTCATAGTTAGCACTGTAGAACACACCTAAATACAAAGCTGGCTCTCTTTAAATGTGGGTTTCACATCCATTAAAAACTATAATTTGCATCTGCATTTGGTTGAAAAAAATCTGTATATAAGTGGACCTGTGCAGTTCAAACCTGCAGTTCAAGGGTCCACTGCATATATATATGTGTGTGTGCCTCTGTATGTGTGTGTGTGTGTGTGTGTGTGTGTGTGTGTGTGTGGTTTATAACTGGAGATGATGGATATCACTTCCATGTCTGATCCTTAAGAGAATGTTCATTTCTCCTCTATGCTCCTTTTTTTTTCCTGTCTTCCATTGCACTAATCCATCATGTGCCTGGGTGATGCACATAATGCCAATGTTTAAAGGGAAGCTGAAGAGAAAATATTTTGCTGAATTGTTTCATTAAGAAAAATTGCTCCACTGGGCAGGACTACTTATGTCAGGAATTATATTGAAAGGGTAATGGGGTCTTTTGTTCTTAGTAAAGGTAAAATATTTGTATTTCTTGATTTGTGTTAGCTCCAGCTTCACCAGCACAGTTTCTGCAGACTATGGTGGGCACTCAATACATATTTGTGGATAAAAAAATTGAGCAGTAACCCTATTTATTAAATATAAGGGCCTATATTTATTAAATATAAGAATCCAACGTTAGCTGATGGTAAAAACAATTTTTAAAACATTTAATAATTTAATATATTAACAATTTAATAATAATTAAATTAAAACATTTAATAATTTAAAACATTTAAAACAATTAATAATTAAATATTAAAATATTTAATAAGTTCATTCTTAGAATTTCTAGATACTTATATCACTAAATGAAGATAAAAAATCATTACCTAATAACTTAATGCCTGACAGTTATATATTGCTGCATTGAAAACTCTTTCTGACTTAGTAGGTTAAGATGAAAATTTATTGCTTATTACTTCTCATGCTTTGGTGGGCTGCCTGGGTGATTCCTGCAGGACTTCCATGGGTTCACTCTTGCAGCTGCAATCAGCAAAAGAGTCAGATGAAATGAAAAGTCCTGTATTTTTTATTCACGTGTGTGGCAGTTGGTTCTGGCTAGATGTCAGCTGGCATCACTTGGATCCTATGTATGTGGCCTTTTATCCTCAAATGATCTAGGTCACCATCCTTGCATGGTGGTCTCAGGTCAGTATTCCAAATGGATGTTGACAAAATCAGCAAGAGCCGTAGAGGAACTGCGAGATTCTAGAACTCATGATGTCTTTTCTGTCACATGCTATTGGTAAAATGAATTCACAAGTTCGGCCAAACTCAAAGTGTGAATAAATAGATCCCATTTCTTCCAAGAAAGTATTTGAAAGAATTAATGGCCATATTTAATCTATCGCAGTGTGCCCTTTAGCCAACACGTGAAAAATACTTAGTCAACCAAGATTCTTCCAAAAATGGCATTAAGCTCCAACCCTATATTATTACCATATTTTCTCTGACCATGATACAGATCAATCCCTTTTGATCAGAATCTTCAGGCATGGCTCTTCTGGATCAGAAGCTTTTAAATTATAAAGGAAAGTTTTCCCCCACACATCCAACTTAGTTTGGGGAGACAGGAACACGTAGTCACAATAGACACTATGACTCAAAAGGAGGAAGAAGATACGCACATGGACGCCACTGATTAACAAAAGATCTGATATCCAGCCAAAAACCTATTGTCAATTCCACAAACTCTCCTATCTGGCTATGGTTTCCAAATCCATTGTTAACCTGAGCTCTTGGTCCTGCCCTCAGGGTTCCCAGATCTATCCTTTGAGAGACATTTCCTTTTAGATAAGAAATGTACTATATTTGCAATCATGCAGCTTTGTTAGCTCCCTTCCTGCCTAAAGAAATTTGGAGCCCAGACCATCATTCTCAGCAAACTATCGCAGGGACAAAAAACCAAACACCGCATGTTCTCACTCATAGGTAGAAATTGAACAATGAGAACACATGGACACAGGAAGGGGAACATCACACACCAGGGCCTATTTTGGGGTGGGGGGAGGTGGGAGGGATACCATTAGGAGATATACCTAATGTTAAATGACAAGTTAACGGGTGCAGCACACCAACATGGCATATGTATACATACGTAACAAACCTGCACGTTGTGCACATGTACCCTAAAACTTCTTCTGTCTCCATTAGGTTTGGTTGAGACTGGATTGATACAAAGCCATTAATGTTCCTGTAAGTCTTCTAAGGAGGACCTAGCACCCTACGTATTTCTGAGGTCTTAACAAAGATCTGGATAGCCACAGTATAATATGATTTTGCTCTGATACCATGTATTTCTTTAAAAATCTGCTTCACGGAGAAACAGAAACTATGAAATAGCTTTATTTTCCAAGCCCAACACATCCTGGGCCTTCTGTATAACCTCTAAGTTCTGCTCACAAACAGAGTCTCTCCTTCTTTAGGTAATCTCTCTAGAGCTCTCTTGATCCAGATTCATAAGTTCTTTGGGTACTTTTTGCCACCTGCCATGTTATCAGAGACATCATTGCAAATTGCCAGTTGTTCTGCAACCACACAACTTTGTTTCTTCTTTCTCCAGTTTCTATCACTCTTTTTGCTTTTTGGTCACTTACAGGATTTTTTTCCCCCCAAGTCCAAGTGTTCCAAAATATCACATTTACACTCTTCTTATTGCCTTTCCAGCCACAGTCTGCTATATGGTATCAAAGTCAATGTCCCCTATATTTAGATTTAATGTCCTGCACCCTACTTCTAGGTATTAATTTCTGCATTAGTTATGTATTACTGTACAACAAACTACCTCAAATGTAAGAGCTTCACATTATCATAATTGATATATATGTGAGCTAGAATAATTTTTTTTTAAATCAGTTTTCCCTTGAACATCTCAGGCAGCAGCGTTCAGTGGAATGTGACTGTGTCGGAAGGTTAGTTGGGCAGAAGGCTTGACTGTCATGTATGGGAATTGGTGCTGTGTTCACATAGGTTCTTATCTTCCATTGTGCTTATCCAGCTTTCTTCCACAGTGATCTGAAGATAGTGTTTCATGAGAACATAGGTGGAAATTGTAAGGCCTCCTGAAGCCTAAACTCCGAAACTAAAAAGAAATAACTTCTGTTACACACAGTTAAAACCAGTAACAAAGCCAGACCAGTTTTAACAGATGATAACATAGGCTCTTCCGCTGAATAGAAGGAGATACAAAAAATCTGTGGCCATATGCAGTCTACACAGTATTGTGCTATAAACTATAGGTTTTTAAAATTAAATGCATAGTATTATTATCATTTATATATTGATTAATTATATTACCAAATGCATATTGAATTTTTTTATTGTTCAATGGCATAATAGATGAAGAAATGGAAAGAACAAACAGCTTATCTGGAATCAGATTTTATTTGGGGAGGGGACTGATGAAAATAAAAAATTAAGCAAATAGGATAAGTTGAAAAATTTTGGCAAAAACAATGCTGAGATGCTGTGAGTGAGAGTAAAATGGGACACCTGTTTTGGAGAAAAAATAATTCAGGCAAAGGTAAAAAAGGCTAATGCAACAGGGAAGGATAGAATGTAGTCAATAAGATCAAAGAACAGAAAGACTGGTGAATATGTATATCCAATTTATTAAAAGAGAACATGGGAATACATGGGGGGTTACAATATTGATGGGGCCAATACATTAAATTTCTGTAAAACTTATTGAAAGTTTTTTGTTTGCTCATTTTATTATTAATCTCTTGAGAAGACATTGGCAAATTTTAAGCAGAGGAGTTACATAGTTGATTAACGTTTTAAAACAATCATTCTTACTGCTATGTGGAAAATTGAGTTAACTTTGGAAGCAGAAATAACACATAAATATTTAACTCGCTTGTGTATTATGGGGAAAAATGATGACTCTCTGAACTAGGGTGTTAACTGACTTTTTTTAATAGGTAAAGCTGGTGTGATTTTCTAAAGAATTGAATACGGGAGGTGAGGTAAACTGAGGAATCATAGGTTTAAGGATAGACCGAGGGGATAAAATTCATGTGTTACTAGAATGGGAAAGATGATGTTAGAAACTGATTGGGACAAGGAAATCAATAACTTTATTTTGGCCATGTTAAGATTTTGAAGACTTCTCTCAAGTAAGGAAGTCAAGTGTAATGTTGGCAGTATGAAGTATGGATTTTATTGGAGAAAGCAGAGCTAGAAAAGTAAATTTATAGGTTATCAGTATGAAGTCAGAGTTTCAAGTCATGAAAGTAAATTAGATTATTTGGAGCTCATACATAAGGACAAACAAACCAAAGACCAAGCCATGGGCATTCCAAATATAAAACCTGAAAAAATGTCTATATAAAATATGCATGGCCATGAAATTGATTTATACCCAAAAAGACAAATATGAAATACAATCTAACACAGAACATTTTTTCATTCTTTATATATTAAATATTTATCCAATTGAGAAAAAATTAATTGCTTATATGTTTTCTCTTCAGTTCTCAGGATTAGTTATACCCACTTGACTGTACTTTTGTTTACTCTGTATCAATCAGTAGTAAACACAATTTACATTCTTAGCCTAACATAGGTTTATTAAAAAAAAATTGGTTTCCATAACACAAAGCTTCTTCTTTTCTCCAGCAGGAATCTTCAAACTGTGTAAATATTACATCTTACCTAGTAGAAGTTCCATCATATTTAGTGTTTCAAATATTTAAC
Organism: Homo sapiens; assembly: GCF_000001405.40. Classification (NCBI taxonomy): domain Eukaryota; kingdom Metazoa; phylum Chordata; class Mammalia; order Primates; family Hominidae; genus Homo; species Homo sapiens. The sequence goes on from NC_000003.12 coordinate 95,938,369, forward strand.
TGGACATTCATAGAGAGTTATTGCTAATTGAAAATGCTACTTGAAGCATTTAATTTGAAGGACTACTGATTATTCTGATTAAAAAAAATCTATCTTTGTATACACATAAAAGCATATTATAAAATGTCTTACATTATCAACATTAAGATATCCCTTATTTGAATGAAAGCACCTTCATGACCATAACATATTTATGTTAAGATTTATATTTCCACCTTATCTCAAGAAAATTATTTTCAAACAAATATTTAAGCTTTGGTGATTTAATATTATTCCTAATAATTAAAGTTGTATTACAATAAACTACTCAAATATTAAGTAAAAGACAATGTAATAGTATCTCCAATTTACAAAGACAACAAATAATTTAGTACAAAGAACTTTAAATAATGAGATTTCATTATCCTTTTGTAGAATCTATTATAAGAAATAACCAGGGGTAAAGGAAATAATTTATTTTAGTCTAGCACAAGAGTTACAACGTATGAACTGCTGGACAAATTTAGCCCGCTGCCTGATTTTGTTTGACCTGAAAGCATAGAATGATTTTTACATTTTCAAAGAGTAGTACAATTTTTTTTTAAATGACCGCTTGTCAGAAGTCTATGTGGCTCACAAAACCTTAAATATTTATTACATGGTCCTTTACAGAAAAAATTTCTATGACTCCTGATCTAGTATGTTGGTTCAAGGTCAAACACCTTACTAGATATATATACTCTTGGATGAGTTACTAAAAATTTTTTGTGTCCCAGGTTCATCATCTGTAAAATGGAGGCTTTAATAATTCCTACTGTTGCAGTCTCCCCAATCCACCTTAATGTAGCAGTTTCTCATTTTCTGAACTAATATCCGGGGTTCTTTTTCCTATGTCCAAGAAAACTAAGGAACGTGGACACAAAGGTGAGGTTGCAGTGCAAGTTTAATAAGCGAATGAAGAAAGCTGTCTGCAGTAAAGAGGGGAGTCCAAGTGGGATGCCAGGTTATAGCTGAATTCAAAAGCTTTTTATAAGAAACTCCTCTCATCTCTGTAGCAGTTTCAGTAACTTCTCTTACCACTAAAGCTGTCTGTGGAACTCCCCTTATCTTATGCAGCTGTGAGTATGTCTCTAGGCAAGCATAAATTGCCACTTCTCTTGTTTATATAACTGTATGTTTGTTTTAGGTAAGCCCCCTCCTCCTTGTGCCAGTTTCCGTGGAGCCCACTGTATATATGCCTGAAAAGGGGAGGAAACTTTTTCCTAGTAATTTGCTATACAAAGAACAATGGGCTTCTGTGCTGGACCTTGTCTGCTTATCTGTGTGCAGGTGCAGCCTGAGTTTTTTTCCCAGGTTGTTTAATTTTTCCCAGGTTGTTTTAATTTTTGCTGTGACTTTTCAGGCAAGCTGCTTCTGCAGTCTGTTTTCCCCAAATGATTTTTCCTTTCTTTCTCTGTCGTTACCACATAGGTTCATTATGATGACATCCAAATTTACATTTGCACATTTCTTCAAGTGTAGAAGAAATTGATAAATGTTGGCCCATATTGAATATTTGGTGGCAATATAACCTATAAAGTAAGTCATTTGATCCTCATTGAAGCAATCTGATTTTACAAAAAGAGTAACTTTTTAGATATTAATGAGATTCTTTAAAAAACTAGGTAAATATATTAATAAAATTAATAAAAAAATTAAGTTTATATATGTATCTGTGTGCATTGCTGTATTACTATATATTCACATTATATATATATGCTCATGCATATATTCACAAATTATTATATATACATATACAATATATGCTCATATATTGTTATATAGATGCTCATTATATACACAGAACATTGTTTTATTTTTAATTTTGCAGGGACATAGATGTATATATTTATAATTTACATGAGATATCTTGATACAGTCATATGATATATAATAATTACGTCAGGATAAATGGGGCATCCATCACTTCAATAATTTATGCTTTCTTTGTGTTATAAACAACTCAATTATACTCGTTTAGTTGTTTTAAAATGTGCAATGAATTATAGTTGACTGTAGTCACTCTGTTGTGCTATCAAATACAAGATCTTAATCATTCTCATTTTTGAACCCATTAACTAATCTCCCTTAACTTCCCACCCTACTACCCTTCCCAGCCTCTGGTAACAATTATTCTACTCTATATCTCCACAAGTACAATTGTTTTAATTTTTATTTCCTAGAAATAAGTGAGAACGTGCAAAGCCAGGCATGTCTTTCGGTGCCTGGCTTATTTCATGTAACATAATGACCTCCAGTTTCATCTATGTTGTTGCAAATGACAGGTCTTATTTCTTTTTATGACTCAACAGTACTTCACTGTGTATATATACCACATTTTCCTTATTCAAACATCTGTTGTTGCACATTAGGTTCCTTCCAAGCCTTGGACATTGTGAATGGTGCTGGAAAAAACATGAGAATGCAGGTATCTCTTAGATATACTGATTTCCTTTCTTTGGAGTACATGCCTAGCAGTGGGATTACTTGTTCCTATGCTATCTCTATTTTTAGGGGTTTTTTTTATTTTTATTTTTTGAGAAACCTGCAAACTTCTGCCATAGTCGTTGTATTAATTTACATTCTCACCATGTACAAGGGTTTTTCTCCACATCCTTTCCGGCATTTGTTACCTGTTTTTGGGTGAGATTAACTAGGGTGAGATTATATCTCATTGTAGTTTTAATTTGCATTTCTCTGATGATCAGTGACATTGACCACCTTTTAATAATGTGTTTGCCATTTATATATATTCTTTTCAGAAACATCTATTCAGATATTTTGCCCATTTTTTCATTGGATTATTACATTTTTTCCTATACAGTTGCTTGAGATCCTTATATATTCTAGTTATTAATTCCTTGCCATCTGGATAGTTTGCAAATATTTTCTCCTATTTTGTGGGTTGCCTCTTCATTTTGGTGATTGTTTCCTTTGCTGCATAGAAGTTTTTTAGCTTCATGTGATCCCATTTGTCCATTTTTGCTTTGGTTGCCTGTGCTTGTATATTATTATTCAAGAAATCTTTGCCCAGTCCAGTGTTCTTGAGAAGACATGGACTTCTACTAGTTTCATAATTTGAGGTCTTAGATTTAAGACTTTAATTTATTTTGACTTGATTTTTGTATATGGTGAGAGATAGGTGTCTAATTTCATTTCTCTGCATGAGAATATCCAGTTTTCCTTACATAATTTATTGAAGATACTGTCATTTCCCCAATTGATGTTCTTGGCACCTTTGTTGAAAATCAGTTCACTGAAGGTGTATGAATTTGTTTCTGGGTTCTCTATTCTGTTTTATTGGTCCATGTGTCTGTTTTTCTGCCAGTATCATGCTGCTTTGGTTTCTATAGCTCTGTGGTATAATTTGAAGTCAGGGAATGTGATTCTTTCAGTCTTTTTCTTTTTGCTCTGGAGAGCTTTGGCTGTTCTGGATCTTTTATGGTTCCATATACATTTTATGATTTTATTTCTATTTCTGTGAAGAATGTTATTGGTATTTTGAAATGGATTGAATTGAATATATGAATTACTTTGGGTAGTATAAACATTTTAACAATATTAATCCATCCAATCCATGAACATGAGATAGCTTTCATTTTTTCTGTGTTCTGTTAAATTTCTTCCTAAATTTGACTTATACTTTTCATTGCAGAGATCCTTCACTTCTTTGGTTAATTTCAAAGTATTTTATTTTATTAATAGCTATTGTAAATGGGATTACTTTTCTCATTTCTTTTGCAGATTACTTGCTGTTTGCATATAGAAATGCTTCTGTTATTTTCATGTTGATTTTGGATCCTGCTAATTTACTTTGTCAGTTCTAATAGGGTTTTTTTTTTTTTTTTTTTTTTTTAGTGAAGTGTTTAGGTTTTTCCAAATATAAGATTATATTATCTGCAAATAAGGATAATTTGACTTCTTATTTTCCAATCTGGATGCCTTTATTTTGTTTTCTTATCTGATTGCTCTAGATAGGACTTCCAGTACTATGTGGAATAACAGTGGTGAAAGGGGATATCTTTGTCATGGTCCAGATTCTAGAGGAAAGACTCAGTTATCCCCCATTCAGCATGATACTGTGGGTGTGACATATATGACTTTTATCGTGTTGAGTTATGTTCCTTCTATACCCAGCTTTTAGAAGTTGTTTATCATAAAGAGATATTGAATTTTATCAAATGCTCTTCAGCATCAATTGAAATGATCATATGGTTTTCATTCTTTATTCTGTTGATATGACATATGACATTGATTGATTTGCATATGTTGAACTATCCTTGCATTGCTAGGATAAATCCCACTAGGTTCTGATGAATCTTTTTAAGGTGTTGTTGAATCCAGTTTGCTAGTACTTTGTTGAGGATTTTTGCATCGATGTTCACCAAGGATATTAGTCTACAGTTTTCTTTTTTATACGTGCCTTTGTCTAGTTTTAGTATCAGTGTAATACTAGCCACGTAGAATAAGTTTGGAAGCATATATTTTTTGTCTGTTATTCATAACAGTTTGAGTAGGATTGGTATTTATTGTGTTTTTCTTTTTTTTAAGTTTGGTAAAATTCAGCAATGGAAGCCATCAGTTCCTGGGCTTTTCTTTACTTGGAGACTTTTTTCACTACATCTTTGATCTTGTTGCTTCTTATTTGTCTGTTCAGATTTTGGATTTCTTCATGCTTCAGTCTTGGTAGGTTGTATGTGTCTAGAAATTTGTCTGTTTCTTCTAGGTTTTTCAGTGTATTGACATGTAGTTGCTCATAGTAGCCTCTTATGATTCTTTCAATTTTTGACAGTATTGGTTCTAATGTCTCCTTTTTTATCTCTGATTTTATTTATTTGGGTCTTCTCTCTGTTTTTCTTACTTAGCCTGGCTAAAAGTTTGCCAATTTTGTTTATCTTTCCAAACAAGCAGTTTCAGTTTCATTGATTTTTTGTATTATTTTCTTCATTTAAATTTTATTTATTTTTGCTCTTATCTTTATTATTAATTTTATTTCACTAATTTTGCATTTGCTTTGCTCTTGCTTTTCTAATTCTTTAAGATGCATTGTTACGTTGTTTATTTGAAGGGTTTTTTTTCCTTCTTTTTATCTTTATGATGTAGGCACTTACAAATAAACTTTTGTCTTAGTACTGTTTTTGCTGTATTTGATAGGTTTAGGTATGTTGTGTTTCCATTACTATTTGTACCAAGAAAGTTTAATTTCCTTTCTAAATTTCTTCATTGACACCCTGGTCATTCAGGAAAACATTGCTTAACTTCCATGTGTTTGTATAATTTCCAAAATTCCTCTTGTTATCGATTTCTAGTTTTTTTCCATTTTGATCAGAGAAGAGACTTGACATAATTTCAAATTTTTGAATTTTTAAGACTTGCTTTGTGGCCTGAATATTGTTTATGCTTGAGAATGAACCATGTGCTGAGGAGAAGAATGTGGATTATGTAGCCATTAGATGACATGTTTTTAAAATATCTATTAGGTCTATTTGGTCTATAGTAGAGATTATGTCAGATATTTCTCTGTTGCTTTTCTGCCTGAATTATCTGTCCAATGCTAAAAGTGGAATATAGACATCTCCTGCTATTATTGTATAGGGTTTATCTCTCTCTTCAGCTCTGATGTCATTTGCTTTAATTTCTGGGTGAGCCGGTGTTGGGGCATATAATTTATAATTGTTGTATCCTCTGGCTGAGTTGACCCCTTTATCATTATATAATGACTTTCCGTGTCTCTTTTCATTGTTTTTACATTATTGTTAAAGATAGTCCTGCTACCCTGCAAAGAATACCAGAATTTATTCTTAATATCTAACTGTAACTTTGTACCTATTTACCAGCCTCTCCCTATCCCATTAGCCCTTTGCCCTCCCCAGCCTCCCATAACCACTATTCTACTCTCTACTATGAAATCATCTTTTTTAAACGCCAGATATGTGGTACTTTTCTTCTTTGCTTGGATTATTTCACTTAATATAAGGTCTTCTAGATTTTTCCAGGTTGTTATACATGATAAGACTTAGTTCTTTTTTTATGGCTAAATTGCATTGTATATTTATACAACATATTTTTTATCATTTCATCCATTGATGAACACTTAGGTTGATGTTATATCTTTGTTGTTATGAATAGTGCTGCAATAAACATGGGAATGCGGGTATCTCTTTGAGGTGCTGATTTCCTTTCTTTTGGACATATACCCAGCTATGAGACTGTTGGATTATTTTGCAGTTTTATTGTTAAGTTTTTGAGTAAGTTTCATAATATTGTCAATAAGAGCTGCACTAATTTACACTCTCACATAAAAGTGTAGAAGAGTTCCCATTTATCCACAGTCTTGCCAGCATTTGTTTCTGTTTTTGTATTGTTATTTTGATGATGGTTATTCTAACGGGGTAAAGTAATATCTCATTGTGGTTTTGATTTGCATATCTCTAATGTTAAGTGATATTGAGAATTTTCCCATGTACTTGGCCATTTGTATGTCTTCTTTTGAGATTCTGATATTTTTATTCAAATCTTTTGCCCACTTTTTAATGAGATTCTTTATTTTTATTTTATTTTTCATTTTTTGCTTTTGAGTTGTTTCAGTTCTTGGTATATTTTAAATATTAGCCTCTTGTCAGATACATAGTTTGGAAATATGTTATCCCATTCTGTGGGTTGCCTTTTTTTTTTTTTCTGTGCAGAAGCTTTTGAAATAATCTCATTTATTTGTTTTTACTTTTGTTTCCCATGCTTTTGAGGTCTTGTTTAAAAAAATCCCTGCCCAAATCAATCTCATGAAGAATTTTTCCCTGTGTGTTCCTGTAGTATTTTCATAGTTTGGGGTCTTATATTTAAGGGTTTAAATTATTTTGAATTGATTTTTGTAAGTGGTGAGAGATTAGTATAGTTTCATCATTTTAAAGTGGGTGTATAATTTTTCCTGTGACATTTACTGAAGAGACTCTCTTTCCATACCGTGTGTTCTTGGCATCTTTGTTGAAATCAGTTGCTGAAATGTGTGAATTTATTTTTGAATTTTCTATTATGGTCCATTGGTCAATGTGTTTGTTGTTGTGTCATATTGTTTCTGTTATGATATTGTTATGTCATGTTGTTTTTTATCATGTTATTATGTCATGTTGTTTTGTTATCATTGTTTTGTAGCATATTTTAAAGACAAGTAGCATAATGCCTCCAATTTTGTTCTTTTTGCTCAAGATACCTTTGGATATTCAGGGTCTTTTGAAGTTCTATACAAATTTTGAGATTGTTTTCAGTATTTCTATAAAAAATGTTATTTGTATTTTGATAGGGGTTGCATTGAATCTGTCAATCCCTTTTGGTAGAATTGGCATTTAAAAATATTAATTCTTGTAATCTAGAAAAATGGGATATAATTTTATTTGTATTCTCCTCAATTTTTTTCATTAATATTTTATAGTTTTCCCTGTAGATGTCTTTTACCACCTTGGTTATATTTATTTTTTGTAGCTATAATAATATAATTACTTTCTTAATTTTTTTACATGATTTACTTCTGATGTATAGAACACTTAATTTTTATGTGATGATTTTTCCTGTTGCTTTACTGAATTTATTTATTTTTTTCTAACTATTTTTAGTGGGGTCTTTAAGGTTTTTTGTATATAATTTTATGTCACCTGAAAACAGACAATTTGACTTTCTCCTTTTCAACTTGGATCTCTTTATTTCTTTCTTCTGTCTGTTCGTTCTGGCTAGGTTTTCCAGTACTGCATTGAATAGAAGTGGTAAAAATTGGCATCCTTTTCTTGTTCCAGATCTTAGAGAAAAAGCTTTCAACTTTTCCCAATTCAGTATGATGTTAACTGTGGATTTCCATATAGTGACTTTATTCTGTTAAGGTACATTCTGTGTCTACTGAAATGATCGTATAGTTTTTGTCCTTCATTCTGTTAATGTTATGTATCACATTTACTGATTTACCTATCTTGGCCTGGAGTTTTCTGGAGTGCAGTGCCTTGATCTCAGTTCACAACAACCTGTCTCCCTAGCTGAAGGGATCCTTCCACCTCAGCCTCCCGAGTAGCTGGGGTTACAGGCACCTGTCATCATGCCCGGCTAATTTTTGTATTTTTAGTAGAGATGAGTTTCACCATGTTGGCCAGGCTGGTCTCAAACTCCTGACCTCAACTGATCCTCCAGCCTCAGCTGCCCAAAGTGCTGAGATTACAGGCATAAGCCACCATGCCTAGCCTGATGGGATACTCTTTCTTATTGATTCATTCTCATTATTATGTTTTTGTCTGTTCATGTTTTCTATTTTCTCATGATTCAGTCTTGGTAGGTTATATGTGGCCAGGAATTTATCTACTTTTTTCATAGTTCTACAGTTTGTTAATATGTTGTTGTTCATAACAGACTCTAATGATGCTTTCTCTGGTACTTAGTTGTGATGTCTCATTTTTTGTCTCAATTTTATTTGAGTTAACATTTTTTCTTAGTCTAGCCAAATGTTTTTTTATTTTGTTTATCTTTTCAAAAAACCATTTCTTTTATTGATCTTTTTATCTTTTCTTTAGTTTCAATTTTTTTTGCTCTTTTCTTTATTATTTATTTTCTTCTGTTACTGATAAGTTCAGTTTATTGTTGTTTTTCTAGTTCCTTGAGATGTAAAGTTAGGTTGCTTATTGTGAGACCTTTCTACTTATTTTATGTAGGCATTTATTGCTTTAAACTTTCCTCTTATAACTGGTTTTTCTGTATCTCATAGGTTTTAGTGTGTTGTTTCCCTTTTCATTTGTGTCAATACATATTTACATTTGCTTTTCAATCTCTTCATTGACCCACTGGCTGTTCAGGAGGATTTTTTTTTATTTTTATGTATTTGTACAGTTTTTGAAGTTCCTCTTGTTATTGATTTCTAGTTTTTATTTTATTGCAATCAGAAAACATACTTGATATGATTTCAGTTGTTTTAATTTGTTAAGATTTGTTTTGTAATCTAACATATAATCTATCCTGGAGAATGTTCCATATGTCATTGAGAAAAATGTGTGTTCTTTGGCCGTTGGATGGAATTTTCTGTAAATGTCCATTAGTTTCATTGTCTAAAGTGAGGTTAAACTCTGTCATTTCTGTTGGGGTAATCAGATCCAACACCAGGTTGTGGGGGCTATGAAGTCTGGCAGAGTCCAAGGAATGGGACAAGACAAGTTAAGAGTACATAGGGTGGGTCTAGGGGGCCAATGCTAGTATGGAGGCTGCGAAGACCCTGAGCTCTGGGAGACTACACCATTTATTGGTAATCAAACAAAGAAGCAGGTGGTGAGGACATGCGGACGTGGGGGTAGACAGGTGAGGACATGAGGACGTGTGGGTAGAAAGGTAGCAATGCCTCAAATGTAGCTGTGATGGTTTAACATATGCTCTGCTACTTGAGATAAGGGAGAACAGGTTCTTCTAATTCAAGATACAATCAACTGATGATCTTTGGAGAGCAAGAAGCAAGGGGCCAGTGAGTCTGGGCACATTCCAGAGGCTATGAGGGGGTTTTATGCCCTGAGCCCTGGGTTCTCTCCAAGCCACAAGGGGTTTTGTGCCCTGGGCTTAGATGTAGTGTGGCAGGGCAGCCTTCCACCCTTTGGCACAGAGTTTGGTGTTCCATAGGCCATGAGGGGTTTTAGACCCTGGACCCAGGACCTGTTCCAAGACTGTTTCACATTATGGCAGAGAAGCAAGCCCTGTCTCAGCCCTTCTACCAATGGTTTCTTTGTTGATTTTCTGTCTGTATGATCTGTCCATTGTTAAAAGTAGGGTGTTGAATTCCCCTGATATTAATTGTCACAGTCTATTTTTTGCTTTAGGTTTATTAATATTCACTTTATATATTTAGATGCTTTGATGTTGGGTGCAGGTATATTCATAATTGTTGTAACTCTTGCTGTGTTGACTTTTATCATTATATAATGACTTTCTTTGTTTCTGTTTACTGTTTTGGCTTAAGTCTATTTATCTGTTACAGGTATATCTACTCCTGCTTACTTTTGTTTTCCATTGCATGGAATATCACTTTCTATCTCTTTACTTTCAGCCAGTGCATGTCCTTACAGGTTAAGTGATTCTCTTGTAGGCAGCACATAGTTGAGTCTTTTAAAAAAAATCTCTTCAGCCATTCTGTCTTTTAACTGAGAATTTAATCCATTTACATTCAAGGCAATTATTGATGTGTAGGAGTTTACTATTGCCATTTTGTTGTTTGTTTTCTAGTTGCCTTATGGATCGTATCTTTTTTTTCTTCTTTTTTTAAAACTGTGTCCGGAATTGGTTCCTTCTGGTGAGTTCTTGGTCTTGCTAACTTCAAGAATGAAGCCACGGACCCTTGCAGTGAGTGTTACAGTTCTTAAAGATGGAGTGTCTGGAGTTTGTTCCTTCAGATGTTCAGATGTGTCCAGAGTTTCTTCCTTCTGGTGGGTTCATGGTCTTCCCGACCTCAGGAGTGAAGCCACAGACCTTAGCAGTGAGTCAGGTGACACGGGAGTATATTTTCTTAAGGTCTCCCATAGCCGCTCAAGGAAGGCCGAAGGATTTTCTTCCTTTCCCTGAGTTATCGTAGACATCATTGAATAATTCATGGACTTTTTCCTAATTCTTCTTAGTCCTTCTAGAACACAGGTCAACAGATGTTTATGACTCCTGTCCCCATGATCTGAGTCGAGGTCCCAGTGGGGATCCATACTGGGGATGGCTTTCTGACTGGTAGGGAATTTGTCCATTTCTTCGGCTGTTATTCTGTCATTTACTTGACTAAGATACCAGGTATCTCCAAACTCTCGGGCTGCAGCTAAAGCCACATTATTTTCATTAAAGGCTAGAATTTGATCTAACAATAGCATGACATCTCTCCAAGTGAGATCGAAGGTTTGCCTTAGACCCTGTAGGACATCTATGTACCTATCAGGATCATCTGAAAACTTCCCCAGGTCTGACTTGATCTATTGTAAATCAGAGAGGGAGAAAGGGACATGTACCCAGGTTGGGCCAAATTCCCCTCCCTCTGCAGCTTGAAGGGTACATAACCGATAGCCCGGTGGTGGGGGCTGTGGTCCTTTGGAGATTTCTTTGTTTATTTCCTTCTGGGCAGGGGAGATTAGATGAGGCTTATCATTAATAGGAAGGGGAGCTATAGGGAGGCTAGGATATGGGGGTAAGCTGAGAGGTCCTTGTGTGGGATGTAAATTGCAAGCTTTGCATAGTTGTTTATTCTCCTTCAATGAAAAGAAAGCTTTGACATAAGGCACTTTACTCCATTTGCCTTCCCTCTTACAGAAAAGGTCAAGCTGCAGGATAGTATGGTAATTTATACTTCCCTCAGGTGGCCATTTTTCACCATCAGAGAGAGAATACTGGGGTCAAGCTGTAGTGCAGAAAAAAATGAGCTGCCTCTTTTTTAGGGTTTGCGGATCAAATTGGTTCCAATGACTTAAGATGCATTTCAAGGGTGAACCTGTTGATGCCTGAGTGTTTCCCATCTGAAAGACAAAACCACTCGTGGTTTTGGTTTGTTTCTCCCTCTGCCCAAGAACCCGCAGCAGTCCCTGGACCCTGCTAATTGGAATAGTTGTGCTCACCGAAGCAGCAGCAGAAACACCTCTTGACCAAGAACCCTCAACAGTCCCTGGACCCTGCTGATCAGAATAGTTGCGCTTACGAATGCAGCAGCAGTTTTCCTCCTAGACCACAAGGAGGACTGAAGAAGGTCAGATTTAGTGGCCTTTACCGATGCATTCTCGAAAACCTGCACCCTTGCCTGTCCTCCTAGACCTATAAAGATGTTATGCCCCAAAAATGAAGTGGAGGGCCATACCCTGAGGGAGGGGAGGGATCTCCAGAGTTGGAAGTGTGATGCCTTTTTGTTCTCACTCATATGAATAGGAAGGATATCATTTCTGAAGCTCTCCATATCCTAGCTTCTGGAGTAGCTTTTGTTAGGCGGGCTTGTCTGAGGAGGGATCCTAAAATTCCAGATAGTCCCCCGCCCTGACGGGGCTTTGGGCAAAAATTATGTCTTTCTGATTGGTGAACCCAGGTGCCTAAAGAAGATAACAGAGTCCTGGAGTTTATATTAGAAATCATTATTACAGGAGAAACTAGAAAAGCACCAGAGACAGGGAGTGGTTTTTAGAAGTGGGACTGGCCTCGGAGAAGAGAGGCGAGAGGAAGTTTGTCTGACAGGCAATTAGGACCCAGGAGACAAGGGTCAGGATAGATAGGATAGATGGTGGGTCTCGCTTGGGCGACATGACTTTGAGAGTTCTGCTCATGGCCGCAGGGTCAATCAACTTGCTGTCAGGACCCCGGAGCTGAATGGCTTTCTTCTCTGTTGACCCTCGGCTCAGCTCAGAAGTAAAGGAAAAGCAGAAGCTGGTTCCAGGCAAACCAAATGCTCCCAACTCCAAAGAGTTGGGGGTTGTTAGAGAGCCCTTTCCCAGAAAGGCTGACACCTTTGTCTTTAGTCCGGTGGCTGTGCTAGTCACTTTTAAGTGGCCGACAGGTGCCCGGTATTTAGCCCCCGGAATTCTAAGGAAAAATAGGACAGACTATCAAGTGAAAGGGGTCCGATGGTACTCACCACTTGGCAAAATGCGATAGTCCCATCTGGGTCGCCAAAATGTGTCTGGAATTGGTTCCTTCTGGTGGGTTCTTGGTCTGGCTGACTTCAAGAATGAAGCCACAGACCCTCGCAGTGAGTGTTACGGTTATTCGCAGTGAGTGTTATAGCTCTTAAAGCTGGAGCATCCAGAGTTGTTTGTTCCTCCCAGTGGGTTCATGGTCTTGCTGGCTTCAGGAGTGAAGCTGCAGACCTTCACAGTGAATGTTACCACTCATAAACGTAGTGTGGACCCAAAGAGTGAGCAGCAGCAAGATTTATTGCAAAGAGTGAGAGAACAAAGCTTCCAAAGGGTAGAAGGGGACCCAAGCGGGTTGCTGCTGCTGGCTCGGGTGGCCAGCTTTTATTCCTTTATTTGGCCCCACCCACATCCTGCTGATTGGTCCATTTTACAGAGAGCTGACTGGTCCATTTGACAGAGAGCTGATTGGTCCGTTTTTACAGAGTGCTGATTGGTGCGTTTACAAACCTTAGCTAGACACAGAGCGCTAATTGGTGCATTTACAATCTTTAGCTAGACAGAAAAGTTCCCCAAATCCCCACCCAATTAGCTAGACATAGAGCACTGATTGGTGTGTTTGCAAACTTTTAGCTAGACACAGAGTGCTGATTGGCGCATTTACAATCCTTTAGCTAGACAGAAAAGTTCTCCAACTCCCCACCCGACTCAGAAGCCCAGCTGGCTTCACCTCTCAAAACTATCTTTCTTTTTGGCTAAGTGATCATTTTATAGTAGTATCTTTTGAATCCTTGACTTTTATTTTTAGTGTATATATTATAGGTTTTGGCTTTTGATTACCATGAGGCTTACAAAAAAAATTCTGTAGTTGTGAAAAGTTATTTCATACTAAAACCTAATTAACTTTAATCACAAAGAAATGATAAAACAAAAAGTGCATTTTAACTTTATCTCCTTCCAATTTTGAATTTTGGATGTCACAATTTACATTTTATATTGCCCATGTTTTAAAAATTTATTCCAAAACAGCTTTTTTGAATTCTTTTTCTGAGAATTCATGTCTCCATCACGTTAGGATCAGTCTTTGGTGCATTATTTTGTCTGTAGTTCACATATTCCTGAAAGTTCTTGATGCTTGTAGACCTGTAATGATGTCTTCACAATGAGGGATTATGTATGTATTCCAATCTTTGTAGTCTGGCTTTGTGCCTATTCTTTTTCACAGGGACTTCCAGAAATTATAACTTGACTCACTGTTGTAGTCTCTGAGCCAGTGACCACTGCAGCTATCTCAGCACTAAGGGGCATGCTAAGCACAGGTTTTCTTCAAGTCTTTCAAAGGCTCCAAGGTTGGCTAAGCTTGCCAGCTTGGATGGACCTGTGGAAGACCCAAAGTGGATACCTGGGCTGTGTGATAATGCTGTCCAGGGACCCAAGCCTGGAAGCTGGTCCAAGTGGCCTTGATCAATACAACTCCTAGCTGGCCCCTGCACAAGTGCCATAAGATCCTGACAGGAGAGCAGATGCTGCAACAGGAGGGGCCAGATCTGAGACTGGGTCCCCTCAAGACCTTCATGGAGGCTCTGATTCTTGGGCTGCAAGATTTGAGTGAATCTCCCTCTGGTCATTGTGTGAGCAGTTATGAGCTGATATCTCAGCTGAGGGGATTTGGAGGCAGGTCATAGAGCAACATTCAGTTTTATTGCTGAGATCAGTGTCTGCAGGCAGACAAGCCACTCCACTATGGCACAAATGTTTGTGATTTCTCTGGGCCACTAGATAGATGATTTTGGTTTCAATCTTAAGGTCCAGTAGGGTTGTAGCCAAACGCCTTGGTGAATCAGCTATTTCCAGGCTTAATTCCAGAAGCACCATCAGAGGATCTGCCACCTCAGTGCCAGTTGGCTCTCTCAAAATGACACTCTTAAGTCTTGGGCTTCACAAAGTTTTCACAACCTCCTACCTAAATTCTGAGGCTATAAAAAAAGACTTTTTTCTGTAGTTGGGTGCAGAATTATTGTTGGTGAGGGGATGTCAGAATGTCTCCTATTTTACCATCTTGCTGATATCCTAATCATTATTTTATATGCATGCTCATATTAGCTACCATGTCCTTGGTGGTGGCTATACGCTAGAAAATGCGCTAATCATGTTATCTCTTGCATAGTCCTCAAAATGATTATGAAAGGAAGATTATTTGAGGCCTAATTCTTGGGAAAATAGTTGCTGAGATCATAGTACGTGTGGAAGAATATTGTTGCAAAGTTATCCCAGAAATAACATCTATGAGGGAATGTAGGCAGCAGGACTGCATTGAAAAAGAGATTGAACTGTGATGTAGTTGCAACCAAGACTTTTTTTTGACAGATAGTTGAGAAGTAGGATCTGCCATTCTGCTGTGTTCAAAACTGAAGCAAGGGGACACAGCCTTTTAATTCCCACCAAATCAGTCATCAAATGGGGAGATAAATTTGGGGATAGGCAGCTCCCTTTGGCTGCAGGAAATAACTGGGGAGAACTACAGTTGTGAAACTTTAACTGGAAAATTCTTAGCAAGTGTGATCTGTGTGGTATACCACAGCAACTGGTGCAGCTACCCTACGTGGAGCTCCACTTCAGACAGTAAGTTGACCTCAGGAAGAATTTCTGCAATATTCTGTTTTGCCTGTTATCTGGGGAAATTTACATGAGGAAGAATATTTAGGCAAAGTGAAGACTCATTCTCAGTAACTGGCAGTAAATATGATTGATACTTATCATCTTCTGCCTCTATTACCTATTTCAAATTCCTCTCAACATCAAACTAGCACCTTGGCTGGTTGAGGTGGCTTATGTGGTGAGGCCACCCACAATCTTATCGCTCGGAGAATGGAATCCCTAGTCACCATGCATTTCTCAGTCATCAGCTGCTGCACTTTTTCATTAACTATCAAAACTAGGCAGTGAAACACCGGGAACTACTCCAGCGGTCACATTGTTGACAAACGTATTTTCCTCTATTCTTTTTGTTTAACATTAGTCCTACCTTATTCTGATGATCAAGGTTAATTACTTTTGCCAGGCTGGTTACTACTCTCCTCGAATTGTCACTTACAATAATGAGCTTGAAGATTTAACATAATCCCAATCAAAATCCCAGAAGGATTTTTTTCTTACAAAGGCTTATGTATTACCAACATATATAAATGCTAGAAAAAAATATACCAGTTACGTTATGGAAACTCATATGAATTTAAATTCATAGTCATAGATAAGTGATTATATGCAGTGTATTTTCAACAAGTTCATGAGTTCTATATTTACATCAAAAATTGATAATGGCTAGTATTGACAACATATTGGACAATGAGTACTTTATACTGCTATTAAGAATATAAATTTGATATAAACTTACAGGAGAGAATTTTAGAAATAATTATTTACATTAAAACGTATATAGTTTGAACTCTTGATTTTACTTCAAGAAATGTGTACTAGGGACATTGAAACACCAAAGGTTTTAGATTTCGTACTATTGTGTAATTTATTACTGTTAGAAACCATCTGGATTACAAGGATTAGCTAATATGTGCTATCAGGAAAATCCCATGCAGCATGTAAAATATATAAATAATACTGGCTTAAAAACAAAATATTGAGTGTCTGAGTCCATATGAAAAATTAGGAAATCATATGCATGTCTTGGAAAATTCTGGAATATGTGCCAAAATTTTAACATCATTTTTTTTATGCAACTGCGAGTGATATTTGCCTTCCTATTTACATATTTCTGAAGTTTTTTTAAGCAAACGTGAATTAAAATTTAAACACACAAAAAAAGGATTTTCTTATTGGTTATTTTCACATTAAATGTTCTAAAATGTATTACCTAGATTTGTACAGAACAAAATTTATTAGGCATAATTAATTGTCTAACTAAGGATTTTTTTTTTTTTTTTTTGAGACAGAGTTTTGCTCTTGTTGCCCAGGCTCAAGTGCAGTGGCACAATCTCGACTCACTGCAACCTCCACCTCCTGGGTTCAAGCGATTCTCCTGCCTCAGCCTCCCGAGTAACTGGGACTACGGGTGCCTGCTACCACGCCTGGCTAATTTTTTTTTTTTTTTTTGTATTTTTAGTAGAGATGGGGTTTCACCATGTTGGCCTGGCTTGGTCTGGAACTCCCAGCCTCAGGTGATCCACCTGCTTCGGCCTCCCAAAGTGCTGGGATTACATGTGTGAGCCACTGAGCCCAGCCAGGAATTTTTAATCATAGAAAAAGTAGTTGCTACGAAAAATAGTTCAAAATCTCTTTTGGTATTAATAGTATTATATTGCCTGTCTCATTGAAGTCAGACAGGCTTTGGCTTGTCTTGGTTACCAATATGTGAATATCCATGGCATGTGATTTTTCTTGGTGGAAACTTTAGAAACCAAACATTAATTGCTGTGTTTTCTCTTGCCTTTGCAATGTTTTAGCTTGTTGCTCTTCCTTCAGCTCAGAACATACAGATGGGAGAACACAGAGCAAACCTCCTAGCCAAGCTGCAAAGAATATGCAGAGTGAGCAAGAAATAACCCTTTGTGGTTTATATATGATCTTCTTCTACTTAAATATAGATACTTCTTAAAAAGAATTACATATCACAGTGATATCAGATTTATCTTCAATATTTTTAATATGGATAATAGAAGCTGAATTAAAAGAGCTTCCAAAGTAAAATTTAAACAAATTTACATTACGTTAATTTGAAACTTGTAATACTTAAATTTAAAGAGTTGTTTTAGAATGGAGGTCAATAAATAGTTTTTATTGCCTTTGTGGTTTAGCTAAACAGCTAATTATTTTTGTTTTTATGTTATTTTTGTCATGAGAATGAAAAAGGAATTACAGGAATAGATGTTTTGAAAAGATGAGATGGGAAGAAAAAGTCTGTAGCCAGAACTGAAATTCTGTAGCATGTAGTAAGAGACAAGAAATACTCCTTGAGTTGAGTTACCTGAGTTTAAATTGGGTAGATAAAAATAAAGTAAATATGAAAAGATATAAAACAAAGCTTTTGTTTTCATGCATTTGAAGTAAAGATTTTTCCTAAAATATAACTAAGGAAAAAACATATATTTAGAAGAAGTTGTTTGACAATATATTTTGTATAGAAGAAAACAAAAAACAAACAAATAATCCTTTTTTAAATGTTTTATTTTATTTTATTCTAAGTTCTGAGATACATGTGTGGGATGTACAGATTTGTTACATAGGTAAACGTGTGTCATGGTGGTTTGCTGCATCTGTCAACCCATCATCTAGGTATTAAGCCCATCATGCATTAGCTATTTTTCCTGATGCTCTCCCTCCTCCCACCCCCACTTTCCAACAGACTCCAGTGTGTGTTGTTCCCCACCCTGCGTCCATGTGTTCTCATTTTTCAGCTCCCACTTCTAAGTGAGAACATGTGGTGCTCGGTTTTCTGTCCCTGTGTTAGTTTGCTGATGATAATGACTTCCAGCTCCATCCATGTGCCTGCAAAGGACATAATCTCTTTCCTTTTTATGGCTGCATAGTATTCCATGGTGTATATGTACCACATTTTCTTTATCCAGTCTATCATTGATGGGCATTTGGGTTGATTTCATGTACTTGCTATTGAGAATAGAAGAAAATAATTCTTGATTTAAACAGAAGGACATGACAAAATAAAGAGTAGGTAGGTGTGGCCAAATCA
The DNA here is from genome assembly GCF_000001405.40 of Homo sapiens. NCBI lineage: Eukaryota > Metazoa > Chordata > Mammalia > Primates > Hominidae > Homo > Homo sapiens. The sequence goes on from NC_000003.12 coordinate 95,956,681, forward strand.
TAAATAAAAATATAACTTTCTTCTGTTATTTTTTTCTCATTTAGACTTCACGTCCTCTTTTGTTTTCTTCACTACTATAATAAGATATATAATGTATGATTGTTGTTCTTCACTGTGCAAAACAGTGGAATGTTACGATAAACTAGTGTTTCTATTGGGATTTGTGTGTGTGTGTGTTCTTTAATTGTGAATACCCTGTATTTTAAATCAGGTCAAAGATTATCTTTTGTTTATTTTATTGATGGCTGCTTTGCATATTTGAGAAAGACATACTGTGTGTAAGTGATTTCCTTATACAACATATCAATTTATTTTTAAATTTTAGTTATGTAAATTACTTCATTATTCTCCAGTTTACTTGTGTATTTTTTCCTCTTGCTTCTCTTTATCTTCTTTCTCCTGTCATCTTCCCCCTCTTTTTCTCTTACTGGAAGTAAAAGTTGAAAAGGGAATGTGATCCAAGTTTATAAGTTCAGAAATTTAGGGCTATATAATTGATTTGATGTAAAGCATAGAAAAAATATAAAAATTTTGATTACTCAGATTAACTAAAAATTTTATTAAATTTTCAGCCCAAATAATACCCGAAGTAGTCATGAGAATATAAAAAAGCTAAACATCTTATTTTAAATATTGTGACAGTATTTTGTCTACCATTCACTTTGCTCCACTGAGAAATAGTTATATTTTACTGCTTAGAGTTGTGAGACCTAAGACAATAAAGAATGCAATTTAAATTCTGCAGATTGCTTTCAGCAATATGCTGTATGTTAAAAAAAAAAAGAAAAACTCACACAGAGTCAATTAAGCCATTGGATAATAGATCTTTTTTGTTCAGGTAACTAAATAAGCTATTCATTTAAAATATTTATTGCCCTTCTTTGTTTTTATTCACACTCGAGCTTTTCAAAAAAAATGACAATGTTAATGTTTTCTCTAAATGATCTTCTATTATGACTCATTGTGGAGCTCTACTTTATTCATCTGCTTATGATAATAATAATAATGCTGGTTATTCTGAGGGTAATAAAAGAAAATGACATGTGACATACTCTCATTCCATTGTGGTAATTCTTTTCTCTAGTCTAAAACATTCAGATGTGAGAAAATGCAACCCAGTATGTATTTATTTATTTGTTTACTTGTTTATTTATTTATTTATTTTTTGGAACAGGGTCTCACTGTATTCCAACTGAAGCCTGCTGTCCAGGCTTCAATGCAGTGGTGCAATCTCAGACCACTGTGATCTCCGCCTCCTGGATTCAAGTGATTCTCCCACCTCAACCTCCTGAGTAGCTGAGGTTACAGATGCGCGTCACCACACCCTGCTAATTTTTGTATTTTTTCTAGAGATCGGGTTTCACCATGTTGGCCAGGCTGGTCTTGAACTCCTGGCCTCAAGTGATCCACCCACTTCGGCCTCCCAAAGTGCTGGGATTAGAGGCATGAGCCACTGTGCTCGGCCCCAGTGTTTATGTTTATGTGGTGATTTCTGTAACAGTCATTTTAATGTAATTACATTATTAATCATCTGCTCGTGTTTAGTCAAAATTGATTTTCTATATAGTTCATTTGGACATTTGAGACAAATAAGTTATTTATTTCTGTCAGTTTACTATCTTAGCTACTAGAATTTCTTAAAAAAATATTTTTCACAGGACAGTATATTTTCAAATATCTTTTGACACAATGTATTATAAAACTATTCTGTTTTGTTTTATACTTTCTTCGAATGAGGATTATGTAGATCCTTCTTTATTTTCAAGGCCTTACATCATATTGAAAGACACAATTTACTATTGTAAGATGAACATTAATATATATTTTGGGGGGTAAACTACAAAAAAAGAAAAAAGGATTGCTTCATGCAGCTATATTCTAATGGCTAGAAGCTGTTTCATGTCACGTGCCATTATTTGAAGTAATTAATTCTGTCATTATATAACATTAATTTGAGAAAGGTATAAAAAATTGACTTACTAGTTTTTTATATTGGACCACATTCTTTGTAATTAAATATAATGTATAATACATGTTTTATTTATTAGTACTGATGTCCTCCAGTTAAAGGCCACCAGGACCACATATTTAGCCAAACACAGTTGGCTTTATTGTTTTCTGCAACAAAGATTTTTATATCTTATTGGAATATGGGGGCACAGAGAGAGATTTTCATGACAGGGACCTCACTGCTCTTTTATTTAAAAAACTGGGCCTCTTTTAGGTGATTTTAGAGATGACTCAAGATGACACGGTGTCCTTTTTCTGGGTTAGGTGCTATTAGATAATGAGAATAATTCTGTAATCTGGAATTTTAGTTTTATTCTAGTGGATGAGAAAAATGAGGCTGAGTTATGGCTGTAATTGGTAAAGAAGTAACAATAAGGGAAAGAAGTTGTTATTTCATTGTGATGGTTACTTTTGTGTCAACTTCACTGGCTAAAGGATGTTTAAGATAGCTGGCAAAACATTAGTTCCGTTTGTGTTTGACAGGGTGTTTCTGGAAGAGATTAGCATTTGAATTAGTAAACTAAGTAAGTTTGGAAAGACTTTAAAGTTGAATCAGGCTGAATTTAATGACATGGGCTCACTAGACAGAGATTCTGCATTTAATGTTGCAACCCAGGAAGTCAGAAAGAGTTCAACAGTTTGTTCAGGTAGTTGGCTAAAACATGGAGCAAAAGATGGTCCACCATGAGCAAATTGGGTTAAGTTAGTGAAACATATTCAAAGGCTTAGGGAGATTGAACTGTGGATTTGTCATTTAAGATCTACTCACCACACTGGATGAATTTAGAAGACATACTCTTCACCAATATTTTAAAAAATTTCTGAGAGGAGCCCCAGAATCCTTGAGGTGTTGCAAGATCAATCTTCTTTGTAGGCTAGAACATACAGTAGGAACGGCAGCCACTCAACTGGAAGACCTAAATACAATGGGAGTAATTGGATCTCAGAGTGACAAAGTCTAAGTGGAGACACTCAACCACCAAAAGCAAGGTGAACGTGGTTACCATAATGGATAGCAGAGTCAAAGCACAAATCAGAATAGTCTGATTAATATAGACCAATGGCATTGGCTAGTTAATCATGGCATTATTCAAAGAGAAATACAAATAAATTATATTAAATTCTTACTTGATCTGTATAAGTAAGGAAGTGCTAGGTCAAGTAAAATCAAGCCTAACTTGAATCATAAAAACAGAAAGTAATAGCTCTCTGATACAATAAATAATTAAGTTTAGATGAGATCATGAGTCTGGAGCTTCTATAATTAGATTAATGCTCCTATAAGAAGAAGAAGAGAAGCCAGAGCCCTTCTTTGCTCCCCACCATATGAGAATACAGCAAGAAGGTAGATATCTACAAGCCAGAAAGGGAACCCCTACCAGACACTGAATCTTCCAGAACCTTGATTTTGAATTTCCCAGTATCCAGAATTGTGAGTCACCCAGGATATGATATTTTGTAATTGCAGCCTGAGCTAAGACTATAATCAAATATTTAATTCTTGAATTTTGAATTATTATAAAAATTTGTAGTCAGGGTATGACATTAAGATTAAATCGACATTTTAAATATTATGATTGATGAAATTAATTAATAACACCATTAATTAGTTACCTCTTTGGGTCATTTCACTGTGTCACATGGACGTTGACATGGTGTTGCAAGTGACAGATCAGTTTTTCACCTAAATTTAACATAAGTCTTCCAGTCAAAGAATGTTTCAGAAATTATTACTAGTTCCTACAATATGCAGGTGAGAATGTGTTGCAGAGGAAAGATAAGAAAGACATATAAGAGTAAAGTTTATGGGGGGCAGAGAATTATAAAATCAGAGTCATTTTAATAAAGCAGTGGATCAAACCTTAAAATAACATATAGAAAAAAAGGAATTCGGAATGAATCATTTGAAAAATATTCAGCAATTTAACACTATACTATAAGCAACTGTTTAAAAAGGACAACACAGTTTAGATTAAGAGCTTCAATAATAGGTGAATATTTAAGTTCTGATGATTAAGCAAGAATGAAACAGGCCACTGTGGTTAAGGGTCTTCACGAGGTCTCTCTTGAGCCAAAACAGATGTGTATCAGAACACAACATATATTATTTATAGCTCCCTAAATAAAAAAAGTAATTTCTCATTACATAAATGTTTTCAGTCTTGTGCAACAATCCGTTTTTGCATATGTGCAAATCTTGGGATCAAAGTCTTTTCAACTATTGTTCACTATTGGCAGCTAGCCCAAGAGAGCCATTCTAGTAAAGATCCTAACAACCCAGATAGAGAAAGGTGGAAGCAACAGCTTTTACATATTTTGTCAATGCAATTTATTTCTGCCTCTGTATGCTACATATTACAAAGGTGCCACTCAAGTGGTTAAATACAAATGTGTAATCAAAAATGATGAAAATACATTGTGTGGCATGTGTGCATGTGCACATGTGTGTGGTCATCAGGATCCCATAAAATCAAATAAATATTCCATTAACATAGGTTATCTATAAAATGTAGCAGCAAATATCTACTGATGGTATTTATGTGATCTTAGTTACCAAATTATAACTTTATTTGTTTACTTACCAAATCATTATTGAATATTTGCACTACCCATTGTGATTAGCAATCATTAGCAATCATTAGTGTGCCAAATGCTGCTGGCCATATATGGGTTATTTTCTCAATAAGTTTTCTGACTAGTAGAAGGAACACTTGCAACATTGGACAGAAATAGAAGCATGTCAAAATAGAGAGGAGTGCAGAAAAGGGAAATGTTATCTCATATAGGGGTTTCTTCCTACATAAAACATTCGGGAAAAAAAATGGTGTTTGAGGTTAGGCTGGAAAGATGGTGAGGCAATGCCATTTTTATATTTGGAGAAGGTAGAAAGGGCATTGCAGATTGCAATAGAGCAAGGAAAAAAATCCACCATGAAGGGAAGCATTAAAAACACTAAAAATAACTATAGTTGCAGAAATAGATACACAATAAGAAAAGATATAAACAGTGACATCAGTAACATAAGATTTGGGACAGGTAGTAAAAGTAAGTTTTTGTGCAGAATCAAAGTTAAGCTATCAGTTTAAAATAGACTGTTAAAATAACAGATGTATGTTTATGTACACCTTATAGTAATCACAAAGAAAAAATCTTTAGTAGTTGCAAAAGATTAGAAACAAAATTAAAGTGGCAATAGTAAAGTTTTACATATCAATAATTACTTTAAATGTAAATGTAAATAGAATGGCTAAACAAATTAAAACTAAAAACAAAGTAAGAACTAACAACTTGCTTCCTACAAGAGACTTTAGCTTTAAGGATACACATGGGCTGAAAGTAAAAAGATGGAAAAGGTACTCCATGTAAATGGTGACCAAAAAAAAGCAGGGGTGGCTAGACTTATATCAGACAGGGGAGACTTTAAGTTAAAATTGTCACAAGAGAAAAATAAAGCCATGACCACTCTCAGTGGTTTACACCTGTAATCCCAGTCCTTTGAGAGGCTGAGGCAGGAGGATTGTTTGAGGTCAGGAGTTTCAGGTCAACCTGCACAACACAGTGAGACCCCATCTACACAACAAATTAAATAATTAGCCAGGTGTGCTAGTGTGCATCTGTAATCCTTGTTCCTCAAGAGGCCTAGGCAGAAGGCTTGCATGAACCCAGGAATTTGAGAATGCAGTGAGCTATGATCACACCACTGAACTTCAGCCTTGGTAACAGCAAGTCGTGATCTCTAAAAGATAAAAAAGGTCACTATATAATGATAAAGAGGTCAATTTATCAAGAGGATATAAGAATTTTAAATATATATGCATCCAATATCAAAGCACCAAAAGATATAAAGCAAATATTAACAGAACTGAAGGGATAAAGAGATAGCTACAGAATTATAGTAGGAGACTTTGATATTCTACTTCTAACAATGAATAGATTATTCAGGCAGAAAATCAACAAAGAAACATCAGAGACAAACCTCACTCTAGACCAAATGGACCTAACAGACATTTACAGAACATTCTATCCAACAGTCACAGAATACTCACTCTTTTCAACAGTACATGGAACATTCTCCAGGATAGAACATGTATCAGGCCACAAAACAAGTATTAGGAAATTTAAGAGGATTGAGATCATATCTAGTATCATTTCAGATAATGATGGCAAAAATCTAGAGATCATTAATGGGAGAAACATTGGAAACTCCACAGATATGTGGAAATTAAACAACTCCTGAACAAGCAACAGATCAAGCAAGAAACACAATGGAAATCAAATAGTATCTTGAGACAAACAAAAATGGAATCACAGCATACCAAACTCATGAGACTCAGCAAAATCAGTTCTAAGAGGAAATTTTATAATGATCAGCACCTACATTAAGATAAAAGAAAGATCTTAAATAAACAACCTAACTCTACACTTCATGGAGCTAAAAAAGAAGACATTAAGTCTAAAGTTAGCAGAAGAAAAGAAGTAAAAATTAGAGATAAATGAAATAGAGATTAAACAATGGAAAAGCAGTGAAATTAAGAGTTGGTTTTTGGAAAAGATAAACAAAACTGACAAACCCTTAGCTAAACTAAGAAAAAAGAGACAAGTCTCGAACGAATGCAATTATAAGTAAAAGGGGGGACATTACATCTTATTCCACAGAAATAAAAAGGATTATAAGAGACTACTATGATCAATTATGTGACAGTGAATTGAGTTTCCTAGAAGCAATAGAGAAATTCCAAGAAACATTCAACCTACCATGACTGAATCATGAAAAAATAGAAAACCTAAACAGAACAATAATGACTACAAAAATCGAATCAATAATAAAAAATGTCTCAACAAAGAATTAGTATCTAACGGCTTCACTGGTGAATTCTACAAAGCGTTTTAAGTATTAACACCAATCCTTCAAATAACTCTTCCAAAACATTGAAGAGAAAGGAACCCTTTTAAATTTGTTTTATGAGCTCAGTATTGCCCTGATATTAAGGCCACACAAGAAAACTACAAGAAAAAAATTATAGGCTAATGTCTCTGATAAAAATAGATGCAAAAATGTCAGCGAACTACTGGAAAACCACATTTAACAGTCCACTAAAAGCATCGCACACTATAATAGAGTGAGATTTGTCCCTGAGATGCAATGTTGTATTATCATATGCAAATTGATAAATGTAATTGCTATGGTTTGAATGTGTCCCCCCAAAATTCATGGGATACGAACTCAATTATTAATGCAACAATATTGGTCATTGGTAGGTGGGGACTATTAAGAGCTGTTTGGGTCATGCAGGTTTTACTTTTATGAGTAGATTGATGCCAGTATGGAAAGAGCTTGTAGGAGTGAGTACTCTCTCTTCTGCTCTGTTGCCATGTGAGGACACAGAGTTTGTTCTTCTCTTGCCCTTCTACCTTCTGCCATCTGAGGGCATAGCAAAAAGGCCTTCCTCAGGTGCCAGTGCCTTGATCATGGAGTTCCCAACATGCAGAACTGTGAGAAACAAATGTCTTTTCTTTCTACATTTCCCAGTTTCAAGTATGCAGTTATAACAGCACAAAACTGACCAAGACAGTGATACACTGCCAATAGGTTTTCTATTTTTTCATGATTCAGTCTTGGTAGGTTGAATGTTTCTTGGAATTTCCCTATTTCTTCTAGGTAATTCAATTCACTGTCACATAATTGATCATAGTAGTCTCTTATAATCCTTTTTATTTCTGTGGAATAAGATGTAATGTCCCCTCTTTTACTTATAATTGCATTTGTTGAGTGATTACACAGTGATTAAAACCACATGATTATCTTCATAGATGTAGAAAAATTAATCGACCAATTCAACATCCTTTTTATGATTAAAATAAACTGTCAACAAATAAGTATACAAGCAATATATACTTTAATACAATATCAGCCATATATGGCAAAACCCACAGTGAACAGCATACTCACTCATAAAATGTTGAGAGCTTTTCCTCTAAGATCGGGTACAAGAAAAGGATGTCCGCTTACACCACTTTTATTCAATATAGTATGGGAAGTCCTGAGCAAAACAATTAGGCAAGGTAAAGAAATAAAAAGCATCCAAATTGGATAAATTATTGATCCTCCTTATAGCTTGTTTGATGATTTGTATTCCAAATACATGATAAAAATAGACCCTCAAAACTTGATACATTTTCCTCTTCAGAATACATTATAATTAATCATTGGGTTATAATATGATTGAGCCTTGTGAGATAAAAAAGATTTAACTCATTCTAAGTCAGCTAAATAGGGCAGAGGAATTGTAGGGAAACAAAGGATGCAATAAACCTGACTAAGATTTGGTCAGAAAATTAATTGCATTAAAATATTCAAGATATACTCAATCAATAGATATAATAATGAACCAGTGGTGGTGTTAGTAAATTCTGGGCAGAGTGTGTGTGTGTGAAACAGGTGGGGAGTAAAATCCTTTAATTGTAGCATCTGCCAGTTTCTATTGTATAAATTTTCCAGCATGACTGATTCCAAATTTATTTATTTATTTTCAAAAAGAGAATTTTATTACTTGTAACAAGTAAGGAGAACACTGGAGATAGTTCCCAAAGCAGTGTTTCCCCAAGCTGGGGGCTGGATCAGGTTTTATAAGCATAGGGTAATGAGCTATGACCTGATTGGATCTTGCAATAAGGTGATGCCAGGAGGTATTATCTGACTGGTTCCTACCAAGGGGTGATGCAAAAGCTTGATCTGTTTGTATCCTGGATCTGCTTATTAATTTAGTTCCCACTCCTTGATCCAAGCACTTTTCCTCCTGTGGTTACACAGTTGGTTCACCTGGACATGTTTAGGTTGATTTACCCAAGGGTCCATGACAAAGTTCCACATGGCGAGAAGGGAGAAGATGAGGGGAGAACAAAGGCATGTCTTACATGATGGCAAGCAAACTGGTTTCAAAATTCCTAAATATTTAACAATCTTCTCTCCTCAACCTGTCTTAGCAGGCTCCAAAACGCTAATGAATGTAACATTTTTAAAAACACTTGGCAAAAGATTGAGTCAATGGAGACCATAAATGGGAGCTGATAATGAAGAGTTTGTCAGTATTAAGTCAATATCCTAAAAGGAGTTTATGGTACTCATCAGTTGAGAGAATGCCTGTTTCCCTAGTAGAGCAATTGATTGATTATGCAATTGTCATATCTTAAAGATTGATTCAATGTAAGCCACTCATCTATGTTCATAAGAAGACATAAGTAGACATCTAGAGATAAATTGTTATTAGATAATTTGTGCTTGTGTGTGTGTGTGTGTGTGTGTGTTGACATAAAGAGAATGAAGTGAGCAATCAGCGGGGGAAGATTATTTTTCTTGTCTATTTGACAGATATATATGCTGTTATAAATACACTAACTGTCATTCTATTTCATACCAGAGTCTCTTGTAAGCTTGATCCGTACAATGTTCTTTACTGGCCACCTTACAGTCCAGCTCTATAGGGAGCTGAAGAGCAACACCAGAAATAGCAGCAGATGTTTGGATGATAATATGTAGGCCCACATATTTTCCCCTGGGTTCAGTCAGAGATCTAGGGAATGTCTACTGTAGACAGAAAATATAAAATTGAAGGATTATGATTAAACCATCTTAGTGTTCATCATGTGAAATGGGAAAGATATTCTTAGTCTGCTTTGAAATAAGGTGAAAGAGTTGAAGTCATGCTAATAAATATATTAATACTCCGAGTAAACAAAAGTAAGACTTGAAGGATTGGAGCAAATTGTGATAAAAATGTTTATAAATAGATAAATATGTACAGAATGTAAATATATTCCATAATAAAAATATTTATGATAAAATAAAAAGTAGATATAGAAAACAGTTTTAAGAAATACAAAAACATCACTTAAAAGCAGGTAACATTATTTAGGTTACTTAAATATATCTGAATCATTTAGCCATTATCCACATCTTACTTAAGAAGCAGTTACAGAATAGTCCAAAGTACACTTTAATTAGACAAGAACATTAATTTTTATCCAAAAATGTGCTCCTCCTTGGTCACATTGTCATTGTCATTTCTGTTGAAGGGTCTTTTAAAAGTGAATTATGCTAACAACATGCAAAATGAAGTTTCATGCAGAGTTTTTATCATATACCATATAAAGCATTTATAGTTTACAGTGCTCTTAGTGCCTCAGTAATTTTTTCAAGGTGCTTGTGACCAGAAAAAAAAAATACCTACAAGTTTCGTTTATTAGGCAGTTAGTTTCAAACAACTCCATATGTATAGTTGGCCCTCTGTATCTGTACATTCTGCCTTCGTGGAGTTTAAAAAAATGGGCCAGACGCAGTGGCTCACATCTGTAATCCCAACACTTTGGGAGGCTCAGGCAGGCAAATCACTTGGGCCCAGGAGTTCGAGACTAGCCTGGGCAATGTGGTGAGACCTTGTCTTACCAAAAAATTAAAAAAAAAAAAAAAAGTTGAGCATGGTGGCGTGTGCCTGCAGGCCCAGCTACCCAGGAGGCTGAGGTGGGATGATAACTTGATTGCAGGCATTCGAGGTTACAGTGAGCTGTGATCGCACCACTGTGTTCTAGCCTGGGCCACAGAGTGATTCTGTCTCAAAAAAACATTTTTTTTTAATGAATAGTTACATCCGTATTGAACATGTACAGACATTTTCTTGTTATGATTCATTACACGATAAAGTATAGCAACTATTTATATGATATTTACATGATATTAGGTATTGTAAATAATCCAGAGATGATTTAAAATATACAATAGGATGTGCATAGGTTATATCCAAATACTACATCATTTTATATAAAGAACATGAAAATCTATGAATTTTGGTATCCATGGGGCTCCTGGAACCAATTCCCTATGCCGTGAGATGACTATATGTTTTAAATTTTTAATACCTGTTTACAAAAAAAATACATGTACCCTGAAGGAAAAATACTGTTCTTATTTCATCCTTAGAGAACCATAATAATTTACCAATGTGACATGTGCTTGTTGTGCATAAACAGCTTCAAGTGTTGCTTGATTTGTACCAGCTCTATAGTGATTATGATTTAAGTATGCAAAAGAAACTTACATCCTTAGTGACACAGAAAATATAAGAGTCTGGAATAGTCATTGGTATATTTGATCCACTTCACTAGTTCTAGAAAGCTCATATGTTGCAATCTTATTGGATATAAAAATAAAAAAACTAAACATTATGATTTAGTTAAGAAAGGTAATCTGGATCTATAGTAGCAATTAAAATATTAAGGATTAGTGAATTTCATAGTTTATTTACTCAGGCAACAAAATCACAGAACATTATATAATTTCTAAGAAAAGTATGTATGCTTTAGTTTATAAAAAAGTTTATCTGTTTAACAGCAGTCAATCATGAAACTTCTTTAAGAAGGTTTTCTCACTTAATTGGAGAGGTACTATTAAAAACTATTATTATAAATGACTATTATAAAAATATCACAAACTGTAATGTCAAAGTACAACATGAACTATATCTTCCTGGAATCCTGGATTGGATATACATGCAACAATAAAATTAGCTGAGACTAATTAAAGCAAAGCAATACAAACAAACAAAAACACTAGGTTCTTGTTTCATTGCCTGCCCTGAATATCAGCATCATGGACATCATATTGACTCTACCTACAGCCATTCCAGTTGGGATAATATTTAATTAGTTACTTCACAACACAGAAAGTAACAATAGTTTCATAGTGGTTAGGAAAATAGGTAGAAAAGTCCTTCAGTTTTTTAAATAACTTTTACTTCTGAATCATAAAAATTGACAATATTGCCTCCAGTACAGACCTTAGTGATTTTCAACAAACTAAACAAAATGCAATCAGTTTTTGAGATCTACCATTGATGTAATGAATGATAAAAGTACCAGTTATAATCCCAGGTTTAATGAGTTTTTAAAATTTTACTCAATATGAATATTTGTTTAATTTATCCCTATAATCTTCAGAGATAATCTTTTAAAATTCAGTCTCATTGATTTCCTTAAAGATGAAATGTACTACCATCGAGTTTCTTTTAGGTGCTTTTCATTATTTTAGTATGAATGGTGCCTACATATGCTTTGAACAACATTGTTTTCAATGATTAGACTTTATTGAAAGCAATAATAGTATAATTATATTAACATAGTGACAGGAAGTTAAAAGTAATGATGATGAATCACTCATACAAATGACTTCTGTGGTTATTTAATAAAATCTGACTGAAACAGTATTTTGGAATTACTTATTCAAGCCCTTAAACCTGACATTCAGAATTTATTGCTTATATTTTCAACACATGGTTTAATATGACCATTTAAGTTGTGTGTGTTTGTGTGTGAGTGTGTGAGTGTATACTAACTAGTTTTTCTTTTGATTCTCAATAAGCATAGTTTAAGTGTGGTTGTTAACTAATTCACTGTTGGATTCCAAGTGCATATGATTCGAAGAAAAAATTAACAACAACTAAAGTATGACAACGAGTAAAAGACTATACTATTTAAAATCTTTTAAAATGATTATAATTCAGGAATATACAATCTGATTTTTGGAATGCTGTGTTTTACCTCCATATTGTGAATGAATGTTGTTGATTTTCAAAATTTTTATATAAAATTACATTTTATGTCACTTTACTTAGGTCAAGGAATATAGTATGTGCTTCATTTTATAAAGCAGAATATTTATTTTTAATTCAATACCATAAAGGAAATATTTGACAACACAATTATGGAAAGGTAGAATAAATGAGTCAGCCATATAAATCTATATAGGAAGGGCTCTCTGATGCCAAGTGTATCTGTAGCCACTAGATATAAGGTGAATTATTATTTTTCTCTTTGTCTATGTCCAACCTTGAGAAAATGACTTTACTTTTTAAGGTCTGAGGTTTATTACTTTAAATATTATAGAGTGGGATTACGTGATTCTAAGGAATCTTCTGGCTTTAAAAACTAAACATAAATACGAAACTATAAGTTCTGGTATAAACGTATACACAAATATCCTAGTAATATTATGGAAAGAGTTCAATGCACCCTCAAAGTAGAAAATACCCTGTTAAACATTATCTAGAAAATTGAGCTCAGGATAGAATATTCTAGATTATCTTTAGAATATAACTATATTCCCTTTATTTATGAAGCACAACCCATGTTTATGTTATTTTCTGACCATAATATCTGTCAGACAAGATACAAAAAGGAGTGGTTGTTAGTCTCTTGAAATTTTTTTCCTGTAGAACAGTTATTTTTTCCTGTGAATGACTACCTGGTCTCATGATCAATTTGCACAGTGGCAACAATGTCCGGAAGACTTTTGACAATCATGTCTCCTTTCTTGTAAATTCTGTACAAAAAAGTTAATAAAGGCTAACTTGCCTCTGTTGAGCCATCAAATTTCCCACCCCTTGAGCAATTACCTGCATTATAACAAATAAAACAATAGCATATGATGCAGCACAACTAGGCAAATATGAAATAAACTACTGTAGTGTTTAAAATTCTCTTCAGATATTTTATTAGTATTATACAAAGCAGCTTATTACATAGTACTTTAAGAAAAATTACAAAACTTGTCCAATTTCTATTCACTTGCAAAAGCCAAACAATAGTTCCTAGTAACAGAGCATATAATACAATAGACATATAAAAAACAATAGTCATTAAAATTCACTCCTTATAATAATAGGGAGCAAGCAGGTGTCTGGAACATAAAGAAACAACAGAGAATAGAGAACATATTTGCAATTAGAAATTAGTAATACATCTTATGTGTAAATTTGTGAAACATGAACTGAAATATTCAGTCACAGATAGTTTCCTCAGTGTATATGTGTGTGTATATAAAACTCATACAAAAAATCATATATTAAAAACTTTTAAAATATAATGAATGAATTGATAAAAATCTGGGATTCCATTCAGGAAAATATATTCAATAACTTAATAATGATAAACACTATACAGTTAATTTAATGTAAAAGAATGCTTTTTTCAAAATAGAAAAGTACAGCCTTGACTCTCAGCTTTTATCTATAAAGTACAAATATTCAACATGAAACTGATTGATTACTAATTAAACCAGTGAAGGCCAATTCTAAACCACTTATGCTATTTAATATTCAATATCATTCCATAAGGCCTGGGAATATTAAATATTAAAATCAATGACTGGACTTTAGTGGGTTACTGTTATTAATATGATTTCATGCTATAATAAATTTACATCAAAAAACCATGCACCATAATTTAATAATTATAATACAAAAATAATTGAAAAATTGTTCATAGAGTCCTGCTGTAACCTATAGAGCGATTTATTATATTTACAAAAATGTGTACAATTCACAAACAAAAGTAAGAATAACTTAGCTCAGCAAATCAAAGTTCTCCTCATTGAATAGAAATTATGCAAGCCTTTGCTTACCTGGTCTAACCAATGACAGTTGGTGAAGATACTTAATGCTATGTGAATATACCCAGTGGTCATGCTTCTACAGTTCTGTTTTACTCTCCTTATTTTTTAGTTCTTTAATACAAATAATTCTTTTTCCTAGCTATCTTAACACCTCCCTTTGCAGATGGGAAATTCCAGTGAAAACCAGAACTGCCAAAATCCTTCTCTTCTTCTTCTGCTTGGATGATCATACTTACTCTTTGACACCCTTAGTACTGTTAACCAGGTTAGCCTTTGTTTCAGTGCCTTCCAATGTCCCTTTCATTAACTTGGAACTTGAGTGATCACAATTACTGAAGAGAATGGGGTCCTAGGTTTTTATTATCTTTTTCTCCAGGCTTCTGGCTCTACTAAGGTGAATAAACACTATTAGACCTTAATCTATATTGCCTTCACAGTGGATTCTACTGTAGAATTTCCAATTTAACTGATCTGAAGCATTATCTCTTAAAAGCTTCCCGGAAGAGTTTGAGAAAAACTGCATCAATGGCTGTACTTGTTGTAACCAAAGAGAACATGTTGTTATCTTGAACCACAATATTTCTCAACTATCTTGGGTGAATATCAAATTATCCCTTTTTTGACCATCTGTAAAATACCACAGAATCTGTGATTGAGCAATCACAGTAGTGCAACTTTTGACAGTCTCGGTTATACTGGAAACCACTTAAATATTGCAGACACCAACTTGAGGCCAAGGCTGGCTCTGGCCACATCCATGCTATTCAAAGTTTTTCCTATAGACTAGTTTTCCCTGTAGTCTGGTAACATCAGCATTATCTAGAAGTTTGTTGAGAATACATAATCTTAGGCCCTACTCTAAAACTACTCAATCAAAAATCTATTTTTAACAAGGTTCCCAAGTGGTTCACCTGCACATAAAAGTAGGAAAATGGTCTAGAGACCATCTCAGCTGTGTTTGAAGAAATTAATTCATCAAATTCACCAGGACTTCATGTTCAGTGTCCATTTTACAGCATATATGTATATATATACATATATATATACACATATAATATGTATACATATACATATATATATATACACATATAATATGTATACATATACATATATATATAAAATCATTTCTTCAGAGAGATTTAATGTTTTAGGAAATTGCATTTCTGTATAAGTTTGTTTAAAAACAAAATCCTTTTGGTAGCTTTGCAACAAAGTGATTAACCATATATAAGTTTGGGTTTTTTTCCTAGTTGTTCTGATTGCAAATGTAAGGTTCTCCTAATATGCATGAATTAAAAGTTAAAAACAGTTTAAACACTTCCTTACAACACAATTTACACACAGAAAAAAACTTTAAGTCACGTTTCTATTGTTTATTAATTAACAAATAAAAATTGCACATATCATATGTTCCTTTCATTCTCTCACACATTCATAAAATAAATGTCAGTCACGGGATTAGCTAGGCAGGTGGTGAAAATAAAATTCTGAATAAAACACAGCTTTTGTCTTGCTAGACATTTGAATGTAGCAGAACATATCTACAATGAATAACCAATTCAAAGTAAATAAGATAAGGAAATTGGGTAATATGAGAGGAGCAGATAGGGACAATATATGGGAATCAGCATGTTTACCCTGATAAAAATGAGGCTTAAGCTGAACACTGGCTGTTCTTGTTTTTGATTCATTCTTGATATGGTTTGGCTGTGTCCCCACCCAAATCTCATCTTAAATTCCCACATGTTGTTGGAGGGACCTGGTGGGAGGTAATTGAATCATGGGGACAAGTCTTTCTCGTGTTGTTCTTATGATAGCGAATAAGTCTCACAAGATCTGATGGTTTTAGAAAGAGAAGTTCTCCTACACAAGCTCTCTCTCTTTGCCCGCTGCCATCCATGTAAGATGCGACTTACTTCTCCTTGCCTTCCATCATGATTTTGAGGCTTCCCCAGCCACGTCAAAGTATAAGTCTAATTAAACCTTTCTTTTGTAAATTGCCCAGTCTCAGGTATGTCTTTATCATCAGTGTAAAAATGGACTAATACAGTAAATTGTTATCAGTAGAGTGGGGCACTGCTGAAAAGATACCCAAAAATCTACAAGTGACTTTGGAACTGGGTAACAGGCAGAGGTTGGAACAGTTTGGAGGGCTCAGAAGAAAACAGGAAAATGTAGGAAAGTTTGGAACTCCCTAGAAACTTGTTGAGTGGTTTTGTCCAAAATGCTGATAATGATATGGACAATGAAATCCAGGTTGAGGTGTTCTCAGATGGAAATGAGAATCATGTTGGGAAGTAGAGCAGAGATGACTCTTGTTATGTTTTAGCAAAGAAACTGGTGACATTTTGCCCCTCCTTAGCAATTTGTGGAACTTTGAACTTGAGAGAGATGATTTAGGGTATCTGGTGGAAAAAATTTCTAAGCAGCATAGCATTCAATAGGTGACCTTGTTGCTGTTAAAGGCATTCAGTTTCAAAGGAAAAGCAGAGCATAAAAGTTCGGAAAATTTGCAGCCTGACAATGCAATAGAAAAGAAATCTAATTTTCTGAGGAAAAATTCAAGCTGGTGGCAGAAATTTGCATAAGTAACTAGGAGTCAAATGTTAATCCCCAAAACAATGGGGAATATGTCTCCAGGACATGTCATAGGTCTTCACAGTAGCCCCTCCCATCACAAGCCTGGAGACCTAGGAGGAAAAGGTCGTTTTGTGGGCCACACCCAGGGCCCCCATGCTGTCTGCAGCCTAGGGACTTGGTGCCCTGTGTCCCAGACTCTCCTGGCATGGCTGAAAGAGGCCAATGTAGGTCTCAGGCCGTGGCTTCAGTCTCGAAGCTTCAAGCCTCAAATCTTGGCAGCTTCCACATGGGGTTGAGCCTGTAGGTATACAGAAGTCAAGAATTGGGGTTTGGGAATCTCTGCCTAGATTTAATAGGATGTATGGAAATGCCTGGATGTCCAAGCAGAATTTTGCTGCTGGAGCAGGGCTCACATGGAGACCCTCTGCTAGGTCAGTAAAGTGGGGTCAGAGCCCCCACACAGAGTCCCTACTGGGGCACTGACTGGTGGAGCTGTGAGAAGAGGAACATGATCCTCCAGACCCCATAATGGCACATCCACTGACAGCTTACACTGTGTGCCTAGAAAAGCTGCAATACTCAATGCCAGCCCATGAAAGCAGCCAGGAGAGAGGCTGTACCCTGCAAAGCCACAGGGGCAGAGCTTCCGAAGACCATGGGAACCCACCTATTGCATCAGTGTGACCTGGATGTGAGACATGGAGTCAAAGGAGAGCATTTTGGAGCTTTAAGATTTGACTGCCCTGCTGGATTTCAGACTCAAATGGGACCTGTAACCCCTTTGTTTTAATTAATTTCTCCCATTTGGAATGGCTATATTTACCCAATGCCTATACCCCCATTGTATCCAGGAAGTAACTAACCACACCCCTCCCTTTTGCAATCCATGCGAAGCAGCCATATTTAGAATTATTACTTATTACTGCACCACATTTTTTGAAAAGCAAACAAAAATTAAAGCATACAAAATAACTTCCTCAAGTGAGACCTAAAAGGTGTTCAGTAATCCCTAATTACCTCCTTATCCCACTCCTTTTTTTGATCATTCCAAATACATACTAATGTCCTTTAACATTCCTTCCTATTACCTCCTCAACTACAATAGATTAATTTTGCATTCTGCTAAACTGAAAATGAAAACTATTAATAAAATATCCCTAAATCTTCTACTCCACAGCTTAGAATTTAATGCATCTGAGATCATTTCACCTGCCTTAAATATGCACTAATTAAAATAGGAGCTCCTCCTACTGTTCACTAATCTCTGATTTTCATTTAGAGTCCATAATCTCTAACTTCTTTAGTCATCTTGCTTTATTAGCCTTCTTTTGCTCCTTCAATTTCTGTTGAAAAAGGGATACTATTCACCCTCTCTTTCATAGTTTCTTGGCCCCATTGTTTAACAGTCAGTATCTTAGTTGATGTCCTCATTGTTTCTTATCTGAGATACTGTACTTAATGTCTCACTGGATCTTTAGAAGATCACCCTAGAAGCTTCCCCTACCCTATGCACATTCCTGCACTTAGCACAATTCTAAAATGTAATCAGGAAAAGCCATCAGATTTCTTCCTTTACCAGAATCCTATAAATTATTTCCACAATATTGAGGCTAGAATTCAAAACTCTAAGACTAATAAGCTTATCTTCCTAGCTTCCTAGTTTCTGTACACAACATACATTCCTGTTCTATAGACTGACCATTCCAAATTTCAAAGCTATAATGGCAGACATCATTGCCCCTGTTGAAAGTGCCTTGCACAATCATCCCCCACCTCTACAGCTCTCTTCCACGTATCTTCATCCGGCCAATTTCAATTCATCAAAATTCAGCCCTCTATTCCTTAAATTCACATGCATTCTTTAAATCCTGCTTTGATTTTATAACTTGATTTTGATGCTACCTGTCTTGGTTTCTATTATACTGTGTGAATATCTATGTCAGAGTACTTACTGAATTTAATCTTGATATTTATTTTTTATTTTATTTTATTTTGAGGCAGAGTCTCACTCTGTAGCCCAGGCTGGAGTGCAGTGGCGCTATCTCGGCTCACTGCAAGCTCTGCCTCCCAAGTTCATGCCATTCTCCTACCTCAGCCTCCTGAGTAGCTGGGACTACAAGCTCCTGCCACCAATCCCGGCTAATGTTTTTTGTTTGTTTGTTTGTATTTTTAGCAGAGACAGGGTTTCACTGTGTTAGCCAGGATGGTCTCGATCTTCTGACCTCATGATCAACCCACCTTGGCCTCCCAAAGTGCTGGGATTACAGGCGTGAACCACCAGGACTGGCCTTATCTTAATATTTAACATATTCCTTGTTCCTCTGCTAGAGCATCATTATCTTAAGGGCAGAGCCTTCATATCTCCAGTGTCTAGGTGAATTTCTTACTTCTTTAAGTGTTCCGTAACAGTCTCCAGAATGACAAATGAATGAATAAATAAATTATATGTAATATGATAGTTCAATTACAGTTATTTTCTCCATAGGCATTGTATAAATCTAAAGGATTTACCATTTTCTAAATTGGAGGTGTGGTAGAGCTGGGGATCAGAATAGTATGGTAGATGAGGAAATACCCAAGCAAACAAGAAAAACATGCTATTTAAGCAAACTCTTAATTAGCTTCTACTCCATCAGTACTTTTATGTTAATTTTCAGTTCCTAAAAAATACACACTAAATATGTATTTTTAAAAAGCTAGTAGGAATAACATTTTACAAGCTCATATTTACTTTTTATTTTTAAGATTTGCCCCATTAAAATAAATATATATTTAAATGTTCAGCAGGCAAAATCTAACATGATAAAGTATCTAGAATGTCCATATTGCCAGAAGCAATCTATAAATTCAATGCAATCCCCATCAAAATACCACCGTCATTCTTCACAGAATGAGAAAAAACAATTCTAAAATTCATATGAAACCAAAAAGAGCCCACAGAGCCAAAGCAAGACTAAGAAAAAACATATCTGGAGGCATCACACTACCTGATTTCAAACTGTACTATAAGGCTATAGTCACCAAAACAGCAAGGTAGTGGTATAAAAATAGGCACATAGACCAATGGAACAGAATAGAGAACCGAGAAATAAACCCAAATACTTATAGCCAGCTGATCTTTGACAAAGCAAACAAAAGCGTTAAGTGAAGAAAAGACACCCTTTTCAACAAACGGCACTGGGATAATTGGCTAGCCATATGTAGGAGAATGAAACTGGATCCTCATCTCTCACCTTATACAAAAATCAACTCAAGATGTTTAAGGACTTAAACCTAAGACCTGAAACTATAAAAATTCTAGAAGATAACATTGGAAAAACCCTTCCAGACATTGGTTTAGGCAAGGATTTCATGAACTGAGAACCCAAAAGCAAATGCAATAAAAACAAAGATAAATAGCTGGAACCTAATTAAACTAAAGAACTTTTGCACAGCAAAAGGAACAGTCAGCAGAGTAAACAGACATCCACAGTGTGGGAGAAAATCTTCACAATCTGTACATCTGGCAAAGTGCTGATATCCAGAATCTACAATGAACTCAAACAAATCAGTAAGAAAAAACAATCACATCAAAAAGTGGGCTAAGGACATAACTAGACTAGTCTCAAAAGAAGATATACAAATGGCCAACAAATATATGAAAAGTGCTCAACATTACTAATGATCAGAGAAATGCAAATCAAAACCACAATGCAATACCACCTTACTCCTGCAAGAATGGCCATAATCAAAAAAATAAAAAAACAGTAGATGTTGGCGTGGATGCTGTGATCACGAAATGCTTCTACACTGCTGGTGGGAATGTAAATTAGTACAGCCACTATGGAAAACAGTGTGGAGATTCCTTAAAGAACTGAAAGTAGAACTACCATTTGATCCAGTAATCACACTACTGGGTATCTACCCAGAGTAAAAGAAGTCATTATTCAAAAAAGATACTTGCACGTGCATGTTTATAGCAGCACAATTCACAATTGCAAAATCATGGAACCAACCCAAATGCTCATCAATCAATGAGTGGATAAAGAAAGTTGGTATATATATATATACAGTGGAATCTACTCAGCCATAAAAAGGAATGAATTAACAGCATTTGCATTAACCTGCATGAGATTGGAGACTATTATTCTAAGTGAAATAACTCAGGAACGGAAAACCAAACATCGTATGTTCTCACTGATATGTGAAAGCTAAGCTATGAGGACGCAAAGGCATAAGAATGATACAATGGACTGTGGGGACTTGTGGGGGAGAGTTGGGGGGGGTGAGGCATAAAAGACTACAAATATGTTGCAGCATATATTGCTCGGGTGATGGGTGCACCAAAATCTCACAAATCACCACTAAAGTTCTTAGTCATGTAACCAAATACCACCTGTACCCCAATAACTTATGGAAAAATTAAAAAATAAAATAAAATAAAGATTTTTCCCCATTAAAATAAATATATATTTAGATGTTCAGCAGGCAAAATCTAACTATCTATCTAGAATGTCACATTTATTTTGGGGGGAAGGTGGTGGAGTTGAATTAACACATTATTTTGACATGTGTTATTTAAAGATGTGAAATGAATTCATATTTTTCTTTCCTTACATTTTAAAAAACTTCCTTTCTATGTAAAACCCCCAGGGAATGCACCCAGGGCATTGAAACTAGAAAGAGATAAAGAGTAAATATGTCTTAAAAATATACTGGAACTTTTGTAACATAAATATCATTCAAAATTAGAATCATCTTGACTTTAAATTTGTTACACATAGAAATTTCAGGTTTTAATGAAAGATCATAAAAGAAACAACAAAAATATAATGTTAACAAGATTAACTATGTAGCATTTTTTTCTCATCTTGTAATGAAGCTACTTTTTTAACCACAAAATTGTATTTATTTAAATAAGAATAATAAATTCCATTATGCATATCATTAAAACACTTTTATATAAGTCTAAAGTGGCTCTCTATACTAAGCTTATATTCTCAAGTAACAGTTGACTGGCAGTTTATGGATTGGGAAAAACATTTGTAAATCATATATTTGATAAGGTATTAGTATCCAAAATTTATAAAGAACTCATACAACTCAACAGTAAGAAAGAAGCAGTGCAATTAAAAAATAAATGGGCAAAAGAGCTGGAAGGGTATTTCTTCAAACATGAAATTAAAATGGCCAACAGATATATGAAAAGATACTCAACATCATTAATCACCTGGGAAGTACAAGTCAAGCCCACTCTTTGATAATATTTCAGACCCATTAGGATGGCTATTATTAAAAAGTCAAACAACAACACATTTGGGCAAGAGTATGGAGAAAAGGAAGCTCTTCTACATTGTTGGTGGGAATGTAAATGTACAACCATTATGAAAAACAGTATAAAGTTTTCTAAAGACATTGGAATAAAATTAGAACTATCATATGACCCGGCAATCCCCCTTCTGGGCAGACAACCAAAGGAAATAAAACACTACCTTGTAAAGATATCTGCACCCCCTCCATTCACAATACGCAAGATATGGAAACAACCTGAGTGTCTGTTGACAGACAAATAAATACAAAAAAAAAAAAAAAAAAGCTGTGGTAAAATGAAGTATTACTTAGCCATAAAAAAGAATGATGTCTGTCATTTGCAGCAACATGGATAAAGCTGATGGAAATAAGTGAAATAAGCCAGGCACAAAATGACAAATTTTGTGTGTTCTCACTCACATATGGGAGCTAAATAAATTGATCTCATGAAGGTAGTGAGTATAATGGTGGTTACCAGAAGCTGGGTAGGGGAGATGGAGGGATGAAAGAAATTGGTTAATAGGTACAATAGACATTTAGGTAGAAGAAATACGTTCTAGTGTTTGATAGCACAGTAGGGTGACTATAACTAACAAAAATTTATTGTATAATTCAAAATAACTAGAAGAGAAGATTTAAAATGTCTCCAACACAAAGAAAAAATAAAACTTTGAAATGATAGGTTGATCATTACACATTGCATATAGATATCAAAGTATCATAATACCAAAAAATATGTACAAATATTTTATATATATCAATAAAAGTGAATTAATTAGACATGTTTCAAAAAGAAATGATAAATATTTGAGTTGATGGATATCACAATTACCCTGATATGATCATTACACATTTTATGCATGTATCAAAATATTACACATAACATATAAATATGTCCAACTATTATGTAGCAATAAAATAAGAATAAAAAGAAATTGTAGTAATGAATTGTATTACTATAGGTAATGAAATTATACTGAATACGGGATTCATGCTAAATGATTAGATTTTCACTACTCTTGCCAAAAAGTAGGTAGCTAGATGAGATAATGAATATGTTGTTTCATTTTAGTAATCTTTTTATTAGCCCTCTATATTTCATAACATCATGTTGTATACCTTAAATATACACAATAACATTTATTTTAAAAATAGAAAAGAAAAAACAATTGAAAACCAAAACATTAAATAGTCATGAGTGGAAAGAGTAGAAATGAGTGATTGATACTTGCAAAGTTAGATGACATGTCATTATTTCGTCCTATTTAGCTATCAATTATATTCACTTTTAGAACAAATATAAAGAAAGTAATGTTTGTGTTCTATACCCCTCTTGAGCTCTAAGATATGTGGCTTGCTTTCCTACTAAAAAATTCTGTAAATGTTGAATGTAGCTCTAGATGTTTTACAGTTTTCTTCAAATAACTTAAGGTAGCTTTTTTCCCCCAAAACTCTGTTTTTTGTTTGTTTTTGTTTCTTCACTAATATCTCTCTGCTAGAGAATTTAAACTGAGAGATTAATTGTTATAGTTTCTAATATTTCTGTAATCAAATATCCTTTTTATTGACCATTACAACTATATTAAGTACACAAATAATGAAAGGCAAATACCATGTGTTGCTACAAGTATAGGAATAAAACACACTCTTAAGTATCAATTACACATTTGTAACATAAAATACTCTATCATTTTCTCACTCTTGTAAATTAATCTGTGCAAGTATTTTGTACACCTTAAGAATTAAAAGCTGACATACGTTTATGTCCATGAATGGGTGCTCAGTTTTACAAAATCTGTTAGTATCAAATAAAACCAAGTTTCATTAAATAAAACTCTCAAATTTTAAAAGAATTCCAGCTTGAGTCTGATCTATGAAAGCATGTTAAATATACCTTTTTTAAACTTTATTTCCTCAAGTCTGAATTTTTCTAACTGGGCTTTATTCTGAAGAGTCCATTCTAGTGTCAATGGAGATTGGGTCTAGAGTTGAGCTATACAGAAATCTCGTGGAGTTATACATTGCATAATCTGCACAGCCATAGAGAGTATCCTTGGTCTGAAAGTATATTTGTATATTATTTTATCATGTTAAGGGCCTCTATAATAAGACAAAGACTAAAGATTCATAATTCTTCTATATCTTATATAAACTTAATTAAATGGTACATTTTTATGGTACATACAGAATTAGGGGAAACACATGGCTTTAATATATTCTAACTAGCATTCAGAAGGTTTTAAAGATAAAATGACAATTCAGGGCATTTAGGTTCTATTATATATTTTTTTAATTGATACATAAGAGATATACATATTTTCAGAGTCTATGTGATATATTGATGCATTTATACAATGTGTAATAATCAAATTAGGGTAATTGAGATATCCATCCCCTTAAATGTCTATCTTTTCTTTAAGCTGAGAACATTTTACTTACTCTCCACCAGCTATTTTAAAATATGCAATAAAATATTGTTTACTTTAGGCACCCTACTGATTTTTTGAACGCTAGGTTCAAAAATATAATCTTCTATTAACCTATATTTTACTTAAATAACCTCTCTTTATCCTTTCCTCTCCCTACACTTCCTGGCCTCCAGTAACTACCAAACTACTTTTTATCTTCACGAGATCAATTTTCTTAGCTCCCACAGATGAGTGAGAACATATGTTTTGTACTTGGCTTAATTCAAAGTGCATTATGCATCATTAAGAAGTAGTAAAATATTGGTCATAATTGCTAAAAGACAAACATCAGAAGTTTCTCCCTTTAAATATATACATATATATATGTGAGCCTATATTAATTTCATATCAGCATATATATTATTTTCAATAACTATACAATTGTAGGGCAAATCAGTTGTTATACCAAGATAATAATGAGTAGTTTTGGAAGCCAAAGTAATGTTTTAATAATTAACAGAGCTCATGTATAATATTTTGTGAAAATGAACAATTTGCAAAATGCTGCCAGTAATTTTTCCTAAGATTTCATGAGTCATACTAGTTTCTATTTTCTATTTTGACTGTGACTTAGGAGACATGGCTACGAAGAAGAGATTCCTGATACTGACAGCTGAGATTAAACATCCTTTTATTTCCCATTATTATATTTCTTAGACAGAAAACAAAATTGAACATAACAAGTCACACTTATTTATCATGGAATGAATATTTTAGTGAGACTCATATTCCAACTAACTTCTTTATTACTTCACTGTCTTACAGCACTTCCTTCTCATCTTTTACCTAGATTATTTCAATATTTTTTCCAATTTTTCTCTGCCACTAGTACCAACACTTTCTAAAATTCCAGTGATTATTTGAACTTTCAAATATATTCCCTTTAAAATTTAATAAATTCTTAATATCAATGATACTAATTTGCACCTTTTCTTATTTAGATTGCAGTATTCTTATAAACCTAAATTTTCTACATGGTATTCTGACTGTAGAAGAGGAAAGATTCTGTAGTATAGTGTTTAATAGTTTGCACTGTGGAATTACACTGTGAAGTATAAATTCTTGCTCTGGCCTGTCTGTTACATGACTGTGATCAACTTGCTTAAGTTGTCTAATGCCTCAGTTTCTTCAAATATTAAATGACATGACCATTTTAGCAGTTATCATGTAAGATTTTTGTGAAAAACTAATGAGATCACAAACTGTTCACCTTAAAGCCTGGTATAAAGTGATTACTCAATACATGTTAGTCATTTTATTCATACCTACTAATTTATTGATGTCTGAGTCTCTTTATGTTAATAATTCTGGAAAATATTTAAAAATTAAAAGATTAAAATGTATAAGCCATATAATACAGGTGGCCACCAGAAATGATGAAAAGTTAGAATACATAAGCTACATCTTAGGAGTCCTCTTTCTCTTTACAGGACAAAGTAACAGAGAGGAAAGACATTGCTCACTCCTCTAGGCGAATGTCTCTGCTTTCATTAAAGCTGGCTAACACCTTTAGAACTTAGATTTATGGAGTTCATGCCACTTTTATGTGAAGGGGATAGGTCCATATGACATAAATCAATTCAGTCAGTCACCTTTGCTGATTGACTCATTATAAATATGACCACAAGCCAAAGGTACATGACAGAGAATAAATGAAAACCATTTATGAAAGCAGAATTGGAATAAAGAAACTGATTCAAAAAGCTAAAGAGCATTCTATTCCTAAATGTTTACAAACGCATCTAAAACTGTGATCAGAAAATATTCTGGGTAATATAATGTAAGGCTCCACATTAAAAATTTTCATCAAGGTATAAGGGTCTCCAGTCAATGATAAAAGTTCTTTTTTGGAGTCTAACTTCCATCTTTTTTGTGTCTCAGCCATTTCATAATTACATTTGAGGTGTTGCAAATAATATGTTAAAATCCACAAATGTGCAACCTTTGGCACTCATTTAATGGTGGAAGATTTTAAACCTCAATTTAAAGGTCAAATTAAAAGAGAGTTTACACTATGTCACATACTTTTAAATCAGCATCCCAATATATGTAGAAATTATGACATATTTTTCTTAAATCAACTGAGATAATAGGATCTGCATTCTTGTGCTGGCTCTTCTATTAAAAGCTTACATAAACTACCCAGTCACTTGTTAATTAAAAACATTTACTGGTTGCCTATTATATGTCATGTTTTGTACCAGAAACAGGGATTTTAAAAAAAGATAGAGTGTCTTTCATGAGTATAGACAGGTAAAAAACACAATATATCTGAAATATGAAGATGAAAGCATGCATATGATATTACAATGGCAGCTTAAACAGTTCCGTGGCTCCACATTTCTTCTTCTCCATTCATGTAACTACTACCTGTAAATTATGGTTTAGGATACAGATCAAGATTCATTATTTTCTGTAAAACTCTTCTGATCTATTCAAGTTATGTTAAATGCTCCACTCTTCATGAACTTACAGCTATGTCTATAACCATCTTTCATAGGGTAACACTATATTGCAATTAATTATTTAGAAATCACTCTTTACATTAAACCTGCAAGTGCAAAGAGTCTTTTTCTCTTAATTGCCTACAATTCTTATGGTACATATCCAAAATTAAGACACATCCAAAAGTAAGTTCTTAATACATGCGTCTGTGAATGAAGAAATGAATGAATAAATGGCATCTACCTCAGTCTGATTATGGTAAGCTACAACTACACTTTGAAGGGAACAGTTCACAGTATTGAATGTTGTGGTTGGACATATATTCCTAAAAATCAAGAAAAATATTTGGGCTTCACAGCAGCACACGGGCTTTGTTTGAAGCATGGTATAAATGCAATGTTCCTGAAGAAGGAAGAGACCTTGGTAAGAATGTAAGCACTAATTAAGGCTAAAAGATTCAAGGTCTAGTTAATAAAGAGGTTGAGGAGGTACCAATTTGCTAACCATACTCTGGTATGGTGGTGACAGACAGGGTAGAGAAAAGGAGATGAAAAATGGTAGCAAATGGTATAAAATTGAAAGATCTCTTTATAGCAAGGAAAATGGAGGTGTTGGCAAGTACAGTCAACACTCTACTCAATGGGTTCTGGATCCCTGGATTCAACCAACCGTGGATTGAAAATACTTGGGAAAAAATGTTACATCTATATTGAACATTTGCAGACTTCTTATTATTTT
The DNA here is from genome assembly GCF_000001405.40 of Homo sapiens. NCBI lineage: Eukaryota > Metazoa > Chordata > Mammalia > Primates > Hominidae > Homo > Homo sapiens. Next base: position 95,984,653 of record NC_000003.12, read on the forward strand.
CTAAACAATACAGTATAACAGCCATTTATCTAGCATTTACATTGTATTTGGTATTTTAAGTAATCTTCAGATGATTTAAAGCATGTAGGAGGATGGGCACAGGTTATATGTAAATAGTGAACCATTATATATCAGGAACTTCAGCCTCCATGGATGCTGGTATACATGGGAGGTACTGAAACCAATCCCCTATGAATAACAAAAGGTGACTGTAGCTCTTTATGTAGCAAAGACAGTTTGTAAATAATCTAGTATAGAAACAAAGTCTTGCTTTTAAGATATTAACCAAGAATGTCAAGACATAAGAAGTCTGGTAAGATTTGTTTTTACTAGGCTAGAGAATTAATCACGTTTGAATGTTTTGGGTAGAAATGGCCTTAGTTATTAATATTACAGAATGTTTAGAAACAGCTGAACAGTGTCTAGAAGCATCCTTTCTTATATTGTGGCTGAAAACCTCATGGGAGAAAACATTAACTCTGAAAACAATGGGAGATAAAGCTATATTCTGGGAAGCTCAGCAAAATTGAGAAAATGAACCCTTGAAGAGAGAAATAATAATTTTTTAAAAAGCCAATAACCTTGTGGAATGACATCTGACAAACAGGACATGCAGCACTAAGGACAGTGAGAAGTGCTGTCTGAATCTTCCTCAATCCACCTATCTAGCAGAATGCCCCTAAAGACTAGTGGTCCTAGAATGCAGGAGGAAATGTGTTAAAAAAAAAAAATCCCATTTTTTCTGCTCTCTTGTTTCTTCCTTCCTGTCACTCCTCACTGTCCCTTCCAAAAGAGCAGGACAATGAACAAGAAAGCATTTTTCTAAGAGATAGTGATAGAAATAACCAGAAGACAGAAGACACTACACTTATGGATACATTCAGTGAGGAATTTGTTGAATACATTAGATATATTATAAATTCAGATTCCTAAGGTAGGTTTATACCACCATGTTGGATTTTTTAAAAATTCAAAGAGGAAAAGCAGAAAGGAGACTAAATGGCAAATTTGGACTTTGAAATTTTTGCATGACCTGCCCTCTTTGGGAACTCCTACAACAGTGGTTCTCAAACAATAGTGCCCATAAACATTGACTCTGAGCGTCCTAAAAGTTCATATTCCTCCAGAGTTTCTGATTCAATAAGTAGAATATGAAGCCTAGAAATCCTTTTGTGTAAATAAAAACAGAAAACTAAAAGTGACTGTGTTCCCGGTGTCTTAGGAAAAGACAAACAAACGAACAAACAAACAAAAAACTAAAAGTGACTCTGCTCCCTGTATCTTAGGCTACGTTTGAAATATTGCTTGAGAGCATTAGGTTAAAAACTGTTTTCACGGCCAGGCATGGTGGCTCACGCCTGTAATCCCAGCACTTTGGGAGGCCGAGGCGGGTGGATCACCTGAGGTCAGGAGTTCGAGCCTGGCCAACATGGTGAAACCCCATCTCTACAAAAATACAAAAATTAACACAGCCTGGTGCATGTGCCACTAATCTCAGCTACTCAGGAGGCTGAGGCAGGAGGATTGCTTGAACCCAGGAGACGGAGATTGCAGTGAGCTGAGATCGTGTCTTTGTACTTCAGCCTGGGCAACAAGAATGAAACTTCATCTCAAAAAAAAAAAAATGTTTTCACAGTAATACTGAGATGTCATTTGTCCCTTTAAACTATGATGACATTTACACCGATGGAGCATAAATAACGGTGTACTGGTGCCATAAGACAAATCCAGGTAAGGACACAAAAGTAAACTAAGAGTCATATTTTTAAGTGTCATATATTTACAGATTTGTCTTAAAGCTAGTTTCATTTAAGATTCTCTTTTATATAGTAGTACAATTATTGATTTTATTAAATCTTAACCTGAGTACACATATTTTTAATATTCTGTGTGTGGAAATGAGACATGCAAATAGAACACTTCTGCTGTATTACAAAAATATGCTGGTTGTCTAAAACAAAAGCACTTATCTGATGATTCATGTTTCCAGATGAACAATTTTTATTTTCATGAAATACCATTTTTACTTGAAAGAATGAGTGATGCTAGAGTCTTGTTTCCACCAGGATTTAGAAGACTACTTTTAGTTGTTGAGACAGTTGTAGGCTTAAACTATGTAGAACTTGTCTTCATAAACTGTTACCTAACTTTTTTGAATTAAGAAACTTTTGAGCTATAAAGTTATGTAAAATGTTTATTATTATTATCTGATTTCCTCTCATTCACTTTTTACTTTTTAAACTAATTTGATAAAAGATATTACTTAGAATCGGATAACATGGAATCAATCTAAGTTTTGATCACTTGGGATAATCATAAATGAGACATTTACTTTAAGTCAGAATATTCTTACTGACAAACAGAATAACTATTTCACAGGATAATTGTGACAGTTAAATAATTAATGGTAGTTAAAGTTTGTGATACCATTCTATGAATGTCAGGCATTATATTTGATTAGGTTGATGAAAGGTGATACAACTTTACATTATTTTGTGCAACCTTTTAAATGGAGTAATTAAATGAAAACGTAAAGGCATGAAGGCATGTCATTCAGATAAGTATTCTTCTCTCTCTGTTGGAATACAAGAGTGTGGTATGGAGGTATGCTGAGCAGCCCTAATGGGAAAAAAGGGGATGATAAACAACTGTGAATAAGTCTGTGATAAAAATATGCAAAGAAGGCACAGTGAGTTTTATTCAGACCTAAATCTGCCAATTTTAATTCACAGAGAGCACAACACTAAAAGCAGTCAATTAATGGGAGTGTTAAGAGTAGCAACACTTTTCATGTTAGCTTACCTTGACAAAGGCATCCTGTCTAAGATTACTGAAGGGTATAGTGGTTTGACACATGGCTAGGTCAACGTATAACAAATTTAAACAAAATAGACTTGTGTGAAATGAAAGTCAATTTTTAACAAATAAATAATATCCATGGAGGCTATTTAAGTGACCTTATTTTAACCAAGCACAAAACAAATTAGAGTGTTAGAGATATTATAGACATTCTGGAAACTCTCCTATCAAGAGCCTGAGAGCAATGATTCCTTGTGAGTGCTTTGTCAGGCCAGAAACAAATGTAGGCGTATCATTCTTGCCATTTAGTCAGAGCAGGGTTTGTGCTTTCTCCACTGGTCAATGTGACCCGGATAATTAAAGGCTAAGGTCAGATAACAGACTAAGTTCTTAAATATCTGATTGAATTACTCCAAAACATAACAGTAAAGGATAAAAGAATATGGGATAATCATGATAGGGATCAACAGGTGAACTTGGTATTGTGAGGGGCCTGAAAACAAGGCAAATGCCTTCGTTTTTTATTTATATATGTATTTATTTTTAGCTCTCATAACTGGATTATACAAATCTTAAATTTAGAGGTTGTAATTTATTTTTCTTGTATGCTTACTTTATTCTAGATATGGGGAAAATCATAGAACAGTTCACTAAAAATTGATTGAGTTGACACAAAAATATTTTAAGTCAGTTTATACTTAGAGCAGTATTAAGAGTTCTTGCTTTTAAAGACCAATGCATTTAATTAAACACATATACATGGAAAGCCAAAATCAAATCTACAATCATTTGCATGAGCCACTTAACCCCTTGCCTTTCAAGCTTTTAGTAGCTTTTGCACGACTGTTACAAACTGCCAGAAACAAGAGCAAGAATACAATGCTTGTGCCAATGTTATCTGTCAAAATATTTATCCAGAGAAGTAATTGAGTAGGCAAGGTTAGTGGCTTCCGTAGAAGGGTGGGAAGTAACATTTAATTACATATCTTCCTCCTATTGCCTAACAGAATGGATCATTATAACTCACTTAGCCTTTAATCTAACAATTGTATTAAAATTAAATTGTATTTAATTGTATTAAAAACAATACAATTAAAAATTGTAATTGTAACAATTAATTATGCACAAAATATGAAGCAATCACCCAGGATCTTCAAATGCTTACATGTAAAACCTCTCAGAACATTTTTAAAAATTGAAATCATAAAGTTGCCGACTACCAGAGCTTTATCATTATTTACTTTCATATGGGTTTTCCCTAACTCTCACACCAAACACTACAACCTTAAGATAAAATTAGGCTAGGAAAGGGAATTCCCTGACCCCTTGTACTTCCCAGGTGAGGCTATGCCTCATCACGCTCCCTGGGCTGCACCCACTGAACTGAAGGATATAGAGACACAAAAAACCCTTCAAAAAATTAATGAATCCAGGAGCTGGTTTTTTTAAAAGATCAACAAAATTGATAGACCGCTAGCAAGACTAATAAAGAAGAAAAGAGACAAGAATCAAATAGACACAATAAAAATGATACAGGGGATATCACCACTGATCTCACAGAAATACAAACTACCATCAGAGAATACTGTAAACACCTCTAAGCAAATAAACCAGAAAATCTAGGAGAAATGGATAAATTCCTAGACACATATACCCTCCCAAGACTAAACCAGGAAGAAGTTGAATCCCTGAATAGACCAATAACAAGCTCTGAAATTCAGGCAATAATTAATAGCCTACCAACCGAAAAAAGTCCAGGACCAGACGGATTCACAGCCAAATTCTACCAGAGGTACAAGGAGGAGCTGGTACCACTCCTTCTGAAACTATTCCAATCAATAGAAAAAGAGGGAATCCTCCCTAACTCATTTTATGAGGCCAGCATCATCCTGATACCAAAGCCTGGCAGAGACACACACAAAAAATAGAATTTTAGACCAATATCCCTGATGAACATCGATGCAAAAATCCTCAATAAAATACTGGCAAACTGAATCCAGCAGCACATCAAAAAGCTTATCCACCATGATCAAGTGGGCTTCATCCCTGGGATGCAAGGCTGGTTCGACATACGCAAATCAGTAAACGTAATCCAGCATATAAACAGAACCAAAGACAAAAACCACATGATTATCTCAATAGATGCAGAAAAGGCCTTTAAAAAAATTCAACAGCCCTTCATGCTAAAAACTCTCAATAAATTAGGTATTGATGGGACATATCTCAAAATAATAAGAGCTATCTATGAAAAACCCACAGCCAATATCATACTGAATGAGCAAAAACTGGAAGCATTCCCTTTGAAAACTGGCAGAAGACAGGGATGCCCTCTCTCACCACTCCTATTCAACATAGTGTTGGAAGTTCTGGCCAGGGCAATCAGGCAGGAGAAAGAAATAAAGGGTATTCAATTAGGAAAAGAAGAAGTCAAATTGTCCCTGTTTGCAGATGACATGATTGTATATTTAGAAAACCCCATCGTCTCAGCCCAAAATCTCCTTAAGCTGATAAGCAACTTCAGTAAAGTTTCAGGATACAAAATCAATGTGCAAAAATCACAAGCATTCCTATACACCAATAACAGACAGAGAGCCAAATCATGAGTGAACTTCCATTCACAATTGCTTCGAAGAGAATAAAATACCTAGGAATCCAACTTACAAGGAATGTGAAGGACCTCTTCAAGGAGAACTATAAACCACTGCTCAATGAAATAAAAGAGGATACAAACAAATGGAAGAACATTCCATGCTCATGGATAGGAAGAATCAATATCATGAAAATGGCCATACTGCCCAAGGTAATTTATAGATTCAATGCCATCCCCATCAAGCTACCAATGACTTTATTCACAGAATTGGAAAAAACTACTTTAAAGTTCATATGGAACCAAAAAAGAGCTCACATTGCCAAGACAATCCTAAGCCAAAAGAACAAAGCTGGAGGCATCACACTACCTGACTTCAAACTATACAAGGCTACAGTAACCAAAACAGCATGATACTGGTACCAAAACAGAGATATAGACCAACGGAACAGAACAGAGCCCTCAGAAATAATACCACACATCTACAACTACCTGATCTTTGACAAACCTGACAAAAACAAGCAATGGGGAAAGGACTCCCTATTTAATAAATGGTGCTGGGAAAACTGGTTAGCCATATGTAGAAACCTGAGACTGGATCCCTTCCTTACACCTTATACAAAAATTAATTCAAGATGCATTAAAGACTTAAATGTTAGATCTAAAAGCATAAAAACCCTAGAAGAAAACCTAGGCGATACCATTCAGGACATAGGCCTGAATGACTAAAACATAAAGGACTTCATGACTAAAACACCAAAAGCAATGGCAACAAAGGCCAAAATTGACAAATGGGATCTAATTAAACTAAAGAGCTTCTGCACAGCAAAAGAAACTACCATGAGAGTGAACAGGCAACTTACAGAATGGGAGAAAAGTTTTGCAATCTACTCATTTGACAAAGGACTAATATCCAGAATCTACAAAGAACTCAAACAAATTTACAAGAAACAAACAACCCCACAACAAGTAGGCAAAGGATATGAACAGACACTTCTCAAAAGAAAACATTTATGCAGCCAACAGACACATGAAAAAATGCTTATCATCACTGGCCATCAGAGAAATGCAAATCAAAACCACAATGAGATACCATCTCATACCAGTTAGAATGGCAATCATTAAAAAGTCAGGAAACAACAGGTGCTGGAGAAGATGTGGAGAAATAGGAACACTTTTACGCTGTTGGTGGAACTGTAAACTAGTTCAACGATTGTGGAAGACAGTGTGGCAATTCCTCAAGGATCTAGAACTAGAAATACCATTTGACCCAGCCATCCCATTACTGGGTATATACCCAAAGGATTAGAAATCATGCTGCTATAAAGACACATGCACACGTATGTTTATTGTGGGACTATTTCCAATAGCAAAGACTTGGAACCAAACCAAATGTCCATCAATAATAGAGTGGATTAAGAAAATGTGGCACATATACACTGTGGAATACTATGCAGCCATGAAAAGGATGAGTTCACGTCCTTTGTAGGGACATGGATGAAGCTGGAAACCATCATTCTCAGCAAACTCTCACAGGGACAAAAAAAAAAAACACTTCATGTTCTCCCTCATAGGTGGGAATTGAACAATGAGAACACTTGGACACAGGAAGGGGAACATCACACACCAGGGCCTGTTGTGGGGTGGGGGGAGTGGGGAGGGATAGCATTAGGAGATATACCTAATGTAAATGACGAGTTAATGGGTGAAGCACACCAACATGGCACATGTATACAAATATAACAAACCTGCACGTTATGCACATGTGCTCTAGAACTTAAAGTATAATAATAATAAAAAAAAGATAAAATTAGGGATACTTACCAAAGGAGACAAAAAAAGAGAATAGGACAGAGGAAAGAAAAGAGGAAAAAGAAAAGAGAAAAAATAAAAAGATGTAGGAGGGAGGAATAAAAGGAAGAGAACGAAAACGATGGCATAAAAATTACTTAAATCTTGAATAATTTTACATTAATAAAAATATAAATTATAAACACATAGATTGCCTATAAAGGTGTCTAAGAGGTCTTATTATATTACATTTATTTGCTGAGATTACTTAATATCTAAAACTGTTAGTGTTTAAGTAATACTATAAAGTCCCTTTCTCTGCCTCTTTTCAAATCTGATTGAGGAATATGCAATAGAAGATGGAAAATCAAAATATTACACTAATTATAAAAACACACCCTATATGGAAAGCAGCATGCATATTTCCAACACTTAGTTACAGGCCTTAATGAATCTCTTATTTTTCTAATGAAAGTACGGGCCCCTGCTGCTGCCTCTGCCCTCCTTGCTTCACGTGTATAAGCCGGCTTCTTACAGTGTAATAGCCTGGAAGATCATGATGGAATGCTACACAGATCTTTCTGTCTTTCCTTGATTTCTCCAGTTAGGATTAAATTCCAAGACCTCTGCAATTGTTGTTTCCTCATCTGGAATATTCTTCCCACCGCTAAACATAATGACATATTCCTTCTCCTGAAACTTTTGGCTGGAATACCACTTTCTCAGTAAGAACTTTCCTAGCTACCACATAAAAAATTGATATCAATTTTTCACACACCTGTGCATATTATTCTATTTCCTGCTTTCTTTTTCTCCATTGAACTCATTACCATCTGACACACTTTACATTTTACTTGTTTATTTTGTTACTATTTTTCTAACTCTGCTATAGTATAAATTCTATGAGAGAAAGGATTTTTCATCCAATTTACTCACTGCAGTATTCGCAATAATTAGCAGAGCATTTGGCACGTTATAAGTATTATATGAATATTTGTTGAATGAGTAGAAGCTTTCTGAGGGCATCCACATCTTAGAGAAAAAGAAGGGAACATGGAGTAAAGTGAGATGGTTCTTGCCCCACATTGAACATAAGTGTAATTGACTCCACAAAGAGGTCAGCCAAAATCCCAAGAACCTCTTCAAGGAAACCAGCAGGGTTTGAAGAACTGTTCTCTTCACATTCTTCAGCATTTTGTTCTTTTAAGCCATCAGGTTTAATGATTGATCTCATAGACAACCTGGATGTTTTCTCCCTCAAAACCTGGTGAAAGGTATAGTGAAACAATAATAACTTATACATGAAACTCAGCATTCCAGCAAATCATCTAATTGAAATAGAGAAGAGATCCAGTAAGTAATTTTTAAAATTTCCTCAAATATTCCAAATGTGTGTGGCACTAATTATATCCTATGAAAATCATATTTTTTCAGAAGTTAGCCCATACAAAATATCATTCAGAGTGTTAACCTTATACATGATTGTAATGAAAGTCTATGCATTTTGTCAAATCCACTGCAAATTAGAAGTAGCTCAGTTGAAGAAGTAAGATTAGCTGGTACAGATCAATAAACACATCAAAGTTACTCATGCTGTCCTTCATGTTTCTACTGTATCTTCTAATTATTTATCTTATAACAGTTACCTTATTTTCTTACCTACTTGTTCAATGCATTAGATAATGAGTTCCTTGACTACAAGGGCCAGGTCTTACACATTTTACCTCTTGTATAATGCTTAGCCAAATGCCTGTGCTCAATATGGCTCAATACTGAGCCGAATGCTGCTCAGTGCAGTATTCCCAATAATACTGGGAATAATGCAGTATTCTCAGTATTTTATTGGAGTAAGTTTTAGGGTAATGGCTACATTTAAAATGTAAATTGATAATAGAAAAATAATGTAGTGTCCTTGAAAAAATTTTATGCTCCAGAGGTCATAATAGCTGAACATAAAAAAAAACATATGAATGTCTGGTGTATGTCTATGGTTAATGTTGCTGTGTTATATCTTGTGCTGTTACTATACGTGTATAAAGGTAACTGCTGTGGGCAAGTGATATCAATGATGTGCGCAGACATAACCTGATATACCTGGCTCAATGAGAACCATCTCTTATGAGCTGCTAACAAATTGATCTGTTGATGGTATGTTTCAGTGGACTCAAAGGACTGTGGAAAGTTTCTCCAAGCAACAGACCAAAGAGAAGCTACCAGCTTCTGTCACTGTAATAGCTTGTGTTCATATCCTTATGCATTAAGTAATTTCCACTTTTTTCTTTGATTAACAATTTTTTGCTATAAATTATGGAACATGTTTATAGCCTAATCCCACTTTGATGATATATGAGGCAGAACAACAGCATTAGCCATGTTTGATCTGGTTCTTTGTATTCTGAAAATACTCTTGATGCAGATTTGGTTTTACAGAAAAGACGCTGAGTTGGTATTTCATGTTCGTGGTATTTTTTGCTGATCAACAAGTAAGGAAGGGGTGAAAAAGGTAGCATTACAGAGCTGATGTAGAACTGTGATGTGCGCCTATGAAACCTTGACCAAAACGATGGGGATTTATGCGGTAAATATTGGTATTTAAAATAGAAAACTTGCAGCAAATGGCCAGGGATGTTAGTCTCTGCCTTGATCAGAGTCTATTGGCTGTGGGCCATTCTGAGCAGAACCTGCCTTCAAATAAGGTGGCCTTGAGCAGCTGAGACAAGCCCTGAAGAACGTGACTGCTTGGAGCACCTGCTGGATTTTCCCTTGAAGAAAAATCTGGTGACAAAATTCTTGGTCTACAAGAACTCTACAGAAGGAAAAACTGTATCAATCTGATATAAGAAGCTGTCCCATTCCAGGAAAACCTTATCTGTATTTTGAAACACAAAAAATTAACTAGAATTGCTCATTCATTCTGAGTGCAATCCTGGCAGATATGAAATTTAAAGTAACCTACTTCCAGTTATGTATTATTAGGGCTAAATAACTCCTAAAACTTCAATAATTATTTTCTTCCAATAATAAAAAAAATAGATGAGGGCTAGTTATTAGTGTTTATTCTAAATTTTTGTGAAGATACAAATACTAAATACAGATCTAAAAATGTTATTGCTATAGAAGCCAAATCTAGTAATTATCTTGTAACATCTATTTCTTTACAAATCTTTAGAGAATTGATAATTAATCTTTTGCTTTATAATATTAGATAAATTAAATGCATATATATAGCTACAGCTGTTAAAATATACTGCTGCAATAAGAATCAGATACATTTAACAAATTAATGTGTCTTTTTGTCAATTCAAAATGCTATTTCACAAGATGATGTAACTGTATAAATTTAATTAATGATTACTTTAAAAGAAGAAAAATAGAAACTTTAATGATTTGATAAAAATGAAAGGAGTTTCAATAGGAAAATAGAACATTTCAAGTGGGAGGCAAACTCCAATACATAACTAAATTTTTTATCTTAATCATTGAAAAACATTTAAATGATATGCTTATAAATTAAAATGCCTATTTATATTTGGGAAAAAATTAAATGGAAACTTTTTACTTTGTAGTTATTTATGTGAATAGAATGAGGTATAATTAATCATAATGAGCCAAATAGCAGCTAAATATAACCACTGGATATTCAACCGCTAGAAACTCGTAACACACTGATTGGCGTGTATTTGATTGGTCAATGCTCATACTGCTTGTTTTTATCTATAAGGAATGACATCTGGTTGACAGAACTTAGTAAAAATATGTTGATAGTCTGCCATACTGACAGCTTGAAATAAAGAATTCTGAATTGTCATAGCATACATTGATTAGACAGAGAAATTATAAAATTTAAATAGGATTTTCTAGTACCAACCAGTGTGGTCATTAATATGCCATATTTATTAAACCATAGTTTGCAGCCTGCTGTAATAGGTATAATTGATTTTTAAAATAAAAGCATATGAATGAGAGAACATAAAACTTTTGTCTCTGGGTAATTTATAATCCATTCTGTCAGAGATGGCAATGAGAAATATACACAGATTTTATTCCATTTTTTTATCAGTCTCTTATGTAGTCTGTATCGTAAACCTCGCTACGTATAGAGCAAAACATATGACTCAAGTAAATGCTTTCAGTATGTCATTATGAAATAGAAAATGAAATCTAGGCACTTTAATTTTGTGAATTTTTAATGTTATTTGATATCAGTCAGATCCTCAAAGTGAATAGTTCATTTTCCCAGAATACACTTTATGTTTTATTACCTTTCTGACTTTTTAATGCTATTTTGTGTTCATTGTGCTATTCCAATGTCTACCTTTTCTCTACATTTCCAATTTTAATTGGTCATCATGGGTCAGTAGAAATACTTTTTTTGGTGATGGTTTTCTGATCCCTCAACCTATAGTATTCTCTTTTAACTTTGAACAGGCATCATACTTTTTCTCTTTTACTATTTGCTTTATACTAAATAAGTTTCATGAAAGTCTTATTTGTTACCAAAATGTAAGCTCCATATTGTCAGGGAGAGTATATTTTTTAGCTTTTTTTTTCAACTTTTATTTTAGAATTGTGGGTACATGTACAGATTTGTTACAAAGGTATATTGTGTGATTCTTAGGTTTGGAGTACAGAACAGAACATTTTCTAACTGTACCCCCTATGTAGTAACTGCAAAATGTAAGCATTATAATGCATAATTATTAGAAAATTATATTTATTGTCCACAAGACTTGAATGACTTACATAAATACATAGTTAATAAAAAAAACTAATATTTTAAAATCACTACATTTTTAATGTGAAATATAAAGCTCAAAATTTCCTAGGCCCCTGGATGCATGCAATAAAATACACTGATCAAGAAATACGTGCTTTGACAAAAGAGCATTTATGTAAAGGAAAGAGAAAGATATAATGAATACATATTTATATTAATTTAGAAACCAAAAACTTTTGAGAATTGTTTTAACTCAAAATTCATTCAAAAATTAAAAGCAATACCACTACTCTTTTTGGGAACTGGAATATCTTAAAATCTGCAAATATTTGAGAAAGAATTATAATTCTATATCTATCTCTCTCTATATATATATACACACACAGTAGTTACACATAAATATGTTTCATATATACACCTATATGTACTTATCTTATTTATAGTAAAATATATTTTCTATAACCTCTACAGCATAAAAAATGCTGTATTATAGTTATTGTGAACTAAAAAATTGAAAATTCAGTGCAATTGTCAGCGAGGTCCAGAAAGTTGGCAATCAGTAGAAAAAAGCACTCTAATGAACAACACAAACTATATTAAAATACCCTTTCTATATCTGGGAATCCAGAGACATTTAATGAACTAAAATTCATGTGTATTATTAATATTTTGATTTACAGAACTCATCCACTTCCCTGGTCCCCAGGCACGTGTAGTACAAGAACACCAATTTAATTAAGATAATGCTTATAATTCAAGAGTCAAGTTGTTACCTTTTACATTAATAAATTCTTGTTCAATAGATGCTATATATAAATTTCTGAAGGTTAACAAAGAGAGAATTGTAAATAAATTGCAAATATCGGGGCCTAGCGTTAAAAACATAATAATCTAGTGCTTCACGGTATTCCCATAGAGGAAGTTTCTTTCTTCTCTCAGGTTAGATGTATCAGAGGTTTTTACACCTTATAGGAAAATTACCCAGTTACAGTCATTGATAATAAATTAGAAAACTTGGTTATACAGAATTGATTAAATCACTTATTTTCCCCTTGGTTATTAGCTGCAAAATATCCCAATTCATACACAATCTTACTCATGGTTTTTTGGAAGATGAATTAGTGTTCATGAAATTCTTTGAGATTCAGAGATAATGTTTTCAAATAAAATAGTTATATCACATTTAGATAATAGGAACTAGTGTTAAGAAAATTGGGATTAATTATTATTATAAAACTTCAAATTAGATATTCAAATGTATCAAGACACAGCCTGTAACATATACAAAATGAGATATTGTATAATATATGAAATTTCTAGAAAATATAACCACAGTGGTGTTAATAAAGCTTTGATACACAAAATAGGTGTTAAAATGTAAAGGTGAAGTTAAGACTTTATAGACGACACAAGACCGATTAAGCCTATAATGTTATGCAACCCATACAATTTTAAAGGACAAAAGTCAAGAAATTTCAAAATAGTCATCCGCATCCTTATAATGTGGAAAGTCATTAAATGACTCCATGGGGGACCTTCAAGACCCTCCCTACATTGCCCACTATACCTCTCTAACTGCTCATGGCCTCCTCATGCGGACCCTCTGTATGGCCAAGCAAGTATGCTGTTGTCTCTTCTCTCCGACTCCTACTCCTTTGTGACTTTCTTGACCTGTCATATGCTATTTTCCTCCCTGTCTCCTGGTATAACAATCCCTTTTTGTTGTCCATCCCTCTAAGATTGCCTCCCAAATTCTCAACTACCTGCAACTAATACTTCTAGACTTGCTGTATTCACTTGTTCTTACTGATTCGTGTCATTCACTTGGCCACCAGCATTTTTGCACATTTGTTATATGAAAGGCACCATGACCCACCTGTCAAATGAAGTTGGGTTCCCCCTTAACTTACTTCATTGTACAAGTCACTTGGAAATCACTCTCAGTTCTTGTTTATAAAATAAAAACACTCCTCAACTGCAGAAAAAAAGTCTCTTTTAATGTGTTATATTCCTAATCCTAACATATAATAAATAGTATATAAATATGTAATAAACACATTCTTAATGAATGTGTTTATAATACTAATGGGAATAAACAAATATTTTAAAATATGAAACATATACTAGATTATCATTTCATTTCCTAGTCAAATGTAAAATCAAACACTCATAACCAGAGTAAAATTTTAAAATTCCAAAATTTTAATAATATACTTAATTTTAATATGAATATTCTTAAGGGGATATCATTAATGAAAGGAAAGTATAGGAACTGATAGTGGTAATTATTTTGTTTCCTTATGTCTCATGGGTCATTAAAACAAGTCCTAATATTCACTGTGATACATCCTTCCCATAAAATGAAATGAGCTATCAAGTTATGAAAAGACATGTAGGAACCCTAAATTTATAGTATTAAGTGAAAAAGATCAATCTGAAAAAGCCTACCTGCTTTATGATTCAACTACAAAACATCCTGGAAAAGGTAAAACCATGGATGTAATAAAAAGATTATTGGTTGCCAGGAGTTTAAAGGGAAAGAGGAACGAAGAGGTAGAGCACTCAGAATTGCTAGGACAGTAAGACGATTTTGTATGATACTATAATGGTGAATAAGTGTCATTAATGTATTTTCCAAAGCCATAGAAAACAGACCAGCAAGAGTGAATCTTAATGTAAACTTTGAGTGTTAAGTGATAATGACATGTCAAGGTTGTTTCACTGATTGTAACATATGTACGTTGGTGTGAGATGGTAGTGGTGAAGGCTGTGCGTGTGTGGGGAAAAAGAGTACATGGGAACTCTGTCTTTTCTGTTAAATTTTGCTATGAATCTAAAACTTCTTTAAAAATTAAAGTCTATATTAAGACAAATAAGCACAATTATAGTAATTAAAATTGGTTTTAAAAAGACACGTAAAAGAAAAAATGGCACTGGCATCAGTGATATAATAACAACTGCATGTGAAATTATTGATTTTTTTTTTGCTAACTTTCTGTTTTAATATATAGACTTAGTGAAGTGGACAATAGATTTGTTTCAAATCCTAGTTTTGGTGGGACAAAATGTCAACTAATGTAAAATAAAACTGACCAGGACGGTGCAAATGGTATAAAGCAAGCATTAACTTTACGCATTTATCTTCAGTTAAAGTTACTGCATACAAGTTACAAAGCAAACTTTTTATGATTAGAAATAATCATGTAATTTTAAGTCTACATAGCTTTAGTCCAGAAAAGTATTCATTCTCAGTTTAAGGAACACTGAAAGAGTGTCATCTCTCAACGAGAACAATTTGCTGCGGTGGGGAGATGTGATGAGTAGGGAAGGGGGACTGTTGAAATGATTAATACAGTTATCTCCACACAGTTATGTAGCTCTTTTGGGTTTTGAGAAACTCTACACTCAGATATCCTGTACAATTATGAGGAAGATTATCTTTCATTGGCACGGTGACTTCCTTTGAACTATTTTCGAGAAAGGCTGCTCCTGCCGGGCACAGTGGCTCACGCCTGTAATCCCAGCACTTTGGGAGGCTGAGGCGGGCAGATCACGAGGTCAGGAGATCGAGAGCATCCTGGTTAACACGGTGAAACCCCGTATCTACTAAAAATACAAAAAAAAAAAAAAATTAGCTGGGCGTGGTGGCGGGCACCTGTAGTCCCAGCTGCTGGGGAGGCTGAGGCAGGAGAATGGCGTGAACCCGGGAGGCGGAGCTTGCAGTGAGCCGAGATCGCGCCACTGCACTCCAGCCTGGCGCAACAGAGAGAGACTCCGTCTCAAAAAAAAAAAAAAAAAAAAAAAAAAAAAAAAAAAAAAAAAAAAATACTGTTGCATAAACCAGATTGGAGTGAAAATTTATTTTTAAATGTGTTTGGTATACTCTGTCAAAAATAAATTTTATATACATGATCTTTGACATATATCTCTGTATGTGAATGCTTATGTGTGTATTTCCCATTAATTTTTGGAAGACATGAGAAAACAACAAGAAATTATTTGATGCCTATTCTATAAATCCTGCATACATTTAACATGCTGTAAAAGACAATTGAAAACATAAGCAGTTATAAAAAGTTAAAATAAGTAATATCCAAGCATACTCTAAATATAATGTATTTTGAGTTCTAATACTGAATATGAAAAATCAGACAAACTAAACATAGGATGTCAATAAAGGGGAGGCTCCAAGACACACACGTTTTCTCCTCACAGGACTAGAATACTATTTTCAGCTGCTGCTTCCTCATCATCGGTCTATCACTCCCTTTTAAAACTCATGCCATGTACCTATTGTAGGCTTTTAAAAATGCATATTAACAACTATTCCTGTATCCCATTTTTTACTTTTAACCACCAGTACTTTAAATCAAGATGAACCCTGGGGAATCTTCTAGATTTTTTTTCCCCAACATTTTTACAAACTCCTCAATGCTGATGATATAGAGGGAGAAGAAAAGGAAGAATCAGTTAGGTACACAGTGAAGGCTGGTCCTTGGAGACGCAGCCTGCCAGAAAAATCACAGCTACAGGCAAAAATAGAGCAACTTGGGGAAAACTCAGGCTGCACCTGCACAGATAAGCAGGCAGGGCCCAGCACAAAAGCCTTTTGTTCTTTTTGTAATTGGCGGGCTCCCAGGAGAAAGTTTCCTCCCCTTTTCCGACATGTACGCTCTGGGCTCTGTGAGAACTTGCACAGGGAGGAGGTGGGCTTACCTAAAACAAACCCACAGTTATACAAACAAGAGAAGTGGCACTTTTTGCTTACCTAGAGACATACTCACAACTACATAGATGAGGGGAAGTTTTGCAGACAGCTTTTCAGATAAGAGAAGTTACTCAAACAGCTACAGAGATGAGAGGAGTTTCTTATAAAAGCTTTTGAATTCAACTGTAAAAATGGCAACCTACTCAGGCTCCCCTCTCCACTGCAGAGACTTTCTTCTTTAGCTTATTAAACTTTCACTCCAACCTCACTCTTTGTGTCCATGCTCCTTATTTATCTTGGTCATGAGACAATGAGCTTGGATAACACCTTAGACAACAAGACCAGTGAACCTGGCCTGTTTCAATATCACTATTAGTTGTTTGGAGAATCAGCATTACATATTGTTTTAAGAGTGGAGGCCCCTTAAAAACGTCCCCCTACATCTCAAAACCAGAAAAAAAAAAAAAAAAAAAAAAAAAAAACGTGTTGAGTCCTTCTCATGCTCGAGATTTCTTCTGCCTTTCTCTTCTATTGCCTCTC
Organism: Homo sapiens; assembly: GCF_000001405.40. Classification (NCBI taxonomy): domain Eukaryota; kingdom Metazoa; phylum Chordata; class Mammalia; order Primates; family Hominidae; genus Homo; species Homo sapiens. The sequence continues at coordinate 96,001,795 of NC_000003.12, forward strand.
TGTCTTATCGTTCTGCCTTCCTGTTTTACTATTAGGAACTCAGGTGATTACAGTGGTACTGCTCAGATTATCTCCCTATTTTCTCCCTGTTTTATGGTCAGTAATTATTAGCTGTAATTGCATCTGCAAAGTTCCTTTACAGCAGTGTAATTAGTGTTTGACTGAATAACATTGTGGTAAATGGAATTTTATCCCCAGAACCTGAAAATGCATTACTTAACTTGGCAAAGGAAACTTTGCAGATGTGATTACGTTAATGATATTGAGAAAGGGAGATTATGATAGATTATGTTTGGGCCCAGGTTAAGAACAAGAATCTTCTAACAGAAAGAAGGAAACAGAGGGTCAGAGTCAGAGAAAGAATTGAAGTTGTTACACTGTTGGCTTTGAAGAAGGGGCCATGAGCTGATGAATGCAGGTGGCTTTTAGAAGCTAGAAAAGGGTAGGGAACAATTCTCTCCTGGAGAATCTCCAAAAGGAATGCCAACACCTGCTAGAACCTTGGTTTTAGTCTAATAAAACTCAGTTTAGACATCTGATAGAGCTGTAAGGCAGTAAACTTATGGTGTTTTAAGCTACTAAATTTATGGTAATTGGTTATAACAACAAGAAACTAAAACAAATATGTTTAGAATTCTGCCTCTACAACAAGCTTCTTTGAATTTATTACTGGTGGCCAGTAATCTTTTCTCCGCAAATAATCTAATATAAAACAAAACAAAAAATAAATCTGGTTGTCAATATAGTAATGGCTAAATTAGCGTTCTAGTCACTGTGCTGAATATAGTATGCAATATTTCAATTAATTTCATATTAGCTTCAATTTTATTTTAAAAAACTGATAATCAGGGAATTTAGCAGTTATTGTCACACAGCTAATAAATGAAGAAACTAGGGTTTTTTAAACCAGATAATCTAACTCTGAATCTGCACAGTCTTAATCATGCAGCATAGCCCTAGTGGCTCTCCTACTTAAAACACTAATTTTTGTAGTTCTCTTGCCAAATTTAAAAATATGCTTTTATGTACTAGACAAAAAATGCATGCACGTCACCTCTTATGTAAACTGAAAAATTAACATATGAATTTTCAAAAAGTAAATTTATTGATATTTGTTCTTATAATTTGCTTTAATAGATATCAGAAGGATACTTCTGGAGGGGATGATAGGACTGAAAACAATAAAATTAGAAGAAATTCTGTTTAATGAATAGATATATGCTCAAATTCCTTCCCTAGAGCAGTGCAATCAAATTTACAAAATTAGAGGTTTACCCTGTAGAGATATTAACCCAGAGAGGATTTGACATTGAGGCATCGGAAGCATCAGGAGGAAAAGGTTGTGCTGGACATTTTTGAGTGTGTCCATTCCCCTGGTTCTTTTCCTTCTGGATATTGACTAGCTGCATATTGATCACTACAAGATTGCCTTTCCTCCATTCAACTACCTTCTTCAGGTTCTGGTAGGTGCTCTCTCCCCTTGCACATTGGTTCCTTGGGCTCATACCAGCTCTCTATTGTTACTAGTAGAGGTTATTGAGTTTCTTTACAGGTAACTGAATTTTTGCTTACTCAATTCTTGTAACCCTGCTATGACTATTTAAATAATCTTACTATTAAACTCTTTTTTAAAATTAATTTTAAGGGTATTATATTTTTTCCTCCAGACCTCTGATTGATAAAAAATTTACTGGAAAACACGAGGTGTAAAGCAAAGTTAGCCTGTTGTAACCCTAAGAACCTTTTTAAAAATTAGCTATTAAAACCTAGCATTGATACTGATAGACAATGAGACTGGAGGATTTTTCTCTAGTGAAATAAATGAAGCAAGTAAAAAAATTGTCAGTTATGAAAATAAATCCTTGACCTTCACCATTTTATACTTCAATCACACAAACCCAAAATAAAACACTACTCATGATCACACAGATTCCATTCAACTTTTTAGTACTTTGATTTTAAATATTACTAGAAAATTTATGATTAGTGAATATTAGAAAAAGAAATCAGTTTCTACCATAAAAATACAGAAATACAAATAAGAAGAAAAAAAGAAAATTAGAGAAAACAGAGGCATTATCAAAGGTGATAGAACTTAAAAAAAAACCTTAATTTAATATACCAAGGTATATATGGTAATACATTACATCCATTAATATACCACAAGTTTAGATATCCCTTCTGTTCATATCCCATTGATAAATTTTTATGTAAATTGCCACATCTAAAATCAAGGAAAACAGGTAACATAGTTTGGCTGAATAGCAAATTATTTGAGAGGGGGAAAAGCAAATATACGTATCCACTAAAAAAAAACAAACAAAAACTAATATCATTATAAAAAGAGTTTTAAAAAAAGGAGAACAAAAAATATAGAGATCACAACATCAAATAACTTTTTCAATAAATATGTTCTGGAGAAAGGGATGACAACAGTTGTCTTGTGTTCATTTGCCCCACAAAAAGAGACCACAACGTCAATAAACAAGTTGACTTCAACGCCAGTGACTGAGGAGGTATGGTGGAGAGAACCAGGGGAGCAGCAAAATCTCTGTAGAACATAGAAGCCCAGGATAACACCATAGAGAGGGGAATAAGACATCCCACCCCTGCCACACTGTCTCCCCTGATAGGATTGGCTCAGTGGTGGGAGGACTTATTTTAGGAAAAAGATAAGCTGGAGATCCCTCTTGGTCCCCATTTCTACCATGGACACAAGACAACCTTTCTACAGGAGAGACCCACTGTCCTCACAGCCCCTAAATCCAGTTTGGAGAGTTCTTAAAAGTTTACACCATGCATCCCCCACTCTCATGATCTAAAAATTATACTTTTTTATATATGTATGCATACATATATAATTTTTATATATGTATGCATACATATATAATTTTTATATGTATGCATACAATATAATTTTTTATATATTGTATGCATACATATACTGTTTTATATATGTATGCATACATATATACTTTTTTGTATGTACACATACACATATAATTTTTTATATATGCATGCATACATATATGATTTTTATATAGGCATGCATACATATATAATTTTTTATATATGCATGCATATATAAATGCATATAACTTTTTATATATGTATGCATACATAACTTTTTATATATGTATGCATACATAACTTTTTATATATGTATGCATACATAACTTTTATATATGTATGCATACATAACTTTTTATATATGTATGCATACATATATAACTTTTTATATATGTATGCATACATATATAACTTTTTATATATGTAAGCATACATATATAACTTTTTATATATGTATGCATACATATATAACTTTTTATATATGTATGCTTACATATATAACTTGTTATATATGTAAGCATACATATATGATTTTTATATAGGCATGCATACATATATAATTTTTTATATAGGCATGCATATATAAATGCATATAACTTTTTATATATGTATGCATACATAACTTTTTATATATGTATGCATACATAGCTTTTATATATGTATGCATACATAACTTTTTATATATGTATGCATACATAACTTTTTATATATGTATGCATACATATATAACTTTTTATATATGTATGCATACATATATAACTTTTTATATATGTAAGCATACATATATAATATATAATTTTTTATATATGCATACATAATTTTCCCTCATCTTGGGGTTGAATCGAGTTGAAATTTATTTAGCAGTCTTGAGGTTTCATTCAATTGTCTGAAACTCTTCATGCAAATGACACAGTACACATGCTTTAAAGCACATACCCATAATTTTTAAACTTCTATTCTTGCTTTATTTATCATAGTATTGAGAAATTCAGCAGTCATCACTGTAACTGATATCTATGCCGTGGAACCTGCAGCAATTGCATAAGGCCCTGACTAGGAAGTGTCTGTTTTCCTACATTTCCAGGGTAAGCTACTGATCTATTAGTACTCTTTAGTGGATAGTTTAAAAAAGAGATACGTCAGTTTAAATTTTGAAACATATTCATGACACTAGTTAAGAATTGGCATTTCTTTCACATATATTTATATACAAGAATTTGGGGATATCAAAACCCAAACTGCTAACTCATGTTCAAGATTGTAGGTAAACTAGGAAAATGATTTAGAGATAAATTAAACATGAAGCACAGTTTCCTGTAAATTATAGCTACTAATTTACATAATTGTTTGCTATATTATTAGATACCTTTTCTGAATAGCATTCTAAATATAAAACACCCTGCCCTCAATCATGTTTGGGTCAATTCATACCACTGTGTAACACACATTTCAGGTTTGGTCCTTAAACTAAGCACACCATGGGAAAATTGAGTTTAAAAAATACACCTCTTTCAGGATTCTCTTTTGTTAAAGCACAGTCTAAACTTGGAAAGGTTACTGGTTTTTATAATTCTACTTTCATTCACCTGTGAAGTTGAAAATGTTGAAAGAAAAGCTTTAGATAAATAGTAAATACTAAATAGTAGAGTTTATTTGAGCAAACTAAAGTTCATGAATCAGGGTGCACTAAGAAACAGTAGAGGTTAAGGGAGCTCCACCCAGCAATGTGGGCAGACACTATTTAAAAACAGAAATAGGAAGTGACATACAGAAAGAGCATCATTGGTTACAGCTCAGCATTTGCCTTATCTGGGCATTGTTTGAAGAAGCATTTGCCTCATATAAACGATCTGATCAGTTAGTAGCCTGCAGTTGGCTGAAGTTTGGCTGCTGTGATTGTCTGAGACTCAGCTACTTATAACAAAAATATACTCTTTGTTATGTGTTATCCAAGAGAGAACAAGCCACATCAACAGAGAAGTGAGGGAAAACTCCAAAATTGTGAGCGAAGGAGGAAGATAGGCAGCTTACATGGCCTGGACCAACTAGGATCTGGGAATAAATCTCCAGTATAGGAGAGGGTGAGTGACTGTCTTCTCTGTGATCCATTTTCCCACTGGGGAATTATGCAATCCAGGCCATGAGAGTGCACCTTGACCTCCCCAAGAACTGACTTGACTTGGGGAATGGCCAGAAGACTGTGAGAAGGAATTGCTCCAGGGAAATAATATGCCCCGGGTCCTACATCTGCCCTTAAACCTAAGTTGCTACAACAAGAAGACATTCTTAGACTTAGCTTTCAAACTGCACAGTCCTGGAAACCAGTGTGGCCAGCACAGGGTATTATGGAAACTTGAGCTGTAGCTTGTTGAACTGGGGCCTAAACTAATGAACTGTGGCTTGAATTGAACTGATGGGCTCCTACAATCAGGATTAAAAAACAATCCTAGTATGGGCTCCAGCCACCAGCACTGGAGCCAGACAAATTCCCCCAGGACATAATCAGAATGAGAGTTGCCACAGAGGCTTGGTCCTGAGCTGGGCAGGTGCTTCTATGAACCAGGGCTTAGTTATGAGCTAAGCACAAACTGCCTAGTTGAATGGAACTTCAGGGTCAGCTGTAAGAGCCAGAATGAGAGAAGGAGCTCCATCAGGACTGGGGTGAGAGATGGACACAATTCCACACTTGCCAGCCAGTGCTGCAATTGCTAGAACCAGCAACAGCAACACCCACCCATGGGAGGACCTCAGTGTGGAAGCAGTTACCTCTTACTCAAGCATTTTGCCAGGAACTGAGGACTGCCCCACCTCACTCGCATCACAGCTTGTGCATAGGCTTACCATTGGGGGTCTGAGTTCAGGCTGGCCTGGTCCAATTCATCCTGGGTTTGCCTCACCCTCTGAGACAGAGTGTGGGACATAGGCTTCTGAGGATTCCACACCCCAGCCCTCCTCCTGGGGCACCTAAGCAGTTCTCCCAGAGATCAGAGGTCAGGCATAAACACCCTTCTGCTACCACCTTAGCTGGCTTCTACCTGAAAACACCACCTACTGACCTGGAGGCTGGCCCACATGGCCCATTGCAACCACTTCCAACACAAGAGCACAGAGATTAGGAACTTAAAGAGTCTCTCACTACCACCACTACCACCATTGCCATGTCAACCACCAGCATGTCAACCTAGCTGCTCAGGAGCTTGAGAGTCCACTCACCCACTCAGTACACCACTACTATAATTAGATTCTGAGAAAGTCACTCAGAAACCCAAGAGTTGGCCTGTCTGGAACCACCAAAACAGGTGCCACCATATGCTGTCCCTGGTCACAAAAATAGATATACTTAGCCCATCAACACTATCATTGAAACATGAAGAAGGACCCATCTGGCATTCTAGTTCTCAGCACAACTTCACTGCAGCCTCCACAAATAACCACACCTAACACACTGAGGCAAACACAGATACCAATGGCAATAAGGCTATTTATAGCCAAGTAAGTCATACAAAGTCTTCACCACTGCATCCACCAAAAGGAAAGCCAGACATCCAAACAACCCAAACAACATCATAGACACACTTCAAGAAAAAAGTACCCACCCCCCAACAAAAGTAAATTAAAAAATAAGAGTGACTGTTGCTTCAGATGCATAGCAATCAATGGAAAGACATAGGAAACATGAAAAAGCAAGGTAATATGACACCCTCTAGAAAACACACTAATTCTCTAACAATAGACCCTAACTAGGAATAAATCTCAAATAAAGAATTCATAATATTAGTGTTAAAGAAGCTCAATGAGATGTAAGAGAAAATATTGTAAACTGTGCATTCATCAGGGGACTAACATCTAGAATACACAAGAAACTCAAGCAACTCAATGACCAAAACAAAAATAAAAAGTAACCCTATTAAAATGTGGTTAAAGGACACGAATAGACTTTTTTTTCCGAAGAAGACATACAAATGGCCAACAAGTGTGTGAAAAAATGCTCAAAATTACTAATCATCAGAGGAATAACAAAGCCACACCGGGATGATATAATCTTACTTCAGTCAGAATGGCTGCCATTAAAATGTCAAAAAACAACAGATGGTGAGGATGCAGAGAAAAGGGAACTCATACACTATAACCTTCATGGCAAAGAGTAGAGAAAATTTGGAAATTTCTCAAAGAACTAAAAAATAGAACTACCATTCAATCCAGCAATCCTACTACTGGTATATCTCCCAAAGGAAAAAAAAATCAATATATGAAAAAGATACCTGCACTTGTATGTTCATTGCAGCACTATTCACAATAGCAAAAATATGAAATCAACCTAAGTGTTCATCAATGGATGATTGAATAAAGAAAATATACACACATTGGATATATATACACAATGGAATACGATTTGCCTATAGGAAAAAACTAAATCACATATTTTGCAGCAACATGGGTGGAACTGGAGGCTATTATCTTAAGTGAAACAAGTCAGATGAAAGATGACAAATACTACATGTTTTCACTATTAAGTGGGCACAAAAATGTGCACACATGGACGTAGAGAGTGGACTGACAGACAATAGAGACTTAGAAGTATGAGGGGGTGAGAGTGGGTAGATGATGAGAAATTTCTTAATGAGTACAATGCACATTATTTGAGTGACAGATACTCTGAAAGCCCTGACTTGACCAGTATGTAATCTATGCATGCCACAAAATTGCACCTGTACCCAATACATTTATATGAAAAAAGACAAACTTATGATGACATTAAATTTAACAGCATATTTGAAGGGAAAAATAATTCATTAAACAGAACTCAGAACCAGATACAGGCTCAAAGAACTCCCATCTCTTAATTGCAGTGAATATTTATAGGCAGAAAGTGGAGTAAAGTGTAGAAATAGCTGAATGGTTAAAAAGCTAGGTCTTTGACTTATTTGGAAATGGTCTGAACAGTTGGCAGCTTGTGATTGGCTGAAACTTTTCTGCTAATGATTGGCTGAGACCTGGCTATGTGTTACAAAAATTGGACTCCTAAATCAGGTTTCAGCTTGTTTATGTACTAACTTAAGGTGCAGTTTGACAGAGAGAAACTTAGTCAAGAGACAGCCTCAAGCCAATGTCCTCTTGTTTATGTAATTTAACAAGTTGAAAATTAAAGCAACTAATTTTGCTTTGATAATTGAATATAGTGACCCAATAATTGAATATAGCGACTCAATAATTGAATATAGCGACTTTAGAGAATCACAAGAACCTATGTCAAAATTTATCTGAATAGGAAATAAGTGTTTATAGAGCTACCAAGATTATGGAGTTATTCTTACCCTCATATAACTTAGCCTATATTGATGAAAAACTTGCCATATTTTACAAATTTTATTCCATATTATTTAGGTCCAGTTTACATTGTTGGATTTGGTTTAATTATAACAAAGTTTATTTTCTACTATACAAAAATATAAGAAGACTATAACATTATAAGAAGATATTTTATTAATAATTAGTATTAATACATATTCAAAACCTGTCTACTTCAATGACAAAAAACTAATGAAAGGAAATTTTCCAAACTGGCAAAATAGGAAAATCACAGTCAAAGGTAAATATTATATCTATCTCCTGACTTTTAATGCAGATAGGATTCTCATATATACTGCTTCAAATTAAATTAATGTTATGAGTGGAAAATTGGAGGAGAGAGAGAAAGAATGACAGGGAGGTAGAAGACAGAAAGAGACAGAAACTAATGGCATAAAGAGCTGTTTTAGTAAAATGGGCCATATGATTATTTATCCATATATTCATCATATTTATAAATTTATCATTGACTTGTATAGTCATGAAGAAATGAGAAAACAATTGATTTTATTTAATATGGATGAAAATAAGCTACACTTTTTATCAAAAGTAAAGGAAATCTATATGTATATCCAGAAAATGCATGGTCATGATCATAATGAAAATTGTTCATGATATATGTAGGTGCAAATTACTATTTACTTCGAATAGTGAAAAATTGAAATCATCAAATAGGTTAAAGGAATATCTGACACCTTTGTATGCTGTTGAAAACACAGTAAACAATATTCAGTTCAAACTATTAATACTGTAATATAATTTCTGTTGAATCCATTTTGTTGCCAAAAAGTAAATTGAATTACATATGTAAAAAAGTTTTCAGACTATCAAAGTGACTTGCTAGAATGCTTACTAAAATGGAAAGTCAAAATAAATTAGAAGCCATTTAAAACTCTTTTCCATCAATTTTTTTATAATTAGATCTTAAAAGCTAAAAATTAAGAAACTTTGGATCAGAGGTGAAGGAGCTATTATTGTTGCCCTTGATTAAGTTTAAAAATATTCAGTGGAGCCAGGAATGAAAGCTTTGAGCCTCTTTCTGAGTCATTAATTATTATCAGTGCTATAATAAATATTTTCTATGGAAAAAAACAAATTGGATGTCAATTCAGCATTTCACATATGAGAGAGGCATCGGTAATTAAATAAGTGAGATTCTCTGTAAAAGAATTGTTTTGTTAAAAAGGAGTATGAAAGATTCAAATTGTTTCATTAAAATGAACTGAGGTAGACATTATTATTCTTATGAATTTAGACAATTATTTTCCACAGTATAACCATGCCTGAATTACATATTTAATTATTAACTTTGCAAGTACTTTCCATATTGTACTTAAACTCTACTACTATCTCAAAAATTTTGAAATAATTTGTAATGTATTGATTTATATAGCATTGATCAAAATTGACGGTAATACCCTATAGAAAATAACAAGCAAAAGAATCTCTAGGAAATCCAAGACTAGAAACGAAATTGCTTTTTTAAAGTTCGTTATTGAAAAGCAGTCGGAATTTTTCCAAATTTAATTAGGTATGATAACAAACTTTTTTTAGTCTAAAATGAAAATTAGCCTATGTCAAAATGAAAATCCACTTTTGTGTAAAACGACTCTTCTATTTATTTTATGATTTTCCTGGATGCATACTTGGATATTGTATTTAAGGACTTCTGTAATGTGGTACTGTGTGTTTAAATCTGGTCATTATTTTATAATCTCCTTGAAAATTAGATACTTCGAAAATTAGATTCTTGGAATCTAATTGCTAAAAATTATAGTTAGGGAATTCTATATAACTAATTATTTGATACCGTTCAGCAAATTAAAACATTTACATTAAATGCATAATTATGTTTAATTTCCAAAATCAAAACAATAAATAGAAAGTTAGTTTTTAACATGCGACTTCTACATCTTACATTTAGTAGCCATCTGATTTGAAAACATGAAAAGAAGTATTATTACTTTTAATTGTTGTGTTTTTGATTTTTAGACTCCTAGGTCAAAACAGTCTTTACCATTGTGAACAAAATGTATCAGTGAATTACATTCATATTTTTCATCAGACATATATACAGTATACCACTTGTTTCAATGAACACAACTTATTTGTATTAGTTTTCTTGGGTTGCTGTAAATCTGCAAAACAAACTGAGTGGCTTAAAGAAAAGAAATGTATTGTCTCACATTTCTGGAGGCTAGAAATGTCAAGGTGTGAAAAAGTTTGCTCCCTTCTGAGGTCCGTGAGAATCTGTTCCTTGCATCTCTGCTAGCTTCTGGTGGTGTGCTGCCATCTTTGACATTCTTTGGCTTGTAGATGCATCACTCTGATATCTGTCTTCATGTTCATATGGCATTCTCTGTGTGCGCATATTTCCCGTTGTCCAAATTTCCCCCTTTAAAAAAGACACAGTTATATTGAATTAGGGCCGATCTTAATTGATCGTCTGCAAAATTCTATTTCCAAATAAGGTCGCATTCATAGTTACTGCGGTTAGGACTTCGACATCTTTTAGAGGTATACGATTTAACCCATAACTATTCAAAATGGCCAACCCATAACTATTCAAAATGACCAATCAATTGTAAGCACCATCCATAGGAATTGTGGGGAAATGTCAAAAACATAAAATGTGGTTTTATCATTTATTAAGCATGAAAGTTAAAAAAAATTGTCTGCATGTGAAATAAGCAATCAGATGTGCATAGCGACTTCAATTCAGAGAAAAGAATATGGGTAGTTGCTGCTTTGCCTCTATCTGTCTTATTTTAACCTCCATGAATCTATGTTTACTTAGGGATGAAATGCAGATAGTGACAGCATCTGCCTTATTATATTGATGTGAAAAATCAAATTCATTAAGTCCGTAACATTTTTAGCAACATCCCTGGGATATAATAAAGGGTTTATTAATAATAGCCATGAAAACAAAAATAATAATTAGCACTGAGAGCTAATCCATGAGTACCAAATTTTACGTGTTGAAGTCATTAAATGAAAGTGATCAGGTTGCAGTGGCATATTTCACAAAGACTTGATAGTTAAAAGGGTCAAGAAATTAATTGTGCTGACAGTTAATAAAACCAACGCATATCCAGAATCCAGCCACTCAACTTCCTTCTTCTCACATGCCTTGCTTTGCTTTTAAGCACAGTAACCTATGAATCATGCTTACAAGTTAACAGGATTTCCTAATAAATCACTGAGGGCATATTCCCCTTGAAATACTGCTGTTCAAATACACATCTAGTTTATTTGGATCATATAAATTCTTAGGTCTAATTGAATAAAGGGTGAAATATTACTCAAAATTAGAAGAAAAAAATGACTTTTTATGCATGAAAGAACAAAATTAAATATGGTATTCAATATAATGTTTAAATTAATTTTACCAATACTTTGAAAGATTAGTGAATATATTATAGGTAAAAAATAAACTAACCAACTCATTTCTTTATCAGAACAGAGTATTTCAATTTTTCATCTATCTTAATTTGTTTCTTTTCCTCAGATATTTTATCTAATTATTATCAATTAAACTATGGTTTATGGTCTTTAGAGGTGCCATGAAAAATGTTTAAATAATATAAGTTTAGTTGTAAAATTTCAGTAGGGCAGGGTAGATTTTAAACTTGAAATTCAATTTCAGCATGGTCACAGACTATAATAGAGAGCATAATGGAAGTGCTGTGCCATTAGAGATGTTTTATTATTTATCATGAAATGTAAATGACATCCTGCAGACCATCAGCATACACAATTCACAGAAACTGTATGATGGGCATAAGAGTCATTCATCAGAGAAGATGTTTGATTTGCATTGAGAGGTGACAGTTTGTACTGCTCTGAAATTTTGTTTAATTTTTCTAACCAACAAGGTCATTCCAAATGCAGTGAACATTTTCAAAAGATCTGTTCGTACATAGCACAGACACCGTACTTAAAATTCATTTTATACTATCTTTCCTTTGCACACATAACTCATGTTGAAGTTTTTTGCAGTAGTGGAATCAAATTCAGTGAACCAGCCCTGGATCTAGGGCACATCTTTAAAATTTAAAAAGGCACCCTACTAGGACAACAGGGTTCACCCCAACTATGACATTGTTTTTGTGTATGTATCATATCCTCTAGTCTAGATGTCTATATTGTATGTATAATTAACATGTCTATATTTTAGAATTGATTATGCTTTGGGAGAAAACATAGCAATAAAATATGTTAAGAGACTGAAGTATATAACTATAATTGGTATTTCATTCACATAAAATTAAAAATATACTTTTTCACAAATTGCAGTGATTATATTATCCCAACTGGCAACTCTTATTAACATCACTCTTTATGGAAAACCAAATTAACAATTAGAAAGATGCTTAGAAAGCATCAATCTAGAGCAAAAAGAAGTGATGTGACCGCTGTGGAGAAATTTTCTACTCAGGCAATTATTAGTCTTACTGAAGTAATTCTACTCTTCCTGAGAACACAGCGTGTCTCTATCTTAGACTTTGCTGAGAAAGTTTTTCACTTCTGACTTTTGAGGCTTCCATTTTCTATGATTTACCCTGATGATGTCTTTTAATTGCACATTAATTTTTGAATCAGAGTTTCATAGGATAAATTAAGCTCCCCCATGTGGCATTATAATCACATTGTAATTGCACTTCTTTGAGATTAAAATTAAGTCCCCTTGATTAGAGTTTTGAGAATTCAAGACTTAAAATTTTTCTTTATTTAGCCAGTTGAATGGCTAACCACATTTGTGTGTGGATTTTTGAAGTTTAAACCTCAGAAATCATTCATTGCCCATATAACAATGAAAATATTTGTCTCCAGGACTCCAGAGTGAGTATAAAAATGCATTAGAATTACACAACTTTAAGCATAATAGAAATTTCAGTGTATCTTATGATACCATACAAAGCCAAGAGACCATCAAAAGGCAAATGGAAATGAAAAGATTTTTGGAGCACAGGATATCACAACTGCTATGATGGTAAGATCTAAGGTATCCAGCATTGTGTAATGAGTGTCAAATTAGATAAACATAACTAATTTCTGAAATTACTTCATAATAAAAATTCTGATTCAATCATGTTTAGATTAGTAACAGGAGCATCACACTCAGAAAATACATACATATATCAGTAAATTATTATTTGAAATATTATATATTGAATTAATATATTACTAGATATGCTATAGTTTTAGGACTTATCAATGAACATAAATTCTCAATGCATCCAATGGAAGCAACAGCTAAAATATTTTAAATATAAATTATTTTCATCATTCTTTGACCATTTCTTAATGTCTAGAAAAAATTGTTTCTCAGGTTTCTTTCACAAAATTAAAATTGAACATCAAAATATTCTGAAATCTTGAATTTTATATATCAAATAATAAATACTATATTATATGTTACATGCTCATGACAATGTACATGTCTACACATTCTGCAATAGTTAATACATGCCATTCTACAGTGGAATTTGTAGATGTGTCCTGATGGAGCCCATAGGAAAGTGATGTAAAATAGAGAAGTATTTGTAATATATTTAATATGACAAATTAGAGTGAGCATTCTACTACAGAGGAAAGTGAGAGCAATATCTTTTGGCATAATGTATTTGATCATTTATAGATAATGACAAATATGATAGTAGTTGAGGTTTTAAAAATTCTTCTTTAAATATCTCAAAGCAGTAAAAGTCTTCCCATATATATATGATGAACTTCTGTGCATCAATTTCCTATGTTAAATAAAGCACGGATGAAAAATTTAAAGTCTACTGTTTTTGACTGCCAAGGGTGCTGAAGGAGGTTTAAAAGTAGATCCAGTGCAGAAATAATCTTTCTTAATTTGGTACATCACATATCAAGTAGGATTAATAGGCTATTAGCCTTTGTATTTATTATAATGCTCTGACATTTCATCTATCATATTTGAGTTTCATCTGGAAGGTGTAAACAGCACATCTCCTTCAATTTATCTTGTGATATAGTATAACATAGCAAATTGCTATTTTGTTAATTAACTTATAAGACTTAAAATTACTGTAAATAGAAACAATAATGAATGTTCAAGATCATTTACTGTGCTGAAATTAACCTGCATTCCAATAGCTGCTCCACCTCTCACTATCAGTAAAACTTCAAAGTTAGATAAACAAAAATATTTTATTAAAGTTTGTTTTTAAAGTATTTTGTCCTCAGATTAGAACATACCTATCAATTAAAAACCATATGTCATATCTTCTGTGAAAAAAATGAATAGAATTTAAAGGAAGCTAATTTCATGTTTAAGTAATTTATTTTGTTTTTGTTCCACTAACTCCAACTTAGAAAACCTTTCAGTAGATTCAGAATTAACAAGAAAATAGAAACAATAATGATACTTGCTTTCATCTATGGTGACTATTTTCAACTTTCTCCTTTTAGTTTATTAATTTATGTCATATTTATTAAGCTTTTATGATGTGCTAGGATATAATATGACAATATACTGATAATAATGCTATAAAGAAGGCCATACATGGTTAGGGAGACAGAGAGTGACTGGAGATGGTGGCACTGTAGATCAGGTGCTCAGAAAAGACACCTCAGAAAAGCTCACATGTGAGCAGAAACCTAAGTGGAATAGGGAAAAAAATGAGAATATCTCCCACAAGAGTATCTGGAGCACAGGAAAAATCCAGAGCAAAGCCATGGGGCAAAAATATAATTGACATGTTAAAAGCCCATATGAGAGTGGGAAGAAATTACATTAGAGAAGTGGCTTGAGTTTACCATAAATACTTTAAAAAAATATATCAGTCCGAATTACCTCTTTTGTGTATCAAATAATTTTCAATGACAGAGCTACTTTGGGATAAATAGGATTATACATAAGATATTCAAGAAGTAGACTGTTACAAAATTGCTTAAGCTAAATAATTTCCCTATTCAGTCATTCCAGTAAGCCTTAGAATTAATCTAACAGATAAAAATAAAACACAGTCAGATCCAGTCAGTAAGAAATGAACTTTGCTTCATTCTTGAGATAGTACTACAGAAAAGTTGCATTCTATCTAAGTTTTGCAGTTTTATGAAATTACAAAAAGTCAAGGGAAATCATCACACTTCTCTCCATAAAATCATTTAGAGTTTCCTATTGCTGGCATTTTCCTTCCCCTAGTTCCCCAATATCTCACACACACTTACACCATTTTACAAGTACATTCAAAATACTAAGATCAAATATTTATGATGCATCAATGTCCTAAAAAATAAAATGGAGGACACACCTGTGTTTGAATAAAGTTGGTTTTATTGTCTTGGAGCAATGAGGGTGAATGCACACCATGGTAATCGAATGGCTTTGATTTGAGAGTCTTTGAATATTTATTATAGTAATTTGTCTTGTGTTAGGGAATTTTTCATAGATTCAAGGAAGTAATGCTTTGTTCTAGATTGGTTTTTATCAGGAACTGAAGATAACTCTATGATTGGGTATCCCAGTATTGCTGATGTAGAAGCTGGGAAGAATAATGTAAAGCTAAAGTTGTCATGGATAAAGCAGCACCAGTAATTTATATTAGACTGATGATGAAAATATTTGATAATTATTGTAGTTTGGACATAGTTGCTGTTTTCTCTAAATTTGTACATGAATATGGAGTGGTCTCGTTTTCATCTGATCCACTGAACTCACAGAGAGGCTTTGTCTGGTGTTGATACTGAATTATTTATGAAAAAGAGCATCACAGCAAGTGCCATACAAATTCGGAGGAACACTAAGGCCTTGTTTAAAGTGCAACACAAGCCCCAGGCCAGATCCTAGGTCTCAAAGGTACTTTTCTATTCCTTTAATGTGCATGTCGGGTTTGGGAGATAAAGTTTCCTGGACTTACAAAAACCCTCAACAACTTTCACTCTTATTTTCTAAAAGAGAATAAATAAGATACCTATCAAATGTTTGGAAGGAATGATTGAGGGGAAGACACCTGGGCCTGGAGATTTGGGGGGGTATTCTTTTAATTACAGACTCATTTCTTAAAATCAGTATTAAAAATTTCGACTTTTTATTGCTTCTTTCAGTTTTTAAGGGATATGCATTTCTAAAATTTGTTTTGTTTCTTCTAAAGTTTCAAATTATTGGAAAAATTTCTTTCAAATATGTTATTATACTTAGAATATGTTTTTGATATATAGTGACACTTCCTTTTCACATTTATATTTTTTTATTTCTCTCACTTTTTAACCAATAATTCTGCTAAATGTTGGTCAATGTTTTTAGTCTTTTTAAAAAATCAAAATTGGCTATATTTATTTTTATTTATCATATATATCTATTTTATTCCTTTGTAACTCTAGGTTCGGCGGTTGTTAACTTCTTGAGATGAAATTACAGATTCTTTTATATGCTTTTTTTAATCTTATGCATTAAAATTATACATTTTCCTTTTGGTTTATCACGAGTTTTGATATATTTTTAATTACTTAACTGAGAGTATTTTATTATTCCCATTGGGCTTTTTTCTTTGATTTTGACATATTAGTAAGTATATTGTTTAATTTTCAAGAAGTTGGTTGTTGTTCATTTACCATGTTATTACATTCCAGCTTAATTTATCTATTGCCGTAGACTATTCTATGACTTTTTTTGAGGCCTCAAATTTATTGAGCTCTATCTTCCACTGTGTTATTATGTGAACATGAATAGAATGTGTATTTTGCCATTGTCAGTTGTTATGTTGTATATATCAAGTATATAGATTTTGTTAATTGTGTGTTTATTTAATTATATTGTTCAGAGCTTCTATAAATTTGCTGATTTTTGTTCTATTGTCTTTAGGTATGATAGTTAATATTTTCTATTTTAGTTTTGCTATGGTCTGAATATTTGTGTCCTTCCAAAATTTATATGTTGAAATCCTAACCTGCAATGTAAGAATATTAGGAGGTGGGGCCATCAGGAGGTTCTTAGATCATGGGAGCAGAGCCTTCATGATGGGCTGTTAGGTTTGGGAGATAAAGTTTCCTGGCCTCATAAAAACCCTCAATAACTTTCATTCCTGAAGGTATCTATTTGATTTTTTTCTGAAATTTCAATTGAGCTGCTGGTTTCTTCCATGCAATATTTTATACTCAATTGTGTGCAGAAGAAGCTGGTGAGATTTCCCTCTTACATAAATAAGCAATTGCAGTGTTTTGCATGCAAAATTTTTAAAAAATTTGACTTGTCCTGATTCTATTTTGTAAATGGAAAACAATCATATCTTTCTAAGCAGTAATGGAAGAAGACTAGTGCTTTGTGCGTTTTGATATATTTGAGTTAACCATAATGTCATACTTTTGACGTGATTGGGTTTCTCATAAGTATCCTAGTTCATGTACATCTGAATGCTAAATAATACAGTGTTTAAGTTTTGTGTTGCAAGAATTGTGCTACAAAAAGCAAGAAAGAAAACACAAAAATTGGCACTGTTATTAAAGAGGCCAGAGAGAGACCCTTTCCACTATCTGGTGACATAGCAAGAAGGCATCATCTATAAGCCAGAAAGCAGGCTCTCAGTAGACACTAAATTGGTCTTAATCTTGGACTTCTCAGCCTCAAGAACTGTGAAAAATAAGTTTCTGCTGTTTATCAGCTCCCCAGTTCATGGTAGTTTGATATAGCAACCCAAATAAACTACATTAAGTTTTTTTTTTTTTT
Source organism: Homo sapiens (assembly GCF_000001405.40). Taxonomy (NCBI): domain Eukaryota; kingdom Metazoa; phylum Chordata; class Mammalia; order Primates; family Hominidae; genus Homo; species Homo sapiens. The sequence continues at coordinate 96,019,691 of NC_000003.12, forward strand.
TGCTTGTTTTGAGGTTGTTATAAGTTGTGTGAAAAATTTAATACATAATATTTTCTTAGGTGATTTATTTTTTCCCATCAAGTGATCACTCTGTTTTTCTCTAGAAATGGTTTGTGCATTAAGGTTTGCTTCATCAGCTTTGCTGCAAAGAGTTATTTCCTGAAATATATTTTTCTATTATTTATTTTTAAATATTTCCTGTTTTAATTTTTCAGTTGTGCATCTTGTAAGCCAGATATGCTTATTTTAGCAGTCAGAAATCTTAGTTTTATAATGAAAGATTTTAGTCCATTTACATTTAAAGTAATGACAGACATATTTGGGATTTGTATCTATCACCTTTTATTGATTGTTATTTGTATCATCTAGATATTCTATTTTCTTTCCCCTCTTGAGGTCCTTTTTTATTAAACAAGTATTTTGTTATTCCCCAAATTATCAATTCTTGCTTGATTTATTAAAATTTAATGCAAAATAGACTGTGGTTGATAGAATAAAAAGATGGTAATTATCAATTCATTTTCTTCTTTTACACAGATGGAACTTGACACATGTAGAAGTAAAAGTAGCCTGTCCTTTTACTTGCCTGGACTATACAACATAGAAGAAATGACACTGCGCTGGTTCCCAGGCTAGATTTTAAGAGGATGGTGAGATTGTGCTGACCTCCTCTTAGATTCCTGAAATCTCATGCAGGACATCATATACATATTATGTTTATAAGAGAGGAAAATCTATGAAAAATTATCACAAAAATATTGAGAAGTTCTACACTAGGACACATGTTTAAAAATTAGAGGAGGTATAATTTTGGTACAGTAATTAGCCAAACCCAAATGTGGAAAATAATTTCTCCAACAAATAGGAAAATCTAGTCTACTTGATGGACATCTAAATTGAATATTAGAAAGTGTTCCTATATTCAGTGGTAGGGTAGAACCAGGTAAGTTCTTACAGGCCCAAATGGAACTCAATATGGAAGTATCTATGTATCAAATTAAGTAATACAATAATTTGAGCTAAATTTTTTCCTTTTCTGCAAGACTTCGGCGAGTAAATAAGAAACCACACCCAAAGGCAGAATCATGTATACAGTTGCATCATGGAGATATTTTTAACTGTGACTTTTCATTAATCTATGCTATAAATTAATGTAAGATATAATTAATATCATACAGCCAATTAAGTACCCGGATTCAGGATTAAATTCATTCTTAAACAGTTTAATAACTGCTTATACTACTTATAAAAAAACTTGAATAGGATTTAAAATTTTAGTGGCACACAAGTTCAAAGCAAGAATATATCTTAATATATTACTATTTTCTTTGTAACAGTTCTAAAGCATTCACTTATATACTTGTTCATGTAACACAAGGTAATTATAATGGTTAGATTTTTGTATTCAACCTCTTCTGTTTTGTATTTTTAGCAAATATTTTAATTGAAAGGTAATCATATTAATGAACACTAGTAATTTTGTTATTATTATGTAATATTAATAAGAGAAAAATGTTTGTAATGTTTCATCAACTGTCTATCTTCAGCATAAATGGAAGAGTGAGTTCCACATTCAGGTTTTTATTTTCACTTATATTTTATATTGAAGAAATATAAAGTCTTTACTCACAACTTTGGGTCACTTGAAAAGGCAGAAGAGTGTGTTAATAACATCAGAGAACTCTGGATCTTCAAGTTGCAATGGGTTATATTATGGAAATGCTACGGAATATTACAGAAATATTATAATAAATACAGAATAATACAGAAATATATACTTATTTATGCTCTACTATGAAGGATTATATAATTTCTGGATATTTATGTTATTTTTTTTCCTCTGATATCAAGTACTGGGAAAGCGTTGTGCTGTCTTTTGGGTAACTATATAGTATTTTTGAAACAATTCTAATCTCTTATTCTAACATTATTGTGGTTTTGCTCACATTTAAAAGGTTTGAGTTTTGAAGATATTGAATATATTCCTGAGATAAGACTCTTTACCAAATTATTTGAAATCATATTGCATGCATCTATTTTCCAGTCACAGACTCATGTGAAAAATGCAATTTTTCTCTACCTTAATTTAGTTTTCTATTCTGAACTAAATTCTTAGTTTAGTATTTTTATCAATCACATTCACAAAAACTTAGTCTGATTCAGTGATTACTCAGTCATCTCAGGTTTGTAACTGAGTCATAATCAGGTATAAAACTCAGGTTTTTTTTTTCCTTCTGTTTTCTTTCCTCCTTAATTTTTTATATATATAATATATAAAATTAATATTATATATTAATTATATATAAATTATTTGCAGAAAATATTATATATATAATTATATATTATATATATATATAATTATATATTATATATATATATATATATAATATATATATATATAGCAAATAATTTTGAGCACTTAAGACCCTGGAGATATAAATGCTAACAAGACAGTCACAGACCTTAATTTTATAAGTTATATTATTTGGGAAAGAAGACAGACAACAAATAAGTAAATAGATGAAGGAATGAGGCATATTCAGATAGTACTCTAAATGCTATAAATAAAAATGAAGATCATGTAAAATAGAGTGGGATCTATTTTGGAAATAAATATAACTAGACAAGGTTACTGATGAGATATAATGAAAGGAAATAAATTAAGTATAATTCTTATATTTTCATAACAGCTTTAATGATCAGTTATTGAGACTGGAAAACGTGAAAGAGCAGTAGAAGGCACGGTGTAGAGGAGAACCAGGAATTCTGTTTCCAAGTCTTAAAAGTTATTGAATTATTTGATTTTTTTTTTAGATATTTTATTTTGCAACTAATAGAGCCACAGTGCCTTTTTATTGATTTGATTTAGGTGTGATAACAGAGAGAAAAACTGAAAAAAGCAAGCTTTGTAACTAATTATTAATTAGCAAGTAGGAAGAAATAATGATTATGAAGGAGTAGATTAAATTTGGTGAACTGTACTAGGTAAGCTTTCTCTTTTTAGCTACCATTAAAAGAAGGTAAAGAAAATTATTTAATTGAGATGGAAGCATATTTTTTTCCCACATGAAATGAAGTCATTAGGAGGGCAACACAGGTCTAGTATGGCACTTTTATGATGTTAGCAAGGATCCAACTTCCTTCAGATCTTCTACTGCGTCACCTCTTGTGTGTGGCTGTCCATACTCAAAGCTGCCTCCAGGAGGCATAAAATCGAAATATAAACATTATTGTTTTCAAATCATGTTTGTGCTCCTGGCAAGAAGAAGAAAAATGTGGAGAGGGGCAAAAAGATGGCAACCACATAGTCTCAGAAACTAAGGAGTCAAGATTTTCTGGCAAAGTAGACTTGTGCCATTAATGAAATTATGATTCTACTACTAAAGCTTTGACATTTCTGCTGAATGTACAGTAAATACTTATTATTTTTAATGCATCAAATATACTTTTAAACAAACTTAATATGTATTATTTGATTAATATATTACTTAATACAACTTGCACAAAATTTGTAATCTTTCCTCCCAAACTTCTCTAATTGCAGTGCTATACCTACCATTTATTGAGAATTCCATTCTTCCAGTTACGCAGGCTAAAAAATCAGGAGCTATTATTTGATTTTTTTTCCTTACATACTAGCTCTAGTGTTTATGTTCCGTTGTCTTAACTTCCAAATATTTCCAGATGCCAACCATTTCTCATGACTTCCAAGGCTAATTTCCTTGCCAAAACCACATTTGGATTTTATAATAGGATTCTAACTGGATTTTCATTTATTCATATAATTCTCAACATAGTAGTCTGTGTTATCCTTTAAAACTGAAATTTAGATTACATCATTCCATTACCACTCTGATTTTGTCATTTACTACCTTTCCCTCAATCATTCTTCTGTCAGCCTCTGTCCTTGCAGTTTCTTCAACAGACCTTCAAGGATACTCTTGGCCAAAGATCTTTGCACTGGCTAGCCTTTCTATTTGAAATTGTCTTACTTCAGATAGCCTATGATTTGTTCTCCACATGCCTCAAATCTTGGCTCAAATTTTAATTACCTAGTGAGGCTTTTCTCTGGCCGGCCACCCTATTAGAAATTATAACATTCTGTCATAGTGTGAACATTTGTGCCCGCAATATTCATATATTGAATTTTTTTTCTTTTTTTTCTTTTGAGACGGAGTCTCACTCTGCCGCCCAGGCTGGAGTGAGCGCAGTGGTGCGATCTCGGCTCACTGCAACCTCCGCCTCCTGGGTTCAAGCGATTGTCTGCCTCAGCCTCCCAAGTAGCTGGGATTACAGGCGCCCTCCACCACGCCCGGCTAATTTTTTTGTATTTTTAGTAGAGATGGAGTTTCGCCATCTGGGCCAGGCTGTTCTTGAACTCCTGACCTTGTGATCCGCCTGCATTGGCCTCCCAAAGCGCTCGGATTACGGACGTTAGCCACCGTGCCCGGCCTTTCATATGTTGAAATCTTAACCTTCAAAGTGTTGGCATTAGGAAGTGGAGTCTTTGGGAGTTGAAACCTTTAGGGTGTTCGAGGGTGGAGCCGCTCACGAATGGGAGTAGTGCCCTTATAAAAAAGACCCAGAGAGCTCTTTAGCCCTCTGTCTGTCACATGAGGAGGATACAAAGAGAAGTTAGCAGTCTGGAAGAAAGTCCTCACCAGAACCAATCATGCTGGCATCCTGATCTCAGACTCCCAGCCTCCGTAACTGTGGGAAATGAATTTCTGTTGTTAGGCACCCCATTTTATGGTACTTTGTTATAGCAGCCTGGACTAACTATGATACATGCCGTTCTCCTAAATGGCATTCTCAATTCTTTTCCCTTTGTTTATTTTTCTTCATTACATACATCAGCATTCAGTATATTAAAATTCCGTTATTTGTCCAGTTCTGTGCATATCTATTATACTAGAAAGTAAGCTTTTACAACAGGAGTTGTTTTGTGCGCTAGGACTCTAGTACCTACAAGAATACTTATCACGTAATAAGTGTTAATTAGTTAATGAGTAAATGGATAAACGAATATAATGTAAATAATTAAAGGAAAAGGTGAGTGGACATTGCATAACAGTTACCATTCAGTGCTACAGTTGAAAAATGCCTTTGAGATGCCTGTTAAACACTTAAACACTAATGTTGGAAATGAGGAGCTACAGCTCAAGGTAAAAATTGGAGTTGCAATATTTTAGTGTATGGGTAGTGTCCAAAGTAATCACAAGGAATAGGAAGCTCTATTAAATTCTGGTAAAGGTAGAAAATTTACTTTAAAATACATTCTAAATTTACAGAGAGCTCCATGACCCTTGAGCATTTTAATTTAAAATGTATCTGTATATTCCAGGTGCAGTGGCTCATGCCTGTAATCCCAGCAGTTTGGGAAGTTGAGGCAGACAGATCTCTTGAGGCCAGGAGTTCGAGACCAGCCTGGCCAACACGGAGAAATCCTGTCACAACTAAAAGTACAAAAATTAGCCAGGGCTAGTGACGCACACCTGTAATTTCAGCTATTACGGAAGCTGAGGCATGAGAATTGCTTGAACCTGGGAGGCAAAGGTTGCAGTGAGCCGTGATTACACCACTGCACTCCAGCCTGGTGACCAGAGTGAGACACTGTCTAAAAAATAAAAATAAAATAAAATAAAATAAATCTATATAGAATGAACCAAATTATCAAACATAAAATATATACACATATATAGTATTTTATTTGTATTGAATTTTTTCCTGTAGCCAGAAGCACTTGAATCAGATTATATGTAAATTCTTTTTCTAATCTTCAAGTTTGTATCTCTGATAAAGACAAAATAAAATTATTCTCTACCACCTGGTACAGAAGTAATTTAAATCTCTTAGAGATATGCTTTAAACTCTTATAGACAACATTTGAAGAATATTTTCTTGGATCTTTTCAAAATTTGCAGGTGCTAAGAGGAAATTCCAGTGTTTTGTCTTTCCAGTTCATTCGTTCTTTTAAAAACTTCAAAGTAGACATTTTTTAAACATTCAGACTTCTGAAGTAGTAGTGTTTCCATTTCTAAGAATGTCCTTATTGTCAGAGATTTCATAACCTATAAGATTATGGGATCATTGTCTAAAATATTTCATAATAAAAGCTGTAGATATAGCTAGCATATTCTCTGGCCAAGAAGCTATTTTTATTTTGTAGAAAATCAAATATAGAACCCTCTAACCAGTTTATCTAATTGCTTTATTAATTCCAATAGGTTTATTTTTTAATTTCTATTGAATTTTTTACATCATTAGTATGTAGAGAATAGTCTTATTGGTTAACATGTAACTTTATTATCTTTCTAAATGCTCAGGAACTTATCATCTGGAATTCTTACAATATTGAATGTCGATTTCAGTATTATAAACAATGAAGATATTATAGATTAATGACTATTCTCTATAATCTTGAAAATAATTTAGGAATCTCACTGTTTATAATCATGCTTTTTGCCGATATTGCAGACAGTTTATCATTTGATAAATCTTTTTGTTTAATTTAATGTACAATTTTTTACTAGGAATGGCTTTTGAAATTATTCAAATTATACTTTAACACATTAATAAAATACTTTACTTGGCTATAGTGTAATGCTTTCATAATACATGATGCAAGGTTTTCTCAGCATTTGTGCATATCTAATTGTGGCTGAGAGCCTCATATAGTATTTTCTTTGTGGTGAATTATTAAATAAACTGATTTTTGAAAGACTTGAAGAGATATTGTAACTTATTTAGTTCAAACTAAAAGTTCCTGATTATTTCCTAAAATCCCTTCATAACAGAAACATCAAAAACGGGTTTTGAGTAAATAGTCCAACTCAACTCTATTACCCTACATTTGTAACTACTTTTTTTTTTTTTTGAGACAGAGTCTTGCTCTGTTGTTGTCCAAGCTCGAGTTCAATGGTGCAATCTCAGCTCACTGTAACCTTCACCTCTCAGATTCAAGTGATTCTTGTGCCTCTGCCTCCCAAGTACTGGGATCACAGGTGCATGCCATCACACTTGGCTAATTTTTGTATTTTTAGTAGAGACAGGGTTTTGCCATGTTGGCCAGGCAACGACCTCCTGGTCTCAAGTGATCCACCTCCCTTGGTCTCCCAAAGTGCTGAGATTACAGACATGAACCACCGCGTCTGGCCTCTAACTGTATATTTATGGCAATTCTTCATTTAGGCATAGATATCTGAATCTGAATGGTGAAGCTTTCACTGGTTCTTTATATGTTGAAATATATTATTGTCAATTAATTACCTTTATTCTCTATCTTACAGTTAGAATATTATATTAGATTTTTGGTGTGTATAGTTTATCAATTAATGAGTATTGTTCAAACAGCATTTAACAGTATAGTTGAAACAGCACTACAGAATATGTATTATGAAAAGAGGCTAAAATATGTTTTCGGAAATGAGGAAATTGAACACACTCACATATATATCGCTCTCTTTTTGTGGTTTTGAAATTAGTGTAATGCTAATGTATAAAATAAATTGGAGTTTTTATTTTAATATATTCTAAAATAGTTCAAATATTTTGGAGAAAAATATTAATAAATTAACATTTTCTCAGTTTCAAACAATGTAGTCTTGGTGTCTTTATTTCAGTAAAGTACCTTCAATTGCCTTTCAAGTCTTTTCTGTGCTACTCTGTTGTTGAAGCATCTGCTTTTTTTGGAGGTTAATTTTAATGATATATGTTTGCTTAGAAATTACTTATTTTCTCTACGTTTTAAAAGCCATGCTCAATAATTACCTGCAGTATTTTCTTATAATCTTTCTGATTTTAGTAGTATAAAAATATATTTTATTTTTTATTAGTAATCTTCCTTTTATCTTGTACTCATTCATTAATCTTTTCAGAGAAGCTTTTTTGATTATTGTTTTGCGTTATTTCAAAACTAATATATAGGAGAAAACATTTCAGAAAAACAGAAATTTCTAGAATGCTACATAAAATGGTTCTATTATTAGACATTCTAGTGACAGGATGCTTAAATTTATTTATATTATTTTGTTCAGCATTTAATCATTTTACTTTCATTTTCTGTTTGTGGAACTTTTGATTTTAAATATCTGTTTCTCATGGGAAACACTTTGAGATGATAAAAACTCTTAAACTCAAACAACAAAGAAAAAGCTGACTACAAGTTTCTACATTTTCTTGTTTTAAGCTTGTTCCTTGTTTCTGTTCCTCAAAGGCACATAATAGAGTCTTTACTCGTATGTGCACATGTGTGTTTGTATATGTGTGTTTCTTAACTCAGACACTACTTCTTGTGATTCATAGTGAGGTTTGACATTGAAAATCAATAACCTTCAGTTAAGTGATGGTTTAAGCGGCAGAATATAAAATGCTTATTTTGGGGCTTACATATTTTATCCTATAAAAATTCAGAATCTGTTATGAACTATTACGTTCAGAAATTCAGATGAAGGAAAGAAGTTATTTTTAGTAATTTTATATTTAGATTTGAATCTGTCTTGGATAATAGAGTCTCATTAAAAACTAGCAAATAATTTTAACTCTACATACATTTTTTCTTTTGTCTACATAACGACTACCTTACATATAGGTCTGTGTAATCAATCAGATTCAATACAATGGTATAACTGAAATGTAAATTACCATCAGATTTGTTTTAAAAGTGGTTGCTATATAATAGAAACTAATAGAACTCTCCATAATGGGTCTTGTGGGGTGCTATTTTAAATACTGAAAAGATAATTCAATTGAATGCACTTAGACCGTTTTACAAGCCAAATAAATTATACATATGTTCACTTGGGACACCAATCTGAAATATTTCTTCAAATTCAAATGAAATCCACAGAGAAAATGTTCCAGCTACGCTCTACAGTGAAGAAATACAATTCAATGTTTTAAATCTACCTTCTTGGCAATAATCCCATTATATTTTTTATCATAATGCCATACTAAAAGTACACTCACGTGTCACTTCACAATGAGGATACATTCTGAGAAATATGCTGTTAGGTGATTTCATCATTGTATGCATATCATGAAATGTACTTAGACAAACCTAGATGATATAGTCTACTATACACCTAGGAGCTGTACTATAGCTTAAGGCTTCTAGGCTGCAAACTTGTACAACATGTCACTATATTGAATACGATAAGCAATTGTAACACAATGGTATTTGTGTATCTATACATATCTAAGCATGGAAAAGTTATAGTAAAAAATACTGTAATTATTTTTACTTGATAATTTTATGTTAATATAAATAATATAATATAAATTTATATTATAAATTAAATTGTTAAATTAATTATAAATATACAAATAAATTGTCTATATATTTTACTAAAATATAAATTTATAGATTTTATTATATACTGTATATTACTGTAATATAAACATATACAATATGTATATTACATAAATGTTATATAATAGGAATTTATATTATATTTATAAATTATTTACAAATTAATATTCATATTCATAATATGAATTTATATTATTACAATGAAGTACTGCAATTATCATCTTATGGAACCATTGTTGTCTGTGCTGTCCATTGCTGACCAAAATATCATTATGTAGTGCATGACTGTAATGGAAAACAGTTGCACGTGAAGTGAGGAAGGTAAAACAGAAATTTAATACTTGAAAGACCTTATATTTTGGGGCTGGCTAATAAAGATCATAATAAAAAATTTTAACTTTGTTAATTTAATATTACATGTTAACTTATCAAGGATGTGCTCCAGAAGAACAAAAATAAACTGTATCTTAGATTAGTGGGAAAAAAAAAAATGGGACAATAAAACTTCATTCAATTAAAAGAAGGCAATAGATAATGGGAAAATAAGAGCAAGACAATGACAAAAAAAATGTTGGTAAAAGTGTACTCAAATATATGCATAATCAATCCTAAAATATGTAAATGATATAAATTATCCCCTGAAAAGTAGATTTGTAAAAGCAGATTAAAATATGACCCTAATCCAGCAATCTTCTGTTTTTAAAAGATGCAGCAATAAAATATTGACAAAAAGGGATGCTATAATAGGAAGATTTGATTTATAGCAATTGAATAGGTAAATCAGGAATTCAAAAACTATCTCTATAAAGGATCATATTATAAATATTTTAGGCTTCGCAGATTTAAATCTCTCTTGCAACTTCTCAACTCTGTTGTTGTAGGATGAAAGCAGGAATCCACTTGTCTGTGTGACAATAAAATTTTACATGTGGAAAGAGTCCACTGGCAAGATTATATGATCTGAATAGCCCTTATTGTTGAAATAACTAAATTGTTGGATTTAAAAAAATGTTGATTTTTTAAAAACTCAACAAACAATATCTTACTAAAAAAGTAAACCAAAGGTTTGAACAGATATTCCACCAAAGAATACATATGCATTGCAACTTAAGTACATGAAAAGATACCCAATATCATTAGACGGTAGGCAAATTAAAAATAAGACTCTTACATATCCCCGCATTACGAAGATGGCTAAAATTTAAAAGACTGGCCATACCAAGCATTAGCTAGGATGTGGAGGAACTGAAAATATACAACTATATAATTTTCAAGTCTACAGCAGAAAGCAGACATTGTTCCTTTAACTAAATAATTCATTTAATTAATCAAAATCCTTGTTAGAAGTGAACATGAACAGTTTGTTCAATACTGAAAATATTTGCAGAGAATGAAGTAGATTTGTCAATAACAAAAAAGCAACCTTGATCATATATGTTCTAAAGCTATGTATGCATTTATTTATTAAAGTATTTCATAAAGTATTTCTAGCAGTCTGAATAAACAACTTACTGAAAACTTGTATCTATTTAGCATTAAATTTTAAAAAATAATTAGTTGTTATATGCACTATAGTAATTATCCTTTATAGTTATTTACATTATTTAGTTATTATGATAATTTAATTTAGGGGAAATAATACTAGCAAGTATAACCACAACTAAATTTCTCCCAAATGGAAAATTCCAAATTTTCTTAGGCATTTAGCATAATATTCTAATAATGTATAATGATTTCAAGATGTACTCTAAAATTAAAACATCAATACTTCATGATTGCAATTCAAATGACTGCAGGGATGGAGGTTGTAGATGAGCTCAGCAACATGGCCTTCTACTCACCAAGTCTGGCCTGGCTATAGCCACTGCCCAGTACCCAATCTGCCAGCAACAATAATGAACACTAAATTCCTGATACGGCACTATTTCCTGGGGTAATCAGACAACTACCTGGTTTGCAAGCTGATTATATTGGATTTCTTCCATCAAGGAAATAGAGATGTTTTGTTCTTAATGTAATGGACACTTACTACGGGTATGGATTTGCCTTCCCTATACGCAGTGCCTCTGCCAAACCTACCATTTGTTTACATACAAAATGCCTTATCTACTGACATGGTATTCATAGAGCATTGCTACTGATAAAGAAATTCATTTCACAGCAAATGAAATGTCCAATGGACCTGTGATCATGCAATGCACTGGTGTTGCCATATTACCCACTGCCCCTGAAGCAAGTGGTTTGATAGAATGGTGGTAGATAGCCTTTTGAAGTCTCAGGGCTTTGGGGTAACATCCCTGTCTTCTGTGGAGAGCTAAACAAGTTAAGGGCCAGTATACAGTGGCCACTTTTGGTCTATTTATCTAACAATTTCTTCTTCAATTTCCAGCCTTCTGAGCTGCTGACAAACTTTAGACCTGCCAGACGACACAATCACATCACATAACCCAATTAATATATAAATATATATATATATATATATATGTTCTAACGTTTGAATGTGTCCCTTTCCAAATTCAGATGTTGAAACTTAAATGGTCAATGTGATAGTATTAAGATGTGGAATCTTTAAGAGGTCACAAGGATTCTTCCCCTCACCAACAAGACTAGGTGCCTTTATAAAAGGAATTGACAGAAGGAATTAATCGTTCTTTTGTCCTTCAGCCTTCTGCCATGTGAAGTCACAAGTATTCTTGCCTTCTGGAGGTGGCAACATTCGAGGTGCCATCTTGGAAGCAGAAACCAGATTCTCACCAGAAATAGGCTTGCTGGTGCCTTGATCTTGGACTTCCGTGGCCTCCAGAATTGTGTGGAATAAATTTTCATTGTTTATAAATTATCCAGTCTCAGGTATTCCATTATAACTGCTAAAAATAGACTGAAACTATATATTCTTAAATGATCTCTAAAGTCCCATTAACTTCCCTGACCATAATCACATGTATAATAATTTCCCATGCTCACTGTGTCTAAATACATTAGGCTCCATCTTGCAACTTGAAAGCACGCCAGGCCTGCTTTTGCCTTGAGGATTTTGTACTTGTTACCTCTGCTAATAATACTTGTCCTACATCCATCTATATGGCTCACATCCTCACTTTCTTCATGTCTTACTCAAATGTTGCCATCTCATAAAGCCTTCTTTGAACATACTCCCAACACAGATTTTCTTTCCTTGCTTTATTTTTTATTCTTAACATTTATGATTATTTAATTAGTACACATTTTCTAATTCATCTTGTTTATTATGTGTCTCCCTCATTAGACTACAAGTTTCTGAAGGGCAGGAATATTTGTCTCTTTTGTTATTTGCTGTACACTCAACCTTGAAAAGCATCTGATACATAGGGGTGGTTAAAATTGACAGATTTTTGAGGACAAAAGAGTAAATTATTATTTTTCCCCTTATTTAAAAAAAATACACCCCAATAGTGTCTTAACTGCTATGCAATTGAGTGCTCTCCCCTTTGTGTGTGGGGGAGAGTAGGGGTAAAAAGGCATCAACTATCATATTCTAGTTTTCTGTCTTAACAGCATTAATAGGCCATATTTTCTTTAAACGATAAACAAAGCAATTTTGCATATCTCTTGCTTATCTTTGAACCAATGCATATATTCTAAAAAATAGTGAGAATAATTATTGAACAAATAAATTTTTTTTCTACAATTGATAGATTTTTCTCAATATTGTGCTACTGGTAAAATATTCGCACTTTTATTTCCTCTTAACCCATTTCCCGTTTGCCCTGAAAATAGTCTTGCTTCCAATCCTAATATAACATTATATACTTTTCTTTTTCTTTTTCTTTTTTCTTTTTTCTTTTTCTTTGAGACCGTGTTTCACTCTTGTTGCCCAGGCTGGAGTGCAATGGCACGATCTCAGCTAGCTGCAACCTCCACCTCCCAGGTTCAAGCAATTCTCCTGCCTCAGCCTTCCTAGTAGCTGGGATTACAGGTGCCCACTACCATGCCTGGCTAATTTTTTGTGTTTCCAGTAGAGACGGGGTTTCACCACCTTGGCCAGGCTGGTCTCAAACTCCTGACCTCAAGTGATCTACCCAACTTGGCCTCCCAAAGTGTTCAGTTACAGGCATGAGCCACCGTGCTGGCCTACATTTCTTTTTCATTATGATTAGAGACAAGTGCTGTTTAGAAATAACTCCAAGGACAGTTTTTATATTTTATTTTCACATTAAAAAATTAGTCAGATTTACTTCAGCCTCAAAGAGTTTGTTTATGTAAAATTAAGTGAGCTCTGGCAGTGAACTGACCTTTTTTTTTTTGTCCCTGAATGGTAAATGGGTTAAAAGGTATATTAACGTGAAATATGGTTTATTTAAGTGTCAGTTCAGTGTCTTAAGCTTTCTTAATAAAACTTGTGATCACCAGTGTCTAAGTGACTTGTGGTAGTAACTCAATCTCCAAAACACAAAATGGTTCTACTTTGTACTGAAAGAGTTAAGATGTCTTCTCTACTGAGTAACTTACTCCCGGAAAGTGACTTATTGGGTCTATTAACTTCAACTAGATTACAAATGAACAAAAGGAATTGACCTGCCTTGTTTGAAATATATCCTAATCTGTTTTATTCAAATGGGAAGCATGAAATAGAGTTGTACATAATTTATAGATCCCAAATTATCTACATTTAATCAATAGCTATTGAGCACCTACTATGTGGAACATATGAGATAGTTACAGTGAAGAATATAACTGTGTAAAATAAATAGTCACATCATGGTTGATTTACACAACGGGGTTTATTCAATAGTCTTAAAAGTTTATACATTAGAAAAGTATGAGCAAACATTACTTCCAAAAGAAAGAGAAGAGAAGAGGAAAAGAGATAATACCAAAAGCACTGAAATACGTATTTTGGGGAACACAACATTATATATAATACATTTAAATATCCTAAAATTTTATAATATGTTTATAATTATGATATATTTATAATTATTCAGTAGTAAGTTTATGTATACTAAGATAACATGAATTATGCTTTATCTTATCACATTAAAAGTCTAATTTAAAAACTTTTTAATAACATTTTATTTTTCTCAAATTACAGGAATACTAAATAGGATTAGGTGAATTTACAACCATTTTAATACAGACAAATTTTTTAATGACTTTCATTTTTAGAGCAAATTGGGGATCATGACAAAATAGACAGGAATATACAGAGATTTCCCACACACCCTTTGCCCACAATATATGCACAAATACCAGCATTATCAGTATCTCCCAACAGAGTGATATACTCTTTACAATAGATGAATCTATATTGACACATCATCATTCAAATTCTGCAGTTTACATTAGGGTTTACTCTTGATGTACATTCTATGAGTTTGGAAAAAATCATAATGGCATGCATAAACAATTATAGTATCATACAGAGTATTTTCACTCCCCTGAAAATCCTTTATATTCTGCCTATTCATATCTCCCACTCTCCTATCCCCCAACCTATGGCAATACTGAACTTTTTATTGTCTTCATAATTTTACCTTTTCCAGAATATTATATAGTTGGAATCACACAGTATGTAGACGTTTTTCTATTGGTATCTTTAACTCAGTGATATGCATCTAGGTTTTCACCATGTTTTTTTATGGCTTGATAGCTCCTTTATTTTAGTGATGAATAATATTCTATTGTCTAGATGTACCAGTTTATTTATCCATTCACCTACAGAAAGACATCTTGATTGCTTCCAAGTTATGGCAGTTATGAATAAAGCTGCTTTAAAATCCCATGTGCCCGTTTTTTTGTGGACATACCTTCTCAGCTCCTTAGGGTAAATGCCAAGAAATGCAATTACAGGGTTGTATAGTAAGATAATGTTTAGTTATGTAAGAAATCACTAGCCTGTCTTCCAAAGTGGTTGTGTAATTTTGCATTCCGAGTAGCAATGAATGAGAGTTTTTGTTGATCTATGCCGTCACGAGCTTTGGTGCTGTCAGGGTCCTGAAATTTGGCCATTCTCATATGTGGGTAGTGGGATATCTTTCTTGTTATAATTTGGATTCCCGTTATATTCTTGTTATAATTTGGATTACCCTGTTATAATTTGGATTCCCCTGATATGTAACATATTTTCATATGCCTACTTGCCATTTGTATATTTTCTTTGGTAAGGTATTTGTTAAATTATTTGGTCCATTTTTTTGATAGTTTTTTAAAATAAGTTTTAAGAATTCTTCATTTATTTTGGATAATAGTTCTTTATCTGATATGTCTTTTGCAAATATTTTCTCACTGTCTGTGGCTCGTTATTTTTTCCTCTTGGGAATGCCTTTCACATAGCAGAAATGTTTAATTTTAATGAAGTCCAGCATATCAATTATTTTTTTCATGGATCATGCCTTTGGTCTTGTATCTAAAAAGTCGTCAGTAAACCCAAACTTATCTAAATTTTCTCCTATTTCATCTTCTAGGAGTTTTATAGTTTTGCATTTCACATTTAGGTCTGGGATACATTTTGAGTTAATTTTTGTAAAGGGTGTGAGGTCTGTTTCTAGATTCATTTTTTGCTTGTGGGTATCCAGATGTTCCAGTACCATTTGTTTAAAAGACTGTCTTTTCTGCATTAAATTGTCATTGCTCCTTTCTCAAGTATTAATTGACTATATTTGTGCTGGTATATTTCTGGGATCTTTATTATGTTGAATTGATAAATTTGTTTCTTTTTTCCATTACCACATAGTCTTGATTATTGTAGTTTTATAGTGAGTCTTGAAGTCAAGTAATGTCAGTCCTCCAATTTTGTTCTCCTTCAATATTGTGTTAGCTATTCTGGGTCTTTTGCCTCTCCATATAAACTTTGAAATAAATTTCTGAATATTTATAAAATAATTTGCTGGGATTTTATATGGCATTGTATTGCATCTATAGATCAAGTTGGGGAGAAATGACATCTTGATAATATTGAGTTTTACTAAATATAACCATGAGCTATATGTCTATTATCCTTCTTTAATTTGTTTCATCAGAGTTTTGTCATTTTCTTCATATGAATCTTCTATATATTTTGTTAGAGTTATACCCAACTATTTCATTTTTTGGTGTGCCAGTGTAAATGACATTGTGCTTTCAATTTCACATTCTTTGTGTACATTGTTGGTTTAAGAAAAGCAGTTGTTTTCTATATATTAACCTTGTATCCTTTAAGATTGCTATAATCTCTTATTAGTTTCATTAATTTTTGTCAATTCTTTGGGATTTCTATATAGATGATACTGTCATCTGCAAACAAGGATAGTTTAATTTCTTTCTTCCAAAATTGTACATTTTTATTTTATTTTTCTTGTTATTGTATTAGCTAGAATTTCAAGTACAATATTGAAAAAGAGTTGGGACAAAGAACAAACTCACCTTGTTCCTGAGCTTAATGAAAGAGCCTTAAGTTCTCACAGTTGAGTATGCTGTTAATGTAAATTTTTTGTAGATATTTTTATCAAGTTTAGAAAATTCTTCTCTATTCCTAATTTTCTAAGAGTTTTTATGATGAACAGATGGTGGATTGTGTCAAATGCTTTCTCTGAATCTAGTGATATGATTGTATTGTTTTCTCATTTTACTTTTTTATGTGATGAATCATATTAATCAACTTTTGAATGTTGAACCAGTCTTACAAACCTGGAAAAAAAATTTACTTGGTAATGGTGTATAATTCTCTTTATACATTTTTGGGATTGATGTGCCAATATTTTGATTTTAGCATTTATGGTCATGAGAGATATTAATCTGTAATTTTTTTTCTTGTAATTTCTTTGTCTGGTTTTGGTATTTGGGTGATGTGGACTTCATAGAATGAGCTAAGAAGTATTCCCTCTGCTTCTATCTTCTCAAATAGATTATAGAGAATTAGAATAATTTCTTCCTTAAATGTTTGTTAGAATTCACTATTGGACTCATCTGGGATTTATGCTTTCTCTTTTGGAAGATTATTAATTATTGATTCAATATCTTTAACATATATATAGGCCTTTTATGAATGTCAATTGTTTGCATGAGTTTTTGCAGATTCTTTCTCTCAAATAATTGGTCTATTTCATCAACATTATCAAATTTGTGTGCAGAAAAGTTATTTATAGTATTTATTGGTTATCCTTTTAATATTCATAAGATCTATAGTGATGTCCCTCTTTTATTTTTGATATTAAAAATTGTGTCCTTTCTTTTTTATCTTAGTTAGCCTGCTTAGAGACTTATTGATTTTGTTAATCTTTTCCAAGAATGAGCTTTTGGTTTCTCTAATATTTCCCTACTGATTTCCTGTGTCCAATATTACTGACTTCTTCTCTATTTTTAAAATAATTATTATTTCTTGACTTCTGCTTACTTTGGAATTTATTTATTTATTTATTTTTTTCATTTACCTCAGGTGGAAGCTTAGATGATTGATTTTAGTTCATCTTTTTTAACATATGCATTCAATGCTAGAAATTTTCCTCTAAGCACTAGTTTTACTAAAACTCACAATGTTTGATATGGTGTGTTTTTGTTTGTGTGCGTGTGTGTGGTGGCCCTAGAGTTGCCATTTTTACAACTAATTCAATTCTACTTTTATATAACACTATACTGCCTCATAGGTGCTGTGTGTGTCCTATAATAACAAAATAATCCTAAGTTTTTCCTCTAGTGTCTTGTATCATTTCTGTCATTTATTCCACTTCTATTCAAGCACACATATTATATATATATATATATATATATATGCATATATATATATGCATATATATTTAAATACATTGTGGATACAATTATTTTGAACAAACTGTTGCTTATTAGACCCATTAAGAATAAAAAATCTTTTATTTTAAGTTCACTTATTCCTTTTAATATCTTTCTTGCTTTATGCAGGTCTGAGTTTCTAATCTATATTATTTTCCTTCTTTATAAAAAAATTAACTTAACGTTCCTTGAAGGGTAGATCTCCTGACAACAACTTTTCTAAATGATTGTCTGAAAAAGTTTTATTTATCCTTCACATTTGAAAAATAATTTCACAGGGTACAGAATTCCAGGTTGATAGTTTTCTTTGTTTTTCTAATCAGTTTAAATATTTCACTCTACTGTCTTCTTGATTGCATGGTTTCTGAGAATAAGTTCAATGGAATTCTCATCTTTGCTCCTCTATACTTAAGTTATCTACCACCATCTCCCACTCCTGGCTACTTTCTTCGATCTGCAGCTTCAGAACATGCCAGGTGTAAGATTCTTTAAACTTATTTTTTTATTTATTCTGCTTGGTATCCTCTGAGTTTCTTGTACCTGTCTTTTGGTGTCTGACATTAATTTGGAGAAACTTTCATTCATTATTATCTCAGATATTTCTTCTGTTTCTTTCTTTCCTCTCCTTCGGGTATTCCCATTTCAAATAATTTTCAACTTTTGTAGTTGTCCCAGGTTCTTGGATATGCTATTCTTTTTCTTTTTTAATCTGTGTTTTCTTTGCAATTCTGTTTTGAAAGTTTCTAGCAATATATCCTCAAGCTCAGAAATTCTTTCCTCAGCCACATCAGTCTCCTAATGAACCCATCAAAGTTGTCTTAGTTCTTTTTTACTACTATAACCGAACATCTCTGACTGGTTACTTTATTTATTTGAGATGGAGTCTCACTCCCTCACCCAGGCTGGAGTGCAGTGGTGCTATCTTGGCTCACTGCAACCTCCACCTCCTGGGTTCAAGCAGTTCTCCTGCCTCAGCTTCCCAAGTAGCTGAGATTACAGGCACCTGCCACCATGCCCAGCTAATTTTTGAATTTAGTGGAGACGGGGTTTCACCATGTTGGTCAGGCTGGTCTTGAACTCCTGACCTCAAATGATCCAACCACCTCAGCCTCCCAAAGTGCTGGGATTACAGGCGTGAGCCACTGCACCCAGCCTGACTAGTTACTTTATAATAAACAGAAGCTTTTCTCAGAGTTCTGGAGGCTGAGAAGTCCAAGATCAAAGTGCCTGCCTCTGGCAAGGGCCTTCTTACTGTGTGATACATGGCATAAGTCAGAAGGGAAAGAGGAAAAAGGGGGCCTAACTTGCCCTTTTATACTGGCATTGATCCCATCCATGAGGAGAGAGCCTTCTTTGACTAATCATCTCTTTTTATTTTATTTTATTATTATTATACTTTAAGTTTTAGGGTACATGTGCACAAAGTGCAGGTTTGTTACATAAGTATACATGTGCCATGTTGGTGTGCTGCACCCATTAACTCGTCATTTAGCATTAGGTATATCTCCTAATGCTGTCCCTCCCCTCTCCCCCCAAAGGATTATAAATCATGCTGCTATAAAGACTAATAATCTCTTAAAAGTCCCTTCCCTTAATATTGTTACAATGTCAATTAAATTTTAACATGAGCTTTAGAGGAGGAAATCAAACCATATAGCAAAAGGCATTTTTCATTTCTGTTACAGTGTTATTGAACTCTAGCATTTCTTTTTGCCTCTTTCTTAAGATTTCCATCTCCCTGCTTACAGTGCTTATTTGCTCTTGCATGTTGCCTATTTATCCATTAGAGTATTTTTAGTATTAATAATAGTTATGTTAAATTCCCCGCCTTATAATTCCAATATCCCTGCTAAATCTGATTCTAAGACTTGCTGTTTTAGTGTGTTTGGGATGCTATAATAACATATCATAATGTATATAACTTATAAACAACAAAAATTTATTTCTCATAGTTTTGAAGGCTGGGAAGTCCAAGATAAAGAAACTGAAAGATTCAGTGTCTGGTCAGGGACAGCTTTCTGATTCTTAGATGGTATCTTCTTGCTGTGTCTTCACATAGTGGAGGAGTTGAGCAATCTATCTTAGGCTTCTTTCATTAAAGTGCTAATCTGATTCATGAGGGCAGAGCCTTCATCACCTCATAACTGCCCATCTTCTAACACCCTCACATGGGAGATTAGCTTTCAACATACAAATATGGGAAGAAATACAAAAGTTCAGATCATAGGCTTGCTCTCTCCTTTTAAGCCATGTTTTGGGCTTTCAGTATGCCTTGTAATTTTTTTCTTGATTACCAGATACAAGGTAGTAGACAAAAGGAACTGCTATAAATAGGCCTTTGATTATAAAATGGGGAATGATCTACATTCCTATCATTCATTTTCAAATTTCAGTAAGCCTAGGTCTTTGGATTTTGTACTTCATAAGTGTTTCTCCGTTTTTTCCCCCTTCCCTTATTTGGGGTGGGATGACTAGAGTGAGCTGGAGTTGGGTGTTCTTCTTCCAAGTGGAGGGCTAGAGCTATCTGCAGTTGGTTGTTGCCCTCCCCTTAGATCAATTAGGCTCTGATAAAACCTCAGCATGTTAAGCTAGTTTTTCCTGAGGGCAGACCTTGTTAAGAGTAAAGTGCTGTGACGTATTTCAAAATGGTTCCTTTTTCCCTCCCTCTGCCAGAAGCATGAGGGTCTATTTCTCTGATATTTACTGTGAGGATCCAGTGTATTTCCTAGAGGTAATGCTGACAAAAGCATGGGGATCCCTCCTTGTCCCCCTGGTGTTTTCAACTCTCAGACTAGTCCACACCTAGTCTCCAGCAGTTCATCAACTGGAGTTCAGATTTTTCTGCCCTATATTTGTTCCCATGAGGGTGTCTGCTCCATTATTGTGTATTTCTCTTTGATTACCTTTCTGTCTTCTCTTATTGATCTAAGAAGAGTTGCTAATTTTTCATTTTATTCACATTTTTATTGGTTCTTACGATGATGTGATGACTTTCAAGCTCCTTGCATGCAGAATTGGAAACTGGAAATTCTCATTAATATTTTAGTGTAAATTAAAAAACATCCCAACTGTGTAGATTTCAATATTTTGAAGAGTAGGTAACAAATACTGAAGCTGAGTGATTGTTCATTCCGTCTTTAAAACTGAACTTCCATTATGAAGGTGCCTCATGAAATAGATTTTTTTTTCTCTGTACATCTCTGGAAACGATGTTCCTTATTTCAATTTTCAATAAATTAAATACCTGAGAAATATTCTAATTTTAACTTCAAATAATAAATTTTCTATTCTTTCTATATATTAAATATCTTACATATTAAATACCCACTTTTCCTGAATTCAAGCTGAATGTATCAGGCCCCAAAGGGAGATCCAAAAGGGGTTGAGGCAGTATTTAATTTAGAAGTTTAAGGATCAATAATATTAATCATATTAGTTTGATAATTATTTTAGACATCTATTTCAAAATAGAATATCAGTGTGGTTTGATTGTCAAAATTGTAGGAACTGTAAGGCAGTTTAAAGATAAGTAAAAAAATTATAGGTCAAAACCCACCAACTATTACCATTTGACTATTTCATTATAGTTTTTTCATAAAATGCATTTTTACTAACACATTTAAGATCACTATAGAGATTTATAACGTTTGACAACACTTCATTAGTATTAATTATTTCTAGTCAGTAACATATTCTTTCATAACTAGCTGAAGTCAATACCCAACATCATATTTATTGAAAAAGACCAGATTTTGTCATTCGTGTAAAAACAAAATAAAGAACTAATATTCTTTTAATACTGTATATGTTCTTAAATCATTCTTTTTTGATTTGGAGCATTAGAACATTTGATTTGTACATTTAGAAATAAATCCAAAGGAACTTATCAGAGGTGTGCACAAGATTATCAGTATATAATACTAGCTTAATCTATATAGATTACCAAATAAATTATTTAGTCAGACTAGGTAACAATCAGGAAATTATAACAATATAATATTAAGAAACTCTAAATCCTCAGTTTATTTATTAATATTCATTCATTGACTTTAAGATATAAAATAATATGACTAGCAGATTATCAATTATTGCTTAATAAAAATAATGAAATATCTTCATTTTTATTATGGTGTCAAATATTGTTTTAAAAAGACAACTACAAATTTTAATTTTTCTTTAAAGATGATACATTACAAATGAAGTCATTTTCAGCAAATGGAGAGTGTGATTAGTGGCCTGTGTTTTTCTCAAAGTCACAGTACATTTCAGCTTAAATTGAGTTGGCCATTGACCACAAAATATACTGTCTCTTCTTGGTAAAATGAAGGGAAGGAGAAGTTACTCTATAGAAGAAAATGCAGGGCATAAGGCATATTATATTAATGCATATATACATTAGTAGGCTATTTCACCAAAAAACTCTCTAGGTAAACTCAGGCTGCCATAACAAAGTACCATAGGCTGAGTGGATTAAGCAACAGGAATTTATTTCCCCACAGTTCTGGTGGTTGAGAAATCAAAGGTCAAGGTTGCAGCCAATTTATTTATTTTATTATTTTAGAGACAGGGTGTCACTCTCTTATCCAGGCCAGAGAGTGGCAGAATCACAGCTCACTGTAACCTTTAACTCAGACCAACCTCCTGCCTCAGCCTCACAAGTAGTTAGGACTACAGGTTTGTACCACCATGACCAGTTAACTTATTTTTATTTTTTATTTTTTAAATTTTTTGTAGAGACAGGATCTCACTTTGTTGCCCAAGCTGGTCTCAAATTCCTGACCTCAAGCAATTTCCCTGCCTAGGCCTAGCAAAGCACTGGGATTATAGACATAAGCCACTGTACTGGGCCCCAATACATTTTTTTGTAAAGGTTCTCTTCCTGATTACAGAGGTCCACCTTTTTGGTGAGTTCTTACACGGTAGGATGAAAGAGAGCAAGCTCTCTGGTCTATCGTCTTATAAAGGCACTAATACCTCATGACCTCATCTAAACCTAATTACCTCCAAAAGTTCACATGTTTAAATACCATCGCATTGTGGTTAGGACCTCAGCATGTGAATTTTGGGGGAACACATTTCAATTCAAAGCTAAAACATTTTAGAATTTTACCAACTTACAAAATATTCATATTTATTGTTATTTCCATTATTTTTTGAACAATTGGGTAATACACATCCTAAAAACTAATTTGTCTCAACTTTCTCTTTTTTCTAATAAAATAATGATTGTAATATTTTGACTTTGTACTATATTGAAAATTACTCACAATAAATATCTCAATTTATAAGCTCACCAGTATGACATGAATATGCTGATTTGTATGCATAACATTAATATTTGATAATTTAATGAATAAATATAGTACCTATGTTGGTTATGTTAACATATCCTAAGTTTGAGGATTGAGTTTCACATTTAATACCAACTGCCTGTATGCAGTTTTCTTTTGAATTGTTATTCTAGACTCCTATCATATTCAGAAAATTCGTGTTACAGGTGGTAATCAAAACAAAGTAACCTTCTTATATGCATTTGCTGAGTTTTACATTGTAAATTTTACAGAAATAGTTAATATTTTATCATTTTTTAAAACTTTATTTTAGGATTTACTTGATTTGATTTTGGAACAACAGGAAAAAAAAAAGACTTTTTCCACGACAATACTTAAGATTTTAAATTTGCATTCATTTGTTTTCATTTTTCTCAGGAAATTTCACTTCAATTATATATTATTATTGTCATACTTTTTACTTGAAAAATATATATTCATGTACTCAGGTAACTATTCTTTACTCTTTATCTACATTATATTCTGCTTATTTTCCTCTCCAGGTTTTATCCCTTTATTCTGGGAGGGCTTTATTTTCTGGCTTCATTTTCTGGCTTAATTTTCTTAAGGCACCATTGTATACTTTATTCACACAATATACATTATTTTCCTTATTACGTTTCTACTTTCTCTCTGTTTATTCTTCTTTTGCTCTCATCCTGTCTTGGTTTTGCTTGGAAATGAAGACTTACTCCCATGCCACTCAAATTTCAGTTTCTAAGAGTATTTCAAAAATCTGAACTTTTCCTATTTGCTATTAATATTTTTTTCAAATGTTGTAATTTCTCAATCATCCTTTGTTATCCTTTGTTATCTAGGAATGCCCCTTCTTGACAGAGGTCCACTTCCAAAGTCTCCATTCTGCTGTTCACCATGGACACCATACTTCCAATTCTGCTGCGCTTCTTTCAATGAAACCTACATTTACAGCTCTCATTTATTAGTCTGTTCTCGCGGTGCTGTGAAGAAATACCCAAGACTGCGTAACTTGTAAAGAAAAGAGTTTTAATTGGCTCATAGTTCCCCATGTCTGGGGAGGCCTCAGGAAACTTACAATTATGGCAGAAAGCACCTCTTCACAGGGTGGCAGGAGAAAGAATGAGAACCAAGTGAAGGGGGAAACCCCTAATAAAACCATCAAATCTCGTGACAACTTACTTACTATCACAATAATAGCATGAAGGAAAACACCATCATGATTCAATTATCCCAGACTGAGCCCCTTCCATGACGTGTGGATTATGGGAACCACAATTCAAGATAAGATTTGGATAAGGACACAGCCAAACCATATCATTCTGCCCCTGGCCCCTCCCAAGTCTCATGTACTCACATTTCAAAACACAAACATGCCTTCCCAACAGTCCCCCAAAGTCTCACCTCATTCCTACATTAACCCAAAAGTCCAAGTCCAAGGTCTCATCTAAGACAAGGCAAGTTCCTTCTGCCTATGAGCCTGCAAAAATCAAAACCAAGTTAGTTACTTCCTAGATACAATGGGGGTACAGGCATTGGGCAAATAAACCTGCTTCAAGGAGGAGAAATTGGCCAAAACAAAGGGCCAACAGGCCCCATGCAAATCCAAAATCCAGTGGGATGGTCAAATCTTAAATTTCCGAAATGATCTCTTTGACTCCATGTCTCATATCAAGGTCACGCTTATACAAGAGGTGGGACCCCATGACCTTGGACAGCTTCACTCCTGTGGCTTTGCCCAGTACAGCCTCCCTCCTGGCTGCCTTCATAGGCTGGCATTGATTGTCTGAGGCTTTTTCAGATGCACAGAGCAAGCTGTCCATGAATCTACCACTGGGGTCTAGAGGATGGTGGCCCTCTTCTCAAAGCTTCACTAGGCAGTGCTTCAGTGAGGACTCTGTGTAGGGGCTCTGACCCCTCATTTCCCTTCTGCACCACCCTAACAGAGGTTTTCCATGAGGGCTCCACCCCTCAGCAAACATCTGCCTGGGCATGCAGACATTTCCACACTTCCTCTGAAATCTAGGTAGAGGTACCAAATCTCAATTCTTAACTTCTGCACACCTGCAGGCTCAACATCACGTGGAAGCTGCTAAGGCCTGGGGCTTGCACCCTCTAAAGCCAAGGCCCAAACTGTACCTTAGCCTCTTTTAGCCACAGTTGGAGCTAGAGTGACTGGGATGCAGGACACCAAGCTCAGAGGCTACACACAGCAGTGGGGCCCTGGACCTGGCCCAGGAAACCACTTTTTTCTCCTAGGCCTCCAGGCCTGACATGAGAGGGGCTGCCTCTCTGACATGCCCTGGAGACATTTTTCCCATTGTCTTGGAGATTACATTTGGCTCCTCATTACTTATGCAAATTTCTGCAGCTGGCTTCAATTTCTCCACAGAAAATAGGTTTTTCTTTCCTACTGCAGCTTCAGGCTGCAAATTTTTCAAACTTTTATGCTCTGCTTCCTCTTGAATGCTTTGCCACTGATAAATTTCTTCCCCCAGATACCCTAAATCATCTGTCTCTAGTTCAAAGTTCCACAGATCACTAGAGCAGGGGAAAAATGCTGCCAGTCTCTTTCCATAGCAAGAGTGACCTTTATTTCAGTTCCCAACAAGTTCTATATCCCCATCTGAGACCACCTTAGCCTAGACTCTATTGTCCTTATCACTATCAGCATTTTGTTTAAAGCCATTCAACAAGTCTCTAAGAAGTTCCAAACTTTCCCACATCTTCCTGTCTTCTAAGCCCTCCAAGTCTCTAGAAAGTTCCAAACTTTCCCACATTTTCCTATCTTCTTCTGAGCCCTCAAAACTGCTCCAACCTCTGCCTGTTACCCAGTTCCAAAGTCTCTTCCACATTTTCAGGCGTCTTTACAGCAGCACCCCACTCTCTATGGTACCAATTTACTGTATTAGTCCACTCTCACACTGCTGTGAAGAAATACCCAAGACTGGGTAATTTATAAAGAAGAGAGGTTTAATTGACTCACAGTTCTGCATGGCTGTGGAGGCCTCAGGAAACTTACAATCGTGGTGGAAGGCACCTCTTCACAGGGTGGCAAGAGAGAGAATGAGAACTGAGTGAAGGAGGAAGCACCTTATAAAACCATCAGATCTTGTGAGAACTTACTCATTGTCTCAAAAGTAGCATGGGGGAACCACCCCCATGATTCAATTACCTCCCACCAGGTACCTCCCATGACACGCTGGGATTATGGGAACTACAATTCAGGATGAGATTTGGGTGGGGACACAGCCAAACCAGGGACACAGCCAAACCAGAGGCACAGCCAAACCATATGATCAGGCTTGCCACCTTGATTTTCTGAGTAATTTTATACTTTCTCTATTTTATTTTCTGTATCTTTAGGGTATATTGCACAAATACACTAAGAATTTTTGCATTTATGCAGACTTTCTGTATCTTTCTATGTTTGAACAAATCTTCACTTTTTTAATCTTAATTTGTAATTTTATTCGGTAAACATATAGGTTGAAAGATTTTTTCTTTAAATTTGAAAAGTAAGATGGAAGGAAAAATAATTCTACCCAGAATTATAATTATATATATTTTAAAGTATTGCTTGTACCAAAAAGAAACACAAAAGCTTTTAAAGTAAAAATTTAAAAGTCACATAAAAGATAGTGAGAACTATGAAGGCAATAAGAACAGTCACCTAAAATAACTGTGATCACAGGAACATTCTTATAGCCAAATATCAAAATGAATTATTCATGAAATACTGAGGCTAAAGGAATAATTTGAATCCTAATCATAAAAGGTAATATATATACTCCATCTTTGTTTATAATTTTAGCACAAGATTGAAGTCAGTTTCCAAATATAGTCCACATAATTACACAACTGACTCTATGTGGAATACTATATAGAGTTAAGAGCTAAAAATAGTTCATAAATTCTCTTCTAATCTTTGGCATTATATTTTTTACTCTAAATCACTAAACTATTTTAACATCCCAAGTGCTTACTTTAGCTGAGTTCCCTGAACCTTGACTTAGATAACTGTAGTCATCATACAGAAAAAAGTTATTTTAAGCCTGAATGCTTTCTTGGCTTTGCCACAGTTATCAGTCCTTCCCAACTCAGTCTCATTTCCTCTGGCATATATCAAATCACTGAAACATAAGTACTTGATTCAAAAACAAACCGAATAGTAACCAACAAACTTATATAAAATCTAAGCAGGAGCATGGGGAAAAAAGTACACCCAAATTTCTAAAATATATCCAAAGAACTCATCCAGCTATGGTTTGGATGTTTGCACTACCCACTGCCTAAATCCGTATGTTGAAATCCTGACCCTCAAGATGATGGCATAGGGAGGGGGGCCTTTGGGAGGTAAATAAGGTCATTAGGGTGGAGCCTTTACACATGGGATTAGTGCCCTTATGAAAGACACTCAGAGAGATTTTGCCTCTTCTACAATGTAAGGGTACAGTGAAAAGAAAGTCCTCTGTAGAATGTGGGTTCTTACCACATTCTGAATCTTCCTACAACTTAATCTTGAACTTCTCTGTCTCTAGAACCATAAGAAATAAATTCTACTGTTTATAAGTCAATGTGTGTATGTATTTGGTTAACGCAGCCCAGATAGACTTAAACATAACCCAAATTTCAAAAAATTCTTTCAGTAGTATCTGTTTTGGCATCATTTGTATTTGTTTCTTCAATATTTGTTTCTCTTATCTACGTAAATAGGCTAAAAATGTGACTACACATTTTGGCCAAAAATTTGAGAAAGCCACTTGTGTCAAATGTTTAGTCACTTTAGTGATCTGTTTTTGACTGAACTTTTAGAAAAGACTTTTATTTACTTATAGTCGTTTATTTTCATATTCTTTTATGTGCAACACATAGACAAAAGTACACTATTAAATATGCTTTTTATGAGTATTCATTAATTTTATGAATAAGTTTTAGGTCTTTAGGTTTGCTGATATATGAATCCAAAAATGTATAAATTTTAAAATTATTTATAGTAATTTACAAACATTAAATAAACCACCAAGAGTATTATCATATATTGTTCACATATTGTTCACAACACCCTCTTCATTCTGCATCATTTATCATTTTCTTTCTCTCCTCAACTTTTTCATTTTATTCACATACTAATCAAATATAGCTTTTCATTACAAACTTGAGAAACTCAATTTATAACTTTTTATATAACAGCAATCAAGTTCCTAAGCCTTCAATCTGTAACTTACAATTATCTGCCTATTCAAAAAGCATTAACTAACATCAAATTCAAAGTCATATACATCATACCTGATTGTCATTCCATCAGTTCAGTCTTTTGTATATATATATAAACTTAATTATTGTTGACAAGGCTAAATTGGGATTTAACTTGTAGCTGTAGCAGGGGTACATTTAAATGTAAATGTCTTTTTCAATGATATATTTTGAGAACTTAGCCAGAAGAATGTGAATCTAATCAAAGTATTTGCACATACAATTTCCTGTGCAAAACAATTATGCAACTAATTTAGCAAGCATGCAATTGTCATCAAGTTGTAAACTTCCTTAATCTTATGTCTATAAGGCAAAAACTTCTCAAAAAGTAAACTTTGACCACAGAAAACATGATAAAGAGAAATAAATGGATATGTGATACAAGTGTTCTGGAGAAAAATCCATTTGAATAGTTAGTCTTATGTGTAAAACCAACACACAAAACATACAAAAGTCTGTAGCAATTTAATAAAAATACACCTTGCACTAATAAATGACATATTTATTAATTTTGGAGACTGCTAACCTAACATCCAAGCAAAAAGAACTTAGATCCCAATAATGATTGTATACTTAATACATTCTCTGATAATTGTCATTTAAACTTCAGTATATGAGCTAATGCAAAATTACAAACTATATTATAAAATGTAACACTAGTCATTATGTTTTCATAGCACCTTCAGAAGATTGCTTTATTCAAATTGAGAAAGAAAATATTGGAGCAAATTTCACAGCACATTGTGTACAGTTCTGTCCTTTGAACATCAGTAAATAAATTATTTTAAAAACATAGGAGCTATGATTTATAAATTCCAGGTTTACAATGAAATTACACAATGCATTCTATTTCAAATTAAATATAAGATCTTAAACTTTATCTGTTTAGCATCTAAACAACATGTAAATCATTCAATTAAATAAAAATAAACAAATCAATGAAACTACAAATTTTGTTATTTAATGTCATGCTGACCTTCCTTCAAAATGTTGACTACAAATTTCTTTAAGTTTTGAAAAGGTACAATCATTTTTTCTGTAATAAGTAGCTCTTCAGCTGATGTGGTATTATCCCTATAAAACAGATATCACTTCCTATATCCTGATGAATGAAAGCTGAAAATAAAAAAAATGCAGCCAGGTGCAGAGGCTCATGCCTGTAATTCCAGTGCTTTGGGTGGCCGAGGAGGATGGATCACTTGAGGCCAGGAGTTCAAGACCAGCCCAGCCAATGCGGGGAAGCCATCTCTACTAAAAATACAAAAATTAGCTGGGCTTAGTGGCGCATGCCTGTAATCCCAGTTACTTGGGAGGCTGAGGCTCGAGAATCACTTGAACCAAGGAGGCAGAGGTTGCAGTGAGCCAAGATTGCACCACTGCACTCCAGCACAGATGATGAAGTGAGATTCTGTCTCCCAAAAAAATTAATTAAATAAATTAAAAAATAAAAATAAAAATGCAATAAGACTTTTACTTCAGTGTAACTTAAGTGTAGAAAATGGTAAATAAAATATAGCTAACATTATAGAGACTATAATTAACAGTATAGTAAAAGAGGTTGTTCTTTATTGAACTGGTAAATAAAACTATAGTTAACATTATATAGAATATTATTGACTATCAACAGATAATTAATAATGTATGTATAGAACACAGCTAATGTATTTTTTTATTATGAGTATTATTATAGTCCAGCAAAATGTCACATTCAATTTCTTTCAAAAGCACAACAAATGATCTACTCTTTTTGGACTTTCAGCCATGTTTGGCCAACAATAATACAGTTTTAGTGATATCTTCAGTAACAATGAAGCAGACTTCTAAATATCTTTAAGAATTATTGAATGATTAGACTTCTAATACTACACCCAAACTGTTTATTGTAAATGTCTTTTTCTAGTTATTGATAATAAGTGCATGAAAACAAATGCAAAGTAAAAATAAATGTTAATTTTATTAGCATACAATTTAGATGATTATGACATATTTCTGATACAGATATTAGTATTAAAGAAAAACACTGTTGAATAAACTGAAAATTACCAGTGTGGTATGTTAGGTTGTTCTTACATTGCTATAAGGAAGTACCTGAGACTGGGATATTTATAAAGAAAATAGGCTTAATTGACTCACAGTTCTGTAGGCTATACAGGAAATGTGGCACTGGCACCTGCTTGGCTTCTGGGAGGACTCAGGGAGCTTTTACTCATTGTTGAAGGTGAAGCAGGAACAGTCATATCACATGGTAAGACCAGTAGTCAGGGGGAGAGGTGTCACACACTTTTAATCAACCAGATCTCATGAGAACTCACTATCTTGAGGACAGGACTGAGCCATTAGGAATCCAATGCCCCAGTAGAGTTTCTGTGTGGAAACTCTAACCCTACATTTCCCCTTGGCACTGACCTAGTAGAGGTACTCTGTGAGAGTTTCACCCCAGTAGAAGGCTTCTTCATGAGCAGCCAGGTGTTCTCTTACATTCTCTGAAATCTAGGCAGAGACTGCCAAGCCTCCTTCACTCTTGCACTTTGGATGTTCCCAGGCTTAACTCCACATGGAAGCCATCAATGCTTACAGCTTGCATCCTCTGGAATAGTGACTTGAGTTGTCCTGGGGCCCCTTTGAGTTGTGGCTGGAGCAATCAGGATCGGGGGAGTATGTCCTAAGGCTGAGCAGGGCAGTGGGGCCCTGGGCCTCTCCCCTGAAACCATTTAGTCTTCCTAGGCCTCTGGGCCTGTGATGAGAGGTGCTGCCTATTAGATCTCTGAAATGCCTTCCAGACTTTTTCCCATTGTCTTGGCTATAAGCAGTTGCTCCCTTTTACACATGCAAATCTCTTTAACAAGTGGTTGTTCTGTAGACTGCTTGGATCCCTCTCCTAAAAAGTTTCTCTTTTCTTTGCCACAGGACTAGGCTGTAAATTTTCCAAACTTTCACCCTCTGCCTCCCTGGTAAATATTAATATTAATATAACTTCCAATTTTAAGTAATTTATTCATTCCTGCATCTGAGAGTATGCTGGTTTGAAGAAGCCAGGCCACACCTTGAATTCTGTGCTGCTTAGAAATTTCTTACACTAGATACCCTAAGTCATCACTCTTAAGGTAAAGCTTCCACAGATCCCCAGGGCATGAAGATGAGGCAGCTAAGTAATTTGCTAACTTATGAGGGTGACTGTATTAGTCTGTTTTCATGCTGCTGATAAAAATATACCTGAGACTGGGCAATTTACAAAAGAAAGAGGTTTATCAGACTTACAATTCAACGTGGCTGGGGAGGCCTCTTACTCATGGCAGAAGGTAAAAGGCCTGTCTGACATGGCGGCAGACAAGAGAATAGAGCTTGTGCAGGGAAACTCCCCATTTTAAAACCATCATCAGTCTCGTAAGACTTATTCACTATCATGAGACCAGCATGGGAAAGACCTGCCTCATGATTAAATCACCTCCCACCAGGTCCCTCCCACAACATGTCAGAATTCAAGGTGAGATTTGGGAGGAACAGCCAAATCGTATTATTCCACCCATGGCTCCTCCCAAATCTAATGTCTTCACATTTCAAAACAAATCATGCCTTCCCAAGAGTCTCCCAAAGTCTTAACACATTTCAGCATTAACTCAGAAGTCCACAGTCCAAAGTCTCATCCAAGACAGGGCAAGTTCCTTCCACTTACGTGCCTGTAAAATCAAAACAAATTAGTTACTTCCTGGATACAATGAGGATATAGGCATTGGGTAAATGGAGCCATTCCAAGTGGGAGAAATTGGCCAAAACAAAGGGGCTGCAGGTGTCATGCAAGGCCTAAATCCAGCGGGGCAGTCATGTCTTAAAGCTTCAAAATAATCTCTTTAACTCTGTGTCTCACATCCAGCTCACGTTGATGTAAGAGGTGGGCTCCCACAGCCTTGGGCAGTTCTGCCCCTGTTGCTTTGCAGGATATAGCCCACCTCCACAGCTTTCACAGTCTGACATTGAGTATCTGAGGGTTTTCCAGGCATACAATGCAAGCTGTCAGTGGATCTACCATTTTGGGGTCTGGAGGATGGTGGCCCTTTTCTCACAACTACACTAGGTGGTGTCCCAATAGAGACTGTGTGTGGGGGCTCCGACCCCATATTTCCCTTCTCAACTGCCCTAGCAGAGGTTCTCCATGAGGGCCCCACCACTGTAGTAAACTTCTGCCTTGGTATCCAGCCTATGACATCTAGGTGGAAGTTCTCAAACCTCAATTCTTGGTTTCTGTGCACTCGCAGGTTCAATACCATGTGGAACCTGCCAAGGCTTGGGGCTTGCACCCTCAGAAGCCACAGCACAAACTCTATGTTGGACCGATTCAGCCATGGCTAGAGCAACTGGAAAGCAGGGCATCAAGTCCCTAGGCTGCACAGAGCAAGGGAGCCCTGAGCCCAGCCTATGGAACCATCTTTTCCTCCTAGGCTTCTGGTCCTGTCGTGGGAGCGGCTGCCATGATGACCTCTGACATGCCCTGGAGACGTTTTCCCCATTATTTTGGAGATTAGCATTTGGCTCCTCATTACTTATGCAAATTTCTGCAGCCAGCTTGGCTTTCTCCACAGAAAATGGGATTTCCTTTTCTATCACATTGTCAGACTGCAAATTATTATAACTTTTATGCTCCATTTTCCTTAAAAACCTGAATGCCTTTAACAGCACCCAAGTCAACTCTTGAATGCATTCCTGCTTAGAAATTTATTCTGCCAGATAACCTAAATCATTTCTCTCAAGTTCAAAGTTCCACAAATCTCTAGGGCCGGGGCAAAATGCCACCATTGTCTTTGCTAAAACATAATAAGAGTCACCTTTGTTCCAGTCCTCAACAAGTTCCTCATCTCCATCTGAGACCACCTCAGCCTGGATTTGATTGTCCATATTATTATCAGCATTTTGTTCAAAGCCATTCAACAAGTCTCTAGGGAATTCCAAACTTTCCCACATTTTCCTGTCTTCTGAGCCCTACAAACTATTCCAACCTCTGCCTGTCACCCAGTTCCAAAGCTGCTTCCTCATTTTCAGGTATCTTTTCTGCACCACCCAACTCCTGGTAACATTTTATTGTATTAGATCATTTTCACACTTCTGATAAAGATATACCTGAGAATGGGTAATTTACAAAACAAAAAGGTTTATCAGACTTACAGTTCCACCTGGCTGGGGAGGCCTCACAATCATGATAGAAGGGGAAAGGCATTTCTCACATGACAGC
This sequence comes from Homo sapiens, assembly GCF_000001405.40. Classification (NCBI taxonomy): domain Eukaryota; kingdom Metazoa; phylum Chordata; class Mammalia; order Primates; family Hominidae; genus Homo; species Homo sapiens. The sequence goes on from NC_000003.12 coordinate 96,053,529, forward strand.
AAACAAGAGAAGAGAGGTTGTACAGGGAAACTGCCCTTTTTAAAACCATCAGACCTCATGAGACATTTTTCCTATCATGAGAACAGCATGGGAAAGACCTGTCTCCATGATTTGATCACCTCCCACCAGGCCCTTCTCACAACACATGGGAATTCAAGGTGAGATTTGGATGGGGACACAGCCAAATCATGTTAGTGACCTTTGCTTCAGTTCCCAATATTTTTTTTTTAATTTCTGTCTGTTACCTCAGTAGCATGGACTTTACAACCCACATCACTATCCACATTTTTGTAACAACCATTTATCCAGTCTCTATGAAATTCCAAACTTTCCCTTATTCTCCTGTGTTCTTCTGAACCTTCCAAACTCTTCCAAACTCTGCCTGTTACACACTTCCAAATACTTTTCCACATTTTCAGGTATATTTATAGCAATGCCCCTCTCCTCAGTATGAATTTTCTATCAGACTGTTTTTGCATTGCTATAAAGAAAGACCTCAGACTGGGTAATTTATAAAGAAAAGAGGTTTTATTGGCTCACAGTTCTTCTAGCTGTGTAGGAAGCATGGTGCTGACATCTAATCAGCTTCTGGGGAGGTCTCAAGGAGCTTTTTCTTATGGCACAAAGTGAAGCAGAAGCAGGCATGTCACAAAGCAATAGCAGGAGCAAGAGGGGAAGGAGGTATCACACTTTTAAACAACTAGATGTCATGGGAACTCACTCACTCTTATGAGGACAGCACCAAACCATGTGTGGTTCGTCAGCCTACCTCCTACCCAGTCTCACCTCAAAAACTGAGGATTACATTTCAACATGCGATTTGGGAAGGACAAATATCCAAAGCATATCAAGTAAACTATAGTTATTCCTCCATCTATTTGAGATAACTTTTTGTCCTCCCAATAGGCTAAAATTGATTACCTACCATTCAATTCTGTTTCAAGTGTCACAGTTACTTTAAATTCCAGTTTACTTTGGTATTGATAAAGGAGGAAGAAACCAGTCTCTCCTGCTATTTTCTTATCTGATGAGCCTCAAAATTGTAGACACAATGAAAAATGCATAGATTTATTGAGTTCTTTTGTTACTCCTATATCAATAATGACTCTCTAATTTACTTGTTATTAGCCAGAATAGAAAGCTTTCTGTTAATCAAATTTACATTTAGCAGCAATGAGATGAGTATAATTGTTTATTCCAAGTGGTATCTCCATACACTTTTAGTAAAAACTAGAATTGTAATACAATTTAGAAAATATATTTTAAAAAGTTTGATACATGCCCTTCATTTGTTAAAACATGTATGATTACATATTATAAAAACACATTTTATATATGTATTTGGACATCATAATAAATAGCAGTGAAGACCAGCAGCTTTGAAACCAGAGCAACTAAGATATTAGTATAAGCTGTACTTAAAAGACCTATAAGTATTCAGGTTGAATAACCAGCACCATGCCTGTGTTTTACTCCTAAATGTGCCACTCTTAGATTTGTAATCTTAGCATATAGCGCAACAATGCCCATATCACAGGGTTATTTTGAGGAGTAATGAATTAATGGAAATAAAATGACTAGACCTAATAATGGTAATTGTAACTGCTCAATAAATGTTAGCTGTTTTGTACTAATACTATTGCAGAATTTTTGGGAACACAGCTAAACTAGCTCTAACTTTACAAATACTTTGAGTATGTGAGTGCCTAGTGAAGGATATGGAGTCATTCCTACCCCATGATGTTTCCTGAAATTTTCTCACTAGAAATTGGTCCCTCTGGATTTGAAGATTTTTTGGTTTCATATATCCTCTAATAATATGCCATGGATGAACCATTGTAAGAAATGATCAGCTTACTCTTTCAGGATGAAATTGTCAACTCACCAAAAGTCATTATGTGTGCAGGGGAGGACAAGCGCTCACTGGTTGCCTTGAAGCTGGTGACCCTGAAAGGTGAAATGGAGCTAGAAACAAAGTTGTTCTAGTTTTCAGTATTGATTTGAACTTAATAGAATTAGAGATTTCCTAATATTGTACTCTTTTCAACAGTCCACATTCATGTTAGATTCTCTTTCATTCATCATTAGTCAAACAGTCTGACATTTTTACACACACACACACATATATAGTATATGTAATATTTTTGTGAATTATCATTTGGTCACAAAATTACTGATGAGTATTTCTTAGATGACATTGAGTTTTCACTGTACCAAAGAAATAATAAAAAGGAGTGTTGGTACTAACGTAATACGTAAGTCTCACAAGTCCTGTTGGCTTCTCTTAATGTAGACCTACTTTAAGCATTGTAAAGTCTATTTCTACCAATGAAGTACAATAGTAGACATTTTATTTAATCAAATACTCAGGAATTTTACTCTGCCTGTGGGAATTAATTTACTTTAATTATATCAGTCATCCCTGGAGAAGCCAGTCCTTTGTATATGTCAACTTATAAAAAAATGGTTTCTTAAAAACGTTATATTTATATGATTTTCATGCTAGGTCCACAATATTTCTAACTGAACTTATTTTTGCAATAACCACATAGTTTGGGGTAATGACTACCTTCTGGTATTGAAAGATTAAGCAAAAAGGAATGGTGATTGGATGGGAGAAGCAGAAAAAGAACACAGAGCAGATAAAGTATTAACATAATCTGTGAGTGAGGAGCTATACATGTTCAAGTTGAATTACTTGCATTCTGACTTATAACAGAAGGATAACTCCTACCTACATTTTTCCTGAAAACAGCAAGTAATATATTGCCTAATATTGGAAAGAATCTGTAGTTCTTAGGAACATCAAGCCAGCACAAGAAATTGAGGACACTAACTAGGAAAGGAAAAGAGATATTCATTTCAAACTTATAAAAGATAACTTCTACCTTTTTATTTGTATTTTAGCAATTAGTGAAAGCAAAACAATTAAAATAATTTTACCAAAATAAATCAAGAATAAGGAATATGTTTGATTCTTCCTGTTTAATTAGTTTCAACTAGCATGGGAGTCATTCATATTAGATTCACCTTTGTGAACTCCTCCTTTCATCTTATTTGAAAGAAATTCAGATCATTATTTTCCTCTTGTTAAATGAGGACATTTTACATTTTTAAATTCCTTGTCTTTATATCTGACAACATCCTTGGCCTAAAAGTTAATGAATTTCTGATTTTTTTTACCATCTGATTAATCTGATTAATGATAGTTGGGAAAAGTATAGACTATTGTTGAAACAACTAAAATAGCTATAAAACTACTGCATACTGTTTCAGTCACACTTTAAAAAGGGATATTACTGTAACTTTCAGTTGTGTGTGGGTATGAAGTCTATTAACAATTATCCTATTAATTGGCAAAATCTGAACATAAACTCTTATGGAGTTATATATATATATTATTTAAGTAAAAAATCATAGGCATTAATAAGTATCCAAGTTGAAATTTTTCTCTAATAGTTTTTGTATCAAATATATTAGTTTTGTATAGCACTGGTAGGTATATCATGGGTCATTTCTGTCTCTGCAAATAAAAATAATTTTCAAAGAACAAATTACACAGTAAAAATTCTTCACTGGTAATTTAAAATTCAATCTGTAAATAATATAAGTACCAATACAAATTAATAACTATATTTTGATATTTAAATTATTGATATTTTTATAATTCCTGGTTATTTTTTTCCCTTCCACACAGCCTAACCTATAGATATTGTAAACAGCTTTTCTGACTGTTCAGTGAGCGAATTGTGCTTTTCTAATGCCTTCACGTCGAGGTCATGACCAGGAAGAATCTCAGCCATCATTTTCCCAGTTAGATTTACTTTTCCTTAAATAATATTATATGAGTCATCTTTCTTTAAAAATTATTTTTCCATCATTTTTTGGTACTAAATTGTGTTCTCCCAAATTTGTATGTTGAAGCCCTAACCCCCATGTGACTGTATTTGGAGACAGGGTCTTTAAATGTAATTAAAGGTAAATGAGTTTATAAGGGTGAGGTCTCAAACCGACAGGGCTAGTGTTTAAGGGAAAGAGACATCACAGAGCTCTCTTTCTTTCTGCATTTTCAGAGGAAAGGCCATGTGAGGACATAAGAAGAAGCTGCTGTCTACAAGATAGGAGAAGAAGCCTCACCAGAAACCAGTCCGGCTGGCACCTTAATCTTGGACTTTTCATTTTTAGAACTGTGAGAGAATAAATTTTTGTTGTTTAACACTCATAGTCTGTAGTCTTATATTATAGCCACCCAAGAAGACTAATAATATTACTAATATTACAGCCAATTTCCTTAAAGATAATGTTTTTAAGAACCATAATTAAATGCTTCTATATATTTTCTGGAATTCTCTTTTCTGTCTTCCATAATTGACCAGTTACCCCAAATTTATTTTACCTTCTTCTTCCTCTTTTTTACTCACCTACTATATTAGCCTTGTTTTCTTATATTTATAAATTAAAAGAAACACACTATGCAATATAATCAAAGATAATGAAAATGTTTTTACAACCATCGCCATTATTATCAAATTACCAATTAGTTGCTATAGCAATACTGCATTACACAATATAAACCAAATGTCTTAAAGCAATTATCATTCTATTAAAACTCAAGATGAAGGATTCAATAATGACAAAATCAATGGCAATCTTTACAAAAAAAGTAAAAATTTTAATCTTCAATATGAAAAACATTAAACCAAACCTAATTCTAACAGTAGTTTATACTTTCTTCAACAATATCATTAATCAGATTGCCCTAATGGTTAAAAAAATAAGAAATTCATTAACTCTTGGGCCAGGGATGTTGTGAGGTATAAAGAAAAGGAATTTAGAAATGTAAAATGTCCTCATTCAACTATTCTAACCCTGATTGTCATCCACTTTGCTGTCTTTTTTTTTTTTTTAACTTTCTGGGATAGATTAATAAAAGATATTGACAGTAAGCATAGGACATCTGACATGAAAGGTATGCAAGTTGGAAATTAAAGAAGAAAGTAAGGGCATGCTTCAGAATGTTCACACATCCTTGAAGTCAGTAAGAGAATGATGGATTCCAAAAGAAGCAGTGATTTTTTTTTATTCCTGCACATGTGCTCCTAGATTTAAAATACAGTTTTATTTTCTAAGAAACAGTATAATCTGGGTCCCAAGCACTATTTTTATTTTTGAATGTATCATAATCATAACTAGCATACTTAATCTGCTTCTGAGGCATGAATTACAATAGCAAGCTGTCCCATGACATCATCATTTTGGGGCGTAGTCCTCTCAAAATAACCACTATCTTTTAAAGTAGAGATTGAGACTTCTTCAGTACATCCACATCTTCTGATTTTCATCTTACCATTTTCTGACACAAGTGATATCAAAGGTACAGGCAAATATTGGCAAACATGTTGTACAAGTTACATGTTTGCCAAGTTTCTTGAACAGTGAAAATTTAGTTCTTAATTTTGGAATACATATGCATGTTTCTCTTTATCAGGTCACTGATAACAATGGTTAATTACAAAATAAAAGTGATCAAACAATAAAAAGTTAAAATATCAATGTCAGAAAACAAAAAAAGATTAGTAAACTCTATTAGTCTGTACTCACGCTGCTAATAAAGACATACCCAAGACTGGGTAATTTATAAAGAAAAGAGGTTTATTTGACTCACAGTTGCACATGGCTAGGGAGGCCTCACAATCATGGCAGAAGGTGAAAGAGAAGCAAAGGCATATCTAACACGGCAACAGGCAAGAGACCTTGTACAGCGGAACTCCCATTTATAAAACCATCAGATCTCATGAGACTTACTACCATGAGAAGACTGTGGGGAAAACTGTCCCTAAGATTTAATTATCTCCACCTGGTTCCACCATGACACATGGGGATTATTACAATTCAAGGTGAGATTTCGGCAGGGATACAGTCAAACCATGTCATAAATCAATGTAGCAGAGGCATTCAGACTGCTGTCTATATAAATACTGGAACACATGCATTTCATGTACACCTAACATAAATTTTCTGCATTTTCCACTGACCCCAGGAAATGGCTGCCAAATGGCATCATAAATCTTATATTTTTTATTATGGACAACTGCCAAACTGGCTGACACACCACTGGCCAGAAAACAAAGAAGAGTGGAATTCTTTTACCAAACTTACCAGAGACCAGTAGGAAGTTGTTGTTTCTATCCACCCTTTGAGAACACTTTGTTTCATTCATAAAATGTGTGCATGTTGTGCTGAGCAAGTTAGGAGATATTAGTGTATCTGAAGAGTTGGAGAAATGGGCTATTTCTGTTGGCCCTTCTGCTTTAATCACCTGTTGAAGTGAGAAGTTTATGTTCACTTTCCTGGATTTCACATGCTATTAGAAAGACAATGACAAAACCTGGAGGTAAAAATGGAGGTCTAGCTAACAAACTCTGATTTATTAAAAAAAAAAAACTCTTAGTAGAAATATAATAATAAGCTATAAATAAATATATATAAATAATAGCATACTAGGTAATAATTTATTAAAAATGAACAGTCTTCTAAGTGCTACAAGTAGATGTGTATGCCATCTATACACAGAGTGAATGCATTTATTAAAGAGTGACTAGGAGAACTTTCAGATAATGTTAAATATTACTAATCATTTAAATATACAGCATCAGTACACATTTTATAGCAAAGCACATCTATTATTTGGATATTATATCGACATAAGTTAGATTTCACATATGCATAAACATTCTGGAATGCTATTTTAACTCACATATTTATGGGCTATTAACTTTTATCACTAGAATTTTAGATAGGTTAAAATCAGAGGGTACCTTTCAAATTCCATATATTTTATAATTTTCAAAATAAGAAATTCTGTAGTAGTCTTTGATATGGTTTGGCTCTGTGTCCCCACCCAAATCTCATTTCGAATTGTAATCTGCATTGTAATCCCCAGGTGTTGAGGAAGGGACCTGCTGGGAGGTGTCTGGATCATGGGGATGGTTCCCCCATTCTGTTCTCATGATAGTAAGTAAGTTCTCATGAAATCAATGGTTTTATAAGGGGCTCATCCCTCTCTACTCTCACTCTTTCCTGTTGCCATGTAAAATGTGTCTTGTGTGCCCTTCACCTTCTGCCATGATTCTGAGTTTCCTAAACCCTTTCCAGTCATGCAGAACTGTGAGCCAATTAAACCTTTTTCTTCTTATAAATTACCCAGTCTCGGGTAGTATCTTTATAGCAGTGTGGGTAAGAACACATACAGTAAATTTGTACTGGTAGAGTGGAGTACTGCTATAAAGATACTTGAAAATGTGGAAGCAACTTTGGAAATGGGTAACGGGCAGAGGTTGGAATAGTTTGGAGGGCTCAGAAGAAGACAGAAAGAAGTGGGAAAGTTTTGAACTTCCTAGAGACTGTTGAATGGCTTTAACCAAAATGCTGATAATGAGGTGGACAATGAAGTCCAGGCTGAGGTGGTCTCAGATGGTGACAAGAAACTTACTGAGACCTGGAGGTCTTTATTGCTATGCTTTAGCAAAAAGATTGGTGGCATTTTGCTCTTACCCTGGAGATCTGTGGAACTCTGAACTTGAGAGAGATAATTTAGGATATCTGGTGGAAGAAATTTCTAAGCAGCATACAAGAGGTGGCAGAGCATAAAAGTTTGAAAAATTTGCAGAGGCTGATGATGTGGTAGAAAAGAAAAACCCATTTTCTGGGGAGAAATTCAAGCCAGCTGACTAAATTTGCATAAGTAACTAGGAGTTGAATGTTAATCACCAAGACAATGGAGAAAATGTCTCCAGGGCATGCCAGAGATCTTCATGGCAGTCCCTCCTATCACAGACCTGGAGGCCTAGAAGGGAAAAAATGGTGTCATGGGCCAAGCCCAGATCCCCGCTGCTGTGCGCAGCCTCAGGACGTGGTGCCCTGCATTCCAGCCACTCCAGCTCCAGCCATGGCTAAAAGAGGCCAAGGTACATCTCAGGCCATTGCTTCAGAGGTTGCAAGAACCAAGCCTTGGTGGCTTTCATGTGGTGTTGAGCCTGTGGATGCACAGAAGTCAAGAATTGAGGTTAGGGATCCTTTGCCTAGATTTCAGAGGATGTATGGAAACGCCTGGATGTTCAGGTAAGGGTTTGCTTCAGGGGTTGAGCCCTAATTGAGAACCTCTGCTAAGGCAGTGTGGAAGGGAAATGTGGGGTTAGAGCCCCCACACAGAGTCCCCACTGGGGCATTTCCTAGTGCAGCTGTGAGAAGAGGGCCACTGTCCTCCAGACCCCAGAATGGTAGATTCACTGACAGCTTTCACCATGTGCCTGGAAAAGCTGCAGGCAGTCAATGTCAGCCCATGAAAGCAGCTGCAGGGGCTGAACCCTGCAAGCCACAGGGGCGGAGCTGCGGAAGGCTGTGGAAGCCCATCATTTCCATCAGCACACCCTGGATGTGAGACATGAAGTCAAAAGAGATTATTTTTGAGCTTTACAATGTAATGACTGCCCTTCCGGCTTTCAGGCTGCATGGAGCCTGTAGCCCTTTGTTTTGACCACTGTATCCCATTTGGAATGGAAGCATTTATCCAAGGCCTGTATCCCCATCATATCTTGGATGTAACTGACTTGTTTTTTTTTTTATTTTTATTTTACAGGCTCATAGGTGGAAGAGATTTGTGTCAGATGAGACCTTAGACCTGGACTTTTGAGTTAATGCTGAAATGAATTAAGACACTTTGGGGTACTGTTGGGAAGGCTTAATTGTGTTTTGAAATGTGAGGACATGAGATTTGGGAGAGGCCAGAGGCAGAATGATATGGCTTGGCTCTGTGTTCCCACCCAAATCTCATCTGTAATTGTAATCTGAATTGTAATCCTCAGTTGCTGAGGGAGGGACCTGGTGGAAAGTACTTGGACCATGGGAGTGGTTTCTCCTATGCTGTTCTTATGATAGTGAGTGAGTACTCATGAAATCTGATGTGTTTATAAGAGGCTGTTCCCATTACACTCTCACTCTCTCCTGCTGCCATGTAAGATGTGCCACGTTTGTAAATTTTCTGGGGCCTCCCAAACCATGTGGGACTGTAAGTCAACTAAACTTCTTTCTTTTATAAATTGCCCAGTCTTGGGTAATATCTTTAGAGCAGTGTGACAGTGTGAGAATAGACTAACATAGTCATCCTTCTCCTTTTCCTTCTTCTTCTTCTTCCTCCTCCTCCTCCTCTCCTTCTCCTCCTCCTCCTTCTCCTCCTCCTCCTTCTCCTTCTCCTCCCCCTTGTCCTTCTCCTTCCCCTTCCCCTTCCTCCTCCTCCTACTTCCCTCCTTCTCCTTCTCCTCCTCCTCCTCCTTCTTCTTCTCCTTCTTCTTCTCCTTTTTTTCTTCTTCTTCTTCCTCTTCCTCTTCTTCATCATAAAAGAGATTAAAGTTTAAAGCTTATTGGGTTAACTTTATTTGTCTCCTGTAGCATTCATGGCTGTCATAAATCTAACACCTTATTGGTCTTTTATATCCATAGTGGCACTCAATAGTCAAAAACATCTTCCATAAGGCTCTAGATAATCTTTGAAAGACATTCAATTAGAAATTTAGGCTGAGTCTCTCTTGTTTGTAAAATTTTGACCTAAGAAAATATAAAAATAGTTCAAATTATAATATAATAATTAAACTTAACACTTCTAAATATCATGAATGTTTACATATATATTTGAAAAAACATTACTCCCATTGTGGTATTGTGAATGATAGTTTATAACATTTCAAATAGTATTATACCAATCATTAAAACACTAGAAATTTTGATGCTGAATATAATGTCTACATGTTTGTATGTGTATATATACATTTACTTACCAAATTATTCAGTGCACACATTTCAGGAGCTATGTAAAATGTGACATTAAAGTATGATCAATATTTATGTGAAATTAGGGTTAAATTACTCTTTACATACAAAATTCAAGTGCTAAAAGAAAAATGTGCATCAAAAGCAGCACACAACGCATATTAATATAAAATGAAGTAAATTATTACATCATTGTTGATAATAGCCTTAGAAATAAAATTTTTTAATGATTTGTTGTATCTATTTATATATAAACAGTATTATAAGGTAATTTATTATTTTAGTAATTATGGTCCCACATATAATACAAATAATGGATTCATGGTTGAATACACAGGTGAACTGAAACATTTTCTGTAACATATTGCTTTAATCCTCACTCTGTATTTTAACTAAAACGTCCATTCTTCTCTACACATTAAAAGAGATTGACAGGCAAACAATATTTAACAAGGATCTGTGATATATGAAATACTCTAGTATAATATCACAGAGCATGAGATTCTACTCTTGTAAATTTTGAGACTAACACCTTAAAAAAATAGAAAAAACAACATAGCTTATTGAAATAAAAAATGTTATAAAATTATTTTTGAAGAAAACATCAAAGTACGAAATAAACTTTGAAAGTTATGTTTGGTTATTTCTGTGTTTTTTATTTAATGGCACTTTGTTGCTTTCAACATTGCCCCTAAGTCTTATGTAATTTTATCAGTTATTCTATAATCCTTAGAATTTAACAAAACTTACATAAATTTATTTTCGCTCATTTTAATTGGCAAAGAAATTGAGACCTAAAATAAAAAGTCATAGCACCTGCTATAAAATATTTATATGTGAATAAAGAGATATCACGATTTCACTGACACAACAGGAAATAAAAGCCTCATTATTTTGTAATATATGTACATATTTAGGGTAACTTGTCACTTTTTCAAAATCAAAATATGTATACGTTTACTTTCTTGCATAGTATTTGTGGACAAAATGAATGCAGCTATTTGCATGTATTCTTAGTCTTCTTCAAACACTTCATATCTATCAATAAGATAAACTGTGCAAACCTATAATAATATATTTAATCATTATGAAAACTATATGGTTTTATTTATCATGAAAATTTGTGATAGTTTAATGATCAAGCATTTGCATTGCTTAGCTAATTTTATTATGAAAAAAAGTTAAAATTTGGCCAGTATGGAAACCTCATGCATAACTGGTGGTAATATAAAATAGTGCAACTGCCTTGGCAAACAGTCTGGCAGTTCCTCCAAATGTTAGACCTCGAGTTACCAGCAATTCTACTCCAGGTAAATAAACAAGATAATAAAAGCATACAACCATGCAGAAACATGTACACAAAAATTCATAACTTCCTTATTCATATTAATTTGTATTTATATTGATCTATAGTGGTGATGAAGTCCTCTCTTCACTTATTGTTATTCTGACTGTTTGTTCTAGCCATAAGTGCAAGTGGGCCATGGAAGACTCCTACCATTACTGTGGAGTTGTCTATTTCTCCCTTTAGTTCAAAAACCTCACATGACCCAATTGTTTATTTCTGATGAATTTATTTAAAAAGTGGTATGTCCATATAATAAAAATGACGCCTGAATAAAAAGGAATAAAGTAGCAATACATGCTACAACATGAATGCACCTTGAAACAATTATGCTAAATGTAATAAGACAGTCACAAAAGACCATATACTCTATGATTTCCTTAGATGAAATACATCCAGCAGAGGCAAACCCACAAGTAGATTACTGTTTTCCCAGAGTTGAAAAGAGGGGTGGTGGATATTGGTAGGTTAGGTGGGAAGAAGGATGTGATTGCTATTGGGAATGCAGCTTCTCTTTTTCTGGGAAGGAAATGTGTGTTCTAAAATCAGATTTTGGTGGTGATCGAACAACTATGAATTCACACTTCAATAAAAGAAAAATATTCAACTGTGCATTTTAAATATATGAATTGTAGATTATGAATTACATGTCAGTAAGTCTTCTAAAAATCTAAGAATATTTTTACTTAGAACAATTTAATTTCAAATAATTATAATATTTTATACCTTCATTGGTGATTATATAGTATATGAAACTTCAGTGGGTAAAAGCATCTTTGAACATATGGAAGATAATAAAATGAAAAACATTTATTTCAATTCCCAATTAAACTGATATAGATTAAAATAAAAATGTCGGCAAATTCTGCATACTGAAATATTTAATAGGTGAGGCCCCAATACTGAATTTTTACTAAAATTGTAGAAATACTAACAAAATGACTTCATTATGAAATTCTGACTATTGTATATTTGAAATTAGATGTTAAATCACACTAAAATTTATGTTTAATCAGTTTTTAAAATACAATCAGTCTTTGAAAAGATTAGACTCACCTTTACCAGCACCTGTCTATCAAAGTGCTCAAAATCCGTATGTTTTTGATTTTTTAGTGGGTCATTAGCCCATGAATGGTTAGCAGTACTCTCACAAAAAAAATCAACAATGCAATTTGAAAAGTCTCGCTATTGATAAATGAGACATGCTCCATATTGATTTAGGAAGTACTTATCATTTAACATTTTCAGCTTGATATAGCAAAATAAGCACTCAATAAACTGTTCACCTACACAGAGAACCATGCTACTTCGATTACACTCGAGTTGATTAAGGCCAATTTAATGATAATTAGTAATTTACAAGGTCAAGAGGCACACATTTCTAACTCCATGTTGCTAAAATGGTCACATCTCATATATCGGTAAGAATGCCAAGTGAAGTACACATATGAAAACTATGTGTAATAGGGTTTTGTATTTTATGAATCTAAATAAATTACCTAAAATTAAATTCAGCTACTTTTCATAAGATTCACATATTCATCTTTAGCTGCTGACACACTTTTATTTTTATGATTATTTCTAAACATAAAGATAAAACACCTGTTGATTTACTTCCAGCAAAGAAGAATCCATATATTTAATTCATTTTCAGTTTCTATATAATGCTGCTCTTTGATTTGGTATGACATTTCTTTTTTATTGCTAGAGAAGTCATATGATATTTTTGTAGTACATATGCATCCTTAATTACAAAAATCTTACTTTATTGTTGATTTCATCACTAAATTATCCAAAGGCGAAAACATATGTATAGGTACACACATTGCAAAGCATCACACGTAACTCAGAAAATGTTAAAAATAAGTGATACTTACTATTTGTAAGTAAAATTACATTTATTTCATTTGAATGAATTTTTAGGAAAATTAAGTTGTTCTAAAACACAGGGAGTAAGAGAAGGACAAATAGAATTTGACTTATTTAATTTCTCAACCATTATACTCCACCTTTAAATTATAATAGCTATGAAGTACTATGTAATACATTATTAGAAAATAAAACAGTCTTTATTTTCCTCTCTCAAACATATAGGCTACACATATACCCCCACACACAAACTTTTGCAGTATTAGAAGTAACTCAATATGACTTTGCAGAATGATATATATCATCCAGCATATGTTTTAATGAAATATTTGGCATTGTGTTATCAAAAATATTGAGAGTGAGCTAAAACTGTTTTCACTTGAAAAAAGCTGGAGAGACACAGGTCCAAAATGCTTAATATAAACGTGTCAATATACAACATCTGAATTTAAAAGATAAAAATGGAATATGCATTCCTTAATGGGATTTGTTAAGTATAAAGGTAAAACAAATAATTTCCTTATTTATAGCCATCAAAGAAAGAGATGAATTGAACTCAGTCCAGCTTGCTATCTTTTATTATTTTTAACAATGGTTTTACATTTTTCATTAAATGTTGAAGGTGTTCAGACTAAGATGTGTTTTTAAACCAAATATATATTATGTGAGATGTCCTTTACAACAGTATTCCAATTAGCAACATGATATTAATCTAGGTTTTAATATGATCCCAAAAGTTTCTCCGTAGATTTTTAATTTGTACTATGGAATCACTCAGTCTACTTTTTAGTAAAAATATGATAGATATTGATTCAGCATTTGTTGCTGTTATTATTAAGACATAATGTTCATAAAAAAACTTTGTAAATATGTCAAAAATACAGAAATGTGCCAAAAATACATAAAAGTCTTGCCAAATTACGTAAATTCTCACCAAAATATACAAAAATACACAACTTGAAGTTTATTACAAAATTTTTATTAATTTTCAAAGAAAACACATTTTTGTCCTTTCGGTAAATGTAACATTATAAATTTATAGTCTGAAGCCCAAAATAAAATTGACACAGATAGAAATAATGTGATTTTGAAAGGTAACATTTTAAAAAAATTCATATTTGCCTTCAGTGATGTCAGACAGTTTCAATCGTTAAAGAAGATTCACTAGATACAACATGACAATGCTTAAAAATCTGAAGTTTATTATAGGAAAAAGATGCAATATAGTAATAGTATTAAAGTGAAGATACACATCATAGCTAGCAGCTGCCTCACAGTAAAGGGTTCAGAGTAGCTACACTTAAGCTCCTATCACCATTCCTCTGTAAGAGCCATGCTTGGACAAAATTTCTTTTCTAGATCAGAAACCGCTAACATGAGCAAAGAACACCTCAGAATTTTGAAGTCCAAAATCGGCTATTTGAAGTTTATTTGATGTTTAATGTTCCCTGTTATCACATATTTTAATTCTAACTCTTCCATTGATGGGTAAATTTCATAGGAACAGCTATGTTCTTAATATATGAATTATCTTAAGGAGCCTTCTTTGCTTTGTTCTTGGACCTACTGTCACAGGATCCTTAGGGTGTTGCTTTGCCAGTAAGAAACCTCTGTGGCTGGTGGTGCATTCTGCCTGAATACTGCTTGCACCTGCTGGGCTTGTTCTGCCTACTCAGCCCAGCAGACTGTGCTCTACTTGCACTACCAGCACAGATCACACATCTACCACCTGCAAGCCAGTTGCAGAGTGGCAAGGGGTGTGTGGGTGAGCGAGCACAGGGTCCAGCCACAGCACACAGCCATGCACACTGGCTGCTGCTGTGGGACGAGAGGCTCCAGCCATCGGCACAGGGTCCAGTTCTGTGTGAGGCTGTTGCTGGACCAAATGTAGTGCTCGTGGCTTCCACTGTAGGCACCCATGTCTGGAAGAGGGGAACACAGTGGCACCCAGAAGCTTGGAGATGCCAGAAACTGCTGAACCCCAAAAAAGGTGTCATAGCCCTGGCTCAGGGATCCCCTAGGTCTGGGTTCCCCAAAGGGATGCAGATCTTCTCTACTTCTCATCACTTGCAATGTGGCAAGCAGGGGTGTTTCAGCCCTGTTTCTATGTTACAGCTCTTTTATTCCTACCTTTCGGCAGGTCCTGTGTTCTTGTCTCATGCAGAGGAAGAGTGAGGTATGCAGACAACTGGAGAGTGAGCAAGGTGGAGAGGAACTTCATTGAGTGGCAGAGCAGCTCTCAGGAGACCCAAACTGGGTACCTCCCTTCTGCAGGCAGGTAACCCTGATGTCTGGGCAACCCTCAGTGGAGAGGTGACCTGGAGTGGGTAGCTACTATCCTCAGGCAGGTCTTCCCCTTATCTGTCCAAGTCTGGCTGAGTCTGGGGTTTTTATGGGCTTCAGAGAGGAGAAAAATGCATGCTGATTGTTCCATGGGTGGTCAGGGTTGGTCTAAGAAAAAGCACCATAAGTTCTCACTCTGGTCTGTAGAACTGGCAGCCCCGGCCCAGGCTTCAAGTCATCCCTGGCTTGAAGGTGGGGCTTCAATGGGGACCCACCCCTTTCTGCCCAGGAACCTGTCTGCCTCCTGCCATCATCAACCTGCCATCCATGGTGCCCAGGCTGTTCATGCTGAGGGACACCTGCAGGCCCACACTGAGCTGCCCTCAGCCCATCCTCAGCCTTCCTTCTGTGCTCCTTGGTGCCCAAAGTCTGGAGGAGGCTAAGGCAGCAGTGTCCTGGCATGTCAGCACTGCCCCATCTATGTACACACCTGGCTGGGTTGTGACAGTGTCTGGGCTAGACTTCAACTTTGCTACAAAATTGGAACAGGCACAATGAGCAAGGAGAATCCAGGCAGCAGGAGCAGGCACTTCTGAGCCTGTGGGATAAGGGGGACTTCCAGGGTCCCCAAGAATACAGGGATTCCTAGGTCTGCAGCCATGGCTGGGTGGCTGCAGCTGCTCCCGGGAGGGCAGGGCTCCCACCCCTCCAACTCAAAATGGGGTAGTGCCCCTGCCTGTTCCTGACCCTGCCAGCTCTGTGGAGTGCAAAGCCTCAGCCATGCCTCCCCCACTGCAGCTGGCATCATGGCAATGGCCATGATGGGCTGCATCATGCCATCACTACCCTCCTGTTTATTTCAACTCAATCAAAATTCCAAAAGATAAAGTTAATACAACCTAAAATTGAAGGCAGAAAACTCCAACAGATCCCTCTTAATAGCCCAAAACCAACTCAATTAAAAATGATTTTTGTTGTTGTTTTTAATAGGAACTCATATTTATTTTGTATTTCTAGAACAGTTATGGATCAGAATGTATTTTCTTTTTTTTATTATATTTTAAGTTCTAGGGTGCATGTGCACAACGTGCAGGTTTGTTACATATGTATACATGTGCCATGTTGGTGTTCTTTAAGGAGTAAATTCCAGAATTCTTAAAATGGCTAATAAGTACTTTCACAGTCTGAATTTAGTCTATTTTTCTTAGTACTATAAACTTAGATCCAAGCAATTATAGATTTGACAATACAAAATTATCATTACTGTGATTTCATAGGAGCACCCATGTTTATATATTTCTTCCTATAAATCATTTGTATCACAATACAAAATTATCATTATCGTATTGTAAAATCTATAATTCAGTAAAGAATTCTTGTTCTTTACAGAAAGATAGCGGCATGGAGCATTTTTCACCTCATGGACTCCTACTCATTATTAAATGAACATGTTTAATATCACCTCCCTCTGAATTCTTCCTGTGTCCCTGCATTTCTAGAAGTACAGGAAATGTAGTCTTTATAGCCTGCAACACAGTGAGATCACAAACCTTATTTAGGTGGCAGTGGTCCTAAATAGTTCTTGATTCACCTGACCTGTATTGAGGTGAGCAATCTGCATCTTAATCATTTATTCCTGTTTATCTGTTGGTTTTGTTTGTGTTTTTCCACCGCATACTTTAAGCAACACTATTCTAAATACAATTGCTTAAGACTGAGTATTTGGGCACTGAAACGTTAAGGGGAATTTTCAACAGGTATTCATTGATTATAGAAAGCTAATATTTGAAATAAATTTTCATTAGGAATTATAAAGGCGCCTGGTTAGTCTTTGCTATTAACAGATACTTATAATTTATTCTTAATTTACTTATGAAAATAACATTGGATAAATGATAAATTGTGTGTCATATTCACTGGTACACATTTTTAACTTCCCATTACTAATCAGCTATCAATTTGGCCAAAGAATCTTGTCTCTCCTGGCACCATCTGGGTTGTCTCTGCTTTTCTTTCTTCAAATGATGATGCAATCCTCCCATATGATTTTTTTTTTCCATTCTCCCTGTCACAACTGGAGAGAAATTTACTGTTTTCCATTTCATTCCCAATTTTGTTGGCAATGTAGCTTTCAATAAAGTCCTTATGAATGAATAAATTTACAAACAAAATAAAATGACTGTGAAATAATATCTAACATATAAAAATATGATAGTTTTTTAGTTAAACATACTTTTAATGATTTATCTTTATTTGTATGTGCTTTAACAATGCTTTTGTTGTTCAGAGTTTTCTTTGGCATGATTATTTTATCCTAGGTTTAAAAATCTGTTACACATTTGTTTT
Organism: Homo sapiens; assembly: GCF_000001405.40. Lineage (NCBI taxonomy): Eukaryota > Metazoa > Chordata > Mammalia > Primates > Hominidae > Homo > Homo sapiens. The sequence continues at coordinate 96,071,197 of NC_000003.12, forward strand.
GAATAGCCTTAGTAGGTATTCAAACCTTGAGGATAGGGAATTCTTTAAAAATAAACATATATGGCCGGGCGTGGTGGCTCATGCCTGTAATCCCAGCCCTTTGAGAGGCCAAGGCGGGTGGATCATGAGGTCAGGAGTTGGAGACCAGCCTGGTCAACATGACGAAACCTGCTCTACTAAAAATACAAAAATTAGCCAGGCATGGTGGTGCCTTCCTAAAGCTTCTGGTGGCTTTAGGCGTTCCTTGACTTGTGGCAACTTAATTTCAGTCTCTGAACTTCTTTTCTCTATGTCTATGTCTCAAATGTCTCTCTGTCTTTTCTTACAAGGGTATTTATCATAGGATTTAGGATAATAAATCCTAAATCCAGGATGGTCTCATCTGAAGATACTTAATTACATCTAGAAAGATTTTTTAAATTTTCATTCCAAATGAGGTCATTTACATGGGTTCCAAGAATTGAAACTTGAGCACATCTCTTTGGGGGTTAATTTTCAACCCAAAGCCCATACCAAAACATTTGTGAACATTTCCATGAAGGTTTCCTGAAATATTTTCAATAAAAAGTATTGTATTGATTGAAGTAGACAACCGGCTGATAAACCATTTTATTCTCTCTCTCTCTCATTCTCTGTATTATTCTATGTACATTCACATACATGTACACACACAAATCATCTGGTATATTACTTTAAGAAACAAAAGTAATCCCATTACTTTAGGTTTACTTTACATTTCTCAACAACTTTTTTCAAAATCTCACTAATTATCATGGGACTAAACATGAAACTGTGCAAATATTAAAAGGGACAATAACAGAAATCCTGCAATTTGTATAGTGACTAACAAGTCAATATACAAGAAAAAGTCAGCATGTATAGCTCCTTTTCATTGATGAGGAAATTTAAGCTAATAAATTCATTGTTTTTGCAAAATTAAATCACTGATAGAGTAGAGGATGTTTACAAAGACCATGCTCTTGACTTCAGGCTCTGATCTCCTCATTAGCAAACAGAATGTTGAACTCCTTTCATTTTCAGAATGTTTCTTGCTCCTCTCCCTCTGACACTCTACTCTGAACTCAGTTTTGGATCAATCCATTGCTACTTCAGAGACTGCCTTTTCTTGAGAAACTATATTCCTCTTCTCATATATCCTCAGATGGCATGCTGTGCCTGAGCATCTTGAATAGACTCATTCTCTAGGTTTGGAATTTTTCCTCTTTAAAATCTGCATGCTCTCCAACACAAACACTACTGTGAGATATTTCAAGCTTGATCCTAAAAGGGGCAGGTGGTTCCAGAGATGAGATAAGTTTCCAACAGATGAAAAAGGAAGTGTTAAGGGGAAAAGCAGTTTCTCAAAAAGATAATATCACTGATATATGTTTCCATGGTAATTTTGTTCTTTAAAATTCTTTCTCTAATATAACTACTTTTCTTAGTATGCAATATAAGCATGTTTCTATCTTTTCAGTGTCTTTGGATGAAATGCAAATATATATATATCACTTACATATCACTGTTTCACATTTTGTAGGTTTAGTGATGTTGATACAGAAAAACTATTCTCTGTTTGTTGTGAGAATCCTCAACTGAAAGAACACAGTTTAAATTTAATTAAATAAGACATACCTACTTGCAGATCTATACTGCTTGAGAAGTTAGGAAGATTTTTACTTTGGAATTCAGTAACTTAACTAAAAATAGCATATCCAGTTTGGGAAGAGAAAGACCTCAAGCTGATCAGTCTCCTTGTCTTCACATTGTAAGATATATTTCTGCTATCTCCAATTTCCAGAAATACCAAATGTGTTGAACATTACATTTTGTCCTCGGTGTTCTGGATTCAATTCAACAATAATATAGCCTAACAAGTTAAATAAAAATATACTTTAATAGAAAAACTAACAGACAAGCATTTCTTATTGAATCAATAAGTAAAAGAGTTTAAGTTGTATCCCTAAATAAATGGCTGCTGTTTCTGTTAGACCCTAGTATTTTACTAAAGAGAAATAATATTTTTCATATTTATATGACAAGTTAAACCTGTCTCTCAGACATCACATTTAAATTTAAATACATTTTAACTTAAAATATATATTACTTCATATAAGTATAAATATACTTATAAATTAGTATAAATATTTGATGAACTAGTTTACAGAATTAAATCAAATCAAGCTATGTAGATGTAAAGAATGTCAGAATATGCTACCATATTGAATTAAATATTTAAAAATTATGTACTAATCTAAGAATAAATTAAGGGAATATGCACTAGTCTAAAATGAAAATAAATTAATAGGTAAATGTAAGCAATACATTTTCTCTGACCAAATTAATCCACTATTGATGGTTTATGTAAATTATTTTAAGATAATATAAAAAGGTTTAGCAGCATGTATAGCAGTGCTTTTGTAACAGAATATGTGACAGAGATTTATTTAATAGTAAGATGGTTATTTTTATATAATATGTAAAAAATGTTTTCCTTATGCAACAACCATTCATAATGGAGAATAGCAGAGAACAATAACTTATTGCATACCTTCATATAATTGAGCTTAGTCACAAAATATTTCTCCCAATAGGGAGTGAAATGGAGGCACGGACAGAATCATAGCCTGGGTTTTCTTTAGAAGATTGAGAAGGCTTTACAGAAGCTAAATAATGCATATGGAAATGTAAAAAATAGTTGATGATAAGTTTATATATGAAAAAAAATACTACTAAATCACATCCAGAAATTATTATCAACATATTTTTAATTTCATATAAATCCAAATGTTGTAAATAAGTTTTTGGCTGAGTCCAGAACCATTAAAATAAAGGTAAACCAATAACTTTGAATTGAAGTCCCAACTTTCTTACATTAATTTTAGATAAAAATATCCCTCAGTACGTCCTTTGTATTGCCTTATATCATCTTTCAGAGTAGATTAAAAAACACATACCAGTCTGTATGGTCTTCACAGGAGTCACATTTTAAACTAAAGACACCAAAATGTTGAAGGCAGAAAAACATGGTTAGAAAAAATGTGAATTTAGAAAGTTTGCTCAATACAATTCTGAATGATCTGGGCATACTTCAAAATGGCTACTTCTTTCCTTCCCCTGATGGAAGCACAAGATAATTCTCTGATCTTTACCCTGATTACCTAGTAGGGCTCTTAAAGATAAAATTTACAAAAGTGTATTATCTCCTCATTCCTCACCAAACCTAGACTCTAAGAGATTTTATCTTTCAAATTAGTCTATGTTCAAACTCCTGTAATTAGTTAGTTACCATTTAAGTGTTGCTAACAGCAAGCACTGTTGCTACCAGCAACTTCTGTTCTCAGTAAACTGAGATTCTCTCTTCATGTGTCTCCTCCTTTTGTTTTTCCCCCTTTGGGGTGAGAGGTTGTTGGTTTTTAGTTGGTACAGCTTTTTTTTCTTGTTGTAAATGGGGGTGATGACTCCCAAGCTCTAAACATGTCAGAACTTTAGGGCTTTTCAACTTCTGCCTGATGTAAATTCAAGTTGTAGCTAAGGATTTAAGGCAAACATTGGAGGTGACTTTGAGTCAGGCCACAATTCTTTTTATACCCTAGTCACTGAAGACTTAAAATGTTACTGTAACTGAGATGTATTTGGCCTAATGGTTCAGTGTCCTATGCAACCCCAGAATTCAGCAAAGTCCCACTGGGGAAATTTGACTGTGTGTTTGAGGCTCTTTAACTGTCTAGTTTGTAATTCTAACCTCACAAGACTGCTGGCAGGTTTTCTCCTTCCTTTTCAGAGAACAAACTTCCTCTGACTGTTCAAAACTTAGCCTCCATATGAAATGAGCAAATACCTGCAGGAAAAATGTCTGTCAATCACCAATATGCCTCTGAAGAGTTTAGTCCTCTCTGGAATTTTTATTTATTTAGTCCTCATTACTTTCTAACACCTTCACAAGGTATTTTTGTGTGTGATTTTCCCAGCTTTTCATTGTTGTTTTTTCCACAGGATCATTGACTAGCCATGGCCTTTACCTTTTACATGGAAATAAATGTTTCCTTTCTGCCATTTTAAAAGGTTATTTTAACTGTCTATGCAATACTGGACTGGCATTTAGTACTTTCATAATTTTTTTTTTTTTTTTGAGACAGAGTCTTGCTCTGTCACCAGGCTAGAGTGCAGTGTCGTGATCTTGGCTCACTGCAACCTTTCTCCCGGGTTCAAGCGATTCTCTTGCCTCAGCCTCCCGAGTAGCTGGGACTATAGGCACACACCACCACGCCCAGCTAATTTTTGTATTTTTAGTAGAGACAGGGTTTCACCATGTTGGTCAGGACGGTCTCGATCTCTTGATCTTGTGATCTGCCTGCCTCAGCCTCCCAAAGTGCTGGGATTACAGGCGTGAGCCACCGCACCTGGCCATACTTTCCTAATTTTAAAGTTGTCTTCTGATTGTCCTTTGGTTTCAGCATTTCTTTTAACTTATATTTTGTTCATTCTCTTTGAATTTAAGATTTATTGTTTGTTTCTGATTTCCAGGAGTTTTGTTATACTATTTTCTCTGAATTTATATCACTTAGAAATTACAGAACATTTGAATCTTTGAGATGCTAGTTAATTTCTAACATCAATTTTTGAAAATTCTCAACTACTATCTCCTCAGATACAATTTGTGTGAAATCCTTTAACCTCTGCTCTTGAGATTCCAGTTACATGTGTGAGAGATTATTTTATAGTATTCCAGGTCTTTTATTCTCTTTTATTTAATTTCCTTTAAAGAAATCCCCATGTTTTTAGTTTCTGAGGGTTGCTATAACACATTTCCACAAACTGGGTGGCTTAATAAAACGGAAGATATTATCTCACAGTCTAAAGTCTAGAAGTCCAAAATCAGGATGTCAGAAGAATGGGTTCTCTCTGAGAGCTTTGTTCCATGTATCTCTTTTAGCTTCTGGTGCCAGCTGGCAACTGGCTTGTCGATGCATCCTTCCGATCTTAGTTCCTATCTTCACATGGTATTCTCCTCATATTTCTGTCTTCATGTCGCTGCCTTTCCTCTGGGTTTCTCTTCTCTTCATATAAAAATTCACTTACATTCAATTAAGAGCCCACCCTACTCCAGAATGACCCCATCTTAACCAATTATATCTGCCAATAATTTTGTGTCCAAACAAGGTCCCATTCTGAGGTACTGGGGGTTAGGGCTTCAACACATATCTTTGGGGAATCACAATTTAACCCATAGCATAGCAATTGATTTTGCATATTTTCTTTTGACCTATCTTTAAGTTTAGTAACTTCATCATCTGCTCTTTAATTATTTTATTAGTCACGATTCTGGAAGTTAACCTTTAATGTTTTTTAAAATAAATTATAGTTTTGAAAATTATTTCATTCATTTATTTTATTCCAGATTTATTCCATTTTTAATAAATAAATTTAAGTTTCTGTCTATTAACTTTAATATCTGGATTATATCTATTTCATTTTTTTCTCTTGGATTTGATTTATATTGTACTATGTCTTGAATGCTTGGAAATTTTTAAATGAATCCAGCACACTTTAAAAATAGTTTTGGAGTCTCTTAGAATGGGTGTTCTAGAAATAAATTCCAAGACAGAGTGCTTATCAAAAAATACATCTTATATAGATAGCTATGAAGTGGGATAGGAAATGAAATCGCAGAGCGAAAATGTGGCTCCACTAATTCTAATCTTGTCTTGATCCATAGCAGAAGGTCTAAGAAGTATGCCTTGTACCAAAGTGTTGAACCCTAACTCTAAAGCAACAGGATTGCCTTTTGTATTTTAAGACAATCATTAGCCTTGGCCATATTTGATCATCTGACTTCTCAGATGATCTTATTGTCAGAGACTTTTTTTTTTTCTTTTTTTCAAGATTGAGTGACAGGCATAACTTTCCAGAAAAGGAATCGTTGAGTCAAGGAAAATCATTTGGAAAAGTAGGATTTCTGTTAACTATATTAAGTTTAATTAAATTTAGTCTAAAGCAGCCTCTATACATGGCAAACTGCAACATGACTTAGCATGTAAACAAACTGCATCCTGAGTATATTCTTAGTCCCTCAATCCAAGAAGACTAGAACGCTTTCATCTGGATCTCCAGTCAATTTTATGTATGAGAACTGTGGATCCAGAAACTGTGTTTTCTGGGGAAATGGGTGAACTTTACCAAAGGTAAGTTAGAGTTACCAAGGATAATAGAGTTACAGCGGCCACAGTGAGGAAACTCTTTACAAAAGGCAAATAGGCACAGGTCTTTATAGCTACAACAGCTACAGGCATCAAGGAGACTCCTTCCTATGTATTTTAAACCCAAACAGTGAATCTCAAATTTAAAAATTCTGTTTTCCTATATATCTCCCTTTATTGCTAACAGTACAATCATTGGAAAATAAATTATCCACTTTTGCACCAGCAGTTCTAACGGACTCACTCCCTTTGGCCTGGAATGTTTCCCCGACTAGAGAGGTCCCACTTAACTCCCAGGACAATAATCAACCAGTCTGTCAGAGAGATAAAATAATATTTCTTTGGTTAGGGTTTTCAATAAAGTCCAAAATGTCTCCATTTCAGAATCTTTCCAATTGAGAGTATTTTTTGGAAAACATTTATAAGAATCCTCTCTACTTTCTCTATTTCATCCTACTTCTCTCATAAGCACCACTCAGTCAGCAGAAACCCTTCTGCTCAAACCTCTTTTGACTATATGTTCTGCCAATTCTGTTCACCTTTCTTGTAATTATATTTGCTATACCCCCAAACTCCTTGAGGTGGGGGAGAGGGGGACAAATTAGCCTGTCATTCAATCTTGAAAAAAAGAAAACAAAAAAGATAAACCAGTCTCTGACAATAAGACAACATTAGCAGTGTCCACGCTGGGTCTAGGCATAGAAAATATTCTTCCTAGGATTCAGTAGTTCCACTCGCTCAGTATTCTAGTTAAAAGACACAGCTGAGTTAGGAAATTGTCAGTCTAACCAAATTAGTCTCCAAAATATGACTTTCTGTCATAAGAGCTATTTATTTTCAGCTGGTTATTTTGAGACCCTTTTGTAAAAGAAATTTACATCTATAAAGGAAATCTTCATTTGTCAAGGGTGTCCCCTTTACACCCAAATTACTAGAAACATTTACAATGGCAAAGGAATTTGTTTAAAAATATATAGCAACTCTTGTCTTTGTTAAAGGCACTCTTCCTCAGGATCTTGCCTTAACTGGGCCTTTATCAATACCCTTCTTTACTGGTTTAAGCCAATAATGGTATTTAGGTCTGAAGTCTCAGCTCTGTGCCTATGAGACATAAATTTTCTACCTGGTCTTACCTAAGAACCATCCCCTTGGAAATGCAAATTTCTGGGAGACAACATCAGAAGATGAGAGAGCAAAAGAAAAACAACTGTTTAGAAACTGGCAAATAATTTTTTTTCTTCTCTTTTTTTTCTCTCTCTTTCTCGCTCAAAAATTAGTTAAAGGTTTTGGCCATTTGAGTAGGTAATCTTTTTTCCTTGGGGAAACAGAATTTGACCAGATTTTCCTTAATAAATTTGTGAACTTGATAGTGTTGTGTCTGGCCCATGGCTAAAATTTTAGAATGAAAGCTGTAAGACCTGTTTCTGCCTTAAGAAATAAGACAAATTTGTGTATAGGATGTGTTTATGTATATCTGTGTGTGTAATATATATATGTTATATGTTTGGTTTCTCTCTTATCTTACCACATTGCCAAAATTAAATTGTAAACAGCTGTATTTAATTGGCTTAGAGAAAAATAATCACTTATATAAATTAAGTATCCCTTCAGAAAAAGAAAAACTAACCTAAATGCTTTTCAAGTTAATGCCATTTGGGTAATGTTTGATAAATAAGAATATTGATGGTTTGATTAAAGCAGACATATCTCCAGAGTTGTCAGCATTAAATATAATACATAATCATGGCTTTTCCTACCTTTGTTTACTGGTAAAATATGTTATTTCTATATCACAAAATTCATCAACTAAACAAAAAAGTTAAACATGATTGCTACTTGTTTACTATACCATTTTCATAAGCATTCCAAACATGATTGTTAAAAACAAGTGATTTAAGTATATGTAAGATATAATTTTTATGTAAAAGATGTCCTTCTGAACCCGGAAGGTTTTAACATTCTTGAGACTGAGAGAAGTCTGTACAAATAACAATTTAATTCTCAAGCTCACCCAAACAAAAACAAAAGCAAAAACCTAAGTTGATAGAGATAAACTTTTTCCTTTTCTAAAGTTTCTTAATATTGACAGATTAAATATATATGAAATTGTTGGTAGACATGTTCTGTGCCACACTGACAAATTATACTAAAAGAAAGGATATGCTTTTAGATATTATGATTCATAGATTTGCCAAAGTACAGACTGCCAGTGTGCAACTCACAATTGCTTGCTTCCTAGTGTTCACTGGAAATTAAGATCACTATGAGCTATCTAAGACTTCTGATTAATATATGTAATTAAAATTATTAGAAATAGTAAGGCAAAAGCTTCATATGAAACTATAAAAGGAAGGTAAGATATATTTTTGGTAAGAAGGAAATAAAGGGTATTCAATTAGGAAAAGAGGAAGTCAAATTGCCCCTGTTCGCAGATGACATGATTGTATATCTAGAAAACCCCATTGTCTCAGCCCAAAATCTCCTTAAGCTGATAAGCAACTTCAGCAAAGTCTCAGGATACAAAATCAATGTACAAAAATCACAAGCATTCTTATACACCAATAACAGACAAACAGAGAGCCAAATCATGAGTGAACTCCCATTCACAATTGCTTCAAAGAGAATAAAATACCTAGGAATCCAACTTACAAGGGACGTGAAGGACCTCTTCAAGGAGAACTACAAACCACTGCTCAATGAAATAAAAGAGGATACAAACAAATGGAAGAACATTCCATGCTCATGGGTAGGAAGAATCAATATCATGAAAATGGCCATACTGCCCAAGGTAATTTACAGATTCAATGCCATCCCCATCAAGCTACCAATGACTTTCTTCATAGAATTGGAAAAAACTACTTTAAAGTTCATATGGAACCAAAAAAGAGCCTGCATCGCCAAGTCAATCCTAAGCCAAAAGAACAAAGCTGGTGGCATCACGCTACCTGACTTCAAACGATACTACAAGGCTACAGTAACCAAAACAGCATGGTACTGGTACCAAAACAGAGATATAGATCAATGGAACAGAACAGAGCCCTCAGAAATAATGCCACATATCTACAACTATCTGATCTTTGACAAACCTGAGAAAAACAAGCAATGGGGAAGGGATTCCCTATTTAATAAATGGTGCTGGGAAAACTGGCTAGCCATGTCTAGAAAGCTGAAACTGGATCCTTTCCTTACACCTTATACAAAAATTAATTCAAGATGGATTAAATACTTATACGTTAGACCTAAAACCATAAAAATGCTAGAAGAAAACCTAGGCATTACCATTCAGGACATAGGCATGGGCAAGGACTTCATGTCTAAAACACCAAAAGCAATGGCAACAAACGACAAAATTGACAAATGGGATCTAATTAAACTAAAGAGCTTCTGCACAGCAAAACAAACTACCATCAGAGTGAACAGGCAACCTACAAAATGGGAGAAAATTTTCGCAACCTACTCATCTGACAAAGGGCTAATATCCGGAATCTACAATGAACTCAAACAAATTTACAAGAAAAAAACAAACAACCCCATCAAAAAGTGGGCAAAGGATATGAACAGACACTTCTCAAAAGAAGACATTTATACAGCCAACAGACACATGAAAAAATGCTGATCATCACTGGCCATCAGAGAAATGCAAATCAAAACCACAATGAGATACCATCTCACACCAGTTAGAATGGCAATCATTAAAAAGTCAGGAAACAACAGGTGCTGGAGAGGATGTGGAGAAATAGGAACACTTTTACACTGTTGGTGGGACTGTAAACTAGTTCAACCATTGTGGAAGTCAGGGTGGCGATTCCTCAGGGATCTAGAACTAGAAATACCATTTGACCCAGCCATCCCATTACTGGGTATATACCCAAAGGACTATAAATCATGCTGCTATAAAGACACATGCACACGTATGTTTATTGTGGCATTATTCACAATAGCAAAGACTTGGAACCAACCCAAATGTCCAACAATGATAGACTGGATTAAGAAAATGTGGCACATACACACCATGGAATACTATGCAGCCATAAAAAATGATGAGTTCGTGTCCTTTGTAGGGACATGGATGAAATTGGAAATCATCATTCTCAGTAAACTATCACAAGGACAAAAAACCAAACACTGCATGTTCTCACTCATAGGTGGGAATTGAACAATGAGAACACATGGACACAGGAAGGGGAACATCACACTCTGGGGACTGTTGTGGGGTGGGGGGAGGGGTGAGGGATAGCATTGGGAGATATACCTAATGGTAGATGACGAGTTAGTGGGTGCAGCACACCAGCATGGCACATGGATACATACGTAACTAACCTGCACATTGTGCACATGTACCCTAAAACTTAAAGTATAATAATAATAAAATTTTTAAAAAAAGAAAAACTTTAAAAAAAAGAAAAATATATAACGTATGAAGATGTTTTGTTAAGAAAAAAGAGTAATGCTTGTACTAAAGTAGAATAATTGGTTGTTTCAAAATAAAAAATAAAATGGTAGGATGAAAAATGGAATGGATAAGAAAATTGGAGAAGGTTTGTGGAGTATAAATCTTGTAAAATAAATTTTATGTGTGATGAAGCTGGCTAAGATTAGAAGAGAATTATTTAAAGTTTTTCCAATAATTGAGCATTAATATAAAAGGAACACTGATAGAAAACTAAAATTTGGCCCACTATGTTAAAACAACACAACTTTCTTGGGCTACTGGTCTATTCTTAACAGAAAATTGTGAGTTTTCTTTACCTTTTGTAGCTGGTCTAGGAAAAAAAGATTCTGTGTTTTACCATCATAATTTCCTGTGCTTTATGTTGTCTTTTTTAGGGGTTTTTCCATCACTTAAGAAAACTGGGTTATATCTATTTTAAGTCTAAGGTTTTTCTACCTCTGTGTATCTTTCTGTATTTTCCCTTGAAGTCTTTAAATTGCCAGTCTTGTTAAATAAATGACTATTCTTCACAGTGGCCTGTGATACTATTTTGATGAAATGTTTTAAACCCTTGATATTTTTTGATGTTTCCCAAATCAAAATCAAAATTATATTTTTATTTTTATTTTTACATTGAATTAACTGGGATTTTACAAATGAGTCTTTGGAGCATCTCAAAGAATATCTAGATAGATAGACAGAGACAGACAGACAGACAGACACATACAAACATACATACATACATACATACATACATACATACATACATACATAGACAGATACATAGATTTTTTTTTTTTTTTTTTGAGACAGAGTCTCGCTCTGTCGCCCAGGCTGGAGTGCAGTGGCACAATCTCGGCTCACTGCAACCTCTGCTTTCCAGGTTCTAGCAAGTCTCCTTCCTCAGCCTCCCAAGTAGCTGGGACTACAGGTGCACACCTCCACACCTGGCTAATTTTTTTTTTTTTTTTTTTGTATTTTAGTAGAGACAGGGTTTTACCGTGTTGCCCAGGCTGGTCTCAAACTCCTGAGCTCAGGCACTCCACCTGCCTCAGCCTCCCAAAGTGCTAGGGTTACAGATGTGAGCCACTGCACCCAGCCAACAGATATATTTTCTTACAAAATGAGGGATATTAAACTAATTAGGCTTATTTGTTTTGTTAAATTACTTAAAAGTCATTGTTAAATAATAAGGAATGCTAAATATCCCTTGATTTATGGCCTAGCACCGTGGTTCATGTCTGTAATCCCAACACTTTGGGAGGCCAAGGCAGGCAGATGGCTTGAACTCAGGAATTCGAGACCAGCCTGGGCAACATGACAAAACTCAGTCTCTCTAACAACATAAAAGTTCACTGGGCATGGTGGTGCATGCCTGTAGTCCCACCTACTTGGGAGACTGAGGCGGAAGGATTACTTGAGCCTAGGAGGTCCAGGCTACAGTGAGCTGAGATCACACCACTGCACTGTAACCTGGTCAACAGAGTGAGACCCTGTCTCAAAAAGAAAGAAAAAAATGTATTGAGTTATTTTTGTATGGATGTCTTACCAATATGTCTTCTATAGTATGAAATTCCTAGAAATCTGATGAGACAATTGGACTAGTAGAAATTCCCTGAACTCTAGTGAAGAAACTGGTTTTATAAAACTGATAACCCATCATCAACAGTACAAACATTGACTAGATACCAAGAAAATTCTTTGGCATATTTTCATGCTATGCCAGCCAATACTGAAATTGTTAAGATTTGCAATTTGAATGAACTCCACAGGATTAATTGAAGTCAATTTTTCCATAATAACCTATTTAATAAAAAGTGATGCACCTGAATTTGGGAAACAAAATTGGTATTTAAGAGATATAAATCCCTTGTTAAGCATAGACTCAAGGAAAGCCTAGATGGCTGCTTGGTCCTTCCTAAGTCCTTAAAGCTTTCATTTTTGAAAGCCCTGTGCTCTATGACTCATCATGGATTAGATAAAATTGTACAAATCATAAATATAAAGTAGTAAAATGACTGTTCTAAAATTCCTAAGGCGGTTTATAGCCAATGTTTGATTCATAAATTCCATAATACTGTCAAGACAATAAAAACCTCAGGTGATACATTTCCAGCACTGGATGGATCACTTGAACACTTACAGATGGATGTTTCTAAAGAAATCTCTAGCAATAGAAGTACTCATTTCACTGGAAAATTTGTAAAACAGATAAATAAGGTATTACAAGCATGGTGGTATTAGGCAAAGCTAAGAAAATCAATTGGATTGCCTTGGTCAAATAAATTACCAATCGATGGCAATCAGATCCACTTTCACTGGAAAACATAGATTAAACCCCTGTGAAAATAGTTACTGCAAGGCCTATGCCACTAATAATAGAAACATATGCTCTCCTGCTCCTGTAAACTCTGACATGACTCAATATTGCAAAGCTTCTGATGCATTATGACAAAGTGTATTTTCACTAGGTAAAATAAGTCCTTTCATGATCCACCAACTGATGACAACTAGACCTTATTCTATAGAACCTGGACATTGAGTTTTTATGAAAAGACACCAGAGAAAGACTGCCCTTGAACTCTCTTGGAGAGACAATATCAAGTTTTTTCTGGAACAAAACCTCAGGGCCTTAAGTCTTAGATCCATATCTATCAACTTAGAAGAATGCTTCCAGACTCTTGGGACTATACAGCCATTGGAGACTTCAAGGTAAAGCTAACAAGGAAAAGTTTTTTCTTTGGAAGATGACATCCTAGATGTAGAAGGTTTTCCCAAGATATTAAATAAAGGCTTTCTTTCTCTGTCACCATGAAACATTTGTTCCCTTTCCTCTTTTCTCTCGTTTTGTTTTGTTTACTGCTTACAAATGGCAAGATAATGCAAAAGTTAAAATTTCATAATCAATATTCTATAGGGTTATGCATTTAGAGTCACATATTAAGATTTCTTCTTTAACTTTAACAAGCAAAAACCTATAGTAAAGCTTCTACAGTTAAATTATACCAAAAAATTGAATAAGAAATCCAACAGTAAGATAATTTAATAATTTTGAGACAAATTTATAACCCTAATTCCTTAATTCTTTCTAACCATGAAATGATTTAGTAAGAGAATCACAGACAAATATTATTAGTGTTTTTCTATTGCTGACCCCCAAAGCATCCCACAGAGAACTTTCTGTTGATCCCATCTAGAATATATTTTTATGTGTGTATGATTTAAATATCAACAACACATGTGAGCAACTCCATATATCAACAAATGGGAAATAAGAGGCAAGTGTGGATTAGGGATTCTAATGGTATCATTGTCACTCCATAACTAGTTGGAAAATGAAAATTGGTCTATGCTTCTTAATTGGTACTATAAAATAAAGAAGATTTGCCAGCAGGCATAAATCACTCTAAATGGACATGTTTAAGTAGAATTATCCTTTCTCAGCTTGGAATAAATGCAAATAAAAATATGATTAAAAATCCATATCAAACATAGCTACTATAACTGATTCCACTTCAAAGATTATAGTAGTCCAGCATGCATTTTTAAATTCTATTGTAAAAGTTGTTTTAGACAACATGATTGTTTTGGACTATCTGTTGGCTGAATAGGAGAGAGTGTGTGTGATATCTACTTAGATGAATATGTTTGATACGGTAAAAACTTAGTTGTGAGAAATCAATAAACAAGCTACTTGAGGTTGCAATGAGCCAAGATCACGCCATTGCACTCCAGTCCGGGTGACAGAGCGAGACTCCCTCTCAAAAAAAAAAAACAAAAAAAACCCAAAAAAACAAAAAAAAAAACAAGTAGATTCCCCTTCTGGCTTATTTTTAGTATGTTGATTTTGATCAGTTCAGTTCATGGGGGCTCCTGTTAAGGAGTATATTTTAGTCTGTTGATATTGGCTTCCTAATAGCCATTATAATGGCCCTCCTGGTACACTGTTGTCCCTCAAGAGTCTTAAATGTCCCTGTGCAGCCATCATTATATGTCATCTGTTCTCACTACAGATAAAATAACAAAAACATGAAGAGGACATAAAAAAATTTCAGTTAACCTGCTATCAAGAATTGTGAATTTTATTCAGAGACAAAACAAATCCATTATGATGATAATAGAGAGCAGCATCCGTGCCCACGATTTAGGTCAGTCTCTCAATTAGAGACTGACCCAAAGAGGGCAATTGTTAAATTTAATTAAATTGTGCCTAAAACTGACTCCATACGTAGCAAACTGCAATATAATTTAGTAGGCAAACATAATGCAACCTAACTTAAAACTATATTGTTGTAATAGATAGCTGAGTCTCAGCCAATCAGAGCAACCAAGTCTCAGCCAATCATAGGTTACCAACTTATAACACCATGTCCATAAAAGGCAAATGCCTTATCATACCGTGCCCAAATAAGGCAATTGCCACACTGTAACCAATCAAGTGGTTTCTGTGTGTCACTTCTTTCTGTTTACAAATACTGTCTGTCTACATTGCTGGGTAGACCTCTGTGAATCTCTACTGGTTCAGGGTGCTACCCAACTTACACATTATTCTTGGCTCAAATAAAGTCATCTAAATTGAATTTGTCTAAAGTTTTTCTTTTAATAACTATTACCAAATAACCCTATCAGCAGTTAGAGATGTGGACATCAGCCTGTTCAGGAGGGTTTGAAACCAAAATAACATCTATTACAGAGGCTGAAGTCTACATCATTATTCTTCAAAAACAGCTCACTTTTTCTTCTGTATGATAACCAACATAGGTTCAATTCAACTAAATCCCTCCAGGATTTAGCTGAGTAGATGCTGAATTCTGGTTTTGACGAAAATCAGCATCCCACAAGGTTGACTTCTTCCAAGTGCCTAGACCTTCAAAGATGTTGGTTGGGTGCATTGTGTGTGTGCCCTTCAAGGCCACAGCTCTTTGTCTAGTTCTGGATGCAAATCTTTATCTCTTCAGTTCAATCTAATTTTAGAAAACTCTGCTCTCCTTTTAAAAGTTTTAAGTGAAATCTGACATCTCCCAGCTACATGGCTTCAGAATTGAGCAAATATGTTGAGGAAATAACTATGAATTTGAAGTTTCAAACTTGCTACTTCTCGCTTTAGCCCATGAGATCAACAAAAAGCCTCGAATATTTTGCTTTCCTACAGTAGTTCCTATTTGCTCACATAAAACCATATTTCAAGCTTCTTGAAAGTGACCAAGATTAGCCAATACTCTCAGGAAAAAAAAATGTGGCTACAAATTGTCAGGTAAGCATTCCATGGTTCTACCTCTCTAAAAACGTGATTCCTCTCTTTTTTTTTCCTTTGATGTCTATATTTATTTTTCTAATTTTTCTATTTGTTCATGAAAAGAACATTGCAGCAAATTATTCTATCCTATCCAAAGGAAATATGTAAACATGGCTGGGCATCATGGCTCAGGCCTGTAATCCCAGCACTTTGGGAGGCCGGGGCGGGTGGATCACCTGAAGTCAGGAGTTCGAGACCAGCCTGGCCAGCATGGTGAAACCCCGTCTCTACTGAAAATACAAAGATTAGCCAGGTATGGTGGCAGGTGCCTGTAATTCCAGCTACTCAAGTGGCTGAGGCAAGAGAATCAGAATCACTTAAACTCGGGAGGCAAAGATTGCAGTGAGCCAAGATTGCACCACTGCACTCCAGCCTGGGCGACAGAGTGAGACTTCGCTGAAAAAAAAAAAAAAAAAAAAAGAAAAAGAAATACGTAAACATTTTTTTAATCTCTTAAATGGAAGTTACTGTATGGTGATACATTTTTGTTTAATGATTTTATTATAAGTTGGGGCAAATCAGCGCAATAACTATAGTATACAAATATTATGGAGTTTTAGAAAGCAGAGATAAATTATTATTTGGGGGGATAGAAATGTGAAAAACAAAAAGTAGCATGTGTTTTATGGTTTTGAAAACATATTAGTACAAATAAAAGTAAACATCCTAAGCAAAGAGAGCAATGGAACTAAAGTCATAAAGATAATCTATAAGGTATGGGTTGAAAGTTATGGATTGGCAGTAATAAAAGATAAAAGTATGAAGTTTGGCTGATACCAGGATTGCAGAAGGATTGGATTGGCACCAAAAATGTGATCATTTAAAATAGATAAAGGCTTGCTGAGCATTTTGTAATGATTCTTGAAATAGTTAATACATATCAAAGTTATCCTGTAGAAAAATTAACCAGCTCTAAGTATTCAAGTAGGTTAGGAAATGTCTACAACATTCTTGAAGATCATTAAGAAAATCTAGAAAATTAGAAAGAATAAGAAATATCAAATAGAACCTATACAGAAGTTACTTAAATTATTTAATAGCTATATAAAAAAAGAATTAACATTTGGTACTCAAAATTTGCTAATTTGATATAGCAGATTGGCAACGTGCCCTTAAAATGTTTTTTTCCATTTACTTATGATAATAGTGAATTGCCTGAGCATATGGCCACTCTGCCAAAGACCAATTCCTGGCCTTTCTTGTACACAGCATTGTATGGTCATTTGACTAAGATCTAAAGAGTAGAATACGAGAGGAAGTGATTGTCCAGCTCTTTCTGGCCTCTTGCTTAAAAGAAAGTTTTCTGGCCTAGAGTTTCACCCTTTTTCTTTTTAGAAAGCCAATGTGATGGTTACCTATGCTCAACCATGAAAAGGAAGAACTTCTCTCTCTAGCAAGAATGATCATGTGGAATACAGCTTCCCTGCTATCCTGGAGCACCCACCTCCTGATTTCTAAATGAGAGTGAAATAAAATCATTTCTCATCTAAGTCAGGGACTTCTTATATAGCAGCTTATGCTATACTCTGAAATACACAAATGTAGTGACAGGGTAAAAATAAATGTTCCTGTTAACAGAAACAGGTAACATAGAGAGTGGAGAAGACTGATATATGTTGGAGAAGAGGGTAAAAAAAGGAACCCACACCTCAGGTATAAAGATTGATTTTTATGGACCAGTAAAACATTCAAAAGAAAACAGTGACTAGAAAGTTGATGACAATATGAGGATTAGGAAGAAAATTGAAAAATAATGTAGAAAACCAATGAAGAAACCAAATTCCACAAGCAGTTGTTCCATGTCTAGCTATACAATTTATTTTTAACTTTAATAATTCATCATATTAAGAATAAATCACTTAGCTTCAGCAATAGGAAGTAGAAGGGTAGAAGGAAAAATTGTAATCTGTTTTCTTAGCTAATTGAAAACACATTCGTAATGTATCACTTCCATTTTTCTGTTCATTTGTTTCTTGCTTTTCTTAAAACCAAAAGTGACTTTTGAAAGATATTTTACCTTGGCCTTTATAATGGTTTTATATATTTCAAAACAGATAAACATTTTATTATAAATGAGAGGCGAAATATTTTCTTGTTATTCATAACTGATATATTTGGCATCTTAGCAATCTTTACCATTATAATACAAAAAGTCAATATAAATGTTATTAATTAATGAAACTATCATCCATTTAGACATTGTTAATATTTATCTTTATTCTGCAATACATTTGAAACCTAAATCTGTTCTAAAATATTATCTTATAAAACACATGTCCATTTTTATGCTATTATAAGAAGCATCTTATGCCAAAATAGGCAAAAAGTACATTTTTCAAGGGATATTATTTTAAAATCATTAAATTTGTTATTGAAAAAGCCATCAAGAAATTATAGAGACCAGTGTCCTTCGATAGCATTTAACAGCAGAATGAATTATCTCAGAATTATCCCATGGGCTAAGAAAGATTATCCCATGGGCTAAGAAAGAGACAATTGTTTTAAAAATGAGCTTCGTCATTGCCTACTTGAAATAGAACTGCAGTTTATATCTTGAACAATGCTGAAGACATATACTTCAATATATATTTATCATTAAATATATAGATTGCTTATATTAATGTAAATGAGTTAGAAAAATAAGAAAAAAATAGTAAATACCTTGAGAAAAAAATTATCATTTTATTTATTATATATTCTGGGTTGTGAAAAAAATTCACTCCTAATTTTATCAACCCTAAAAATAATTCATTTATCAGAATGCTATTTTTGATAGTTCATCCAATTAATTATGCCTGGAGAGAATACTAGAAAAGTGATGCAATAAGGACAGCTCTTCCCTGGAAAATGCAGTTTCTTTGGGAGAGATCACTGTGGGCGACTTTTGCTGAAGGTATTGGACCCTCAATTCTCTAGGAAATAATTATGGAAATCCCAAGGGGAAAAGATGTGACATGATTACAGAGGTCAGCAGAAGACTGGGGGTGGCTCCCATGATTGTTAAGTCTTATTTTAACTTAACATATTCTAGCATTACTGAAAAATACACCAACCGATTTACTGAAAAATGAATACAAAATTTTCCTAAACTTCCTACATACTTTTATCAACCTTTGCCAACACCTTAGTGTTTATGTTATAGAACTATAAAGCTTACAGCTAAAAGAAACCTAGCAGATAACATCGTATTAATTTGCTTTTCAAATTATATTGTCTTGAGTTACAACAATGCAAATAATATTTTCCATATATTGCTTAAAAAATATAGTTCCACAAGACATTAATCAGGACATTGTATACAATGAAATATTATAGATGAATAAATTAGCTAGCAGTAATCTATAATAGTATCCTTTAGCAAGACAAGATCTTTAACACACCAATAAGAATACAATTTTAAGGACAAATACTTGTCAAAATATACTTTTAGCATTTCCTGGTAAGGAGTGAGGATATGGTGGGAAATTGGGAAAATAGATAATTAATGTTATTTAATACTTTTAGTAAAAATTAGTACAAGCACATCTAAAATAATGACTAAAAATTATACAATATAAATTCATAAGGCTTTAATAATTCAATAAAAGTTTATGTCTACAAAATACCAAATGTAGTGTTACTTACTAATAATTACTTGCCAAAGAGAAAGATGTCTAGAAGGTATCTTTGAGTTGCTCAATTTTTGACAAATTATACAACTAAAAATAGTAATTTAGAAATTACATTTGAAATGGATGTAAATGCTTTTTTTTCCTGGGCAAAATGGCCTAATAGGAACAGCTGCAGTCTGCAGCTCCTAGTGAGACCAAGGCAGAAGGCGTGTGACTTCTGCATTTCCAGTTGAGGTACCTGGTTCATCTCATTGGGACTGGTTAGACAGTGGGTGCAGCCCATGGAGGACAAGCAGAAGTGGGGCATGGGGGCAGGGGGTGTGGGTGTCACCTCACCCGAGAAGCGCAAGGGGTTGGGGAGCTCCCTCCTCTAGCCAAGGGAAGCCATGGGGGACCCTGCTTTGAGGGATGGTGCATTCTGGCCCAGATACTACGCTTTTCCCACAGTCTTTGCAACCTGCAGACCAGGGGATTCCATTGGTTCCTGCACCACAAAGGCCCTGGGTTTCAAGCACAAAACTGGGTGCCCATTTGGGCTGACAATGAGCTAGCTGCAAGACGTTTTTTTCGTACACCAGTGGTGCCTGGAATGCCAGCAAGACAGATCCATTCACTTCCCTGGAAAAGGGGCTGAAGCCAGGAAGCTAAGTGGTCTTGTTCAGCAGATCCCACCTCCGTGGAGCCCAGCAAGCTAAGATCCACTGGCTTGAAATTGTCACTGGCAGCACAGCAGTCTGAAG
The DNA here is from genome assembly GCF_000001405.40 of Homo sapiens. Taxonomy (NCBI): domain Eukaryota; kingdom Metazoa; phylum Chordata; class Mammalia; order Primates; family Hominidae; genus Homo; species Homo sapiens. The sequence continues at coordinate 96,091,476 of NC_000003.12, forward strand.
TTGACCTGGGATGCTTCAGTTTGGTGGGGGGAAGGGTGTTCGCCATTACTGATGCTAGAGTAGGAGGCTTTTCCCCTCACAGTGTAAACAAAGCCTATGGGAAGTTCAGACTGGGCAGAGCCCACAGCAGCACCTCAAAGCTGCTGTAGCCAGGCTACCTCTTGAGATTCCTCCTCTCTGGGCCGGGCATCTCTGAAAGAAAGGCAGCAGCCCCAGTCAGGGGCTTATAGATAGAACTCCGAGAGCACCTGAGAGAAGGGGCAGCTGTGGGCACGGCCTCAGCAGACTTAAATGTTCTTGCCTGCTGGCTCTGAAGAGAGCAGCAGATCTCCCAGCATAGCACTTGAGCTCTGCTAAGGGACAGACTGCCTCCTCAAGTGCGTCCCTGACCCCCATGCCTCCTGATGGGGAAATACCTCCCAACAGGGGTTGACAGACACCTCATACAGGAGAGATCTGGCTGGCATCTGGCAGGTGCCCTCCAGGATGAAGCTTCCAGAGGAAGGAGCAGGCAGAAATCTTTGCTGTTCTGCGGCCTCAGCTGGTGATACCTAGGCAAACAGCATCTGGAGTGAACCCAGCAAACCCCAGCAGACATGCACAAGAGGGGCCTGAATGTTAGAAGGAAAACTAACAAAAGAAAGAAATAGCATCAACACTAACAAAAGGACAACCATGTAAAAACTCCATCTGAAGGTCACCAACAGCAAAAACCAAAGGCAGATAAATCCACAAAGATGAGCAAAAAACCAGTGCAAAAAGGCTGAATGTTCCAAAAACCAGAACACCTCTTCTCCTCCAAAAGATCACAACTCCTCACCAGCAAGGGATCAAAACTAGATGGAAAATGAGTTTGACGAATTGACAGAAGTAGGCTTCAGAAGGTGGGTAATAACAAACTCCTCCAAGCTAAAGGAGCATGTTCTAACCCAATGCAAGGAAGCTAAGAACGTTGAAAAAGGTTAGACTGTTAACGAAAATAACCAGTTTAGAGAAGAACACAAATGACCTGATGGAGCTGAAAAACACAGCACGAGAACTTCATGAAGCATACATGAGTATCAATAGCCAAATCGATCAAGTGGAAGAAAGGGTATCAGAGACTGAAGGTCAACTTAATGAAATAAAGTGTGAAGACAAGATTAGAGAGAAAAGAATGAAAAGGAATGAACAAATCCTCCAAGAAGTATGGGACTATGTAAAAAGACCAAACCTAGGTTTGACTGGTGTACCTGAAGGTGACGGGGAGAATGAAACCAAGCTGGAAAACACACGTCAGTATATTATCCAGGAGAACTCCCACACCCTATCAAGAAAGGCCAACATTCAAATTCAGGAAATACAGAGAACACTACAAAATACAATACAGGAGCACCCAGCTTCATAAAACAAGAAGAGCAACCCCAAGACACATAATCTTCAGATTCACCAAGGTTGAAATAAAGGAAAAAATGTTAAGGGCAGCCAAGAGAAAGGTCGGGTTACCCATAAAAGGAAGCCCATCAGACTAACAATACTGGAGAGTATTGTTAGACTAACAGTGGATCTCTCTGCAGAAACCCTATAAGCCAGAAGAGAGTAGGGGCCAATATTCAACATTCTTAAAGAAAAGAATTTTCAACCCAGAATTTCATATCAAGCCAAACTAAGCTTCATAAGTGAAGGAGAAATAAAATCCTTTACAGACAAGCAAATGATGAAATATTTTGTCACCACTAGGCCTGCCTTACAAGAGCTCCTGAAGGAAGAACTAAATATGGAAAGGAAAAACTGGTACCAGCCATTGCAAAAACAAACCAAAATGTAAAGACCATCAACAATATGAAGAAACTGCATCAACTAATGGGCAAAATAACCAACTAGCAACATAATGACAGGATCAAATTCACAAATAACAATATTAACCTTAAATGTAAATGGCTAAATGCCCCAATTAAAAGGCACAGACTGGCAAATTGGAAAAAGAGTCAAAACTCATCAGTGTGCTGTATTCAGGAGACCCATCTCATGTGCAAAGACACACATAGGCTCAAAATAAAGGGATGGAGGTAGATTTACCAACCAAATGGAAAGCAAAATAAAGCAGGGGTTGCAATCCTAGTCCCTGACAAAAAGACTTTAAACCAACAAAGATAAAAAAAGACAAAGAAGGACATTGCATAATGGTAAAGGGATCAATGCAACAAGAAGAGCTAACTATCCTAAATATATATGCACCCAATACAGGAGCACCCAGATTCATAAAGCAAGTTCTTGGAGGCCTAAAAATAGACTTAGACTCCTACACAATAATAGTGGGAGACTTTAACACCCCTGTCAATAGTAGACAGATCAATGAGACAGAATATTAACAAGGATATATTCAGGACTTCAAATCAGCTCTGGACCAAGTGGACATAATAGACATCTACAGAACTCCCCACCTCAAATCAACAGAATATACATTCTTCTCAGCACCACATAACACTTATTCTAAAACTAACCACATAATTGGAAGTAAAACACTCCTCAGTAAATGCAAAAGAATGGAAATCATAACAAACAGTCTCTCAGACCACAGTGCAATCAAATTAGAACTCAGGATTAAGAAATTCACTCAAAATTGCACGACTACATGGAAACTGAACAACCTACTCCTGAATGACTACTGGGTAAATAACAAAATTAAGAGAGAAATAAATAAGTTCTTTGAAACCAATGAGAACAAGGACACAACATAACAGAATCTCTGGGACACAGCTAAAGCAGTGTTTAGAGGGAAATTGATAGCACTAAATGCCCACAAGAGAAAGCGGGGAAGATCTAAAATCGACACCCTAACATGAAAATTAAAAGTACTAGAGGAGTAAGAGCAAACAAATTCAAAAGCTAGCAAAAGACAAGAAATAACTAAGATCAGAACAGAACTGAAGGAGATAGAGACACAAAAAACCCTTCAAAAAAATCAAATGAATTCAGGAGCTGGTTTTTTAAAAAGATTAACAAAATAGATAGACTGCTAGCCAGACTAATAAAGAAGAAAAGAAAGAAGAATCAAATAGGCACAATAAAAAATGATAAAGGGGATATCACTACTGATCCCACAGAAATACAAACTACCATCAGAGAATATTATAAACATCTCTATGCAAATAAACTAGAAAATCTAGACGAAATGGAAAAATTCCAGGACACATACAACCTCCCAAGACTAAACCAGGAAGAATTTGAATCCCTGAATAGACGAATAACAAGTTCTGAAATTGAGGCAGTAATTAATAGCCTACAAACCAAAAACAGTCCAGGACCAGGCAGAATCACAGCCAAATTCTACCAGATGTACGAAGAGGAGCTGGTACCATTCCTTCTAAAAGTATTCCAAAAAGTAGAAAAAAAAGAGACTACTCCCTAACTCATTTTATGAGGTCAGCATCATCCTGATACCAACGCCTGGCAGAGACACAACAAAAAAGGAAATTTCAGGCCAATATCCCTGATGAATATTGATGTGAAAATACTCAATAAAATACTGGCAAACTGAATCCAGCAGCACATTAAAAAGCTTATCCACCACAATCAAGTTGGCTTCATCCTTGGGATGCAAGTCTGCTTCAACATATGCAAATCAATAAACATAATCCATCACATAAATAGAACCAATGACAGAAGGCACATGATTATCTCAATAGATGCAGAAAACACCTTTGATAAAATTCAATGCCCCTTCATGCTAAAAATACTCAATAAACTAGGTATTGATGGGACGTATCTCAAAATAATAAGAGCTATTTATGACAAGCTCACAGCCAATATCATACTGAATGGGCAAAAGCTGGAAGCATTCCCTTTGAAAACTGGCACAAGACAAGAATGCCCTCTCTCATCACTCCTATTCAACATAGTATTGGAAGTTCTGGCCAGGGCAATCAGGCAAGAGAAAGAAATAAAACGTACTCAAATAGGAAGAGAGGAAATCAAATTGTCTCTGTTTGCAGATGACATGATTGTATATTTAGAAAACCCCATCGTCTCAGCCCCAAAACTCCTTAAGCTGATAAGCAACTTCAGCAAAGTCTCAGGATACAAAATCAATGTGCAAAAATTACAAGCATTCCTATACACCAACAATAGACAAACAGAGAGCCAAATCATGAGCAAATCCCCTTCACAATTGCTACAAAGAGAACAAAATACTTACAAGTACAACTTAGAAGGGATGTGAAGGACCTCTTCAACTGAGAACTACAAACCACTGTTCAAGTAAATAAAAGAGGACACAAACAAATGGAAGAACATTCAATGCTCATGGATAGGAAGAATCAATATCTTGAAAATGGCCACACTGCCCAAAGTAATTTATAGATTCAATGGTATTCCCATCAAGCTACCATTGACTTTCTTCACATAATTTGAAAAAACTACTTCAAATTTCATATGGAACCAAAAAACAGCCCGTATAACCAAGACAATCCTAAGCAAAAAGAACAAAGCTGGAGGCATCATGCTACCTGACTTCCAACTATAATACAAGGCTACAGTAACCAAAACAGCATGGTACTGGTACCAAAACAGATATATAGACCAATGGAACCAAACAGAGGCTTCAGAAATAACACCACACATCTACAACCATCTGATCTTTGACAAACCTGACAAAAACAAGCAATGGGGAAAGGATTCCCTGTTTAATAAATGGTGTTGTGAAAACTGGTTAGCCATATGCAGAAAACTGAAACTGGATCCCTTCCTTACACCTTATATAAAAATTAACTCAAGATGGTTTAAAGATTTAAACATAAGATGTAAAACCATAAAAACCCTAGAAGAAAACCTAGGCAATACCATTCAGAGCTTAGGCATGGGCAAAGCTAAAACATCAAAAGCAATGGTAACAAAAGCCAAAATTGACAAATGGGATCTAATTAAACTAAAGAGCTTCTGCACAGCAAAAGAAACTATCATCAGAGTGAACAGGCAACTTACAGAATGGGAGAAAATTTTTGCAACCTATCCATCTGCCAAAGGCTGATGTCCAGAATCTACAAGAAAATTAAACAAATTTACAAGAAAAAAACAAATAATCCCATCAAAAAGTGGGCAAAGGATATGAACAGACATTTTTCAGAAGAAGACATTTATGTGGCCAATAAACATATGAAAAAAAGCTGATCATCACTGATCACTAGAGAAATGTAAATCAAAACCACAATGAGATACCATCTCATGCCAGTTAGAATGGTGATCATTAAAAAGTCAGGAAACAACAAATGCTGGAGAGGATGTGGAGAAATAGGAATGCTTTTAAACTATTGGGAGTGTAAGTTAGTTTAACCATCTGGAAGACAGTGTGGCAATTCCTCAAGGATCCAGAACTAGAAATACCATTTGACCCAGCAACCCCTTTACTGGATATATACCCCAAGGATTATAAATCATTCTACTATAAAGGCACATGCACACATATGTTTATTGCAGCAGTATTCATAATAGCAAAGACTTGGAACCAACCCAAATGCCATCAATGTTAGACTGGATAAATAAAATGTGACACATGTGCACCATAGAATACTATGCAGCCATAAAAAAGAATAAGTTCATGTCCTTTGCAGGGACATGGGTGAAGCTGGAAACCATAATTGTCAGCAAACTATGACAAGGACAGAAAATCAAACACTGCATGGTCTCACTTATAAGTGGGAGTTGAACAATGGGAACATATAGGCACAGAGAGGGCAACATTACACACCAGGGCCTGTCAAGGGGTGGAGATTAAGGGGAAGGATAGCATTAGGAGAAATACCTAATGTAGATGACAGGTTGATGGGTGCAGCAAACCACCATGGCATATGTGCACCTGTGTAACAAACCTGTACATTCTGCACATGTATCTCAGAACTTAAAGTATAATTAAGAAAAAAAAAGAAAAGAAAATTTAGGTAAATATTTTCTCTTCATAACCCAACTTTTAAACAGTCCGGTTGTCTGGCAAATTACACAACACTATTTCTGCATGTTCCTGTGCATGTGTACGTTTTGGCATCACTGAGGTTTCAGTGGAGTATTGAGCAAGCCATTTGAAAAACGTTATTTTAAACAAATGGTACATTCTAAAAAATAGCACTTATTGAGGTACAAGATTAATACTGCAACTTTAGCTTAGTTTTCCCTCCATGCTCAGGCTTTTCATACAATTTTTTCTCTTAGTAATTGTTGAATTACACCCCCAGTACACAGGCCAAATGGACTCCCTATGGCTAAAATGTTAAGCAGAATCAAGAGGTTATGACATAGTGAGGGAGAGGTCACATTCTCTGTGTGCTTGGGAATGTGTTACAAAACCTAGTTTTCTACAACCAATGCAAAGAATAGTTCCTGAAAACAACTGCAGGTGGAAATCGCCCAACTGACCACCAAGAGACCACCTGGTATCAACCTACCGACCACGTGGACACAGACAATTGAGAGACTGGTGATTTGAGCTTAAAGGTCATCCAATCAAGACTCTGTTCTTCACTTCTCTGACCTGCCAACCTCTGCCCTTCGGTTTTTGTCTTTATAATCTCCTACTCCGTGACTTGTCCTCAGAGCATACAACTGTTGCACGCCAAAGGCTATGTTTCTCCAATCTGGAGGTTGCTTTTAGAAACGAAAATTCTCCTTTTGCCTCCACAGATTTCATTGGTCTTTTGTTAACATTACTTATAACAATTAACTGACAGAGCAAAATGAATTTTTATGGAACATAACACAATTTATGTAAAAATGCTTTTGTAAGCATTACATTACAAAAAATAGCATATTAACACTTAAATATTGTAGAATCCTAAAATATAGTGTAAGGAATAATTGGACATGGACTCAAAAGTAATCTTTAAGGATGAATCTCTACTACTTTACCTTATTTAAAAAATGATATAAAAATGTCATTTTATTTTGATTTGTAACACGTACATAGTCATATAGCAAATATTGGTACCAGATTATTGAAAAAGTAATAATTGATCACTGTTATGTGTTTTCATTTTCAGACAGTAGTATTTTATAGTTTCAGTCATCTGTCTTGAGAATTTAATTGCTCTAACTTTATATTTGATTAAATATAGTGAAATTGCTATTTGTAAAGTTGTGAAAAATAGGCAATAATAAACAAAATATTTTTTACCTGAGACCTTACCATAAACCTAAAATTTCTAAATTATAAGTAAAAATTCTTATAAATACTATATGTGCAGTGATTAATATTAAGTGTCAAGTCGATTGAATGGAAGGACACGAAGTATTTTTTTCTGGTTGTATCTAGGTGTTTCTGGGTGTTGCCAGAGGAGATTAACATTTGAGTCAGTGGACTGGGAGAGGAAGACCCACCCAAAATTGACTGCCAGCGCAATTGGATGCTAGAAAAAACAGACAGAAGTTGGAAGAAGCTGATTTGCCCAGTCATCTGGTCTTCATCTCTCCCATGCTGGATGCTTCCTGACTTCAAACATCAGACTCCAAGTGCTTCAGTTTTTGGACTCTTGAACTTACCCCAGTGGTTTGCTTGGGGCTCTCGGGCCTTTGGCCACAGACTGAAGCCTACACTATCGGCTTCCCTACTTTTGAGGTTTTGGGACTTGGACTGAGCCACTACTAGCTCCCTTGCTCCTCAACTTGCAGATGGCCTATCGTGGGACTTCACCTTGTGATAGTGTGAGTCAATTCTCCTTAATAAACTGCCTTTCATATATACATACATCAAATTATCTGTCCCTCTAGAGAACCCTAATACAATATACATATATATGTTTATGTGAAGTTGGTCATTATTTGCATTTTCTATTTTATTGGGATTTCTCTGTTAAAAATATCTCATAAATAGAACTAGTAATATAAATATATTTATACAGTGTTATTTTAAATTACTCTAGTAAACAGTATAATTTATTCAACTAATCCTCTTTTCTATAATTAGATTATTTTTAGCTTTCAAAATTAATAAAAAGGGATAATACCAATGCTAAATCATGACTGTTTCTGTTAATTCTTAACTATTTTCTTAGGATGTTAATCTTAAGCAATGTTGTAGTATATTTGGATAAAGTTACACAATTTTTATGGGGCATGTGTGTGTGTGTGTCAGGGAGAATGAGAGATTATTTGTGTTCAAAATTATTAATCTGAAAATATTTTTGTCCTTTAAATTTTCATTACCTTGAAATTGGGCTAGAGTGGATGACTATTAAGTTTGAGAAAATATTTTTTATGTGAAAACATCTTATTAGAAGGAAGACAGGACATAGATTGTTTAAAATATATTTCAGGTGTTTGTGTTTGAGCAAGTTCGGGGGATGCTGCTCTACACTACTGCATATTAAAAGGAAAAGTGATACTTTACAACTTAATTATGTCTGCTAAAGAACTTGTAATGGATCGGATGGTTAAATAAGTGTTATCCTCACATACAATTTTTATTTAATAGTTAGGATTACTTTACTATCACATAGAATTTAATGAAAATAAATTTCCATACATATAAAATGGAATCCTTCTATACTCTCTCTGTAGGTTGAACATCTGTGTAACTTATTAGAAATAACCAAATATTTCATTCAATTTTTTATTGTCAATTTGGGTGACTGTCAATGAAAATCTGTATAATACTTTCAAGTACTATAATGGAAACATTGATATTTCACTTCTTAGGTGTATGGAGGAGTAGAAAATTGAACTTGCTTTGTGTTTCTAACTCAAGTGAATACAACATGCACACTATACACAATGTGTTATAAATATTATGTTAACTCTCAGGCATACACTAACTTATCTACCCACCTCAAAGGATATTTCCTTGATTGGTAGTTAAGTCAATGGGGACTGTTTATAGTAACAATCATGGCTTTCAAAATTGGTTTCCTAGGCATTTAAAGACTATTTATTTACTTATAATTTAAATTTTAATTTATTTTAGATTCAGGGAGTACATGAACATATTTGTTATATGGGTATATTGCATGCTAGTGGGGATTGAGCTTCTATTGTACCAATAATGTAAATAGTGAACATTTTACCTAACAGGTAATTTTTCAGAACTGGTCCCCTTCCCACGCTCCCTGCTTTTGGGTCCCCAGTGTTCATTATTTCCATCTTTATGTCCATGTGTACCCATTGTTTAGCTTCCACTTGTGAAGCTAAACGAATGGTATTTCATTTTCTGTTTCTGAGTTAGTTCATATAGGATAATGGCTTCTGGCTTCATCCATGTCACTGAAAACAACAAGATTTTATTCATTTTTGTGGTTGGATAATATTCCATGGTGTGTGTGTGTGTGTGTGTGTGTTTATATACATATATATACACACATATACATAGATATATACACACATGTATACATATATACACATATATACATATATACACATATATATACTTATACACACACACACACACACACACACACATATATATATATGACATTTTCTTTACCTAGTCAACCATTGATGAACCAACACTGAGGTTGGTTCCATGACTTTTCTATTAAGAAGAGCACTGTGATGAACATAGAAGCCCAGGTGTCTTTTTTGTATAATAATTTATTTTCCTGTGGGTAGATACCCAGTGGTGGGATTGCTAGGTCAAATGGCAGTTCTATTTTTAGTTATTTGAGAAATTCCCATACTGTTTTCCTTAGTGATTGAACTAATTTACATTTCCACCAACAGTGTAGAAGTGTTCCCTTTTCTGCATATCAATGCTAACATCTGTTGTTTGTTGAATTCTTAATAATAGCCATTCTGACTGGTGTAAGATGATATCTCACTGTGGTTTGAATTTACATTTCTCTGATGATTAATGATGTTGAGTGTTTTTTCATGTATTTCTTGGCCACTTGTATCTCTTCTTTTAAGAACTGTTCGTTCATGTCCTTTGCCCAGTTTTTAATGAGGGTGTTTGTTCATTTCTTGTTAAGTTGTGTTCCATGTAGATTCTAGGTATTAGTTCTTTTTCAGAGCCATAATTTGCAAATATTTTCTCCCATTCCGTAGGTTGTCTGTTTAATCTGTTGATTATTTCTTTTGTATGCAGAAGCTTTTTAGTTTAATTAAGTCCCATTTGTCTTTTTTGTTTGCTTTTGGAATCTTCATCATAAATTCTTTGCCTAGGCCAATAACCAGAAGAGGTTTTCCTGGGATATCCTCCAGGATTTTTATAGTTTCAAGTGTTATATTTAAGTCCCAGTTCATCTTGAGTTCATTTTTGTATATGATGAGAGATAGAGGTCCAGTTTTTATTCTTCTGCACTTGGCTAGACAATTTTCCTAGCACTACTTACGCAATAGGATGTATTTTCTCCATTATTAATTTTTGTTAACTTTATCAAAGATCAGTTGGTTGTAGACATGTAGCTTTATTTCTGGGTTCTTTGCTATGTTCCATTGATCGATGTGTCTATTTTTCTACCAATATCATGCTGTTTTAGTTACTACAGTAGTTAATTTGTAGTATAATTTGAAGTCAAGAGATGTGATGACTTCGGATTTGCTATTTTTACTTAGTATTGCTTTGGCTACAGGATTGTACAGCTCTTTTATAATTCCATGTGAGTTTTAGGATTGTTTTTTCTAATGCTGTGAAAAATGACATTGATAATTTGATAGTGATTGTGTTGAATCTGTAGATTGCTTTGGGCAGGTTGGTCATTTAGTGGTACTGGTACTTCCAATTCATCAGCATGGATTGTTTTTCCATTTGATTGTGTCATCTATGATTTCTTTGATCATTGTTTTGTGGAAATTTTTTACCTCCTTGTATAGACGTATTCCTAGATTGTGTGTATGTGTGTTTGTGTGTTTGCACCTATGGTAAATGGAATTGCATTATTGATTTAGCTCTCAACCTCAATGTTATTGCTGTATAGAAATGCTAATAATTTTTGTACACTGATTTTGTATCACAAAACTTTACTGAAATTGTTTATCAAGCCTGGGAATCTTTTAGAGGAATATTTAAGGTTTTCTAGTGATATAATCATTTCATCATTGAACAGAGATAATTTGACTTCCTCTTTTCCAATCTCAATACCTTTTATTTCTTTCTCTTCTCTGATCACTCTGCCTAGTATTTAGAGTGTTGAACAGGAGAAGTAAGAATGGACATCTTTGTCTTGTTCCAGTTCTTGGAGGGAGTGCTTTCAACTTTTTCCCATTCAGTATGATGTTGGCTGTGGGTTTTGCCATATATGGCTCTCATTATTTTGAGTTATGTTCCCTCAGTGCCTAGTTTGTTGAAGGTTTTTATCATGAAGGGCTGTTGGACTTTATAAAATACCTATTATACATCTATTGAGATGATCATATTGTATTTGATTGTAGTTCTCTTTATGTGGTGAATCACATTTATTGATTCGTGCATGTGAACCATCCTTGGATCCCTGGAATAAAATCCACTTGATTGTGATGAATTCTCTATTTAAATATGAAGCCATAGCTATAGGCTGCAATCAAATAGATTGTTTCTGTTGATTTATTCATATTAAGTGCTGTCATAAATTAGATTAAATATTCATTGTCTAACATGCCATTGTGAAATGGCAGAAATCACCATTTAATTTTTAAAGGATGTTTATGATTTATATCTTATATAAAGTTGGAAGTTCTATGTATTTAATTATTCTTTAAACAGCATCAATATGCATTAACATTTATATCATTTCTGCATCTGAGTGCTGTTCTGAACACTGCAAAAAAAAAATTTACCCAAGTAATTACCTATCACATTGGCTGTACTGTCTTTAAATGAATTTAAGACACACTACTCTTTAAGTAATGCAATTGATAATTCTATATAAATATTACTATACATAAAGTTTGAATGAATTTTATGTTTGCATTTATCCTATCTCTATAAATACAGTACACACAAAATATATTTTTGAAACAAATCAGAAGTGTTCAAGTAGTAAATTAAGATCTGAGACACAAACAAAATGTTGCAGAAATCCATGTTACCACTCTTCCAGAGATAGCAACAAAAGTTAAATTGACTATATTTTTTCTTTCTTTCATAGACTCTTAAATGTCACAATCATAATTCTATGTTGTTATATTTTAGTAAGACTATTTCTTATATTTTAACTTATCCTAAAAAATCTAAGTCCCACCTTTGATCATTTCCACAGAACATATCTTCCCTAAACCAAATTTATTTTCTAAATTAATTTTTAGGGGTGCTGTATGCATCAAAGCAATTTGTAGAATTCCAAATTCTAGAATGTATCTATTGTCATATTACAGAGGAAAAGAAATAAAAAAGAAACCTTCCTTCTCCTACGTAAATGGTTTAATCTAATATTTTGTTTTCCTAAATGCCCTTCTGCTGGCTAAATATTATCTAATGCAAGCCAAATGCTAAGCATTTTATAATAACTTTAATATAAAAATATCAAATCACTTTTTATTGAATGGTTCCATAAATCAAGAGAATTTTCAACATTCATAAAAATTTTGCAGTGTGAAAACTGACAACATGCCAAATTATTTTGACTCTTCTTAGCTCTTCAATGGGAATAATCTACTTTCACAAGGCTAATTTTTATTATATGTACACACACAAACACAAATATGTATGTGCACATATGTGCATATACATATATATCCACAATATATGCAAAAACTTTTTATAATTTTAATTATAAGACAAAATATTAGCAATTTAGCAACCAGTCATTATCTTTCATTTTCAATAGCTATTTTTTCTTCCCTTAAATCCAAATCCCAAATGCTTGACTATTTCTACAACTCTATCCAGCACAGCAGCAATAAGCCTCTTAAATGCAATCTTCTTTCAGATTAATAAAGTGAATAGCTGAAAAAATTTCAGAATGCTGAGTTGTGCAGAAGTAGGAAACATTTCTTCTAATTCATAGTATTATTTATCTTTGTTAAATTCCCAAATTTGAGGCAGATGTAAAAGCTTGAGCCATTCCTTTAGCTAAGCAAAATCGTACTGATTTCATAAAGGTTACTACTGTTCTTCACAAAATTTTAAACAATAGTATCTGTCTTTTGGATGGTAAGAGATATAAATCTCTGAAAATTTTCATCTAAAATTATAATTTGTTTCTCTTTTAATACACACTTTCTAACAATTTAATAAACTGTTGCAAACTCTTTGGCTAAAAATTGAATAAAAGATAACATCATATCATGGTTCTTCTGAAATCATTTAAATTCTCATGTCTTGAGTTCGTTTTAACTTATATGTGGGCTTCTCAAAGAGAAATTCAGAATAGCGCTAATTAAATTCACAGTTTAGCTGGGTATGGTGGCTCATGACTATAATCTCAGCACTTTGGGAAGCCAAGGCAGGCAGATTGCTTGAGCCCAGGAGTTGGAGACCAGCCTGGGCAACATAACAAGAACTCATCTCTACAAAAATATAAAATAATTAGCCTGGCATGGTGGCCTATGCCTGTAGTCTGAGCTACTCAGGAGGCTAAGATGGGAGGCTAAGATGAAAGGATTGCCTGAGCCTGGGAGGTCACAGTTGCAGTGAGCTGTGATCAGGCCATTGCACTCCGGCCTGGGCAACAGAGGGGACCCTCTCTTAATAAATAAGTAAATAAATAAAAAAGTCTCAATAAATAAGTAAATAAATAAATTCACTCTTTAAAGAATCTAGTATTATAAGTTAAAATTTTGACATATTTTTCTTATTACATGTTTCTTTTTGTTTGGAGGCACATTTATTTGTTTTCTGTCTTTGTCTGAAGAGTGTGAAAATACATAAGAATATTCCTTTGTTGTAAATGTGTCATTTTATATCATGTTTCAAAATTCTTACAGAATTTACTTAACAAAATAAACAAGAAAGAGTTTACTACTGAGATAGCAGTTAGTTTTAAAATTGAAGAAAACATCCTTTTGTAAGTAATCTGAAATATTAATGAATAGTAGCATTCTTAACAATCACGATAGAGTATCAAACACTATTAAAATTGGTATGACTCCTATTTTATTTTTTAAATTAATTAATTAATTTATTTATTTTGAGACAGGAGTCTTGCTCTGTCGCCCAGCCTGCAGTGCAGTGGTGTGATCTCGGCTCAGTGCAACCTCGGCTTCCCAGGTTCAAGCAATTCTCCTGTCTCAGCCTCCCAAGTGACTGGGACTACAGGCGCCTGCCACCATGCCAGGCTAATTTTTTGTATTTTTAGTAGAGACTGGGTTTCACCATACCAGTCAGGCTGGTCTCGAGCTCCTTACCTCAAGTGATCCACCCGCCTTAGCCCCCTAAATTACTGGGAATATAGGCATGAGCCACTGTGCCTGACTGACTCCTACTTTAAAATAAAGTAAATTTAATCATTGGCCCTAGGCTCCCTTTGCTGAAATTTATCTTGCTTGGACCAGAGGACGAGCATCTTTTAAAAGATTTAATTTTGATATATAATTCCACAGCTACTGAAAGATATGAACATGTTGTATCCTATATCATACAATATATAGGATTATTCAATCCCATGTTATTCTGTTGTACTGAAAAGGCCATGTAATTAATTACCTTGAGAAATTAATTTATTCCATAGTGTATTGGTTAGATTATTATATACAGTTTATAACTATTAATACCACTTATAAATTATAAAGTCATTATTCCAAATCTATTTTCAAAACTTTTAGAAGATTTTTTTTCACTTTAAAGTATTTACTTTTCAAATGATGATTTCAATTCCAATGACTGATAAGGTGTAACTATTAAGATAATAATTATTTACACCAGTTATTTGAAAGATAGATGTTTTGACCATTTATAGAATAATAGAAAAGACATTTAATTATCTGATAGTTTCTTTGTTGCTTAATCTTTAAATATTGGTTTGTGAAATGATGAATATACACACCTTCTCATGTGTTTCATCATCTCCTCAAATAAAGACATTAACAGAGCTACAATGCTATAACTTCATCAATGCTATGTATTGACACTGAAGTACAGGTCACAGAATAATTATTAACATAATATTATGGCATGATCATAACTATACACTCCTGAATTCCTTCAATTATTTTAAAATATGATTAAGTAAAATCTTTGTTTATTAGCTTGGTCCCTTGTAGAACTACAGTCATTTGTCACTTAATGATGGGGATAGTTCTGAGAAACAAATCATTAGGAAATTTCCTCGTTGTGCAAAATCATAAAAGTGTACTTACTCAAATTTAGATGATATAGCCTCCTACACACCAATGCCTGTAAGGTTTAACTTATTGCTCCTATGCTACAAACCTGTATAGCATGTTTTTGTACCGAAAAATGTAGGGAATTTTAACACAATGGTAAATATTTTTGTATCTAAGCATACCTAAATATAGAAATGATACAGTACAAATACACTATAGGAAATTTAAGATAGCACACTTGACACATATAGTTTATTTACTATGAATGGAGCCTGCAGAACTGGAAGTTTTACTGGGTGAGTCAATGAGTCAGCTGTGAGTGAATGGGAAGGCCTAGGACATTCATGTACACTACTGTAGATTTTATAAACGCTGTACACTTAGGGTACACTAGATTTATAAAGAATATTTTTCTTTTTTAATAGTAAATTAATATTAGTTTGCTGTAACTTTTTCACTTATAAACTTTAATTTTTTAAAACTTTTTGACATTTTTGTAATAATAATTTAAAATAAACACATTATGCAGCTGCACAAAAATATTTTCTTTCTATACATTCTTATTCCATAAGCTTTTTTTCTAATTAACTTTAAAAAATGTTTTTTAAACTTTTCTGGTACAAACTAAGACACAGACACACACATTAGCCTAGGGCTGCATAGGGTCAGGATCATCAATATCACGGTCTTACACGTCCACATCTTGTCCCACTGGAAGGTCTTCAAGGGCACTGAGCGCTGTCATCTCCTATGATAACAGTGCTTTCTGCTGCAATACTTTCTCAGGGACATGCCTGAGGCTGTTTGACAAAGGACTATTTTTTATAAGTGGAAGCAACTATAAAATAACAATAAAAAGTATACTATGGTAAATATATGCACCAGTAACAGAATCGTGTATTATCATTATGAAGTATTAAGTAATGTACATAATCGTGTGTTATACTTTTATACTTCTGGCAGTGCAGCAGGTTTGTTTACACTAGCATCACCACAAACATGTAAGTAATGTATTGCACTGCAACATTGGGACAGCTAGGATATCAATAGACAACAGGAATTTTTCAGCTCCGTTAGAATCTTACAGGACTACTTTCATATATGTGGTTCATCATTGACTAAAATGTTATCATGCAGCACTTGACTGTATGGGAATGGTGGAGACGATGTGGGTTCTAAGAAAAACAGCCTTGGCTGGGCGGGGTGGCTCACGCCTGCAATCCCAGCACTTTGGGATGCTGAGGTGGGCGAATCGTGAGGTCAGGAGTTTGAGACCAGCCTGGCCAACATGGTGAAACCCCGTCTCTACTAAAAATACAAAAATTAGCTGGGCATGGTGGCAGGCACCTGCGATCCCAGCTACTCGGGTGGCTGAAGCAGGAGAATCATTTGAACCCAGAAGGTGGAGGTTGCAGTGAGCTGAGAGTGCACCATTGCACTCCAGCCTAAGCGACAGGGCAAGACTCCTCCGTCTTAAAACAAACAAAAACAAACGAACAAAAAAGACAGCCTTAATAGACCAAGAATTTTGATGAGTACAAAATCAGTACATTTTATTCAGGGTATTTTCTGTGGTATAAAGTGCACCTGAGCGCCAGAGGAAAGCCTGTCTTAGAATCTCTTTGACAGGAAACAAGTGCTCTTATGTACAAATGCAGAGAGCACAACAGGTCTGAAACTCTCACTGCAGACATAATGTCTACATCCCGTGGTCTTTTCCTCTAAGTGCAGAATGGCGTGTTTGAATCTTGAGCCAGCTCCTGCCAGTGTGTCAATTTGGTAAGTATAAAAGCTTTGAGTAAAGAAGTCCCATCTAAAAGGTCCTTGTACATATTTGCTAATAAAGAGAAAAATGCTTATTAATGATTCATTAACCCACTGCATTATAGTTTTAGAAATACTCCTGTGATAACACTGGAATTTCTTAATTTATATTGTCAAATTAATTGTCTTTTGGTAGATAATTTAAATAGCTCTAAATATATTAAAATTATTCCTTAATATTTTGAAGTTATTAATGTTCTAAAAGTATGTAGATGGACATCATGGTCATGTCTCTGCTATAAAAGTTGTATTTTCAAGCTATCCCAGGAAGACTATAAATTTCTATTTTTTCTAAAATTCAGGATGATTTAATCAAAATTCAAATAGTCATTGTTTAAAGATGTCTTAGAAACTTCTGTTTAAAAAATACATATGCATATGAAAATAGTTAAATTTTATTTAGCATTACATTAATATTTGTCTATATTTTTAGATAAATTACTGCACTAATGTTCAATAATTTGTAGTTTCTCTGATGAAAAACAATTTATAATTATTAAGAAAAGAGAAAAAATAGTTATATATATATATAAAGTAAACCTACAGAAGAAATTCTGTATGGAATACAGGCTAAAAGGAATGTGATTCATTCTAAAATGCGGATTAAACAATTTCAAAATGGATTCCACTAAAATATTAAAGCACCTTTCTATTTGGCAGTTGTAGAATTATCAGTATTATTTATTTACTCAGAGATTATAATCTCACCCAGAAAGAAATAAAGAAGGCAGTATTGTCATGACCAAGCTACTGAAGAAATTCAGAAAAAGCAGAGATAAAGCATGAGAAGATCCTGGAATCCTGAATTACATTCCTTAATGTCAGGTTCCGTTCATGGGACCTCCACTCTTGATATGGGTATGCAACTCCTTTTCAATGAATTCTCCTATAGACAAATATAACTCTTGTCAAAGTGCACATGCAAAAATAAATAAATAATAAAAACCAGAAACAAAAAAATAAAAGAAAACAATTACTGGAAATTACAGGAAAGAAAGCAAAATTATATAGTTAACGGAGGGTAATTAGCATTTAAAAGAAGAGAAGGGTCCTCAGATTAGGTTTTAATGCTTTTAGCTTGAGGACAGGCACTAACTGCATAGGTCTAGACTTTGCTATAAAAACCATAGTCTTTGTGTTCTGAAGAACCAGAGAACAATCTTTTGGGAAACCGTCTGGGAAATAAAGAAGGAATACAAGAGAAGTAAAAGCTAGAGAAATGCCACTCTATTTGTGTGTGTGCATAAACTATACCCAAACATCTGAATAACTCTCCACTAATGCAAGCACAGGACAGAATCCAAGCATCTCAGCTACATAGAATAAACTAAACTTAGATCTAAGATGCTATCAAAAAAACAAAGGCTGTGCTTTGAATTCTCAAAAGTAATAGTTTTCTGAAATAACAAATAAAAACTGTTGATAATCTAAAACCTCTACAATACATTTACAATATTCAGAATATAATCCAAAATTACTCCTTATATAAAGAAATATGAAAAAATGACAAAATTTCAGAAGAAAATATCATCAACAGAGACCAATTCCCAGAAGATACAGATATTGGAATTAGCTGAGAAGAATTTTAAACATTTTATAATTAGGATCAGGAGATAATGAAAAATATGTTTATAATAAGGTAAAGATAGTAAGAATCAACAGGGAAATAGAAACTGTAGAAAAGAAGCAAATAGATATCTGGGAACTGAAAAAATACAGTATCTGAAACAAAGCTTTTATCTGTTTGCTTATAAGAGACAGACAGGGATGCTTGTAAGAGGCCACAGGTTGTGAAATAGCTCATCCATCACAGAAAGAAAGTTGTGCTGTATTGCATTCAATCCTCTTGATATTCAAGTACGTGCTATCATGTGATTCAGCACCTCAGTAATGGCTTTTACCATTTGAGTTCATTCAATTCCCCTTTGCAATGAAGGATTTCATCGGGTGGATAATAGATAAGAAGATTATGAAGTGCAAACTATCTTTCATGATTATCATCTCTCTTTCCCTTTGTCTCTATCTCCATGTATATGAATGATATGTATTTCCTTTTTATAATTTTAATTTTAAACTAGCAAATTTCTCACCACATGGATACAGACAACTTATTTATTCTTGTGATTACCAACTAAACTCACATGTGTCTCCTCTCTTACTTTGAACACGGATCTTGGAAATCGTGGGTAGATAAATAGAAACCCTGACCATATTGATAATGCCATGCTAAAAATAACACGTATATAGAATATATAGGAATGGATGAAGAGCTCAAGGAGCCCTAATCAAGTGCTTAACATATGAATGACTGAGCCTTGAGATGAATTGAGCCCCCAGCCTTTTAGTTGTCAAAGATAATGCCATATGAAGCAAAGCCACACTCCCTACTAAGCACAGCCCAGACTGCAAGTATGAGCAAAATTTGTGCTTTAATAAAAAAACAGTTTTATTAAGCTATAACTGATGTGCCATAAGATTTACTCATTTAAACCAATTTTAATGATATTTACTGTATTCACAGACCTGTGCAATTACTCAAAAATCCGTTTTAGAATATTTAGAAACTCTGTACTCATTAGACATTATTCCCCATTGCCCACATCTCTTCCCCTTGCCCTAGGCAACCATTAACCTTGTTCCTGTTTTTATAGATTTACTTATTGTAGGCATTTCTTGTAAATGAAATCATATAATGGGTGGTCTTTTGTGACTGCTTTCTTTCACTTAGCATAATGTTTCCAAGATTCATCTACATTGTAGCATATATCATATTTCATGCCTTTGTATTGCCAAATAATGAATGATTACATGAATATGCCACATTCCATGTGTTCATTCGTCATCTAATGGAAACTTCTGTTGTTTTCACATTTTGGCTATTATGAATAACACTGCTGTGGATATTAATGTACAAGTTTTGTGTGAACATGTATTTTAATTTCTTTTGGGTACTTACCTAGGAGTGGAATTGCTGGGTCATACAGTAATTTTATGTTTAACATTTTGAGGAATTGCCAAACTGTTTTCCACAGCAGCTGCACAATTTTATGTTCCCACTGGCAGTTTATGCTTTCTCCTGACAGTCAGCTTTCTCCACAGCCTTTCCAACATTTGTGTTTTTTTTATTTCTCTTTTTAAATGCAGCCAGCCTTATGAATGTGAAGTAAGATCTCATTGGGATTATATTTCCTTAATAGCTAATGATGTTGAGCATATTTTCAGTGCTTATCGTCTAGCTTATATCCTCTTTAGAGAAATGTTATTCTGACCTTTTGCCTTTTTGTTGTGTTATTTGTCATATAATAAATGAGTTGTAAGTGCTTTTCTGTAACAGATTCACTGACATATGATTTACATAACATGGGTTCACCTTTTAACGTATTTTTTTGTATGTTTACAGAGTTGTGCAACCATCACAACTAATTAACTTGAGAACACATCATCCCAAAAAGGAACACTATACCCATTAGCAGTCACTCTCCATTGCACCCCTCACTCAAATATGTTAATTTCCACATATTTGTGTGCTATAGATATCTGTAAAGACTAGTTGTTTTACCGTGTTGTTGAATTTTTCTAATCCCTGTTGATCTACTGTCTGCTTGTTCAATTACTGAAAGTGGAGTATTGAATCTCTGACAATTGTAGACACTATGTAGCTTTATTGTGTTCTTTTTAAATTCTGCCAATCACTGTCTTTGATTGGAATGTTTAGTTTGTTTGCATTTCTTGTAATTATTTACAAGGTAAGATTTAGATCTGCTGTTTTTCTGTTTGTTTTCTGTCTTATGTCTATTTTTTCTTTTTTTTCATGACTACTGTTTCCTTCCTTGTTAAATTTATGGTGTGACATTTAAATCCCCTTGTCATTTAATATATACATAAAACATATGTGTAAAAAATATATATGTATTATATAAATATATTCATATGTATAAAATGAGAGAGGGATTATATATTTATATTAAATGTCCCATTTTAATTTACTTGTCATCTCATAGATACACACACACACACACACACACACACAAACACACATACATAATATAGAGTTATAGTATTAGTAATTGCCCTGGGGATTACAATTAACATTATAGCATAAAATAATCTAGTAATATAGTTTAGATTAATAGTAATTTAATTTCAATAGTAAAACAATGTAGCTGCAACATTGCTCCATTCCTTTTGGTATTATTTCTGTTCTTATTGTCCTGCAAATTACATATTTATACATTGTAAGCCCATCAACATGGCTTTATAATTACTGATTTATGCAATTGGCTTTAAATAAAATATAAGAAAATAAATGAAAACATGATATATTCATATTGCATTTCATATTTACTTATCTAGTTTATTTTTTATAATTGTTTCTCATTTCTTTATGTGGATTTGAGTTACTGTGTAGTGTTTTGTTTGTATCCTGAAAGAATTCCTTTAATATATTTTCTAGGGTATGTCTGCAAGCAATAGATTCTCTCTGTGTATTTTCTTAAACTTATTTTCTCCTTCGTTTTTGAAGGTTAGTTTTGCTGGTTATAGAATGAGTGGTTTGACAGTTCTTGGCTTTCAGCACTTTGAATATATCATAATATTGCCTTCCTGTTTCTCTGGTTCCTAATAAAAAGCCATCTGTTAATTTTATTAAAATCCCTTTTATTCAATCAGTTTTTTCCTGTGCTTCCAATATTTTTTCTTTCTCATTTTTTATCAGCATGACTGTGATGTTTCTGGTGTGATGTCTTTGCATTTATCCTAATTGTAAACATATCTGGGAAGTGTAATGCCTTTCATCAGATTTGAGAAGTTTTCAGCCATTATTTTCTCAAATATTCTTTTCACTTCTCTTTCTCTCTCATTTGTTCAGACTCATATTATGTGTATGTTGGTAATTCACTAGTGTCCCCCAAGTCTCTGTTTTTATATATTCTTTTACTTTTCTTTATGATCCTTAGCTGATTTTTTTAGCTCAAATACTCTGTTCAGCTCATCTATTGAATTTTTAAAATTTCAGTTATTTTACTTTTAACTCTAGAAATTCTGCTTGTTTCATTTAAAAAATAATTCTGTCTTTGTTGACATTTTCCAGTTGATAAGACATCATTCTCATACTTGCAAAGTCAGATGTTCCCTGGACCCCCAGTTTACCGTGCCTAGCCCACCTTACAGAGTTCAGACTTGTCAGCCTTCATAACCATGTGAACCAATGAGCTAATTCCTTAAAATTAGCTCTCTCTCCATATATACACACAGTCATCACAGAGTCATGTATTATTTAACAACAGGGATGTGTTCTGAGAAATGCATCTTTAAGTGATTTTGTTGTTGTGCAAACATTATAGAGTGCATATATACAAACCTCAATGGTGTAACCTACTATACCCCTTGGATCCTAGATGACAAATCTGTAAAGCATGTTACTGTACTGAATACTGCAGATTATTGTAGTGCAATGGCAAGTATTTTTGTATCTAAACATATATAAACCTAGAAAAGGTACAGTAAAATACAGTATTATATTATTAGACCACTGTCATATACACCAGTCCATCGCTGACTAAATGTTGTTATCTGACACATGACTTTACATGTTTGTGTGTGTGTACAAGTGTGCATGTACATGATTATAAACACATTCTATTGGTTTTCATTCTCTGTAGGACACTGAATAATAAATGACAACCTTGTACATGTTTCTATGCTCCTGAATCATGAGAACATGTCCAAGATTTTCAGACCCCACTATAGCCGTCTCTTTCTCAGATTAAAAAAAAAAAAAAATTGCGGGGAGAGGGACCATCTCTTATCTAATACAACTAGCAGCACCGTCTCTGGCAGCTGCAATGTTAAACAACTACTTTTTTCAATTTTTGATAAGTGATTTGGGTATGGAGATTTTCTAATTGAGAAAGCTCTGAATCACTTCAAATAATGACTAGCTCTCTGAATGAGGCCTTTCTTGTGGGCTGCCAGAAAGGCACAGTAGTGACAATTTCATTTCTAGGGGTTTGCGAGCAGCTGAAAAACCATTCTACCCCCCTCTCCCCGCCCCTGCCCAGTGTCTGCTGGGCTGCTGGTTTTCACAGCTACTATCTTTGTAGAGTTACTATTTTTCAAGATTACTATGAAGTTCTGGAGAGGGTCCTAGGAATAAGGCAAGGCAAAATGCCACAAAAGTCACTGTTCTTACAGAGATTCAGGTCTTTGTTTACACTGAGCTCCCTGGGTTTCATAAAATGTTGATTTAGGCAATTTTGCCAATGTTTTTCTTGCTTTTATGGAAGAGTAGATTTTCTGACGTTCTTATTCTACCATTTTGGAAATGCTTTCAGATGTTGATTTAAGGCACTACATTCTTGGGTGTTCTTATTTGTTCAGTTGGTTTTTATTTTGTTTTGTTTTGTTTGTTGCAGCAATAAATAACACATATACATTATAGTAACAGAAGTATGGTGTTGTCATAACAGTAATCTAAAAATGTGATATACTCTTTGGGATTAGAAAGTAGACAAACTATGATACAACCTCAAAAAATATTGTGAACAGGACTTCAGGAAAGGCGTCAGTGATAGCTTAAAGGAGCGTGAAGAGAATGTTATTGGAAAAAGAAGAAAATGAAATATTTGTTATATCCTGGCAGAAGGTTTAGCAAAACTGGCTTTAGTACTGTGAAGAAGAAAATCCAAGGTGAGCCTGTAAACTACTTTCATTGGACTGCAGAAAGATATAACAGTCCTTCAGAGAATCATTTCCTTAAAAAGAGGTTCTCTGGAATTTTTAAGAACATAAATCACAGACTCAATCATTAAACAATAGGGCTTCTAGAATCTCAGGAATCTTTTCTCTCAACAATCTTGCAAACATTCTAAGGTAGAATAAGGATAATCTGTAAGATATTTGTGGGTATGATTCTTGTCTAATGGAATATATTATCAATTGATTCATAGAAGCTTATGTATTTTGTAAAGAATTATAAAAACTTGAGCTGAAAGGGATAGAGAGGATATAAAGTAAAAGACTATACAAATTTCTCTAAGCAGAAACCAAGCTAAGGAACCTGCTCATGTGCAAATATAGACTTCATTGTGTGGAACAAGAGGATAATGTGGAGAGCAGAGTCAAGTCCCCAGAAAACAGGGCCAAAACAAAAGGAGAATCATCCCAAGCAGTAGGATAGAGTTCTTCTCAAGAAATTGGGAAAATGTTCTAGGCTGGACCCATGACTCTTAAGTGCCTTATTCTTCCAGGTTTTGAACAATAGGGTCTATATTGATTATCCTTTGACTGATCCATCGTTCTATGTAGGCTATGTGAGGATATATAACATTTTTCTTAGTTTACACTTTTTCACATTGAAAAGGACTCTGCATAGGGAATTGTACTTAAGGAGGCTCATCTGCACCTGGAGGTCCCAAATGATACCATAACCAGATGAAACTTAGAAATTTTAGTGGAGGGAATGAGGGCATTTTCAATGTGAGATGGTTTTGAATTATTATGGCCAGAGGGAGAGTCCTTTCAGACCGTATTTTCCAAAAATAGCGAAACCACTTACATATTTCATTATGCATAACCTTCGATCAAGAGATGAGATGCAGGTGTCTTCTGTTTGAAATTCTGTGGCCTTTTTAATAATCTTGACAAATAAAATGTGGCAGAAATATCACTGAGTGATTTCTAAGTATAAATATATTATAATATATAATTTATTATATAAATATATTATAATATATAATTTATTATAAAAATATATTATAACATATATATTGATTATCCTTTTATCCTATTTATTATAATATAATATGTTATCATATGTTATGATAAATATTATGATAACCAGGTAGCTTAGACCTGATTCTCTGTCTTGAGACATACGTCTTGAGTGCCCTGAGATGACATATGAGAAATATGAGTACTTAGAAGATACCATGCTGGAGATAGCACTTGGAGACATCATATAGAAATACAGTTGCCCAAGAAGTCACAGCTATATTAGGTACAGGTTTTTGAATCTTCCCCACATCAGTAATGAACTTGAGAGAGATGAGTGAAGTAGGCTTCATATATCTCAATCTCATCCTTTGAGACCTCCAAATGGCACACTAGACATTGTGAAAAAGGGGTAAGCCATCCTTACTGGGTCATCTCAAAATTTCTAATTCACAAATGACAAAATGTATTGTATTATACAAGCACATAAAGTGGCAATGTGTTACTCAAAACCCCAATTATTTCAATAAAAACTCTAGCATAAAATATAATAAACTATTTGTTGAATTAAAATCAAATATTAGGGAAATTCAATACTAAATTAACAATCAAGGGACATCGTTATAGTATAGTTTTCTTTCTTTTTTCTATATTCTCTAGAAGAACCACATTATGGATTCTATCCCTAGTAACTTGTGTCTTTGGAAATTGATTTTATTTGAAAGACACTGCTTTCTTTTCTATAAAGAAAGTGATATGGTTTGGCTGTGTCCACACCCAAATCTCAACTTGAACTGTATCTCCCAAATTCCCACATTTTGTGGGAGGGACTCAGAAGGAGGTAATTAAACAATGGAGGCTGATCTTTACTGTACTATTCTCATGATAGTGAATAAGTCTCATGAGATCTGCTGGGTTTATCAGGAGTTTCTGCTTTTGCTTCTTCCTCATTTTTCTCTTGCTGCCACCGTGTAAGAAGTGCCTTTCACCTCCCGCCATAATTCTGAGGTGTCCCCAGTCATGTGGAACTCTAAGTCCAATTAAACCCCTTTTTATTCCCAGTTTCAGGTATGTCTTTATCAGCAGTATGAAAATGGACTAATACAGTACATTGGTACCAGTAGAGAGGGGCATTGCTGAAAAGATACCCCAAAATGTGGAAGCAACATTGGAAATGTGTAACAGGCAGAGGTTGGAACAGTTTGGAGGGCTCAGAAGAAGATAGGAAAATGTGGGAAAGTTTGGAACCTCCTAGAGACTTGTTGAATGGCTTTGACAAAAATGCTGATAGCAACAGGAACAATAAGCCCCAGGCTGAGGTGGTCTAAGATGGAGATGAGCAGCTTGTTGCAAACTGGAGCAAATGTGACTCTTGTTATGTTTTAGCAAATAGACTGACAGCATTTTGCCCCTGCCCTAGAGATTTGTGGAACTTTGAACTTGAGAGAGATGATTTAGGGTATCTAGTGGAAGAAATTTCTAAGCATCAAAGCACTCAAAACGTGACTTGGGTGCTGTCAAAAGCATTCCATTTTAAAAGAGAAATAGAGCATAAACCCTCAGAAAATCTGCAGCCTGGTGATGCAGTAGAAAAGAAAAACCCATTTTTTTAAGGAGAAATTCAAGCTGGCTACAGAAATTTGCATAAGTAACAAGGAACCTAATGATCATCCTCAAGACCATGGGGAAAAT
Organism: Homo sapiens; assembly: GCF_000001405.40. Classification (NCBI taxonomy): domain Eukaryota; kingdom Metazoa; phylum Chordata; class Mammalia; order Primates; family Hominidae; genus Homo; species Homo sapiens. The sequence continues at coordinate 96,117,840 of NC_000003.12, forward strand.
GTCTCCAGGCCGTGTCAGAGAACTTCAGTGAAACCACTCCCATAACAGGCCCAGAGGCTCTGGAGAAAAAGTGGTTTTGTGGGCTGGGCCCAGGGTCCCAGTGCAGTGTGCAGCCTAGGGACTTGGTGCCCTGTGTCCCAGCCACTCCAGCCATGGCTGAAAGGGGCCAATGTAGAGCCCAGGCAGTTGCTTCAGAGGGTAGAAGCCCCAAGCCTTGGCAACTTCCACATGGTGTTGAGCCTGTGGGTGCACAGAAGTCAAGAATTGAGTTTTGAGAACCTCTGCCTAGATTTCACATGTGTGGAAACGCCTGGATGCCCAGGCAAATTTTGCTGCAGGGGCAGGGGCACTCATGGAGAACCTCTGCTAGGGTAGTGCGTAAGGGAAATGTGGGGTTGGAGCCCCCTACACAAGAGTCCCTACTGTGATACTGCCTAGTGGAGCTACGAGAAGAGGACCACTGTGCTCCAGACCCCAGAATGGTCAATCCACTGTCAGCTTGCACCGTGCACTAGAAAAAGCTGCAAACACTCAATGTCAGCCCATGAAAGCAGCCAGGAGGGAGGCTGTACCCTGCAAAGCCACAGGGGCAGAGTTGCCCAAGACCCTTGGAACCCATCTTTTGTGTCAGCATGACCTGGATGTGAGACCTGGAGTCAAAGGAAATCATTTTGGAGCTTTAAAATTTGACTGCCCCACTGGATTTTGGACTTGCATAGGTCCTGTAACTCCTTTGTTTTGGCCAATTTCTTCCATTTGGAATTGCTGTATTTACCCAATACCTGTACCCCCACTGTGTCTAGGAAGTAACTAAGTTGATTTTGATTTTACAGACTCATAGGTGGAAGGGAGTTGCCTTGTCTCAGATAAGACTTTGGACTGTGGACTTTTGGGATTAATGCTGAAATGAATTAAGACTTTGGGGAACTGCTGGGGAGGCATGATTGGTTTTGAAATGTGAGGATATGAGATTTGGAGGGGCCAAGGGTGGAACAATGTGGTTGTCTGTGTCCCGCCCAAATCTCAACTTGAGTTGTACCTGCCAGTATTCCCACATGTTGTGGAAGGGACCCAGGAGGAGGTAATTGAATCATGGGGACCAGTCTTTCCCATACTGCTCTTGTGATAGTGAATAAGTCTCACAAGATCTGGTGGTTTATCTGGGGTTTCTGCTTTTGCTTCTTCCTCATTTTTCTCTTGCTGTCACCATGTAAGAAGTGCCTTTTGCCTCCCACCATGATTCTGAGGCTTCCCCAGTCATGTGGAGCTGTAAGTCCGATTAAACCTCTTTTTTGTTCCCAGTTTCAGGTATATCTTTATCAGCAGTGTGAAAACGGATTAACACAGGAATAAAATGGATGAAAGTATATATAATTTCTAGAATACTTTCTGTAACAAATGCTTGTCATATGAAACCTTTACAACTTTTTCTAGATTTAATGTTGCACATGCCTTATAATGGAACAGAACACTACAACTCTTGAAAAAGATTTTGTAAAAATATGTGATTGCCAGAAGGAGAAGTAATTGATTTTTAATTCTGGCAAGTGCAAATCTACATAGAACCCCCTAGGTAGGTTTATTATAAATGAGGTCATAGTTATATAACCAAAGAAACTATTTCCAGTTATAGATAACCCAAATACTGTGCCTATGTCCATATACTAGTGAGAATGGGAAGGCAGACTCGTGATTATTCCAAAGATTCAGATTAATGCTAAATTACATCCATCACAAAATTAACACCAGGAAGTAACACTGGGGTTGGCCTGAAGAGAGCTTTGTGCCACAATGATAGAAAGACATTCTAGAACATAATTCATTCCACAGAAAGAGTCAAGGTGGTTAAATCAGAATGTCTTAGTGTTGAAAGAAAAAAAGGATTTTCAATCCAATTGAAGATATTTTACTTAAAAATGTAAGAATTTAGCTGCCATATAATAGTAGTAATTCTCATTTTTGGGGGAACAAACTTTTAGAAGGAATGCAATTGATCAGACACTGGCCATGATTCCTTTGTAGGCTCTTTTGAAGAAAATACAAGTATCAACACAAAGATAAGGACGAAAAGCTGGAGAGAATATAGCCATGAGAAATACCTTTTTTAAATCATAATATTTTGTTTCCAATCCAGTGTGTTCCAGGGATATGTTATGTGTATTAGTCTTGATTAAACATAGTTATTAGAAATATTTCTCAACTGTTGCCAAATAATTTATCATGTAGCTTAACTGATGATTATTAAATTTATATTGGCACTCTCTTGCCTTCAAGTCAAAGTTTATGATTTAACAAATATGTAAGTATGTATATATATAGACAATTGAATAAAATATTTGAAACTAGTGCTTTACTGTCAGTTTGAAAGTATTTATTTTTATTTTCCTTGAGATACCAGGCATTTCTATCCCTGAGGTGTCTATAATTACTATAAATTGTATAAAAATGTTTGAAGTACTTGACATAATTATTTTGTTTAAAATACTTGTATCTTTCTAGAACCAATGCATGGATGTTTACATTGTATGCTTGGAGCTCTAGAGAGTAGAGTGATTGAACGACCTATTTCAGATGTCTATAATAGTTTTGCTTATCTGAAACATACTAATCAATCATGGCAATCTTTTTCACTGAGCCTTGAAGAGACTTCACAACACTTCTCAACACAAGGGCAATTGCTATCAATCTATCTAAGCTAAAATTGGAAATAAAATATATTTTTCTATCCCTAGGCTAGAGCTAAAAACTTATAGTAGTATCTACTCTCCTGATATATGAGTACAGATACAAGACATGTTAAGAAATGACATCAGAATGCAAATCTTCTAGCCTGTCCATTTCCTAACATGAAAGATTGAATGCATAAATTGTTAGAGTTCTGGGAGTATATTCCCATTATTTTTGTCATAAGTTCTGCTTTCCTCAGGGGCACATGGTAAGATTGCAATTTCCTGCCTCATTTGAAGTTGGTCATATACATATGACTTGTTTTTATCAATGAAATGTAAGCAAACATGACGTATATCTCCAAGCATGTAAGCTATCCCTTGCACCTTGTGAATTTGGAATTATTTGTTGAGATAGAGCATTCACTAGCTTGAGTCTAGAATGATCATAAAAACTCCTCCTACTGACATACTTTGGACAGAGTAGAAGATAAATACACACTTATAATTTTACACCATTGAGATTCAAGACAATTTGTTAAGGGAAATAACATAGCACCAAGTCTATCATAACTAATTCAGAAACTGGTACCTATAAGTCGGTGGCTGCCATTAAAAAATAACAATGATAATAACTGAAATACATTTATTTGGCTTATGGGCTGGGTGGTTAGTAGCTTGTGAGCTATTATCAGTGACGGGAAAGGTGCCAATCTTTCATATCCAGTGGAAAACTGTTTTGATTGTCACCCATAGTAACACTTGAGGTAGAAAATTGTGGTTAATAAAGTAACATGTGTAGAAGAGGTTAGAAGAAAGAATGTTTCAACATGTTTCTGGTTTGTGTTGGCTCAATTTGGCAAGATATTGGATAAATATTACCAAAGTAGTATGGAACTTCCAGAAGTTAGAGTGAGGATATCTGTAAATTTTTTCCCTCATAAAAGAAATGAAAACACTGCCAAACTATGAAAATCAAATAATTCAGCACGCTTAAAATTAACCAAAGGCACACACACACACACACACATACACACACACATACCTGGAAAGCATATTTCAGGAAAAAGTACTGAACCTTAATATGAACAGTGAGGTCTTTGTCATTTTACATAGGGTTATTCCTACCTCCATGCTCCAACTCCATGATGAGATAGTCATAAAAAGCTGGCCAGCCCACAGCCAACAAAAGGGACTTACTCCTTTTCAGGCTTGGTTAAGAGCCCCATTGTTAGAAAATAGGCAAATGTTTGATTAAATTTTCACCTCCGTTGAAAAAATCCATTCCCAGTCTTGGCATTTGATCTTATGCCAAGCTTCACTGCATGGAAAACACCTTATTTCCAGTGGCTTATGGTAAACAGTAGTGATCAGTAAGAACAGATAAAGGCTAGAATATGACTCTGAGATGGGGACGTTTTAAGAAAATCTTTTGAGACATGCAAAGAAATAGGAAGGTATGGCCCATACATAGTGCGTGTGGTAGTGATGGGGATACCTGTTAAATGAAAAAGTCACTGAGGGATCCAGATATTGGACTTATTATACAATGACTCTAAATCAGCAATTATAAACATTTTAAACAACTAAAAAAAGTATATTTAAAAATTAAGGGAAGGTATGGCAATAATATCTCACCAAATAAAGAGTAACAATAAACAAAAATATTTTATAATAGAAATGAATAGAAATTTGGGGTTGAAAAGTACAACAACTAAAATGAAAATTCTCTGGAGATGTTGAAACTATAAGCTTGTAGAAGAAGGAATTATCAAACCAGATTTGTCAATATCTGAAGAATAGAAAGTAGAAAAGATATATATACATATATATATATATATATATTTTTTTTTTTTCTTTTTTGAGATGGAGGTTTGCTCTGTCACCCAGGCTGGAGTGCAATGGTGTGATCTCTGCTCACTGCAGCCTCCACCTCCCGGGTTCAAGGAATTCTCCTGCGTCAGCCTCCCGAGTAGCTAGGACTACAGGTACACACTGCCACACCCAGCTAATTTTTGTATTTTTAGTAGAGATGGAGTTTCCCTATGTTGGCCAGGATAGTTTTGATCTGACCTCATGATCCACCCACCTCAGCCTCCCAAAGCAAACATTTTTAAGAAGAAACACTTTTAGTTTCCTCTGGCATACTATCAAGCAAATCAAAATAGGTACAATATAAATTACAAAAGCAGAAGACAAAGAAAATAATCAGAAAAAAATATATATATGAGCTGGGAGATGGTGGCTTAAGCCTGTAATCACAGCATTTTGAGAGTCTGAGGCAAGAAGACCACTTGAGGCCAGGAGTTCAAGACCAGTCTGGGCTACATAGCAAGACCTTGTTGCCAAAATAAATTGTTTTTAAACATAGCTAGGCATGGTGATGTGCGTCTGTAGTCCTAGCTACTCAGGAGGCTGAAGCAAGAAGATTGCTTTAGCCTAGTAGTTCTAAGCTGCAGTGATCCATGATTGCACTAATGCACCACATAGCCTGGGTGAAAGAGCAAGATCCTATCTCAAATAAACAAACAAACAAACAACAACAACGAAAATGTAAATAAATTATAGTCAAAACTTTATGAAATCTGATTTTTAAAAACACATTAATATCACATCTAAGAAGTTCCAATGAACTCCTAATAGGATAAACTCAGAGATCTACACATTGACACATCATAGTAAAACTGTCAAAGTCAAAAACAAGAAGAAAATTTCTAAGCAGCAGAAAAAGATGGTTGCTTATGCACAAGGCATCTTCAATAATAGCAAATTGCTGACTTCTCATCAGAAACTATAGAGGCCATAAGACTGTAAAATGATATACTCAATGGACCTAAAAGAAAATGGTTGTCAACTAAGAATTCTATACCCAGCAAAACCATCCTTCACAAATGGAGAAATAAACACTCTCTCAGATTAAAAAAAGGCCTAGAGAATGTATCACCAACAGACTTGTACTGAAAGCTAATGAATTGTAGGATACTAGATGATAAATTGAATTCAAATAAGGAAATAAAGATCATAAGCAAATGTAATTATATGAGTAAATATGAAAGACAGCATACATACAATTTTGTTTTTAACCTTTATTACCCTCACTACCATAGAATACAAAATTAAATAAAGTCAAGTAAAAAAAGTAACTTTCTGAATTCGAGCAGAAAGTAACATATTTCTAGAAATACAACATGCTATTCTTAGGTCCATCCACTAAACAATTATAGAAACAATTAAATCTCAACTGTATTAATACCATAATACTGAGCATTCTGAGTAGCCATGGTAAAGTTTGTAAATATCATTTACCATTAAATGGAGAAAAATTCCTAGGAGAAATGACTGATGTCAACTCCATAACAGGAAGTATATAAGATAACCATTTTTGAGAGAAAAACAAAATTGACAAACCTTTAGCTAGACTAAGAATAAAGAAGAGAAGGTTCAAATAAAATTTTAAATGTGAAAGGAGATATTACAACTAAGTATCATAAGAGAGTATTATGAACAATTATATGCTAACAAATTAATAACCTTATAAAAAAGGATTTTTTTCCTAGAAACATATAACCTACCACACTGAATCATAAAACAAACAAACAAACAACAACAACAAAAAAAAAACAGAAAATCTTACCAGGCCAAAAACAAGTTAGGAGACTGAATCAGTAACAAAAAACCCTCTAACAAATGAAAGCCGAGTACCCGATGACATTTCTGGTGAATTCTCTCAAACAATTAAATAAGATTTAATTCCAATCCTTCTCAAAATCTTCCAAAAAGTTGAAGATGAGGCAACCCTTCCAAAGTCATTTGCAAATCTAGCATTACTCTGAAACCAAAGCAAGTCAAGGACACTATAAGAAAATAAAATTAAAGACCAATATTCTTGATGGATACAGACACAAAAGTTCTCAACAACATGCTAGCAAACAAAATTCAACAACACATGAAAATGATCACACACCATGATCAAGGGCACTGTATAATTTGGATGCAAGGATAGTTTAATATATACAAACCAATAAATGCAATATACCACATAAATAGAATGAAGGATAAAAATTACATAATCATCTCAGTAGATGCAGAAAAGTAATGGACATAATTCGGCATCCTTTCAAGATAAAATCTCTGAAGAAATTAGGTACAGACAAAATAAACCTCAACATGATGAAATATGTATGCATCAAGCCCACAGCTAACATCACACTCAGTGGTGAAAAGGTGAAAACTTTTCCTCTAAGATTAGAAACAAGACAAAGATGCCCACTCTCACTACTTCTATTTGACATAGTATTGGATCTCCTAGCTGGAAAAATTATACAAAAAAATAAAAATTAAAAACATCTAAGCCAGAAAAGAAGAAAAATTATTTCTGTTTGCAAAGCAGAATATGTAATCTTGTAATAGAAGGCTGGGTGCAGTGGCTCACACCTGTGATCCCAGCGCTTTGGGGGGCTGAGGCAGGTGGGTCATTTGAGGTCAGGAGTTTGAGACCACTCTGGCCCAGACGGGGAAACCCCATCTCTACTAAAAATACAAAAATTAGCCAGGCATGGTGGTGGGCATCTGTATTCCCAGCTACTCGGGAGGCTGAGGCAAAAGAATCACTTGAACCCAGGAGGTGGAGGTTGCAGTGAACCGAGATTGTGCCACTGCACTCCAGCCTGGGTGACAGAGTGAGACTCTGTCTAAAAATAATAATAATAATATTAATAACCTTATCTACAGAAAATTGACTCTACCAAAATCTATTAGAACTAGCAAATAAATTCAGTAAGGTTGCAGGACACAAAACCAACCTTCAAAAATTAGTTTTATTTTTATACATTAATGAACTATTCAAAAAAAAACTTTTAAAATTTCGTTTACAATAGCATTTAAAAAGTAAAATATTTTGAAATAAATTTAACCAAGGAGGTGAAAGATGTGTATAATGAAAATTATAAAACTGTAATGAAAGAAACTGAAGAAGACACAAATAAGTAGAAAGATATCCTATTTTCATGGATTGAAAAACAATATTGTTAAAATGGCTTTACTACACAAATTGATATAATTATTCAATGCAATCTCTATTAAAAATTTAATAGCTTTTATATAAAAGTATTAAAAAATTCTAAAATTCATATGGGAAAACAAAAGACTCCAAATAAGCAAAGCAATCCTGAGAAAGAAGAACAAAGCTAAAGGCACCACAATTTCTGATTTTAAATTGTATTACAAACCTGCAGTAATAAAAACGGAATTATACTGGCATAAAGATAGATACATAGACCAATATAATAGCATATGGGGCCCAGACATAAATACATCCATATATGGTCAACTAATTTTTGACAATGATGACAGGAAGACAAAATGGGATTACATTAAACTAAAAGTCTTCTGTAGACTCAAGGAAAAAAAACATGAAAAGACAACCTGTGGAATGGGAGAAAAAATTAACAAACCATGTATCTGATAACGGACTAATGTTCAAAATATTTAGGAAACTCCTACAATTCATTAGCCAAAAAGCAAATAACCAGATTTAAGTATGGGCAAAGGACCTAAATATACATTTATCCAAAGAAGACATGCAAAGCCAACACATATAGGCAAAAGTGCTCAACATTAGTAATTTTCCAGGGAAATGCATATTAAAACTTCAATGAGATATTACTTCACACCTAATAAGATGGCCATTATTAAAACAATACAAAGGATAGTGTATGTTGACAGAGAGGTGGAAAAATGGGAACCCTGGTATACTGTTTGTGTAAATGTAAATTAATAGAGCCATTGTGGAAAACATTATAAGTTTTTCTCAAAAAATTAAAAATATAGCTATTATAGGATCTAGCATTCCTATTTCTGGTATTTATCCAAAGGAATTTAAATCTGAATTTTGAAAAAGATACCTGCCTTCTTATGTTTATTGCAGCATTATTTACAGTAGATAAGATATGAAAACAACCAAATGTCTATCAATGGATAAATGGAAAAAGAAGATGAGGTAATACACATGAATTAAAATAGTATCCAGCCTGTAAAAAGATGTAAACCCTTCCATTTGAATAAACCTGGATAGTCCTAGGGGACATTATGGATAGTCCTAGGGACATATAAGTAAAATAAGACAGACCCAGAAAGACAGATACTGTATGACTTCACTTATATGTGAAATCTAAAATAGCTGGGCTCATAGAAGTGGAGTATAGAATGGTGTTTGCCAGGAGCTAACAACACGGGAAAATGGGAAGATAATGGACAAAAGGTACAACATTTCAGTGACACAAAATAAATAATTTCAGTAGATTTACTTTACAGCACAGTGCTGATAGATAACAATACTGTATTGTACACTTAAAATTTGATATGATGGTAGATACTATGTTTAGTGTTCTTACCACAAAAATATATATATATCGTGATAATAATAAAGGGTACGGAGGAAACTTCGGTAGATGATGGTATGTTTATGGCTGTGATGGTGGTGATGATTTTACAGGTGTACACTTATTCTCATACCCATTAAGTTGTATACACTAAATATGTGCAGCTTTTTACATGGCAGTCATACCTCATCAAAGTAGTTAAAAAATAAACTTGGCACTCATTGCAGTAAAAAAAAAATTAATTAAAAAACAGCAACAAAATAACCTATACAGATAGAAGATACAGAAAAGGAGAGGGGAGAAAAATGAACAAATGAAAGCAGTTCATTTGCTGTTGTGGAACATAATAGATAATCAAGTCTTTTTTATTCCACTTTTCATGTTAATGGTCTAGATACGCTAAAGGAGGTACAATGTCACAGTAATTATAAAAAAGGCACAACTAGTGTTTACTAGAAACCAACTTTAAATATAAAGATTAAGATTTGTAAAAAGGGATGGAGAAATACGTATCATGCTAACATAAATCAGCAGCAAGCTGGTGTAACTATATTTATTTCAAACAAAGCAGACTTCTGATCAAGAAATATGATCCTTGATAAAGAAGGATAATATATAATAAAAAATTATTCAGAAAAACATTGCAATTCTAAACATGTATGCACTTAATATCAAATATGTAAGACAAAAAAGTATTATGACTTAAAAGGTAAATATAAAAATATACAATTACAGTTGCAGTATAATATTGTTATAACCTATTATAATTCTAATAAGACATATAAGTTATAATAACACAATAGCCTCCCCCCTTATCTGTGCTTTCAATTACCACAGTCAACTATGGTTTGAAAATATTAAATTAAAAATTTCAGAGAAACAATTCATAAGTTGTAAATTATGCACCTGTCCAGTAGTGTGATGAAATCTCATGCTGTCTCACTCTGACCTGCCCAGAACATGAATTATCCCTTTGTCCAGTGTATCCAAGCTGTATATACACTACCTGCTCATTAGTCACCTGGTAGCCATTTTGTCATCATATCAACTGTCATGGTATCAAAGTGCTTGTGATCAAGTTTTCTTTTAAGTTTTTATTTTACTTAAAAATGTCCTGAAAGTACAAGTGTAGTGGTGATGTCAATTTGAATATTTCAAAGTGTAGTCATAAAGTGCTTGCTTTAAATAAAATGGTGAAACTTCTTTACTTAATAAGGAAAACAACGTATGCTAAGTTTACTAAGATGTATAGTAAAAATAAATCATATCTGTTAAATTGTAAAGAACAAAAATATGTGTAGAGTATATACTGGATTTGCTACTATCTGCAGTTTCAGGGATTTATTGGTAGTCTTAAGATGTAACCCCAAGGGTACATCTTAAGGGATGTACTTTAAAAGCCACAAAAGACAGATTAATCTGATATGCATATTGCTGAGTGAAGGAATCTAGTATGTAAGGTCACGTTCTATATAATTATACTGTCATTCAGAAAAAGGCAAAATTTTGCATTTAAAATATCAGTGGTTGCCACTAGTTCATGGAGAGAAGGAGGGTAAATAAGTGAAGCAAAGGGGAATTTTTAGCATGGCAAAGCTATTTGGTATAATAGTTGTAGTGGAGGGTACATAACACTTTGCATCCGTCAAAAGCAATAAAACTTTACAGGACATAGTATCAACTTTAATATGTGCAATGAAAATATCATTCTATAAAGCAAGCATTACCCTGAAACCTAAACCTAACAAGGACACTCACACACATGAAGACTACAGGCCAGTATCTCTGTGAATATAAATGCAAAAAATTCTCAACAAAATTCTACCAAACCAAATTCAACAGCCCATTGAAAGGATCATTCATCATGATCAAGTGGTACTCATCCTAGGAATGCAAGGACAGTTCAACATATGCAAATTGATAAATGTGATATAACACATTAACAGAATGAAGAACAAAAATATAATTACTTTAATAGACGCAGAGCAGGATTTGACAAAATTCAACATCCCTTCATCATAAAATCTTTCATGAAATTAGGTATAGAAAGTATGTATCTTAATAAAATAAAGGTTATGTATGGCAAAACTACAGTTAACATCATACTGAACAGTAAAAAAAGCTGAAAACTTTTCCTCTAAGATCTGGAGCAAGACAAGGATGCCCACTCTCACCATCACTGTTCAACATAGCACTCAAAGTCCTATCTAGAGCAATTAGGAAGCAAAAGAAAGAAAGAAAAGACATCGACATTGGAAAGAGGGAAGGAAGCTAAATTGCCCTTGTTTGCAGGCGACATGATATTGTATTTAGGAAACCCTAAAGACTCCACCAAAAAAGTTGTTAGAACTGATAACCAAATTAAGTAATGTTTCAGGATACAAAATCAGCATACTAAAATCAGTTGCATTTCTATTTTCTAATATCAAATTATTTGAAAAGGAAATTTTAAAAAATTCCATTTACAAAAGATAAAAATTCTAGAAATAATTTTAACCAAGGAGGTGAAAGGTCTCTACAACAAAAACTATAAAACCCCCATGAAAAAAATTGAAGAAGATACAAAAAAGGAAAAGTTATCTTGTGTTCATGAATTTAAATAACATTGTTGAATATCTCTACTACCTAAAGTAATATAAAAGTAAATGCACTCCCTATCAAAATACCAATGAATTTATTCATGAAAACAGAAAAAATATTCTAAAATTGGTCTGGAACCACACAACATCTTGAAGAGCCAAAGCAATCCTGAGCAAAAAGAACAAAGCTGGAGGCATCACATTACCTGACTTCAAAATGTACTAGGAAGCCATTGTAACAAAAAACAGCATGGTACTGGCATGAAAACAGACATACAGATTAATAGATTAGAATAGAGAACACAATATGTGTTCACTGAGAACATACATTGGAGAAAGGACAGTGTCTTCAGTAAATTGTGTTTGGACAACTATACATCTACATGCAAAAGAATGAAATTAGTTACTTATCTCTCACCATATGCAAAAACCAACTCAAAATAGATTAAAGACTTAAATGTAAGACCTGAAACTGTAAGACTACTAGAGGAAAACATAGGGGAAATTCTTCATGACCATTCATATGGGTAAGAAATTTTTAGATAAGACCTCAAAAACACAGGCAACAAAAGCAAAGTTGGACATTACACTAAAAAGCTTTGCACAGCAAAATAAAAACAAACAATCAGCAGAGTAAAGAGGTAATCTATAGAAAGGGAGATAATATTCACAAGCTATACATCCAAAAAGAGGTTAATATCCAAAATATATAGAAAACTCAAACAACTCAATAGCAAGAAAACAAATATTTCTACTGAAAATGGGCAAAAGACGTGAATGGACACTTCGCAAAGGAAGACATACCCGGTGCCCAACAGGTGGAAGAAAAATTACTCAACATCAGTAATCATCACGGAAATGCAAATGAAAACCACAATGAGCTATGACCTCACACCTGCTATGATGGGTATTAGTGATAAAGACAAAATATAACAAGTGTTGGCAAGGATGTGAAGAAAAGGAAACATTGGTATATTTTAGGTGATAATATAAATTAGTACAGTCACTAAAGAGAACAGTGTAGAGGTTCCTCAAAATATAAAAAATAGAACTATCATATGATTCAGCAACCTCATTACCCTCATTCATATATCCTCATTACTGGCTCTATATCCAAAGGACTTGAAATCAATATGTCAAAAATACTTCTGCACTTTCATGTTTATGGCAGCACCATTCACAATAACCAATACATGCAGTCAACCTAGGTGTCCATTAACAGATGAATGGATAAAGAAAATGTGATATACATATATGTAAACACACACGCACACACACACACACACACACACACACACACAACAGAATACTATGAAGCAATAAGATGGAACAAGCTCCTGTCATGTGCAATAACATGGAGAAACCTGAAGAATATTACGTGAAGTGAAATATTCCAGGCACAGAAAGATGTATTACATGTTCTCACTCACATGTGGAATATATCATAGGTTTTCTCATAGAAGGAGAGAATAGAATGGTGGTTACCAGAATATTGAGTGGTTAGGAAGGAGAGAACATGGGGAAGATGTGAGTCAGAAGATACACAATCACAGTTAGATATGAGGAATACTAAAATGAGCACAATAGAAAAATGTATAGATACAGATACTAGGTAAGTGGCCTGGTATCAAGGGGTAGAAGGGAAGAAGATAGAAAGGGGAGGAAGAGAAATGAAGAATGACTACTAATGGTTATGGAGTTTCTTTACTGGATTATGAAAATGTTCCAAAATTGATTGTGGTGAAGTTTGCTCAGCTCTGCTGTGAACATACTAAAACCATTGGACTGTATATTTTAAATAGGTGAATTCTATGATGTGTGAATTATATTTTAATAAAGCTGTTAAAAATCAAACTTAGAAATTATCAAATAAATTTCCCATTCACATATTATGGAGAATACCACTTCACATTTGTTAACTGAGTTAATGGATACCTGAGAATATTAATTCCTCTTGATGAAATGTGTAGGAGATTCTTCTGCAAAACTACATTAACTTTGGTGATATAATTGTATCAAAACTTAATTTATAAGAACACATATTGTATAAGTGAATTTAATATGAATTATGCATATTTTTAAAATGTTATTCAAATGGCTTACAGACATGTGAGCATATTCTTAAAATATTATTCAATGGCTCACAGAAACAACGCAGGAAAAAATACCTGAAAGGTAGTACCCAAACAGAAACATGTAGAAGGACAGGCAGAATGGTGCCGTGTTTAAAAGCATGGAATCTGAATCTAGACTATCTAGGCACAATTTTCCTTAGTAACCTTGAGAAATTTACTTTCTCTATGCCTCAGTTATATCATTATGAAACAAAGATAATAATAGTTCCATAGAAAGATAACTCTGTATTTAAAGAGGTTTAAATTGTGTGTATGTGTGTGTGTGTGTGCATGTGTATGAAATACTTACAAAAGTTGTTGGTACGTAATTACTACAGAGGTGTTAAATATTAATATTGTACTTAAAATATCTGCATGCAAATTAAATTTATTAAATAGCAATAAGGATCATTGGCATTCATTCACTTTACATATTAAAATGTCACTTTCTTGTCCAGTTGCAACATTCCAAAATGCAGACCATTCTGTATATGATCCTGAATGTTACCATCAGCAAAAATCATGGTTATTTCACCTCAGTTTCTCCCTATATCCCATTAAGGCAATTTTGTGTCTGTATTTCCATGACTCTTGATGATGAAATGCATTTTGCTATTGTGTTGATTCAATGTATTCTTTTTCTACCAAGGAAAACTAAGGGACAAAATAGTTATAAACATGAATAATATATTAATAAGGCCTTACAAGGTACCTAAAAATTACTCCACAATGTTTATAATAAATTTCTGGGATAAATTACATCCTACTGTGTGGATTCTATTTTTTCCTTTGATATTTGATAAATATATTAAATGTTTATGAGAATTTATAAGACTATAATGCCTCTACATATCTATTAAATTACATCTTTTCCCTTGTTCAAATATTTCTATTCTTTTGACATGATTTCTAACACCAGAAATTAACCTTTTCAACACTAACAGTAGCATAAAAAATTAAGTAGGAAGATGGACTTCAGTGAGATAGCTGTGTACCAAAATTGTGATTGATAGAGTAAAACAGAATTTGCTTAGACCATTTTAGGTCGTTTTTCAAACTCTGGGTTTTGTCTCTGTGTCAGCACACAATGTGATCAACAATTTTAAAATGAAATAGTAGTTATTATATAATTACAGTATATATGTGTGCGTACACATCTGCACTATGTGGTTGGAAACTAGTCTTGAGGTGGAGAGCTGAAGAATGTGTAATTTGCTAGGGGTTTATTTTGTTTGAGGCAAAAGTATGGATATTGACATCTTAAACAGATACTATTATGATTGTGACCTACCTTAAAATCTACTCCATTAGTGACATTTCTAACTACTGTCAGTAAATACAGTTCATATCAAATAATTTAATCTTCAACTATTAACATAATGTTAAAAATGCTGTAGTTTTTTTGTGTGTCAAATTTTACATATGAAGGAGAAGTACATAAGCTTATTTGAACTTCATTATTCTTTACATCATATCTCACTCTAGTTTCATTATTTAGGAAAGCATCATTTTGATCACAACATTCTAGAAACATATATACTATCACATGCAAAGGGTAACTGCAATTATTTGTATTTGAAGGTTAATTGAAAGGATAGTGAGAAGTGTACTAGCACAATCTTTCTTCCATAGATATTTTTATTCTTCAACAAGATTGAGATTTCAGAATATCAATTCATAATTTTTATTATCATTCTCATAAAATACAAAGTCTTTTAAAATGGATACATAATATTTGTACATGGTTATGGGATAAATGTGGCATTTTGTTATATGCATAGTATTGTATAATGATCAAGTCAGGATATTTAGGATGTCCATTACCTGGAGTATTTATTATTTCTATGAGTTGGAAACATTTCGTGTCCTCTCTTCTAGCTATTTTAAAATACACAGCACATTTTTATTTAGTGTCCCTACTCTGCTATCAAATATTAGAATTTATTCCTTTTATCTAACTCTACGTTCTTGTTGTTTTGAGACAGGGTATCACTCTGTTGCCCAGGCTGAAATGCAGTGTCACGATCTCAGCTCACTGCAATCTCTGCCTCGTAGGTTCAAGCAATTCTCTCACCTCAGCCTCTCAAGTAGCTGGGACTACAGGCGACTGTCACCATGCCCAGCTAATTCTTGTATTTTTTTTAGAAGAGGCAGGGTTTCACCATGTTGGCCAGGCTGGTCTTGAACTCCTGACCTCAAGTGATCCACCTGCCTCAGCCTCCTAAAGTGCTAAAATAACAGGCGTGAGCCACCACACCTGGCTATCTAACTCTATGTTTGTATTCACTAACCAATCTCTCTTCATCTCTCTGCCACACATACATCTTTCCCACTCTCTGATATGTATCATTTTACACTCCATCTACATGAATTCGTTTTATTTTTTTAGCTCGCACATGTGAGAACATGCGATATTTGTCTTTTTGTGCCTGTCTTGTTTCACTTAACAGAATGACCTCCAGTTCCATCCACAATGTTGCAAATAAGATGATTTTATTCTTTTTTGTGGCAAAATAGTATTCCATTATGTATTTTCTTTTATCCATTTGTCCCTTGATGGACACTTAGGTGCGTTCCATATCTTTTTGCTATTGTGAATAGTTCTGCAATAAACATGGGGGAGTAGGTATCCCCTTGGATACACTGATTTTCTTTCCTTTGAATAAATAACCAGTAGTAGAATTACTGGATCATATGGTAGTTCTAGTTTTAGTGTTTTAAGAAATCTCCATATAGTTTTGCATAGTGGCTGCCCTAACTTACATTCCTACCAACAGTGGATGAGGGTTCTTATTTCTCCACATCCTTGCCAGCACCTGCTACTTTTTTGTCTTCTTTAAAATAGTCATTCTAATTTGGGTAAGATGATAACTCATTGTGGTTTTGATTTTCATTTTCCCTGATGATTAGTGTGTTGAGCATTTTTTCATATACCTACTGGCCATTTGTATATCTTCTTTTGAGAAAGTGTATTCATGTCCTTTGCCCACATTTTTTAATTTATACAATTATTTATTTGATATACATATAATCAACTTGTCACCAGGGATTCTGCATTGGGATGGATCCTTTAACCAAGATCAATAGAGCCAGAGCTCTGGACCAGCAATCCCAGTTCCTGTGATAGTGAGCAAAAAATTGCAGACTAACACCAAAAATGCAAGCTTAAAGTAAACTTTACTGAAACACAGTAATACACTCCCAGAGGGATAGAGGGCTGACTTCTGTGAAGTGAAATCAGCCACTCTTTACAGAGCTCAGGGTGCTTTTACAGGATTTGTGGGGAGGAATTGAGGCTTGGGCTGTGTTTGAGTGATGGGTTGATGTTATTTGATTGGCAGTTTAAGGTTTTATAATTGAAGTTAAACTGCACATGTTCTGTTTTATGCATAATTCATTAAGAAAAACCCTCTCAAGGGGGAAAAGCCACATGTACATTTTATTATAATGCTGTATAATTAGGTTGGGGTTCCTGGGGGTTATGGCCTAGTTGGACTGGCCATGCGCCGCTTCAGGGGATTTTTACCTTTGCTCCAGTTTTTCTTTCTCCAGAAGGTTCTGGCCACAAGCTTTACCACAAACTCCATCTGTTAGGGTGGAGTTAGGGTGGTTTGGGGCTGAATTTAGGTGGGCCAGGATCTGTCTTAGTGACAGCCCTTTTGCTCTCTTCTCTCACCCCCTCCCAGCTGTTAATGTCTAACTAACTACCTAACAACAGCATAAGGTTTAAAAGACCAAATTATCTCAAAGCATTCAGCACCATGTTAATATTGTCTTCTGTTGGAACTAGTTTTGTTTGTATGTTTGTTTAGGAGATAGCTTCCCAAGTTGGTGATTGATACTCTTCCATGTATGAAACCTTGCATGGAATTCAGAATCCCAGCTTGTAAAATAGCAGTATGGTCATCATTAGTGGAAAATTGTTTTCACATTTCTGAGCAGAGACTAATACTAAAATTGTGGCTATTATTCATTCTTAAGCATCAGAAATGCTTTCAAGTTCAGCTAACAATGATATACATGTTTTTGGACTTTTAAAAAATTTATTTGAGTTGCCTGTATTTTATTACTTTCATTCTAGGTTCCAACTTTCATTCTCGGTTCAGGGGTATTTGTATAAGATTGTTACACGGGTAAATTACAGGTCTTGGGGTTTGGCGTACAGATTACTTCATCACCGAGGTTATAAGCATGTTGCTAGATAGGTAGTTTTTGTACCCTCTCCCTCCTTTCACCATTCACCCTTAAGTACACCCCAATGTCTATTGTTCCCTTCTTTGTGTCCATGTGTACTTAGTGTTTAGCTCCCACATATAAGTGAGAAAAGGCAGTAATTGATTTTCTGTTCCTGTGTTAATTTGATTAGGATGATGCCTCCAGCTGTGCCCACAACGCTGCAAAGAACATGATTTTATTCTTTTTTATGGCTGCACAGTATTCCATGGTGTATATGTACCACATTTTCTTTATTCAGTCTGCCATTAATGGGCATGTTTGTTGGTTCCATGTCTTTTCTATTGTGAATAGTGCTACAATGAACATATGTGGGCATGGGCCTTTTTGGTACAACATTATTATTCCTTGGGTAGATAACCCAGTATTGGGATTGCTAGGTTGAATGGTACTTCTGTTTTAAGTTCGTTGAGAAATCTCCAAACTGCTTTCCACAGTGGCTGAACTAATTTACATTCCCACCAGTAATGTATAAGCGTTCCCTTTTCTCCACAATCTCACCAGTATCTGTTGTTTTTTGACTTTTTAATAATAGCCTTTCTGACTATTGTGAGATGATGTCTCATTGTGATTTCAATTTGTATTTCTCCACTGATTACAGATGCTGAGCATTTTCTCACATGATTGTTGGATGCATGTGTGTCTTCTTTTGAAAAGTGTCTGTCTTTTGCCTACTTTTTAATGGAATTGTCTGTGTGTGTGTGTGTGTGTGTGTGTGTGTGTTTACTGTTGAGTTGTTTGAGTTCCTTTTGTATTCTGGATATCAGTCCCTTGTCAGATGAATAGTTTGCAAATATTTTCTCATGTTCAACAGATTTTTCTCTTCACTCTGTTCTTTCCTCTGCTGTGCAGAATATATATTCTTAGTTTACTATAGTCCCCTTTTACTATTTTTGTTTTTGCTGTTTGTGCTTTTGAGGTCTTAGCCGTAAAATTTTCCCAGACCAGTGTCCCCTATCTTTTATTCTGTATTTTTATAGTTTTATGTCTTATGTTTAAGTCTTTAATCTACCTAGATTTGATTTTTGTGTATGATATGATATAGGGGTCCAGTTTCATTCTGTTGCATAAAAATATTCTAATTTCTAAACACTATTTATTGAATAGGGTATCCTTTCTCCAATGTATACTCTTGGTGCCTTTGTCAAAAATCAATTGGCTGTAAACATATGAATTTATTTCTACGCCCTCTATTCTGTTCTATTGTTCTGTGTGTCTGTTTTTATGTCAATACCATGCTGTTTTGTTTACTATAGCCTTTTTATATATTTTGAGGTCAGGCATTATGCTACTTCCAATGTATTTTCTTAATGAGTCCCTGCATTTGAGACAAATACCATCTCTAACCTCCTACCCCTGACCCAGACACACAAAGACACACATGCACATTCTCTGGTCTGATCATATGTGACCTCTTTGGTCAAATTTCATTGAACTCTTTTTATACTATATTCCTATACCCATGAATTTGCCCATACTGTTAACTCTGGAATACTCTTTCATGCAATTTTCTATGATACCTTCTCAGTATATACATCTTTGAGATTTTGTTTTAATTCCTATTTAAACATGCTTGCATGTTGAAGATCGATGCTCTATTTCCACTTACTAAATAATGATTAGCAAAACATGTAATTTTCTGTAGGTTATTTTTGTGATAGTCCTAGGAAGAATAGTAGTAAAAGCCTTTCAAAATTGTATTTAAAAATATATTTAAGTGTTTTTTTAATCCTTTAGGGTATGGGATCTTGGGCAAATTTCTTAACTTTTCTGAATATCTGTGTCCTCATTTGTAAGTGCTAAAATATAGAAGAGCAAATTAGCAAGAAATAAAAAAAATACTTGAAATCAATACAAATGCATTCATAATTTGCAAACACATTAATTAAAATATTATAGCATTATTTATTTCTTACACTACTCTAAATTTTCACCTAATATAAGGAATATATTTTCTGAACAAGTCAAGAAAATAGTTTAGTAATTGAAGTGCTCTAATTGGAATTTCAAAATTATTTTAATAATAAACAATTTCAGAATGGATGTGGTGGCCCACATCTGCAATCCCAGCACTTTGGGAGGCCAAGGCAGGATTTCTTGAGACATAGAGTTCGAGACCAGCCTGAGCAACATGGCAAAAACCCATATCTCAAAAATACAAAAACATTTAGCTGGTCATGGTGGAATGTGTCTAAAGTCCCAGCTACTTTAGGAAGCTGAGGTGGGAGTCTGGGGAGGTAGAGACTGCAGTAAGCCGAGATCATGCCACTGCATTCTAGCCAGGGTGACAGAGTGAGACCCTGTCTCAAAAAAAAAAAAAAAAAGAAATTTACAATTTCAGTTAACTGATATTTTTAAAGTAAATCCTATTACACTATTGGTGAAAATTTAATTCCACCAATAAAAATGCCTATATTTGTTTTTATCTTTTGAAACAAATGGTATTTATTTATTTACTTAATTACTTCAAAATGAATTAACATTCTATGTTACTAAATAATCAGATTTCTTCTGTGTATTATTTATAACAACTTACTCTACACCCTGGAAAATAATCAGCTATCACTACGTTGGAACATTATGGTTCATAAGCACTCACTGTTGTCCCTTCATTTAAGAAACCTACAGTTTTTATATATGCATCAAATTAAGTATAACCCAAGTTGAAATTTTTGGACTACCGATCACTTCTTAAATAACCAGCATACATACAGTGAACCATTCTAAACACCTTAAGGTACACAGTGTATTCATTTTTATTTAGTTCATGCATAGCATTATTCTAGGATGTGAATTCTAGTTAGAAGAAACACAAATGATACTTTGCCACTATGGATTATGAAATAATTTTGTTAAATGTGGACTATGTAATGCTCATTCACATTTTATACAAAAGTTCAAAGAAAGGTAATTTAGAGTCAAGAGCATAATTTTTATTTGCTACCAATCTTTTAACTCCTTTAAGCTAAATTTAACAGACATCTCTGTTTGAAAACATTCTGTATATTTAAAAGACTCCCCTTTGTACAATCTGACAAATATGAAGAACATTTTTTGGAAAATGGCCAAAGTCTTTGTCCTGATTCCTACTCGACATAAACACTAACAAGAGGAATAGTCTATAGTCTATATTAATATTTTAGTGGATACCTGATTGTAGTATCTGCCAAAATTCCTGCCAAATCGAGATCTTGTGAGGCCTCAAGGATGCTAATTATTTGTTTTTCTTATATTTGTATAATAGAAACTATAATTTTGTATTCAATTGAATAGCTAAGAAACATGACGACAACAAAGCTATATAATTATGATTCATACACACAAAAGTCTTAACATCAAAAAGGCACTAATAATATCTTTTTGAGCACAGTTTCACTCGTTAAAACGTTGTCTTGAATTCTTTAAACTGTGTATTTGTTACGGGTAGTCACAACTCAATGTTTAGCTAGTTAATATTGCATAACGATACCAGAGGTATTGTACAAGAGATAAAGTGGCATTTCCCAAGAGTGTGCTAAAAATCTAACATGTATATCAATCAATTCTAATGGTCCATATAATCTTGTATTCCATATCTCATAATCACTAAAGTTTTTTAAATGGTTTTATGAGCTCTAAGCTGAACAACCCTCCATTAGTATCACCTATAGTAATCTCTCTACCTCACAAAGGCGGTACTAATGTGCATTAACAACAGTCCAAAATGGATGACAAATTCCTTTATTCATGAGATACTTCTAGTTCAGAGTCTTTCTCTGCCTAATAAGATTGAGTTTTTACAACAAAGATCCATTTCTAGCCATCAGCGGTATGTTCATGACAATGGTTTCTTTAAATACTTCCTCAAATTACAACCGTTTAATTTCTCTTGATTCACATAAAATATATATCCATTAATTTTATTAATTGCAATTTAACCACAATAATTATATTTTGGCTAAGCAAAAAGAACAAAGTTGGAGACATCATGCTACCCAACTTCAAATTATACTGCAGGGCCACAGTAACAAAAATAGCGTGGTACTGGTACAAAAATCGACATATGGACCAATGGAACACAATAGACAACCCAGAAATAAGGCTGCATACCTACAACGATGTAATCTTCAACAAACCTGACAAAAGCAAGCAATGGAGAAAGGACTCCCTATTCATTCAATAGTGATGGGATAATTAATTGGCTAGTCATATACAAAAGATTGAAACTGGACCCCTTCCTTATACCATATACAAAAATTTACTCAAGATAGATTAAAGACTTAAATATAAAACTAAAAACTATAAAATCCCCAGGACAAAACCTAGGCAATACCAATCTGACATAGAAATGGACAAATATTTCATGATAAAGACACCAAAAGCAATTGTATCAAAAGCAGAAATTGACAAATGTGGTATAATTAAACTAATGAGCTTCTGCACAGCAATGGAAACTATAAACATAGTGACAACCTACACAATGGGAGAAAACTTTTGCAAGCTATGTGCATGAGAAAGGTCTAATATTCAGCATCTGTAAGGAACTTAAATTTACAAGAAAAAGAAAACAATAAAAAGTGGGCAAAGGACATGAAGTAACACTTTTCAAACGAAGACATACATGCGACCAACATTCATATGGAAAGCAGCTCAACATCACCAATCATTAGAGAAATGCAAATCAAAACCATAATAAAATAACATCTCACACCAGTCAGAATGGCTATTATTAAAAAGTCAAAATACAACATATGCTAGCGAGGTTGTGGAGAAAAAGGAATGCTTATACACTATTGGTGGGAGTATAAATTAGCTCTGCCATTGTGGAAGACAGTGTGGTTGGCTCCTCAAAGACCTAAAAACAGAAATTCCATTTGACCCAGCAATCTCATTACTGGGTATCCACCCAAAGGAATATAAATTGCTCTGTTATAAAGACACATGCACGCATATGTTCATTGCAACACTGAATAGCAAAATCATGGACTCAACCTAAATTGCCCATCAGGGGAAGACTGGATAAAGAAAATGTGGTACACAACAGAATACTATGCAGCCATAAAAAAGAAAAAGATCATGTTTTTTTGCAGGAACATGTCTGGAGCTGGAGGTCATTGTCCTTAGCAAACTAATGCAGGAACAGAAAATCAAATACTGCATGTTTTCACTTATAAGTGGGAGCTAAATGATGAGAACACATGGACACATAGAGAGGAGAAACACACACTGGGCCTACTTGAGGGTGGAGGTTGCGAGAAGGGAGATTATCAGGAATAATAAGTAATGAGTACTAGGCTTAACACCTGAGTGACAAAATAATCTGTATAAAAATCTCCCAGGACACAAGTTTACCTATATAACAAACCTGCCATGTACCCATGAACTTAAAAGTTAAATAAAAATAAATTATAAATTCATATTTTGTTAAAAGTTTCCTACATTAGTCTGTATTTATCCATTAATTGTTGCTTTTTGAAGTCCTTCATGCCGTTCTTATTCTTGATGGTTTTATTTCAATAAGATGTATATTTTCTTCTATTATGACCATGATTTAATATAAAATGAATTAATACTCAATTTCTAAAATAATGCTTTTGATGGGAGTAAATTCAAAGTAAAAATGTCAAAAAGACAGAATGAATAGCTAGCTAGCTAACTAGTTGATAGATAGATAGATAGTAAAAGATAAATAAAAAGAGAGAGAGAGAAAGGAAGAAAGAATGGAAATAAAATTTACCATAAAATTAGTTTAAACCATTTTCAGTTACTGGATAATGACATATTATGGTGATTTTGCTTTTATATCTACTTTGCCATATTCACAAATCAGATACCATTAGCATTGTTATAAGTTGTAATTTAAAATAAATGCTACAGAACGACATCACCTTTAAATAATAATGTAAAATAAAAAAGACAAGGCATATGCAAATGGTTAACATAGTTAAGTCTGATTAAAACTATAACCTAAGAAAACTATAACTTAATAATTCGAGAAAAACTACTAATGTCCAACACTAAAAGGATAAAAATAAGTAACCCCAGAAACACTTTCATGTTACAGTGTAGACCAAAATAAACTAAAGCTACTAATTTATCTGATATATATCAAATACTGTTAATAAGTGAAAACTTTTGGACATTTTGCTACAAAATATGAGGTAGATTCTCTATTAATGTAGAAATAAAACAGTATAAACTTCTCTATATATCTTCAGACAAAAAAATTTCATTTTAGAAAACCTCAGAAATATTTCTAGTTTTTTCCTTCCTGATTTATAAGAAAGTAGGAAAAATGGTAAGAGTAAGTAGCATGAGAATTTAACTTTGTTTTGTTCACTGGCTCCTCCTCACTAAGCTTAAACACCTGTATTTAACATTTGATATTACTACCTTTAAAAAATGTGTTTTGCTGTATTTTAGAAATATGCTAGCTTTAGAAAATATCCCAACCATACTGCTTATTATTGGTGTGCATAGAAATACGTTTAAAGATGGTTGTCCCTTAAATATATTCAGATACTTGTCTAGTGATCTATCCTCACATAGCCTAACATACCCACAGGGAATGTATCCAACATTGTTGACACTCCACTTCTTACACTCTCAGCCCACATCTCAGTTCACCTGCATTGTCTACTGACAGTTTCTAGGCAGGGATTGCTTCCCATCTCCAGTGACTGCACCTCTGTTTCTCTGCTGAAAGCTTTCTCCAGCAGTTAATGCCCTCAGGTCTGCTCTCAAAAAATGAAGGGTAGGAATCTAAGGATAAATACCATGGACTTCAGGTTCCACAATGGGATAATTATGAGGCATACTCCACATGAGGGACCATAGCAGGATTCAGCCTAGTGATCTACAACATTCACCTGCTCATTTACATGATATCTCTAGGCTTTCCTTCTTCCTGGTTTCATGTTCCCTCACCTGTGCTTCCTGGATTTATCTCTCAAATTAACTAAACATACCTAAATCCCTACCACAGGGTTAGCTTCCAGTGGAACCCAAGCTAAGACAGTCAAAATGTAAAAAATTTCTCTTGTAAACACATATCCTACTGTTAATGTGGCTATAATACAATGATTTATCAGATTCTTTGCTTGTTCAAAGATAGTAATTTGTAAGTCAGTTTGTTAGCTGAAGAACTGTGCTAACTTCAGTTTTTCCTTTTGAGACATAATTGTCATAATTTAAAAATTTTTTTTTTACCATAAAGATTTCAGTAAATCATTTGAAGGATATAATAAGATTTCATATAAGCTTGAAATCATTATTTTTTTTGGCTATCTTTCATTATCATTTTGTTTTATATATGTTTTTGACAAGCAGATAATCTGGATCCATTTAAACATATTTACACAATGGCTATTGTGGTGTCCACCACTAAGTCCTGTGAATCATGGAAAAATTATTCTAATACCTACTCCAAAGGAGTCATCAGTTTATAAACAGGCACAAGGATACAAACATCACACTGTAGTTTAAAATTAGAATTATTTACAAATTCCAAAGATGTTAAAGGATGATTTCATGTTGAATTTTGAAGGATTGATGTAATTTATCAGGACGACGTGGAGAAGGATAATTAAGGTAACAATGCAAAATGTTTAATCCATAAAACTTCTTTAAAACAATCTTAAACTTCAAAGTATTTCTTTTCTGCTTTTTAAATATCTCATGTTTGTTTACAGGGTAAATTCTTTCTAGTATTTTTATCTTCTAAATTATATTGTTATTTTTGAGGTTTTGGTACCACATTATTTTTTTCTAAGTTTATTCATATTTTAACATTTTTGTGAAATTTAAATTTTATTATAGTAAGCTTTTATTTTCTGTCTTCTCTCGTTTTCCCAATTTAAGTTGCTATAATTGGAAAATTTATTAAAACTATTTTCTATTCTATTCCATCAACACTGTATTAGTCAGTTTTCACACTGCCACAAAGAATACTACCAAGACTGGGTAATTTATAAAGGAAAGAGGTTGACTCACAGTTCCACATGGCTGCGGAGGCCTCAGGAAACTTACAATCATGGTAGAAGGAAAAGTAGGCACCTCTTACATGGCTGCAGGCAAGAGGGAGAATGCATGTATAAGAGGAACTGTCAAACACTTATAAAACCATCAGATCTCATGAGAACTCACTCATTATCATGTGAATAGCATGGGGGAAACCACCCCCATCATCCAATCACCTCTGACCAGGTTTTGCCCTTGATACATGGAGATTATGGGGATTACAATTCAAGATGAGATTTAGGTGGAGACATAGAGCCAAACCATATTAAACACATAAAATGTTTTTCCCTGGATAGATTGCTAGGGCACCCTACTCCCTGGGTTCTCAGATCAGCAGAAAGGTAGTTACAACAAAATATACCCTCATATCAATCAGTCAAGTTGAGTTTTCTTGGCCTGGAAGTAAGAATATTGTGAAGGATAAAATTATAGAATCACTACAATAAAATTAGATTGTATTCATGATTTCTACATGATTAAGTTTGTCTTTCTATGAGGGGAATAACCAAGGCATTTAGATATTTTCTTAAAAAGAAATCAGATAAATGTGGAGAACAACATCCAGGTTTTAGATTCATTAAAAAGTATTGTGTGACCATGACTACAAATAACTCCTCTGAATCTCAGTTTTCTAATTAAAAAAAAATTTTTTTTTAAATAGACCCGATTACTTTGCAGTTCTTAATATCAAAAGTCTCATCAAGCAGTTATTGTCAATACCCTATACTTGTAGTCTGGTGGTGATAGCCTGAATTCATCTCAAAACTAGCTCAAAGGAAAAGCAGAGAATGAATATAAAATTTAGAATTCTATAAAACCTGAAGGGTTCTAAAGACAATCACAATATTTTAAGCTGTAGGAAGTATGCACTTTGACTAAAACAAATATTAAAGTTAATGAAACAATGTCAGTATTCACACTATGGTAAAACTCAATGATGTTACAATGGCTGAGAAAATGAAGGACATGTCACATTATCATAATATTCATTTCGATGTTAAATTTTCAGTTTAAGTTTTTAAATCAGGTCAGAGACAATTTATGCACACCCATGTTTATCTATGCTGTCAGTCATCACCTCTCCATTTTAATGTGTGGCATCCAGCATTTAATCGAGTTTCTAAAAGGGACTAATTAATCATGAAATATGTTTTAGCCAGGATTTCAGGCTTAAACTCATTTATGCCATATCTACTTGAAAGCAAAAGATTACACCTGACTGGAAAATGAACCATGCTATTATCTCACTAGAGAATTAGGCAGTAAGTGTCACTCTCTTGAAACAGCATGGATTCCTTTAAACACAAATTCATAATTAAGTCCTGCTTTGCATGGACACTGTGAAAGATACTCTAGTGCTTCTTTCTTCAAAAAAATTACCCAACTTTAAAGTTTATGATTAAAAATATTTTA
The DNA here is from genome assembly GCF_000001405.40 of Homo sapiens. Lineage (NCBI taxonomy): Eukaryota > Metazoa > Chordata > Mammalia > Primates > Hominidae > Homo > Homo sapiens. Next base: position 96,145,223 of record NC_000003.12, read on the forward strand.
TTTAGGAAGATTATATTTTTATTAAAGTACATGGTACTGATATAATAGGATTTAAAAAAATAAATTCTGAATTATTCATAGAATTTAGCCCCTTCTTTCCCATTAGATGATCTAGCTGTATTTACCTTGCAAATGTGTATGAGAAGGGGAGAGGATGGGGAGTTTTCCTTGTTCCTTTGCATTAGCTGTGGAGTACAGATATAAATCTGAAGGTGATGGAATTTATTAGCTCATTAGCTTAGGGATTACATGGAAAATGTTAAATTTCAAGACTCAGTCCTCATTCTCTTCTTTGCTCATTTATCAAAAAGAAGAGAAGGGGAATTTTAGGTATTCAAAGTTTTAAATTAAATTTTTTTTCTTTGTTGTGATCTATTTGAAAATTAGTGATTTTTAAGTTAGTAATTCATATCCAGTGAAGTAAACTTAAAAAATACCAAAATGAAAAAAGTAGAGAAAAGAAAAATTAAAAATTATATGCCCAGCAGCCAGAAATAGCTATTATTATCATGTTGAATGCCTTATCACTAATTTCCATGATTTACCCTGGAAATTTGTTTGTTCATTTATTATAAACATATAATATTGAACATTATTCTGAACTATAACATATAACATTTATTTGTTCATTTAACATGAACATATGAGCAGATGGTATTATTCTGTTGGCGATATTTTGTAGTCTGTTATTATTTACCATCAATATATGCCAACTCCTTAGGACATTTTCTTAAGATGATATTGATGGCTGGAAGATGTTCCATAAAAGGGATATTTAAAATTTTACTTAAGATTTCTACCATAATTTTATATATTTAGAAATTTTTTTATTCTCTACTTTAAAAATTGACATAAACTACATCCTTCTGCATTCAACTTTAAAATTTATGATAAAACCTTTAGGTTGATATTTATATGTAATATGACTGGGTCAAATAACATAAACATATTTGATGATTTTGATATGTATTTCCATTTATTTTTAGAACATATTTTGTCTCACCTTTGACACCCTATTTTATGCTTTTAATTTGTAGGAGACATCTATGTTGTAAGTTATGTAGCACCACACCTTCTTCTAAGAACTTCAGTCTTTCTTGCCTCTCAATAAAATGACTATCCAAGGACCAGTTATCTTCTCAAGAATTAACCTGCTTTTATTCCTGTAGCTTTGTAATATATTTTGGAATCAGGAAATGTGTTGCTTCCAACTTGGTCTTCTTTCTCAAGTTTGGCTTGGATGTCTGTGGTCTTTTACACCATGTGAAATATATAATTGTTTTTTCTATATATTTCTGTAAAAGTACCTTTAGGATTTTGACAGATTGCTTCAATCTATAGATCACTTTATAGTAAGTCTCCTAATTCATAAAGACAGGATGTTTCTTCATTTGCTTGTGCCTTCTTTAATTTCTTGTAAAAACATTTTGTAGTTTTCAATATACAAGTCTTTCTTCTCCCTACTTAAGTTTATTCCTAAGTATTTTATTCTTTTTGTTGCTATGATAAATGGGTTTGTTTTCTAATTTTGTTCACTGTTTTCCTATTTTTTATTATTGTTAGCACATAGAAATGCAACTTGTTTTTTATGTTGAAATCGAGATCTCAAGGAGATATTAGAAATCTCATTTTCATTACAGAACTATTCACAATATCCAACATGTAGAAACAACCTTAATGTCCATCAACAGAAAAGCATATAAATAAAATGTGGTATGTATGTACATAAAAAGGTAGAAAATTCTGAAATATATGACAACACAGAACATTACGCTAAATGAAACAAGCCAGTCACACAAAGACAAACACTGCATGATTCCAGGTATAGGAGGTCTCTAAAATAGTAAGATTCATAGAATCACAGTGGAGTGGTGGTTGCCAGGGGCTGGGGGAATGAGGAGTTACTAATCAATGAGCATAAAGTCTCAGTTAATCACGAAGAGTAAGTTCTAGAAATCTGCTATACAACGTTGTACCTATAGTCAACAATATCATATTATACATTTAAAAATTGTTAAGAAGGTAGATCTCAGGTTGTGTTCTTCCCACAATATATTTTTTAAAAAGTGAACTAACCTAGATTGGATCAATGAGCTCTTAGCTACATTATACTCCCCAATGCGTCTCTTGGAGTTGGCTCAGAAAGAAAGGGGATAATTGAAATTATTTTTTTAGGCAGACTCTGGAGAACATTAAAAGGCTGATCAAAGGAGTCACTCTACTGCCAGCAAAATAAATCACATGTGAGTTCAACAGAAATCCACTGTTTAAAAATATACTGTACTCATTTACATTATGTCAGTCCAAAGAAAGAAAATTACAGAATGCAAGAAGAAAAATTGAAAAAGATTAAAATGTTAGTAAATTTACATGAATAATGAAACATTAATAACTAAGTTTGTGGAGGTTGGAACAACACAAAATTAAAATATAAAACAATACTAGAGTTAAATCACTCAGTGTATACTTTCTTGGAGTAGTCTAGTGATATTGATTAAATTTGGAGATTGTTAAGTGAACATGTTTAAATTTATTATAACCATTAAAAATGATAGGAATGTACTTAGTGCTTGCTTCTGCTAGAAATGTCCTTTCCCCAGATCCTCACATGACTTATTCTCTCTAACATACCTTGAACTATTCCCTGACAATCTAACTTTAAATAATCAATCATTTACAAATATCTTTATTTTCATAGAACTTACCAACACCTGAAATTATAACACATATTCAGTAGTTTTTTTCTGTTTGTCTCCTTTGGGAATATTAGCTCCAGGAGAGGGATTTTGCACTGTATTCTCAGTGCTTACAATGCTGCAGGACAAATAACAAATGCTCAGTACAAGCTTGCTGATTGAATCAAAGAATGAATGCATGGATACATCAAAAGTCTTTTTTCCTAATGCTGATATTTGGTCATTCATCTCTGGTTTCTTAGGTATTTTCTTTTGTTCACATTTGTAATTTATAATACAGAGTCAATCCTGCAGTGTTAATTTCATTGAAGCCTTTTTCCTTGAGTTTGCAATATCAACATCTATTTTCCTTGACTTTTATTATAAGTTCTGTCAGTTGACTACTGTAAACCTAATTTTTTTGTTTGACCATATCCAGTATCACAAAATCAATTCTCCCCTTTTTCATTTTATTGAGTGCTTGAGATATTTTGGCCTAATATATTTTTCTTCTATTTCCTGGAATAAATATTGTAAATAATTTTTTTCACAAATATGTTGAATAATGCAATATTTTAACTTGGATTTTCATAGAACCAATGATGTTTTGTGGGCTGATGTTTTGTGGATCTCTTTTTCCTTTCTTAATGTAATATACAGTAATGTTATATATTAAAAATAAATTATAAATGCAGGTGCCAAATATTTATTCTTTGATTATATTTATTTCTAGTGTTGCATAATTATGCCTGAAATTGTTGTTTGATATGGAAAGAAACACACTACTATTAACTGTAAGAACAGGCCATATTTATTGATATTAACATACTTATTTATACTCAGAAAACACTGAAAGCCACTGTAATTTTATATTATTTAAAAATGTCAGTTATTAAGAAAAAATTAATAAAGCTATACAATTTGAGAGGTAGATATGATTATTGACAAGTTTTATACTGAATTTTGATGATTTTACTTTAAAAATCATTGAATAATTTCTTCTAAATAGTTTTAGAAGGTTAACTTGATCATTTTAACTTAATGAAAACAATCTATCACAATAGACGGTTTTTCTCACTCTTCTGTAACTTTGGAATGCTCGTACTATGTCTGAAAGTTTTGAATTTCATAAATATACCCCAGGTCAGAATCCAGAATTTTATAAATAATTTTCTCTGCTTTTTTTCAGTCAGGATGCTAGCATATTATGTTGGCTGCACCCAGCTGTGATGTATCCATGCACAGCACACATGAGGAAAAGGGCTGGCATTAAACTCTTTTTATCAGTGAAGGTGAAGGCATCTGACTTTCAGGAGATACTGTGTCTACGAAGCCAGTTTCTCAATGCATTGGTGTAATTAGTGAACATTAAATTATTTTTCTGTTGATGAGGAAAAAGTGATAACAAAAATTTCCTAAGGCTGTTTCTTTTTTTTTTTTTTTTTTGAGACAGAGTCTCACTCTACAGCATGCTCTTGACTCAGTGCAACCTCCACCTCCTGAGTTCAAGTGATACTCCTGCCTTAGCCTCCCAAGTAGCTGAAATTACAGGTGCATACCACCATGCACAGCTAATTTTTGTATTTTTAGTAGAAATGGGGCTTCACCATGTTGGCCTGTATGGTCTTGAACTCCTGGCCTGAAGTGATCTGCCTGCCTTGGCCTCCCAAAGTGCTGGGATTACAGGCATTAGCCACCACGCCCAGCCTCCTAACACCATTTCTGCTGAGGATTTTAGACATTGATTGTCTCTAGAACTTTAACCTGGAACTTGGTTCTCTTATCTTTATAATTCTCTGAGATACCCATTATTTCTTCAGCAGAAACCTAAAATCTAATGTTCCTCTCCTCTTAAATGCTTCTCTATTTGGAGATATTTTATTCTCTCAATTATGTTTGACTAGCACCTAATTATATTTATGATTACTTCATAAATACTGGCAGGGATATATAATCCTCATTGCTTAATTTCTTCTGGTAGTACTTCAGAGTGGCCTAAAATTGAATATATAGTAAATTTATTCCTAAAGAAAAATGAGCAGAGGAGATAAATATGAACATAATGATTGGAAAAATATTCTCAGGAGTAGCATTTATAAATGGGTAATCAGAGACAAAATTGAAAGGGAAGTTCTCACAATCATTTTTAGAGTCATATTCTTCTGTTTGTTTTTTTTCCTTCTCAGTAAATATGACATATATTTATATGTGTGTGTGTGTGTTTGTGTGTGTGTGTATGGATGTATGTGTGTGTGTGCATTTTCTTTGTATCCCACTTGTACACTGGGTGTTATTCTGGGTATACTGCACTCATCTCAATGTTTCTTATGTGAATTAAAACAAAGACCTTTCTTCAGAGCCTTTAATTGTTGACACTCCGATAATCTCAATTGAATAACTCATTTCAGGTACCAGGTATTTCCAGACATTATAAATTTTGATATAAAACAGTTTATGGGGACAAAAAGCTGAGAGATTCTGTCAAGGCTAGTTGTGTTCTGGCTCTCACTCTGGAGATTCCAGGAGTATCAAAGCTAGTTCTGAACAACTGTGAACCATAGTAATTGCTTTGCAAAATAGGATAAAGCCATTTAATTCAGATGTGCAACCCACAGAACTTTACTTCTCTTGAAATATTGGGAGATGACAGTGAGACTGTGGAAGACTTGAGAAAAACCCAGGAATAATATCAACAAGACCAAGGTGAACACAAACAAACAAACATGAGAATTTTCAGTAAAATTTAAAAAGTTATAACTAGATCAAAAAGGGATTTAAATTGAATTTTAACATCATAAAATCTAAACCAAATTTAGATTGTATTTTAAAAATTGTAGTCTTTTAATTAAACAAAGTCATATTAACAAAGAGAAGTATGTCATATTTGTACTTCTCTGTAAAATAAGTATTTTCATCCAAATCGGGTACAGTGAGATTAAGCCCCGTAGATTAAGTCCTTGGAAGATCTTCTCTGACTTCTAGCAGTAACAATTCACTTACGATGACAGGATACTAAGATTAATGACAGCAGCAGAAAAGGTGTGATCGCCCATTAAAAATTTTTTAAATTTTTTGACTACAACAAACTTTCCCTTTGCTTTTCATACTTTTCTATAATTTTCATCTTGTTTTGCTTATTTAATAATCACACAGCTACAAGGTTGGTATATAGTAGTAACACCTAATCTTTTAAGAATATTTTCATATATAATGTTCCATCAACTATCATAATCTACTTAATTCTTTTACTTGTAGTCAATATTTCAGTTATTATTACCTTGAAAATGATGATGAACTCCAGAATATGTTTAACATTTTTAGTATCATTGCCTCCTGTTGGATTCTAAAAGTTAAATAAATCCTTCTACTAATAAGAAATATACATTTTTAAAATCATATATTGTTAGAGTCCCAGAGAGTAATGGTGCACTAACCATGAAGCCAATTTGGTATTCAGTAATAACATAGATGTCTTCCTTATAAAAATTTTTTATCAATCAGGTTACTCTTAATACCTCAGATCATATATTGACTATTCTGATCTTTATACAATTATTACCTGTCCCCAAAATGTCCCCCAGTTCAAACATATGGGTTCATTATTGACACCAAAAACAAAACAAAACAAAAACTCAAGTGATATTTGTAGAATAGTCTTTTTTTTTTAACCAATCTTTAATTCTCACAAAGGACCAGAGGAGTTTTAGAGTCGTATTCATTTTTAGAACATATAATTTATGGTCAATGAGACTAAAAGAATTGTCCAAAATAACATTCCTGGCGAATGTCAAAGCTGGGATTTTTGCCCAGCTAATTGTGAAGACTTAGCTTTACTTTCTCTCCATTATAACATGGTGACTATGTACTCCTTAAAGTCCAGATTCTTGATCAACATTATAGATGGATACTCCTTGTACCTCTCTTTTGTCAATATAATAATTTTCGTGCACTGTTATGTGTAGGCTTGACTGTGATTCTGACACTTAACTCAGGGTTCAAAATTTAGCTACATAACTTAATAGCTGTGTGACAACTGGCAAGTCATTCTAATCATACAACTGGATAATTTATTTATCTAAAAATTGAGATGATACTAGTATATTTACCTCACAGAGATGTTATGAGAACTAAACCATTAGTATATGCAAAGTGTTTGAAAAAATTCCAGATATGTAAGTGCTTACTCTGATAATTATCTTTTTTTATTACTTTCATCTTTTCAGTTTCAATATGTCAGACATCCTTTCTCAGCTTCAAATTCTTCTGAGCGACTCTGCTGCCCGTAGAACAAACAAAATCACTATCTTCATTTTTTTTAAACAGGGAATACAAGTTGACAAACTTAGAAATAATTTAAACTTTCTGAAAGCTGCAAAGCTGAAAGCAGTCCCTAGACATTTCCTCCTAGTCTTGAAAATAGTATCAGTTTCTCCTCTTTTTAGGACTGAGAGTTGATCAAATGGATAGCCAGCCTGGGGAAAATTAGGCCTCGACCCCTAAAAACATCAGTAATATCAGGAAAAGTTTAGAGGGTAGAGCATCTGAGACTTTGTTCCCTAAATGTGCCCCCCCAACTGCTCTTAAAAATATTAGCTTTTACTGAATATTTGATTTTTCAGTTTTTTCTTTTCAAGGGTTTTATATTAGAAATCTGAAATTTAAAACTTGAAATCTAAAACCAAATAATAAAAACAAAAGAATTCCAAATAGCAAGTAATAGCAGGCATGTTTTGGAGAAATAAGCTCTAATGTAAGCTATCAGAATTCATACCAATTAATATCCATAAAAACAAGTTCATATTAAATAAAAAGGTCAAGCAGTATATGAATGGGTGTTCAAATAGTGGAGGTGAGAAGAGAAGGAGGAGAAAAAGAAAGGGATGTGAGAAAACCTCCTTAAATTAAAAACAATTTTAAATTTTACAAAATACGATTCACCTCTCTGTAACTTCTATGAGAGGCTCCATTTCATAAATAAATTTTCAGCAGAACTGTCTCACAAAATTTAATACTACAGTGTGAATTTCTTACTATTCTCTTGCTATGAGGCACACTGCAACTTCAAGATCCAAATCTAGGTCTCAATCCTTTTGGAACTAACATTTTTTAAACAAAATATACTATACAACACATTCTGTACTAATTCAAGGATAACATAATCTACTAATAAAGTACCCACCTGTGTATCCACAGGGGATATATTCCAATAATCCCCCCAGTGAATGTTTAAAACCACAGACAGTACCAAACAATGTGTGTACTGTTTTATCCTATACACAGATACTTATGATAAAGTTTAATTTATAAATTAGGCACAGTAAGAAATTAACAACAATAGCTAATAATAAAATAAAATAAATTATAAAAATATGCTCTAATAAAAGTTATGTGAATGTGATCTCTCTCTCTTCCTCTCTAGAAATACTGTAATATTCTCAGACTGTGGTTGACTGTGGAAAGCAAAATGTTGGGTAAGGTTGGACCACTGTACAGATGTTTAAATGTATATCTTATATATAGGTATATGCATATAATGCTTTATAGATAAAGAAAAACAAAGAAGAAAATTAATTTCTGTAAAATTATATATATCTCGCCATGTAACTGCTGAAGCACATTAGAAGTGAAAACATAATGACAGACTCATAATCTACGTGTGGAATCACCTTAAAAGTACAAAATCAAAATGCAGATTTATACAGTTATATGATATTGGTGAATCATAAGTACATCTACTATTATTGTATTATTTTGAAAATGTGAAAAACTCTCAAGAAAAATCTAAACACGAAAATTGCACACTTTCCCTGGGTTTTACCTAAATATTGTTGCTTTCTATTTTTAGTAAATCATATAAAATTTACAAAATGAAATTAGTTCTATTTCCAAATTCCTATGACATGATGGACCATGGGTAGACAATGAGACTGTCTCATAAATTGTAGAGAATCTAGCATTGATAAAAGGTCAAGAAAATCACACCAGTTCCTGTGGCAAACAATCTTCATTCCTCACCCAAAATAGGAAGGAGCTGAATCCAGGGGGCTGAGCAGCAATTGTCTATTGGCCCCACTTTCACAAGAAGTCACAGGATAAGATCCACTGTCTTGGAATTCCAGCCAGCTCCTGACAATAGTGTTGCACCTACTTGTGATGGAATTGAGTTCCCAGGGGGAGGGACAGGCCACCATCTTTGCTGTTTTCAGCTTGCAGGCTTAGGAAAGTCCAAACTTCCTTGGAGCAGAAGGGATCCCCCAGCACAGCACAGCCGCTCTACAAAAACATAGCCAGACTGCTTCTTTAAGCAGAACTCTAATCCACTCCTTATCTCTGGGGGGACCTCCCAACTGGGACCTCCAGCCACCCCCACCATATTCTTCACTGACAGAGTTTTGATATTTCCCTGGGACAGAATTCCCAGGGGAAGTTGAGGGCTGCCATCTTTGCTTTTTGGTTGACCCAGATATTCCAGACTGTGTGTTTTTGAGAGTCCAAGCTGACTAGGGCAGAAGTGGTACCCCAACATGGCACAGCTGCTCTACGAAAACATGGCCAGACTACTTCCTTAAGTGTGTCCCTGATCTGTTCTCTGTACTGGTTGGAACTTCCCAACTGGGTCCTTCAGCCAATTCCACCAATGTTCTTTGGCTGACAGAGGTTTTAAAACTTCTGGGACAGAGTTGCTAGAGAGAGGGATGGACCACCGTGTTTGCTGGTTTGGCAGTTTAGCCATTCCAGCCTTCAGGCTTTGAAGAAAGCCTGGGGGTGGAAATGGTACCCCAGCACAGCACAGCTGCTCTACAAAAGCAGAGCTAGACTAGTTCTTTAAATGGGTCCCCAGTTCTGTTTCTCCTGGCTGGGTGAGACTTCCCATCTGGGGTCTCCAGTCACCGCCTAAAGGTGAGTTCAGGCTGGCGACAGGTCAATATCCCCCTAGAATGAAGCTCCCAGAGGAAGGGGCAGGCTGCCATCTTTACTGTTTCATAGCCTTCACTGGTGATACCTCCAGGTACTGGAAAATCCAAGGCAACTAGGGACTGGAGTGTACACCCAGCAAACCACAGCAACCCTACACACAAGTGGCCAGACTGTTAAAAGAAAAAAAAAAAGCCAAAAACCCCATTCAAAAGTCAGCAACCTTGAGGGTAGAAGGTAGATAAGCCCACAAAGATGATAAAGAATCAGTGCAAGAAGGCTGAAAATTCAAAAAGCCAGAATCCCCGTTCTCCTCTGAATGATGACATACCTCTCCAGCAAGGGTTTGAAATGAGGCTGAGGCTGATATGGCTGAAATAACAGAAATATACCTCAAAATGTGTACAAATAATGACTTCATTGAGATAAAGGAGCATGTTCTAACTACATGCAAGGAAGCTAAAAATCACAATAAAACATTGCAGGAGCTTAAAAACAAAATAGCCAGGATAAAGAAGAACATAATCAACCTGATAAAGCTGAAAAACACAATACAAAAATTTAATAATGCAATTGCAAGTATTAATAACAGAATAGATCAAGTGGAGAAAATAACTTCAGAGCTGGAAGACTATCTTTCTGAAATTAGGCAGATGAGAATAGAGAAAAAAAGAATAAAAATGAATGAACAAAACCTGAAAGAAATGTGGAATTATGTGAAGAGACCAAATCTATGACTGATTGGTGTACCTGAAAGAGATGGGGAGAATCGAACCAACCTGGAAAACATATTTCAGGATATCATCCATGAGAACTTACCCAACCAAGCTAGAGAGGACAACATTCAACTTCAAGAAATGCAGAAAACCCCAGTAAGATACTCCACAAGAAGATTATCCCCAAGAAACACAATCAGCAGATTCTCCAAGGTTAAAATGAAAGATAAAAAATGTTGGCAGGGTCTGGTGGCTTACGCCTGTAATCCCAGCACTTTGGGAGGCCAAGGCCGAGGCAGGTAGATTACCTGAGTTCAAGAGTTTGAGACCAGTCTGGCCAATATGGTGAAACTCCATCTCTGCTAAAGATATAAAAATTGGCCAAGCGTAGTAGTGGGCGCCTGTAATCCCAGCTACTTGGGAGGCTGAGGCAGGACAATCACTTGAACTGGCAGAGGTTGCAGTGAGCCAGGATTATGCCACTACACTTCAGCCTGGGCGACAGAGTGACATTTCATCTCAAAATAAATAAATAAATAAATAATGGTAAGGGTAATGAGAGAGAAAGGCCAGGTTACCTACAAAGGGAATCCCAACAGAGTAACAGCAAACATCGAAATGGAAACCCTATAAGCCAGAAGAGATAGACCACCAATGTGTAATGTTCTTAAAGAAAAGCAATTTCAGCCAGATGCAGTGGCTCACATCTGTAATTCCAGCACTTTGGGAGGCTGAGGTGGGTGGATCACGAGGTCAGGAGATCGAGACCATCCTGGCTAACACAGTGAAACCCCATCTCTACTAAAAATACAAAAAATTAGCCAGGAGTGGTGGTGGGCACCTGTAGTCCCATCTACTCAGGAGGCTGAGGCAGGAGAATGGCATGAATGCAGGAGGCGGAGCTTGCAGCGAGCCGAGATTGTGCCACCGCACTCCAGCCTGGGTGACAGAGTGAGACTCTGTCTCAAAAAAAAAAAAAAAAAAAAAAAAGGCAATTTAAACCCAGCATTTCATACCAGGCAAAACTAAGGTTCATAAGTGAAGGAGAAATAAGATATTTTTCAGACAAGCCAATGTTAAAGAATTCCTTACCACTAGACCTGCTCCTGAAGGAAGAGCTAAATACGGAAATGAAAAACCACTACTAGCCACTACAAAAACACATTAAAGTACACAGAGCAGTAAAACTATAAAGCAACCACATAAGCAAGTCTGCAAAATAGCCAGCTAGAACCATGATGACAGGATCAAATCCACACATAACAATATTTTTTCTTTCTTTTTTCTTAGATGGAGTCTCGCTCTGTCTCCCAGGCTGGAGTGCAGTGGTGCAATCTCAGCTTACTGCAACCTCTGCCACCTTGGTTCACCGGTTCTTCTGTTTCAGCCTCCCAAGTAGCTGGGACTACAGGTGCATGCCTGGCTAATTTTTGTATTTTTTAATAGTGACGGGGTTTCACCATGTTGGCCAGGCTGGTCTCTAACTCCTGATCTTGTGATCCACCCACTTTGGCCTCCCAAAGTGCTGTGATTACAGGCGTGAGCCACCGCACCTGGCCCACACATAACAATATTAACCTTAAGTGTAAATGGGCTAAATGCCCCATTAAAAGACATAGAGTAGTAGCAAGCTGAATAAAAAGTCAAGACTCATTTGTCTGCTCTCTTCAAGAGACCCATCTCATATGCAAAGACATACATATGCTCAAAATAAAGAAATGGAGGAAAGTTTACCAAGCAAATGGAAAACAGAAAAAAAAGGCATTGAAATCTTAATTTCTGACAAGATGGTCTTTAAATGAACCAAGATCAAAAAAGACAAAGAAGGACATTACATAATGGTAAAGGGTTCAATTCAACAAGAAAACCTAACAATCCTAAATATATATGCACCCAACACAGAAGCACCCAGATTTATAAAGTAAGTTCTTAGAGACCTTCACAGAGACTTAGACCCCCACACAATAATAGTTGGAGACTTTAACACCCTACTGACAATATTAGACAGATCACTGAGACAGAAAATTAACAAAGATATTCAGGACATGAACTCAGCACTGAATTAAATTGATCTTATAGACATCTACAGAATTTTCCACCCCAAAATGACAGAATATACATTCTTCTCATCACCACATGGCACTTACTCTAATATCAATCACATAATGCAAAGTAAAACACTCCCCAGCAAATGCAAAATAATTGAAATCACAACAAATAGTCTCTTGGACCACACAGAGCACAATCAAATTAGAACTCAAGACTAAGAAATTCACTCAAAACCATAGAATTACATGGAAATTGAATAACCTTCTCCAGAATAGCTGCTGAATAAATAATGAAATTAAGGCAGAAATCAAGAAGTTCTTTGAAACTAATGAGATGAAGATACAACATACCAGACTCTCTGGGACACAACTAAGGCAGTGTTAAGAGGGAAATTTAGCCGGACTTGGTGGCTCATGCCTGTAATACCAGCGTTTTGGGAGGCAGAGGTGGGTGGATCACTTGAGGTCAGGAGTTAGAGATCAGCCTGACCAACATGGTGAAACCCTGTCTCTACGAAAAATACAAAATTAGCTGGATGTGGTGGCTGGTGCACACCTGTAATCCTAGCTACTTGGAGGCTGAGGCAGGAGAATCACTTGAATCTGGGAGGCAGAGGTTGCAGTGAGCCGAGATGGCACCATTGCACTCCAATCTGGGCAACAAGAGCAAAACTCTATCTCAAAAAAAAAAAAAAAAAAAAAGGCAGGGGGAGGAGATTTATAGCACTAAATACTTACATGAAAGCTAGGAAGATCTCAAATTAACAACCTAACATTAAAAGAACTAGAGAACCAAGAGCAAATAAACCCCAAATCTAGAAGAAGACAAAATATATCCAAAATTGGAGCTGAACTGAAGGAGATAGAGACATGAAAAGCCATTCAAACGATCAACGAATCCAGGAGCTGGTTTTTTCAAATAAATAAATAAATAAAATAGACCACTTAGCTAGAGTAACAAAGAAAAGAGAGAAGATTCAAATAAACACAATTAGAAAGAGGGATATTACCATCAACCCCACAGAAATACAAACATCCAACAGAGAATATTATAAACATCTCTATGCACATAAGCTAAAAAATCTAGAAGAAATGGATAAAATTCCTGGACACATACATCCTCCCAAGACAGAACCAAACAGAAACTGAGTCCCTGAACAGACCAATAACAAACTCTGAAATTGAGGCAGTAATAAATAGCCTACCAACTAAAAAAAGCCAAAGACAGACATATTCACAGATGAATTCTACCAGATGTACAAAGAAGAGCTGTTACTTTCCTACTGAAACAATTTCAAAAAATTGAAAAGAAGGGAATCCTCCCTAACTCATTCTATGAGACCAGCATCATCCCAATACTAAGACCTGGCAGGGACACAATAAAAAAAGACAACTTTGGGCCAATATTTTTGATGAACATTGATGCAAAAAGCCTCTACAAAATACTGGGAAACAGAATCCAGCAGCACATCAAAAAGCCTATCCACCACAATCAAGTGGGCTTTATTCCTGGGATGCAAATTTGGTTTAACATATGCAAATCAATAAATATGATTCATCACATAAACAGAACTAAAGACAAAAATGACATGATTAACTCAATAGATACAGAAAAGGCTTTTGATAAAATTTAACATCATTTCATGTTAAAAACTCTCAATATACTAGATATTAAGGAACATACCTCAAAATAATAACAACCTTTATGACAAACCCACAGCCAACATCATATGGAATGGGTAAAAGCTAGAAGCATTCCCCTTGAAAACCAGCACAAGACAATGATGCCCTCTCTCGCCACTCCTATTCAACATGGTATTGGAAGTTCTGGCCACAACAATGAGGCAAGATAAAGAAATAAAGAGCATTCAAATAGAAAGAGAGGAAGTCATACTATCTCAGTTTGAGGATGACATAATCCTATATCTAGAAAACCCCATCATCTCAGGCCAAAAGCTTCTTAAGCTGATAAATAACTAAAGCAAAGTCTCAGGATACAAAATCAATGTGCAAAAATCACTAGCATTCTTATATACCAATAAGAGTCACTGACAGCCAAATCACAAACTCCCATTCACAATTACCACAAAAGGAATAAAACATTTAAGAATACAGCTAACAAAGGAAGTAAAAGATCTCTATAAGAAGAACCTCAAACCACTACTCAAAAAAATCACAGATGACACAAACAAATGAAAAAACTTTCCATGTCATGGATAGGAAGAATCAATATTGTTAAAATGGCTATATTGCCCAAAGCAATTTACAGATTCAATGCTATTCCCATTAAACTACCACTGACATTCTTCACAGAACCTGAAAAATCTGTTTTAAAATTCATATGGAATTAAAAAAGAGCCTAAATAGCCAAGGAAATCCTAAGCAAAAAGAACAAAGGGGGAGACATCATGCTGCCAGACTTTAGATTATACTACAGGGCCACCAGCAACCAAAACAGCTTGGTACTGGTACAAAAACAGAAACATAGGCTAATGAAACAGAATAGAGAATCCAGAAATAAGACTACGCACAGAAAACTTTCTGATCTGCAATAAACCTGACAAAAACAAGCAATGGAGAAAGGACTACTATTCAGTAAATGGTGCTGGGATAACTGGCTAGCCATATGCAGAAAATTGAAACAGGACCCCTTCCTTATAACATATACAAAAATTAGCTCAAGAAGGATTAAAAACTCAAGTGTAAAAGCCAGAACTATAAAATTCCCAGAAGAATACTTAGGCAATATCATTCAGGACATAGGCAAATATTTCATGACGAAGATGCCAAAAGCAATTGCAACAAAACCAAAAATTGACAATGGGATCTAATTACACTAAAGAGCTTCTGCACAGCAAAAGAAACTATTAACAGAATAAACAGATAACCTACAGAATGGAAGAAAATTTCTGCAAACTATGCATCTGATAAAGGTCTAATATCCAGCATCTATAAAAATCTTACAATAAATTTACAAGAAAGAAATGAACAACCCCTTTAAAAGTGAGCAAAGGACAGGAACACACACTTCTCAAAAAAGACATACATCTGACCCACAAGCATATGAAAAAAATCTCAACTCACTAATCATCAGAGTAATGTAAATCAAAACCATAATGAGATATCATCTCACACCAGTCAGAATAGCTAAAAGTAAAAAAATAACAGACGCTGGCAAGGTTGTGGAGCAAAAGTTTCACTTACCTTGTTGGTGGGAGTATAAATTTGTTGAATTGTAGTGGAAGACAGTGTGGCAATTCCTCAAAGACCTAAAAGCAAAACACCATTCAACCCAGCAATCCCATTACTGGGTATATACCCAAAGAAATATGAACGGTTCTATTATAGAGACACATGTACACATATCTTCACTGCAGGACTATTCACAATACCAAAGATGCGGAATCAACCCAAATGCCCATCAATGATAGGCTGCATAAGGAAAATGTGGTACATATACACCATGGAAGACTATGCATCCATGAAACAGAATGAGATTTGCCCTTTGGAGGGACACGGATGGAGCTGGAGACCATTATCTGTAGCAAACTAATGTAGGAACAGAAAACCAAATGTCATGTGTTCTCATTCGTAAGTGGGAGCTAAATAATGAAAACATATGGATACATAGAGAGGAACAACACACACTGGGGCCAATCAGAGGGTGGAGGGTAAGAGGAGGAAGAAAAGCAGAAAAAGTAACTAATGGATATTAGGCTTATACATGGGTGATAAAATAATCTGTACAACCAACCTCCATGACACAGATTTACCTATGTAACAATCCTGCACACCCTGCACATATACCCCTGAACTTAAAAGTTTTTTAAAAAGTTTACATGGAGATGAAAAAGACTCAGAATATAGTTAACAAAATATTAAAGGACAAGAACAAAGTTTGAGAACTAACATTATCAGATTTCAAAACATTCTAAACCTACAGCTATTACAAGAGTGTGGTGTTGGCAAAAGAATAGCAAATAGATTGGTGAAACAGAATAGATGGCCCAGAAATTGAGCCACATAAATATAGTCAACTGATGTTTGACAAAAGAGCAAAGACAATGCAATGGAGAAGAGAGTTTTTTTCTAATAAATAATGTTGAGAAAAAGTGGAAATCTACATTTAAAAAATGACTCTAGACACAAACCTTACACCCCACACAAATGGATTTGTAAATGAACTCAAAATGGATTGCAGATCTAAACATAAAACATGGAATTATAATACTGCTAAAAGATAACATAGGAGAAAGTCTACGTGATGTGGGGTTTGGTGACGGCTTTTCAGATACAACATCAAAGTCATGATCAATGAAAAAAATTGATAAGCTGGACTTCATTAAAATTACAAATTTCTGTTCTGTGAAAGACACTGTTAAGTAAATGAAAGGACAAGCCACAGACTGAATGAAAATATTAATATTTGTAAAAGACATAACAAATAAAGGACTGTTATTCAAAACATACAAATATCTTTTAAAACTCAAAAACAGGAACATAAACAACTCTAGTAAAAAAGTTAGCTAAAGACCTTAACAGATATCTCACCAAAGAAGACATTCAGCTGGCAAGTAAAATGTATGAAAAGATGCTCCACATTATATGACATAAGTGAAATGCAAATGAAAACAGCAGTGACCATTGCACACATATTAGAATGACCAAATTTCAACACTCACAACACCAAATACTGCCCAGAATGTGGACCCATAGAAACTCTCATTCCTTGGCAGTGGCAATGTGAAATAGTACAACTGTTTTGGAAGAAAGAGTGGCAGTTACTTAAAAAACAAACACCCTCTTACTATAAGGTTCAGAAATCACACTACTGGGTATTTAACCAAAGGTGTTGAAAACCCGTATCCACACAAAACCTGCACACAGATATTTAGAGCAGCTTTATTCATAAGTTGCAAACTTGGAAGCAACCAAAATGCCCTTCGGTAGGTGAAAGAAAAAATCAACAGCAGTACATCCAGAAAATGGAATTTATTTAGTGCTGAAAAGAATGAGCTATAGAGCCAGGAAAAGACATGGAGGAATCCTAAATGCATATTAGTGAGTGAGAGAAGCCAATCTGAATAGGCTGCATCCTGTGTGATCCCAACTGTATGGCATTTTGGAAAAGGCAAAGCTATGGGGGCAGTAAAAAGTCAGTGGTTGATATGGAATGATCATATTTTGTTAGATGTATACTTTAGTATTGGGGGGTGGGGAGAATGACTAATAGGCAGAGCACAGAGAATGTATGGAAAGTGAAAATATTCTATATGAATGTGTAATTACAGATACATGTCATTGTACATTTATCCAAACCCATAAAAGGTACAACACCAAGAGTGAACCCTAATGTAAACCATGCACTTTGGATGATAATGAGGTGTGAATGTATGTTCCTGATTGTAACAAATGTACCAGTCTGGTGGGAGATGTTGATAATGGGAGAGGTTGTGCTTATGGGGGCAGTGGGTGTACAGAAATCTCTGTACCTCCTGCTCATTTTCGCTGTGACTACATTCTGCATGATTCCTACACCCTGTATGATAAAACTGCTCTAAAAAATAAGGTCTATTAAAAATTAATGTTATAAGAATACATTCCTTGATCTAAAGAAACAGAACCATAGGGTGAATCCTAGGAGTTTTCATTTATATAAATTTACTCAGACGATTATTATACATGTTAAATTTTAGAAAGTTCATTTTAAAAATAATTAAATAGAGTGAGATCAATACAGAATCCTAGACCCACTAAATATTTTTATCCCAGGTACTAAAGTGAGTGAACAATCTTGACAGTGGGACCTAAGAAAAAACTTGAAAATAATTGAGAAAATTGTCTTTTAATGAGTAGAACCCGTTTCATGAGATAATCTTGTTTTCCAATAAAACAGCACTATCATCTTCGTAGTGCATGAAACAGATATGAACAGGTACTAGAGCATGGGGTAATTTTTATAAAGGTCTGAATTAAAACACATTTGGGGGGCTGACAATAAAACATCCCAAGTTCTTTTTTTGTATTAACATTCATGTGCATATAGGCTAATTAGTAAAAGGAATAAACAGCAGAAATGTGATTGTAAAAAATATCTACATGGCTGGGCACAGTGGTTCATGCCTGTCATCCTAGCACTTTGGGAGGCGGAGGCAGGAGGATCACTTGAGCCCAAGAGTTTGAGACAAACCTGGAAAATATAGTGAGACCCATCCCTACAAAAATTAAAAACACATGGTGGCATGTGTTGCTGCCCACCTACTCAGGAGGCTGAGGTGGGAAGATTGCTTAGCCCAGTAGGTCAAGGCTGCAATGAGCCATGATATCAAGGCTGCAGTGAGCCATGATTACACACTGCACTCCAGCCTGGGCAACAGAGGAAGAACCTGTCTCAAAAAGAAAAAGAAAAAAAAAAAAAAAAAAAAAAAAAAAAAAAATATATATATATATATATATATATATATGTGAGTGAAATTGACCTTTTTAGAAATTTTATAAGTAATTACATTGCTATTTTTGATACATATAAATGACCAATCCATAATTGTCCATTCAGTTTACTCATTTCTTTAGGAAAATCTATTGATTTTACATTATGTTCAATAAGTGTACAAGACAAAGTACTCATAGAGAATACAACATGTGGAATTGTAAGGAAGATTCATAGTTGGGGAATCTAGATAGTTTGGTAAAAATAGACAGGGGTGGATATCAAAAGTGGAGAGCAATGAAAAACAAAGGGGAATAGGATTCTGATCATAATGGATTCTGTATGTCATGCTGGGATTGGAAATGTATCCTGAAAATGCTACAGAGGGACTGAGAAATTTAAATAAAGAGTATAGCATAATTGAATTATTTTAGAAATATAGCTATATTTTATATAATTTCTATGGAGGATAAAGAGGTGAGAGGAGTTTCAATATAGGAAAAAAAAAACATCTTTTTTCATGTATATAACTTTAGGAAACGAAACTGAATGTTTAGGACTAGCAAGAGAAAAAAATGAGAAAATTTTTGATGGAACCTATACAGATGAATTTAAACTCTGTTCCCTATTGTTTTCAGATATTATAGCTACTGTTAATCACAGTGTAAATATGGCTATTCATTGTTTTAAATTGCCATGTATTTAATTAGATTCCACATATCAACTCTAAGAGGTTGTAAATTTTGTGTCATGATTTGTGTCACTACATAGGAAAAATAAATAAATTTCTAGCTTAACTTTTACACAGTGCTGAGTTGCCATTAATTGTAAAATGGATTCCAGTTTCACAGATAATAACATGAGAAAATGTGCATCTCAGAATTGATAAAATACATTTTAATTTTGGAACTTGATTTTAGATCTTCTCAAAAAACATTTTACTTTTATAAATCTCAGTTTGAAATGACTAATTAATAAAATATATTATAGGGGCCTGGAATCCCAGCATTTGGGGAGGCTGAGGCAGGTGGATCACTTGAGGTCAGGAGTTAGAGACCAGCCTGGTCAACATGGTGAAACCCCATTTCTACTAAAAATACAAAAAGTTAGCTAGACGTGGTGGTCCATGCCTGTATTCCCAGCTAATCAAGGCTGAGGCAGGAGAATAGCTTGAACCCAGGAGGTGAAGGTTGCAGTGAGGTGAGATGTTGTCACTGCACTCCAGCCTGGGTGACACAGCAAGACTCCATCTCAAAAAAAAAATTATATATGTGTGTGTGTGTATATATGTGTGTGTATGTATATATATATATATATATACACACACACATATACACACACACACATATATATACACACACACACACACATATATATACACACACATATATATACATACACATATATATATGTGTGTGTGTCTGTGTGTGTTATAGGTATGAGAAGATCCATAGAAATTAGACTTACAAAAATATGCAGGGCAGACTTCCCCAAAATGACAACTGGAGCAAATCTTTTTCTCTGCCAGCACCACTGATTGATGGAAAAGGAGGGATGGTCTTATCATTTTTTGCCAGCTCTGTAAATGAAATTTAGATCCTTAAAAGACTCTACTGGTAAAACAATCCCCTTGCCTCCTTGCTGTCCAGCCATTGCTAAGTAGTACCACTGGTAAAATAACATGGTTAATTTTTACCTCAGTAGAAGTCTGCCAAGTAATGTAATTTTGTTAAGTCACTAGTTTTAAAATTTCATAGCAGCCCTTTCATTAGAACCCTAAAAGATGTTCAATAGCTGTTAATTATGAAACAATTTCTCCAATGAGACAATCACTGTGTCACCATTTATATGTTAATATAAAATCAACTTTCACTGCATTTGTCATTTGGTTGATTTAGCCTTCTGACTCTTACCTAAATTTCCTGGCTGTTTGTCCACTGCTCCCTCAGTCCTGTGTGCTATTTTAAAATACAGTCTTGTTTTATTGACACATCTTAACTAAGAATAGTATGCCATCTTTTGAAGATTAATTTATAAAAATGGTATTATGAAAAAAGGTTATTCAAATCTGACATTATATATAATATATATACATTAGACACGATTTAAAAGTAAAAATTTTATACCCTTGAGATAGATTTTAGGTTTTCAAAATGACAAAAATGTATTTGCTTTGCAATATACACTGAGACAATTTATAGCAGCCTGTGTAATTAACATAATCCTAATTTCTTCCCTTCCCAGTTAAAGCATCTTTGTCTCCTTATCTTTTCACTTCTAATTTTGTCTAACCATTTTCACCTTTGAGGTTATACACTTGTTTTAATGGGGACAGTGTAGTACACAGTTTTTTTTATATAGTCATCTCTCAAAAATTGCTTATTGAATAAATTAATTCTGACCTCTAGAGTTTTGCACTAACTGATAAATAATAAAACTCATTTTAATTAAGTAAACATATTCAGAAGTTTTAAAATTTTCAGGTTAACTATGTCAATGTAAAGATTTAGGGCATTTCAAATTATCTGTGCAATAAAATAGAAGTAAAAGGAGAATAAAGTGTAGAATCTAAAATAGAAACCTCAAGTTTTGATAACTATTTCCCCTTATTCTCTTTCAAACATGTAGTAGCAATAAGACACTATTAGAATTTTTATAGGAGAAATATGCTTGGTGTAAAATGCTAAGAAAAAATTGGCAAGTGATTTTCGGTAAACCACACATAGTTACCACAGAATTCTCAAAATTTCTATTATAGTGATCTTAGAAAACAAGATATTCAGTAGTATAAAGCAATAAAGATTCTAGAAATTCAGGTTGGTGAAAAGTAATTGTGGTTTTGCCATTACTTTTGAAGGCAAAAGCCACAATTACTTTTGCACCAAACTAAATAACTCCGAACATATAACTTTTCCAGCTTAATGCAATACGTATTTACAAAATTAAAACTTTCAAATCAATAATTCAACTTCTGCAAATCATCTTGATGTTTACAATGATGCCTTTTAAGTTTTTTTCCTTGGTTAACCAACATGATGTTTCCCCAACCACAATTTCTGTCAGTTTGCCTAGTATTTACAGTTAGCTCTTTAAATTCACATGTAATTAAAGAAATTTTGAGAGTAGAAAACATCAGTGATACCATTCTTATATATGTGAAAAAACTAACAGTTTTCATAATTCACTTTCATAATATCCCATTTCAAACAGTACCCCACGGTATATTTTGCTTTTACATTGAATGGCAAAATAGACCACTGATGAAAGAGGAGTCATCCAATTACTATGAGCAAAGTAGCTTTAACTTCCTTTAGATATCTGCTAGCAAGATATAAAATGACACTTCCTGGACACTTCAGTAGCACAATAGGGCCTTTATTGATTTTCATAACGTGTTCTTCGGTCTAAGATGGGTCTCTTGAGAACTCCACTTCCCAGCATGAAAAAAAATTGCCTTTTCTACGTTTGAATTCTCAGGTCTGTCAATGCATCCCTAGCTGGAGACACTGTCATTTTAGTTCTATTTCTTTGTTGTTGATGTGTCTACACCTTGCTATTGTAGTGCCCTAATGGAACCTAGGGTCATAGGTCAAAGTATGAAAACAAAAAATGAAATTGCTTAGCCTGTGAATCAATAAAAAAGACTCAACACTTTTTCTAAGTATAAAATGTGCAACCAATGAAGTGTGATAAGTTCATTCAACCTTGTACTAAAACTATAAATAGAATGCTTCTAACACCCAGCATTTATATTCTCAAATGAAGATAAATGGTTACTATGAATGTTCAACATATAATATCTAGATCAAGGAAAGCACCATAATCCATTTGCTATGTTGACTATAATATTGTATTATAATGTTAAAGTAACCTCAAAACAGCAGTGGACACACGTCTATTATTATACTCCCTAAAAATTCTAATTTCAAATTCTATGGAATAATAGTATACTCAAGAACTATCCTTATCTTTTAAACTGACTTTCTTTAAATAAAGTATTTGACAGTTAAAATTTCCCTTAGTGATTGCATCTAAGAAAACAAATTTTGATTTGAAATTAATTGAAATTAGACATAGAGAATAAAAATAATACTATAGTATTTTCAAATGAGAATAGTATGTTTTTATAAGGTCTTTACATTTATTTCTGAGTGGTTGAATTTTGACATTTTTAACAATTTCATAGTTGTTATTTTTAATATTTAATAATTTGTTTCATTACTAAATAATTTATATATATTGATTTATTATATAACCACACTATCCCTAGAAATGGCCCACAGATTACTACCAAAAAGACAACTATGCAAAAGTGTTTTGTAAAAATTTATTGTTTTAGATTATTCAAGTTTCATAGTAACCTCTTTTCATGGAATTATTGTTAAAAATACAAATTAAAAAATATTTCTCTTCTTTCCATTTCATTCTTTCCACTTCTGGTCTTCTTTATTACATCTGAACTAGTTGCCTTAGTCAAAATATTAGATAAGGGGTAAATTCTCACAGTAATGTGACATAAAATACTTTGGCCATGATTTTGTTTGTTCAGAATTTTCTTCTATGGCCATGTACAATAATAAGTACATAACTCATATTGCCTTCTAATGAACTGTATTTCATTACCTACCATAACAAACTTTCTTGATGGAATATTAATAAATATTTAAGATCTTAAATTACAGTTTCAGTGCTTGAAACCACCACTCAATATCAGGCCACACAAAGCCCATGAAATTGATAGTGGCATGAGGCAGTCAAATTCCTAGGCAGATAGAGGCAGGTTCACTTTCAAGCCTAAGACAGTTTAAAGCCTAGCTACAAAGTCTCAGGTAAATCCACAGACCACACTGAGAACCTCTCTTCCTGTTGGGCGTGTTTCCTCTGATTGATCTTCACCCTTCACCTATTTTACATATACCTACCCTTCCCTAATTGATTTTTTGTCATGCGCACCTTTGAGTGGTGACTTTGTTTTAATCTTTTTTGCATACCTACAAACCAATCAGCATGACTCCTCATTCTGAGCCCATAAAAGCCCCAGACCTAGCCACACTGAGGGAGAGACTACCCAACTTTGGGTGGTGTACCACCTTCACATCCGCCCTCCACTGAGAGATGTTTTGTCACTCAATAAAACAATTTTCTGCCCTCTTCACCCTTCGAGTTTCAGGATAACCTCATTCTTCTTGGATGTAGGACAAGAACTCGGGAATTGCCAAATGCAGCTAAGAGCTGTAACACAGGTGGACTGGGACATGCCCAGCCCAGCTGTGGTCTGAGCTGGTGCACAAGCCAGGTCTGTCCTGGTGGGCCAAGTGGGCAGGGTCCCTCCTGTGGCAGAGCTGGGACCAAGCAAGGCCAGGGCAGGAGTGTCACCAGCCCCAAGTCCCCGGCTGGCAAAGTGACCAAGAAAAATACTGTGTTATTTTGGAGGTGCTTGTCTGGAATTGTTGGAAGGGTGAGTCAATGTGGACCTATGACTTTTCACTTTTTCTGAGGCTTCTTGTCCTCAGAATTTTTCTGCAGACAGATAAAGCACCATGTCTCTGTCAGCCAATTAAGAAATGAATAATGTGGCTGCAGGGGACATTGTCACCCACCTCCTGTCACCCTGGGGGATTGGAATGTTGGCTCTGTTCCATTCTAGATTTTTTCTATGGCATCTTCCTTCTTCCTTTTAAGGATGTCATGTCTCATTTATCTTCTTTTATAATGTTAAAGGTGTTGTTGCAAACTTCAGTGACAATGTTACTGGGTAGAATGGGCACTTGGCCGAGTCATCAAAAATGCAATTCAGAACAATGTGGTTTCCATTTATTCTTGGAAGAAGGATGCAGCAATTATGTTTTTTTCCCCCTCTAGAAGAAACACATTTGCATAGAGCAAGAAGTTTTTTCCTCAGGTGCCTTCCCCTCCCTTGCACTTATGCTTTTTGTTTTTCTTTTTCTCCATCATGTCAGGAGTTAACATAGCCCTGCAAATATGGGGAACTTTTCTATGCAAGAGGTTACTTTTTCCTTTTAGGAGGCATCTTACTAGGTTAAGCTGCCAATTCCCAGGACTCCCTTTTCTATCCCTTGTTTAAGGAGGACCCAATTCCACAACTTCACCTTAGCATTCTGTTTATAACAAAGCAATGGAAGAGTCGCCCCACCAGTCACTGACTAGAGTTTGGCAAGGGCCACCTGTGACTTAATTTAATGAATCCCTGTACCCTCCTGAGGAACCTTTTTGTCCAAAACTTAATTCCAAGTTTTGGGTTGAAGCCCTAGAAAGTAAAACTGGATCTGAGGGATCCATAGAGGCAGATGACAACAAAACTCAAGGGTGCAGTGCAGGTAAACATGACTAATTCCTGCCAATTGGCCTCCCTGCCCCCCACTGTTTTATGGATAGAGGTCATGCTCACGTCCGTGGCACAGATGAGGTCTAGGGAACCCAAAGACAGTGGAAGGATAGGCAACATATTGGGGAGTGTGAATAATTCCTACCCATTAGATTTCCCTGCTACATGGGTGAAGTTTGCGCTGGCATCCATGGTGGCACCTGCCAAGGTCTCTGGGACTTGAGTATATAAGGATGGAAGAAAAATAGACAATGCCCTTTTTTTTCTCTCCCTCACCTATCCTGGGCTTTTGCTGGAAAGATAAAGGAACAAAAGTGCCTTTCCCCGCTCTTACCTGATGGGTAACCAACCAGGTTCAGTTTGTACTTCTCTCGAGTACATCCTGAATAACTGAGGCTCCTTTGAAAAAAAAAAAGCCTTCTTTTTCCTTTTTCCTCCTCTATTCTCTCTTTGAAGATGGGTAATTGCATTCCCATACCACAGGACACTTCCTATGGATGCATCCCCCAAATTGGGGAAAGTTTAATTTCCCCAAACCTTAAAGTGCTTGGCTTAAAATTGAACTGGGAAGAAATTACAAATTTAACTGAGCAAATCTCTTGAGGTGGGACAACTTTTACAGTATGCAGATAAGCTCTGCATACTGTAATTCATTAGGAGATTGGAAATAAAATCTTACACTATAATCCCACCTACTCGGGAGGCTGAGGCAGGAGAATTGCTTGAACCTGGGTGGCGGAGGTTGCAGTGATCTGAGATTGTGCCACTGCACTCCAGATTGGGTGACAGAGTGAGACTCCACTTCGAAAAGAAGAGAAGAGAAGAGAAGAGAAAGAGAAGAGAAAGGGTCTGCTCCCCCTTCACAGTACTCTGGGGTTGATAGGGCTCCATAGCTTGGGGGAAGGGAACCCAGGAGCCTGACATGCTGGCAAAAGGGCAAAAGTTTCTACTAGTCAGACTTCTGGCTTCTCTGTCTCTGCACAAATTGGTTGTAGGAATGACAAAAATCATTATATTCTTTCCCCCTCCATAGGTTCAAAAGCCAGAAGTATTGGCCATTTGGCTTGTTAAAGTTGGGTAATAAGAGATTTAATAGGACTTAAAAAAAAAAAGGAGCACTCAACTTAATTAAAATTAGATATCCAAGATATAGGTATATTTAAAAGTATTTATATGTCTTCTCTTCATGGATCTTGTTTTTCTGGAAAAAGGTTTTCTTCTTCTCAGTCAATTGAATTATTTTTCTCCATTTGTCTTACCATGCTTAATGCGCATAAGAGAGGCCCTAAGATAACTTCTGATAGCCTGGTACTCCTTGGGAAAAACAGAGAAGGTGCCACTGACCCCGTTTTGGAAAAAAAAAACAACCCTGTTTTCCTCCTGGAACCCCAAGAATTAAAAACAGCTATATCCTTCTCAAAATCTGTTTTTGTCTTCCAACTCTGCCTGCTTACTAAGCTGTAGAAACTGCAGGTTTTCCTAGCCCTGTTTCTTGAAGGGCTCCACCCTGGGGCCAATAATTCATTAGGAGATTGGAAATAAAATCTTACACTATAATCCCACCTACTCGGGAGGCTGGAAAAGAAGAGAAGAGAAGAGAAGAGAAAAGAAAAGAAAAGAAAAATCTTATGACTGGATCTTCTGTCTGTCTGTGTGTGTGTGTGTATGTATACATATATACACATATATATGTATCATGTTTTTGATGTTTACATAAAAAGAGCTCTAATTAATTGGCTTCAGGAAAAATAAGTGCTTAGACCAAATATTTTTGAAGGAAGAATAAAAGCTGTAATGCTTTTTAGTTCACATGACTTTAAGAAATAGAAGACAGTTTTAAATTTTATTGGTAAAGTAAAAGTGTCTTCAGAATGTAAACATATAGTTTAAGTCATGCAGTTCAGATATTACATTTGCTAAATTCTTTAAGGTCATAAACTGATTCTTTGGTCTTTGAAAATTGTTTGGCTTGCCTGCTTTTGAGTTTGGTAAGGCCTGGGGACATGTGGAGTTAACCATGCACCTAACTATGCTTGAAAGAGTCAGACCTTATCTGCACCTAGTACATAATTAAAATAACTTACCAGGTTTTACATCAAAATTAAGAACTGCTAAGAATTACCATTATAACATGTAATTGAGACCACTGAAAATAGATTTACATGCAAGGTGTGTTAGGAAAGTAAAATGTATTTTTAGTAAAAGATTATAAGAAGGCATGGAAATGTAAATTTTTGCCTAGAGAGTTAAAAGATTATTTTAAATTAGATACAATAAAGGTAAACATTTAAACTAGTTGTGGAGGGTTTGTATAAATTAACCTTTTAACAGAAATCCTATGTGTGAACATAGTGACTAAACTCTCAAGGGTATTATTTGGTTATTCTGTAAATAGAACATTGGAATGAAAGCACACAAGGTTTTCTGAAGGCACTGATCTTTAACAAAAATTTGTGAAAGGTTATAGAAAGTTTGTAAGAATCTCACCTCATGGTCAAACTGGTTAAGATGGGATAAATTTATCTGTAATGTTTCATTAAAAAATTGGGATTAACCTTAATAGTAGACAAATGCAAGGGTGAAATTTGGCATTCTCTTGAAAAAGATTTTCATGTAACACTAAAGGATCATGAAAGATTTTTGTTAGCTTTGAGAATAAACTACTGAAAAAGAAGGGAAAGACAAGAGACAGATTATTTGGAAAGCTGTCTTCCCTCTTAATGAGTAAAGGTTTTTGCCTGTTTAAAAAATTCTGAGTCATCATTTTGGATAAATCCATGATTTATGGTAATCTGGAATTCTACTTCACAATATCAATTGTTTTAAACCTTTAACAAGTTTGATAGGCTTCCCAAAATCAAATTTCTGCTTCAAACTAGTCTTTTCTAACCCCCATCTTTTGGATGTTACAGAGGGCCCATGGAGTATCCAAAAGAGAGATAAACATGATTATTTGACATATTTAGTTACATGGGATTGTCAAAACAAAAATAAGGTTTAATCTTCTTCAGGTTATATTTTAGTGAATATATATTCTAAAATTGTATGGGACTTATAAAATTCTAATGTCTGAGTATATACTATCAATCATAATTAGGGTTATTATGTTAAGTTTTTGTAAACCACAGAAATAACCAAATTTCTTTGTGAATCATGTTTTTTACTATAACTACCCTAGACATTTTGTCAATCACAGACAATTGTTGTCTTGTTTTAATCCTCTTCAAAAATAGTTTATAATCAGCTATAGGATCTTGACAGATGCTCTCAAATTCAGGTTTCTGATAACCTTTGAGACTGTGATATGGGAATAGAGGAAATTTCAGGACTCATGAGGAGCTGAAATGTTCATAAATATCAAGCAGAACAAGAGTTAACTGAATGGATGGAACTAATAGAAAATTGAAGCGGTCTTTTTTTTAACTGTTTTGCTTAAAATGTTGCTGGTCCTTTATTTTTCAAAGTCAGAAAAATTTTTGTTTTGAGCTCTTTACAGTTTTGAACAATTGAATAAGGTATACTCCTGTGAACAAAATTTGGATCATATTTGTTTCTCTCTTCCTAGTTTCTCCAGAATTGGGAAATTATTCGTGAGTATTCTTAACTTATGGCAATATAGTTATTTGCATACGTGCAATAAGAATAAGAATCCATTTTCTTTTGCAACAGAATGTAATTGGAGAAACTGGTTGTTTTACCAAGGCTTTTACTGGAAAGGTGTGCTTTCCTTTAAGGAATCAAATTTGACTTGTAGAGGCAATAAAAGTCCCTTGGGAATACTGGCCTCATAGCTTATCTACACAGCCCATGCACAGGGTTCCTCATCTGTGGTAAGTAAAGAATTTCATTTTCTGACAGGCCCAGGAGCCCTAAGTTGTCTGGGACCTCAAGAAGAGAGGAATCTACCCAACTTATAGGTCTTTGGGGGTACAAACCCATGGCTGGGCTTGGCTTTAAAAAGTGTTATCTGAGATTCCTTATGGAACAGAGTTACATCAGAGCCAAATTTAAAAGGCTACATGAAAATAATTATTGTTGTTGCACTTTATGCAAATAATCTGGCCAAGTATAAGACTTTAGTTTTGCAAAGTCTTATACTTTTGCAAACAAATCAGTCCTATCATGATTTGTTTTTAATAAAAATGAGGACTGGAGAAAGAGAACTCATGTTTGAAAACTTACCATACACTTGCCATTAAATTCTAGCCTCATTAGTTGTTTTCAGCTTTTGTCTGCATTTTATTCTAATCTTGCTTATTCCTCTGAACCAACCAGTGATCTCTGGCTGCAGCTCAGAAGAAACAAAAGGAATTGCTAATGTAAAAATATGGATGAATATTCTAGTTCTGGGCAATTATCCTGCAAATTCTGACAGGTGATAGGGGTAGATAGGGTGTCCATAACATGGAGGTTTCTTTTCTTGGGAAATTAAGACCAAGGGAGCTAACCAAAGCCAAGCTCAATGCACCAAAATCTTAGCAGGCATAACTATAGCTACCAGTTATCTGGTCATGTCAGCAGCCTCATGATTTTTGAGCCATCCTTACCCTCCTGTTTTGTTTTAATAAATGTCTTCTAATAACCTGGCTTGTCTCTTCTCACCTTCAGGCCATCAAACTCTAAACAGTCATGCAACCAGAGCTTCGGATGATGGCTCCCTTTTGCCAGAGACCCATAGATAGGTCTCTAAGAGAGATCTGACTGCTGTTTTCCAAAAACAGCACTCCCTGTCATCATGACATAGTTAAAAGTGGTCAGCATACTTATCCTAATGGAAGTTAAATTTACCTTTTCAGAGGAAGGAATGATAGCAGCAGGAGGCAGTCAAAGCCCTAGGCAGATAGGGGAGGGTCCCCAGTGAAATTGACCTTCAAAGACAGTTTAAAGTCTAGCTACAAGTCCTGCATAAATCCACGGACCAGACTGAAAGCCTCTCTTCCCATCTGGCATGGTTTCTTCTGATTAATCCTCACCCTTCACCTATTTTTTATATACCTCCCCTTTCCTAATTGTTTTTTTACACTTTCATGGCCACCTTTGAGTTGTGTCTTTCTTTTAAACTTTTTCACATACTCATAAAGCAATCAGCAAGCACTCCCCATTTTGAGCCCATAAAAGTCCTGGACCCAGCCACACTGAGGGAGAGACCACCCAAGTTCAGTGGTCCTCTCTCCACTGAGATCTGTTTTGTCACTCAATGAAACTATTATCTGCCCTCTTCACCCTTTGATTGTCAGCATAACCTCATTCTTCTCGCCTGCAGGACAAGAACTTGGGAAATGCCGGATGCAGGTTCAAGCTGTAATACAGATGGACTGGGGCATGCCCGGCCCAGGCGTGGGCTGAGCCAGTGCACAAACCAGGCATGGCCCGGCAGGCTGAGTGGGCAGGGTGTCCCCTGTGGCAGGCCTGGAGCTGAAAGAGGCCCCAGAGGGGCGTCACTGGCCACAGAAGTCCATGCTGGCAAAGTGACCAAAAAAAATCCTGCATTAAAATCTTATAGATTACTATAAATTAATGTCCCAAACCACTGATTATTTACCCTCTACTAATGTACTATTTAACTTTACAGGTATTTTTATAATAATGTTTCATTTAAGAGAACAAAATGGGTGTTTCTGACTAAAATCAATTACATAAAATGTATCAAACACATCTGAAACACAAGTGGTTGCTCATGGTATTTTAAAAGTAGAAAATATCACTTAGATGGATAGAAATGAATTTTTAGTACCACCATTTCAACTGTAAACTTTTGGGGAAATGTTAAATTTGACAATAGCAAGAGAAGTAATCAAAGAGTGAAAAAAAAAAGTTTTTCATTAACAGTGCACCTGGCTTAGATATTGTTCTGTTAGTAATTGATTAATTCCTTTATCAAATTTGAATGAATGTAAAAGAACTCAGTTGGACACCAAACATATTTATACCTATTAAGAAAGAGAAGCTAGTGCTATATTTGAAGACCCACAGAATAATCATACGCTTTTAAAGCAAATTGTGAAAGAAGCAAATGTGTTGCAAATTTCTCAGGACTAACAAATACATAGATGAGAAATCATGTGGACCAAGATGTGATACTGACCAAGATAACTGCAGAAGAACAGAAGATAAAATTGGGATACTTACTACTCAAACTGATATTGGCCAAGGGCTAAGGAAGTAAACTCAGAACGTTGTGATATCTTTCAACCCTATTGCTTTTAAAATATACATGTGGCTTTTGTTAAGATATACTTAGAGTAAAGGAAACATCATGCTTGAAAGCATATTATGTCTTGTGAAAATCGATGGGCATTGGTAATGTAGAGTTTAAAATTTATGATTTTTTTATCAGTGATTTCAGCTTGATGTCTATCCCCCAAAACACAAACACATCATAAGACAACCAGTTGACCATAATCACTACAGTGTTTTAGGTGTCATCATTATGTTAATTAAATTGTGTACCAATAATATTCCTTTCAACATTACTAACATTGAAAAGAATACGTTTTTATTAAAACAATGCAAACACCAGCTGCACTTATTCATTTTCTCTTTAAGTAACATAGTTTAACATGTCATATTGTAAAACTTGGTCTATCTGTCTGTACACAGGCATACACATATATTAATAATGTTACATAAAATATTGCAAACATTTAATGTATTCTTAAAGATAGAATTCAAAGGTTCCAGGATAGGTATATAAATATTACTGTTAATGTTTCAGTCAAAACCTGAAGAGGAAACTTTGTCTCTCTAAGTTTAATTTAGGAATAAACTTTCCAAAGCAGTAGGGATAAAATTTTAAGTGTGGAATTTAAAGGTTTTTTAAAAGTAGTTACAGAAAACAAATGCAATGGCAAATAGGTGTGGTTGTATCAAAATGTTGACAGTGCCAGTGGCCCCAAGCAGTGACTCCAAACCCTGACCAGTAGGGGAAAAGGCCACAGAACATTGAATTGTTGTTTGTTTCTATGGTTTGCCATGCAGAGAATAATCTTCAGAAAGCTATACAATATGTTTCTCTTTGAAAAATGACACTAGAACAAAAGGAACTAACACTACTGATGATACAGTTAACATAAAGCCAAGAATTCCAAGTAAGAGTTTTGTTCAGAAAACCATTTTATTTAACATACAACATAGAATGTAAAATTTGGGGAAGATTCAAATAGAGTCTGTAACTTGGACATGGGCACTTAATTCTCTTTATAAATTAATCAGGAAATCATATAAATGATTTTCTTCATGGAAATTTATCAGGAACATTTTAAAACATGAACTCGTTTACAAATTCAGAATTTTTCAAAGGGTGCATTTTCCTCTTTAATTGATATCTCTATGTTTTGTTTTTTGTTATTTATGAGTAATTATTCATTATGAAGAAGAAAACAAGGTTAAGTTGCACATATCACAAATGGGAAAAAAGTTTTAGAGACAAATAATATATTTAAGTTGCTTTTAAAAACGCCTTCTTATGAATAGCACATCAGGTACTAGGTTTATTACCTGGAAGATGAAACAATTTGCACATTGAACACGCACAACATGCAATTTACCTATATAGCAAAACTGCATGTGTGCCCCTGAACCTAAAAAAAAAGTTTTTTTTAAATACCCCGTTTAACATCTCTTGACTTTGTGTGTACAGCAAAATATACTGCTAGAAAGAGACAAAATATCTTAGAGGAAAAACCTAACGCCACATTTAAATACCAGAGCCAGAAAAGAGACAAAATCAATTCAAATTATATTTTCTTTCTTAATGATAAAAGAGACTAATAATTGACAAGTTGATATAAGTTGAGTATCAATTTGAATATCCAAGTTGGACTGGTTTGAAACCAGCTTTTTGTTTTTATCCTTTATTAAATGTTGCTTTGGGACAAAGCCATTTCTCAGGGTGTTTATTTAAGATTCTTTTTAAGTCAATATATGACAATAATCTAGAGAATCAACTGGAATTAAATACTTATACTACGCCACTGTTTTTCATAAAAATGTAAAGCCTTACTTGCTGAACATCTGAAAGTAAGAGAGACAGATAAAAGAGAGAGGAAGAGAAATGGGCGATAACACAAATTCTCATTAAAACAGTAAGCATAAATTTAATTTTTGCCACTTTCTTTTTTCCACTAAAGTTATACTCCTCTGGCATAATTCAAATGATTTTTTAAAAATATCAGTAAATATAAAGTTGTAATATAAAGACTATCAATGTAAAATCTACACCCATATGGTCAGAGATATTAAGATATTCCCATTAAGGATAAACGAAGAATCTAAATTAAAGGAAGTTAAAACAATTAAACTATGGCAAGATATTAAAGTTATATACTTTTCAACAGAATGAAGCACATTATACTCAAAAGTCAAACAATATTTATGTTTAGATGTTTTTTAAAGTGCAAGTTGGCAGATTCAATATTGCCTGGGTAATCCCAGGCTTTGTTCTTTATTTTTTTCTTCATTCAATATTGCCTGACAAATATCTATAATTTGCATCTGATCAATGTTAGGTGGACATGCAGAGGTTTTCAGTCAAAGATGAATGTAAAAGTATATATATTTATATAATTAAGACTCTATTTGTAAAGTGAAAATGAATCTTAGAATAATAAAACTGATAAATCAAATTATTGTCTTTGAGATTTTGTCACATGATTGTAACATAATATAAATTATTTTAAATATTTTATATTGTGAATTCATTTTAGACACATCAGTCTTAAATATTGTATCAACATGAGGATTGACAATCTAATTGTAAAGTATATACATAAGTATACATTTTTTACAGAATGACAGAAATTTAATTTTCTGCAATTAATACATGTTATTTTCTAGTTAACTTCAAAAAAGTAAAAAGAAATTACAATTTTATTAAATTATTCATGGCTATTATACATTTTCCAATGTCTAGAGGAAAATAAAATAATAATAAAATTTTAAATCAGTGAATATAAAGTGTTACAGCTTACAAGTTAGAATCTAAAGCTCCTTGCAACATGTAGGTGAGCACTCTTGCAGATATATAATTAAAATCAAAATCTCTTCCTAACCTAGAAAACTTCTCCACAAAGATATTACCAAAATAAGGTTTCTTAGAGAGTAAACATTAAACCAGAATGTCATGCACATCAAGGCAATCCACTCAAGATATTACAAAAATAGAAAAACCTTACACGTTTATACAGCTGAGCAAATGTAACCAATTACATACATGTTCTCATGATAAACAATAGCTAGTCCTCAAGTAAGATAATTTGACAGAACCATTTGTCACATAAATTCATCCTAAATTTACTTGGCAATTGGAGGGATTCTCTGGATTGGCCAATTAGCTTTATCGAAAGGAAAAATAAACTATTCCTGTCTTCATGACAGGGAATGGTCTCACAACTCATACCAATGTGCCCTTAAAAGTCAGGTGCTTACTTTCCCACAGAAACTGAAATAGGGACACTATCTTTCCTGATGATTGCATTTCAAAGAGAGGTCCTTAAGAACAGAACATTATTCCTGGATCATAAACCTCGTAAGAGGTGTAATGTAGCTTTTTTTTTATTATTATACTTTCAGTTTTAGGGTACATGTGCACAACGTGCACGTTAGTTACATATGCATACATGTGCCATGTTGGTGTGCTATACCCATTAACTCGTCATTTAACATTAGGTATATCTCCTAATGCTATCCCTCCCACCTCCCCCTACCCCACAACAGGCCCCAGTGTGTGATGTTCCCCTTCCTGTGTCCATGTGTTCTCATTGTTCAATTCCCACCTATGAGTGAGAACATGCAGTGTTTGGTTTTTCGTCCTTGCGATAGTTTGCTGAGAATGATGGTTTCCAGCTTCAACCATGTCCCTACAAAGGACATGAACTCATCCTTTTTTATGGCTGCATAGTATTCCATGGTGTATATGTGCCACATTTTCTTAATCCAGTCTATCATTGTTGGGCATTTGGCTTGGTTCCAAGTCTTTGCTATTGTGAATAGTGCTGCAATAAACATATGTGTGCATGTGTCTTTACAGCAGCACGATTTATAATCCTTTGGGTATATATCCAGTAATGGGATTGCTGGGTCAAAGTTATTTCTAGTTCTAGATCCCTGAGGAATCACCACACTGACTTCCACAATGGTTGTAATTTAGCTTTTAAAATGATTTGCATACATTCCAAAAAGACAGAAAAAAAACTTACAGTTAGAAGTTTCTAAAAGTAAATGCTCCACAAAAAAGAGTAGGAGAAATCTCTTCCCTTATTTTCAAAAGGGATTTTTTTTTCTTTTTAGATATGTGTTTACCCTTAAAAAACAATCTATATGAACTTATTGCAAGTACAATATTGACTAACTCAAAGTCCAATGACTGTAAACACTTAATAATTTGTTAATTGTTGACTCTGTTTTTATCTATACTTCTGCTGAACTTATAAAGCACTTTCCTCTAAACAGCTCAATCTTTTCTAAGGAAATTAGGTCATAGAAATTACAGATGAAAAGATATTTTCTAAGTATCTTAATTTGGCAAATGTTTAAAACATAAACAATATATTTACTAATGAAAAGATACTCTTATCAAGATGTAAGAACAAAAAAAAAAACCGCAAAAACAAACCCTACAAATAAAGCAAAACAAAAATAAACCCCATTGCTTTTGTTCACTTTACTGTTTCTGTTAATGTAGTTTATGATTAAAAAAATGAATGAAACAGAATCAACTTGTATATAGTTCTTTTATCCAAATAAAGAAGTGAAATTAAACACACGTTATCACAGAAACACTTTGGAAGAAAGTAAAAGCATAATTAAACAAGTTAACATATATTTGAATACTGAGTGTCAACGTGTGCAAAATTATCTTATGTGTTAATTATATAACTTGAACAACATTTTGATTTTCCTTTTAAAAGTTATACAAAAGGGAAAGACTAAAATTGATATGATATTTTAAGATAATAAAATGATCAAATTTAATTGTTTTTGATATGCTGGATGACACAGGAAAAAAGCATCATTCTACAGGCGCAATTATACTTTTCTATACTAAGGCATATGATGCACCATAATGATATAATTTCTATGGCAAAAACCCTCTCTAGACATGTTTCCAAGCCATACTTATGGACCAACAACTAATGACTGTTTATCCCATTTCTATGTATATAGGTAGAGATGCAGGTAGGTAGATTAGTAGGTAGTACTTTATACACACAAACACACACACCAACTTTATATAAATTTCATATATATTTTATCTATATTTATATGATACATAAATATTTATTATATATATATTTTTTTTTTTTTGTGTGTGTGTGTGTGTGTGTGTATGTTCTATTTATAATTGTCATGATCTAGAGCAGAAAGAGTCCTGTTGCCAGAGCAACCATGAATCTCCATCAACCATGAATGGAGAAGGTAGCTTGCAGCTTTGACCAAGACTTTTGGTGAGGCATGTCTCTTTTGTGTGTGTGTGTATTTTTGTGGGGTTTGTGTGTGTGTGTGTGTGTGTGTATTTTTGAGAGAGAGTCCTGCTCCGTCGCCCAGGCCGAAGTGCAGTGGCATGATCTCGGCTCACTGCAACCTCCACCTCACAGGTTCAAACAATTCTCCTGCCTCAGCCTCCCGAGTAGCTGGGATTACAGGTGTGCACCACCATGCCTAGCTAATTTTTGGGTGTTTTAGTAGAGACGGGGTTTCACCATGGTGGCCAGGCTGGTCTTGAACTCCTGACCTCAGGTAATCCGATGCCTCAGCCTCCCAAAGTGCTGGGATTACAGGCATGTGCCACTGTGGTTTGTTTTTTTTCTGAGTGCTTGGTTACCTATATACTCAATGCAACTCAATTTTAGTTTTTCTGTATTTTCTATTTTTTTCTCCTCTGTATTGGCTACATTTACCTACTTATCACTCTGATACCTTTCTCTCCTTCTGTCTACTGCTAGATTCCCTCTGGGTAATAACACATTTAGTCAGCAAGTACTGATGGACAAGTTATTCTGTAGAATATACCTTATAAAAAGACACAGTGAGGCACAACTTCTGTTTTCAAGAGCTATGTATTGTAGCAGATACTAATTATAAAAAAGAAGTAAAAATAAATGTAGAAACAAACAAGCAGCTAATTGAGTAGTAAATCATAGCTAGCTATCACTTTGGAACTCCTGTTATATTGTTATTTGTCTATCATTCCAATAAGGTCTTCTTATATTGCTTGATATCTTAAAACATGTATAAACCTGCATTTTTCAGTCTTCAAAGAGAACATCACACAAAAGCTATAATCTCTCTATAAGGAATTTCTTTCTTGGACTTTTTTTTGCTTTTTACAAAATCTGTGCTTATTTTAGAAAATAAAACAAATATATTTTAAGGTTATTAACATTGCTATTGTTTTACAACCTTTAAAATATGTAACATTGGGCAGCAATCACACAACTATGTTTACAGTCTGTGGAAATAGTATTATTTTCTTGCTATCCTGTTTTAAGTCAGTTTAAATCTCAAATAAACTCAGATGTTTACTTCTGAGTTGTCATTAAAATCTATACCTAAACCAAGCATGGTGACTCATGCCTATAATTGCAGCACTTTGGGAAACCAAACCAGGAGGATCACTTGAGGTCAGGAATTGGAGAGTATCATGGATAACACAGAAAGAACTTGTGGTTACAGGAAAAAAGCAAAGAAAATTAGCCAGATGCGGTGGCATGTACCTGTAGTCCAGCTACTCAGAAGGCTGGGGTGGGAGGATCACTTGAGCCCAGGGGTTCCAGGATGCAGTGAACAATAATCAAGCCACTGCACCCCAGCCTGGGTGCCACAGCAAGACTGCATCTCAAAAAAAATAATTAATTAATTAATTAATTAATGAAAATCTATACCTAGTATGTCATACTTTTCAAAAATGACCTTTTGAAGAAATATTACTTGAAAATACATATATATATATATACACACACACATAAAGAGTTAAACTACATACTCTAATTAAATCACCTAGTAAGTAAACTTGTTTCTATCATAGTTAAGATTTGAAAAGGTTATATAAAAGTGATATTCATACTAATTCGGTAACATCAATTTATTATTCCCAAGAAAGATTAAATAAGCTATCATTATCAATAATCCTGTAAGGTCTTATTGAATCTCCTATATATTAAAGAAAACATATCAGAAAAACATAGGGTGAGCCATACGAAAGACCTTTCTAAAAGTGGTGCTAGTATTATAAAATTAGCCATCCACATTAATTTAATACAACTGCCAACAACTAAATTTTTAAAGAGAGATTTAATATGCTTTCCACGTTTTCTGTTAATTTTTAAATATTTTAATGTGTACGTGATTTATTAATCTCATTGTTAATATAATAGGACTAGCACAGAGATATTGAATGAATTTAAGCTGACATTTTAATAATGTATGTTATGGTATCTTACTAAATGATTTAGGCACAGATAAAACTTATTATATTTATCAAATATCTACTTTTCTGTGGATTCTATGTTTTTCTAACAGTTATTTATTAAATTCTTATTACTGCCTGTAAGATGGGCATTATCTTCATTACCCTATAGGTTAAATACGAAAAAAAAGTTTGTTTTTCTTGTCCTTGTTAACCCAGATATAGGAGAAATGACATTCAAACCTAAATTTCTTCTAGGCATACCAGCACCAGAGAAAGTGGTGGCTGATATCAGAAAGTTAAAAACAGTGTGGTATTTTTCAGGGTTAATGATTAACTATGCTCAGAAAACATGATATGATATTAGTTTAGCTAGAAAGCTTGTAGTATGCTAAAGAACTCAGAACAGATCTTATAAAAAATCTCTGTGATTAGTTCAAAATTATAGAAAGCATGTCCAACTTGGAGATGACATGAATTGTTCAGCCATATAAAATAAAATGAATCTGTATGTTGTTATTCAAATATACACATATAAATTGTATATATATAAACATACATATACACACAGACACACAAATGGACAGACACACAAATGGCCAGCAAGTATATGAAAGGTGCATAGTATTTCACTTAGCATAGTATCTTCCACCTCTACATCACTAATCATCAGAAAAATGCAGATTGAAATCGCAGTGAGAAACCTCCTCCCACCTTTTAGAATGGCTATTCAAACAACAATAACAACAAAAGATAAGTGTGAGCAAAGCTGTAGAGAAAGAGGAAGCTTTGCACACTATCAGTAGAAATGTAAGTTGGTACAATCAATATAAAAAACACTATGGAGATTCCTCAAAAAATTAAAAAAAGAATTACCTTATGATCCATCAATCTCCATTCTGGGTATTTATCCAAAAAAACTGAAATCAAAAGATCTCAGAGACATATCTGCACTCATGTTCATTCTAACATTATTCACAATAATTAAGATATAGAAACAACCCAAGTGTACATCAACAGATGAATAAAGAAAATGTAACATATGTACACAATGGCATACTATCTTCTAAAAAAGAAGAAAACCCTGCCATTTGTGACAACATGATGGAGGTAGAAGATACTATGCTAAGTGAAATAAGCCAGATGCGGAATGACAAATACTGTATGATATCTCTTACATGTGGAATCTAAAACTGTCAAATTCATAGAAGTAGACAGTAGAGTGATAGTTACCAAGAGATGGCAGAAGGCAGATATGGAGAGATGTTGGTCAAAGGATACAAAGTTTCAGTTATACAAGATGAATAAGGTCTGGAAATCTACAGCATGGTGACTATAGGTAACAACGCTGTAATGCGTACTTGACATTTTCTAAGAGGGTAGACCCTAAGTGTTGTCAGCACACGAAAACACAAATGGTAACCTTGTAAGGTGATAGATTTTGTTAATTAGCTTGATTGTAGTGATTATTTCAATGTGTCTGTGTTGGGGGGCGGGTGTTGGATACCTTAATGTACACAATAAAAATAAATTTTATAATAGAACTCAGAACATACTGCCAAAAAAAGAACAAGAAAGCAAAATGAATGAACAGCAAGGATCAACAACCAACAAGATGAAAGTTTATGTGTGTTAAATATAAAATATGCTTTTTAGTTAAAAACCAGCTGTATAACATGAGATGAGCGAGAAGTCTAACTTAAGAGTAGTTCATAACAAGATCATCTTATGTTCACAGATGAGAATATCACAACTGCTATAACAGTGATTGCCTGATGTGGACCAAAATTGATGGAAGCAGAAACTCAACAATTGGATAGACACTGTGTTCTCCAGTTGCCAGCAACACTCATAGACATGTCTTAAGTTCCAGGAAGTAAATTTTGAGCAGGGTATTGAGAAATAACAGTTCATACAGAAAAGTGTGGCTACCATGCTTAAAGGTAAGGAAATCTCATAAAATGAGGACTGCTTGAAGGAACTTGTTTTAGCTCAGAGAAAATCAAAAAAATAAAAGGATCATGAAAGTTTTTCAAATACAAGAAAGTCAAGCATGGGTTTAAAAAAGCACCTGTGATTGTGATAAATGGGTACAAATAAAAGGGAGGTGGATTATGGTTTAATTTATTGAATATAATTCTACCAATTAATTCATTTTCCACCAAACATTAAGCTGGTGTCTCCCTTTGTAAGTAAAAGCAGAGGATATTTTCTCATTTGCTTTACAAGGACTCGTAAATGTTAGATCTTTGTGACTAGCAGAACATTACACATGTTTCATAATAAGTTATATTTATTGTTACTAACTCTTGGAAGAAGTGTAAGGGTTTCAGTTGTTCTGAATGGGACCATTGTCTTATAAGACCATGAATTTGATAGCTACTTATTAACTAGGGAGAAAAATTCCATAAAATATTTGGAAGCAAGTTGATTTAATATATTATATTTCATGTACTTCTCATGTAGCACCCAGCAATATAAGGGGGGTTGAAAAATCTTTAAGAAAAGTTATTTTTCACATTGAATTACATACCTCATATCTTCCATATTCTTGTTTTAGTGAAAAGTTTAAGATTTAAATAGCATGATAGTCTAGGCCCAAGAAAAATAGGTTATTTTTCTTACAAATTGAATGCAATAGGACTTTATGATCTTATTGTAAATTTCTCCATAGGTGAGTATAAGATCTGTGATATTCATGTATAGGTGTGTGTATTTGTAATGTACACTCTTCAGTCATAAAATTGTCCTGAGTATCTAGTTTATAATAACAAACTACCAGCCTCAGGATATGTTACAGACAGCCTTTGTTTTCCTACAGTACGATGCCACTGTTATTAGCAAATAGCTTCCCAATGGGAGACGGTTGCCTTTTGAATTCATTTGACATTGACAAAGGAGTATAGCTTGGGATGAGAAAGTTCTCTTTATTCTACATCTTTCTATATAGTCCTAGAATATGAAGTGTTCATACTGGTCAGAAAATTGAGTACAATAGGGCAGAGCTCAGAGTGCTGTTAGTTTCAACTCTAACTGATACTTTATTAAGTTGTATAGGATAACATACTGTATACGGGAGAGTTCTTTGTGTTCCTTTCGGAATCATTTTGCCTAACATGAGAAACAAGCACGCACACACACACACACACACACACACACACACACGCAGAGCTGTGGAATTTTTAAAGAAAATTCCTAACACAATTTTCATATATTTTTCCCTTGGAAAGAGTAAAACAATAGTCACAAAACTATGGTTAGGTTTATATATGCTTTTTATCAGTGTAATGGTCTAAATGTTAGTGTCCCCCCAAAACAAAATTCATATGTTAAAATCTTCATTTCCAAGCTGATGGTATTAGGAGTAAAGTATTTAGATTATGCAGATGACATATTGTTCTTTTTTATAAAACAGACCTCAGGGAACTCTCTACCGCCTTCCACCATATGAGGACATAGGAAAAAGAGAGCCATCTAGGAACTAGGAGATGAGCCTTCATAAGACACTGATTCTGCTACCATTTTGATCTTGGACTTCCCACCCTTCAAACTGT
Source organism: Homo sapiens (assembly GCF_000001405.40). NCBI lineage: Eukaryota > Metazoa > Chordata > Mammalia > Primates > Hominidae > Homo > Homo sapiens. Next base: position 96,187,312 of record NC_000003.12, read on the forward strand.
GAGATACAAGTTTCTGTTGTGTATAGGCTACTCACTGTATGATATTTTCCTATAGCAACCCTGAAAGACTAAGACAATCAGTGTGCATTAGAGATAAGTTATATCGATTATGAGGACCCCAGATAAATTCCCTTTAGTATTTTTTCCTATAAGAAATGAAAAGTATTTGGCCCTGTATCTTCCACTAATCTAAATAGGCAGTGAAGAAAATAATACAACAAATATTATTGCAACAGAATAACAAGCCTCTATTTCGACGTGACAGCCTTGAAGTAGAAAGAGAAATTAAGAGCACTCCTCCATCTCATTAGAAATAGGTCTGCGTAATAGTAGGGCCTTTATAAATTGATTAATAACAGAAGCCACAAAGATGCTGCATTCTTTTTGTTAGATGATACTATACTATAACACTCAAGTCAACCCTGGTAATTTTTCCTGTAAATTTAAGCCAAATAATTCAAAACAGGTGTATATTATTGCTAAATCATTATCCAACTACCTGTCACAGAACAGTTTTGGTGTCATTAAATGTCGTTTATGATTATTCCATGCGTATTACAAAGAAAGTGCTGGAGTTTACATTTATCCCTGTGGAATATAATTTTATTATTTGATTTTATCCTTCCTCATGTTTGACAATAGTTTGGGTTGTTGTAGTTTGTTTTTTGTTTGCTTGGTTTTTTTTCTTGTGTATTTATGCTGTCACACAAAATGTTTGCACCTATCCCAGCTACGTCTGTTCTGTGCCATCTGTGCACCTTACTGTCATATAGCCTATGTCATTGTGCAAGTCATTAATATAAATATTGAAAAAGATTATCCCCAGGACATATGGTTAGAGGCTTCCATCATAGCAGAAAGCAAATCTAAACCTCTAAACTTTGGTTACAGTAGCTTAACAACGTAAGAAGCCATGCAATAATATTAGAATTTAATCCAAAGCTCTTTATCTCTTTCATATACATACAACCACCATCACCACTTCCAAAAAATAGATAAAACTAGCTGTTGTAGTAAAAAGACTCATATTTTCAAGACTATCTCAATTGAAAATTCAAGAGACTATTTAAAACTCAACATCAATAATTTGTCTTTGTTGTTATATACAAAATCTCTGACCCTGAGGCTGCTGGGTAAGGAGAAAATTCACTTCTGCATGAAGGTTGGAGGAAGAGCAATCATTAAAAGAATTCTTGGACAAAGAAAACTCTACTATTATCTCAAAATATTATTTACTGTATCTGCATAGCCAGAGAACAGGAAATAAAATAGGTTGATTATAAAAGATAGCACTGATTAATGATCCTGGGCTGTGCCATGAAGTCATTTGTTTCAACGTAAGACATTCTAGCTTTATCATCACCGCTATTAGGAACTATGTATTTTAGGTAAAACAGAGAATTTGCATTAGCAGAATACTGTTCTTTCTTCCACATAGAGATATGTTTTATATACATCATATATATAATATAAAATATGTATATATTTAAAAGATATATATAAAATCTTGTCATACAAATAATATGTATATTATGTATATTACATAATATGTATATTACATTGTTTATATATTCTCTCCTAATGGTCTGTTTTCTGTTTCTATTGATATTTTTTCTATTTGAAAAATAGAAAACTGGTACTAGAAATGATTTCAAATAAAAAGAAGCTTAAGGAATGGGCCCTGAGTTGTATGAAATTAGATCTCTGATGTGATTTTTTTTAAAGGCATTGCAATGATGTTTTCAATGGGAAAAGGGACATGGGTAATCCTCAGAATGTGGTGGCAAAGAAGTTACTCAAATCACTGCCTCTGGTTCCCTGTAATCAAATTTATACAAAATGTAAGGCACTGGATAACCAAGTATTTTGTGCTATAATATCATTTAGTAAAATTAGCATATAATGGAGTTTTTTGACCTCTAGGTGTGCTAGAGAACCTGGACAAAGACAATCAATTCATTGTTTTAATTGCAAGCTCAACATTTGCATAAGAAACTGGAAAGCTTCTATGACTATATTAAAAAAAATAACCAAAACCAGATAAAACAATATAATATTTATCTCCTATAGCTTAAGAATTTTGAGAACCAAGTTTTCAGTTTATTCATGTTCTTGGATGACTTGCAAAGCAAACCAAATTCTCAATTTCATGGGTCTCTTATTTTAGGAGCTAAAATTTTGGGAAAAAGTAAGACACTAAAACTTGGGGTGAGGATATATAGGTAAAACCAGATGAAACTGGAGACCTTGAAACCCTAAACTTTTTTGCTGATTCTCCTCTGCTATTAAAAGTATCCCTTCTCTTCTATCTATGGAATTGAGTTTCCCCTTCTCTGTAGAACCTATAGGAGCCTACGTTGAAGTAGCTGCCTTGCAAGTGGTAGCAGCATGAGGCAGACAAATTCTTAGGCAGAAAGGGGTGGGTCCCTGATGAAACCCAACCTTCAACCCAAGTACAGTCTAAAGCCTGAAAACTGAGCTGTCAGTTCCATGTAAAGTCCAGGACCTGAGTGAAAAGTTTCTCAATGCCTTTTTAGCCAATCAAATGATGCTTTTTCCAAGCTTGCCCTGGACCAATCAGCATGCACTCCCCCACTATGAGCCCATAAAAGCCCCAGATTGAGCCACACTTTGGGACTACTCGCCTTTGCGTAAGGGCTATCCACGTTGGGTTTCTCTCCCCTGAGAGTTGTTCTCTTACTTAATAAACTCTTCTCCACCTTGCTCACTCTTTGGTTGTCCATGTAACTTCATTCTTCCTGGATGTGGGACAAGAATCTGAGACCTGCCGCATGATGGATGTGAAAGGAGCTGTAATGCTGTAGCCCTCCTGCCCTCTGCCAGCGCCAGGCAGCTGTTCCACATAGTGGGAAGTGGTGGTGGGGCTGAGCCAGCCCAGGAGTCATGGGCCATAGTGGGGCAACAGGACTGAACAAGCTGGGACATGCTCCCATTCGCTGAAGTGTGTGGACATTGGGAATGAATGAGCTGCTACATAAACAAGCCATCACACTTCCTGGGGGCCCAGACCTCGGGACTTCCTGAGCCAGAGCTGTCACGCCGTTCTGGGGCTCCGCAGTTTCTGGTGTCTCCAAGTTTCTTGAGTGCCACTGTGTTCCTCTTATCTGGACACCAGTGCCCAAGGTGGAAGCCACTTGCTGTGTGCCATGTCCAGACCCTGTACTCACTCACTCACGCACCCATTGCCACTCCATGACCAGCTCACCCATGGCAGGTGTGAGATCCAGGCAAGTAGTATAAGCCAAGTGCAGAAGCCCAGCCAGGAGTATTGCTGGACATGATAATTTGCAGCTGGAGAAGTGGCACTGAAAGGATCCTGTGTCACAAGGAACTGTTTAACCTAATAAAAACCTAACCCTTCATTTCTCATTGCTTCTAGAGCTATAACCAGACTCAAGTAACAATAAGTCTCATAAGGTGAGTTACAAAATATGCTCTATGAGAAGGTGCAGTGTATCTCAGAAGAACTGCAGAACTTTAGCCAAATTATGTTCATAGGAACATGGATAATACACATGAGAATGGAATGAAAGGGAGTGTGAACAGAGTAGAAGGAATAGTAAAGTGTATTAGGCTAAATATATTGACATAGACCCATGTAGCAGAAATCCTGCATTAAAATTTTAGCTTGAGGGGCCGAAGATTATTCCAATAATTGGCTGAGTTCAAGCTGAACCAACAGTTGGCCTATGCCAAAGGCAGTGTAATGACGTAGCTCTCCTAGCATATTTATAGAGAGAGGGACACATCTTAGAGATATTAAAATTCTAGAGTCAATTTATCATTTAAGATCTGCTTACCAATTGTTTCCCAAAGAAGTGGCCATAAAACCCTCCATTTCCCAACAGTAAGAGAAATACACTGAAGAGGACTACCAGCACCCGTGCTTTCTAACGACAAAATCTGCTCCCTGAATTCAAAGGGAATGATGTAATCCTGAGTTTTCTTCCTCTTCTGAATCTTTACTCTTCAAGTGCTGACTGTCTTGGAAGCTCTTTGAGGCATTTCAATGGAAGAAATTTTTAAAAATCTTATATATTACACATAGTTGCTCTCATTAGAAGCCTTTTCTGCTACAAAATACTTGATAAAGTCATAAAGAAATATTTTGCCTAATTTTAATTTGTAAAATCACAGTATTTTATACTGTGTATTTTATACTGAGTATTTATACTCATACCTGATATTGAAAGAAGAAATAAGTCAGTTCAGTATTAGATTCCTCACGTGTATCTAAAAAGTTTATTTTCATCTAGAAATTCATTCTTATCTTATTAATTACACACATCATAAATTTGATAGCTTGATTTTAATTTTCCACCAATTAATTTCAATGTTATTGCTATCTCTTTAGTTTCTACTATCATTCTAATCAATTGAATAAATACCAGTATTGAGAATTACTAACGTTTTCACTTATATATTTGTGGGTATTTTATATATAGCAACATTAAATAAAATTTTAATTTTGCTTATATATCAAACACTCTATTATCTTGCCCTATTTGTTATACCCCTGATTTTTAAGGAAGTAAACCATTTGCTATATTATTTTCCTTCCTTTTTACCATTGACTCATCAGTCCTTCTTCTAACTAATACTTGGAAGCCTATTTCTAGGCTGGACTCCAAAAAAGAGCACTTAAATTCCAAGACATTAAGATGTATACAAATGTTAAAAGAAACTCCACTTGGCCGGGCGCGGTGGTTCACGTCTGTAATCCCAGCACTTTTGGAGGCCAAGGCAGGCAGATTATGAGGTCAAGAGATTGAGACTATCCTGGCCAACATGGTGAAATCTCGTCTCTACTAAAAATACGAAAACCAGCTGGGCATAGTGTCGTGCACCTGTAGTCCCAGCTACTCAGGAGGCTGAAGCAGGAGAATCACTTGAACCTGGGAGGCAGAGGTTGCAGTGAGCCGAGATCACACCATTGCACTCCAGCCTGGTGACAGAGTGAAATTCTGCCTCAAAAAAAAAAAAAAAAAAAAAAAAAAAAACTCCACTTAATATGTATAAACAGTTAAAAAAAACTTGTAGATAACTTTAGCTGGATAATCTGAGAGTAGAGGAAATCACCACGATCATCTCAAAAAGAAAATAATGAAATATAAGAAGATATCAAGAAGTATATAGTTCACTGTCAAAGTTTAACCATAAAGTATAGACTTATTGGTCACTATTCCTGCAAATGAATTTCTTATGATCAAACTTTTACAACTGTCCTACATTACTTAACCAAGCAATTTCATTACTTAAGCTTATTCTTACTTAATTCTTGATATTTTAATCTTTATTTACACCAAAAATTCCTAGTACTCATCAGGAGACTGCAAGAATCATCTTTGAAAACAATAAAAATGATTATTTTGTTTTCTTTGAATCGTTGACATTTTTATTCTGTATGATGGTAGATGCCAAAATGTTCTTTAAATGTAAAGAAAACTATAGCAGGGCACTGTGTGTAAATGTAATGAAAAGTGGTGGTGCAAATTTTGACAAACTGACGCAGCCTTTTCCAAGACTTTCAAGTCGTATCCCTACACCAATTCTTCAATTCTCCTGACTCAGGGGCTTGGTGTCAGTCCTTGATTGTGTTTTGTTGTTTCTGCAGATCAACAATTGGGCTCAATTTTAAGCAGTCAAAGCAGACATTTGTCATTGTGCTTGCATCCGGTTTCCTGTGGCATCCTGCCCACTTAATCATTCAAGTAGGGGAACTACTGGCAAAGCGGGAAAGACCAAGGCAAGCTCCTGTGACCTAGCAAGAATCATGTCACATATAATTACCATAATTTATAAAGATCACTCCAGGCTCACTGGTGCTGGTGCTGCACACCAGTTGGACTGTGCTGGAATGTTTAAGTAAATATTTGCACGCAACCTGAAGCTGTTGAGAATTTCTGCTTCAGTTACAGCCCCCATCTTATGAAATATTCAGTACATGAAATGTCTCCAGTGGTGCAGAGTGGTGGGTTTTCTCTCTGATTTGATTAGCAGTGATGATTCTTTCATGAGCTGTGAATGTCCTTCTAGATTAGCATCATCCAGGTTCTTTGGTCTTGTCACGGAAGAAGAGAACTGTGGGGACTGTGGTTTATAAACATGTTAAAAGCATGGCTTTAACAATCTATGAAACATTTCAGAATAGGATTTTAAATATCATTCATATACTTTTAAATGCAGTTCATCCTAATGGAAAATGTGTTATTATGAATCAGAAACCTACAGGAAAATTAGAAGCATACAGAAACTGAAGACTAGAAATGATAAAAATTATGGTGTTGGTAACATTCTGTTTAATGGATGGATAATCATAGGCATGTTATGCAGTTCTAGAAATGATACAATTTTATTGCATTAAAGTCTGTGGGTTGTAGTTATTTGTTCTTGTAATTTGTAATTTAAGGATTATTACCCCAAATAGCTCTTTTAAAAAATAATAAACCCATATAATTTGAAATCACAAATATTCCAAATGAAATACCTAGAATCAATACAAAATATATTTTATCATTCATAAGAAATCATTAAATCTTATATATGATAAATGTAGTGAAGTGCAGAAAGTAAAAGTATACGTATCATTAATGTGCTAAATAGTTTTATAGTCAGATATATGCTTGCTTCTTCATCTCTGTCCCTCCCACATGCAAATAAAAAATATTATTTCTTAAGTTAATAGAAGACTCACATTCAATTTAAAATGTCATAAATCCTCTTATGTTTTGAGCATTTACAGTATTGTAAAATTATTTATTTAACAAATTCCTTCCCAGTGAATGACTATTGCCTCTTAACAGAGTAAATAGGCTAATTGCATTTGTCATCTATGTAAGAGAATTCTGAAGAATTAAAAGCATTTTTATAATAGTTTTTATATTTGTCAATATATAATCATTGCCATTATTGTCTAATTTCAAATGATTCTAAAAATTGCTTCTTTTGATCTATCTTCTAGGAAGTTAGATGTCTAAATCAAATTAGGTTTCTATATCATTTAATTAAAATACTTCATTCTTTCAAATGTTTTATCATTTATTATCAATTGTTTCCAAACATTAGCTATAAAAGCCTAGCTCTGTATTTAATAATGCTAACTTAGCATGCATTTTATTAACATATCTTTACAGTAGTAACAATTCTTAATCTCTTAACATTATTCTATTTCTATATAGATTCAGAGATTCTCCACAGAGGGCATTTCTAAAACTCTGCCTTAACTAATATTAAGTGGGTAATAATTAGAGTAATACCGGCTTACTTCTGATTTTGGAAGCACCGTTAACAAGTATTTGAAACAGAATTTATTTATTTAAAATAATGATTAAGACACAAAGTTTAGTAACTTTAAAAAGTATGGAATCATATTTGTGGTACTTTCATTAATTAAACATTTTTTCTCTTTGAAGAAAATGATTTTTATCCATATGTTTTTCCGTATAATAAAGTATATCTCAGAAAGTTGTCAAGACTATGTTGCATGCTTGCTTAGGACTGTGAATCCTAAGTTGGAAAAACGATAGAGAATAAAAGCATAGGTCATGAGCAAAGATGATTTACAGATTACTCAAATTTTCATGTTTTTTAAGTATTTGAATTTGATTAGATCATGAAGTATCTATGTTAAGCATATTCATTTTTTCTTGCTGCCATAGTAAATCACCACCAACTTAGCATTTTAAAATAAGATGAATTTCTTATCTTACAATTTTTAAGGTAGATGTTCATGGGTCTTAGCTGGTTTCTCTGCTCCAGGTCTCACTGGCTAAGATTGAGCTATCAGCAACTGTGGCTCTTATCAAGAGGGTTTGGGGGAGACTCAATTTCCAGGCCCATGCAGGTTGCTGGAAGGATTCAGTTCCATACAGGCGCAGGTCTAATGTCTCCTTTCTGGCAGGGGATCATTCAGAGCTTCTCCAGGCCTCCTGCAAGACCTAACTTGTGACACCATTCATCTTCAAGGCTAGCAGAATGGGTCAAGTACTTCTCACACTTTAAATCTCTCTGCATCCTCCCTCTGTCTTGTGAGACTTGATCCTAGTCTGAGAAAGTTCTCTGCTTCTAAAGTCTCGTGGAATTAGATTGTGTCTACCTAGATAATTTAAAATAAGTTACCTGTTTTAAGATCTATAACCTTAATAGCATCTGTAAAGTCCATTTTGTCATGTAATGTAAAATAAGCATAGTTCCCAGCAATGGGAGAGAGGGGAATTCTTTCTACCACAGTAAGAGTGTGTCCAGATTTATATCTGTATGTTTGTAGTGTTGTCTTGGAAATAGTGAACAACAAAGTCTCCTAATAGCAGGAAAATAAATCACCTCTGATTTGTAGTGTTTGCATATTTCTGTGATGTAAGTAATCCCAAAATGGCAGATGTCAAGCTATCAATGTGGATTCTGAAGGTGCACAAAATTCCTCTCATGAGATGGTGTGATGTGTCTCTAGTACACCTCTCTGTATTTATAAAATTCATAAAGCAAAATTTTGAAGTCTAATAGCAAATAGAAATTTGACTAATGGTAGTAAAATAATGATGAAGATGACATGTTCTTTACATACATACTTCAAAACACAATAAAGTCAAAAGACAGTGAATATTTCTACCCGTCTTTTTAATCCTAGTACAAATATATATCCTAGCCAAAAATATTTGAAGATAAAACATGAAATATTAATTTCTTATTAAATGTGTAGTTAAACTATTTATAGTGATTATAGTGTTTTACTAGTCCTTCTTCTAGTTACTAATAAAATTAATAAATTACAAGATATATTTATTCAAAATTTTAAATTTCTAACAAACTATGTGCAATGTATTGAAATATGTGCTTCAGTGATTTAAATATGTACATTTTATTGATAGAGAGACAAACTCTTCGCTTGTTTACACAGCTTTTTTTTTTTAATTTTAAAACAGTATTGATTTACTCTGTACAAGTGGGATAGCTAGCACAGTTACTTGTGCTCAGTACACTAAAGAACATTTTCAACTTTGTCTTATAGCAACCATTTTTACTTGTATTTCCAGTGTTCTTGTTTTCTTAATTCCTTCTCTAATGAGCATGTACAACTATTAACAGCAAGGTGGAATAGATGTATCAGACCACACTTGATTGCAATCATGAACTTGTATCCTCAAATTATTTTGGTATGAATGATCTAAATAAAAGTTTCAAAGAATGTGTCTCTTTGCCCAATTGATCTGATTTCTAAGAAATGATTATTTTGTCATTCGAAGTCATGCACAATAGAGATATTGTGAAAGACAAAAATCAACATCAGTACATGTGGCAAATTTGTCATGCACATATGAGAAAGTAGGCTTCTGAGATCTTTTTACTTTAAATATTGTAATTATTATGTCTAAGTATAATCAGTCAGATTATCCTAGGGTATGATTTCCTACCAGGGAGACAGAGACTCTGATGATTTGGGATGGCACATTAGCGTGCTGGAGCTAATGCAGCATCCCGGTGTGCTTAACTCACTCCCAGGGTGTAATTCTAGCCCTAGGAGAATTGTTCCATTATATCCTAACATGAATTAAGTGATGTTTTCAAATTATTTCTTTTATCTTAACTATTTCTGTGACTGCTAATGCAGATACATCTTTAGGAGTGAAAAAAAAAACTATTCTTCTTTCTCACAATGACTTGAAATATTGCATTTATTGAAACATTTCTGTTAAGTTTTCATTGTCAGATACACAGTTTGCTAATTGCACATCTTAGGTCCTCTACATCTCTTCACTGACTATCTTCTGGTGCTCTGCTTTTTTCTCCATCTGCTGTGGCTCCAGTATTAGCTGCTAAGCACATGATCATCTGAGGGAATGGTTGGGCAAAGACTGAAGCAGTGGAGTACAACAGCTATTAGGGAAACAAACGGACCAGCAAATCCCAGCAATGCCAAGGAATTGTATCAGAAAAATGTTTTTCAATTTACTCCAGCCTTTCCCTACAGCATGCACTTAAATAAAATCTAAAATATAAAATCGCTTTTTAAATAAAAACTAGTGATTCTTTATATATGTTACTTAGAAATACAGTTGCAATCAATTCACGTTTTGGCGGAAAATATTTAAAAATTTTGATGTTGTCTAATGGATATAAACAGTTTAAATGTGACCCAAATATTTGCATACAGAATATGGTGACTTTGACCCTTGCAGCACATCTATAAAAGAAATGTGAACTTTTATTCCTGAAGTAGAAAAAGTCGTAGGAAAAAAGATTTGATGTTTTAGGGGAAAATATTAGAAATAATAGTGACAACATCTAATATTTATAAGCACAGTTCTATGAGACAGACTCTGTGCTAAATGCTTATCATGTACTATTTAATATAATCATATTAAAAGCAGTAATAGTATAGTAGCACAATAATAGCATAGTGTGACTAACAGTACTACTCAGGTTGTAGTACTGTCAATCATACTATGCATTAGTCTAAGCAAAGTGGCCACAACTGATTTTGGTGTCCAGAAGCAGAAGTGGCATATTGTTTATTATAATAAACAACAATGGATCAACTCTTTGCTACATTCCTTCATGGGGAGGTGTTTACGATTCAAAATGAAACATTATCTTTAAGTCACACATATATTTTCAAGAATGTTTAAAATGATTCATATTATTTAATCATAAATTTATGTTAGATTTTCTATTTAACTTGTTTCTGGGGTCCTAAATTAATGAATCAGATTTTCATTTAGTTAAAGCAGCAATATTGAAATGCAGATAAATACAACTTGCCACCTTGTAATGATATGAGTATTAGTTGGAATTGGCCAGGATTGGTACTGAGATCATTTGTTACTAGGCTCCTAATGGCTCCTGATAGACTATTATCCCTAACCTGAAACTTGGTTTATGCAGACACTCCTAAATGTTGCTCTTGGAGATACATTTGCCATAAATATGTTTTCAAAGGTTCTAATTTGACTCCAAATTCTCTTCTGCATTTAATGGCAATGAAGTAGACTAGATGGAGGTATGCCCTTACAAAATGCACGCTATTGTCCAAGTAAGTCTCTGATTCTGAAAAATAATGGCTCCCCTTACACCTCCGGCCGATTACTCACCTGCTCTAAGTCTGAAGTTCTCTACTATTATCTGACTGAAAACTGCAACCACATGATCATCATGATTCAGTGTCTCAGAGCAGAAAGATAGTTTGAAAGCCATAGAATATGAATTTCTTCTTTATTCACAAATACACAAATGATACTTTAATGCGTTTTCACTGTTTGGTGAGATAATACGCTAAATTGCTAATAAATTGCTACTATTCAAATCTATTCCATTTCTAGCTAGCATCTATTAATATCTCATGAAATCATTATTTTTAACTGTAAATTTAGGATTGTTATATGGAGGCCAAGAATAATTTGCAGAATTTGCTAAATAGTGTGACAAATAATACTCATTGGAATCTGCTCTCATTGTAGTGTGGTGATTAGGGTTGTTGGGAGACTATATTTATCAAATATTATTACACTGATATTGTAGCTAAAGTGAGGAATCTAGCACCTAGCCCAGTGCCTAATTTTAGATTACATGTGAAGGTGACAGATGGTGTTAGTAAAAATTAAAAATCAAAAAAGACAAATGGTTTTGGAATCCTCATGTATACTACATCATAGAATGAGGACATAACAGCATCTGAAAATCAATAGTATGTAGTTGGTTAAGTTACCATATTGGGATTTCTGTTTGTGAACAAGAAGAAATTATTGTGATGAGATTTACCTTCCTGCATTAAACAAACAAATTAAATAAACTGGAATATATACATGAAATATGATGTATGCTATTGGAAATCAGTCAACAAAAGCCAGTGATTCCTGAGGAACAAAAAACAAACAAGCTGGGTACTACCATAGCCCCAGATTACTGCCTAAAGAAAGGTACCTGGACCTTTGCTGGGAGGGGAAAGCAGGCAGCCCTTAGAGGCCTTCTGGAAATGAAGAGAAGGCACCAAAAGTCTAAGGAGGACAAGGCATCTAGAGTTCACAGGATATGAAAGAGGAGATGATGGATAGAAGATAAATAGGAGATAGACGAAGATAGATTATAGATACAGATAAGTAGGTAGATAATAGATTGATGATTGATTGATAGATGATAGATAGAATTTTGATCTACAGAGCATCTCTAACAAGTATGCAGCAGAATATTAATCAGTGCCTGTGAAGAAACTATCTGAGGCAGTGAAAGATAATATGCAAAAATTACTACAGAAAATTATACTTGGCACTCACCCAGAGCAAAAAATAGTGCCTGTACCCACCTGCCATATTAGACCTTATAACTCACAGGGCATTGGTTAAATAATGAGAAGGGTATTGCCTCAGTAGTGGGAAGTATTTAGATTTAGACCAAGGGTGTCCTGTCTTTTGGCTTCCCTGGGCCATACTGGAAGAAGAAGAATTGTCTTGGGCCACACATAAAACACACTCACACTAACGATAGCTAATGATCTAAAAAAAAAAAAATTCAAAAAAATCCCATATTGTTTTAAGAAAGTTTACAAATTGTGTTGGGCTGCATACAAAGCTATCCTGAACCACATGTGGCCCATGGACTGTGGGTTAGACAAGCTTGCTTTAGACTAAACCCTACCATTGTCTCACCTAACGAATCTTAAAAGTAATAACTTCAGTGATTAAACTGTTTCCAGTTAACTCAACTCAGAACAAGTCTCAAATTATTTAAAAGAAAACAAATATGTCCAGTACCCAATTATGTACAATTCACAATGTCTGGAACACAGTCCAAGGGTATCATATATTCAAAGATGAAGGAAAACATACCCCATAATGAGAGAGAAAGTCAATCAATTGAAACTGATCCATAGCTGGCACAAATATTGGAATGAGCTGACAAAAAAAATAACACAGTTAGTATGACTGCAATCTATATGTTCAAAAAATATGAACAGAATTATAAAAGGTGAAAAAAAGACCAAAATTAAAAATCAAGTGATGAAAACTACATGCGAAATAAAAAATATATTGATGGTTTAATAGCAGATTAGACATCGCAGAAGAAAACATAAAGAAACTTGAAGACATAGCAAGAAAATAATCCATAAAAACACAGAGAAAAAATGAAAAATCAATAATGAGTTTTGAAAAATTACCAAACAGCTCAATATGCCTGTAATTAGTAGCCCTGAAGGAGAGAAAACAAAAGTTTCAGGAAAAAAATAATTGAGGGACTGGCCGAGAAGGCTGACTAGAAGTAGCTGGTGTGTGCTGCTTTCACAGAGAAGAGTTAGAGTGGCCAGTAAACAGGAGCTCTTCAACTGGATCATCCAGGAAGACACATTGGGATTCATCAAGGAAGCAATGTAACTCACAGAAAGCAAGACTGGACAGTTGCCCATCCAGGATTGGTGCAGAGCCAAGGGAGGCTCCCCATGGCAGAGAAACAGTTGGGTGAGTGAGAGCCTCTGGGGGCCCAAATTTCTGCCATAGACCTTGGAAATCATGGGCACTGAAGATCCCCCCAGCTTCCTTGCCCTGGGCCTGTACACTGACACAAAGATCTTGTGGAGTCTGGGCAGAGCATTGCTTAGGCCCATGTGAAGCCCCAAGGACCTTGGACTCTTAGATCTGTGATGCCAGGTGTCATAGCTCTGCCAATGAGGGAGGCCAGGCTCTCTTATGGTCCCCCAAGATAGATGCCACATCCACAATGCTGAGGAGTGGATGGACTGCAGGTCTCACCTCCATTACACCTCAACAAGCACAGTCCACTGGCCTGGCACTCCAGCACAGCCACCCAACTACCATCTAAGCACTCAGGCCAGTGCCCGCCCTGTATTTCTCTGGCACAAAGTTTCCAGACATTACTCACAGGTCCACTATTTTTGCCATTGCTGCAGCCCTTTCCTCAACTCCTCTCAGGCTCAGAAGGGAGCAAAGAGCCTGCTTCCAGCACACAGCAGCTGCCTTAAAGAAAAGTAGCCAGACTGTTTTCACATGGGTTTATGCCCCTCTTACTCCTCACTGGGCAGGGCCTCCTGACCTGGGCCCCCAGAACAGTGGACCTGCCCTTGCCTGAGCACATCAGTCTATAGCAGCTTTGCATTACTTTGGGGAGAAAATCCCAGACACAACCTACAGGATCTTTGCCATTACTACTGCAATAGTACTGCCTTTGCTGCCCTCCTGCTGGGGGAGGAATAAAGGCCCCGATCACTTTGCTGTCACCTCCAGCACACCACAACCACTACCCAGAGAGAAACCCCGGCTCCGTTCCCTGTGAGCCCTCATTCCTATTCTCCACCAGGCAGGGGCCCCCGGTTGGGCCACAGTGCTGCCCCTCCACCCCAGGCTGAACATTCTCATTGGCAGTGGCTTTGTGTTTCTCTGAGGTGATGCTTCGAGAGGCAACTGACATCTCTGCCATTGCTGCTGCAGCAGTACAGCCCTTGGTGCCCTTAGGCTGGGGAAGGAACAAAGAACTTGACTACTTTACTCATGCCTCCAGCATGTCACAGCCGCCTTATGGAGAGGAGACCAGTCTCTCTTCCCTGTGAGACCCTGATGCCCTGTTCTTCACTAGGTAGTGTCCCCAGCTCAGGCTTGTAGTGCCACCACTGCACCCACGGCTCAACATTTCAACCGACAGCAGCTTTATGCTTCTCTGAGGTGGCATTGGAGAGGCGACTGACAACGCCTCTGCCATTGCCACTGCAGCTGTACTTGCCCTTACTGTTACCAGGCTAGGGAAGGAACAAAGAGGCTTAGTACTTTACTTGCACCTCTAGTACACTGCAGCAGCCCTATAGAGAAGAGGCCAGACTGTCTTCCCCATTAGGTCCCTTCATCCTTTGCTCTTCACCAAGCAGGGCCCCTGGCCTTGGGCCCAATATGTAGTTGCTCCATTCCAGGCTGAATGTTGCAATTGGCAGTGTCTCTCTGTTCCTCTGGGGTGAATCCCCAAGAGACAAGTGAAAGGCCCTCTACCATTGTCATTGCCAAAGGCTCTGCACATACTGACCCCAAGCTGGGAAAAGAACAAAAAGGATAGGCTCACCCAGGGCTGTGATAAAGTCTGGGAGTGCCAAGCTGAGATCTGTGGCCAGCACTTGAGTGGCCCAAGTTCTCATATCACTGAGAGGAAGCATGGCTGAAAACATGAGGAAATACAGAGAAGCCATGTGCTAAGTAAAAGCCTACCTACAGCCATTGTGCTTAAGTACCAAGCAGCCCATGGATCACAGCGTAAACTTCAAAACCAAAATATTTTACAATATACTCCTTTGTGAAATCAAGGACAAGAATTCATCCACAAATAAAGACCCACGCATAAAGCCTTAGTCCTCTGAAAAGATACAGAAATGAAGCCAGCTGACTATGCTCAAATTATGCTACAGTTAAAAACATAAGCCCACACAGATGAGAGAGAACTAGCACAAGAATTCTGGCAACCCTAAAAGCCAGAGTGTGTCCTTACCTACAAATGACCACACTAGCTCCCTAGTAATGGTTCTGAACTGAAATAAAATGGCTGAAATGACAGACATAGAATTCAGAATCTGTATGGCAAGGAAGATCATTGAGATTCAGGAGAAATGTGAAGCCTGTTGCAAGAAATCTGAAAAATTCATTAAAATGATTCAAGAGATGAAACATGAAATAGCCATTTTAAGAAAGAACCAAACTGAGCTGAGTTGAAAAACTGGCAAGAATGTCATAACACAATTGGAAGCATTAACAGCAGAATAGAACAAGCTGAGGAAAGAGTCTCAAAGCTCGAAGATCAGTTCTTTGAATTAACTCAATCAGACAAAAATAAAGAAAAAATAATAAAAGAGAACAAAACTTCTGAGAAATATGAGACTATGTGAAGAGACCAAATTTTGTGACTAATTGGTGTCACTGAAAGAGAGGGAAAAGGAGAAAGCAACTTGGAAAACAAATTTGAGGATACTGTCCACAAAAATTTCCTGAAACTTGCTAGAGAAATTGACCTGCAAATTCAGGAAATTTATAGAATCTCTGTGAGAAACAACACAAGATGACCATCCCTAAAACACAAAGTCATTAAATTATCCAAGGTCAAAATGAAAGAAAAAAATATTAAAGGTAGCTAGAGAGAAAGAACAGAACATCTATAAAGGGAACCCCACCAAGCTACCAGTGGCCCTTTCACCAGAAACCCTTGTAAGCCAGAAGAGATTGGGGGCCTACATTTGGTAACATTAAAGAGAAAAAAAAAAGTCAACCACGAATTTCATATCCAGCCAAACAAAGTTTCATTAGTGGAAGAGAAATAAAATCTCCTTCAGAGAAGTAACGCTGAGAAAATTCTTTACCATCAGATCTTCCTTACAAGAGGTCCCTAAGGGAGTGCTAAACATGAAATCAAAAAACCATTACTGGCCACCTCAAAAACACACTCAAATACATAGACATTGACACTATAAAGCAATACACAGTCAAGTCTACATAACAACCAGCTAACAATATAATGACAGAATCGAACTTACACATATCAACATTAACCTTGAATGTAAACAGGCTAAATACTACACTTAAAAGGCACAAAAATATCATGACTTCAACAAACAAAATGAATAAGGCACCAAGGACCAATCCTCAAGAAACAGAGATATGTGACTGTTCAGAAAGAGAATTCAAAATAGCTATTTTGAGGGAACTCATAGAAATTGGGGATAACACAGAGAAGGAATTTATAATTCTATCAGATAAACTTAACAAGAGATTGAAGTAACTAAAAAGAATCAAGCAGACATTCTGGAGTTAAAGATTGCAACTGACATTCTGAAGAATGCACCAGTCTTTTAATAGCAGAATTGTTCAAGAAAAAGAAAGAATTAATGAGCAGATTATCTGAAAATACACAGAGGAGGCAAATCTAAGAGTTATTGGCCTTAAAGTAGAGAGAAAGAGGTAGTACTAGAAAGTTTAGTGAAAGGGATAATAACAGAGAACTTCCCAAACCTAGAAAAATATATCAATATCCAACTGTGAGAAAGTTTTAGAATACCAGACAAATTTACCTCAAAGAAGACTACCTCATAGTTAATAAAACTCTCAAGGATCAAGAATAAATAAAGGATCCTAAAAGCTGCAAGAAAAAAGAAACAACTAACATACAATTGAGCTATAATATATCTGGTAGCAGACTTCTTAGTGGAAACCTTACAGGCCAGGAGAAAGTGGCATGACTTATTTAAAGCACTGAGGAAAAAAAAATCCTTTGAATTGTATACCTGGTGAAAATATCCTTCAAACATGATGAAGAAATAAAGACTTTCACAGTCAACAAAGTACTAGAAGTCCTAGCCAGAGCAATCAGGCAAGAGAAATAAATAAAAAGCAACCAAATAGGAAGAAATGAGATAAAAAAATCTCTCTTCACAGATGACATAATTCTGTACTTAGAAAAGCCCGTTGTCTCTGTACAAATGTTTCCAGATCTTATAAACAACTTCAGCAAAGTTTTAGGATACAAAATTAACATACAAAAATCAGTAGTATTTCTATACACCATTCATTTACAAGCTGAAAGCCAAATCAAGAACAGAATACCATTCACAATAGTCACAAAAATATGATAGAATACAGATAAACAAAGGTAGTGTAGTGAAAGATCTTTACAACAAAAATTACAAAACACTGCTGAAAGAAATCAGAGACAACACAAACTCATGGGAAAACTTCCCATGCTCATGGATACGAAGAATCAATATTTTTTAAAAGGCCATACTACCCAAAGGAATTTACAGATATAATGATATTCATATCAAACTACCAACAACATTTTTCTCATAATAAAAAAAAATCCTCAAATTCACTTAGAATCAAAAAAGGACCCAATTAGCCAAAGCAATTCTCAGCAAAAAAGAGCAAAGCTGGAGGTATCACACTACCTGACTTCAAACTATACTACAAGACTATAGTAATTAAATCAGCATAGTAATGGTACAAAAATAGACACATCAACAAATGGAACAAGATACAGAACCTAGAAATAAAGCTGCACACCTATAGTCATCTTATTTTTGACAAAGCCAATAATCACAAGCAATCAGGAAAAGATTCCCTATTCAATTAATGATGCTGGAATAACTAGCTATCCATATGCAGAACATTGAAACTGGACCCCTACCTTTCACCATATATAAAAGTTAACTCAAGATGGATTAAAGACTTAAAGGTAAAACTTAAAACTATAAATATCATAGAAGAAAACCTAGG